>NC_000002.12:127489618-129989618 GCF_000001405.40 Homo sapiens | reverse complement strand
CCAAGTGTTCTCATTGTTCAATTCCCACCTATAAGTGAGAACATGCGGTATTTGGTTTTCTGTCCTTGTGGTAGTTTGCTCAGAATGATGGTTTCCAGTTTCATCCATGTCACTACAAAGGATATGAATTCATCCTTTTTTATGGCTGCATAGTTCTCCATGGTGTATATGTGCCACATTTTCTTAATCCAGTCTATCATCGATAGAGATTTGAGTTGGTTCCAGGTCGTTGCTATTGTGAATAGTGCCGCAATAAACATACGTGTGCATGTGTCTTTATAGTAGCACGATTTATAATCCTTTGGGTATATACCCACTAATGGGATCGCTGGATCAAATGGTATTTCTAGTTCTAGTTCCTTGAGGAATCGCCACACTGTCTTCTACAGTGATTGAACTAGTTTACACTCCTACCAACAGTGTAAAAGCGTTCCTATTTCTCCACATCCTCTCCAGCACCTGTTGTTTCCTAACTTTTTAATGATCGCCATTCTAACTGGTGTGAGATAGAATTATACCATCTTCTTTAAAGCAAGTCTGTGAAGCTTTGGGGCAGATAAATTCCAGCTCCATCACTTACTGGCAATGCAAAATTTTTGAGTTGTCCCTTCCATAAAACAAGAGGGATACTATTTTGGAGAGGTGGTTTAATGAGACAATGTATGAGGAGTGCTCAGTCTCTAGTAAAAGGCAGGTCCTTACTACAAGGTTCATGGATATTAATCCCTTCATCTTCTCCTCCTGCCTCTCTCCTTTCCCATTATACACACACATTTTGACTTCTACACTATGAGGTAAACAGACATAATAAGGTCAGCTGAATGGCTTAGAGTTTAGGGAACAAACTCAAAAAGACATTTCCCTCTAACTGGTCTTAAATATAATCTTCCCTGTAATGTCTTTAAGCAAGTCAACACACAATACACACACACACACACACTACATATACACACACACACACATATATATGTGTGTATCTGGCATGGTCAAAATGTGTATCTGTAGCTGGTCAAAAATGTCAAGAAATGGGCCATTACTACCAATCATGTCTCCAATATTCTCCTAAGGAGGCTAAAGTCAGGACTGAGGTGGAGAAGTATGGTTGGTGAATTGCTTAGCAGATCATGATATAAGGACAAGGTTCAATGTAGCCCTTAAGATGTCATAAAACACCACAAAACCATTCCTGACTCCTGCTATGAACAACAATCCTGGCCAAATTTTAATTCTTGCGCAAAGTGCAGAAAATAGCCAATGCTTTGCCATTGATCTTTGGGATCTTAATAAGACTGAATTAGATAGTTCTATTGGCTGGAGTTTCAGTGCTCTTGTTTGAAATTTATTAAGATGAGACTGCAGATGTTCCAAAGATACAACAATCTTCTGAAATGTGTAACCAATAGAAATCTTCTTTCTTTTAGGGTTGGGTTGATAATCTAAATGGACCTAGCAGACTCGTTATTGTGGTATGTTTAAGGATAAAGAAATAACCCTCTGAAATGTAGTGGAGGAATAGTAATAAAATTCTTAGTGCTGGCTTAGCTTCATTGATTCCAAAACATAAATGTTACTTTACTAACAATTGAAGCATATTATTTCAATTATGCTGATTGTAATATAGAGGTAGGAAGAAATTATTTTTATTCTTTGAGGATTTTTATCAAAAAAACAAATTAATGTACTATCAATTACCATTCAGGAATTCTTCTTTAAAAAACTTTTTTTAAATTAAAAATATTAGTCTTAATTGAGTGTGGATAATAGAAATCCCATAATTATGTTATTTTTATTAGATCCCTTCTCAAAATAGTTTTACACTATTTTATTCTCCTTTTGTAGTTTATAATATAATAAATATGTCAAAAACAATATGTACAACAGACTAATAAATGGTTCTGTTTAGCTAAGTCTACTCTAGTCTATATCATGAAAGTGTTAGGTCTAAATTTCTAAACATTATAAACAGCAATTTTTTGAAGTGCTCTGATTTTCCTAACAATACAATACTCCTGACTCTCTTAAGTTTACACATGTAAATGAGAAGGAACTATATATGAAAATATCATACCTCTTCTGTAGCTATTAGAATTTTCAGCTGAGGTTTTACATCATCACCAATGTAGTGTCACTCCTTTGCTCTGCAAACTTCAGCTCTCAATATATAGTTAACACTTTTATTTTCTGGAGATTTTTAGACTTTAAAGAACTCATTCAAGATTGTTTAAGAAACAAAGCACGGGATGAATTGAAGACTTTCATTTTAAAAGTAAGTGCAGCAAAATTATGAAGGTTAAGCCTGATGAATGTGAAAGGCAGACAGCATCAAATGCTGGTGATGCTGGTAGGAATGCAAATGTTACACCACTTACGAAGACAGTTGGTCAGCTTTTTACAAAACTAAGCAAACTCTTATCATATAATCTAGCATTAATGCTCCTTAGTATTTACCTAAAGAAACTGAAAACTTGTCCACACAAAAACCTGCACAATAATGTTTACAGCAGCTTAATTCATAATTGCCAAACTTGGAAGCAACCAAGATGTCCTTCATTAGGTAAATGGATAAACTGTAATACATGTATTGTATACATGAAATATTATTCAGCATTAAAAAGAAATGACCTATCAAGCCATAAAAAGACATAAAGGAATCTCAAATACATGTTTCTGAGTGAAGCCAATCAGGAAATGCTACATACTGTATGACTCCAGCTACATGACATTCTGGGAAAGGCAAAACTATGGAGACAGTTAAAAAAAATCAGTGGTTGCCAGGAGTTATGGGGGACAGAGGGATGAGCAGATGGAGTACAGAGGAATTTTAGGGCAGTGAAACTCTTCTGTATAATACTATAATTATGGATATTATGTTCAGATTTTTAAATAAAACTGAAATTTAAAATAGAGTAAGAGGGAATCAGGTTGATTTGTTTCAACTGAAATTCATGATCACAAAGCTCATGTCTTTATGCTTCCCAGAAAAAAATATTCCCTGCTCCATTCATTCTCATCCTTTCCCAGAGTAACAGTTCATATTTATTTTCTCTCCTTCCCATCTTTGCTCTTTGCTGATGACTTTATTTTCTATTTCACTTGTAAAAAAAAGTGGTCATTTGACAAGAATTTCAAAATCTCCAGTCTCTACATCTGCTCATCTTCATATATCTATACCTACATTCTGTTATCTCTCCTTTTCATATGGGTGAACTGTCTTTGCTTCTAAATAATGTCCACCCCTCTTACTGTGACTGGGTGCTGTGTCTTGTTGTATTAGGATTCTCTAGAGGGACAGGACTAATAGGATAAATGTATATATAAAATGGGTTATTAAAGAGTGTTGACTCGCACAATCACAAGGTGAAGTTGCACGATAGGCTGTCTGCAAGCTGAGGAGGAAGAAAGCCAGTCTGAGTCCCCAAATCCCAAAAGTAGGGAAGCCAACCGTGCAGCCTTCAGTCTGTGGCTGAAGGCCTGAGAGCCCCTGGCAAACCCCTGGTGTAGGTCCAAGAGTCCAAAAGCTGAAAGAACCTGGAGTTTGATGTTTGAGGGCAGGAAGCAACCAGCACGGGAGAAAGGTGGAGCCAGTCGAGCCCTTCCATATTTCTCTGCCTGCTTTTATCCTAGATGCACTGGCAGCTGATTAGAGGGTGACCACCCAGACTGAGGGTGGGTCTGCATCTCCCAGTTCACTGACTCAACTGTTAATCTCCTTTGGTGACATCCTTACAGACACACCCAGGAACAATACTTTGCATCCTTCAATCCAATCAAGGTGACACTCAGTATTAACCATCACACCTGTTATCTACCCATGCCTGTCATTCCAGCAATTTTCTTGCTTCTTTTTCTGCATCTGAAATTTTAATTTCTCCACCAAGTTCTTCACATCAAAAAACAAAAAAAGAAGTTATTTCATTTAACTGAAAAAAAACCAAAAACTCATAAAGAGCTAATGAATAAAGTTATCTCAAACATTTGATAACTTTAATTATAACTTTAATATTCACAGCTTATATTTATCAATAGATTGTCTTAGGAAAAGAAAAAGACTTCCCATAAACTAGAAGAAAATGTAAAATATAACCAACATATAAACAGCAATGTGTTAAAGAATAATATATAAAGAATAATACAAATAACAAATAATGAACAAAGGATATAGACATTATACAAAATATGAAACATGAACAGACAATATATAATGCTTCATATTGGTAATCAGGGAAATGCTATTAAACATAGAACAGGATGATGTTTTACATTAGCCAGCTTGACAAAAATTTAAAATTTCAATCACAACTGTCAGAGAAGTTACAGAACAAAGGAAACTCTTATACATGACTTGTAAGTAATGAGATGGGGAAGGGGACATAGAAGTCACTGCCTCACAATCAATGGCGGTTACTCAATTCACTAGTCAGTAATGTGTGCTGTAAGTTTCACAATCATTTTATGCTTTTTGTGAGAGTAATAGTTTAACAAAAGTATAATTTTTATTAATCTCACAATAAATTTGACCTAACATTTTATGTGATTGAATTCCTTTAGACCCCATTATTTTATTATGGCTAGTTTCCTGTGTTTTATTTTGTAGATACATATAATAACTCTAAAAGACAGAAAGATTTTGTAACATCAGTTACTTCTGGGAGTGAAAGTGGGAGGAGTATTTTTTTTTACTAAATATTACTTACTTTTTAAATTTTACACTAGGATAATGTATTACTATATTCTGTAACAAAATTAAAATATAACATTTTAAAAAGTTTTAAATTAAAGTAAAAAGTTGAGTAGATGAGAGATTCTGTCTCTAATCAGGGGCTAATGACTGATTCCACTATAAACAACTAGAAAACTAGACAAACTATAGAAAACCATCATTTTCAAACATTAGACAATCAGCAACTAAGGACTGTTTTTCTCCAGTTGAGAAGAGAAACAAGCAATGTAAGCCCTACAATAGCCCCTTATTTCTGCCTGGGGATACTTACTGGACAACACCATTGGCAGCAGAACCCAGACAGAGCTTGGAGAAATCCCTGAATTGAAGAGAGACAAATATTATTTTAGGAGGGCTAAGTGAGCATCTCAAATTTAAAGTAACGAACTATACAAAGAAAGAGCTCCAGAAATCAGCATAGGTTTCCCCTGAGTGACCCAGGGACTGGCTAATTGAGTGAGCATCCAGCCCCGGATCTCGTGTCTAATTCCCCTCCTGAATGTCCAGGATCACTACCTTGAGCTGTCTTCATATCTGCAAATGACAGATTCATCTCTGCCCCTCAGGACTGCAGAAACCTGTGCAAATACTTTCTACTTTTTATGAAAAACATGCACAATTTCACAAGCAAATACCATTTCCTGTGTTTTGGAGCATTAGCTCAAACTTTGGAATTCAGAGTTATGGGTTAGACCCTTTACTCACTTCACCTTTCTCTGCATACTTGTGCCTGATTTTTCCTCTTTTTTATTTTTGTTTTTGTTTGAGACAGAGTCTCACTCTGTCACCCAGGCTGGAGTGCAATGGCCTGATCTTGGCTCACTGCAACCTCCTTCTCCTAGGTTCAAGAGATTTATAAAAGAGCAATATAAATCCCTGTGGAATTCCCCTTTTACTTAAGAATTTAATATCAGCAAATTAGTTTAACAAGGCTGTTTTGTAAGAGGCTGCGGTTGCATTCAAAAATTGGAATGGGAACAACGACTTGTAAAAATTCAACATTTTATTTATTTATTTATTTGAGAGGGAGTCTCACTCTGTCACCCAGGCTGGAGTGCAGTGGTGTGATCTTGGCTCACTGCAACCTGGGCCTCCTGGGTTCAAGCGATTCTTCTCCCTCAGCCTCCCGAGTAGCTGGGATACAGAAACGCGCCACCACGCCCAGCTAATTTTTGTAGGTTTCACCATGTCGGCCAGGCTGGTCTTGAACTCCCTACCTCAGGTGATCCACCCACCTCAGCCTCCCAAAGTGCTGGGATTACAGGTGTGAGCCACCACACCTGACCAAAAGTCAACACTTGAAACTACCACCTGTTATATTCACTGTGTCTGTGATTGGACATATCTTTTTCGGTGGCCAAAAAATTATAAAACGGACACAGAATAGTCTCTTCAAAAAATTAAGGATGTTCTTTCTTCTTAAAAGGATTATAAGGCCAGACGCGGTGCCTCACAACTGTAATCCCAGCACTTTGCGAGGCCAAGGTGGGCAGATCACCTGAGGTCAGGAGTTCAAGACCAGCCTGATCAATATGGTTAAACTCTGCCTCTACTAAAAATACAAAAATCAGTCCAGCCTGGTGGTGGGTGCCTGTAATCCCAGCTACTAGGGAGGCTGAGGCAGGAGACTTGCTTGAACCTGGGAGGCGGAGGTTGTGGTGAGCCAAGATTGCGCCACTGCACTCCAGCCTGGGCAACAAGAGCAAAGCTCCGTATAAAAAAAAAAGGTGTGTGTGTGTGTGGGAGGATAATAAATATAATTCGAACTGGCATCTAAATTAATTTTAGTCGGTATGTGTGTGCACGTTGTGTGTGTGGATGTGTGGATGTAAATGGCAGTAAAAGGTAAAAGGGAAAGGCGGTAAAAAGGGAGATGATCTAACATTTTCAAAACTTTTTATTTTTGTTTCCTTTTGTGTTTTATTTATATATTTTTGGCAGCAAAATTGTGTTTACTAAAAAAAAATCTGGACTATGAACACACTTCACTGCTTTGAAGAACTCCAAGCCAAATAAAAAGACCAATCAATATTAAAAGCAGTATAACTGGTTACTTTCTTAAAAATACATAAAAAGAATCAAATGCAACAGTGTAGGGAGAAAATCACCCCCATGTCAGAAGTCATGACTTCTTCCAAATAAAGAATATGACCCATCTGCCATAGTGAATCAATATTTATTTCAGGACATGCCATGTCAAAATAAAACAAAGAGTCAACCCTTGCCTTTAGCAATTATATTGTATTATAAAAGCACTTTATAACTCCATCCCATCTTTAAGTATAAGTTACTGGTATGTGGGCTAATGATTATCTGTAAGCATTTCTCTATTCAGATCCATAATCCAAGTGCTCTCTGAATATTACAAAGTGACAATAAGTGGGAAGTGGAGGAGGAAGAGGAAAGAGAGGGGACTAAGGTTCTCCCAGTTTAAGGTTTTGTTGCAATGAGGGGATGAGGAAGTATGAAGATACTTTTGTTGTCTTTTCATCTTTATACTGTGTTAAGTAACGTTTACAACATAAATTCAGCAGGCTTTTCCTGACCTGTAACTCGAAGTTTTCTTCCTGCAAACAATGTATTTACAAATGTGTTTATTAGCTTACACAGCAATCTCACAATAACTAGTAAAGATTAAAAGGGCACACTCCTAGTATATTTGTTTGCAGTGTTTTAAGGGAAATACATATTGCCATGGTGAAGCTCTAAATAGATTCAACGAAACATCTAAAAATGGAAAGTTGTTAAAAAAAAAAAAAGCAAAGAAATATCGCCAAAGAAAAAATATTAATCGTAGCTTAAATATAAAACTAAATCACTAGTTAAACTATACAGATCTAATACAAACCAAAACCAGCCTGAAAGACCCAACCTTAAAAAATGCTAAAAAATAAGGCATAAATCTGCATAATATTCAGTTTTATTTCCATTCTCTCCTTTCCCTCTACTATGTATGCTTTACCTGATCTGCCTCTAGGGGCTTACAAGAAAACGGTTTCCGGTTTCCGTCTTCCGTCTTCCGTCTTCAATTTGACCTCAAATGTCCTGAGCAAAGTTTTTGCTATTCTGCTGAGGGTTCTTTTGCTGGTAAGCTTTAGATATCGTTATTTCTGCTAATTCAGTAGTTTTGATCGTAGTGCCAAATTTAAATTCTTCCACTGGTTCTTCTGTAAGGAATTAAACTTTTATGGTGTCTTGCCTGCATAGTATTATTTTTTTAAGAAAGAAAACCCAAGCAAAATCTATTGCTTACAGAGGTTTCTTACTTTTTAAACAAACAGAATAACTCTTGACAATTTTAAAACCTTGGGAGAAATAGTTCATTAGAACTTCATTATCTTACCATGAAGAAGTAAATACTAAAAACCTGTTCTGAAGCACTTGGTTACTTTTCTCTCCCAGAGTCTAATAAAGCACATGTGAAAGGACCATTTGTGTTAGTCAGAAATACATTTTATGTTCTGCTACTTATAAGTACTCAGTATGTTCTTTAGGACTCATTTTGAAGATGCACCAGGAGGCTTTTCTCATTCAAGCACTGCCTACCGTGATCGCTGAATTCTGACCTCAAAGAAGATCTAAGTAATTTACATCAGTGCTCAAGAATAATTCTGGACATCTTGGTCCACAGCCTACAGCAAGTGGTATCTGTAAAATTAAAGGATAATTCCAGTGGGCTTGGTCGGACTGCTGCTTTGCCATCTCTTGTTTGTTTTGAGGAAGTGGGGGGAGGCTAGGTAAGAACACGGAAATAGGGAACGGGGTAAGGGAGAGGTGAGAAGAGCAAGGAGAGATAAAGCAGGCTGTGAACATACTGCTCGTTAACCAAGCCATACTCATACTGTTGAGATTTCCATCATTTTGAAGTACATTATCATAACATTAAAAAAGAAAAAAATGTTAAGAAAATGTATCTAATTTTTAAAGTTATCACCGGAATATGCTGAAATAATTTGGCTTTTTGTAAAATATAAATAATGAAGACGCTGACTTTTTTTGTGCTTGTGAAGCTAATAGATCACCTCCACGAGACAGGCAGCAATGATGAATTGCAAAACGTTATTAATGAAGGGAAAAGGTTCAAGCCAATATTCACACTGCAGTCAATGAAAGAGTAAGGGGGCTTCTGAGGAAGGGTTGAAGATGACATGGGAGAGTAGCAGGAACAACCCCCTTCGCTGACTGTTTGCTCCTGAGGCTTTTCCAGTTTTATGTCACTCATGTCTTCTCTGCTTCCGTCCTGTGTGCTTTCCATTCCCGGCAAAGCTGCTGCTACACGTCGAAAGAGCTGCTTTACATTGTATCCAGCTTTTGCCCTAGTTTCAATAAACGTAACATTCAGCCCTTTGGCTTTCCTCTCTCCCTCCTCAACTGACACTTGCCTCTTGTCAGCAAGATCTGTTCTATTTCCTACTAGCGTGATGATAACATCACTTCCTCTTTCTGTTCTGACATCATCAATCCACTTTGTAGTTTGCTGGAATGAGTTAACATTTGTGATATCGTAAACTACTACAGCTGCAGCAGAATCACGGATGTACCTGGGAATGAGGCTACGGAGACGTTCCTGACCCGCCGTATCCCACAGCCGAAGCCCGATTGTTCCATCCTCCAAGTACATAGTTTTTGATAAAAAGTCAATGCCAATTATTGCCTGATAGGTGTTGTCAAAACTGTCATACCTGAATCTGGTGATCAAAGATGTCTTTGCAACGCTTTGCTCCCCCAGGAACACCAGCTTGAATTTCCTCAGCGGATTCCCGAAGTCTCCGCCCGCGGACATGGTGGAACTAGAGGAGCTGTCGCCGCCTCAGCCCAGAGACCTCCCGGACCGATGCTCCTCCAGCCGGCTGACGAAAAAGGCGAGCGGAAGGGCGGGCGCCGAGCTCTCTGCGCCCCTGCAAGGGCCGGTGGAGGAGCCCGGCTGGAGGAGCCCGGCTGGAGGGCAGCAGGGCTCGCCACAGACTGGCAGCCGCCGCCGCCTCCCGGCAGAGTAGCCGAGCACGGAGCGAGGCCCGCGGCTGGGAAGGGAAGGAGGGCGGTGTCGGCAGGAGCCAGGGGTGTGCTTTGGCTTCCCAAGGCTAGGGCCGTTCCCTCCTTCCGCACCCGGCTCAGAGACCTGCGGGAGAGAGACGGAGGGTGGCGGAGCCCAAACCGCAGATGTATCCGGGATCTCTCACGCGCGGCGCTTCGGCTTCCCCAGCCGCCGCCGCCGCAGCCCAACCTGCTGAGTGCGCGAGCCTCTGGCGCAGGGCGAGCCAGGGCGCCTCAACACAGTTTTTTAAATACACAAAACATATGTACTAAAAACAATGGTGCGGTGAAAACAAAATAATGCAAACTAGAAAAAGGACAAAATTGACATTTTAAAAACTTTATTATGTATTATTAAATATATATTAAATAGAAATGTTATAAAATTTAACGTCCCTATCTCCCCGTCTCTGTGAGAGGTCAGAAACCTAACTTTTCTAAGCCACAATTAAGCAAACACATCTGGCCTAATCACATGGACCAACATCTCTCCTAACATCAGGCAGGAAGTTTCAGTAGCTCCTGCAAAACTCTCCCACCTTGCATTTGAACAGAAATGTCAACTGATACAATTACCCAAGACTTGTATTAGACTGAATCTCACAATCACACTCAGCCTGATTATTAACCCTTCTCCTGCATCTTGCTCACCTAAATGTATCTACATTTTCTATGAACTGAAGAGCTTAGAAATGTATGTCGTCCATGTATTATAGTGTAAGTTATTGTAATATAGAAATATGGATTTTCTTTAACTCCCATTTTCTGCCTAGGAAATAGCAATGTTTTTTGAGTATGGCAAGTGTTTCCAAGCATTCAGAAGTGGAGAGTGTAGGATATCCACTGCAAAATGAGGTCTGCTTGTCATCCTCTTAGTCTCCACTGCTATCCCTCCCTCATCTCTCTCTGTTTCATTGGTGAGTATGGAAGATCAGTCACTTTTATATGAAATGAAAATTGATGAAACTAAGGTGTTGATTTGATTATCCAAGCAACCATTTATTGAGTGTTCATTACAAGTCAAATTGTGTTCTGGAGAACAGCTCAGGAAATGAATGTTTGACATCGATGTACATAACAGAAATACGAACATACCATTAAAAACTCAGACCTCTTATGACAATCCAGATTCTCATGTAAGTTTTGTGAAGCTCTTTCAAGATGAAAATGTAACAATTCAAAAAAAATTATTTAAACAAGTCATTCTTGAGACATAAAAATGGAATTAGAAGATCATATATGGCTGTTTCACTAGCTGAAATCTAAAGTACTGTTTTTAGTCAATTAACGGCCATATAATTGTTAGTTTTATATACTGATATTCATCAGAAATTAAAAACTTTAAAAAGTATTTCTGTCTCATTCTACTAATTTTAAAATTTCATTTATTTGGTTATATTTCTTCATTTTACCTGGCCTTGAATACTTCTTTCCTGCCCAGCATTAAGTTTAATTAATGTCTAATTTGTTTACTTGGTTTAGTTACTTTTGATCATGCTTGGTACACTTCTTATGGACCAGGCATGTAGAAATGTTTACAAGTTTATGGTCCTCACTCTTCCAAATCCCTAATGGCGGCACCCAACAGACACATACCACAATGTAAACACATACTCACACGCACCTGCACACCCATACTCACCCACCTACACGCAGACACACACCCATACTCACCCACCTACACCCAGATACACCTGCACTCACCCACACACACCCAGACTCACCCACACACACCTGTAGTCCCCAGCTACTCCCAAGGCTGAGGCGAGAGATGCTTGAATCTGGGAGGCAGAAGTTACAGTGAGCCAAGATCATGCCTCTGCACTCCAGCCTGAGCGACAGAGCAAAACCCTGTCTCAAAAAAAAAAAAAAATTAGACAATTGTGGTAGCCCATGCCTGTATTCTCAGCTACTTGGGGGAGCTGAGTTGGGGGGATCACTTGAGCCCGGGAAGTCGAGGCTACAGTGAGCCGTGGTCATGCCACTGCACTCGAGCCTGGGTGACAAAGCAAGATCCCTTCTCTACAAAGAAAAAAAAAAAAGAAGTCATCCACCATGGGCACTGAGTCTGATAACCACATACTTTCCTCAGCATAAATCTCCCAGTAGAGTTGCTTTTAGAAAATAGAAGTCATCCCAGCGCAGTGGCTCATGCTGTAATCCCAGCACTTTGGGAAGCTAAGGTGGGAGAATTGCTTGAGCCCTGGAGTTGGAGACCATCCTGGGCAACGTAGTGAGACCCCATCGCTATATACAATTTTAAAAAGTGGCTGGGCATGGTGGCATGCACGTGCGGTCCCAACTACTTGGAAGGCTGAGGTGGGAGGATGGATGGAGCCCAGATGGTGGAGGCTGCAGTGAGTCATGATCACACCACTGCACTCCAGCCCCAGCAGTGGAGTGCGACCCTGTCTCAAGAAAAAAAAAAAAAAAAAAAGGAAAAAGAAAATAGAAGTCAAGAATGGGGGCCCAAATGACTGTTCTGAGTTTCTTTGGTCTGTAGTTATTTTTGTATTGTTTCACAGCCTTTCTCAAAAAAAAAAAAAAACAAACCCAAACAAACGAAAAAACCACCACCACTACCACCAACCACCACAACAACAAAACAGGTTTTAAGTGACCTAATAGGTATTCTGTGTCTCTGGTTCTTTTTCAGAGACCAAAAGACTAGGAGCCTGGCTTCTAGTTTTCAAAAGAGCTAAGTGACTGACCTAGGCTGATGACTCGCAATCCTCGTTTTACAGTTGAACCACCTGAGGAGCTTTTTCAAAATACACATGTCTGGTTTCCAGACCCAGAGATTCTGATTGGGTAAGTCTTGCCTCAGAGATGGGAATGTGTTCTTTTTAAAAGCTCCACAGATAATTTTAGGAGGCAATGCCAGTTAAAAGCCCCCAAATCAGACCCCATTCAGCAGATGCTAGTGTAGGTTAATACTGTGTGAGAACGCTAGAAAAAATTATGTTTGTATTTTCTATAAGCATATACAGAAAGTATGGTACAATGAAAAACATGGTTATAGTAATGCCAAATTGCCTTCCAATTAATTTCTTATGAAGATATTAGTTAATTAGTTGAATTAATTTCTGGTCAAGATATACTATGACCTCTATTATTTTTCTATTCTAAAAGTGGAAAATAAGATACTCTATTACTATGTTTCAATAATAAAAATAATCAATATTGATTGTGTACCACTATGTCAGAGACTGCTAAGTATGTTAAATAGAATTATCTTACTCTCTTTTCTTGTTTATTTTTTTTTGAGACAGAATCTTGCTTTGTCGCCCAGGCTGGAGTGCAGTGGCACAATCTTGGCTCACTGCAATCTCTGCCTCCCAGGTTCAAGCAATTCTCCCTCCTCCGCCTCCCGAGTAGCTGGGATTTCAGGAGCCTACCACTGCGCCCAGCTAATTTTTGTATTTTTAGTAGAGACGAGGTTTCACCATGTTGGCCATGCTAGTCTCGAACTTCTGACCTCTCAGGTGATCTGCCTGCCTCGGCCTCTCAAAGTGCTGGGATTATAGGCATGAGCCACTGTGCCCGGCCACAAGCTAGACTTTCTATGAAGAGGAGCAGAAAGTAACTTTATTATTTCTTTCTCACCCCTCTCCAAGTAAATTTGCTTTGTGGATTGTTCCCCACCTTCCACCGTATCTCTGGATGGAATTTCAAGCAGATCATAGGATTTCCAGTCACCATCTGATATTATCCATTCTAGCCCGTTCTATTTGTTACAACTATAAACTTTCTTCTAATTCAGAATGTCTGTTCTCCTCCAGCTGGGAGAGGCTCAGGAGCCTGCAGTGGGGAGAAGGATGCAGTTGACTTCACCTTCTCCTCTATTCACTAGTAATCGCTGCTTGTGGTCCCTTGGGATGGTGGGAATAGTTAGGGAGAACAAGGATCATCCTTAAACAGCAGCTGCTGGCTGGGCACAGTGGCTCACACCTATATTCCCAGCACTTTAGGAGGCCTAGGGGGGCAGATCATTTGAGGCCAGGAGTTTGAGACCATCCTGGCCAACATGACAAAACCCCATCTCTACTAAAAATACAAAAAATACTAAAAAAAAGCCAGGCATGGTGGTGCGTGCCTGCAGTCCCAGCTGCTTAGGAGGCTGAGGCGTGAAAATCACTTGAACCCGGGAAGCAGAGGCTGCAGTGAGCCAACTGCACTCCAGCCTGGGTGACAGAGCAAGACCTCGTCTCAAAAAAAAAAAAATTAAAAAAACAATAAACAGTTGCTGCCTTGTGATCAGGCAGCTGGGTGCTGTGTACACTGTGTATCCAGTCTATTGGCTCTTTCTCTTTAGAGGGAATGTAGTAGATTTTGAGACACTGTTCATCACCTGGGATCTCCCTTCTGCAGTTTCCTTGATGGTTGTTCAGATACCTCCTCCAGAGTGCCACTTGCAGTTTCACCCTCAGAGTCTGTGTTCCGGGAAGAATTACCCTTTTATTGAGATCACTTCCATCCTTCAGGTGGGCCTGTGGTACAGGGTCCCTTTTAAACCTACTCATGTCCAGTGCCTTCTCCAGGATCTGTATGGCTCACAGTATAAACAACTTCAGTACCCCTCCAGTGGGATAATCTGCAAGTGCATGCAGTTCACAGTGCGGTGGTGCTTCCTTCTCTCCCAGCAAGCAGTCCAAACCAGTGTTTACTCTTTGGAATCAGATGTTAAATCATTCCCCAAATTCCAGGGGACTCATGTCAAGCTCTACAAATGGTCCTGTTGAAGCCATTGTCTGGGCTTGACTTGTAGGAAACGCCACAGCTCACTAGGACCTCTTTCCAATGGCCTCTGCAGCATCCCAGTGGAATCTCGGATTGTAAGTGTCCGGCCCAGCCCCTCAACTTGGAATGTAGGAGTGCCTGACACCTATTTTGTTGTTGGCATTTGGAGTATCTGATGAAAACCAAAATACTCAAATTTAATATACAATTTTTTTTGAAGGGCAGAGGGAGAACAGGCATAGAGGTTAGGTCACTATTATTACGTTCTTGAAATCATTTCTTTTTTTTTTTTTTTTGAGACGGAGTCTCGCTCTGTTGCCCAGGCTGGAGTGCAGGGGTGCAATCTTGGCTTGCTGCAAGCTCCACCTCCTGTGTTCATGCCATTCTCCTGCCTCAACCTCCCGAGTAACTGGGACTACAGGTGCCCACCCCTCGCCCGGCTAATTTTTTTGTATTTTTAGTAGAGACGGGGTTTCACTGTGTTAGCCAGGATGGTCTCGATCTCCTGATCTCATGATGTGCCCGCCTCAGCCTCCCAAAGTACTGGGATTACAGGTGTGAGCCACTGTGCCTGGCCTTTGAAATCATTTCCTTATGGTCTAACATGTTAGAATGTATCATTGAGATCACTATAAATCAGAATAAATACTCCTTTTGAATTATGAGATGATGGTTAGGCGTGGTGGCTCACACCTGTAATCTCAGCACTCTGGGAGGCTGAGGCAGGCTGAACACCTGAGGTCAGGAGTTCGAGACCAGCCTGGCCAACATGGTGAAACCCTATCTCTACTAAAAATACAAAAAAACAAAACAAAACAAAAAATTAGCTGGGCGTGGTGGCGCATGCGTGTGATCCCAGCTACTCGGGAGGCTGAGGCAGGAGAATTGCTTGAACCCGGGAGGTGGAGGTTGCAGTGAGCCACAATCACAGTACTGCACTCCAGCCTGGGCAACAGAGCAAGATGTCTCAAAAAAAAAAAAAAAAGGAATTATGAGATGAATGAATAAATTTAGATGAATGAAGACATGTATACATTTACAGCCTGCCAAATAACTACTTGTAACATTTGGGTGAATTTCTTTATTTTTCATGAATGTGTTAATTTTTTAATTCAATAAGCAACATGCGCAAAACAATATTCTGGACTCCTCTGGACCCTAGATACATACAGCAACAATCTTGGAGGAAAAAAACAGGTAGCAAGAAATCAACATTTAGCAAACACCTCCTCTGTGTTAGGCCCTAAATAAGAATTTCAATGCATAGTCAAGATATTCATATGAAGTCTCTTAAATCCCATGTTTTAAAAAATACAGTAAATCATTTTTTGGTGAATTCCTTTTCACTAGAGATACGATTGGACTACATGTTGACTTTATAAGTGCCATAATCATAATACGAAATAATTTCCCATGTTTTTAAAATCTCTTGGTAAATAATTTCAAAGTTTGCAAAAGACTCCTGTAATTGTATATCCCATAATTATTTAACCTTCTAACAATGCACATTTACTCTTTAACCATTTTATGTATTTCTTATTTTCTTCCTTAGGCTAAATCCGTGGATATAGAATTACTGAGTGAAAGAACCGTTATAAAGCTCTTGGTACTTACTGCAAAATTGCTTTTCAGTCGGGTTTTAGCATTTTACGTTTCCACTACCATTCTATGAAATTGCCATTTCTGGCCAGGCTCACACCTGTAATCCCAGCACTTTGGGAGGCCAAGGCGGGCAGATCAACTGAGTTCAGGAGTTCGAGACAAGCCTGGCCAACATTATGAAACCCCGTCTGTACTAAAAATACAAAAACTAGCCGGGCGTGGTGGTGCACGTCTGTAATTCCAGCTACCTGGGAGGCTGAGGCAGGAGAATTGCTTGAAACTGGGAGGCAGAGATTGCAGTGAGCCGAGATTGCACCACTGCATTCCAGCCTGGGTGACAAAGTGAGACTCTGTCTCAAGAAAAAAAAAGAAAAAAAAAAGTGCTATTTTTGATGATGGGGGGCAAAAACCTTTTGCTATTTTGGTAGATTAAAAACGGTTATCTAGCCATTTTAACTTGTATTTATTTGATTACAAAGTGAGGTTCAACTCTTCTTTGAAGGTGCTTGTAGTTCTTGTTACATAATAATATTTTAACAAGAAAAATAGAACGGTTTTTCCTTAGGGTAAATAACATAGTATCTCTTTGAGGCCAACATTCATGTTCATTATTACCTTTTTACAATCTGGAATTTTCCATTCAGAATATATGGCTTATTGTCTCAGTTCAGAAATTAGATTCTTGCTGCTTGTTTACCCCAGTTGGCTCTGCAGCCCTGAGAAAGGTTTTTCAGTTCTTGCAAACATTTGTATGTAGAGTAGATTTTATTACCATGTAGAAACAGAACAGAAGTTCTTGACAAGTGGAAGTACTCTGTGATAGGGCAGCCTCGAGTGAACAAAACAGGTAAATTGTGAAATTTTTCAAGTATCAGAAGTAACATTTTTTCCTAAGGCAGGAAACAGTATACTCACAAAGAGATTTTTACATCTGCCTGGGTCTTGGTGGAATCATTAAGGGAAATGTGAATTAAATTAAGAAAACTTTCTTAAAAGGCTTTTGTCTTTCAAATAGGCAAAATGAGCTAAGAATACAGATAAAGGTGTGTGAATGAGAACAAGTTATGATGACCCCAGGAAAACCCTTCTCCGAGTTACCTGGCCACCAGCTGTGACCCCTCTGAAGGAGGAGGAAACAAGCACTGCTGTTCAGTGAGCCTGCTCTTCCAAGATGCCAACTCATCTTTATTTTTCTTTCCTAAGTATCTTACACATTTACAGGATCATATAAATTTATTTTCCAAAACAAAATATTTTTGTTGTTTCACCCATTTCAAAACAAACGTGTTTGTTTTTAAGTTAATAATGTTGTTAAAAACTCAGCTTATAAAATTGAAAGTTGCTAGGAGTGGTGGCTCATGCCTGTAATCCAATTACATATATACATATAGATATAATCTCTTCTATAATTGGTTTCCATGGTCATATATGCCTATTTTAAATTGTATTTTATTTTATTTTTTAAGAGATGGGTCTCACTATGTTGCCCAAGCTGGCCTTGAGCACCCGTGCTCAAGAGATCCTCCAGCCTCAGCCTCCCAAGTAGCTGGGACTATAGGTGTGCCACTGCACTGGACTAACATATGCCTGTCTATGTTTATACGTATAAAGTTATTCATCCATTAATATTAGTGCATAGAATTCTATTGTATAGATGTGCCTTAATGTATTTAAGAAATCCTCCTTCTGATGGGCTTTTAAGTCTCTACTTTTTTACTATTACAAGCAATACAGCAATGAACATGAATTTCGTGTATTTGTCCCACTTTGGTATTTGTTCTCTTACAAAAAATTCCAAGATCTGGAATTTGAAGATTAAAGAATGAATACTTTTGTCTGGGCATTGTGGCTCACGCCTGTAATTCCAGCACTTTGGGAGGCCGAGGCTAGTGGTTCACCTGAGGTCAGGAATTTGAGACCAGCCTGGCCAACATGGTGAAACCCTGTCTCCACTAAAAATACACACACACACACACACACACACACACACACACACACACACACAAATTAGCTGGGCATGGTAGCAGGCACCTGTAATTCCAGCTACTAAGGAGGCTGAGGCAAGAGAATCGCTTGAATCTGGGAGGCAGAGGTTGCAGTGAGCCGAGATCGCACCACTGCACTTTAGCCTGGGCGACAGAGCAAGACTCCATCTAAAAAAAAAAAAAAAAAAGAATGACCTTTTAATTATGATATGTATTTCTTCCATACTGCCTTCAAAACTGTGGGACTAATTTATGCTTCTAACCGAAGTATATGATAGTGCCCATTTCCCCACAATCTCACCAATGTTCTAATGGGCTGTCTGTCCTTTGCTTACCTTTTCATAGGCGCTCCTTGTTTTTTCTGATCTTCAGTACCTTGTCATTTAGATGTTTTGCAAATATCCTTTCTCACGGTCTTTTTATTCTGTTGGGCCTTTTGATAAACAGAAGTTTATGAATTTAGTCAATTTTATTCATTTATTTGTATTAAAGTTATATTCTTTTTTTTTTTTTTTTTTTTGAGACGGAGTCTCGCTCTGTCGCCCAGGCTGGAGTGCAGTGGCGCGATCTCGGCTCACTGCAAACTCCGCCTCCTAGGTTCACGCCATTCTCCTGCCTCAACCTCCTGAGTAGCTGGGACTACAGGCGCCCGCCACGACGCCCGGCTAATTTTTTGTATTTTTAGTAGAGACGGGGTTTCACCATGCTAGCCAGAATGGTCTCAATTTCCTGACCTCGTGATCCACCCGCCTCGGCCTCCCAAAGTGCTGGGATTACAGGCGTGAGCCACCGCACCCGGCCTAAAGTTATATTCTTTTACAGTATCTTCTAACAGTTTTAGAATTTTTTTTTTGACATTTAAGTTTTCATTCTACCTAGAGCTTTTTTTTGTAAGAGAGAGGTTTCCAACTTTACCTTTTCCATCTGGATGCCCAATTATCCCAGAGCTATTTATTGAGACATTCAGTCTTCATTGATGTGCCCTGTCTTTACTTATATGTATGGATCTGTTTCTCAACACTCTATTCTGCTCCATTGGCCTGTTTATCCTTGGGCTAACACAACACTGTCTTAATAGCAGCAGCTTTATAATCATTGTTAGCTGATAAAGTATGTCCTCTCATCTTGTGCAATAGGATTGCCCTTTCCTACACCTTTGCAAATTCTATGCATTGTCCTGTGTTCAAAAACAAAAAATAAAGCTGTTGAGATTTTTATTGGATTGACCATGTGAACTAATCTGGAGAACATTGACATATTTCCATTACTTTTTTTTTCTTTTTTTTCCTTAAGGTCAGGAAAGCATCACATATTTCTATTACTGAGTCTTCTAAACGATGAAATTATCTGTCTCCATTTATTTAGATCTCCTTTAATATATCTATAATTTTTAAGAGGTTTTACACGTTGTTAGATTAATTTCCAGCTACTTGTACTTTGAGATGCTATTATAAATGACTTTTTTAAAAAGATGGGGTCTCACTATTGTTGCCTAGGCTGGTGTCAAACTCCTGGGCTCAAGTGATTCGCCTGTGTTAGTCTCCCAAAGTGCTGGCATTACACGCCTGAGCCACCGCACCAACTGTTTTTTTTTTTTTTTGAGATGGAGTCTAGCTCTGTCGCCCTGGCTGGAGTTCAGTGGCATGATCTCAGCTCACTTTTTTTCATTTTCTAATTGTTTGATGGTAGTTTTTATGAATGTAGTCAATTTTTTATATTGACCTTATACCCAGCAACCTTGCTAAATAAATTTATTAATTCTAATAGTTTGTAGATTATTTTCAGTTTTTCAGGTATAAAACTGTCCAGAAATACAGTTTTATTTCTTTCAATTGTGTATACCTTTTATTTATGTTTCTTCCCTTATTCTATTGCCTAGAACTTCCAGCAGTGCTGACTAGAAGTGCGCCCCGTTCTTGACCTCAAAGGAGAACTTTCAACATTTTGCATCGTGTTTATTCTAGAGTTTTGTAGATCTCCTCTGTCAAAATTAGGAAGTTCCATTGTATTTCTAAATTTGCTGAGAACTTTTATTAAAAATGGATGTTAGGTGTGGACGCAGGTGGCTCACACCTGTAATCCTGGCACTTTGGGAGGCTGAGGCAGGAGAATCAGTTGAAGCCAGGAGTTCAAGACCAGCCTGGGCAACAAAGTAAGACACTGTCCCTACAAAAAAAATAAATAAATAAAAAACAAAAAACCTAGCCAGGCGTGGTGGTGCATGCCTGTGATGATCCCAGCTACTTGGGAGGCTGAGGTGGGAGGATAACTTTAGCCCAGGAGTTTGAGTCTGCAGTGAGCTATAATTGTACCAGTGTACTCCACTGTAGGTGACAGAGTGAGACCCCCATCCCTGAGGGGGTGGAAAAAGAATGGATAGTGGAATTTATCAAATGCCACTTCTGCATTTATTAAGATATTCATATGATCTTTCTCCTTTTATCTGTTACTGTAGAAAATTATACTGTTTTTACATATATTGTTTTTAAAATTATAAATAAAAGTCATCCAAATGAGACTTATTTCCATACAGATGAGACTGTAGCAAGCCATTCACTTCCATTGGGTCATTTTTTTTTTTTGCACTTCGTTTTAAGCAATTGAATTTCAATGACAATATAAGCAGGTGTTTATCATGAGTGTGTGCCAGGCTCCTTCCTGAGCACTTTGTGTGTATTATCCCATAAATCATCTCAACACTCAGTGAGCTAGCTACTGCCATTCCTGTTTTTCAGATGAGAAAACTGATTTGGAGAGATACTGAGTGATTTGCCCAGGTCACAGCTGGTAGGTAGCCACGCTAGGATTTAAATCTGGTCTATCTTGAAAACATTTGATCTGAAGCCATACCAGTGCGTTTTACTCCATGCAGCCATCCGAATCACATGAGAAACAGTCTTATAATACTGTGCCCCAGAGAGTAGCCAGCCAGACTGGTTCTCAGGGACTAGTGTACCATCCAAAATACATTTATTAGAAAACAAGAAAGAAGAAAAATAAACAAACCATCCAAGATAAGAAGCCAGAGAAAAGCAGCAAAATAAATCCAATGAAAGTAATGGAAGGTATACATTTTAAAAAACAATATAGAAGACAATAACTCCCATGAAACTGTAAGATTAACATTCTGGTGTTTAAATTTTGTTTTTTCTTTTTTAGGCATAAAGGCAACACAAGTGGTCAGGCTCAGCTACTCTGGTTCCTACAGACTTTCCCCTTTGGGATAGCGTCTCTCACCATCTTGACTGCTTACCAACAGAAGCGCCAAAACCAAACTTGAGGATGTCCACAAGCTTGCTCTACACTTCTACATTCATCCTCATCTTTTTTGTGTGTGTTTGTGGGGTAGGGGAGGTGCAGTGTTTACTCAGTGATCTTTCTACTTTCTAGAAAGTGTCTGTCCTTCAAAACTATTTAAGAGCCTCTCATTAGTCATTTTTTCTCTTATATGCTCTGGTTGAGCTTGAATAGACCAGTTGTTGCTTAAGAAAGAAACTGAAAAGATTTTAGCTTTTCAGTCCTATTTGGCAGAGGACTTCAGCTACCTTCTTATGGTCTTTGGCTGTGTTGGTGCCCTCATGTGCTCTGGGCTAA
Source organism: Homo sapiens (assembly GCF_000001405.40). NCBI lineage: Eukaryota > Metazoa > Chordata > Mammalia > Primates > Hominidae > Homo > Homo sapiens. The sequence continues at coordinate 129,967,943 of NC_000002.12, read as the reverse complement.
GCCACATACTAAATTGACTTTTTGGTTTGTATACCCTTGCTCTCGCCTTCTGATGAAAACACCTTACCCTCACCACCACCATCTTTGCTCTCCTTTCCCAAAACTCTTTCCGCCTTGCTGCACTAAGATAGTGACACCTCCACCACACGTCAATTCCACACACATTTATTAGGTACCTGTGAAGCAGGATCTTATCCTCTTAAACTTCCACTTCTCACACTAGAGAGAAAGATAAGGAAGATGAGCAAGTGCCTGGAATGGGGCAGGCTGAGTGGTCACACAGGCACAGAGGCACACTGAGAACCTACAGGGGAGACTGCAGAGTGCCTTCCCTGATGCTGCAGCTGGAAGTCATCCTTCCCTCCACCTGGCCCCTGAGACACTCTACTCTGTAGTGTGCAGTCTGATGGCACTGCTAGATTTCTTTTTCAGCTCAGGGCCACAGCTTAAACAGCTTTACCTTTCCCCTCAGCACCTGTCCCACTACCTTGCACACAGGTACTCTATCCGTGTTTATTGAACAAAGGAGGGAAACTGATTTCACTTTCACTTGTTCATTATCATTCCAATTTTTATGTGAAAATGGCACAACCCATTTGGGGTACACTCATCTCAAAAGAAAAGCCCAAGACTACCTCTGACTGGTACCACCTTTTTTGTGGGTTCCTTGGTGAGAAACCTTTATCTTTTTCATACTTTTCTATTCTCCATCACTTCTCCAAAAGTGTCTCTTTCCAGCTCTGATTTATTCAAAACACACAAACATTCCTGTTTAGAGATTCTAGCCCATGGATTATCCGGCTAGTTAGTACCTCTCCTGTTCACTTGGTTATACTTTATTATTGCTCAGAGGTTGGGGAGGCAGAATGACTGTGTCCCCTCACCCTGGCAGAATGACTGTGTCACCACTAGGAGCCATTAGGGCTTCTTCCCAGGAGGACTGCCTGCTTGCTTTCTGGGGACTAGCCCTTATTTCCCTTCTGTGGTCCAGTGGGGCAAGTGATTTGTATTAGACAAATATTTATAAGAAACAACCCCCTCCCCAAAATAGAGCCACCAAGTAAAGCACAAGCCTGAAAGATGATGAACTATGAATTGTCTCTAGTGGATATAAATTTCTGCAAATATATCTCAGTCTTTCTCTCTTTTCTCTGGTGATTAAAAAGTTGGTTTTTGGTAAGGAAAAGGATTTTTGACCATAGAGTTATGCATCATGGAAATTCAAACCCGATTTCTTAATACCTGGTCTTCTCCGAAGAGAAATAATGATAGTAATAGTGGTGCTGGGAACAATATGGAAGATTATTGAATGAAATGGATTAACTTGAATAAAATGCTGTGAATTATCTCTAGCTGAATGCTTTTCTTGTATTTGTCAGTTTTGATATATTGATGCACATTTGATTCTTTATCTCAAATAGACTTTACTAGGGAACTGTTTATACACTTCAGATCCCAGTTTGTTTTTCACTGATAAAGAAATGCAAAGCACTGTGGTTGTCGGGTATATATGTATTATATTTGTAGACCTGTCCATGCCCCACTTACCTCCTCCACGTACAGTGAATCACTACGGTAGACATAAGTGTCTCCTTTTCATTGTAGGATTGTCTCCTTTTTGTTTCTGTTTTTATTCAACATTTGATAAAGTCTATGCACTAAGTAAGGAGTGTTCTGGCATTTTTTTAATGCACGAAGTCCAGGATGCATCACTTAACAACGGGGATGCATTCTGAGAAATGCATTATTAGGTGAGTGCATCATTGTGCAGATATCACAGGGTGTACTCACAAACCTAGATGGCGGAGCTGACTACGCACCTAGGCTATATGGTACAGTCTGTTGCCCGTAGGCTACAAACCTGTACAGCATATAGAGTAGTACTGAATACTGAAGGTAACTGTAACACAATGGTAAATATTTGTGCACCTAGCTTTTCTTTAGGATGGGATTTTAAAAAAAATAGACAAACAGGCCAGGCACAGTGGGTCACGCCTGTAATCCCAGCCCTTTGGGAGGCTGAGGTGGGCAGATCACCTGAGGTCAGGAGCTCAAGACCAGCCTGGCCAACATGGTGAAGCCCTGTCTCTACTAAAAATACAAAACAGCCAGGCATGGTGGTGGGCACCTGTAATCCCAGCTACTTAGGAGACTGAGGCAGGAGAATGGCTTGAACCCGGAAGGCGGAGCTTGCAGTGAGCCGAGATTGTGCCACTTCACTCCAGCCTGGGCAACAGAGCGAGACTCCATCTCAAAAAACAAAACAAACAAAAAAATAGCCAAACATAGAAAAGGTACAGTAAAAATGTGGTGTTCTAATCCTATGGAACCAGTGTCATATGTGCTGTGTGTCATTGATCAAAACGTCAATATGCAGGCACGCCTGTATAAAATCCTTTCATCTTATTTGGGGTATTATCATGGCTTAGATGCAAAGGGGGATCTAGTGAGCAAATGGTGCAGATCGTTCCTTTCATAGACCCATAAACATCTCAGTGAGGTGAAGTAACTTGCCCAGTATCACACAGAGAGGCATGATTCTGGGCCTCGTGTTGCCCACCTCCCCCATCATCCAGGAGTTTAGTAGTAAGTCTGTGAAGCAACAAATTTAAAAATGGAGACATCTTGGCTTTGTGTGGTAGTCATGGTGGTGATATGGGAGAAACAGCTTTATGTTGATTTTGGATGAGAAAAGGCCAGAGGCATCTTGGTGGAAGCAACCATGGAAAAAAACCAGGCTAAACTGTTTTCATACCCACTCCTTAGATTTCCAAAGCACATATAGTTTGGAAAAATAAAAAAGGACAAAAAACCGACAAAAAAAAAAAACAAAGACAAAACAAAACAAACTAATGACCTCAGAACTTGGAGGGGCAACCCACCCCTACATCTGGTGCCCCCCAGGGACAGGCCATAGTTGAAAGAACTAATAGAACACTCAAAACTCAATTAGTTAAACAAAAAGAAGGGGGAGACAGTAAGGAGTGTACCACTCCTCAGATGCAACTTAATCTAGCACTCTATAGTTTAAATTTTTTAAACATTTATAGAAATCAGACTACTACTTCTGCAGAACAACGTCTTACTGGTAAAAAGAACAGCCCACATGAAGGAAAACTAATTTGGTGGAAAGATAATAAAAATAAGACATGGGAAATAGGGAAGGTGATAACGTGGGGGAGAGGTTTTGCTTGTGTTTCACCAGGAGAAAATCAGCTTCCTGTTTGGATACCCACCAGACATTTGAAGTTCTACAATGAACCCATCGGAGATGCAAAGAAAAGCGCCTCCACGGAGATGGTAACACCAGTCACATGGATGGATAATCCTATAGAAGTATATGTTAATGATAGTGTATGGGTACCTGGCCCCACAGATGATCGCTGCCCTGCCAAACCTGAGGAAGAAGGGATGATGATAAACATTTCCATTGGGTATCGTTATCCTCCTATTTGCCTAGGGAGAGCACCAGGATGTTTAATGTCTGCAGTCCAAAACTGGTTGGTAGAAGTACCTACTGTCAGTCCCATCAGTAGATTCACTTATCACATGGTAAGCGGGATGTCACTCAGGCCACGGGTAAATTATTTACAAGACTTTTCTTATCAAAGATCATTAAAATTCAGACCTAAAGGGAAACCTTGCCCCAAGGAAATTCCCAAAGAATCAAAAAATACAGACGTTTTAGTTTGGGAAGAATGTGTGGCCAATAGTGCGGTGATATTACAAAACAATGAATTCGGAACTATTACAGATTGGGCACCTCGAGGTCAATTCTACCACAATTGCTCAGGACAAACTCAGTCATGTCCAAGTGCACAAGTGAGTCCAGCTGTTGATAGCGACTTAACAGAAAGTCTAGACAAACGTAAGCATAAAAAATTGCAGTCTTTCTACCATTGGGAATGGGGAGAAAAAGGAATCTCTACCCCAAGACCAAAAATAATAAGTCCTGTTTCTGGTCCTGAACATCCAGAATTATGGAGGCTTACTGTGGCCTCACACCACATTAGAATTTGGTCTGGAAGTCAAACTTTAGAAACAAGATATCGTAAGCCATTTTATACTATCGACCTAAATTCCAGTCTAACGGTTCCTTTACAAAGTTGCGTAAAGCCCCCTTATATGCTAGTTTTAGGAAATATAGTTATTAAACCAGACTCCCAGACTATAACCTGTGCAAATTGTAGATCATTTACTTGCATTGATTCAACTTTTAATTGGCAACACCGTATTCTGCTGGTGAGAGCAAGAGAGGGCGTGTGGATCCCTGTGTCCATGGACCGACCGTGGGAGGCCTCGCCATCCGTCCATATTTTGACTGAAGTATTAAAAGGCGTTTTAAATAGATCCAAAAGATTCACTTTTACTTTAATTGCAGTGATTATGGGATTAACTGCAGTCACAGCTACGGATGCTGTAGCAGGAGTTGCATTGCACTCTTCTGTTCAGTCGGTAAACTTTGTTAATGATTGGCAAAAAAATTCTACAAGATTGTGGAATTCACAATCTAGTATTGATCAAAAATTGGCAAATCAAATTAATGATCTTAGACAAACTGTCATTTGGATGGGAGACAGACTCATGAGCTTAGAACATCGTTTCCAGTTACAGTGTGACTGGAATACGTCAGACTTTTGTATTACACCCCAAATTTATAATGAGTCTGAGCATCACTGGGACATGGTTAGACGCTATCTACAGGGAAGAGAAGATAATCTCACTTTAGACATTTCCAAATTAAAAGAACAAATTTTCGAAGCATCAAAAGCCCATTTAAATTTGGTGCCAGGAACTGAGGCAATTGCAGGAGTTGCTGATGGTCTCGCAAATCTTAACCCTGTCACTTGGGTTAAGACCATCGGAAGTACTACAATTATAAATCTCATATTAATCCTTGTGTGCCTGTTTTGTCTGTTGTTAGTCTGCAGGTGTACCCAACAGCTCCGAAGAGACAGTGACCATCGAGAACGGGCCATGATGACGATGGCGGTTTTGTCGAAAAGAAAAGGGGGAAATGTGGGGAAAAGCAAGAGAGATCAGATTGTTACTGTGTCTGTGTAGAAAGAAGTAGACATGGGAGACTCCATTTTGTTATGTACTAAGAAAAATTCTTCTGCCTTGAGATTCTGTGACCTTACCCCCAACCCCGTGCTCTCTGAAACATGTGCTGTGTCAAACTCAGGGTTAAATGGATTAAGGGCGGTGCGAGATGTGCTTTGTTAAACAGATGCTTGAAGGCAGCACGCTCCTTAAGAGTCATCACCACTCCCTAATCTCAAGTACCCAGGGACACAGAAACTGCGGAAGGCCGCAGGAACCTCTGCCTAGGAAAGCCAGGTATTGTCCAAGGTTTCTCCCCATGTGATAGTCTGAAATATGGCCTCGTGGGAAGGGAAAGACCTGACTGTCCCCCAGCCTGACACCCATAAAGGGTCTGTGCTGAGGAGGATTAGTATAAGAGGAAGGCATGACTCTTGCAGTTGAGACAAGAGGAAGGCATCTGTCTCCTGCCCATCCCTGGGCAATGGAATGTCTCGGTATAAAACCCAATTGTATGTTCCATCTACCGAGATAGGGAAAAACCACCTTAGGGCTGGAGGTGGGACATGCGGGCAGCAATACTGCTTTGTAAAGCATTGAGATGTTTATGTGTATGCATATCTAAAAGCACAGCACTTAATCCTTTACCTTGTCTATGATGCAAAGACCTTTGTTCACGTGTTTGTCTGCTGACCCTCTCCCCACAATTGTCTTGTGACCCTGACACATCCCCCTCTTCGAGAAACACCCACGAATGATCAATAAATACTAAGGGAACTCAGAGGCTGGCAGGATCCTCCATATGCTGAACGCTGGTCCCCTGGGTCCCCTTATTTCTTTCTCTATACTTTGTCTCTGTGTCTTTTTCTTTCCTAAGTCTCTCGTTACACCTTACGAGAAACACCCACAGGTGTGGAGGGGCAATCCACCCCTTCAAGAACTTAATAGTAGGCCCAATTGATAAACTAACAGCGTTTCCTATATTCAACATCTTTATGATTCCATGCAGTCTAAGCATGGTTTAAAGCCACGGTGTTAACATAAGCCTGAGTTAGGTTTAAGAGGTTATATTTCAGATGTGTAAAGAGGCTTTTTAGCAAAACAACTTGCAATCTCAGACAGCCCTTATATCTTCACACTGAGGGTCTGAGAACATGAAAGAGAAGTCAAAGAACCTGCAACTGAGGTCAGAGAGCACAGTGCAATCACATTTTTATCTTGCTAGGGCCCTTTCTGGAGTCTCATTAATTAAAGCTCTTAGTTTAGCAACCTGGGTTGTGAATATTTTTTCTTCCCTTTCTTGTCAGCACAGTGAAAAAAATGCTAGTAGGGTAGCTGAGTAATACACTTGAAGACCATGGAAACATTCTCTCTGTGAGGCTCCTTGTCCACAACAAATTGTGAATTATGTTTCCATTTTCATCCACACTGCACAATAGGAGTCTTTAGTATTCACGTTTCTCTTCTTGGAGAGGAGATTTGTGCTCTGATTCCACAGTAAACGTTTGAAAATCCTACTCAAAATACTGTATTTGCAAATTCTGCGAAGTATTTTAAGATGGCTTCTAAGCTTTTATAAAGGATTAAGTACATCAATTGCCTCATTTCTATTTGTAGTAAGTCATTATGTTGGATTAAGGGAAATACTCCTGGTATACAATGAATACTGTTCAGTTACATTTGTGTGGGAAATGGAAAAGTAATTTTTAAAAGTAAGGAAGCAATAAAAATGCTGTTCAGGGAAATATTCATGAATGAACTTTTGCTTACTTTTTCCTTGTTTTAATACATTGCACAGGATGAAATTGAAGAAATCTTAACATTGTTATAAATGAGAGGAATGGCATCTATAATGTAAGGTAGGGAAGAGTTACCTAAATCTCAAGCACATGGGGTCACCTCCACAACTTTAATCATGTCTACAATACAGCTGAATTTATTATTTATGATTTCAAGCAATTCACTTTTTTTTCTTTTTTCTTTTTTTTTTTTTTTTTGAGACTGAGTCTCACTCTATTTCCCAGGCTAGAGTGCAGTGGTGCAATCTTGGCTCACTGCAGTCTCCACCTCCCAGGTTCAAGCGATTCTCCTGCTTCAGCCTCCCAAGTAGCTGAGATTACAGGTGCCAACCACCATGCCTGGCTAATTTTTGTATTTTTAGTAGAGATGGGTTTTCACCATGTTGGCCAGGCTGGTCTCAAACTCCTGACCTCAAATGATCTGCCGGCCTCAGCCTCCCAAAGTGCTGGGATTACAGGCATGAGCCACTGCACCTGGCCAGAAATTCACTTTTTAAAAAAATTTCCTAAACAAGAATAACTATGAAATTCCAGACTTGGTTTGTTCATTACATTTTTTCTAATATATATGGAAAGAAAGGATAATTATTACCTAAAATCACCATGCATACTGTTGATACATTTGACACACTTAAAAATCAGAAAGTATTACCCTACTAGTTGAGATTGAAGATGGGATTTAACCTAGCTCTAGCCACATGCACCTTTCCGGACCTTGGTTTCATCATTGAAAGAATTGAAGTACCACCCCAAACCTGTTAGAACTAATAGACAAATTCAGTAAAGTTGCAAGATGCAGTCAAAATGCAAAAATCAGTAGCATTTTCATACACTAACAACAAGCTATCAAAAAAAAAAAAAAAGCAAGCAAGCAAGCAATCCCATTTACAGTAGTTAAAAAGAAGTTAAATACCTAGGAGTACATTTAACCAAGGAAGTGAAAGATCTCTACACTGAAAACTCTAAAACACTGATGAAAGGAACTGAAGACGCAAATAAATGGAAAGTCATGCCATGTTCATGTATTGAAAGATTTAACATTGTTTAAATATCCATACTACCCAAAGCAATCTACAGATTCAATGCCATCCCCATCATAATTCCAATGATAGAGCAGGGCGCAGTGGCTCACGCCTGTAATCCCAGCATTTTGGGAGGCCAAGGCAGGTGGGTCACCTGAGGTCGGGATTTCGGGACCAGCCTGACCGACATGGAGAAACCCCGTCTCTACTAAACATACAAAATTAGCCAAGCGTGGTGGCCCATGCTTGTAATCCCAGCTACTCAGGAGGCTGAGGCAGGAGAATCGCTTGAACCCAGGAGGCAGAGGTTGTGGTGAGCCGAGATGGTGCCATTGCACTCCAGCCTGGGCAACAAGAGCAAAACTCCCTCTCAAAATAATAATAATAATAATAATAATAATAATAATAATAATAATAATTCCAACGATATTTTTTCTCAGAAATAAAAAAAAAATCCCAAAATTTGTATGGCACTTTGGGAGGCCGGAGCAGGTGGATCACTTGAGGTCAGGAGTTTGAGACCAACCTGGCCAACATGGTGAAACCCTGTCTCTACTAAAAATACAAAAATTAGCCAGGCATGATGGTGCCTGCTTGTAATCCCAGTTCCTTGGGAGGCTGAGGCAGGAGAATCGCTTGAACCCTGGAGGTGGAGGGAGAGAAAGAAAAGAAAAAGAAGAGAAGAGAAGAGAGGAGGGAAGGCGGGAGGGTGGAGGGAGGGAAGGAAAGAAGGAGAAAGAAAAAAAGAAAGAGAGAAAGAGAGAGACAGAGAAAGAGAAAGGGAAAGGAAGGAAGAAGGAAAGAAGGAAGGAAGGGAGGGAGGGAAAATAAAGCAAAGAAAGAAAGAAACTTTGTAAACTATAACACGTAAAGCACGAGTACAGTTTTCCTGGAAGGTTTGTGATTGCCCACATTGCAGCCTGTGCTCCTCAAACTTGACCACATGGATGGATAGACCACTTTGAGTAGCAAAATAGAGAAAATTTAGAACTAGAAATCACATGGTTCAGCCTTGATTTCTGAGGCTTAGCGTTGGTTTCTATATGTACCAACACCGTCAATAAGAAAAACTTCTAGGCACTGTTCCTGGGAGGTTAGTAGTTAATGTCAATAGTATTTGGAGCCATAACACAATCCAGCAAAGAACGTTGCTCCAGGGCTGAAAATGCTGATGGAATCAGCCAACTGACCTATCCACATACTTCTCCCTCCCGGAGAAGAAAAATTAGGCATTAGGTCTTTTGAAAGTAAAAAAAACTCAATACTTTTCAAATATTTATTTTGTTCTGGAAACTGATATAAAATATCCAAAATCCACAACTGCTCTTTGAGGTGACCATTATCCCCATTTTATAGTTGAAGATACTATAAAATATTATAAAGATGAAGACACTGGCCGGGCACAGTGGCTCACACCTGTAATCCCAGCACTTCGGGAAGCTGAGGCAGGAGGATGGCTTGAGCCCAGAAGTTCAAGAACAGCCTGGGGCAACATGGCCAGACCCAGTCTCTACAAAAAATTAGCCAGGCGTGGTGGCACATGCCTGTGATCCCCGCTACTGGGGAGGCTGAAGTGGGAGGATCACCTGAGCGCAGAGATGTCCAGGCTGCAGTGAGCCATGATTATGCCACTGCTCTCCAGCATGGGCCACAGAGGGACACCCTGTCTCAAAAAAAAGGAAAAGAAAAAGACAATAACACACCACCTCATTCATTCATTCTATATAAATACATAAATAAGATACTACATGGTAGAGAATCCCTGCAAAGATCTTCAAAATCAACCCTAAACAGATAGTGGAAGGACAGGAGAGAGATACACTAACACTAAGTGGGGAAATTAGGGAATTTCTCACTACCCTCTCCGAGACTGAAGACTACTGAAATTAGTGTGGGGGTGTAGCCTGGGCATCATGAAGAACTGGTTGGGCAGCCTTTACATTCTGCTCTGTTCCTTCAAGTTGCCTTGAGAGAGATAGTCATCAGCCTGACTCCTTCAGCATGACAGTTAACAGTGCCCGGAGCATTGTCCACTGATATCAGCAACACAAACTCTGCGGGGGGCATGGGAGAGAATTCACAAAAATAGTCACAGACAGCCCTCAGGTAGTTCCTTCACCGTGCTTCCAACCAAATTGCTAGGACTATAGATTATCTTATTTCCTCCTAAGGGTTTAAAAGTGAAAACTCCAGCCAAAGGAGTGATTAGTGGATTGGCCTCAGACAGGGATTCACTAAGGGGTCTGTGATCCCTGGATTCTCAGTCCTCACATGGCCGGAACCAACATAGATGAGGCTGGCCTTGGCCCCTCCCAGTACGTATGACCAAACATTTTCCCAAAGGAAAATGAGCCCACAGCCAAATAACTGGACAGTTGAGGAGGAAAAGTCTACACAAGCAGCACGTATCATCTGATCACACATGTTGAAGCAGAAGGTCCCAAAATCTAATAATGCTCCTTAAATAGGAGACAAGAGAAAATGTTAGCAATATGCAGCAAGAACAAGATATCATTAAAACAAACTAAGTGAAAATATTAGGTAGGAAAAATAAAATAGCTAAAACAAAGAATTTGATAAATGGAAATTAATCAAATTTGACAAATGAAATAGAATGGATATAGTTGAAGAAAGAATATATGAACACATGATTGTGGTGGTCTCACAATAAGACTAAAACATAAGAAATAGAGAAGAAAAGCTTGGAAATGTGGATGATAAACATAAAAGTGCGAACACCTGAGCAATAAATTCAGATGGCATAAGAAGTAAAAATAGAGTGGAGGAAATACTTGAAGAAATAATGGAGATACATTTCCAAAAAAATGACCTTATTTGAAAGGACTTATAAAGAGCTAACAAGAGATAAGGAAAAATCAATTCCTAGGTACAAGTATAAAATTTAAAAATAATAAGCAAAAAATAATAATAAATAAAAATAATGAGGAGACTGGGCAAAGTGGCTTATGCCTGTAATCCTACACTTTGGGAGGCCAAAGCAGGAGGATCACTTGAGGCCAGGAGTTTGAGACAAGCCTGAACAACATTTTGAGACCCTATCTATCTCTACGAAAAAATTAAAAAAAAAAAAATAGCTAGTCATGGTGGCACTTGCCTGTAGTCCTAGCTACTGGGTAGGCTGAGGCAGGAGGATCACTTTAGCCCAGGAGGTCAAGGCTTCAGTGAGCTGTGATCATGCACCACTGCACTCCAGCCTGGGCCATAGAGTAAGACCCTCTCTCAAAATGATAATAATAATAATAATATGACAAAGAGAAAGCTCTAAAAGCTTCCAGAGAGAGAACAGATCATCTTCAAACTACATAGTAGTTATAAAGTATTAGGAGACAGTAATTTTGAAGGTAGAATTTTATTATTTATTTATTTATTTGTTTGTTTATTTATTTTTTGAGACGGAGTCTCGATCTGTTGTCCAGGCTGGAGTGCAGTGATGCAATCTTGGCTCACAGCAACCTCCACCTCCTGGGTTCAAGTGATTCTCATGCCTCAGCTTCCAAGTGGCTGGGATTACAGGCATGCACCACCATGCCTGGTTAACTTTTGTATTTTTAGTAGAGACAGGGTTTAACCATGTTGCCCAGGCTGGTCTCGAACACCCGCTTCAGCCTCCCAAAGTGCTGAGATTACAGACATGAGCCACCGTGCCCGGCCTCATTTCACCTCTTGAACTTGGGTTTTCTCGTGAGGCAGTTACACTTGATTTATAACGTTCCTCTCAGCTTTAAAATTCCATAAAATTCCAGAAGCACTATCTACTAGTGAAACAATTTGCTGGGAGAAGTAGTGAGTCCCCTGTCACTGGAAGCATCCAAGCAGAGTGAGAATAGCCAGTTGTCTGATATGCTGTAGAGAGAATTCCTACATTAGGTAAGGAGGTTAATATTTGATTTCAATAATTAAGCCAATAATAAAAAATAGCACTGAGTATGTAATATGTACCCAGCACTGCTCTAAGCATTTACACACGTCTCATTTGATCTTTTCGGTAACTGCAAGGGGAGTGGGTACTATCCCCATTGTACAGAGGATACTCAGATCAGGGGCAGCACTAACCAGAGAGCTCACAGCTAGAGAGAGACAGAGATTGGAAATCAGATTGCTGTGGCCCCCAGCAAGTCCTAATCACCACCCAATTCTGTCAGTAGCCTCGGGGTTCTGGGATGGGCATGTCTTTCCGCTGGCCTGGGATCTGGGTGCAAGGTGACGTGCCTGCCTCCTACCCATCTCCCTCCTAGGCAGGAAATTGAGCATGGAATGCAGACGGCAGGCTTGCCAACAAGGCCTCTTTCCCACGGCCTGCAGCAGAAAGGGGCTGCTTTCCGCTGCTTGGGCTGCAAATGCTCTGAGCCCTTCACCGGCAGCCTTATTTTACAGAAGGCGAAAACTAACACCCAGAAATGGCAAGCTACTTACCCAAAGTCACAGAACGAACAAGTGGCACAGTTGGGAAACATCTGCCTGGAGTCCTCACTTCCGGGCCAGTGCTTGATGTTCTGTTTTTTTTGTTTTTGTTTTTGTTTTTTTTTTTGAGACGGAGTCTCGCTCTGTCGCCCAGGCTGGACTGCAGTGGCGCAATCTCGGCTCACTGCAAGCTCCACCTCCCGGGTTCACGCCATTCTCCTGCCTCAGCCTCCTGAGTAGCTGGGACTACAGGCGCCCGCCACCGCGCCCGGATAATTTTTTGTATTTTTAGTAGAGACAGGGTTTCACCGTGGTCTCGATCTCCTGACCTCGTGATTCACCCGCCTCGGACTTCTGTTTTGTTTTTAACTAAATCACATTACTGCAGTCGCTTACATGTGACAGTCCCTCAGTTTTCTGTTCTGAATATATGTATTTTTTAATCAAGGCCTATGCATCAACTACAGCAAATTGGAGATTCCCAAGAGTGGCAATTATTCAAAACGAAACTCTCTGCCTATGATATTCTAAAAATTCTAATCTAACCTCACCCCTGTGTCACAAGAAACTCATCTCTTGTTGGTCCTGAATCCACACTTCTGCTCCTTTGAGGCAAGTTTCCTCACTAACATTGACCCCCAATTACATATTAACCTTTGCCCCAGCTGTCACCCAGCAGAATTCCCTCCGCAGTCCTCTCTGCTTATCTGGCCTGCTGGGAACTCACGATCGGACAGCACTGAGAATTGAACAACTGTTTCTTTCTTCTTCTTCTTCTTTTTTTTCTCAAGATCTGCTTTTAGGAGAAGCAATCATTTCAACACTGCATTACAAATGAACTTATACCTCAGTCAGAAACAAGCAACCCCATTCCCCACATAAGCTATTATTATTATTATTTTTTGGACATGGAGTTTCACTCTGTTACCCAGGCTGGAGTGTAGTAGTGCCATCTTGACTCACTTCAACCTCTGCCTCCCAGGTTCAAGTGATTCTCCTGCTTCAGCCTCCCGAGTAGCTGGGATTACAGGGGCCCGCCACCATGCCCGGCTAATTTTTGTATTTTTTAGTAGAGACAGGGTTTCACCATGTTGGCCAGGCTGGTCTCGAACTCCTGACCTGAAGTGATCCACCCACCTTGGCTTCCCAAAGTGTCGGGATTACAGGCATGAACCACTGCACCTGGCCTTTTTTTTTTTTTTTTTTTTTTTTATGGGCAATATGTACTTTCAGATCACATGTTGGTTGGGGATCATCCTCCAAGATGCACATTCACTTTCTGGAGGATGACACAGTTAGAAACAGGTTTTAGAATCCAGTGTGACCTTGGGCAGATCTTTCATCTGTTCTCAATCACATTTGTAAAACATAGGCAAAGACTGTGGCAACCTCACAAAGAATGTTTGCTGAAAGGAGAAACGAGTGGTTTCTGGGCCAATCCATTCTTACCCTGTGGAAGTCAGACCCCATGTCTCACTTCATCGGCAAGTGTAGTTGAAGATTGTCATCAACATCATCCCCCTGGCCCGCCGCCTGTTGGCATCAAGGTCACCTGCAGTGGGTCTTCCACACTGAGGGACTGTGCCCTTTGCCACTCAGCTGGGGCCCAAAGCTCTGTTCTCCACAAAAGTCATAAAGGGATATTAATGGAAATACTGGCAAATCTTACAATATAGAAATATAAAAAAGTTCTGTGTTAAAACTATTGTAAGCAAACTGAGAAAACAATCATGAAACTGGGAGAAATACCTGCAAGAAGAAATTATGCGCAATCATATCACAGGCAGAGGTGAACTTCCCTAATACATAAAGAGCTTCTACTATTCAATAGGAAGAAGCCTACCAACACAAAAAGAATAAACAGAAGTAAAGGATATAAACATTTAGTCACAGAAAAGGAAATACAAACAGTTCTGGACATTTTATTTTATTTTTTTTAATTAAAAAAATTGCCAGGCACAACGGCTCACGCCTGTAATCCCAGTACTTTGGGAGGCTGAGGCAGGCGGATCACGAGGTCAAGAGATCGAGACCATCCTGGCCAATATTGTGGAACCTCGTTTCTACTAAAAACACAAAAATTAGCTGGGCATGGTTGCGGGTGCCTATAATCTCAGTTACTTGGGAGGCCGAGGCAGGACAATCGCTTGAACCTGGAGCTGGACGTTGCAGTGAGCCGAGATCGCACCACTGCACTACCGCCTGGTGACAGAGTGAGATTCCGTCTAAAACAAAACAAAACAAAACAACAACAACAAGCAAAAACTAATGAGCAAACAAAAAACAAAAAAAAAAATATTGTACTAAGAGAACAATTTTCCACCTATCATGTTGAGGAACATATTTAAGAGTTTTATGGCTGGATGTGGTGGCTCACACCTGTAATCCCAGCACTTTGGGAGGCCAAGGCAGGTGGATCATCTGAGTTTGGGAGTTTGAGACCAGCCTGACCAACATGGAGAAACCCCATTTCTACTTAAAATACAAAATTAGCCAGGCGTGGTGGCACGTGCCTCTAATCCCAGCTACTTGGGAGACTGAGACAGGAGAATCACTTGAATCCGGGAGGCGGAGGTTGAGGTGAGCTGAGATTGCACCATTGCACTCCAGCCTGGGCAACAAGAGTGAAACTCCATCTCAAAATATAAAAAAATAAAAAAAAAGTTTTATGACGTGCTTGTTAGAGCTGTGTGAGGAAGAAAGCATTTCTATACACTGAGGATGAGAGTGTATATTAAAGTCACTGCTGTGAGGCAATTTGGCATTATCAATCAAAATCACAAATGCACAAACCCTTTGACTCAGGAATACAGATATATTCTGATGCATGCCAAAAACGTATGGACAAGATTTTTCATTGCAAAATTGTTTGTCATCTTCTTATACAGTGTATGAATACGAGAACTCTGGAAATGTACACCCATATTATTGTATAATGCAAGCATGCATTTTTATTCTGCTTATATATGTTTTTTCCTGAACTTATACATATTTACTGATAAAATAAGCTAGCATTGCTTTTACATAATGTTTAAATATGTAAATGTCAATCTGTGTTTAACAAAATTGATATATTGCACTGATGAATTTTATTTCAAAAGTTATCTTTTGGCTGGGCGAGGTCGCTCACACCTGTAATCTCAGCACTGTGGGAGGGTGAGGTGGGTGGGTCACCTGAGGTCAGGAGTTCGAGACCAGCATGACCAATATAATGAAATTCCATCTTTGCTAAAAACATGAAAATTTGCCGGATGTGATGGTGTGGGCCTGTAGTCCCAGCTACTTTGGAGGCTGAGACAGGATAATCGCTTGAACCCGGGAGGCAGAGGTTGCAGTGAGCCGAGATTGTGCCACTGCACTCCAAGCCTGGGCAACAGAGCGAAACTCCATCTCAAAAAAAAAAAAAGTTATCTTTCATGGTATGTCCACTTTAGATTTCAAAGATCTTTAGGTAACTTAAAACCTTCTACTCATTTAATTGATGGATATTTGCTAGTTACATAAATAATTTCTAGGAAAAATGAAAGGCTAAAATATGCATTATGAAGCATAATTTAAGTGTATAAACTTTTGCTTATTTTTATTTCTTTATTATTTTTATTTTATTTTTTATACTTTTTTCTTTCCTTTTTGTGGAGATCAGAGTCTTGCTATATTGTCCAGTCAGGTCTTGAACTCCTGGGCTGAAGCTATCCTCCCACCTCTGCCTCCCTAAGAGCTGGGATTACAGGCATGAGCCACCTTGCCCAGCCTTATTATTATTATTATTTTTTGAGACGGAGTTTCACTCTTGGTTGGCCAGGCTGGAGTGCAGTGGCAGGATCTCGGCTCACTGCAACCTCCACCTCCTGGGTTTAAGTGATTCTCCTGCCCCAGCCTCTAGAGTAGCTGAGATTATAGGTGCCTGCCACCATGCCAGACTAATTTTGTATTTTTAGTAGAGACAGGGTTTTGCCATGTTGACCAGGCTCGTCTTGAACTCCTGACCTTAGATGATCCACTTGCCTCAGCCTCCAAAGGTGCTGGGATTACAGGCGTAAGCCATAGCACCTGGCCTGTTTTTATTTTTTGAGACAGAGTCTTGCTCTGTTGCCCAGGCTAGAGTGCAGTGGAGCAATCTCAGCTCACTCCAATCTCCACCTCCTGGGTTCAAGCGATTCTCCTGCCTCAGCCTCCCGAGTAGCTGGGATTACAGGCATGTGCCATCACACCTGGCTAATTTTTGTATTTTTAATAGAGACAGGGTTTTGCCATGTTGCCCTGGCTGGTCTCCAACTCCTGACCTCAAGTGATCCACCCGCCTCGGCCTCCCAAAGTGCTGGGATTACAGGCATGAGCCACCGGCCCGGCCCTTGCTTCTTTTTTTATATGCTACGAAGAGCTTACATCTTTGGATCTGTTAATGAACGTGTTTCTTTTTGCCACTTGGAGAAGTTATACCATAAGGGATTCATATGGCTGCAGAGAGTTGTGTCATGTGCATTCATGAGCTTTGCTTGTCTGCTATATGTTAAGTGACAGTCACAGTTAAAAGTGTCCAACTTCCCGTGTTCTCTGTGAAATGGAATTTGCTTTACTTAAAAGTTATCATTAATGTGAGTGATTGACACTATGCTTTGGAGCAATAGTTTCAGAGAAATACAACTGTGTATGTGTTTCTGTTTTGTTTTGTTTTTTTGAGACAGAGTCTCACTCTGTCTCTAAGGCTGGAGTGCAGTGACGCCATCTCAGCTCACTGAAACCTCTGCCTTGTGGGTTCAAGCGATTCTCCTCTCTCAGCCTTCCTAGTAGCTGAGAGGTGCCCACCACCACACAGGGCTAATTTTTAGTAAAGATGGGGTTTCACCATGTTGGCCAGGCTGGTCCAGTACTTCTGATCTCAGGTGATGCACCCGCCTTGGACTCCCAAAGTGTTGGGAATACAGGCGTGAGCCACTGCCCCTGGGTATACTTCTGTTTTCTAAGGAAAATAAAGTACTGTGGTTTTGTCTTAAAGCTGCAGTACTCAGATTAGGTTTGGGGCAATGGGTTTGGGAGTTTGTTTTTAGTTGGTTTGTTTGGTGAAACCTCTTTACACACCTCCAACATAATGAGGACACCAAAGAGCTTTTTTTTGTGTATTATAGCTATTAGTATTTACAGTTAAACATTTAAACATAAATTTCTAAAAAATATTTTTTCATTCCTCTCAGCACATACCTATAAAACATAATTTTTTTTTTTTTGAGACGGCATCTCTCTCTGTCACTGAGGCTGGAGTCCAGTGGTGCGATCTCAGCTCACTGAACTAGAGATCTCCCCTGTCCAAGCTTTTCTCGTGCCTCAGCCTCCCAAGTAGCTGGGACTACAGGCACCTGCCACCACACCCGCCTAATTTTTGTATTTTTATTAGAGACGGGGTTTCACCATGTTGGCCAGGCTGATCTTGAACTCCTGACCTCAAGTGATCCACCCATGTGGGCCTCCCAAAGTGCTGGGATTACAGGCATGAGCCACCACGCCTGGACGCTATAAAACATAACTTTTAAGAAAGCTTATTTAATGGTTCATTTAAAAATAGCAACAATGAATGAAGTACAATAAATACACCTCAGCAGCATTGTGAAATTAGTTCTGACCTCATGGGCCCCTTGAGCTTGGTCCTAAAGTCAAGGGTGAGTTTATTGTAGAATGCAAAAGAGCATGCCGACATGAATTTTTTTTTTTTTTTTTTTTTTTGAGATGGAGTCTAGCTCTCTTGCCCAGGCTGGAGTGCAGTGGCACGATCTCGGCTCATTGCAACCTCCACTTCTCCTGTTCAAACAATTCTCCTGCCTCAGCCCCCTGAGTAGCTGGGATTACCGGCATGCACCACCATATCCAGCTAATTTTTGTATTTTTAGTAGAGATGAGGATTCACCATGGTGGCCAGACTGGTATTTATATATATATAAAATATTTTAGTCTGAAATATGTTAAACACTATGAAATTTGCTTAAGGTCTTATAAAAGTTTGCTTTTATAACAACATACACTTTATCATATAAAACATATATAATATATAATATTTTATAATATATAATGCATATAAAATACATCATATGCATTTTAACACTATTAAATTTACTAAAATTCTTTAAAAATTTTGTTTAATATTCATGGCCTTGTTTCCCTGGTTTACTGTTTGCCGTCTTCACCTATATTATGAAGGGTTATTCTTCTTTTCTATGTAAATCTACCTAGATAGCAAAGATTCAGTGTTTTACCAGAATAATTTTTTGATTTTCATGTTGATTTTATTATGCCCTTGACTATTTAAAGAAACAACATTTGTTATTTAGGAGAGGGCTAAAGTTCTTTACAATCATGTTATTTTCTATCTATTTTTATTTAGTTTGGTTTCTTTTTCTTCTTCTTTTTTTTTTTTTTTGAGACAGAGTTTCACTCTTGTTGCTCAGGCTGGAGTGCAGTGACACGATCTCTGCTCACTGCAACCTCAGCCTCCTGGATTCAAGCGATTCTCCTGCCTCAGCCTCCGGAGTAGCTGGGATTATAGGTGCCCGCCACCACGCCCAGCTAATTTTTTGTATTTTTAGTAGAGACGGCGGGGTTTCACCATGTTGGCCAGGCTGGTCTTGAACTCCTGACCTCAGGTGATCCACCTGCCTCGGCCTCCCAAAGTGCTGGGATTACAAGAGTGAGCCACTGTGCCCCACCTATTTAATTTAATTTAATTAATTTATTTATTTTTTGAGATGGAGTCTCCCTCTGTTGCCCAGGCTGGAGTGCAGTGGCATGATCTCGGTTCACTGCAACCTCTGCCTCCCGGATTCAAGCAATTCTTCTGTCTCAGCCTCCTGAGTAGCTGGGACTATAGGCGTGCCACGCCTGGCTAATTTTTGTACTTTTAGTAGAGACGGGGTTCCACCATATTGGCCAGGATGGTCTTGAACTCCTGACCTCATGATCTACCGGCCTCGGCCCCCAAGACTGCTGGGATTACAGGTGTGAGCCACAGCACTGGGCTGCCCGGCCTATTTTTAAATGTTGTATTGTCCCTTACAAATGGGTAGGCAAATATTATTTCTCAGACACCTATGATCCTACATTAAGTGTTCAAATCTCCTGACCATTTTGGATTTTGTATTCCCAAAATTCCTAAATGTGAAATAAAATAAAATAAAAGGAATGATAGCTGAGCTTTCCCAGAAATACCATTGAAAATCGCAAAAGATTTGTTACTTCTCCGTATGAAAAGAGAGGTGCCAGAAATAAACAGGTATATTTGATATGTTACTATTGTTGAATTACCCGGGAATAGATGAGGTTATTTTTTATCAAAACAGAGGGAAAGTGTAGGAAAAATTTCCTTTCAATGGAAAATTAAATATTGCCTATAGTCCACCCTTTCACATTATCTGCTTTTGACTCCATGGGAGTTATTTTACAGCTTGTAAAATGTAGATAACTGATAGAAATGAAAAATAATTCTTGGCTCTAGACCTGTACATTTAGTCCTGCCAGTAGAGGTTCAGTGGAATTCCCTTTGCCACCCTGGAAGAAGCTGGCTTGAGCTCTGTTGGTGCGTTTGTTTCAACATTCCTTTGCTCCATACAAATGTAGCTTTTTTGACTTCTCCTTTGAGTCAGTTATAATCTGCTGTTTGAGAGTCATGATTTTATTTTATTTATTTATTTTTTTTGAGACAGGGTCTTGCTCTATTACCCAGGCTTGAGTGCAGTGATGCAAGCTTGGCTCACTGCAGCCTTGACCTCCTGGGCTCAAGTGGTTCTCTGACTCAGCCTCCTGAGTAGCTAGAACTACACACTTGAGCCACCATGCCTGGCTAATTGTTATTATTATTATTATTATTTTGTAGAGGGGGGTTGCACTATATTGCCCAAGCTGGTCTTGAACCCCTGGCCTTAAGCGATCTTCCCACCTCAGTCTCCCAAAATGCTGCTATTATAGTCATGAGCAGCCACTCCAGGCTGATGATTTTTATCCATTTTAATAAATGTATCTTTTAACAATGAGGACAATGGAAGTTAATTCATTACAAATGATGGAAGCCTATTGCATTAGAGTTTAATTCTCTTCCTTAATCCTTGTTGTGAATACCTGGAAGGCAGTAACTGAAAGAACATTAGCTGGTATTAACCTTCAACAACTCTGGAATATAGCCACATCTCCTACCTAGGGTAGCCCCTGGCAAGTTGCTTTCCTCCCCTACATCTACGCAGCTTCCTAGTTGGGTGGGGCTAAAATAATCTCTTCCTGACCTACACCAGCAGGTGGGACTGGATCAAGAGTCCTAGGCCTGAAAAAAAAAAAAAGAAAGAAAGAAAGAAGGAAAAAAGAAAAAGAAAGAAAGAAGAAAAAAGAAAAGAAAAGAAAAACGAAACAAAACAAAAAGAACAGGAAAAAGAAAAAAATCGAACTTGTGAAAAGGGGGAAGCCAGGCACGGTGGCTCATGCCTTTAATCATGAGCACTTTGGGAGACCAGGGCGGGTAGATCATTTTAGGTCAGGAGTTCGAGACCAGCCTGGCCAACATGGTGAAACCCCCGTCTCTACTAAAAATACAAAAATTAGCTGAGCATGGTGGCACACACCTGTGGTCCCAACTACTTGGGAGGGTGAAGCAGGAGAATCGCTTGAACCCAGGAGATGAAGGCTGCAGTGAGCCGAGATCACCATTACACTCCAGCCTGGGCAACAGAGTGAGACTCCGTCAAAAAAAAAAAAAAAAGAAAAAGAAAAAAAGAAAGAAAGAAAGAAAAGAAAGAAAGAAAAGAAGGGGAAATAAAAGAAAATTTAACAGGAGTCTCAATCCTGGAGGGAAAATATCAATCCTAGTCTGGAAGGGAATAGAAGCAGAGCAGGTTTAGAAGTTAGTCCTACTCTATTCATTTTATGGGGTCCCTGCAGCAGCTGAGTTGAAATGAAGATAAAATGAAGCTTAGAGCCAGGAGATGAATATTTTAAAAAACTTTTTACTGATGAATAATGTATATACATTTTAAGAATTAGACACACCAATGCAACCAGCACCCAGACCAAATGACAGAACACTACCAGCAGCTCAGAAACCCCCTCGTTTCTCTTGCAGAAAATTGATACTGAGTTCTTGTGACATGGATTAATTTGCCTGGTTTGTGCTTTATATAAATGGTATCACACAGCATTTTTTGAGAAAATGTCTTTCCGCAATTGTATTTTCATCCATAATGTTGCATGTAGTGGTCGGTCATTCATTCTTTAGTCTGGTGTCAACGGGAATTTGCGTGGTTTACAGCTTAGGACTATGATAATAGTGCAGCTATGATCCTATGATCATTCTTTTTTTTTCTTCCTCTTTCTCTCTTTTTTTCTTTCTTTCTCTTTCTTTCTTTCTTTCTTTCTTCCTTTCTTTCTTCTTTCTTTTCTCTTTCTCTCTTTCTCTCTTTCTTTCTTCAGGGTCTCACTCTGTTCCCCAGGTTGGAGTGCAGTGGTACAATCTTGGCTCCCTTCAGTCTCTGACTCCCAGGCTCAAGCCATCCTCCTACCTCAGCCTCTCAAGTAGCTGGAACTACAGGCATGCACCACCACACCCAGCTAATTTTTGTATTTTTAGTGGAGACAGGGTTTCGCCATGTTGCCCAGGCTGGTCTCAAACTCCTGGACTCAAGCAATCTGCTTGCCTCAGCCTCCCAAAGTGTTGGGATTACAGGCGTGAGCCACCACTCCCAGCATGATCATTCTTGTCCATGTTTTTTTTTATGACCATGGATTTCTGCTAGGTATATGCCTAGGAATGGAATTGCCAGGTCATATTTATTTCTATATCTGTCAATCTGTACATACACTAAAAATCAGGAGCTCATGCTGATGCCTCTGATTCTAATCTAACACAATAGGGTTCACTTTGCCCTTCCCTTTTTATTTGTAGTTCTCTCTTTGACAGTGAGATGCCTCCCTCCCACTAAATACAATGTATTTACTTATTTGCTCAATCTCAGAATACCCATAAAATAGTTTCAGAGTTGGTAACCCATATTCCCTAGCTCTGTCTGCTGAGAGGCCCTAGACACAGTGACACCTCAGTAACAATGAGGACATCCAGCACCCAGATCTTAGATTCTAAATACATTCCCTCAATAAAGGAAGCAGAGTTCTTTGGAGAAATGATTAAGTACAGGGTGGGGTCAGTGAAATTATAAAATAATCCTGGAACATCTTATGTCAGAAAGGAAGTGCTCAAAATAGAATAAGGGCATTTCAAACAAACACAAGGGGTGACTTGAAGATGCTTACATTGGCCATACCTGGGACAGTTGGAACAATGATACAAATGATGTTGGTCATGGATTATCACTGGTAGAATAAACTAAATATCCATGAGTCTATACTGAAATAATTGCATAAGTAATTGGGAGAGAAGGGACAGCTCTTCCTTACCACTGAATTACAATTAATAAATGGAGAAGGAATTATGAAAGTAGAAAAATCATCTGTTGGAAAACACAGTGGTAATTAATATTGCAGACAAGAATCACCAATGAATGCCAAAATTGGTTGGTGAAAGTATGATGATAAACAAGATATTTACATAGTCTCCAAGACAGCTCCTTGTAAGATACTCATTAAGTTCAGAAGGAAAAATAGGATTTTACAATGGAGAAATCTTTGCTACATCATCTCTCAAAGTTAACGTCTCCAGTAATGGGATGCAGCAATATCACATGTGCCTCCTGATATAATGCATGGGGAAGGGTATAACCTGCTTCTGTGGTGTTCTCACCAAAAACACAAAACCTCATTCTCATTGTGAGAAAGCACTAGACAAACTCAAGTTGGAGGACATTCTACAAAATAATTGGCCAGTACTCTTCAAGAGTGTCAAGGTTATGAAAGACAAAAATAGCCTGGATGCTTTAAAACTGTCAAAATTATGAGAGGAGGAGAAAGACGGAGGAGCCGTTCTGGATGGAAGGATCCCACTGAGACACGGCAGCGGAATGCCACGTGCAGTCCTGGATCGCATTCTGGAGGAGAAAAAGCACGTTAGTGGGGCTACTGGCAACACTGAATGAAGTCTGTAGATTCACAGACAGGATTGCATTAATGTTCATTTCCTGGCTTTGATAATTCTGTAGCTATGTGAGATGTTAATATTTGGGGAGGCTGGTGAAGGTTGTACAAGAATTTGCTGTACTCTTTTTGTAAACTCAAAATTATTTCCAAGGAAAAATACTTAAAAAGAAAAAGAAAGAGGGAATTGGATGGGTTTGTGTAATTCTTCAGCCAAAAACTCTGCTGGCACCTCTGCCTACAGCATGAAGGGTTACTCTTTTGAGAGTGGCATTCAAGGCCCCCCATAATCTGACCAAAATTTCCCCCAGATTTACTGCCCATTCTCCTGCCGCCCACACACCTCCATCAATCTCCATGGCATGAAGGATGCACTGCTTAGAAACTCCTACTCATGTTTAAAGACCCTTTCGGGGGGCCTTTACTTTACACCTTCAGGAAGCAGAGTTAGCTGCCAGCTCTTCCTTGGTCAACAGTCATCTCTCCTGGAAACCTTGATCCTCTTCCGGGGCCTCTGCAGGCCTAGCTGGCATTACTCACAACCCTCTCTGCCCTCAGGAGACTTATAACCTGCAAGTACACCCAGCAAAGAAAACATAGTGACAGGCCCAGGAAAGCAGGTTAGAGGCAGGGAGCAAGAGAATTCACATTCTTCTGTGATCATCGGTGTTATTATTACTCCCTCTTTGTTGGTGAGGCTCAGAGAGAGGAGGTGAACTGCCTGAAGCTACACCACTAGCAAGAACAAAGTCACGATTTGAACTCAATTCCTTTGCCTCCCTTACTAAGAGATACTAACTCGGAAATGCTCTGAACAGTCAGCCAAGCAATGTCTTCAGACAGTTTATATTTTACTCTGACTCTCACCTCAGGGAGCCAAAATAAGATCATCTCCCTAGAGAGCACTGCAGAGAAAATTCTCAAAGAGCTGGAGGGAAATGCCAACCCACTTCTACCCGCCGAAGCCACAGGGAATTCATAGCTTGATGCACTTTCAGGAAATAGCGACGGATTTCACAGTGAACTGAATTGACACTTAGCAATGTGAATCTGCAGCTAAAACATCTCAAAACCGACTACATGGACACCAGGCACTGCGGGTGGCTGAGTTCTTTTGCTGGGCCCTCAATTTAGGCCAGTTTCCTCCCCTTCTAAATGTGGATTTATCAATTCAAAAGACACTGGTTGGAAAACTGCTATTGCTAAGCTCTGGGAGAATCACAGAACCCATTGCATAGGGTAGCAGCCAAGATTAACTGAAAAATAGACTATGTAGCCATTGAATACTACTCAGCCATAAAAAGGAATAAAATAATGGCATTAGCAGCAGCCTGGATGGAGGTGGAGAACATTATTCTAAGTGAAGTAACCAGGAATGAAAAACCGAAGATCGTATGTTCTCACTTATAATTGGGGGCTAAGCTATGAGGATGTAATGCATAGGAATGATATAATGGACTTGGGGACTGGGGAAAGGGAGTGTGGGAGGGGGTGAGGGATAGAATACAACACACTGAATACAGTGTACACTGCTCAGGTGACGGGCGCACCAAAATCTCAGAAATTGCCACTAAATAGCTCATGCATGTTGGCTGGGTGCGGTGGCTCACACCTGTAATCCCAGCACTTTGGGAGGCCAAGGTGGGTGGATCATTCGAGATCAGGAGTTCAAGACCAGCCTGGTCAACATGGTGAAACTCTCTCTACAAAAAATACAAAAGTTAGCTGGGGGGTAGTAGCGCATGCCTGTAATCTCAGCTACTCAGGAGGCTGAAGCAGGAGAATCACTTGAGCCTGGGAGGTGGAGGTTGTGGTGAGCCAAGATTGTGCCACTGCACTCCAGTCTGGGCGACAGAGTGAGACCCTGTCTCAAAAAAAAAAAAAAAAGAAGGAAAGAAAAGAAAACAACTTCATATCCTTTGCAGGGACATGGATGAAGCTGGAAACCATAATTCTCAGCAAACTAACACAAGAACAGACAACCAAACACTGCATATTCTCACTCATAAATGGGAGTTGAATAATGAGAACACAGGGACACGTGGAGGGGAACATCACACACTGGGGCCTGTCAGGGGGTGAGGTGCTGGGGGAGGGACAGCATTAGGAGAAATACCTAATATAGATGACAGGTTGATGGGGGCAGCAAACCAACATGGCACGTGTATACCTATGTAACAAACCAGTACATTCTGCACATGTATCCCAGAACTTAAAGTATAATTTAAAAAAAAGAACTTATCTATGTAACCAAAAACCACCTGTTCCAAAAACTATTGAAATATATATATATATGTAAAAGAACTTATCTATGTAACCAAAAACCACCTGTTCCAAAAACTATTGAAATACATATAGTTAAAATGAATAAGATCTATTATTTGATGGCAAAACAGGGTAATTACAGTCAACAATAATTTATTGCACATT
Organism: Homo sapiens; assembly: GCF_000001405.40. Taxonomy (NCBI): domain Eukaryota; kingdom Metazoa; phylum Chordata; class Mammalia; order Primates; family Hominidae; genus Homo; species Homo sapiens. The sequence goes on along the minus strand of NC_000002.12, from coordinate 129,942,175 downwards.
TTATGTTTTTTTCTTTTTCTTTTTACTGTACCTTTTCTATGTACATTTAAAAGTAGCTAAAATAGTACAGCTGGAATATCTGTAGCACAAAGAAATGGTAAATGCTTGAGGTGACAGATACCCCATTTACCCTGATGTAATTATTACACATTGTATGCCGCATCAAAACATCGCTTGTGCCCCATAAATAGATATATCTACTATATACCCATAAAAATTAAAAATTAAACACATTTTAATCAGAAAAAATAAATCTATAATATAATTTTTACAAATTAAAAAAAAACAGACTATATAGTGCTACACACCAGGTTGGACATGAAGTCAAAATCATTAATGTTGGCTGTTTTAACTATTGGTATTATAACTGTTAATATTATTATTATTATTATTATTTTTGAGATGGAGTCTGGCTCTGTCACCCAGACTGGAGTGCAGTGGCACTATCTCGGCTCACTGCAATCTCCACCTCCCGGGTTCAAGCAATTGTCCTGCCTCAGCCTTCTGAGTAGCTGGGATTACAGGTGCGTGCTACCACATCTGGCTAACTTTAAAAAATATTTTTGGTAGAGACAGCATTTCACCATGTTGGCCAGGCTGGTCTTGAACTCCTGACCTGAAGTGATCCACCCACTTTGGCCTCCCAAAGTGCTGGGATTACAAGATGAGCCATGGCGCCCGGCCAATATTATTATTATTATTTATTTATTTTGAGACAGTCTTGCTCTGTCACCCAGGCTGGAGTGCAGTGGTGCAATCTCAGCTCACTGCAACCTCCGCTTCCTGGGTTTAAGCAATTCTCATGCCTCAGCCTCCTGAGTAGCTGGGATTACAGGTGTGTGCCACCACACATGGCTAATTTTTGTATTTTTTTGTATTATTATTATTATTTTCAGTAGAGATGCGGTTTCACCATGTTGGCCAGGCTGGTCTCAAACTCCTGATTTCAGGTGATCTGCCCACCTTGGCCTCCTGAAGTGCCAGGATTACAGGTGTGAGCCACCACGCCCAGCCATAACTCTTAGTATTAAACCTCTACCCTCACGCTACACTTGGCTTCTCCCTGTACCAAGCAGACCTCCCCATCTTCCTACAGCTTATCCTACCTGGGAGGATTCAGGGCCACATTTAAGAAAGGGGGCAGAGCCGGGCGGGGTGTCTCACGCCTGTAATCCTAGCACTTTGGGAGGCTGAGGCGGGCGGATCATGAGGTCAGGAGATCGAGAACATCCTAGCTAACACGGTGAAACCCCGTCTCTAATAAAAATACAAAAAATTAGCCAGGCGTGGTGGCGGGCGCCTGTAGTCCCAGCTACTTGGGAGGCTGAGGCAGGAGAATGGCATGAACCCGGGAGGTGGAGCTTGCAGCGAGCTGAGATTGCGCCACTGCACTCCAGCCTGGGTGACAGAGCGAGACTCCGTCTAAAAAAAGAAAAAAAAAAAAAAAGAAAGGGGGCTTATTGCAGCACAGTTCATAATTCCCGAGGCACAGAACCACCTTAAGTGCCCACTGACCAATGAGTGGATAAAATGTGGTATATGTACACCATGGACTAATACTCAGCCATACAAAGGAACGAAATAATGTCTTTTGAAGCAACTGGGATGGAGTTGGAGACCATTATTCTAAGTGAAGTAACTTAGGAATGGAAAACCAAATACCATATGTTCTTACTTAAGTGAGAGCTGAGCTATGAGGACACAGAGACATACAGAGTGATATAATAGACCCTGGAAACTCAGAAGGGGGAGGATGGGCGGGGAGTGTGGGATAAAAAGCTACATATTGGGTACAATGAACACTACTTGGGTGGTGCGTGCACTAAAATCTCAGAATTCACCGTTTTACAATTCATTCATGTAACCAAATATAACTTGTACCCCCAAAGCTACTGAAACTTTACAAAATTAATAACAATTTAAAAAGAAACAGCTCTCTTTCTGCCTCCACTGCCGCCATGGCGCCTGGGAAAAAGCTTGTGGTGAATGGAAAAAAAAGAAGCAGGTTCTGAAGTTCACTCTAGATTGCAGCCACCCCGTGGAAGACGGAATCATGGACGCTGCCAATTTTGAACAGCCTTTCCGAGAGAGGATCAAAGTGAACTGAAAAGCTGGGAAACCTGGTGGAGGGGTGGTGACCATCGAAAGGAGCAAGAGCAAGATCACCATGACATCTGAGGTGCCTTTTTCCAAAAGATATTTGAAATATCACACCAAAAAATTTTGAAGAAGAATAATCTATGTGATTGGTTTGTGTAGCTGCTAACAGCAGAGTTATGTTACTTCCAAATTAACCAGGATGAGGAAGAGGAGGAAGATGAGGATTAAATTTCATTTATCTGGAATATTTTGTATGAGTTCTTGAATAAAACTTGCGAACCAAAGAAACAAACAAAAAACCTTCTTTTTCTTTTTTTGAGACGAGTCTCACTCTGTCACCTAGGCTGGCATGCAGTGCCGTAATCATAGTTTGCTGCAGCCTCGAGCTTGTCATCCTTCCACCTCAGCCTCTTGAGTAGCTGGGCCTACAGGTGTGTGCCACTACACCCGGCTAATTTTTAAATTTTTTTGTAGAGAGAGGGTATTACTATGTTGTCCAGGCTGGTCTTGAACTCCTGAACTCAAGCCACCTTCCCACCTCAGCTTCCTAAAGTGCTAGGATTACAGGAGTGAGCCACTGCATCCAACCTCAAAAAAACTTAAATCTCAACCTGTCGTGTCGCCCCCTCCTTTTCCTTCCCTCAACAGAGACATCCACATTCACACTTCACTGGCTCACTTTCTCCGGCTATAACTTCTGTGCCTTGGGTTAGTAGCCCCTGTCCATCTGTGCAGAGAGCGGGCTAGCCTTGCCCAGTGCTCACTGAGAACTCTCCCATTGTGGGTCTTCCTGGTATCTCTGGAAATCCTCTCTTGTGCCAGAGGGAGAAGACAAGGAGGCTTTGTACAGCTCAGACCCTCCCAACCACTGAGGCTCTTTTAATTGGGCTGTCCTCTCAGCGTACTTCTCTCCCCAGAGAGATGACCAGCCCCTATTTCCTGTTTCCTTTGCCCTTTGCCTTTGGGTATGAGTTGGGAGAGCAAGCCCCTGCCAGATTCCCCACCACTTGTGCCCCGGCCCAGCCAGGCTGGGAGGACCTGTGCACATCCTGTAGCATTGCCTGTGGAGGCAACACAGGCGCCTGGGAGGCAAATCCCCAAATTCCTAAATAGTACCTGTGTGCCCTGGGCCACCTCCTAACTTCTCCAAGCCTCACATTCTACATGCTCCCATGACCATGGCAGGTACTGTCACAATCTGCATGGATTATGAGGCTACCTGCCAGGGTCATGGGAGCATTAAGTGAAAGAGGAACGTCTGCACATTAGGACACTTCATTCATGCAGGTGGTTATGAGCGTTTTCCCCTAACTGCACAGGTCTTGCCCCTCTGTGCCCCCTATATCCCATTTGTCCCTTTCTCACCTCCACTCTTTTCCAGATTCTCTATTTAGTGCCCTTCTTGGGACTTGAGAGTCAAGGGGCCTGATCATGCTGAGGACCATGAATTTTGGAACCAGATCTACCTAGCTTCCAAACTGGGATCTGCCACCCTCCACCCTTGAATCAAATATATTTAATAGATCTTATTTTTTAAAATGGGGATAAGGATATCTACTTGATAGGCTTACTGACGCAAGGATTAAATAGGATAATGCATATACAGCCCCAGCACAATACCGGGTTCAGAGAAGTTTAGCAAATAATAGAATAATAAATAATAAGAGGTATTATTAGATCCAGCTGGCTACCCCCTTGCTTTGAGGCTTGGCATATGGTTGGCATATTTCTCTAGTTCCTGCCACTGATGCCAGTCTCCCCTATCTTTAATTTCACTGGTCACTTTAGAGAATATTGGAAGGAGGAGGTTTGTTAACTGGGTCCACTGGCTCCATACTATCATTTTGCCCAGGAGTTTCCCGATCTTGGCTCACTGAAACCTCTGCCCTCTGGGTTCAAGTGATTCTCCTGCCTCAGCCTCCCTAGTAGCTGGGATTACAGGCGTGTGCTACCACGCCCGGCTAATTTCTGTATTTTTAGTGGAGACAGGGTTTCCCCATGTTGGCCAGGCTGGTCTTGAACTCCTGACCTCAACTGATCCACCCGCCTCTGCCTCCCAAAGTGCTGGGATTATAGGCATGAACCACTGCACCCAGCCAAACACTTGTTGATAGTGGCATCTTTTAAAATTTTTTTAATTTTTAATTTTTTAATTATTTATTTATTTTTTAGAACAGTGTCTCACTCTGTTACCCAGGCTGGGGTGCAGTGGTATGATCATAGCTCACTGCAGCCTCAAACTCCTAGGCTTAAGCGATCTTCTTGCTTCAGCCTCCCCAGTAATAGGCACATGCCACAAAGCCCGGCTAATGTTTATTATTTTTTTTTAATTTTTAGTAGAGATGGGGTCATGCTGTGTTGCCAAGGCTGGTTTCGAACTCCTGGGCTCAAGTGATCCTCCCACCTTGGCCTCTCAAAGTGCTGAGATTACAGGCATGAGCCACAATGCCTGGTCAATATGGCATCTTTACCTCATTCCTGATTTAATAAAGAATACATTTCTCCTTTTTCTTGTATGTACATGTGAACTATTTAAGATAAAAGTAGTTGGCCGGGCACGGTGGCTCATTCCTGTAATCCCAGCACTTTGGGAAGCCGAGGCAGGAGGATCACTTGAGCCCAGGTGCTCAAGACCAGCCTGGGCAACACAGCAAGCCCCTCATCTCTATTTTTTTTTAATTTGAAAAATTATAAGTGTAAAAATTAAAAAGTAGTTATCTTGTTAAGGAAATGTCCCATTATTTCTTTTATTTTTATCGTAAGTTTGTTGCTATTACTGTTTTTAAGTTAGGGAGGGTTGTTTAATTTCATCAAATATGGTTTCAGTATTTATTGAAATTATGTTTATTTTGCATTTTTGTTTCCTTGACCTTGTGACAGATGTGATGTACAGAGATTTTCCCAGAACTCCCCTTGGAAATGAGTAGCTAGCAAACTACTTTATGTTCAAAGTAGTGGCAAAGTTTGGACCACGCAATACAGAGAATTAGGACATTTAGATATCCATTTAGGGAAAATTTTAAGTTTGATTCCTTCCTTGCAACCACATAAAAATTTTAGATGGATTAGACATTAGACCTTGAGAAAACCTTAAAACAATTTGAAGAAAACATAGAAAAATATCTTTACAGCCTTGATTCAAGGAATCATAAGCAAGTTGTAAACACTATAAGCCAGAAAAGAAAATATTAGATTTGGCTACCTAATATTTAAAACTCCTGAATAATGAAAGACACCACCAAGAAACGTAAAGATAATGGAAGGCTGGAAGAAGACATTGCCAACATATATAACAGGCATTGCATTAATAATCAGAGTATATAAAGGAAAAGGAGGAAAATAGAAAAAAGTAATCGAGGCAAATAAAGCTTAACCTCACTCATAATAAATAGCATGTAAGTAAAAATAACAACAAGGTAACATTTTCCATCATCGAGCTGTCAAAATTTTAAATGATAAATATCCAATGTTGGAGAATGTAGGTGACCGCTAGGTTTACACTTCAGGTAGCTCCAATCCCGAAGTATTTTATGTAAATGGCGCCCCCTGCAGCCCAATTCTTACGTAGACCAAACATGTACTCCAGTGCACCTTGGAACCGCGCTGGAAGACCCCTGTCCCTCCTGTCCCTTCTGTGGGTTTAGTGACAATTTGGGGAACAGTTTTTGGCCTATCTGGCAAAATGTAAAAGACCCTTTGACCCAATAATTCCTCTTCCAGCCTTTCAGAAATACATGAATATGTACTATGTACATAAAAATATATGCAAAGGTATATTTATTAAAGTTTATTTTATATTGGAGAGAAAAAGGAAGCAATCTAGATGTCCGTCAATAGGGGACTGTTTGGATAAATAATGCTGCTTGCATCTATTCATGAGATATTTTAGATTTATCTGTACTCACATAGATTGATCTCCAAGTTTTTTTTTTTTTTTAATACGAAGTCTTGCTCTGTTGCGCAGGCTGGAGTGCAGTGGTGCAATCTTGGCTCACTGCAACCTTAGCCTCCTGGTTTCAAGCTATTCTCCTGCCTCAGCCTCCCAAGAACCTGGGACTACAGGCACCCACAACCACACCCAGTTAATTTTTGTATTTTTAGTAGAGACAGGGTTTCACCACGTTGGCCAGGCTGGTCTCAAACTCCTGACCTCAGGTGATCCACCCACCTTGGCCTACCAAAGTGCTGGGATTACAGGTGTGAGCCACTGCACCCAGCCAAGATTTAATGTTATGACTGAGGTAAACATGAATGAAAGCAAATCTTCAAAATATTTATGATTTGATCTCATGTATATACATTTGTCTCTGAATACACATTAGATAGACGGGGAATGCATAGATGTGGAACAGGCAGAGCCTACCAAGCCAAGGGAACTGGACCTGAATCGTTGGACAGAGGGAATTTGTAACAGAAAAGACTTTCATGTTTTTCTCTGTATACTTAATTACTTTGTGCTCTACCACAACAAGAATGTACTGTATATGTTTTTTGTGTTTCTTTTTTTCCCTTAATCTTAAATTCAAAATATAAGGTCGTCCCCTGGCTGTGAGCTACAAGAATCCTTATGGGTTTGGCAGTTCTTTGACAACTTCCCACCTGGCTAAATTATCAAGGAATGTCCTACCAACAAGCATGAGAAATTCTTGGCATTCCTGAAATAAATTCTTCTGAGCCAGCTCACTGGGCATCATAAACTCCTTGAAGACTTTAAAAAGATTTAGATCTGAGTCTGTCTCAGATTCTCGGGCTCAGAATCTGAATTTCTTCATTTGAGGCTATTATCTTGCTCTGGAGGAGGGAGTGAGAACTGGATCACTGGTTAGGGTGGTGACTGTTATGGACAACTGCACAGCCACAGCCAGGAACACAGAAGGCAGAGGCAGCCTTGATCTGCAAGGGCTCCAGTTAACCCCAATGGGGACCCTCAATGGACAAAGGCATTCTCCTAGGCTTGGTGATGAAAGTATTCCTCTTACAGCCAGGCAAGGCACTCAGGGCTCTGCAGCAGAGAAGTTGGAGCTGTAGCTTTTTTCCTTGGTGTTTTCACTAAAACTTAATTTCTTGTTGCACTTGTTGGATGGGCATGTCCCATAGGGGAAGTTTCCACTACTGTGTTCTAAACTTTGGACTGCTTGTACCATCTTACTTGTCCCCTCATTAATAATGAATTAAATAAAACCTTTAGTATATGCTAATTTCATATCTTTACAAGAGTCATGATTTTACCTTTTTTTTTGAAAAGTACCTTTTCACATTGCTATCACTCCCTTACCAGAGCAGTGAGTGTCTGGGTCTCCCTCTTAGGGGCAGACACTGTTCCATGTGATTAGAATTAATTTCTTGTTCTCGGTAGACAGAGAAAACCTTCCACACTCCCAGGAGACGAGAGTTCAGATCTTGTGCCATGGCTGAGAGTGATGCTGAGGAAGACACTTCTCTCTAGTCTCAGTCTGCCTGCCTGTGAAATGGGCTTATAACAAACTCCTGATCCCAGGCTCAGTCGCCTTGAGCCCATGACCTCACCCAACCCCTCTCCTTCCTCCCGTGCCCCCAGGAGGCGCGGGGACTCGGGGGGGGGGGCGGCCCCCTTTCCTCCGGAGGCTCCCGGGTGGCACGTCAGTGCCTCAGGTCCCGGGGGTTTCTGGGTTCTGCGCTGCCCATGGGGTGCGCAGGAGCCTCTGGAGGGGGCGGGTTCTCTCCAGCCAGAAAGCCCGGAGTCGCCCAGGAAGTTTGGCTCGGACTGAGAGCATTTCCTTCTGGGCCGGCCGGGCGCGATCCGGGAAGGGCGGCTGCGGTCGCAAGCCGCGCTGCTTTCAGCCAGGCTGGCACCATGCGGCCCCTGCTTTGCGCGCTGGCCGGGCTGGCCCTGCTCTGTGCCGTGGGCGCTTTGGCCGGTGAGTGGGGCGCGGGGCATGGCAGGGGACACGGAGCCGGGGAGATCCGCAGATGGTGAGGAAGGAATGAGCAAGAGACAGAGCTGGACACAGCAGCGAGATGGAGAGAGAGGCAGATACAGGGAGGGAGGGATGGAGAGAGAGATGGTGAGAGGAAACAGACTCAGAAAAAGGCAGAGAAGTAGAGCAACGGAGAGATAAAGGAGAGAGGGAAGAATAAACAGTGAACAGGAAAAAAGGAGAGGCCGAGACAGAAAGAGGCTTTCCCTGAACAGATATGAACCAAGATAGAAATAAAAAAGAGTTTGAGAGACAAAAGAGAAGAAGGAAAGAGAAAGAGTGACTAAAATGGCAAGGGGTGGAGGGAGAGAGGATAAGAAAAGAGAAAGATTTGAGAGATACCAAAAAGGAGAGAGAGAGGGAAGCTCGATGCCCGGAGTAGAGCTTGCAAGAGAGAAGGAGCCAGGATCCGGGGTGGGAGGTCACAGCTGCTGGGTGGGGCAGCCCCGGAGGCCAGCTCCATCTCAGAGGGCCTGCGGAGGCTCAGGCCTGGCTTTATAGGACATTGCTTAAGAAGCCAGACTCCAAAGGGTGAGTGACCCAGGCCAGCCCAGCACAGCCTTAAGGAGCCAGGCAGGCGAGCCCAGGAGAAAGGCCACCGACTCACCTGCCAGGTGGCCTCAGGTGGTTCTGCAGTTGGTGAAGAAGTCAGCCTCCCGGTTTCCAGGGAGCTTCTCTGGGGAACTGAGCTGTTTTGGGTGGAGATGGGGGACTGGATGGAGATGCAGAGCTGTGTGGGAGGGAGAGGCTGTCTCGGTACTCCATTAGCTGGGTTCCTTGCCTTTCGCTGTCCCCTTTCTTCCCCCCACCTCCCCCCTCAGCTTAATGTTGCCCCTTCACAGGTGAGGCTCAGACAGGGTGACTCATGTCAAGTGACTTACTAGACTGCAGTCTGGGGCGGTACACAGATGCTCATTCCACCACCCTGCACATTGCACAGGACTTTACAGTTTACAAGCCACAATCCCACTTAGCCAGGGATGGCTATTGCTCATTCCAGTTGCCCAGGTGAGGGGAAAGCTCAGATCTCATGATGGTGCCAACGCAGAGCCCTCACAAAGCATCCAGGCCTCCTGCCCCCACAAGTCGTTGCCCCGACCTTGGCAGAAGTGTCCTGTACTAAGATAGAAGCCCCTAGTGCCTTTCAGGGCCCGGTGAACTGTGGGATTAAGCACTTGGGGAAAGGATCCAGACCAGCCCTCGGGATCCCCTGCTTTGGGTGAGTCCCTTCCCCTCTCTGGTGCTGTTTCTTCCTCTATAAATTGGGGAGAATGATACCCACCCCACAGGGCTGGCCTCAGAGATTAGATAAGAGAGGAAGTGCCCAGCAGGGAACATGCATCAACATACATTCTCTCAGATGACTCCACTGATCTCTCTGAGCCTCAGTTTACCCACCTGTTAAAGATGACCACCAATGGCTTCCTCACAAGCTGCACGAGGAGTGGCTGGGACTCTGCTCAGCATAGAATACAGGCCCCAGTACACACCCTGCCACCCCCCTCCCCTTTACTCCCTCCCAGCTCAGCCCCAGGCTCCAGGAGCTAAGGGCACAAAGCAGCACCTGTGTTTCTCCCGGAGGGAGGAGGGAGCAGCCTGCCCACAAGTGGCTACTTTTGGTGCCCCTTTTAGCCACAACTTGTACAGAGACTTTAAACCCACTTTTAAACGTTATTTTTCTTTCTGATTATGCATGCTCATTGCTACAGATAAAGAAGAAAAGGAGTTTGGGAGGCCGAGGCGGGCAGATCACAAGGTCAGGAGATGGAGATCAGCCTGGCTAACACAGTGAAACCCTGTCTCTACTAAAAATACAAAAAATTAGCCAGACCTGGTGGCACAAGCCTGTAGTCCCAGATACTTGGGAGGCTGAGGCAGGAGAATCACTTGAACCTGGGAGGCGGAGCTTGCAGTGAGCCGAGATCAAGCCACCACACTCCAGCCTGGGTGACAAAGCAAGACTCCGTCTAAAAAAAAAAAATGAAGAAGAAAAGGAGGAAAGTATTCATGTGTTAGTGTAATTTCACATTGACTTCCTACATTTTTGTGCATATTCTTTCAGATTTTAGATGATATATCTTAACTCTTTATTATGAAAACTTTTGGATACAAAAAATACAAAATAATAGTATATGAAAGAATGATATAATGTACTATTAACTCTGCTTCAACAAGTATCAGTTCATGGGCAGTTTTTTCTTATCTATAGTCTCCACCCTTTCTCCCTTCCCTGGATTATTTTAAAGGAAATCCAGGCATTGTATGTTTTCTTTTTTTTTTTTTTCAGACAGGCTCTCATTCTGTCACCCATGCTAGAATGCAGTGGTGCAATCTCGCCTCACTGCAGACTCTGCCTCCCGGGTTCAAGTGATTCTTCTGCCTCAGCCTCCCGAGCAGCTAGGACTACAGACACATGCCACCACACCTGACTAATTTTGGTGTGTTTAGTAGAGACAGGGTTTCACCATGTTGGCCGGGCTGGTCTCGAACTCCTGGGTTCAAGTGATCCACCTGCCTCGGCCTCCCAGTGTGCTGGGATTACAGGTGTGCACCACCACACCTGGCTAATTTTTGCATTTTTTAGTAGACACGGGGGCAGGGGGGTTTCTCCATGTTGGCCAGGCTTGTCTTGAACTCCTGACATCAAGTGATCAGCCTGCCTTGGCCTCCCAAAGTGCTGAGATTACAGGCATGAGCCACCACACTGGGCCCCAGTCTTGGTTTCTTTTAGCAGCACTCAGAGAAACCTTTATCCCTGATGGCTTTTTAGACCATGAGCCACCACACCCGGCCCGCATTTTGGAGTTTTTTATAGAAACACTTGAAGAATAGTGTTCTGCTGCTTTCAAAAATAATCAAAACCCATGGATCATTTTGAATGAATCATACATTTTAATACAAATATTGGATGTGGTAAATTTATTATTGTATTGTATTGAATGTGGTCAAATATAATTAACCCCCAGGTGGTCAGGGTTGTTTTTCAAAGCAGAGTGTGATTTTGACAATTCGGAAGATACAGCAGCACCTTTCACAGATGCCACTGAGAAAACATTTCTCATCACCGAGCACGCAGAAATCATCTGCGTTGTGGCACTTTCTTACTGTTTGGGTCCAGATACAAAAGGTCTCCCCATAAGGCCTGGAAGTAGATGGAGCGGTACTTCTGCCTCAAAGGATGGGACCCAGGGGCCACGTCTCTTTAACTGGGGCAGCCAGCCCAGCCCAGCCGTCCCCTGGGGCTTCTGGGCTCCACAGCAGCCTGTACTCACCAGCACAGGGTGCCCCACCTGTAGCCACCATCCAGGGTGTACATCAGGCCCCAAGCAGGAGCTGGGCCAGAGAAAACAATGCAGCATCCAAGGAGGTCCATTTCCCAACTGGCGGTGCCTGGGAGAGCGGGAAGAAAAGAAGGAAGGGAGCCCTGTGGAGCCACAGCCTTGGCTGCTCAGGGTTAATCATCATAATCCTTCAGCCTTTCCACTCCCCTTGTCTGAGCCACTGACAGCCCCGTGGGTGCATGTGCGTGTCTACTAATTTTTTTTTTTTTTTTTTAATACAAGACAGGGTTTTTCTCTGTTGCCCAGGCTGGAGTGCAGTGGTGCAATCGTAGCTGACTGTAGTCTCAAACTCCTGAGCTCAAGCGATTCTCCCACCTCAGCTTTCCAAATACCTGAGATTATAAGCATAAGCCACCAATCCTGGCTAATTTTTTAATTTTTTTTTTTTGTAGAAACAGAGTCTCACTATGTTGCCCAGGGTGTCCTCAAACTTCTTTTCAAGCGATCCTCCTGCCTCAGCCTCCTAAAGCTCTGGGATTACAGATGTGAACTACTGAGCCCAGCCCCTGTAGCTAATTTTTGAGGCCTCTCTGCAGCTTCTGAAAGACAGAGAAGAATTAAGGATGAGCTACATGGGGGATTCAGGGCCTCAAGCCTACCCTACCCCCATTTTATGGAGGAGGCAGCAGAGGCTCAGGGAGGAGAAGGAACTGTCTCACAATCCCACAATCATTAGTGGCTGAACCAGGCTGAGAACAGGGGTCTCCAGCATGTTTTCTGCCATGATGCGTTCAAGTCAGCGCCATGGTGAGGACTCTGGTGCAGAGGGAGCAGGCAGTACAATGTTAGGCCCTGCTCCAAGCTTGTTCTCTCAGATGCACTCCGTGGAGGCCTTGATGACCTCATGGACAGTTGCTCCAGGGTGCACAGAGCACAATTGTGTCCAGATGTGAAGGATTAGTGCTGAGCCATGTGGGGAGTGACCTCAGCCCAGCCTTTTCCCTGGAGGGGTTTTGGAGCCAAGTTAGACCTTGTCACAGACACGTAGAGAACAGGGTGTTTTAGGCCAGTGGAGAGGAGCAGGCTCTGGTTGCTCCTGACTTCCAAAGCAGCCAGACTCCCACTTGGCTGGCAGGGTCACACTGCGTCCTCCTGGTCTGAGCTTGGGGGAGGTGTGTGAGGGGAGAGTGGCTAGGGTCTGGGAGAGGGCAGGTGAGCCTCCGGGGAAAGGCTTGGCCAAAGGCCTCTGGACAGAGCCAGCAGGGGGTGTGTGTATCCACAGACTCATGATGACAGGCCCTCTCCCAGGTCGGCCACTCTGTGGGTGAGAACAGCTCTTCGGGCCTCCTCAGAGCTTTTCCTCTCCAAGCCGAGCAGCCCAGTTTCAGCTGAGACAATTGAGTTAAAATTTGGAGTCCCAGACTGGGTGCGGTGGCTCATGCCTATAATCCCAGCAGTTTGGGAGGCTGAGGCGGGCGGATCACTTGAGCCCAGGAATTCGAGCTTAGCCTGGGCAACATAGTGAAACCCCATCTCTACAAAAAATACAAAACTTAGCCAGGCTCAGTAATGTGTGCCTATAGTTTCAGCTATTCTGGAGGCTGAGGTGGGAGAATTACTTGAACCTGGGAAGCAGAGGTTGCAGTGAGCCATGATCGTGCCACTGCACTTCAGCCTGGGTGACAGAGTGAGACCCTGTAAAAAAAAAAAAAAGGAGTCCCTTCCCATAGCCTTCTCTAGACCTGCTCCTGCCTCTCAAGGGCCTTCTCAGAATGTGGGGCCAGGATGGAGCATAGCCCCCAGTGGCCTCTCTCTCTCTGAATATTTTACATGGATGCCTGCAGCCCACCATGGCTGCTGCTTTCTGCTGACAACCCCGCCAGACAGCCAGCTTTTGTTATGGAACATTTCAAACCATGCACACAAAAGTAGAGAGAATTGCTGAATGCACCCCCGTGTGCTCATCACCCAGCTTCAGCAATTAGCAACTGTCAGCCCATCCTCTTTGCTCTAAATATCCACGCATGCCTCTCCCCCATCCCCACCCAGGCCTGGATTATTTGGAAGTAAATCCCAGACAGTATAGCATTTCATCTGTAAATATTTCAGTATAGGTCTTTAAAGGACTCACCATAAAAAAATAACCAAAGCACCATTATAATGTCCTCCTCCCTCCCCAGATTCAGCAATAACACCATGATCTTTTGCAGAATCTTTTCTAAGTTCAGTGGAGGGAAATAATGAAAAGGAGAATTTGAAAAACAGATTGTTCTCCACAAAAGATGCTCAGAGTGGAAGGACGTTTTGTTCCTGGTCTTGTTCTCATCCCTGAGTGGAAGAGCTGAGAGCTAGATAGAGTTGAAATCAGAAAATCACAGGGCAGGGGGCCCCATCTTGCTGAGATGAGGCCTGGAGGTGAGGGTGCCTGAGTTCCAGGCATTTGCAGATGGTGTGACCTTAGACAAATCACTCGGCCTCTCAGAGTTACACATCCATCACCAGCTCCATCCTATCTCAAGACCTGCCCCACTTCTAGACAACTGCAGATGACCCCTTGGCCAACCCATCCAACACCAAGGCCTTACAGCTACAGACACTGCATGTACAGAGATCCGTTCCATAACTCTCTCCCCCAGCTGAGCTTTGGATGCCCACATCCATGGCCACAGCCTTAATATTGTCACTATCTGAAGCTGCCCTAACTCTAAAAGCTAAAATTGCAATATTCTTTACCTCTTGTTCCTCCTGTGATTCCTAAGACCTCCAGTCTCTTCAGCCCCCATTTCTCCCAATTTATTGGCCCTCTTCTTGGCCTCATTTCTTTCCTTATCCCAGCTGGATTCCAGGGCTCCTCTCCTAAACCCCTGGCTGGCCAAATCTCAGTTCCTTGGCCCCTTGCTTCCACCACATCCATCCTGCAGACTCCTAGGTTTCAGCTCCATCCGGCCATCTGTCTTTGCACCCAGACTGTGGAGCACTGCTGGGGGAGGACTTGTGCTTCCAGGATTCCTTGTTGATGCCAGCTCATTCTTCATGGTCCTCCTCCACTGCATCCCTCATTCTGCACATCCCCTTTTGAAGCCCTCTTTTTATTCAAGTCCCTTACCTAGTGGTACACTGATGGACTGGCTCTCAAAAAAAAAAAAAAAAAAAAAAAAAAAGGACGGGGGGGGTGTTGATTTCTGTGATGTAAATGTTCTCATCATGGCCACAATTTTTTTTTCTTTTTTTACTTAAAAAATTTTTCTTTTTAGAGATAGGGGTCTAACTATGTTGATCAGCCTGGTCTCTAAGTCCTGGCCTCAAGTGATCCTCCCACTCGGCCTCCCAAAGTCCTAAGATTGCAGGCATGAGCTACCATTTCCAGACACCATGGTCACTATTTTAATGTCTGTTTTTAGCAACCTACTCATAGAATTCTTGAAATTTTAACATCTAGCTCTCCTCCCTACGTGATCTCCATCTTACTGCACCGAGTAAATAGAGGCTATCAGGTGGGAGCTCACTCCACTTTTTGGCCCTCTAGTTAGATGGTTTACCTTTGCCCATTTTTGCTTCATTCCCTCTGTCTTCCTTCCAGATGTGTTCCCACCCGCTCTGGATCCAGGGCCTCCCATCAATTCAGGAAGTGCATTCCTTGGGTTCTCTTGTCTTCCTCCTGTCCCTCAGGCTGTAAGCATGGTTGTGTTTTCCAGTGTTTAAAACAAAAACAAAAACAAATGACAACCATAAATACTTCTCTAGACCTTGCGATCCAATCTCCCTTCCTTCACAGCCAAGCTTCATGAAATTTTCCAGAATCCAAGTTTCCACTCCCAACCTCACCTTCCCTTCTCATGTCATGGTAATCCAAACTCTGCTTTTCCTCCACTCCTAAAAGTGCTGGGGTGAAATTTAGCAGGGCCTTTCCCATGCTGTGTTTCCAGTCCTTATTTTGCTAGACCTCCCTGCTGCTTTCGGCTATGCCAACACTTTTCATCCCCTGTAGAATCCGTAAAGCTCTTGGCTTCTCTTGACTGCTGGGGCAGCACTCTCCTTCCTGAGTGTCAGTGTTCTCCAAGGTTCCAGCCAACCCTGATGCCCCACAGGCATCTCAGGGTTACCAACTCTGAAATCCGAGCTTGGAATCAGGGATCTCAGACTTCTGTTGTGAAGGTTGATGGTGCCTGGAAGAGCTAACTCAAGGAGAACAGTGCTCAATCAGGAGTTGAGCGGGTTGAATGGCAGATCCTCTGCTTATGAGTAGTGACTCTGGACACATCCTTTCACCCTTCTGTGCATCAGTTTTCCTACATGTAGATTGGGCATAAGAACAGGCTGTTGGAGAGGTTAAGTGATCACCCTACATGGTGCATGGTAAGCACTCATCACATGACAGCTGTTACTAATGGGTTCCCAGTGTCAATGCTGCTACTGAAATACCTCCTCTCATTTTCTTTCTCACTATTCCTACAGCTACTCGGGAGGCTGAGGCAGGAGAATCGCTTGAACCGGGGAGGCAGAGGTTGGAGTGAGCTGAGATTGCACCATCACACTCCAGCCTGGGCAACAGAGCTAGACTCCATCAAAAACAAAACAAAACAAAACAACAACAACAAAAACAAACATCAGAACTGGTTTATGAAAGCCTCTTGGTTAAAGCTCTGTCCCCTTGGCTTCATTTCCAGGACTTCCCTCTCCAGTCTCTCTCCCACCCACCCTGTATCTCCAGCCACTGCAGGCTCCCTGCAGGGTTTGCACAGTGAGCCATGCTCTTTCAGGCCTCTCCATCATTGCAGGTGCCATTCTTCCTGGCTGAAGCCCGCCTTCCCTTCCTCCCTGGGCTTCACCTCCTTGAGGAAGTCCATCTGGGTCTGTAGGTGACTGCCACTGTAGAGATTGGTGGGATTGAGATAACTGACAGTCGCACACTGACCCCCACCTGGGCCATCCTCTTCTTGCTCTTGAGTTTGCTTTGAGGACTGACCTCACTTGAGCCCAGTATTTACAGAAGTCTCTGGCATTGTGGAAAACTAAGGGTCCCACAGTGACAAGACTTGTTTTCCCACAGCTGCAGAACCCTTCATCGCTCCCTGAGGAGACTCAGCTCAGAGCACAGCATGTGACAGACACATGGCTATGCAATGCCATCTAGATGTCATAGAGGAGGTAACAGGGTGCTTTGGAAGGACATGTGGTTTCAGGACCACCTTCTAGGATGATGTTTTTATGGGCAGATGCAAGCTTGCTTTGGAATGTCAGGACATCAGGCCAATCCTGCCCTGGGGCCACCTTGTCCAACATCACCCTCCCATCTAGGCTGCCAGGCTGGCGAGCCCCCAATGGACCCTGCCTCCCCTAAGGCCTTACTTA
This sequence comes from Homo sapiens, assembly GCF_000001405.40. Lineage (NCBI taxonomy): Eukaryota > Metazoa > Chordata > Mammalia > Primates > Hominidae > Homo > Homo sapiens. Next base: position 129,925,485 of record NC_000002.12, on the reverse strand, counting down.
CCCCCACCAGGACATTTCAGCATCATTACTGGATGGGAAGGTGGAAATCCAGTCACTGTTTTGTTATATAGCCACGATTCCTAACTTGTGTGGGGAAAAGTTTACATCTTTATTGTCACAAGCCTTTAACTGAAATTGAGCATTCCCATTCATCATAAATTACAGACAGCAAGCCGTGGTGTTAATAGTACTATAACTTTGTCACCAATAGAAATCCAGATAATTTCATCTTCTTCTAGTTATGAATAGAAGAACATTTATATCATTCATTATGTCAAAATTTCAGTTGTTGTTAGGCCTGATGTTAGATCATGTGAGTTAGTGAGTTAATAAATACATTTTTTTTTTTTTGAGGCAGGGTCTCTGTCTGCCGACAAGGCTGGAGTGCAGTGGTGCAGTCTCGGTTCACTGCAACTTCCACCTCCCAGGCTCAAGCAATCCTTCCACCTCAGCCTCCCAAGTAGCTGGGACTACAGGCACATGTGCCACCATGCCTGGCTAATTTTTGTATTTTTTTGTAGAGGCAAGGTTTTGCTATATTGCCCAGGCTGGTCTCGAACTCCTAAGCTCAAGCCATCCACACACCTCAGCCTCCCAAAGTGCTGGGATTACAGGTATGAGCCACTGTGCCCGGCCAATACATATATCCAAATTTTTAAATTTTGTTTTTGATGGAGTCTTGCTCTGTCACCCAGGCTAAAGTGCATGGTACAATCTCGGCTCACTGCCATCTCCACCTCCCAGGTTCCAGTGATTCTCATGCCTCAACCTCCTGAGTAGCTGGGACTACAGGCATGCACCACCATGCCCCGCTAATTTTTTGTATTTTTGGTAGAGATGGGGTTTCACCATATGGCCAGGCTTGTCTCAAACTCCTGATCTCAAGGGATTTGCCCATTTCGGCCTCCTAAAGTGCTGGGATTACAGACGTGAGCCATCGTGCTGGGCCAAAAAGTTTAATTTTAAATATTTGAATTTTTTTTTTTTTTTTTTTTTTTTTGGCAGAGTCTCTCTCTGTCGCCCAGGCTGGAGTGCAACGGCATGATCTCGGCTCACTGCAACCTCCATCTCCCGGTTCAAGCGATTCTCTTGCTTTGGCCTCCCGAGTAGCTGGGACTACAGATATGCATCACCGTGCCCGTTTTCTTTTTGTATTTTTAGTAGAGACAGTTTTCCCACATTGGCCAGGCTGATCTCGAACTCCTGACCTCTGGTGATCCGTCCACCTCGGCCTCCCAAAGTGTTGGGATTATAGGTGTGAGCCATCACGCCTGGCCTAATACTTGAATAATATTTTAAAGCAATTGGTGCTCTTGGTAATTCTATATGTTTTATTTTTTGCATTTAAGGCATTATTCTGAGAAGAGGTCTGTAGGCTTCACCACACTGCCAATGGGGTCCATGGCATACACAGGGAAAAACCATTAAGAACCCTGAGTAAATTTCAAAATCCCAGACCTGTCATTTGGCAGAGACACCACCAGGGAGCAGAATAACAAAAAGAATGTGAGCTCCAGGCTGCAAAGTCCAAAAGGGAGAAGGTAATCTACACGCGCTTTATCCAAACCTGTGACTGAGTGCCAAAAAGGAAGGAGCCTTAGAGAGCGAGCCCCATAGGATATTGTCATCTGGGGAGATTGAGGCAGGTAGGCGCAGAGCCTGAGTGAGGAAAACCCAGGTCCCGCAGCTCCCAGTCCTTTTCCACTGCACCCCACTGGACCGCCAGCTGCTTCTTAGGACCTGGCTAATGAAGCAGAACGTGGCACCACTCCTGTCCTGGACGTTACCCACCTTCTCACTCTAGATGGTAGAGAAGACCGTGGATCACCTGGGGACACAGGTGAAAGGCCTGCTGGGCCTGCTAGAGGACCTGGCCTGGAACCTGCCCGGGGGACCCTTCAGCCCCGTCCCCGACCTCCTCGGAAAAGGTGAGCAGTGCAGGTGGCAGAGGACAGCCTCTGGGCTGCTGTCATCTGGCGCTGTGCAGGCGAGACGGGGACGGCTGCTACGCCGCACAGGTGTAGCCTGGATAGCAGGGAGGGTCCCAGCGCCCCCTGGGGACGGAATCGGGACCGCATCATCCCTGCTCCCCTCCCCTACCACCCCGCCCCCACACCCGGTCGCTGCCTCCCAGCGTCAAATGAGGTTCTGGAAGAGCCGGCCCTAGATGACATCTCAGCACAACCCCGGCGCAGAGAAGCTACCTGCTTCATTGGCCTTCTCACGACTGGAGCTCCTCAGTTCCTTTCATTTCCCCCTGAGGAGCCACTCCTGTTCCACCCCAAAACCGTCGCAGGGAAGACGGGCACCCCCACTGATCAGGCAGGGATGGGGTTGCACTCTGTTCTCTCCTTGATCCCTGTGTCCCTGGCGCAGGAGGAGTTCCCGGGGGCTGGGGAGGGGAGGGAAGGCACTGCTGAGCACCACGGGGGCGGGTACCCTGCAGCACCCCAGCTTGCTCAGTGGAGGCCGCTGCTTTCTTTCAGATGGCTTCTGAGCCCCGGAGCTGGAGCCCAGCAGCTGGAGGTGGTGCACCTGCCAGGCAGCACCCTCTGATAGCCAGCGCTGTCCTCTCGCCTTCCTTCCTCAGCTTCGTGTGAAATAAAAGCTACTGTTTTTGGTCTCCTCTGTGTCTGCTGACAGAGTAACCCGTTTACAGCCCCCTCTCCCTCCACTTCCATGCCTGGGGGAGGCCGGCCACCCCCTCCAGGCTCAGACCTGGGGACACGCCCACTCCCGCCATCTGTGCTTTAGCATTCCCTTATTTATAGGGGCAGATGGAGCAGGGGTTGATTCACAGAGGTGGGGGCCCTTCGAGTGGCCTTGCGTCTCAAAATGTGGCCATAGGTGAGAAGCAAGGGGAGCACGGTCTCAGGACCCACCCGGACTCCTTAATCCAAATCTGCATTGCAATCAGACCCCCAGGGAATTTATGTGTCCATTAAAGAGGTTTGTTGTTGTTTTAAAAAAAATTTCCTATGAAGTGGAATTCAATGTAAAATTCATCATTCTAACCATTTTAAATTGTGTAAGGCTGGGGGCAGTGGCTTACGCCTATAATCCTAGCATTTTGGGAGGCCAAGGTAGGAGGATCACTTGAGCCCAGGAGTTTGAGACCAGCCTGGACAACATGGTGAAACCCCATCCCTACAAAAAATACAAAAATTAGCCTGGCATGGTGGCATGGTGGTGCATGCCTGTAATCCCAGCTACTCAGGAGGCTGGGGTAGGAGGATCACCTGAGCCCTGGAGACCAAGGCTGCGGTGAGCCATGATTGTGCCACTGCACTCCAGCCTGGGTGACAGAGTGAGACCTTGTCTCAAAAAAATAATGATAATAAAATAAATAAATTGTACAAATGCAGTGGCGTCCAGTACATTCAGAAGTTGTGCAGTCATCACCGCCAGTTCCAGAACATTGTTCTCACTCTAGAAAGAAACTCTGTATCTATCAAGCAGTCACATCCCATTCCTGCTGCCCCCCACCCCCCCTGGAAACCACTGATCTCTGTCTCCATGAACTTGCCTCCTCTGGACATTTTAAATACAGTAGTCCTGCTTTATCTGTGGTTTCACCTTCCATGGTTTCAGTTACCTGAAGTCAACCACAGTCCTAAAAGATTAAACTCCAGAAATAAACAATATATGAGTTTTCAATTGCACATCATTCTAAGTGGCGTGATGAAATCCCTCGCCATCCCACTTTGTCCCACCCGGGACATGAACGCTCCCTTTGTCCAGCATGGTCCACGCTGTCTACACTTCCAGCCTGTTAGTCACTTAGGAGCCTTCTCCGTTACCAGGTTAACGGCCACAGTATCACAGTGCTTGTGTTCCAGCAACACTTCATTCACTTAATCAAGACCCAAAGTTCAAGAGCAGTGTTGCTGGCATACGTGGTTGTTTTTCACGTAACTCTCCCTTCACAGAAGCTGGCATATTGTTCTAGTTTTTCTATTTTATTCTTAGCTATTGTTACTAATCTCTTATGGTGACTAATTTATAAATTAAACTTCATAGGTATGCATGCATAGGAAAAAACATAGTATCATAGAAGTAGATACTATTGTAGTTTCAGGCATCCACTAGTGGTGTTGAAATCTATCTCCTGAAGGTAAGGAGGTACCACAGTAAATAGAATCATACAATATGTAGCCTAGCTGTATCTGGCTTTTTCCTCAGAGCATAATGTTTTCAAGGGCCATCTGTATTCTAGCATGTATCAGTACTTCATTCCTTCTTATGGATGAATAATGTTTCATAGTATGAATATACCACATTCTATTTTTTTTTTTAGACAGAATCTCACTCTGTCACCCATGCTGGAGTGCAGTGGCATGATCTTGGCTCATTGCAACCTCTGCCTCCTGGGTTCAGGCGATTATCCTGCCTCAGCCTCCCGAGTAGCTAGAATTATAGGTGCGCACCACCACGCCTGGCTAAATGTTGTATTTTTGGTAGAGACAGGGTTTCACCATGTTGGTCAGGCTGATCTCGAACTCCTGGCTTCTTGATCCACCTGCCTCGTCCTCCCAAAGTGCTGGAATTACAGGCGTGAGCCACCACACCTGGCCCACATTTTATTCATTTATTCGTCAATTGATGGACATTTGGGTCGTTTGGACTTTTTGGCTATTATGAATATTGGAGAATGTTCCATGTGTGCTTGAGAAGAACATGTACTCTGCAGCTGTTGAGTGGAATATTCTGTAAATGTTTGTTAGGTTCTCTAAGTCTATAGCTTTGTTCAGGTGCACTGTTTACTTATTGATTTTCTGTCTGGATGTCTTCTATCCATTATTGACAGGGGAATATTAAAGTTTTTCTACCATCATTGTATTTATGTTTATTTTTCTTTTCATTTCTGTCAATGTTTGCTTTACATATTTAAATGTGCTGATGTTGGGTGCGTATATTTATGATTGTTATATCTTCCTGATGAATTTATCCTTTTATCATTTTAAAATGTCTTTCTTTGTCTCTTGTGATAGTTTTAGGCTTAGAGTGTATTTTGTCTGCTATAAGTATGTCCATCCCCACCCTGTTTTATTTAGTATTTGTATGCACTTATATTTACTGCACTTATATTTAAAATAATTATCCTAGGGAAGGACTTACTATTGACATTTTGTTAAACATTTTTTAGTCTGTGTGGTTCTTTTGTTTCTTTTTTTCTCTGTTGTTGCCTTTGTGTTTCATTGGTTTTTTTGTAGTGATATGTTTTGATTCCTTTCTCTTTTCTATTGTGTATCTTCGATAGGTATTTCTTTTATGATTATCATGAGGCTTGTATAAAACATAGTTATAACAGTCTATTTTAAGCTGATAACAACTCAATTTTGCTTGCATTAAAAACCCTGTATGTTTACTTCTCCCCACCCCATACTTTGTTTTTGATGTCGAAATTTATACATTTATATTGTCTCTACTCACACTTTTTGTAGTTATAGTTATTCCTAATAGTTTTGTCTAATTTTTGTACTGAAATTAAGTGTGATTTTTATACCACCTTTATAGTATTACAACATTCTGTATTTGTCTATGTATTTGCTTTTTCCAGTGAGTTTTATGCATTTATTTGCTTTATGTTGCTGTTTAGCATTCTTTTTTTTTCAACTTGAAGAGATTCTTTAAGCATTTCTTGTAAGGCAGATCTAGTGGTGATGGATTCCTTCAGCTTTTGTTTGCCAGTGAGTATCTCCTGTTCATTTTTGAAAGATAAGTTTTCTGGATATAATATTTTCAGTGGGCACCATTTTTCTTTCAATGTTTTAAATATATTACCTTACTTCTTTCTGACCTGCTAGGTTTCTGCTGAGAGACCCACTGATGGTCTCCTAAAGGTTCCCTTGTATATGATGAGTTGCTTTTTCCTTACTGCTTTCAAAATTCTCTTTGTCTTTGAATTTTGAAAATTTGATTATAAATTTATCTCAGATTTCTTTGGGTTCTTCCTATTTCGGATCCTTTGGGATTCATGAATCTGGAGGTCCATTTCTCTTTTGAGGAGTTTTCAACCTTTCTCTTTCTTTCCTTTCTTTCTCTCTCTTTCTTTCTTTCCTTCCTTCCTTTCTTTCTTTCTTTCTTTCTTTCTTTCTTTCTTTCTTTCTTTCTTTTTTTCTTTCTCTCTCTCTCTCTCTCTCTTTCTTTCTTTCTTTCTTTCTTTCTTTTCTTTCATCTCTCTTTTCTTTTTTTTTTGATGGAGTCTCACTCTGTTGCCCAGGCTAGAGTGCAGTGGTGTGATCTTGGCTTATTGCAGCCTCCGCCTCCCACATTCAAGCCATTTTCTTACCTCAGCCTCCCGAGTAGCTGGGATTCCAGGAGCCTGCCACCATGCCCAGCTAATTTTTGTATTTTTAGTACAGATGGAGTTTCACCATGTTGGCCAGGCTGGTCTTGAATTATTGACCTTAAGTGATCCACCGGCCTTGGCCTCCCAAAGTGCTGGGATTACAGGCATGAGCCACTGTGCCTGGCTGTCAGCCATTATTTCTTTAAACAAGTTTTCTGCCCATTTCTCTCTCTCCACTTCTGGGTCTCTCTCTCTCCACTTCTGGGACTTCTGTAATGTATACATTAGTTCACTTGAAGGTGTCCCTTAATTTCCTTAGGCTTTCTTAACTTTTTCATTCTTTTTCTCTTTATTCGTCTGTGATCAAGTCTGATGTTGAAACATTCTCTTGAATTTTCAGTTTAGTTAATGTATTCTTCAGCTCCAGAATTTCTGTTTGGTTCTTTTTTATGGCTCTGTCTCTTTGTGGAAATTTTCATTTTGTTCATACATTGTTTTCCCTTCCTTCCTTCCTTCCTTCCTTCCTCCCCTCCCTCCTTCCCTCCCTCTTTTCTTTTTTTTCTTTTCTTCTTTCTTTCTTTCTTTTCTTTCTTTCCTTTCCTTTCCTCCCTCCCTTCTTTCCTTCCTTCTTTCCTTCCTTCCTTCCTGCCTTCCTTCCTTCCTTCCTTCCTTCCTCTTTTCTCTTTTTTCTTTCTTTCCTTTCTTTCACTTGCAAGGGTGCAACAGGCAGCACAGCAGAGAACAGGCTATCTGCGCATGTATTATTTTCTTGATTTTGCTTAATTCATTGACATTCTGTATGGTGATTATTTTGAATTCTTTGTTAGACAATTCATAGATCTCCATTTCTTCAGGGTTGGTTACTGGATATTAATTTTTTCCTTTTGGTTGTGTCATATTTCCCTGATTCTTCATGTTCCTTGTAGTTTTGCCTTGGTTTTGTGCATTTGAAGACACAGACACCTTTCCCAATCTTTGTGGACTGGCTTTGAGAGGGAAAGAACTCTGCCAATCAGCCTGGCTACAGATTCCAGGAACTTCTCAAACCTTGTGTAAGAATGTGTATGCTCCACTCCTCTCCTTCCTTCCTGGTAGAGAAGTCTCTGGATTGTGCACTTTCTCCCAGTCTTACAAAGCCATGCTAGTTGCAATTAGCTACCCACTCCATTAATTTGCTTTTAGCTTCAATCACGTGTTTAAATTATGCCAGTTCTTCCAGAGCTCTGGGTGAGGTGGGATAGAAAGTGATTCCTTGGGCAGCACCCCAAAATACTGGGAACAATAAATATATACTCCACTCACTTTTCGTTTCTCACTGATGGAGAAGTCATGGACTGAGATACTTTCTGCAGGCCCTGAGCTATGCTAGTTAGATAAAATTGCTCTTGTCACCCATTTCAATGTGGCTGCTCTCTCTTTCAAATTATGGACTTGTCATAAAGGTACTTTGCTTTGTATATCATTGTTAAGTTGATGCTTGTATGGGAGGATGAGGACTGGGACCTCCTATTTCACCATATTATTGACATCACTACCTTACATTTCTTAAACTTTCTCTTATATTTTTCATCTCTTGATCTCTATTCTCATTGAGTTTTTCAGGTCTTCCTGTTTACTGTTTCTTTCTTCAAACATATATAATTTGCTATTAAACCCATCTTTTTGGATTATTAATCCAAAAACTATGTTTTTAATTTCAGAAAGTTATATTTGAATATATTTCAAAACAGCATGTACTTTTATAAAATTGTGCCATCTTTATGTTCTTGAATTCTTGTTGCCTGGTCCTATGTAAATGTTAACACTTAGCCCTCTAATTAACTGGTACTAATACCTTCCCACTCTACTATTGGCATCATGGCAGCAGCTTATATACTTCAGAGTGTAGAATTTAGTTTTTTCTTTGTTTCTGTCCAAAGATTTTAAAAAATTTCTTATGAGCTTAGCTATGCATGTAATATTTGTTGTACTTACCCCAGTATTTCTTGGTGTCTCTATTTGAAGAGGTTTGGGGTCATTTTAGTCCACCATCTTTTTTTGTTGTTGTTTTTTGAGATGGAGTCTCAGTCTGTCGCCCAGGCTGGAGTGTAGTGGTGTGATCTCGGCTCACTGCAACCTCTGTCTCCTGGGTTCAAGCAATTCTCCTGCCTCATCCTCCTGAGTATCTAGGATTACAGGCACATGCCACCAAGCCTGGCTAATTTTTTGTGTTTTTAGTAGAAATGGGATTTTACTATGTTGGCCAGGCTGGTCTTGAACTCCTGACCTCAAGTGTTCCTCCCACCTTGGCCTCCTAAAGTGCTGGGATTATAGGTATGAGCCACTGCACATGGCTAAGTCCACCATCTTATAGGACCTGGAAATCAGTTTATTCTATTCATGTGAGGAAACTTAGGCCATAGCGGGAAAATGGCTTGGCCAAGACTAACTAGCACTTCAGTTACAGAGTTTGAATAAGAGCTCATATCGCCTAATATAGTGGGCCTGTCAGGATGATCGAGGTCCCTATCCTGCCAGCATTGCCCTCCTATGCTTCCCTACCAAGCCAGAAATAAGCAATGCAATTCTCCTCATTAACCTACATGAACACCTTGCCTCAAGGTATCCACCAGGATACTAGAAAGTGGTTAAGGTGCGGATTTTGGATGCTTTCCCTGCAGAACACAAAACAAGTCTCTGAGCTGAGCTTAGTTCAGTGCTAAAGGCTGACATGAACCTTTTAGACCGGCTGGGTGGTGATGGCATCAGAGAGAGAGCTGTTGGCTGCCTGCCTCTGCTCCTGCCAGAAGACTCTCTTGGTCTCTTCCAGCCTCCATGCCATGGCTGCCTTGCTCAGTGTCTTCTTCTGTGGGGGGAATACCTGCTCCTCATTTACTTGGGCATCTGAATTTATGGCCTCTCAAAGTGGGCAAGACACAACACGATAGATGCCCTCACTGGCAATGCAATTAGAGACTGTCACTCCATGTGCTGGCCAGGGGAGCCCTTCTGCCAGCCCATAAAGGGGATGGAGAGGTGCTTCAGGGATATGAAATTATGTCTAGTGAAACAGATAAATTAACTGATGTTTACGCTTGTGCTCATTTAAGCTCCAAGAAAGACTTGCTTAAAAAGCAGCCACATAAATTGTGGAAGAGGAAGAGGGAAGATTAATTGAAATATTAAATCAACTTTATGGGTGTGCAGGAGAATGCATTTCAAGCGCATTTGTCACCAGCTCACTGAGGCAGCACCATTTAGGATGCTGATTTATAAATAGGAAGGGGAATGGCTGAGAAATCGGAGTGCTTCCATGTGCTACCAAATTAGAGGAGTCCTATGAGAAAGAGTGTTCTTTGGCACTTGTCTGAATGTAGAATCTGGTGAGGTCCTACCCTTCTCAGTTTTCTTGTTCTGAAACGATGGGGGACTGTGCTCTGGACAGTGGGATGTGCAGGCCAGGTAATAGCAGGGCTCCCAGAGGTGTTATTTCAGTGCGTGAGTCCACAGAGAGGCCTGGTGGTAGATGGGGGTTTACATATGCACCTCTCCCTGTGCCAATGTCCCCTCTGCATTTTCCACCCAAAACTTAAGATGCTCTAATATGCTAGTCTGCTAATTAATCTATTATCTGTCTCCTGTTAGTAGAATGTAAGCTCTGTGAGGGACAAGCTTTTGTCTGCTTCATACCCTGCTCTGCCAACCGCCCTAGAATAATGTGCCACAGGTAGATGCTCCATGAGCATTTGTTGATAGAATGACTAAGCTCTGTTTCAGGCTGGTGAGACCTGCCATCTGTTACTGTGCCTGGCTGCCCTGTGTGTGTGTCATTGTGCCTGCTTGTTCTGTCTGTCACTGTACCTGGTTGCTCTGTCACTGTGTCTGGTTGTTCTGTCTGTCACTGTTCCTGATTGTTCTGTCACTGTGCCTGGCTGCCCTGTGTATCTGTCACTGTGCCTGGCTGCCCTGTCTGTCACTGTGCCTGGCTGCCGTGTGTGTCTGTCACTGTGCCTGGCTGCCCTGTGTGTCTGTCACTGTGCCTGGTAGCCCTGTTTGTCACTGTGCCTGGCTGCCCTGTGTATCTGTCACTGTGTCTGGTTGTCCTGTCTGTCTGCCACTGTGTCTGCCTGCCCTGTCTGTCACTGTGCCTGGTTGCCCTGTCTGTCTGTCACTGTGTCTGGTTGTCCTGTCTGTCTGCCACTGTGTCTGCCTGCCCTGTCTGTCACTGTACCTGGTTGCCCCGTCTGTCTGCCACTGTGTCTGCCTGCCCTGTCTGTCACTGTGCCTGGTTGTTCTGTCTGTCACTGTACCTGGTTGCCCTGTGTGTCTGTCACTGTGCCTGGTTGCCCTGTGTGTCTGTCACTGTGCCCGGCTGCCGTGTGTGTCTGTCACTGTGCCCAGCTGCCGTGTGTGTCTGTCACTGTGCCCGGTTGCCGTGTGTGTCTGTCACTGTGCCCGGTTGCCCTGTCTGTCTGTCACTGTGCCCGGTTGCCCTGTCTGTCTGTCACTGTGCCCGGTTGCCCTGTGTGTCTGTCACTGTGCCCGGTTGCCCTGTGTGTCTGTCACTGTACCTGGTTGCCCTGTCTGTCTGTCACTGTGCCTGGTTGCCCTGTGTGTCTGTCACTATACCTGGTTGCCCTGTCTGTCTGTCACTGTGCCTAGTTGCCCTGTGTGTCTGCCACTGTGCCTGGTTGCCCTGTCTGTCACTGTGCCTGGTTTCACTGCTGTCTGTCACTGTGCCTGGTTGCCCTGTGTGTCTGTCACTGTGCCTCGTTGCCCTGTCTGTCACTGTGCCTGGTTGCCCTGCTGTCTGTCACTGTGCCTGGTTGCCCTGCTGTCTGTCACTGTACCTGGTTGCCCTGTGTGTCTGTAACTGTGCCTGGTTGTTCAGTCTGTCATTGTGCCTGTCTTGCCATGTCTGCTCCCACTCTGAGGCCAGAGAACTGCTGTGTCGCTGTGTGTGGCCCTGCTCTGCTGACTTCCCTCCTTCAGGGCAAGTGTGAGAGCAGTCTTCTCAGTGGGCTCAAGCAGACACGTCCGGCATGGTCTGGTTTGGGGTGCCCAATGTTTGTAGGAGCTGTCTGGGAGCTTCAGCTGCCCCTCCCCTGGAGACTGTGTGGTCTGGGAAGAAGCTGAGCTTGGCTAACCCACTCCCACTGGGATCAGGGGGTGCCTGGTCCCATGTGGCTCATTGTCCAGGCAAACTGGAGGGAATCCCAGGGTCAGTTTAGGAAAATCCTGCTTGTTGCACCACATTTTACACCGTGGAAAGCGAGGCACAGGGCATTGGATAATTTCCTCAAAGTTATGTGGCTTCCAATGGCAGATGTAACGCCAGGTTTTGACTCCCAAAGCAGCCATTCCCGTCTGTCCAGACTCCTCTAAGTTACTATGCAATCTTGTTGGGTTGAGTATAAGGGAGAGAGATCCTGAACCCACCCCTGGGCTGCCTCCAGAGGCCTCCAGGCCACTTGGAGTCTGGACTGACAGGTAGTCAAGGCCTTCGCCGGACGGCAGGGGAAATGGAAGGAGTGGCCTCTGTCGGGGGTCTGCTCTGGGCTGGGTGCTCTTCCGGTGCCCTCTCCCTTGGTCCTGACTGTGTTTACAGCTGGGGCTCAGACATGAGGCCACGTGTTCCGGCTCTCACAGTGAGAGGTATAGGCCTGGCGTGTCAGGCCCCTGCCCCAAGCGGCTTCTGTATGGGGCCTGCCTGCTGCACTTCCACTGTCTTTGGTGATTCCCAGAGAGCTTGTGGCTTCCAGAGTTTTCACATCACTTGATCTCTTGTGCTGGAGCCTGAGATTCTGCTACCCTAGTCTGCCTGGGTCACCTCGCACCACCCACCATGGCTGTAAGAAAACCAGGGAGCCCACCTTACTCTCTGCCTTGCACCCCATGACCAGTGTCCCTGTGCAGCCTCCACATGCGCCCTGCTGTCCTGTGACTGGCCTCTGGTAGTTTGGGGCCGTAGCCTCAGCTGGCCTTGGCACCATGGGGAACGGAGGTCTGGCTGCAGGAACAGAGCCATGGGCCAGCTCGTCCCCTGCTGCAGCCTGCCCTTGGCACAGAGGGGGGTAAATGCCCACAGAGTGAGCTGGAGAGCTCGAAGAAATGGACAACACACATGTATGAATCCATGTGCACACATGCCCACACGGAGACACATATACCCCTATGATCAAACCCATGCTCAGATTTCCTGCATGGCACACACCCAGACACCCACACAGCCACATGGACGTGTGGCAACAGGGGCACTGCATGGAAACGACCTTTATCCGGTACTTGATTCCTTCCCCGTGGAAATAGATCACACTTTATTTGATGAGCAACTGAACAAAACTCCACTGAACTCTGGGCACACAAGTGGACTCGGCCTTGTTTGGGAGAGACCCCAGGTGCTGCCTCGCCAAGTCTCCTCTGCGGTGTCGGGGCCTCCGCTCCTGCTCTTGCCGCCCAGCTCTCCGGACTCCTGCTGCATCCTGCCCAGCTGTGCCCCCTTCCCACCAGCACAGCCTGCGCATCCCTCAGCCCCTCCTCTGTGCCCTCACCCTGGGCCCGCCCTACATGTGTCCTGGGCTGTACTGTGCCCTTTGGAGAAGGCGCCCTGCTGTCTGTGGTGCTGTCCCTTTCCTGCAGACAGGACTGGCCTGGCTGGGGTGACTGAGCCCGGGGTAGGTCGTTGTCCCACTCTGCTTCAGTTTAACTTCCTGTAAGAAGGAGTTAGTGACCCTCCATCAGCGGGACTGACCTGAAACAATGATGTGGCGAACCTCACGTGCCCGCTAGGCCTCAGGCCTCAGGAAGGTGCTGCTCTTTGACCACAAACGTAGAGGCTGGGACAGTGCGGCCTGTCAGTGCGCCGCTCCATAGGTGAGAGGGATGATGATGTAATGCATCTGCGCTCTCTGCTCAGTCTCGCCAGGCTGAAATCAGGGTGCTGCCTGAGTTTGCGTCTGCAGGCTCTGGGGATGAATATGCTTTGAAGCTCATTCAGGTTGCCCTGCAGTCTTGGTTGCAGGGCCGAGGTCCCTGCCTCCTCCATGCTGCTCTTTGTGGGATGCTGGGCTGTCCCCTTTGCCCTGCTTCTCTCCTCCCTTGCCCTGCCCTGCCCTAGGGAGAGACCCTCTGCACACGCCCTGGGGCTCCCTTGCCCATTGGCTTCCTGCTAGGTCTGGCCGGTGGGAGGCACAGGCAGGGGTTGAGGATGGGCATTCCTTCCCTGCCCGCTTCCTGCTGGGCTCCGTTTCTTGGTGCTACTTGCCCGGACCCTCCCCGGGTGGTAAGGTAACGTGGTAAGAGGGTGGTAAGAGGCCCCCACTGTGGCTGGCCCCCCAGGGTCCACTCATGCCTCAGTGTCAGCCTTTCACTTGAGCCAACCAGGATGAATTCTGTTTCCTGTGGGGACGCTGAATGCTGGGTGTGCCCAGAGAGTGGGAGCTCCGGCAGGGAGGCTGGGGCCTGGGAAGGGGAGTGATCCTCAATGACCCGGCTGCGGTGGGGGTCAGAAAAGAAGATTGAGGTCTTCTCAGCTTCCCCTGTATTCCAGGCACAGCAATGGGGCATGACAGACATCCCCGAGTTATCCTCACACTGGCCCCTATGCTTTTTCTGGATGGGGCAGGAGGCTATGAGAAGCTGGTGACTGCCCAGGCAGTACCATGGAGGCCAGGTCTGTCCACCGCAGACCCCAGCCATGCCGCGTGCTGTCCAGGGGAGGGCTGGGTGATGGCCAGAGACCACAACTTGCTGCAAGGTGTGGACAAGTGACACCCTGTTCTGATTCCAGTTGCCACGACTTACTGCAAGGTTGGACAAGGGGCACCCTGTTCGGATTCCAGTTGCCTCGCTGGCAGAGGGAAGACAGATCCCACTGTGGGAGACCCCTCTGCTTGAACACTTCCAGTGGGACTCCCTCTGCTCCTGGGGATACTGGTCCATCTCCTGCAGGGATTCTCCCACCGCCTTACTTGTTAGGATTGGTCCTGCCACAGAGCAAGCCCAGTCCCTTCTTTCCTGGCCCTTCAGATCTTCCTGGGGGCAGAACCCAGCCCAGCACAACAAGTGGGGCCTTCGGGGCTTCCTTCCCAGTCCTCTCAGGACCTGTGAGTACAGGGCCCCAGCCAGGGCTCCAGCCCATGCCACACTTCCTCCCAGTGCTCAGCTACAGGGTCCTGACTGACCTCATGCCTTGGATCCAAGGCACCCTGTAGGGGGGTGCTTCTCACTCAATGGACAGACAGACACCACATGCGGGCAAAGGGAACATAAGGTGACCCCAGCGTCAGTGCAGGGGTGGGGCCGCACATGCCATGCACAGCCCAGGACCTGCCCTGTGGAGTTGGAGTTTCCTTCCAACCAAAGGAAGGAGGGTATATGTGGTCTGGGATTCCCGGGCAATTGAGGGGGCCTGCCTCAGCGGTGGCATCAGGACGGGGCGTCTCCAGTGGGCATCTCCACAGGGCCAGGCCTGGGACAGCCATGGCTTCCCATTGCTTGCCTGAGGCACATTAAACAGGCCCTGGCAAGGCCACAGGCTCCTGCCTCCCCAGGTTTCTTGTTTCTCTTCATCTTTGCATGAGGTTTGTTTGCATGTGTTTGGCTGTGATAACTGAGACTGAGATCACACCTGAGGGAGGACTTCAGGGGGCAGGAGAGGCCCCCTTCCTGAGCAGTGCCTGTGTCACCTGGGGCCAGGAGCCCCTGAGACTGAGACCTCTCCATCCCACGGCAGCACTGCCTCCTCTGTCCCTGGCCACCTGTCCCTGCCCACCATGCGATGAGTTGTGATGATGAGCATTAGAGACAGAAAGAAGCTACGCTGGATCCAGAGATTATGACATGGTGATGGGAGAGGGGATTTTTGCCTTTGTAATCCTTAGATCATACCCCTTTGGTCAAGGCATAGGACTCCCAGTTTGTCCCTGTGGTGCTGGTGGGCCTCAGTGGCACAGGTGGGCTTGGGGTGCCTCTGAGCTGGAAAGACGTCACCCCCATGGGGGGTCCCAAGGCCCCGTGGGTCCAGACCTGCTATGGTATCCAAGGAGTGAAAGCTGAGGAGCTGAGCAGTTGGTCTGGTGGGGCCCTGTGGACTGTGCCACCTACAACACCCCTCAGGGGTCTCGCCTGTCACTCCTGGAAAGGCCTTACCCTGCTGCACAATTCACAGAGCGTCAGACAATGCCTGTGGGCCTGGTCTCAGGAGCCGGAGAAGGATTCTCTGTGCGGAACTTGCAGGCTGTGCCTTAGGGGTCCCCAGACTGGCAGGAGGGCAGTCAGGGCTCTGAGCCTTCCACGCCCACGTCATCCAGGCCCGTGCTGCTTTCACCTGTTTGATATGGGGTGTTTCCTTTTCAGACTTCATTTGGAAAAGGAGTCCACAGCTAAAAGCACCTGGGAACACTGTGGACCCCGGGAAGGCTGTAGCCTGCTTTTTGGCATGGTGTCCCTTCTCCTGGCCACACTCCATGTGCCTCCTGGGCCACGTTGCCCTGAGGGCAAGAATCTGAAGCTCAGCATCTCGGGCTCTGGCTGGCCCAGGCTGGAGTTCCCGCTTCTCCGCCATCTCTCACCCTTCCTGTCCTGCAACCCCACAGTGGAGTGGGCTTTGGGAGGACCCTCATGGGGTGGGGGTGGACAGTGGGGAGGGGATTTGAACATTGTAGAGAACCCTTCTTTGGAGGAACTTTGAGGCCCCATCTGTGGAAAAATGTGGAAAAAGTTGTTTAATGAGTTTAATAATCATATCAGAATCATTTTTCTGTGTAACCAAAACCGTCTGCATCCAGAGCTTACTGTAAAATATAGGTATCAGGAGGCAGGGCTTTTTATATTTGTGAATATTTCTGTATCACCTTGTGACAACCTCATAAATATTGTTGAAGGATGGCGGCTTGCCTCTGAAAATCCTTTCCACTGTGGCAAATGGTCCTGCCCTGGACAAGTACAGACAGCCAGGGTGGAGCGTGAGCAGGCCGAGGGGCCAAGGCTAGCCGTGGGGAGGGGCTCGCTGAGCCTGGTGGGGGTTGCGGAGGGCCAGGCTGAGCTCTGGAGATGGGTGGTCAAGCTTCATCTGGCTGCTGCGAGGCTCCCCCAGGGCACCTCTGGCACTCCTCAGTGGGCACCGGGCCTTCACCATCTTCATCTCACAGAGGTGAGGCAGGGGCTGGAGGTGGCTGGGTATCAGGCCGGGTGACCCCATGTGAGAGCAGCTGGGAGTTCAGCAGAGCCAGATGGCTCTGGGTGTGAGTGCTGCCCGCAGCTGGCCCTCCCCGAGGAGCAGAGAGGAGGCTGCTGCTGGGCACGGCAGGTTTCCTCAAGGCACCGGGCTGCACTCAGGCTTCACTTGGGGCCATGAGGCCAAGGCGCTGAGCCACTGCTCTGAGCTGTCGCAGCTTGATCACCTGTGTGTTCCTTCTAGGGTTGCTGGAGAGCTCAAGGAGGCGGTTCCAGCCACTTGACACCGAGGGAGTAGGAGCCGCTCACCTGAACACCTGCAGCTGCTGCTGCAGCTGGGTGGTCCTGCTGCGCCCCTCTGGCCTCCTCCCTGGCCTCCCAGGTGTCCTTCGTGGTCTGACTTGGACTCCTCTGACCCTGACCCTCTTCAGGCGCCCACACTGCTCTCTGTGCATGCTTACCTGGGGTGGGGCATGGTGGTGAATGTGCTGGGGGCTGGAGCTTTACCAGTGATTTCATCCCATTTCTGCCACAAACCTGTGAAGGGGACTGTTTTCTCATTTTCCACATGAATAAATTGAGGATGAGAGAGAGGAAGGTGCTTGCCCAAAGTCACAGAATTTGAATGCATGTCCCTTTTCCCTCCAGGCTGTATAATGATTGCATCGCATTACTTGTATATTGTCCTGTGCCGTGCTGTAGTGTGCTTCCTGCTTACGTAGTGTTTTCCAGTACTGCACTGTATGCTATTACATTGCACTGTGTTGCACTGGACCATGTTGTACTCGCTGTGTTGTGCTATGTTGCACTGCACTGTATTATATTATGTTACACTGTGTTGTGTTGTACTACGTTGTACTGTGCTGTTGTGTTGCACTACATTGTACTGTGCTGTTGTGTTGCATTATACCGCATTGTATAACTGCCTCTCTTGCACACGGTAGGAGTTAGGACCTTTTTAAATTGATATAAATTGAGGTTGCATTCCATGTGTGTTAAAGTAGCATTACCAGTGACCATCTGGCTTGTTGGGTCTGAAATGAAAGACACACTTTAGGGCACATAATAAGCACAGCGTGGTGCTTTGCACTTCTCTTTGGGGGATAAAGACTCATTTTTGGGGTCTCGAAGAGGCCAGGTCCTGCCATCTCTCACACTTGCCTGGAGGCAATGAGCTCTGGTGATTAGGAGGAAGGAAAGTGACTGTCATTATTAACCTGCTAACATCCTTGCGGCTGTCCATCTCTGTCCGGGGAGGCGGGGTGGATTCATGTCCTGTGCTCAGGGAAAAGCACACACGTGATGAACAGACATGTTTGTGTTAACCTGGGCCTTGTTTGTCAAGCAACCAAGGGTAGTGATGATTTTGTGGGAGGCTCTCTCACATGCGGGGGAGAAGCTGAGTGTCCACTGGCCACTTCAAGGAGTGGCTCATGCCCTCGTGCAGATGGTGGCTCCTCTCTCTGGCTCACCCCGTTTGAGGGAGCCCCCTTTCCTAGAGGCAAAGGCCGTTGTCTTCCAAATGGATTTTGTACCCTGGCTGCTCAGCTGCCCCCCAGCATCCCCTGGTCCACCCTCTCCTCTGCCTCCCGCTCTGCCCCAAGAGTCTGTGGGGGTAAGCCCTTGGGTCAGGTCTGCCCTGGCCCCCTGGATCTGCCTCCCCCAAAATCTGCCTCCCCACTTTGCCTCCTGCCCCAGTGTGCCCCTCTCATCTCCAGCCACTGTGGTCCCTTCTCAGTCACTCATGCGGGGGCACACGCCTGCTGTCCCCCAGGCCTTTGTCCTTGCTCTGTGTCCACCAACACTTCCCACCCCTGCATTCTCTCATACTCTCTGCTCCGATCTTGGCTCAATGTCACCTTGTCAGAGAGCACCGATCTACAGATGCCTCCGTCTCTCTCCACCCTGCTCGTTTATCACCACCAGACAGGAGATGATATACTTCCTTGTTTACCAACTGTCTTTCCAGCCTGCGGGCCCCTCCTGCGGGCTCTGCCCACTGTTGCATCCCTCGGACCTACGCCAGGCACAGACAGGAGAAGGGCAGAGACAGGGAGTCCAGGGGATTCAGGAGGCTCTGGACCGGCCCATCTCAGTGTGGGACTTTGGTCCTGAGGCGTTGCAGGAACCTCCACCCTGGGGATGGCCCTGGGAAGACAGATGCATGTGGAGGCGGGGGCGCTCACCAGCCTGGGTAACCACAGTAACTATGGGCCCACTCTGGTGTCTCAGGAGTGAGGATGATGCTTAGGGAGATGCAGAACCTGCCCAAGCTCTTCCCCTCGGGCAGGCACGGGGGAGGGAAGCACAGCGTGGCAAAGCCCTGCAATGCCAGGCTCTCCTGCCGGCTGGGGCCTCCTGGTGTGACACTAGGGTCTCATTTATTTATTCAATACATGCTCACAGACAACACAGGGCCAGTGGCCGGGAATGCAAATGTAAAAATATCACTGTTGTCAGGAAGGGTGAACAGGACTTGGCAGGGCAATGACAGCAGGAGAGGAGTTGTTTCCTCTGCAGCCCAGCGCCCTGGCCAGCTCAACGCAAGGCTCCCGTGGAATGGGCAGCCTGCAAGTGACTGAGTTCATGTGAAATGAGAATTCCCTGGGAAACTGAGGAAGACCCATGTATCCAGGCAGGGGCCAGAGCGCAGGACACCCAGCAAGGCCGACCCCTGAGCCTAGCAGCAAACAGCACAGGAGAGCGGCAAACAGTGCAAGCATTGCCCTCACATGGGGACCCTGGTGTAAACTGAGGTGACCCAAAGTTTCTGACAGCTTTGAAGCAACATCTGGCCTGGATGGTCCTCTGAGGGACTCAGGGGGTTGTGGTTTTGAAAGCTAGAGTGTTTCCCTGACTCCCACCCTCAGGGGCCTGTTAGCCTTCTCTGAAAAAGCCGGGGCCTCAGGACTACCATTCACGTCTTCCCGATTCTCCTCCTCCTCTTTCCAGGTAACTCCCACTTGCTACTTGAGACTTGGGAAAGGTACCACCTCCTCCAGGAAGCCATCCCTGATTCCAGCCTGAGCCCAGGAGGTAACTCTCCTCTGGGTGTCATGGACCCTGGGCTTGCTTCTATCTTGAGCACTTGTACACCAAATAGCACAGACCTGTCTTTCTGCTAGACAAGCAGGCAGCCTCAGCATCTCAGCTCCCCTAGCTGGACCTGGTCCCTGGAGCAAGGAGGGTTGGATACACCTTCCATAGTGGAGAAAGCAGGAGGTCGCATGGAGGTGGTGGCTTTGGTCTTGCCCTCAGAAGAGTGGGGACTGGATGCAGGGATTGAAGCTGGGATGCTGTGACCAGAGTGGTCATGAAAGGACCCTCCGCTGAGGGTGGAGTCTGGGCTGGGGGCCATGGGTGAAGGCACCCAGGGAGGGGGTGGGCCGCAGAGATGGACTTTGGCCTCGGAGGGGTGGGAGAGTGTGTGGAATTGCTCCTGCCTCTTTGTTTGGAGGTGCTGGTTGCCTGATGGGGCCATTTGCTAAGGTGGGGAATGTGGAAGAAGACCATTATTTGGGGGGAAATTTTCAGCCATTCTGTCTTTTGCCTGGGAAGTTCTTCTGAGTCTCTCTCCCCTTTACCAGGTTAATTCTGTCATCTCATCCTTCAGATTTCAGTGTGGAGGTCAATTCCTCAGGGAGACCCTCCAGCTTTGCCCTTCCTGGGGGTAGATTTTTCCCCTGCCAGGTGTTCCCATGCGGGGTGCTTCCCTCTTGAAACCCAAGTCCTGCCTTTGTGCACTTGCTCCACGTCTGTCTTCTCTTGCAGATGGTGAGAGCGCTGATGACCTAGCCCAAAGGCGGCTGGAAGGTAGGAGGGTGCCTTTCTTTGAGGACTGCTTCCCAGCATCAAGGTGAGCTCACGTGGCACTGGCCCACGCTGTCTTTGCCCTGAGTTAGCATTCTCCCTGCAGACTCCCATTGTGCACCTCCTACGAGGGTCGTTACAGTGGCCTCTTAACACTCAGGGGCTGGGGGTCATGGGCCACACTCAAAGTTTGGTAAGATGTTCTGGGAATGTACCTGGATTGGTGAGAGTGGCATAGTCATAGGTAGACCCAAACAGGTGGTGCCTTAATAAAACAGAAGTTCATTTCTTGGTCACCTGGCTCTCCTGGGCTGCGGACCTGATCTGTAGGGCCGCTCTTTTCCATGGGGTCGTTCAGGGACCCATGATGATGAAGGCTCTGGCACTATGAGCATTGGCTTCCAAGGGGAAGAGTGTGCGGGAGGCTTCCAGGGCCTGTCCAAGCTCAGTCACTCACTCTCACCTGCAGGGAGGCTGGGACACAGCCTGGCTGCATGCCCAGGAGGAGTACGTGGGGAGGGATGACCGCAGTGGCCGCTTTAGAGATGTGGGGTAGGAATTGCCATTGTGTTGCTGTTTATGATGGTGCAACTTGGGAAACGACGTCACATCTAGCAGCGAACGACTGGAAGAAAGCTTCCTGGGTTTTGAGAATTTTTAAGGAAGTAGGAATATGGTATTATAAACGACTAACTGAAAAATCAGGTTACAAAACTGAATATTCCATATAATTTCACTTAAAAAATAAAGAAATGTACTGAGTTGCTCACCGTGGTTTTCTGGGTAGGAAAATTATGGAGAGCTTTTCTTTCTTTTTCATCCTTTCCTCTATTTGCTAATTTTCTGCAATGAATACAGATTTATAATCAGAAAAATGACAGAAGATTATATGCTGATTTACAAAAAGCAGGCGTGAAAGCACGTCCCCCCCTCACGTCTCTGTAATGGATCTGGTGAGTGTGTATTGATTTTTGTGTTGGGCTGATTAGGGAGCCCTGTGGCAGCCTGGAGGAACTAAGTTAGTCATCGGTGGGGCAGGCCCAGCTGCAGACACCTGGCGTCCTCCTGCACCTTACACTTCTTTGCTCTGGAAGGTCCCAAGTTTCTGCTCTGATTCCCATGGAAAGGAGAGGGTGGGCTCACCCCGCAACCCTAGGCCTCTGGGGGAGGATGAGGAGTAGGTCCTGAGGGGTTCTGATCCACCCAAGCCCCTGCCTTGGCATCCAGGCACCCTCGCTGCCCTGGGAAGGCCGTGGAGGGAGTGTGCCCCTGATGCTTTGACTCCACAGGCCAACGCCAGAACCATCTTTGCTTGTTTATTCGTTCAACCAACGAGGAGGCAGTGCCTGGGGCCGGGGGAAGCACATGGCTGGCATGGCTGAATGGACACGAGGAGGCGCTGGCTGCAAAGCCCTGGGGAAAAGTTGGCTTCGCCCCACCGGGCTGATGACAACTCCAGCTTTCTCCTGAGGAACAGGCCTGCAGAGGGCACTGCCCACCCCTCCCCCCGACTGTGGCCTGCAGCTGCTGTGATGGGAGTCCCAGCTTGTGGCACCTGGGCTTTGTGGGTGGTTTTCTGCTGGAAGCAGGTCCCACAGGTCACCAGGATGCAGAAGAATTAGGGCCCAGGGTCCAGAGAGACTGACCGGGAAGCCCAGCTCTCCAGGCGGAGGCCGCAATGGCAATGGGAGGATGTGAGTGAGTCAGGGAGCAGCCCAGGGCCGCTGTGTGGCAAGCGCTGTGCAGTGCCCAGCACCAACAAAGCACATCGCCATTGCTATTTCAGAAAGCTTCACGCGAGAGCCTGGGGGAAGAGACTGTGACTCTCCATTTTACATAAGCAGAAGCCAAGGCTTAGAGGATTTAGGTGGGAGTGAGAGGCCCAGGATTCGGGTTGCCAGGGAGCAGGTGGGTTTGGTCCCAGACTCCTGTGTCCAGTGCTCATTGCGTGGACCGTGGCCCGGGACTGGCCCTTCCACAGGAACCAGCAGAGACCTTTCCAGAGACAAGGCCCTGGTGCTGGGGCAGGTGATAGGCAGGCTCTGGGGAGAGAATGAGGGGATGGGGAGGAGGGGGCGACTGTAGCCACATCGCATGTGTCTGGTGGGTCCCAGAGGGAAGGGGCGAGGACAGATAGGAGCAGACACTGGTGCACTAGGGCAAGGACACACCAAGTTCAGCCTCAGGGAGGGAGGGCTCAGGGCAGGGACAAGGCCCACCATGTTGCCTAGTGCACAAACAGCTGCCTAGGGCTGGGCAGGGGGGGTCCTCAGTCCCCCTGACATTGTCCTTCCTCCTTAGGATTCCGGGAGTGCTCCTGTGCCTGTGTCCGGTTAGGCCCCACCCTAACCCCCAGTTACAAATCCGTGTCCAGGCCAGGGTCTGATGTCACCATGTCTGGGACATGAGCAGGCCTGTTAGTGGGGAAGGCTGGGCCCTTGAGGGCTGGCTCTGGCCATATTGTCATCGGCTTGGTTTACTCTGGGTGCGTGTGGCCACGGCAGGCTCTCACTGCAGGGATTTCTATTTCCAGCCTCGTGCTTTATTAGATTAGGGAAAACCTTGTCTCTTGGTAAAGGGTTTCCAGGACTCAGCCAGCAAGTAGGGGAATGATGGAGGGATGAGGGCAACAGCATACACTTTTTGAATGAGGCCTTCTTGGTCATTTCAAAACTGCAGCATAAGTAAGGATCTTGAAACCATGCTCCACGGATGCTTACCATGAACCAGCAGTTTCCCTGAAGTATCTCAGTTGATACCACAAATGCTCGTCTTCCTGGTGAAGGAGAAGACTTGTGAGCCCAAGCCACAGCCTGATCCTAGCTGGTCAGAGCCAATTCTTGCTGGCAGCATTGGGCACCTGTCCTGTGGCCTCTCCTCCCCTCTGCTGTCCTCACTGTGTGAGCAGAAACTCAGGCATTAGTTTGTACCACCGATGCTGGGCTGCACTTCCTCACCTAGCTCCATGCTGTGCAGGTCTTGCCCCATCCCCAGCCCCAGCCCCACTCTGGGTGGCTTGGTCAGTGCCTCTTGCATCTGGCTGGGTTAGGGTCCAGCCTGCAATCAACTCTGGCCAAGGAGACCTGGGGTGGCTGCTGGGGCTTTGAGCAAGAGAACTTAGCTCTGAGCAAGGGTCTCAAGGAAGAGGGCAGCCTCTCTGCCTCAGGGTATTTCCATGTCTAGATGTGGCCAGCTCCTACCTGACAATGCCACACTCAGCAGTGGGCACAGCCAAGAGCACATGAGGGGTGACAGTGGGAGTAGGAAGAGGTGTAGGAGGAGGGCTGTGCTCCAGCCAGCCATGGAGGCCTGGTTATAGGAGCTTACCAATGCCCTCACCCTTGCTGTTAGTGGTGAGGTTGGACTTTGCTGTGCTGTGGCTCTCTGCTGAAGTCACTCTACCCTCACCGAGACAGCCCCAGGTCTGCACTGGGTATCTTTACAGCGGAATTGATTTAAGTTTGCTTCACTCATGATGCGATACATAGTTTTTATTCCAGAATGTGGGCTCAGATGGTCCAGCAAATCCCTGTGTGGTCTTCATACAATTCCAAGTTTAAGATCCCTCTAATTATACTTGTGTATGAGGAGCTAGACATTCTGGAGAATTTCTGGATCTATAAGTCATGATTCTGGGGTCTAGAGTTGGAAAATACAGTTTAGTCTCTGTGATTAATTTTATATGTCAACTTGACTAGGCCATGGGGTGCCCAGATATTTGCTCAAACATTATTCTGGGAGGGTGATTCTGGATGAGATTAATTTGAATTCATAGACTGAATAAAGCAGATGGCCTCCCCTATGTGGGTGGATCTTGTCTAATCATTTGAGGTTCCAGATAGAACGAAAGTGTGGAGTAAGGGAGAATTCTCTCCCTCTCTGCCTGACACTGTCTTTTATTTTTATTGATACATCAGATGTACATATTTTTGGGGTGCATGTGATAGTTTGATTCATTTCTATAACCAGATAAGGGTAATTGGGCTATTCATCATCTTAAATATTTATCTTTTTTTAATGTTAAGAACATTCAAATTATCTTCTGGTTATTTTGAAATGTATAATTGATTAGTGTTAAGTATAGTCATCTTACTGATCTATTGAACACCAGGTCTCACTTCATTTATCTAAATATATATTTGCAGCCATTAATCAACCTCACTTAATCCCTGCTGCCCTCTACCATTCCTGGCCTCTGATAACTACCAATATACTTCATCTTCATGAGACCCTCCCTGTTTATTTTTTTTAGCTCCCACATATGGGTGAGAACATGTGATATTTGTCTTTCTGTGCCTGACTTAGTTCACTTAACATACTGACCTCCAGTTCCATCTATGTTGCTGCAAATGACAGGGTTTCATTATTTTTAATGACTGAATAATATTCCATTGTGTTTATATATCACATTTTCTTTACATATTCACCTATTGATGGACATTTAGGTTGATTACATGTTTTGGCTATTGTGAGTTGTGCTGCAACAAACATGGGAGTGCAGATATTGATTTCCTTTCTTTTGGATGTATACACAGTAGTGGAATTGCTGGATCATATGGTAGTTCTATTTTTAATTTTTTGAGAAATAGCCATACTGTTTACCACAGTGGCTGTACTAATTTACATTCCCACAACAGCATACGAGGGTTCTCCTTTCTCCACAACCTTGCCAGCATGCTATTTTTTGTCTTTTTGATAATAAGCCATTCTAACTGGGGTGAGATGATGTCTCATTGTGGTTTTGGTTTGCATTTCTCTGATGATTACTGACATCAAGCATTTTTTTTTCATATGTGTAGTGGCCATTAAACAAATGTCTTTTTTTGAGAAATGTCTATTTCAGATCTTTTGCCCATTTTTACTTTTTTTTTTTTTTTTACTGTTGTTGAGTAACTTATATATTCTGGTTATTAATCCATTGTCAGATGGATAGTTTGCAAATATTTTCTCCCATTCTGTAGGTTGTCTCTTCACTTTGTTAATTGTTTCTTTTGATGTACAGAGGCTTTTTAACTTGATATAATCCCATTCGTCCATTTTTGCTTTTGTTGCCTGTGTTTTTGAGCTCCAGATCAATGTCCTGGAGCATTTCTACAAAATTTTCTTTTAGTAGTTTCATAGTTTCAGGTCTCAGATGTAAGCCTTTAATCCATTTTGATTTGATTTTTGTATGTAGTGAGAGATAGGAGTCTAGTTTCATTCTTCTGCATATGGATATCCAGTTTTCCCAGCACCATTTATTGAAGAGACTGCTCTTTTCTCACTGTATGTTCTTAGGGCCTTTTTCAAAAAATGAATTGGCTGTAAATGTGTGGATTTATATAGTGGTTCTCTATTCTGTTCCATTGATTTCTGTGTCTGTTTTAATGCCACTACCATGCTGATTTGGTTACTATAGCTTTGTAGTATAATTTGAAGTCAGGTAATGTGATGCCTCCAGCTTTTTTTTTTTTTTTTTTCCCCTCAGGATTGCTGTGGCTATTCAGGGTCTTTTGTGGTTCCATATAGATTTTAGGATTATCAATATAGGATTGCTTTCTATATTTCTGTGAAGAATGCCATTGGTATTTTGATAGACATTGCATTGAATCTGTAAATTGTTTTGGGTAATATTGTTGTTTTAACAATATTAATTCTTTCAATCCATGATCATGGAATATCTTTCCACTTTTTTGTGTCCTATTCAATTTCTTTAAGCAGTGTTTTATAGTTTTTCTTGCATAGATATTTCACATTATTACATTGATCTTTTATAATTTTTAAAGTTTCACTTCCAGTTATTTCTGCTCTGATCTTTATTATTTCTTTCCTTCTACTAATTTTGGGTTTGGTTTGTTTTTGTGATTCTAGTTTCTTGAGGTGCATCATTGGGTTGCTTATTTGATGCTTGTTTACATTTTTGATGTAGGTGTTTATTGCTATACATTTCCCTCTTTGTACAGCTTTGCTGTCTCCCACAGATTTTGGTGTATTTCCATTGTGATTTGTTTTTTGGAAATTTTTCTTTTTTTTTTTTTTTTGAGACGAAGTCTCGCTCTTGTCCCCCAGGCTGGAGTGCAATGGCACAATCTCAGCTCACTGCAACCTCCACCTCCCATGTTCAAGTGATTCTCCTGCCTCAGCCTCCTGAGTAGCTGGGATTACAGGTGCCTGCCACCATGCCCAGCTAATTTTTCTATTTTTAGTAGAAACGGGGTTTCACCATGTTGGCCAGGCTTGTCCAACTCCGGACCTCAGGTGATCCGCCCTCCTCAGCCTCCCAAAGTGCTGGGATTACAGGCATGAGCCACCGCACCTGGCCCTCGGAAATTTTTTACTTTCCCTCTTGATTTCCTTGCTGACCCATTGGCCATTCAGGAGCATGTTTTTTATTTTTATGTGTTTGTGTCTTTTCCGAGGTTCCTCTGGTCATGGATTTCCAGTTTTATTCCACTGTGGTGAAAAAGATACTTGCTATGGCTGGGGTGTGATGGCACACGTCTGTAATCCCAGCTACTCAGGAGGCTGACACAGGAGAATGGCTTGAACCTGGGAAGTGAAGGTTGCAGTGAGCTGAGATCATGCCACTGCACTCCAGCCTGGGCAATAGAGCAAGACTCTGTCTCAGGAAAAAAAAAAAAGATACTTGATGTGATTTCTAGATTTTTGAATTTGTATAGATGTGTTTTCTGGGCTAAAATATGGTCCATTCTGGAAAATGTTCTATGTGTGATGAAAAGAATGTGTATTCTGCAGCAATTGGGTAAAATGTTCTATGAATGTCAGTTAGGCTTATTTGGTCTAGTGTGTAGTTTAACTCTGATGTTTCTTTGTTGATTTTCTGTCTGGATATCTGTCCATTACTGAGAGTGGGAGGCTGAAGTCCCCTACTGCTACTGTATTGCAGTCTCTCCCTTTAGATCTATTAGCATTTGGTTTATATAATTGGGTGCTTTAGTGTTAGGTGCATAGATATTTATAGTTATTATATCATCTCGATGAATTGACCCCTTTACCATTATATAGTGATCTTCTTTGTTTCTTCTTACAGCCTTTGACTTGTACTCTATTTTAACTGATACAAATGTAGCTACTCCTGCTCTTTTCTGGTTTCTACTTTTATGGATTACATTTTTCTATCCCTTCACTTCCAGTCTGTGTGTGTCTTTATAGCAGAGGGGGGTTCCTTCTATACAGCATATAGCTGGATCTTGTTTCTTTATTTGTTCAGCCATTTTGTGTCTTTTAAAAAATTTTATATTTGGAGGCTTCTCTCCAGTGTGAACTCTGCGTCTTAATTAGAGAACTGAGTCCATTTACATTCAGTGCTATCATTGATAAGTAAGGATTTACTACTGCCACTTTGCTGCTTGTTGTCTGGTTGTTTTGTAATTTCTCTCTTCCTTTCTTCCTGTCTTCCTTTTGTGACTAAGTAATTTTTCTCTGGTAGCATGTTTTAATTCATTTTTTTTTCAGTAATCTATTACATGTTTTTGCTTTGCGGTTACCATGAGGCTTACAAAACACATTTTATAGATATAAAGAGTTATTTTAAAGGGATGACAACTTATCTTAGATCACAAAAAATGGAAATTAAAAAAAACCAAAAAATCCTCTACAGTTTAACTCCCTCCTATCCATGTTTTTACTTTTGGTTGTCTTGATTTAATTATTTTTATATTGCCCATCTCTTAATGGTTGCTATTAAGCTATTATTGTTTTGATAGACTTGTCATTTAGGCTTCATACTAGATACGAGTGGATTGCACACCATAATTATAGCACTGCAGTATTCTAGGGTTCCTGAGGATTCACTGAGAATTCCCAGGTGATGACAACAGCCCAGAGGGTGATTCCGTTTTAATTTAACTTCTCTAACACCATGTTTCCATCATCATTTCTAGGACACCTTTTCTCTGAGTTCCATCTCACAGGCTGATCTTTTAAATAGACCTCATTCCTCCAATTTCCTGCAGTCATGAAGTTAGACATTTCTGGGATTCCGTTTCCTGAAATGCAATGTTTCCTGAATGCCATTAAGGTGCTTCTCCTGGGAGTTGAACCTGCCTTTGGATGGAGCCCTTTCCTGTGGAAACACGGGTGAGTCTCTCCAAAATCTCTCATTCCCTGACATGGATTTATTTAAGTGGCCTCTGTTTTTATGAAATACATTTTTAATGGAATTGGAAGAAAATCTCTTAGGCGGTTGACAGCTCTGTTCTCTTTTGATGTCAATTTCCCCTGCCTCTGAGTTGCTGCAAATCCAACCAACTCATCAAGCTCTTTCCCCTCCCTATGGCACTGAGAAGAGGCCATCTTGGGAGGGCAGGGAGGATTCGATGCTCATGGTGATGCATGGTCATGGTCATGGTCATGGTCATGGTCATGCTGGGAGAAACCAGGTCTTGCAGTTGTGCTGTGGGTTGTCAGAAAATAGCTCTCCGGGGTGTGAAGGGGCCAAGAGATACATGGAGCCAGCTGTGGGCGATGGGCATGGCATCAGACCGAAGGTGCCCACCCATCTCTGGGGATCTTGTTGAGGTGCAGATGCTGACTCACCAGATCTGAGTGGGATCAGGGATTCTGCATTCCTGACCAGCTCCCAGGTGTGACCAGTGCTGCTGGTCTGAAGGCCCAGGACTTTGATAGGGCAGGAGAGAGAAGGACCTGCTTATGTCACCTTGGTGGCCTGTGGGAGGAGTAGGAGTACACAAACATGAGGGTGTGATAACACATGGGCTCCTATTCGCCCTTTTCACAGAAACCTCAGCGAGGCCAGTCATGAACACAAGGGGTCTATCCCACCCAAGCTGAGCCCTCCTTGGACAGGCCTTGGAATGCAGCACTCCCAAGGCTGAGCTCAGGTCATGTGCTGATGGGGACAGGACTATAGCTGACTCCAGCCCTTCAGTCCTGGAGCTTGAGGCCAACGGGGCAAAGCTGTCAAGTGTCCTGGAGGTTCCATTCATGTGGTTTTCCAATAAGTAGGGCGAGGAAAATGACCCTATCTTCCCAACTCAGTGCTCCCCCTATGCTAACCTTGTTGGGGTGCAAACAAAGGTGTACCTCTAGAGTTTGGCTTACACAAATGCAATAGCTTTTTTTTTTTAATGAAGACATTTGCAGTTAAATTATAAAAAGTTACTTGCACCAGTCATAGGGCATTCTGAAGTCAGAGAGTATGTGTGGCTGTGGGGTGGGGGTGCAGGGCAGGGCAATGATCATGCTGGGAATTTGAAGTTGGTAACCCAGGGAAAGAGGTCCAGCTATACTTCTCCTGACCTGTTCCCCAGATTGTCCACCCTTTTCCCAGGTGTCAGCCCACCTGAGACCCATCCTTCCTTCCTCTGTGTGCCCTGTCCTCCCCAGACAGGCCCCCATGCCATGGCCGATCACTGGATGCTGTGGTGGGCACAGCAGTGCATGAGGTCATTGTCTTGTGAGCCCTGTACTTTATGGATGAGGATATGGAGGCTCAGGCGGTTGGGAACTCAGCCACATCACACAGCTTGCAAATGGCACAGGTGATATCAAGCCCAGCTCTGTCTGGCACCAAAGCTCCTAAACCCAGCTGCTCTGGTCCCCACCAATCTCTCCTTCCACAGTTTCAATATTTGATAGTCTGTGCCATCTTTGGATATGTACTCAGTTTTATTCATTCTTTAAAATCATTTGCAGAGGTCCTGTTCTTTCCCATGCACCATACTCAGAACTGAGAACAGTAAAATGCTGACTGCCCTGGGATGGCTCATTGGCACACTCAAGCCCCTCTTGGCACAGGATTCCAGCAAGGCTCAGAGGAGGGGTCAGCCCTGCCAGGGGTTAGGGGGCTCAGAGGAGAGGTTAGTCCTGTCCTGGTTTAGGGAGCTCAGAGGAAGGGTCAGCCCTGTCCTGGTTCAGGGGCTTACAGGAGGGGCTAGGCCTTCCCGGGGTCAGGGGGCTCAGAGGAGGGGTCAATCCTGCCAGGGGTAAGGGTCTCAGAGGAGGGTTGGCTCTGTTTGGGGTCAGGGTGCCCAGGGGAGGGTCAGCTGTGTTTGGGGTCAGGATGCCCAGGGGAGGGTCGGCTGTGTTTGGGATGAGGGTGCTGAGGGAGGGTCGGCTGTGTTTGGGGTGAGGGTGCTGAGGGAGGGTCGGCTGTGCTTGGGGTGAGGGTGCTGAGGGAGGGTCGGCTGTGCTTGGGGTGAGGGTGCTGAGGGAGGGTCGGCTGTGCTTGGGGTGAGGGTGCTGAGGGAGGGTCGGCTGTGTTGGGGTGAGGGTGGTGAGGGAGGGTTGGCTGTGTTTGGGGTCAGGGTCAGGGAGGGTGGGCTGTTTGGGGTGAGGGTAGTGAGGGAGGGACGGCTGTGTTTGTGGTGAGGGTGCTGAGGGAGGGTCGGCTGTTTTCAATGTGGCATGGCTCTGCAGAGGAGTTTTTGTCATGCTTGTGCCAGGAAGGGCGTGATGGCAGATGGCGGCGGCGGGCCAGGGTGTGGTATATCTGCTCTTTGTGTCTAGTTTTGTCTTTTCAAGTGCTTTGAAAGCTCCCTGATATCAGGGTCTGTTTTCATTTTCCTCTGAAATTTTAGGTGCCCACAAACTAGCATGCACAAGGCATTGAGAAAACGCCCACAGAAGAGAGTGCAAACCACTGTGGTCTGAGTTATCCATTTCCCAGCTGCCCCAGGCATGAAAAATAGAAACGATATAATCATGGGGAGCAGTCACACCAGTTAGAATTTAATGAAAGCCATTCTGCCATTCTGGCAAGTGTGAAAGGAGACACATGGTGATTAGGGTGGTCACTGGGACAATCTTGCTGGAAAGTGCTTTTCTGACTTGGTTCACATCTATATAGTTTTGATGTTGTAATTCTGATTTTAGGAATCGGTTCTAAGAAGCAGTAAGAAAGCCAAACAAAGCCACAGCAGAAGCACCTGGCACTGTTTAGAATGCTGCACATCTGAGACTATCAGTGGTTGCAGAGAGGGGGCTAAGGGTCGGGCTTGATGACGGTGTGTGACCACTCATGGGACAGAGTGGTCTTTAACTGGAGGGAAAATGCTCGTGCCTTGATGTGAAGTGGGAAAAGACCAATACAAAGACATGGTGGTATCACTGCAAGCAAAAGACTGCTTACAGACAAGAGGAAAGACTGGAAGGAAACACCCAGAATGGCCAGTGGTCAGCTTTGGGACATGAGTATGACTGATTTAATGTATTCCTTTATAATTTAGAAAATGTTCTGTGGTGGGCTTTTGACAATTGTTGAATAAAGGTTGTATAACAAAAGTGAAACAACAGAATTTTGAGTGAAGGAATGAGCAAAAGCGCTGGGGCAGGGGTGTTTCTTTTCAGTTTCTACAACTGCTGTAACAAAACGCCACCAACAGCACCTGAGAACACCACATATTTACTGTTTTACAGTTTTGGAGACAGGAAATTTGAAATCAATCTGACTTGGCTAAAATTAATGTGTCAGCAGGATGCAGTGGCTATGCACTTTGGGAGGCCCAGGTGGGAAGATCGCTTAAGTCCCGTAGTTCAATACCAGCCTGGGCAACATGGTGAGACCCCCATCTCTACAAAACAGTAACAACAACAAAATTAGCTGGGTGTGTTGGTGCGCGCCTGTGGTCCCAGCTACTTGGGAAGCTGAGGTGTAAATATTGCCTGAGCCTGGGAGGTGGAAGTGGCAGTGAGCTGTGTTTGCACCTCTGCATTCCAGCCTGGGTGACACAGTATGACCCTGTCTCCCAAAAAATAAATAAATACAAAATTTAAAAAGTAGAACCAACATGCCATCAGGATGTGTTCTTTCTGGAGCCTGCGGCTTCTGGAGGCTGCCCGTACTCCTTAACGAGATGTCCCATCGCCGCAGCCTCTGCATCCACCATTACCTGTCCTTCCCCAACCCTGGCCCTTGAGATCATACTTGGCCCACCTGGATAAACCAGGATAATCCCTCATCTCAACGTCCTTAACATAATCACATTTACGAAGGCTTTCCCCACATGGTAATGTTCGGGGGATCGGGCTGTGGACATTTTTGCAGGTTTATTATTTGTCCCCTCCATGGGCCAGTTTCCTATGGGGATGTACTTCTGAGAGTGTGGTGTTGAGTGCTGGGGAGCCTGCTAGCATCTCATCATCACCCTGCAGAAATACTGCAAAGTGACTAGCAAACCCAACGGGAACACTTGCAAAGGGTAAATTGTGTTCCTGCCTGATCCTTCTCGGTGAATGCAGCACCCATGGAGACCCAGGAGGTGCTCCGTAGAGGAGGGGCCTGGGTTTCTGGGGCCCTGGGTTTTGCTGACAGTCAGCTTAGAGAATTGAGGAGGAGCAGGTTGAGTGGGCATAAGGGCATCCGAACACCTCGGGAGACAAGCTGCTTGGGTAGAGGTGTGACATTGGGCCAAGTGCTGAATGGAAGGGACCCAAAAGGCAAGGCAGAATTGCAGAAATGAAAAAAAGGAATGATGGCATCTGGACAGCGCTCTACCTTCTCCAGCAGGTTTCTTGTGAATCTTCTGTCTTCATTCACTCATTCCTTCACGCATTAGTCACATGAATGCCTGGTACCTGCCAAGCTCCTGTGACAAAGGGGCCAAGGAGGCCTCAGGCCCCGTCCCTCCTGGGCACAGCATTTCTGCCCCCGAGCTAGAGTCTACCAACCATACCACCAAGGAGACCCAGGTCGGGGCAGGTGGCCCTCGCACTGTGGAGCTGGTGCGTCCTGGGACCTGGGCTCTCTGACCGACCTCTTTAGGTCTCCAGCACCTCCTCCAGGCCCTGGGGTGCAGCGTGGGAGGGGGTGTCCACTCTGCCTCTCCCTGGAAGCTGAACCCCTACCAAGATGGGCTTCTTTCTTTCTGAACGTAATCCTTGGCTCCCCTCCTTCCATCCCTGCCTTTCCAGGACCCTTTGTCCTCTCCCACGTGCCCATCCCTCCTTTTTTCTCTCATCTTTCTCTCCACAGAGGTGACATCCTGGGGATGGAGCAGGCAGCAGCAGGGCCCCGAGCACCCTGAGGGGTCTTCCTGCTCCACAGGCTCTGGCCCCATTTCCCCCTGAGGTGCAGTGAGGGCACCTCATTTGGGAAGGAGGAGGCAGACGAAGAACATAGAGAAAGGGACCCAGGACCTGAAGTCAGGGAAGCGGCCAGTTGGGTCCCGATGAGGGACCCAGCAGATATATGGGAGGGCCAGGCTGGCGGGGAGGCTGGAGGCCTGCAGTGTCCTTGGGCTCCACGTGGCCAGGGCAGGGGCAGAGTGGGCGGCGCTGTCCACACGGGCCAGGCTGAGGCTGAGGCTGAGGCTGAGAGCGGGACGCTCTAGTGGGGCTGCAGGGAGATGCAGGCAGCTTAAGGCAGGGGTCAGCTTTTCTCCTCCAGACTACAGCTCCTAGCATCTTCCAGTCTGAACAAAGGCTTTGTTCCTTGTAGTCAGCTCACACAGGTGTGTCCCTGGAATGCAAGCTTCCTTGAGTTGCTGCCAGCACAGCAGCAGCAGGAGGAGGATGGATGTGGAGCAGGGGCATGCAGTCTGGCCCCATCAGCTTTTCTCCACACTGAGGATCCAAGATTCCTCACTCCAGGGCCTGGGCTGGATGTCACCTTGGTGCCACAGTATACTCCCAAGCCACCAGGGGAGAGGCTATGGACTGAGCTGTGTCTCCTTAAAATTCACATGCGGAAGCCCTGACTCCCAGTTTGGTGTGAGGAGTTGGGGCCTTTGGGAAGTGATTAGGTTTAGATGAGGTCCTGAGGGTGGGGCCCTCGTGATGGGATTGGCATCCTTATGAGAAGAGTCACAGAGGGCTTTTGAGAAGGCAGGCAAGAAGAGTGCTCACCAGGGTCTCACCATGGTGGCACTGATCTCACACCTCCAAAACTGTAAGAAATACGTTTCTGTTGTTTGAGCCACCTGGTCTGTGGAATTTTGTGATGGCAGCTGAGCAGATGAATACAGATTTCAGGACTAAGAAGTGAGGTGCTAACTATTGTTACAGAACCAAACTGGGGGCCACTCTCTGTGCACAATAACACCAAATACCCATACCAGGGTTTCTGCAGTGGTAGAAAGGAAGGTGTTTACTGCAGAGCACCAAGCAAGGAGGACCAGGCAGCTAAATGCTCAAGATCTGGCCTCCCCCATGTCTCACAGGCAGGGGTAAGTTGCAGGAAAGCAGAAGCTACAGGCAAAATCCTAAATCAATACACAGAGGTTACACATTGGTTTAAGCTTGAAAGGATGAGACATCTTGAATGGGGGCTCACAGATCATGGGTGGACTTAAATATCTTCTGATTTGCAATTGGTAAGGAAGAGAAGCTTTGTTTAAAATTTAGGGGGTCAGTAGAAAAATGTTAACTTGCTAGGGGGAGTGAGTTTCTCACAGCCCCTCAGGAAGAAACTTGGAACAAAGACAATAGTTAAAAACTTTCATCTTAGTTTCTCTCTCATCTGGGGTCTGTGTGCCAGTGGATCTTTAGTAGGTGGGGAGGGGGTCCTCAGCAGGCGTCCCAGCCTCTGAGAGACAGGTTAGGGACATATGTTAAGATTTTATCTTTACTTTCTATAGGGAAAGCAAACATTTCTGGAGCTTTAACTTCCTTGACTATTGTTCTTAGGCTATTATTACCTTTTTTAAACAAGGACTTAATTACCTCTGGGACTAGCCAGATGCCTGGAAATTTTTTTAAGGGACCTTGGGATTTTTCTTTATTTCATGCTTGGGGGGTACACAGGTCCCTAAAAAGAAGGGGAATCTCTACTCTACCTGACTATAACAAATACATAGATATGTGAAAGTGTCTTTGGAACTGGGTAATGGGTAGAGGCTGGAAGAGTTTTGAGGTATGTGCTAGAAATATGGACATTTAGGGTGATTCTGGTGATGTCTCAGTTGGAAATGAGGAACATGTTATTGCAAATTGGAAGAATAGTGATTCTGGTTATAACGTGGCACAGAGCTTGGCTGAACTGTGTTCTAGTGTTTTGTAGAAGACGGAG
Organism: Homo sapiens; assembly: GCF_000001405.40. Lineage (NCBI taxonomy): Eukaryota > Metazoa > Chordata > Mammalia > Primates > Hominidae > Homo > Homo sapiens. The sequence continues at coordinate 129,890,260 of NC_000002.12, read as the reverse complement.
CTTGTGAGTGATGGAGTTGGATATCTAGCCAAGGAGATTTCTAAGCATAGAGCTGAAGGAGCAGCTTGGTTCCTCCTGACTGCTTATAGTAAAATGCAAAAGAAGAGAGAGGAATTGAAGAAGAAACTCTTAAACAAAAAAGAACCAGAACTTGAATATCTGAGAAGTTCTCAGTCTCTCTGTATTTCAAAAAGTGAGAAATCTTGTTCTGAAGGAAACACTACAGGTGTGGCTGTACAGCCATTTGATAAAGAAATCACGGGTGTGACTCATGGACTTCTTCAGCCATCTCAGTGGAAGCCAGGAATAGAGATGGAATTATACCAGCAGAGACGCTGCTAATTTGAACTAAAGGGGGCAGAAAAAAATAGATGAAGTGATGGAAGGCTGTCAGAATTCTTAGATCTGACTGGACCAGACCATAGAGTGATTTGGCTACGCATGTGCACTCTTCTTCAAGGAAGGGGAAGACAGAACCTGAAGGTGATTCAGAGATCACAGGGACACCACCAGTTCAGTTTGAATAGGCCAGGTGGCCTCTGACCAAAGCCTTGGCGCCACCCTGTAGAGTCTGGGAGGCATGATCCCCAAATGGCAGAGCTGCAGAGGCAGGACTGCTGTCCCAGGAGGTCTGGAGGGCAGAGAATCCAGCTGAATAAGATGATTCTTGAGCCTTAAGATCTAATGATACTTGCCTTGCTAGGTTTTGGACTTGCCTGGGACCTGTCACCCTTCCTTCTTTTCTTTTCTTCCCTTTGGGAATGGGAATGTCTATCTTCTGCCTGCCCTACTATTGTATTTTGGAAGCACATAACTTGTCTCGTTTCACAGGTTCATGGCTGAAGAGGAATTTTCCCTCAGGATCAATTGCACCTTCAGTCTCACCCATATCTGATTTAGATGACATTTAGATGAGATTTTGGACCCTGACATTGATGCTGGAACAAGCTAAGACTTTTGGGGCTATCGGGATAAAATGAATGTATTTTGAATGTGAGAAGGACCTAAAGTTTGAGAGGACAGAGGCAGAGTGTTATAGACTGAATGGGAGGGCTTTGTTCAGGAAGAGCCTTGGATTGCTGAATCCCAGGGGAAACTTCAGCTTGTTAGATGACATCAGGCCTGTGGAATCTGCATGTCCAACTGACTTGTGTGTGAGGACTGAGGAGATGGGGTGAGATCAGCTTCACCCTAGCCTTCACCCAGTGCTTGAGCTCCTCTGGAGACAGTGATGACAAGGATCAGAGCCTGCCCTGCAAGAACAGCCCCCACAGCTCTGGGTATCTTCCTGGGACCACTCAGAGGAACGAGATGTGCTAAGTGTGTCAAAGCAGTGGGGAGTGGAAGGAAGGAGGCAGTGTGGACCTTTGCTGAGCATGTCTCAGGCAGCTGCTTCCAGCAACATCGACATTGAGTCCTCACAACGGCCCTGGGAGGTACATAGGCACATCCCTGAAATGCAGAGAGTCACAGACCCAGAGAGGTCAAGCACTCATTGATCACTGAAGCTGGGTGTGGGATCAGATTGGCCAGACCCCCCTCTATCACTCTTCATGGGCTCAGAAGCTTCCATGCACACCATCACCAACCATGCCTGGAGGGCTGCCAGGTCTCCTGGAATTGTCTCTGGGAATCAGGAGGCGAGTTGTCCACAGGTCTGAGTGTGTTTTGCTGGTTGTGCACACAGGATGCTGGCTTCACCCTATGTGAACGGAGCCCCATGGGCCCTGCTGTGGGGTCAAGGGAGTATTCAGGCCTCTGAAACAAAATTCCCTCTACATAAACAAAATCTTACATTGCATATTATTGCTAAACATCACTTGGATGTCACAGCCACGGGAAAACTCAGGCACCCACACTGAGGACAAGGCTGTGTTTGAAGCAGCCTATAGGACCCCACTGAGATTTTTTTTTACATTAATTTATTATGATTAGCAACCTCTGAATGCTTCCAATCTGGGAGCACATGGTGATATTCTGTATAATTTATTTCTCCAGCCTCTGCCCTTTCAAATTTGAGAGGCGCTTGTCAACAGAACAGTAGCAGAGCCACACCCACTCTGTCCAGGTGGAGGGAAGAGCCTCCTCCCGGGGCTTCCTCCTGGGTGGGCTGGGGCTGTGCCTTGGCATGCCTACCTAGGGTCTGGCTGCCTGTTGGTCTCATCCACAGATCTCCTGGTGCCAAGGGGGCATTCAGAGGGCCTGCAGATGCCCATGTCTGTCCTACTGGCTATGCATGGTCCCAGACACCTGCCTGCTTCTACTGCTGATGACGACAGTGAGCCTTCCATGCCTAGCATCTTTAAACATTTGACCCATCACCACCTTCCTGAAAATCCTTCCCTGGACCCCCCACTGCTCTTAGGATAACCTCCTCCTTGGGCTGGCCCTGTCCCCAGGAGCATTTCCTGGGGCTGTGTTCAGCCTGTGCTCTTGCCATTCACCTCCCTACTCTAGGTGTGGTGATGTGCTCCCACATTGTGAGCTCCTTCAGGATGAGTGTGCCTGGCCTACAGACAGCCTGCCCAGAGATGGAGTGAAGTGAGATCCTTCACCCTCCACAGCCAAGGCTTAGAGGGCATGTTCAATGGAGGGCCCCATAGGAGAGATAGTTGCAAGGACAGGTGCATGGGGCCTGAGAGTGTGTTGTGACCTGAGAGGCTGCTGATCCAGGTGAGTAAGGAATGAGTGCCTACCATGGAAGGAAGTGGGGGAGGGGATGGCTGGTGGCGTGAAGCTGTGTAGCTGCCTGGTTGTGCAAAAGTCTTTATGAATTCTTTGGCTTTTCCTCCTCTAAGTTTTAGAACCAACTTGTCAAATTCCTTCAAAATCCAATTGGAATTTTGATTGTGACTTATGGAATCTATAGTTCAGTTTGGACAGGACTGACCTCTATAATAGTGAGTCTTTCTATTCATGAACTTGGTATAGTTCTCCATTTAGTTCATTATTTTATCTCACCATTTTTAGTAATTTTCTTTATATATGTCTTGAATATTATGTTTTAGGTTAATTCCTACGTACCTTATATAAACCAAAAATAAAATTCTAAGACCCCCAACCATCTAAGTGGACCCCTTGTCTTGGCCAACGGCACTCCAAAGTTAACCTGAAAAACTAGTTCAGGCCATGATGGGAATGGTGAGTTGGAGATGCCTCATTATACCCTCATCCATTTTGGAATTCAGGCCCAACTCACCAGCATTAACATTAAAACAGAGATCTTAAGATTGATAAAACAGATGCTTTTTTTTTTTTTTTTGAGATGGAGTCTTGTTCCTGTCACACAGGCTGGAGTGCAGTGGTGCCATCTCTGCTCACTGCAACCTCCACTTCCTGGGTTCAGGTAATTCTTCTTCCTCAGCCTCCTGAGTAGTTGGGATTACAGGTGTGCACCACCACACCTGGCTAAGTTTTGTATTTTTAGTAGAGACGAGGTTTCACCATGCTGGCCAGGCTGGTCTCAAACTCCTGACCTCAGATGATCCACCCGCCTTGGCCTCCCAAAGTGTTAGGATTATGGGCATGACCCACCGTGCCTGGCCAGGCTTTTAACATTTGAAAGAAACAGCTACAGTCTATTCTTTCTGAAGCCTCCTACCTGGTGGCTTCATGTGCATGATAAAACTTTGATCTCCACAACCCCTTATCACAAGACAGACATTCCTTTCTATTGATTCCAGGTCTTTAGATAATAACTCAACCAATTGCCAATCAGAAAACCTTTAAATCTGCCTATGACCCGGAAGCCCTTGCTTTGAGTTGTTCCACATTTCTGGACCGAACAGTGTACATCTTACATGTACTGATTGATGTCTTTTGTCTCTCTAAATTGTATAAAACCAAGATGTAATCCAACCACTTTGGACACATGTTCTCAGATCTCCTGAGGGCTGTGTCACAGGTCATTGGTCACTCATATTTGGCTCAGAATAAATCTCTTCGAATATTTTAGAGTCTGACTCTTCTTTGTCAACACTTACATGTTTTATCTCTAACAAATGTCATATATTTTTTAAAAATTACATTTTCTTATTGCTTAAATTTTCTCTTCTTTTTTTCCTCTGGTTTCGTCTCTTTCCTCAGTTTAGGAAATAATTTCTATTGCAGGGAGAGAAGAGAGAATTTGCTCTAGTCTTTCTCATATCTTCCAAATCTCTTGTTCCTTCCCTGAGCTTAAACTTCCAAAATGTAAAAGCCAAGAATTTAACTCCTGGTACCCGTGACAATGCTTTCCTCAGTTGTGGGGCTAACAGCCAGGCCAGAGGGTATGAGGAACCCTGGGGAGTAAAACCCCAGGCAGCCTCTGGATGGTGCCATAATCACACAGCTCACATGCGCTGGAGGGTCTGTGCCTAGGTCTACCAAACCCCGAAGCCCTCACGCTTCTCTTACTTCTTGCTGCTTCTGAGGGCTCTATGGCTGCTGGCTTCCCTATCCAGGCCAACAACTGTCTGCCTGGGACTGAACTGGCAGAAGCTCGGACTGGTTGGCCCCAACTTTCTCCATCTCTTTTCTGCCTTCTCAAGCAACTTTTGTCTGGAGTAAGAAGAGAAAAGATATAAACCCTAAACAAACCAAGTAAAACAAAAAAGTAATAAATTCTACACACTGCTAAGAGAGCTGCCTGTGTCCTTCTCAGGGAAAGGATGCTCCAGGCAGTAAGGCTTGCAAGTTCCTGGGAGCCCAGAGAGTGGACAACTGGCTGTGTGGCTTCAGTCAAGCACCTTTGTCCTCCAGAGGAAAAGGTTTGACCACGTGTTCTCATGGGCCCTTTCATTCTGCATTCTTTGTATATGAAGTGCTCAAGGAGAACTAGATTTGATCCCTTTAAAAGTAAACCCAATTAAGAACTCAGGTTAGAGGCAGAATTTTCAGATAACAATATTAACAGCTGACATTTATTGAGTACTTATTATGGGCTTGACAGTTTTATAAGTGCTTTACGTGGATGGAGACCTTTAATGCTCACAACAGCCTTGTGAGGTCATGGAGTCTTGTCACCCAGGCTGGAGTGCAGTGGTGCGACCTTGGCTCACTGCAACCTCTGCCTCCCGGGTTCAAGTGATTCTTCTGCCTCAGCCTCTGGAGTAGCTGGGATTACAGATGCCTGCCACCACGTCTGGCTAATTTTTTGTATTTTTAGTAGAAAAGGGGTTTCACCATATGGCCAGACTGGTCTCGGAACTCCTGATCTCAGGTGATCCAACCTCCTCAGCCTCCCAAAGTGCTGGGATTACAGGCGTGAGCCACCGAGCCCGGCTGAGGTCAATGTTATTATTACCATCTCATTTTATAGATAAGAAAAGAGGCTTGGAGAGGCTCTGGGATGTCCCCGCAGTCACACAGGCAGTAGGTGGGAGAGCCAGATTTGAGAAATAATATGAATTTCATATGGCTTAGACACTAGTGGGGGAAATGAACATCAACAACCAGTGATCACAGTGATCTCTAGATGCCCTTGGGAAATGCTGGCCTGGACACACCTGAGTAAGGTCTTGGTGGTGCAGAGCCTGGAAAAATGAGCACTGAGGCATTAGCACCTAGCTCAGACTCATCTGCAAGAACTGCCACTTATCAGCTGTGAGAGCTTAGGCACCTTACTTCCCCAGGGGCTGAAGACCCCTCCTGACAGAGGGGACAAACTAACCCTGCAAATATGCTGGCCTGGGCAATACCCTGGTGGACATGTTCAGTGCCTTTCCTTCCTCTTTCTTCTGTCTTCCCACATGTTCGCTGCCTAATGGTGGGGGTCTGCCCCCATCCACCATCCTGAGACTGAGGGCCACCCTGCCCACCAGCCTGAGGGTGGAGTGTGCCCTGCCCACCAGCCTGAGGGTGGAGTGTGCCCTGCCCACCAGCCTGAGGGTAGGATATGACCCTGCCTGTAGAGGGCTTCACCAGGAGTCCCAGGCCCACCCACCCTGTACCTGAGGAGTGGAAAATCAGAAACCCTATTTTTTCACGAACTGCACATGCCTCCCTCATCACCAGCACACGCGATTTGCAGGGAGAGCAGACTTTTTTTTTTCTTCCTGAGACGGGGTCTTGCTCTGTCTCCCAGGCTAGAGTGCAGAGGCATAACCACAGCTCACTGCAGCCTTGACCTCTCAGGCTGAAGCGATCCTCTCACCTCAGCCTCCCAGGTAGCTGGGACTACAGGTGCATGCTACCATGCCTTGCTAATTTTTAAATTTTTTTATAGAGACACGGTCTCACTATTTTGCCCAGGCTGGTCTCAAACTCCTGGGTTCAAGTGATCCTCCCGCCTTAGCCTCCCAAAGTGCTGGGGTTACAGGTGCAAGCCACTGTGCCTGGCTAGATTTTAGTATTTTACCCAACTGAATCTCTTTTGGATTTTACTGCTCAGCCCCAAAGCACTGCTGGAAAGGGATCAGGAAGAGAGGGGGAAAAGTTAGATTTTGTGTGTCCAAACAGGTTCTTTTTCTTTCTTTTCTTTAGAGACAAGGTCTCACTATATGAGAGCTGGTCTCAAACTCTTAGGCTTAAGTGATCCTTCTGCCTCAGCCTTCTGAGAAGCTGGTACTATAGGAACAAGCCCCCATGCCCAGCTCTCCAAACAGGTTATTCTTAAAATTAAAAACAAACAAAAGAAACCTAAAAGCAAAAAGCCAAAAGGAAGCACTCCATGAGAATGGGAGGCTTGCAGGTATTATAGGCAGAGGAAGCTGCTGTCCCTTGCAGGGCAAAGGCTGCATACAGGCAAAGGCCCACAGTGTCAGGGCTGGGGGCACCCCCTCCCCCCAGTTTCTTTGGTCTCATCTCTGCTATCTAATGTAAGCATTTTAATGTCACCTACAAAGGTACTCCTAGCACCCATTTCTCATGTTGATGTTGTTTTCCAACACTCCGAGGCTTGGGCTCTGGAGCTCCCTGTGCTGTGAGCACGTTTCTGGGGACTCGGGTGCAGGGAGCCAGGCAGGCAGAGCCCTCAGGTTGGCTTTGGGCCCTCAGGGGTGCATGTATTGGCACTTCAGTGATGTGTCTTGGTTCACCTGTCCAGGGTGCTATGAGGTGCATCTTCTGCAGGTGAGAGGCTGGCAACAGCCAGGCTTCCTTATGCCTGGAGTAAGAAGGAGAGCAGGATTTAGGCCCAGGTGCTCCTGGGTTTGGAACACATGTTGCTGTTACAAGTTCCCTTTTATAAGTGGAATCAGTTTCCTTCTCAGTCAGGTGAGCTCATGTTGCCATAGCTCCTTTACCGATAAAATGTTAAGTGGATGATGTCAAGTGTGTAAATGTTGTTAGAGGAAGAACCAATCATGCTGGGCTTCCCCAGGGCTGGAACATCCTCTCTGATGCTTCATATCATCCCGGAAAGGAACATCAGCTCTGGGTCAGGCATCAGGGCTCTGCTCTGCATGGCTGGGAGAGATGGCATCAGGTGGGGTGCAGTGAGGGAGCTGGGACCAAACTGCGGGTCTGAGGGACTGTGGGCTTCGGGAGGGCAGGAACAGAGGGAGGGAGGAACAGGCTAGTTCCAGATGGCTGGAGGCTCATCTCAGGAAAGTGGACCTCTCATGCCACTGGAGGGCCTGGACAGAGGGTTAGCTGGCTGGGCCACTTCTGTCATGACGGAGACCCAGAGAAGGGGCCATCAGGCTTGGAGAGGGAAGGTGATGTTGCTCTTGGCAGTGTCAATCATTCAGGTCGAACCAAGCCTCATGGGAGCGCTGGGGCTGCTCCTGCTGGGGATCCCAGTTTTGGATAATGATAATTAACATTCGCTGAGTGCTGCCTGTAAGCTGAGAACCCTGTACATCTCAAATAGAGCATCTCCACAATTCTCACTGTGGTTCTGAAAAATAGGTGTTATCAACCACCATGCTTGATAGACAGGGGGCAGAGAAAATTGAAATAACTTCCCCAAGGCCCGGTCACACAGTTAAAGGTGGGGAGCTGGGATTTGAACCTGGTAGTCCAACTTCAGTGCTTGTCCTGGGTGGTGCCATGTGCCTCTGTCTCCTTGGTGTCCAGATAGCACCCACAAGCCTGGGTTTTACAGTCATCACAGTCACTGGTGAGGCCCCTTGAATCTGCAACTCTAGGAGGAACAGCAACGAGCTGGAGCAGAAATGAGTGAGAAGCATCAAGGGGGATCAGTGCAGTATGGCACAAAGCACTGCCATGGGTAAGTTCTGAGCCCAGAGCCCATTTACTCACGGTGGTTGGTGGTTTCTAACACACCCCCCAATGACCCCACCTTCTCGGCCCTCATGTAATCTCCTCCCTTTGAGTGTGGGTTGGACTTAGAGACTCACATCCAGTGAATGGAATATGGCAAAATGATGGGATGTCCCTCCCAAGATTGGGTAATAAGTAGACTGTGGCTGTCTTGGGCTCTCCTGTTCTCCCTCTCCCTTCCTGATCACTGTGCTAGGGCACCAAAGTGGCTCAAAGTGTAGAGGCCCACTGCCATGGTATAAAGCTGAGGCCCTCAGTCCAGCAGTCCATGGCAGTACCCCGTGGAAGTGGTCCCTACCCTCTGCCACAGCTGAGCCTTCAGTGAGACTGATAGTGTCACTGTGATCTCATGAGGCACCTTGAACTTAAGCTGCCCAGCTAAGCCACGCCTGAACTTAAGCTGTGGTATTTTGGGATAATTATTTAGGCAGCAATAAGTAACTAATATCTTCCCTATGAAGAACCTGCCAATCTCCCTTAAATAGAGAGATCATATGATTAATCATCTTAACCAGGACAATTCTGCAAATGAAATCACACTGGGAAGACAGATGTTAACTTGGACCATTCCTGGGAAATCAGAACATGGAACAAGAGGAGTAGTTGTGGCCTGTTTGGAATTGACTTTGTCCTTGCATTGGCTCCTTGGGTTCTTTCATGCCCCACACCCTACCTGGTGGAGGTGCTGGATGCCAGCTTCCCACTGCAGGACCACCTATGTCTTAGCGTTCTTTACTTTGGCACCTGCCCCTGCGTGGCCTCTAGGGGCCCAGTCCTCATTGGAGCTCCATGCCCTCTGCACAGTGAACACTGTAGGATCTCTGTCCCCTCAGCATCATGACCTGGCCCCGCCATCTCTGCTTTCTGTGCCGTGGGCATTGTTGGCAGGAAGACCTCCATCCTGCTTGGAGTCCAAGCCAACAGTAGGTCTCCCCCTCCGGCAAACGTGGATCTGGTGGTCCTTCTGGTAAAGGTTGAGCTTATGTGGGGCAAGGAACAGAGGCTCAGGGTGGCCCCTATTCCAGGAGGGGTTTTGCAGGAATGTTGTGGGCTGGGGCTGGAACATGTTCAGGATGAGCCCCTCCCTCCATCTCTCATGGTGCCCGCTTCCTGTCCTCTTGCCTCTGAACGGCCCATGATTTCTATGACCCCCTCTACCCTGAATCTCAGAAGGAATCATCCTGATTGCTTTAGCAAATTAACCCATGCTCTGAACAGGTTTTTCTTAAAATTAAAACAAAACAAAACAAAACAAACCTAAAAGCAAAAAGCCAAAGGAAGCACCCCATGAGAATGGGAGACTTGCAGGAATTGTAGGTGGAGGAAGCTGCTGTCCCATGCAGGGCAGAGACTGCATGCAGGCAAAGGCCCACAGTGTCAGGGCTGTGTGCACCCCCCACTTCCTTTGGTCTCATCTCAGCTGTCTAATGTAAGCAAGCCCTCTCCAAGCCTGATGGCCCTTCTCTGGCCCTTTGTTGCCACAGAAAAGGCCCACTCAGCTAAGCCTCTGTTCAAGCCCTCCAGTGGCATGAGAGTCTCACGCCCTTAGGAGCTCACCATCACGGGGCCGGGGGTCAGGGGCGCTGACTTTATGGGCCACTTTTGGGGATAATGCCCACTCAGGTGCACAAAGCTGCTTCTCCTGGGCAACAAATAGCCGTGTTGCCTCCTTGAGCAGGGACTGAGGATGGGGCCCAATCAGCTGGAATGGGACACTGGTTATGGTAACACCCTTAAGGTCCCTCCAGAAGGGGCTCAACCATGTTGTGGTTGGTGAGACACTACCATTGTTGAAATATTGAATCACATTGAAATAATAAATTGTATTCAATAAGAATATAATAAGAGGCTGAAAATGAATCCACTTTAATTGGAGTTATCGCTTTAACTAATTTTTAAATAGTACCTCACCACTTAGGGACCATCAACCATAGGGACCACCCACTTATTGCAACCACATCGTGGGGGCCTCCTGTCCTGGAGCAGAGACAACACCCTTATGGTCACTTCTGATGGGGTGTGCGGTGACAGCAGTTTTTCTGGCTCTCTCACAATTCTGAGCTTTGCAGTGGCAGGAAGTAAAAATGGCTTCTCAGAGGCTTCACAGTGGTGGTCCTCTGATGTTGCCCCTTCCTTGACCACCTCGGGGAGGTGGGCAGGTGCAACCACACATGAATTGCTGCCTCGTGCCCTTCTGGTGTGACACTGGTGGTGTGATATGGCTCATCCTGACACTGCAGGGGTCACGGTCAGCCAGAAAGTACTGGCAACTGTGTTCCACCTTTGGGCTCCATCCATGGGGGCCGCTTGCAAAAGCCCCCCAGCAGCCAGTGCTCACAGCTCCCTCCTCTTGATACAAGGCCTCCTTCCTATGGGAGCGCTCACATGCTAGCAAGCTCGATGTTAATTAAGCATTAATAGGGTGGGGACCAATTGATTTCCCTGTCAGCTGCTCCAGCTCTCATTCCAAAGAAAGGCAATAGAACATGGAGTTTTGATAGATCTTTGCAAGACAGGCATACGAGCAAATGGAATTTTACTTTCTCAGTTACTAGAGCTTTTTAAATTGATTATTGACCAGGGCCCAATTCAGTTTCTTTTAAGTGTCTGTCCCAAGAGGTGAAAACTTTTCAAGGAATTTAACAGGGGCACACTTGGAACTTCTCTTGGTACACAAACTATAACAAATGGTCTTCTCTCTGTCAAGTAATTTCAAATAACTATCATAAAACCACATTGAAAAAAATTTCAAAACGCCTCAGGTAGAGAACTTCAATTCTTTCTGGAATATGATTAATAAGAGACTGAAAGATGAACCCATGTTTATTGGAGTTGTTGCTTAAATTAATTTTTAAATAGTGCCTCACCACCTAGGGAAAACTAAATCACCTTCTCAATGAAGAGACGCAAGGTAATTTGGAGTCATTAAACAGGCCATTAGGAAGTGTCTCTTGCCTATCGGTTAAAAACCACACACACACACACACACACACACACACAGACACACACACAAATTTCCAATTTAGGATGGTTCGACGTATGATGTTTTGACTTCTTACTGGTGTGATAGTGATACACACTCAATATAAACTCTACTTTGAGTACCCACACAACCATTCTCTTTTTCACTCTCAGTACAGTATTCAATAAATGACATGAGATATTCAACACTTAACTATAAAGTAGGATTTTGCCTAACTCTGAGCACGTTAAAAGCAGGCTACACTAAGCTATGATGTTTGGTAGGTCAAGTGTATTAAATGCATCTTTGACTATGGTATTTTCAACTTACGATGGGTTTACTGGGATGTAACCCCCATGGTAAGTCAAGGAGTATCTGTATATACACCCACAAAACTACGGAGAAACAAGGTATTTCCCAAGCCTACCTTAAAGATAAGCAACGCTATCCCGTTTCCGGGAGCCCAGGGGTCCTGCGCTGAGCAGCGGCCTTCCTTGGGCGTTCCAGCTCTTCTGGGCAGCGCCGGGCGCTCTCACACAAATGCTGCCTCCTTCAGCGCGGGTCTTACAAAGTTGTGCTGTTCTGCATGTTGTTATTTCTAGCTTGTGTTGCACATTTCAGTATTTCCCAAACAGAACATACTGACCATCACTTAATGTTTTCTACATGATTCTAATCATTGTCCATATCCATTCAACAACTTTCAGCGTTCAGGGAAGGCATTAGTGCCCGCTTCTGGGGCTGGACGACGGGGCTATCTGAGAAGAACCGGAGGCCGGGGCTACCTCGGGAGCCTCGCGGCGGGAACGGGTCCCAAGGCCTGCGGCGACAGTACCGGGAGGTAGCCCAGGCCATACACACTAGAGCCTGGCGGAGCTGCTGGCCAGGATGCCAGGGCAGCAGGTGCACGCAGGGCCCTAGCAGAGCTCCTCCAAGAGGGGGTCTTCAGAAATAACCCCTGCGAAGGAGTGGGAGGTGCTCCGGCTGCAGCCCCCCCGGGAATAACCCAATACGTCTATTGACAAAGAAGCCGGCCTACTTTGCTTAAATCCAGAATTTATCAAGCATACATGGTCACAGACCACCCCCTCCTGCTGCTCTGGTATGACATCATTACTTTTTTGAGAACTGTTGTGTTCATCATGCAGAATGCCTTCAGCCAGCCTAACCGCCAGCTTCCTCCGGGATGGGTTTTCCTCACTCTGCAGCCCAGCATGTGGGAAAGACCCTGCGCCTGCTGTGCCCGCCCCCGCGCCCGCCCCCCGACACGCGCGCCCGCCCCCCCACACGCGCGCCCGCCCCCGACACGCGCGCCCGCCCCCCCACACGCGCGCCCGCCCCACCTGGCCCTGTTCCCGCCCCCTCCCCTCCCTGCTTCGCCCTGTCCCCGCCCCCTCCCCAGGCTGTTCTGTCCACCCCTGCTCCTTCCGCTCCCGGCCCGGCCCCGCCCCCGCCCCTCTCCCCGGAAGAATGGGGGCCTCTGCTCACACCAGATTGGTCGGACGGCATCACGTGACCTCATCTCTTGGACTCGCTTGCTATTCCCGAAAAGGGGGAAAGGATTTGGGGGGGACAATCGCGGAGCCTCTCGCTGGCTTTAGGGAGAGAGGGCTGGGGTAGAGGAGAGCCCCAGGGAGCAGGCAGAGGTGGGTTGGCTAGGGCCTTGTGTGACTTGGGCTGAGAAACTTCACTTATTCCCTGGCGCTGGCAGTTGTCAAACTGGGTCTTGTAGATGCTAAGTCTCCATAGAGGTATCGTAGGTATGTTGCAAATGCTTGATTTGAATTGCTTTTTTAAAACAAACGTGTCTTAAATAATTTTTAAAGCTTAAATGATTTTAAAAGACTGCTCAAATGTGCCGTGTCTCATTTATGGTTGTTTATTCACGTGCGAGAGGAGCTGGCTCTGCTATCAACAAAAGGGCTGCTGGTTCCCTCTGGCAGTGATTTTGAAACTTTTTAAGCAGCAAAACCCCCTTCCAAACCGAGAATTCTGCGGTGCTTCAGTCATTAAGACTGATAGAAGCTATATTTATTGGGATAGAGTGATTTTATAATCTTTATTATACAATTGATAACCTAGGGAAAGAAAGATTGAGCTGCAAAGAGGGAAGGCAGAGGAGAAGGGAGATATCACCAGGCTGTAGGTGGGAAAGGGAGTGGAATGGTGGCTTAGACAGGTGCAGGCGGTGTGAAGGACTCACAGGAAGAGAGTCTTGCCTTTCCAGCTCCCAGCTGTTTTTTGCTGATGGATTGGATGTGGGGCCACAGGGTGGCAAGAGAGAAAACCAGGATGACTCCTGAGATTTTGGCTTGAGCAACTGGGCCGATTCTGGTGCCAGTTGTTGAGGTGGAGTGTGGGAAACTGAACATGCCCTCGTGTGTGTGGGGACACTTTTGGGCGGTTACAGGAGGTAGTGGTAACGAATGATAATAGCAGAACATCAGGGTAAGCCTGATAAAGAATTATAAAAATCAGGCCATCAGGGTAAACTCAACGTAACTACTGATGCAAATTGAATAGCTTCTGGCTGTTTACTAAAAACGGAATGAGGGATAGTAACTGTAGCTTTAATTCCATAACAATAGAGCTAAAAATCTACCATAGCTGTGTAGACACTTGCTGACTACCTGAATGCATTCAGGTTTTTTCTAAATAATAGAATTATCTAATCATTCTCTATTTTTTGAATTGGCATGTTCCTTTGGGTGTTGGTTTCCTTTCTGCCCCCACAAGTTTGGTGACAAGGATGGGACACCTTGAGTGAGCCTTTCCACTGGGCAAATTGGAGGATGTGTAGCCATCTTCGGTCAGACAAGAGGCCTTGTTTGCTGAAGTCTTTCTTAAACACATTGACTCATTAAGTCTATCATTTGATTGACCCTACTGTCGTAGCTTACACCAAAGAAAAATTATGGTCATGTGTAAAGCTATATCCTCTCCCTAGCTCAAATACGGGGAATTGAACCTGTAATTAGAGAACTAGAAAGAGAATCATAAAGAAAGGACATTTGCCTTGTAATAGTCTTCCTATATTACCTATGAAAAAGGAAGGGAAACTGACAAAGAAGTTTAGCTTGCTTACATATTTTTACAAAATCTGATAGAAATATATTTTTGGTATGTCTGACAGTTGTAGTACTCAACCTCTTAGCCTCCTATTGTGTGACCTAACTAATTTTAGTAATAGACTTATGTTGAGCTTTCTTTTCTATACCTTCAGCAGAGGAACCAAGGTATCTCTTTGTGTTTACCTATGAAGGCTTTCCATATTGGTGGCAATGCATCCCCCAGGGATTCAGAGATTTGCCAACTATAATCTCTAGGCATTTACAAAAGAACTTAAAGAAACTTCCCCCACCTCAGGAGTCCATATATGGATATATATGGATGATTTATTGATAGGTAACACCTCATGTGCTAACAAGATATATTAGGCCAGACATGGTGACTCATGCCTGCAAAACCAGCACTTTGGGAGGCTGAGGTGGGCAGATTGCTTGAGCTTAGAGTTCGAGACCAGCTTGGGCAACATGGTGAAACCCTATCTCTACAAAAACTTATAAAAATGAGCCAGGCCTGGTGGTGGGTGCCTGTAGTCCCAGTTACTTGAGAGGCTGAGGTGGGAGGATCACTTGAGCCTGGGAGGTGGAGGTTACAGTGAGCCGAGCTCGCACCACTGCACTCTAGTATGGGTGACAGAGTGAGACCCTGTCCCCAAAACAAAAACAAGATATATTAGCTTTACGAAAATTCTAGCTTCTAAAGGGCATAAAGCTCCTTTAGATAATTTCCAACATCGTTAGACCGAGGTCAAGTATTTGGAATATTTGTTATTGGCTGATGGATGGGAAATAGTTCTGTCCCCAAAGCCACCTCTTTTACAAATGAAGCAATAGCTCCATGTAGCAACAGCTCTGTCACTGCGAAGAAATAGCTCCACCCTTTTGAGGTTGGTGTGCATCGCAGGCAACGGGTCCCTGTCTCTTCTGAGAGGCAAGCCACTCATGGTGGTGCTACATGAAGCATCGCTAGGTGCATTTTTGCAATAGCTAGGAGAAGCTAAAAAAGCCTTCAGATCCTTAAGTAGCCATTGTTTTCCTGCCTGTACTTGGAGTCAGTTCCTAGCTGGTCATCTCTTCTCCCTTTTCTGTAAGGAGAGCAAGGGTGCTGTTAGTGATGGGTATGCTTCCTCAAACACTAGCCTTTGGTTGGCTTTCATGTACCACTGGATTCTGTTGCTCCAGGGATGCCAGGCTGTTTAGAAGTCATTCCAACATTGGGTCTCTGCTTGGGAAGGTGCAGGCCTTGGCTCGGGGATGTAATTGTTTGGGCCTTGTGCTGTTGCTGCTGCTTTGTTTTTTTTGTTTTTGTTTTTTTTTGTGTGTTTTTTTTTGTTTTTTTGTGTGTGTGTTTTTTTGTTTTTTTTTTTGAGACAGAGTCTAACTGTTGCCCAGGCTGGAGTACAATGGCGCTTACTGCAACCTCCACCTCCCGGGTTCAAGCGATTCTTCTGCCTTAGCCTCCCAAGCTAGGATTACAGGTGTGCACCATCATGCCCGGCTAATTTTTGTATTTGTAGTAGAGACAGGGTTTCACCACGTTGGTCAGGCTGGTCTTGAACTCCTGACCTCAAGTGATCCACCCACCTTGGCCTCCCAAAGTGCTGGGATTACAGGTGTGAGCCACCACACCTGGCCTGTTGCTGCTGCTTTTTGAAGTTCCTATGACACAGCACTTGTCAGTGCTCTGTAAGCGTTACTGGCTGACCCTAGTGGGATTCTAGGAAGGTGTGAACTTTGAGCCCAGTGACTCTGTTGCCAGATCCTGACTGGACAGCAGCACAACCACCTCGCAGCCCTCAATGAAGATGCATGGCCTCCATCTGATTCATCATATAGTCTTATTCCCATGTTAACTTAATAGCATTCATTGATGGGTCTTATGTGAGAGACACAGGAGGAGACAGAAAAGCACCCAATATAGAAGTCAGTTCTCATGGGATTCTAGAGGCTTGCATTCCCCCCACACATAAAGTCAGCCCAAGCAATGGAACTCAGCTTTTATGTGAGCTGTAACAGTCACCACTGGTCTTAATATGTGTATCTATACCAGTAGTAAATGTGCGTTTGGGGTCTGTCATGCTGTGGGACAAATTAAAAAATAGAGGCTTTGCAATACGAATGGGAATGACAGCGTCATGGGGAAAGTAACTGCCCCTTTCTGTAGTTCATACCAGCTCTGTGGAGGCCCTGGTGGGAGGATGTGGGGAGCTTCATTAGCTGTTTTGTAGTTGCCACTCAAGTCATTTATCAGCATCCAAGCCTGGGGATTAGTGAGGCTGAATGTAGGCAGGGGCAGTGGGGACAGGAACAGATGTAGTTGGAAAAAATATTAAGGAAGCACTTGGTGCTCACTGGAAGGCAGAGTTGTCTAGGAAAGTGTCTGGGCCTCTGGGTTGGGTGATTAGGTGAGTAGCTGAGACATTCGCACATTCACTATTACTGGAAATACAGGAGGAGAGGGTGCAGATTTGCAGGACTCATCTATGGTCACGTTGAATTTAAAGTGGATGTAATAAAACATATTGATGTCATTCTGAGTGATGACAGAAATTGGATGCAAAGGAACGTCGTGAACCAGGTGCAAAAATCTTGTACCAATATAGCTCAAGAGATGAAATCTCTGAGGTGTAGGGTGTTACTTAGCTGAATGCTGTGAATAAAGATGGAACAAGTATTTTTTTAATGAGGAATTTAAAAAATGGCAGTAGCTATGCACTGACAAGTGAGGAAATAGCCAACTCTACCTGTTGACCCCAAGGTGTTCAAGATGAAGGAGAAGGCTCTCATTAACATGGCCTCACAAGAGAACCAGACTTCAGGGAGAGGAGAGCAGAAGGTGATTATATTATGGGTTAGGTGGAAGTTGTGGGGACATGAAATGGTGTCCTAAGAGGTATTTCCAGTTTTCTCTGAAGGATGATACCTTCATCTAGGCCTTCAAAGATTACTCTTTTAATAACTTCCCAAGTACAATAACTGCACATAGTCAAAGATGGTCAAGTACAAAGAAGTAAGATACCATGAATGAAAATCAGCAACACCACCCCACCTCCCAAAAAAATTAACAATGGATTCTCAAAGACTTAAATGTTGAAATAATCAGATATAGCATATAAAACAAATCTTACTATGTTTTATCAAGACAAGCTTGAAAATATTTGTGGGGAATAGGAAAGTGTATAAAGTTATATAGTAGTATTGAAAAAAAACAACAGAACTTTTAGAAGAAACCAAGGTTAAAAACTCAGGTGAAATCTCTTGACTTGCTTGTTGCTAGGATATTCTTTCTGGGAGCCCTGAGCCCATCTAACCTCCAGTTCGTCCATCAACTGATTACTGCTCAGTCACCTCAGATGATACCACTGGGAGCCAGAGAACTGCCTAGCTGTGCCCTGCCTGAATGTCTGACTCATCACTCATGGTGTAAGTGAAAGTGAATACCCAGCCACACCTGGGTAAAGACCTAGACAGAAGCCCAGGGGTCTGTTTCTCCCACCCCTGCCTCACCTCCAAAGGCACTTGCTATCTTTTTTTTGTGAGACGGAGTCTTGCTCTGTTGCCTAGGCTGGAGTGCAGTGGCGCGATCTCGGCTCACTGCATGCTCCGCCTCCTAGGTTCACACCATTCTCCTTCCTCAGCCTCCCGAGTAGCTGGGACTACAGGTGCCCACCACCATGCCCAGCTAAGTTTTTGTATTTTTAGTGGAGACAGGGTTTCACCATGTTAGCCAGGATGGTCTCAGTCTCCTGACCTCGTGATCTGCCGGCCTTGGCCTCCCAAAGTGCTGGGATTACAGGTGTGAGCCACCGTGCCCTGCCAACCTGCTATCTTCACCTTCACGATCTGTAGCACAGTGCACTCCTAAATACTGCATATGCGTCCCTAAAAAACATACTGTATCCTTAACATTTAAAACCTTATTGATTGTGAAGTGTGCCATTATCTTATGTACCAATAAGGAAAAATGATGCAATGAAACTGACACTTTCTTGATTAAAATTTTCATTTTATGCTTATTAAAAAGAATACTTATCACTTCACTTGTAACTTACTAACTCAGGCTGATGCCTCACACATACACGAAAAGAAATTAAAAATTCTTAAGCGGCTCAAACTGCCAAAAAGGCCAGCTGTGCAGCTGGACTCAGCCAGACACTCAGCAGTGGCACCAGCAGCTCCTCTATATGAGCTCCGATGAGGCTCTGGAAGTTTGAAGATGATGTTACCTATTGGCTAATGAAGTCAAATGGTCTTGACTTTCGTGGTAATTATGATGCTAAGACTGCCAGCGGTCTGTAAGAAAGCCCAGAAAGAGTGGAGCTGCACTATGGTAAGAAATTCTCAATGGCAAGCACTCTTTTTGCATAGAGAATGATACAGCAAGGGAAATGCAGACACAGACAATCTGGGTCAAAAGTGATGTGGAGAATGTGGATCCCAATTAGGAAGAGATTTTCAGACTACTTGAACCAGAATATTTTGCTTAATTTTTCTTTTTTAATGCATGCACGAGCATAATATATAATAAAATCGATGTGCGCACACATCATAAATTTTCTTTTTAATAAGCATAAAATGAAAATTCTAATCAAGAAAGTGTTTTTTCATTTAACTGCATCATTTTTCATTATCTGTATGTAAGATGATTGTATACTTCATATTCAATAGAGTTTAAATGTGTTAACTAAAAAAAATCACAAATTTATAAATGTTGAGAGGAGACTTTATTTCTTATAAGGGTTAGAGTCTACAAGGTGGCCATTCCTCAGGCTGGGAAGTGTAGCCTCTGGCAAAGCCCACAGACAGGCATTTTCAAAGAGGAGGGGCTGAGCTTTGTGCTGAACAGTTTGGCTGAACATACATATTCAACAGCTTACAGGAGGAGCTATGAATATTCATGAAGGTGGTCCTGATGCATGCGTATTGAACACACATGTATGTAACCTATGACCTATATCCACCCTGGGGAGGAGACTTAACATTTAAATCCATTAAAATTAAGCCCTATACATGAAAAGATCTTTTCAGGACCTGAAGGCAGCCTCTGTAAACTGGCCAGAACCAGTCTGTGGTGGTTGGTTTTCTTATCTGGAGAAAGTTATTGAAATCCATTTCTTGTCCAATCAAAGCTGTAGTTATGGCTGATGAAACAGCGGGCTTAGTTAGTCATTGTCTAATGGTGAGCTACAAATTGCTTTAACATTGTTTATCTCATGGCCAGTGCTTGTTTTGCTGCTAGAGAAAAAGAAGAACCTTATGACAGTTAGAAAATAGTTTATTCTTTAAAGCTTAGGGGTGTGGGACTTAACCCTCGCCTGACATGGCCTCGGGTCCTGTTTATAATGTGGCATCTTATTGCCACAGAGCCTGTTCTGTCAGTCATACGGCCTCTATTTTAACACGAATGCTGGTCAGTTGTTGTGTGTATACTACAAGTAAAAGGGAGGGGGGATAATGAGGCATGTCTGACCTCCCATCCTATCATGGCTGAGAACTCAGTTTTTAAGGTTTTTCTGGGGTCCTTTTGCCCAAGAGGGGGGTACATTCAGTTGGCAGGGGACTTAGGATTTTATTCGGCAGCTCACGCCTGTAATCCCAGCACTTTGGGAGGCCGAGGTGGGTGGATCATGAGGTCAAGAGATCGAGATCATCCTGGCCAATATGGTGAAACCCCATCTCTACTAAAAATACAAAAATTAGCCGGGCATGTTGGTGCATGCCTGTAGTCCCAGCTACTCGGGAAGCTGAGGCAGGAGAATCATTTGAACCCAGGAGGCAGAGGCAGTAGTGAGCCGAGATCGTGCCACTGTACTCCAGCCTGGGCGACAAAGGGAGACTCCATCTCAGAGAAAAAAAAAAAGAAAAAAAAATTTACAGATGTTATGAATACCGTACGTTGTGTAGGGATGCATATGCAGGTGAACAAATGAAACACAGCAAGGAATTGACTATGGTAAAAGTCAAGATGGTGGGCACCATGGGGGTTGAGGCAGGGGTCAGGGAGAGAACCTTGGCTTTGGCAGGCTCTAGGTCTTCACCTCGGTGTGGTTGGGCATGACTTTTACTATTATTGGGTGAATTATAAATATATGTTTTATGCACTTTTCCATGTGTGTCATTTTCATAATTAAAAAGTTTAAGGCCAGGCATGGTGGCTCACGCCTGTAATCCCAGCACTTTGGGAGTCTGAGGTTGGGGGATCACTTGAGGTCAGGAGTTTGAGACTAGCCTGGCCAACAAGGTGAAACCCTGTCTTTACTAAAAATACAAAAATTAGGCGGGCATGGTGACGGGTGCCTGTAATCCCAGCTACTCGGGAGGCTGAGGCAGGAGAATGGCAGGAACGTGGGAAGCAGAGCTTGCAGTGACCGGAGATTGCGCCACTGCACTCCAGCCTGTGTGACAGAGTGAGACTCCATCTCAAAAAAAAAAAAAAAAAAATTTGAATACATTATAAACTCAAGTTATAAACTTGGTATCCTTTGACCTTTAGGGATGACCTTTTTCCTGAAGAAACTGCTGCAGAATGAAAGCTCCAGGCGCTTGGGTGCAGCAAGTAGGCTATGCATTTCCCACCAGCAGGAATCTAGCTCCTGGCCAAGGTGAGCCACGCAGAGCAGCAGCCACGGGTATCATCCTCCCAGGAGGCAGATCCCAATTCGCGGAGAAGACCCGGCCAGCGGGAGGATGCCAGCCTCATCCTCAAGGCTGGGATTGGGACTCTTTCCAGAAGGAACGACCTCTGTGCTTGAGTTGGTTGGGGGGCGCAATGGATTCTTTAACACTGGGGAAATTCATACAGATGAAAGTGAGAGACACATGACAGTGAACTGTAAACATCAGCCAGGTCTTAGAAACGCTGGGGGAGGGACACACAAACCTTGTGAGAAGAAAAATAAGCTTTTGTGGAAGTGAGGTTTGGAGGCCAAGAGTCCTTTAAGCGTCTTAAAGGATCCACTGTGCATCCTTTGTTAGTGGTGGGTGTGCTTCCTCCAACACTAGCCTTTGGTTTACTTTTATGTGCCACTGGATTCTGTTGCTCCAGGGATACCAGGCTCTTTAGAAGCCATTCTAGCAGCTGGTCTCTGCTTGGGAATGTACAAGTGTTGGCTCTGGGACATGTAATCGCCTGTGCCTCCTGATGTGGTTTCCAAGCATCCACTGAGGTTTCTTTCACTTTGGGGGAAAAGATGAGAGGCCCTGTGCTTAAACAATTTGGAAGCAGAAATCCAAACACCAGGGACCTGAGTGCAGCAAGGGCAGGGTCCTGGGAGGGCCTCTCCAGAAACCGCTCTCCTTCTGGAGGGAGGATGGGGTCATCTTTGCTGAGCAGAAGGCAGCGATGGTTTCCTTTTAGATGCTGTGGGTGCCCCTGTCAGCAAGAACCCCAGTTGTGGCCTCAGGGGTGGGGAGGAGAGCTCTTTCAGTGTTGCCTTAGGTGTGTGTCTGTGTGTGTCCTAACCCAGTCCTTCCCACACTCCCCCACGTGCTGATCACGACGAGCACCTCTAAGGCTGGGTCTTTGCATTAGAAAGTTATTTGTTAGGGGTACAGGGGGCAAAGAAGGCACCTGGCACTCATCCTCACCTCCAACTCCCATGCTTGGGCAGGATGTCTTTGTCCCTGAGTGAGGTGACGAGCTTTGCTGGCCCCACAGTCTTACCTGCCTGGTCGGGTGAGCCAAGGGGGACCCTGTCCATGATGTCTGGGCCAAGATGTCCCTGTTGGCGACCCTGGAGGGTCCTCTGTCCTGCTGCTGCTCCTGTGGTCACGTAGGGGGTCTGCTCCTCATGGACCCACCACCCCCGTGTAGTTGTAATGCAAGTGAGGGGTTCTAATTTTGTCAGCTTTATCTTAGTGAAATAAAGGTTAATATCACAGAACCGAAAACAAAGCTTCTGCTCATTACTAGGGAGTTTCAGCTACTCCCTTTCCGCAAAACAATAAATCCAATCTTAACATTTTCAGCTTTCTCATGATTCTCACTCTCCCTTCTCAGGTGAGATAATCCTAACAATATTCTTGGAGAAATTCTATGTGTATGTGTGTGTGTGTGCGTGCATGCATGTGTGTGTAACTTTTTCCTTTGCCAGCGGGAATTAAACTTACTTGGTGAAAGAGACAGCAAGAAAACAAAAGGCAGTATTTAACATTTTAGGTGAAACAGTGGGGGTTTTAGACACGACAATGGTGATTACAGTTGATGGATAAATAGATAGCACTTTATGATCAATTACTCTGAGTATTTTAGAATATATGAATTGCCTTAGAGATATGTGCTCATGTGTATGTGTGTGTGTGTTTGTAGGTGAGTGTGTGTCAGATGTGTGTGCACATGTATGTGTATGGTTGTGTAGCCATGTGTGTATCAGCATTGGAACTGAATGACTAATATGCCAATCTGTCTTAGGTATGTTCTTTCCTTCTTCTATTATGGGCTGATTAATTAAAAACTAACCTGGTGGGCAGGTGTGGTGGCTCACGCCTGTAATCCCAGCACTTTGGGAGGCCAAGGTGAGCAGATCCCCTGAGGTCAGGGGTTCAAGACCAGCCTGGCCAACATGGTAAAGCCCTGTCTCTACTAAAAATACAAAAATTAGCCGGGCGTTGTGGTGGGTGCCTGTAGTCCCAGCTACTTGGGAGGCTAAGGCAGGAGAATTGCTTGAACCCGGGAGGTGGAGGTTGCAGTGAGCAGAGATCATGCCACTGCACTCTAGCCTGGGCAACAGAGTGAGACTCCATCTCAAAAAAAAAAAACAAAAACAAAAACCCAAAAACAAAAAACCTGGCTAGGCCGGGTGCAGTGGCTCACACCTGGAATCCCAGCACTTCGGGAAGCTGAGGCAGGTGGATCACCTGAGCTCAGGAGTTCAAGACTAGCCTAAGCTAGCACCCAGCTAGCCCTGAGAAGTAAATGAGCAGCTTGATAAGCAAGAAGGTAATAGTAGTCTAAAACAACAGGCCAAGGAAGTGGAAGTTAGAGTCAGATACTTGGTTCCCCTATAGAAACTGAACTTAACATCTTGACATACGTTCCTGAGTTGTTTTTCAGAAACCCAGACCCCCACCGAACTGATCTGTGGCACATAGACCTCTGATAAGGGGGAACTGAAGACTGAATTCTGGACTACCATCCTTTGTTCTAAATTTCTTCTTGAAGGGCCTGGAGGGAGTCACACATG
This sequence comes from Homo sapiens, assembly GCF_000001405.40. NCBI lineage: Eukaryota > Metazoa > Chordata > Mammalia > Primates > Hominidae > Homo > Homo sapiens. The sequence goes on along the minus strand of NC_000002.12, from coordinate 129,866,846 downwards.
TGAGCCAGAGCTAACATTCTTTCCTGATGGACCCTAAATTTATAAACAAAGCTTCTTTTCATTAACTAATTGCAAATCAGAAAATCTTTTAATCTACCTATGACCTGTAGGCCCCATCTCTACAAAAAAACAAAAAAACAAAAAAGAAGAAAGAAAAAATTAGCCAGGTGTGATAGTGCATAGCTGTAGTTGCTTGGAAGGCTTAGGTGGGAGGATAGCTTGGAAGGCTTAGGTGGGAGGATCGCTTGAGCCCAGGAGGCGGAGGTTGCAGTTAGCTGAGATTGTGTCACCATACTCTAGCCTGGGTGGAGTAGAGACTATGTCTCAAAACGCAAATGAACAAAAAACTAACCTGGCTCTAAAAATTCAATTTTTCTCTCAGTGAAAATTTTGGGATTGTGCTTCTGCATCTTTTAAGTGTGTAAGATTTTTGCTAGCTTCACCAGACACAAGAACCTAGGAGCTGCTGTAATAGGGGCTACTATTGGGAACTGGGTATTCATGAAGAGGAGGAGATGCAGTGGTATACTGGGCATTTATTAGCATAAGATAGATGCAATATTTTCTTTTATTTTTCTTTGTTTCCCCCCAGGAAATCATACGTGATGTGTAGGGAAGTGTGTGGGGCAGTGGAAGGAATGTGGACCGTTGCCTCCCTTCGCTTGTCTGGATGACCTTGGATGAGGTAACCGACCTTAGCTTCAGCCGTCTCATGGTACAATGGGGAAAGAAGCCTCATTTTCATTTTCCTGGCTGTGTGGGTTAGGAATGACGCTTCGAGGTGCGGAGCATTGACGCCGTGCTCAGGACTCTTGCACTTCACTTTGAACAGATGGGTGACTGGGTGCATGGCGTGGTTCTGAGGCCTGCTAACAGGAATGATTTATTTAGAAAGTCAGGTCTGGGGGCTGGGCACGGTGGCTCATGCCTGTAATCCCAGCACTTTGGGAGGCCGAGATGGGCGGATCATCTGAGGTCAAGAGTTCGAGACCAGCCTGGCCAACATGGTGAAACCCCATCTCTACTAAAAAAAAATATATATAAAAATTAGCTGGGCATGGTGACAGGTGCCTGTAATCCCAGCTACTTGGGCAGCTGGGACAGGAGAATCACTTGAACCTGGGAGGCAGAGGTTGCAGTGCGCTGAGATCCTGTCATTACACTCCAGCCTGGGTGACGAGTGAAACTCCATGTCAAAAAAAAAAAAAAAAGAAAGAAAAGAAAGTCAGGTCCAACTAAGTGATTCCCCGCCCCCCACCTTTTTTTTTAAAAGCAGGGTTGATGGGGAAACCTCCCTTCTGTTTCTGGAGGGGAGACCCCTGGTGCAGGGGAGCAGGCAAGTTCACACGTGTGGGGGCTGCACATACCGAAAGCGTGGGCCCATGGTTGAGAGCCAGCTCTTCCTGGGAGTTTCTTGACCTCTTGTGAAAGATGAAAAGTGGCATAAGATCTCCCTGGGGCACTTTATCAGGAGAGAGATCTTGGGCAAAAAAAATACTCCCTTTAAGAGAGTTTCTTCTCTAAATGGGAACGTGGCTTTTGAAGGCTGTGAAAGTAAAACACTTAAAATTGAAGAATGAATTCGAGGGCTATAAATGGGGCAGTTTCCACATGCTTCTATTCAGGCATATCTTTTGGTTTGGGGATTTTTTCGGCCTGATGATCTTCACTGGATTCCAGAAAAATGTTTCTAAGTGAATATTATTTAACCATTTTGTTGTACTGACTATACCTGGTAGGATAAAAGCAAGCCACACATTTTTTCATTTTCCTGGGACAGAGCAGGGACCCCATTTTAGGGCCCCCCAAGCATGGAAATAAAGGAAAATCTTGAGTTCCTTTAAGGGAAATTCCAGGTACCCAGCTAGCCCTGAGAAGTAAATGAGCAACTTGATGAGTAAAAAGATAGTAGTAGAGTAGTCTAAAACAACCGCCAGGGAAGTTAGAGTCAGATGCCTGGTTCCCTATAGAAACTAAAGATACCATCTTAACATATGTCCCAGAGTTGTTTTTCAGAAATCTGGACCCCCATCAAACAGATCTGTGGCACATAGGCCTCTGGGAAGGGGGACCTGAAGACTGAATTCTAGACCTGAATTATTTGTTCTAAATTTCTTCTTGAAGGGCCTGGAGGGAGTCACACCCACCAGCCAGAGCTAACATTCTTGTCTGATGACCTCAAATTTGTAAACAAAGCTTCTTTTTCATTAACTAATTATAAATCAGAAAATCTTTGAATTTACCTGTGACATGTAAGCCCGTTGTTTTAAGATATCCCGTCTTTTTGGGCCAAAACCAATGTGTAACTCCCATGTACTGACTTAGATTTTGCCTATCACCTTTGCTTTCGTGAGATTTACCCTTGCCTTTAGAAACCTTTTGGGCAAGCCATTGGGGAAGTCAGAATTTAAACATTCGCTGCTGGTCGTCCTGCTTTGTGCCTTGCAAATAAATGCCTTCCTTTCTGCCACGGCAGAACCCATGTGGATACCCGGTCTTACTGTGTTGGGCAAGCAGGCCCCACATCGGATCTACAACCTTCCCTCTGCCCCTTTAATGGTCTCTCTGGGTGTTTTGGGTAGACTCCAATATTTTCCCAGTCCCTCTCAGACCCATCTGGTATAACATAAAACCTTTAAACTCCTAGCTTGGCTAGTTGTCCTTCTAACATCCATCTCCCTTCTTCCTCAAGAATGGAATCCTGATTTTGTTTGGGTGTTAACGTGCCCAGACAGAAACCTCCCTTCCTCAGCCTCTGGTCCATCTGCACATTGCCAGGTGACACAGTCTGGTGATGAGTTACCATCTGATGGTTTTGGGCAAAGCTTTTGCTTTCGTGGCCTAGGCATGTTCCTTCTTTGCTTCCTTCTCTCGGTAGACAAACAAGAGGCCAGGGTATCAGCCATCTGTGGCCAAAGAATGGGGGAGTAAAACCAGGGTGAACACCCTCCTGGGACTGCCTCCTTTGGCATTTGCTGCATTTAAGATACCCTCTCCCGGATATGTGGAGACCACTGTCAGTTGGGTTTTCTTTTGCTTGCAGCTGAATGCAGTCCTTGATGACACATCTGGGGGCTGTGAGTGTTTGTGTGGGGCAGAGTGCTCCTGTGCCAACACAGCCTCAGGAAGGGCCTCTCTCAATCTGCTTCAGTGTCCCATCAGCAAGCAGGGAGGAGGTGATTGGGTCAGGAAGAGGGAGTGGCCTGGAACACCACTCACTCAGCCTGGGGGTCTCTGTGAGTGTCCTCCGTGTACTTGTCCTATTCAATCCTGATGTCCTCAGGGGCTGGAACTGTCTTGCCCTCATTCTCAATAAGCCTAGAATGAGGCTGGGCCCTGAGGAGGGGACACCTGGGAGCACACATTCAGACTGGTACTCAGGCGGTCACAGCCAGCTCGCACACAGCCAGTGGGCCAGATTGGGGCACCCCACCCACCCATGGGAGAGCACACACAGCCTAATATGCTAGGTGTCTGAGACCATGTGCATCAGTGGATCCTGAGTCTAGTAGGTGACGGGACAGGGCATTGCAGGGAGGATGCCTCATCCTCAAACACAGTGGGTCTTTCAGGTTCACTTTTTTTTTTTTTGAGACGGAGTCTCACTCTGTCTCACAGGCTGGAGTGCAGTGGCGCGATCTTGACTCGCTGCAACCTCCGCCTCCTCACCTCCTGGGTTCAAGTGATCCTTCCACCTCAGCCTCCCGACTAGCTGGGATTATAGGTATGCACCACCACGCCCAGCTAATTTTTGCAATTTTTTTAGTAGAGATGGGGTTTCGCCATGTTGGCCAGGCTGGTCTCAAACTCCTGACCTCAGGTGATCCGCCTGCCTCGGCCTCCCAAAGTGTTGGGATTACAGGTGTGAGCTACTGCGCTCAGCCAGGCTCACATTTTTGTTAGAAGTCGCATTAGGGAGTCTCCCACAGTGCAGAGAGAGAGAAGAGGGAGGAGCTAACATTTCTTGCGTAACTAGTATGTTTCCATCAGGACTTAGCATGGTCCTGCAGCCACCCAGAGAGGTGGTTACTAAAACTGCCATGGCAGAGGTAAAGCAAGGAAGAAGGGAAGTGATGCCTCCAAACCTCTGAGGGAAGAGGCTGCGCATTCCACCCACCTCCAAGAGGGAAGCCCCTGCACTTTCTGTAGCAGCGGGGATAGAGAGAAATGTAAAAGTTCCGTTTCACAGACTGGCTCATGGAGAATTCTGAGCAATTGAATTGAGTAATAAAATAAGTGTTTTAAATCTTGTTATAACTTTAAAAAAATTTAAATTCATCGAGACTTTCCTTCCCGGCTCTTCTCCTCTGAGTTCCCGACTGTGCACTTTGCGTCTTACTCAGATATGAAGGCATCTTGCTGCCTATATCTTTCCGCTTGCTCAGGCCTCAATCCTGGTAGTCACCTGGACTCCTCCTGAATTTCCCGCATGTCCTGCAGCAGTGACCCCATCTGACATGTTGTGTGGCTGGCTGTCCCCCAGTGAAATCATAGCCCTGGAGGGCAGGGTGTGTTTCTTCGTTTTCCTGCCTGGTGTGTGGAGACCCTGTGTGACCGTGGCGCAGATCAGGAGCTCGGTGAGTTTAAGAGAAAACAACGATTCCTACACTCACTGCCTTAAGTCAGAATCTTTTCTCTCTGGGCCTGCCTCTCCCATTAGCCCTGGGCTGTTCGCAGCCACAGACCCCTCTGAGCCACTTCTGTGTTTCCAGGGCTGGCCACCAGCAGGGGCTCAGGAATGTTTCTTGAACTAAGTTGAACAGATCTGAGCAGCTGGGATGTCAACAGGTGAACCTGGATGGGGGGAGATAGGTCAGGCTTGGTGCCCATCAGGCCCAGGGCCAGCACAAGTCACTTACCTGGGAGGTGAAGGAGAGGAGCAGGGAGAGCAGGCAGGGCTGCCAGCAGGGGAGCCAGCTACCCTGGTGGGAAGCTGGAAACGCTGGGCTGGTGCAGACATACCAACTGTCAGGGGCGCTGCCCTGGGGCTCCCGCCAGTGGCTGCAGGGAGGGCAGGATGGCGGTGTGGAGATGCAGAGACTGCATTGGGGTAGGGGGCGGGCTGAGCCGCTGTGTGGTGGGTCTGAGGGGTGAGTGGTCCTCTGCAGCAGCTGCTACTCACTGGGGAGGGTGCAGTCATCCTGGGGGAGGACATCCTGATTCAGGATGGGAGGGAGCAGGTAGGAGCACCCCAACAAACTGCTGGGGTCACGACTTCCATCTTGCTCATTCTTGAACTGAGGGTGAGAAGCACCAGGATGTGGCCGCCACATGAGTGTAGCACTGCGTGTGGGGCCAGGGCAGCCAGGGCTCTGTTTTAATAAGATAATTCAGTTTGGGATCTGGGTGGACCCAGATTCAAATCCTGCTTGTAACCCTTGCCAGCTGCTTAATCATAGGCAAATTACTTGGCCTCTCAGCCATGTTTTCCTTGGTGGTGAAATGGAGTCAGATAGCTCTCCAGTAGGATGGCCGTGCCCCTATATGGTAGGTGCAGGCAGGAGGCCTGGGGCATCCTAGGTTCAAGGCAGGCCACGCATGTTTGCATCCCCTCCCTCCACCAGCCCAGTGCCACCTAACCACGTGCTGTTTTTATCAGCTAAGATAAAGCTAGCTGCTATAGTAGATCAACCTCAGCTTCTCGGTGGCATGACTTAACACCTTAGAATTTAATTCCTTACTCAGGGAAGCCCAGTCCATAGAGGTGAGAAGTGGAGGGTGCTCTCTGCACTTCTCACAGACCCAGGCTGACAGAGTCCCTGCCATCCCCAAGGTCCGGTCCTGGATACCCTTGGCATTGACATGTGGCTGCAGACAGTGGAAGAGAGAGAGAGTAGAAGACCTGCCTGAGCTCACTCAGCATGCGTCAACTTCATTCCCAGTCCACGACTGGAGCGTAGTCACATGGCTGGAGCGTAGCCCTGGAGCAGTCACAGGGCTGCAAAGGCTGCCGGGAAGTGTGTTCCATACTGTGTGCCCAGAGCAAGGGAAGGGGTTTGGTGGGAGTTTGCCAGTTCCACCACAGCGCTGCTGTGACAATTGAAATCAAATGCATGAAGGGACTGGTTTTCACACAGGTCAGGTGTCATGACTGCTACAAGCTGGGTTTTCCTCCAGCTTGTACTCCTGTCCAGACAGAGCGTCTATTTTTTTTTCTATCTACTGAATCAGAGAACCTACCTTTCTCAGGTCAGAGTCCAAATTCCCAACTTGTATCAAATGAGATTTTCTTCCCAGTAATAAATAGTGGGATGTCTACAGACATTTGCAAGGTGTTCGTCGCACCTCGTGATTTCTCCCTTGGCAGGGACCTGTGGCCACTGTGTCTGGCTCAGGACACTGACAAAACACCAGGCTCAGGATTTTTTCCCCCACAATACAACTAGATCCTGACCAAGGGTTTTTGATGAAAATCAGATTTTGAAGACTGCTGTGGTTTATAAGAGCTTCCTCAAGAAGAAGACTTTGTAGACCTCACCATTTACAGATATGAGAGAGAAGTTTCCTTCTGAGTGATCTCATTCTGCTCTGATGTCCCTGGGAACACACATTGGAGCCAATATCTCCCATCTTTTCAAATTAAATTAGCTCCCTGTAGGGAGCCAGATAAAAGAATGATGGAAAGAAATGGAACAATATAGATTAGCCCATTTTTGATGCTTGGGTTAAATTTTATTAAAATGACTGTTCTGCATGGCCTAAACCATCTATTTTGAGAATGATTTGTCATTATTTCTAAAAATGTACTTATAACTCTGCCCTAAATTGTAACTAAATCTGAAAAACATACTTAAATTCTGCCGAAGTGATAACTTAATCCACATTTAAAGGACTTCCTTGGATGAAGGACACTGAAAGTTTAAACTTTGCAACCTGTCTTTTTACTACCCTTTTCTGTTCATCTTACATCAGCTTAATGGCATAAACTAGTCATAATACGGCAGGTATTTGAAGACACAAAAACCATAGTCCTGTGTTTGGAAACTATTGTTCTTCAAGAAAATATATGCCACTCTGCAAGAAGCCAGATGTCTTTCCACTGGGGCACATCTGGTTGATGGTGGCACTGCTCATGTCCTCTCTGTCCAGGTTGACCACATGCCCCAGGTGGCAGACCACATCCAGTTTTGCCTGTTGTTATAGCATCATAATAGGGCCCCCATTCACTCTCAAAAGTGTCCCCTTTTGGATCACCCTATATGGTCACCCTGCATCTGGTTGATGTGATATTAGTAAGCATAAAGTGATCTTTGAGGAAGCCTGACCACTTATCCACTGGGGGACTGGAGTCTGTGAGAAATATTGACTTTATTTTAAAAGACTTCAATACCTTCAGACACATTGATTTTTGACGACATGAATTGTATGTATAAAGAGTGTTCAGTAAGATCAGAGAGAGTAATTGAAATCACATGAATCACAGAGGCATGGAGTCTAATATGGCAAAACCACGTTCCATCCTCTCGTCTCGGACATCAGCAGCTCCACCTAATGGTTCTCTGGACCTGATGAGCCCTGAAAGCCCTCCGTTAGGTGAAGACGGAGCTCACAGCTCCGGGCCTCAGGCTGTGCCTTTCCTTATCTCTACTGCTTTTCAGGAGACGCTGACAGCCCCTCCCTGGTTAGCCTGGTGCTTTCTGCCATGCGCCTGTGACATGTCTGCAACTGCCACTGCTTGGAATCTTCAGTGGCGCCCCTGCCTTCAGTGTCCTCTGCCCAGCTCCATCAGGGTGTCTGTTTCTTTGACCTCTACCAGGAGATGTGGGGCATCTGCCGTCCAGATCCTAGGCAGGTGGAGGGATAGGCAGGTGTGGGCCCTCATTTGGGGTCGGTGGGCACTCAGAGCCAGCGTCTGCAGGTGGAACTCCAACCCCACACCCATTGGCTCTGTGACCTCACAGGCTTCATAACCTTGCTGTGCTTCAGTTCCCTAGGCTGTCAAATGTCTAATAGTTGCTACCTCCCAGGGTGTCACAAGGATTAGAGGGGTTATGACTGTGCTCAGTGTACAGGAAGGGTCACCCCCACGCCTGCCCCAAAGCCTGCCTTACTCACCCCTGGTGCCCTACGGGAGGTGCTCTCTGTTGTTCAGACAGGGACGTTTCAGTTTGGAGAGACAGACTTGCTGGGAGACAGACCTCCCTAAGGAGGTCACTAAGTGTGGCCTGGAACCCCAGGTATGGAAAGGTGTCCTGGTGCTGGGAGGAGAGAGGTCCCACAAGCCTCCAGGCTGGGTGCCTGATGCTCTCCTCTGGAGGTTTCCTCACGCATGACAACACTCCTGCTCCCAGCGCCCAGCTGGGCCTCTGAGCTTGGGAAAGGTGGACGGCTGCTGGGCTGGCAGCCCGGAACCTCATCTCCAGAGGGCACAGCTGAGTGAGGGGTGAGATTGGGTCTTCCTGCCACCCTGCAGGGCCCTGGCAGGCTCTCTCCTGCCTTTCCTTCCCTCCACCTGGGACCCCACGCCCGGCTCCCCTGACCTCTCCTCCTGTTCTCTGTGCAGTTGTTCTTGTCCAGGCTGCCTCTTACTGAGGCCTATCATGGCAACATACCAACACCAAGCGCTTTGCAGGAGGTCAGGGTCTCCCCAGCCCCTAACCCCACAAGACTGTCAGCTGCTTGAGGCAGGAATGTGCCTGTTGCCCTCACTGCCCAGCTCCCTGCCAGCACCTACCCCAGACCCTGTCAGTTGCAAGAATGGGGGACATCACCAGAGTCTCAGTCATTGTTTCTGAATATGGGGAAACAGTCCCACCTGGTATGGTTGTTATGAGAATAGTGAATCTCTCCTAAGGACCATGCCTGCAACAGGAAGGCTCACAGCAAATACCTGCTGCTACTATTACTCTCTTAGTTCATAGAGAGGCACAGTGGCCACCCGGGACCCCCCTGCCTTTCCACACTGCCTATTAATTTCCTCTTCCTATGCACCCGCTCTTCCAGTGTATGCAGCCCGCTGTGGAGGGGTGGTGGGGGGGTGGGAGACTGGGGGCATCGTGGTCTGTGCATGCCAGCTTTCCAGCTCATGTGGAGGCTTTTCTTCAGCACAAACTACCATCTCTCATAATGGAGCAGCTGCTGCGGGTATTTCTTGTTCTTTCCAAGCCCTTTGGTGGCTGTTGAGAGTGTGGTCTTGACCGGGAGTGGCATCTGAATTAGGGATAGAAACCAAGTGATTGAGTGAGGCTGACAGAAGAGTTATTTAGAAAAGTTTCAATAATTACTGCCATTTGCACAGGATTCCCACTAAAACAGGCAACTCTGAAGGCAAAGAGCTGGGAGAGTCTGCTGCAGGGGCCAGTAGGTTGTGGTGGAAAGAGCTTTGTGTGTCTGGAATTAGAAATCTGAGCTCCAGTCCTGTGCCACGAGGCAGGTCCTTCCACCTCTCCAATTCCCAGTTTCCCCCTCTGTAACCACACCCACACTGTGAGAATGAAACTACAAATGCACACACCAGCCCAGGCGCCTGGCACGGCACTGACAGGACTGGGCAGGAATCGCCATGGCAGCTTGTGTTGGCAGAGCACCTAGCAGTATCAAAGGACTGTTTCAGTACAACACTTCTTTTGACCTTTTTAAGAATCCTGTAACATATACAGAGCAGGAACTCTCATCTCTAATTTTTCAGTGAGACAGAGGTTAAGGGCATTCCGCCACAAGATCAAACATTGCAAAAAAGAAATTGGAACTTTTAATCTGACTCTCAGTCCTGTTCATTTCTTTAATTTCTTTTTTATTGAGGGGAGGTCCATATAACATAAATTTAACCATTTTACACTGAGCAATTCAATGGCATTTTGTACATTTAAAATGTTATGCAACACTACCTCTATCTAGTTCCAACATGTTTCAAGGTCATGAATATTTATCCCTATGTTTTATCCTAAGATTTGAAAAAGTGGTTTTAGCTCTTTTACTGTATTTAGGTTCATGGATCTATTCTGAGTGAATATTTGTATATGGTATGAGGTAGGGGGTCCAATTTCATTCTTTTGCATGTGGCATGTGGATATCCAGTTTTCTCAGCACCATTTGTTGAAAGACTGTCCTTTCTCTTTTGAATGTTCTTGATGCCCTTGTAGAAAAGCAATTGTCCATAGACAGTGGGTTTATTTCTGGACTCTCAGTTCTATTCTATTGGTCTGTATGTTTATTCTTATACTAGCACTACACTGTTTTGATTACTGTAGCGTTGCAGTAAGTTTTGAAAATGGCAAGCGGAGTACTCCAAGTTTCTTCTTCTTTTTCAAGATTGTTTTAGCTTTTCATGGCCTCTTAAAATTCCATGCAAATTTGAGAATTGGCTTCTCCATTTCTGAAAAACAGACCATTAACTTTGACAGGGATTGCATAGAATTTGTAGATCACTTTGAGTAGTATTGTCATCTAAACATTGTTAAGTCCTCCAATCCAGAAAGATGAGATAGTTTTCCATTTATTTAGGTCTTTTAAATTTCTTTCAGCAGTGTTTTATAGTTTTTAGTACACAAGTCTTTCATATCCTTTGTTAAATTTATTCCTGGGTATTTTATTATTTTTGATGTCATTGTAAATAGAATTGACTTCTTAATTTCCCTTACAGATTATTTATTGCTGACATATAGATACATAACTGATTTTTGCATGTTGATCTTTTACCCTGCAACTTTGTTGATTAGCTCTAGTACTTTCTGTGTAGACTGTTTGGGATTTACTATGTAGGATCATGTATTCTTTGAATAGAGATAGTTTTACCTTTTCCTCTCCAATTTGGATATTTTAAATTTCCTTGCCTAATTGCTCTGGCTGGCATCTCAAGTACAATGTTAAATAAATAGTGAAAGTAGGCATCCTTGATCTGAAGGTCCTGATCTAAGGGGGAAATCTTTTAGCTTTTTGAATATGCCTGCAGAATATGTCTCTTGGATATGCTGTTAGCTGTGAGTTTTTCATAAAAATTCTTCACCAGATTGAGAAAGTTTACTTCTATTCTTGTTTTCTGACTATTTCTTAATCATAAAAGGTATTAGATTTCATCAAATGCTCATTTCTGCATTGAGATAATTGTGTTTCCTTTTGTTCTAGAAATGCATATTACGCTGATTAATTTTCATATATTGAACCACCTTTGCATTCCCGGGATAAATCCCACTTGGCCATCATGTACAATCCTTTTCATATGTTGTTGCATTTGGATATATAGTATTTTGTTGAGGATTCTGCATCTCTATTCATTAGAAATATTGATCTGTAATTTCTTTTCTTTTTGTGTCTTTGGCTTTGGTATAAGTTAATTCTGACCTCATAGAATACATTAGGAAGTCTCCCCTCTTCTTGTATTTTTTGGAAGATTTTGACAAGAATTGCATTAATTTTTATTTAAACATTTGGTATAATTTACCAGGGAATCCATCTGGTCCTGGGCCTTTCTCTGTTGGGAGACTTTTGATACTAATTTAATCTCTTGTTATATATCTGTTTAGATTTTCTATTTCTCCTTAAATCAGTGCTATGGACAAAACTGTGTCCTTTTCCCAATTAATATATTGACCCTGAACCCCAATGTAACTGTATTTGGAAATGGGGCCTTTAAAGAGCTAATTAAGACTAAATAATGCCAAAAATGTGGTGCCCTAATCCAATATGACTGGTGTCCTTAATAAGAAGAGGAACAGACACCAGGGATGTGTGCACACAAGGAAAAGGCCATGTGGGCACACAGTGAAATGTCAGCTGTCTGGAAGCCAAGGAGAGGGGCCTCCGAAGAAGCTAAACCTGCTGACACGTTGACCTTGGGCTTCTGGCCTACAGAACTGTGAGAAAATAAGTTTCTGTTGTTTATGCCACCTAGTCTGTGGTACTTTGTTATGTCAGCCCTGGCAGGCTAAGATAGTTTTGGTAATTTGTGTGTTTCTGGGAATTTTTTTCATTTCACCTAGGTTATCTAATTTGTTGGTGTATAATTGTTTACAGTATTTTCTTATAATCCTTTAAATTTCTGTCAGGTTTGTAGTAATGTTTCCACTTTCATTTCTGATTCAGGTTTTTGCATCTTTCTCTTTTTTTCTTTGTCAGTCTAGCTAAAACTTTGTCATTTTGTTGATCTTTTCAAAGAACAATGTTTTGGTTTTGTGATTCTTCCTGTTATTTTTCTATTTTGTATTTCATAAATCTCCACTCTAATCTTCATTATTTCCTTCTTCCTGCTAGGTTTAAATTTAGTTTGCTCTTGTTTTTCTAGTTTTTTTAAGTTGTAAAGTTAGGTTATTAATGTGAGATTTTTTCTCTTGTTTTAAATGTAGGCATTGACAGCTATAAATTTTGCCCTGATTACTGCTTTTGCTATATCTCATAAATTTAGATATGTTGGGTTTTTATTTTCCTTTGTAGGAAGATATTTTCTAATTTTTTTGTGATTTCTTCTTTGACCCATTGGTTATTTAAATGTAATGTTTACATATTTGCAAATTTTTCAGTTTCCTTCTGATGTTGATTTCTAGCTTTATTCCATTGTGGTTAGAGAAGATACTTTACATAATTTTAATTTTTAAAATTTATTGAGACTTGTTTTGTGGTCTAATATATGGTCTACCCCAAAGAATGTCCCATGCACACTTGAGAAAAATGTGTATTCTGCTCTTTTTGGGGTGGAGTTTTCTATATATGTCTCTTAGGTCTAGTTGGTGTGTGATGTTGTGCAAACCCTCTATTTTCTTATTGATCTTTTGACTATATGTTCGATTCGTTGTTGAGAATGAGGTATTGAAGTCTCCAGCTATAGAACTACTTTTCCCTTTAATTTTGTCAATGTATGCTTCACATATTTGGGACTGTGTTGCTTAGTGTGTATATGTTTGTAATTGTATCTTCTGATGGTCTTTTAATTACTACATAGTGTTCTTTTTGTCTCTTGCAACAGCTTTTCTTTTTTTTTTTTAAGACAGAGTCTCACTCTGTTGCTCAAGCAGGAGTGCAGTGGTGCAATCATAGCTCACCGTGACCTCCAACTCCTGGGCTCAAGCAGTCCTCCAACTACGCCTCCCAAGTAGGTAGGACTATAGGTGTGTGCCACCATGCTTGGCTAATTAAAAAACTTTTTTTGGTAGAGGTGGGGTCTTGCTTTGTTGTTCAGTCTGCTCTTGAACTCCTGGCTTCAAGCGATCCTCCTGCCTCAGTCTCCCAAAGTGCTAGGATTACATATGTGAACCACCATGTCCAGCCTCTTGTAACAGCTTTTTTTTTTTTTTTTTTTTTTTGAGACGAAGTCTTACTCTGTTGCCCAGGCTGAAGTGCAGTGGCGCCATCTCGGCTCACTGCGAGCTCCACCTCCCGGGTTCACGCCATTCTTCTGCCTCAGCCTCCTGAATAGCTGGGACTACAGGCACCCGCCACCACGCCCGGCTAATTTTTTGTATTTTTTTAGTAGAGATGGGGTTTCACCATGTTAGCCAGATGGTCTTGATCTCCTGACCTCGTGATCCGCCTGCCTTGGCCTCCCAAAGTGCTGGGATTACAGGTGTGAGCCACCACACCCGGCCTTGTAATAGCTTTTGACTTGAAGTGTGTATTGTCTGATCTTTACATAGCTACCCCAGCTCTCTTTTGGTTACTATTTGCATGGAGTATCTTTTCTATACTTTCACTTTTTAAATATTTGAATCTAAAATATCTTAGACAATATACAGTTAGACTATGTTTAAAAGAATCCTTTCTGTTACTATTCACCATTTGATTGGAGAGTTTAAACTGCTTACATTTAAAGTAGTAACTGATAAAATGGGATTTATTTCTGCCATTTTTCTGTCTGTTTTCTCTATGTCTTATACTTTTTGTTCCTCATTTCCTCTATTACTAACTTCTTTTTAAATTTTTTTTTGGTAGTGAACCATTTTGCTGTCTCATTTCCTTTTGTGTATTTTAAAAACATATTTTCTTAATGATTACAATGAGGATTACAATGAACATCCTAAATTTATAACCATCTAGTTTCAACTGATACCAACTCAGTCTTACTAACATATGAAAACTCTGCTCCTATACAGCTCCATCCCCACCTTAAATTGTTGGTGTTGCAAATTACATCTTTATACATTGTGGGCCCATTTACATGGATTTCAATTTGGTATGCATTTATCTTTTACACTATTTAGGGAATAAAGAAGGAGTTACAAATTAAAAAAATGTAATACTGGCTTTGATGTTTAGAAACCTCTCTATTTCTTTATGTCGCTTCGTGTTACTGTTTAGTGTCCTTCCATTTCAGTGTAAAGGACTCCCTTTAGAATTTCCTGTAGGGTAGATATGCTAGTAACAAATTCACTCAGCTTTTGATGGTTGGGAATGTTTTAACTTCTTCATTTTTCAAGATTAGTTTTTCTGGTTATTTAATCTTGGTTTACAGTTTTTTTTTCTTTTCTTTGGTGGTTTAAAAATATTGTCTCACTGCTTTCTGTTCTCCATGGTTTGTGATGGGAAAATTACAGTTAATCTTATTGAGAATCTATTGTACATAATGAGTTGCTTCTGTCTTGCCACTACAAGAGTTTCTCTTTATCTTTGTCTTTGAACTGTTTGATTGTAATGTGTCTAAGTGTGGATCTCTTTGAATTTATCCTACTTGGAGTTTAATATATTTCATTAAACTTAGACAGTTTTCATTCATTATTTCATCAACAGTTCTTTCTGCCCCTTTCTTTCTGTTTTCCTTCTGGGACTTCCATACTGCATATGTTGTCCTGCTTGATAGTGTCTTGTTCTCTTTTTTTCTTCTACTCTTTATATCAGACAATTCCAATTATCCTATCATTGATTTCTCTGATTCATTTTTCGGTGTGTTCAAATCTGCTGTTTAACCCCTCTGGTGAATTTTTCTTTCTCTTTTCTTTTTCTTTTTATTTTTTTATTTTTTTGAGATGGAATCTTGCTCTGTCACCCAGGCAGGAGTGTGGTGGCATGATTTTGGCTCACTGCAACCTCTGCCTCCTGGGTTTAAGTGATTCTCCTGCCTTGGCTTCCCGAGTAGCTGGGATTACAGGTGTGCACCACCACACCAAGCTAATTTTTGTGTTATTGGTAGAGATGGGTTTCACCATATTGGCCAAGTTGGTCTTGAATTCCTGACCTCAGGTGATCCACTTGCCTCGGCTTCCCAAAATGCTAGGATTATAGGCATGAGCCACCATGCCTCGCCAAATTTTTCATTTCGGTGATTTAACTTTTCAGTTCCAGAATTTCTGTTTGGTTTATTTTATAATTTATATCTGTTTATTGATTTTCTCATTTTGTATGTGCACTGTTTTCCTGGTTTTATTTAGTTTGTTGTTCATGGTTTTCTTTAGTTCTTTAAACATTTTAGGATGATTGATATAAAAATTTTGTCCAGTAAGTCCAATACTAAGGTTTCCTCATGGATGGTTTATATAATTTTTTTCTAGGATTGGGCCACACTTTCCTATTCCTTTGTATATCTTGTGATTTTTGTTGTTGTTGCTGAAAATTGGGCATTTTGAATATTACAATGTGGTTACCCTGGAAATCAGATTATCTCCATTCCCTAGAGTTTGTTATTATTTTTTCTTCTTGATGAATGTTGTCCTCTATTTCTTTAGTGATTTCTCCAAACTAATTTTGCAAAGACTGGATTCTTTGTCATTTGTGGTCACTGAAGTCTCTGTTTCATTATCTCAGTGGTCAACAGTGACATTCCAGAGATTTCCTTAAGTATCTGGAGTGAAAGAAAAAAAGAAAGGGAGAAATAAATAAATACATGAATGAAACGAGAAAACAAGAAAGAGAGAAGATACTCGTGTTTTGACTTTTGCAGCTTGGCTCTGAGCTGGGACAGGAGTTCCTTCAGTGCTAAGCCAGGCTTCCTGCAACTATGCCTTAGCTTTTGCCTCTTGCTTGCCTGGAGCCCACAGATCTGTCAGAGGTACAAGCCTGGGGTCCTTTTAGATGTTTTCTCATATGTGTCCTGTTCTGGGCCTGTGTGTTATCTTCTATCTTTGCCAGCATACACAGTAGCCCTTCTGAGCTCTTATTCTTCCAACAACCTTCCTTTTTGGGCTCCTTCTTTTTGGCTTTTGGTCTGCCAGTTGCCTGAGCACAGTTCCCTACACCAGGTGGAAAGAAAAGGTCAAGAAAAAGGTCAATTTAGTCTTCCAGGGAACCATCAGACAGATGAATACACAGTACCATAAAACTTTAAGAATAAACTCTGTATTAACCCCTGGCACCAGAAAGCCACACAGGGAATGCAGCCTTCTGTCATCATGGCTGATGCTGCTGTGCTAGGGAATGGAAGGAAGGTGGATGAGCAAAAATGCCACTAGGCTTTCTTACCAAAGCTAGCTTCCCTTTTCTTTATTAAGCCACCCCTTTGTGGCTGTACATTTGAGATTAGAGCTCAGTGTTTAAAAACGTTGATTATTTCAGTCTTTGACAGCTTATGATTGTTTCAACGGAGGGATCAATTCTTTAAGCAATGTATACCATCATTTTCTGTGACATCATCCCTGGTTGCCTCTTGATGAAAACATTATTCCTTTCTTGCCAGACATGTATTCAAATTAATATTGTTGCTAGATCTTGTGTGGCACAATCAAGATGCCCAATAGTCTTTTGAGGATGTGTAAAAAGAGTTTGTGAAGTCCTCCTCACTTATTTGTAGTTTGCATCTTGGTTAGTGCTAAATAAATGGTGCTCCTGAAGTCCCTGAAGCTGATCTTCACTCATGCACCGTTTAAGCATTCATTCATAGCATTAATTTGTCAAATGCTTTTGAAGGATCAACACTTTTTTTTCAGAAAGAGCAGGTAATGATATGACTCTTTTTATAAAAAATGCACTTTTCAACACCTTTGCCCACTCTTGGTAGGTTTACTCATCCACCTGTACTTGACCATAAGTTACTCAAGTCTTACTGTCGCAGCTTCCAGGCCTGCATAAGCCACGTTAAAAACTGAACTGTTTTGCTTGAAGTAAGGGTGAAGCTTGGAGCCCCCATGCTTGCTTCTTGCTCCTTTCCTGCATGCTTCTGTGGAACCACCTTAGTACAGTTTATTTGAAGATGTAATAGAACTAGACTGCAATATTATACTCCACCAGAAGATGTCACTGTAACATGTGGTTTATACATGCTGAATATATGGTAACGGAATAATGGCGAACCTTCCATTTTCTCAGTGAATCAAAAAGAGAAAGAAAAACGTAGTTTTGGCCAACTTATATATAAAAACTTTGAAGGTGAGAAAGAGATAGTCAATATCTACTCATAATGTTTAATTAACTCATTTAGTTACATATACATATTTGAAATAATATATAGAATCATTAATTTGTAAATATCACTTTATTTTCATTCATATTTCATGGAACAACTTTATGAAAGTTCCTTACATGCTTATCTTTCATAAGTGTCTTTATTGTCACTAGAGACACTTAAAAACCTTTTATTTGAAAATACTTTCAAACTTACAGGAAAGTTGCAAGAATAAGAATAGAACATGGAATATTCATATACTCTTTTCCCACATTCACCTTTTATTAACATTTTGTTCATTTGCTTTATCTTGTTTTCTCTTTCCCTGTCTCTGTGCTATATATCTATATCTATATCTATATCTATCTATATCTATATATCCATTTAGTTATCACTAAATACGTTGGTAAGTATTTCCTAAGAAAAAGCATTCTCACACACTCTTTGGTTCAAATAACAACTTCAGGCCGGGCACAGTGGCTCACACCTGTAATCCCAGCACTTTGGGAGGCCGAGGCGGGTGGATCGCCTGAGGTCAGGAGTTCGAGACCAGCCTGGTCAGCATGGTTAAACCCTCGTCTCTACTAAAACTACAAAAATTAGCCAGGCGGGATGGTGTGTGCCTGTAATCCCAGCTACTTGGGAGGCTGAAGCAGGAGAATCGCTTGAACCCGGGAGGTGGAGGTTGCAGTGAGCTGAGGTCGAGCCATTATACTCCAGCCTGGGTGACAGAGCGAGACTCCCTCTCAAACAGACAAACAAATGAACAAGCAAATAACAACTTCAGTAACTTTTTTTCTAATCTGTTAACCATATTCCAGTGTTGTCAATTGTCCCAGTAATGTCCTTTACAGCATTTCTCCTGCTCCTATAGAGAACCCGTCTAGGATCAGGTATTGCATTTGCTGCTCTGTCATTCTACTCTCCTTTAATCTGGAACATTGCCATAGCCTTTCCTTGTCTCTTATAACTTTGGTATTTTTGAAGAATGTAGTCACTTTCCCTCTCCCCCCAACTTTTTAAATAGAATGGTGCCTAATGTTTCCTCATGGCTAGATTTGGGTTATGTATCCTAGGCCAGAATGCTAGAGAGGCGATGCTGTGTCCCCCTCAGGGCAGCCCATCTCGAGGCATATGGTGCCTGTCTGTTTCTCAGTGGTGATGTTAATTTTCATCACCTGGTCAAGGTGTTGTTCAGTTTCTCCATGGGAGTGCCACCCACATTCCAGGAATGCTGCTAAGCATTCAACTTATATTTTTCACAATTAATCCTGATGGCAATTTGCAAGCTGGTCTTCAGTCTTCTCACTATCCAGATATGGCAACTAGTGCCCACCAAGATTGAGATTCCACAGCACATATGGGTGAGGCTGGTGTTCGGATATGGTGCATCTGACTTTCCACGTCTCCACTGTGTTTCCCAGACTGAGATGTTCTGATTAGGTTTCCATAAGCCAGCACCATCTTATGCTATCTGCTTTATTTATGAAACTCTGCCAAAGTGACTGCACAATATAGTAAGGCTAATGTGTGGTCTTCAGAGTTACCTACGTACGACCTTGAGCTTCTCAATATTCATATGTGGTAGAAAAATAGAGAAAATTCCCATTGTGAGCTGCTATATCAGGATTGGCAAACATAAGAAACTACAGTAACTGTAGAGTTATAATTTTTATTAAGGAAATCAGAAATATATATTTTCAATTCTCCAGAAGCATTTTGTTCCTGATTTCCAAGTCTCACTGCAATTACTAGTTAATAAAAACATGTTTTAATATGCTGGCAGAAAATTGATACTATTTCCAATCTGTGCCATGAAACAAATAAAATGTGGGGAGAAATTGAGCTCTCATTTCAGAAATGGGAAATGGATTTTTAAAAGTTCAGATCATTACCAAGGGTAATTTTCTTATAATAAGTTTAACACCTACTTGCTCAATGCAAAACTTTGCCAGGGAAAATTGTTACTTTTCAAACACAATAAAGAAGGCTGTAACCTATTCCAAGAGCTGTCTATTCTAAAAGTCATTGTGTGCTTAGGTCCAGCAGTCTGTGCCTGCCCAGGGCTGGGGCAGGGCCCATGGGACTGCAGGTGCCCCGCTCAGGGTGTGCGTTCCTCAGCAGGATGGAAAGGCAGTTGTCAGGTCCAACTGGAGGAGCTGCTTACTCCCCTGGGAGGCAGTGCCCTGCTTCATGCATGGCCACGAGTTTGAGTCCTGTCTTCTTCTAATAACCTTTGTGCTCTTGGAAATAAAGTATGAGAAACATTATTTATGTTCCCTGAAGGCTGACTCTCCCTACTTCTGGGCATATGGGGCAATTGTACTTCTTAGCCTCCTTGAAGCTAAGCATGGCCATGTGACTTGTTTGGCCAATATCAGGAATGGAGTCATATATGAATCATAGCTAGTATTGGGAATGGAACATAACTACAGGTTTTAATGCCATCAAAAAGATCATAAACAGCTGGGCATGGTGGCTCATGCTCTGATCCCAGCACTTTGGGAGGCTGAGGTGGGCAGATTGCTTGGGCTCAGGAGTTTGAGACCAGCCTGGGCAACATGGTGCAACCCCGTCATCTCTATCAAAAATACAAAAATTAGCCAGGTGTGGGGGCATGTGCCTATAGTCCCAGGTACTTGGTAGGCTGAGGTAGGAAGATCACTTAAGCTTGGGAGGTTGAGTTTGCAGTGAGCTGAGATTGCATCACTGCATTCTATCCTGGGTGACAGAGCAAAACCTTGTCTCAAAAAAAAATTTTCATAAATATTATGAATAATTTTATGCCAGTAAATTTTATAATTTAGATGAAATAAATTTCTGAAAGACATTGAAAATGACACAAAAATATGAACAGTGAAATTTTTCTTAAAATCTTTCTCACAAAGAGGCTTTTCTGGTGAATTCTTCAGAACATTTGTTATTCAGAAGAAATAAGACAGATATTACACAAAGTCTTCTAGAAAATAGAAGAAGTGAGAATATGCTTAATTAGTACCATGAGATTAGAATAAACATCATACAAATACTGGATAGTAACAGAAAGAAAAATCACAAGTCATATGGTTTGGCTGTGCCCCCACCCAAACGTCATCTTGAATTGTAGCTCCCATAATCCCCACCTGTTGTGGGAGGGACCCGGTAGGAGGTAATTGAATTATAGGGATGGGTTTTTCCCTTGCTATTTCCCTGATGGTGAATAAGTCTCACGAGATCTGATGGTTTTATAAAGGGCAGTTCCCCTGCACACGCTCTCTTGCCTGCCACCATATAAGGTGTGCCTTTGCTCCTCCTTTGCCTTCCACCATGATTGTGAGGCCTCCCCAGGCATGTGGAACTGTGAGCCCATTAAACCTCTTTTTCTTTATAAATTATCCAGTCTTGGATATGTCTTTATTAGCAATGTGAAAACAAACTAATACAACAAGTAAATTTCACTTATGAAGGTAGTTGTAAAAAGTCCTAAACAAAATATTTTCAGAAAAGGAAGCGATATCATTTTAATTTTTTACCCAGGATTGTAAAATTGGTATAACTTTAGGAAATTAGTGCAATTCACCACATTATCAGAATGAAGAAGAGATGGAGAAAAATCACTCGATAGAGTTTCAATAACTCATTCATGACAAAAGCGTTCAGTAAACTGGAAATAAGTGGCAAGTTCCTTAATATAGTAAAAAATACCTTTAAAGATAACTCTGGCAAAATCATTCTTCATTGTGGCATATTGAAAGCTTTCCTCCTGGGATTGATGACAAGAAAGAAATGCCTCTGTCACTGCCTCTACTGGGTGGTGTTCTGGACATTCTAGACAGTGCAATAAGGCAAGAAAAAAATAGCAATAAAAGTAATTAAGATATGAATATAATAAATAAGACTATCATTATTTGCAGATGACATGATTGTATATATAGTAAATCCAAAAGAATCTCTAGTTAAAAGAATTAGAATGAATAAGTGAAATTAACAATGTAGGCAATACAAGGCTTGTATGAAAATTAATTTTATTTCTATATGCCAGCAATTAACAATTAAAAATTGAAATTTAAAAAGATGCCATTTATAATAGTGACAAAATAATAAAAATCCTACAAAGAAATTTTTAAAAATTTGCAAAACTCTACATAGAAAATTTTAAAACATTATTGAGAGAAATTAAATAAGATCTAAATAAATTGAGAGCTATGTCATATTCATAGAGTGGGAGATTTAAAATTTGTATGGAAATGAAGGGTCCAGAGACCTAAGACAGTCTTGAAAAAACAAACAGAAAGCCCAACACACAAAATAAAACCCCAAACACACACACACACACAGACGTACACACACACACACACACGTGCACATACAAACTCTTGTGACTATCAGGTATCTGATTTCTTGAAACAATGTGGTAGCATTCAAGAATGGACAATGAGACCAGTGGAACAGAATAGAGTCCAGAAACAGCCCCGTATGTAACAGTCACTTGATTTCCCCACAGATAACACTGCAGTGCATTGGGAAAGGATGGAGGCTTCTATCAAAGATGCTAGTGTCCATATGGGAAAACCATCTTGCCCTCTGCACAACATACAAAAATAATCCCACAAGCAAAAAAAAACCTGAATTTCAAATAGATTGCAGATCTAAATACATCTCAGTAGGATCACAGATCTAAACAAAAGTTGTAGAAGAATAGCACAATTGTCTACATGAACTTGAATAAGCAGAGGCTTCTCTAAATGAGAAACAAAGATGGTAGACACAAAGGAAAAGATTGATCAAATGGACTATGTTAAAATTAAGACCTTTTAAAGAAATCAAAAGATACCTTTAAGAGAGTGAAAAGTCAGCCCCGAAAATGGGAGAATGTATTTTAATAGACATAATATAACAAAGAACTAGGATCTAGACTATATAAAGAACTCCTACAAATCAGTAAGAAAAGAACAACAACCCAATAACAAAATGAGGGGAAAAACAAACCAAAAATCAAAAATTGACTAGGTACTTCACAAAAGAGACGTCCAAATGGCCAATAAACATTTGAAATGATGCTCAACCTCTTAAGTTATTAGATTCAAATTAAACTATGGTGTGATGTCTACCTCTACATTACCTTTAAAAGCTACACTGCTGGTGAAGATGTCGAACAACAGAGACACTTCTGCACAGCTGGTGGAGGTGCAAATGGTATAATCTCTTAGAAAACAGTTCAGCTTTATTTGCTAAAGCTGAGCCTACAACTGCCCAGTAGTTCCACATCTAGGCAATCTACTCAACATCACTTCATCCCACTGTGCCTCAGTGAATGTTGAAGCAGGCTGGGCATGGTCGCTCATGCCTATAATCCCAGCACTTTGGGGGTCCAAGGCGGGTGGATCACCTGAGGTCAGGAGTTCAAGACCAGCCTGGCCAACATGGCGAAACCCTGTCTCTACTAAAAATACAGTAATTAGCTGAGTGTGGTGGCAGGCACCTGTAATCCCAGCTACTCGGGAGGCTGAGGCAGGAGAATTGCTTGAACCCAGGAAGCAGAGGTTGCAGTGAGCTGAGATAGCGCCAATGCACTCCAGCCTGGGTGACAGAGTGAGACTCCATCTAAACAAAACAAAACGAAACAAAACAAAAAAACAATGCTATAGATGCAGAAAAAAAGAGAATACTATAGATGCAGAAAAGGCCTTTAAAAAAATTCAGCAGCCCTTCATGCTAAAAACTCTCAATAAACTAGGTATTGATGGAACGTATTTCAAAATAATAAAAGCTATTTATGACAAACTCACAGCCAATATCATACTAAATGGGCAGAAACTGGAAGCATTCCCTTTGTAAACCGGCACAAGACAAAGATGCCCTCTCTCACCACTCCTATTCAACATAGTGTTGGAAGTTCTGGCCAGGGAAATCAGGAAAGAGAAAGAAATAAAGGGTATTCAATTAGGAAAAGAGGAAGTCAAATTGTCCCTGTTTGCAGATGACATGATTGTATATTTAGAAAACCACATTGTCTCACCCCAAAACCTCCTTAAGCTGATAAGCAACTTCAGCAAAGTCTCAGGCTACAAAATCAATGTGCAAAAATCACAAGCATTCTTATACACCAATAACAGACAAACAGAGAGCCAAATCATGAGTGAACTCCCATTCACAGTTGCTTCAAAGAGAATAAAATACCTAGGAATCCAACTTACAAGGGATGTGAAGGACCTCTTCAAGGAGAACTACAAACCACTGCTCAACGAAATAAAAGAGGACACAAACAAATGGAAGAACATTCTATGCTCATGGATAGGAAGAATCAATATCATGAAAATGGCCATACTGCCCAAGGTAATTTATAGATTCAATGCCATTCCCATCAAGCTACCAATGACTTTCTTCACAGAATTGGAAAAAAAACTACTTTAAAGTTTCATATGGAACCAAAAAAGAGCCCACATTGCCAAGACAATCCTAAGTAAAAAGAACAAAGCTGGAGGCATCATGCTACCTGACTTCAAACTATACTACAGGGCTACAGTAACCAAAACAGCATGGTACTGGTACCAAAACAGAGATATAGACCAATGGAACAGAATAGAGGCCTCAGAAATAATACCACACATCTACAACCATCTGACTTTGACAAACCTGACAAAAACAAGAAACGGGGGAAAGGATGACCTATTTAATAAATGGTGCTGGGAAAACTGGCTAGCCATATGTAGAAAGCTGAAACTGGATCCCTTCCTTACACCTTATACAAAAATTAATTCAAAATGGATTAAAGACTTAAATGTTAGACCTAAAACGATAAAAGCCCTAGAAGAAAACCTAGGCAATACCATTCAGGACATAGGCATGGGCAAGGACTTCATGACTAAAACACCAAAAGTAATGGCAACAAAAGCCAGAATAGACAAATGGGATCTAATTAAACTAAAGAGCTTCTGCACAGCAAAAGAAGCTACCATCAGAGTGAACAGGCAACCTACAGAATGGGAGAAAATCTTTGCAATCTACCCATCTGACAAAGGGCTAATATCCAGAATCTACAAAGAACTTAAACACATTTACAAGAAAAAAACAAACAGCCCCAACAAAAAGTGGGCAAAGGATATGAACAGACACTTCTCAAAAGAAGATATTCATGCAGCCAACAGATAGATGAAAAAATGCTCATTGTCACTAGTCATCAGAGAAAGGCAAATCAAAACCACAATGAGATACCATTTCATGCCAGTTAGAATGGCGATCATTAAAAAGTCAGGAAACTATGGATGCTGGAGAGGATGTGGAGAAATAGGAACGCCTTTACACTGTTGGTGGGAGTGTAAATTAGTTCAACCATTGTGGAAGACAGTGTGGCGATTCCTCAAGGATCTAGAACTAGAAATACCTTTTGACCCAGTGATCCCGTTACTGGGTATATACCCAAAGGATTATAAATCATGCTACTATGAAGACACATGCACATGCATGTTTATTGTGGCACTATTCACAATAGCAAAGACTTGGAACCAACCCAAATGTCCATCAATCATAGACTGGATTAAGAAAATGTGGCACATATGCACCAAGGAATATTATGCAGCCATAAAAAAGGATGAGTTAATGTGCTTTGCAGGGACATGGATGAAGCTGGAAACCATCATTCTTAGCAAACTATCACAAGGACAGAAAACCAAACACTGCATGTTCTCACTTATAGGTGGGAATTGAACAATGAGAACACTTGGACACAAGGTGGGGAACATCACACACTAGGGCTTGTTGGGGGGTGGGGGCTGGGGGAGGGATAGCATTAAGAGAAATACCTAATGTAAATGATGAGTTGATGGGTGCAGCCAACCAACATGGCACATGTATACCTATGTAACAAATCTGCACGTTGTGCACATGTACCCTGGAACTTACCAACAAGGCACATGTATACCTGTGTAACAAACCTGCACGTTGTGCACGTGTACCCTACAACTTAAGTATATATAAAAAAAGAATGTCAAAGCAACATTCAAAAATTGAACACAACCCATATCCATCAATAGTAAAATGAATAAATACATTGTAGTTTGCATATGTGACAAAATTCTATTTGGAAGTGAGACTGAATCTTGAGCATGTGATTTATGCAACACTAATCTCACAAAACGTTGAAAAAAAGCAGGCAAAAGAGATTATGCATTGTACAATCCCATTGATATAAAGTTAAGAGCCGGCCAAACAAATCTGTGGTGTTAGAAGTCAGGGTTAATTGTTCTCCTTGTGTGCTAGGGAGGGTTTCTGGGGGGATGCTAATATCTTGTTCTGCTCTATGAGGTGTTCACTTTGTGAAAAGTCATCTTGTACACTGATGATTTGTGCACTCTGTTGAATATGTATGTTATCCTTCAATAACATTTTTCATAAAAACAGACAGTGACACATACATATATACAAGTGGCAAAAATAGCAGTATACAGAATCTCTCTCTCTCTCTCTTTTTTTGATGGGGTCTCACTCCTGTTGCCCAGGCTGGAGTGCAGGGGCGCAATCTGGGCTCACTCTAACCTCTGCCTCTCGGGCTCAAGTCATCCTCCCACTTCAAGTCATCCTCCCACCTCAGCCTCCCGAGTACCTAGGAGCACAGGCGTGCACCACCATTCCTAGCTAATTTTTTGTATTTTTGGTAGAGATGGGGTTTTGCCATGTTGCCCAGGCTGGTCTTGAGCTCCTGGGCTCAAGTGATTCACCTGCCTCGGCCTCCCAAAGTGCTGGGATTACAGGTGTGAGCTACTGCATCCCGCCCAGAATATATTTTCGCATAATCAAATATTGCATCCAAATAATGCATTTTAGTAGTAAAAAAACCCTGCAAATATTATGGTTTTTGAAATTGGATTTCTGAATGTTTCATGAGGCTGAGCATCTTATCAAATATTTACTGGCCATTTGGGTTTTTTCCCTTCTGGAAATGTCTGTTCCTATTCTTCATCCATTTTTATTGTTTTGTGTCTTTTAAAAATTGATTTGGAAGAATTTTCATATTATAGAAATGAATCCTTTGTGATGTGCCTGCAAATCTTTCTGTGACTACTGCTACTGTTTGGTTTATGGTTTTATTTTGTGCAGAGATTTTAATATTAATATGGTCAAAATTAACAATTTTCTCCTTTAAATAGTATATGATTTAGCTCTTGTTTAAGATATCTTTTCTTACTCTAAGGTTGTAAAGGTATTCTGTGTATTTTAAAATACAATTTTAAGGGTTTGTTATTCACATTAACTCCACTTTCAATCTTTGTTGAGTGTAAATTAGGTAGATTATTCTATTTATTGGAGGAATAAAGTTAAACAATTGTCACAGTATCACCTATTGAAAATATTTTTCCTCATTTATTTGAAATGTTTTCTCTGTCTTTAACAAGTTTCAAAAGATGTTTCTGGGCTTTCTAATTTGTCCCCTCCCCCTTTTCATTTGCTTATCTTATGACGAATATATTATCTTAAATTCAGAATCACCTGAGTAGGATTTCAATGGGAATTGTACTGAGTTTGGGGCAGAAGAGACATCTTTTTTTTTTTTTTTTTTTTTTTCGAGATGGAGTCTCACTCTGTTGCCCAGGCTGGAGTGCAATGGTGAGATATTGGCTCACTGCAACCTCCACCTCCCAGATTCAAGCGATTCTCCTGCCTCAGCCTCCCGAGTAGCTGGGATCACAGGCATCTGCCACCACGCCCAGCTAATTTTTGTATTTTTAGTAGAGATGGGGTTTCACCATATTGGCCAGGCTGGTCTTGAACTCCTGACCTCAGGTGCTCTGCCTACCTCAGCATCCTAAAGTGCTGGTATTACAGGCTTGAGCCACCGCCCCTGGCCCAGACATCTTTACAATATTGAGGTATACAGTTCATGAACCAGGCATACATCTCCATTTAGTTGTTCTATCACCCATCAAATAGATTTTGTAATTTTCTCCATGAAGAGCTTATACTTTGTTAGATTTATTCCTAGTTTCTTATTTAAAATTTCTTTTTGTAAACAGGATCTTTTTATTTTTACATTTTTAATGGATTATTGGTAGTGTATAGGAATGCTATTGATTTTTGTAGACTGTATCAAAAGTCTTGCTACATTCTCTTATTAATTCTGATGGTTTGTGGAGTCTTCATACAAGGACAGTTTATCTTTATTTAGACAGCTTGTACACACCTGATTTCCCATTGTTATCTGACCTGTTTGTTAAGACTCCCATTAGAATGCTGATAGCTCCTGCTCCCCACGTGAAATGAGAAAGCTCTGTGGCTGTGGTCATTGCATGATGCTTACCTTAGTGTTTGCACAGATGCTCTCCATGACATTGATTCTAGTCCTCGTTGAGTTTTGTTTCTTTAAAAAATTGAGTAAATATTTATTCGTTTAATTAATATTTTGCTAATTGGGTTGTGACTTCTTATTACTGAGTTTTGAGAGTTCCCTATATATGCCAGAGACAAATCTTATATCAGATATATGATTTACAAATATTTTCTTCTAATCTGTGGTATGTCCTTTCATACTTTTAACAGTCTTTCAATGAGCAGACTTTATTTCGATGAGGTCCAAATTATCAATTTTTAAATTTATGAGTCATTCTTTTGGTTTAATATCTGGAACATATTTGTTTAATACAGAGGTTGATAAAACTTTTCTACAAACAGCCAGAAA
Source organism: Homo sapiens (assembly GCF_000001405.40). Lineage (NCBI taxonomy): Eukaryota > Metazoa > Chordata > Mammalia > Primates > Hominidae > Homo > Homo sapiens. Next base: position 129,838,956 of record NC_000002.12, on the reverse strand, counting down.
ATAAATAGGCTTTGTGGGACATATATAGTCTCAGCATTTTTTTAAAAATTTATTTTATTAAACACCTTTTCCCCAATCCTTTAAATATGCAAACTCACTTATTTCATAGTTGCTGCAGGCTAGATCTGGCAGATAAGCAAGTAATTTGCTGACCCTTGTAGGTTTATCCCTAAGTGTTTCATGATTTTTGATGCTATTATAAATGATATTTTAAAATATGAATTTACAGTTGTTTGTCGCTTGTAGATACAAATGAATTTGATTTTTATATACTGATTTATTATGGAGAGAGAACATAAATCACTTGAAAACTTTTATTTTATTTCAATTAAAAGTATAATTTTAAACAAACAATAGTTGTATATATTTTGGGGGTACAATGTGATGTTTCCCATTATGTGTATGATGTGGGACCATCAAATCAGGCCAATTAGCATGTACTTCACCTCAAATATTTATCATTTCTCTGTGGTGAGGATATTTAAAAGTCTCTCTTTTAGCTATTTGGAAATACATTATTATTAACTATAGTCACTATACTGTGCAATAGAACACCAGAATGCATTTCTCCTATCTGACTGTAACTTTGTACCTGTTGACTAATATCTTCTCTTTCCCTGTCCACTGACCCCCAGACCACCAGCCGCTGGTAACCACCATTCTACTCTCTATTTCTGTGTGTTTGACATTTTTATATTCCACATAAAAGTGAGATTATATGGCATTTGGCTTTCTGTGCCTGGCTTATTTCACTTAACATAATCTCCAGGTTCATGCATGTTGTCCCAAATGACAGAATTCTGGTTTTGTTTTTTTTTTTTAGGCTGAATAGCATTCCATTGTGAATATTTACCACATTAAAAAAATCCATTCATTCGTTGACGGACACTGAGGTTGTTTCCATAGCTAGGCTATTCTTACTAGTGCTGCAATGAACATGGAGTGCAGACATCTCTTCGGCATACTGAGTTCAGTTTCTTTGGGTGTGTACCCAGTAGTGGGATTGCTGGATCACATAGCAATTTTATTTTTAGGCTTTTGAGGGACCTCCATACTGTTTTTCAAAACGTCTATACTAATTTATAATGCCACCAACAATGTACAATCTGTACATTTTCTCCATATCCTTGCCAACACATGTTATCTTTCATTTTTTTGGTAATAGCCATTCTAACAGTGTGAGGTGATATCTCATTGTGGTTTTCCTTTGTATTTCTCTGATGGCTAGAGACAAGCATTTTTTTTGTTTGTTTGTTTTTTGAGATGGAATCTCACTCTGTTGCCCAGGCTGGAGTACAATGGTGTGATCTCAGATCACTGCAACCTCCACCTCCCAGGTTCAAGTGATTCTCCTGCCTCAGCCTCCCCAGTAGCTGGGACTATAGGTGCATCCCACCACGCCCAGCTAATTTTTGTATTTTTAGTAGAGATGGGGTTTCACCATGTTGGCCAGGCTGGTCTTGAACTCCTGACCTCAGGTGATCTGCCTGCCTTGGCGTCCCAAAGTGCTGGGATTACAGGTGTGAGCCACCATGCCCGGGCAACATTTTTGATATATCTGATGACCATTTGTATGTCTTCTTTTGAGAAATGTCTATTCAATTCCTTTGCTACTTTTTTTGTCTTTAAATTAAAAAAAATTAATTTTTAATTTTCTGTAGCTACATAGTAGGTGTATATATTTATGAGTTGCATGAGATGTTTTAATACAGGCCTACAATGTGAAATAATCACATCATGGAGAGTGGGGTATCCATCCCCTCAAGCATTTATTCTTTGTGTTACCAACAATCCAATTATACTCTTTTAGTTATTTTAAAAATTACAATTAAACTATTATTGACTATAGTCCCCCTGTTGTGCTATCAAGTGTTAGGTCTTATTTGTTCTTCTAACTATTGTTTTTTGTACCCATTAGTCATCCTCACCTCCCACCCACACCTCCACTACCCTTATGGCTGAATAGTACTCCACAGTGTGTATATATCACATTTTCTTTATCCATTCATCTGTCAATGGACACTTAGGTTGCTTCCAAATCTTAGCTACTGTGAACAGAGCTGCAACAAACCTGGGAGTGCAGATATCCCTTTGATACCCTGATTTCCTTTTTCTTGGGGTATGTATCCAGCAGTGGGATTGCTAGATTATATGATAGCTCTATTTTTATTTTTTTGAGGAACTTCCAAACTCTTCTTCTTGGTGGTTGTACTAATTTACATTCCCACCAGCAGTATACGAGGCTTCCCTTTTCTCCCTATCCTCACCAGCATTTGCTATTTCCTGTCTCTTGGATAAAAGCCATTTTAACTGGGGTGACATGATATCTCATTGTAGTTTTGATTTGTATTTCTCTGATAATCAATGATGTTGAGCCCCTTTCATATGCCTGTCTGCCATTGTATGTCTTCTTTTTAGAAATGTCTATTCAAATCTTTTGCCCATTTTTTGATTGGATTACTAGATTTTTTTTCTGTAGACTTGTTTGAGCTCCTTATGTATTCTGGTTATTAATACCTTGTTAGATGGGTAGTTTGCAAGTATTTTCTTCCATTCTGCAGTTTGTCTCTTCACTTTGTTGATTGTTTCCTTTGCTGTGCAGAGGCTTTTTAACTTGAGGTAACCCCATTTGTCCATTTTTGCTTTGGTTGCCTGCTTGTACTTATGAAGTGTTGCTCAAGAAAATTTTGCCCAGACCAATGTCCTGGAGAGTTTCCTCAATATTTTCTTGTGGCAGTTTTATAGTTTAATGTCTTCGATTTAGTTCTTTTTTTTTTTTTGAGACAGGGTCTCACTGTGTTACCCAGGCTGGAGAGTAGTGGCACCATCTTGGCTCATTGCAATATCTGCCTCCCAGATTCAAGCCATTCTTGTGCCTCAAACTCCCGAGTAGCTGGACTTACAGGTGCACACCACCATGCCCAGCTAATTTTTGTATTTTTAGTAGAGACAGGCTTTCAACCTGTTGGCCAGGCTGGTCTCCAACTCTTGACGTCAAGTGATCTGCCCACCTGGGCCTCCCAAAGTGCTGGCTGGGATTACCGGCATGAGACCCCACCCAGCCAATTTAAATTCTTTTAATCCATTTTGATTTGATTTTTGTATATGGCGAGAGACAGGGGTCTAGTTTCATTCTTCTGCATATGGATATCCAGGTTTCCCAGCACCATTTACTGAAGAGACTGTCTTTTCTGCAGTGTATATTCTTGGCACCTTTGTCAAAAATGAGTTTACTGCTTGTTTATGAATTTATTTCTGGGTTCTCTATTCTGTTCCATTGGTCTATGTGTCTGTTTTTTTTACCAGTACCATGCTGTTTTGGTTACTATAGCTTATAGTATAATTTGAAGTCAGGTAATGTGATTCCTCCAGTTTTGTTCTTTTTGCCTTTGCCCATTTTTTAATAGAATTATTCATTTGCTTGTTGACTACTTTGAGTTCCTTGTATATTTTGGATATTAACCCTTTATCTGCTGTATGATTTGCAAATATCTTCTCCCAGTCTGTCGGCTGTGTCTTCACTCTATGAATTGTTTTCCTTGCTGTGCAAAAGTTTTTTAGTTTACTGTAATCCTATTTGTCTATTTTTGCTTTTGTTTACTATGCTTTTGGAATTATGCAGAAATTTCTGTCCAAACCAATGTCATGGAGCTTTCCCCCTATGCTTTCTTCTAGTAGTTTTGTAGCTTTAGGTCTCACATTTAAGTCCTTAATTTATTTTGAGATGATTCTTGTATAAGGAGTGAGACGAGAGTCCATTTTCATTCTTCTGTTTTGAATATACAATTACACCATTTATTGAAGAGACTGTTCTTTCCCCATTGTGTGCTTTTGGCAATTTGGTTGAAAATCAATTAGCTATTGATGTATGAGTTTATTTCTGGGCTCTTCATTCTATTTCATTGGTTGATGTGCCTGTTTTTATGTTAGTACCATGCAGTTTCGATTACTTTTGCTTTGTAATAGATTTTGAAATCTGGTAGTGTTTTGCCTCTAGCTTTGTTCTTTTTGGTCCAGATTGCTTTGGCTCTTCAGAGTTTCTTGTGGCTCCATGCACATTTTAGGACTAATTTTTCTATTCTGTGAAGGGAGACATTGGAATTTTGATAGAGGTTGCATTAAATCTGTGGATTATTTTGGGTAGCATGAACATTTTAACAATATGAATTCTTCCAATCCATGAACATGAGATATCTTTCCATTTATTTGTGTCATCTTAATTTTCTCATTCATGTTTTATAGTTTTCAGCATACAGATTTTTTCACTTCTTTGTTGAAATTTACTCCTAAGTATTTCATTTTATTTTTTGATGATTGTGAATTTTTTTTTTTTTTTTTTTTTTTTGAGATGCAGTCTCACTGTGTCGCCCAGGCTGGAGTGCAGTGGTGTGATCTTGGCTCACTGCAAGCTCTGCCTCCTGGGTTCTCCTGCCTCAGCCTCCCGAGTAGCTGGGACTACAGGCGCCTGCCACCACACCTGGCTTTTTTTTTTTTTTTTTTTCAATCTCTTCCGTGGTTTTATTAAAGGGTCTTTCATGTGTATTAAAAATGCAAAACATCTGCCCAATGCCAGTTTCAGAAATGCACAAATGTGAAAGGTTTGGTTTTTACAAGTTTTCTTTTTTTCTTTTTTTTTTTTTTAGTATTTATTGATCATTCTTGGGTGTTTCTCGGAGAGGGGGATTTGGCAGGGTCATAGGACAATAGTGGAGGGAAGGTCAGCAGATAAACATGTGAACAAGGGTCTGTGGTTTTCCTAGGCAGAGGACCCTGCGGCCTTCCGCAGTGTTTGTGTCCCTGGGTACTTGAGATTAGGGAGTGGTGATGACTCTTAACGAGCATGATGCCTTCAAGCATCTGTTTAACAAAGCACATCTTGCACCGCCCTTAATCCATTTAACCCTGAGTGGACACAGCACATGTTTCAGAGAGCACCGGGTTGGGGGTAAGGTTATAGATTAACAGCATCCCAAGGCAGAAGAATTTTTCTTAGTACAGAACAAAATGGAGTCTCCTATGTCTACTTCTTTCTACACAGACACAGTAACAATCTGATCTCTCTTTCTTTTCCCCACATTTCCCCCTTTTCTATTCGACAAAACCCCCATTGTCATCATGGCCTGTTCTCAATGAGCTGTTGGGTACACCTCCCAGACGGGGTGGTGGCCGGGCAGAGGGGCTCCTCACTTCCCAGACGGGGCGGCAGGGCAGAGGCACCCCCCACCTCCTGGACGGGGTGGCGGCAGGGCGGAGGCGTCCCCCACCTCCCTCCCAGACGGGGCGGCTGGCCGGGTGGGGGCTGCCCCCCACCTCCTGGACTGGGCGGCTGCTGGGCGGAGTCGCTCCTCACATCCCAGATGGGGCAATGGGGCAGAGGCGCTCCCCACATCTCAGATGATGGGCGGCCAGGCAGAGATGCTCCTCACTTCCTAGATGGGATGGCGGCTGGGAAGAGGCGCTCCTCACTTCCTAGACTGGGCGGCAGGGCAGAGGGGCTCCTCACATCCCAGACGGGGTGGCGGCCAGGCACAGGCTGCAATCTCGGCACTTTGGGAGGCCAAGGCAGGCAGCTGGGAGGTGGAGGTTGTGGCCAGCCGAGATCACGCCACTGCACTCCAGCCTGGGCAAGATTGAGCACTGAGTGAGCGAGACTCCGTCTGCAATCCCGGCACCTCGGGAGGCCCAGGCGGGCAGATCACTCGTGGTCAGGAGCTGGAGACCAGCCCGGCCAACACGGCGAAACCCCATCTCCACCAAAAAATACACAAACCAGTCAAGCCTGGCGGCACGCGCCTGCAATCCCAGGCACTCGGCAGGCTGAGGCAGGAGAATCAGGCAGGGAGGTTGCAGTGAGCCGAGATCGCGGCAGTACAGTCCAGACTCGGCTCGACATCAGAGGGAGACTGTGGGGGGGGGGGGGAGGAGGGAGAGCCTTTTTTTTTGTATTTTTAGTAGAGACTGGGTTTCACCGTGTTAGCCAGGATGGTCTTAATCTCCTGACCTCATGATCCACCCGCCTTGGCCTCCCAAAGTGCTGGGATTACAGGCATTTGTTGTTAGTGTAGAGAAGTGCTATTGATTTTTGCAAGTTGGTATTGTATCCTGCAACTCCACTGAATTTGCTCATCAGTCCTGCTTTTTGTATACTTGTTTAATAGTCCAGAATATGTTTTTTATCTTAGTAAGTGTCCTGTGTACACTAAAAAACTGCATTCAGCTCTCATTGTGTGAAGTGCTCTATAAACATCTTTTAGGTCAGGTTGGTTGATAGTGTGTGAAAATCTCCCAAATACCTTACTGATTTTCTGTCTCTGTGTTCTATCAATTATTAAGAGTGGGGCATTAAAATCTCTGACTACAATGGTGGATTGTCTATCTCTCCTTGGAATTCTATCAGTTTTGGCACCACGTATTTTGAAATTTTGTTATTAGGTGTATTGGCATTTAGTTTTATTGTTTCAGGTCTTAAAATTAAGTCTTTATTTTGAGTTGATTCTTGTATAAGGAGTGAGATAAAACTCTATTTTCCCAATTTTCTTTCTTTTTTTTTTTTTTTGAGACGGAGCTTTGCTTTTGTTGCCCAGGCTGGAGTGGAATGGCACAATCTCTGCTCACTGCAACCTCCACCTCCCAGGTTCAAGCAATTCTTCTGCCTCAGCCTCCTGAGCAGCTGGGATTACAGGTATGTGCTATCACGCCAGGCTAATTTTGTATTTTTAGTAGAGGCAGGGTTTCTCCATGTTTACTGGGACTACTCTCAGCCCCTAGAAGTTGCCTGCCTTTTCCTTCCCTATTGCCCCCTCCACAACATGGGAGTTTCTCTTTCAAGGACAGCAGAAATGTCTCTGCTATTTAGAATCTCTGATTTTCTCTGTCTCTGAACCAGCTGTATTGTGCTCTTGTTATTAGATTAGGCCCACAGGAAAATCTTTCTTTTGACTGACTCAAAGTCAACTGATTAGACTTCTTAGCTACATTGGCAAAACCCAATTTGCCATATAATGACACATAATCATGGGGTGGTATTCCGTAATACTCACAGGTTCTGTTCACACTCATAGGGAGGGAATCATGCAAGGTGTGTACATCAGGGGATGTGAATCTTGAGGGCCATCTTTGAATTCTGCCTACCACATTTCAATAATTTTTTTTTTGAGACAGAGTCTCACTCTGTCACCCAGGTTGGAGTGCAGTAGCACAGTCTTGGCTCACTGCAACCTCTGCCTCTCTGGTTCAAGCAATTATCTTGCCTTAGCCTCCCGAGTAGCTGGAATTACAGATGTGCACTGCCATGTCTGGCTAATTTTTGTATTTTTAGTAGAGATGGGGTTTTGCCATGTTGGCCAGGCTAGTCTTGAACTCCTGACCTCAAGTGAGCCACCTGCCTTGGCCTCCCTAAGTGCTAGGATTACAGGCATGAGCCACTGTGCCTGGCCTGGACCCCAATGATTTATAGCCCTTCCAAACATTCCCTAGAATCTAATCCCATTCAGACATCATTCCAAGTTTAAAATCTCATCAGGTAAATCAGGCCCAGATTTGGATGAGGCTTCTGGGTTAATTTTTTGAGACACATTTCCTCTCTATCCAAGAGAGAGGTGATCTCCCCAACACTCCCAGTATATGACGGTGGGACAGACATAGAGTGACAGTTATAGATGTTCCAGTTTAAAAAGGAGGAAAATGGAAGGTGAAACAGAAAGGAGTCACTGCTCCAAAGCAGTTTTGAAATCTAGCTGGATGACTTCCAGCCAGAGACCCTTGATTAGGTTTCCATGCCTGGGAATTATCCTTCCTTGCTCCTCAGTTATCTTGCTCACCCTCTGGGCTCTTGTTGGTTCTGTTCTCTGAGCTCTGAGTCATTCTTCCTTTTCATTAAAGGTAGGAGCATTTGCAGCTGAAGTTTCATCAACCCGCTTCCTGCTGCTGGAATCCTAAGGGTCTGACTGTCTTTTTAATTTCAGAGTCTCTCTGTTCCTTTTAGTCCAAGCTGGCAGTATTTCTTCCCAATTTTAGTCAAGAACCTTGTGGGGTTTGCATGAATTACACTGGGATTCAGACCATTAAGCAAAAGCCATGCCCACAGATCTCCTTTTAGTGGTCACTATTTTATTGCAATTGTACATATTTATGGGGTACAGTCTGATGTTTTGATAAACATATATTGTATACTGATCAAATTAGGGTAGTTAACATATCCATCACCTCATGCATTTATCATTGCTCTGTGGTGAGAACATTCAAAATTCTCTCTTCTAGCTATTTTATAATACACAGTACTGTACTGTCAATCCTCATCACTCCACAGTGCAATAGAACTTACTCCTCCTACATAATTGTAACTTTGTGCCCATTGAATAAACTCTCCTCATCCTCCCTTCTACCCTGCTTATCCCGTCTCTGGTAACCAGTGTTCTACCTCTGCTTCTGTGATGTCAACTTTTTTTTTTTTTTAAGATTCCACATGAGTGAAATCATGTGGTATTTATTTGTGTTTCTGTGTTTGGCTTATTTCACTTAAGATGGTGTCCTCTGGGTTCATCCAGGTTGTTGCAAATGACAGGATTCCATCCTTTGCATGGCTGATTAGTACTCCATTGTGTATATATACGACATTTTCTTTATCCATTTGTCTGCTGACACTTGGGTTGATTCCATATCTTGGAAGACATGTCTAGGAAGTTGCAAATGCTGCTACCTTTAATGAAAAGACATGTTATGGCCAACAGGTCTAGGAAAAAATGCTCAACATTCATCAGGGAAATGCAAATCAAAACCATAATGAGATACCACCTCATTCCATTTAGAATGGCTGTTATCAGAAAGACATAAGAAAACAAGTCAAGGGGTGTAGAGAAATGGGAACCCTTGTACACTCTTGGTGGGAATGTAAATTGGTACAGCCACTGTGGAAAGCAGTATGGAGATTCCTCAAAAAATAAAAATAGAATTACCATATGATCCAGCAATTCCACTCTTGGCAATATAAACCAAAGGAAATGAAATCAGTGTGTCAAAGAAATATCAGCACTTGTAAGTTTACTGCAGCACAGATCTTTTTGAGATAATCTCTTTGCTATATTTGGCTCTTGCTGATGCAGCTGAGGACCAGATGCTACAGGGCTGTGGTCCTCTGGTTTGGTTGAGAAGACCTGTGAGGCACATATGCTATCTCTTGAAAGAGCCCTTTGTACGACTGAATTCTCTGACTCATTGATCCTTCTGAGGTTTTAGCAAAAGGTTGTACAGTCACGCCCTCACCTTCTTTTCTCTGCCATGCCTTTGAAAGCAATCTCCTAATTTTATTGTCCGTAGCTATATGGATGGGCTGACAATTCCCCAAATCATCCAGTCCTGGTTGCTTTTTGTTTAATAGTGCTTTTCTCAAGTTATCTCCCTCCTCTCACATTTTACTATAAGCAGCAACAATGAACTCAGCCACATCTTCAACACTTTGCTGGGAAATCTCCTTAGCAATTTATTCAAGTCAGTCATGTATACCTTCTGCTTTCTGCCTAACTGCAGGGCACAATTTGCTAAGTTTCTGCCAATAAACAGTAAAGATTCCCCTTCTTTCAGTTTCCAATGACATGTCCCTCCTCTTCTTCTGAGGTCTCACCACTAGGATCCTCCAAGTACAGATTTCTACTAATAGTCTGTCCACTGCACTTCAGGCTTTTTCTGCCACGCTCCTCAACATTCTTAGAAGAATGCCTCTGCCTGCTGTCAGCTTCCACTGGCACAGCCACATTTTTAGGTATTTGTTACAGTACACCCCACTTTTAGGTAACAAAATGTGTATTGGTGCATAACAAATGACCACAAACGTAGAGGCTGGAACAGTGTGTCCATCAGTGTGCTGCTCTGTAGGCGAGAGGGATGATGATGTAATGCGTCTGCGCTCTCTGCTCAGTCTCGCCAGGCTGAAATCAGGGTGCTGGCTGAGTTTGTGTCTGCAGGCTCTGGGGAAGAATATGCTCTGAAGCTCATTCAGGTTGCCCGGCAGTCCTGGTTGCAGGGCTGAGGTCCCTGCCTCTTCACTGCCTGCCAGCTGGAGGCCCCCCAGCATCTGCAGGCTGCCCAGCTGGCTGGCTGATGGCTCTCTCCTCCTTCAACACCAACAATGGATAATTTCTCAGCCACGGAGTCTCTTTCTTTTCAAATCCCTTCTTCCGGGAAGAACCCTATTCCTTAATAAGGGATCACCGGATTAGGGGTTCTACCTAGGATAGCCTTTTTCTGAACTCAGCTGAATAGGGACATTGGTTACATCTGAAAAGTCTCTTCAGCGCAGCATGCAGATGAGTGCCTAACTAGGAGAAGGTGTGAACACACACAGGGACCAGAATCCCGGGGGCATCTGAGAGTTCCGCCTGCCACAGGGATTCTGAAAAGCCTCGGTTGATGGTGTATTTGTCCAGAGAAATTAGCCCTTGTTTCTGTGTTGGTTTCCAGGAATATAATATTTTGGGGACAGTTTAAGGTTAACTTCTTGGCTTAAATAGTATAAATTTCAAGTTCAAACCTGCATAAAAGCAGGGAAACGATTAGAAATTGTCAGGGAAATGTTTAGGCCAAGATAACAAAATTTCATGTTGTCATTTGATACGTGCAGGTAAATATTTTTCCAGTTATTGGTCTTTTGTTTTCTGAGGCAATGGCCCCTGGAGAGTCCTAACTTCACGCAGCAGTTCTCAGCTCCTCTCTATCCCATCCTCTCAATCTGCCCCATCCATTCCTGTTTGTAGAAACCCAATCTTCTGGGCTACCAGAGGGCCACCGTCCCCCACTTCTGCTGCTCCTGGCCCTAGGCGCAGGGCTTCATGTCACAGGCTGTCCATTCAATTTTCAGTGACTGCTTTTGTTTCTGAGGATTCCCTTACTTTTCATTTAAGTTCACGTTGCCTACAAATATGTTTTATTACATACTATCTGGTGCTGCTTTTTGATTGCAGTCGGAGGCAGATTCTTTCATCTGCCACACAGATGGGGGTGGGAGCTTTGTTCTCTCTGCCTGTGGTTTGAGGCCTCCTCATTTCTCCCTGCCTGGAGGCAGCAGACCCTCAGCGCTCTGTCCTCAGGGCCTGCCCTAATCCATGGCCTGCCCTAATCCACTTCCAGGCACCTGACAAAGTCACCTTTGGAAAATGTAAATCGGATCACAAAGCCTCTCGGCTTCAAGGTGCTGAGCCACGCCTGCTTCTGTGCGGGATCTGGCCTGGCCTCTGACCCAGCAGGGCCCTGCCTGCACCGCGCACCCTCTGCCTCTCCCGGCCTGAGCCCAACCCGGGGGCGCCCCAGCACGTTTGCCGGTGGTTTGCTCCTGGGAGTGCTCCTCTGCTGGCTGTGGGCGGGGAATCCTCCTTTGATTCTCAGGCCCCGTCCTGGGGAGTGTCCCTGACCGCCATGGAGCTCAGCCCTGTTCCTCATCCCCCTACTTCACTGCTGTGCTGGTGGCTCTCAGAGTGGGGGCCCCCTTCAGCCGGCCCCGCCCGCCCACGCTCCCGCACCTCCTGCCCCTCCCGCACCTCCCGCACTTACCATGACAGCACAGGCCAGGGTCCGGCCCAAGACACACTGCGCCCAGCACGCAGCAGTGGGGGCTGAGCCCAGGGCTTCTGGCTACACCAGTGGGGTTCAGGAGGCCAGAGCAAGCCCCACGCTCCGAGGCCCCAGCTCGTGCTTAAGGTGCAGGGCTTTTGTGACAGGCACAGCAGAAAAGTGGACAGAAACAAATCCAAGCCCACCGGATTAGAATACAGAGACATTTTCGAATTAAATCATTTCTACAGGCCTAATCTTTTTCTTTTTCTGCTCTAAATATTATTATATATTTTTAAATAATGTCAACTCTATTTTTTTTCTTCCACTTTTATTTTAGGTTCAGGGGTACCTGTGCAGGTTCCTTACATGGGTAAATTGCATGTCTCTGGGGTTTGGTGTACAGATGATTTCCTCATGCAGGTGGTGAACATAGTACCTCATAGGTAGTTTTTTGATCCTCTTGCTTCTCCCAGCCCCGACCCTCATGTAGGTCCCGGTGTCAGTTGTTCCTCTCCTGTGCTCATGTGTGCTCATGTTTAGCACTCACTTATAAGTGATAACATACAGTATTTGGTTTTCTGCTCCTGCATTAATCCATGTAGGATAATGGCTTCCAGTTGCATCCATGTTGCTGCAAAGGACATGATTTCATTTTTTTTTTTTTTTTTTTTTGAGATGGAGTCTCTTATTGATCAGGCTGGAGTGCAATGGTGTGATCTCGGCTCAATGCGACCTCGGCCTCCTGGGTTCAAGCTATTCTCCTGCCTTTGCCTCCCTAGTAGCTGGGATTATAGGCACCCACCACCACACCTGGCTAATTGTGGTATTTTTAGTAGAGACAGGGTTTTGCCATGTTGGCCAGACTGGTCTCGAACCCTTTCCTCAGGGGATCTGCCCGCCTCAGCTTCCCGAAGTGCTGGGATTACAGGTGTGAGCCACTGCACCCGACCAATTTCATTCTTTTTGTATTTTTAATTGGCACATGATAATTGTACATATTTATAGGGTACAGTGTGATATTTCAATACATCTGTACAATGTGTAATGATCAAATCAGGGTAGTTAGCATATCCATCACTAAAAACATGTATCACTTCTTTCTTTTGGGAACATTAGAAGTCCACTCTTCCAGCTACTTGAAAATACATGACAAATTGTTGTTAATTATAATCCCCTATGGCACTATAGGACATGAGAACTTCCTCCTCCTAGCTGGCAGTCCTGCTGTATTCGTTAAACAGCCTGTGGCCCTCCCTTACTGCAGGCCTCATCCTTCTAACATTGAGCCCAACTTTTGTCACAGTGTTGGGAGAAAAGCTTGGGATGACCGACTGCGGGGGCGAGTGGCGGTGGCCAGCTGAGGTCGGCCCTGAAGGTGCTCCTAACACAGCCTGCGAGCTGCCCACGGGGACGGACAGACGCGTGTGCCTGCCTCATGCTGGTGTTGGAGGTCATTTCCTCCTCATGTGTCCAAAGAATTACTTGAAGTAACACTGATGGATGGCAGCCCTGTGGCCTGGGTTCCTCCGATACCTGTGAGGCAGTATCTTTAACACCACCCCTACAGTCGGGGCCTTTCAGATGCCAGGCTGTCCTGGGTCTTTTACATGGGCCTTTTCATGGACCAGAGTGGGGCTTCCCAAACGGCAATCTGGAGCCCTTTCCACCAGCATGGCAGGCCCAGGAATGAAGGATGCTAGTGGACACGTTGCTCATGACCCTGACTGCAGCCTCCAGCACCCCTCTTGTTTCCTCCCCCCTCCAGCCACTTTTTTGAAACAAAATTTTCTTTTAATTTTTACGTACTTAAATCATACCATGTTTTTATGACTTTGACACTGTGCTAGAAAAACTCACCCTGCCACAGAGTAAGTCAAATATTCACCTATGTAATCTCTTCCCATGCTCATGTTTTCATTTTTTATACATAAACCTTAATTCCTTCTAGAATTCATTTGGGTACATGCTGTGATGTATGGCTTTGTCTTTATTCATTCCAGCGGTTAGCCAGTTTTCCCAATACCATCATTTACAGGACAATCTATGCTTCACCCACTGGTCTGAAGTGCCAGCTTTATCATAAACTAAGTATGTGTCTGTACACGTACATAACAAATAAGTTTATATTTTATATAATGCACACGTGTTTATGGACTTTTAGTCATCTTAACAGTTTTTCAGTCTATCAGTCTATTACTGTTGCAGTAACACCATTTTATTGATTGTAGCTTTATAAAGCATTTCAGTATCTAAGAAGATATATCTCCCTCATAAAATATTTTCCCAACATTGTCTTATTTTCTTTTGTCAGTTTCTCCAGATGAACTCATGTTTTCAATACAAAAAACATCCCAGCAATATTTAGTTTGAAATTGTGATAGATTTAGTTATTAAATTCAGTATCTCCCCAATATCTGTTCTGCTCACTGAGAAACATGACTGTTGAGGAACATCAGTTTACTCAAATCTCTTTTGATGTCCCCTGGTCAAGTTTGTGGCTTTCTTCATATAAATCCTGTATAATTCTCTATCTTGTTTAAGCCACTGTTTGGGAGTTTTCTGCTACCCTCAGAAAACCTAACCTGCCTTGCCTTATAACAAACATGTTATTAAATGTGGCTATTTCTAATAACTTGTTCAATTGATTATCTTGGCTTGCTCAGTAGGCAATCATAGTATCTATAAATTATTATAACAATTTGCAGGGCCACCTCTGTGCTCTGGCTAGTGGAGAGTTTACCTGGTATCCATCGGGTTGTTGACCGATATTATGACTTGGCTTTTGTGGGAATTGAAGTTCCAATAAGCAGAAGGCAAATCAGGCTGTTAGAATGACTACCTTTTGAGACAGAAGCCAGCTACTTGATGTTCTAGTTGACTACTTTTTGCATATTGTTCACACTGGATTATGACTATTGTGAGAACAAAAGCCATGTCCTGTGTCCCTGAAAATGTTTGACAACAAATATTTGATAAAGGGAGGAAATGAAGAAGAAAGAAAAACAGGAGAGAGAGAGAGAGAGAGAGTGAGAGTTCTGCATAGTGTTCATACACAGGGCCCCTTAGTTTCAGTTGTAGAAATCATAGAAAATTCTGTTTTTCAGAAGAGTGCTATTATTTTTATTTTTTATTTTCTTGAGACGGAGTCTTACTGGAGTGCGGTGGTGCGATCTCGGCTCACTGCAACCTCCACCTCCCAGGTTCAAGCTGTTGTCCTGCCTCAGCCTCCCAAATAGCTGGGACTACAGGCACCTGCCACCATGCCCGGCTAATTTTTTGTATTTTTAGTAGATACAGGGTTTCACCATGTTAGCCAGGATGGTCTTGACCTCCTGACCTCATGATCTGCCCACCTCAGCCTCCCAAAGTGCTGGGATCACAGGCATGAGCCACCATGCCCAGCCAAAGAGTGGTATTAATTTAAGAAAATAGATGTTTTCCTGGCATAAACTTGCTTATAAGTGGATTTTAAAAATCAATGTCTAATTTTAGCATCCTCAAGACCCTTCTTTTAAAGAATGCCCTTGGCCATACTCTGTGTCCACAATGTCTCAAGAGTGCAATTCTGCAGGTATGAGCCGAGGGTAGTGTTAAAAAAAAAAAGTGCAATTCTGGATTCTCAGAGTTCTTTTTCAACAGGAAACTGTTGTGTATATATATATATTCTCAAACACAACTGTGAGAGCTTAAATTGATAATAACCTTTTCTTTTAAGCTTGACGTATGTTTCAAAAACTTTATACTAGCGGACTCAAGAGTATAAACTTTGGGTTTGGGTCTCTATCCTAAAGACATAAAGATTATGGGCATGGAGTTTCACTGCAGCATTATCTATAATAGCAAAAAAATGTGAAAGATGGAATCACTCAACTATAGAGAAATGGTTGTGTTAGTTATGCCACCTCTCTATGAGGATTAATTATGCAGCCATCGTGATCAAGTTTTTCATGAATAGTTAATGACACCCAAAGTGACCATGCTAAAATGGAATTTAAAAGATGTAGACATACACAGGGCAAGGGTACAGGGCAGGGGGCTAGATGCAGGCTCCGATGGGCATATGCTCACTTGATGATGCCTACTGGCGACACTGCTGTGCCTGCCTGTGGCTGACGTTGTCAGCCTGGCCTCCTGCTCCTCTCACCACTCCTGCTGCCGCAGGATTTGGCTCATGTTGAAACCATTTCCCAGCGTCCTCTGGAGGTGCCGCGGAGGGACTGAGTCAGCTGTCCTTGGCTGCTCACCTGGGGAGGCAAAACAGCTAGCCATGAAGACATCGTGCGGGGCCTGGGTCTTTCATTGACATCAGCCACAGAAGTGAGGAATTCCCTTCACACCTCCCAAGGGGAAGCCAGGCCGCTTTGGTCTTCTTGGGGAAGGAGGATGATTGTCCAATGCTGGGAGGTGAGAGCAGCTACTGCGAGCACGAGGTGGGGCCCCCTCAGCATGGTTCCTCAGGTCTGAGAGGGGTTCCCTTGCTTTCCTCCCTCCTGCTCCCCTTTCCTCTTCCCTCTACCTATTTTTTCCTTCTCACACATCTCTCCTGCTTCTCCACAATCCCTAACATTTACTGCAGGCTCCCGAAGAGCCATGCCACTTTACACCCTCAACCTCATTTAATTCTCAGGAAACCCCATGAGGCCATGCAATTCTTACCCCATGTACCAAGTGAGCCAATTCAGGTGCAGAGAGACTGCCCCTTGCCCAGAGATCCTAGCATGAGGGCTCTGTACTGGTCAGGGTCTCCAGAGAAACAGCTCCAGTAGATTGTGCAGATATACAGGGAGAGATTTGTTTTCACCCATTTATGCCTGAGGTTGCGATATTTTGAATTTTTGCAATCAGGCCTTGGCAACGACCTTGAGCAGTAGGATAGAAATAACTCTCACATGCTTAGCGTTCCAATAATGGAACACTATGGCATAAGTGGATAAGAAGTTGGCTCATACAATTATGCAGGCTGGCAGGTCCAAAGCTGCAGGGTGGACCAGCAGGCTGGAGAGCCAGGAAGAGCTGACGGTGCGGCTGGAGGCCGGTGGCGGCTGCTGCAGAGCCCCCTCTTGCTGGAGGGAGGTCATTCTGTTCCGTTCAGGCCTTAGAGCATGGGACGAGGCCCACCCATGCTAGGGAGGCCAATTTGCTTTCCTCAGATTCTGCTGATTTAAATGTTAATCTCCTTCCAAACACTCCTAGCAACACCTAGAATAATGTTTGGTCACATATGTGAGCACCATGGCTCAGCCAAGTCACACATAAAACTAGCCATCTGAGTCTCTCCATCTGAAACTCCCTGCTAATGTTCTGAGCCTTGTGGGGAAACATTATGAAGAAGGAAAATAGAAAAAGTTCACAGAATCATTAAATTAACATGGTGCAGTGCAATCTGTGCGCTCTGGCCATGACCCTGGAAGGACTCGGGAGGTCCCTTGGTGTGTCTTTCGCCTGCCACCCTGGGGCTGGTCCCTGCGCCAGTGTCCCCTGACACAGCACAGGTGTGCAGTGAGCACCTGGGGTGAGGCCGTTTTTCTCCCAGCACAGGCTTGGCTGTGCTGAGAGGGAACGAGCTGGGTTTGGGCAGTTCCCTCAGGCCTCTCCAGCATCTGTGGGAGGGTCTGAGCTCAAGTTTTAGGTTTGTGGCCTCTACTATCCAGAGCCTGCATAACTTCCACAAGGTGGCAGGGAATGGGGATAGCTTGGACTCCTCAGGGTCCTCTCCTGGACCTGCCGTTGGGCGCCCCCAGCACTCTGGGAATTGAGCAATCCACTGTCCTCATGCCATGATTCGGCCTGGGAAGCCCCAGAGGAGATAAGAGTTGCTGCATTCCTTATTTCATTCAAAAATGATGTCACACCTACCCAGCCAGACCTGTGCTTAGCCCTGGGGACACAGAGGGCCTTGTTCCTGCCTCTAGGGAGCTCCCTGCACAGAGGGAACAGAAAAGATTTGTGTAATGTGCCGAGGTAGATGGAAGCATGGGGAGGGCGGTGCACAGAGGAGGGCTACCTGGAGGAGGTGACAGCTAACTAAGCACTGAAAGCAGCCAGGCCGGGCTGAGCATGAGGGGAAGGGGTGGGCCCAGGTGAGAAGGTGAGAGGCCCAGTGCAGGTGAAGACGAGGCTGGGGAGCGCCCAGCAGCTCACAGCACAGGAGTTGGGGATGAGGTGGACGGAGGCCACCCAACAGGCCTTTTCTCAGGGAGACCTTGAGTGGATCCCAATGTTCAGACATGCCCCTGCAGGGTGCTCGGCTCTTAGAAAGGGGATGTGGCACAGCTCAGCACTGGCATCAGGCACTGTGGCACGCTGCCCACTGGGCACAGTTCTCACCAGCACAGGGCCTGGCATGTCAGTGTTCAATAAATATCCTGAGCAGTGGGTTGTGCCTGGGCACTCTGCAAGCCATCGGAGACACCTTGATGGGTGAAAAGGTGTCTGTCAGGTGGGAAATTAAAGAAATAAAGAAAAATAAAATTAAAAAGAGAAAGAAATAAGCTTTCCTGTATTAGGCTGACTTATCCCAGAGGCAGCAACGGGCACAGCCCAGACCTAGGGAAAGTCTTGATAATACTATCTAAGAAGCCGGGACACAAAGGAATGTGACCTGGAGACTCTCCCAGGACTCCCTCAACACAGGGAGAAGAAAAACAAATTTTCCTTTGTTTTATGTTATGAGTTTATAGATTCTTGTTCTCTGCAACTAGTAACTTCAAGTATTCTGTTGTATCTAAGAAGTACAACGAAGGTCATGAGAAGCCTGAGCAGGCCTGAACTACAGCTGTCTGGGCACCATAGTAAAGGTTATGAGATAAACCAGTGTAAGGCTGTTTAGAGCAAAACCTAGAAAACAGACATCTGGGTTGCTTGGCAATGGTCATGTGTAATCCTGAGTTATGAACCTGTCACAATTTGATGAATTGTTCTGCCTCTGTATCCTTGCTTTCATGCCACTGTCACTGTAAGCCTGCTTCAAGCTAACCCACCTCGTTTTTGAAGGGTGTATAAAAGTCAAGTGCTGTCTTTGTTCTGGCCCAGTCTTTGGATGTTAAGTGCGCTGGGTCTGAGTGCACTGAATAAAGATATTCTCCTGTATACACCCGAAGGTCTCTTTCTCTGGTCCTCCTGATTCCGCAGCACCGCATGTTCTTATGGTTTGCTTCTCGTGAATACAGTAGCTGGTGGTTATTACGAAACTCCTTGACTTGCCATAGGCCTCCCCAGTGGGCAGAAGTGGGTGGAATTAGTGTGGCACACCCAGGTTGACACTCACGGTGGTGGTGGGTGGTCACCCCTTGACAAGGAGGGGAGTGCCCTGGACGGGCAGCCCAGGTGTGTTCATCACCTCAACCTGCATGGAGCACACACGGGGAGAGAGGGACTGCAGCTCTGCCCCCTCGGGCTGCCTGGCCCCACGTTCTCCATGGTGACCCATGGTTCTTGCCCTTGGGAGCTCACAGATGAGGCAGTGGACTCAGGTGCCCACATGTCTTGGTGTGAGAGGCTGTGACTGAGGTGACCAGAGTGTGGCCAGGGCAGGATTCCCCAGAGAGGCAGCTCCTCCCTTAGCTTTGAAGAGTGCTCACTTGTCAGTGAAAAAAACCTTCAGTTTTGTGAAAGATTCAAGTAACTCTCAAACAGCATGATTCTGTGTGTTTCAGTGAGTGAAGGAGACAGCTTTCATGATGACAGTTTGCAAAGTGACACGGCTCAGAAACAGCAGGCCTCACCAGACTAGCCATTCTCATTTTTATTCTTTTTTATTCTCATCCTCAGCAGTTGTTATTGTGAAATGTCCCCATTATATAAAAGAGTGTGAAATTTGTGCCATTTCAAGAATAATAACACAGGCCCTAGAGTACCTACCCCAGGTTAAGAGACAAGACTGCTAACACTTGCCATTCCTCCGTCTTTGGCAGCGGTGCCTATGGTCTAGAAATTTGTGTTAATAATAGCCTGGTTGGGTGTGCTGGCTCACACCTGTAATTCCAGCGTTTTCGGAGGCTGAGGTAGGATTGCTTGAGCCCTGGAGTTCAAGACAAGACTGGGCAATATAGTGTGACCCCATCTCTACAAAGAAAAAAAAATAGCCTTATTTTTCCCAGCATGTGCATTCCTGTCATCTGCTGCTCACTTTCCCCCTTGTTTGGACAGTGTGGGACTGGTACCACCCTCCCTCATCCTGTGGCTCACTGCTTTCGCTCCTGTTATGTGCTGCAGATTCATCTGTGATGATGGATATGGCTGTAGGAGTCTGCTTCGTTTTACCTTGTGTTGTGTTTGATGGTGGGCATTTGCCATGATTGATTTTTCTGTTCTGGTCCTGGGGAGCATGTGGGCCGTTGCCACGTGTTTGCAATTATGACACAGCTGCTGTGAATGTTCCAGTACCCACTCGTGTGCATGTGCCAGGAATTCTGGAGGGCAGTAGTTCTCAAAGCTGGTCTGGGAACACCTGGGTTCCCAGACACATTCACGGGGGCTGTCAGGTCAAAACTATTTTCATGATAATACTGACACATTATTGACCTTTTTCACTGTCATTTTCTCACAGATGTGTGTTTGGAAGGTCTGCTCAACTCAGGGACCCAATATTTTCCAAATGGCCCATGCATAATGTTACAAAATCGCGCATGGTCAAAAGAGCCATTCAAAGTGAGACAAACCAATGAATTTTAACATATCCGAGTATGACAATTCTACTGGTATGGTTTCAGGTTCCACAATTGCAACCAACCTTTAAGGAAGTACCACTTGTCAAATTTTGGTGTAAAACCTAAACAGAATATCCAGTTAGCCGAAAGTCTACTGGAAGACTCCTTTCTTTTCGAACTCTGTATCTGCACAAGGCGGAATATTCTTCTCATACTCTGACCAAGCCAACAAAACACACACAGACTGAATGCAGAGGCAGTGTCCGAGCCCATGCCTCACACATTGCAGTCCGCATGGCTTCCTGGCTGTTTGAGGATGGCTTTTTTTTTTTTTTTTTTTTTGAGACAGAGTTTTGCTCTTTTGCCCAGGCTGGAGTGAAGTGGCGCGATCTTGGCTCACTGTGACCTCCGTCCCCCAGGTTCAAGTGATTCTCCTGCCTCAGGCTCCCAAGTAGCTGAAATTATAGGTGCAAGCCACCATGCCCGGCTAATTTTGTATTTTTAGTAGAGATGAGGTTTCGCCATGTTGACCAGGCTGGTCTCAAACTCCTGACCTCAGTTGATCCACCCACCTCGGCCTCCCAAAGTGCTAGGATTATAGGCATGAGGCACCATGCTTGGCTGGGGATGTTTCGTAAATTTGCCTTTCATCAATGTCACTAGACAGTTTCACCTGGAAGCCTTGGCACATTAATGCCAGAATTCCTGGATTGTGGCAGGGTTTTGAAGGCTGCTGTACAGTTGGGCCTCCAAATCTGTGAGTTCTGCATCCATAAAATTCAATTAACTGTGGGATTGAAAATATTTGGAAAATAATTTGCATCTGTGATGAACATGTGCAGAGTTTTTTATCATTATTCTCTAAACAATACAGTAAAACAATTATTTCCATAGCATTTACATTGTTTCAGGTATTACAAGTAATCTAGAGATGATTTGAGGCATACGGGAGGAGGTGTGTAGGTTATATACAAACACTATGCCATTGTATTCCAGAGACTTGAGCATCTGCAGATTTTGCTATCCCTGGGTCCTGGGATCAATCCCTTGTGGATACCAAGAGACAACTGTATTAACATTTTAAGAATCTGGACCTTGCTCCCCTCATAAAATTTCTGGTAACCACAAGTGCCTCTGGCACCTTAACTTGTTTCCATTATCTTCGTCTGTTCCAGCTATGACTTTAGTGGCAGGTGGTGGGTAGACTTCACCACAGTGGGAAAAGGGTGGTGACAAATGGATTCTGCATAATCTTCTTAATGTGACAACCTTCCATTTCAAACAGGCAGGCACTGAGACATCAAAGTAGCCAAGTGCCGCCCTGACATTGAGCCGGCCTCTGTACCGCGAGGCTGCTGCTGTTGGCTCTGCGTGATCAGGAGAGTGGAGATCAAAGGTGCCCATTATGCGGTGAGCGCCGTGCCTGCGTCTGCCTGTGTCAGGCCTGGGGGACTGTGCTGACGGGGCACTTTGGGGCGGCCCCTGGCAGGCTGGCTCAGGCTCTGGTGGTTCCCAGGGTGGAAGGTGCCCAGTGCCAGGTGACAGAGGGTCACCTGGAGATGGCTTCCTCTGGCCGCTCCCAGGGCCTGAGGGCTCACAGGTGGTTTGCTGAGAAAACTATTGGAGTGATGGTGGCGCTGGGCTTGGGTTGGAGGTGCTCGTGTTTATGGTCTCTCTAAGGGTCTCTCCACAGAGACTTCGTGGCTCAGCTGTCTGCCTCCCCAGCTCCTCTGCCCTTTCCTGGAGCTCCAGAGCCTCCTCCTGGCAGCCCTGGGCCTGCCCCCTGCTGCTGGGGGTTCACATGGGACCCTTTCTGTGGGCAGCACCCTTCCAGTCCTGTTGTGCCCTCCTCTCTAAAAGGGCCTTTCCACTGGGCACAAGGCCAGATAACAGGTCCTCCTGATGCTGCCACACTATTGGCATGCTCCTCAGATGCCTGCCGTATTTCCCACGCCAGCCTGCCACAGCGAGGGCTGGGCTGCCTTGCTCTCTAGTGCACTCCAGGGCCTGGAGGCTGCTGGGAGCAGACAGCATGTCCAATAAATGCGTGGTGCACCAATGGATGAATGCACCGGCTTGGTGAACCTAGATCACTGAGCTTCAATAATGCCTAACTCACATGGTTAAATAAGACAACATAAGGCAGTGAATCCTAGCAGTTTTATATCACTGACCCCTTTGAAAAATCTGATAAATGTGGTCAACCATCTCCTCAGAAAAATGTATATATGCAAAGCAGCAATTTTGTATATGTGAAACAGTCCCTGTAACATTTATAAAATTAATCAAGGAAAAAGGGGGGTGGGCAGAAAAAAATTAAACACAGCTTGCTCCATGCTCAGCATTGATCACTGGGTCAGCCTCCTCTCTGACCTGCTTCCTCATAGCTGTTTGGTGTCTGTTGCCTCAGAATTGCATGGATCCTGTTACAAGATTAGAGGTCCCCTTAACCACTCTAGAGATAACCACCTGAACATTATGAAATGTTAGGTTTTCCCTCTGAGATATCCTTGCAGGTCCTATATATCAGTGAAACTACTGATGCCAGCTGGTCTGTAGGACCCCACTGGTGCCAGCTGGTCTGAAAGACCCTGTGAAAAGCTGACTGAAAGACCCTATAAAAAGCTGACTCACCAAAGAGTGTAGTTTCCACATCTTGATGACTTCATCCCTCTTACCCTGATCAATCAACAATTCCAGTTTTCCAGCCCCTCGCCCTCCATATTCCCCTTAAAAACCCTAGCCCAGAACTTCTTGGGGAGATGGATTTAAGGGACTCTTCCCATCTCCTTGCTTGGTGCCCTGCAATCATTACACTCTTTCTCTGCTGCATCCCTGCTGTCTCAGTGTATTGCTCTGTTACTGTGGAGCAGGCACATTAACCTGGTGGTCCTATAACACACACTCACTGGAAGTTATCCTAATACCCACCCCATACGTTCTCTGCATAGTTTATACTTTTCTTCTATGTGCTTTTGAACTTCTTGCACATATCTTTGTTAAGATAATTGTAGCTGATAGGCAGAAAACCCTGCTGTCTCTGTGGCTTATCACAGTCCACATTTTTTTTTCTGCCTCACCAAAGGTCTGACCAGTGGCAGGGAAGGCTTGAAGGTGGCCTGCTCCACAGAGTCATTCACGGATCCACCATCAGGATGTGGATCCCATGTCCTGAGGCTGTGGGGGGCAGTGGGGCCCTGAGTCTGGCCCACCAAACCATCCTTCCCTCCTATGCCTCTGAGCCTGTGATGGGAGGGGCTGCTGCAAAGGTCTCTGAAATGCCTTCGAGGCCTTTTCCCCATTGTCTTGGCTATCAGCATTTGCCTTCCTTTTAGTCATGCAAATTTTTGCAACCTGCTTAAATTCCTCCCCTGAAAATGGGCTTTTCACTTGACCAGGCTACAATTTTTCCAAACTTTTATGCTCTTCTTTTTAAAAATAAGTTCCAATTTTTGGTCATTTCTTTGCTCATGCATATGAGCTTAGATTGTTAGAAGCAGCCAGGTAACTCTTGAATGCTTTGCTGCTTAGAAATGTCTTCCACCAGATACCCTCAATCATCTCTCTCAAGTTCAATCCATAGATCCCTAGATTAGGGGCACAATGCAAGCAGGCTTTTCACCAAAGCATAACAAAAGTGACCTTTACACCAGTTCCCAATAAGTTCCTCATTTTCATCTGAGACCTCCTCAGCCTGGACTTCATTGTCCACATCACTACCAGCATTTTGGTCACAACAATTTAAGCAGTCTCAAGGAAGTTTTGAGGACTAAGCTCTGATTTTTTATCTTACCCAAATTCCTACCTAAGGGGTCTAGGGAGTCATGCCCTACAAACCATATATTCTCTTCAGATGGGTTTTATTTGACCATGTATATTGTGTCTTGCTCTTCAATCTGACTCTGGCATAACATTATGAGACAAGGAAAAAATATTTAACCCCAAAATATATTTCCTTGCCATACCTTAAAATTGCCCTCCAAAGTCTCTTCTGGGAAAAATCCACATTCTATAGAGAATCCCCTTCCCACTTTGTTTTCCTTCCTTCCTTCCCAGATCTAGGAGATAATCAACTAAGAGCCAGGAAACCTTTTAGTCCAATAAAAAACAACTTACAACCTGCTCTCTCTAAAGTCTGCTATCTAACAGCTTCCTCTGCACAATAAAACTTGGTCTCCACAATCCTTTATCTTTAACCTGAACATTCCTTTCTATCCATCCCAGGTTTTCAGACAACCTCAACCAATTGTCAACCAGAAAATGTTTTAATTTACCTATAGCCTGGAAGCCCCCTCTTTGAGTTGTCCTGCCTTTCTAAACCAAACCAATGTATTTCTTAAATGTATTGGATTGATGTGTCATGCCTTCCTAAAATACATAAAACCAAGCTGTACCCCCACCACCCTGGGCACATGTTCTCAGGACCCCCTGAGGGCTGTGATGGGCCATGGTCACTCATATTTGGCTCAGAAATCTCTTCAAATATTTTACAGAGTTTGACTCTTTTCGTCAACAGTTTCAAACTTTCCCTTATCTTCCTGTCTTCTTCAGAGCCCTCCAAACTCTTCCAACCTCTGCCTGCTACCCAGTTCCAAGGCCACTTTTGCATTTTAAGGAATCTTTATGGCAGTATCCCTCTCCTTGGTACCAATTTTCTGTATTAGTCCACTCTTGCACTGCTGTAAAGAAATACCTGGCACTGGATAATTTATAAAGAAAAGAGGTTGAATTGGCTCATGGTCCTGCAGGCTGTGCAGGAAGCGTGGCAGCATCAGCTTCTGGGGAGGCCTCAGGAAACTTACAATCGTGGTGGAAGGTAAATGGGGAGCTGCTACTTCACATGGCTAAAGCAGGAGGAAGACAGAAAGAGAGGGGAGGTGCCACACATTTTCAAATAACCAGATTTCATGAGAACTCAGGACAGTACCAAGGTTGACATCTGTCCCCATGCTCCAATCACCTCCCACTAGGCCCCACCTCCAACACTGGGGATTACAATTCAACATGAGATTTGGGCGGGGACACAGATCCAAACCATATCACTGTCCCTTGCCCAGACCAAGGCATACTTAACTTCCCCTCTCCCTGAGCACCCTATGTTCTGAGAATCCCATTGTTGTGTTGTTGCACTCAGTGTCTGCCCTATGCTGAATGCTGTCCTTTAGAGGGCGACATAGTTTACTACTCACCTCCTAGGCTAGGTACTAGCACATTTTAGGTGCTCAGTAAGTGCTTGTGAAATAACCCATTCAGAAAAAATTGCTACAGCGGATCTGACTGTGATTAGAAGGAAATGTGGTCCCCTCTGCCTATCTTAAGGCGTTTCCTTCCCCTACTACCCACCCCTCCTCTATGTAGGTTGGGCTGTCTCTCCCCATGCTCTGTGTCTGCTGTGTCCAGGACATCTTTGCAGAACTGCAGATGGTCAGGAATGAGGAAACCTCAAGGAGGACATAGTAAGAGATGCAGCTGGAGTGGGAGACAGGGCCCAGGCATGGGAGGCTGTAGGCACCCCCAAAGACCTGAGGGAATCCATGGGCTAAATCCAAGGGCTAAACATGGATGATGCAGTCGAATTTTCATTCTGGAAGCCACAGGAACTGGGATCTGAGGGATGAGAGGAGAGTCAGGTCAGTTTCATTGAGCAGCATGTCCTGGATGGCCAGTGCACTCTAGGTGCCGTGGGGATATCAGGGGGTGAATGGGGATAAGGAGTCTGGGATGGTGAGGGAGATGGACTGGCTAACAATTGGCAGTTGGCAGAGTGGTGGTGAGAGGGCACTGGCAGGTGGGGGGGCGGGGAAGAGGCCTGAGCAGAGGGGAGGTGAGAGGGCACTGGCCTGTGTGTGGGCAGGTGTGGGAGGGGAGGAAGAGGCCTGAGCAAAGGGGAGGGTTGGGCACACCTGCAAGCTTCCAGACTCACTTCCTGTGAGGCTGCACCCAGGATGAACCCGCCTTCCCACTGGGACAATGGGGAGGGAGATTGTATTTCCGTGGGAAGCTGATGGGTTTTAGTTTTCTGAGGGACCAACACTGACCTGACCTCTCATGCTGATGCAAAGAATTCCCCATAAAATGTCTCCATCAAAGGTGGCTTGGTTACCACTTGCAGGGCAGTGTTGCTGAAGGCCCTGTTTGCTCAATTCTCTTTATAATACGTAACACTTACTGGCTTAGTCCCATTTTCTGAAATCCCAGATTGTCCCTTTAAGGATAACTTCTCTAGAAAAACAAGAGCCTTTGCAGACTGCCCCTCTAAGCAATCTGCTTTATCATTTAACAGAATGTCTCTCCTAAGAAAACACCCTGTCAGAGGCAAAGGCCTCAGGTGGGAAGTGTTTTATCTGATGTGGTGGAAACTGATGACTGGTTCTGTTGAGTGTGGCCTGAACAGCATGCTGTTATACAAAGACCAGGGCCTTTGAAACCTGCGTACTTCCTCACATGTGAATCATGGTTTATGCTTCTCCGTGGACTTTGACAACCCAGGAAGGGAAAGTTCTACTGCCATCGTTTCAGATGAGGAAGTGGAGACAGAGAGGGCCACAGACTTGGCTGTATGCCACACAGCTCATTAGTGTTCATAGAAATGGGAAGGAACTGACATCTTCCAATTGCTGTCACCCTCCCAGGTCCTCAGAGCTAACACCCTCTCACAGAAGGGGTGCTTGCGATCCTGATGCATGACCATGCAGGGGTTATGTTATGTTCTCTTTACTGTGCTGACAATAGTGTGTGACTTTAGTTGCTCATTTATTTCTGCCTGTTATTGTTAAAATATTTAAAATAGACACATTAGCATAAACTCCATCAAAACGGTTAACATGAAGTTTTTGGATCTTTAGAGATACAAGGTCCAACTGTTTGGGTAACCCTATTATATGCAGCAGCTTGCAGAATGTTAGGCATGATGACATGCAGTGTGTTTTGGGTGTCACATGAGGAACAGCAGTTGGGCCAGTTTCTGACAGCTGCTCTCACCTTGATAATCTACCCAGAGCCTGGGGACTCAGAAAGCCTACATCCTTACATTCCCAAGGTTGAGTTGGGCTCACAAAGCTCACAGGAGAGCCTGGCATCACAGACTTGCCAATTTAACTGGTGCCCCATGGGGAACGCAATTACCAGACACTCACCGCTATCTGAGTTGTGGATTCCCTCCTTGCAATTGAGTTACAGATGACTTCCAAAGGGTGTGACTGACTTGGTGTTTAATGACATGAAGTCGGAGAGCTGAGGTCCTCACCTGCACATCAGGGCTGAGGTTGCCTGTCAAGCCAGACTCTTGCCAGCTGACAGAGCATCACCTCCTGGAGAAAGGGTATGAATGGCATGGCCAGCATTCATCTGTGTGACTCTCGGATGACACAAACATTTCTATAGCTTCTACTTCTGGAAAAGATAGAGTAATAAGGACCAGATTTACCTCCTGTTTGATAAATGTAAAAATATGGGACACATTATTGAAATAACAGTTGTCCAGCTATTGGGTACCAGGCAATGAAGGGGGAATGATCCATGAGAACAGGGAAGCAGGTGAGTGGAGCCTTGCGCTGGGCCCAGTGCACGACACAGGTGGTAAAAGGAAGAGGCCAGGCAAAGCTCGGTATACTCACTAAGATGAAAAACCAGAGATGAAGTTAGGAAGTCCAAGGCAGCTGGAATTCACAGGAGAGAAGGGTACACAGTGAGAGCTGTGGAGGTCTGCAGAGGATCCTCCCCGACCACTCAGCTATACTGGTCAGAGGATGGGAAAGAGAAAGAGCTACACATAACGTTAGAAGGAGCATTCTCCATAGATCAAACAGGGCTGGGAATAGTGCCTGTTCTCCCCAGCCAGAGTAGAAAACAAATTCAGTGGGCTCTGGTTAGAGTACTTAGAAGGGTTTTCCTTCAGTGAAGGATTAAATTAGCCGTAGGCTAAATGCTGCTCTGATCCCACTTAGCAAAGCATAAAAGCAAGATCAAAAAGATCAAACTCAAAACAAAGTTCAAAGCTATTTACAGGAATATAAAATATACAGCATCTGACAAAGTAAAATTCACAATGCACGGCACTCAATCAAAAGTTACTAGCATGTGAAGAAGAAAAAATGACCCACAATGGGTATGAATATCAATCAACCAACAGTGATCCGGAAATGACAAATGATATAATAGAACTGGTAGACAAGGACATCAAAGCAAGTATTATAGGAATGTTTCATATATTTAGTATAATAGAGGAAGAGGTTGATCATGTTAACTAGATACAAGGAAGATTTAGAAAAGATCCAAAACAAACTTCTCAAGATGAAAGCCACAATGCGTGAGACAAAAATACTTAGGATGGTTTAGACAATTCAGAGAAAATGATTAGAGAAGTTAAAGACAAGGAAAGAAACTATCAAGAAATACAAAACAGAGAAATGAAAAATAGAGAAACAAGAAGACTAAAAAAATAGTAGTGAGCTGTGGGTTAACTTTAAGCAGTTGAATATCCAAATACATGAGTAATTATAGTTGTAGAAGGAGAGGGAGACAGAAAACATATTTTAAGGAATACGGTTTTCTTCGAATTTTCCAAATTTGTTAAAAATTATATCCCATAGACTCGAGAAGCTCAACAAACCCGAAGCATAAGAAATATAAAGAAAATAGCACCAAGACACATCATAATCAAGTTGCTCAAATCCAGTGATAAGGGAAAATCTTAAAAGTAGTCAGATACACAAGAAACATTAGGTACAAAGGAACAGATATAAGGATGACAGCAAATTTCTCATTAAAAACAATGCAATGAGAAGACAACAGAACAACATCTTTAAAGTGCTGAAAGAAAACATTTACCTAGAGAAAATATCTTTCACTTAATGAAATAAAGACCTTCCTCCCCCTAACACACAAAA
The DNA here is from genome assembly GCF_000001405.40 of Homo sapiens. Classification (NCBI taxonomy): domain Eukaryota; kingdom Metazoa; phylum Chordata; class Mammalia; order Primates; family Hominidae; genus Homo; species Homo sapiens. Next base: position 129,809,876 of record NC_000002.12, on the reverse strand, counting down.
ACGGAAAGAACTGATGAGCCTCAGACCTGCATTACAAGAAATGTGAAGGAAGGTCCTTTAGGCAGATGGAAAGTGACACCAGATGGAAATGTGTCTACACAAAGGAATGAAAAGCAATAGAAATGTTATTTAAAAGAGAGAATCAACTTTTTAAAACAAAATAACAGTGCATTGGGGATTTGTAAAATATGGACAGGTAAACTGTGAGACACTAGCACAAATGCAGGAGAGAAAACACAGTATATTGTTATAAGGGTCATAGACAGGGCAAGCATTCCTCACCCAAGAGTCTGAAATCCAAAATGCTCTAAAAAAATCCAGAACTTTTGGAATGCTGCCATGATGCTCAAAGGAAATGCTCATTGAAGAATTTTTGATTTCAAATTTTCAGGCTAGGGATGCTCAACCAGTAAGTATAATATTTCAAAATATTCAAAAATCTGAAAAAAGCTGAAATCTGAAACACCTCTGGTCTCAAGATTTTGGATAAGGGATACCCGACCTGTGTTGCAGTTGAGGTGACATAATATCTCTTTAGTGTATAGACTGTGAAAAGAAGTATAGTGTAAGCCCTAACACAACCACTGAAATAAGACAACAGTTGTAGCTGATAATCCAATAAAAGAAATAATGTGAAAATGTAAGAAATCCTTAGTTAATCAAAAATGCCAAAAAAGAAACAGAAAACAAGTGACAGATTGGATTAAGATAAAACAAATGACAAGACACTAGCTTTAAACCTAACCAAATCAATAATTGTATTAAATGAAACAAACCTAAACTATAGCCCAATTAAAGGTTAGAGATTGCTTCAATTGGATTAAAAAGCAAGTGCCAACCACACAAGTGTGCACATATGCAACACGCAACATTGGATCAGAGGTGAAAGAATGGAACACACTTCACACCAGTGCTATTCAGGAGTCACCATTTTGATACCAAGTAAAGTGGATTTCAGAGCAAAAATGTTACCATGGACAGAGAAGGTCATCAAAAAATATAGTTAGACAATTCAACACTCTTCTCTAAATAATTGTTGAAAATAAGTACACAGGGCCGGGTGCAGTGGCTCACATCTGTAATCCCAGTGTGTTGGGAGGCCAAGGCGGCTATTTTGCTTAAGCCCAGGAGTTCAAGACCGGCCTGGGCAATATGGTGAGACATTGTCTCTAAAAAAAAAAAAAAAATTTCCTGGTGGCACATTCCTGTTGTTTCAGCTATTCGGAAGGCTGAGGAGGGATAATCACTTGCGCCCAGGAGTTTGAGCTTATGGAGCTTTGATTGCACCACTGCACTCCAACCTGGGTGACACACAGAGAAAATAAGTAGATGGAAAATCAGTAAGAATACAGAAACAAAACTGGAAACCAAATGTGATCTAACTCACATTTATAGAACCCTCCTATGTTTAGAAGAATGCACATTTTTTCAAGTGCACATGAAACATTTACCAAGATAAAGTATTCTCTGGGCCACAGAATAAGCTTTAGTAAATGCGAAAGGATTTCTGTCATAGTGAGCCTGTTCTCTGGCCAAAATGGAATTAAATTAGGAATCAGCATTAGAAAGATATCTGGAAAATCCCCAAGTGTTTGGAAATTAAATAATGCACATCTAAATAATTCATGGGTCAAAACAAATCAAAAGGAAGATCAGAAAGAATTTTAAACTGCCCCGTCCGGGAGGGAGGTTGGGGGAAGCCTCCGCCCGGCCAGCCGCCCCGTCCGGGACGTGGGGGGTGCCTCTGACCGGCCGCCCCGTCTGGGAAGTGAGGAGCCCCTCTGCCCAGCCACCACCCCGTCTGGGAGGTGTACCCAACAGCTCATTGAGAACGGGCCATGATGACGATGGCGGTTTTGTCGAATAGAAAAGGGGGAAATGTGGGGAAAAGAAAGAGAAATCAGATTGTTGCTGTGTCAGTGTAAAGGGGGGTAGACATAGGAGACTCCATTTTGTTCTGTACTAAGAAAAATTCTTCTGCCTTGGGATGCTGTTAATCTATAACCTTACCCCCAACCCCGTGCTCTCTGAAACATGTGCTGTGGCCACTCAGGGTTAGATGGATTAACGACGGTGCAAGATGTGCTTTGTTAAACAGACGCTTGAAGGCAGCATGCTCGTTAAGAGTCATCACCACTCCCTAATCTCAAGTACCCAGGGACACAAACACTGCGGAAGGCTGCAGGGTCCTCTGCCTAGGAAAACCAGAGACCCTTGTTCACATGTTTATCTGCTGACCTTCCCTCCACTATTGTCCTATGACCCCGCCAAATCCCCCTCTCCGAGAAACACCCAAGAATGATCAATAAATACTAAAAAAAAAAAATAAAATAAAAAAAAGAATTTTAAAGTGAATGAAAATGGAAAGACATTATAAGCTGTAGTAATAAAACAGTAAACATAGATGAATAGATAAACGGAATAGGGTAGAAAATCAAGAGATGAACATACGTGTGAACAACTGATTTTGATGAAGGCATGAAGGAAGGACAGTGGAGATAGTCCCTATAAACAATTATGAAGATGTAAGAAAATAGTCCAAAAATTTCAGCAGACACATCACCAAAGAGGATATGCAGATGGCTGTTACACACATGCAAAGTGCTGAACGTCATTGGTCATTAGAGAAATGCAAATTAAACTCACAGCGTCGTATAAGCCATTAGAGTGCTGAAAATCAGAAGGAAGTGGGAGTGAGCAGGGCAGAGCTGAGCTCCGGGGCAGGCTGAGGACAGGCAGCTCCATGCCGGAGTGGCAGTTGGGCTGTCCCGCACTGGGCCAAGGTGGCTGTGCCTTTACATTCCCGTATGGATGAGGTATTTCTCTGATCTCATTTACTGCATCCTAGCATATTTATTCTGGTTTCCCTCCCAGATCATAGAAGGCATAAGGGTAGGGATTGTGACTTAGGCTCCATCCGGGGGCCCGTGTTTCCAAGGAACAGAACTGAGGATTCGTAATATTTTATTTTATTTTATTTGTAGCTGAAATGCCAGAAGTTGGAAAACACCACAAGAAAGTCATGGTAAGTGGTAACGACTAAAATATCTCACTATCATTTTTGGAATAAAGCACCATATTATAGAACTTGGTTAGTGAATTTCTTTTTCACCTTTTGGTGTCTTTAGCTACAAAACTCCAGGGAGAATCTTTAAATAATGGACATAATCAAAGCAAAAATGTTCTAAACCTCTGTCAGTCCAAATGGTGAAAAACGTGCAGAGATAGCCTGAGGGAGGATTGACAGGTGGATGGAGGCTGAGGAGGCCCCAGGGAGCCCAGGAAGCTTCTTAGTAGGCGATAATCTCCTTCTTGCATGGGGTTGAGAAACCTTCTGGAATGCAGGGTGGGGAAGCTGAAGGAGGCTGGGGTTTGGAATCCGGTCTGAGTCCCAGGCCCCTCTTACAAGCTGGAGACTTGGGGCAGGTCAGCTCGCCTCTCTGTGGTGCCGGTGGGGCTTTCAGCAGGTTAGGAGGAAGCAGCGGAACTGGGCCTGAGACTGGCGACTTGCTGTCTCCCTCACTGTCTCACTCTCTCCATCTCTCTCCCCGTCTCACTCCCACTCACTCCATCTCCCACTCTCTCTCATTCTCTCACCGTCTCACTCCGTGTCTCATTTGCTCTCTCACTCATTCTTTTCTCTCTCCCTCACTCTCCCTCTGCCTCTCTCTCCCCCTCCGTCTTGTGCACACATTGACAAATGGTGCCTGAGTGCTCGCTGATAACCTGCAGCCCATATTGGCAGCTGCCACACTGCTCCCTCAGGGAGGCCTTAAGCTTCGTGGCTTGCATCCTGTGCCTGAGTGAAGCATCTTATCCTGAGTCCCACAGATCTTGTCGTGAGTTTCCTCAAACTGTTGAAGTACAGATTAGTAGGTAACCCGGCTGGGCGCGGTGGCTCATGCTTGTAATCCCAGCACTTTGGGAGGCCAAGGCGGGTGGATCACGAGGTGAAGAGTTTGAGACCAGCCTGGCCAACATAGTGAAACCCCGTCTCTACTAAAAATACAAAAATTAGCTGGGTGTGGTGGCATGCGCCTGTAATCCCAGCTACTTGGGAGGCTGAGGCAGGGGAATTGCTTGAACCCAGGAGGCAGAAGTTGCAGTGAGCGGAGACCATGCCATTGCATTCCAGCCTGGGCAACGAGCAAGATGACGTCTCAGAAAAACAAAACAAAACAAAACAAAACAAACAAAAAAACAACCCACTGACGCTGAAAAAACACTGATTTGTTTCTAAATCATGAAGCTTTGCTGCTTGTCTTGCATGTAGGGCCTTTTAGTCTGTGTGTTGCTGTCCGTGGCCAATGACCGAACCCCTGCATTGGAGCTTGCAGTGAAGCGGACAGCTCCGGCATGAGTCCTCCCCTCCCTTCTCCTCAGCTTTCCCAGAAAATCCTTCCACGTGTGGCCGACTGTGGAGCATGCCTAACTCTGCTGACATGTCTTCCTTGGATGATCGTCACATTTGGTGTCCAGTAAGCCTTCATGAATTTATTTCTGCCTCGGCAGCCTTAATTTTGGTTGACATTACCATGTTGCAAGCCCTGAACCAGGAAGTTGGGGTCTGGTGGCCCCACTGCCAGTTTGGATGAGGGGTACTCCTCTAGGGGAATTCTGAGCTCAGAGGGTCCCCCAGAGTAGTCGAGGGGACCCCAGAGTAGTCAAGGGGCCAGAGGAGGTTTCTCCAAGTGGCCTGAGGGTACCTCCAAGGCAAAGAGGCAGATGCAAATGAGGGAAAGGCATGCTCCACCCAGGAGTTGCAGCTGGAGGGGTGCCCAGGAAGAAGGAAGAAGTGAAATAAGGATGCGCTGGGAGAAGGTGAAGACGCAGTCTCATCATGTATTGAAAGTGTGATTTCACTGTGGAGGCAACGGGAGCCCCTGAAGGAGTAATCTTGTTACTCCTTTAAATATGCACATGCTACAAAATCCAAAAGATGCAGAGGGTATGCTGAACAGTGAGTCTCTCCCATCCTGTTCGTCATCTGGGCCCCTTTCTAGGGGTGCTGCCGTGCCCTGTGTGTTCATGTGGAGCGATTTCACATGAACACAAGCGAACCCTCACACTCCAAGCTGCAGCTTTGTGCTGCTCCCTTGCTGTTCCTTCAGATGCTCATGCCACAGTTGCCCATCCTTCTATTTGTGATGGGCATTTGTGTGCTCCTAGACTTTTTTCGTGTGTGTGTGTGTGTGTGCATGTAGTGTGTATTTTCATGTTATTAAGCATATGTTGCCACGATTACTCTTATAACTCTTATATATGGGAAGACTAGATCTGTCTGTCTGTGGGGCATGGTGGTGGCCAAGGGCTTGGTGTGAGCCTGGCTAGCCAGCCATTCTGGAGGACAGAGCACCCTCAGGAAGCTGGGTTGAGTGCTTGGTGTTCACCAGAGAGTGTTGCAGTCACCTGTTCACCACCCCTACCCACACCCCGCTACCCTGCCCCAGCCTGAGATCCTGCCTAGATCGTCAGCATGCAGTCGAGGGCCTGGCTAAAGTTGATCGTTAATAAATCTGACAAATTAAAGATGACAGGAATAGCCAAATGAATAAATGTTGATAACCGATCACAGAAGGCTTGAGCCAGGATTGCCGTAGCAGACAAAACCCTGTCATGTTGCTCTCAGAAGACAATTATTTATTTAACTTTTAAAATCTTTAGCAATAACTCTAGTCTTCTGTGGGCTAAAAGATCTAGGAAAACAGCCCACTAAATGTCTACATATGAACACAAGGAAGTACTGCCAAGGCGTTCTTTACTTCATTGTCAGTAATAGTGCAAAATCAGAAACAGCATGAGTATCCGTCATTAGGGTAGTGGTTAAGACAAAATCATGGCACATCTGTGCTGTGGAATGCTATGAAGTCATCATAAAAATGAGACTGTTCTATATGTCTACTCATGGAAACAGCTTAAGACTTCTGAAAGCAGCTTTATTAAGATATAACTCACATACTATAAAGTTTAACTATTTAGTCTGCAAGTTAACGGTTTTTAGCATAACTATCACTGCAGCCGATTTTAAAACATTTTCATCACCCCAGAAAGAACTTTTAGCTCATCTTCCTATCTCTCCATATGCCTCCCCCAGTCCTAAGCAATCTCTAGTCTACTTTCTGTCTCTATAGATTTCCCTATTCTGGGCATTTCATTTAAATGCAATTATATAATATGTGGTCTTTTGTGCCTGTTTTTTTCACTTAGCATGTTTTCAAGTTTCATCCATGATGTAGCACGTATCAGTACTACATTGCTTTTTATGGAATGGTATGGCTATACCACACTTCGTTTGTCAATTGATGGGTATTTGGGTTTTTCCCACCTTTTGTCTATTATGAACAATGTTGCTATGAACGTTCACATACAAGTTTTTGTGTGGACATATGTTTTCATTTCTCCTGGGTATATGCCTAGGAGTAGGATTGCTGGGTCATATGGTAAATCTGCATTTAATTGTTTAAGGAACTTCCACACTGTATTTCAAAGTGTCTGCATCATTTTAAATTCCCATTAGCAGTGTATGAGGCTTCAAATTTCTTCGCATCCCTGCCAACACCTGTTATTATCTGACTATGTTATTATGGCCATCCTGGTGGGTGTGCAGTAGTATTTCATTGTGATCTGTATTTGCAATTTCCTGATGACTAATGATGTCAAGCATCTTTTCATGTACTTATTGGTTATTTGCATAATGCTTCCTTTCAATAATGTTCTAAGGGCATAAATTGCTCTTCAGCTTAAACCAGTGAAATCATGGCTCCTTTTCAGAAATAGTCTGAGATTTGTGTTTGATATTTGTTCTGACCCTAGGAGGGCTCCTGTCCAGCTGTCTTATTCACCAGTTCTCTCCTACAAGCCAGCCAGCCTACAGTCTAGGCTGTGTCTTCATTAAATCCATGAATCTCTTCCCAACTGCTTTCACCACAACCTCCACCATTCTTAAGAGTGCTCTTGAACTTGAACTTCTGCACACTCTGTTATAAATGAAATTAATTCCTTTGGGAAGACATAGGAGTTATCTGTTTCAGACCTGCTTCTTCTCTAACTTCTCCCCTCCCCCAGGCCTCCAGGCAAAAATCTCTGAGCCAGGGCTCTGGAGCTGGGGGTGGGGACAATGACAAGCTTCTTTCTGAGGGATACCCCCATTCCAGTAACTGAATGCTTGGCAGGGTGGGGGGCGGTATCCTGGGGTCCTCTCCTGGTGTGGAACCATCACCTCCCGAGTTGGAAGAGTTGCTATCAGGCTGCAGTACTTTCAGTGCACTGTGCCCAAGGTAGAGCCTCAACTCCTGAGTGGAAGCTGGAAGGAAGAGTGGAGTCTCCACTTTTCGATTGCATTCACCCAGCACTTAGCCTCAGCAGCAGGTGGCGGGGGCAGGATGAGAAATGCTGACATCCAACTCCTCGCAGGAAGAAAGCTCTCTGACTGGAAACAGAGGGGAGAGGGAGCCCTGTGTTGTTGGCTGAGGCAGTGTGGAGTGGAGTCTCTGCCTTACCTAGCTGAGAGCGAGGAGGAAAGGAGCTGTCCTGGTTCTAACATCATAGACTCTCCTGAGTATATGCCTAGATATGTGCCTTTCTCACCTATGTTTTATACATTTTCTTGAATAGATGTCTCTTCATTTGCTTTTTGCTACTGTTTTTGGAAATCTTTACTGATTGTGTATTTTAAACCAATTTTCACCATTTTTCCTGGGGACCAGCTCAGTGGAGCCCCTCACGCTGGAAGTTGATCCTCCCGAGATGTCCTTTGATCCTCACTGGCTCATGAGGGCCTGATCTGTGTCCCACGTCTGTGCTGCTCTCTGGCATCAGGCAGTTTCCCAATAGTAGGGGAAAGAATGGGGGTGGGTGACCCTTCCTGAAACTCTGCTAAATATGTGATTTATTTTTCCTTCTATAAAACTTTAGATAGTAAGACAATCCAATTGTAATGATTAAGATCTCACAGATGACTCCCAAAGAATCCAGAGAAGGCAATGGTGTGCTCATGGAACATGGTTCTGGAATTAGAGGAGCTAGTCACATATTGTAGAGGGATTCCAGGAAGAGAGTCTCACTGTATTGCATGTGAGTCACTCAAACCTGGCACATCATCCTGACTTCTGCATCATCCTGACTTCTGCATCATCCATGCATAACTGTCACATCTCTATTTTAAAGCCAAAACAAACAAAGACCCTGCAGTGGCAATGTCATTCCTGAGTCAGAGAGAGATCTGGATCCATGCATCACAAAGGCTTTCTGTGCTCGATGAAAACATTCAAACCTTTTCTGAAATCCAGGAGGTCCTTCCTGCTTACCGTTTTAGCTTCAGTTTTCTTGGTTTTGATTTTGTGTTTCTCTCTGCAGAAGATTGTTTCATTACATTTATTTAGAGCTTTCCCCTGAGAAAATCTCATTCATTCAAAATAGGAGCTTCCCTTTACTGAGTGTGTACAATGTGCCAGGTGCTGGTCTCATTCATTTCCCCAAATATTTATTCATGAATGAATAAATGCTCTTCTGGATACTGAGTGGTACAAGACTGCCATGGTTCCTAGCCTTGGAGTCTACTGGGGATGGCAGAGATTAAGCAAATAATTACTTGAACAAAGTTGTCAAATCATAACTTAAAGTGTAAAGGTGGACATTAGATTACCTTAAATTAGGGATTTCTGTTCAGTGAGGGTTACAGTAGGGAAAACCAATAGGAGTAGGCAAAGCCAGTAAGAATTCCTTCAAAATACAAGGAAAAGAGAGACCGCTGCAATAGGAAAATGAATAAAGGTAATGAATAACAATTCACAGAAATGGAAGCCCAAATGACTAAAAAATCCATGAAAACATGTTCACAATGCAAGTTAAAATTAAAACAAGACAGTGCTTTACATGCAACAGAATAGCAACAATCAGACCAGGGATGGGTTCACATATTGAGAAGGCTGTGGGCTAACGGGAGCCTTGGGGTGTGGACTGCTGCAGCCACCCCAGAGGACTCGGCCCAGTGCAGTGTGTGGGTTGGCCTGGTACCAGCTGCCCAACTCCTCCTAAGCGTCTTGGAGGAACCCTGATCCAGATCCATCAGGAGATACTCGCAGGGGATTGCCTGTCTGTTTATGATACAATGAGGTGTGGGAACTTGGTGTCCACTACAGAGAGCTGGAAATAAAATAAGGTGGAAACAAACTGTGGAATAACACGAGGCAGCACTGAGAAGCAATAATCTAGCTGTAGCTAGAGCAACACGGTACATCTTGAAAACTTATGGTCAAGTGAAAACGAAGAAGAAACAGAATGAGATTTAACATCTGATGTAACTCACATAATTTATGGCATATGTATATCTACCAAACACCACTACATCTTTTACAAAGAGATGTGCATATTTAAGGACGTGCATATTCAATGTATCAAATACGGTGGAGTTGGCTCCCGTGTGCATCTAGGAAATGAGGATGGGAATAAGCAATGAGGGAGTGAGCTGTATGTCTCTATCTCTGTGTCATTTGTACTTATACCTATGTTGACATCAATAGATCTATAAATTTTAATATAGAAGTAGACAGGGCATAGTCTGTATATTGTGGAATATAAACTCATCTCTGCACTCAATGTGCACAAACCACCAAAACAGAATCTTTGAAAACTTACCCCCCAAATGGCACCAATAATGATGTAACTACAATTGTGATGAGGGATCTGCAGGCTGTAAATTAACGTTGGCATCGTACTGGGCTCCTCTGGGGAAACATGTTCTGTGTACCGCTGAGGGCTGTGCACAGAGACGAGTGCTTTTCCTTTTCTTGTCTTCATGCAAACTTGTTGATGGAGACCTGGAATCGTCTGGAACCAGAGGGGCCGGAGTTCACAAGGTGGAAGGAATGGGAGGTGAAGTGAGGGACAAGATGGGAAAAGAATTTGACAGGGTGCTACTACAGGAGGATCTGCAACTCTTTTTACATTTTTTAAAAAAGATAGAAAATGTGAAAATGTGAACACTGCGAGGGAGGTCTCAAAACAATTCTTTGCAGGTCAGCCGGGCGAGAGGCCCCTGCAAACTGCACACCCAGGGAGGACTGCTCAGGCAGCTCCACGTGCTGCTAGCCTTGCGGCAAAGGCGAGCTTGCGATTTCCAGTTACAGAAGGTGCCACTTCATGTTGAGACCCCGGGTGGCCCCAGTCACCCAGTATCCTCCCTTGAGGCCCTTGCAGGCTCCACTCCCATCACTGGGCACTTCCTCTTGCCTCCACCTGGCCAACTCCTCACATTCCTCGGTCCTTGGCTGGGATATCATTCCCAGGACTGTGGGGCAGTGTTTTACTGTGGCCATGGTGACTGTGTAAATGCACTGTGGGTGGTTGCTTGCCCGGCTCTCCCACCAGACCTGACCTCATGGTGTGTGGGAACCCAGCCTTGCTCATTGCCATGCCCCAGCCCCAGGTAGAGTAGCTGCCCCTAAATCTTTGTTGGATGAATGAATGGATGAATGAATGAATGAAAGAATGAGTGAACTGAATCTGCAGTTTCAGGAAAGAGGAGGAGGTGAGCGAGATGAACCCAGAGGACCTGAAGATGCCCCAAGGACACCTCTCCCCTGCTCCATGACCTTTTATGGGACTAGTGTAGACAGCGCAGACAAGATTTCTGACCGGTGCAGGTCTTCCCTCAGCTCCCATGTAGCACCCCCCCGTGGAAGCCTGCCTCTTTTTAATGGGAGGTGTGGATGGAAATGGCCATTTACTGAGCCTCTGGAAGACATCAGGGTGGAAACTACTGTTCCGCACTAGTGGTGCTAAGCCGAGTTTCTGCGGTAAAGTCTCCGTTTGCCTTAGAGGTACCAGAGCTGGGAGCTCCACTTGGATTTGATTCATTTGGGAGCTCATGTGATGTTCCCCAGTGGAAGGAGACCTCCTCACTGCTGTACTGTGGGGCCAGCCATCAGACCAAACGTGCGGCATGCTACGGGCTTCACCTTCTGTCCCACCCCCAAAACTGCTGGCCGCTCCCAGGTTTTCCCCAGACTCTGGGCTTACCTGGAGCATCTCCTAGGATCTGTGTGCAGGGAGGACACAGGGAGTAAGGGAGGTGTTTCCTGCAGCCCAGGCGTCTCCTCACAGCAGGAGTGCACCACCTCCACAGCACTGCTTCCCCTGATGGGCACTGTGGGTGAAGGCGTGCAGGCCGCCCCACTGCCTGGCCTGCAGCTGGCGGTCCCTGCTCAGCAAGATCGAATGTTCTCTTGTGAACTCTGGCCTCCCTCACACTCTTTTGCTCTCATTTTCCCGTTGCCTTTTTTTCCCCAACACCTATATTTAGTTTATGTCTCCTTGCACCGAATGCAGAAGAAGGAAGCCGCAGCTAAACAGAAAATTTGATCCCTGCCCGGGCTCAGTTCCCTCCTGTGGGTAATGGGTCCTCCCACAGGGGTCACGGAGGAGATGGGGCGAGTGCCGCTGTGGCTTCTGCACATCTCTGCTGTTCAGGAATCGGCAGCTCCCACCATTTAGAGGGATTGTAGGGAAGGACACGGGCTTCTGAGGGGGCGTCAGGGGCAAGGCCTCACCCCAGCACCTGGGGAAGCCTCTCTCTGCCGCCCAACCTCCTCCTCCATGAGTCCCCCATGGGCTCACCCAGGAGCGATGTTTCTCCAGTTTCGGGAGCTGCTCCTGCCTTTGGAGGGTGGTGCAGACTGAAGGACGGCCTCAATCCCTCAGTGGGCAAGAGAAAACACTCTGCACACTGGCTCTGGCGTTCACATGCTCATGTACATGCACACGCACACTCACCCACACTAACTCTCAAGAAATCAGCCAGTCATTGCCAACCTCAGTGAAAGCCCTCCCCCACACACGTGTGGATCAGGCCACCCTGAGATTCGAGATCTTTCCAGACACACTGAGATCTGGGCTGTGGTGAAGGGAAGGCCGCAGGTGACAAGAGGAGGAGGGAAGCTCCTGCTGAGCTTACTCACTGAGCCCATCAGTGCAAGGATGGTGCTACTGAGGCCTGCTGTCTCCCCGAGCTGCTGGAGGCCCCGGACTTTCCTCCCACACCTTGTGGCTCCCACGAGGTTCTGCATGCTGTGAATGCCTTGTGGGCAATGCCTGATCACACTCATGGGCTGCCCCTTCGGCCTCACCACAGTGTCTGAGCCACAGGCCTCTTCCCTCAGAACCCATCATCCTCTGCCTCTGTGGCCCTATCCACTTCTGCCCCTGCTGTGTCCCTCCTGAATTCTGGCTGGGCCCTGGACATCCACCAGCACCTTGGTGGCAGCTCCAGCCCTCTCTGGTCCTGGAAACCTGTGGGGCACCCTGGTCCTGCTGGCCGGCACTCTCAGTCTCTCCACAGCAGTTCAGACCCACGTCCTGAGCGTCATGTGATGTATTTGTTTACTGCCTGCCCCCAAGGGTGTGCTCTGGGAAGCTGCAGCCTGTTCTGTGACCCAGGAGGCTTCACAGGGTTCAGGATTTGGACTCTGGGACTAAACCTCATCCCTGCCATCCATGAGGGTCATGCTCAATTCTGAGCATCTGGCTCCTGGCGCCCTCATCCTGACCCAGGGCGGGTGGCAGCTGGTGTGGCAGGCTCGTGACAGGTTGGGTTGTCCACGACGTCCTGCTCTCCCAGAGCTCAGCCACAGGTCTGGCTGTCCATGATCTCCTGCTCTCCCAGAGCTCAGCCACAGGTCTGGCTGTCCATGATCTCCTGCTCTCCCAGAGCTCAGCCACAGGCCGGGATGTCCACAATGCTCTCCCAGCTGCTCAGGCTCAGGTGCCCTCAGTTTCTAGCCATCCTTTGCCTCTCAAAATCCAACTCCCTGGGGCAAAGGACAATCTCGACCCCTTGGTGTGGCCCCATGAGGCCAGGAATCCAGCCCTTTGGTCCTTCAAGGCCTGGGGCTCCAGGGTGACTGGAACTCACACCTGCTGCCTCTCATGGCTGCACAGCAGGCAGCCCCACGGTGATGGTGGGTGTTGGGGCTGGAAAGCCTCTTAATCTTTTCATAAATAAAGCATAGGCACATGGGTACAGCACACAGGTAGATGTACAATACAACTGTCCTATTCAAATGCAATGTGCTGGCGACCAGGAGGACCATGTCTGAAGGGGTTCCTGGGGTGGGGTGTGATGGACACAAGGTGAGCTGCACCTTGGCTAGGGAGCTGTGCTTGCTTAGCCTTCAGGGTTCAGCTCAGAGGCCACATCGCTAGGAGGTGAGGCCAAGCCAGGCTGGTCCTGCACAGCTGCTACTCTTGGCCTCACCCCTGTCTCCTACAGGGGTACTGTCAGGGCCTGCCTGTCATGGTGCTTCTCCTGCCTGGACGGCTGGCTCCCCAGCGTAGGGGCAAGGTTGTGGGCACCCCAGCTGCCCCTGTGACAACCAATCGACCTTCACTGCAGTGGGAAGCTGGCCAGGGTCACCCCCAAGAAGGCCCTGGGGGCCGAGGCTTGGACCTCTCCCCTGTCCTGGCACCAGCTTTCTTCCTCCCAACACAGCTGGGGCCCTCCCTCACATGGGGAGGCCAAATGGCCCGGTGGCTGTGGCCAGGCCCTGCAACTGGGCAGGGCACCCTGATCCAGATGCAGGTGCCGCTTTTACTGTGGTGCGACTGTGCTCATGGTCTGACTTCCCTGGAACAGCATTGGGAGGGTGGTGGGTGTCCCCATGTTGCGTGGACAGTGGCAGGCAGAGGGTGATCCTGGCCCTGCCACACTCCCTGCTCTCACCCACACCTCTGCCCAATCTGTTGGAGGGTGACCAGAAAAGGCCTCACTCAGGGCGGTTTCTTGGGCACCTCCAGGTGCCAGGCACTCATGCACTGTCTCATGTTATCCTGGGACACCTTTCCATCCAGAGAGCTGGGCTCTGCTCAACTACCTATAGAACAGGGTTCCATCCCTGAGACCTCTCAAGGGGTGTAGCTGTGATTTCCCAAACTCCCTAAAGCTTCTTGGCACCTTCCTTCCAAGGAGCATGTAGTCCATTTGGAGAGAGAGGGAAACAAAACAAAATGAAAAGGTGTGTGAGCAGATGTTGGTTCAGAAGTGGGGGCTGGATCAAAGCGGTCATCTTTCCAGAAGAGATGGAAGAATTCAGCCTGTTCTGAGACCTCTAAGGGCTCCTCCTTGCTGTGAGACAGACCCCCAGCCTCCACGTGGCCTGCCGGCATCAGCTCTGGCCCTCACATCCTGGGTACACAGTGCTTGTCCATCAAAGTGGCCTGGAGGCTGGGACGCCATGTATTTTAGCACGTCCTCTGCTCACACTGCTTACTTCCCTGCTTGGAGCATCCTCTTTATCCAGGGAAACTCCTGCTGATCATTCAAAGTCCCAGCCCAGGTGTCTGTTCCTCCTGGAAGTTACCTGGTCTCCCAGGCTAAGTTTCATGGCCCTTTGTCTGCTCTTACTGTCCCCAGTAACTATCCATTTGGCTATCTGGCATCTCCATGAAAAGGCAACTCCAACTCCATAATCCATGACTGTACTCCTGGCACCCCCCAGTCCCATACTTCTTTAATCTTTAATCTTCCCCTTCTCGGTTCGTGACAACTGTATCTTTCCAGTTGTTTGGGCCAAAAGTTTTAGAGTTATCCTTGAGGCCTGTTTTTCTGTCACACTCATGTATGGTCTATCAGCAAATCCAAAAGTTTTACCTTTAAAATGTGACCAGAATGTGACCACTTCTGCTCACCTCCTCAGGCGCTACTTAGACCCATGCCTCCACTGTCTCTCACCTAGACTGGGGTGCCAGCCTCTTCACTGGACTCCTGCCCATCTGCCCCTCCCGTGGTCCAGCCGGGCAGTGCCTGCTCCACGCATTCCCTCTATGACAGCGGTCCCAGCATCCACTGCTCCATAGTTCTCCTGTAGTATCCTCCATCTACACCCACCATCTCCAAAAACTGTACCATGCTGTGCATGATATAAAAGAGAAACAACACCAAACAATTTAAGTAAAATGACAGGCACTTCAATAAGCAAATGCCAAGCGTGGCTCCACTGGACGACACCGTGAGCCGGACGACACCATGAGCCCGACGACACCATGAGTCAGGGGCTGGGTGAATGTGCTGTGGCCACAGACGGAGGCCCATGGTGATGAGAACTTTTTTTACGTGGCATGGCAGTCCCGGAACATTCACTGTGTGTTGGCACTAGGCACACACGCCTCAGTCTGCATGCAAAGCAGAGTTAGGTGTGGGTGGTGGCGCCGGAGGGCAGGTCCTGCCTGTGCCTGGTGGGCATTGGAGGGTCTGGGGTATGGCAACTCTTCGTGGGGTGCGGCTTTCCTGCACACAGCCTTCAACACCACCCCTGGTCCAGCAGCAAAGGGCAGAAATGCTCCCAATCTCTGTGACAACCAAAACAGGCCCCTGCAAATTCCCACCTCTCCCGCAAGGGGCATGACTATCCCCAGAAGGCAGCAGCACATTCCAGAAGATGCCTGAGCCCTAGAGAAGCAAATCTGAGGCCCAGCACGGCCTCCACCCACGGTCTCCTGGTTGTCCCTGATTTGCTAAGCACTCCCTACCCGAAGGTCCTGCATCTGCTGTTCCTTCTGACCATGCTGTCTCCCCAACACCCACCCAAATCCCTCCCACAGGGGTCTGTGCAGATTTGCTTTCTCCACTGAAGACAAGCTTCTCTCTTCTATTGAAAACATTTGGATGTGTGACACCACCCTTCCCCAGTACCCCTTGCCTCCTTCCCTGCTTTAATCGCTCATTAGCAGTGTCACCTTTGGTTAGCTACATGTTGTCTTTGTTTATTCTCTGTCTCGTCTCACTATAACATAAGCTCCATTTGTCTATTGATAGAATAGAATTAGGTATTCAGCGCATGCTCAGTAAATACCTGTGGAATAGATCAATCCACAGAGTGGCATGAATGAAGCCTTCTGTCTCATCTCCTGGTTGGACTGGGTAAGATGAGGGCAGGGCAGGTGGGCCTGTCATGCTCCTGTGCCCAGCGCAGACCTGGCCCCCCAGACAACTGTGGCCTCAGTGATGGATGAGCTGAACTGAGTGTAAAGAAGGCTGGGGGCTGGCTGGGCAGCCTGCCCATGAACAGGCTGAGATCTGGCTTCTGAGCTTTGTTTTTTTTATGGAGAGGCTGACAGGTCTGCCCTGGGGCAGGTTAATAATTGCTGTTCATTTTCAGGAGTGTGACTCGTTGCATCTCTTTGCTTATTTTTCCAGTTTTGAGCAGTTTTACCTCAACAGCCAGTGTTGGGAAAGGACCGAGTATTGCTGTGACTTGTGGTGTCTTGTGTCCTTGGTGGGCTCCCTGGCCAGACTGATGCTGTCTGTTGTCATCTATGCAGGGTTTTTGGCACGGCAGTGCCGGCGGCTGCAGTTGCTCTCCAGAGCCTGACAGCAGACTTCAGAGGCCAGAGAAAAATCTACATAAGCATGAGGCCAGAGCCTCCTCCATATGCATGACTGGTGATCAGGAAGCCTTTCAATAATGCATTAGACCAGGACAGAAAACCAAAAAATGTCCTCTGAAGTAGAAACAGAAAAAGTATAAAGCGAGGCACTAGGAAACAGTGACTACAGAATGAATGTTAAGGACAGCACCCTATTGTGCCTTCTCCCTGTGTCTGGGTAGCACAAGGCTTCCTCTCACAGGGGCAGCTGCGTTCGTCGTCCTGTGGTGGGCTGCTGGGTCAGAAATCCATAGTGTCCCAGCTCCCCACAAAGCAGAGGGCATCTGTTCTTGGCTGATGTGTATGGAATGCAACTCTAGACAGGCCGAGGGCAAATGGCTTCCTCACTCCACTGGTGGTGGAGTCTTTGTTTTTGACTGCTATAATGGAATACCATAGACCGGGTAATTCATAAATAAAAGAAGTTTATTGGGCTCATGGTTCTGGAGGTTGGGAAGTCCAAGAACATGGTGCCAACATCTGGTGAAAACCTTCAGGCTGCATCATAACAGGATGGAAGGATGTTAACACGGAGAGAAAAATTGGGCTGAATTCATCCTTCCTATCAGGAACCCACTCCTGAGATAACTAAACCACCCATGATAAAGGCATTAATCCATTCATCAGGGGCAGACCTAATCACCTCGTAAAGGCCCCTCTTCTTAATACTGTCATTGTGGTAACTAAATTTCAGCATGAGTTTTGGAGGGAACATTCACACCATAGGGCAGAGGACACTGGTTTTTGGGCAAGGTACATAGGACGTAACTCCAAAAAAAACGAGGCCATGGCATCTTTATTTTGCTTGTGATGGAGTTAAACTGCACTATCTCAGGGTCATAGCACTCCTTACCTTCAGTGTCCATTGCATTGGCTGACTTGGAAGGCAGGCTCCCGACCCACTGTTTATGCGGGGATGAGCTAACCAGGCGGAGGGATGCTGCGAAGCCTCAGCAGCTGGCCTTGCCTTGCACTCTGCTCCGCCCCACCACTGACTGCCAGCACCTAGGTGGGCCTCTTCTCCAAGCAAGGTATTGGGGGATGGTTGGGGTCCCCATCCGAGGAGCACCCTGGATGTGTGGCCTGCTGGGCCCAGAAGTTGGTGGCCAGAGATTGGACAGGGTAGGCTTAGAGCTACTTCCTTTCCTCGTTACTAGCACTGTCCCTGGGCCTGTTTTTTCCTTTGTAAAGTGAGAATAAAAACCCTGTAAGTTGCTGTGATGGTGAAGGTGAATGAGAATGTGTAAATTGTTTGAGAGAAGGTGCTGAGAAAACTCTGCAGGACAGAACCTCACCCCTGAATTCTGGCTCTCCAGGACTCCCACGGCCACACCATGGTCCCACTTCCACCTTAGAATGTGAGCAGGGATTGGAGGTACCAGCGAGGGGCAGGAGTGAGGCCTTGCACACGGATGCACACACACTTGCATGAGTGCACATTCAGAAACACATCCAGACCCAGACACAGAAACACTGCATACACTTAAGACTCACATACATCTGCTCTCTAAATAGAAACTCAGGCACACGTAAACGCCTTCCCACAGATGCCCACTCACACTCACACATGCTTGCTCACAGGGAGCGGGGCCCTCTGACATGGGCCTCCATAGCCTGCGGTAGCAGCTTCCTTTCTCCCCGGCTCACGGGTCCTCACCGGGTCTGGCTCCTCCGGCCTATGTCCCCCACCGCCAGTCTTTGTGGGAGTTTCTGGACAGCTGGTCTCTATGCACGAGGTGCTGGGAATGCACCTCATGAGGGTACTTTAATCCTCTAGGATTTCTAAGATTTCTTTTTTCTCTCATGCTTGGTTCTTTTTCTTTTGCCTCAGGATCCTTTGCTTCCATTTCTCTGCACGTCAAGTTTAATTTCTTTATAAACCAGCTCCCTCCACTTTGCACACATAGTCAAAAGTTGCCAGTTTTCAAGGGGGGAGCTGGGGCCATGGTGTGTCCACCGGAGCCCTGGATTTATCACTCGGGGGTGATAAATCCCATATCTTTATGCTGAGTGCAACAAACCATACTCAAATGACGATATACCCCAACACTCCATTTATATGAGGCTCGAGAACAGGCAAAACAGATCTCTGATGGTAGAAACCAGAGCAGTGATCATCCTGTGGGACCAGAGGTGGACTGGGAAGGGCCATGAAGGTCTCCCAGGTGCCTTGATTTGGATCACGGATACATGGATGTGTGCGTTTATCAACAGGAAATATGCATTTAAGATCTATGCCCTTGCCCTGTGTAACATGAAAAACATCAGGCTGGAAATTTCATGTTTAAATGAACTCGGAAAGCTGGCTTCCAGAAGGAACACTGAGGTGAGATCTACAAAGCAAACACCTTCCCTTGTTAATCAGATGCATATTTATTAAAGTGGGGTTCACCTGCAAAGGATGGAGAATTTGCATAATCTCCTCCAGATGATTTCTCTCGGTGAATTTTGAAAAGGGCACATGTTGGTGGAGTGGGCTGGAAGAGAACTTCGTTTTCATCATGTAGAAACAGGTGAGGATGCCGAGGTTTGATGCAGGGGCTGCCTGAGGCTTGGTCTCTTGATCCTCCAGGACTACTCTGAGCTGAAGTTGGAGAACCCAGGGCAACCAGCCTTGCTCTGTGTCCTGCCCTTCCTGCAACTTGCTGGACCTCACAGCTGCAAATGGGAGCCTTGTCTCATTCTCTGTGAGTCTTTAGGATAATGGTATATTAATAATAATAGCAATAATAATGTTAGTCTAGGTCACCCAATAGTAAGTGAAAGCATTCCATTGCAGCATAAACTATAAAGAAGTATTTATGGCAAGCATTCAGGGGTACTTGGTGGATCCCAGGCAGGGACCTGGGCCTCATACGGGTACTTTAATCCTCTAGGATTTCTAAGATTTCTTTTTTCTCTCATGCTTGGTTCTTTCTCTTTTGCCTCAGGATCCTTTGCTTCCATTTCTCTGCACGTCAAGTTTAATTTCTTTATAAAACAGCTTCCTCCACTTTGCACACATAGCCAAAAGTTGCCAGTTTTCAAGGGGGAACTGGGGCCATGGTGTGTCCACTGGAGCCCTGGAAAGCCAGAACTCGGAGGTGAGGTTCTATCTTGCAGAGTTTTATAAACACCTTCTCTGAAACAATGTACACAATTTCTCATTCACCCTCACAGCAAGAAGGTGAATTTAGTTTCACTTTATTCTCACTTAACAGAGGAGGAAAGAGGCCCAGGAACAGCACTAGTAGCCTCAGCTCCAACTTCACTTCTCTATAGTTCAAATTTCGGTCCCGTGTCTCCATGCCTGGTCTAATCAAGTATAGGAAGGGACAATGTGGTCCCAAGGCAGATAATCCAATGGTTATCAGTAATATTATCCATATTTATGATAGTAATAGGTGCCATTTACTGGGTTCATGCAATGAATTAAATGCTTTTGTGTATTATCTGATTTAATTTTCACAACAAATTAACAAGGCGCATATTATCCTTATTTTGCAGATGTGGAAGCTGGAGATGTCTGAGGTGAAGTAATTTGCACATTGTCCTGATTGGTAGGTAGCAAGACTTTAACTTGAGCCCACATCTGCCTGCCCACAAAGCCCTTGTTTGCTCCAGAGACAATACCTTGTGTTTTCATGTCTAGCTTGTGAAGGCCTAATTTTTCTAAGGTTAAAAATCATGACTCTGAACAAATTAACAAGCAAAAGACAACTTCATTAAAAAGTGGGCAAAGGCTGGGCATGGTGGCTCACGCCTGTAATCCCAGCACTTTGGGAGGCCGAAGCAGGCAGATCATGAGGTCAGGAGATCGAGGCCATCCTGGCCAACATGGTGAAACGCTGTCTCTACTAAAAATACAAAAATTAGCTGGGCGTGGTGGCACGTGACTGTAATCCCAGCTATTCGGGAGGCTGAGGCAGGAGAATCACTTGAACCAGGGAGTCAGAGGTTGCAGTGAGCTGAGATAGCGCCACTGCACTCCAGCCCAGTGACAGAGTGAGACCCCATCTCAAAAAAAAAACAAAAAACAAAAAACAAAAAACAAAACAAAAAAAGGGCAAAGCAGGGGAATCAAGCAAGAGAAAGAAATAAAGGGCATCCACATAGGAAGAGGGGAAGTCAATCTATCCCTGTTTGCAGACCACATGATACTATATCTAGAAAACCTCATAGTCTCAGCCCAAAACCTTCTTAAGCTGATAAACAGCTTCAGCAAAGTCTCAGGATAAAAAATCAATGTGCAAAAATCACTAGCATTCCTATACATCAAAAATAGTAAAGCCAAATCAGGAACGTAGTCCCATTCACAACTGCCACAAAAAGAATAAAATACCTAGGAATACAGCTAACCAGGGAGGTGAAAGATCTCTACAAGGAGAACTATAAACCACTGCTCAAAGAAATCAGAGATGACACAGACAAATGGAAAAACATTCCATGCTCACGGATAGGAAGAATCAATATCATGAAAATGGCCATACTGCCCAAGGTAATTTATAGATTCAATGCTATTTCTATTAAACTACCACTGATCTTCTTCACAACTAGAAAAAAACCATTTTTAAAATTCATATGGAACCAATAAAGAGCTCAAATAGCCAAAGCAATCCTAAGCAAAAAGAACAAAGCTGGAGGCATCATGCTACCTGACTTCAAACTGTACTCCATGGCTACAGTAACCAAAACAGCATGATGCTGGTACAAAAAGAGACACATAGATCAGCGGAACAGAATAAAGAACCTAGAAATAAGACCACACACCGACAACTATCTGATTTTCTACAAAGTTGACAAAAACAAACAATGGGGAAATGATTCCTTATTCAATAGATCGTGTTGGGATAACTGGCTAGCCATATGCATAAGATTGAAACTGAATCCTTTCTTTCTACTGCAAACAAAAACTAACTCAAGGTGGCTTAAAGACTTCAATGTAAAACTCAAAACTATAAAAACCCTGGAAGACAACCTAGGCCATACCATTTAGGACATAGGTACAGGCAAAGATTTCATGACAAAGATGCCAAAAGCAATTGCAACAAAAGCAAAAATTGACAAACGAGATCTAATTAAACTAAAGAGCTTCTGCACAGCAAGAGAAACTATCAACAGAGTGAACAGACAACCTCCAGAATAGGAGAAAATTTTTTGCAAACTATGCATATGTCAAAGGTCTAATATCCAGCATCTACAGGGAACTGAAACAGATTTATAAGAAAAAACAAGCAACCTCATTAAAAAGTGGGCAAAGGGCATGAACAAGTACTTTTCAAAAGAAGACATGCATGTGGCCAACAATGATATGAAAAGAAGCTCAGCATCACTGATTATCAGAGAAATGCAAATCAAAACTACAATAAGATACCATCTCCCACCAGTCAGAATGGCTATCATTAAAAAGTCAAAAAATAACAGATGCTGACAAGGTTGTGGAGTAGAAGGTATGTTTCTATGCTTGTCAGTGGGAGTGTAGGTCAGTTCAACCATTGTGGAAGACAGTGTAGTGATTCCTCAAAGACCTAAAGACAGAAATACCATTCGGCCCAGCAATCCCATTACTGGGTATATACCCAAAGGAATATAAATTATTATGTTGTAAAGATACACACATGCATACATTCATGAAGCACTATTCACAATAGCAAAGACATGGAATCAACCCAAATGCCCATCAATGATAGAATGGATAAAGAAAATATGGTACATGTACACCATGGAATACTATGCAGCCATAAAACAGAATGAGATCATGTCCTTTGCAGGGACATATCAGATGGAGCTGGAGGCCATTATCCTTAGCAAACTTACACAGGGACAGAAAACCAAACACCGTATGTTCTCACTTATAAGTGGGAGCTAAATGATGAGAACACATGAAGGCATGGAGAGGGGAACAACACACACGGGGGCCTTTCGGAAGATGGAGGGTGGGAGGAGGGAGAGAATCAGGAAAAATGACTAATGGCTACCAGGCTTAATGCCTGGGTGAAGAAATAATCTGTACACCAAACCTCTGTGACATACAGCTTGTTTATAGAACAAACCTGCACGTGTACCCCTGAGAGTAAAATAAAAGTTAAAAAAAACATGACTGATGCAAATATAAAACAAACATATGTCAAAGAGCTTATTTAGCTCATCAGTTAATGATGGAGGCAGTAAAATGTGAAAACCAGTCCAAGGAGCATTTGAGGAGCTAGGTATTTATATGTAATTTCATAAAGAAATGTTAGGACAGGTTTGCTGGGTTAGATACAAAACTAGTTAATGTCCTTCAGGACCATAAACTATAACCTTTGTGTAACTAATTGTCTTTAGTCAGATAATCTCATCCTGGTGAGTGGGTCATTCTTTCCCTGTAAGATGGAGTTAGATTTCTTTTTGTCCATATTTTGTGATGTGATATGTAGTTGGACTCTAGTAGGTGGCCTTGTTTCCCTCATGTCAGAGTTTGGAGACAGCATGTTGTGCATGGCCCTTGCCCTCATGTGGACAACTGAATGCACCTCCCAGAGATGTTGGGGGCATGGTGGTAAGAAACCAGTGTAAAAACCTCAGCACGTGGTGGTGTTTGTTCACTCCCTGAAATCCTTTTGGAAAAAAGGGCATAAATAAGTGAGTGAACGAAAGATCCACACATTTTCTTCAATAAATGATGACTGCTTTTATCATGAGGCTGCTTGACCCACTCGCCTGGCAGGTCAGCTGTTCTACATCCAGAGTGGGGTTGGAAAATATGTTTCACTTTTTCTCAAAAATAAAATATAAAATATATTAAACAGTATAATGAACATTATAGCTTCCCTGATATACTGACTTGTTCCCATCCTCAGGGACACCTGCTTTGGGAAGTCAAAGTTAGATAGAAAAGAAAATGAAATAAAGTGAAAATGTTCAAGCTTCGGCACCACAGTACAATAACCATGCCATACCCACCCTACCTGCTACTTCGCAAGTGCTATTATTATTCTCCAAGGTGCTGCTCCTCTCCAGCCACCCTTCCCTCTGGCCACCACCCTTTTCTAACCTGTCTTGTTCTCATGCTCTAGTGTACATGCGCTGAATCCAGTGACTCCTCTTGCATTGTCATGCATATGTGGCTCTCACTCCTTAAGGGCACGGCCCTTAGTTTTGTTCTCATTTTCATAACATTGACCACAGTGCTGGGCGCCTAGGAAATGGAGGGCTGGAAAGAGCATGCACTTTGGACTAGGGTTAGCTGGGGGTGAGAGTCCAGCTCTAGCACTTACTGGCAGTGTGACCTTGAGCAGATCACCTTATCACTCAGAATCCAGGGGTCTTTATTGGCAAAGTGGGCATGATAATGTGAGAGTGCCCGGCACAGTAGATGCTTGATAGAATTTGGCTGTTGTTATTTTTTAGCAGTAGAAGCAAGGGACTCACATTCTTGCTTTAAAAAGATATGAAGTCGGGGGTGGCGCACGCCTGTAATTCCAGCACTCTGGGAGGCCAAGGTGAGCGGATCACCAGAGGTCAGGAGTTTGCGACCAGCCTGGCCAACATGGTGAAACGCTGTTTCTATTACAAATACAAAAAAATTAGCCGGGCGTGGTGGTGGGTGCCTATAGTCCCAGCTACTCAGGAGGCTGAGGCAGGAGAATCGCCTGAATCCAGCAGGTGGAGGCTGCCGTGAGCCGAGATCATGCCACTGCACTCCAGCCTGTGAGGCAGAGTGAAACTCCATCTCAAAAAAAAAAAAAAAAATGAAGTCAGCTTAGAGGAAAATGGCTCTGAGGTCCCCTGGACAGAGGGACGCCTCCCCATCCCAGTGTGAAGGTCTCTGTTGAGAACATTTGCTTCAAACTAGAGTACATGTCTCATGGCAGAATTTTTGAGCTGGTAGAGTTTACTTTTGTTCTATTTTTGGAGTGGTGGAGGGTTCTATCTAAATTTAATTAGAATGGAATTAGCCAAGCCTATGCTTAAAGCAAACTCTGTGAAGCCTAGGCCAGCTTCCTTTCTCACTCCGATACTGTGCTAATGCCTCAAGAACGCTGCTGCAGAAGATGTCATTGCATGAGCAGACCACACTCCATCCGGATTTCTGTGGAAACCAGGTTTGTCCTCTGCAGGTTCATTGATTAAAGCCTGAAGCCATGTTTTTAAATAATGTAAGATGCTCCCTAAGTTCCCAGAGATGCTCTAGGAAGGGAAAGGAGACACAGCAGCAGCACCCAGCTGTGTGGCTGGAGAAGGTCAAAGCTTGGCCTGAGGCTCAGGCCCCAGCTTGCCCATCGAGGGGAGTCATACATTTATTCAAAAAGCTCGAGTGGGTCATGACCACAGAACAGGCATTCCATTTGCTCAGACATGACTGGTCTCCCTCCCCCAGACCACCCCATCTCATTGTGCTCAGGCTACGGTTTGCTATTATCTCTCTCCAAGTGTCTGCAAAGAATTCGAGAGAAATCTATAGTTGATCTAGGAACTCGATTGCTGGAGTCTTCAGAAAATAGTTTTTTTCTTTATTTGTCTCTGAAAAAGATTGCTCCTTAAAAAGAACTTTTTACTTTGAAATAACTGTAGATTCACAGGGAACTATAAAAAATGTCGGGGGGCGGGTACGGTATTTCTTTTGCGCAGCCCCCTCCAATGTTAATGGATGGCTTTTGAAGGAAGAATGCATCTTGCATAAATATAGTGCAATATGAAACCTGAGATTAACGTTGGTACAACCCACAGACCTTACTTGGATTTCGCCAGTTTTACAAGCACTCATTTGTATGTGTTTGCGTGTGTGCGTGCACATGTACATATAGTTCTAGGCAATTTTATCACATGTGTAGGTAACTACCATCACATGTTTCACAGAAACTTCCAAACTGTTTTCTAGAGTGGCTGTACCATTTTACATTCCCAGCATCAGTGTATGATTCTCAGCATACTCACCAGAATTTTGGTTTTATCATTTAAAACATTTTAATCATTCTGATATGCATATAGCCATATCTTAGTGTGGCTTAAGTGTGCATTTTCTGATTACTAATGATATTCAACATCTTTTCATGTGTTTTTTTTTGACATCTGTATATGCTCAGCAGTGAACTCTCTGTTCTTGCCTTTTGTTATTTTCTAATTGATTTGTTTTCTTTATTGTTGAGTTTGCTTTCTATGTATTCTAAAGGCAAGTCCTTTGTTGGATATGTGGTCTGCAAATGATTTTACAAAAAAAATCTTTCATGTGACCTTTTGAGGAGTAGACATTTTTAATTTCGATGAGTTTGATTTATTGTCTTCTTTTGTGGATTGGGCTTTTGGTGTCAATTCTAAGAACACCTCCCCTAGCCCTGGGTCCTAGAGATTTTCCCCTGTATTTTTTCACTTAAAGTTTTAGAATTTTTCATTGTACACTTGTCTGTTTTGAGTTAATTTTTATAGAAGGTGTGGGACTTAGGTTGAGGTTCATGTTTTGGGTTATGGAGATTCAACTTCTTCCAGCACCATTTATTGAAAAGGTGGTCCTTCCTCCCTTAATTTGCTTTTCCACTTTTATAATACATCCATGTGGGTCTATTTGTTTGGGTCTATTTCTGGGTTCTCTGTTTTTTTCCTGTTGATCAATGTGTCTATGTCTCTGCCAATACTAACTATACTGTCTTGATTTCTGTGGTTACACAGGAAGCCTTAACACCAAGAAGAGTGATTCCTCCCACTTTCTTATCTTTATTTTTCCCCCTTTCCGTATATGCATTTTAGAACGAGATTGTCTATTTGAACAAAAACTCTTGCTAAGCTTTTGTTAGGAATTGTGTTCAGCATGTAGAATAGTTTTGGTAGTACTGGCATCTTTCCTATGCTGAGCCTTCTAATCCATGAGCACGCTGTGGCTCAAATTTTTAAGCCTTCTTTGATTTCTTTCATCAGCATTTTCTAATTTCCAGTGCACTGATCCTGAATATGTTTTGTTAGATTTATGTCTAGATATCATTTCATTTTTGATAGTGTCAGATAGACTGTATTATTATTGTCAAGAAATGTATTTAATTCCACAATTCTGCACCCACCCATTCCCCAGTATGTTATTATGAGAGAGAATTGTGTGAGTATACTGATTTTAGTTCCATAAACCCCTCAATTTAATGTGAATAACTCTCCAGGTAAGTTGGCTGTATTCTACCTGGACTTTGGTGTGATTTTGTGTGTGTGTGTGTGTGTGTGTGTGTGTGTGTGTGTGTATGGTCTGGAAACAATGCAGCTTCAAGCCACTGGTTTTATTGTGCTTTGAGTGACACAATGTAAGAAGCATCAGTATATCAAGCCACATGTAGCTTCTGCTCACTGATGGAGGAAAGGCAGGGTCGGCCCAAGCTCCCTGGCTTTTCTAATTGGAATGGAGCCCAATGCTCGCAGTGGGGTCCCAAGGTTGCAAACACCTTTCTCAACTTCATGAGCCACAGGACGAGGAGCCCTCCACGACCTGGCGTGCACACTCCCATCCCACAGATGCAGGTTTAGGATGGCTGCAATTTCTGGACCCCACAGTGGTGCCCAGGCTGTCAAAGCCAGGCTGCTGCTGGTGACACCTGAGTACCCTGAAAAGGGAAGTGGAAGGAGGCTTCTACCCTCATGAAGGGAGCAACAGAACCCTGGGAGGAGGAGAGACCCATGAGACATCAGAGAAGCCACCCCCACCCTGGGAGAGAGGGTGGTTGAGCCCGGCCACCACCGAGCCACAGAGAGCTGGAGCAAGAAGGCAGGTCCCTCGCACGCTGTGTGCACACAGGATGTTAGGATCAGGCTGTGGATGTGCGCCAGGCCTGGACACAAGGGTCAAGAGCTGGAGATAGTGTGGGGACCCCAACAGAACAGCCTCTCAGCCACTGTTCCTGAGAAGGAGGAAGTACAGATGGAATCAACCCACCTGGCCTTGTTTGTGCCTAATAATAATAACAGGCTGTGTGGGCTCCTCCATGCCGGGGCGTGCTAGGTGCTGAGCCTCGCTGTCTGATTAGTCTCAGGAGGTGTCATTCCTGTCACCCTGGTTTTGCAGGTGAGGAGGATGGTGGCACTTGCCCCAGATTTCACAGGCAGCAGGTGGGAGCCACCTAACCTGTGCCAGTAACCAAATCCGTAACCACACAGGCAAACTGTGGTACCCCTCATTACTGGGGTGGGGACGCTCTCCCTCCAGTCTTTGTTCTGCCGGCTTCATCAAGGGCCTCACTGAGCAGGACCCAGGATCCAGATGGGATCAGGCCGGTGGAAGCCACCCCATCCTCAACCTCTGTCAGTGTTTCCTAGAGAGCGCAGAGCTGTAAGCAGGACAGCCCTTCCCAGCGCTGCCTGTGTGTTGTCTGTATGCAGGATCTCTCCTGGCAGGCATGCACGAGCACGAGGACAGAGAGAAGGCAGCCTGTGTGCCGGGCTTCCTCTCAGTTATTGAAAAAAGGGGCCAGATCACTGGAGGGCAAGCACTCAAGGAGGGGGCTGGCTGAGGTCTGTGAGGCTCTCAGGTGATACCTGGCCATCAGGACACACATCCCCATGGAGGAGGGTGTATTGTGCCCGGGAGCTCCGAGGGCACAGACGGTGCTGGGGCACTTTCAGCCACTGATGAGTGGACAAAGGCACAGGTGAAAGGAAAAATGGCCCCCTAGGGCTGCCGCCCTATTGATTCCACTTCGAGCTTTAGCCACTGACGTTTTGAAAAATCAACAAGTGATGATGTCTTTGGGGTCAGATATTCTTTGCTCAACCTTAAATAAGTTACTTAAAATCTCAGTGTCTCAATTTTCTCAGCTACTGTGCGTAAGACAGCTGTGGGGACGGGACAGGCTGCGGGAGGGGACCCTCAGGACTGGGAAGGACAGCCGCATGCACAGGGCTGCCACCCCAACCTCCTCTTCGCTCGGCGGCTCAGCCTTGCTGCCCTCTCCTATCCCCTTGCTCTCTGTCTCTGTCTCTCTATGTCTCTGTCTGTCTCTGTCTCTCTGTTTCTGTCTCTCTCTATGTCTCTATCTCTCTCTCTCTGCCTCTGTTTCTCTGTCTGTCTCTGTCTGTTTCTGTCTCTGTCTCTATTTCTCTCTCTCTCTCTGTGCCTCTGTCTAACCTGACCATGACACCTAATTCAACACGAGCCCTTCAGCTAAAGTTTTTCTCACCAACTGCTGATAGCTTCTTTGCATACGCCGGCTCCTTCATCCCCCAGGCACAGTGCTCCCCTCCTCCTCAGAGCCAGGACCATTCAGGGGGTGTTCAGGAAGGCACAGGGGCCTGCACTCAAGGGTGAGTTCACCGGAGTGCTTTGGCAAGTTCAAGCCTTCGGCCACTAGCACTTTGCTGTGGAATCAGAGAAGACTCCGTTCCCTTTCTTCTGCTGTCCTGCTCTCTGCTGGGTGCCGTCCCAACAGGATTTATGCTTTCAGTAATTTGGAAAGAAAAGGGAGGCCCCACTTCCCCTCTGCTATACAGGAGCCAGCTGCTGGTCCAGGTTTGCAACTCTGAGTTTCAAGATAAAGACAAAATTAAATGAAACCAAGCAAAGCAAGCAAGCAAACAAAAACCAAACCACAAAGCACTAACTTACCGTGAGAGGGAAAGGATTCTAATCTGACCTTGGTCTTTTACCCAAAGTCAGGAATAGTTTATCAGAAAATGTAAATTGCAAGATTAAATTCAGTCCCAAAAGGAGCCAGAGGAAAAGTAACCCAGCTGTGTGTCTAACAGTGCTGAGAGGTAGTGATTCAGACACTGGGGCCAGCAGGGCAGGAGCACAGCCTGTGACAGGGGTGTCTCCCCTGCCGGCGGCACAGGGGTGAGCCTTGGCTGAGCAAGAGGGGTCCTTGAGAATTTGACATTCCTGAGAAGGACCATTCCTCACATCCCTGCCCTGTCCCCTCGCCTGGCGCCTGAATCTTGGAGGCCATCTGGGGTTTAGGCGAACCCCTGGGGGTGCGGGCTATGGGAGTCTGGGCTGTGGTCAGGATGGGGGCCTCCCCTCCAGCATGG
The DNA here is from genome assembly GCF_000001405.40 of Homo sapiens. NCBI lineage: Eukaryota > Metazoa > Chordata > Mammalia > Primates > Hominidae > Homo > Homo sapiens. The sequence goes on along the minus strand of NC_000002.12, from coordinate 129,780,500 downwards.
AAAGCCAAACGGGGGCCTCTGAGAGGGGTTGGGAGAGGCACTTCCCCGTCTGAGAGTCCAGGGGGCTGGTTCCTGAGTCCCCAGAAGCCCTGCAGGGTGTGTGTTTCTGGGCTAAAGACCATCCCAAAGTCTCATTCATGGCTGAAGGAGAACCTGGGGTCCTTCCTTTTGGCAGAGGCTGTGTGGCCGGGGAGCTTCCCATTTATTTGGGTCACAAAGTATTCAATTATCCTAATAAAATGCAAATTCCCTGACAGGAGGGCACCCTAAGCTACTTGGCCTCATGGGGGTGAGACCGGACAGAAGGTGTGGAGGCAGCAGTGAGGTGGGCAGGAAAGGCCAAGAGCAGAGGGCAGTGTGTGCCAGACCAGTCTCATGAATGCCCGTGTGCTGGGCAGGCACTCAGGTGAACCTCACATGGCTGTATCAGCCTTGTTGGCTGGGACCCAGGAGACTGGGGAGCCTGAATGAGGGTGGCCAGTCGCGGAGGCTCCTCTGAACAGGAAGGTCCCAGAGAGATGGCAGCAGAGCCAGATGCATCCCAAAGTCAACTCCAGCACGGGGCCAGACTGGAGCAGGCTCTGGGATGCGTGGCTGAGCCTTCCCAGGGTTGACACTCCTGTGAGGCCACAGTGCTCTGTGAACATGGTGTGAAAGCATGGACTCAGGCCATCGTCCACTTCAGATCTGGAGAGACCAAGGACACAGAGTGGGCTAGTGGCAGAGCCAAGGCCTAGTCTCCCCTCATCCTTCCTCCACCATCTCGAAGTGGAGCTCAATTCCATCTGTTGTGTGCAGCCCAACAACAGAACAAATGTGCATATTGGACACAGGTGGACCCAACCTTGAGTGCTAGCTGCACCACTTGCTCACTCTATGCCTTCCCTGAGAATTCGATTTGTCACACAATGATGGGGACAGGAAAGGCTGCCCTGTGGCTGCTGTTTCTTAAATGCATCATGCTGTTCCTAGGTCTTCAGAGGTAGCTGCTCTCTGTCCTTCAGCTCAGGAGGCCTCCTCCAGGAAGCTGCCCTGAAACATCTTCCTTTAGGCTTGGCTGGGGGCTCCTTCCACAGCCACAGGGCCCCAGCCTTCTGTGGTCCCAGCCCTGGTTTTCCTCTGTGAGTATCTGCCTCTGCAGATGAGGATGGAGGGCCAGGCCTTAGTGCCTAGGCCACTGGTGTGTTCAGGAAGGGCCTCTTCCCTTTCTCAGGGATGGCGGTGGTAAGTAGAATGAGTCCAGGCTCTGCAGTGAGCCAGACCCCCACCCTCACCCCTGAAGCTGGATCCCACTGGCTTTGTGATCTGAGGTTCAATTTCCTGCTCCATCACTGAGGAGTGAGTGGCAACAGATACTCACAGGGTCCCTGTGCCCAGCAGCACCCCTGCACGCGTCCTGGGTCCTGACCCAGGCACACTGGTGCAGTAGAAAGATGGGAGGATCAGAGTCAGACCCCCATGGGCCAAATGCCAGCCCGCTTGCTAATTATATGCCTGATTGTGCATCTAATCATGTAATTATTGCTTAATTATGCATCTAATTATGTAATTATGTACCTATAATGTAATTATCTGCCTAATTATGTAATTATGTGCAAAATATGTGTTAATTTTGGGCCTTTCACTTCATCTCAGGGAGCCTCAGTTTCCTCATCTGTAAAGTGGGTCTGGTGCTGACAGAACGGTCGAGAGTGTTACAGCAGGTGTTGGCAATACGCTCCTGCACTCAATGGGTCTCTAGCTCTGCCTCTCAAGCCCTGGGTCAGTGAGGTTTCTTCTCCCTCCAGCTCCATTCCGAGGCTGAATGTCCCCACCCACACGTGCTGATGAAGCCCGTCTTAACTGTGCATTTGCTCAGAAATGCAGCCCCACAGTGGGGGCTGGCGCATTGCCGCCAGCCAGGCTGTGGGGCCCCCTGCAGAGCACACACTTGCACAGAATAGCCAGGCTGATGAAGGGCTGTGGGCGAGTGTGATGGATCGAGATGGGAACAAGACTCTGGAGCCACACCCACACAGATGGGCAGACAAGGCTCCCAGACTGCCATGGCATGGCCTGGCTTCTCCACTGATTCTTGTTCTTCCCTGACCACTGAGCCTTGGCCTGTTCTTCTCACCTCTTAGATGAAAATTACTAAGATGCCTGCTCCTTGGACTGCCTCTACTTCCTAACAGCAGACCCCGGTTCCTTGAACTCTCCCAAAGTCACCAAGTTCCGCTCAAATCCTACAGCCAGCTCCTCTGGACTCACTCCCTTGTATCACCGTCCCCCGGGGCTTGCCGTGCCTGCAGCCTCCCTTGCTGCAGCAAGCAATGCACCCTGCCCTGCTGTGCTTTTGGTGGACCTGCAGTGAAGAGGGCCAAATATGACACTGGAAATCAAAGTGCAGCAAACTTGTAATGACCTTTACCTGCTACAGAGCATGATTTGCAAACAAGCAAATCCAGAGCAACAATGTTAATCATGTTTTTATTCACTCTCCACTCAGCAGCAGTAAAAAGTTCTACTGTGGGATTCACCACACCCATGGAGACATTCCCAGCAGCCTACATCTGGCCTTCAATTACCCTTTATTATTTATTTCATCCCCAAAATATTTTGACTCCTGTGCCTGTCGTCCTAGAGCAGAGGGAGGCATTAGCCAATAAACAGAGACACACGCAAATTTATCAACAGATGGATTAAAAAGGAATACAATTACATGCAAAATGCCTTTGCTTTTAAAAAGCATTCATACATAAATTAGTCTGTCAGGAAATATATGCAGTTAATTGCAGGAAAAATTGGGTCCTACAATAATATCATCTACATATAGTCACTTCTTGCAAAGCAGGAGTGATTGGGCACATTATTAATTTAACAGAAGTCAAACTGTATTCATTAAATTGCTTCTTTTGAGGGAAGAAGCCTATTAGAATTCATTTTATAACATACTCCTTTTTACAACTTAATAAGTATTTAACTCTTATTTGCAGGCCAACTAAAGTAATAATTTTGCCCTTTTTGGAATAAAATTAAAACGAAAAATAAACTACAATAAGCATAGATGGTTAGACAGAGCAGAGCTGAGGACAACCTGGGGCTCAGGTTTCTTTGTGGCCAGTCGGAGGCCTGACCTGGGCTGGGGCAGCTGCCCAGTGGCCACAGTGAGCTACAGGCAGCTGAGCCCTGATACAGACCCAGAAAAGGGAGCTGACCCCATTAGAACAATTGGGTGAGATGTGTGCAGATCAACAAGCCACACTCCATTCCTGGGCTGTGAATTAGCACCACTTGTCCAGATCTGACTGGTCTCTGTGCTGTGGACTCCCTGAAGCCTAGGGTGAGTCTTCTCATTCTGTATTGGACACATAGTCAGGGCTATTTTAGTGCGTATTTCATACATGTTCGCTGGCAGGATCAGTCCATAAGGAGCTTTAATGCAGGGTGTGGCGTAGAGTGTAGGCTACTTCATGCTTTGGTCAGAGGCACAGCGTGTCTGGGATGGTCTCGTGAAAGGCAAAGCTGTGGCCAATAAGGAATCCACGTGTTAGTGTTTTATATTTTCTAAACACTTTATGTCTTTGCGCTTTGACCCTCTGTGGACAAAAAACCTGTTTTTGAGGGTACTTTCCCAGAGGGTGGCTGACATTTGTTTGCTCAGAGGCCTTCTCCAGCCCTGGGGAATGATGGGCAGAGCCTCTGGTTGTCTGACCTTGGTGCTGTTCAGAGGGCAGGGGGCACCTTTCCGTTCATCTCTATATTTCTAGGGCTCAGGTTGCAACACTTGTAGGGTGGGAGACAGCATTCCTAAGAGAAGGTGTCATGTGAACAATGGTGTAGAGATAGGAACAGCTAAGCAGAGTGAGGATACAAGCATGCCAGGGGTCTGCAGTGTAAAGTGTAAGGTTTGGGGGTGAGGATGGGGACTCTGCAAGAAAGAAGGCTAAGGGGCTCAAACCTGGAGCGCTTTAAGAATTAGGGAGCTGAATATGGTAGGCCTGGCAGGAGACTGGAGGCCAGATGGATATGCTGCTGAGATGACCCCTTGCCTCTGGGAGCCGGTGAGGGTCTGTTGGGGTGGGCTCTATGTGCACTCCCATCTAGGAAAGGCCTGGGTCTGGTCCTGTGTCTGCAGTTCCTTCACTGTGACAGCCATGCCTTGGGCAAATCCTTCCCTCTGTGAACTGGAAGTTGTGTTGATGAGTTCTGGCCCAGCAGTGCTTAAAAGTTTATAAAAACGAATTTATAAAATGAATCAAATAACTTGTCAGGTTTTAGGCCAGGGTGTTATTGTTCTCTGAGAATGGCAACCACCTTCTGTGTTTTATGATATCTTAGCCATAAAGTACACCCTGGAAAGTCTTTGAGGAGATTTGCTGAGCTGGCAGAACAGCCTCTCTGTGGATGAAAAGATCAGCTATTATTAAAATGAACCTATTAACCAAGATGCTTTATAAACTCCAGATGATCTCTTTTCTATTATCCTCTAAGAAGATTAACATTTTTAGTGGTTTTTTAATGAAGTTTTTGGGAAAGACAAATAACCCAAGGTTAAACAGAAGCACCTCTTCCTGTCCTGTCAATTTCCTTTTGTTTTTTTCCAGCCTATAGTCAGAAAAAAGGAGCTCACGAATGCATAAACAGTAACATTTTCCTAGTCTCACCAATGCTGGAAAATATTTCCTATGGTAGAGTCATTTTTTCACTAAAAAAAAAAATTTGAGACCAGGCATGGTGGCTCACGCCTGTATCCTAGCACTTTGGGAGGCCTAGGCAGGTGGATCACCTGAAGTCAAGAGTTTGAGACCAGCCTGGCCAATATGGTGAAACCTCATCTCTACTAAAAATACAAAAATTAGCCAGGTGTGGTGGTGGGTGCCTGTAATCCCAGCTACCTGGGAGGCTGAGGCAGGAGAATTGCTTGAACCCAGGAGGCAGAGGTTGTAGTGAGCTGAGATTGTGCCATTGCACTCCAGCCTGGGCAATAGAACAAAAACTCTGTCTTAAAAAATAATAAAAAAAAATTTGATGAGTAACTATTAAGGATCAGGTAAAGGAAATCAGAAATCTGGGGTGGCATGTTCATGGATTGGAAGAAATAATGTTGTTAAAATGTCCATAGTACCCAAAGCAGTCTACAGATCTAATGCAATCCCTATCAAGATCTCAATAACATATTTCACAGAAACAGAAAAAAAAATCCTAAAATTAATATGAAACCATGAAAGACCCCAGATAGCCAAAGGTATCTTGAACAAAAAGAACAAAGATGGGGGAATCAAACTGACTTCAAAATATACTACAAAGCGGTAGTAATCAAGACAGTGTGGTACTGGCGTGAAAACAGACACATAGAACAATGGAACATAATGGAGAACTCAGAAATAAACCTGAGTTTATGGCCAATTAGTTTTTGACAAAGGCACTAAAAACACACAGTGGGGAAATAGTTTCTTCAATTAAGGGTGTTGAAAAAACTGGATATCCACATGTAGAAGAATGGAATTGGACTCTTATCTCACACCATATACAGAAATCGACTCAAAATGGAATAAAGGCTTAAAGGTAAGATCCAAAACTCTAAGACTACTAGAAGAAAACATAGGGAAAAGTCTCCAAAACATTGATCTGGACAATGGTTTTTTTGAGTAGTATCGTTTTTTTTGAGACAGAGTTTTGCTCTGTCACCCAGGCTGGAGTGCAGTGGTGCAATCTCGGCTCACTGCAATCACTGCCTCCCAGGTTCAAGCAATTCTCTACCTCAGCCTCCTGAGTAGCTGGGATTACAGGCGCCCACCACCACGCCTGACTAATTTTTTGTATTTTTAGTAGAGATGGGGTTTCACCATCTTGGCCAGGCTGATCTTGAACTCCTGACCTCATGATCCACCCACCTTGGCCTCCCAAAGTGGTGAGATTACAGGCATGAGCTACCGCGCCTGGCCTTGAGTAGTATCTTAAAAGCACAGGCAACAAAACCAAACATAGACAAATGGGATATCATGAAACTAAAAAGTTTCTGCATAGCAAGGAAATAACAGAATGAAAAGACAACCTACAGAATGGGAGAAAATATTTGCAAACCATACATCTGATAAGGGATTAATACTCAAAATATATTGCAACTCAATCACACACACACAAATCCAGTTAAGAAATGAGCAAAGGATTGGAATAGGTATTTCTGAAAAGAAAACATATGAATGGTTAACAGATATGTGAAAAAATCTCCAGCATCACTAATGTGAAAATGTGTTAAGTTAAATTAATGCAAATTAAAGCCACAGTGAGATATCACCTCATGGCTGTTGGAATGGCTGCTAACAAAAAGATGAAAGGTTATAAGTGTTGGCAAGAATGTAGAGAAAAGGGATGTTTCTCATTGCACAATGTTGCACATTGTTGGAGGGATTGTAGATTAGTATAGTCATTATGGAAAATAGTTTGAAAGTTCCTCAAAAAACTAAAAATAGAATTACTATGTGATCCAGCAAACTCATTTCTGGGTATATATTCAAAGGAATTGAAATCAGTATGTTGAAGAGATACCTGCATTCCTATGTTTATTGCAGCACTATTCACAATAGCCAAGATACAGAATCAACCTAAGTGTCCCTCAACAGATGAATGGATAAAGAAAATATATAAAGAAATGTATATGCACAATAGAATACTTTATAGCCTTAGAAAACAAGAAAAATCTATCATTTGCAACAGCATGGATGAACCTGGATATCACTAGGCTAAGCAAAATAAGCCAGACACAGAAAGACAAATACTCATATATGGAATCTAAAATAGTTGGACTCATTGAAGTAGAGAGTAGAATGGTGATTACCAGGGGCTGGGGTGGAGGAGGATTGGGATAATGTTGGTCAAAGAGTGCAAAGTTTAGTTAGTCAGGAGGAAGAAGTTTTAGCAATCTATTGAATACCATGGTTACTATAGTTAATAATAAGGTATTGTATACTTGAAAATGGCCAAGAAAGTAGACTTTAAGTGTTCTTACCACAAAAAATCATATGTAGATGAGGTGATGGATATTTTAGTTAGCTTGATTTAATCATCCCACAATGTATACATATATTAAAACATAACATTGTACCCCATACATATATAGAATTTATTATTTGTCAATTAAAAATACAGAGTGGGTATGTTGCAATTTTAAATGGCATAGGTGGGGTTGGTCTCATGAAGAAATTTATATTTGAGCAAAGAGTTGAAAGAAGTGAGGGGCTAACCATGACTATATATCTGTCAGTTCTGAATGGGTTTTGATTGATTGATTTATTGTGCATTTTTCTGCTTTATCTGCCTTGTAATTTTTTTTTTTTTTGAGACAGAGTCTTGCTCTGTCACCCAAGCTAAAGTGCAGTGGTGTGATCTTGGCTCACTGTAACCTCCACCTCCCAGGTTCAAGTGATTCTTGTGCCTTAGCCTCCTGAGTAGCTGTGATTACAGGCACATGCTACCATACCCAGCTAATTTTTGTATTTTTAGTAGAGACAGGGTTTTGGCATGTTGGCCAGGCTGGTCTCTAACACCTGACCTCAGCTGATTGACCCATCTTGGCCTCCCAAAGTGCTGGGATTACAGACATGATCCACTGCGCTCAGCCTGCCTTGTAATTTTTGATTGGATATCAGACATTGTGAATTTTACCTTGTTGGGTGCTAGATGGTTTGAACTCCTCCTTTTTGAACTTTGTTGTGGGATGTGGTTAAATGACTTGGAAAAGTTTGACCCTTTGGAATTTTAAGATTTGTTGGGTAGAACTGGAAAAGTTCTCAGTCTAAGGTTTACTGTACCACACCCCTGAAGCTATTGGTGGTGGGAGGCAGTATGACGTGGGATTAAACTGTGTGTAAATTCAGCTGCAGCAGTTGTTCCCTGTGTGGTCCTGGGGAAGACACCAGCCCTCTTTGAATGTCATTTTTCTCATATGTAAAATGGGAATATTAATGCCTAATTTTGTAAAGTTTTTTTGAGGTCTGGAGACAAGGCATGTAAAATGAGTAGCAGATGCTCAGTAAGAGATAAATAAACTAGCAAACCTAAACTGTACCTAAGAAGCATGTTTCCAAAGCAGATGTTGAGGTCCGGAATAAGGAAGGATTCCAAAGCTATTGCAACATCATGTGGCTATTATTAGGCTCTCAAGATCCTCACATGAAATCAGTCTTAATTGGGTGGGACCTGCCACCGATTTGTACTCTGAAGACTTCATTTTACTCTACATTGGGCTGGAGTAGAGTAGTATGTTTAGAATACTTGTGTTATGGGGAAGCCTGGACAGACAAGCACAGGGGGGCTGAGAATATTTCAGGAGGGAGAGGAAAATCTTGGTTAGTGTGACTTAAACCCAGAACCTCAGATCTCACAGCCCAGAAGGAAGTTGTGAGAGCTCCCACAGCAAAGCGGGTTTTCCTACCATCTCTCATCTCTCCTCTCTGAAACATCTACTATGTGTCAGGTAACTGGCCAGGTGCTCCTTGCATAATATCTTACTGAATTCTCATCACAACCTTGCAAGGTCAAGATCAGGAGGGGCATGGCTTGAGCAGCTCACAGAGCCGGGACAAGAACTTGGGCCATTTTGATTCCAGACTCTGCTGCTTTAGGGGAGAGTGGGGCCTGGACACTGCGTGTGCCCACTGGAATGGGGCAGGTGGCTGCAGGCAGTGTCCTCAGGGCATGATGGAGAAGGTAAGTATATAAGGGACTGACCAGGAAATGCACAAGATACCGCATTGAAGATGATGCCAGGAATGTCTGGTGATTGGAAGTAACACCTGAGAACTTGTAAACCAGTCCCTGGGCTCCCCAGGCATGGAGCTGGCGGCCCTAGTGGCCCTGTGCTCAGCTCACAGCCAAGACTGACAGGGTTGGGGAGAAGCAGACTGAGGTCTTGACTGGAGGGCACTGAATATGTTGATTAATTTGGGAAGAACTGACGTGTTTACATTATGGAGACTTCCATCTGTGGGAATTATTGACTATTTATTTGCATCTTTTTAAGGTTTCCATCTATAATGTTTTGTGGTTTGTGTGTAGAGGACTTGCTCACTCTTTGCTAGATTTAGTCTTAGGCATTTGATATTTCTTGGCTGCTAGTGTAAGTGGACAGCCTTTTAAAAATACCATTTTCTAATTTTTTTGTTGCTGGTATATAGAAATATGAATTAACAGTTTTATTTCTTCCTTTCCAGTTTTTAAACCTTTTGCTATTTTTTGCTTGCTTTGGGCATTGGGTAGTACCTGTAATAAAATGTTAAGTAGAAGTGGTAATTAGGGTAATTAGCGGGCATCTTTTCTTGGTCCTGATTTCAGGGTTAGGTTTTCAGTATTCCACTGTGTAGGTATAATATTTGCTATAGGAAATGTAGATACTCTTTATTCAATTAAGAAAGTTACCTCTTATTCTTAGTTTTCTAACATTGTTTTTCCTGAATGGATGTTGGGTTTTATCAAATGCATTTTCTGCATCTGTTGATGCTCATATGACTTTACTCTTTTAATCTGTGAAATCTGTACATATAGATTTCTGGTTGTGTCTACATATAGCTTTCTGGATTTTTTCCACTAAGCATAATGTTGTCACTAAGGATAAGGTTGTCATAATGTTTTTCACTAAGCACAATGTCAATGTTTTTTTCTTTTTTTGGAGATGGAGTCTCGCTCAGTTGCCCAGCCTGGAGTGCGGTGGCGAGATCTCGGCTCACTGCAAGCTCTGCCTCCCAGGTTCCTGCCATTCTCCTGCCTCAGCCTCCTGAGTAGCTGGGACTACAGGCACCCATCACCATGCCTGGCTAATTTTTTGTATTTTTAGTAGAGACGGGGTTTCACTGTGTTAGCCAGGATGGTCTCAATCTCCTGACCTCGTGATCAGCCCGTCTCAGCCTCCCAGAGTGCTGGGATTACAGGCATGAGCCACTGTGCCCGGCCCAATGTTTTTCCACTAAGCATAATGTTGTCAAGGTTCATCCATGTCATAGCATGTATCAGTACTTTGTTCCTTTTCATTGCTACATAATATTCCAGTGCTTGGATATACTGCATTTCATTTATCCACTCACCCATTGATTCGCACTGGGGTTCTTTCTACTTTTGGACTATTATGGGTAATTATGCTGTAAACATTCCTGTATAAGCTGTTCTGTGGACAAATGTTTTCATTTTTCATGGAAGAAAATTTAAATTAGAAATTTTGTTTGATTTATTCTTGCTAAAATTCCATATCATTATATTTACTGAACATATTAATCACAGCTATTTTTATATCCATTTCTGATAATGCTAATATTTAGGTCTCCAGTGGTCTGTTTCTAATGTCTTTTTCCTTTTAATTTCAGTCACTTCTTGTCTTTTAGCACAGGGTTTTTTTTTTTTTTTTCCTATTGAAGGCCAGCATGTGTATCATAAGATCACAGGCATGATTTGAAGTCTTGGAGGTTACATTCCTCCAGGGAGGGTGTATGTTTGTTTTTGGCAGGCTTTTAGAGTAGGAGGAAGACCACTAAGTCTGAATGGACTTGAAGCTGTGCCACTGTTTGTGAGGTGAGCCTTTTTCTCATCCACTGTGCCCCTTTGGGGAACCTGTAGTGTTCCCCAGGCCCTGAACTCTGCCTTTTCCCCCTCAATCCTGAGAGGTAGCCAGAGGCTTTGCTCAGCTCTCAGCCTCTCAGTAGCTGCTTTCTAAATGGCTGCTTGACTTGGGAGTGGAATGATGCCGCTTGTCTTTGAAGCCAGAGGGACCTGGAGAGGGTGTGCCCGGTCCACTGTTGGTGTCGCCAAGACTGAAAATCTCAGGCCCTGACCGGGGTGGTGGCGCTTCCACATCTGCCCTGCGGCTGCTCCCAGGCAGTGCCTTCCAGGTAGAAAAGGGACCAAGGCCACAAGGCACAACTGCTCATGGCCCTCACTCAGCTCCTGCCCTGGAGACCAATCCCATCAGAGGCAGACGTGATGCACAGGTGTGGGGAGGGCGATGGACAGACAGCAGCAGATAGGGCTTCTGAGGTTCCTGAAGTGTCCCCCAGGGAGTCTGGCTTTGGACTTTGAAGAACACACAAGGGTCGCAACATGCTGCAATCTTCTCCCCACCCGGCCCCCTGAGGAAGGAGGGGAAAGACTTCAGCAGTTCTTCTTGTGGTTACTATTTATTTTGTATTTTCCCTCTGGGTTGAAACTAAGTTGAGATTTAAATCATTTTGAGAAGTCGAAAGCTGTACTGTTGTTTTTCTTTTGTAAAGAGCATAAATCATTCTGTTTTGCCAGTGGAATTTAATATTTTACTCCAGAAGCTAATTTCATGGCTCCAGAAAAGCAATTTGTTTTTGGAATGAATGCAGGGTGTTTGGTCAGATTGCCTGGTGTGTTTTGAGCTCGGATGCAGGCCAAGCTCACCTGCAGAGGCTGACGGGGCTGTGTGCTCCTTCCTCCCTGGCAGACAGTGCCATCTCAGGCCACCTCCACTCACAGTATGGGCTTCTGATGGGATTAGTCCTCAGCATGGGCTGTTTACAAGGAGATAAAGACAGAACAGAGGTCACACACCATCTAGAAAATGTTGTAGTAATTCTTTGGAGTAATTTTACATCTGTTAGACCTAATGAAGATTTTTGGCTTGTATTTTATGTATCTTTGTTTTTCATTTTATTTTTCTAGTGTTTTATTTTTATTATATTTAGCTAAAGTATCCGTCTGCAACGTAGCGGAGTGAATGAAATGGGTCCTTCTCCAGATGCCGTGAGAAGTCCTGATCAGGACTTGGGAGGCGGATGCAGCCAGGGGCTGGCCCCTTTGTGGTTGGACACAGTTATTGAGCTCCAGGCTGTGGTGGGAGCCTCCTCATGGAGGGCACTGTTTGCTTCTGCAGAGGAGAGCATTTGGGTGGGGCGTGAAGCAGTGGTGCCTGCGGGAGACTTGCTCCAGGATGGTGGAGCAGAGGGCGTGGGGAGCCTGTGGCTGTGGAAGGGGTAGAGCTAATACCGGGATGGAGCTAAGACCCCCAAGACACACTCTGGAGAAATTGAGGGTTTTCCCTGTTAGCCAAATTTTGGGGGTATGAGGAAGCCCAGTACTCATCTCCCTTCTCCACATCCCAAGTTCTGAATCAGCTCAGGGAAAGGCAAGTAGAGGGATTGTGAATGTCAACATTTGGACTCTATTTCTGGTAAAAATTGAGTTTTCTAATGCTAAATCTCAGCTTCAGGGGACTCAGTGAGTAGCCTGTGCTGGACGTGCACCGGCTTCCTCAGATGCTGGCTACCCGTGGGTGACTGCAGTCTGGCGGAGTGCCCAGAGGGCAGGCCAGAGCACTTTTCCTCTCCTAGCCACACAGTAGGATGGCCTCTCCTCTCCCCATGGGACAAGTGACTGAAGGGGCCGGCCAGGGGTCAACACCAGCAGGGTCCCTCCACAGGGAAGCAACTCCAGGGGTGAGGAGCACAGTTCCCCACCACACACACGCTGAGGTGTTTCAGCCTCATGAAAATAACACGTTTCCCTCAAGCGTTTTCTCTGCCTTCCATTTTGTGCACGTTTCTCCTTCCATTTCTGCTGCCTCCCCAGTGAGACGTTCATTCATGGTGCAGGTGCTCTGAAGCATGTAGTTAATTAAATGTAAAAACCAAACAGAAGCTTACGAAGTAGTTAGGTCTCCTTTTCCCCAGAAGACAACAACCACAGGGAATTGGTTGTGCAAAAGTGATTGCAAAGCGAGAAATTCAAGAGCTCAAGATTTCACGTCATTGTTCAATTCCCAGTGACGTCCTGTGGTATTTTCTAGTTCCAACGAGGCTGAAGAATAAACCTTTCCTATGGCACGGGATGCTCACATGCGGGCAGCTGTGGCCACAGGACACCCACTAGACTGTCAGTGTTTGCAGGTTGGATGCCAGTGCATCCCAGTCTGCAGCACAGAGGCGGCCCGGCACCGAGCTCTCAGTGTGTGGCTGGTGGATGAAAGAGCAAGTGTCGATGCTCTCACAGGCCCTCTACCCCTGGCCAAGGTGGACCGGTGCTCACACATGGTGGCTTTACCAATCCAGGCCACGGAACTACTTTCCTTACGTTTCTGGGCAGGGACCTCTTGCGTGTGGCCCATCTCTCTGGGAGATGGAAGTGCTACGACACAGGGTTTAGGTGGCGTCCCTGCTCGCTTCTCATTGTAAGGGGGAAGCTGGGCTGCCTGGGGAGAGGCTGGGAGCTCCTGCCCTGCAGCCCTCTCCTCTTGCCTTCCAAATCCTGTGTTAGACATCCTGGATCCATCCTTCCATTTTCTTTTCTTGTTTTGAATTTATAAACAACAGAAATATATTCCCCACAGTTCTGGAGGCTGGGAAGTCCAGCATCACAGCACTGGTAGGTTCAATGTCTGGTGAGGGCTACTCTCTGCTCCAAGGTGGCTCCTTGAATGCTGTGTGCTCCAGAGGGGAGGGTGGTTTTCTTGTGCTTCCTTGCATCAGCTCTCCTTTCCTGTAGATCCCCTTAGCTTTATTTTTAAATCTTTCTGGCACTTTTAAACAAAGTTTCATCATATTTTCTTCTCCAAGAGTGTTTTCGTGTCTCCTATTTTCCTGATCACCACTCCGTCCTTCCCTCAAAGGTGACCTCATCCTCGTTGCTTCATCTCATCCTGTCACCCACATCATTTCTATCCATTTCCCCACTGGTGGGCATCTGGGAGCAATTGTGTGGCAGACATTCTCATGCATGCCGCTGAGGACAGTGTGGATGGGGCGACAGTCCCCAGTGCGAGGAGTGGTGATGCCTGGGAGTGTGTCATAGTGCACACAGCACGCAGCTGCTCTTGGTGACGAGCGTTACTTCACTGTGGCCACAGCATGGGGTGAGCTCTCTCCCGGGAGGCTGCCATCTCACTGGGACACACGCTCCTCCGCTGAATGCTTTTCAGTGGCTTCTTGTCGCTCTCAGGATGAGAGCAGCACATGGAGCCCCTCACGGACTCACACTGCCTCGCTCTCACACACCATCCAGCTGTGGTGAATGACTTGCTGTCACCCCAAGTCACGGGGTTCCCTGAAGCCCATGTGAGTTCAGAGTGCATGGGGGGCAGGCAGTGTGGCCATTCAGATGATGCCTCTGAGGTCAGGCCCCTTAATGTCCTCACTTCCCCCTACTCCCCGGGACTCTCAGTTTAAGCTGCTGCCTGCACGTCCTGCTCCTGGAGGCTGCACAGGCAGGTGGGCTGAGTGGGGCTGGTGAGGCATCCTGGGCAGCTGTCCACACACCAGGGCTGGGCCCAGGACCCAGGGTGGCTCAGTGCGGACTGGGTGGGGTGTCACTGGGTCCTGCTTTGGAGCTGCAGGGTTTCTCTGGGTTGTTAGAGTGAGTGATTGAAGAGGCGCCATCCTCCCCTCCAGTCTGACTCAGGAAGAAATCATGCCCCGCTGCCGGGCTCCGTGGCTCTCCAGATCTTCCTGCAAACACTCCCAGCCACATAGGTTAACCCGTGCTTGTTTTGGGATTGGCGGCACTGTGTCAGGCTGGGAAGCTGCATGGCAGTGTCGGGAGGAGGAGGTGATGGCCAGCTCTGTCCCAGAAGGAAAGGAGGCAGTGGGGCATCAGGGGAGAGACTTGTAGAACTCTGGGGTGGGTGAAGGGGGGCACCCCAAGCAGGCTGCCCTCACTTTTTCTCGATAGCAAGCACACAGCCCACCCCCGAGGAGAAAAGCCCAGAGCACGCCTGCCCTCCTGGGAACACGGCCACTGACATCGTTTCCTGGGGCTGCTGCAACAAACCGCCACACACCAGTGGCTTCAAACAACAGAGATTTATTCTCTCAAAGCTCTGGACGTTGAGGTCTGAAATCAGTCATCACTAGACCCAAATCAAGGTGTCGGCAGGACCGCTGCCCTCCGGAGCTCTGGGGAGAAGTCCTTCTTGCTAGTTCTGGCTTCTGGTAACTGCTGTAGTCCCTTGGCTGTGGCCCTGTGTCCCTTGAGTCTTCGCCTCCCTCCCTAAGGGGCTTGGGATTGCACTACACCCACCAGGAAAGCCCAGGGTGATGCCCCTGTCCCCAAAGAGCCTTACTGCCCTGTAGGGTGTATGGGTCAGGGTGTATTGGTCCAGGGAAATAGAATAGAATACATATGTTCATACAGATGGACACACAGAGAGAGGGAGAGGCAGGGAGGGGGGGATCAGGAGAGAGGGGTTCCTCTTAAGGAACTGGAACCTCAGGGCTTCTCTGATGCACACTTCGGGCACTGAAAGTGCCCCCGTGTGCTTGACCTCAGCACCTTGGTGCCCACCACAGGGCCTGGCATGACCAGCACTGGGCACCATCTGGGTGGAAAGAGATGGAATGGTGAGTGGGTGGGCACATGGGGCTGCCCAGAGAGCACCCTCAGACCTCCTCGAAGTGTGTGCTTCCACAGGGTGGAGTGGGTCAGCCATGGTGTCCATTATGGAGGCTGGCAAGTCTGAAACCATGCAAGGAGGGTGGGCGGCTGGAGACCCAGAGAAGCATCCCAGCTGGAGTGGGAAGGCCATCTGCTGGCAGAGTTCTGCTTTCCTCAGGAGGCGGGAGTTGACTCTTAGTCTTTGCTCTGAAAGCCTTCAACTGGTTGGATGAGGCCCACCTACACTATGGAGGGTGGTCTGCTTCGCTCAAAGTCTACTGATTTAAACATTAGTCTTATCTAAGAAGCACCTCTGAAGAAAGATCTAGATTTGTGTGTGACCAGGCAACTGGGCACAATAGCTTAGCCATCATATAGGATGACATGAGTTGCAGGGATCAGGACGGGGACATTTATCGGGGCACTGCTCAACTATCCCCTAGCCCCAGAACCTTTGCGGGCCGGTGCTGTGCTCGTCCAGCCAATGTCCCCCCCTCACCTAGATGGTCAGGTCCTTCCAAGGATGGACGTGAAGGCGGCTAGCTCCATGTTGTGGTGCAGGAGCACTGGCTGAGCCAGACGGCCTGGTCTTGGTCCCAGCTCTGCCACCCACTGGTGGTATGGCCTTGGGCAAGTCACCTGATCCCTCTCGGCCTCAGTTTGCTCATCTGAAAAGCAGGGACTGTTGCCATGGTAGTCCTTGCGAGGATTAAATGAATAGAGGCAGAGTTCCCTCTTGCCCTGTGCCCTCCCAGCATGACAGCAAAGCCTCCTGTGGCCCTGGTAATGTCTATGGATTGACAGTCACCTGCCTGGCCGGCCTGCCATTTCATTCTGGTGCAGTTGCGCTGACCCGGGGATTTTTATTATTTCCATTTTACTTAGTCGGAGAAGCAGTAAATTTATTTTAAGGTAATGATCTTGCTTTTTCCTCTTGTTCCCATAAATTATGACTCAACAGGTCTTGCACAAACAGTTTGGTTTGATATCTCCCATTAATCTTTGCTATATTTTGTAAGCGAACTTCAGTGCAGTGAACTGGGTTTTAATTAAATCTTGAAATTTCCAGTATTTCACAGCTCACTGTGGCATTGGACTATAAAGGGAGGAGGCCATATAATTTCATAGGCAGCAGCTCCCTTTACTACAAATATGCAAAGTAGAGCTTGCTTCCTTCAGAATTCTTGCTCTAGACCATTTTATTTTCCTGGCAACACCTGCTAGATGTCCTTCTTTCTGAAATAAGCAGGGTGTTTGGGGACTCCAGGGGGAGGGGACAGAAATGCAAAACATGTCGTCAAGGAAAAGGCTGTCATCTCTACAGAGCCCCGTCCAGGGAGCCCTGACACCTTGGCCGAACCCACTCCACCTGTGGAAGCACACACTTAGAGGAGGTCTGAGGGTGCTCTCTGGGCAGCCCCATGTGCCCACCCACCCCTCACTCCATCTCCTTCCACCCAGATGGTGCCCAGTGCTGGTCATGCCAGGCCCTGTGGTGGGCACGGAGGTGCTGAGGTCAAGCACACAGGGGCACTTTCCATGCCTGGAGGGTGCGTTGGAGAAGCCCTGAGGTTCCAGGCTCTCAGGGCGCCATTTGGCATCCAGAGGGTGGCATGGAGTGTGCGTTGCTCATCTAAGTCATGATTCTACTGTTCTGTGGCAGACAAATTCCACAAATGCTTCATCTCATGGGACACTCTCCCCATTGCCCAGGCCACGTGGTTCATGCAAACCTGTGGTCAGGGCTCTGCTGGGCACAGTCCATCCTGCCACAGCCCAATGCGGGCCCACCCAGCCTGGCTGCTCCCTAGTGGGCTGAGCACTGAGCCACGTAACCTGCAAGGGCTTGGGGGCTTGGTGACCTTCAGAGGAGCACTGTCAGCTGCTGCTGTCCTTCCATGGGGATGCTCGCTGGGTTCACACAGGCAGGCACTAGTGTGTCATGCTGCTGAGCTCTTCCTGGTCCCAGGTAACATTTCCCCTTCTCTTTCCCCCACGCCTCTGCTCCCTGTGGGATGGTGTTAGGTGGGCGTCAGGAGGACGGCAACTTACGGCCTAAACTGTTCACATCAGTCAGGGCAGTAAGAGGGCCGGTAAAGTGCACTTGTTACATGGAGAGGCTTTGGGCCAGACAGCCTGGTTTTGACACCTCCTTGCTGTGAGACCCTGGGCCACAGGCTTGACTTCTCTGAGCCTCTTGGCATTTTTTTTTTTTAATCCCTCTCTGGCAGAGGAGGGGATGCTCATCAGATATTCTGTCTGCTCCCCACACTTCCTAGTCTTTTTGGGGGTCAGGCTGGGACAGGTGACTTGTTCTGGCTAATGAGCTGTGAGAATAAGTGCTGTGTATCACCTCTGAGCAAAAGCCTCCAGGAGCCAGTGCCCACCCTCCAGGGAACTGTGCGTTCTGGTTGATTCAGCTCCAGCCAGTGGTGCCTCCTCCACCTGAAGCCCTGAGGGAGATTAGACTTTGTGCAGTAAAGCCACTGGGATTGGGAGCATTGTCACCCTGGTGTGACAAGCCTGTCCTGGCCATGCTATCTTCTGCCACCACACTGTGTGTGAGGCCCACGGAAGGCCCACAGCAAATGCTGTCTGTTAAATGAATATACACGGCCTTACCTTGTTCAGGTAGCAGCAGACTAAGAGGACCTGGAATTAGTGGATTTCCCAAGGTGCCTCTTATCTGACCTCTGACATGTTCTAGAACATTCTACACATTAAAAGCCACAGAGCCCAAGGGGTTCAACAACTTTCCCAGGTCATGCTCTGGAGAAGCACCTTATGTGTTGTCAATGGCACTTCTCTTTCATCATTTAGCTGTTCCAGAAAGCATGCTAAGCACCTACTCTGCACTGTACACTGTGCTTGGGACTTGGCTGCAGTAAGCCTAGCTCCTGCTCTCAGCAAGCTGCCAGCAGTGGGCAGGAGCTGGGCAGCAGGGCCTGGTGATGGCAGTGCTGGGGTGTCTGAGACCAGCCCTGCAACCCTGCTCCATAGTGCCTGCACGGCTTTCCTGGTGCAGGTGCAGTTTTGCATCAAACATTTATTAAGCAGCTACTGTGTGCTAGCACTGTGCTAGGCTCCAGGGACCCATATTGCTGTGAGCTTAGTCCTGCCCACTAGAAGTGCTCAGTCAGGAAACAGGAATGTATAACAGCATTTCCGACTGGCTGTGGTGGGCCCCTCCTTCTGCCTTGTGATTCCACCTAGCTCCACAGGTGCCCAGTGATGGAGCCAGAGATATCACTGCATGGCCCCATCTCCCCTACAGGTGAGTGTCAGTGCTGGGCCCGGAGGTGCCCTCCCAGA
Organism: Homo sapiens; assembly: GCF_000001405.40. Classification (NCBI taxonomy): domain Eukaryota; kingdom Metazoa; phylum Chordata; class Mammalia; order Primates; family Hominidae; genus Homo; species Homo sapiens. The sequence goes on along the minus strand of NC_000002.12, from coordinate 129,761,834 downwards.
ACAGATGGCACCCAGCCATCAGCGCCTGGTCCCACCGGGGCTGTGACAAGAGGGTGCACGGCTGGCCATCTCGGACAAGTGGGGACAGTCCTGAGGGGTGTTCTGTGCTCCACAGGGCCCTGCTGCTTGGCCACAGCTGTGCAGCCTGATCAGCCCGGCTTCTTCCTTCCCAGGTTCTCCAGGCCTAGTGAACATCTCCTACCCAGGTGACATAGAATCTGCTGCCACTCGGTCCCCGTTGCCGATGATCAGCCCCTATCCCTCAGAGGTCCTCAGATACTCCCTTCGTGTTGTGGGCCACTGCCTGCATTTGGGCACCATCTTCCTGGACCCAGGTGCCTGCAGCAGCTGCTGCACTGTGGGTCCCCTTGCCCCTGGGCTCCTGCAGTTCCACATCTATGATGAGTGAGTCTTTTCTTTTCTTTTCTTTTCTTTTCTTTTCTTTTTTTTTGAGACGGAGTCTCGCTCTGTCGCCCAGGCCGGACTGCGGACTGCAGTGGCGCAATCTCGGCTCACTGCAAGCTCCGCTTCCCGGGTTCACGCCATTCTCCTGCCTCAGCCTCCCGAGTAGCTGGGACTACAGGCGCCCGCCACCGCGCCCGGCTAATTTTTTGTATTTTTTTTAGTAGAGATGGGGTTTCACCTTGTTAGCCAGGATGGTCTCGATCTCCTGACCTCATGATCCACCCGCCTCGGCCTCCCAAAGTGCTGGGATTACAGGCGTGAGCCACCGCGCCCGGCCGCGAGTCTTTTCTAAGGTTCCAGCTGACTAGTCACAACTCCCTAGATCAAAACTGTCCTGCTAAAGCTCAGGCTCTGCTTCCTGGAACGCAGGTCCCTGAGTCTCAGTCCCTGCCCTGCTGTGGCCCCATCATTCCCTGAGTCTTGCACGCCCTGTCTGGTGTTAGGAACGGAGAGGGTCATGCCTCAGCCCTGAGCCCTGCTGTGCTGGGATGTGCTCCAGAGCTTCTCCTGGATGGTGAGGTCCTGCGGAGCCAGGCCTGGTCTTGCTCACCTGGTCACCCAGTGGAGGGGCTGATGGCGGGCGGGGGCAGCCTGGCGGAGGCAGGTGGTGACCCTTCAGGAGCTGCCTCAGGACAACAGGCTGCCTTTGCTGGCATCAGTGATGATGAGGGTGGGTTGGGGCTGGTCTCCTGAACATCTGGGCTTCTGAACATGTTCAAGGACCCCCGGGGAACCACTGCTGTTTTTTTTTTTTTTTTTTGAGACGGAGTCTCGCTCTGTCACCCAGGCTGGAGTGCAGTGGCGGGATCTCGGCTCACTGCAAGCTCCGCCTCCCGGGTTCACGCCATTCTCCTGCCTCAGCCTCCCAAGTAGCTGGGACTACAGGCGCCCGCCACTACGCCCAGCTAATTTTTTGTATTTTTAGTAGAGATGGGGTTTCACCATTTTAGCCGGGATGGTCTCGATCTCCTGACCTCGTGATCCGCCCGCCTCGGCCTACCACTGCTGTTTAACGCCAGTGCTTGGCCCCGGCTGGCGTATGGTGACCAGTGTCCGTGAGAGACTGAGGGATAGCATGGACCCTGGCAAGGAGGTCACATATGAGTGAAGTACCTGAGACGCTAGTGCTCTGAGGGCTGGAGAGGGGACCGGAGCTTCACACATGGGGACCTCCTTGAAAGCCCAGTAGGAGCCCTGGGGGCCGAGCGAGAGTTTGCGTTACCATGGTTGGGTGTGGTGGGTGGTGTGTGTATGTGTGGGTGTATGTGTGTAGTGTGTGTGTGTGTATGCCTATGTGTGGTGTGTGTGGTGTGTATATGTGTGTGTGACGTGTGGTATGCATGTGGTATGAGATGTGTGCATGTGTGTGGTATGTGTATGGTGTGTGTGTGTGGTGTGTATGTGTGTGGTGTGCATGTGTGGTATATATGTGCTATGTGGTATATGTGTGTGTGTGTGTGTGGTGTGCCTGTGATGTGTTCATGTGAGTAGTGTATGTGTGCTTTGTGTGGTGTGTTCACGTGAATACTCTGTGCTGTGTGTGGTGTGTTCTTGTGAATGGTATATGTGTGGTATGTGTGGTATGTTCATGTGTGTGGTATATGTGTGGTGTGTGTGGTGTATGCATGTATGTGTGCACTGTGTGATGTTTATGTGTGTGGTGTGTTCATGTATATGGTATATGTGTGGTGTGTGTACGTGTGCAGTACATGTGTGTGTGGTGCATGTGTGGTGTGCTCATGTGAGTGGTATGTGTGTGGTGCATGCATGTGTATGGTATATGTGTGGTGTGTGTGTATGTGTGTATATGTGTGGCATGTGCTTGTGTGTGGTATGGGTGTGGTGTGTGTGTGGTGTATGCATGTGTGTGGTGTATATGTGGTGTGTGTTGTGTGTGTGTGTGTGTGTGTGTGTGTGCACACCCATGGGACATGGAGTGCTGAGGGCATAGAGGGCACCCAGGGGTTAACAGGTGCTGGGTTGGGTCTCAGCTGAGATCCCAGGATGGACTTGCCCACAGATGCCATGGACCCCCGGGGGGCCCTGTCTTCAATTCGCCCATGGTGACTGTGCGCTGCTGATGGGGTGTGTGGGGGATGTGTGGAATTGGGGGAAGCCTGGTTCTGCTGCTTCCCACTCCACAGGATGCCCCTAGGCACCTGGTGTCCTTACAGGGGATGAGCCATCCTTGCAGGGAACCCAGGGAGAGGCTTCCTCCACCCGGGTGATACCATATTCGCTTCCTCACCCAGCCTCCAGGACGGTGGGGCTGTGCTTCCTCCACCCGCGTGATACCATTTGTTTCCTCACCCAGCCTCCAGGAAGGTGGGGCTCTGCTGTCTACAGACAAGCATGCTGGGATTGCAGAAGTTGGTTGCCATCCTCGGGTTGCAGAACCACCAATAATAAGAAAAGTGAGCGCTCGGTCCTGGCTCCTGCAGGCAGCTGGGCTGCTGTGGGTGCTGGGTGAGGCAGGGGCTGTGAGGGTGTGGGGCATGGGTGCCCACCCTCCTGGACGCACACTGAACACTCACAGCACTCTGCTGGGGGTCCTCGCCCGACCTTGCAGATGAGCAAACTGAGGCTCAGATAGGCTAATGTTGCTGGAAAGTCGCTGGGCTACTTGGAAGGCTTGGGATTGGAGCCCAGGGGAGGGAGCCACCAAGAGCGGCACTCTCCCTCCGGTGTGATTTATGAGACGAGCAGGGCTCCTTTCGTTTTCAGCAGAGTTACATGTTTTCATTCCTGGATTAGCTTCAGCTTCTCCAGGACCCCTGTCAATTAACTGTGCTTGGAGCTACACTTTTAACAAAATTACACTTAATCAGACTATCTGTGGCCACGAGGGGGAATCTGAGAGGCTGGGATGCTGTCTCTGAGCTTCGGGTAATTAAAAATCCAGTATTCTCCATGAAGGAAAAAAGACCTAGAACCACGATGGCCTGAAAGTAAACATGATTAAAAAGTCCTCCTTCATAATCCTCATTCTCCTTTCCATTGCTGAGGTGTGGAAACTATTTCTTTTCTAGTCCTGGGCTGAATGTCAAAATTTACATTTAAATAGGCCTGTATTGTAGCGAGCCTGGGCCCTAATGAGAGTGTTAATGTGCCTAGTTTCAGAAGTGCAGCTTGATCAGCGTTCAGCCTGGAAACCGGTTCCAAGCTCTGTAATGCAGGTCTCTGGGCCAGAAGCTGCTCTGCCTGAGGCAGCGTCACGTTTTGCAGGCCACTTCCTTTGGGACCTCAGCAATCGAATGGCATCTTTATTCCCTGGTTCTCTGAGTGTGAGATGTGGCTCCTTTCTTTCCTCCTGCAAACCCTGGGGCAAGAGTGGGGAGGAAAGTGGGGTCTGTGGAGCCTGGGTGCTTTTCCACTCCCCAGCTGGAGCAAGCTGTTTGTCCATATCCACTGTTGCCACACTCCCATCTCTGGGGACCTGGGCAGGCTCGGTATGTTGAAGCCTCTTTAAGGAAGACCAGCTTAGCAGCTTAGCTGACCCTGGAATCCTAGAACACCCAGAGATGTCTTTTTAAAGGGAATGGCCACTTCAGCCTATACTGACAAGCGTTGTTGTGGCTCACGGTCAAGAGACTTTGGATTTGGGCAAAAAAAAGGAGGTTGAGCCGGGGCCTCTCCCAGCATGTGGTTCAAGGAACACATCTGTAGGTGTCTGATGCAGAGCCCACGAGGTGGCTTCAGCTGCAGCCACCATCTACTGTGGACCCACAGCTGTTGGCCGGCGTGGCACAGGTGCTGGGCACATCAAGGCTGAGTCTAATGGCATCGGTGTGTAATCGTCCCTCTCCCTCTTTGCAGATGGCAGATGAGGTGCTGGGTGGCCCCTCAGCCACCCCCAGGCCACCATTTAAATTCTAGTCAGAGCCAAGATTTGAACCAAGCTTGCCTGGTGCCTGGACCCACTAAGGGCAGAGCCATTTTTTGTGAAATTTCTCCCCACAGGTTGGAGACAGATGTCTGGGACACTTATTCTGGGCACATTCGGGAGAGAAAGCAGAGGGCTGCCTGCAAGAGTGGAAAGACTCCCGCAGTGGCTGGTCAGGCCACCCTCCCTGCCCCCAGCACTGTTGCTGGATTTGCTGGCTCACGTGCTCTTCCCCTCTCGGCAATGAAACCACCTTTGCAGAGTTACATGTAATGAGAAAAATCTAACATGACAGACTCCATCTTGCTTCTAGCCTCACAGGCTAAGTTGATTTTTTTGCTTATTCAAGTTTGGAGGCCAAGAGAGCTATGAAAGGAATTTGGTTTGTAGTTAAACTTTGAGGCAAGGAAAACTGACCCCTCCTTGTTTGGAGATTGAACTGCATCTATAAGACAAGGTTAGGATATGGTAGGGCCTGAGCTTTGCTGGAGAAGACTCAGAGGGAAACCATGACCTGCCATTGGTTTGCTGCCCCTGAATCAGGTAATTGGAGATTGCAAGGTTGGTTAACTTCCCCATCTACTCCTATAGATAACATCACTATTGTGAAATGTAAGGAATGGGTCTTTGAGATGTTTTGCAGATTTAGCATTTTGGCAGACCAAAAGACACCACCTGGACTGTGATCCCTTTCCCAGGAACCGACTTGGCTGCACAGAGACAGTGCTGACACTCCTGTGGTTTCATCCCCAGCCCAACCAATCAGGATTCCCTATTCCCTAGGCCCCTGCCTACCAAAGCATCGGAAAAACCCTAGCCTCTGAATTCTCAGGGAGACAGATTTGAGAATTCTCTCCCCACCTCCTCATTCGGCTGACCCTGCAATTATTAAATTCTTTGGTGCAATTCCTGCTAGTCTCAGTGCATTGTCTTTTTTGGGCAGTGGGCGAGAAGAACCCGGTTGGGCAATGACAGCAACAACAGTTCAAGATGTCTGCACTGTTCTCCCACCCCAAGCTCCTCCCTCACCCTCGGCGGGTGACCCCACTTCTCTGGGAACATGGAAGCCATTCTGGGGTTTCTCCAGTTTCCATCCGCAAGCCTGGCTGCCACCTGGCATCTGCAGCCATTTCTTCTTCCCTCCTTTTGTTACAGTGGAGGGCTGTGCTCATTCTCTTTCTGAGGCTGTCGGCCCTTCTGGGCTCTGGGTTCCTCCCCTTCTTTCTGCTCAGGGAACTCGCCTGTCCATGAACCCCTTACTCCCGCATCTCCAAACTCTCCCACCTCTTCCTTCCTACCCTTACATCTCTCTGGTCTTACACAGACAAAAACCAGCCAAGCAAACAAGAGAGTCATGTCCTCAGAGCCGAACTTCTCGAGTTCTCCTTCATGCCTCCCCCGTGCCCGTCTGCCGGCATTCCCTCCCTGCATGCATTCCCTCCATATGTGGTCTCACAGCTCCAGAGACCCCCAGGGATGGAGATCGTCATCTGCTCATCTTTAGCCCCATCTCTTATGGGAGCTTCAGATCCTATATCCAGTTGCTATCTGGACATCTTCACTTGGGATCCCCTGAGGCACCTGGAATTAGAGTGCCTGAGACCAAGTGGACCCTTGGGAGTTTCAGCCTGGCACACTCATGAGAGCATCTGCGGAAGCACTGGTGTATTTTAATTGTCTCTCTCCTCTCTCTCTGCCTCCCCGCATTAGACAGAACAAATCATATGCATTGGTTTTGAGTTTCTTTATCTTCAACAAAGGGTTACAGTCTCCATCTTAAGTTCTTCCTGGTGTCTCCAGAGAAGTGACTCTCAAACTGGGGCATGCATCAGAATCACCTAGAAGGCACTGAAACACAAATTGGTGGACGTCACCCCAGGTTTCAGATTCAGCAGATCTGGGCTGGGTCCTGAGAATTTGAACTTCCAATAGATTCCCAGTCCTGGGGACCACACTTTGAGAACCACTGTTTTTAGAGGATCAGATCAAATACTTGAAGAAAGAACTTCTCTTAGCTTAGAGCAAAATTGAACGTTTGCATGGACTTCCCTGGCCCCCTTCAGTTCTCCTCAAGTCCCCTGCAGGCCTCCAAGGAGTATCAGCCATAGAACATCCATCCTCGGCAAGGATGGGGCCAGCATTAGATATCTCTCAGCTTAACAGGAAAAGAGAGAAGATGGCAGAACAAATCATCAAACGATCAATTTACAATCGCCTAAGAGAGCAGCAGCTACACCGTAGCAATCAATACTCAATGCAGACGTGACGATTGAGAGAATGATTGATCTCCCTTCATCAGGACCAGCTCTTCTTGCAGCAGGGAGGGTGCCCTGTCCTCCAGGGGCATAACTGAGAGCCCCCCCCACAACTCTGCATGCACTTCCTGAGCCACAAATGTGCCAGGCACTGTGCTGAGTGCCGAGGTCAGAGATGGCAGAGCCCGCCTTTGTCCCAGGCATCTGGGGAGAGGCCAACAGACATTCCACATGGTGGGTGCTGAAAGGATGCACTTGTACTGAGCACCAAGTGTGTGCCAGGCCCTTATTCACAGCCATTGCCTCACCTGTGTTTGCAGAGGCCTGTGAAGGGGGTGCCTTTATCCCCGTTTTGTAGGTGAGGAACTGAGCAGGCCACACGTTTCTAGCCAGCACAGGGGATACAAGTGCTGTCTATAAAGAACTTACAGTTTATTTAAAGATACAAATCTATGACACAGAGTAAAATAATTGCCCAAGATTTGCCTGGACTGGACAGGCCAGCCTCGGAGCGCTCCCAGCCTCGCTGAAGTTAAATCCCTGGATTGAGGGGAATGGCGCAGTGGAGCACCCGCCCTGGGAAAGGGTGGGAGCAGTTGCAGCGAGCAGCGCAGAGCGGGCGCCGCACCTGGCATTCGGAAGGCACGTGATCACTTAAAGCGCCAAGGAATGTACTCACCTGTGAAGAGAAATGTACAGCTGGCATCTAACTGGAAACGTCCAACTGGGGTATTGGCAGACACAACTGCAGCTGATCCATTTTCTTGTGAGAAAATTAGCAGGGTTCCCACCAGACATGATGAATACATCAATTACAGCGGTCGGCCCTTATCCACGGGGGATACGTTCCAAGATGCCTGAAACCACTGATTGTGCCGAACCCTATATTCACTGTTTTTTTCTATGCACACATACCTATGATAAACCTTAATTAAAGTAAATTAGGTATAATAAATGAAAACAATAACTAATAATAAAATAAGACAATATGCTGCAAAAAGTTATGTGACTGTGGTCTTTCTTGATTTCAAAATACCTTATTGTGCTGTGCTCATCTATTTCCAGATTGTGGTTGACTATGGGTAACTAAAACATTGGAAAGCAAAACCTTGGATAAGGGGGACTCCTGAAATAGAATCCTGTGCAATGAAACAGAGCTTCCTGTTGGACGGAGGCAGTGAAAATCACAAACACATATACAATGCTTACTACATGTCAGCCACTGTCATAAATCTTTTTTTTTTTTTTTTTTTGAGATGGAGTCTCACTCTATCGCCCAGGCTGGAGTGCGGTGGCACGATCTTGGCTCACTGCAAGCTCTGCCTCCCGGGTTCACACCATTCTCCTGCCTCAGCCTCCCCAGTAGCTGGGACTACAGGCGCCTGCCACCCCCAGCTAATTTTTTATATTTTTAGTAGAGACAGGGTTTCACCGTGTTAGCCAGGATGGTCTCGATCTCCTGGCCCCGTGATCTGCCCGCCTCGGCCTCCCAGAGTGCTAGGATTAGAGGCGTGAGCCAACGTGCCTGGCCCACTGTCCTAAATCTTTACGTATGTTAGCTCATTAAATCCCTACAACAACCCTATATGGTGGAAAGTATTATTTTCCTCATTTCACACATAAGGAAACTGAGGCATGGGGAGGTTAAAGGACGTCTCTGAGGTCACACAGCTATCAAACATGCCTGGAGGCTTAGAGAATGTGCGGAATGCTTGGGGAAGAACATTTAGGTGGTAGTTTTCAAAATGTGGTTCCCACACCGGCAACTTCATCACCACCTGGGAATGTCGCAGCCCTCTGCATTTCACAGCTCTCCAGGTGAGTCCGGTAGAGGATAGAGTGTGAGAATCTCTGTTTCAGAGCATGCAGTGGCAGGTAAAGATGGCTCGCAGGAAAGGAGACCGAAGGAGGAGAGCTTTATCATCTTCAACACACGCTGATGGGATGTATTCCATGTCTGGCTTGGAAAACAATCTCTTCCTCTCCACTCTATTGGCAAAGTGGGCAGAGCTAGTTCCCCAGAAGGCTTGCATACTGAGGGAACAGCTGGTTAAACCTCTCCAGGGGAGGGGAGTTGTCCCTCAATGTTTGGCCTTGGGAGGGAAGCTGGTTGAGGGAGATGAGGGAAAGCGGAGAGGAGGAAGGAAGATTTGCAGAAAAATTGCACTGTCTGTGGGCAGGATACTCCAGGGCCCTCTTTCCGAACCACTCAGCCTCCATCTCGGTACCTCCCACCTTTGCAGAACTCCTGAGCTCCCTGAACGGCTCCTTTGCCGCCTCGCTCCTGGGCTGGACACACCGTCCGGCTTCCTTTGAGGTTCTAGCTTGTCTTCCTTTTGGCTATGGTTTGCATGAACCCTCAGCCAAAGTTTTCTTTGAGAATTATCAAATAGCATCATAACATCCTTCAGGGAGCTTCCCCCCTGCCCCTACGCTACCCGCCTAACCCGGAACCACTCTTTGTTGGGCCTTGCCAGCCTCAGAGACTCTCACTGAACTGGTCATGATGAATTCTGGGATGGGGAAGGGGCCCCTGTCACAACCAGCTCATCCTCATGGCAAATTTATCATCTCTAAGTTGTTTTTCTGCTAAAAGCATCTAAAAGGAGGCTGCAGAGGTTTATATCTTAATACTTGTGCTGTGAGTTCTTGACTTATGTGTGTGTGAGGGTTAGTGTGTTCATGCTTGCCTAATGGAGGGGCAGTCCTGGGGAACTGAAATATTTAGATTTCTATCTGTCAGACCCATTAAGTTATAAAGTGCATTTCAAATTGAAAATACTGTACAAGGGTTATTCCTGCTGTCTCAGGAATGTTTCAGTTAATTGGATCTTAATCTGGAGTCATAACCCATCTTGAATCGCTCCAGGGATTTTCTGCAATGAAGGCATGATTCCTGCTCTGCGGTCATGGCCATGCCTGCCCAGGCAAGGCTAATATAGAATACATTAAGTATTCAAAACACCTCACACAGGCAGACAATCTCACCTCCTCAGGTCAAATGACCCCAGGTGGTTTCTCCATTGCTATCTTTTTGCTGTGACATATTTAGACGATTCCTTCAGTTCCCCACAATGTTTTCCAGTGGGTATCAAGCTATTTTCTAATTTCACTAAGCCCAACTGTACTTGATGGAAATTCTCTGGACACTTTAGGAATTCTAAAGGTAAATAACTTATTTCTTTAAGCTATCCTAATGAGAAAATGATCTTACAAACTCTGAGTATTAACTTTTAAAACAATTTCAATAAAAGTTTAAAAACTGGGACTTGTGGGTACTATATCGTTTGAATTCTTGCATGTCTGAAGATTTTTCCACCTGCCATTTTTACTGCTAGTTTTACTATTTTTTAAATTTAGATTTTAATTTTAGATTCAGGGGTACATACGTAGGTTTGTAACAAGGGTATGTTGTGTGGTAATAAGGTTTGGGCTTCTATTGTTCCTGTTACCCAGATAATGAGCATAATATCCAATAGGAAGGTTTTAAGCCTTTGCCCCCTTCCCCCTCTTCCTCCTTCCTTCATTTTTGAGTCCCCAGTGTCTACTGTTTCCATCTTAAGTTCATGTGAACCCAAGATTTAACTCCCACTTATAAGTGAGAACATGTGGTATTTGGTTTCTGTTCCTGTGTTAGTTCACTTAGGGTAATGACCTCCAGCTGCAACTATGTTGCTGCAAAGGACATGACTTTGTTCTTTTTCTACGGCAATGGTGTATTCCATGGCATTATGTACCACATTTTCTTTATCCAGTCCACCATTGATGGGTATCTGAGTTGATTCCACATCTTTGCTATTGTGAATAGTGCTGTGATGAACATATGGGTGCAAGTGTCTTTTTGGTATAACAATTTACTTTCCTTTGCGAATACATCCAGTAATGAGATAGCTGGGTTGAGTGACAATTCTATTTTCAGTTCATTGGAAATTTCCAAACTGCTTTCTGCCTAATTGCATTGCCACCAACAGTATATAAACATATAATTTTCTCTACAACCTCTCCAACAGTTATTATTTTTTGACTTTTTAATAATAGCCATTCTGACTGGTAAGAGGTGGTATCTCATTGTGGTTTTGATTTGCATCTCTCTGGTGATTAGTAATGTTGAACATTTTCTCATATGTTTGTTGGCTGCTTGTATGTCTTCTTTTGAGAAGTGTCTGTTCATGTCCTTTGCCCACTTTTTAATGGGGTTGTTTCTTTCTTGTTGATTCATTTAAGTTCCTTATAGATTCTGGAGATTAGTCCTTTGTCGAGTACATGATTTGCAAATATTTTATCCCATTCTGTAGGTTGTCTGTTTATTCTGTTGAGAGGTGTTTTTTTGTTTGTTTCTTTTTTTTTTCTTTTTCTGTGCAAAAGCTCTTCAGTTAAGTCTCATTTGTCTATTTTTGATTTTGGGGTCTTCATCATAAATTATTTGCCTAGGCCAATGTCTAGAAGAGTATTTTCTGGATTTTCTTCTGGATTTTTGTAGTTTGAGGTGTTACATTTAAGTATTTAATCTACTTGCATTAATTTTTATATATGTTGATAGGCTAGCCAGTTTTCCCAGGACCATTTATTAAATAGTGTGTCCTTTCCCCATTTTTTTTTTTTTTTTTTTTGTTGACTGTCAAAGATGAGTTGGTTATAGGTATGTGGCTCTATTTCAGGAGTCTCTGTTCTGTTCCATTCGTTTATGTGTTTGTTTTTGTATCAGTACCATGCTGTTTGGGTTACTGTAGCCTTGTAGTATGTTTGAAGTTGGATAATGTGATGCCTCTGGCTTTATTTTTTCTGCGTAAAATTTCTTTGGCTATTTGGGCCCTTCTTTTTCCTTTTTGACTGTTGTTGCTTTAAAACCTATTTTATCTGATACAAGAATAGTGACTTCTGCTCTTTTTGTTTTCCATTTACATGATAGATCTTTCTCCATGCCTTTACTTTGAGACTATGGGTGTCGTGACTTGTGAGATGGGTCTCTTGCATAGAGCAGAAGGATGAGTCTTGTTTTTAATTACCAATTTGCCACTCTGTGTCTTTTAAGTGGGGCATTTAGGCCATTTACATCCAAGGTTACTATTAATATGTGAGGTTTCATTCCTGTCCTAGTGTTGTTAGCAAGTTACTTTATAGGGTCTGTGGGCTATGTGCTTGTGTGTGCTTTCATGGTAGCAAGTATCGTTCGTTCCTTTATTACCATATTTAAAACTCCCTTAAGCATCTCTTGTTGGGCCAGTCTGGTGGTGACAATTTTCCTTACTGATTGTTTTTCTGGGAAAGAGTTTATTTCACCTTCGTTTATGAAGCTTAGTGAGGCAGGATACGAAATTCTTGGCTGGCATTTTCTTTCTTTCAGAACGCTAAAAATGGGCCCCCAATCTCTTCTGCCTTATGAGGTTTCTGCGAGAGTCAACTGTTAGTGTGATGGATTTCCCTTTATGGGTAATATGACACTTTTCTCTAGCTGCCTTGAAGATTTTTTCTTTTGCATTGACCTTGGCTAGTTTGATGACTATGCGCCTTGGTAATGGTCATCATGTACAATATCTCCAGGAGTTCTCTGGATTTCTTGTATCTGCATATTGACCTCTCTCACAAGTTTGGGAAAATTTTCCTGAATTTTATCCTCAAATCTATTTTCCAAGTTGCTCCTTCTTTTCTTAAGTCATTTATTTGGTGACTTTACAAAATCCCATGTTTCTTGAAGGTTTTGTTCATTTTTAACATTCTTTTTTCTTTATTTTTGTCTGACTGGGTTGATTCAGAGCCCCAGTCTTTGAGCTCTGAAATTCTTTCTTCTGCTTGGTCTAGTCTGTTGTTAAGTCTTCCAACTATGTTTTGAAATTCCTATAGTGAAATTTTCATTTCCAGAAGTTCTGTTTGGTTCTTTTCTAACGTAGTTATGCTGTCTTTCAAAACTTGGATAATTTGTTCTGTTTTCTTTGTGTTGGATTTCAGCTTTCTATTGGAGCTCATTGAGTTTCTTTGCCACCCACATTCTGAATTCTCTGTCATTTCAGACATTTCATTCTAGTTAGGATCCATTGCTTGGTAGCTGGTGTTGATCCTTCGGAGGTGATGAGACACTCTGGCTTTTTGTATTGCTAGAGTTCTTGTGTAGGTTCCTTATTATCTGAGAGAGCTGCTGCTGCTGCTTCTTTCTTTTATGTTGAATTTGCTATTCTTTGAATGAAGCTTCTTGATTTTTAAGCTCTTTTTTCTCTTAAAGGAATGACTGTGGTGTATACTGTGTATGAACCATTGGCTTTGTCTCTGGGCGCTTTCAGTGTGCCAACGCACTGTACGTGTTCCTTGATTGCATACAGGTTCAGGCTGTTGTCCAGTAGGTGGAGCTTAAGATTAAGAGTTGGCAGGTACGGGTGGGGACAGAGGCAATGGAGAAGGGTGAAATGCACGTTCAGTGAGGATGGAGCTGCTGGAGCAGTCCCAGAAGCAGTCTCTTTTAGCCCATCCTCCCTGAACCCAGACAGGAAGAGCTGCTGCTGAGTCAACAACAGTGCATTAAGGAGGGAGGGCAACAAGGAAAGACCCCTCTCTGAGTCTGTTTCAGGCCAACGGTAGTGTCATGCCTGCATTTCCTTTGACTCAAGGGAGGCTTTGGCGGGCTGTGCTGGGTCCATCACTCTCTTAGGGGCCAAGGCTTAGCTCTCTGGGTCTGGGTGTTTTCACTAGCAAAGAGCCTGTCTGAGTTCCTTGGTTACTGTGGCCTCTGTATGGTGGCTTCCCCAGATGCTGGTTGTAGTGGCATATGCTGGGCGTGTGGGCAGGCCTGTGCCTCTTGTGGGGGCAGGGAGGCAGCAGTCTCAGGAGCTCCTCTAGTTCCCCATTGCTCTGCGTTGGTGTTAGCAGATTTTCTATTGTGCTGCCCCATTTGGCCTCTAAGCCAACGAGTGGCTCGGTGGCTTGTATGGGTAGGAGCTGGCTGTGGCACAAGCACCAGCTCTGAGTGGGAGTCCAGTGGGCAGCCACCAGTGCCCAGAGATGTTCCTAGGCGTGGAGCTAGAAAACCTCTTTGGCCCCAAGTAGCTCTGCATGGGAACCTCAGGTGGCTGCCTAAATTCCTAATCCAGGAGAGGGTGGGTTCCAGATGCCTGGCGGCCTGCCTGGGCATGAAGCAGAGAGGGCTCTCCTGTACCAGGATCTCTGCTCAGGAAGGGTGGGGCAACTCAGGCTTCTCATCTGGGTGAGCAGGTGCTCTGAATGCCTGGGGATGGAAAAGAGCGGGTCCTGATGCACCACAATTCCAGAGGAGCAGGCTGGGACCCCGGCAATGACGTGCACAGACCAGTTATAGGTTGCCAACTAGGCGCTGGCCACAAGTCTCTGGGACGAGGAGAAACCACGCTGCAGCAGCTCTCCTCCCACCTCAGACCTGTGACAGGGAAGATCACAATTCCAGTGCCTACTGCTGGGGCACTTTCCACACTTGCCATGAATTCTGGCTGTGTAGGCCCCTAACTTGCTCCAGAGGAAGCACTCCAGTCTCTGGCCTGAGACCAAAATGCATGCATGGCCATGCTGCTGGGTTGCCAAAGAATGACTGACTCTGTATGAGCCTGGATTAAAAAGGCCATCCTGCTCTCAGTCCCAGGTCTGGGAAAATGCCTGCAGCTTTTCTAGGTGTCTTTCTTTCTCAGTGTCTCCAAGCCTGTCTCTGAGTCAGCTCCAGGACTTGGGAGAGAAAAAGTGCTCCCCTCTTTGTGGGTTGCTTGGATCCCTAGGGGATAGGGGAGGTGTTCTGCCCCTCGCAGGTCCTGGGGCTTCACTCACTTTTCTCAGTGGCTGGATGGATACTGTCACGGGGCTTTCTGCCTGCCTTCTCCTCCCTAGGATCTGGGGTGTCCTTCACTGTTTTGTGGATTCCTATTTTCCTTCTTGAGTTAAAACTCAGAGTTGGTCTTTATGCACTATTTTGCTATTTCCAAGTAGCCAGGGCAAGCTAAAAGCCTCTAATCTGCCATGTTAGGGAAAAAACTAGTTTCATGCATGTTATAAGAAATTATTTTCATCAAATTGATACATTCCATTTTATGCTACTAAGTTAAGTGAGACTTCCAATGAGAAGCAGCGCCCACTTCCCACCCATCCCAATCTCTGGCCCTGCTTGCTATGAACAATCAGTTTCATTTCTTGTGGTTCTTACCTCCATATATAATCTGCACACACTGGATAGTTAAAAACATATGTATTGTGGTAAAATCCCCATAATATAAAACAGTTAACCATTTGATATGGTTTGGCTCTGTGTCCCCACCCAAATCTCATCTTGAATTGTAACTCCCACAATTGCCATGTGTCGTGGGAGGAACCTGGTGGGAGGTAATTGAATCATGGGGGCGGGTCTTTCCTGTGGTGTTCTCCTGATAATGAATAAGTCTCACGAGATCTGATGGTTTAAAAAATGGGATTTTCCCTGCACAAGCTCTCTCTTTGCCTGATGCCATTCATGTAAGATGTGACTTGCTTCTCCTTGCCTTCTGCCATGATTGTGAGGCCTCCCCAGCCATGTGGAACTGTGAGTCCATTAAACCTGTTTCTTTTGTAAATTTCCCAGTCTCAGGTATCTCTATCAGCAGTGTGAAAATGGACTAATACATCATTTTAAAGTCAACAATTCAGTGGCATTTGGTACACCCGTTCACAATGCTCTGCAACCAGCACCTCTATCTAGTTCTAAAACATTTTTGTCACTTCAAATTATGACCTCACACCCATTAAGAAATTACTCCCCATTTCTCCCTCCCTCCTGCTTTTGGAAATCACCAATCTACTTTCAGTCTGTATGGATTTATCTAACGGGGACATGTCATGCAAATGGACTCATTCAATATGTGACCTCTTGTATCTGATTTCATCCACTTAGTATATTGTTTTGGAGGTTCATCCATGTTGCAGGATGTATCAGTATTTCATGTCTTTTTATGGCTGAATAATATTCCATAGTATGGATATATCACAATCTGATTATCCATTTGTATTAGTCTGTTTTCACACTGCTATAAAGATACTACTTGAGACTAGGTAATTTATAAAGGAAAGAGGTTTAATTGACTCAGTTCTGCATGACTCGGGAGGCCTCAGGAAACTTACAATCATGGGAAGGAGAAGCAAGCACCTTCTTCACAAGATGGCAGGAGAGAGAGAGAGCGCAGGGGAAACTGCCACTTTTAAAACCATCAGGTCTCATGAGAACAGCATGGGGGAAGCCACCGCTGTGATCCAATCACCTCCCAACAGGTCTGTCCCTTGACACCTGGGGATTACAATTTGAGATGAGATTTGGGTGGGGACACAGAGCCAAATCATATCACTGTTCATCCATTGATGGACATTTGGGCTGTTTCTACCTTTGGGCTACTGTAAAGAGTGCTGCTATGAACATGGGTGTATGTGTATTTGTTTGAGTATCTGTTTTTATTCTTTTGGGTATGTATGTACATAGGAGGGGAATAGGTGGATCAAATGGTAATTCTATGTTTAACTTTTGGAGGAACAGCCATACTGTTTTCCATGGTGGCTGTATCATTTTATATTCCTACAGGCAATGTACGAGGGTTCAAATTCTCCACATCCTGCACAACACTTGTTATTTTATTTTTCTGAGTACTGCCATCCTAAATGGGTGTGAAATGGAATCTCACTGTGATTTTGATTTGCATTTCCCTAGTGACTAATGATGTTAATTTTTTTAATGTGCTTAGCCATTTGTATCTCTTCTTTGGAAAAATGTTCATTCAGATTCTTTGCCCATTTTAAAAATTGGGCTATTTAACTTTTTCTTATTGGTCTGTAAGAGTTCTTCATATATCTGGATACAAGTCCCTTATCAGATAAATGATTTGCAGATATTTTCTCCCATTCTCTTTCTCCCTCACCTGCAGGAAGCCTCACCTACAGGAGCCCTTACTTGTTGAGGGCCATGGGCCCTCTCATGTTATTATTTAACTAATATCAATAGCCCTGTTTCTGTATGGCGTCTTTGGACTCTTCCTGGATCCTGTTCTTCTCTCAGGAAAGCTGGCCCTGGGTTGGGCTTTGCTGCTCTGTCCCCTCTTCCTGCATTCAGGTACTTTGTGGAGCTTTGACCCTAGCAACACCTCCAGCTAATGTTCTGGGACAATCTACTCCTCTTTATTTAGATCCCCTCCCACCGCAGTGGCCCAGTCACACAGAAGGACAGTCATGCTTGTTTATCTACTCATAAGAGAAGGAGGAAACATTTCTTAGAGTGGAACATTGGCCATCAGCCTTCCTGGGCCTGCCGCGGGCTCACTGCTGTGTTGATTCAAGCTGTCCCTCAGCCTGGGTTAGCAGTGGGAGAGCTCTGCGGGTCCACTCCTTCCTGCAGGTGGAGCTCAGGCTTGGCCAGTGCTGCCTCTGGACACCCGCCCAGGCTACTCCCCCTTCTACTCTAAACAGATGTTAGCTTGTCATTGTGTTCACAGGCCGGCCTCATGTGGAGCCCCTAGGAACTGGTCAGAGACTTGAGCTGGCTCTGTTCAAGGGCTCCCCCATTCGCTTGATTATTCATTTATTCCACGAACGTTTCTGGAGGACCTGCTGTGGGCCTGGCACAGGTGACACTGTGGGGCCCTCTGCTATGGACTGAATACTTGTGTTCTCCCAGAATTTCCATGTTGAAATCTAACCCCCAGGGTGAAGGCATTAGGAGGTGGGGCCTTCAGGCCTCTGGGAAGTGATTGGGTTCTTGCGAGGGTGGGGCCCTTGAGAATCTTGAGAATGGGATCAATGCCCTTTTAAAAGAGGCCCCAGAAAGCTCACTGTCTCCTCCCGCTATGTGAGGCGCAGCAAGAAGGCGCCTTCAGGTGAGGAATGGATGGGAGGGTCTCACTGGAGGTAGGAGGCTGCGTGGTGGCCCAGGATGCCTGGAAAGGCCCTCAGGATGGTCTCTGCACACATCAAAGATGACCTCATCTATATGTAAAGATGTTTCTGTGAAAAGCAAAAACCAAAGCAAGCCCTTTCCCACCTGCAGAAAGGCCGTGTCATCTCTGCTGAGGCTCACTGCCCCAACCTGCAGTGATAATTAGCGCCTTTTCCATCACTTGCTCATGCTCAGTGGTGTCCAGGGTTTTTATTAACACAGGATGTCGTATCTGTATTTCACAAAGCTCATAATTGCATATGCCCCGTGCCTGTCTCCAATTCCTTTAAAATGTACCAGGCAATGCGCATTGTATTATCTACAATAGACACATTGATACCTTCCTAAATTAACACTTTGCATTTCTTCAGCAGATGTGAGCCATGAAAAATAGTCCAGCACATTTTGATTGTTCTGTTAATTAAAGTGTTTCTCCCCTGAATATAGAAATCAATGGTTAGCAGGCCCATGAATAATCTTTGGGGCATAATGAAGACTCTGATGGAAAAGAGGTTGTCAAGAAAGTTCTAGAGGAGGACTTTGGCCACAGCGATCTTGGGGTAAGGAGGGAGGATCCGGGACGCTGTTGGTATCATGGCTGGGGTGTCTTTCCAATGGAATAGTTGTATCTTGACACTGTTATCAGAATCCACACATATTCATGGGAATCTATGTGGTTTAGTTGCTTATAGGATGAATTACACACAGAGATAGGCTGGCTGACCTACCTAATACTACAACATAGAAATGCTTTTTTCTTTTAGCTAAAGTCAATTTTGTGTGTGTGTGTAGGGGGAGTGGGGATCCTAGGTCATTCGTTTGTCCACAGTAAATTTTATTGACTAAGAATCTGCTAATTGCATTTGACAGTTAATGGTTCCATTCATTTATCATGTAGGTTCATGCTTCCTATGTTCTTATTTGAACCTCACAACACTTGTGTAAGGTTTGAAAGACAGGTGTTAAAGCCCTCACTTAATACATGGGGGAAACGGAGATGGGGGTTACAAGTTCTTCCAAGTTCACCTGGAGTGTGAGCCAGGTCCCTTAGTCCAACACTGACTTCCCACGTCCTACCCCAGGAACAAATGTGCTTCGGGTGTGAGGAGAGACTTGCTTAATCAGAAGACTTTCCAGCTTCACTGCTCTGCAAGAATGTGGACAGGACGGAGGCCCACCTTCCAGAAGAAAACAGTAAGATCCGAGGTTTACGTTTATCCCTCATGCTTGAACTTTGTCTCCGACATGCAGCAGTAGCCAAAGACAAGACCTCAGAGCAAATGCACTGGAAACCCCGTCCCCAGGATAATCCCCTTTGAGGACTCGGCTCACAAATCCGTTCGTTATTAATACACATATGCATAACTGTATCCTTCTGTGTCCTGAAGGCTTTTGTCCTGATTCTCCACAGAGGCGGAGCCAGTACCGCTCCTCATTTGCGGATGAACACCTGCAGAGCACAAAGCCTCTGCACTCGTGGGGGCTGCAGACTGGGAGCTGCTCCTCGGCCCTAGACAGAATGTTTCTTCAATCCCTTTCCTGGTACCCACAGCCCGGCTGGATATAGTAGGCGAATCCTCCCCATCTAAAATGGCTCTGAAATCAGGCTGGGGAGAGAGAGTGCAAAGAAGGTCAGTACACTGAGCAAGTGCTCAGCTGGGACTGGGCGCCACCCTCCCAGACCTCACCTGCTTCACCTGCCACACGCAGCCACACGCAGCCACACAGCCCCTGATGGAGCCCTGTGCTAGGGAGGCTGGGAGGGGTGAAGTGGCCGCGGCTGAGGTGTGAGAAAGGATTGAGGAGGGTCCCCGTGGGCCTTAAGCCAGGCGTGCCATCATACCTGGCCAGCTAGAAGCTGAGAAGACCTTGGCCAGAGGTCTGCTGCTGTCACAGGACCTCAAACTGAGAAGCGTGGAGTCCATCCTCCTAGGAACAGTATAGCGCATCCCCAGGCGAGGCTGCAGTGGGCCTTCTGTGCCCTAACTAAATTGCCAGCCCTGGCTGTTAGAGCCTGGGGCGCTGGATGTGTGGGGAGTTCATTTCTTTTCTTTTTTCTTTTTCTTTTCTTTTTCTTTCTTTCTTTTTTTTTTTTTTTTTTTTTTGAGACAGAGTTTCACTCGTGTTGCTCAGGCTGGAGTGCAATGGTGTGATCTCAGCTCACTGCAACCTCCGTCTCCTGGAGGTCAAGCAATTCTCCTGCCTCAGCCTCCCAAGTAGTTGGGATTACAGGCATATGCCACCACGCCTGGATAATTTTTGTATTTTTAGTAGAGACGGCCACGTTGGCCAGGCTGGTCTTGAACTCCTGACCTCAGGTCATCCGCCCACCTCCGCCTCCCAAAGTGCTGGGATTACAGGCGTAAGCCACCGCACCCGGCCTGGAGTTTATTTCTCGAGGACCATGGTGTCCTGGCTCGTGCCTGAGCAGAGCTGAGCACACTGCTGTTCCTCTCCCCTGTGCTCCTTTCCTGGACCCTTAGGGTAATTGCTAGCCTCGGAACCGCCGGCCAGGAAAGCCGGGGCAAGTGTGGGGGTAGAGCAGTGTGGGCAAAGACTGTGGTGGCTGGGCTGGGTTGCAGCTGGGGAACAGGCAGGAGGAAGGGAGGGCCAGGGCTCTCTAGGAGTGCGCCTTAGTGTGGGAAAGCAAGCTGCCCAAGGCAGGGTGCACTCAGGTGGGCAGGGCAGAGGCAGAGGCCAGGTGGGAGGCTGTGTGCATCCTGCCTTCTAGGGTCTGTATTCTGAGGCTTTGACATCTAGTGTCTTGCTGACACTGAAGGGACAGCTCCTCCCAGGGTGTCAGTTCCTAGAGACAGGGAACAACTCTGTGCCTTTCCCATGCGAACCAAGCAATCCAGAGTCTTACCCACTCCTCTACGGGACTCTCATACTCCAGGCCACTGTCCCCCTTCCCTAGTCACCCCAAAGTCAGGTCAGAGAACTAGGGACAGCTGCTGCAGAACAGAGCCCCGAGGTTATGCAAAGCAGCCAGTCCTGGACCCGCGGACCCTTGCCTCTCCTCTTTCTTCCCACAAAACCACAGTGAAGACTCCTGCCCATGTTTCCCCTCCTTCTGCCTCCTGACCCACCTCCGTGTTTCTCCGTGGCCCAGTGTGGGTGATGTGCCTCCTCTGGGAACTGTGAGTACAGACTATCTAATGGCAGTCACCTCCTGGTCTGCTGGGCTTCATATGCCTTGGATTTTCTATTAATACACTATATTTTTAAGGCAGGGGCTGCAGAGACTCATGTTGGGGACCCGGGGCCAGATATACTCCTGCTCCCATGGCCTCCCAGCTGCTCCCTGGCCCAGGGTAAGAGCCAATTCCCTGCCCAGCTCTGCCATGCCTGTCTTTGGTCCTCAGAGTCCACTTGACTCCATCTTCAAAATATATCTTGGCCATAAATGCTCCTCACTGTGCCCACCTGGTCCAGCCCAGCACACCTTTCACCTGGGTTATGGTGGTAGCATCTCTACTGGGCTCCCCACCCCATCTTGTTTGCTGGGGTCCATTTCTTGTCCAGCAGCCAGCGTGCTGTTTCTATGCACAAAGGAGATCCTGGATGCCCCTGCTGGAGCCTTCCGGAGGCCTCTTCTGATGCCCAGGAGAGAGAGCACAGCCTTCTCGCGGTGCCCTGTAGGGCTCTGCGTGCCTTGGACACTGCCCACACTCTGGCCTCATGCCCATCCACACGCACCTTCTTGTCTCTCTCAAACATGCCACATCCTGTCTCAGGGCCTTGGCATCTGCTATTCCTGCCATTGGTGTGACTTTCTCTCACTTCTGCACACGATTGCCTGTTTCTTGTTATTCAGGCCTCTCCTCAGATGTCACCATCTCAGCGAGGCTGTCCTTGGCCACCCCTAATAGCACTTCCCTCACCTCTCCATGACACCCATTTCAGCTTCTCCATATCTGAAATTATCCTCTTTATCTGCTTAAGTGTTTATTGGCTACCTTTACCCAGTAGACTGAAAGCTCTTTGAGGGCAGCCGCTCTCCCTCATCCACATCGTGTTTCCAGTTTCTAGGACAAGGCTCGATGTTAGAAGTCAGTGAGCTTGCCTGACTGCTGGACTGCAGGCTGCTCTCAGACGCAGAAACACTGCCCCTTGTATTTCCCTTGGCTGTCTTTTAAATCACATCTCGTATATAAAGTTTTCATAAATGTAGCTCTATTTTCTAATGTGTAGCTATGGTCCTCTCTTTGGAGACAGACCTGCACGCTCTTGTTATCCCCTTCCATGGTGTGATATTCCCAATAGAACCAGAGTGAACGTTGTGGATCAGGGAGGCTACCTGGGGCCTCCAGCACTGCAGAAGCAACATTGAACTGCTCAGAATGCACGCCCTCTCCAGAAGGCTCCATCCCTCCCAGAATGCCAATTAAGGTGGAGAGGCTCCTGTCCCAAGAAAAAATAATCAAGCACCATGTCTTGGAAACAAATCGACACCTGGTCATAGGATCTATAAAACAAAGCGAGGTCTTAATAAAGCAGAAGGGAAATAGATCAAAATCTAAGACAAATGGAGTGTTCTTTGCAGCAAACTCATTCTTTCTTCCTTTACGTTCCCTCAGCTCTGGAAAGCTCTGTAATTAAAAAAAGTCAATATATGTGGGACTTTAAATAATTGATTGATGTTTAAAGCCCTGTCAGAAAGCTCTGTAGTAAGGCATCAAGTAATATTGAGTTTCCCCAGCAGAAGCATCACACGAATAGCCTGCCGGCCATTAATATGCACGCAGCCCTATGATAAACAGTTGTGGTTCTTTTTAATTGGTAAATAATTACAGGGACTATAAAACTGTGAGCTGTTACCCAGTTTCACATTTCGGTTAACCTCCTCCATACCGCGGGGGCTGGGATGGCCTAGCCCTATGTGGGCACAGGGTTGTCCATCAGAACCTGGGGAAGGTAGGGTCCTGGGGACAGCAGAGCTCTGTTCCAATACAGGGATCCTATCTTCTGGGGGAAAGCTCTTCCCTGTTTTCTGGGAAGGCATTTGGAAGTATTTTTCCTCTGCCCAAGCAGAGGTGCTTCACAGTTTGGGGCAAACTGAGTTTGAAGCAGTGGTGGGAACCTTGGGAGGAATGCCGGGCCAAGGCTGGGCTTGGGGATGAGTTGGAGAGGAGGTGGCGCTGCGCTCCAGATCTTGGAGAGCTGTGAGAAGTGGGGAACTAGGCCGCCTTCTGTGGACTGTGGGAAGTTCCAAGCTCCCTGGGCCACAGCCTGGCACTACCCCTCCGGGAAAGGGCAATTCTGTCTTCTCGCCCTCCCCTGCACAGCCTTCAGGGCCAGCTCAATGCCACCTCCCCATGACGCCTGCCCATGGTGTCCCAGCTGAAAGCCTGACAGCACCACCCGGCTGGCCCAAACCGTCTGCGAACACGTGGGGACGTGGGGACGTGGGGACGTGGGGACGTGTGGCTGGGGGAAGGTCTTGTCAAGGCCACATTTTAACATAATTGTTCACTTGAATTTCTCCTCTATGGCGTGCATTTTCAACAGGGTGATATCGTCCTCCAGGGAGAGAAGATTGGTTCCTGGGAGTGCAAATCAACAGATTTTACAATGGTCCATGGCCTCCAGGCCTTGGTCCTACATGGCAAACTCATTCCTCAGTGCTTAATTTCTCTCTAATTAAATTAAATTACTGCACATCTGACATCGTCACTGACATTACTTCTCTTTTCTGTGAACAGCTTTAACAATCTCTACTGCTTTTCCTATTCGTTTCCTTAATTTCTCTCTTAAAATTAATCTCAGTTTTTCTTCTTAGGGGGTGATGATGATAATCACAGTGAAAAGTTGAGAAGCGCTGCCCCGAGGAGGGGTTGAATCAGCTCTCTGGCCTGTGGCATAATCCCAGGTCACAGCTGGCTTGAGGACCCCAGGGAAACATGGAGGAGCACCTTCGAAGGGTCTCAGCAGGCAGAGTCTGCCCTAAGATGCATCCACAGAGGGTCTGGGCCAGTTGGGTGGTGCTGTGAGGCTTTCAGCTGGGGCACCGTGGGCAGGCGTCATGGGGAGGTGGCATTGAGCAGGCCCTGAAGACTGTGCAGGGGACGGCGAGAAGACAGAATTGCCTGTATCGGAGGCGTAGTGCCAGGCTGTGGCCCAGAGAGCACAGAACTTCCCCTGTTCCCTGGGATGGGTTCAGAATGGAAGGATGGAGCCCAGGAGGTGTCTGAGGCTGGAGAGGGGGACAGATGGGCTCGTGGGTCGTGGGCTCCACCTTGGGATCTGGATGTGGAGAGTGGCTCTCCCTCTGGACTCTGAGATGGTGAGGCCCTGTCCCAGCCTGAGCCCTGTGACCTGAGGGCTGGAACGTGCATGCCTTCTGCTTCACAACCTCCTGTAGAGTGAGCACTGTCCCCGCAGGAGGGCAGGAGGGCAGGAGGGCAGGAGAGCAGGAGGTGCGAGCCCCAAGGTCAGGGAATCAGTGGTTTTCAAGCAGTGGTCCAGGCAGGGCTGAAGCCAGGGAAGCAGTCTGTGGGCCATCCACTCCCAGCCAAATTGTGACATCGTCATTATAATAACATCTCTGCCCAGTGAGCCCAGGCTGCTCAGGTTGACCAGAAGCTTGCCAGCCACTTGAAGCCCTGGTGAACTCCTGCTTGCCTTCAACACCCCATGCAAGTGCCACATCCCTGGGAAGTCTCCCCACCTCCAGGCCCCAGATGAAGAGACCTGTTGGCCCTGGGTGGTGAGTGTGGGCACCTCGGCTCCCGCATGTGGCAGCAAGTCTTAGTTTGTTTGTTCTTCTGTGCCAACTTGACTCTGAGTTCCTTGAAGGCATCACCAGAATTCCAGTGCTTAGTGGAGGCTGCTTTATAGTATTTGTTCAGTTGAATTGAATATCCTTTAATTTTTCAGTTTATTTTATCTAACACATCTTTTTAAAGACTCAGGAGGAAAGAGACATATCTGGCCCCAAATTAAGGATGCTTAGGTGAGATCACATCTCTGGTGGTCTGGCATGATGGTGGTGGTGTAACTGGTCTACTCTCAGAGAATGGGCCAGTGGGACCAATGTAACTGGTCTACCCTTAGAGCAGCTGAGGGTAGGGAGGGTGAAAGCCCACCTGCCTTTGGGTGAAGAGACCTGGTTCTGGGTTCAGATCTGCTGCTCTGTTCATTTATACAATGGTAATAAAACTAATAATCCCAATAGTCCCTGACCAGCTCACACTAAGGACTTCTTCTGAGTCCCAAGAAAGCTAACATAACTAAGAACAGATGAGATTCCCATCTGGGTCTTTTCCACCAAGGACCAATCCTTTAGAAACCCCTACTAATGGTAGAAGAGGTGGCTCCTCAGAAAGCACAAAGACCTCACGTGTAGGCTTGGGAGCTACCAAGGATGGTGCCACAGAGCTCCATAAGGTCAGGAGCAGTGCCCAGAACTTGTCTGCTACTCTCTGAAGCCTGTCTCAGGCCTGGGAAGGTCATAGAGACAGTCAATGAAGACAGATGCTGCCCCTTCCTTTAAATGAACCCAATATGTGAAAATTGAATCTTTTATAAAGAAACAGGGAGACTTATTCATAAATATCCACCTCCTTAAATAAATATAAAATAAGATTTAATTTTCAAAAATTGGTTTGATTTTTCAAGAACCATATTCATGTACATATTGTCTAAACTGAGTACATCATTATTCATCTTGGTCACATGGAGCCCTAAGAGCATATACACATTCAAGGGCTTTGTTTCTTCACTGTAGAGGGAGGGTTTAAAGGTTAGACCACAAAAGCTAATTGCTAATCATCTCACAGAGGTTTTAAAAGAGTGCCACCATTTCTCACTTGTCCTGGAAAGTTTTACATACAGGCCCACTTACAGAGGAGAGGTGGATGTAAAGATCCTTTTTCCCCCACCAAAATGAAGGTCTTTATACTCTAAGGTTAGGCTTTCAACAGCTTCAACAATCTGCAACACAGTCTTAACTACAGTAATGAACACTACCACCACCACCACCACCATCACCATTACCATCACCATCACTATCATCATCACCACCACTATCACCACCACCATCATCACTGCCACCACATCACCATCCCTGTCACTGCCACCATGACCACCATCACCATGACCACCACCATCACCATGACCACCACCATCACCACCATCACCCAGCGCCACCATCACCACCATCCCTACCACCACCACCATCACTACCACCACCACCACCACAATCACCACCATCACTATCACCACCACCACCACCATCATTGCCACCATCACTATTATCACCACCACCACTATTACTATCACCACCATCACTGTCATCACCACCATCACCAAAACCACTATCACCACCATCATCACTATCACCACCATCACCATCCCTACTACCACCACCATTACCATTACTATCACTGCCACCATGACCACCACTGTCACCACTACCACCATTGCCACCGCCACCATCCCTACCACCACCACGACTGTGACCACTATCACCATCATCACTATCACTACCACCACCACCACCATCACTACCATCACCACCATCACTATCATCATTGCCACGACCATTGTCATCATCAGCATCACACATCATCACCACTATCACCACCATTGCCACCATCATCATCACTATCACCACCATCACCATCATCACTACTACCACCACCATCACCACCGTCACCCACTGCCACCATCACCACCATCCTTACCACCACCACCATCGCTACCACCACGACTATCACCACCACCATCACTACCACCACCACCATCACTATCACCACCACCACCATCACTACCACCACCACTATCACCACCACCATCACTACCACCACCACCACCATCACTACCACCACCATGACTATCATAATCAACATCACCAAAACTACCACCATCACCACTGTCACCAGCATCATCATTATCACCACCATTACCACTATCACCACCATCACCATCATCACTATCACCATCACCATCACCATCATTATCACTATCACTACCATCACCACCACCATCATCATTACTACCACCACCATCACCATTACTGTCACTACCACCATGACCACCATCACCATGACCACCACTGTCACCACTACCACCACCATCGCCACCACCACCATCACCATCATTATCACTATCACAACCATCACCACCACCACCACTACCACCACAGCTACTATTAATAAAGCACTTTGTGTAACATGATCTTATTTCTTTCAGAATAACAATATAAGGAAGGAATCATTATTTCTATTTAGTAAGTGAAATGAAATTTAGGGAACTGAAGAAAATTTGAGGGATACTATAGAACATTCCCATTCCATCATTCACTTAACAAATAATTACTGAGGCCCTCGTATCCCAGATATTGTTTTAAATCCTTTTACTAAATTAGTTAAAAAAAGGAATTCTTTGATTTTAAAAATGAAAAAATTAAAAAATACTAAGCACAACCTCAGTTGCTCTGTCATTGCCGGCCTGCATGCCAGCCTGGACGAGGCAGCTGGATCTGTGCTGACCTTGCCCATCTGACTCGTCCACCCTTGGGACTGACCTTTCTGGTCACTCTGCCCATCCCCTTCCCGACATGTATCTCCCTCCACCTCTCTGGCTGCTTAGCCTCAGCATGTGTGCTCTGACTGCTATTGGCTGTACCCTTCTCCTTTCAAGCCTTCTCATCTTTGTGGGGCAGTAATTACTTGACCCAGGAAAATTACTTTAACGGTTATTTGTCATCCGGGCCTCCTTCTCTCACAGCTGCAGCTTCTGATCTGTTGAGTGAGCAGAATGTAAGATGATGATCCTGCAACAGCTGAAAAAGTCCTGCAGGGGTTCATCGGGGTCCCCGCAGAGCTGCCAGGATCTTGGTCCCATTCCCAGCCCACCCCAGCCAGAGGCTCATCGCCCCTAAATTGCTACCTTTTTCCATTCCCACTCCAAAGCTTGCAGAAGAGCCACTAGCTCCATTTCCTTCATTTCCATCTATTTCATCTTTGGGGGCTCTAGCCTGTCCTCCCCAATGCATACATGACTGTCTTTTTACCCAGGAGCATCACCACTTTGGCCCGTTGTCTTTCTCCAGCTACTGCCTCAATTCCTCCTCAGCCGTCGCATTTCCTGAAAATGTTGTCTATTGTTGTGTGTTTGCTTCTTCACTTCTCTCTTTTGCTCAACCTAGTGAGTTTGGCCTCTGACACATCCCCAGTGCACTAGCACTTCATGTCCAGAGTCACCAATTAGTTGCCAAATGTGATGAACACTCGCAGATCTCCTCTTCTTTGTTCCTTCTGCAGGAGTGAGGATTACTGAGCACCGCATCTTTGAAATGCTTTCTGATTATCCTCTCACTCTTTGCGACCCCTCCCAGTGTCCCAATTCATGGCTGTGGCAGTCCTAGCGCTGCTCTGACACCAGGCTTGCCATTCCCTTGGCACATAGAAGGCTGCTCTTTCTCATCTTCTTGTGCTTGGGGGGCTCTGTGGTTGGATCTGAGCAGTGAGCTGTGAGTGGAAGTGAAGGGTATCCTGTTGCAGCTGGGACATTTAACTGCTGCCCTGCAGCCCTCCAGGGATTTCTTCCCCTCTCTGGCCTGGTAGCTGTCCTGTCCATCTGGCTCCTTACACAACCACAGCGAGTAGAATTCCCCTGCTAACCCACAGTGGCTTTATAGTTTCACCAACAAAATAAACCTGTATTGTTTTGAGCCTCAGAGGTTTGGGAGTTGTTTGTTGCAGTAGCTCAGCCCAGCTTATGTTGACTGATACATGGCTATTCTCTGTGCTTTAATAAATGAATGAATGAGTGAATTTATGCATTCATTCAGAAAATGTTTATTGAGTTTCTATGCTGTATTGAGGTAGAATACAGCAGCAGGTACTGATAGCAGACAAATGTGGTGTCTATCCAAAAGGACCTTACATCCCAGAAGGAGGACAGGCTGCAGACAGCTGAATGATATAGAAACAAGATAATTGCATACTGTGCCATGAGAGAGATACTCAGGGAATGGGAAGGAGCACAAACAGGAGGAGGGGCTGCCCTAGGATGCACTTTGTGGGTAGAAGGAACCCCAAGAGCAACTGCCTGAAGGTGTTTGAGAAGAGGGACAGACATGTAGGAAAGAGGGGCAGGGTGCACTTGGTGAGGCTGGAGGAGGAGGGCCAGGGACAGGAGAGAAAGTGGATGGTGTCGCAGGAGCCAAGAGGACACGGATTTTCAGAGGGAACATTCCCCTGCACTGAATATCATGAGAGGTCAGTATGGTGGGGAGGAACTGAGGCTCATCTAGAGAAAGTAGCAGAGCGAGTGGGAGGGGAAGTAGAGGCAGAGAGTTGGAGAATTCTTTTGGAAAGTTTTATGTGAGAAAAAAATAACAAGAGAAATGAGGAAGTCTTTAGAAGGCATTGTTTGTTTTTCCATGAGACAGTCCAGAGCATGGCTGATTGCTGGTGAGGATGACCCAGCAGATAGGGAGAGGCTGAAGAGCTTGCACCTGGATCTGCGCCCGTGCAAGGGTCGATGGCCATGGCTGGGATGCAGAAGCGCTGTCTCAGGGGAGACTGGAGGATGAGGTGCTGGACGCACGTGGGTGACTAGGAACTGGGTCTCTGGTGTCCGTCTGTGGTCCTACCTGCTCCCTAATCCCTAGCTCCTACACCAAAACCAAGCCTATTTTCTCTCCCCTTCCCAAATCTGCTCCTTTTCTAGGCCTTGCCCAGTCATAGGATTTAACTCTCAAGAGCTGATTAACTTAATGTTTCTACTGAGAATAATACAATGTACTATCAACACAGATACCTCCATTTATCTGTTTAGATAGTAATAACAGTCATCTTCCCTTGTGAGATGGCTTATATATCAAACAGCTGTCACATATGTCCTGGTATTTCCTTGCAGGGGCTCCCTGGGCAGGCAATATGGGTCTGACTTTACGGAGGAGGAGGGGGAGGCTTAGAGAGCTGGGAACTGCTTGTCTGCTGGGTGCTTTTCATTCTGGGATACCTGTTTTCGGCTGCTGTTCAACATTTTGACCTGTTGTAAAGAAAATGGAATTGTCAGTGGATGCTGATTTTAGTAATTTGGGAACAGAGCTAAATTTTCAAGTTCGTGTGTGCACTGGCTCTATTTCTTTAGAGTGACATGCTTAAGAAGCAAGGAGGAATGCACTAAAAGGAAAACTATTTCAGGTTAAGGAAGTATTAGCCCAGAGAGCATGGGGATTAAGGGATATAAATATATTCTGTACACAGCATGGTGCATAGCTCAGAGACATGGCTGGTTGGGTTGTACAATGGAGAGGAATTCTTTACAAAAAAAGTGATCTACGTCATCGATTATACCCCTGCAGCCAGAAAGAGCATTTCCTTTCTTCTTTCTCTTTTAATTTTTCTGGTGTGTGTTGGGGGTGCCTTCACGTTGTCTGCTGTTATCATAGGCTCACATCTAATAATCCAGCTCTAAGAACTGTACCCCAGCAGACCTTGGCATTATCTGTGCCAAGGTACAGCCTCCGGTCACGCCTGGTGCTCTGCCTGGTTCCCACAGTGTCTGCTGTATTTACTGTTCTTTATTTTTAACTTTTTTTTCTTTTTGGAGATGGAATTTAACTCTCGTCACCCAGGCTGGAGTGCAATGGTGCGATCTCGGCTCACTGCAACCTCTGCCTCCTGGGTTCAAGTGATTCTCCTACCTCAGCCTCCTGAGTAGCTGGGATTACAGGCACCCGCCACCAAACCCGGCTAATTTTGTATTTTTAGTAGAGATGGGGTTTCACCATATTGGCCAGGCTGGTCTCGAACTCCTGACCTCAGGTGGTCCTCCCACCTCGGCCTCCCAAAGTGCTGGGATTACAGGTATGAGCCACAGTGCCTGGCCTTTATTGTTCTTTAGAATACACTGCATTTGACTCTTCTCTCTCCTTGGCTGAAACTCCTTGGGAACAAGGACTGCTTCTTCTGCAGAGTAGATGCTGAGTAAATACTTACTGAGCACCATGTTTGTAGACATCAGCAAAGACTGGATAATCACTTCTCACTTTACACCTGAGAACCTGAGGCCCAGACATGCCCAGGCTTGGTGAAGTACTGACGCGAACGGAACTTGGTTCTTTTTAAATCTGTCCCTGCCGGGGCTCCCCCAGGCCTCTGCACTGGTTCCCCTGGGTGGTCCCTACTGCTCCACTTCTCCTCCTGCTGCCCAGAACTGACTTTCAGGACTTCCTTGTGGGCTAACATTTCAGAGAACATTTATCCAAAAAGCAATCAGCTCCTCCTGCTTAGCAGGTGGATTGCACTTCCCACCATTACAGAATTTCCACTTTTATTGGGTGATTGAAATGCCAAATCCCCAGGCTGGCAGAACAAATTAGGCTACTAACCATTAATACCTGCATGTGGGCTGTTTTCACTGTTAGCAAAGGACAGCTGCCCAAATTGTTTATCCTTGATGTTGGTGGGTATTGCAGAAAAAGAAAATTAGCTGGTGTTTTAGTAACTTTGGGGACTATTAAGGAGGTTTCCTTTTTGCAGGACTTCTCCAAGCTATGGACATGCTAACATACAACGTGACCTTCCCAAATAGCATTTCTAAGCATGCTTTTTGCAGAGCAAGCTTCTTGGGGTTAGCTTTGGATGGCTTTGCTCCATGCGAAGCTCCGGAAGAAACACAGTGCTGAATTTGCCTGAAAGACCCGGGCTGGAGCTGTCCCCATACTCACTAGCTTAGTGGCTCTGTGTGGGCCCTGGATTGCATTGTGCCTGGATCTCCTTATGTAAACATTGTGAATTACCTCCACCACACATTTAATGAGAAAGCATGAAGGCTGTTATCTAATGAAGAAAACTGAAACTATAAAACATTAGCATTTCATTGACCACATCACATCAGTGTCATATATTCATTAATTCCTTAAGACTTTGTCAAGCACCCTTTATGAAGATGCAGGGCTCTGGAGCTTGTGGAGCTAAGATGCAGGGAGGTCTGCTCTCATTGCTGGATTCCAAACTCAAGGCTCTGATGGATGGTTCCAGAGGCAGGCGCCTGCCCCATAGCTCTGCTTTTCCTGCTCTGCTTTGCGAACGTAGGACTCAATAGGGAAAAAAGACAACACATACTCTAAATTATCCTTGCATTTTGGGAATAAAACTTGGTAACTATTGGATGTGAGTTGTGTGTATTTTGTTTATGATAGTTACATCTTTGTTCTTTAAGTAAAGTTGGTTGTGTGGTTGTCTTCATGTGCTTCTTTCTCTGTACCTTGTGTGATCCTTGGGTTTATTTTGTCAATGTTGTTGTTGTTTATCTACATTCTTGTATGAAAAGCTTGATGGATTTACTTCCTATGTTTCTCACTCCTCATAATGCCGTCATGTTGAGGTAGAGCAGGATGGCAGGTCAGCAGGTCTGGAGGCCACATGCGAGGTTGGCACTGGGCAAGTAATGGATGAGTTCCTGGTGTGCAGGTGGTGGCTGTGGCTGGGGTTGGCCAGCATGACACATGTGGAGGTAAGAAGTGAGGACAGAGGCATTCTGAGAAGCTCAGACATCTTGAGTCAGGGCCCAGGAGGGTGAGTGCCACAGAGGCTGAGGAGCAGCTGGGGAGGCTGGAGATGTGGGAAGGTGGTGTGAGAGAGGCATTGTCACAAAAGCCAGGGAAGAGGCTGTTTCTAGAAGAGTCAGATTGCTGGGTGTCAGCGGCGCTTTTGCATTTTTTAAAGTGTCATTTTGATTGCATTTGTAGGGACTGATACTGTTGAATGGCTGCTTCCGTTTTGTAGCTGGGATTTTTCTTGCTATAGTTCTAAATGTCTTTTCCACAAAATAAAGAGGAATTTTTGAGAGACCAACCCTGGGGGAACTTTTCATTAAATTCATTAGCAGCTGAAGTGGGCACTAGAAATTTGAAGTTATGCTAATGAAAGTTTGTGTGATTGTGGGGATGAAGGGGAGGCAACATCTAAACAACCCCAGAATGATTCTACCACTCCGCGGTTTTAGTATTCATCGTGCACCTTTAAGTGCTATGTGTTCTGTGCCTGTTAATCACTGTTAATGACAGCGTGCATCTGGGATCTGGGCAGGACGCTCTGTGGTGAGGATGACAGTCGCTCACCAGCCTTAACCAAGATGAAGTGGTGGTAGACACTCCATTTAAAGTCTCATTTAACATTTTTAATTAGCCTCACCTTGGGTGGTGAACGCAGTTTGCATAATTCATGAGAGGGGTTGTGGTGGGAAAGAGCATGGCAGAAGGAAAGATGCACAAGCACGTTGATTTTCTTTTAGAAAATGCAGAAACAGCTGGCGGAAGAAACTGCAAAGCACAAAAGCACAGTTTTTATGTCAGAGCTTAAAAGGACCTCAGAGAGCCATCCTCTGGTTTGCTGCTGTCTTTACACAGTGGGGGAAACCAAAGGGCCAAGATGTGATGCAGTGGGCCGAAGATATCTAGGTCCCTGTGTGCAGCCGCCCCTGGCTTGGGCCTGGTGCCACCTGGCCCAGCATAGTCTGTTCCGCAGCCTATGCGGCAAGCATTTGGAAGGCTCACCTTTGACTTCCTCTCTCCACTGAGGGTTTTCCCTCTATGTGGGCCCCCCTTAAGTTGTCTGTGCTCCCCTATTGCCCTTTTTGCTTTTTTGAGGAGGGCCCATGCCCAGGCCTCACCCAGCGCCCCTCCTAGAGCTGTTCCCAATGACCACAGGTCCGTCTGCACAAACAGGGAACCCTGCTGGCTTTGACCCCATCACCCCTGCATGGTCAGGGGTGAGTCCCCAAGGCCCTACCATCTGCCTTGTATTGAACCTGTCAGAGGCGTTTGAACCAGAGCAACTTCATCTTCAATAGGAGCTGGGTAAAATGAGGCTGAAACCTACTAGGCTGCATTCCCAGGAGGTTAGGCATTCTGAGTCACCGGATGACATAGGAGGTCAGCATAAGATACAGGTCCAAAAGACCTTGCTGATGAAACAGCATGCGGTAAAGAAGCCGGCCAAAACCGGCCAAAACCACCCAAAACCTAGATGGCCACAAGAGTGACCTCTGGTCATCCTCACTGCCCATCATATGCTAATTATAATGCATTAGCATGCTCAGAGACACTCCAACCAGAGCCATGACAGTTTACAGATGCCATGGCAACGTCAATTCCCATATATGGTCTGAAAAAAGGAGGAATCCTCAGTTGTGGGGACTGCCTACCCCTTTTCCGGAAAGCTCTTGAATAATCCACCCCTTGTTTGGCATATCATCAAGAGGTAACTGTAAGTATCCTTAGTCGAGCAGCTCTGCCTACAGAGTAGCCATTCTTTTTTCTTTTCTTTTCTTTCTTTTTTTGTTTGAGACAGAGTCTCACTCTGTCACCCAGGCTGGAGCACAGTGGCACAATCCCGTCTCACTGCAACCTCTGCCTCCTGGGTTCAAGTGATTCTCCTGCCTCAGCCTCCCGAGTAGCTGGGATTACAGGCGTGTACCACCATACCTGGCTAATTTTTGTATTTTTGGTAGAGATGGGGTTTCACTATGTTAGCCAGGCTGATCTTGAACTCCTGACCTCAAGTGATCTGCCCGCCTCGGCCTGCCAAGGTGCTGGGATTACAGGCGTGAGCCATCGTGCCTGGCTGGAGTAGCCATTCTTTATTCCTTTACTTACTTAATAAACTTGCTTTCACTTTACTCTGTGGATTCTCCTTGAATTCCTTCCTGTGTAAGATCCAAGAACCCTCTCTTGGGATCTGGATCAGGACCCCTTTCCAGTAACAAACTTGCACAGAAAGCTGGTGACCTTCTCTATGGAGCTGTTCCCACAGGCCCAGGATGAGAAGGGGCAGGTTTGTGTGCTGTCCAGGCCCACAGGGTGAGCTGTCCAGCCATTGGTGCGAT
This sequence comes from Homo sapiens, assembly GCF_000001405.40. Taxonomy (NCBI): domain Eukaryota; kingdom Metazoa; phylum Chordata; class Mammalia; order Primates; family Hominidae; genus Homo; species Homo sapiens. Next base: position 129,727,486 of record NC_000002.12, on the reverse strand, counting down.
CCTGCACCCCGCAGCAACCTTCACAGAATCACACATGTGGCTCTGCTGCTGCTCCACCTTCCAACACTTATGCACAATGTGTCCTGTGGCCAGTGCTGCCTGGAACCACACAGGTCAGGTATCCTGGGAAGTGTCGTTCCAGCTTCATCCCATAGACATGGCACAAACTGCCACTGGAACGCTGGGAACAGAAAACAGTATTTTAGGGAAGATGGTGAATTTATTTTTGATTATGTTGAACTTGAGGTGCCTCTATGACCGCTACGAAGACCTCTGGTAGATAGAAGACAGTTCTGGAATACAGGGATACATTTGAGAGAGCTGATACTGACAATGGAAAAACCAAAATATTTAAATAGTTTATTCTAAGCTAATATGAGTGACCCCAGCCTGGGGAAACACTCTCAAAAGGTTGTGAGAAAGTGCGCCTGTGGCAGTCAAGTGACAGTTTGGTTTTATACATTCCAGGGAGACAGGAATGTCAGTAAAATCCTAAATCAATACATGGGAGATTTATGTAGGTTTGGCCTGAAAAGATGGGACATCTTGAAGTGGGGGCTCACAAGTCATAGGTGGGTTTAGGGATTATTTAGTTGGCAGTTGGTTAAAAGAGTTAAGCTTTGTCTAAAAACTTGGAGTCCATAAAGGGAATGCTTTTTTATTTTTATTTTTATTTTTATTTTTTTATTTGAAATGGAGTCTTGCTCTGTCACCCAGGCTGGAGTGCAGTGGCGCGATCTCGGCTCACTGCAACCTCTGCCTCCTGGGTTCCAGCGATTCTCCTGCCTCAGCCAGGTAGCTGGGATTACAGGCATGTGTCACCATGCTCAGCTAATTTTATGTATTTTTAGTAGAGACAGGGTTTCACCATGTTGGCCAAGCTGGTCTTGAACTCCTGACATCAAGTGATCGGCCTGCCTCGGCCTCCCAAAGTGTTGGGATTACAGGTGTGAGACACCGTGCCTGGCCAAGGAATGCTTAAGATAAGGGCTGCTGTTATCTGTCACGTGGTGCCATGCCAGAGTCAGGTTTACAAAAGTGAGCCACTGTATACTGAGTCCAGAAGACCTGTTTAACAAGGTTTTATGGCTTGTAAGGCATGACTCTCTGCAGGACCCTTTAGAAAGGAATCTGAGTAAGGAGAAAGGTCGGAGTCTAGTTCTCAAAACCATCAGAAGGGTAAGGTTGTTTTAGGGAAGAAAAGTCCTGGAAAGTTCCAAAGTCTATGTTAGCCAACTTGACTGCATAACAAACAACCCTGAAATCTCAGTGACTTGGGATAACATTTATTTCTAGCTCATGTTACATGTTGGCATTGTAGGGAAGGAAAAATAATTTTCTCCCCAACCCTCATGAGTTCTTATTTGGAGTAGAACAAAAGCAAAACAAATTTATTAACATGCATATTTCATGGGAGACACTCAGGGGATGTGTAATCCTCAAAGGGGTGGCTTTGGATTCTAGCTTATTCAACATCTTCAACAAAGAATTGTACATTTTTAGAGAAGTGACAAGACAAGGGAAGGACTCTGAGTCCTTGAGGCAAACAAATGGCAGATGAGACTCTTCAGCTGAGCTTGCTAACATCTCCCGGCAGTCAAGGGTCTCAAGTTGTCTTCAGTGCTTAACCTCTGTCCTCCTTGGTAGAGAGGGGAAGGTGGTGGGTTACCTTCTGTGTTTGTAAATATACGTCCTGCTTTTAGGCAAGAGGGAGAGCAGAGAGCTCTCCTGCCTCAGCTTCTTCTTAATTGCCTTCAGCTCAACATTCCTCGTGCAAAAGAGGCATGTTTTGGTGGGGGCATATTCTGGTCCTCTCCGTGCTGAGGTTGGTTGTACCGCTTGTCTCTGTTTGGCTCTGATTCCAACATCTCCTCCTTCCAGACCTGACTGAAGGAGTAGGCACTGCAGGAGCCAGGGAAAAGCAAGGTGAGATGCAATTGCTTTTTAAGCTTTGGCTTGGATGTGGCATATATAACTTGCACTTAGTCTCCTTTTGCCAAAACAAGTCCATGGATGTAGCATGTGCCCATGTATAAATGGGGCAGAGATGCACTCCTCCCACAGCAGGGCAACTACTTAAATCAGGGGGAAAGAGTTCATAAAGGTGAGCCACCTTCAGGTAACCAGGAGGCAGGTAGGTTGGGGTGTGGTAAGAGCAGAGAGTGTGAGGACCTGGTAGGGGATGAGGGGCTGCATCCGCTGCAAACTGTGCCTGAGTGTGGCCTTAATGCGTTAGCGTTAGTCCCGGGGAGAAATCTCGCTAGGCATTCAGTGTGCTTACTTAACTGAATATGAGTTGTAAATAATTGATTTCTCCTCCAGGCTATAATTTCCAAAGGCACCCTTTCATTTTCTTATTAATGTGTGGATTAGATGAGGAGGAGCTAAATTAAGATGCTCCGTTATTCAAGGACACCTTCAACCACGGCTTAGAAAGAACCAGGAACACTCACCATCCGGGTCACACACTTGTACATTCGTTTGGTCATGCAACAAAGACTTAAAACTAAAGGCACGGTTCCTTCCAAGAGCAGGCCTGGTGGATCCCATGTGGAAGAGCAGGAGGGATAGTTTGCACAGAGCATTGCTGAGGACAGAGGCTGGGAGTTTGGAAGCCCTGCCTCCTTGGCCATAGTCCTGAATTCACTGTGAGACGCTGGGGAGGACTGAGAGTAGGTAATCTCTGGGGAGAGACATTCTGTGTCAGGGATGGGCAAACTTTTTTGTAAAGGGCTGGAGCGTCAACACTTTAGACTATGGGGTCACGTAGTCTCCGTTCTAGGTAGCACCATACTCCTTTGCTGTCATTGCCCCAGAGCGGCCATAGACCATACATAAATGAATGGGCATGGTGTACTCCAGTAATACTTTATTTACAAACCACATGGTGGGCTGGACTGGGTTTGCTGGCCCCTGTTCTAGGTGCCTGAGTGAGGCCACAGCCTGCAGGAGGAGCCTGTAGAGGTGGAAGCTAGGGTGGGACACCAGCCCAGGGACTCGAGATGGTACCTGGTGGAGGTGAACAATGAGGGTCTGGCGCATTCGGAGGGCTGGGGCCCTGCTTGTCCTCTGTCACTGCCTTAGGCCTGCAGCGTTTCCATGCTCCTTGGGCAGCCTTGTTGCTGGGCAGCTGCAAGGTAAAGGTCACCCAGAGCCCCAGGTATGCCACCCCAATTCCATACAGTTCCCTCTCACAGGAACCTGTGGCTGAGGACAGGATCCTCTGCCAGGTTGCCATCCCCAATCCCCTTGGTGGGCGTGATGCAGCAGGTGAATGCCCAGCCTGGCCTCCTCTCTCCTGGCATCCTCCCCGAGTCTAGTCTGTGAATGCCCAGCTTGCCTGGAGCAGAGCACTCTGGGTGAAGGCTCTCCAAATCCAAGCCACCCTGGATGACTCTCCCCACCCCAGCAGTCAGAGCCTGGGAAGCAGAATTGGAGCAGGGCCACCTAAGGGCCACAGACCACAGGGCTTGAGGAGGTCCCAGGACATTGGGGTCAGAAGCCCAGCAGGCAGCATCTTGAGGCAGCCAGCGAGGCGGAATCCCTGCAGCCTGCCAGCCTTGCAGGAAGGGGATGGCAGAGCCAGCACAGTCCGATGCCTGTTCCTGCAGGGCTCCCAAGCCGGGGGTGCCTGCTCTCCCTTGCCCCATCTCTTGGGAGCTCGGCATGTCCCAGCAGGGCACACAGTGGAGGCTCAGCCATCTGGACCCTCCAGGGAGACACCTGCCGTGTGGAGGGCTGGGTACATCCTGATAACCTGCAGGTTTCAAATGACCCAAATATTCCAAAACACCTACGGAGGTTCTAGCCACACAGAACAAGTGAAAACAGACTTTCCATGGGGACATGGGCTTTCTGCCACCTCCTTGGCCCCTCTCCTCTTGGTATGAGGCCTCTCTGGGGCTCCTTCTTCCCAGTCTGCAGTTGCTTCAGCGCCTTTACAGAGAAGTGGAGCTGCTGCATTTCTCTAAGTTCTCACGTTCCTGCTGCTTGCCTTAACATACTGGCCTCCGGCAATGGATGCCTGGGAAACACATCAAATAGCACTAAATAAATACGAGAAAAATGGTTCCAAAATTAACCACAGGCCGGGACCCAGTGGCTGGTCTCCCTCTGGTCCTGCTGTGAAAGGGCCAAGCTGGTCTCACCAGGTACACGTGTCTCACCTTGGATGAATTCCCCTGACTTAGCTTTCATAGTAACAGCACAGCCCTCGGTGTGAAAATGCTCTGAGAGGTACACCCCAGAGGCCAAGACCCATGGAAATAAGACATCCTTCGGGCGGGGGCGGCAATAAAAAAAAAAGAGCTCCTCTGAGAAACACAAGGTTTGATCTGACTTTCCCACTGTTTCCTTCCCCCATCGTGCACTTTCCTCAAACCTTAGTTTGTTCTGAGAGAAGGTTTATGCTCTTTTCTTTGAAAATTAAGGACTTGGACATCTGATGCCTGGCAGCATGCATTTATTTTGTAAGTGGAAGAAAAGTCCAGGGCTCAGTCTGAGTTCATGCAGGTATTCATCGAGTTATCCCTTCCTTTCCCCCATCCCCTACCCACAATCACTGAGCACCTTCCAAGACAGCCCTCAGCCCCGCACCTCCCCGCCCTGCCTGGCGCAGCAGAGTTCTTTCCCGGCCCTGAGGATCCTGAGTGCAAAGAGCCCAGGGCGTTGGGAACTGGCTAGAGGGAGACGGGAAGGGGCAGGGACGCTGCACGCATGAGCAAAGTGCAGCGGGGCCTCAGGCTCTGGGGAGAGGAGAGGACAGTGAGGAGCAGAGGTGGCCCAGGAACCAGGAGTCTGCCATCTGCCTGCCCTGTGGTCCTCCCTCTAACTCCAATTCTCCTGTAGTCAAGGGCAGGAGTCAGGCACAAAGGCTGGGGTGAGGCCCCACAGAGAGGCCGACGCCCCGCTGAGGAAACGGGGGTTTTAACTTTGCTCTCCATCAGGAAGGCCTCCTCATTGGCCTGGCTGGGCGAAGGCTGCAGGACATTCCAGGGAAGAACAGTGACCTTTGCTGAATTTCTCGCATGGGCCAGCAGTGAAATTCCTCAAGGGCCATGACGAGTGTTACTGGCATATTTTACAAATGAGGAGACCAGGTCGTCAAAGTTCAGATAGCTGGGCCCCAAATACCATAGAGAGCAAGGGGTCGGTCCGCAATTCAGACCCTGGCTCATTTCACTGTATAGACTGTGTTCTTCCCAGCTTGGTGTTGGCACATGACTGTGCGGAGCAAAATGCAGGAGACCCACATGCCTGCCTTCCCGCACCTCCGACAGCAGTAGGGGTGGCAGCTTCCTCCTGCGCTGTTGGCCCTGACTGATGACTTCCCAAACCTCCGACAGCAGTAGGGGTGGCAGCTTCCTCCTGCGCTGTGGCCCTGACTGAGGTGTGGCCCTGAGGGGACCAGCTGCTGCGGGGGTGGGGCCGCTGGGCCTGCCCTGGGAGTGGGGTGTCCACGTGGGCGGGGTCTGCCGGTACAGAGGAGGTGTGCCTGGGCCCCTGTGCGTGACAGGCCCCGCTGTGGAGACGGCTCCCGCCCACCTCACCCCAGAAAGGCAAGCCTAGGCAGCCATCCCCGTCCCCAGCCAGAGGGGCCCTTCAGTGCAGGACTTAGGGAAGAAACAGAGTGGTTATATGAGAATAATTGAAGCCACCCCATGAAAAAGAACTATATATGGTTTACTACAGAATCAACTTACACATATATATGTTTCCACCTCTCAGTTTGCAGTTGCTCCTGGCTCATCCATATGTGTGAGATATTTAATATATACATGTGTATATATATATGCAGATATGTATGTGTGTATGAATGTGTCATATATGATGTATGTGTGTATATATAAGCATATATATGATACATGTGTATAGATATTGCATACAGCACATTCATACACATAGATCGTGCATATATACACACATGCATAGTATATGTCATATAACACACACACACATGCACACCCTCAGTGTCATTCTCCCTGTGGCAATGCCATGCCTGGCCCGGGCATCGGTGACAAAGCACATGCTTCCTCCTCATGCACAAGTCCCCACCTCTCTCTTTGCAGTTGCTCCCCACTCATGCAGTAAGCACTGAGTCCCTGCCAGCTGTCATTCTAAGGCTCCAGTGATAGCTTATTCTAATGTGAAGATGGAGAAAATGCTGAAATAGAAAGGGGCTTATGTTGCCTCAAGGTTTGCTCTGCAAAATGCCTACACCATGTCCTGTTACCTGTTTCATTCATGCCCATCACCTCCTATTTGGAGGTGGAGAAGACATGTTTAATGATTTGCTTGTGGCTGGAGGAAAACATGCTCCAGGTGAGCCATACGTTAACAATCCCTCTGCTGTGTGGGGGTGTGCTCTAGCCGTATCTACTATGCACCCCTCTTCTGTGGCTGGTGGAGCAGTCCAGGGCCTTGTTAGTTCACCTCCTATTCTCGGCTTACACCCAGGGAGATGTGCTAAATGCTTGGCAGTCAGGATGGCTGGACCCAGCCCACCAGGAGGACAGACCTGTCAGCAGGGAAGGGCCGGAGTACTGGCTGCACTGGTTGGACCTCCACACGGGACATTTGTCCATTCACTCTTCTAGAAACACACCTGTCAGCCCACCCCCTAGCCACATGCGTTTATCAAGGGCCATGGAACAGGTGCACATGTGTCCTACCACTAGGCTGTGTGCACCAGTGTGTTCCTTCATGTGTTGGAATCAAATTTAATCTGGCTCCAAATGAATTGCTAAAAAATTCAGTGTGGTCATATTTAAGATGGGGTTCAAGTTATCACTGCTAGGGTTTTTCAAGGGTCCTGCAGAGGTTATGCAGACCAGGATATCTATGGAAGGGCCTCTATCTGCTACTGACATTGGCACTGTCCAAGGTGACGTGCCCACTAGCAGCTGGTAAGCTCTGACCACCGAGCCCTGCCCTGTGGAGGGGCCGGCTCCAGGCTCCTGATATCACATGCCCTCCCAAAGCCTTAAGCCCATCTTTTTCCATATGCTGGACTCCAGCGTTCACTTTCAGTTCCCCAAGCCATCCCTCTCACAGACTAGCTCCTTTCTTTCACAAGCTGTGGCCTTAGGAATACCACGTCTCCCAATTTGACGATAGACAAATAGCATCTTGATTTTGTGTGGTTACCTGAGCAGGGAAGGAACATGCTGCGCATTCTTGCTGATGACTTTATATATAAGAGTCACCTGCTCAGATAACCACAGGGCCAGGCAAGTCATATAAATCAGTGATGTACCTGCTGTAAGGCAATAAGGAGTAGTGTTGACTGTGGCAAACTGATAAGTACACGCTCTGCCCAAAGTCACTGAAAGAATTCTCTTCCAGGTTAAATAAAACCCATTTGTGGGCAAAATTGAGTCCACAGGCTACATTTCACAGTGTCCAGCTTACAGGAAAAGAAATGTAGCAAATGTTCCCATTATGTTAGCCTCCTATAACTTGTGGGAAACTGGTCATTTTTATCTCTCCCTCCAAACTCAACCCTGTGATCATTTCTTCTCTCTAGCCTTTAACTTTGTGCCCCAATAAAATTGTGAGAGCATTTCCTCTGCATTGCAGTTATCCATGATTCAATTTCAGTTTATAAGATTCCCTTTCTAATCCTTGTTTCCTTCTTTTTAATTTAATTTTTATTTTTAGTTGACAAATAATAATTGTATATACTTATAGGGCAAAATGTGATTTTTCAATACATGTATACATTGCAGAATTAGCAAATCAGGCTGATTAACAATACTCATTACCTTACATACTTCTTTTTTTTTTTTTGTTTCGTTTTGAGACGGAGTTTTGCTCTTGTTGCCCAGGCTGGAGTGCAATATCACCTTACATACTTATCATTTCTTTGTGGTGAGAACATTTAAAATCTACTCATTTGGTAACTTTGAAATATACAATGTTCTATTATTAACTATAGCCACCCTGCAGTGCAATAGATCACCAGAACTTATTCCTCCTTTCCAACTGAAACTCTACACCCTTTGACTAACAGTCCCCTCTGCCTTCCCAGCCCCTGGGAACCACCATTCTACTCTCAACTGCTCTTAGTTCCACTTTTTTGGATTCCACATATAAATGAGATCATGAGATGTTTATCTTTCTGTACCTGGCTTATTTCACCAAACGTAATGTTCTCCAGGTTCATTCACATTACAAATGACAGGATTTCCTTCTCTTTAAGGCTGAATAATATTGTGTTGTGTATATACACCACATTTAAAAAATCCACTCTTCCATTGATGGACACTTAAGTTGATTCCATATCGTCGCTAGTGTGAATGGTGCTGCAGGGAACGTGGGAATGCAGCCATCTCTGACATACTGATTTCAAGTCTTTTGGATGTATTCTCAGAAGTGGGATTGCTGGATCATAGGACAGCTTGCTTTTTAGTTTTTTGAGGAACCACCATACTATTCTTCAAGATGGCTGTACTAACTTACGTTCCCACAGACAGCATACAAGCGTTCCCTTTTCTCCACATCCTTGCCAGCACGTATTATCTTTTATCTTTTTGTTAAGAACCATTCTAACAGGTGATATCTCATGGTTTAAGTTTGCATTTTCCTGATGATTAGTGATGTTGAGCATTTTTTTTCATGTATCTGTTGGCCCTTTGTAAGTCTTCTTTTGAGAAATGCCTATTTAGGTCTTTTGCCTATTTTTAAATAGGGTTATTTGTTTTCTCGTTATTGAGTTTCTGATGCATTTTAGATATGGGCCCTTATCTGCTCTAGGATTTGTAGATATTTTCTCCCAGTCTGTAGGTTGCCTCTTCACACTATTAATTATTTTCTTTGCTGTGTAGAAGCTTTTTAGTTTGTCTATTTTTTCTTTTGTTGCCTACTTTTGGGGTCAAATCAAAAAAAAGTTATTGCCCAGACCAATGTTGTGTAGTTTTCCCCCATGTTTTCTTCTAGTAGCTTTACAGTTTTGGGTCTCTCATTTAAGTCTTTAGTCAACTTTGAGTTGATTTTTTGCACATGGTGTGAGATAAGCATCCAATTGTATTCTTTTATATGTGGATATCTAGTTTTCCCAGCACCTTTATGGAAATGCCTGTTAGTTCCCCAATGTATATTCTTGGCATTTTTGTCAAAATCAATAGAATGGAGATGCATGGGTTTATTTCTGGGCTGTTTATTCCTGTTCCATTGGTCAGTGTACCTACACCTTTCTTGCTTCTCTCTTCTTGATAGTTACAGTTGCTGTCCAGAGAACATTTGATATCTTACAAGTGAAACAAAGATTTAAAAAAATCAGTAACAGGACATAAATGTGATAGCAATAAGTCCAGGAAGGAGGTGTGGAAGTGATGGTTTCATGGGAGGTTCATTGCTTCCCTTAAAAGGGCCGGTTAGTCTGGGGTCAGTAAAAGGTGTGGGTGTGAGTTAGAATGCCCTAACACTCGACTGCGGCAGGTGCAATCTGTCACCGAGTAGGGAGGAGCTGAAGCGAGTGGACCGTGTCTCTAAGGAGTGCCGTGTTTATGCTGCAGCCAAGCTCCTCAGAGAACAGTTTGCTGACACTCTCCATTGTGCAGTCAGTTGTAGGAACAGTGAGGCTCTTGGTGATAACCAGCACCTCCCAGGAGGCATCAGAGTCCCAGCGGGAGGCAGATGGTTCACTCCAAACCAGGAGTTTGCAGCAAGTTTACAACGGAGGGATTCTTTGCAACAACCTAACCAGGGAAGCTTTCAGAGAATAAGACTGTGTCCTGGGGCTGGCAGCTGCAGGGAGCTTCACTGTTCCCAGGTTTAAAGGGGTGGAGAGGGCGAGGTTTCCAGAACCTGGAAAGGAACTGGTGTGGAGAGGGCTTCCTGGCAGGAGCTGTGGCTACTGGGAGGGGGATGTAGCCCACCCCATTATCCCTATCCTTCTTCCCCACACCGGGCTGACCCCAACAGGAAGCCAGGGTTGCTCTTGTCAGCTGCAGATTTGTGGAATTCAAAGGCCTTGACGGCTTCACTTGGGGCAATTGTTTGGTTATGAGTACCTGCTGGGGCCCGGGGCAGGGTGCGGCTGAAGAGAGGGAGTGTTTCTAACTGGAAAAACAGGTGGCTGGCAGGGAACTTTGGGGGTGCTTCTGAGTTGGGTGAGCCCCTTGGCATCCCTCATCCTGGACCAGCCTATCGTGTGCAGCGTGGCTGCAGGTGAGCTGGGATGCTTCATTGGTTACCGCAGGACATTGGTCAAATGCCCTTGGAATTGAGCACATTCAGCCATCAGATCTGGGCCTTCCTTGGGATCCTGGCTTGGGGGATGAGAGGGGGTTAGACAGGAAAGTATAGGATAGAAACTAGTGTATGTGCACATGCACGCACTCACACACATACACTCACATGCACACACTCACACATACACCTACACACACACCCACTTAACCTGCACACCAGACTGTGGGAGGCCCCTTTGGATCTGCTCCTGCCCCATCTCCTCTGTGTGTCTTTCCTTCCACAACCCTCTCGCCAAGACCTTTCCTTCCCCACTGCCCTTGCTCTACACCCAGTCCTGCTCAGTTCCCTGCTGCTCCCTGAGGGAGCCTCACCTGCTCACTCTCCATGCCTCTGCCTGTGCCGCTCCCTCTTTCTGGACAGTCTTTCTTCTTGTTCACTTGACGTGGAGCTTTAGGCCATCGTGGGCTGATGGCCTCCTCCAGTGGTTCCAGGCAGCCACGTGCTTGTCTGCCTTAATTTCTAACGCAGAGGGACTCCTGCAGAAACCACGTGTTAGCCAACTTTGACACTCAAACCCATTTCCCATGAGCACCTCTTATGATTTTAAAGATGCTTGTTTTGATTTCTAATAGACCTTTAAGATGGAGACCCTGTCTGCCATTTTACTATCCCCACCAGATCTGTGGGGCTTGACGGGTTAGTCTGCCCCCTGGTTCTCAGGATGTGGAGAGACAGCTAAGTATCAGGGTAATGGGACTCCTCTTTCTGATAACTTGGTGCATCAATCTGTGATGATTGGTTTTCTAATACCAATTAATAAAAAAATTATATTTGAAAAGGTAGTTTAGGAAATCCTCTTGAATATTGCTTGTTTACTTTTTTGAAGACAAGTGGTTTCACCACTTCTATATAGGTTGAAATTGCGCTTTGACTATTTCCTATTCTGGCAAATTGAGTTTTCTGTCTTTAGTTTCTGCCTTTTGTCTATTCTGCACATTGCTACCGTATTAACTTTCCTGGCCTTTTACAAATTAAAACATACATTTTCTATTATAAAAGTCATAGGCATTCATTATAGATACTCCCCAAAATAAAGAAAAGTCGGAGCAAGAGAGTTTTTAAGATCACCCTTGACCTTCATATCCAGAGACAATCTCTGTTGGTGTGAGCTGTTGTACAACATCAGCAGTCCAGGCTGTAGGTGCTTTGTGATGCCTGTTGTTTTGGGGTGGGTACAACACAGCGGAAGTCTCACAGTTGTGGTAGATGGACCCCCTCTTCTGCATATGTGGACCTGCATGGACCTTAAGCCTTCTGGATCTCGTTTCCCTTGTTGATAAGTTGGAGGGTGACAGTAACTGGGATCTAAGGTTTGTCAGGTTATTTATGTCCTTCCTGACACTTAGTGAGTGGGAAGTACACACTCAGTGAGTAGGAAGCAAATAGAAGTGTTCTAGTGCTCCTTCTAGGCATTGAGTCACCAACTAAGCCATTGTTATTGGGAGAGCAACGGCATCATTTAAAAACTAGGGATAGGTTTATGCGGGGTGTGGTTAGTAGGTGCCTCAGGTGGCCTAACGTGCAGTACAATTATGCATATTGCACAAGCAGCATCTTAAAACAACAGTATAAATGAGCGGATGCGCTGTATAATAGTTGTGTAAACATGCAATTCTAGTCTAAATATGACAAAATAAATAAAATAGCAAAATACATTCTTTCAAAACACTTTTTTATGAAACATTAACTGTTATTAATTATTGCTTGACTTAATCTATCATAGATTTGACTTAAAATTTTGTCACTGTTAATTTGATTTTTAGCTATTTCTTTTTCTAATACTATGATCCTGGTATTTTTCTAAAAAATATACTTTTTTTAATGCAGACTTCTTCTTCCCACAAAAGTCGCATATTTGTTTTTTCAGAATTGTGTTTTATGGAAAATAAAACTGAAGTTGCTTTCCATAGATGCTTCCTGTAGAATATAATGTTTACATTGAGGAAATTATCTCTACAGGTACTAAGGTACCCAGTAAGGTTAATACATCATGCAGGATATTATAACTTTTAATTTCTGGCAAAACTATGTCAGCCCAAATATGTCAATAGGAATTAGGAATTGTCTTATGGCCTTGCTTTTTTTTCTTTTTCAAAAAATTCTATTTTATTTTAGGTTCCTGGATACACGTGCAGAATGTGCAGGTTTGTTACATAGGTAAATGTGTGCCATGGTGGTTTGCTAAGGTGCTTTTTTGAACAAAACTTTTTTTTTTGAGATGGAGTCTTGCTCTGTTGCCCAAGCTGGAGTGCAGCGGCACAGTCTCGGCTCACTGCAGCCTCTGGTCCCCAGGTTCCAGTGATTCTCCTGCCTCAGCCTCCTGGGTAGCTGGGATTGAACAAAACTTTTTATATGGCAAAACTAATTAAATATGTTGTCTCTATTTATGATTCTTTGAAAGGGTTTGCTAAATTTAGGTGTTGCAAAATCATGGAACTTCTCAATTTTATTTCATTCTTGTTTAGAATAGAAATTTATGCAATTAATACTATACCTCTATCAGTTGAGATCTTCCAAAACATTATACAATTTCAGAATAAAACCTTATGCACAGTTTGAGCTTTCATTGTTTAATTTGTTCAGCTTACTTTTGAGGTGGATAAATTTCAAGGGCTTCCCGTTTATTTTCAACAATTACATTTTGATAAATCTTCAAACACAGTGTTTTTGTGTTTCTTTGGTTGAATACTTTAATGATTTTCAACTATGGTTGATCTAAATGCAATTAGTATTTCAGGGACTCATTTACAAAAGGGTCCAATACGATTGTTAGCTCTTTAGGTGGGTGTACTGGATCTTTGAAGTCTCAAATATTTCTAACATTAGCTTGATGACAGCAAAGAGAGAAACTCTGGACTACACTGGTAATTTTTTGTGCGGGTTCCACATCAGTGTTGCTATAAACATTTTGAAGTTCAGTTTCTCTATGTACAAATAAAAGTATTTAAACATGTGAAAACTGTAATTTCTATTTGAATGGAATAGTGCAGCTTGCTTGAATGCAATTATCAGTTACATCACAATCTATTGCAAATATCTTCTGTCAAACACATTTTTTAAATTTAGTAGGAATATTGTTTTTAACACGTACTGTGCTCCAACACAATTTGTATTCATGCCATCATTGCAAAACAATCATTTTATCTTCAGTGTTGGACTTTTATGCTGCATTTGTAAAGGCAGTCCTACTAATGTGAAATGCCTCACCACTGACAAAATGAATGTACAAAAGTTGGATGCTGATTCCATAGATTGACAAGAAGATCAAACCATTATTGGAATTAAATGCTTTTGTATCTGAAGCACCTGAGGACAATGATATAAACCTGGGATCATTTTGTCATGTGTGATGTGCTTCTGCTGAACAGCCTATCGATAACTATCACTTTACATTTTGTAACTTCGCAAACACTTGGAATCATAATGAAGAAAATATATCCTGGAAGAACCATCTGTGAACCTAAGTGAAAGTCATGCTTTAAAAGTGATATGTTGTTAAGCTCCGGCCTGATGGCAGAGACTCTGGAAGAGTCTTGGAGTCAGGAACTTACCAATGGGGCCCACAAGGTGTCATGGGTTGTGTCTCTGTCTGGGGCTTAGATCTCTTCATTTATGAATTTTTGCAGTCTGTGTGGTGGTTTCCAGGGTCCCCTGCACCTCTGGCCACTGTGGCTGTTCGTGTCCTCCCATCCTTTCTCATCGGAATTCAGGGAGCTGGGTGACCTTCAGCAGGACAGGCTGCTCAGGCTTTGAGACACACCACCGCTGGGGCAGTGACGCTAAAGATTCTCTTATGGCGGGGGGCCCACCATGTTGTCTCGCCAATGCGTGAGACACACACGTGGCTTCTGTTCCTAAGTCCCTACTAAATTTTTCTTTCTAAGAAAAAAACAAAAACAAAAAATACTCTCTGTTAAACTCTTAAATATTTGGAAGAAGCTTTCCCTATTTTTTGGATGGTATGATTGTTGCTAATTTTTCTGCTCTTTAGGCGCATCTCTGGCAAGCATCTTTGTGACTCTGGCCTTTTTGCATTGATAACACTGGTCACTATTCATGGAGGGGCTGTTGTGGTTCAGCACAGGCCACTGAACTATGCCGCCCATTTCATAGACAAAGGAGCAGGAGGTGAGAGGAGACAGCTGCATTTTTCCAGGAGACTTGAAGGGTAAATGATGGGGTCAGGATTTGAACCCTGGCACCTCTGAAGTTTAAGGCTGCCCTCTTTCAGCTATGCCATGGATATGTTTCCAGAAATGTGACTGGGTTAAGTGACATGAATGTCTTTAAAGCTCCTGGGGCATGCTTTTACCTGCTCATGAGCTGTCACAGACACTCAGAGATCACAACACACAAGCCTGTGATCCCAGCCCCAGACAGGCAGTGGTGAGGGTGCAAGGAGCAGAGAGGCCGCCTTTCTGCGGGAGCCAGGCTATAGCTCCTCACGGTGAACGGCAGTCACCAAAGCATGGGATGCCTGGGGCTGGCCCCGTCAGTTCCGCTTTTCTTGCCCTCTTACTCCCTGGTCCTCAGGCTCTGCCACACGTCCTCTGGCACCAAGAGGACTTGGTCTATAGAGCTCACTCCCTCTGTGTGGCCTTGGGCCAGCCTCTGGAGTCCACCTCCAACCCCTCCCCTACCAGGGGTGAGGTCACAGCCCTTCTCTTCCTAAGGCATCTGGGGAGAGCCAAACAAAAGAGCAGATGCTGACATGTTTGGAAATACCACAAAGAATTGTACTGTGGAAAGTGTCAACGTAATTGATAATAATAATATTTCAGCACAAACGTTCCCTGCTGGGGCTGTTTCCATTGCATTTTAGAAGGCAGATGATGGTATTCTTAGATCTTGCCACCTGTCATCCTCCCCAGGCACCCTCTAGACTAAAAGAAGTATGTCATGGGAGGCCTTTCACACCAGAGATTGGGGATGAGGAGGATAAAAAGAGATGTGTGTGACAAGCGTTGCAGGCTTGTCATGGAGGCGATGGTCTGTGGGCTTTATCTTTATTCATGTTCCTCCGAGAACCACTCTAGGGCCTATGGTGTCAGCCTACTGCATGGCCAGGGGCCAGTCCCTCCTGTGACCCCTCACCTCCCCAGCTTGCCAGCTTCTAGTGCCCGGGAGGCTGGAGTTCAAACTGTGTCCCCAGGGTGCACTGCATCTGCTGGTCCCTAAGGCAAGTCTTTGCATAGATGAAAGCTCAGGGTTAGCTTTCCCAGAAGACATGACTCATCTGTCCTGTCTTCATGGCCCACTGGTCTATTGGCAGAACAAGCACCACCCCAGTGCATGAATATGGAATCTCCAGGATGATGACATTCCTTCCTGCATTCAAGTCACCAGGTTAGCCAGTGCCCACAAACTGACCTGCAGTTCATTTAGTTCAGGGCATATTTATTGTGCACCGGGAACAGCAGTGGTGAGGATGATAATGACAGCGGCAGTGGTGGCCGGGGAGAGCGCCCCCACCACTGAGCAGGGTCTGCCTCTGTCCTGATCTCACACGTGGCACTGTGGTGCAGAGACACTCAGGACCAAGCTCTGCAGGCTGATCTGGGGTACACGGGAGAAGGGAAACCCCTGCTTGGGTTGAGCTCACTACCCTGCAGGGACCCTGACCAATACACACTTCTTACATGTGATGATTTGGACAGAAATCTTATTTTCTTTTCAAAACTTGCTCCCATGAGAGAGACTGCATTGTTGATGAATACCGCATTTCTCTCCCTTGATGAGCAAACTCGGGGACCAATAATATTCGATAGGGGTGGGGCGTGCAGTCTCCACCCAAACCCTCTCTGGGCTCTTATGATGGAGCGATGCGGTTGCGTGGTGCGGGCAGTGTGCCTATGCACCTTGGTGCCGCTCCACGGGGCCACTTGAGGGGCGGTGGGTGGTGTCTTGTTTGCCGGATAAGGAGTGGGACTGCCGGGGGCCAGAGCTGAGGGAATGGGGGGTTATAGCTTGGGAAAGAGAAGGAGGCAAGATGGGAAGGGTGGCAGTGGGGAATGGATATGGGGAAAGGATAGAAAAGGAGCAATAGCCTGGGGGTTCTGTTCCTTCTGTTTTTGCCGTGTGGCTGCCCAGCCCTATTCAATGTTCAGTCAAGTCATCATTTCTCAGCGGGAGGTGCGGTGCCTCGGAGTCGTTGTCGTGTTTGGAGGTTTTGACTGCGGCCTGCCATGCTGGGATCCACCTGGAACGGGGTGAGAACAGAGGGCTCTGGATGGAGAGGAGAGGAGGCCGGGGAGAGACCGCGAGTGTTCCTGGAGCCTGGCGTCTGAGCAGGCCCTTGGAGGAGGGGCAGCACTGATGGAGAGGAGGCTCAGCACTGATGGAGAGGAGGCTCCTGCGGACGCGTGGCGGGAACAGCTTCCTCCCAGAGTTCCCTGCAGCCCAGAATGGGGAGGGGGCACCCAGGGTCGGGGCAGCGGAAGGCCCTGCCTGCCAGGCAGGCTGATTGGAACGCCCTCCTGTGAGTGATGGGGGTCCAGGAAAGTTTGGTGAAGACACCTGTGAAGTAAATAAAAATATTTTATCCGAAAATATATTTCTTTGGCATATTTTGAGGTGGCTGTCAGGGAGCCAGCCAACAGCAGTGGCTGCAAAGCTGTCTTTTGTGGGGAAAATTAAGTCTGTAGAGAATCCGCGTGGATGCAGCCAGGCCTTTCCTTGTGTAGATGCAGGGAGATTAACCGAGAGCCTGCCACCTTTAAAGGCCTGAAAGAAACATCTACCTTCTATTCTCTCCAAAGGCTGCCACCTGTGAGGCTTCATCTACGCAACAAGGCCTTTGCCAGCAGGCGCCCTCCCTCCCTCCCTCTGCCCTCTGGCCATGTCTTACCACCATCTCTTGGTCCTGGCTGTACTCTGAGCCGGCAACTTTTCTGTAACCTTGAGGTGGTGCATAAGCCCTTGCACTCCATCCGGGGGTGGGAAGTCCGCCTGTGGTTCTTCCTGTGCGCGTGTGAATACATTTGTATGCCTTTTCTCCAATTAATCTGCCTTTTGTGAGTTGATTTTCCAGCAAACCCTCAGAGGGCAAAGGGGAGGTTTTCTCCTGGCACCTACTGCTGGGCAGTCATCACGTGCCACGTGCGGTGAGGGCGTCCCTAGGGAAACAATGGGGCTTCCTCAGAGAAGTGTTTTGGTAGGTGTGGCACCTGCATCTGGAGGGGAAGGCTCAGAAAGGGTGGGGTGAACCCATCAGGATTGCAGGCCTCCAGGGGCCGCGTGAGGGCTCTGGAAACCTGGGAAGCACCTTGAAAAAGGAGAAGGTGAAAGGAGGGTAGGAACACCTGGGCCCAAGAAAACAAAACAAGAGACCAGCCACCACTCCTCCAGCACACAGAGGCCCCGGCTCCTTCCAGAGCTGCCTCCAAGCCTGGCCTCACACCATGCGTCCTGGGTGCGGCTGCAGGGGTGAGGGGCCTCTGTGAGCACAGGAAGCACGACCCTCCCTGGGTGGATGTGCCCTTTGCCTCCTTGGTCAGGTCCCCAGAAGCCAAGGTGTCAGTGGCACCTGGTGGGGCTGTGGGCCTCACCTCTGGTCTGAATTCAGAGCACAGGCTTTGGACTAAGGGAGGCCAGCACGTGCACCCACTCCCTCAGCAAAATCATGGGTTTGCTGGGGGTTTCTGGTGCTCCCCACCACCCTCTCTGCCTTTTGTAAGTGTTCCCACCCCCAGCCCTTGGCTGCTGCTGCATTTGTGTTCTCTTTGCAGCTGCTCTGGGGGGATGGGGGGTGCTAGTGTGGTTGTGGCAGCTGCTCCTTGACTGGGCCAGTGCTGCAGGCAGCAGGACTGTGGCAGGGTCTTCATGCCCTGCAGTCCGGCTGCCCAGGAGCTGCGGACATCATCATGGCCCCAAGCTTCTCAAGAGGGGCTGGGGCTGCCTCCAGGGCTCACACGGTGCACAATTTCTCAAAAGAGGGCTCTGGGGCTTAGCAGAAAAATCCGTGAGTAATGAGCCAGGGAGAGTGGGAGTTCATGGAGGCTCTGCAGAGCACGGTAGCAGAGTGGCAGCCCAGCCTGGAGTCACCAGGGTGAGGGCGGCAGCCCCCAGCAGGCAGCTCCCCACTGGGCCACAGCAGATGGTGGCTGTGAGGCAGGAGAATAGGGCCTGGAGGCAGGGAACTAAGGACTTCCTAGAACGAAATCAAACGGAGACACTTCAGCTGTGACATGAAATATCCTCTCCATTTACATGGGGCATACAGTGAGTAACCAGTGGAAACCTCTAGAGGGTATTTAAACCCCAGAAAATTCTGTAACGGGGCCCTTGAGCCCTTGCTTGGGCCCGTTCCCACCCTGTGGAGGGTATTTTCATTTTCAATAAGTTTTTGATGCTTCATTCTTTCCTTGCTTTGTTTGTGCATTTTGTCCAATTCTTTGTTCAAAATGCCAAGAACCCAGCCAGCCTACTTCTGGAGCTTTTGTCTTCCTGAAGGGGGAGCTATTCAGCACTCCTGCCATTTGCTCCCATAGCCCAGGGTGCCTGGTCCCCTCCAGGCTCCCAGGTAGGTTCTCCTGGGGCTGGGCCTGAGCACCCTCTTGGCGCGGGCTCTTCCTCACCTTCCTCAGGGGTGCTTCGGTGACCAGTGACTGCCTGGCAGCCGGCAGCCCCATACTGACATGGAGAGGTGGTACGGGTGCTGGGACAGCCCGGGCATTCAGGACCACGCAGCCTGAGTTCCAGTCCTGCTTGCAGCTGTGTGACCTTGGGCAGGGCCACCTCACCCGCGAGGCACTTCCTTATGGGTTACACGGAGCTGGCAGTACTTAGCTCACAGGACTCACGTGCAAGTGTCAAGTGTAGAAAGTTTTTAACGCAGCCTCCACAATGCCTGGCCCCTGCCTGGTGCTCTGCGGTGGAGCCTGACCATGCGGTTGTAGCATGGTTCATATTTATCACCCTCACAGACGTGAGCCCGCTAAAGAGCCAATGCCGACCAATGCTTGTTTGAGAGGACAGCAAGGTTATGCTGCCTTAGCGTAGGTGTAGGTTACATTTCAAGCCAAGCAAATCTGGTTCTTTACTTCAGAAGCTGACAGCTGCCTCCCTCCTGGTTTCCTCCCAATGGTGAGGCCAGGGGTCCCTGACCCTCCCTCAGCCCCATTAGTGCAGGGAGTGTGATCTTCCCATGCGCCCTCAGCTTGGTTTCTTACTAGCTGCATGACCTTGGCCTAGTTACTTAACCTTCCTGAGCCACTATTTTCTCATCTGTGAAATGGGTTGAAAATGCCCATGTGGCACTAGGTGGAGATCCATGGCTCCTTTTGCTCCTGCTGCCTCTCAGGGCCTCAGCCCTCCTGTCTCTGCCTGTGGGAGCTTCCCCCAGGGAGCCCATGCAGGCAGGGTTTGCGGGTGGTCGAGGGAGTCCACGTTCAGGCCTCTAGGGGCAGCTCTGGTTCTCTTTGCAGGGTGCATCCTTCAGGCCTCATCCCTTCAGCCCTAAAGGGATTCATCAGGGTGCCCATGGAGGGCCCCAAGGAAAGCAAGGTTAGTGACACTGAATGACCCACTGGACCTGTTCCATCCTATTTCTCTCTCCAGAAGTGTAGCTAGCATGCTGCTAGTGTCTCATCCTCATGCATCTCTATACCTCCCCTATGTGCTTATGCATCCTTAAGAGCAGCACTGGGGGGTGGGGGGTGGGGGTGCCGTGACTCACACCTGGTAAACCCGTCGCTTTGGGAGGCGAAAGCATAAGGATCACTTGAGCCCAAGAGTTCAAGTTCAGCCTGGGCAACACAGGGAGACCCTGTCTCTACAAAAAATTTTAAAAAGTAGCCAGGCATGGTAGCACACACTTGATATCCCAGCTACTTGGCAGGCTGAGGCAGGAATATCGCTTGAGCCCAGGAGGTTGAGGCTTCAGTGAGCTATGATCGTGCCAGGGCATTCCAGCAAGGGTGATAGAGTAAGACCCTGTCTTCTAAAAACATAATGTAGCACTGCTTTGTGTGTTTTTAACTTCCTATAAGCAGCATCATGCTTTACATATTTTTCTGCAACTTTCTTATCCCTATCACTATTGTATTTGAGGCTTATCTATGCGAATGTTTTAGGACTAGATCATTTCAATATTGATCCAGATAATATGAATATTTTATTGTGTGATTTTGCATAAACATGGCTTAATTTATTTGCTCATTTAGGTGATTTCAATTTTTCTTTATTACAAAGAAACCTGTCCTGTTCATGTCTCTTCATGGATATAAATAAAAGATTCAAGAAGACAGGTGCTCGTCATAGAATTTCTGGACCTTCCATCCTAACCAGATAACACAAGAGTGCTCTGTGAGGCAGGAAGTCTTCTTACACTCACACCTGCGGTGGGAGCATCCTTGTTTCATCACGTCCTTCCAACGCTTGGCATTTTTAGGCTTTCGATATTGCCAATCTGATGAGTGCAGAACCTAGGCAGTTCTGATTTGTATTTTTCCACTTGCTAGTGAAGTCAAGCATCTTTTCACAAGTTTACAGCATTAAGGTTTCTTCTTCTGTGAGTTGCCTGTTCACATCTTTTGCTCACTTTGTTTTGCTTTCTTTGTCTAATTTCCTGTGATTTTTATTTTTAAATTTTCACTTATTTGCCAGGGTTCATAATCGTTGCTTGATACTAATCCTTTTTATTTATATGTAGAATGATCTATGGTATATCATGCTGGCTGGACATTTCTGAGAGTGAGAAGAGGGCATTGGTAACAATGACACTGAGCAACAGATGGGGTAGGGACTGTGCCAGGCAGACCAGGCAGATGGGCCACCCATTCATCAGAATGGCCTCCACAGACTTCATTGTTGATTTGATTTCCAGCCTAGGAAATAATTGTTTTTTGTTTTTTTTTTTGGTGTGCAACTTTTATTGAATAGTTCATCTTTACCCTTCTAATTTCTAAAACTATTCTATAATTTTAAAAATTCTTTCTGGGCTCTCTTTTCCATTGTATTCTTGTGGTAAAATACCATTCTGTCTAAATTACCTTAGCTTTATAGCAGCAGTGGTGATTGTTAGGGTATCTCCATTGGTTTTCCAAAATTATCTTGCCTATTTTTCATCCTATGTGTTTTAAGAAGAACTTGTCATGAAACACACACAAACCCTACACCCACATATTTACACACACACAAACATACAGACATACACACATATGCAGACACACATAGGCACATTTAAAATATTTGCAATTTTATTGCATTTATAAAGTTTACTATATTTATGAAAATGGCATATCTTCCTACTTAATCAGGTACTTATTAATATAAGGCATGAGAAGGAGAATTTCTTTCTGGAGAAAGAAATTTCCTCCAGTCCAGAAGGAAATTGTCAGAACACTTGGTAGCTGTCAGAGCTACCAAGTTCAATGGAATGGCCAGGTCCCTCCCTGACTGCTCTACAGTGAGGACCATCAGGCCAAAGGGAAGACCTAACTTAAGGAATAATACAAGAAAAGATCCAGAATTGAAGGACTAAGTTGCCAGATCAAAAGAACTAGATAATTATTAAATAAAGTATTAGTTAAGATGGCATTGCCAATAGCACCCTTGAAAGAAGACAATGAGGCAATGCCTTAACATTTTCTATCAGTCTCTATCTCTCGCTATAGAGAAAGATCTGTTATTCTCAGTTGCCATGTTCTATAAAGCTGCCATGAAAACTGGACTAGTGAATACTGAAACATTACTCCTTAGGGAAATATGTACATATTGTATTGCACATAGATTTTAATCTTAAATCCTAAAACAGCACATCCTGGTAGATTCTATCTTCTTTTTTTGTAGAACAGAAATGAGTTTTGGAACTCTTAAGTCATGTGCCTGAGGACGCCCAGCTAGCAGGTGCCTCTTGGGATTGGAACCAAGCTTGTGCCACTGCCCCGGCTGGAGCTTCTCACACAGCGCTGCACTGCACTGCACTGCCCTGCCCCCTCTCTGGTCATCTCTGAGAAGGAAACCAAAAGGCAGAGAGCCCTGCCCTATTCAACCACAGGGGAGGGACTTATGTGAAGGGCGACTCAAGTTTTTCCCAGATCTGCATGTCCCTGAATGACCATAAAATCTCCGCAAGTATTGATTTCGAAGGTTACCAATAAATTTTAGTGAGTAGGTGAATTCATAAATATGAACTCCATGAATTATGAGTTTTGACTGTGTGTGTGCGTGTGTATAAAACATTATTGGACTTATGTATCCTTTTGAAACTTGCTTTTTTCTTTCAGTATTATTGTTGTGAGTTACATCTGTGTTCATACATGAAAATCTAGTCTACCTGTGCTACTGCTATATAGTATGTGTATATTTGTAAATTATACACAGTTTGTGTGTCCTTTTGCCTGTGGAAGGAGATTAAGATGCGTCTAAAATAAAGATGTTTTTGGTCATCTACAATCCTAGAAAATTGATCTCCTAGGCATCCTTTTAAAGAAATCTGTCTGAAAGATGTGCCCCAACAAAATGAGGGAGTAAATCAAGAAAATGGAAAACATAGAATGCAGGAATCAAGGGACCTCACACAGGAGAGAGGTGAAGGCAGTCCCCTGAAAGATGGTGAGGGGAACTCTGCAGATGGCAGCCAGGTGCAGAGGGCCCCAAGGGAAAAAAGGAGCTGATGAACTTCTTGATGCTTTTGACATTGGAGAGCTTTGGGTTACTGTAGGGAAAGGCACATAGAAAACTAAACAAGCAAAAAAGGACTTATTAACTCCCACAAAAATAAAAAAGGTGTAAAAGAAATAAAATGTCGTCATGGTATACTTTCTGAATTAGAAACAAAAAACTTCATTGTTATGATAATTTAAACCTCAAGTCGTCTTTTATACAGAAAGTGTGAGGAAATCACAATGGCAGGCCCAGATAGTGGTGAGCCTGTGTAAGTGTGAAGGGAGTGAGTATGAGAGGTAAGTGCTTCTCTTCTGCAGCAGGAGTTCATAGACAACATCTCAAAGTGAGGGTCAGCACAAGCACACAGGACACAGGAGGTGCCACACAGCAGGAACAGGTGCGGGGACTGGGGCCTGGCCTCTGAGCAGTGGGCTTCCAGAAGAGGAGAAGGAGGGAGGGCCCTGCTCCCGCCTCCTCTAGGTCCTGTGGTTCTGTTTGACTTTCAATCTTTGTGCATGTTCTGTCTTTATAAACAAACAAACAAACACAAAGCCCACAACTTAATTTTTAAAAATCCCCCTTAAAAATCTATCTTCTAAGGGTAAGAATATCTAAAGAATTCTTAAAACTCGATAAGGAGAACAAAATACTGGACTTAAAAATAGGCAAAGGATGTGAATAGACATGTTCTCAGAAAAGATTTACAAATGGGCAAGAAGCACATGAAAAGATGCTCAACATCACTAATCATTAGGGAAATGCAAATCAAAACCACAATGAGATATCATCTCACACCTATTGGGATGACTGCTATTTAGAAAAAAAAAACAGAAAATAACAAGTGTTGGCAAGGATGTGTAGAAATTAGAACCCTCATGTACTGTTGGTGGGAATGTAAAATAGTATAGCTCCTATGAAAAACAGTATACTGGTTCCTTAAAAAATTAAAATAGAATTATCATATGATCCAGCAATTCCACTTCTGGGTATATACCAAAATGACTTGAAAGCAGGATCTTGAAGAGATACTTGTATACAGCCCCATTATTCACAATAGCTAAAATGTGGGAGCAACCCAGGTGACATGGTTTGGCTGCGTCCTCACCTAAATCTCATCTTGAATTGTATCTCCCATAATTTCCACATGTTGTGGGAGGGACCCCGTGGGAGATAAGAATCATGGGGGCTGTTTCCCCCATATTCTTCTCCTGGTAGTGAATAAATCTCACAAGATCTCATGGTTTTGTAAGGGAAACTCCTTTTGCTTGGCTCTCATTCTTTCTCTTGCCTGCTGCCATGTAAGACATGCCTTTCACCTTCTGCCATGATTGTGAGGCCTCCTCAGCCATGTGGAACTGTGAGTCCATTAAACCTCTTTTTCTTTACGAATTACCCAGTCTCAGGTATGTCTGTATTAGCAGTGTGAAAATGGACTAATACACCATGTGTCCTTTGGTGGATGAAGAGATAAGCAAAATGTGGCATATTCATGCAATGAAATACTATTCAGTCTTGAATAGAAAGGAAAGGAAGGAAAATTCTGACATATGTTAGAATTTTGAAAAGAAAGGAACTTCTGACATATGTTACAACATAGATGAAACTTGAAAATGAAACTGGCCCACCTGTTTCTTGTATAAACATAGACATTGACCCTTACTGGTCTTAAAGCTTGAAACTTACATTTGTCTTATCTCAGTTCCTTCCTTAAGGTACCGACTCTTACTCTTCCCAGATAGTATCAAGGAAGTGAAACTCACCAAATCACTGCATCCAGACAATGAGATGCCAGACCATCCATCATGATTCCTGTCTATCAACTCATCTTCCTTACCCCTCTCTAAATCCTGTTTTCCTACCCACAGTTACATTTCTTCTATGCTATATAAGGCCTTAATTTTAGTTAGTTGAGGAGAAGGATTTGAGACTGATCTCTCATTCCACTTGGATGGAGCACCCAAATACAGCCTTCCTCCTGCCAATACTCGTTGTGTCAGTGATTGACTTTCTGTGTGATGAGCAATGGACCTAGGCCAAACTGCTTGTGTTTCAGTAACAAAACCGTTATGCCAAGTAAAAGATGCCAGTCGCAAAAACACAAATGCTATATGATTCCACTTATGTAAGGTACCTAGAACAGTCAAAATAATAGAGACAGAAATTAGAATCATGTTTCATTTTCTTTAATGGATAAATAGTATCCCATTTTGTATATACTCCACATTTGAAAACCACATTTGAAGGAGTGGCCTGCCCCTCCACACCTGTGGGTATTTCTAATCGGGTGGGACAAGAGACTGAGAAAAGAAATAAGACACAGAGACAAAGTATAGAGAAACCACAGTGAGCCCAGGGGACCGGTGCTCAGCATACCAAGGACCTGCACCGGCACTGGCACCGGCCTCTGAGTTCCCTCAGTTTTTATTGATTATTATTTTCATTATTTCAGCAAAAAGGAATGTAGTAGGAGAGCGGGGTGATAATAAGCAGAAGGTCAGCAAAAAACATGTGAGCAAAAGAATCTATATCATAATTAAGTTCAAGGGAAGGTACTATGACTGGACGTGCACGTAAGCCAGATTTATGTTTCTCTCCACCCAAACATCTCAGTGGAGTAAAGAATTACAAAGCAGCATTACTGCAGACATGTCTTGCCTCCCACCATAAGGCAGTTTTTCTCCTATCTCAGAATTGAACAAATGTACAATCGGGTTTTATACTGAGACATTCAGTTCCCAGGGGCAGGCAGGAGACAGTGGCCTTCCTCTATCTCAACTGCAAGAGGCTTTCCTCTTTTACTAATCCACCTCAGCACAGACCCTTTACGGGTGTCGGGCTGGGGGACGGTCAGGTCTTTCTCATCCCTCGAGGCCATATTTCAGACTATCACATGGGGAGAAATCTTGGACAATACCCTGCTTTCAAGGGCAGAGGTCCCTGTGGCTTTCCACAGTGCATTGTGCCCCTGGTTTATTGAGACTAGAGAATGGCAATGACTTTTACCAAGTATACTGCTTGTAAACATTTTGCTAACAAGGCACGTCCTGCACAGCCATGGATCCCTTAAACCTTGATTTCATACAACACATGTTTTTGTGATTTCCAGGTTGAGTCAAAGTGGCTGGGGCAAAGTGGCTGGGGCAAAGATACAAATTAACAGCATCTCAGCGAAGCAATTGTTTAAAGTACAGGTCTTTTTCAAAATGGAGTCTCTTATGTCTTCCCTTTCTACATAGACACAGTGACAGACTGATCTCTCTTTCTTTTCCCTACAACATTCATCTACTGATGAACACTCAGGCTGATTCCTTCTCTTGGCTATTGTGAATAGTGCTGCAATAAACACGGGAGTGCAGGTGTTAATTCAACATAATGATTTCAAATTCTTTGGATACATACCCAGTAGTGGTGGTGTCCAACAGGTCAGGTTACCAAATGGGAAAAGTAAGTGAGGGAATTCCTGGGATCGGGCTGATCTCCTGGAAGTAGAGAGTAGCCTAGTGGTTATCAAGGACAGGGAGGACAAGAGGGATGGATGTGGGGAGGGGTTGGTCAATGGATACAAAGTCACGGTTAGGTAAAGGGAATAAGTCCTGATGCTCTGTTGCACAGTAGGTTGACTATAGTTAACAGTAATGTATTGTGTATTTCAAAATGGCTAGAAGAAAATATTTTGAATGTTTTCACCACAAATAAATGACAAGCGTCTGAGGTGCTAAATATGCTGATTACCCTGATTTGATGATAGCACAATGTACACTTGCATCACAACATCACACTGAATCTATAAATATGTACAATTGTTATGTATCAAGTAAAAACAAAGTAAAAAACTTAAAAATCAAGCAATACTTAAGAAAAAGAAAGTAGAATGGTGGTTGCTAGGGTCCAGGAAGAGCGGGGGCTGGAAGGATGGGGAGTTATTGTTTAATGGATACAGCTTCAGTTTTCCAAGATGAAAAGAGTTGTGGAGATGGATGGTGGTGATGCTTACACAACATTATGAATGTGTTTAATAACACTGAACTGTATGCTTAAAATCATTAAGGTGGTAAATTTTATGTTATCTGTATTTTATCATGAAAAAAATTGAACAAAAATCCATCTTCTTGAGGCATTTCCTCCCATTGCACTTATTCTGGCTTCTCGTTGTTGCAATATGTGAGGCCAGAGTCAGGAGGAGGCGTGAAGGCTTCCTCCACCGTGTGCAGACTCGCAGACCCAAGGCCGTGCCAAGAACCCCTGACTCTTCCCCACATGGGTGCTGAGCAGCAGACTGGTCACCTCTTGTAATTAGAATCATCTTTGACATGGCAACCACTGTTGATGATGTAGCTGAAGGTTGAGGTTCGGGAACATCTGATGTGATGCAATTTGTGTTTAGTTACAACAAAATTTTTCTTGTCCAGGTTAAAAATGAGGGCTTTAATGGCCTTATTCTTGACCTTTAATTTTCCAAGCACTGAAGCAACTGCCCTGCCCCTCAGGATGGTAAGCAGAGAGGAAGGTGTCTTGTAGTTGCCCCAGCTCTCCAGCCTGGTCATGGTGCTGACCCCATGGAACAAGCCCTGTAGACAGAAATGAGGCTACCAGCGAAGGAGGCTGCCAATCCAGTCCCGCGTGGTCTGCTGAGCCCTTTAACTTGTCCACACAGGCTCAGAAAGTGCTCTAATACAATGTGTCAATTCCCAGTCTCTTGTGAAATAGCTGAGTAAGTCATTTAACCTTCCCGGGTTTCTGGCTGCACATCTGGCAACACTGGGCCTAATTTCAGAAAACTCCAGAAGTGAAAGCAAACTTGGAAAGATGGGAAAGACTACCTGCTGTGGCCTCCAGCTGTCAAGCAGGACTCACCTTACCCAACAAGCTGGGGGTCTTATGTTATCATGGAGGAGGGGCCTGATGGAAGATATTCATGCTTGGGGTGGGGCAGGCCAGTCTTCAAATCCGGGGCTGCCTCTTGCAGTGGTTGAGTCTTTGAAATTGATATAACCTCACAGTAAAAGGCAGCTGGTGATGTACACATTGCAGGGATTGTAATGGGAATTGGAGATGATATATTTACATAGCTGGCAGGGACACCAGTGCACAGGGGGTCCCCAGCAAAGGGCAGCTCAGAGCCTGCTTCCTCATCCTCCATCCTGGAACCATGCCCTGGTGCTAGGTTCAAAGAAGTCTGTCCTGGAAGGGGGGCCCCAGAGGTATTCAAGGCCAATGTTCCTTCCTCCTTTTAGCCATGCTTTAAATCAATTGAGATTTTCTTGTACTTTATTTCATGTAATTGCATTGGCTTAAAAGGAACACTGCATATGCTTTTGAAATCAGGTTTTCAGGTCACCTCCTCCACTCGGACGTCTTAGATGAGCAGGTGAATTGAGTTCTGTAGGCTGTGTAGTTGGACGGTTGGTCGGTGGGTTGGTTACTAATGTGAGGGTTCCTGCCCTTTGCCCTCCCCTCCCACAATGTGGCCTCTTCAGATGGACCCAGTGAAACTGAATCAACAAAAGATGGGCTCACTGCAGAACTTCTCTTAGGTTCGAGTTCGACTAGACGGATTGGAGCACATAGAAGCTGTATCACTTAGGCTGCACTGTGAGTGGGGGAGGTGTTGGAGGCTGGGCTAGGCTGAAAGTTGTGTTTCCCGCTGTGACTGTGGGTGTTATGACCACAAAGATATTTTGACTTAGAGCCAAGGAGGGCCAAGGCCTTATCTTCTTGGTAGTGTCCAACAGGTCAGGTTATCAAATGGGGACAAATAAGTGAGGGAATTCCCGGGATCAGGAATGTGGAGTATGAACCAGTCAGGGTGTTGGCTCAGGATGGAGGTAGTGAACAGGGAACAGGAACTAGAGCTGCCCCTTCTGTGGAGCTGGCTGTGTGCCGGGGTTGGGGTGACAGCCTAAGGGAGTTCAACAGAGCCATGCAGGAAAAACCAGAGTTCCTGGAAAGTGGTACAGAAGGGAACATGGCAGATGTGGAAGCCTGGGGTAAAAAGGAGTATTCATTTGGTCTAGGAGGGGAATTCCTTGAGCGGAGCCCAAGAGGCATTCTGGTCCTGGAGTCTGCTGTTTCTAAAACCCAAGCTGTCTGCTTGTGCATATCAAAGCCCATATCACTCTTCTCTTTCTGCCTAGAATGCCCTTCCAAGACTGTCCTCTTGGCAAAAGCGTAATCATTAGCTCAAGCCTAGCATAGTGCCTGGATCATAAGTGTTAAGCAAGTGACAAACACCACCCTACCCCCACCACTATCTCCTCCCCACCCTTCTCCTTCAGATCTCATATTTTAGTAGCTACTGATACACTCCCTGACCTCTAAACCAGGTTATTCAGACACAATGATGTTCCCCATATTTGGGGCACATTAGAATACTAATGCCAGGGAACAGCCCTCAAGGAATTCTTATTTCCTTAGTCTTGGGCACGATTGAGGAATCAGTAATTTTTAAAAACTTTCAGATTACTCTAACCTGCAGCTTGAATTGTGCATGTCTGAGATAGAATCCCCATGCCACTTCCTCAGCACTCTTAAAAAATGCCTAGCACAGAGCTCAGCCCATGCTAAGTACTTTTAAAAGAACTATAAATCTAGTAAGGGTTGACTAATTCCTTTTTGCTATCATGTTGCAATTTTCTTTTATTTATTCATCAACATCTTCTACAATTAAGATGTGTCTATGAACAACAACTATAGGTATGAATAAGCATTGGTGTCTCTGGAATTATTAAGAATTACTGAAGTGTGAAATATCATTGTTTAACAGTTCTAATATCTACATGAAGACTATTTTAAATAGCCTTGAGATATAGCTTACATACCCAAAAATCCACCCATTCGAAGTGTACATCTCTGCAGTTTTTTTTTTTTTTTCTTTTGAGATGGAGTCTCACACTGTCGCCCAGGTTGGTGTGCGGTGGTGCAATCTCTGCTCACTGCAACCTCTGCCTCCCAGGTTCAAGTGATTCTCCTGCCCTCAGCCTCCCAAATATCTGGGATCACAGGTGCCCACCACCACACCTGGCTAATTTTTTGTATTTTTAGTAGAGATGGGGTTTCACTATGTTGGGCAGGCTTGTCTTGAACTCCTAACCTCGTGATCCGCCAGCCTTGGCAGCCCAAAGTGCTGCGATTACAGGCCTGAGCCACTGCGCCCGGCCCATCTCTGAAGCTTTTAACATATTCAGAGTTCTGCATTTATCACCACAATCGAAGTTAAGGACGCTTTCATCACTGAAAAGAAACCCAGTACCTATTAGAAGTCCCTCCCTATCTCTTTTCTAATCCCAGTCCTAGGCAAGCACTACCTCTTTTCTGTTTCTATAGATATGCTTATCTGGATATTTTATATAAATGGAACAACACAAAATGTGGTCTTTCATGACTGGCTTCTTTCATGAAGCTTAATGCTTCCAAAGTTTATCCATATTTTAGTATGTTTTAATATTTAATTTCTTTTTATTGCAGGATAACGTTCCATTATATGAATGCACCACATTTTGTGCATCCATTCATCAGCTGATGGAAGTTTGAGATGTTTCAACTTTTTGGCTATTATGAATACTGCTGCTGTAAACATTTGTGTACAAATTGTTGTGTAAATATATTTTTTCTTTCCTCTTGCATATATACTGTTCATTTGGGCTACTATAAAAAAATACCACAAACTAGGTAGATTATAAACAACAGTTATTTACCTCTCCCAGTTTTGGAGGCTGGGAAGTCCAAGATCAAGGTGCTGGTATCCGGTGAGGGCCCGCTTTCTCATAGCTGGTGACTTCTTGCTATGTCCTCACATGATGGAAGGGGCAAACAAGCTCCCTCATGCCTCTTTTATAAGGCCTATGTATTAGTCCATTTTCACTCTGCAAATAAAGACATATTTGAGACTGGGCAATTTATAAAGGAAAAAGTTTTAATTGACTCACAGTTCAGCATGGTAGGGGAGGCCTCAGTAAACTTACAATCTTGGTGGAAGGGGAAGCAAACACAACCTTCTTCACATGGCAGGAGCAAGGAGAAGTGTTGAGCAAAAGGGGGAAAGGCCCCTTATAAAATCATCAGATCTCGTAAGAACTCGCTCATTATCATGAGAACAGCATGGAGATAACCGCCCTCATGATTTAAGTACCTCCCACCGGCTCACTTCCACAACATGTGGGGGTTATGGAAACTATCATTCAAGATGAGATTTGGGTGGTGACACAGCCAAACCATATCATTCTGCCCCTAGCACCTCCCAAATCTCATGTCTTCCATTTTAAAACATAATCATGCCCTTCCAACAGTTCCCCAAAATCTTAACTCATTCCAGCATTAACCCAAAAGTCCAAGTCCAGAGTCTTATCTGAGACAAGGCAAGTCCCTTCTGCCTATGAGCCTGTAAAATCAAAAGCAAGTTAGTTACTTCCAAGATACAATAGGGGTACAGACATTGGGTAAATACACATGTTTTGAATGGGAGAAATTGGTGAAAATAAAGGGGTTACAGGCCCCATGCAAGTCTAAAATCTAATAGCGGAGTTGTTAAACCTTAAAGTTCCAAAATGGTCTCCTTTGACTTCATGTCTCACATCCAGGTCACACTGATGCAAGAGGTGGGCTTCCATGGCCTTGGGCAGCTCCGCCCCTGTGGCTTTGCAGGGTACAGCCCCCTGTCCCAGCTGTTTTCATGGGCTGGCATTGAGTGTCTGTGGCTTTTCCAGGTTCATGGTGCAAGCTGTTGGTGGATCTACCATTCTGGGGTCTGGAGGATGGTGGCCCTCTTCTCACAGCTCCACTAGGCAGTGTCCCAGTGGGGACCGTGTTTGGGGGCTCTGACCCCACATTTCCCTTCTGCACTACTGTAGCAGAGGTTCTCCATGAGGGCCCTGCCCCTGCAGCAAACTTCTGCATGGACATCTAGCCGTTTCCATACATGCCCTGAAATCTAGGAGGAGGTTCCCAGACCTCAGTTCTTGACTTCTGGGTACTCGCAGGTCCAACACCATGTGGAAGTTGCCAAGGCTTGGGGCTTGCACCCTGTGAAGCAATGGCCTGAGCTATACATTTGTCCCTTTTAGCCATGGCTGGAGCAGCTGGACACAGGTCCACTTGCATACCTTCTTTGCAGAATTTTCTTTAAATTCTTTGCCCAATTTTAATATTGGATTATTTATCTTTATCATTGAGTTGTAAATGTTCTTTATATAGTCTGAATATAAGCCTCATACTAGATATAAGATTTGCAAACATATTCCCTCATTCTGTGGATTTTCTTTTCACTTTCTTGATAGTATTATTAGAAGCACAAAAGTTTTAAATTTTGATGAAGTCAATTTATCATTTCTTCTTTCATCATTTGTGCTTAGAGTGTTGCACCTAAGGAACTATTCCCTAACTTAAGGCCATGATTTACTTCTATGTTTTCTTCTCAGGTGTCTATAGTTTTAGCTCCTACATTTAGGTCTATGACTCCTTTTGATTAAATTTTGTGTATGGCTTGAGATAAGGGTCCAACTTCATTCTTTTGCATGTGGATAGCCAGTTGTTTCAGCATTATTTTTTGAAAAGACGATTCTTTCCCCATTGGATGCTCTTGGCACCCATGTGGAAAACCAATTGATGATAAATATATGAATTTACTTTTGGACTCTCAATGTCTATTTATATAACTGAATCATATCACCTTGATTATTATAGATGTATAAGTTTTGAAATTGAAAAGGGTGAATCCTTCAGCTTTGCTTTTCCTTTGTAAGAATTTTGGCTATTCTGGGTCTCTTGTGTTTCTACATAAATTTTAGGATCAATTTGCCAATTTCTGAAAAAAATTAATTTTTGATTTTGTTAGGGATTTTGTCAAATATGTAGCTACATTTTGGAAGTATTACTATCTTAACAATATTAAATATTCAGATCAATAAAATACAATGTTTCATTTATTTAGATCTTATTACTTTCTTTCAATGTTTTTGTAGTTTTCAGTGAACAAATATTATACTTTTTTATTAAATTACTTAAGCTTATTATTCTTTTTGATACTATTGTAAATGGAATTGTTTTCTTAGTTTCATCTTCAGGTTATTCATTACTAGTGTATAGAAATACAATTGATTTTTATATATTAATCCTATATTCTTTTGCCTTGCTGAATTTATATATTAGTTCTAATAATTTTTATTGTATTCTATAAGACATTTTATATACAAGATGATGTCATCTGTGAATAAAGATAGTTTTATTTTTTCCCCAGTATTGATGTGTTTATTTCCTTTTGTTGCCTAATTGCTCTCTGGCTTGAACCACCAGTACAATGTTGAATACAGAAGTGGTGAGAGTAGATATCCATGTCTTGTTCCTGAACTTAGAGGAAATATTTGTTCTTAAACCAGTAAGTATATGTTACCTGTGGGTTTTTGGAGACGTCCATTATAAGTGTGAAGAAGTTATTTTCTAGTCCTAATTTGTTGAATGTTCTTGTCATGGAAGGGTGTTGGATTTAATCAAATGCTTTTTTTTTTTTTTATTTTGGCATGCCTTGAGATGATCATGAGGTTTTTCTCTTATACTTTATAAATAAGCTTTACTAAATTAATATCTTGATGATAAATCAAATATATTCTTGGGAAAAACCCATCTGGTTATGGTGTATTACTTTTTATATGTTGCTGGATTTGATTTACTACTTGAGGGATTTCTTGAGGATTTTGAGTTTATATTCATTGAGATTTTGGTTTGTAGTTTTATTTTCTTGTGAGATCATTGTCTAGTTTTGATATTAGCCTAATAATGGCCTCATAGAATGAGTCAGGATGTATTCTGTCTTCTTCTATTTTGTGGAAGAATTTATGAAGAATTGGTATTAGTTATTCTCCAGATATTATCTAGAAGTCTTCAATGAGGCCATCCGAGCCTATGCTTTTCTTTGGGGAAAGATAGAAATTCAGTTTCTTGACTTGTTGCAGGCTAATTGAGATTCTTTGCTTCTTGAGTGAATTTTGATAATTTGTTATCTTCCTAAAAATTTAAACATTTGATCTAAGTATTCTAATATATCAGCAAATAGTTGTTCATAGTATTTGCTTGTAGTCATTTTTTAATTATGTAAGGTAGTGACATCCCCTCTTTCATTTCAGATTTTAGTAATTTGAGTCTTCTCTCTTATTTTCCCCAGGAAATGTAAAGTTTAGCCAATCCATTGATCTTTCAAAGAATACAATTTTATTTGTTGATTTTCTTTATTGTTTTCTATTCTCTGATTCATATCTACATTTATTTATTTATTTTTTTCTCTTTCCTTCCTTTTATTTACTTTGGATTTAGTTTGCTCCTCTTTTTCTAGATTCTTACACTTAAGTATTAGGTTTCAGAGCTTTCTTCTTTTTTTAATAAGTTTATAGCTATAAATATCCTCAGTGCACTGTCTTAGATGCATCTTACAAGATTTAGTATCTGGTGTTTTTGTTTTCATTCATCTTAAAGTGTTGTCTAATTTCTCTTCTGAGCTCTTCTTTGAACAATTAGTTACTTAGTAGTGTCTTGTTTAATTTTCACACACTTGTGAGTTTCCTAAATGTTCTGGTTGGTTGAAGAACATACTTCATATTAATTCATCCTTTTAAATATATTGAGGTTTGTTTTTAATGGCTTTGCAGTTTTCTATTCTGTCAAATGTTCCATTTGCAGTTGAACAGAATGTCTGCTATTTTTGGGTGCAATGTTCTAGAGATGTCTGTTAGGTCTAGTTAATGTGTGGTACAAATCTTCTGTATCCTGGTTGACCTTCTGCTTAGTTATTTATCCATTATTTGAAGTGAAGTACAGAAGTCTCCAAATATTATTGTTGAACTATCTATTTCTCTCTTTAGTTGTCAGCTTTTGCTTCCTGTGTTTTGGATTCTGTTGTTAGGTGCATATATGTTTACAGTTGCTACATCTTCCTGATGGGTTAAATCTTTATCATGAAACATGTCCCTTTAAATTTCTAGTAATAATTATTGTCTGAAAGTCTAAATTTTTCTGATTTACTGTAGCCACTCTAGCTATCTTCTGGTTATTGCTTGCATGGTATTATTTTTTCAATTTTTTTTATGTTCAAACTATTTGCATCATTGACTCAAAAGATTGGCTTTTATAGATGGCACATAGTTGGATCATGTGTTTTATTCATTCTATCAATCTGTGTTTTTTGATTGGAGTGTTTAATTCATTTGCATTTATGTAAGTACAGCTATAACAGAATTTACATTTGTCCCTTTGGTTTTTGTTTTCTATATGTTTTATATCTTTGTTCTTCTCTTTCTTCAATACTCCCTGCTTTTGTGTTAAGTAGAATTTTTCTAGTATGCCACTTTAATTACTAGTACATTTTTGTGTTATTTTCTTCATGGCTTCCTGATGGCATTACAACTATTGTCTTGGTTTAAAACTTTCTAGTTTTGATTAATGCTAACTTGACTTCAAAATCATAGAGAAAATTTACTCCAATTTATCTCCATTTCCTCTTCTTTGTATTATTAATGTCATATAAATCAAGTATTTATATTATAAGCTTATCAACACAGTAGTATAATTATTTATGTGGTTTTAAAAACAGCTTTATTTAGATTTAAGTCACATGTAGAATTCACCCACTTTAAACGTACAATTCAATGGTGTTTAGTATATTCACTGAATTGTGCATGTACCTCACATTATTAGAGAAAAAAGGAATTTAAAATAAATTTATACTGTCTTTTATTTATATATATGGAGTTATTTTTACTAGTGCTCCTTTATTTCTTTATTTAGGTTTGAGTTTACAATGAGTATTCTTTCATTGCATCCTGAGGAACTCCCTTTGTGTTTGTTATACAAAGGGTTTGCCATTGCTGAATTATCTCAGTTTTTGTTTATCTTGGAATGTCTTAATTTTTCCTTCATTTCCGAAGGATTTTTTTTGCACATAGAAATCTTGACAGCCTTTTCTTTAGTACATTGACTGTCTCTTCCATTGCCTCTGGGCATCCATAGCTTTAAATGAAAAACTTGTGAATTTCAAGAGTGTCTCTTTGTCTTTGACTTCCCCCAGTATAATTATAATGTAAATAGGTATGGATTTCTGAAATTGTCTTATTTGGAATTATTTAATTTCTTGGATTAACATTTTCCATTAAAATTTGGCTATTTCTTCAAGTACTCTCTCTTCCCATTTCCCCCTTTTTTTCTCTCCTTTTGTTACTCCCATTATGCATATATTGGTTTGCTGGGTAGGTCTCTGAGGCTCTGTTAATCTTTTTTTTTTCCTGTTCATTTTTTTCTGTCTCTTCCCCAGATTGTGTAATCTCAATTGTTCCAATCCCAATTGAAATATTCCTGGATTATTTCTCCTACTTGCTCAAATCTGCTGTTTATTATCTCTAGGAAACTTTTAATTTCAGTTCTCATACCTTTCAACTTCAGAATGTGTGTGATTCTTTATTAAAAAATTCTGTCTCTTTATTGTTATTCTCTATTTGGTGGGACATCATTTTCATAGACTTTAACACTTTTTGAAGGCATGATTTCATTTAGCTCTTAGAGAGTATTTAAAATAGCTGAGCTTAATTTTTTTTTTTTGTATGTTCAATATTAGGGCTTGCTCAGAGGCAAGTTTCTAATGATTGTTTTTTACCCTGTGTATAGGTCATACTTTCTTTTTTCTTTGCATTTTGTAATTTTTTTTTTCCAAACTGGAAATTTATAGTAGTATATTTGGCAACTGTGAAAATCAGATTCTTCCCCACTCCTGGGGTTTGTTTAGGTTTTTTTTGTTGTTTGTTTAGTGGCTAATTCTGTATAGTCTGTATTCTTTGCCATGTGTGACTGTATTAGTCTCTTCTCACGCTGCTAATAAAGACATAACCAAGACTGGGTAATTTGTAAATGAAAGAATATTAATTGACTCACAGTTCAGCATGGCTTGGGAGGCCTCAGGAAACTTACGATCATGGTGGAAGGGAAAGCAACCACATCCTT
Source organism: Homo sapiens (assembly GCF_000001405.40). Classification (NCBI taxonomy): domain Eukaryota; kingdom Metazoa; phylum Chordata; class Mammalia; order Primates; family Hominidae; genus Homo; species Homo sapiens. The sequence goes on along the minus strand of NC_000002.12, from coordinate 129,690,649 downwards.
CTTCACATGGCAGCAGCAAGGAGAAGTGCCAAAAAAAGGGGGGAAATGCCCCATATAAAACCATCAGATCTCGTGAGAAATCCCTCACTATCATGAGAACAGCATGAGGGTAACCGCCCCTATGATTCAACTACCTTCCACCAGGTCCCTTCCATGACATGTGGGGATTATGGGAACTACGATTCAAGATGAGATTTGGGTGGGGACAGAGCCAAACTGCATCAGTGACCAGTAAAATTTCTGCTCACTTCGCTTAATGGTTAACTAAAGAGTGGACACAAATTTCCTTAAACGTATGGTATCAATAAGTCACCATTCTTTGCTGAGGAGCTCTTTCTGTATATCGGGCACACCTTTTACATTCAGCCAGGCATTTAACAAGCCTGCCTTACCCTTTACTTCCTGCTTGAGCAGAGCCTCAAAGTACAGAAGTAAGAAGGCCTTAGGGCCTTCTCAGGTGTTTCTTGAGCATGCACATAGCCCTATATATGTGTATAGAACTTTCTGATTACCAGAAATGTCATAGCTTTACAGAGTCTCTATATACACCTCAATGTCCCACTTTTCCTTTTAAACATTTGGTTAGCCTATTATTAGCCTCCACTGTTATTCACTTCTTTAGGCAGTCACAAAGTTAAAAAATTGACTATGAATGGCTTCAACAAATGCCCCTGGGAAAAGGTTTTTTTCACTGGACAAGCTCTGAATCAGGTCACAAAAAGACAGCCTTGCATGCAGAGTCTTTTGGGAAATGAACAGACTAGTCAAATAATGACAATTCTTTGAGAAAGAGGCTTTGAAGGATCTCTGACCACATTGTGCCTCCTCTAGTTGCTGCCAAACGGCTGTTTTTTTTTTTTTTTTTTTTTTAACCTGCAAAATTAGAGAGAGAACAGGAAATGGACATGTTAAATGCCACAAAGCACACTATTCTCACAGAGATTCAGCTGCTTTTCTTAAATTCACACTCAGGATTGCTGCAAGCCTTTGCTTAGTATCTAGAGTTCTGAAAAACTTACTGTTTTGGCCAGTTTTCTCATTGCTTTTATGGAGGATAGAGCTTGTGGAAATCCTTACTCTACTATTTTTGCTGATGTCTGATGTGTCGCATTTATGTTTTTATTTATATCTAAATATTAAAAAAATTTTCAGACTTTCAGTTTGACACGTAGGCTATTTAGAAGTGTGTTTTTAAATTTCCGTATGTTTAGAGATCTTCCTTTTTTCTTTCTGTTATTAATTTCTACTTTAATTCTATTGTGGTCAGAGAAGACACTGTATAGAATTTAAATTCTATACATTTTTTAAAGATTTGTTTAAGCTTGGCACACAGTCTATATTGTTTAACATTTTATGGGCATTTCAAAAGAATATATATTCTCCTGTTGTTGCTTTGAGTTTTCTGCAGATATTAATTAGGTCCTGTTGCTTGATCGTTGTTAAATGCCCTGCTGATTTTCTGTGTAATAGTTCTGCATGTTCCTGAGAGGTGGGGGATATTTAAATACCCTATAATTGTAAATGTGTCTATTTCTTTTTTTAGTTCTTTAATTTTTTAAATAACATGTTTTTGAGACTCTGTTTGTTGAATTTCGGATCATTATGTCTTTCTAGCAGATTGATTCTACTTGTGATTATGTAATCTTTCTCTGTGTCTTCCTTAAGTTTCTTTGCTCTCAACTGTACCTTATCAGATATTAATATAGCTACATTTGCCTGTTAAAATAAATGTTTTTATGGTACAATTTTCCATTCTTTTGCTTTGAACTCATGTATGTCATTGAATTTGAAGTGAGTTTCCTATAATCAGCATATAATTGGGTCATGGTTCTATATCTACTCTGCCAATCTCTGTCTCTTGATAGGTGTATTTAGATCATTTGCATTTAATGTAATTTCTGTGTTACCGCGTAAGTCTACCATTTTATTATTTGTGTTATGTTTATTTCTTCTGGTTTTTATCCTCCTGCTTCTTCTGTCTTCCCTTCTTGCAGATTATTTGAATATTTTTTAAAGAATTCCATCCTGCTTGATTTGTAATGTTTTTGAGCATATCTTTTAAACTAGTTTTTATAGCTGTTGCTCTTATTATTACAGTATACATTTGTGGCCTATAACATTCCACTGGTTTCAACATTTTACCACTTTGAGTGAAATGTTGAAAGTTGGCTTCCATTTAAGTCCTTAGGTATTCACCAGTTTTTATTGTCCTGAATATTTAATGGAATTATGATTTTTATTCAATTATCAAATATAATTTATAAAATTAAAGAGTAAAAGAATAGTCTAATATTTTTACCCACATTTATGGTTGTTCTATGTTCCTTTTTTTCCCTGATGCTTTAAGATTCTTCCATTTGTCATTTTCTTTCTATCTGAAGGACTCCCTTTAATCAATCTTCAAGAGCATGTAAGCAAACTACAAATTCTTAAGCTTTTCTTTATCTGAGGATGTTTTAATTTTCTTCTTGTTCCTAAAGGAGAGTTTTGCTGGATATGAAATTTTTAGTTGACATATATTTTTTTTAAGACTTAAAGAATGTTGTGTTCTTCTGGCCACCAAGGTTAGATGAGAAATCTGTCATTCACATTGTTATTCTTTTGTAGGTAATGTGTTGTTTTTCTCTGGCTGCTTTCAAGATTTATCAGTGTGTTTAGTTTTCAAAAGTTCTATTTTGATGTAGCTTGGCATGGATGTGTTGGGATTTATCCTGTTTTGGGTTCAGCTTATTGGAGCTGCAGGCTTGAGCCTTTTGCTAAATTTGGGAAGTTTTCAGCCATATTTTCTCAATCACTAATTCAGTCTATCTGAGTTCACTCAGCTTCTTGGAGCCGTAGGATTGAGGCTTTTACTAAATTTTGGAAGTTTTCGACCATTATTTCTTCAAACATGAATTCATTCTCATTCTCTTTATCCTCTCTTTCTGGAACTTCAGCGATATGAATGTTAGATTTTTGTTGCTGCACTGATTCAACAAATATTTATTGAGCTCATGTGTGTCAGGCACTAGGCTAGTGCTTGGGGATATAAAATTAAATAAAATAAGCATAGTCTCTCCTATACAAGGAGAGTCTCTCACATTGCAAACAAAAATGTGACCAGATAAATATTGTCAGTGCAAAAGGAGGTACAAATCTAAAGAAGCATACATTTGTTTGGAAAGATTGTCTCCCTCTCTGACTACCATAGTAGTTTTCTTCTTTTATAATTTACTCAACACATAATTGTTGAACATCCCCTGCTAGATATCAGGCAGGGTATTTGCTGTTGAGGATGTAGTCATGAAAATAGGTACAGCCTGTAACCTAAATAGAATTTGTGAAATTACTAGAGCATTAGATAGCATTAGACAAATAGTTGTAGAAATAATTATAACCATCCTGCTAAAGCTATGAAGCAGAAGTATCAGGTACTATAAGAGGACTATTGCACTCTATTATACACAGGAGTCTTTAGATCTATACTTGTTTCATCTTTGTATCATCCACAGAGCTTGGAAAAGAACATTGAAAAAATTGATTCTTAAATAAATATATGTTGAGTGATTGAGTCCTGAATCTGAGGATGGGGTAAAAAATGTCATTCTTTCTAAATAAAAATATTAATCCAAAAAAAAAAAGATTTTTGATGGCCGAATAGGGACAGCTCCGGTCTACAGCTCCCAGCGTGAGCGACGCAGAAGACGGGTGATTTCTGCATTTCCATCTGAGGTACCGGGTTCATCTCACTAGGGAGTGCCAGACAGTGGGCGCAGGCCAGTGTGTGTGCGCACCGTGCGCGAGCCGAAGCAGGGCGAGGCATTGCCTCACCTGGGAAGCGCAAGGGGTCAGGGAGTTCCCTTTCCGAGTCAAAGAAAGGGGTGACGGACGCACCTGGAAAATCGGGTCACTCCCACCCGAATATTGCGCTTTTCAGACCGGCTTAAGAAACGGCGCACCACGAGACTATATCCCACACCTGGCTCAGAGGGTCCTACGCCCACGGAATCTCGCTGATTGCTAGCACAGCAGTCTGAGATCAAACTGCAAGGCGGCAACGAGGCTGGGGGAGGGGCGCCCGCCATTGCCCAGGCTTGCTTAGGTAAACAAAGCAGCCGGGAAGCTCGAACTGGGTGGAGCCCACCACAGCTCAAGGAGGCCAGCCTGCCTCTGTAGGCTCCACCTCTGGGGGCAGGGCACAGAAAAACAAAAAGACAGCAGTAACCTCTGCAGACTTAAGTGTCCCTGTCTGACAGCTTTGAAGAGAGCAGTGGTTCTCCCAGCACGCAGCTGGAGATCTGAGAACGGGCAGACTGCCTCCTCAAGTGGGTCCCTGACCCCTGACCCCCGAGCAGCCTAACTGGGAGGCACCCCCCAGCAGGGGCACACTGACACCTCACACGGCAGGGTATTCCAACAGACCTGCAGCTGAGGGTCCTGTCTGTTAGAAGGAAAACTAACAACCAGAAAGGACATCTATACCGAAAACCCATCTGTACATCACCATCATCAAAGACCAAAAGTAGATAAAACCACAAAGATGGGGAAAAAAACAGAACAGAAAAACTGGAAACTCTAAAACGCAGAGCGCCTCTCCTCCTCCAAAGGAACGCAGTTCCTCACCAGCAACAGAACAAAGCTGGATGGAGAATGATTTTGACGAGCTGAGAGAAGAAGGCTTCAGACGATCAAATTACTCTGAGCTACGGGAAGACATTCAAACCAAAGGCAAAGAAGTTGAAAACTTTGAAAAAAATTTAGACAGAATATACATTTTTTTCAGCACCACACCACACCTATTCCAAAATTGACCACATACTTGGAAGTAAAGCTCTCCTCAGCAAATGTAAAAGAACAGAAATTATAACAAACTATCTCTCAGACCACAGTGCAATCAAACTAGAACTCAGGATTAAGAATCTCACTCAAAGCCGCTCAACTACATGGAAACTGAACAACCTGCTCCTGAATGACTACTGGGTACATAACGAAATGAAGGCAGAAATAAAGATATTCTTTGAAACCAACGAGAACAAAGACACCACATACCAGAATCTCTGGGACGCATTCAAAGCAGTGTGTAGAGGGAAATTTATAGCACTAAATGCCTACAAGAGAAAGCAGGAAAGATCCAAAATTGACACCCTAACATCACAATTAAAAGAACTAGAAAAGCAAGAGCAAACACATTCAAAAGCTAGCAGAAGGCAAGAAATAACTAAAATCAGAGCCGAACTGAAGGAAATAGAGACACAAAAAACCCTTCAAAAAATCAATGAATCCAGGAGCTGGTTTTTTGAAAGGATCAACAAGATTGATAGACCCCTAGCAAGACTAATAAAGAAAAAAAGAGAGAAGAATCAAATAGACACAATAAAAAATGATAAAGGGGATATCACCACCGATCCCACAGAAATACAAACTACCATCAGAGAATACTACAAACACCTCTACGCAAATAAACTAGAAAATCTAGAAGAAATGGATACATTCCTCGACACATACACTCTCCCAAGACTAAACCAGGAAGAAGTTGAATCTCTGAATAGACCAATAACAGGCTCTGAAATTGTGGCAATAATCAATAGTTTACCAACCAAAAAGAGTCCAGAACCAGATGGATTCACAGCCGAATTCTACCAGAGGTACAAGGAGGAACTGGTACTATTCCTTCTGAAACTATTCCCATCAATTGAAAAAGAGGGAATCCTCCCTAACTCATTTTATGAGGCCAGCATCATCCTGATACCAAAGCCTGGCAGAGACACAACCAAAAAAGAGAATTTTAGACCAATATCCTTGATGAACATTGATGCAAAAATCCTCAATAAAATACTGGCAAACCGAATCCAGCAGCACATCAAAAAGCTTATCCACCATGATCAAGTGGGCTTCATCCCTGGGATGCAAGGCTGGTTCAATATACGCAAATCAATAAATGTAATCCAGCATATAAACAGAGCCAAAGACAAAAACCACATGATTATCTCAATAGATGCAGAAAAAGCCTTTGACAAAATTCAACAACCCTTCATGCTAAAAACTCTCAATAAATTAGGTATTGATGGGACGTATTTCAAAATAATAAGAGCTATCTATGACAAACCCACAGCCAATATCATACTGAATGGGCAAAAACTGGAAGCATTCCCTTTGAAAACTGGCACAAGACAGGGATGCCCTCTCTCACCGCTCCTATTCAACATAGTGTTGGAAGTTCTGGCCAGGGCAATCAGGCAGGAGAAGGAAATAAAGGGTATTCAATTAGGAAAAGAGGAAGTCAAATTGTCCCTGTTTGCAGACGACATGATTGTTTATCTAGAAAACCCCATCGTCTCAGCCCAAAATCTCCTTAAGCTGATAAGCAACTTCAGCAAAGTCTCAGGATACAAAATCAATGTACAAAAATCACAAGCATTCTTATACACCAACAACAGACAAACAGAGAGCCAAATCATGGGTGAACTCCCATTCACAATTGCTTCAAAGAGAATAAAATACCTAGGAATCCAACTTACAAGGGATGTGAAGGACGTCTTCAAGGAGAACTACAAACCACTGCTCAAGGAAATAAAAGAGGACACAAACAAATGGAAGAACATTCCATGCTCATGGGTAGGAAGAATCAATATCGTGAAAATGGCCATACTGCCCAAGGTAATTTACAGATTCAATGCCATCCCCATCAAGCTACCAATGACTTTCTTCACAGAATTGGAAAAAACTACTTTAAAGTTCATATGGAACCAAAAAAGAGCCCGCATCGCCAAGTCAATCCTAAGCCAAAAGAACAAAGCTGGAGGCATCACACTACCTGACTTCAAACTATACCACAAGGCTACAGTAACCAAAACAGTATGGTACTGGTACCAAAACAGAGATATAGATCAATGGAACAGAACAGAGCCCTCAGAAATAATGCCGCATATCTATAACTATCTGATCTTTGACAAACCTGAGAAAAACAAGCAATGGGGAAAGGATTCCCTATTTAATAAATGGTGCTGGGAAAACTGGCTAGCCATATGTAGAAAGCTGAAACTGGATCCCTTCCTTACACCTTATACAAAAATCAATTCAAGATGGATTAAAGATTTAAACGTTAGACCTAAAACCATAAAAACCCTAGAAGAAAACCTAGGCATTACCATTCAGGACATAGGCGTGGGCAAGGACTTCATGTCCAAAACACCAAAAGCAATGGCAACAAAAGCCAAAATTGACAAATGGGATCTCATTAAACTAAAGAGCTTCTGCACAGCAAAAGAAACTACCATCAGAGTGAACAGGCAACCTACAACATGGGAGAAAATTTTCGCAACCTACTCATCTGACAAAGGGCTAATATCCAGAATCTACAATGAACTCAAACAAATTTACAAGAAAAAAACAAACAACCCCATCAAAAAGTGGGCGAAGGACATGAACAGACACTTCTCAAAAGAAGACATTTATGCAGCCAAAAAACACATGAAGAAATGCTCATCATCACTGGCCATCAGAGAAATGCAAATCAAAACCACTATGAGATATCATCTCACACCAGTTAGAATGGCAATCATTAAAAAGTCAGGAAACAACAGGTGCTGGAGAGGATGTGGAGAAACAGGAACACTTTTACACTGTTGGTGGGACTGTAAACTAGTTCAACCATTGTGGAAGTCAGTGTGGCGATTCCTCAGGGATCTAGAACTAGAAATACCATTTGACCCAGCCATCCCATTACTGGGTATATACCCAAAGGACTATAAATCATGCTGCTATAAAGACACATGCACACGTATGTTTATTGCGGCACTATTCACAATAGCAAAGACTTGGAACCAACCCAAATGTCCAACAATGATAGACTGGATTAAGAAAATGTGGCACATATACACCATGGAATACTATGCAGCCATAAAAAATGATGAGTTCATATCCTTTGTAGGGACATGGATGAAATTGGAAACCATCATTCTCAGTAAACTATCGCAAGAACAAAAAACCAAACACCGCATATTCTCACTCATAGGTGGGAACTGAACAATGAGATCACATGGACACAGGAAGGGGAATATCACACTCTGGGGACTGTGGTGGGGTCGGGGGAGGGGGGAGGGATAGCATTGGGAGATATACCTAATGCTAGATGACACATTAGTGGGTGCAGCGCACCAGCATGGCACATGTATACATATGTAACTAACCTGCACAATGTGCACATGTACCCTAAAACTTAGAGTATAATAAAAAAAAAAAAAATGACAAGTTGATGGGTGTAGGAAACCAACATGGCACATGTATACCTATGTATCAAACTTGCACGTTGTGCACATGTACCCTAGAACTTGAAGTATAATAAAATAAATAAATAAATAAAAAATAAAAAAAGAAAAAAAAAAAAAAAGATTTTTGTTGCTGTTGTTATTCTCTCACACATGCCTGAGGCTATGTTCAGTTTTCTTCAGTCTATTTTCTCGTTGTTGCTCAGATTTGGTAGTCTATTGATCTAGCCTCAAGTTGATTGAGTCTATGTTCTCTCATTTCCACTTGACTTTTGAATAAATGTAGTGATTTTAAAAATTTCTGTTATTTGGTTTCTAGGTGTATAATTCCCATTTGTTTCTTTTTTATAGCTTCTATTTCCCTGCTAATATTTTACGTTTTTTATTAGTTTCAAGAGAATTTGTAATTGATTATGTAAGCATTTTTAAATGGCTGCTTTAGAACCCTTATCAGATAATTTTAACATCTGTTTAATCTTGATGTTGGACTCAGTTGATTATCTTTACTCATTTGAGTTGTGATTTTCTTGGTTCTTGGTATGGTGGGTTATTTTTTATTGTATCCTGGATATTTTATCTGTTATGTTAGGAGACTATAGGAATTATTTAAATCTTTTGTTTTAACAGGCAATCATTCTGTTTAGGTTTAGCATTCAGGTCTTGAACTGCTTTTGAGGTTACAATGGTAATTTAATTTTTTAAGTCTTTGCAGTGTTGTTTTGGTTTACGTGATTTATCTGGACCCACTGGACTTTTCTGGTGCTGCCTAAGATAGAAGACAGGGTTTCCCCAGGCTGAGTGGCTAAGCCTCTCTTGGTCAGGGAGTTTGGTGGGACTCCTCCCACTGATGACCCCTGGCTGCCCAGGGGTCAGCCCAACTGATATTCTTAAATGGTGGTGATGGGTTCACCTCATGTTGTCAGATGCATTCTTGTTTGACCCTTAAGAGGGATGAACCTACCTGGACTGCCTTCTGTTGCTAGGTTGGGGGCAGAAAAATGCTGGGTCTGAGGCAACTTCCTAGATTTGGTGGGGGGATGTAAGGCATGCTGCACTGTGCTTTCCCCATTGTCTGTAGCCAGGGAAGGGGAATCTCAAGACTGCAAGGTCAAAGAATCTTCCTTGCTATGGTTAGGTCTCTCTTACTGAGCCTGTCCACCTGTTCATGCTTTCTGGGGGAAGAGGGGAGTTTCAGGACTTTTAGGTTCATGATGCTCATGAAGTGAACGGGGCATTCCAGCCTGTCTTGCTTGCTATGAACTGGCTCCACTTTCCCATCCCATGTCTCCAGAAGGGGAGAAGTGTCTTAGAAGGGTGATGTCAAAAATAATTCCTGGACTGAGCTGCTTGTTGTGATGAGGTGCCTCTGGCTAGGATTGCAGTAGATTTTTTGGCCCATGGGCTTCTTCCTAGGGGCTTCCTGGACCATGTTGCTTGTCTCTGGGTCCCTCCAATTAGATGCTTCTGCCTGCCCTGGTATCTCCTGGCAGGGGAAAGAAGTCTTGGATCTGGCAGGAAAGTACAGTGCTTCCCTTAGCCTATTGTTGGTGAAGTTTCCAACTGATACCCTTTAATAGTGCTGATGGGTTCACCTCATGTTGTCAGATGCATTCCTCTTTGATCCTGAGTAGGGATGAACCTACCTGGACTACCTTCTGTTGCTAGATCAGGGGCAGAAAAATGCTGGTTCTGAGGCAGCTTCTTAGATTGACTGGGGGGACGTCAGGTGTGCTGCCACTGTGCTGCTCCTCCAGTCCTGGGATCCCAAACCAGCTTACCTTCTTCTAACTTTTTTTTTTTTTTTTGGACAGAGTCTTACTCTTGTTGTCCAGGCTGGAGTGCAGTTGCATGATCTTGGCTCATTGCAACCTCTGCCTCCTGGGTTCAAGCCATTCTTCTGCCTCAGCCTCCCAAGTAGCTGGGATTATAGGTGCCTACCACCACGCCTGGCTAATTTTTGTATTTTCGGTAGAGACGGGGTTTCACCATGTTGGCCAGTCTGGTCTCAAACTCCCGACCTTGTGATCTGCCTGCCTTGGTTTCCCAAAGTGCTGGGATTACAGGCATGAGCCACTGCACCTGGCCCTTCTTACCATCTTTTTAGGCCTCTCCTTGATTGTCTTTTGAATTATTTCCAGGGTTCTGCTTAGTCAGGAGATGCAGGGAGGAATGAATGGGCCTGCACTGTTTGTCCCTAGGTGTAGTCTTTAAATCCATGCTGTGTTTGGTTGGAGTGTAAAGGTCAGCTGGTCAAAACAGGAGCCGGATGTCTTTATCAGCCGGCTCTCCCTGGGCTTCCCTGCTCTTACCATCAGGGCTGCTGCACTTACATGATATGGTGGTGGTCATTTCCTCATCTGCATCTTCCCTTGGGCTGTGGCTGATGTTTCTGGGTTATTCACAGCTATATTCCCAGGCCTGGCAGCATTCCTGGCCCACAATAGATGCTCAGCAAATGCTAGTTGCATTCTGCCTTTAATTCATCTTTTGACTCAGATGACTTTTTGCTTTCCAGAGATATTGTGACCATTGTGGTGCTCTGTGTTGAGGCTAGATTTGATGAAGTTAAGAATCTGGACTCTGGAACCAAACTGCCTGGTTTTGACTTCTGGCTCTGTGACTGGCTGCCCATGTGACCTTGGGCAAGTTACTTAGGTCATCTGTGTGTCAGTTCTTTCAATGGATAAATGGGATAATCACAGTACCTACCCATTAAGGTTGTTAAAAAGATTGAACAAGTTAATATTCATAGCACTATGTGGATGTATTAATTCAATCAATTTAAAAATTGATCATGAAAACATCAAAAAGACAGGTTGAGTCCAGTCTGTTCTAGGTGTGCATGTGCTGTTTCTGAACTATGGCTATTTATTTTTGTTCTAATTACTCAAAAGAAGCTGCTTAATGATCTGCATAAAACTGTCCCTGGGTTGGAGGACCTGCTAGTCTGCAGTTCAGTTTGCTCCTCTACTAGTTTTGTTAAAGCTGTGATAACAATTTTGGCCCCAAGCATTTCTCAGTTGGCCAAATTATTTGCCACTTCTCAAAAATTATAGGCTGTGGTGCTGTAATCATTAATGGTAGTTACTTTATATGCTTGAACCCCAAGTCTGGGCTGGGAGGCCTTCCCCCTCCATTGATTCTGGGTGCTCTATTACGACCTTCTCCCCTTCCTGGAACTTGATCCCCTTGTCTCCCAGATTCGGATGACCTTTTCTAAACAGAAAATCACTCTCATGAGTATATAAAATGGAGCCAATCGGGAAATAAGTGACTCTGTCTTCATTTTATTGTGCATTGAGCCCTCCAGTTCCCACCCTCAAAACAACAACAGGCCAGACACCCCGCAAATCCATGGCTCTCCCTGAACCATGTGTGTGCTCGCACATCAGCCCGACTTCCTTTCCGGTGGCCATCGGCCCGCAGTAAATTACCAGATTTTGCTGATGTTGCCATTTCCCTTCTTAGCTTAACGGTTTGTTTATTGATGACTGATTTTCCCATATGGGCTTTTATCCCATTAAAACAATATTTGCTGCTTTTTTCTGGACTTCTGCTCCTGGGAAGATGAAGTAGACAAGGTTTCCGCTGTTATTCCCTCTCAGTACAACTAAAAGCCTTGGGCATGGTGTACAAAACCAGCCTAAGAAGAAGGCAGGCTGGCTAGAGAGCTCAGGACACGAGGAAAGAGTGGGCAGTGAGATCCCTGGGTTTCCTATTTGCCTTGTATATCCCAGACTTATAGGCCACCTGGGAAGCCCATGAGAACAGACTAAAAAGCCCCCTCAAAAGCTTGCCCTCTCTAGCCAAAAGGGACCAGAAAGGGGGCAACTGAGATGGACAAAACTCCCAGTGAAACAACACAGAAAAACCAGAAGCCCCATCCTCACCCGTGCCAGCAGAGTCTGAGTGAGGAATCTCAGTTTCCACCCCACCTGGCTAATGAGGCACCCCCTGACTGCGGGGTGTTAGAAGGGACTGACGAGAGGGTCAGGGCCATCCCCTCCGCCCAGCACTGACAAGGCTGGAAGTGGCAAAGGAGCAGCGATGGGATGCTCCTATTCCTGCTGGCTGGGAATAGCTGACCAGAGAAAGCTGGATTCCCAACACTGCCCAGCAGTGTCTGTGAACTCCTCCCTGCTCAGGTACCAACAGAGGTTGAATGGGGGACTTTGACGTCTATCCTCCCCTGAAATAATGCGGTAGTGCCATTCATTTCCCTGGGGGAGTAGTATCTGAGAAAGACAGCTAAAATGGGGGTTTAAACAAGATTCAGAGTCTCATCAAATCACACCCACAATATTCAGGTTTCAAATGAAAATCATATGGCACACAGAGAACCGGGAAGATTTCAAAGTAAATGACAAGTGGCAATCAATATACACCAGCACCGTGATGTTGGCGATGCTGAGATGACCACACACAGACCAGCCAGCTTAAAAGTTGGTCCAATGAGCAATGATGAAAATGCTTGGAACAAATGAAAAAAAAAGTCTCAGCAAAGAAATAAAAATTAAAAAGAACCAAATGAAAATCTTCTTACAACTGAAAAACACAGTAACAGATGTTAAAAAATAAACCTCACTGGATAGGCTCAAAGCAGAATAAGGGGGACAGAGGAAAGATCTGTGCAATGGAAGAAACAAAAATAGAAATTCCTAATTTGAAACATGGGGAGACAATAGAAAGAAAAAATAAACAGAGACTCAGGGCCTCGTGGGACTACGACAAAAGATCCAACCTGTGTCCCTGGGACCCTGGAGGTAGGAGAATGAGGGTGGGGCTGGAAATGTACTTGATAAAATAATGGCTGAAAATTTCCCAAGTCTGGCAAAAGAATAAACCTATAGATTCAAGAAGGTGAGTAAAACTCAAACAGAATAAACCCAAAGGAATCCACATGAAAACACAGTAGCGTAAAACTTATGGAAAATAAAGTAAAAAAAAAACCTGACCTGAAAGCAGTAAGGGAGAAAAAAGACCTTGTCTTTAGGAAGAAAACCTGTGAGCAGCAGCAACTCTCCTCAAAACCATGGGGCCAGAAGAGCTGAAAGAGAAAAACTATCAGTGGAGAAACCTTGTCTCTACAAAAAAGACAAAATAATTAACTGAGCAAGGTAGCAGGCACCGTCGTCCCAGCTACTCAGGAGGCTGAGGCAGGAGGATTGCTTGACCACTGGAGACAGAGGCAGCAGTGGAGCCGAGATTGCCCCAAGGCATTCCAGCCTGGGTGACTGAGTGAGACCCTGTCTCAAAACAAAAAAAAAGAGAAAGGAAAAGTCATCAACCCGGAATCCTATAGCCAGTGAAATTATCCTTCAGAAATAGGGGAAATCAGGACTTTCAGATATTGGGAAACTAAGAATCTGTCACTAGCAGACCTTCCCTAAAAGAATAGCTAATGGGGGTTAATTAAACAGAAAGAAAGCAAAAGGAAGAATGTTCAGAATGTCAAGAAGGGAAAAAGGACATGGTAAACCAAAATTGGTAAATACCCTAGACTTTGTTTCTCTTCTTGGGTTTTCTAAATGATGCTGGATACAAAAATTTTAGAACTGTCTGATGTGTTCCTATTATATGTAAATATTTAAAGCAATGATATTGTAAACAAAAGGGTAAAACAATATAAAGGGAGGCATAGTTTCTATACTTCACTCAAACTGTTAAAATGAAGACCCAATAAACTGTAATAAATTATGTATATACCATAATACATAGAGCAGCCAGTAACAAAACTGTCCAAAGAGTATGCTCAAGAAGAATATAGATACATTAATATGGAATTCTTAGCCTGGACACCAAAAACCTGACTCATAAAAGGAAAAAGTAATAAACTGAAATTTTTCAAAATTAAAAATGTTTGCTTTGTGGAAGACCCTGATAAGATAAAAACACAAGCTACAGAATGGGAGAAAATATTTGCAAATCACACATCTGACAAAGGACTAGTCTCTGGAATATATAAAGAACTTTTAAAACTCAACAGTAATGGAATAAACAATTCAGTTAGAAAATGGGCAAAATATGTGAAGAGATACTTTATGAGAGAGGATATACAGATGGCAAATAAGTGCATGAAAAGATGTTCAACATCATTAGCTATTAAGGAAGTGCAAATTAGGACCACAATGAAATATCACGATGCACCTATCAGAATGGACAAAATTTAAAATAGGTGACAGCAGCATATGCTGGTGAGAAAGGTGAGAAACAGGATCTCCCATACACTGCTGGTGGGAATGTAAAATGGTACAGCCACTCTGGAAAATCATCTGGAAAATACTTCTTTATAAAACCAAACATGCAACATATGACCCCACAATTGCATTCCTGGGCGTTTGTCCCAGAGAAATGAAAACTTATGGTCACACAAAAATCTGTACATGAATGTTTGTGGCAGCTCTACTTGTACAAGCCTAAAACTGGAAACTGCCTAGATGTGAATGATTAAAAAAAAAAAACCCTTACATCCATACCATCAGATGCTACTAATCAATACAAAGGAACAAACTCTTGCAACAACTGAGTGAATCTCTCGGAAATTATGGTGAGTGAAAAAATTCCAAAATGTTACACACATATGATCCCACAGATAGAACATTATTTAAGTGACAAATTATAGAAACAGGGAGCAGAGGACTGGTTGCCACGGCCCTGAATTAGAGAGGATGCACGTGAGTCCAAGAACACGGAAGGAGGGGAGTTGGGCCTGCATGCCTCCCATGTCACCGAGGGAGCTTGAATGGGGTGTGTAACCCACGCCCTCAGGGAGAGAGAGAGGCTGGGACATGCACTGAGGTCATCCCAGTGAACAGAGAGAGGAAGGGCTGTATGGGAGAGACCCAGCTGGAATAGAACCAGTACAGGTAATGCTGGGTAGGGATAAAACACAACAAAAAGATTCTTGTACTTCTAAATTGCACCATGCATGGATGTGTGAGATGGGACTGTGTGTGCCATGCCCTAAGCAGCACCCACACTGAGGAAGTGTGGCTTCCATTCTTCTCCCTTTGCTGCACCTGGCACACCACCCTTCCCACCCCACTCTCACCCAGGGCCTGGCTCTCGGGCCTGCACTGAAGGGAAGGGGAATCCTGAAAGCCCCACAGTGACTGTGGGACTGGAGTCAGGGACATAGACCTATGCATCCAGCCTGTCCCCCAGCCTGGGGCTCTCTAATGGAGGATTCATGCCCGCTACCCACGCTGGACTTCCTGAACCAGAATCTCTAGGGATGGGGCATTTTATTTTTTAAAAAGGCTCCCAGGTTATCCTAATGCACAAGTAAATCTGGAAGCTGTATAGTGATATAGAATTACCTGGAGTTCACTGTCAATCTGATTAAAAAAAAAATTATACTAGGACAGAAGAGGTCCTCTGAGCTGTTACCGGGCATGAGATCTCCAAGTATTATGCATATCACCTGCCCATCAAACAACCAGTGAAGAAGCTGTGTTCTAAAACAGTATCAGCACCTGATGAGGGAGAACTCCCTAAGCTATTATGTGGGGGCGCCCTGTCTCACTCATTGGCTCATTTATTCTTCACTTTAACACTGAAAGTTAGACGGTATTATTCCTACTTTATGGATAAGGAAACTGAGGTCCAGCGACCACAGAAAACTTTCTAAAATGAGGTGCAAACCCAGGTTTGTCTATTTCCACCGAAGCACTCTGCCTGCCTTATAATGCCCACCACCAGGAAAGCTAAGATATGTGTCCCCTTCTCCTAAGAAGCTGCTAACTGACAAACAGAGCCAGGCATATGGAATATTAGAAGATAATTAAGTGTTAATCAATGTGGAATTGATTCATGAACACAGTGAGGACAAACACAGCATACAATCGTGTTCATGTGGCTAGTCTGTCAGGGTGTTCTGTGCTGATTTAAGTGGCCGTGCACCCTCCACAACGTTAAGAGGAGCCAGAAAGCTTCCTTAGCTTGACAGGCCATCTCTTTGTGTTGACACTTGTCTTGATGAATGAGAAATGGAGGACACGTCCCCTGTCTCTGTGTCCAGGTGAAGATGCCTCTGAAAGGGTCAGTCATGACACCCTGTGGCACTCTCTACCCCCTGCTCTCAGGAAATGGCAGGGAGGCTGACGACAGCTGCTGAACAGGCTGACTGCTAGGGACAGGAGGGGACTGACAGCTCCAGTTTATGCTGGAGTCCCAGTAAACAGCTGGGGTTAATTGGGAGACGACATCATGATTCAAGAGTATTTGAGGCAAGAGAAGAGGAAGAGCATTTGCCTTACATGCACGGCTGCTTTTGACACATTTCCCGCAAATGTCTGTTTTATAACTTGACAGATATTGAAACCAGAAAATGGCCCTTGACAAGCATGTCAAGGAAAGGAGAGGAAGAGAGAAGTCTGTCCTCAAATCACACACCCGCCCCCAAGAAAGAAGTGCCTCTCTCTCTGATGGCATTGTGAGACTTAAAAGCGGTTTCTTTTCGTCGACCGTCAACGTGCATTTGTAATGACAGCATTTGTAATGCTGATGGAATGACAGAACTGTGTGCTGCACTCTGTTAAAAACTGTCAGGCATCTTATTTTGATTGGCTTACATAGTTCTCACTATTTAACTTCTTATTTAACTAGAAGCACGCCTGTGTCTACCTTCCACCATAATTCAGATGAAAAATGTAAAAGTCAGGCCAATTTCAGAGTTCTCCAAACAACAATGTCAGTGATCCCTATCCTTACAGAATGTAACATTTGTGGTGCTGGTTATTTGAGACAGTCCCCAGGGTGGCCATCCTTTTCATTCACTGCTTGCTGGCTTGTGGGACCAAGGCATCACCAAGGGGCACTCAACGTCTTTTTGCTGAAAGTAATCCCTGTGTGCATCTTATATCCACCACGTCAGTGCCTACTGTTCTTGTCTCTCCTGAATTCACTCACCCAAAGCTCTCTGTGCTGTGATCTCTTCATTTATTCTCCCATGCAACTCTATTTTTGGCTCAGTGCCAGATGGGACCAGCGTCACAGTTAATTTTATGTTCTCTGGAGTATTTTTCTTCTAATTTCTTTGTTGCTAATAGTTTTGTCTCAGCAGTGAATATACAAATACAGATTCACCTCAATTTACAATTGAGCTATCACCTAATAAACCTGTCGTAAGTTGAAAATATCATGTCGAAAATGCATCTAAAATGCCTAATTTACCAGACATCACAGCTCAGCCTAGCCTACCTTAACCAGGCTCAGAACACTGACATTAGCCTACCATTGGGCAAAATCACCTAACATGAAACCTGTTGTATAGTTAAGTGTTGAATATCTCACATAACTTATTGAATACTGTACCAAAAGTAAAAAACAGAATGGTTGTATGGATACTTGAAGTAGAGTTACTACTGAATGTGTATGGCTTTTGCACCACAGAGGAGTAGAAAAATCCTTAATTTGAACTGTCATAAGTTGGGGACCATCTGCTACGTGTTTTTAAAATTTGTAAGATGGTATCACACATGTACACCGTTCCATATCTTGTTATTCATTTCTTCTTTATCAGAATTTGTGTGTTGCTATCAGCTAAGGTAGCATAAGCTGTTGTAACATATCAACCCCCACACTCAGTGGCTGAATGCAATAAAAGTTAATTTGTTGCTCTACTGTCCCAAACAGGTGCTCTTGACAGGCAGGCAGCTCTCTTCCACAGAAGGAAACTCCTTCCGCCCTGCTGCTCCATACCACTTCCAAGGGCCGTGTGCTCATTTGCATTGAGATGTAGCGGGTGACAGAACATAGGGTGTCAGTGTGATGGTTTCCTAGGAGCCAGCCTTAAAGTTTGTTAGATCTATTGGTTAGAACTAACCCTACGCTTCTCCTAACTGCAAAGGTGGATTCAAACATTTTAGAAAATCCTAACTGAAACGTGGTCCAGTCCAAGCCCAGGAAAAACGAGACGGTGGATTAGGTGAGCAGCTCATGTAATCGACCTCCCTGGTTATCACGTATCCATTCTACCCTTGAAGATGGAGGGAATGTGATTTATTTTCAGGAAAAAAGAATTTTCTATGGGTTATCCAGTTATTGCAACTGAGTGAAAGGATGGAAGAGGTGTGCAGTGCTCTCCATCAAGTCTAGGTGGGGCTCCCTGAAGCCCAGCAACTTATGAATTACGAAGGGAAGTTATTTGCATCCCCCTCAATCCTTTGCAATATCCAATGATGGAACAGGGACGTGATAATCCTAATAAAATGGTTGTAAGGCACCAACATTCAAAACTGGTTTCAGACTGAGTTCATAATGTCTTGGACAATGTAGATATTGGAAAAACTTAGTAAGTTTTTGATCTATTTGTCTCTAATCAGTTCTACGTGCCTCGAAACATAGTGAAAATTACTTCCTAGGCATATTCTCAAGCCAGATTTCTTGTATCATTTTGTTTTACTGCTTCATGCCTGTCCTGCTCTCTGAACCATGAGTCTATCAGAACCCAAGAATGTGGATCAAAGTCGCACTCACCTGACCTCTGTCTTGGAGCTGAGTTGAAGGGGGAAATGTCTTTGCAAACCTCCCCCAACCTTATCTCTTATTATTGGTTGTGTATAACCTATCAGATTTTCTAAAACGTTTGGATTCCCAGCTTTTTGAACCATTTGTATTCCCTTTAATTTCTGCTTGCTAACGTGCCAATTCTTTCCAGAGGTCATATCTTCCTTATAATACTTGCCTAAGGCAGAAAGTAAAAGCAACGTACTCTATCTCCCACACTTCCTCTGGAGCCACAGGCTCCCCAGCCATGGGACCTGCCTTCCAAGTGAGCACTGTAGCTAAATGCCTTGCCGCTGCAAACCATGGGGCTCCTTGTTCCACTGTGCCACCAAGCCAATGCCCATATACATTTTTTTTTTTTGAGACTGAGTCTCACTCTGTTGCCCAGGCTGGAGTACAGTGGTGTGATCTCATCTCACTGTAAACTCTGCCTCCCAGGTTCAAGTGGTTCTCCTGCCTCAGTCTCCTTAGTAGCTGGGATTACAGGTGTCTGCTACCACGCTGGCTAATTTTTGTATTCTTTGTAGAGATGGGTTTCACCATTTTGGTCAGGCTGGTCTCGAACTCCTGACCTCGTGATCCACCCACCTGAGCCTCCCAAAGTGCTGGGATTATAGGTGTGAGCCCCTGCGCCCGGCCCATATGCATTTTAAGTCTGTGAGGGATTCTTCAGTATCCCACTTTAAGTTAAAATTTCCATTTCAGTTAAGCCGATTTTATTGGTATAACAGAACAAATTCAGAAATCTCAAAAATCCCCAGCAGACGCTTGTTTCTTAGCCACATAACATCCACAATAAATGTTCATGTTAAGCAGGTGGCTCTCCACTAGGCATTGATGCAAGTTCTTTCCCTTGGACGTGCATGGCTTCCACGTCACCTCAGTCATCTGCATCAGCTGGAGGTCATGAGTGGGGCTGGGGTTGATGGCACGTGTCACTTCACACCTGACTGTGGGAAGGTAGGGAACATATCCTGGCTGTGTGCTCACGGAAAACAAAAGCAAAGGCAAAACAGTCTGCCAGACCTACCATCTCATTGTCACCTCGCTTTTACCTTCAGAATAACATCTGCACATGAATAGAATACGTCCAAATGGGAGACAAGCGTGTACTCACTAGAAAATAAGACTACTTCCCAGAGACCCAGTCACCCTTGTGAATCTACTACTGTTAGCCGTTCCTTCTAGAACTTGTGTGTGTGCGTGTGTGTGTGAGTTTAGAAGTGTATGTAATGTGTGTGTGTGCAAATTATCACATCATCAAACTGTCCTTTTCCTTTAGATCTTCTTAAATCTTAAAGCTGCATGATCTTCCATGATGGGCGTATGGACTTTTAATTTGTTCCTTTCTTTTTTTTCCACACAGTAAATATTGCAATGAACTTTCTTGAAATCCTGTTGTGACTACATCCATGGGGTAAATTCCTAGCACTACAGTCTGGAATTTTTAATTTCATTATGTTATAATATTCACAATGGTGAAATAGCTTAAACTATTATTTCCCTGTGAAGTATATATAGATAGTTATTGGGTTAATTAGGTATTCATTTTTTTAGTTTGTATAATTGATTTGTTGTAATTCTGAATTTGTTTCTGTAAAACATAAGGATTTTTTTTAAAATTTGAGATTCAGTCTCGCTCTGTCACCCAGGCAGGAGTGCAGCGGCTTGATCTCCGCTCATTGCAATCTCTGCCTCCTGGGTTCAAGCAATTCTCCTGCCTCAGCCTCTTGAGTCGCTGGGATTACAGGTGAGTGCCACCATGCTCAGCTAATTTTTTGTATTTTTAGTAGAGACAGGGTTGCACCATGTTAGCCAGGATGCTCTAGGTCTCCTGACCTCATGATCTGCCCGCCTCGTCCTCCCAAAGTGCTGGGATTACAGGCGTGGGCCACCACACCCGGCCAGGAAATTTTTACTGCAAGAAGTTTCTTCTCTTTTTCCCATTGCTGGTAACAGCCTCTGAGACCAAAGCCATTCACTTCCATTCTCAGCCGGTTCCTTCCTTCATTCAGTTGGCTCAGAGATTTATAAGTGTCAGAACACAAGCCTGGGGAGGCGCTGCCTCCAGAAGCCAGGATGCTGCCTTCTTGCTGAGTCACCTGCAGGCCCCAGCACTGGGTGGCTGGGATCCCAGCCACTGTCAAAGATGAGCATGTGCCCCCTAGATGCTGGGGGCCCACCCTGAGATTAAGGTGCCTGTGATGAGTAGGGAAGAAAAGACCTGTGGTGAGCATATCTGAAAAGAAAAGAATGAGGCCACCCTACCTGGGGACCCCAGGTCCTAGGGAAGACTGAGCGGAGGCTGGGATGATGGGGCAGCCACTGGGGTCCTGCCCACCTGGTGCACAGGCCCACCGAGCCAACACCTCACCCGGGAAGGGTGTGTGGACCCTGGCAGTCTCAGGACTCGGCTAGCTCATGCGGGTTCCTTGGCAAAACATTATTAATAAATTCAGGCCGGTAGTAGTGGCTCATGCCTGTAATCCCAGTGCTTTGGGAGGCCAAGACAGGCAGATGTGTTGAGCTCAGGAGTTCTGAGACCAGCCTGGGCAACATAGAGAGACACTGTCTCTAAAAAAATATACAAAAATTAGCCAGATGTGGTGGCAGGTGCCTGTGGTCCCAGCTAATCAGGGAGCTTAGGTGGGAAGATCAGGAGCCCAGGGAGGTTGTGGCTTCAGTGAGCTGAGATGGGGCCACTGCCCTCCAATCTGGGGAATACAGTGAAACTCTGTCTAATAAAATACCTCAACAGGATGGTGATGCTGAGCTTGGACCAAGCCTGTCCGTTTGAGTGCCAGCCTGTGTGATGCTTGGGCACATGCTTTAAGGCCATCCCCGTGGTCTAGAGGCAGGATGCACCCATTCCAAGTTCCTCCACCCACACCCCATCCCCTTCCTCCTGACCCCCACCGCTGCAGGAGCAGAGCACCATGGGTAGTCAGGGCAACACTGGGTGCCTGCCACTCCACAGTGGACGATAAGAGCCCTTTGAAATGGTGTTGGCATTTGGTGTCTGGTACACACAGCGTCCCCACCCAGGAATCTAGGGGCACGCAGCCTATGGCTCACAGGTGCTCAGGACTGGCAGCCGCCTAGGAGGGAAGGATCTGTGTGGCCACCTGCCTAGGGTCAGATGTCAGGCCCACTCCGTTAGAGCAGAGCTGCAGACTGGCAGCCCCCTGCAGAATCCTGCTCTTGGTCCCTTGTGGTATGCAACCAAAATACTCACCAAAATCCTCCTCAATTCATTGATGGCATTTAATTATTAGCAGATTTCACTCAAAAGCTGGGCTTTTGGCTTCACTCGAGATGCTCTAAGGTGTGGCCACCTAGGCTTACATGCTTAGGAGACTGTAGCTCTCATTGCCTTAAGATGGAACCCATTCACCAGTGTCCCCACTCGGCCTCTTAGCTCATGCCTGCCTCTGTCCAGACTTTTTATATTTTTTATTTTTATTTATTTATTTTTGAGATGGAGTCTCGCTCTGTCTCCCAGGCTGAAGTGCAGTGGCAAGATCTCAGCTCACTGTAACTTCCGCCTTTTGGGTTCAAGTGATTCTCTTGCCTCCGCCTCCCAAGTAGCTGGGACTACAAACATGCACCAGCATGCCTGGCTATTTTTGTATTTCTAGTAGATACAGGTTTTGCCATGTTGTCCAGGTTGGACTCGAACTCCTGACCTCAAGTAATCCGCCTGCTTCTGCCTCTCTGGGATTACGGGTTGTGAGCCATCACGCCCGGTCCTTTCTCCAGACTTTAGACACTGATTTTGCAACAACTGTAACACTTTAAAATTTGAGTGGGTTAAACATGACATCAAGAACTGCTAAGCATTATTTTAGTTTCCACAGAATGTCCTTAGTTTTCCTAATCAACTTTCTCAGGGAATAATATGCCCTATTTGTCTGCTAGCGTTCCATATCAAAGTGCTGCAGACTTGGTGGCCTGAGGAACTGAAACTTTCTGATAGTCTGGGGGCTGGAATGGATCAGCCAACCAGCAGGGTTGCTTCCTTCTGAGGACTGAGGGAAGGTTGTGCTTGGCCCTCTTCTGGGCTTGTAGATGGCTCTCTTCTCCCTGTGTCCTCACCTTAATTCTGTCTGCACTATCTCTTTCTCTTCACGCGGTGTTCTTTTTATCATAACATTGGCGATAGGGGCCCACCCAACTCCAGTATGACCTCATCTAAACTAACTGTATATGTAATGGCCCTGTTTCCAAATTAGGTCATATTCTGAGGTCCTGGGGATT
This sequence comes from Homo sapiens, assembly GCF_000001405.40. NCBI lineage: Eukaryota > Metazoa > Chordata > Mammalia > Primates > Hominidae > Homo > Homo sapiens. Next base: position 129,667,637 of record NC_000002.12, on the reverse strand, counting down.
AAGACTTCAGCATATGAGTTTCAGGGAGATGCAATTAAATCTATAATATATGCATACTGTAAAATTTACATTTTTATATGTTCATATGTATGATTTTTGTAATACATACATGTCCATGTACTTGTCACCACAATTAACATATTAAGCATTTCCTCTCATTTCCAACTCCTCTGAAAGTTCCCTTGTGCCCATCTTTGGTCATCCTTCAGCCCCTATCTCCAAACAACCTCTGATCTGTCCCCACAGCTTAGCTTTGGCTTTTCTTGAATTTCGGGTAAGTGGCATCAAACACTATGGACTTGTTGGAGTCTGGCTTTTTTCACCCAGCGAAATGTCTGTGAGATTAATCAATGTTATTAGGTGTATCAGTAGTTTGTTCTCTTTTTATTGCTGAGTAGTATTCTATCCTATGCACATCTCAATTTATTTGACCATTCATCTGTTGATAGTCATTTAGGTTCTTCTGAGTTTTTGGCTATATGAATGAAGCTGTGATGAACACTCGAATGTAAGTCTTTGTGTGAACGCTCATGCCTCCAGATCTCTTGAGTAAATACTGAAGAGTGGCTTTTCCCCATCTTGGGGGTGTAAGTGTGTAGACCTTTATAAGGGGCTTCCCATCAGCTTGTACCTCCACAAGTGCTGTAAAAGTGTTCCCCCAGTCTGTGTCTTCCCTTTTAGTTTTCTTCACTGTCTTTTGAAGGCCAGGTTTTAATTTTGATGAAGACTAAATTTATCAATATTATTATTTTATGGTTCGTGCTTTTTGTGTCATATATAATACATCTTTTTTATTTAATTTAAAAAATTTTTTAATGTAATTAATTTATGTATTTTGAGATGGAGTCTTGTTCTGTCACCCAGGCTGGAGTGCAGTGGCACAATTTCGGCTCACTGCCACCTCTGTCTCCTGGGTTCAAGTGATTCTCCTGCCTCAGCCTCCTGAGTAGCTGGAATTACAGGTGCACACCAACACGTCCGGCTAATTTTTTTCATTTTTAGTAGAGATGGAGTTTCACCATGTTGGCCAGGCTGGTCTCAAACTCCTGAACTTGTGATCTGCCCACCTTGGCCTCTCAAAGTGTAGGGATTACAGGTGTAAGCCACCATGTCTGGCCTTAAATTTTATTTTTATTTTTAATTTTTGTGGATACATAGTAGGTGTATGTATTTATGGGTTACATGAAATGTCTTGATACAGGTATGTAACGTGAAATAAGCACATCATGGAGAATAGGGTGTCTCATCTCAAACTGTAATCCCCACATGTTGAGGGAGGAACCTGGTGGGAGGTGATTGCATCATGGAGGTGGTTCCCCCCAAGCTCTTCTCATGATACTGTGTTCTCACAAGATCTGATGGTTTAAAAGTGTGTGGGTGTGGTGGCTCCCCTCTCGCTCCTGCTGCCATGTAAGATGTGCCTTGCTTCCCCTTCGCCTTCTGCAATGATTGTAAGATTCCTGAGGCCTCCTCAGCCATGTGGAACTGTGAGTGAATTAAACCTCTTTCTTTCTAAGTTACCAAGTCTCAGGTGGTTGTTTATAGCAGCATGAAAACAGACTAATACAGTATCCATTCCCTCCAACATTTATCCTTTGAGTTACAAACAATCCAATTACACTCTTTTTTTTCTTTTCTTTTTTTTTATTATTATTATACTTTAAGTTTTAGGGTACATGTGCACAATGTGCAGGTTTGTTACATATGTATACTCTTTAAGTTATTTTAAAATGTACAATTAAGTTATTGACTATAGTCACCCCATTGTGCTATCAAACCACAGGTCTTTCTAATAAAACTGCATACTCTAAGTCACAAAGATATTTCCTCTACATTTTGTTTGAGACGTTTTACAATGTTAGCAGTTACGTTGAGGTCTTTGGGTCATTTCAAGATGATATTGGTGTATTGTCCAAGGCTGGGGTCCAGCTCCATTGTCCTAGCACTGCTTGTTTTGAAGAGTATATTTTCCTCATTGAGATAGTTCAACACCTTTATAAAAAACCAGTGACCATGACTGGATAATATCTAAACTTTCTGTTTTGTTTTATTGATTTCTATATCTTTTCTTAGGGCCAAACCACACTGTGTTAATTATAGCAGCTTCATAGTAAGTCTTAAAATCAAATAGTGTAATTTCTAATTTTTTTCTTTTTCACAGTTGTTTTGGCAATTTTAGGTTCTTTGCACTTCCATATAATATGTGGAATCATTTTGTCAATTTCCTTAAAAATCTGCTGGCATTTTGATTGGATTTCATTGAATCTATAAATAAATTTGGAGGGGGTGAGCATTGTAACAAAATTCAGTATTCCAATCCCTGGACACAGATTACCTCTCCATTTATTTATATCCTTTTTCATTTATCTCGATAATATTATGTAGTTTTGAGTGTACAGGTTTTATGCATCTTGTGATAAACCTATTTCTATACATTTCAATATTTTGTTAATGATATTGTTTCTAAATTTAGTTTTCCAGTTGTTTTATGCAAATATATAGAAGTACATACATACTAATTTTTTTGCTTGTGACATTATTAAATACATGTAACCTTGTTAAACACCTGTGACCTTGTAAATTAGTGCAGGCAAGATTTTTGTAGACTGAATTTTACACATAGACAAACATTTCATCTGAAAATACAGGCGTTTTTACTTCTTCATTTCTGATCTCTATAACTTTGTTTTTACTGTCTTTTTATATGGGCTAGGACCTCGAGTAACAGTGTTAAATAGAAGTGTTGAGGGAACATTCTTGTTCTGCTCCCAGTCTTCAGGGGATAGCATTCAGTGTCTCATCTTTAAGTATAATTTTAGCTGTAAAGATAAATTTATTATTTATTTTAGGTGCCCTTTATCAGGGTTAGAAAGTATTCTTTCATTCTTAATTTGGTGAAAATTTTTTATCAAAACAAAGCTGTTGAATTTTATCAAATGGTTTTCCAGTATTTATTGAGGTCAAGTAGGATATGATAAACTATCCTTTATTCTTTTAAAGTAGTGAGTTGCAGCGATTGATTTTATTCTTGAATTGTGAACTAACCTTACTTTTGTAGGATTGACTCCATTCGATCATGATACAATGTATTAGATTTCTTAATCTTTTATAGTGTATTTTTGAACTTATGTTTATGAGAGATAATGGGTTATGCTTTCTTTTCTCATAAGGATTTTGCCCAGTTTCTGTGCCAGTATTATAGTGGTATCAAAGTGAGTTGAAAGGCTTCCCTTATTCCTGTACTTTCTGAAAGAGTTTGCATAATACTGATATTAATTCTTCCTTAAATGTTTAATAGAATTTACCAACTGGGCCTTAATTTTCTTTGTGAGAAGTCATTTTTTGAATTAATTTCACTAATAGATAAAGATTCAGATATTCTCTTTGCTAAGTTTTGATAGATAGAGTTTTCCAAAGAGTTACCTATTTGGTTTAGTTATCAAAATTACTTACATACAGTTGCTCAAAAATTACCTTATTGTCCTTTTAGCATCTATGGTTTATGATGTGATATCATGCAATTTGTTAATGATGTGGTTACTTTGTGCTTTTGTTCCTGATTTTCTAGATTAGTATTTGTCAATTTTACTAATCTTTCCAACAGGTGCACTTTTAATTCTCTGTATATTTGGCTTTCCATTCCATTTATTTCTGTTCCTATCTTTACGGTTTTTCTTCTCCTTAGTTTGTGCTGTCAGTCTTCTTTCTGCTAGTTTCTTAAGGTAGAAACTTAGATAATTGATATTAGCTATACCTTTTTTAAAAAAATTCTTTTTATTTTATAAAAGTATTAGGCTTACGAAGAGTTGCAAAGATAGTGCAGAGATTTCTAGTATACCCTGCAACCAGTTTTGCCTGTTCTTGAGATCTTACATTACTATGACACATTTGATACAACTTTGACCAATATTAATTAATTAATTTTTTTTTTTAAGATGGAGTCTCACTCTGTCATCCAGGGTGGAGTGCAGTGGCGTGATCTCAGCTCACTGCAACCTCTGCCTCATGGGCTCAAGCAATTCTCCTGCTTCAGCCTCCTGAGTTGTTGGGATTACAGGCATGAGCCGCTACGCCTGGCTAATTTTTGTATTTTTAGTAGAGATGGGGTTTTGCCATGTTGGCGAGGCTTGTCTCAAACTCCCATCCTCAGGTGATCCACCCGCCTCAGCCTCCCAAAGTGCTGGGATTACAGGTGTGAGCCACCGTGCCCAGCCACGTTATTAACAAAAGTTCATACTTTATTCCTATTTCCTTAGTTTTTATTTACTGTCCATTACCTTTCTTAGAATCCCATGATGTATCCCACATTCCACTGAGTCTCCTTAGTCTCCTCTGGACTGTGACAGCTCATTCGACTTAATGTTGTTTTAGATGACTTTGACAGTTTTGAGGGGTACTGGTCAGGTATTTTGTGGTATGCCCCTCAACTGGGGTTTATCTAATGTGTTTTTGATGGTGTGACTGAGATTATGGGCTTCCAGGAGGAAGATCACAGCATTCAAGTGTAGTTCGCATCACGTGGCCTCGAGGCATATGCTGTCAGCATGGCTTCTCGTCTTGATGTCAATCTCCATCGCCGGGCTGAGCAGGTGTTTGCCAGAGTCAGGTTTTCCCACTGCAGTGCTGTTCTTTCCCTCCTGCCCATCCTGTACTCTTTAGAAGGTGCTCACTGTGTGGACCATACCCTTGAGGGCTGGGGACTTGTGCTCCATCTTCTTGAGGAGGAGTCTGTAACTACATAAATTATTTGGAATTATTCTGAATGGGAGATTTTTCAATGTCCCCTATCTATGTACTCAGTCATTTATTTATATCAGTATGGATGCATGGTTATTTGTTTGATACTTTAGGTTATAAGCTGTATCATTTGGGTTATAAATGACTATATGATTTATTGTGTTGGTCAGTTTGTACCATCTTTGTCTATTGGGAGCACCTGGGCTTCTGTGACATACCCTCATCATTTCATGTGTGTGGTGTTTTTGCTGACTTAAAATTTTACTTTATTTTTATTTAATTTTTACACTTCCTTACTCTCTGATACTATAATATTCTCAAGGCTCATCTTACACAGATGAGTCCTGCCTTAGACCTAGACTCAGCCATTTTTCCAGGGATCCCTGGCTCCTTTTACAGAGGAATGGTGTTAGAAACAAAAATACATGTATGATGTATGCTTGCTGGTGCTGGGGTATTGTGCCTCTAGGCCCTCTTTGCTAACAGAGAAAGGAAATATATGTGTGTCTTCTAACCTGTGTATATACACATTTACAGAAGTATTTCTATATCCATCCATCTATATCTATATTAAATTACACTTGAGTTCATTTTGACATCTCCAGCTCTAACACATTTTTACTTGGCTCATTCTTGCTCTCTCACCTGGCTTATCTGTAATGTCCCACTCCAGCAGTGAAAAAACTAGCCCCTACCACCTGCCATCCATTTACTCAGTACCAGTATACAAGTATAATGGTTTCAGGATTGTCAACTAATGTCCCTGTGAGACACAACTTTACCCACTAGAGTGCAGTGCTTTGTATATTTCCTTTTGTCTTTAGTCTTGCAGGCTTCACTCATTTAAAAAGCTAGTTAGATCAGCACATCCCTGCTGCAATGAGATATGTCATACACCGATGATGCAGTAAGATTATTTTGTCATAGTCTATATTTCATCCTGAAATTTCCTGACTTCCTAATTAGTATTTTATTCATATCTATGGAGGTTAATTATTTGTGCTTTAAAGCTCTATGGGTTTTGGCTTAAACACAGGGTCATGTATTCACCTTTATAGTATCATACAGAATAGTTTCATAGTCATAAAACTCTCTTTCTTTAGCTAGTCATCTATTCCTCCCCGTAAACTGCTGGTAATCACTGATCTATTTTCCATTGCTATAATTTTGCCTTTTCCAGAATGTTGTGTAAATGGAATCATATCATGTGTAGCCTTTTAAGACTTTTTTCCTTTTTAATATAGACATTTAAAGTTATGCATTTTCTTATAAGCACTGTTTGAGCAGTATTTCTAAAATATAGATATGTCTTCTTGACACTATCATTCAGTATTGAAATGTTTTCTAATTTCTTTTGTGATTTCTTCTTTGTATCTTGGCTATATAAAAGTGTATTGTTTAATGTCCAAACACTGGAACTTTTTCTTGATATTTACATGTCATTGATTTTGAATGTATTTTCATTGTGTCAGAGAATATACTCTGTACAATTTCATTACTTTCAAATACATTACGATTTATTTTAAAGCCCTGTGTAAGTCTTTCTCGGTAAATGTTCCATGAATACTTGAAAGTGTGTTCTGCAGTATCTTGCCCACACCTTAGCGAAGGTGCTGGGGGCCTGAGTCTGGAGAATATCAAGATATTCCTGATATCCCTTCCAACTTAAAGGGGAGAGTTGTATTTGGTTTATAAATACCCTGAGATCAAAGGTGAGAGCTAATGAAATCTATCTCACTTTTGCAATGGCTGGAAGACAACTAAAAACAAGATCTGTAGCCCACCTAGGGCATGTCTAGAGCATCATGGACTTTTAGTTGTACATGATTTTTCAACCCTAGCTGCTTCTTATTTTTCCTTTCCAGATGATAAAGAGAGATGCAGATTTATGTTTACAAATTTCAACCAAATAACAAATATATACCTTGTTATTTTATTATTTGGTTGAAACTTATGAAGCCATCTGAATTACTTTTTGGTATAAAGTATAAAACTCTGTATTTAAAGAAAACCATAGTTTTGCATAAAACTCTTTGGAGAGACTTCTGCTTCCTTGAAGATGGTATATATATCTATTTTTCTCTTCTTCTTGCTAAATGCAAAAAAAAAAAAAAAATCCCTAAACACAAAACTCCAGATATTATATATAAACAAATATAAGGAGGTTGTGAAAGGTAGAGAGAAGAAGGCAGACAAGCTAAGGACCCTGGGATCCAAGGAACAACATGGTGATGAGTCCCCCGAATTTTATTTTGCTTAATATATCCCAGACTTTTAGCTGAAATAGCCAGCAACTCAGAAACGCCAATGACCATTGACAAAAATAGCCCCCTAGTAAAGCCTGCTCTTACCACTGAAAGAACCAGAAAAGCAACAGCCTAGCAGGACAGGAAACTTTTATATAATAATGCTCTCTTCCATTCAAACATCTCAGAAAAAACCTTGTCCCCCACCCACTTTGCCAATAAAGGCCGAGTGGTGAACCTGGACTTCTGCCCTCGCCAGGTTGTAATGAAGCACTCAACACCCCGTGGGAGGGTGTAGAGGAGACCAAGTTGAAATCTGGAGTTTTCACCATTGTGTGCTTGCATTGAGATCCCCCTGGCCTCCCGGTTGGGATGGTCTCAGAGGAGGCCTAATGGAGAGTCAGGATTTTGACCTTCACCCAGGGTAACAAGGCCAACCCCATCTCCATGTTGATAGTGATGACATGTGGGGAGCAGTAATGAGGTGCTCTCACCCCTTAAGACAGAGACCTGGTGGGGGCCATGAACTCCCACCCCTTCCCAAAGTAACCAGGAATTCTTCCACCCCTGGGTATCAGTGAGGCCGAATGAAGAAGCTGGAATTTCACCCCCACTTGGCATTGCTGAATAAGTCCTACCACCAAGGACTTAAATGGAGAACACTGCTAAAACACAAGATTTAAAGAAGATTCAGAGTCTTATAATACCTAAAATGTCCAGGTTTTAATAAAACATCACTTGTTATACTAAGAATGAGAAAATTCTTAAACTAAATGAAAAAAGGTAATCAATAGACATAAGTACTGAAATGACTAAGATGTTAGAATTTTAAAAGAGATATTGCAAAGCAGCTATTATGAAAATGCTTCAGCCAGAAATTGCAAACTCAAAACAAATGAAAAAATGGATAGCCTCAGCAAAGAAATGAAAATTTCATCAAGAAATAGAAGATATAAAGAGTAAACAAATGAACATTTAGAGCTAAAAATAAAATAACAGAAATAAAAACGATCTCAATGGATGGGCTCAACAGCAGAATAGAGATGCTAGAGGAGAGTCAGTGAACTTGGAGATAGAACCATAGAACTTATCCCATCTGAACAACAAAGAAAAATACATAGACTAAAGAAATGAACAGAGCCTCAGAGTTCTATTGGACTGTAACAAAATATTTAACATTTGTGTCATTGGAATCCCAGAAGCAAGGAAAGGTGAGGCTGGAAAAATATTTAAAGAAATAATGCTGGAACCTGGGAGTGGGAGGCTGCAGTGAGCCGAGATCATGCCACTGCACTCCAGCCTGGATGACAGAGTGAGACTCTGTCTCAAAAAAAAAAAAACAAAAAAACCCCAAAAACCAACCAAACAAACAAACAAACAAAACAGAAAAAGCAAACAGGAAAAAAAAACCCAAAAGAAATAATGGCTGAAAATTCCCCAAATTTGGCCACCCCCCTCATTAATCTTCAGATCTAAGAAATGGAGACAATCCCAAAAAGGATAACTCCAAAGAAATTCACACCAAGACACATCATAATTAAACTTCTAAAAACTAAAGACAAAGAACGAGCCTTGAGAGCAGCCAGGGAGAAACAAGGCTCTACCCAGAGAAGAACAACATTTTTTAAAATTTTATTATTTCATTTTTTTTTGAGATGGGATCTTGTTCTGTTGCCCAGGCTGGAGTGCAGTGGCATGATCTTGGTTCACTGTAACCTCCAGCCTGCTGGGTTCAAGCCATTCTCCTGCCTCAGCCTCCTGAGTAGCTGGGATTACAGGTACCCGCCACCATGTCTGGCTAATTTTTGTATTTTTAGTAGAGACAGGGTTTCGCCATGTTGGCCGGGCTGGTCTCGAACTCCTGGCCTCAAATGATCTGCCCTCCTTGGCCTCCCAAAGTGATGGGATTACAGGTGTGAGCCACCATGCCCGGCCAAGAACAACAACTTGAATGACAGAGCACATCTATCTGAAATTAACGAGGACAGAAAGACAAGGCACAACAGCTAACAAGTGCTGGAGGAGAAACACTGTCATGTGATTTCTATACCCAGTGGAACTATCCTCAGCAATGAAGGGGAAATAATGACATTCTCAATTAGAAGAAAGCAAAAATAATTTGTCATTAATAGAATTAATTTTAAAGATCACCTAAAGGAAGCACTTCAAACAGGAAGGAAATAGTAAAATAAGAATGTTGGAGTGTCAGGACCATGGTGAGAGCAAAATACGGGAAAATGCAATAGGCTTTTCTGCTTCTATTGCATTTTCTAAATTACGTTTGATGGCTGAAGCCAAAATTATAACACTGTCTTATATGGGTCTCAATATACATAGAGGAAATATTTAAAACAATTATGTTAAGTGGAAGGGTGCAAAGGGAGGTAGCATTTCTATTCTTCACCAGTACTGGTGAAATTTTGATACCAGTGGATTTTGATTTTGAATATATATATATATATATATATATATATATATATATATATATATATATTCAAATAGTTGCTCTGGGTATTTATACAGGAAGAATATATATATATATATATATATATACACACATATTTATATTTTCTTCCTATATAAATACCATATATGCATAAATATAGGAATACATATATATATAAAAATATAGGAATATGTATATATATATTCTTCCTATATAAATACCCAGAGCAACTATTAGAAAAGCTATTGAAAGAGATATACCCTAAAACACTCCCAAAAACTTCCAGTTTCCAGTCCTCATGTAAGGAGCTTGAAGTCATCCCTCTGTCCTAACAAGTAAAAAGTAGAACACAGTGAAAATCAACAACTGTTCTTAGATCCTTCAGAGAGTTGGGCTCACAGGAAAACAGCTGCCTCAAACGCTGGAGAGACAGGTGGATACAAAGAGTCACAACTTGTTGGAGCAGAAACTCATGAAGAAAACCTGAACTGTAATTGACAGATTGCTGAGGCTCCCTGTGGACAAATCTGCGAATTAAAAACTGCAGGAGACCCAGTCATAGGGGTTTTGTGAGTTTTACCCCCAGGACCCCCTACTAGGTTCTAACAGTGAAGGTCAGAGAAAAATCTCCTTGTGCTTCTGGCAGGGGGAGGGAAAAGTAATCGTTGTGAAATACGCCTCATCCAACCAGGCATATGTCCCGCAAAATTTATGTCTACTGGATCCGTGAATGTGATCCTATTTGGGAATAGTCTTTTCAGATGTAATTGATTATAATGGGCCTTATGTGACTTGTGTCCTTATGAGAAGAATGTAATACAGACAAAGACACAGACACAAAGGGAGGATGCCATGGGATGATGGTGGTGGGGGAGGCTGTGTGTGTGTGTGGCGGGGGAGGGGGTTGCGGGTGGCGGGCAGGAGGCTTATGAACTTTGTACTTTCTGCTCAATTTGCTATGAACTTAAAACTGCTCTGAAAACTACAACTGCTTTGATGTGTCTACAAGCTCAGGAATACCAATAATTGTTGGCAACCACTAGAAGGGGCAAAGAAGGATACTTCCCTACAGCCTGCAGTGAGAGCATGGCCCTGTATGGACATCTGGACTCCAGAACCCTGAAAATAAATTTCTGTTGTTTTAAGCCACTCAGTTTGTGACACCTTATGACAGCAGTCCTGGGAAACTAGCACACCCACCTTCTTCTGTGGCTTAAGTGGGTCACAAGTTCCAGCCTATATTCAAGGATAGAGTATGCCTATCAAGGGTATGGATATCAAGGTCATGGCTGTCAAGGGCATGTCTATCAAGGGCATAGCTGTCAAAAAGAGATTATAGGAGTCATCACAGAGGTTCGTCACCACCCAGGGTATTTATTTTTTTGCGTTTGTGTTGCTCAGTTTCAGCGAAGAAAAATTAGTGGGCATCAGTGTGCTAACAAAACCAGGGAGGAGGGTTGATACAGAGGAAGAAACTAAAGCTCAGAACATTTAAGTGAATTTCCCATGGCCATGCAACTTCAAAAATTGCAACTGAAACCCAAATGTTGGAACTGAACTCCCAGGTTTGGAAATTATGTGTATGTCAACCTAACTCTTGTATTAAGACATATGAGACATGAAAAATCTTTCAATTAAAGTGCGGTCGAGAGTGTGACATAGGGGATGGGAAGATAAAAATAATCATTAGTCTATTTTTGTCTCTTTTCTCTTGAGGCAGCTTTCATTTCCTAGTTTGGCAGAGATGGACGACACAAAGCTATGGTGGACAGGCTCTGAGAAAGCTGCCACCTCCCTGCAAACCAGGGAGTGAGTCTTCAGCTCCCAGCTATGCACAGTCTCCTTTTGAAATAAAATTAATCTATTAAGCCATGACGTGCAACTATAGGTTTTATGTAGCATCATAAATCCCCGGAAATTAACTTGCTCTAAGCTTTGGCCTGGGGCAGCTCTCAGCAATGAAAGTCCTCTGTGAAACTTAATTGATGTTTAAATATTTCCTGCTAGCTTTTTCACTCTCTTTCTCTCCTTCCATCCAACTAAAAGGGAAAATTTCTAGAGGAAGAAAAAAATAAATAAGAGAGTTTCACTTTATTGTCTCACTTTGGATATGCAGTGTCAAGGACGTTTTATGTCCTGGGACAAAAACAAGGGAATTTCTCTTGGGGAGGCTCCAGTATACCCCGGGCTTGAGGGGAGGCTGAGTGTGGGCCTCCCCCAAGACTGTGGCTGAGCCTGAGATGCTGGTACTTCCAACCGGCCATGTTACTGTGGACAGAAATTCCAGAGACGGTGTAATGGAATTCAGAAATTCACAATAAATTTAAGAGTTGTATGAATGTCAACCATAGTCATTGGTGAGATGGTGGTTGAGCCCCTGCCATGTGCCTGGGACACCCATGGGAATGGTATCATTTCCTCCCCATGGAAACTGTTCTCACTCCTCGTGTCATCAGTGGAATGAAAGAACTTCAGAGCTGAGCACCGGCCAGCCCAAGACCACAGGCCGGCAAGTGGAGGAGAGATGGGACTTTTTTCCAAGTCCACCTGACTCCAGAGTCCATCAGTTTCCCCTGTATTGTTGACTCCAGAACTTTACAAAGGAATAATCCTTCTCAGTGTCGAGTTTCCCAGGATCACAGATAATAAGCAGTGGTACGTTCAGCATATTTGCATTCAAAAACTTTATACAGAAACAAAGCAGCTATAAATTAAAAAATGAATTTACACTTAATTCATGACAACCTCTACATACATTTGGAAGTTAACTGTACTTCTAGGAAAGTTAGTCTCTGACAATGCTTGGGACATATGTAGATCTAAGAAACCTGCAATAAGTTGGCTTTATGAAGAGCAGGTGCAGCCACAATGTCTCTGGGGTCACTCCGCCACGGCCATTGTTCCTGTGGTCACAAGGAACAGGTCAGGCTCTGTGGATGGGGACCCTGCTCTGTGTCTGCTGTCCCTGTGGACGCATGGGGACAGGTCAGATTCTGTGGATGGGGACCTGCTCTGTGTTCGTTGTCCCTGTGGATGCATGGGGATAGGTCAGGCTCTGTGAATGGGGTCCCTGCTCTGTGCCCACCATCCCTACGGACACATAAGGACAGGTCAGGCTCTGTGGATGGGGACCCTGCTCTGTGTCTGCTCTCTCTGTGGACGCATGGGGACAGGTCAGGCTCTGTGGATGGGGACACTGCTCTGCGGCTGCTCTGTGGACGCATGGGGACAGGTCAGATTCTGTGAATGGGGACCCTGCTCTGTGTTTGTTGTCCCTGTGGATGCATGGGGATAGGTCAGGCTCTGTGAATGGGGTCCCTGCTCTGTGCCCACCATCCCTACGGACACATAAGGACAGGTCAGGCTTTGTGGATGGGGTCCCTGCTCTGTGTCTGCTGTCCCTGTGGACACTTGCGGACAGGTCAGGTTCTGTGGATGGGGACCCTGCTCTGTGTTCGTTGTCCCTGTGGACACATAAGGATAGGTCAGGCTCTGTGAATGGGGACCCTGTTCTGTGTCTGATGTCACTGTGGACGCATGGGGACAGGTCAAAGTCTGTGCATAGGGACCCTGTTCTGTGTCTGATGTCACTGTGGATGAATAGGGACCCTTTTCTGTGTCTGATGTCACTGTGGATGCATGGGGACAGGTCAGATTCTGTGGATGGGGACCCTGCTCTGTGTCTGATGTCACTGTGGATGCATGGGGACAGGTCTGGGTCTGTGGATGGGGTCCCTGCTCTGTGTCTGATGTCTCTGTGGACACATGAGGATAGGTCAGGCTCTGTGGATGGGGACCCTGCTCCGTGTTCATTGTCCCTGTGGCCGTATGGTGAGAGGTCAGGCTCTGTGGATGGGGTCCCTGCTCTGTGTCTGATGTCCCCGTGGAGACATGAGGATAGGTCAGGCTCTGTGGATGAGGACCCTGCTCTGTGTCTGATGTTTCTGTGGGTGCATGGGGACAGGTCAGGTTCTGTGGAAGGGGGCCCTGCTTTGTGTCTGATATCCCTGTGGACGCATGGGGACAGGGTCAGAGCTCTATTGCAGGTTCTGTGGCAGCCCTTAAGGAGATCTGCTCACACTGTCATTCAAGGACATCCTTTTTTCTTCTGAGGTAACAACGAAGTTAACCATGATGAATAATAAATAATGTAGTACAAGTTCAGTGTCTTTCTTGCTTATAACATAGTGCATACATTTTGTGAGGGCAAGCATTTGTAATTTTGAAGCAGTCTTTTGAGAATGTCAGTTGGTCCAGGAAAATAGCAAAGAGAGCTACCAAGAGATTGCAGGTTTTAAAAAGTTCCACAAACAATAGCTAATTTTATTTTTCAAAGCCACACTAGGAAGCAGGTAGTCTTGTCTGCATTTGTATATGAGAAGGTAGAGGCACACAGAGGATAAGTTACTTGCCCACATTGATACAGCTGGTATATGTTTCTTGTTCAATATTTATTTTTCCAAGTACAAATATATTTTATTTATGTATCTCAAAGATGACACAGAAATTAGAATTGAGTGTCATCATGAAACCTTTCCAGATTAAGGTGTAGTGGATACTTCAGGGTGCTGCCCAGAATCTTTCCTCTTCAGGACTTCCTTCTCTTCATGTCTGGGAATTTGAAGGCTGACATCTCGCAGCTGAGCTCTTGGGTGAAGAGAGCACTAGCCCCTCCTCAGGGGAAGCCTGCATGCAAGAGCTGATCAGTGCAGAGGTGGGAAGGCTGATCCTCCTCGCCCTGACTCTGCACATTCATCTCAGCTCCAGAGTTGCCTGTGGGATGGGCTGAGGCCTTTGCTGCTGCTGCACTGCACACAGCTTCTCTCTCCACCCAGTCCTGCCCCCACCCTCCATCTGGGTACTCATCCTGAGGACCCACTTCCTACATGCACATCTCTACCTCTGGGTGGGCATTCAGGGAAACAACCCAACCTGTGACATAAAGAGCAGCAGTTCATGTTGTCTGCCCCAGTGGACAGAGACTCAAAGTGCCTTGTTCTTTTGGAGCAGCCCGCGGAACTTACGTGTTGGTGGCAGGGAAGTCACTGTGTTTATGCCATACAGGCTTTGCCATGTTGTCCTTCTTGCCTGTCTGAACATTCAGAGACAGAACACCTTGAGCAGACAGATGATTAAGTGAAAATAATACCTAAACAATGGTTTTTTTAAAATCACGTAAGGAATACATTGACTGGTATTTTGGTGTCCTCAAATTTCTCTTATTTCAATTAATAGAATCAAAGTCAGATATGCAACTCATTTGGATATTTCTTCATATAATTATCCTGCTTTAGAAAACATTGTTTTATTTATCTATTTTCAAATTTTCATGGTAAGTGGTCAGAAATTAACACTCTAAAAAATGAAATTTTGTTGCTACTACAGGCTGACTATCTGGGACTATCAGAAATGCTTGGGACTGGAAGTATTTTGAATTTCAAGTTTTTTCCGATTTTGAAATATTTGCATTATACTGAACTTATGGTTGAGTGTCGCTGTTCCAATAGTATGAAATCTGAAAGGCTCCAATGAGCATTTCCTTTGAGCAGCATGTTTGAACTTGAAGCATTTTGGATTTCAGATTTTCAGATTAGGAATGCTCACCCTGTGTCTCTAATTCATCAGGTTATTGTCTCAATTTTGTTGCCACTGGACCCTCCTGTGGTGGTAGACCAGGAGACCAGACACATTCTTCAGGTGCACACTTTTGGATACAGATGTTACTGTCATTTTATAGTTTTCCTTTTTAAAGTAATTTAAAAATTAATATAATAAACCAACAGAAAATTTAACATATTCAAAGTATCCTAATTTCATTGCTTTCTATTCTTACATATTGTTTTCTTTAGTCTACATTTTTGGATTTAATTTGCTGCTGTTTTTCTAGAACCTTGAGATAGAAGCTTACCTTTTAAAAAATATGAACATTTAAGGTTATATGTGTTCTTTCAAGCACTTTCAGCTGCATTTCACACACTTTAATATGATCTTGTTCATTTCTTAAAGTTCGGAATGTTTTCTAATTTCACTTGTAATCTTCTTTCACACTTGAATCCTTTAGAAGTTACTGGCTTAATTATGAAACAACTCAGGATTTTCTTGCTATTTTACTTTTGTTACTTATTTCTCACTTAATATGATCAGAGAAAATATTCAACCTTTTGAAATGTTTTGAATCCTGTTTTGTAAATCAGCATATGATCAAATTTTATCGTGTTGCGTGAGTACTTACAAAGGACAAATGCCTGTCATCATCCGACTCACTATTCTATACTTGTCAATTAAGTTGCTCTGGCCATAAACGACATGGCTGGGACTTCAGCCCTGGTGTTCCAATACTAGATTTCATTCCTTTAACCATGAAATTCTCCTGTCTGTCTTCAAGTTCCTGAGTAAGCGCTGCATCCTAAGGTACCAGATCAGTAGCTTGTGTTTGGAAACTGGGGTCTTGTTGGGAACCTCTTTGGTTGTCTTGAGAAGTGTGGAAGGTGGAGCTGCCAGTCATTGCATAGTCTGTATTTGGGAATACATCATGCGATAGCCATGAACAATCTGTATTTAGGAATATGCTGCATAAGAGTCATTGCCCAGGTTGTGCAGGAAAATATCATGCAGGAATCATCGCACAGTCTGTATTCAGGAGCACAACCTTCAGTAAGGCAGCCCTGAGATGTTGGAGACAAGTCTAGAGAAAATGAATGCTCTCACAAGATTCTCTGCCATTAGTTTTCCATTGCAATGGACACAAATGTAGTGACTTAAAAACAACACAGATTTATTATCTGATGGTTCTAGGGGTCAGAAGTCTGACATGTGTCTCACAGGGGTGCATTTTCTCCTGGTGGCTCCAGGGGAGAGCCTGTTTCCTTGCCTTTTGCAGCTTCTAGAGGGGCCCACATTCCTTGGCTGTGGAAGGTTCCCCGTCGTCAAATCCAGTAGTGTTGGGCTGAGCCCTCTCATGCTGCCGTCTCTCCAGATCTCCCTTCTGCTTTCTTCCACTTATAAGGAACCCTGTGATGACCAAGACCTACCCAGATGATTCAGAGATAATTCAGGAGCATCTCCCTGTGTGAGGTAAGCTGAGTCAGAGCCTCAGCTGCACCTGCAACCTCCACTCCTCTTTGCCATGGAACCTGACACATCCACAGGTTTGAGGGAGTAAGGCCTGGATTTTTTTGGAGCCTGTTATTCTACCTACTACATCCTCTAGCATAAGCTGAATTCCTGTTACTCTGGAATGTAGCTCCCTCAAAGATTTTAAATAATAAGAAAAAGTCAGATGAATGCATTCAAAGAATGGACAAGGGATCCCAGGAGAATACAAATGGCCAATAATCAGGTGAAAACTTCTTAGCCTCACTAGTCATTTGGAAAATGCAAATTAAAACAGCAAGATCCCAAATCTTCATCTCATTTAAAAAATCAGATTGGCAAGAAATGTTTGTTGGATAAATGTATTTTGTTTAAGAATGTGAAAAGGCTTGTAGTATAACAGAACCTCCAAGCCCACCCATAGAGGCAGGTGTTTCAGGAAGTCTGGATGTGGTAAGGCTGCCCCGTGGTAGCTGGGACCGGTGCAGTGACACTCCAGGCCACAGTGCTAGGATCCAGCACTGTACAGCCCTGTGCCTGTGTGCCCTGAGCCAAACAAGACCCAGGTCTCAGCAGGACTGGCCCGGAGGCTTCCAGGGAAGAAGTGGGCATCACTCTGCATTCTTCCCAGTGAAAGTGGATGTCACCCTACACCAAAGCATTTCTGGATTTCTCACATTTCTGCTTGTCCTCCTCATGAATAAAACCTGAGAAACCAAATAAAATCTCTTACAAAAAGAGATATCAATTCTGGTTGATGACCTACCTTATTTATTATGTATACAGTTTTCAGTCTCAGTAGATTTTATTAAAAAAAAAGAGCCCTTTCCTATATTGTATTAAAGACCATTGTATAGTATTGATTTTCTTCTGTAATAAACTGGATAAAGGCAGAGTGCAGGAAAGACTCACTCCGCAAACTCTATGCAATGAAATTGGACTTCCCACAATAATCCTGTTTTGAAATATATGTTTGAAAAGCAGAATTCCCAGCTGAAAAGAAAGATATTCTGAAGGAATTAATGTCACATAGGGCTCAAAATGAAAGCTGAAAAATACATCTCTAAATCGAAGTCAATAGCAATGAGCGTGCACACAAATGCTCCCTGCACACCCGCCGCCACCGCCTCTCATCTCATGGACCCTCTTCACGCTCATCTGGGCTGCCTCTTCAATTCCGTAGGTTGCAGATTTTGTTACACAACGAACCTCCTTCAGGCCAAGCTGTCATCTAACAGAATTGTCTTGTAAGGAAGGCAGTCCCAACCCTCCTTTCCCACCCACCTCCTAGAGAAGGAGGTGGAGGCAGCCCCACACCCCACGTCTCTACCATGGGGAAGTCCAGAGCCCCACACCATGCACAGGTCCCCAGCATCAGTTGAGCTGCCCTCTCAGGACAGTAGCCACCACCGATGGTCCCTCCTTTCTTCCAGCCACCACCCAGGATGCCACTTCCTAGCAAGAGTAGAGAAAAAGGAGCAAAAGTTATCAATCAAACAAACCAACCCTTTGCAAATTATTTCTGAAGAACATTAGCTCCAAGAAAATGTTAATGATTCCAGGAAATGTTAATAGCATCCATAAAATGTTTGGGAAAGGTTGTATTAAACACAATTAAATAGGTTTCTGTACTCCAGTGACATCCTAGTTCCTGGAGTTCTAGCAGCATATTTTATTCATCAGGTATTTTTCTTTGAAGTTTTAGCTGTGCCATATAAGAAATAGAACTCACAATAAAATAATCATTTCAAAAATAAATGATAGGAGCAGGAATAGCTGATTTGTTGAGCACTTTCTTTGTATGTATGTGTGCATTAATTTGTTTAGTCTCTACAACAACCCCAAAGGTGGGTTCTGTTATTATCCTTGCTGAACCGAGGAAGAAACTATTAATGTTTCAGTGTAAAGATAATTTACACTCTAAAATATCAATACTAGTCAACTAAAGATATCAATTAAAAGGGAAGGTTTTAAACTACAGGATCTGTCCTTTTAGAGTCCTGGAACTAGTACAGTGTGGAGTGAAGCTCTGGCCCATGAGCCTACGGTCAGAGCTGGCCATTCCTGGGTGTTTTCCGGGAACCAGGTTGTGAGTGGATCCTATCAGGAATCAGGGGCCCCTCAGTGGGTGCAGCTGAAGAGAGTTTAATAAGGGGCTCTCTACAGAGTGGGGTGGGTAATGGGGGCAACAAGGGAGGGGGGAAAACCCAGGGCCTAGCAGCTGCAAGAGACCTTCACCACCCGTTGACCTAAAGGGTTAACGGTGGCAGTGGGTATGTTGAGGGCTGTGGCCATGGGTAAGGGGCCGGCTATTGAGAGCCATGGCTGTGAGTAAAGGGATAGAGTGCAGATCTAGGGGGAGATGTACCCCACACTCCCTCTTCTCACTTCCTCACCTGTGAACGTGTTCCATCATGTTCACAGCTGTATTCCAGGCAATCAGAAAAAGCCTGACACAATGAACTAAACATAGGAATGCCTCATCTATGTCTAGAGATGCTCCTTCCCCAGCTAGGATTTGGAATTGCCTTGATTAAAATGCAGAAACATCCCAGGCTTAGTCTGATAGGACATGATGCCTGTTACAAAATGGCGGACAGGTCGGGAAATGCCTCTGGAAGCAGCCTGGAGTCATGGTGGTGCTCAGAACAAGGGACCAGAGGCCATGGTTCAAATACACCTTCCTTAATTACTTGCTAGATATGCAACCAGAGGCTATTTAACTTTTCTAACTTCTCTTAAAAAGTATGTTAATGATGATGATGTTGATGACATGGATGTCACAGAGCCATGGAAAGAGTAAATACGATTAGATACAAACTGTCCAAAAATAGCTTTTTTGACAAATGTTGTCCTTCCTAGCTTTGGAGGTAGAAATCTTAAATTTATAGGCATCGGGTAAAGGAAGGAGCCTTATATACTCTGTCTTCATTGTAGCCTGTTTTAAAATTCCAGATCATCTAGGAGAATTGTTACCCAACACAATAACAAGAATAGAGAAAGAGAGGGCTCTCAATCTTCCCAAAGGCCTATCTCTGTGACTGCATCCCAGGTAATGAACTCGATGATCATGAAAGCACAGTAGAGCACATGTCTCCCCGTGCTGTGCTGACAATACACTGCGGGGCTTTACTGGTTGACTTATTATCAGTGGGATTGGCATTGTTTATGATTGAGAAAGAATCAGAGTAAACTCAGCCCCTCATTCCTTGACTTGCCTTCTACCCTTCTTATACCTGCATGGTCTAATGTAGTAGAAGAGAATAATTTGGACTAGGTTTATACCATCTCTAAGCCCTTTGGTGGAAATGAAATTTTGGAGAGTAATACTACTAGGAAAGAGTTCGCTTCTTACCTGCTTCCCTGCCTTCTCCCACCCAGCTGGGATGCCCATTTATCTCCCCTCTGCCCCAGCCATTTAGCTTAGCAACTCTTTGTTGAGTGTCTCCTCTGTGCCAGGCTCCACACTGGGCACTGGGACCTCCTTGCTGCATGCACACAGCTTTTGCCCCCAGAGCCCAAAGTCCAGCAGTGCCCCAGGAAGTTTCCACTGGGAGGCCTTCTTGGTACTGTGAGTCACTCCAGAGCCCTTTGTGACTATGGTGCATGGGTGGCATCAACTTTCTGTAAATGCACTTTTACAATCCTACTTCTGAGTGCGGGCATCCATGGGAGAGAAGGTCTTTTGATTTGCACCAGTTAAAATCTGAGTTATACTGTTGCAGAAAACCACCTAGGTTGGTGTAATCAGAAGAGGCAAGTGGTGGAAGGCACTGGGTGAAAGATGAGTTCTCTAGGGAGGCCAGAGAGGATGGTGGGTGGGACGCAGGCAGGATGATGCCTTGAGTGACTCCACAGCCTGTTCTCTGGAGCTGACCTTGCTGAGCCAAGGTCACATGCCTGCACCCCTGCTGCTAGGGATACCAGGTTTCTGGTGTCTATCTTGCTAAGCAGCAGACCCACAGAAAGGGCTTACTCTGCTGTGGGACAGGTGTTGAGATGACTAATCTGTGTGGCGTGCTTTGTTCCATTCTTTGCCTGCTACCCAGACGGTGGCATTGCCTTCTCTCCCTCTCTTTCTCACCCGTCCCAATTTTGTGATAGTCAGTTCACATAAAAGGCCCCCTTCAAGTCTCTGCTTATTCTGCTGTCTAATAAATGTAATACTTCATGATCATACTCCCTAACTACACAGTCCTCTGTGTGTGACACAGCACCCCTTGTCACCTGGGGGACGACAGCAAAAGGAGAATGAAGCCTAGAGAAAGAGGAGTTTCTTCCAGCTGGTACCTCAAAGGCCCTGCATCAGAATCCCCTCATCTGCCACTGAACACCGCTGATGGATTCTGACAAATGAACAGCGATTTTACCGTGCTGGACTAAGAACCACAGTACTATGTAGAAAAATGGGTGCCCACAGCATTTCATGAGGACCCTTTTAGAAGTCAGGAGAACAGTCATCAGGACATTTAGTGTTGAAGAATAATTTACAAGCCATGCTGAGTTGTCCTGGTCAGCAATAAAGATTAAAAATTGCATGCTCTCCAGAAGAAAAAGAAGATAATGGCAAAGAAGATTACTTTAAATCGAACTTTTGCGGCTCCTAGGAAGAGCTGAGCCCTGGAGCACTCTGGAGCCTGGCTGAGTTGGACCGAGCCTGACAGTGGGTGTCCCAGCCAGTCTCATGCCCCTCATTCTTGCAAACATGAGAAAATGGTCTTCAGCGACTGCGCACTGTATGAGGTCAGGAGAAGGTTTCAGGAGGCCTTTGTGCAGTTGGCCAAGATGACTGTTCTGAGTGGAGCAGCCATGCTGGGTCACTGCTGTGGACATGGAGCCATGCTGAGTCACTGCTATAGACATGGAGCCATGCTGAGTCACTGCTGTGGCCACGGAGCCTTGCTGGGTCACTGCTGTGGACACAGAGCCATGCTGGGTCACTGCTGTGGACACGGAGCCATGCTGGGTCACTGCTGTGGACACGGAGCCATGCTGGGTCACTGCTGTGGACACGGAGCCATGCTGGGTCACTGCTGTGGACACGGAGCCATGCTGGGTCACTGCTGTGGACACGGAGCCTTGCTGGGTCACTGCTGTGGACAAGGAGCCATGCTGGGTCACTGCTGTGGACACGGAGCCATGCTGGGTCACTGCTGTGGACACGGAGCCATGCTGGGTCACTGCTGTGGACACGGAGCCATGCTGGGTCACTGCTGTGGACACGGAGCCATGCTGGGTCACTGCTGTAGAAATGAGATAGGTGCGGATGATTAGAGGCGTGGGCTCTCCTCTCCACTGCCAGGAAACTGCTCTACTGCATGGTCAGAATCCTCAAGACCAGGAGGTAGTGGACCTCACCCTGGTGGTGAGTGGCTTTAGGAATTTTGCTAGAATTGCTAGAAATGGTGGTGTCCTGACATTTACATTATTCTCTTGCCCTTGTTGCCACTGAGAATGGCAAGGACCCACAGAGAAGGCTTAGGATCAGACAAGGAGGGTGAGAACAGCTACCAGCTGGGCAACAGGGAGGAAGAATGGCTTCACCCTCCACACACCTGCCACACTCCTGCCAGAGTGCTGCACAACATACGTGACAGGCAAATGCATACTGATAATGTTATGATCACTAAGGACAAGCTGACTTTGAGTCCAGCTCAGTATTAGTGGATGTGACTCTAGAGTGTTGGAAGCATGGAATGGAGTTAATGTAAGAAGTCAGGGGTGGGGACACAGGGCTTCTCCAGGGAAGAGAGTCATCCACAATATCCATAATGACTGACCCAGAATGAGCACAAAAGGGAATTGAGGAAATGCTCCTACATTTGGCAAAAAGGATATTCCTGGTGAATATTGGCCTTCAGTGGTCAATTTCAGGAGATTAAAGTGGATGGAAACCCAACGTGAGAAAAATTACAATGTCCATTCACTTATGAATGTTAGGATGAAAATGGGGTAAAAAAATGATAGTAGGTGAATGAGAGTAAAATTGCTGTGTATTTTAGGCTGTCTTTCCACAGGGGGTTGACTAGATGCAGAACTCTTTATGACCTAAGATTTCACATAATGGATACAGGAAGCTGGATTTACTTCCCTTGACCCATTTATGTAGCCATCTATACAGCCCATTTCCATGGCACAGCGGGGGCTGCTGTCAGAAACCTCATACCCACTGCCTTCATAGCTTTCTTAATAAATGGTAGAAAGTGACATGCATGGATTTCAATAATAACTGAGCAAAAAGGACAAATGCAGTCAGCTCCAGCAAAAAATCCCACCCAGAGGACAAAAGGACTCTGTGATGAGATGTTGTGTTTCTTTTTTTATTGGATCCACCTGGAAAGCATCATCGTAGAGAAATGAGACCCTGCCTCGTGGTTACCTTTAGGCATTGCACTTGTATGGAAGCACTTGTGTTAAACCACACAGAGGAGCTCTGATAAAGGCAAGAAAAGACAAAGGCTAAAAAACTTTAGTGACTTTACCTTAAGCTATATCTCAAGTGATTAATAGGTAAATTTTATAAAAGATCAGTATTTCCTACATTTTTCACATTTTATGACTTTTTGCCATTACTTAAAACATGTTTCGCTATACCACACTACATTACACTGGATGAATTTCACTACACTACACTACACTACATTACACTATATGACTGGATGTCACTAAAACACCACAAAGCACAGAAGCTTACATTTTGAATAGGAAATATCCAACTCTGTAGAAAACAAAACAAGATCTCAGTATGGAGAGAGTCCTTTTCTCTTTATGCACAATGGAGTCCATGCCAGACCACAGAACATAAGACACTTTCCTTATCAACACAGAGTAAGGTATGTTATTGGAACACAGGATCTGTACATAAAAATATTTTAGTTGGCCAGGCGAGGTGGCTCATGCCTGTAATCCCAGCACTTTGGGAGGCTGAGTTGGGCTGATGGCGAGGTCGAGAGATCGAGACCATCCTGGTCAACATGCTGAAACCCTGTCTCTACTAAAAATACAAAAAGTAGCTAGGCATGGTGGCATGCACCTGTAGTCCCAGCTATTTAGGAGGCTGAGGCAGGAGAATTGCTCAAACCCGGGAGGCGGAGGTTGCAGTGAGCCAAGATCATGCCATTGCCCTCCAGTCTCGCGATAAGGCGAGACTCTATCTAAAAAAAAAAAAAGTATTTTAGTTATAAGCGACTTGTTTCATTACCTTAAAGTACCCCCTTATAAGAGGGAATAGTTGATATTCTCTTCTTTTCAACAGCCTGTTTCTACAGTTACTGGTCTATACCTCAATCCCGAACTCCACGACATCTGGGCAAAGGACAGGCAAAAGTGTATGTTTGGGACAGGAACAGGTGAACACAGGGAAGAGTGTTGACTTCTTATCTCCTCATGAAATATGGATACGTTTTTACAATTCCCTATCCATTTCTTATGACTGAGGTCAAGGATCACCCAGTCAATAAAGAAAATGCCATCTGGTACTACAAGGCAACGTCACCACCCAGATGTGGGCAGGCTGCACTTTAGAAACACACACACTGATGTAGTAGAGCTCTTTTGTTTCCCAATGGGGAACGGTTAGACATATACAATTTCAGCAGGCCATTTTCATCAACATTGGCCATGGTTAGTCGCTAATCTCATAACCGGTTTGATAATGTTAAAAAGTCAAGAAATGGCTGGAAGCAGGAGCAGGAGCAATCCACAAAGTGTGAGGCAGGTCCTAAGTGGAGAAAGGATGTATCACAAAACTCAATGTGCTTGACAGCACTGCTGAACAGCTGGGAAAGAAAGTGAAGCTAGGTGCGCACCAGCATAAATTCCAGGGGCATTAAAGGCTTGCATCTTTAATAGATTATAATCATAGACGTATTAAAAAAACGCAGAAGTAAATATTTCCATAATCCCGGGAGAGGAGCTTCTGAAATAGAAACCAGAAGAGGGAAAGGGCTGATTTGATTATGTAAACGTTTTCTACATTCACACATAAAAATTACTATAAACAAAATTAAGAACCAAAGTTTAACTCAGGAAAAAATTTCGATCAAATAGAACTGGGTTACTCTTCTACAAACTTAAAGAGGTCTGAGTGAGCATTAAAAAGATAAAGACTTCAATACAGAAATATGCATAAAGAATATGCACGGGTAACTCCTATCACAAGAAATACAGATAACTAATAAGCACTTCAAATGCTTTGTAATAAAAACACAAATGTAAATGAGACACCACTATTTTGCCCATTAAATTGACACCAATGTTTTACATAAGCAAACATACAGCAAAATTTATGTCCATGAGCCTGTAACGAAATGAACAAAGGCAAGAGTAAATTAACAATAAGGATTAAAATCTCACGTGCTTTTCTGTTGTCCTATTATTTCTTCACCTAGGAATTTCTTGTAAGAAAAACTAGGATGCTCTAATATGCAAGCATAGAACACATGGAAAATGATTTCTACCTAAAGATGGACTGTTTTTGTCTAGAGAGAAGCCTGTGGGAGGCAACTCCAGGGCTTCATGGCACTCTCACAGGAGGGCTCAGGGGGGCCTCCATACAGACCCCCTGCCCCCTCTCATGACAGCAAGGTGGCTGCTAGGGTTCGAAGTGGCACTTTATACACAGCCAGAGCCAAAGGTTAGAGGAAGAGGTGGTTTCTCCCTGAGGATTTGAACTTTCATTTTCATGGAGGAGCAGCTTTCCTAGACTGTCTTGGTCAACTTAGCTTGTCATCTGATTGGCCCGAACTATATCACATGTCCATTCTCTAGCTGCAGGGGAAGCCACTAAATGATTTCAAGACATTTTTAGGGTCTATCGTGAGAGGCAAACTGTTAGCAAAGAGCACAGGCAAAGAGATGACTGGTGGGGTGATGGAACAGCCTGTCACGGGAAATCAAGATGATACCAAGGTTTTTCTCATTACTGCAATGTTGCTAGAGTAGGAAATTGGAAAAAATGTAACCAATGAATACATAATTATAGTCAAGCAAGATGGTGAAATACTATTGCCATATTAAAAGTAATGCTACAAAGGAATACTTACTGACATGGAAAGATTCATTCTCGTGACACATTAAACAGGCTACAAAACAGTATTTGCCATCTAACCCTAGCCCACACAGATTCTCATCCATATACTTACACCCTTACACACAAACATACACATACACACAAGGCATTAAAGATAGCTGTGGATCATTTGAAATCCCTCTTATTGAGATGTGGGGGTCTATGGTCCTTCCTTTTACATCTGAGTTGGCCTGTGCCTGCTTTAACCAATAGAGACCAGCAGAAATGACGTGATGCCAGCTCCAGGCATAGTCTTCATGAGGAATTGCCCCTTCCCCTGGGCCTCTTAGAAGCAGGGATGTGCTAGAGTCAGCTCCTACCAACACATAGGAGCCCATCATTAACATTTCAGGAAGTCTGTCGTGTATTATCATGACAATAACTTGAAACTGGCAACATTCATCAGGATGCTGGTGCCCTTCTCCAGGAGGGATGTGCAACTCAACTGCTGGAGAGCCTTGAGTCCACCTGCAGAGGGAGAGGGGCCCCCTGCCCACTGGAGTCAGCCTCCTGCTGTCCCTGCCATGTGGCTGAAGAAGCCTTGGGCACTGCAGGTCAGTCCAGGTGCTACCTGAGTGCTGTTAAGTCAAGCTGGGTGGCCTCATATGGAAGAGAAGGATTTCCCAGATGAACTCTATTCGATTTCCTGACCCACAAAATAGTGAGACATAATAAAACAATTGCTATTTTAGCCCTTGGATTTTTTTTAAATAAGTATAATTTTAAGCCTAATAGGTAACTGGTATACCCATGAATGTGACTATTTCTGAAAAAAATGGTTAGCATTTATTTTATTCTATTTGTTTATCTTCATACTTGCATCATTTTATGAATATATATTACTAATATAATAAGAAACATGTCAAATGGCTCATTTATAGGTGAAATAGTACATTGTGAGAGGTGCATGGCTGTTTCTAGAAAAATGTCCTTTTCCTCAATCGTGGACCTGTTTCCACAGTCCTGGCCAACAGACCTTTAACTGTGGGTCTTCTCAAAGCTGTGCACAGTGGTAGATGCTAAGGCCAAAAGCAGAGGAAGCGTTTCATGGTTGTGGAAAGAGTGTTTGGCCCTAGAACCCGCCATACCTGAGGTTGACCAGCCATGTGACAAGGAACAGGTAGCTCATCCTCTTTGGATCCCAATTTCCTTACATGTAAAATGGGAAGTAAAAGAAAAAAAACTTCTGATTTTTCAAGGTTTCCATATGGATCAAACAGCATTAGGTGTGTAAAATGTCTGGCCCTTTACCCAAAAGAATGTTAATAACAAATCAACAATCATTGTTACTGTTTCATGGACGACACATGGGAACTGCCCTTAATTATAGATTAATTGACAGGAGACCCAAGATTATAGCCTCATTATGGGTCCCTAGATTTCAGGCACACCTAAGTTAACAGGGACACCTCAAGGAGAGAGGATTGAGGGAACATACTCCTCCCAAACCAAACCCCTCGAGGATGGAACCACATCTTCTTCATGGCCCGTTTTCTAAGGTATCTAGCCACGAGCCCTAACTCCTGGAAGGGGCTTAGTAGTTTGGCCGTATCTCATTCAACAAGAAAGTTCTGCTGATGTGTCTATAGTTGGCCATTGTGCTCTGTTTGCACCAAGTTACATCCACAGTGGGAGCCATGAGGGCCCTTGTGGAAGGCCCTGGGGCAACAGGCAACACTGCCAGTGGGAAACACTGGCTTCAAGAATTCTATACCTGCCCACAGTTTTTAAACACACAACCTCACACCACACACACACACACACACACACACACACACCCACACACACCCCATGGTGCTCCATTGCTGGTGCTATTCTTGAGGGCTAAGGCATCTGCTTTCCTTCATTTGGGCCAGCAGTTTACAATTCAGAATGCCTTGATGTGACTAAGTGCTGAGGGAGGGTCTGAGCCCAGGAGGCCACACAGGTGAAGCCGGTGAAGCCAAGTGTCGGAGCTGCTGGAGAAGGAAAGGAGGCTCACCACAGATGTGGAGCTGTTCACATCCAGCCACGGAAAGCACTTGTTAAGCAAGGCTGGCTTTTAATTAAAATGTTCAATTATAATGCTGTAATTAAAGTTGGAAGGGGATATCTAGGGATGTCTTCAATTCCAAACAGCAAATACCCCGCAGAGGATGGCTTTACTCTCATTTTCCAGGGGAGACTATGCATAGGACTATGCCCAGGAGAAAACCAGTAAATGTTTTGATACACAGAGGTACTTTTGGGTTGGGGTGGGTGGAACAACTGTACGAATATACTTTATTTAACTATAAGAGCAATACATGCCCCCCGTAACAACAACAACCAACAAAAACACAAAAAAGCCAAACTCAACACAGAACTGCACAAATAGCTCCTGCCAGGGACTCTCCCTTCTGGAAGATGGAGTAGACATTCTTTTCCCTATTCTCTCCATTAAGTACAATTAACACCCCGGATATTAGATATAAAACAGACACGGGGAGACTCTGAAAAGTGGAGAGAAGAAGGCAGGCTGGCTGGGGACCACTGGATGTGAGGAAGCATGCGCGTCGAGTCCCCTGGGTTTTCTTCGTGCTGAGTACGTCCAAGACTGGATGATGGAAAAGCTGGCAACCCAGGAACGTCAATGAACATGGAGAAAAAAAGCCGCAAGAAAATCCTGCTCCCTCCAGCCAAACGACTAGGAACGGGGCAGCCTAGCAAGACAGAAACTGCATCCAAACACCACAGAAATATCCTCGAGGGGCTTGATTTGGGAGGAGTATGTTCCCTCAATCCTCTCTCCTTGAGGTGTCCCTGTTAACTTAGGTGTGCCTGAAATCTAGGGACCCATTATGACACTATAATGTTGGGTCTCCTGTCCATGAAACAGTAACAGTGATTTTTGATTTGCTATTAACATTCTTTTGGGTACAGGGCCAGACATTTTACACACCTAATGCTGTTTGATCCATATGGAAACCTTGAAAAATCAGAAGTTTTTTTCTTTTACTTCCCATTTTACATATAAGGAAAATTGGATCCAAAGAGGATGAGCCACCTGTTCCTTGTCACATGACTGATGAACCTCAGGTATGGCGGGTTCTAGGGCCAAACACTCTTTCCACAACCATGAAACGCTTCCTCTGCTTTTGGCCTCAGCATGTACCACTGTGCACAGCTTTGAGAAGACCCACAATCAAAGGTCTGTTGGCCAGGACTGTGGAAACAGGCCCATGATTGAGGAAGAGGACATTTTTCTAGAAACAGCCATGCACCTCTCACAATGTGCTATTTCCCCCCCACTGGGTGGTGGCAGAGCTTCAGGACTTTCACCATCACCAGCAAACAGGCTCCTGCTCATGGTGCCTGAGGAAGCCTTGTCGGGGGCCCAGACTACCATCAGGTCCAGAGTCTCGTAACATCATACTCCAAGCACCCCAGTTCCAATGAAAATATCATCTAGCACGCCAAGAACCAGGAAGGACTCAGACTGAATTTAAAACATCATTAGACGTCAACACCCAGTTTACAGAAATGGTATAATGATCTGAGAATGACGGTAAAGCAGTTATCACAAAATGGTGAGAAATTGTGAACAAACTTGAAACAAATGATAAAAATAGGAAGTCTCAGCAAACAAATAGAAAGTCTAAACCAAGAAATAGAAGATACAAAGAAGAACCAAAGGGGAATTTTAGAACTTTCTATTGGAAAAATACAGTAACCAAAAACTAAAAGAAAAACAAAACTAGAGAGTCTTAAAGCAGAACGAAGGGGACAGAGGAGGGAATCCATACACAACCATAGGACAATAGAAATGTCCCACTCTGAATGAGAGAGAAAATAGACTGAAAAAGTAAGCTCTGCTGGGCATGGTGGCTCACGCCTGTAATCCCAGCTCTTTGGGAGGCTGAGGCGGGAAGATCACTTGAGGTCAGAAGTTTGAGACCAGCCTGGCCAACATGGTGAAACTCTGTCTCTACTAAAAATACAAAAATTAGCTGAGGAGGCCGAGGTGGGCAGATCACAAGGTCAGGAGTTTGGGACCAGCCTGGCCAATATGGTGAAACCCCGTCTCTAGTAAAAATAAAAAAGTTAGCTGGGCATGGTGGTGGGTGCCTCTAATCCCAGCTACTTGGGAGGCAGAGGCTGCAGTGAGCTGAGATTGCGTCACTGCACTCCAGCCTTGGCAACAGAGTGAGACTCTGCCTCAAAAAATAAAAATAAATTAGCTGGGTGTGGTGGCACACGCCTGTACTCCCAGCTACTCAGGAGGCTGAGGCAGGAGAATTGCTTGAACCCAGGCAGCAGAGGCTGCTGAGGGAGGAGAATTGCTTGAACCCAGGTGGCAGAGGCTGCAGTGAGCCGGGATTACGCCAGTGCATTCCAGCCTGGGTGGCAGAGTGAGACTCCGTCAAAAAAAGAAGGTTTATATAGCAGGGAAGAAATGTAACTACATGTGGGAAAATAGGAACTAGGGAGGGGTAAGGAAGCAAGATAGGGATGAACTTCTTTCTAATCACATCTTTTTGTATCATTTAATATTTGAAATATGAGTGCATTCACTATCCAAAACTAAAGAAAGTAAAATCTTTAACATTTAAAATAATGAAGTGAATAGCCCGAGAAAGACACAGACCAGGTGATGAAATACTTGGTGCCCCACCCCAGCAGCCGCTCCCCTGCCTGGCTGGACCGTGCAGGCCTCACAATCTTTCTCAAGAGGGGGCCTTTGATTCTCCCACCTCCCACCCAGGTAGCTCAAAGGAGACGCCTGCTTCTATCTGCAAAAGCCTTGAGCCCCTGCAACAGCAAGTTTACGGGACTACAGGACCTTATTCCATAGTGCAGAACCAGAATCCACATTTGACCTTGGGATCAAATAGACTGTCGTAGAAACTAGGGCCAGGGCTTTCTTCCCGCAGCAATTTAAGGAACCCTAAAGGTAACAGAATTTAGACATGTGTTGAACGTTTGAAAAAACAACAACAACCTCAAACTAGGAGGAACAGAAGCAACAGGAATCCTGCAAGACATTGGGAGGATTGAATAGCGCAGTGCATTGAGGGTGGAGGCAAAGAAGCTCATTTCTATAGACGCTTTGCAGGCTGTGCACTGTGTGTCGGCAATGTCCCAAGACCAGGGTGGGCCACAGCGGAGAGATCAGGGCCAGCAGGGGACAGGCCGGGTTGCCAATGCACAGCACTGTGTAAGCTGCAGGGTGGGTTGGGGGACTGGGGTATGGCCCAGGCCCAGTACCTGAGCTGGATATGATGGACAAGCCAAAAGCTCCGAAGCAGCTCAGCTGTGTAGAAGCGATGTGTCACTCTACCCCAGGCAAGTCGGGGATTTAAGTTAAGTTACACGACAGGAGGCATAGCTCTGTGCTAGGCTCTGAATGTTTGTGTCTCCCCCAAATTGGTGTGTTGACGCTTTAATTTTCAGTGTGCTGGTATTTGGAGGTGGGGCTACGGGAGGTGAGTAGGTCTTGTAGGTGGAACCCTCTTGAGTGGGATTAGTACCCTAAGAAGAAAGGCCCAGGCCGGGCGCGGAGGCTCACACCTGTAATCCCAGCACTTTGGCAGGCCAAGGGGGTGGATCATGAGGTCAAGAGATGGAGACCATCCTGGCCAACATGGTGAAACCCTGTCTCTACTAAAAATACAAAATTAGCTTGGCGTGGTGGCGTGTTCCTGTACTCCCAGCTCCTCGGGAGGCTGAGGCAGGAGAATCGCCTGAACCTGGGAGGCGGAGGTTGCAGTGAGCCGAGATTGTGCCACTGCACTCCAGCCTGGTGACAGAGCAAGACTCGTTAAAAAAAAAAAAAAAAAGAATAGAAAAAAAAGAAAGGCTCCAGGCAGCTGCCTTCCCATTTGGCCATGTGAGGACACAGAGGTGACCATCTGTGAACCAGGAAGTGGGCTCTCACCAGACACCAAATCAGTTCCACCTTGATGTTGGACTTCCAAGGCTGTTGAAGTGTGAGAAATATATTCCTGTTGTTTATAAACTGCACAGTTTATGGTATTTTATTAAAGTGGCCCAAACAGACTTAGGCACTCTGCTTTTGCATATGTGAATTTGTAGCCCTGTGTAAGTGACACTGTGGCTGACAGAAAGGGGGTTTGAACAAAGGCAGGGCCTGTCTCACCAACAGGGTTGGTGTGGGGCCAGTGGGGGCTTACAGGAGGGTGGCCATGGAGGGCGGATGGCACAGGTGTTGTCATTCTGTGTTTACCCGGTGGAGTTGCCCCTTTCTCCCTATCCTGTCACTCTGGAAACTCCTGTAGTCTGGCTTTTTCTTCTATCATTTCACGGAGGCAGCTCTCACTGAGTGGTTAACCACACCTCTGCAGCCGCACTGCCCAGGCTGCTGCTTCTGCCCATCTGCCCCCATGACAGGCATTCGGTGCTGAACGGATGGGTGCACCAGTCTCCCTGTCTCAGGCTGCGTGGCCTCCCAGAAAGGGGCCCTGTGCTTTACTCAGAGCATCGAGAAAAAGGGTTAGCTGGTGGTTTTGTCTTCATTTCTCCCTCTCTTCCTTTTACTCTTGTGATGACCTCTTATTTCCTTTTCTCCCAACTTCTGGAGTTACTGATATTCCTCCCCAGCACCCTGGCTGACTTCCATATCCACTGTAGCATCAGCGTTGGTGAGGCAATGGCAGTCTGAGGAAATGAGAAGCCCTGACTCCAGAATTTTCTATGGATTTCAGTAAGGGACTTCTACTTGATAGGAGAACCACAATCAGAACAACGCTCAAACTCTTTAGCCTTGAAGAAAACTTTACAAGTTCAAATTTTGTTTGTTTGTTCAGTCTCATCATCTGGCAATGGAGAAGCAAGATATGCTTCAGTGCACAGAAACCCCTGGTAAAAGAGGAATGAGAAAAGTTCCCCTTCCCTGCCCTGCAGTGATGGAGTCGGTGACAGGCTGCTGCTGCAGTGCTGGGAAGAGGAGAGCTGCTGGGCCTGCCTGTTGAGTGGACCATGAGTTCTGCCCACAGCATAAGCCAAGACCCTGACCCCACATCCCTGGGAGCCAGCCGACTAACCCCCATTCCTGTTAGAGCCTGTGCAGGCTGTACATGCATCTATTCTGCCTGCTCCGTAAGAGGATTCCACATCTCCACCGGTTTCTGGGAGAGTTGAGTGCCATCCCGTGACAGAAGCCTGTTCCCTTTCCTGCTGATGTCGGACTTGGCCATATCTGAGCAGAAGCTCTAAGGGCTACAAGTATGTGTCCCTGTTTCTTGCTATTTTTCTTGAGCATGAGGCCAGCATGGACTGGAGACTGCTCCTTCAGCCTCAATCCTGGAATAAGAAAGATGGGCCCAGAGCTGCAGCCAACCTGCAATTTAGCCAGAGCTGATCTGCAACTGACATGGGCTATGAGCAAGAAATAAAGCTTTTCATACAGTGTAAACTCTAGGCTGACCACAAATATTTTTTAAAAGAATGTTAGACAATACACTGAGAGAGGAGATGAAATGGAATCATCTAAATGGTTCAATTGAAATAAAAGGGGACTAAAAAGAGGTTAAAAAAACAAAGACAACAAAAGGCAAACAGTTAAAAAGATAACAGATATTAGTCTAAATATATCAATGGTTCAATAATTACTTTTCTTTAGAAAAGGGATCTCACTGTGTCACCCAGGCTGGAGTGCAGTGGCACGCTTACGACTCACTGCAGCCTCAACCTCCCAGGCTCCAGCCACCCTCCCACCTCAGCCTCCCAAGTAGCTGGGACTATGGGCATGTGCCAAAACACCTGGCTAATTTTTGTATTTTTTTGTAGAGACAGGGACCCACCACATTGCCCAGGTTGGTCTTGAACTCCTCGGCTCAAGGGATCCTCCCACCTTGGCTTCCCAAAGTGTTAAGAATACAGGTGTGAGCCACGGCACCCAGCCAATAATTACTTCAGATGTGAATGGTCTAAGCATAGCAATTAAAAGACAGAGATTATTAGTGTGGATTAAAAAAAATAAAACCAAACAGCATGCTGCTTAAAAATAAAACCTCTTCAAATATAAAGACTCAAATGGGTTAAAAGCAAAGAGATGGAGAAAGAAACACATGTTAACAATAATAAAAAAAAAGCTGGAGTAGCTATATTAAGCTCAAACAAAGCAGAATTCAGAATAAGGAAGGTTATCAGGGGTAAAGAGGGGAATCAGAAACTACAATTGCCCAAGAAGACATAACAATCCTTAACAGCATGTACCTAATGATAGCGCATCAAAATGCATGATGTAAAAACTGATAGAATTGCATGGAGACATTGACTCATCCACTCTTAGAGTTGGAGACTTTAGCACTCTTCTCTCAGTAATTGATAGAGGAGGCAGGCAGAAAATCAGTAAAGATATAGTGACCTGCAAAGCATGATCATCATGATCTAATGATATTTATGGAATGCTTTAGCCAACCATTGCAGAATACACATTCTTCTCAAGCTCACATGAGGGATTCACCAAGATAGACCACACTCTGGCCACAAACACATCTGAACAAATAAAGGTAAAATGGAAGTCACACAAAGTATGTTCTCAGACCACAACAAAATTTAACTAGAAATAAATAACAGAAAGATAGCTGGGAAATCCCCAAATATTTGGAAATGAAACAAGACACTTCTAAATAATCTGTCGGTCAAAGACATTTCAAGATAAATTGAAAAATATTTTGAGTAAAATAAAAACAAATATAACTTATGAAAATATATGAAATGTATATCAGTATCTTGAAGGAAATTAATAGAATTAAATGCATATATTAGTAAAGAAGAAAAACATAAAATAAGAAATTAAGTTTCCACTTTGGTGAATTAGAGAAAGAAAAAGAAAGTAAACTTAAAGCACACAGTAAAAATTAGAACAGAAATCGAGGA
The DNA here is from genome assembly GCF_000001405.40 of Homo sapiens. Taxonomy (NCBI): domain Eukaryota; kingdom Metazoa; phylum Chordata; class Mammalia; order Primates; family Hominidae; genus Homo; species Homo sapiens. Next base: position 129,633,184 of record NC_000002.12, on the reverse strand, counting down.
CATTGAAAACAGGAAAACAATACAAAAAAATTAACAAAACCTGTTCGTTTTTTGAAATGATCAAGGTAGTTGGTAGTCATCTGCCTGGCTTACAAAGAAAAAGAGAGAAGGTACAAATTACTAATGTTACATGAGAGAGGGATCTTCACTACTGATCAGAATATTGACATTGATATAATCCGCTAATCATATTCAGATTCACTCAGCTTCGCTTCTGTGTGTGTGTGTGTGTGTGTGTGTTTATGTGGAGGAGAGTGGGTGTGTGCATATTAACTTTATACAATTTTATCACCTGTTAGTGACACCCACCATTAGTAAGATACTGGAGAGCTCCAGCACCACATGGGTCCCTCTTGTCTGTTCACCTTCCTTCTCTTCTCTCTGTCCCTAACCACTGTATACAGTGCTGTATTCCCTTATTGTTATTTTCAGATGACAAAATTGTCAATATCCTGGATGCAACAATATACTATAGAGTTTCAAAATGTTACCATTGGAAGAAACTGGGAAAAGTATACAAAGGATCTTTATTATTTCCTACAACTGCAGGTAACTCTACAATTCTCTTAATTAAAACAGATAAACGCATATTCATGGATTCCTTCTTGGAATCAGTTGGTTTTGTCATAGTGGAACTGATGGTGTTTAAAACACTCTGTCTTTTAATGTTATACAGGGCTTTAATTAAAATAAGATTTCATTAGGATTACACAAAATTCCACTTATACATGTTTATAGAAGCATTATTCCTAGTAGCCTAAAAGTGGATGGATAAACAAAAGGTAGCCTATCCATATAATGGAATATTATTTGTCAATAAAAAAGAATGAAGTCTTAATACATGCTACAGCATGAATGAATGCTGTAAACATTACGTGAATTGAGAAAACCTGATGCAAAAGACCACACGTTGTGTAGTTCAATTTATATCAAATGTCCAGATTAGGCAAATCCTTAGAGACAAAATGTAGATTAGGGGTTGCCATGGAATGGGGAGATGAGGTAATGGGAAATGACTGCTAGTGAATATGGGGTTTCTTTTTAATAGATGCAAAAAAGAAGAGTCAGTTGCTTCCGTATATATCAGCAATGACCAATTAGAATGTAAAATTTAAAGAAAACAATAGTATACTCCAACATGGAATACTTATAATTTCCTATATGTGGAAATCTACAAAAACTGGTAAAAAATTTAAAAAAGCAAATAAATGGAGAGACATACTGTTTTAACAGATTGACAAGTCAATATTGTTAAGATTTCAATTCTTATCAATGTAATCTATAGGTTTAATAAATTTAGAAAATCCTATCAAGCTATTTAGTAGATATCGGGAAAATGATTCTAACATTTACGTAGAAAGGCAAATGACACAGAACAGCCAAAACAAAACTGTAAAAGAAGAACAAAATTGAAAGACACCCACTATCTGATTTCAAGATTTACTACAAAATGACAGGATTCAAGACAGCATGTTATTGAGAAAGAAAAACCACATATATCAACAGAAAAGAACAGAAAGCCTAGAAATAGACCTATGGAAATACAGTTTCAACTCACCTTGGACAAACACACAAAGGCAATTCAATGATGGGAAAGGGTAGTCTTTTCAAGAAATGGTTCTGGAGCAACTGGATATTCATGTGCAAAATAATGAAACTAGATACAGACCTTACAGCTTCACAAAGCTCTCTCAAAATAGGTCATAAGTCTAAGTATGAAACGCAAAGTTATAAAATTTTTAGAAAAAACACAGGAAAACATCCATGTAACACTGGAGATGGTCATGAGCTTTTAGATACAACTCCCAAATCATGATCCATGAAGGAAAAAGTAGATAAGTTGGACGTTATTAAAACTAAAACTTTTGCTCTATGAAAGACAATGTTAAGAAAATGAAAAGGCAAGTCGCCAAATGGGAGAAAATATTTTGAAAAAAAATCCATATGTGATAAAGGACTTGTATCTAAAATATAAAACAAACTCTCAAATCTCAACAAGAAGAAAACTAACAACACAATGTAAAACTGGACAACATACCCATTTGCATTATTCATGTAGGAATATGAAAAGACACTGACATTCATTTGTCATTTAGGGAAATTCAAATTGAAATAATGAGCTTCCACTACACACCTCTTAGTATGGCTACAATCAAAACACTGACAATATCAATTTCTGTTGAGGATACAGAAGGAACTCTCATTCATCACTGGTGGGAATGCAGCATGTTAGAGCCACCTTGGAAGACAGTTTGGCAGTCTTTTGCAGAGCTAAATGCAAGAGCTAAATGTAGTCTTTCCATACAATCTAGTAATTACACTCTTAGACATCTACACAACTGTTATGAGAATGTTGGTCCACACAAAAACCTCCAAGTACATATTTACAGCAGCTTTATTCATAATTGACAAAACTCAAACAACCAAGATGTCTTTTAGTAGATGAATGGATAAACTGTGGCCTATCCATACAATAAGAAAACGATTCAGGAGTGAGCTGTAAGGCATGTGATAACATGGATAATCTTCAATGCATGTTGCTAAGTGAAAGAAGCCAGTATGAAAAAGTTACCTACTGTGCTATTTCATTTATATGGCATTTGAGAAAGGAGAAAATAATGGGGATAGTAAGTGGATCAGTGGCTGTCGGGGATTTGGGGGAGAGGGTTGAAGAGGTGAGGTCCAGGGGAGTGTTAAGGCAGTGTGCTATTTTGTATGACACAGTAATGGTCATACACATGGTACTACACATTTGCCAAAACCCATAAAACTTTACAGAAGAAGGAGTGAACCTTAATGTGTGCGGATTTAAAAAGTAGTAGGTAGAGGAACTTGGGATAGAATGCATAGTGTGAAAAAATAATCCAACCACATCACAAATATATGAAATGACCTTATTGAGGTGGCTGGGAGAAAGGTGCTGACCTAGTGGAGATTGCAGGAGTACAGGCAGAAGGAAATGTTCCTATGCACTGGAATCTCGTAGGTGATGTTATTTCCAGTTGGGGTGCAGGTTAACAATTCTGAAACCACTGTTCATACTCACTGGGATGGAACAGTTAATCAAAAGGAGGGCAGGTGGTGAGAAGCAGGTTTCCCGCTGCTGCAGGGTAGAATACAGATAGGCAAGGGAGAGGCTGGACTGCACGTGAGGCAGTGGGTCAGAGTCAGAGGATGCACTCGTGTTTAGCTTAATATAAATACATGTGGATATAGAGAGAAATAGGCATAGATATTTGTATCATTTTGTGTTATTATATGCACATTTTTTTTATGTCAGCTGAAGATGCCTAGAAGTAACAACATCCTAGGAGCACTAAACACACTCAGGGCCCAGATTTTGGTTTTTAATACCATTCTCTAACTAAAGAAACCAGAACTCCTTGAAACAACGGATGACTCTGGGGCTGGGGGCAAAATATACAAGATGAGACTAGCACATCTCGTAGTTCCAGAAAGCTAAGAAAGCGGTTAAAAAGAAACAAAACCTCACAGTTATGTGGGTATCACAGTGAGACACAGAGCCAATTAACAGTGCTCCCCATGGACAGAGCTGGAAAAATAGAACTACAACAAAAATGTAGTATTGTATTATAACCCAGTGTATAGGATACACATCCTTGAGTCCACACTGATATAAATAAATGCTTGAATAAATAAAGGAATGAGAAACAACAGCTGAACATCCTATGCAAAAGAATTTCAGGTAATTCATGCAGATACTCTGTCTTCAAGGAGGTAGAACACAGTGCCCCAGGCCTTAACCTTAGTTTGCTCATCGTGACTTTCTCACACTGGACAAACCTGTCAAACACTGCTCCGGCCAGGGGATCAAGGTTACATCAACAGTGAAATTTCATGTTGATAGCATTTACCTTTGATATCATGCAACAAGAATGATGCTTTACCTCTGTGTTCTTTCTCTTCAAAACCCACAGAACCCCAGTCTAATCATGAGAGAACATCAGACAGATTCCAACTCAAGGACATTCTACAAAATACCTGACTGGCACTTCTTATAACTGTCAGGGTCTTCAAAGACAAGGAAAGACTAAGAAGCTGCCACAGCCAAGAGGAGCCTCAGAAGACGTGTTGACAAAACGTAATGTGGGACTGTGGGACAGATAAAAGACATTAGAGAAAAGCTAAGGAAGGCCGAAAGAATGTGGAAGGCAGCTACTAATAACGCGTCAACACTGGCTCCTGAGTTGTGCTGTCCGTACTGCACACTGCGGTTACCATCACGGGAAACTGGGCGCGGGTTGTGTGGGAACTCTGTATCACCTTTTGTAATTTTTTTTTCTGTAAATCTGAAGTTATTCTAAGTTAAACATTTGTAGAAATTACATATAACTGTGTTAGGCCATTCTTGCATTGCTCTAAAGGAATACCCGAGGCTGGGTAATTTATAAAGAAAGGAGGTGTATTTGGCTCAAGGTTCCACAGGCTGTGGATGCGCGGCACCGGCATTTGCTGGGCTTCTGGGGCGGCCTCACGAAGCTTTTACTCTTGGTGGAAGGTGAAGCGGGAGCAGGCACGTCCCATGGCGAGAGCGGGAGCAAGAGAGAGGGTGGGGAGGTGCCACACACTTCAAATGACCAGCTCTCATGAGAGCTCATTGTCCCAAGGACAGCACCAAGCCATGAGGGTACCGCCTCCATGAACCTCCAGCCCTGCCTCCAGCCCTGGGGATTGCATTTCAACATAAGATTTGGGTGGGGACAAATATCCAAGCCATATCAATAACATATCTATCTTGATGAGCTAACGATTGGCTTTCACTATCCAAGGAATTAGAGTGAGGGCCTGAGGAAGACCTCAACAAGAAACAAAGGGTTTAGAACAATGGTGGAGGGCAGACTTCCAAAGTGAGGTTTTCTTTTTTTTGTAGTGATAAGATTCATTTGCGGCCGGGCGTGGTGGCTCACACCTGTAATCCCAGCAATTTTAGGGGCTGAGGCGGGTGGATCACCTGAGGTCAGAAGTTCAAGACCAGCCTGGACAACATGGCAAAATCCCATCTCCACTAAAAATACAAAAATTAGCCAGGCATGGTGGTGGGTGCCTGTAATCCCAGGTACTTGGGAGGCTGAGGCAGGAGAATCACTTGAACCTGGGAGGCAGACGTTGCGGTGAGGTGAAATCATGCCATTTCACTCCAGTCTGGGTAACAGAGTAAGACTCTGTCTCAAAAAAAAAAAAAAAAAAGGTTCATTTCTGTAGGTTTAATTGCCCATTAAAAAGTCCCTTCATGTTGTAGGTTCATCTCACAGTAGCAGGCCCTGTCATTCCAAGCAGCTTTAAGGACCAGCCACATTCAGTGCTGGCAGTGACAGCAAAGAGAGCCATGTGGGCTGATACGCCTGCTCACCTGAGGCATACACAGGCAGGCAGAGTCTGAGCGAAGAATAAACACGCAGAGGTGAGAAAGCTTGGGAACTGTGAATGCAAACCTCTGCTGAAAGCACTGAGGGAGTGTAGCGTAAAGAAGCAAAGGGTGTTGCCATGTTCAGGTTCCCTAAAATCAAGCCCTGCTCCTCAGAAGTGCGCCCCATCAGGCTTCACCACAGCAGTGCCTCAGGATGATGCCCTTTTTCCTTGCGGATGCAGCCCCTGCCTTCCTCTCTACCAATGTAGATGCAATTCTTCCTAATGAGTTTAATGACCGCTTCGATGATTCAAGCAACTTCCTGGCCTCTCAGTTCCACGACTTTCCCACCTCCCATGATCCTGTCCTCCACCCCTCTCAGCCACCTCTGCCACTGTCTAATCTTAGACTCTGTCATTACCAACAACTCTGTTACCATGCTTTTGAGCAGCACACTTGGCAGTAGCTTTCCAGTGCACACTCTCTAGCACCCCTACCACAGCCACCCTGGCACCCAGGGGATTCTGACCCAATGAATTAGCCCCCTTCACTCTCCTGTGACCTATAAGGTTCTTACCTCTCCCCATGCTCTGCCTAGAGTTTGCAATTCAACTTTGTAATTGTTCTCTCACACACATCCTCACATCTCTTGCTGTTCCTCCCGCTATCTTGTCTACCCGCTGTCTTCAGCTGGGTTACATGGGAGGCAGGTTCTGAGATGGGGGCTTGTTGACAGGAAGTGCATTGGGAAATGCTATCCAGACAAACTCCTGGGCATGTGAGGGGAGCATGATTGGACAGAGGCCACCATCGTCGCACTTGTTCATCAACCACCAGAATCAGGCAAGGGGTGTCAAAAGATGTTCCAGAAGGCCTGCTGGGCTCCAAGCACATCATTCCCTGACAAACATATTATTCTCATATTTCTTTCACCTACCAATCAGAAGAGTTTTGCCCACTCTCATTGTTTTATCTTGAGCCCTCCACATGGCCAAGTGGACAACTGGTTGCCAGCCCTCATCTTTCTCACCCAACAGTGGGCCTCTTCTTCTCCAGGAGAGCATGCCTTTCCCTCAGCCTGCTGGATTCCTGCCTCAAAGGTGACTTCCTTCTGGGCTCCTTCCCTGTACCTTCCTCAGCTTTCTAAACTGGGGGATGCCTGGAGCTCAGTCTGGGACATTGTCTCTTTATAATCTCATCAATTCCCATGAGTTTGCATCCTGTCTGTGTGCTAAGGACTCTTGATTGACTTATTCACCTGACCCTTTCCCTTGAACTTTGAACTTGAAAATTCAGTTCCCTATGCCACATCTCCATCTGAATGCCTGTTAGGCACTGCAGACTCAAAATATCCCAAGCTCATGTCTCGATTTCTCTAGCCCACTGCCTGTGCCTTCACCACCTCAGTGGATGGTAATGCTTTCTTCTGTTTACTGCCTTCCAGTCACCTGCAAGGCACTTCTTCTGTCATACCCCATGTGAATTTCATTAGCAAATCCTGTCGACTCCAGCCTCCCAAAAACCCAAACTTCAGCCATTTCTCACACACGGCTGCCACCTTGCTACAAGCCACCATCATTTTCCATCTAGACTAAATTGGTCTTCTTCTTTTCTTGCCCTCCCATGCTTCCTGCCCATGTGCTGCACCTGAGCATGGCAGACACCCACTCCGCGGGCTCGCCTCAGCTCCCCACCCCACACCTGTTTACTCAAGAGTACTGAGTTTTAGATTGAAGTTTTCAGAAAACAACCTCCCAGTCACTTCTCTTCAAAGCCCTTGAAACAGCAGGCAGACTCGGCCACTCCCTCCCCATGGATGTGAAGAGAAGCTGCACCCTCACAGTGGCTGGAAGCCCTCTGCATGGTGGGTGCCAGCCCCCCTCGGTTCTCATTGTCACTCTCCCCGGCACACTGGACCCCACTGCTTTGGGACAGGCAGCATCATCTGTCTCCACAACTTTACTTTTGTCACTCTGTTTGCTGAAAAATTTTCCCTCGGAGAGCTGGGTGGCTTAGCCCCACACTCCTGCTCTGTCCTCTCCTCAGGTAGCATCTTCATAGTCAGAGCTTCTCATACCACTCCGCTTAAAATGACAACCCCCAAATGCCACCCTCAACTTTCCCTCTGAGCATGGATGCCCACCTATCCCTACATGTATGTCTTTATTTTGTCTTGTGCTCCTGGAACAGAAGCTGCATGACAGCAGGACTTGCTCTGTTTGTTCAGGGCCTTATGCCCAGTGTGTAGAACAGTACCTGACCCCTACTAGATACATAATCCATATTCACTGAGGAAATGACGAATGCGTGGGTTTCTGTAGGGCCATTCTCCATCATCATGCTGTTTCATAGCACAAAACCCTTTAATGGGGCCGGGCGTGGTGGCTCATGCCTGTAATCCCAGCACTTTGGGAGGCCAAGGTGGGCAGATCACCTGAGGTAAAGAGTTTGAGACCAGCCTGGCCAACATGGCAAAACTCCGTCTCTACTAAAAATACCAAAATTAGCAGGGTATGGTGGTGCATGCCTGTAATCCCAGCTACCCAGGAGGCTGAGGCAGGAGAATCACTGGAACATGGTGGGCAGAGGTTTCAGTGAGCAGAGATTGCACCACTGCACTCCAGCCTGGGTGACAGAGCAAGACTCTATCTCAAAAAACTAGCCTGGCCAACATGGTGAAACCCTGTCTCTACTAAAAATACCAAAAAAATAAAATTAGCCGGGCATGGTGACGCACGCCTGTAATCCCAGCTACTTGGGAGGCTGAGGCAGGATAATTGCTTGAACCTGGGAGGCGGAGGTTGCAGTGAGCCGAGATTGTGCCACTGCACTCCAGCCTAGGCAAAGGAGCAAGACTCTGTCTCAAAACAAAACAAAACAAAATAATAAACAACAACAAAAAAATCTTTAATGGATTTTGTAGGAAGAAAAAGTTCTACCTCATTCCCTATCCTTCCTCCCCAAGAGGCGGGAACACTGTGAAGACGGGTTCAATGTCCAGGACATACACCTCACAGGGAGGGTCACCATGGGCTCAACGTCCACATGTGCTGGTGTGCCCTTCCCTTCTCCTCTGACTGTTCCTGCTACCATGGCAAGCTGTGCTCTACACTCTGCCCTTGGGAGGCCTCGGATAAGATGAAGCCCTTCTGGTTTTGACAGGCTGTCCACGGGACAGCTGGTGTTGGGAGTTAGGCAGGAAGAACCCTCCCGGGTGCCACATTAGGTGTTGACTAAACTCAGTACTCCTGAGTAAATGTGTGTGGAGCAGGGAGTGGGGAAGGGCTGTGCAAGCATGCCCAGCTAATTATTTTTAGTTTTGCAAGGCTTGGGACTGAGGGGTTTCCCAGGACACCGAACTTTGGTGCTAAAATTGGGACAGACCTAGGAAAACTGGGCTGGCTTGTCACCCTACATTTTAGACACTAGGGAGAGTCTGAGGTCCAAGGGCCCCTCACTTCTTCAGTGGATTGTTCCACATGGAAATGTGGGTCCAGTCCCGGTCAACCCCCCCTTAAGTCTGCACACCAGGCTGGTTGCTGTCACTGCTGCCCCACGTTGCCCTCGCATGCTTCCTGCTCATGTGCTGCACCTGTGTGCACCTGAGCATGGCAGACACCCACTCTGCAGGCCCACCTCAGCTCCCCACCCCACACCTGTTTACTCAGGAGTACTGAGTTTTAGATTGAAGTTTTTAGAAAACAACCTCCCAGTCATTAAGAAGTCCCTGATTCCTATTTGCCATATGTGGGGAGTGGAGAGACCAGCAATTCCTTGGTCTACCTGGAACTGTCCTGGGTTTAGCACTTGAAGTCCCACATTCCAGGAATGCCCTTGATTCCAGACAAATGGGGATGATCAGCATTCTAATGCGAGGAGTATGGAGGAAGCAGCTGTGACTTGAGCCCGACTGGGAATTCCGGCCCCTGGATCCCAGGTCATCTTAATGCCACCAGTGCCCCATGATCAAACGCCTTGTTTACACCAGTTCTCTGAATAGCTCCCCGAGTTTGTCTATAACATACGTGATGAGTAATGTTCTCATGTGCACTATACCAGTACCAACCTACTCTGATATTCACATAAGCCCTCCAAAATGTTGTGAAGAAAAAGAACATGACAAGTTTTATTAATCACAGGTATCATCAGTCATTCATTACCGGCTGCAGTATGATTATGTACAATTCCCTAGTTTTTCTCCCAGTGAAGAAAAGTATCGGAACGTGTGATTGTGTTTTATGGGATTCCTTCATACAGTCATATGTCACTGAAGGACAGGGATGCATTCTGAGAAATTCATCCTTAGGCCATCTTGTCATTGTGTGAACATCATAGGGCGTACTCACCTAAACCTAGACGGTACAGCCTGCTACACACCTAGGCTAAGTGGGATGACCTGTTGCTCTTTGGCTACACACCTGTACAGCATGTTTCTGTACTGAATGCTGTAGGCAGTTTTAACACACTGCTAAGTATTGTGTGTATACAGAGAAGGTACAGTAAAAATGCAGCATTATAATCTTATGGGACTACTGTGGTATATGCAGTCTGTCATTGACCAAAGTGTTCTTATGCTACGCATGATTGTAGGGTCTACTTTATGAAAGGATTCTGTAAATGATTGTCCCCTCATTATTGGTAGTAACTGTTACTTGCCACTCCTGGGCTGCAGAATAGAGTGCATCTGTCCGAGCTTGGAGTGCTCCCTCACACCCCTCAGGCTGGGTGCCATTCCCCTCTGTGTGAGTCTCCATACAGTGCTTTACACACCCTTCTGGAACACGCCCATGTTTCTTGTCTCCGAAATTTCTGTTTGCTCTTCCCTCTGCTAAACGCACTTCTCCTTTCTCAGCCTGGTGTTTGCTCCTTCCTCCTCTGGGGCACACCTTGGGTGCCATGTTCTCCCTGAAGCCTCGCAGTCTCCCTCAGATGCCCACGACCCCGTCCCCTGCTTCACTCTATGGAGACACCCGCTGCCTGCAGCCCACACCAAGCCACCCTCTTCTTCTTTGTCCTCTTGCTTCTCCCCTGCTGGAACTAGAGTTCTTTTAGGTCAGACCATTTGTCTCACTCTTTATCCAACCAGTATTCAATTACTTACTATGCTCAATTTGTTTTCTTTTTTTTGTTGTTGTTGTTTTTGGGAGACAGGTTCTTGCTCTGTCACCCAGGCTGGAGTGCAGTGGCGTGATCATGGCTCACTGCAGCCTTGAACTGGGCTCAAGCAATCCTCCCCCTGAGCCTCTCAAGGAGCTGGGACTACAGGCATGTGCCAGCATGCCAAGCTAATTATTTTTAGTTTTGTAGAGATGGAGTCTCACTCTATTGATTTGGCTGGTCTTAAACTCCTGGTCTCAAGCGATCCTCCTGCCTCAGCCTTCCAAAGTGCTATGATTACAGGCAGGAGCCTCTGGGCCTGGCCCATGCTGACTTTTTAATGTAATGGAATGCAATGCATTTAATTTTACTTGTTTTCTCTCATGGTTACCCTGACTTTACTAAGGTATAATTGACAAATAAAAATTTTATACATTTATAGTGTATGATTTCATGTATTGATATATGTATATATTGGGAAATGATTAAGTCAAGCTGACTTATCTACCACCTTGCATGCTTATTTTTTGTGGTAAAAACATCGATTCTTTTAGCAATTTTCAACTATGCAATACAGTATTATTAACAAGAGTCACCATGCATTACAATAGATCTGAGCATGTATTCATTTTGCATCACTGGAAGTTTGTACTCTTTCACAAACATATCCCCAGTTCCACTCCCCTGCTCCCCACCTCATCTACCCACCATACCTCCAGCCCCCGGTGACCACCATCCCACTCTGCTTCTGTGAGTTCAATGCTTTTAGATTCCACATATAAGTGAAATCCTGCAGTATTTGTTTTTCTGCATCTAACTTATTTTACCAAATGTCCTCCAAGTTCATCTGTGTTGTCCCAAATGACAGAATTTCCTTATTTTTAAGGCTGAATAATATTCCACTGTGTATATATACCCCACTTTCTATATCCATTCATCTGACATATTGATTTCATTTCCTTTGGGTATGTGTGCAGCAGTGGGATTGCTGGATCATAAGGTAGTTGTGTTTTTATTTTTTTAAGGAAACTCCAAACTGCTTTCTGTGATGGCTGCACCAATGTACTTTCCCAGCAACAGTGTGCCAGGGTTCCCTTTTCTACTTTCTCTCAACACTTGCTGTTGTTCGCCTTTTTACACTCACTTTACTATACATGGGATTTTTCCGCCAGACACTGAGTTCGATTGAATAAGCTCTGAGGCCTCTTCATACTGGAAATATAGAGTTAGATTTAGTACATCTGTGGTCAAATCCCAGCTCCATCCCCCATATCAGGGAGATTTGGAGTCAGTCATTTAAACTCTGGGCCTCAGATTTCTTGCTCACCTCATAGCAAGGATCAACATAGCAATTGATACAAATTGCAAAGGGCAATACCAGTACTATGGAGAAGGCTATGGAGGATGTTCCTATCGACTCTACCGTCCCCACCTGCCACACCTGGTCTTAGGCGCTGCACTGGCAAAGCAGAGACTGCAGCAAGCCTGCCTGGCCAGCACCTCTGACGTGTCCCGAGCATGTTTCCTCTACATTCCCTATTGGTTCAGATGCCAAAGTGACCAGTGCATCATCCTTACAATCACACAGGAGGATGGACTTTCGAATGCACTTTTAGGCTTAAATTAATGAGGGGTGCTTCAGCTATGTATGCTATGTTTGGATATGTCTGCTATGTTTGGATAGCAAGTGACCACAGCATGAGGGAGTACAGGTAAAGATGGTAAAGAAGAGTGCCTGTTCCTAAAACTGAAGCAGTGGGAATTTCAGGGAATTATTTATGTATTTTTTTAGTAAGCAGCTGGCTTGTAGGAAGATTTCTTTTCCTTCTTTCTGATGCTTTTGGTAGTTGCACACACATTGCGTAGTTTCAGAACCGCTAAAATAAATAGTCACTCATTATGGATTCCTCGGACTCATTTTAAAGGCAGTTCTGTTGAACTTACCTGCTATCAATTTACATGCAAAATACTGTTCTATGGGCATGCTAATATAATTTGGGGATAATTTCACAGATAATTGCTTTAATGTTGCTAATTCTAGCATATCTACACTAAACAAAGAGCAAGACTCATCATGCTAAATAAGCTTGAAATATTTGTTGAGCTGGCGGAAATGCCCTCTGAGTTCAGATGCCTTCGCTGTCACTGTGTTGTGCTGTGATTGGAAGCAGGGTGGTGGGTAAAGACATGGGCTTTTGGAATAGGCAGATCTGGTTGAGTCAGTGCTTTTCTGGATGCTGCTCGGCTTCTTACTTTGAGCCTCAGAATTGTCATTTATAAAACAGGGAGTGTGAAAACAAGGGCTCACATGTCTTTGGTGTGATTGTGTTCCAGCCACCATCTTAATCACTTTTTTATATGATCTCATGTCATCTTCAGAACAATCCCGTAAGGCTTATTCCCCTTATAAAAGAGAGAAAATTCGTTTATAGACCCTAAATCCCCAACTCCTGTGCTTCATCCTGTGAGAGTGCCCATCCTGCAAGGTCAGAATGATGCCGGGCAGGCACCCTTTCCACAACCCCTCCACCTGCCATGTTCTCCTTTATGCAGAGGGACCAGGCATTTTTGAGGGGGCTGCCCTCTGTTTTCACCACCCTACAGCAGTGAAGGAGGCAGGAAGGCTGTCATCTCTCCATATCTAGGACTGCAGTCTTGCCTCTTGAACCCGATCATGGTGTCATGGAAGAATTTATTCCCAAGTATTTCTTACTAGAACCCCAGAGTTTTGCAGAATTTTCACCCCCATCCCACCCTCAAAATCCTCTGACCCTACCTATACTCATTGCATGCTCTGTGGTGTGATGATCATATTAACACAGACCTCGATGAGGCCATATTGCATAAAGCTGCAAATGTATATAAAGGGACATTGAGATAAAACACTCAGGAGCAAGGCTGCATCAGGTCCTTGAGCCCCTGGATGTCCTCCTTTCCTGAGCCCCGTGCTTCGTTGAGATTGCTTGGCCATGAGCTCAGTGACTGCCAGACATTCAAGACATCAGTGGCGTTCTGGGTTTGCAAAGGCATTTCCTGCCCTTGCTCCATTTCCTGGGATTGTTGCCAGGTGTTTCAAGCAGAACTCAACCAGTGACCAGCAGGTGTTCATTAAGTGCCTGTTGAATGCCTGGTGTTCCTGCAGGCGCAAAGCAGTTTAGGCACCTGCTCCCTGTTACCAGAGCCAGGATCCCATTTCAGTACTCCTGGGGAAAGTTGAGACAAAACAAAAATCACTCTGACACGTAGAATATTGAGAGGTGTTTTTTGTTTTTGTTTCTTTTTTTGTTTGTTTGTTTGGTTTTTTGTTTTGCTTCTCGATGATTACTTTGCTGGGGAGGAAAATGGAGACTAGTCTAAGATAATGCTACCCATGTGCCAGAGGAACATTCTGAGTAGATGGTAAATAAGAAAAACTCCGCTCCCGTTCCCCCAACATCTCTCAGTTGCTTCAAGTGTTACGCCCTCTCTCAGCACTGGGACCTCCCACCTCAGGTGACACTCGGGTGCATGATGGAAAGATCCAGGTTAGCTTGATGTTTTGGCACTAGATGCTCCCCTAGTAGCATCCCTTTCAGCTTCCCCTTTGGGGCTCCTGGCCTCATGGGGCTGTGTGCCTTGATGACTCTAGGCACCAGTGGGTCCCTGAGACCCTTGTCTCCCATCCAGCATCAATGCATCCCTCAGGCATATGCTGAAACTCCAAGGACCTTGTGCATCGCCAGAGGGGAGAAGGCACAGCACCCCCAAGACAAAGAGGCTGCACATTGCATGGCTGTGTTTAATACCTAAAGAAATGCACAATTATTGGGCAGTTTCTTACTCCTGGAAGATCTGTGACTCCAGACTCACCACTAAGGTGGGAGCACAGAATACTCCCCAGACTCTAGATGCTGTGGCACCCCGTGGTCGATGGCCACATTCCCCGCCCAGAGGATGACTTGGAGGAGCCCAGAGAGACCCTCCAAGGCAAGGCGGTGGCTTATGCAAGAGAAGGCAAGATATGGTACTCTTGGGACCACTTACAGACACACTCCTCTCAAATGAAGGAGCACTCGCTAAAATGAAACTGCTCAGGGATGGTTGGAATAGAGACATGGCAGCATACTTTTGACAAAGCAAGTATATAAAGGCTTTTACTAAAAGGGGCCAAGTGAGTCAGTGTTGGTGAAAGTTAGGGGTGGCATTATTTTTTATGGAAAGTACTTTCTCTCTGCTGGAGTCATCTGCTCAGCTAGGAATTCCTCTGGCTGGTGCCTCTGGAGTTGTGAAGTACAAAATGTCACAATCCTACCCCTGTGCAAAGCATGTTATTCTCACTGCTCTGTGGGGCACATTTTAGACAATGGAACTTAAAGTTACTTGAGAATAGCTCTGTCTGGAGCCCTGAGAGCCAGGATGAGATGGGTCACAGGTGAGTCCACACTCAGGAGTTCTTAGCACCCTGGACTTAATGGCTTTTGAGCCAGTTTTGTCCAACCTTCCCTTTCAAAAGGGTTTGACATAGAACTTTCCACACTAGCCCTCAGGTTTCCTCAGTATGCTGCCTCTTGCTCAAGCATCCTTTCAATTTTCCTACCTCTAAATTCAAATGGTTACAGGAGCAACATGAGGACCCTACATGGGTTCTATGTGCTGCACGTGAAGGATGAGAGAAAACAAGTGGGACAAATTCTCGATTCTGCAAGGAAAGGTTCTCTCTTCCATTCGCCTTGGCATAGATGCTCTTCTTGGTCTAGCTTTCACAGTACCACTTTTTGTTTTCCATTCTATTTTTTTTTTTTGTTACGGTAAAATATGCATAACATAAAATTTACCATGGTAACCATTTTAAAGTGCTATTAAATACATTCACATTGTTGTGCAACCATCATCACCACCCAGCTCCAGAACTTTTCCATCTTCTCCAACTAAGGCTCTGTACCCATCAGACACAAACTCCTTATTCTGCCTTCCCCCAGCCCCTGGCAACTACCATTCCCACTTTCTGTCTCTATAAATTTGACTTCAGTTTCACTGTGCCTCTTATGATACAGAGAGAGAGAATTATTTCTCTACCTTAGAAGAGGAGGAGGAGGAGCAACGATGGAAGAATATTGGGGAGAAAAGCACAGGTGGGCTAGCCAATGATAAATGGGAAATTGACCTTCAGCCCCATGATGCAGAGTCTGAGAAGTGGTGGGGATATAGGGTGGCCAGACCCATTAGTTTTCCCAGTGCTGAGGGGTTTCCCAGAACACCAAACTTTAGTGCTAAAACTGGGACAGTCCTAGGAAAACTGGGCTGGCTGGTCACCCTACATTTTAGACACTGGGGAGAGCCTGAGATCAAAAGGGCCCCTCACTTTTCTTCAGCAGATGAAATGTTTCTTCACATGAAAACGTAGGTCCAGATCCTGTCATATTTCTCCTTATCTGTGCACACCTGTGTGGCTGCCATCACCGCAGCCCCGTGATGCCCTCCCATGCTCGCTGCCCGTTTGCTGCACCTGCATGCGCCTGACACATTGCAGACACCTGCTCTGCCAGCTTGCCTTAGCTCCTCGTGCAGAGTTGGCCAAATCAAGAATGTTTCTGTGTGACTGAAAATACCTGGACACCTTTCCTCCTGCCTTCTCTCTCCCACTGCACATGCATGACTGAAGCACACATTTCAGTTGGGGCTCTGGGGAAGGGCAGGAAAAATAGGGGAAAAATAAAATTCATGGCCTTACATAATAAAGTTAATTTAAAAATGACATTAAGCTAAAAAGCAATGCAGTTAAAAAGTCATTATTAATTTAAAGTTATCACCAAAAATTATTAAATTTCTGAGTCCAAAATGTCCCCATGTTGCAGATGCACTGATGTTCTTATTTGGAAGGTTCTCACCAACCTCAGAAGTAAGTTGAACCCAAGCAAGTCTATATCATTTGAAAATAAACCCAACTCTGTAAACCTCATGGGAACTGAACCTAGAATATTAGACTGCTCGTCTGTGAGGAACATTGTCAGAACAGGCTCTACTTCTCTTTCTGAGTTTCATGATAACCTTCAACAAAGATGGAATACCCCTGCTATTTAGAACTTTGGAAGCTGTCATTTCTGCCTGGTGATATCACCAGCAATAAAACATCTTTTCTTTCCCATTCAATTCACTGTAATAAAGCAGAGCACAGTGCATCTCTGAAGAAACATGCTCAGACTTAGCTTTTTTAAAGAAATTATTGTAAGTAAAGAAGGAGGAAAGAAACACGGAAAGCAGCTCAACAGTCAAAGACAGGGTTATTTTGGAGAATAAACCAGAGACAGGCTTCTGGCTGATTTCGGTCAAGAGCATTCTTTCTCACAGACTATGGGTGTTTAAGGATTTAGGAAATGCGGGGAGCCTATCGCAGGCTCGGGATGTTTCTATGTGAGGGAAAGTTTATTGGGGGGTTGGAATCTCTGTTTGAAGGTGAGGTTATCTCAGGGTTGCCATGTTTCTGGTTGGAGGTGGGTTTATCTTAGGGTTGGAATTTTCTGGTGATGCTGACATTAGCCGTTAGGCTTATGTTTTGGGGCTGGATTTAGGTGGTTTTTTAACAAAGGAGCACTTAAAATGGCAGTGTTTGTCCAAGATGGCGATGCTCCTGCTCTGTCAAAAGTCACAGATGACATAATAATTGTACATGCTTATGGGGTGGAATGATGTTTCAGTGTAGGCACACATTGTGTAATGATCAAATCAGGGCAATTGCCATATTCATCACTTTACATTTTTATCACTTCTTTGTAGTGATAACCTTAAAAATCTTCTCTTTTAGCTTTCTTAAAATATACACCACATTATTATTTGCCATAGTCACCCTACTGTGTAGCAGAACAACAGAACTTATTCTCCTCAACTCTAACTTTATACCTGTTAACGAGCCTCTCCCATTCTGCCTTCTCCCTCCCCTCCCCAGACTCTGGTAACTGCTATTCTACTTTCTACCTCTACAAAATCAACTTTTTTAGAATGAGTGAGAATGTGCAATATTTGTCTGTCTGTGCCTGGCTTATTTCACTTACCATAATGTCCTCTAGGTTCATTCATGTTGTCATGAATGACAAGATTGCATTGGTTTTATGGCTGAAGAGTACTCCATTGTGTATATATACCACATTTTCTTTATTCATTCAGCTGGAGATGGGCATTTAGGTTAATTCCATAGCTTGGCTATTGTGAACTGCGCTGCAATAAACATGGGATGCAGATATATCTTCAGCATACTGATTTTATTTCCTTTGGATATATACCCAATCATGGGATGGCTGGGTCAAATGTTCTATTTTTTAGTTTTTTGAGGAACCCCCTACTGTTTTCCACAGTGGCTGTCCTATTTTACATTCCCATAACAGTGTGTGAGTTTTTGTTTTCACCAGCATCTGTTATTTTTTTTTCACCTTTTTGATAACAGTCATTCTAACTGAGGTAGGGTAATCTCTCACTGGGGTTTTGATTTGCATTTCACTGGTGATTAGTGAGGTTGAGCCTTTTTTCACATATCTGTTGGCCGTTTGCACATCTTCTTTTTTTTCCCTAATCAGCCAGAGATTCTTTACAACTCTGCAGGGGTGTTGGCAGACCCGACCACACAGGTGAAGTGAACCTGTGTCCCCTGCAGTATTGAGCAGTACAGCTGAGGATGGTCCCTTCAGCCTTGGGGATGTGGTCAGTGTCCGCTTCCGAAAGCAGAGGGCATGTTTCCACCCTTACTTGTGAGACTTCTCTTTGACCTATGTCACTGCGGATATGGCATTTTTTAAAAACTCATTTTTCTTCAACTTCCCCAACCCTCTGCCCTGCATTACGTTCTCTGATGGTCCTTCTGGCTACTTGCATGGGAATGTTTCTCCAGCCCTGCCACAGAGGGAAGCACATCCAAGTCCAGCCCCGATGTTCTTTCCTGTCCTTCTCTGTCACCACAGTCACATCCAGTTTCTTACCGCTGATGCGCTCAAACTGGTGTGCAAAACCAATCCTCCCCCCTCCTCCTTCCTGTTCTTGTGGTTTTCCTATCTCATTAGGGGCCACCGTGCCCTCCTTGTCATTCAGGCTGGAAACCCCAAAGCTTCCCACTTCTGGCCTCTCACATCCACCAGCCATCCCTTCATCTCTTCACTGAAATGGCTGACACCACTGTCTCCTCTTTCCCCTTCCAGTTATCATTGCCCCAGGGTAAGCTCTTGTGAGAATATCACTTACCTGGTCTCCCGGCACCTGTTCGTGGCATTTGTGGTCCATCAAACATGACTACCAGGAGGCCACAGATTGTTGCTGGCATCAGGTTCCCTGTCAACGGCATGAGTGGATCCAGGTGACTGTACACCAGGGGTGTCCAGTCTTTTGGCTTCCCTGGGCCACACTGGAAGTAGAATTGTCTTGGGCCACACATAAAATGCACTAACACTAACAACAGCAGATGAGAAAAAAAATCACAAAAACATCTCATAATGTTTTAAGAAAGTTTACGATTTGTGTTGGACCTCATTCAAAGCCATTCTGGGCTGCATGCGGCCTGTGGGCTGCGGGTTGGACAAGCCTGCGGTACACTTTCTTCCAACACCAACACCCACCCCAATCCCCTCACAACATCTTGACTGGAGGCCACTCAATACAAGAGTAAGGGCAAACTGTTCAGCCCCACTACCCAAAGTCTCCACCGTTTGAATTTCCCTTGGCTTTCAAGGCTAATCCTGCACGAAGGCCTCAGCCAACTTCTGCATTCCTACTGGGATCCTACACATCAACCCGGTACCGGTCCATTCCCCATAATAGGTTGCAGATCAAACACATAATTACCAGTTAATTTAAATATCTGACAAACCAAGCAGTTTTTTTGAGTATAAGTATGCCCCATGCAATATCTAAAGAGTAGTCAGACTGAAATGTCATTTTAAAAAAATCTAAATTCAAATTTAACTGGGCATCTTGCATTTTATCTGGCAATCTAGCTAGGACTCTAGGTTTCTGTTTTCATAAATGCTTTATTGATATATAGAAGGGTACAATGCAATGGTTTTCAATGTATTCACCGACTTGTGTAATCATTACCCCAATCTCAGTTTAGAACATTTTAATCTCCTCACAGAATCCCTGCATCAATTAATAGTTGCTCACGGCCTCCACCTCCAGACCTAGGTAAACACTAATCTATTTTTTGTCTTTATAGATGAGCTGATTCTGGATATTTCATGTGAATGAAACCATAGAATATGAGGTCTTTCATGACTGCTTTCTTTCACTTGGCATCAGGTTCTCAAGGTTCATCTGGGTTGTAGCATGGGTCAGAATTCCATTGCTTTTCATGGCCAAATATTATTCCATTGTATGGGTGTACTACATTTTATTTATTCATTCATCTGTTGATGGACATTGGATTGCTTAGAAGTTTTGGCTATTATGAATAATATTGTTATAAAAGTTTTTGTATATGTTTTTGTGTGGACATATGTTTTTATTTCCCTTGAGTATGTAACTAGACATGGAATTGCCGGGTCGTATGGTAACTTTATGTTTAACAATTTGAGGAACTGCCAAACTCTTTTTCAAAGTGGCTGTGCCATTTTACATTCTCACCAACAAGTGTGAAATTTCCAATTTTCTACATCCTCAGCCACACTTGATATTGTCTGTCTTTTTGATGTTAGCCATCCTAGGAGCTGTGAAGTGGTATCTCATAGTGGCTTTTATTTGCATTTCCCTGATGACTAATAATTGCAGGCATCTTTTCATGTGCTTATAGCCATTTATTTATCTTCTCTGGAAAAATACCTACTCAAATCCTTTGCCCATTTTGAAATTTTAAAAAATTATTAAATTGTAGGAGTTATTTATATATTCTGGATGCAAGGCCATTATCAGGTATACAATTTGAAAATATATTTCCTCATTCTCTTTGTTGTCTTCTCTTTTTCTTCTTTAAAGTATCTGTAGTCTTTGTTATATAGCCAGTCTAATCCCAAGGAATGCAGGAAAATGGGGGAGGGGCCAATTTTCAATGCCGAGGATTAAAAGAGGCCACCAATTCCCCATGTAAAGGTGGGCAGGGACTGCCAAATACCTGGCCAAAACACCTGCCAATCGTTCTGTGTCCTTCATTGTTTATCTTTTCGTCATTCCTCCTGTTAGGGGAGTAAAGCTTTTTTTTCTTTTTTTACAAATAATTTTTAATTATTATGGGTATGTAATAGTTGTAAATATTTATAAATATAAAATATTATGGGGTACATGTGATGTTGTGATACAGGCATCCAATGTTTAATGATCAAATCATGGTAATTTGGATATCCACCACCTCAAGTATTTATTAATTCTTTGTGTTGGGGACATTCCAATTCCATTCCTTTAGTAATTTTAAAACATACAATAAATTATTGTCAGCTGTAGTCTCTCTGTTGTGCTACGAACACTGCATCTTGTTCATTCTACTTAAGTGTATCTTTGTACCCATTAACCATCCCCAATTTCTCTCTCTCTCGTCTTTCCCTTTCTTGATTGTGTTCTCTGAAGTACAAAGTTTTCAATTTTGATGAAGTTCAATGTATCTATTTTTTCTTTTTCTGTTTGTGCTTTGGATATCATATCTATCTAATCATTACCCTCACTGGTAGTTGAGAGTGGGTGGTGTGGTGTCTGTCTCCTCTCTAGAATGTAAGTTCCATAGGGCAGGTGTTTCTCTCTGTATTCCCAAAATCCAGAAAAATGTCTAACACATAGTAGGTGCTCAGTAATTATTTATTGAATGAGAAAAGAAATGAATAATGTGGATTTAACGAGGGATGAAACAGGAGTGCAATTGGAAGGAACCCAAAGTAAAGGGAAATTTCTCTTTTTATGACGGGGAGAGTTGAGTGCGTTTATAGACAGGATGGGAGGCACCGAAGGCAGTACATGAAGAAGCAGAGGAAATCAGGGCAATATATGGAGCAGATGGAGAGGGATATGTCTAGGCCACAGGTGAGACTTGCACAGGAGGCTCAGCTTTCTCACAGAGACACAGATGTGCATCTGGCGGGAACAGCGAAAGCTCACAGCTGGGGCCTGGCTGTTGTCTGTGCTGAAGCGGGTGATGCGATGTGCCTGCCTGAGGGTGTGGAGCTTGTAGAAGAGGCTGAATGGAATCATGACCAGGAATAACAAAGGGATTCCAGTCTTTGCAGAGGACCCAGGGTGATGGGTAATCATCACTTTCTTGCCACCAGTTCCCATGCTTGGGGAGGGGGGTCATATTTCCCAACAGAACTCTACACCTGAAGAATAAGAGAAGCAGATAATCTGTACCCCATGTCTGAATGGCATCCCTGCACCCCGCCTTTCTGCAGTGCACCCTTGGCTCTAAGATGTAGGGGCCACTGGGTGTATTTTTCTAGAGTTGAGGAGGTGTCCCAACCTCCAACCCTGACCCAGAATCTGTCTTGTGCTTTTATCCAGAAATGTACTTGATAGAGTGAATTTAGCCTCCCTTTTCCTTTATTGTCCAGGGCTCAAATGTTCTCATTCTTGATGGTGTGTTATAAAAACAAGCATTTATTCCTAATGGGTGTTATCCATTTCATAGCAAGTACTAACATCAAAAATAAGCCATTGCTTTCACTGAAAGCAAACTGAGTATTTAACGACTGTATCTGAGCACGGCTGAAGAAATGAGATGAAATTTTGGAGAAACACATTGTCCTGACAAAATGTTATTGCCCAGGGTGGAGAGGAGCTAATTATAGCTGTCTAGCAGGGCTGCAGCTGGTGTCTTGAGGAGGGCTCCACAGATGGTGGTGGGATGCGCGTCCACCCCGGGTGAGGGCATATGTGTGTCATTGCTCATCTCTTGCTTGGATCCACAAGCAAAACGGCATTTTTGAAGTAAAAGTGTCCCTGTTAGAACCAGGGGCTATGTATGTTCTGCAGTGAAAGCAAAGGTGAAGAGAATTATGCTAGAAATGTCTCAGCTTCTGTTGTTTTAACTTGTGTGGACTGATTTCAGTCTTCATGTCACCATATTATACCAGACATCAGGAGCCTCGTGGGCTCATTTCCTTTCCAAGCTGACGGTGTCCCTTAACCCTGACTCTGGGTTTCCCTGATGCTGCCTAGAATTCTGACCTCTCCAGCACACTCGATAACCTCCTCTGGATTCAAGGTTCTCACAGTTCCAATAAAGAAAGTCCATGCTGCCTGACACGAGGAAGGTCAGCCATATTTACACTTGTAACTGAATACAGTTGAAACTGAAAAAAATTGCAGAAAAGGTATTTTTAAAAATATTTAGGTTTATGTGAGAGTTGGAGGTTCCAAATATTGCTTTATTCAAACAGCTGGGAGGTAGATGCACCTGACCTTGGTTAAGCTATTTGCACTTGTAAATGTTAGAGTTTGACTGTATTAGTAAAATTATATTCATTAATGTAAATTGCATGCAGTGAAAACTCTGTCTTTCCCATGTGTATGTAAACAGTGTTTGCCTGAATTCGCAGGGCATGCAGTCATTACGAACGCACTCAGATTTTGAAGCTGTATGCACTCTATTCTGGAAGTCATTTAGCTGTGATTCCTCCAAGATCCTTATTGTCAAAGTGCAAAATCAGACAAACAGCAATTTAGCACCATCCAGGCTGAGCACCTTTCACCCTTTGCAGTAGCTTCCAGCCCCAGGCTGCCACCATGGGTTTCATGCTGATGCAGCTTCTGGCCAGGTTTCTATCTTCCTGAGTTTTCTGGAAATACATGGGGCTGGTGGCTGGTGGATGCGGAAGCAGATCCAGGGGAGGCACTGCTGCTTGGTGGGAGGTCTTCACAATCCTCCCACAAAGTCGCTTTTATTTTATCCCTAAAGTCACCCTAATTTGCCTTTTCTTCACTCATCACCACACATGAGGCCCTTTAACATGAGCAAGGATTTCCTACTTTGGGTCTTCACCTGCACTCTGAGTGATTATGGCAGACCCAACTAGCTGTCTTCTCAAAATTCACCCCATCCCTTCCTCTTTTTCAACATAATTCCAATTTTTAAGGTATCCATTCTCTTCTGTGAGCCCTGAGCTGTCCAGCCTCAGAGAGCTCATCTGGATTGGTATAAATCAGCCCAGTGACCTCAGGCTTTTTTCCAGTAATTCATTTAAGCAGGAGAGTAGGCTGCAAATCTGGCCGGGAGACACAGGGGTAGTGTGCTGTGTTGGGGGTGGTGGTGCAGTGTTCCTGGGAAGGTTTTCTTCCCTCCAATAAAAAGAACTGAGGGATAATCAGCATGGGATGTTGGATGAAAGTTTGGAACTGTTGCAGCCATCTTGCAATCAAGAGGAATTATCTCACAAGAACAATCCAGCATGAAGGGTAAAAAGATAAAACTAATGTCGATCTATGAATTGGAGTAGGATAAAAAAAATCTTGGTTTCTGATGATATTTTTGAGCTGTTGAGTTAACCAGCTACTAACTTCAGACTTCTTGTTAGGCGAGACAATATTGTCTTTATACTTAAACCAAATGAATCAGGATTTTCTATAGCTTTCAGCAGAAGAATCCAAAATAGTAGTCTATGCCAAAGGTAAACTGATTATTGTTACTTATTGTATTTAACATTCCCGGTGATCCTCTAATGCCTCAGAAGAATTCAAATTTCTGGGTATAGCCTGGGAGGCCCTCTAAGATCCAGCTCATGTCTCCATCACTAGATTATTTTCTTTTACCTTCACTCCTCATCGCCCCCAAACCCCCACAAACAATGTCCATGCAAAAGCTCTTGCAGATCCCCATCCTGTTGCAATGTCTTCACATGGGCCCTGCAGTCATCCTAGAACATCTTGTGACTGTTGATATATCTGGATTATTCATCAATCCTTCTTCTAGACTCAGCCCAGGTCCTGTCTCCGAGGTATGATTCTCCACTCTTTTCTTCTGCTTGGCTGGGTGGTCCCTACTTGGTGCTTCCTCAGCTCCTTGTGCATCCTCTACCCCAGGGTTGCCTTCCTATGCCCTTTACTATTAGCGACAACGGGAGCCATCCCAGAGGTCATGGCCATGAAAGCCAGAGACAGATCTGGCTTATCAACTCTCCCCAGGCATTGTTGGTTCATGATGCTTAATGGGTGTGACTAATGTGCCAGCTAAGTCTAGGTTAGAGAGGCAAGGCTTGATCACTCTACCATCATCTATGCATCCTGATAGCATGGCACTTTTTACACTGCCATTTTTAAAAGAGTTTTGTTTTTTTCTTTTTCAGTTTTTATTCTAGATTCCAGGGGTACATATGCAGGTTTGTTGCAAAGGTATATTGTGTGATGCTGGAGTTTCAGGTACGATTAAGCCCATCACTCAGGAAGTGAGCACAGTACCCAATAGGTAGTTTTTCAACACTTGCCCCCCTCTCCTCCCTCCCCTTGTATTCCCCAGTGTCTGTTGTTCCCTTCTTTGTGTCTATATGTACTCAATGTTTAGCTCACACTTATAAATGAGAACACGTGGTACTTGGCTTTCTGGTCCTGCACTAGTTGGCTTAGGATAATGGCCTCTAGCTGCATCCATGTTGTTGCAAAGGACATGATTTTGTTCTTTTTATGGCTGCATAGTATTCCATGATGTATATGGACCACATTTTCTTTATACAGTCCACCACTGATGGGCACCTAGGTTGATTTTATGTTTTTGCTATTGTGAATAGTGTTGTGGTGAACATACAGGTGCATGAGTCTTTTCAGTAGAACAATTTATTTTCCTTTGGGCACACACCCAGTAATGGGATTGCTGGGCTGAACGGTAGTTCAACTTTTAGTTTTTTGAGAGATCTCCAAATTGCTCTTCACAGTGGCTAAACTAATTTACACACCTATCAACAGTGTATAAAAAGTGTATAAGCTTTCCTCCTTCTTCTCAACCTTACCGACTTTTTTTTTTTTTTTACTTTTTAACGAAAGCCATCCTGACTGGTTTGAGATGGTATGTCACTGCAGTTTTGATTTGCATTTATCTGGTGATTGGTGATGCTGAGCATTTTTTCACACTTCTTGGCCACTTGTATGTCTTCAGAAGTGTCTGTTCATGTCCTTTTGCCCACTTTTTAAAGGTTTTTTTTTTCTTGTTGATTTATCTAAGTTCCTTACAGATTCCAGATACTAGGCCTTTGTCAGATGCAGAGTTTGTGAATGTTTTCTTCCATTCTGTGTGTTGTCTGTTTATTCTGCTGATAGTTTCTCTAGCTGTGCAGAAGCTCTTCAGTTTAACTGGGTCCCACTTGTCAACTTACAGTGATTTTTAAACTCAGTTTCCATGTGTCCAGTTTATCACCACAGTAATCCACATCCCATAATAATTGTTGGGGACCATAATCAACAAAGGAGGGGAAATGACCTTGTGTTTGTCCTCAGGCTTCTCACTGGGTGACCTGTGGCCCCTTTTGGGTTGGGGTGGGCAGTGCCCCGGGAAAGCTCCAGGCATGCTCTCGGGTGCACTGTCACACTTGCATCTGAGAACACTGCTCGCCGCCTCAGCAAGGGCCAGATCAAGAAGATCCTCACAGCACTAAAGAGAGAGGCACAGACGCCCACCTCTCTGTCCAGTTCTATCCTAATCATTCAAGGAGCTGGGCAAAGCTTGATGATGACAGGGAACTCAGTGTCTCCTCCCAGTGTGTCAGAAGAGAAACAGAAGGCTGCAGGGAGTGAGGCCCAATGCGTGCCGCAGGTTAGAGACCTCTGTGTGCTAGGACCTGGGCCCCCAGGGTAGTCCACCCCAGTCCATTAGGCCATTGCCCATGTTCTTGCCAACACTCTTTTTTGGGCTTCATATATTAGACTATATGAGCCTTTGAGGAAATGGCCTATTTCATATTTTGTATATCTCCAGAACAAAGCAATTAAAAAAATTTCATGTACCTGGCATGCTGCCTGATTTGTAGCCTGCATTCACTAACTCTTAGCTGGAGAGCTGTTAGTTTAGTATTCAGCATTCCTTCTTCTCTTGGGTTTCTCTCTCCCGCTGTGTTCTCAGCACTCTCATGCTATTTCCTTCCTGTTCACACACATGGGGTTTCCTCACCCAGCCAAATCTGGAGTTCATATCTTCTCTCCTAAAGCCTCCCGGCCCCTCGGGAGTGCTGATGTGGAGCAAGACTGGAACCGCTGCAGGGTAGCCTGGAGCCAGTGAGTGATAGGAATCACGTATTACACGACAGACATATATGTGGTCCCCTCTGTGACAGGGCACACAGTGCCCTGGGGAACACAAGTTCACGGGTCCTGTGGGAGGAATTCTAGAATGACAGAGGGTGGTGCATCCACTCAGCCAGCCATGGAGGGGAATTCAGGGGAGATTTCAGAGAGAAAGGCACAGCAGAGCTGGGCTTTGAGGGAAAAGTAGGAGTTTCCAAGGCAGAAAGTCAGGGAAGGGCACCAATGACAGAGGAAACAGAAGTGACGCGGCTGTGATGAGTGAAGAGTGAGCTAGATGTAGCTGTCTGCCTTGTGGCCACAGCCCTTCAGCCCTGGATGGCTGTGTTCCTCGCCAAATGCCACCCCTGCACCCAGCCAAGTCCCGCTGGTACCCAGGGGAGTCATGATCCAAGGGCGCCCACCCAAAGGCTCAGCAGGAATCTCTGACACATGTGGAGAGGTGGAAGGAGAAACTGTCTCAGGAGTAATGGTCAGGAAGAGCTGGTGGGGGTGAGCTGAGAACCTAGATGGGCTGGAAATCCCAGGAAGCAGCAACAAGGGGTAAGCTGAGGGGATGCGTTGGCAGAGAGGAGAACGCAGTGGACGTGCAGAGGAAGCAGTTGGTGGACTGCAGCCTCAGCTCTGGAGAAGGGGCCGGCTGCATTTACTACCCTTTCACAAACCAGGAGTGAATGCTCATTGGTGTGAAGTGACTCCCGCAGGGTGGCAGGGCTTGTGAGCCAGGGAGCTGGGGTTAGAATCCAGATCTGGCCTAACGCCAAAAGTCATGCCAGCTGAAAAAAGCAGAAGACAGCAAATCTAACCCACAGCAAAGTGTTACTTACTGTTCTCCAGAGGAATGCTCAGTGTCATATAAGGAAATAGAGGATCCCTCTGGAGTATAAAAATGACTTTAATATTTACAACAATAATAGTGAACATTTATTGGGCACTTACTATGTGCCAAGCACTGTTCTGAGTAGTTTGCATGAATTATCTCATTTCAGGAGACTTTACTGCATACTCCATTCCAGCACTTATTTTTCCATAAGTTACTCCCCAGGAATTGGGGCTGACTGCTAATGCACAGTAGCCATTTTTCACAGCATCATCTGGTTTGGGGTGGCTGTCAAGTGCAAGCTTCTAGTTCTGGGATTCTTACACATTTTACTTCATTTCTTCATCCCAGCCCCAGTACAAATCAATGGGAAAAAATCAGCAGAGAGGAGTTTGACAAATTGCATGACAACTGACATAAATATTAATAAAATGGTTATGACACAAGATGGTTTACATGATTAGGAGTGTTGGATCTTTTTCAAAGTATTTTCACACTTATATCATTTGTGTCTCATAACACTCACTTTTCCCTGTGAATTTTTGTACTACTGCGACCCATCTGCTTGCTGGTAAGCCAGGGGATGTCCACAGGAGAGAGCTGGGTGGGGGTGTGGGTCCCTGAGGGGACGGCCGCCTGAGCTCTCAGGCTGGGTTACAGCTCCTGGGTCAGTTGTGAGGAATGCTATGTTTCGGAGCATGGTCACTGTGTAATGTACTGCTGATCTCTCCCTGGTTTGGTGGAGTTGCTCTGAATGGGACCAAAACTAGATGGACTCTTACTCTTTCTTTTGAAAATCTCAGGCCCAGGCCAGGCTGGGTGCACCCTGGGGTTTCCCGAGGCCTCACCTTGCTTTCTATTATTTTGGGAATATACCAGAAATAGGATTGCTAGATCATATGATAGTTCTATTTTTAACTTTTTGAGGAACTGCATGCTGCTTTCCACAGCAGTCCGTCTGTTCATTTTTAAGCACAGCACTGCCCTCTCTGGAGGGCACTGTGGCAGCCCTCCTCGCAGGCTGGGCTCTCTGCACTCTCATACCTGCCTGGCATGAAGTGATGGTCAGTGAATATTGTGCCGAAGATTAACCGAGTGAATGAGATGCCTTCAAAAGTGTTGGAAGACCTAGGGAAATTTCCTTTTTCCCCAGAGCAATCTCAAAATCACTCTCTCAACTTAAGACTCCGAGTCTCTCATTCCTGCTCACCCTCTCCCCATCTGCAGAGGCTGAGAGAAAGCTCCTGACCCTACCTAAAACACTGCTTGTACTCAGTGTATGGGGAAACATTTGTGGTCCTGCAGGGATGGGGTGGGATTTGCAAATTTGCTTCACATGCACTTCCTCTGTCCAGCTGAGGCAGTGAGAATTGCTGCATTTCCAGAAATCCAGTGGTCTATAATTGTCTCTGTGAACCAGTTGGCTCATTTCATCCTCCGAGGCCGTGGCTGAGACAGTTGCCTCAATAGAGGTTCCAGCAGCAAATGCGTCATGTTGCAAATGCTCCTCTGCTGTGCAGGTGTCCCTGGGCATAGGACATTCTTGCTGTGGTCTGCACATCCAGCCTGATTTTGGGGGGTAGATTCACTTCTGACAGCTGATCTTTAATACCACTAAAGAAATTATGGTGCTCTCTGCATTCACCTGCTGCTGGATGACTCACAGCTGTGAAGTCTGATGCTATCGCTGCTTGTAGGAAAAGTTTAAACTCTCGCAGTTTGGGAAGAAGCATATGCTCTTGTTACCTAATGTTGGGACACAATGACTTCACTATAGACAGAAGCTTAATGAAAGCAATAGTTGAATTACCCCAACAATGATGGGAAAATGTCAAAACACACAGGAGCTAACTGACAGAGCTCCAATGGACAAAGCTGGAGAAAACTGAGAACAAAATTAAATAAGAGAGTATTGAATTATGACTCAAAGTATAAGCTAAATATCTATGTGTCCATTCTGATATAAACAAATAATTGATAAATAAACAAATGGGAGACAATAGACAGCTCTTCCATGCAGAAGAATCCACCTTCAAAGAGGTGGAAGGTAACTCCCAGCCTTGTACTTGTGGGTTATGCATTGTGACTTCATTCCAAAGAGTATCCTATGGAAAAGGAGAGCAAAGGATACCTTTACAGTGGGGAAACCTGACAGAAGCTGCCATATCCAGGTGTTCTAGGTCAACACCAACAGTGGTTAGTAAAGTTGATAGTGTATACCCATGATATAACATGATGAGAATGGTACTTTTCCTCTGTGGTCTTTCTCTGCAAAACCTATAAGCCCAGTTTAATCACGAGAAGAATGGCAGATAAATCCCTCCGGTGGATGCTCAACAAAATAGCTGATCAGTACTCCTTACAACTCTTAGTGTCCTTAAAAGCAAGGAAAGACTGCAAAACTGTTGCAGCCAAGTGGCACCTAAGGAGACATGATGACAGAATGTAATGTGGGGTCCTGGGACAGAAAAAGGACATGCAGTGAAAACCAAGGATATATGAATACAGCGTGCATTTTAGTTAATAATACCTAACTGTATTCACTCATTAATTGTGCAAAATGTACTATACTAATATAAGATGCTAATTACAGGAAAAACTGGGTGTGAGGTGTGTGGGAACTCTGTACTCTCTTCAAAGCCTTTCTGTAAATATAAAACTACTCTAAAATGGAAAGTTCATTAAAAACTAAACAACAGGGGAGGGGCCAAGATGGTCGAATAGGAACAGCTCCAGTCTCCAGCTCCCAGCAAGACCAACACAGAAGGTGAGTAATTTCCGCATTTCCAACTGAGGTACCTGGTTCATCTCATTGGGACTGGTTAGACAGTGGGTGCAGCCCACAGAGGGTGAGCAGAAGCAGGGTGGGGTGCTGCTTCACCCAGGAAGTGCAAGGAGCTGGGGACCTCCCTCCCACAGCCAAGGGAAGTGGTGAGGGACTGTGCTACCCACCTCGGGTACTATGCTTTTCCCATGGATTTTTGCAATTTGCAGATCAGGAGACTCCCTTATGAGCCTACACCAGCAGGGCCCTGGGTTTCAAGCACAAAACTGGGTGGCTGTTTGGGCAGGTACTGAGCTAGCTGCAGGAGTTTCTTCATACTCCAGCAGTGCCAGGAACTCCAGCAAGACAGAAGAACCATCAACTGCCCTGGAAAGGGGCTGAAGCCAGGAAACCAAGCAGTCCCTCTCAGTGGGTCCCACTCCCAAGGAGACCAGAAAGCTAGGAACCACTGGCTTGAAATTCTCACGGCCAGCACAGCAGTCTGGAGGCAACCTAGGATGATTGAGCTTGGAAAGGGGAGGGGCATCCACTATTACTAAGGCTTTAGTAGGAAGTTTTCTTCTGACAGTGCTAAGGAGACTGGGAGGTTTGGACTGGGTGGAATTCATCACAGCGCAGTAAAGCGGCTGTGGCCAGACTGCTTCTCTAGATTCCTCCTCACTGCATAGGACATCTCCACAGGAAATGTAGCAGCTCCAGTCAGGGAATTACAGATAAAACTCTCATCTCCCTGGGACAGAGCACCTGCAGGGACGAGTGACTGTGGTTGCAGCTTCAGCAGACTTAATCTTTCCTGCCTGCTGGCTCTGAAGACAACAGTGGATCCTGACAAGTGGGATTCTCCCAGCGCAGCACACCAGCTCTGCTAAGGGACTAGACTGCCTCCTCAAGTGGGTCCCTGACACTTTTGCCTCCTGACTGGGAGAGAACTCCCAACAGGGGTTGACAGACACCTCATACAGGAGAACTCCAGCTGGCATCAGGCTGGTGCCCCTCTGAGACAAAGCTTCCAGAGGAAGAAGCAGGCAGCAATCTTTGCTGTTCTGTAGCCTCCATTGGTGATACTCAGGTGAACAGGGTCTGGAGTGGACCTCCAGCAAACTGCAGTAGACCTGCAGAAGAGGGATCTGAGTGTTAGAAGAAAAACAAACAAAAAGCAATGACAACAACATCAACAAAAAAGATCCCCCCACAATACTCCATCCAAAGGTCATCAGCCTCAAAGATCAAAGGTAGGTGAATCCATGAAGATGAGGAAAAACCAGCCCCAAAACACTGAAAATTCCAAAAGCCAGTATGCCTTTTCTCCTCCAAATGATTGCAAAACCTCTCCAGCAAGAGTGCAAAACTGGACAGAGAATGAGATTGAAGAATTGACAGAAGTAGGCTTCAGAAGGTGGGTAATAAACTCTTCTGAGCTAAAGGAGCATGTTCTAAGCCAATGCAAGGAAGTTAAGAACCTTGATAAAAGGTTACAGGAACTGCTAACTAGAATAACCAGTTTAGAGAGGAACATAAATGACCTGATGGAGCTGAAAAACACATCACGAGAACTTTGTGAAGCATACACAAGTATCAATAGCCGAATCGATCAGACAGAAGAAAGGATATTAGAGATTGAAGACCACCTTGCTGAAATAAGGCATGCAGACAAGATTAGAGAAAAAAGAGTGAAAATGGATGAACAAAGCCTCCAAGAAATATGAGACTATGTGAAAAGATATGGGAATATTGGACTATGTGTATTGATTGGGGTACCTGAAAGTGACAGGGAGACTGGAACCAAGTTGGAAAACACACTTCAGGATATTCTCCAGAACTTCCTCAACCTAGCAAGACAAGCCAACATTCAAATTCAAGAAATACACAACACCACTAAGATACTCCATGAGATCAACCCCAAGACACATAATCATCAGATTCTTCAATGTTGTAATGAAGGAAAAAATGTTAAGGACAGCCAGAGAGAAAGGTCAGGTCACCTACAAAGGGAAGCCCATCAGACTAACAGTGGATTTCTCAGCAGAAACCTTACAAGCCAGAAGAAAGTGGGGGCCCATATTCAACATTCTTAAAGAAAATAATTTGCAATCCAGAATTTCATATCCAGCCAAACTAAGGTTCATAAGTGAAGGAGAAATAAAATCCTTTACAGACAAGCAAATGCCGAGGGAATTTTTCACCACCAGGCTTGCATTGCAAGAGCTCCTGAAGGAAGCACTAAATATGGAAAGGAAAAACTGGTACCAGCCACTGCAAAAATACACCAAATATAAAGACCAGTGACACTATGAAGAAACTGCATCAACTAATGTGCAAAATAACCAGCTAACATCAAGATGACAGGTTCAAATTCACACATAACAATATTAACCTCAAATATAAATGAGCTAAATGCCCCAATTAAAAGACACAGACTGGCAAATTGGATAAAGAGTCAAAACCCATCGGTGTGCTGTATTCAGGAGACCCATCTCATGTGCAAAGACACACATAGGCTTAAAACAAAGGGATGGAGGAAAATTTACAAAGCAAATAGAAAGCAAAAAAAAGCAGGGGTTGGAATCTAGTCTCTGATGAAACAGGCTTTAACCCAACAAAGATTAAAAAAACAAAAAAGACAAAGAATGGCATTACATAATAGTAAAGGGAACAACGCAACAAGAAGAGCTAACTATCCTAAATATATATGCACCCAATACAGGAGCACCCAGATTCATAAAACAAGTTCTTAGAGACCTACAAAAAGATGTAGACTCCCACACAATAATAGTGGAAGACTTTAACACCCCACTGTCAATATTAGACAGATCAATGAGACAGAAAATCAACAAGAATATTCAGAACTTGAACTCAGCTCTGGAGCAAGTGGACCTAATAGACATCTATAGAACTCTCCACCCCAAATCAACAGAATATACATTCTTCTCATTGCCACATGGTACTTATTCTAAAATTGACCACATAATTGGAAGTAAAACACTCCTCAGCAAATGCTAAAGAACCGAAATCATAGCAAACAGTCTCTCAGATCACAGTGCAATCAAATTAGAACTCAGGATTAAGAAACTAACTCAAAACCACACAACTACTTGGAAATTGAACACCCTGCTCCTGAATGACTCCTGGGTAAATAACAAAATTAAGGCAGAAATCAGGAAGTTCTTTGAAACCAATGAAAACAAATAGACAAGGTACCAGAATCTGTGGGCCGCAGCTAAAGCAGTGTTAAGAGGGATATTTATAGCACTAAATGCCCACATCAGAAAGCTGGAAAGATCTCAAACTGGCACCCTAACATCACAATTAAAAGAACTAAAGGAGCAAGAGCAAACAAATTCAACAGCTAACAGAAGACAAGAAATAACTAAGAAGCTGGAGGCCACCACCCTCAGTAAACTAACACAGGAACAGAAAACCAAACACCCTATGTTCTCATTCATAAGTGGGAGTTGAACAATGAGAATACCTGGACACAGAGAGGGGAACAACACACACTGGGGCCTGTTGGGGGCGCAGGGGGCAAGGGGAGGGATAACATTAGGACAAATACCTAATGCATGTGGGGCTTAAAACCTAGATGATGGGTTGGGTTGACGGGTGCAGCAAACCACCATGGCACATGTATACCCATGTAACAAACCTGCACAATCTGCATACGTATCCTGGAACTTGAAGTTAAAAAAATATATATATACGCACACAAAAAAAACCCAAAACTAAAAAACAAACAAAAGCGAAAAGGAAAAAAAGCCGATAAAGGAAGAAAGAAGCAAGTGATAGCACTGTGTGATTTTCTTCAGCTCCCAGGTCACATAAATGAGTGTGTGATGTGTTCTGAGTATGAATCACAGAAAAATTCTGCCTGGCCTTCTCCCTTTATCATGCCAAAGAAGTCATGTTGGAATCATGGCTCATAGACCTATTGGCCTGGCTTCCTCTAATAACATGTGGGAGATAAAGGTGGTGGGTGTGACAAGGAACAATGAGAAATAATCTCCTGCTAAACTAAATTCTGATTTTTAATCAAGAATTATTTGGTAAACTCAAATAGTAGGACTCTTGGAAGAGATCAACAAAGTATTTTGATCTTGGAAAGATCAAAGTATTTTAAAAATTGGAAGTTTTTAATAAACTTTCATCATTTACTACATCACTGAAAAACTGTCAACACTTCCAAATATACACATATTTATTTTTTATAAATATGTATGCATGCACCAATATTCTTAGCTAATATCCTAAGCCACAGTGTACATTTAAAAAGTTTGTCACCCTCAAAAATGGACATAATTTTATATATCATATTGTCTTTATGACAATTTCTAACTTGAGCTGCTTCATGCCAGGTGTGATTAATTTGCTGTTGTTTTCACTTATTATTTGGTATGATTTGGTTGACAGATTCTGTATTTGGAGTAGAAAAAATGTCAGCTCTGAAAATAAGGTATGGCGTAGTTGGCCTTGCATGTCACTGTTTTAAACTGCGATACAGTTCCTTACAGGAATTGTTAAGAAATTCATGTCCATTTTGGGGGGTACTAGTTTATCGAAAACTTGTAAACACATGTGATTGGACACAGTCTGCAATACTTGGCAATGCATGGAGCGCTCATGAGCAAGTGGGTCCCAGGGGCGGCCCCTTCACGTGAGCCTCCCTGCCTTCAGGTTCCTCATGTGGGCTGACAACAAACGAGTCCAGGGACACTTCACGGGTTTAACATAAGCAAAGCATTAACGGAGCCACTGCCTCTGGCTCCTCCCAAGTAGCTGGGATTATAGGCAAGGGCCACCATGCCTTGCTCATTTGTATTATTGTTTAAACTATCAGCCAGAGTTTAATAGATATACAACCAGCATAGAAAAACTCAAAACTATACATAAACCAAAACCAGAACGCTGCTTGGCTCAGCTGGCCCCCAAATAAAAACCAATAAAAAGGACAAATCAAGAAAATAATATATTAACTAGGATAGGATTATTGTTATCAGAAAGGACAACCAGCCATACAGTAGGAAGGAAAAAGGTGCATTGTTTTGTTTGTAATTTAAAGCAGATCTTCTAACCTGATAGACATTCTGATCCACCCCTCAAGCCCTGCTGGTTTGACCCATGAATAATTAGACCTTGCCATTTTCAACCCATAGTCCTCTTTAATTTTAATTTTTTTTTTTTTGAGATGGAGTCTCATTCTGTCGCCAGGCTGGAGTGCAGTGGCACCATCTCTGCTCACTGCAACCTCCACCTCCCGGGTTCAAGCAATTCTCCTGCCTCAGCCTCCCAAGTAGCTGGGACTACAGGCGCATGTCGCCACGCCCAGCTAATTTTTGTATTTATTTGTATTATTTTGTAATTAGTAGAGATGGGGTTTCACCATGTTGCCCAGGCTGGTCTCGAACTCCTGAGCTCAGGCGATCTGCCCGCCTTGGCCTCCCAAAGTGCTGGGATTACAGGTGTGATTAATTTAATTTTATTTTTTATTTTTATTTTTTGAGACAGAGTCTCACTCTGTCACCCAGGATGGAGTGCAATGGCACGATCTCGATCTTGGCTCATTGCAAACTCTGCCTCCTGGGTTCAAGCGATTCTCCTGCCTCAGCCTACTAAGTATCTTGGATTACAGGTGTGTGCCACCACGCCCATAATTTTTGTATTTTTAGTAGACATGGGGTTTCACCATGTTGGTCAGGCTGGTTTCAAACTCCTGACCTTGTGATTCGCCCACCTCGGCCTCCCAAAGCGCTGGGATTACAGGTGTGAGCCACCGTGCCCTGCCAATTAATTTTATTTTTAACAGAAAAGCCTGTTTTTGTTTTTACTGGAGGCTCACATGGCCCATAGACCTTTTTTAAAAAATAATTTTTTATTTTGAAATAATTATAAATTCACATGCAGTCATAAGAAATAATAGAGTTCATGCCATCTTTTTTCACCTTGGATTATTGTATTTATTATTCTTGCCTCACTGGTCTGGCTAGAACTTCTAGAATGATTCTAAATAAAAGTGGCAAAAGCAGGCACCTTTGTCTTATTCCTCACTTAAGGGGAAAAAGTTTTCAATCTTTCATCATGTCCTATGATACAAGCTGTGGGTTTTTGTCATGGCCCTATCATTTTGAGGAAGTTTCTTTCTGTTTCTCCTATATTGAGTATGTGTTCCATTAAAAGATATTAATGTTTTTCATATGCTTTTTCTGCATCAACTGAGATAATCATGTAGTTTTTTTCTTCATTAATTTTTATTGTTGAACTATCTTTCCATTCCAGGAATAAATCCTACTTGGTCCTGTTACGTAATCAATCCTTTTAATATGCTGAGTTTTGTCTGGTAGTATTTTGTTAGAGATTTTTGCATCTATATTCACAAGGGATATTGATCTGTAGTTTTCTTGTAGTGTGTTTGTCTGGCTTATAAGTAGAAATCCTTAAAGAAAACACAGAAGATTGCTTGAGTTAGTAAATGAATTCAGCAAAGTGGCAGCATATAAAATCAACAGATAAAAGTAAGTTATATTTCTAAATACTTGCCTTGAACAATCCCAAAAGGAAAAATAATAATAAATTCCCTTTATAATAATATTCAAAAAGAACAAAATACTTAGGAATAAATTTAACCAAGGAGGCAAAAGGCTTGTATATTGAAAACTAAAAAATTTTGATGACAAAATAAATGGAAAGACATCCCATGTTGATTCATCAGAAGACTTAATGTAGTTAAGATGCCAATACTACCCTAAGCAACCTATAAATTCAATACAATCTCTATCAAAATCTTAATGGCATTTTTTACGGAAATAGAAAAACCTATTTTAAAATAGGTTTTAAAGAATCTCAAGAGACCCTCAATAGCCAAAAACAATCTTGTAAAATAAGAATACAGTTGAACTCATACTTTCTGATTTCAAAACACACTACAAAGCTATAGAAATCAAAACAGTAGAGTACTGGCATAAAACAATGGAATAGATTATAAAGCCCCAAATAAACTCTCCCATATGTGGTCATATAATTTTTGACAAGGGTGTCAAGACCATTCAACAGGAAAGGACAGTGTTTTTAATGAATGGTGCTGAAAAAAACTGGGTTTCCACATGCAAAAGAATGAAACAGGACTGTATCTTATACCTTATTTACAAAAATTAACTAAAAATGGATTAAAGACCTAAATTGACAAGCAAAAACTATACAAAATTTGGAAGAAAACAAATGAAAATTGTCATGTTGTTGGATTCTGCAATGATTTCTTAACCACCTACAGAATAGGGAAATAGCTGCAAAGCATACGTCTAAAAGGCATTAATATCCAGAGTCTTTTTAAAAGTTCAACAACTCAACAACCACCACCACCACCACAAAACAAACAATCCAACTGGAAAATGGGCAAAGGACTCAAATAGACATTTCTACAAGAAGATAAACAAATGACAATAAGCACATGAAAAATTATTCAGCATCACTAGTTGTAAGAGAAATGCAAACACAAATTACACTGAGGTACCACTTTGTACTGATTAAGATGGCTATTGTCAATAAATTGGAAAATAACGAGTTTTGGCAAAAATATGGAGAAATTAGAGATCTCAAGCATTGTTGGTGGGGATGTAGAATGGTGCAGCTGCTTTTGAAAACAGTTCAGTCGTTCCTCAAAAGGCTGAACATAGAATTACCATGTGATCCAGCAATTCCACTCTTAGGTATATACCCCAAAAGAATTGAAAACAGAGACTCAAACACATACTCGTGTACCAATGATCATAGCAGCATTGTGCACAATGGCCAAAAGGTGGAAACAATCCAAGTGTCTATCAACAGATGAATAAATAAAATGTGGCATTACACACATAAAAAGACTAAAATTCAGATAACGCTACAACATGGATGAAGCTTGAAAACATTGTGCTAAGTGAAATAATTCAGAGATGAAAGTACAAATATTGAATAATTGCATTTATAGGAGATATCTAGAATAGGTAAATTCAAGGAGACAGAAAGTAGAGTAAAGGCTACTGGAGGTTGGGTAAAGGGAAAGTTGGATCCTACTTTATACCTGATTTAGGGTATAAAGGAGTTATTGCTTAATGGGTACAGAATTTCTGTTTGGGATGATGAAAAAGTTCTGGAAGTACATAGTGGTGATGGTTACATAACATTGTAATGCCACCAAATGTACATTTAAAATGGTTAAAATAGTACTTTTTATGTTATGTAAATTTCACCACAATTAAAAACATAAAAAAAGTTGACTGGGTGCGATGGCTAACGCCTGTAATCCCAAAATTTGGGGAGGCTGAAGCAGAAGGATTGCTAGGCCCAGGAGTTGGAGATCAGCCTAGGCAACATAGTAAGACCCCATCTCTTAAAAAAAAAAAAAAATTGGCCAGATGTGGTAGTGCTCACCTGTAATTCCAGCTACTTGGGAGGTTGAAGCAGAGGCATTGCTTGAGCCCAGGAGGCCAAGGCTGCAGTGAGCTATGATCACACCACTGCCTTCCAGCCAGGGTGACAGAGTGAGACCCTGTATGAAAAAAATAAAATAAAATAAACAAAAATAAATAAATAAATAAAAAGAGAAATTATACAAAGATCCCATGTACCCTTTACCTAGTTTGTCCAATGATAACATCTTATAAAGTTACAGCACAATATTACAGCCAGGAAAGTGGCATTGAGACAATACACCTTTCTTCTTCAGATTCCACTAATTTTATTGCATTCATTTTTTGTGTATTTGGTTCTATAAAATTTATCACACGTGTAGATTCATGTATAGATATACCTGCTCATGTATATTTACTTCACTGAAGTAAAGATAATAGGACAGTTCCACCACTCATCATCACAAGGATCCTGTGTTGTTCTCTCTCTCTCTCTCTCTTCTACATATATACAT
Source organism: Homo sapiens (assembly GCF_000001405.40). Taxonomy (NCBI): domain Eukaryota; kingdom Metazoa; phylum Chordata; class Mammalia; order Primates; family Hominidae; genus Homo; species Homo sapiens. The sequence goes on along the minus strand of NC_000002.12, from coordinate 129,594,069 downwards.
ATATATATGTTTTTTTTAAGATGGTGTCTCACTCTATCGCTTAGGCTGGAATACAGTGGCATGACCTAGGCTCACTGCAACCTCTGCTTCCTGGGTTCAAGCAATCCTTCTGCCTCAGCCTTCTGAGTAGTTAGGATCGCAAGTGTGTGCTACCACGCTTGGCTAATTTTTGTGTTTTTAGTAGAGATGGAGTTTCACCATGTTGGCCGGGCTGGTCTCGAACTCCTGACCTCAGGTGATCTGCCTGCCCTGGCCTCCCAAAGTGCTGAGATTACAGGCGTGAACCACCACGCCCACCCCGGGTTGCACTCTTATAAGCACATTCATCATCCCTTCCTTTCTTCCCCTTTCCTCTCCCTCATTGCTCACTCCACTCATCATCCATAATTCTTAGAAACCATCCAATCATTTCTCAATATTTAATGTTTCATCCTTTCAAAAATCTTATATACAGGAAACAATATGGAATCTTTTGAAATTGGCTTCCTCTTTTTTTTTGAGACAAATCTTGCTCTGTCTCCCAGGCTGGAGTGCAAGGGCACAATCTGGGCTCACTGCAGCCTCTGCCTCCCGGATTCAAGTGATTCTCCTGCCTCTGCCTCCCGAGTAGCTGGGACTACAGGCGTGCGCCATCATGCTCTGCTAATTATGTGTTTTTAGTAGAGATGGGGTTTCACCATCTTGGTCAGGCTGTTCTTGAACTCTTGACCTCGTGATCTGCCTACCTCAGCCTCCCAAAGTGCTGAGATTACAGGCATGAACCACCATGCCCAGCCGAAATTGGCTTTCTTAAAAAATTAGCATAATTCCCTAGGTATTTATCTAAGTTGTGTCTATCAACACTTTGTTCTTTTCCGTTGCCGACTAGTTTTCCAAGGAAAGGATGAATCATATTTTTAATTTTCCATCTGTTGAAGGATACCTGAACTGATTCCAGTCTTTGTCTATTACAAATAAAGCTGCTGTGAACATTCGTGTACAGATTTTTTTTTGATATGGGTTTTTCTGTCTTTGGAATAAATACTAAAGAGTGATATTGCTAAGTTGTACAGTAATTGCATACATAATTTTCTAAGAGAGTGCCAAACTGTTTTCCAACCTGGCTGTACCATTTCATAGTTCCACCAGTGATATATAAATGATCTGTATTCTTCATATTCATGCCTGCATTTGGTGGTGTCACTATCTTTAAAATTTTAGCCATTTTGACTGATGTGTAGTGATATCTCATTATGATTTTAATTTGCACTTCCCTAATAGCTAGTGGTGCTGAACATCTTTTCATGTGTTTATTTTCCACAGCTGTATCTCCTCTTCAGCGAAATTTCTGTGCATGTCTTTTGCTCATGTTACCGGATTTTTTTACTATTAAATTTTAAGAGTTTTTTTTTCTTAATTCTAGATACTAATTCTTCATTGGTAGTGGCATTTGCAAACATTTTCCCCAGTCTATAGCTTGTCTTTTCATTCTTTTAATGGGATCTTTCACTAAGTAAAATTTTTTAATTTTGATAACGTTAAATTTATTAGTTTTTCCTTTTATGGATCATGCTTTTGGTGTAAAGTTTAAGAAATCTTAGATCCTGAAGATTCTTTCTATTTTTTTCTAAAAGTTTTAAAGTTTATGTCTCACATTTATGTTTGTATCTATTTTGATTAATTTTTTATGAGCTGTGAGACTTAGGTTGTGTTCATTATTGTGCCTATCGATGTTAAATTCCTCCAGCACTGTTTGTTGAAAAGATTTTCCTTCTTCCATTGAATTGCTTTTGTATCTTTATAAAAAACTCAGTTGGGCATATTTGTGTAGGTCTATTTCTGGGTTCTCTGTTTTGTTCCATTTATCAATATGTCTATTGCATTTTCAATGCCACAGTGTCTTGATTGCTATGATTACATAGCAAATCTAATACCACGTAGAATAATTCCTCCCATTCTGTTCTTAGTACAGATTTTTTTTTTTTTTTTTTTTTTTTTTTTTTTTTTTTAGCTATTCTAGGGCCTGGTGCTTTCCAGATACATTTTGGGATAAGGTGTTCTATGTCTACAAAATCCCTTGCTGGGATTTTTGTAGGAATTGGATTATATCTGTAGATCAATTTGGGAAGAATGGACAACTTTTCTATGTTGAGTCATCCAACTCATAAATACAGTATGTTTCCCTATTTACTTAGGACTTTAAAAAATTCATTTCATCGGCATTTCAAAGTTTTCAGCATACAGATTCTGTATACAATTTGTTAGACTTATCCCTATTTCATTTTCTTTGGAACAATTGTAAACTGTTATGTTTAATTTTAGTTTCTACATATTCATTGTCGGTATACAGAAATAAAGTTGATTTTTATGCATTGATCTGAGTTTAAGAAAGCCCTCATGCTTATTAGTTCTAGGATTCTATTTTTTTTTTTTTTTGGTCTACATAGATCTATATCTATGTAGACAATCATGCTACCTACAAGCAGGTCCGGTTTTATTTCTTCCTTTTTGATCTGTATATGTTATTTATTTTCCTTGTTTTATTGCAGTGGCTAAAACTTCCTCCAGTAGTATGATGAATAGAGTCATAACAGTGGATATTATTGCTTTGTTCCCAATCTTAAAGGAAAAGCAAGCATTCCTTTAATGCTAAGTATATTAGCTGAAGGTTTTTTGTAGATGCTCTTTATTAAGCCAAGAAAGTTCCCTTCTTTTTTATTTTTATCACAGATCTTGGTAAATGCTTTTTTTGTGTGTCAATTGTTAAGATCACGCAAAGTTTTAAATTTAACTTATGATGGATTACATTGATTGATTTCAAATGTTGAACCAGCCTTACATACCTGGAATAAACCCCACCTGGTTATGGTGTAGAATTCTTTGTATACATTGCTGGATTCAATTTGTTAATATTTTGTTGAGAATATCTGCTTCTAAATTGATGAGTGATATAAATCATTGTATTGTCTTTTGTAGGCTTGTTATAAGGGTAATACTGACCTCATAAAATTAGTAGGGAAGTGTTTTGCTTCTTCTATTTCTGTAGGAGAATGTGTAAAATTGGTGTTAATTCTTCTTTAAATTTATGGTAGAAATCTTCAATACAACTATCCAGACTTGGAGATCTCTTTTTGTGGAAACTTTTATTTACAAATTCAATTTCTTTGAAGATTACAGAACTGCCCAGATTGTCTGTTTTATCTTGATTGAGGTTTGGTAGTTTTAGGTTTTCAAGGACTTTTTTCTTTTCTTTTCAGTTGTTGACTGTGTGAGTTTAAAGTTATACATCATATCCTTTATTTTTCTTCTAATGGCCAAAGGATTCATAGTGATTTCCTTTTTTTCATTTCTAATTTTTATGTGTCTTTTTTTTTGGCCAGTGTTACTAGAGGTTTATGCATTTTACTGATTTTCTTTCAAACAGACAGTGTTTTGCCTCATTCATTTTTTTCTATTTTTGTAAATGAATGCAGGTCCAGCTGTTTGCTGCTTGCGAAGTCTTAAGAATGAGTGAGGTCTGGTAAAAGGAAAGTGACTTCATTAACAAAAACTAGCAGTAGGGAAGTGGCTGGATTCATATCCAAAGGAATCACATTGAACTTGTAGGGAGAAGGCTAGGGTTTATAAAGAGAAACTTCGTATGGGACACATGCAGTTGTGTTGAGTGCAAGGTGTGTGTGTCCTTTTTCACTGGCTATCTTGGATCTCTGTCTACCTGGAGTGTGGGCTGACATCATCTGAACAATGGCTGGGTTGGTGACTAGCTGCCTTGAGGTAATCTCTGGAATTCTGCTCGGTCTCTAGGCTCGGTCTATCTGTCTCAAGGTTAGCCCTTGAACTCCTAAGTAAGCACATACTTAGATACTGGCATAATTAGATGAATGTGAAGGGAGTACACAGTGGGAAAGGAAGGAACATGCAGTCTATTTTAAGGTTAAGGGAAAAGGCTGTTGCAGTTTGCTTCAAGATTACATCTTGAGACTAAAATGGAAAAAAAGTTTTAAAATGCATTATGGAGTTAAGCTGCTGGTTACCTTTTCATTTTTTTTAAAAAATCATTAATTTCTGCTTTTATCTTTATGATTTCCTTCCTTTGCTCTTTTTTCTTCTAGTTACTTGAATTACTTAGGTTATTGATTTGAGACATTTTCTGTTTTTAGTGCTAAAAATTTCCTCACAGCTCTAGTTTTTTCCCCCTACATATTTTGAGATATTTTCATTTTCTTCCCATTCTATGTATTTTTAAAATTTCCTTTGAGACTTCCTCTTTGATATATGAAATATTTAGAAGTCTTTTAATTTTCAAGTATTTGGATATTTTCTGTTGTTTTTATTTTATTGATTTCTAATTTGATTTCATTACGGTTAAAGAGCTCACTCTGTATGGTTTCAATTATTTTAAACTGCTTGAGGCTCGCTTAATCACCCAGAATATGGGTTGGTGAATGTTCCACGGCCCTTGGAAAATGTGTACTCTGCTGCTGTTGGTGGGAGTGTTCTCTATATGTCAGTTACATCCTGTGGGTTGATGGCCTTGCTCAGTCTTCTGTATTCTTGCTGATTGTCTAGTAGCTCTATTAGCTGCTGAGAGTCAGATGTTAAACTTCCCACCTATAATTGTGGAATTGTTTCTCTCTCCTATCAACTCTGTTTTTGCTTCATATATTTTAAGGCTCTGTTGTCTGCAGCATACACATTTAGGATCACAACATCTTCCTCATGGATTGATCCTTTTACATTATTTAATGTTGCTCTTTGACTTGCAATTTTCTTTCATCTGAAGTCTACTTTATATTAATATAGCCACTCCTACTTTAATTAATGTCTGCATTAATACATCTTTTTCCTTCCTTCTACTTTCATCTTACCTGTGGTGTTGAATTCAAAGAGAGTTTCTTATAGATAACATATTGTTGGATTCTGTGTTTTTATCTACTCTGCCAGTCTCTACCTTTTGTCATATTTAGACTATTCACATTTAAGTAATATGTTAGGACATACATCTGACATTGTTTGCTTTCTTTTTGTTTTCTCTGTTTGTTATTCTTCTGTTCCCTTTCCTTACCTAATTGTGGGTAACTCACATTTTTAGGATTCCATCTTATTTGTAGTATTTATTGTATAGTTTTCTTAGTTATTGCTTTAGGTTTTACAATACATGTATGTAACCTTCCATGGTCTATTGGTATCAATGTTTGCCAGTTTGAGTGAAGTTTAGATACCTTACTGTCATTCAGGTCTTTTTATTCTTCCCACTTTTTATGTATAGTGAGCTTAAGTGTTTTCACTACATAAAAAGAGAACTGTATCAGATGGTCATATAACTTTTGCTTTAACCATCAAATATGAATTTGGCAACTCATGAATTGAAGGATATTTATTATATCTTTCCTAATTTCTAAAATCTACTTTAATGTTTTCCTTTTCTTTCTAAAGTTCCAAGTCCTTTTGTTGTTGTTGATTTCCTTTCCTTTTAGCGAATTTCTTTTAGGTACTCTTTAAAGATACAACAAATTTTCTTAGTTTTCCTTTGTTTGCTAAGTACTTATTCCTTTCACTCCTTGGAGGAATTTTGCCACATATTGAATCTACAGTTGACAGTTCTTTTCCCTCAGTACTTTAAAAACCAGTCACTCCCTTCTGCGTCCTATGGTTTCAGGTGAAAGCTCAGCTGACTTGAATTGGTGTTGCCTCATGAACAACATTTGATTTCTCTCCAGCTGCTTTCAAAATTTATTCTGCCTTTTTTTTTTTTGATGTTTAATTATGATGTGATTGGCATGAACTTCTTTGGGTTTACGATTCTTGAGGTTTGCTTAACTTTTTAAATCTGCAGCTGTATGTCTTTTGCCACATCTGGAAAATTTTCGCTATGATTTCTCTAAATGCTTTTCCAATGGCTCTTGTGCCCTGTGATGTAAGTGGAGGACTGGGAAAGGGAAGTCCCTCCCAGCCACACCATCTCTGCATTGAGGCGCGCTCCAGCTCCTGTGAAAGGGGCACCTGCAGCAGCCCGGGCAGTGCTCTCCAGTCAAGCGGGGCGTTTCCAGCCGGCTCTGTCCTGGGACACAGCCCGGTCAGGAGAGGGGAGCCACACCACTTATTTTACCGAGAAAACGTCATGAGAAGAAGGTAGCTGAGAGGTTAAAGAGAGGACTCTGAGTCGCCATGAGGTATCCACTGTCGGCTGTGGCCACGCGTCTAGTGCAGAGGGCACGAAGGGCAGGGCTTGGAGCTCTTAGGCCTCAAAAGGCCGCCGGGAGGCCAGTGCACCTCCTGCCTGGGCTGGGAGCTGCTGGCTGCTGTGCGGGGCACCGGCAAGGGCCGACGTCACAAAGAGGTCGCAGACGTCACAAAGAGGTCGCTTCCTTCACACCGACTTCACGGAGAGGTCGCTTCCTTCACACCGACTTCACAAAGAGTTCGCTTCCGCACGTGCAGGACTCAGCAGCAAGGGCGTGGGACGCGCAGGCGCCGGGAGCCCACAGGGTGGAGACCGGAGCGAGCCCGCCCTTCTCCAGCCGCGCGGCCTTTCATTCGCGCCCCCTATCGGCAGGGCCAGCGGGGCCGCAGAAGCGTGGCTCGCAGGGCCCAGCCGCATGCACCGAGCTGAGCGCGCGCTGGCCTGTGTGGAGCCCAGGCAAGAACGGAGTAATTGATACAGAAGAGGCTTTGCGTTTTCAGGAATGCACTGTCCCCTTTCCAGGAGCTCTGCAAGGGAGCAGGAATGCCAGAAAGTAGCCTGTGCAGAGGCAGGAGAATGGGAGTCCGCCACAGACTGTCTCTTTCCCCCCCCGGCCAGAGTCTCATCCAGCCCTGGGGAAGGAAGACACCTGGTGGCAATCATGCACCCCACCACCTGTCCAGATCTTAGCTCGTGGCGTCACCCCTGAGGCTGGAACAGTCTCTGAAGAGGGACTGCACAGTTCCACGGGGAACTGTGGAGGAAAACACAGGCCTGGCCTGCCAGCAAGGGAGCAAAGGGGCAGGGGAGTCCCAGAAAACGCTCTGGTCAGTAGACGCTTGAAGATAAAACTCCGCCATAGAAGGGTAAGCTTTCATAAAGTGAAAAGAAACATCTGTCGCCAGAGATGGATATAAGAATAGCATAGACAGCCCGGGGAACAAAGTGAGACCCCATCTCTACAAAAAATACAAAAATTAGTCGGATGCTGTGGTACACGCCTGTGTTCCCAGCTGCTTGGAAGGCTGAAGTGGGAGGATCCCTTGAGCCCGGGAGGTTGAGGCTGCAGTGAGCTATGGTCAGGCTACTGCACTCCAGCTTCGGTGACAGTGCAAGACCGTGTCATTAAAATGACTTGAGGAGGAGCAAAGGATCTATTCAGGGCCAGCAATGTCTACTTTAAAAAATTATTGTGAGGACGGGGTCTGAAATTTTAAATTAAAAATGAGCACAGACGTGGAAAAGCACTCAATAAACAGAACCTTTACATATGTAGTGTAGGAGGGGGTGAGGGGAGTCCATTTACTGTGGCATTAGCCTGAGGTTGAAAAGTGGGCTCAAATATTTTAATATTCTAGAATGTTTGGTTGCTTGAGGAAAAATCAGAAGGGGTAATGATGGGATGACGGTGATAGTCTAAGTGTAATTTTTTGATCTCTTCAGGTCCTCCATACAAACAGGTAGAGCAAAATGGACCACATCTGCAATAAAACTAGGTAGCAAGTTTTATCCACAAGCCTCAAGATGAAAGCTATTGGGGACAAATTCCCTATAGCTAAGTCCATGTGGCACCAGCATCTGGAAGGAGTAAGCCGAGGGAAGCAACACAATATCTTATAGATCTGAGAGCAGAAGACTCAAAGCACTCCTGGATAATTACTGGACAGTAGTGGGCTTATTTGTAAACAGCAGATGAAATAGGGAAAACATTTTTCATTTCCGTTCACATGTGAATGCAAAGAGTTTAAAGAAGTGTTCACTCTTGGTGTGATATATTCCATGGGTTTTGACAAAGGTATAATGACATCTATCCACCATTATAATATTGTACACAATAGTTTCATTGCCTTAAAGTTCCTCTGTGCTCTGCTTGTTTATACCTCTCTTCCAGCTGCCTCTGCAACCACTAATCTTTCTACTATCTCTGTGGTTTTGCTTTTCCCAATATGTCTTATAGTTGGAGTCACAGAGTATGTAGCCTTTGCAGATTAGCTTCTTTCACATCCTGTTCCTGTTGCTTCACATCCTTGTCAGCATTTGATGTTGGTGTTTTAGATTTTAGCCATTCTAATAGATGTGTAGTGGTATCTTCTTATTGTTTTAATTTGCAATTCCTTAATGATGTATGATGTTGTCCATCTTTTCATATGCTTAGTTGCCATATGCATGGCTTTTTGGCTAGGTTTCTGTTCAGGGCTTTTGCCCATTTTCAGTTAGATGGTTTGTTTTCCCATTGTTGAGTTTAAAGAGTTATTTGTGTGTTTTAGATAGTCTTTTATCAGACATGTCTTTTGTAAGTATTTTCTGCCAATCGGTGGCTTGTCTTCTAATTCTTTTGACAGTGTCTTTTGCAGAGCAGAAGTTTTTAATTTTGGTGGTGTATCTAAAAAGGCATTGTCATTTGTTAGTTTCTAGGAGTTGTATAGTCTTACATTTTATATTTAAGTCTGTGATCCACTGTGAGTTAATTTTTTGTGAAGTGTATAAGATCTGTGTCTAAATTCATTTTTTTACATGTGCCTTTCCAATCATTCCAGCACTGCTTGAAGACACTTACCTTTGTGCTATTGTATTATCTTTACTCATTTATCAAATATCTGTTATATTTATTTGAGTCTTTTTCTGGGCTTTCTATTCTGTTCTGTTGATCTAATTGTCTATTCTTTCACCAATACCTTGCTGTCTTGATCACTGTAGCTTTATAGTAAGTCTTAAAGCTGGGTAGTGTCAGTCCTTCAACTTTGTTCTTCTCATTTAATATTTAGTTGGCTATTTTGGATCTTTTGTCTCTCCATTATAAACTTTAGAATCAATTTAATACTCACAAAAATAACATGCTAGGATTTGATGGGAATTGTGTTGAATCTATAGAGCAAATGGGAAAAACTGCCATTTTGACAATATTGAGTCTTCCTATCCATTAGCATGGAATATCTTTCCATTTATTTAGTTATTTGTTGTCTTTCCCTACAGTTTTATAGTTTTCTTTAGAGAGATCATATGTGAATGTTGTTGGATTTATACCTATTTTATTTTTGGGGTGCCAATGTCAATGGTAATGTGTTTTTAATTTCAAATTCTACTTTTTCATTGCTAGTATATAGGAAAGTGATTGATTTTTGTATGTTAACCTTTTTTTTGTATATTGCAACCTTGATAATGATTTATTAGTTCCAAGAGCTTTTTTTGGTTGATTCTTTTGTTTTATCTACATAAACAATCATGTTATCTGGAAGCAAAGACAGTTTTATTTATTTCTTCTAAATAAGTATATGTTTTATCTCCTTTTCTTATGTTATTGAATTAGCTAGTACTTCCAATACAGTGTTGAAGAACAGTGGGGAGAGGAGACATCCTTGCCTTGTTCTTGATCTTATCAAGAAAGCTTCAATTTTCTTACTGTTAAGTATGATGTTAGCTGTGGGGTTTGTTTTTGTACATGTTCTTTATCAAGTTGAAGAAATTTCCTTCTATTCCTAGTTCTCTGAGAGGTTTTATCGTGAACGGGTGTTGGGTTTTGTCAAATGCTTTTACTGTATGAATTAATATGAACATATGATTTTTTTCATAGCCTGTCGATATGGTGGATTACATTAATTGATTTTCTAATATTGAATCAGGTTCGTATACCTGGGGTAAATCCCATTTGGTCATGGTGTATAATTCTGTTTCTACATTGTTGGATTTTATTTGCTAATGGTTTGTTGAGAATTTTTGTATCTATATTCATGAGAGATGTTGCTCTGTAGTTTTATTTTCTTGTGATATTCTTCTCTGGCTTTGATATTAGGGTAATGCTGGCCTTATAGAATGAGTTAGGAAGTATTCCTTCTGCTTCTATCTTTGGAAAAGATTATAGACAATTGATATAATTTATTCCTTAAATGTTTGGTAATATATACTAGTGAATCCATACAGGCCTAGTGCTTTCTTTGGAAACTTATTATTGATTGAATTTATTTAATAGGTATAGGCCTATTCAGATCATGTATTTGCAGATGCACATAAATTCTAGATGAAATAGATAATTGTCAAGAAAAATACAATCTGCCAAAATGTACCTTAGTCAAAGTCTAACAGACCAATTATGATAGAAGAAATAAAGAACATAGTTGAAGCGCACCCTCACAATGAAGGCATCAAACTCAGATGGAGTGACAGGAATTCTACCAGTCAGATAAATTCCAAAACTACTTATAAAGCTTGTGGGTATGGAGAAAGAAGAAAAAAACCTTATAGTTTTGTGAAGCAAGTATTACATCAAAACTAAAACTGACAAATAATTGTAGTAAATATATGATATAATCACTATATTAATTGAAATATATTACTTCAAAAAAATTAGATAAAATATTAGCAAGCAGAATTTAACAGCACTTTAAAAATAATATGTCATTATCAAGCTGAGTTTATTCCAGGAATGTAAAGGTTATTCAATATTAGGTAATTCATTAATACAATCCATCATATTTATAGAGATAAGAAGAAAAACATTCCAATCTCCATAGATACATAAAAGTATTTGAAAAAAATCCTTAAAAATGGAAATAAAATATAAATATATGGATATATTCTTAACACGAATACACACACAAGCATGCATTTGTGCATGTACCAGCCCAAAAGTTGAATTTTGCTTAATGGGAAAACTAGAGACTGTGTCACTAATGTGGGATGCCAACCACCTCCAGTACTATTGAATATTGTGTTACAGATGCTAATCAAAGCAAGTAGATAAGAGAAAAAAACCAGAGGCACAATAATGGCAAAGCAAGAAGTAATGCCATTTTTCTTTGCAAGTAACATGATCATATATCTGGAAGTTCCTCCTCATCCAAATCAATGGAAAAACTGCAAATAACATGACAACTGAGTAAAAATATATCTTAAGTCAAACAACTCAGAAACAGAAAGACAAATACTGCATGTTTTTACTTATAAGTGAAACCTAAATAATGTATACACATATACAGAGTATAGACTGATAGACATTGGAGACTCAGAAGGGTGGGGAGGTGGGAGGGGAATAGAGGATAAAAAAATTACTTAATGGGTGTAATGTACATTATTCAGACGATGGATACAGTAAAAGCTCAGATTTTGCTACCATGCAATTAATACAATTTAGATATTTGTCCTTTCTAAATCTTGGGTTGAAATATAATCCCCACTGTTGGAGGTGGGGCCTGGTGGGAAGGTGTTTGGGTCATGGGGGTAGATTTCTCATGAATGGCTTAGCACCATCCCGTTGATGATGAGTGAGTTTTTGCTCTGGTAGTTTATGCAAGATCTGGTTGTTTAAAAGAGTGTGGCACTTCCTCTCTCTCTCTCTCTCTCTTTTTAAACTTTTTGAGATGGAGTCTCTCTCTGTCACCCAGGCTGGAGTGCAGTAGTGTGATCTCGGCTCACTGCAACTTCTGTCTCCCAGGTTCAAGCAATTCTCCTGCCTCAGCCTCCCAAGTAGCTGGGACTACAGGCACATGCCACCACGCCTGGCTAATTTTTGTATTTTTAGTAGAGACGGAGTTTCACCATGTTGGCTAGGTTGGTCTCAAACTCCTGACCTCAGATGATCCGCCTGCCTTGGCCTCTCAAAGTGCTGGGATTACAGGCATGAGCCACTGTGCCCAGCCCCTCCTCTGTCTCTTTCATGCTCCTGCTCTCACCATGTGATGAACCTGCACTCACTTTGCAATGATTGGAAGCTTCCTGAGGCCCTCATCAGCAGCAGATATCAGCACCATGTTTCTTGTACAGCCTGTAGAACTGTGGGCCAGTTCAACCTCTTTATAAATTACCTAGCCTCAGTATTTCTTTATAGCAATGCAAGTACAGCCAAATACAGAAAATTGGCACCAAAAGTGGGACATTCCTATAAAGATACTTGAGAATGTGGAATCGCTTTGGAACTGCATGGCAGGAAGAGGTTGGAAGAGTTTGGAGGGCTCCAACGAAGACAGGAAGGTGAGGGGAAGTTTGGAACATCTTAGAGACTGGTTAACTGGTTGTAAGCAAAATGCTGATAGAAATATGGACAGTGAAGGCCAGGCTGACAAGGTCTCAGATGGAAATGAGGACGTTATTGGGAACTGGCATAAAGGTCACCCATGTTACAACCTGGCAGAGAATTTGGCTGCATTGTGTTCAAGCTGTAGGGATCTGTGGAAATTTTAACTTAAGAGTGATGGCTTAGGTTATCTGGTGGAAGAAATTTCTAAGCAACAAGGCATTCAGGATGTGGCCTGGCTGCTTCGAATAGCTTAGATCAGGTACAGGAGCAAAGAAATGACTTGACATTGGAACTTACTATTAAAAGGAAAAGCAGAACATAAAAGTTTGGAAAATTTGGAGCCTTGCCATGCGTCAGAGAAAGAAAAAGCATTTTCAAGACAGGAATTCAAGCAGGCTGTGGAGCAAACACTTGCTAGAGAGTAGCCTAACTAAAAGGCATGTGGTAATATCCAGGACAATGGGAAAAAGGCTTCAAAGGCATTTCAGAAGTCTCTGGGACAGCTCCTCCCATCCCAGGCTCAGAGGCCTAGAAGGAAAGAATGGTTTTGAGAGCGAGGCCCAGCCTTGAGACACTGTTCTCTCCATCCCAGCAACTCCAGCTCCAGCCTTGGCTGAAAGGGCCCCAGACACAGCTCAGCCTACTCTGGAGGGCACAAGCCATAAACCTTGGTAGATTCCATGTGGTGTTAAGCCCGAAGATGTGAGGAATGTAACAGTGAAGGGTGGTGGGCAGCTTGCCCCTAGATTTCAGAGGATGTATGGGAAAGTCTGGGTGCCCAGGCAGAATCCTGCTACAGGGGCAGGACCCTCACAGAAAGCCCCTATTACAGCAGTGCCAAGGGGAAATATGGGGTTAGAGCCCTCACACAGAGTCCCCACCAGGGCACTGCCTAGTGGATATGTGGGAAGGAGGCTACTGCCTTCCATACCCCAGAATAGTGATTCACTGGCAGCTTGCCCCCTACATCTAGAAAAGCTGCAGACACTTAACTCCAACTTGTGAAAGCAGCTGTACCCTGCAAAGCCATGTCGGGAGGTGCTGCCTAAGCCCTTGGGAGCCCACCCCTTTCACCAATGTGTCATGGATGCAAGGCATGGAGTCAAAGGAGGTTATTTTGGAGCTTTGAGATGTAATGACTGCCTTGCTGGGTTTCAGACTTGTGTAGGGTCTATAATCCCTTTGTTTTGGGTAGTTTCTCCCTTTTGGAATGGGAATATTTACTCAATACCTGTGCCACAATTCTATCTTGGAAGTAAATAACATCTTTTGATCTTACAGGGTCATAGGTGGCAGGAACTCATCTCTAGATGGTACTTTGGACTTGGGACTTGGGAATTGGGATTTTTGAGTTAATGTTTTTAGTGACTATTGTGAAGGAATGAATATATTTTGCAATGTGAGAAAGATGTGAAATTTGGGGGACTTGGGGCTGAATGATACAGTTTGTATATTTGTTACCTCCAAATCTCACATTGAAATGTAGTCCCCAGTGTTGGAAGTGGGGCCTGGTAGGAGGTGTTTGGGTCATGGGAGTGGATCCTTCATGATTGGCTTAGCACTCTCCTCTTGGTAATGAGCAAGTTCTCGCTCTGGTAATTCATATGAAACCTGGTTGTTTAAAAGAGCATGGCACCTCCTCCCTCTGTCTTGCTCCTGCTTTCACCATGTGATGCACCTGCTCCCCCTTTTCCTTCTGCCAGGCTCTCATCAGCAGCAGATGCCAGCCCCATGCTTCTTGTACAGCCAGCAGAACTGTGAGCCAATTAAGCCTCTTTTCTTTATAAATTACCCAGCCTCAGTTATTTCTTTACAGCAATGCAAGAATATCCTAATACAGTAATATATTCATGTAACAAAATTGTACTTGTACCCCTTAAATTTATACAAGAAAATATCAGTTTATAGAGTGAGTATATACACACATGCATACAAGTATGTGTATATATTTGTATACACATATATGCATTTTATATATTAAATTGTATTATATTCATATAAATATATATTCTAATATTTATTAATATACACATATGAATAAGTATTTATTCTGTACTTGATCTTAGCCTAAGGCTAAGCCTAAAGGCTGAGAAACAAATATATATATATATTTATATATGTATATATATTTATATATATATGGTACTATGCACACATACACACACATATGTGAAGATATAATGGAAGAGAAGAACCCATTTACAAAAATAGATGTAACAAAAATATAAAGACATAAATGTAGCAAGAAATGATCAAAATCCATATGAGGAAAACTATGCATACTTTTAAAGACATAAAAATAGATTTGAAGACATGGAAAGGCACCATATTCTTGGATAGATAAGCTAACATTATCCTAACTTTTAAAATCCCAGCACAATAATAGCCATAACTTTTTTTTCTAGATCAAGACAATTTGCCTATAAAGATTGTTTGGAGGAGCAAGGATATGGGGTTCTGCAAGACATTCAATATGCAATAAAGCCTATAAGTAAAGCAGTGTGACATAGGTCCATGAAGAGCAGACAGATTAATAGAATAAAATATCCAGAAACAGATACACTTACATTTAAAAGTTTACCGTAACAGGAAAGTGGGATTTCAAATCATCAGGGGATAAGAAAAACTTTAAAAAATTGAATAACTGAGTGACCCTATGGGAAAAAAAAAAAGAAGTTGGATTCGTTTTTCATGTATCATGTCAATTACAAAAGGATAAGAGATTTCAATGTAAAAAAATGGAATCACATGTACAGTAAAAGAAAACACAGATGAAATTCCTATATAATTTGGCATCAATTTAAAATTCAGAAAGAGTAAGAATAAAATTGGATATGTTTGAATAATAAAAATTTTAAAAAGTAATTTTCAAGGCAACACCATAAACAAAGTAATGACAAACTAGGAAAAGATATTTGCAACTTATATTGCAGAGAAAGGGTTTATATTCTTAATATCCAAAGAGCTTCTAATACTACAGAAGAAAATAACCTAGAGCCCTATGGAAAGATCAGAGTAATGTTTCATTCACAGAAAAATAAGTGCAAATGATTCTACACCACATGAAAAGATGCTCATAGCTGCTGATATAAAAGAAATCCATATGAAAACTACATGAAGATTCCATTTTTAACCTACCAGATTGGCAAAGTCCTAATTTTAACAGTATATTCTTTTGGCCAGGCTATGGGGAGATAGGCACTGCTGTATATTGTTAGTAGCAATAATCTGATGTGTACCACTTGAAATCAGTGAGGAAAAGTTAAAATAGAATCCATTTTTTCAGACCAGACATCAGGAGTGGAATTCAGCAATGCCTAGAAAAATTATACATACCTTCCTCCTTCTCCGCAGCAATTGGAATTACATGAATGTATCCCACAGTTACACTGACAGAAGTTCTAAGAGACATAGATGGCTGGGCATGGATTTCCATAGATGGAAATACTGGCTCATTCCAGTAATTCCAGCATTTTGGGAGGACACAGTGGGTGGTCCACTTGAGCTCAGGAATTTGAGACCAGCCTGGGCAACATGGCGAAACCCCATCTCTACAAAAATTATCCAGGTGTGGTGGTGCATGCCTGTGGTCCCAGCTACTTGGGAGGCAGAGGTGGAAGGATGGTTTGAGCCCAGGAGGTGGAGGTTGCAGTGAGCCAAGATCATGCTACTGCACACCAGATTGGGTGACAGAGCCAGATCCTGTCTCAGAAAAAAAAAAAAAAAAAAAAAGACATAGATGAAAGGCTGTTTATGCAGGACTCCATAACAGCAAAAACTAGCAACTACCTAAACATCTATACATAAGGTTGACTATACTATGATATATCTCCACACTGGCATACCATGTAGCTACAAAAAAGTAATGAGGAATACTCTATTGACCTCTACATGGTTATGTCAAGTATCTGTGTGAAATAACAATAAAGCAAGGTAGAGAAAAGTAGGTATACTGTGCTGCCATTTAGCTGAGAAGGGGAGATATGGTTCTATATACCTCTCTGTATTACACAAACCACAAATAATGGGAGGATAGCTCACCTATGGAAGGGATAGAATAGAGAGGACAAGGGTAAAAGCTATACTTTTTTTAAGAGCTTGTTTTTATAGATTTGATTTTAGCACCACAAAATTATTTTACACAATTATAAAGCAAATTTAAATTAAAATGATCTTTAAAACTCAAAAATAAAATGAATCAAAGAAACTTTTAAATATGTATCCAGTTGGTTGCATAACCACACAGAAAGAAATATTCCAAGTGGCTTTAAAACACAGTAATTTGTGTATCCCTAATGGAATATATTCTTAGATAAAGTCTATTTGCAAAACAAAAAGCAAAACTTAAGTTCTTTACAGTAATCATATTGTTGGAGGAGTGCTGGTATTGCTATTCTAAATTGTTGTGGGTATGTTGTGGCTATAAAAACAGAGCCTGGGAATAATTATGTGGTTCTCCAATTCTATCAGTTTGTGTATTATTGAGAACTGGGATTCACTGTATGAGAAAAAAATACAGATGTTAAGACTGAAAGGGTTAAATAAAAGCCTTATAATTATGATTTGGATTAGAAGTATTAGCATAAACTCATGATATATTACATTTCCTTTAAAAACACAGAAATACACATATTTCCTAGTTTTGTCAACTAAAATGTCCTAGGAAAATAACGATGAACTCAGAAGTGAGGAGGAGCTCTAGAGCTGAGATTGTGATCCTGAAATACTGTATCTTATTAAGAGAAACCAGAACGCCTGAGAGAAATGACTGATTCCAGGTTTGGGGCAAGGAATATAAAGAATAAGCATGAAATATCTTGTCATGGCAGATAGCACAGATGCTAACAACTACTACCAAGGTCACAGCAAAACTCAGGAGCTGTCTTGAATAGGGTCCCATTAGCCAAAGGGGAGATATAAACCTCAATGGATTAAACACATAAAATGGGATTAAATCCATGCATTTGTAATCTCATTGAAAAAACACGCATATGTTTAATCTTGGAGAAGGAAAGTGAACCAACTCGTTAGTAGAAAACAAGTAAATAAAGGGAACCAAGCATTTTCCCTGGCTTTCTCATGCCATGTGTGCCACTTGGTAGGCAAAGTTTCTCTTTATAAAGCATTTTAGTTTATAAATGAAGAAGGCATATGACATCAGAATGCTGCCTACCATTGTGTAGCTCCTAATGAATTAGTGGGTCTAAGTGCTCATAGTCAATGGCTGCTGTCATCACAAAAAGAGAGACAAACGCATTATGGGTATCCTAATGGAAAAGCACACATTCCTGATCAAGCAGTCTTGCAGAGGAGGAGGAGGAGGGGGAGAAGAAAACACCCCAATTTCGTCAGAACTTTAGATCCAAGTACCAATTTATGAAAAATATGAAGGATAAAAAAGCATATAAAACAACACCCTGGGGATACAATCAGGAAACTCCAAATTGTGAAATATCTGTAGGACAAACAACCTATTTCTTTGACAAATAAATTGCATGGAACAGAAAGAGATGGAGGCAAAATATCTATAGGCAAAAGAGATTTAGGAAATATGTCATCCAATCACAGTACATGGACTTTATTTGGATATTGATACAAACTAATAAATCACTGAGAAAATAACATTTATGAGACAATTAGAGTAGGAACACTGGCTGGCAGTATGATGATATGAATGAATTATTGTTAATTTTTTAGGCACGATACGTTAAAACAATCCTCACGCTCTAAAGACACATACTGAAACATTTGTGAATAAAATTATAAAATGTCCTGGATTTTCTTCAAAACAATGTGGAAAATGGGGAAGTGGAAAATGGGGAAGTGGAAAATGGGGAATGTGGAAAATGGGGTTGGGTAATTGCTGACCCCCAGAGGCGGGGACAAGGGGGACATTATGATATTCTTTTTGCATTTGTATATATTTGAAATTTTCAAAATTAAAAATGTAGAAAAATATTTCATGAGGGCTTAAGAACTGCACACTCATGCCCTTGTAGGCATCTGGCCTTCAGAATAACTTAGTGTTTTCTGGAAGACCTCCTGGCCTCATTATTTTGTATTTCTAACATAAAATCAGAGGTAATTTGAAATTTTATTTGTAATGGGCTTCTTTGCAAGTGTACTTCTACCTGAGTTGGCTTTTCATGGCTCCAAAATTGCTCTCTGGGTTTAGGTAGAGACATCTGGCCATTTCGGATGAGTACACCTATTGGCAGGTGGACAGCTTTCTCCATATGGGCCATACCATTACCATAAATCCATATGCATAAATATGCATGAAATAGGTGCCATATGTTGGTTCACTGCTTAACATTCACGGAGCAGACTTTCCCTGTTCACCCTTCTTACTCTCCTCTAATCTTTTCCTTTTGTCTAATCACTGGAGCTCCTAATTTCATACTGTGGTATTTTACTCTTTTTTAGTTTTTCTTTTGCTTCTTTGGGGGAAGACAAGACCCCCCAAAACTAGGGGAATGTCAGTCAAGGCATGGGAGTAGCAGTAGGGCCCGTGTAGGCAAGGAGCAGCGGAGGAGGGCGAGCTAGATGGTGGGTCAGCTCACACAGGAGCCTGGGAGTTTGTGGTGTAGGAAGGATTAAACCCCAGCGATTTTGGTTTTCTGTTGCTGCATCACAAACTACCCTCAAAAGAAAAACTGAACATTTTATTGGGAGGGGTCTTTCTAACTTAAGTTATTGCTCTGCTCCATGTAATGTTGGCTGGGGAAAAAATCGTCTGGGGTTTGGGTGGGCTAGAAAGCCTAGGCTGGTTCATCTCCGCATTGGGCCTCTTGGTGGGGATGGCTGGAAGATTAGGCTCAGTTGGGAGGCTGGTGAGGCCTGGGCCTCTCTCCCACTAGGTGGCTTCAGTGCCTCTCCTCCTGGCATTGCCTTCCATGTGGTCTCTGTGTGGCCTGTCACACAGGGTAGGCAGACTTTTTTAAAAAAATTGTTATTATAGTTTAAGTTCTGGGATACATGTGCAGAACGTGCAGGTTTGTTACATAGGTATACACGTGCCATGGTGGTTTGCTGCACCCATCAGCCCCTCATCTACATTAGGTATTTCTCCTAATGCTATCCCTCCCCTAGTTCCCCACCCCCTGACAGGCCCCGATGTGAGATGTTCCCCTCCCTGTGTCCATGTGTTCCCATTGTTCAATTCCTGCTTATGAGTGAGAACATGTGATATTTGGTTTTCTGTTCCTGTGTTAGTTTGCTGAGAATGATGGTTTCTAGATTCATCCACGTCCCTGCAAAGCACATGAACTCAGCCTTTTTTATGGATGCATAGTATTCCATGGTGTATATGTGCCACATTTTCTGCATCCAGTCTATCATTGATCAGCATTTGGGTTGGTTCCAAGTCTTTGCTATTGTGAATAGTGCTGCAATAAATATACGTGTGCATGGGTCTTTATAGTAGAATGATTTATAATCCTTTGGGTATATATCCAGTAATGGGATTGCTGGGTCAAATGGTATTTCTGGTACCAGATCCTTGAGGAATCACCACACTGTCTTCCACAATGGTTGAACTAACTTACAGTCCCACCAATAGTGTAAAAGCATTCCTATTTGTCCACATCCTCTCCAGCATCTGTTGTTTTCTGACTTTTTAATGAATTGCCATTCTAACTGGCATGAGATGGTATCTCATTGTGGTTTTGATTTGCATTTGTCTAATGACCAGAGATGATGAGTTTTTTTCATGTTTGTTGGTTGCACAAATTTTTTTTTGAGAAGTGTCTGTTCATATCCTTTGCCCACTTTTTGATGGGCTTGTTTGTTTTTTCTTGTAAATTTGTTTAATTCCCTTGTATATTCTGGATATTAGCCCTTTGTCAGATGAATAGATTGCAAAAATTTTCTCCCATTTTGTAGCTTTCCTTTTCACTCTAATGATAGTTTCTTTTGCTGCTCAGAAGCTCTTTAGTTAAATTAGATCCCATTGTCAAATTTGGCTTTTCTTGCCATTGCTTTTGGTGTTTTAGTCATGAAGTCTTTGCCCATGCCTATGTCCTGAATGGTATCGCCTAGGTTTTCTTCTAAGATTTTTATGGTTTTAGGTCTTATGTTTAAGTCTTTAATCCATCTTGAGTTAATTTTTGTATAAGGTATAGGGAAAGGGTCCAGTTTCAGTTTTCTACATATGGCTAGCCAGTTTTCCCAACACCATTTATTAAATAGGGAATCCTTTCCCCATTGCTTGTTTTTGTCAGGTTTGTCAAAGATCAGATGGTTGTAGATGTGTGGCATTATTTCTGAGGCCTCTGTTCTGTTCCATTGGTCCATATATCTGTTTTGGTACCAATACCATGCTGTTTCAGTTACTGTAGCCTTGTAGTATAGTTTGAAGTCAGGTAGCATGATGCCTCCAGCTTTGTTCTTTTTGCTTAGGATTGTCTTGGCTATAGGGGCTCTTTTTTTGGTTCCATATGAAATTTAAAGTAGTTTTTTTCTAATTCTGTGAAGAAAGTCAATGGTAGCTTGATGGAGATAGCATTGAATCTATAAATTACTTTGGGCAGTATGGCCATTTTCCTGATATTGATTCTTCCTATCCATGAGCATGGGATGTTTCCATTTGTTTGTGTCCGCTCTTATTTCCTTGAGTGGCGGTTTGTAGTTCTCCTTGAAGAGGTCCTTCACATCCCTTGTAAGTTGGATTCCTAGGTATTTTATTCTCTTTGTAGCAATTGTGAATGGGAGTTCACTCTTAATTTGGCTATTATTGGTGTATAGGAATGCTTGTGATTTTTGCACATTGATTTTGTATCCTGAGACTGCTGAAGTTGCTTATGAGCTTAAGGTGATTTTGGGCTGATATGATGGGGTTTTCTAAATACACAATCATGTCATCTGCAAACAGAGACAATTTGACTTCCTCTCTTCCTATTTGAATACACTTTATTTCTTTCTCTTGCCTGATTGCCCTGGCCAGAACTTCCAATACTATGTTGAATAGGAGTGTTGAGAGAGGGCATCCTTGTCTTGTGCCAGTTTTCAAAGGGAATGCTTCCAGCTTTTGCCCATTCGGTATGATATTGGCTGTGGGTTTGTCATGAATAGCTTTTATTATTTTGGGATACGTTCCATCAATACCCAGTTTATTGAGAGTTTTTAGCATGAAGGGGTGTTGAGTTTTATTGAAGGCCTTTTCTGCCTCTATTGAGATAATCATGTGGTATGTGATGGATTACATTTATTGATTTGCATATGTTGAGCCACCCTTGCATCCCAGGGATGAAGCCAACTTGATCGTGGTGGATAAGCTTTTTGATGTGCTGCCGGATTCAGTTTGCCAGTATTTTATTGAGCATTTTTGCATCAATGTTCATCAGGCTTATTGGCCTGAAATTTTCTTTTTTTGTGTGTGTCTCTGCCAGGTTTTGGTATCAGGGTGATGCTGGCCTCATAAAATGAGTTACGTAGAAGTCCCTCTTTTTCTATTGTTTTGATAAGTTTCAGAAGGAATGATACCAGCTCCTCTTTGTACCTCTGGTAGAATTTGGCTGTGAATCCGTCTGGTCCTGGATTTTTTTTGGTTGGTAGGCTATTAATTACTCCCTCAATTTCAGAACTTGTTATTGATCTCTTCAGGGATTTGATTTCTTCCTGGTTTAGTCTTGGGAGGGTGTATGTGTCCAGAAATGTATCTATTTCTTTTAGATTTTCTAGTTTATTTGCATAGAGGTGTTTACAGTATTCTCTGATGGTAGTTTGTATTTCTGTGGGATCAGTGGTGATATCCCCTTCATCATTTTTTATTGTGTCTATTTGATTTTCCTCTCTTTTCTCCCTTATTAGTCTGGCTAGCAGTATATCTATTTTGTTAATATTTTCAGAAAACCAGCTCCTGGATTCATTGATTTTTTGAAGGGTTTTTCATGTCTCTATCTCCTTCAGTTCTGCTCTGATCTTAGTTATTTCTTGTCTTCTGCTAGCTTTTGAATTT
The DNA here is from genome assembly GCF_000001405.40 of Homo sapiens. Classification (NCBI taxonomy): domain Eukaryota; kingdom Metazoa; phylum Chordata; class Mammalia; order Primates; family Hominidae; genus Homo; species Homo sapiens. Next base: position 129,571,938 of record NC_000002.12, on the reverse strand, counting down.
CTTTGCTCTTGCTTCTCTAGTTCTTTTAGTTGTGTTGTTAGGATGTTGATTTTAGATCTTTCCTGCTTTCTCCTGTGGGCATTTAGTGCTATAAATTTCCCTCTAAACACTGCTTTAGCTGTGTCCCAGAGATTCTGATACGTTGTATCTTTGTTCTCATTAGTTTCAAAGAACTTAATTATTTCTGCCTTGATTTCGTTATTCACCTGGTAGTCATTCAGGAGCAGGTTGTTCAGTTTCCATGTAGCTGTACAGTTTTGAGTGAATTTTTAAATCCTGAGTTCTAATTTGATTGCACTGTGGTCTTAGAGACTGTTATGATTTTCATTCTTTTGCATTTGCTGAGGAGTGTTTATTTCCAATTTGGGGTGAATTTTAGAATAAGTGTGATGTGTTGCTGAGAAAAATGTATATTCTATTGATTTGGGGTGGGAGGGTTCTGTAGATGTCTATTAGGTCTGCTTGGTCCAGAGCTAAGTTCAAGTTCTGAATATCCTTGTTAATTTTCTGTCTCATTGATCTGTCTAATATTGACAGTGGGATGTTAAAGTCTCCCACTATTACTGTGTGGAAGTCTGAGTCTCTTTGTAGGTCTCTAAGAACTTGCTTTATGAATCTGGGTGCTCCTGTATTGGGTGAGTATATATTTCAGATAGTTAGCTCTTCTTGTTGCATTGATCCCTTTACCATTATGTGATGCCGTTCTTTGTCATTTTCAATCTGTTGCTATAAAGTCTGTTTTATCAGAGACCAGGATTGCAACCTCTGCTTTTTTTTGCTTTCCATTTGCTTGGTACATATTCCTGCATCCCTTTATTTTGAGCCTATGTATGTCTTTGCACTTGAGATGGGTCTCCTGAATACAGCACACCAATGAGTCTTGACTCTATCCAATTTGCCGGTCTGTGTCTTTTAATTGGGGAATTTAGCTCATTTACATTTAATGTTAATATTGTCATGTTTGAATTTGATCCTGTCATTCTGATGCTAACTGGTTATTTTGCCCATTAGTTAATGCAGTTTCTTCATAGGGCTGATGATCTTTACAATTTAGTATGTTTTTGCGGTGGCTGGTACTGGTTTTTCCTTTCCATATTTCCTTCAGGAGCTCTTGTAAAGCAGGCCTGGTAGTGACAAAAATATCTCAGCATTTGCTTGTCTATAAAGGATTTTATTCCTTCTTTGCTTATGAAGCTTAGTTTGGCTGGAAATGAAATTCTGGGTTGAAAATTCTTTTCTTTAAGAATGTTGTATATTGGCCCCCACTCTCTTCTGGCTTGTAGGGTTTCTGCAGAGAAAGCCACTTTTAGTCTGATGGGCTTCCCTTTATGGGTAACCTGACCTTTCTCTCTGGCTGCCCTTACCATTTTTTCCTTCATTTCAACCTTGGTGTCTCTGACAATTATGTGTCTTGGGGTCGATCTTCTCATGGAGTATCTTTGTGGTGTTCTCTGTATTTCCTGAATTTCCTGAATGTTGGCCTATCTTGCTAGGTTGGGGAAGTTCTCCGGGATAATATCCTGAAGAGTGTTTTCCAACTTGGTTCCATTCTCCCCATCACTTTCAGATACACCAATCAAATGTAGATTTGGTCTTTTCACATATTCCCATATTTTTTGGAGGCTTTGTTCGTTCCTTTTCATTCTTTTTTCCCTAATCTTGTCTTCATGCTTTATTTCATTAAGTTGATCTTCAGTCTCTGATATCCTTTCTTCTGCTTTATCGATTTGGCTATTTTTACTTGTGTATACTTCACGAAGTTTTTGTGCTGTGTTTTTCAGCACCATCAGGTCATTTATGTTCTTCTCTAAACTGGTTATTCTAGTGAGCAATTCCTTTAACCTGTTTTCAAGCTTCCTTGCATTGCATTCCTTTCAAGCTAAACATGCTTCTTTAGCTCGTAGGAGTTTGTTATTACCCACTTTCTGAAGCCTACTTCTGTCAATTCATCAAACTCATTCTCCATCCAGTTTTGTTCCCTTGCTGGCAAAGAGTGGTGATCCTTTGGAGGAGAAGAGGCATTCTGGTTTTTGGAATTTTCAGTCTTTTTGTGCTGGTTTTTCCTCATTTTCATGTATTTATCTATCTTTGGTCTTTGATATTGGTGACCTTTGGATGGGGTTTTTGTGTGGACGTCCTTCTTGTTGATGTTGATGCTACTCCTTTCTGTTTGTTAGTTTTCCTTCTAACAGTCAGGCCTCTCTGCTGCAGGTCTGCTGGAGTTTGCTGGTGGTCCACTCCAGACCCTGTTTGCCTGGGTATCACCAGCAGAAGCTGCAGAACAGCAAAGATTACAGACTTTTCCTTCTTCTGGAAGCTTTGTCCCAGAGGAGCACCCATCAGATGCCAGCTGGAGCTCTCCCGTATAAGCTGTCTGTTGAACCCTGCTGGGAGGTATCTTCCAGTCAGGAGGTACCGGGGTCAGGGACCCACTTGAGGAGGCAGTCTGCCCCTTAGCAGAGTCGAGCTCTGTGCTGGTAGATCCGCTGCTCTCTTCAGAGCTGGCAGGCAGGAACATTTAAGTCTGCTGAAGCTGCATCCACAGCCATCCCTTCCCCCAGTTTCTCTGTCCAGGGAGATGGGAGTTTTATCTATAGGTCCCTGACTGGAGCTGCTGCCTTTCTTTCAGAGATGCCCTGCCCAGAGAGGAGGAATCTAGAGAGCAGGCAGACTTTTTATATGACCACTCAGGGCTCCAAAGTTGCAAAGTAGAAACCTCTAGATCTTTGGAAGGGTTAGTTAGGCCCAGCATGGGCACAACACCATTCCCACCATGCTCTCTTGGTGAATGCAAGTCCCAAGGCATAGCAGATTCATGAGGGAGGGGTGTGTTTCCTGGGGGGCCATGTCTACTGACTGGCTTTCCTGGTCCTCCTGGCATCCAGTGATCCATCTCCTTCCCACATGTAGAACACACTCCGCTCCTCCAATGTCTTATTCCAGCATAGATCAGGTTCAGGCTGAAGTACAGGTTCTTGTCCCCCAAATCAGCTCCAGAAGCAGACAAAGGGCCTCAGGCAGTTTTTTAGGTTCATCTCAGTCATTGTTCCTTGTGAATAGAAGACTAGGAATAAAGAGGCAGATGACCTGTTCATCATCTTCCAACATGTAATGATGAGGCAGAGACGCATTCATTACAGCAGACAAACTTGTAGGAGAAAAGGTGGGAGACTGAAGTTATATGGACATCACTGGTCCACTTCGATCCTGTAATTGATGTGGCCGCATCTCTGCAGTCCTGCCTCTGGGAATGGTTCTCCATGGCATTGGCTCTGTCTTCTGAGTCTTCCTGTCCATGGGGAGTGGTCCCACTTGTAGTTCTTAGCATTCTCAGGCTGCCTCCTTCCCAGAGACTGCTGAGGCCTCTGATAATACTTTCCATTTTGAGTTGTATCAGTCTCTTTCAGACCAAGCTGGTAAAAGTTCTTCTAAAAAATTGTAATTTATTACACATCAAATTAAAATTCTCTTCCATTTCCTCTTGGGATGGGTCATGTGTGACATTGCTTTCTGGGTGGCCGTTTTAGTCCAGCTGAAAGGTCTTAACAAAGAAACTTACAGCCGTACTTTTGATCTGATCTTTCACTGAGTTGATTTCCTTATGCAGCTTCAAGTGAGTTCCTCCTGTGTGTTTCCTTTCCCCCTTTGTTATTCACATCAGCCCTCATTGTGGTCGTGTCCCTTCAACGTCATTTTAGGTTTGCTTCTGCTGAGCATCTGAGGGTCTTCTTGAGTCAGGAACCAGTTTGCTCATTAATTTCTTAGCTTGGAATCGTACATCATGTACTAGGGAATCAGCTTGGAATTCTTGCACCATGTGTCAGTAGCACATGGCACAGTCCACAGCTCAATTTTTTTTTTCCATAGGAATCTTTTTCTACCAGAGCAGTTATATATTTTTCTCCCACTTTCCTGGTCCTGGTGGCTGTAGTTCTGATTTCCTCTTCCATGAGGAAAGGCAATTTTACATAACAGTGTGCTCCAGGTAGGAAAGAGGCATGTAGAATTGGGGGCCAGACAGCTGGAGTTTTAATCGCAATTTCTCTGTAACCTCAAGAAGTCATCTGCTCTGTACTCAGGTTCCCTATATGTAAAATAATGAAAATAATGCAACCCCTCTCATAGGTTTATAGCAGAGACTGCTGGTTGTTCACTAAACCTTTTTCTTCTTCTTCCAGCGCACACAGCTAGAATACACTTCCCAGCCTCCTTTGATGTTTATTGTAGCCCCACAACTGATTAGCCAATAGAGTATGGGTGTAGGCAATGTGAACCACACCAGTCTGGCCCCTAAAAACCTTCTTCGGGTATCTTCTACCTGCTTTCACCATCCCGACGGCTAAAATAGAGTCTAGTTTTTCAAAGTAATCTTGGAAAACAAGTTTGAGGACAGCAGAGATTCCATCAGTCAGAGTCCCTGGATGACTGCAAGAAGGACCATCCTGTTGACCTAGATACCTGTCCAATCCAATGCTGTCACAGGAGACAGAAACCAGCTACTATGATGGTGGAGCCATTATACACACTTTGATCTCTTTGAAATAGAGCCAGCCTGCCTATACATGCATCATTATTACAAGAATTAAATGAGTTAATACATGTGAAATACTTAGGACAATGACTGGAACATAATAAAGGGTTAATAATCATTATGGATAATGCATTAGTACCAGGTTTATGCAGAGTTCTTAGTGTTAGCTCCTTGCCTAGCACAGGCCCAAGCCCTCCTCTTCTATTCTCCTTTGGTTGGTCAAACTCTGGCCCTGGCTATTAGTGCCTGTATTCACTTCTCATAGTTGTCTGGGTCTCAGAGGCATTAGCTCACCTGCTTAGACTGTTGGCTGTGTAGTCCTCCCCGCTTAATGTTGCCTGAAGATTTCTATTTCTTTCCATTTCTACTATTTCTAAACTATATTTTATCCAGCAGTTCTGCTTATAGCAGATAGGATGTCCACATTTGCTAATTTTGCCATGTTTTAAGAGGTGACTCTGGAAGATTCTTAAAACCTACAGTAAACAAGTCTCAGGAGCTGCTAAAATGTGCAGAGTATCAGGAGACCACTGGAAAAAAGAAATGTTTAATAGGTGTGCTATGCACCCACTGTACTTGATTTATCTCCATCATTCTCCAGAATCCACCTGGAAGTGATGATTCCCCTGGAAGTCATCCAATATTAAATGCGTTGCTTCCCACCTTTACATTAACACAGAAAAGTCACTCGCTGAAATTTCCAGCATCCTCAGAGCTTCAAGGCAAGTACAGCTGTTCTAAGTAATTTTCATCATTTCTTTTGCACTTTTCACACAAAATAACTCCAAATCACCTTAAAGTTCTTGAGGAAAGGCAGCACCCCATCGTTTTTTCCCCCTGGCAATTTGTCAAGTTGAGCTGTCTGACATATTTTAAAATTTGGTGTCATATTCTGGGAAGTCAAAAAATCTTTCTGGTTTCCTTCTTGACAGACATAGGACATTAGGGTGAAAAGTGAATTCTCCAGTTGTCTGCCAGGGGCTTCATCGAAAGGGACTAGACTCAAGTGACATTCTCATAAACAAAATAATGAGACTTTATCTGCAGAGTTTGGTATGACTGCGTTATGAGGCAGTCTGGTTTATTTGAAAATAGATAGGGTTTCAAAACACTCTGAATTGGGCTTAAGCCCCAGCTTTTTATTATTAGCCACATTTTTATCCTTAAAAATGGGAATACAGTTGACTTCAAAGGGTGAGAATTAAATGAGAACACATCTAAGAAAATACCCAGCATGAGACACAATGATAACGACAGTGTCATGTTGAAAGAGAAAGTGGGCTTACACTTCCAGCTGAAATCATGTAGCATATATTGGAATAACTCTTTCACTGCAGACAGCTATAAAATCTGGATTAAAAATAAAATGAAGCGTATGAAGGCATTGGAGCCAGAGCAAGGCAGGCAGGACTTGAGGGACCGCACTCCAAGAAAGCAGGAAAGTGCATGTAAATGCCTTGCTACTCACCTCGGGGCACCTGCTGATTCACAGTATGGGAGGTAGGGTTGGGTCCACAGCAGCCCAGGGCTTATGCAGACTCTGAGGCAGCACAGTGGCGTGGATTAAGAAGGTAAGATCTTGGAGAGGTAGGAAACACAGGATTGAGGCAGAACTCCTGCTTGCAACTTCCCTTTGAGGGATTGGCTACCTTCCAAGCTGTATGTTCTTGCAACAAGGCACTGAGAGTCCAAGATGAAAGGAGCAGCACGGAGATGAATATCTGAGCAGAGATTCCCACAGGCTCATGGTGCTGGGAACAGGGAGTGTGGAGGGGCCCTGGTGAACACAGAAGGCTCCCACTGGGACCAGGGAAGACTATGCCCTGGGAGTGAGAATTATGCCTTAGGAGTAAGGCTAACTGGGAAGGCAACCGTGCCCAAAACACAGCTTCAACACGGTCAGAGTGATCTGCCAGAGACGACCTGCCATCTATCTCTCAGAAGAAGGAGACATCCTCTCTGGGGGAAGATAGACCCTACATTTATTTCCTATGTGATATATGTGTATTTCATAAAAAATTACCAGACATGTCAAAAAACAGGACCAAATGACTAAAAGTCACAGAAAAAGGCAGACAATGGAAACATTCCAGGTACTGGAATTTTTAAAATATTGGATTTTATGATTAATACAGTCAAGAAAATAGAGAAAATTATGGATGATTCCACCAGAGAACTAGAATTTATTGAAAAATGAAATACTGATTTTGTACATAAAAAGGTATAATAACTGAAATTAAGAATTTAAAAATAGCGAGTCTATTTTTAGTAGATTAGCAGATTAGGCACAAGAAAATGGATGAAAATGAATTGGAATATTGTCCTGGATTGTATCATGGAGGAATTTTATATATATATATATTTTTGTTTGTTTGTTTGTTTTGTTTGTTTGAGACGGAGTCTCCCTCTGTTGCCCAGGCTGGAGTGCAGTGGTGCGATCTTGGCTCACTGCAAGCTCCGCCTCCCAGGTTCATGCCATTCTCCTGCCTCAGCCTCCCAAGTAGCTGGGATTACAGGCGCCCACCACCACACCTGGCGTGGTGTATTTTTTGTGTGTGTGTGTATTTTTTTGTATTTTTAGTAGAGATGGGGTTTCACCGTGTTAGCCAGGATTGTCTCGATCTCCTGACCTTGTGATCCGCCCACCTTGGCCTCCCAAAGTGCTGAGATTACAGGCGTGAGCCACCACGCCCAGCCAGGAATTTTATATTTTTTAAAAGTAAGAACTTAAGAGATATATAGAAGATGGTGAAATATCTAAAATACATGTTACTGGTGCTATTCTTCAAGAAAAGGAAGGCAAAATAAAGACATTTACACGCAAACAAAAACCAAAAAACCGAATTTGTTGACCTTCATAAAAAAAATAGAATTTAAGTGTGAGTTTTTCACAAAGAAGGGAAATTTCTCCTGACGGAAGTCTGGTAGGGAGAAAGGAACGAGGTGCACAGGAAATGATAAATAAATGGATAACTCCAAATGAATATTGACTTTTTGAAACAATGATTCTAATGTCTTACGGGGTTAAAATATATGTAGAAATACACAACAATATTAACACAACAGGTGTGAGACAGGCAAATGATATCAAATTGTTTTTACATTCTTGCATTGTTCTGGAGGTGTTGAAGCAATGGTTTAAGACAGGCTATAATAAATCAAGAACATATATTGTTATTTCATAAATATTAACACATATACATAATGGAAAAACTTAATAAAGAGAAAAAATGGAATAATACACCATATTGATTAATACAAATGAAGAAAAAACTACGGAAAAGTTATACAGAATAAAAGAAAAAATGAAATAAAAAGGTAAATTTAAATGCAAATATATTCATTAAATATAAGTTTTGTATTTGTCAATGATCCAATTAAATTAATCGAATTAAAAGTGAAAGCTCTCCACACATGTAGACATAGATTTATAATGAAGGTGACAATGCAGCACAGTGAAGAAAGATTAACTTTTCAAAATGTGCTATTGAATCAAATGGGTATTGATATGGAACAAAACCCTGAGCCATACTCAGAAATGACTAGAAATGTATTGTAATCTGAATGTGAAAGGTATAGTAAGTATATAAGAATAAATAAGTCTTTAGAATAAAATATGTTATAATAACTTTGTGATCTTGGGGTAGGCAAAAATTTCCTAAACAAGCACAAAAAGCACCAACTACAAACCAACTACAAAGAAAAAAACTCAATAGGCTGTAATGTATTAAAATTAAAAATTGTTCATCACAAGGCATCATTAAGTGAATGCAAAAACACAAGCCACAGAGTGGGGAAGGGATCTGCAATAGATATTGCTGGCAAAGAACACATATTCAGCACACAAAGCAGAACTCCTGCAAGCCAATTAGAAAAAGTTAGACATCTTAATTGAAAATGAGCAAAAGTACTTGAATAGGCACATAGTATATCTAAATAGTAAACCTAAGTAAGGTGCATCACTTCATTAGTCATTAGATGAATGCAGATTAAATCTATAAGGCCCCATTGCTCTAAGTAAAGTGAAAAAGACAAACAATGCCAAGTCAAGGTACAAGAACTCTGTTATGCCACTGGTGGGATTGGTAACTGACACAATCACTATGGCTAATGGTTTAGTACTATCTACCAAAGATGAACATCAATGTAGCATAACACCCAGCAATTTTATTCCTAGATATATAGAGAGACAAAATGTGTGTATGTGTTTATAAAACTGTAGAAACATTTTAATGGCAACCCTGTTTGTAAAGGTCTCAAACTGGATGTTATGAAAAGTTCAATAGAAAGATGCATTAAAAAAATTGCTGTGTACCATACAACAGAACACTATCAGAAAGACAAAAAGCAAACTACTGATAGAGCAATGTGAATGAATCTCACAAACATAGGTTGAGTGAAAGGAGAGAGTCACAGAAGACTTAATATTGCATTATTTCATTTCTATAAATTTCAAAAGCAGGCAAAAGTAGTATACGGTGTTAAAAGTAAGAATAGTGGTAGGCCCTGCAGAGAGGCAGTGTCTAGGAAGGGGCATGAAAGCTTTTGGGTTGCCAAATGTTCTATTTCTTGATCTGCATGCTGATTATACAGTGATGTTCATTTAATGAAAATTTACTGAGAGGTTTAAGGTACACACCCATTCCTAAATGTATATTTTTGTATTTTTTTTTGAAGACAAACATTGTCAGACCAAAAAAACCCAATTATTGGCTGCATTCAAAGCCACACCTTAACTATGAAGACACAGAAAGATTGAAAGTAAAAGGAAGGAAAATCATATTCCATGCAAACACCAAAAGAATGATGTTATCCCTGTACTAAGATCAGACAAAGCAGACTCTAGAGCAAGAAGTATTAATAATGATAAAAAGGGACATTCCATAATGAAAATGCAGCAATTTAACTGGAATATGTAAACATTTTGTATCTGTATTGATCTAACAGCACAGCCTCAAAGATATAAAGCAAAAATTTACAGCAATAAAGGGACAGGTAGGCAAATCAATAATCATACCTGGAGATTTTGGCAAACCTCTCTGCTGATTTGATGCCCAAACAAAAACAGTAAAGATGTGGAATATTTATTTATTTATTTATTATTTTTTTTTCTTTTGAGATGAAGTTTCACTCTTGTTGCCCAGGCTGGAGCACAATGGCGCGATCTCGGCTCACTGCAACTTCCGCCTCCCGGGTTCAAGCGATTCTCCTGCCTCAGCCTCCTGAGTAGCTGGGATTACAGGTGCCCACCACCACGCCCGCCTAATTTTTGTATATTTAGTAGAGACGGGGTTTCACCATGTTGACCAGGCTGGTCTTGAACCTCTGACCTCAGGTGATCCACCCTTCTCGGCCTCCCAAAGTGCTGGGATTACAGGCTATTTATTTATTATTTATTGAAACGGCGTCTCACTCTGTTGCCCAGGCTGGAGTGCAGTGGTGTGATCTCGGCTCACTGCAAGCTCCGCCTCCCAGGTTCATGCCATTCTCCTGCCTCAGCCTCCCCAGTAGCTGGGACTACAGGCGCCCACCACCACGCCTGGCTAATTTTTTTTTTTTTGTATTTTTAATAGAGACAGGGTTTCACTGTGTTAGCCACGATGATCTCCATCTCCTGACCTCGTGATCCAGTGGCCTCAGACTCCCAGAGTGCTGGGATTACAGCTGCGAGCCAAAGTGCCCTGCCAAGATGTGGAATATTTAAACAACACAATTAGCAAACTTGAAGCAACTGACCTGGTAGAGCATTCAACCAACAACTTCAGAGTACACATTATAGTCAAGAGATTTCAATATCTTAAATATTTACCAAAGAGACCCCATGCTTTGTGATAGAGCTAAGCTTATCAGTCCCTGTGGGACTGTCAAATTCTGCCATATTTTAGGGCCTCATTCAAATTCCATTTCTAATTACCTTTTTGATTACTGCAGCCTGCTTGGATCTCCTTGTTTCCCATAGAGAAACATGGCAGGATAGAAAAAACCCTGACTTAGAAGTCAGGCAGCCTGGCACCCCCCTCCCAACTGGGTATAGATCCTAATTCCAGAACCTATTTACTTAACAGCTGGGGCGAGTGATTCATCTCACCAGGGCTCAATTTGCTCCTCTGTAAAAGGAAAGGACAGTTGTTTTGGAGGGCTGGTAGGGGGTTGCATGGGATACTATAAGTAACACTTTTAAGCCAGAGCAGGTATTCAGCAGACAGCAGTACCCTCTTCTGTCCTTCTCCAGACTGTTCACCATGATCACTAGTTTACCACATACCTGGGCCTCATTTCTTCCACATAAATTAGTTTCACCTCCCCAACTAAGCCTTAAAGGGATAGGGACCAATTCCTATTGCATTCCCTGGGCACCTAGCACAAAGCTATGATATCATAAAAAAATGTTGGCCTGGCGCGGTGGCTCATGCCTGTAATGCCAGCACTTTGGGAGACCGAGGTGGATGAATCAAGAGATCGAGACCATCCTGGCCAACATGGTGAAACTCTGTCTCTACTAAAAATACAAAAATTAGCTGGGCTTGGTGGTGGGCACCTGTAGTCTCAGCTACTCGGGAGGCCGAGGCAAGAGAATCGCCTGAACCCAGGAGGCGGAGCTTGCAGTGAGCCGAGATCGTTCCATTGTACTCCAGCCTGGTGACAGAGCAAGACTCCATCTCAAAAACAAACAAACAACAAACAAACACAAAAACAAACAAAAAAACCTGTTTTAACAATAACATGGTCAGGGGACAGAGAGAGAAGGAGGAGGAAGAGAAGGAGGAGGAAAAGAATGACAATGAACATTTATTGTGGATAGATTCCACTCTGGATTCTGGGAAAATGACTTAACATGCAGTGTCTCACCAGTCCTTGAAACCTATAATCCCAATTGTACGAGTTAGATTGCCGCCTCCTGAGTAGTGAACTTGCCAAGGCTCACTCCAGTAGATTGATCCAGTCCTTCCTGGCTCAAAAGTCTTGTTGCTTAACCTCTGAACTACATTTCCTCCATACGTGATAGGTACCCAGGGTGTATCTGCTGCCAAATTTATAATTCATGTCCTAAAAGGAATGAGGACCCCCCCACTGGCTGGGGCAAGTTGGGCAGATGGCAGAAAGAGGGAAGAGTGCAAGGTGGTTGGGAAGTGCTGCTGGGGTGTGCCACTCTGGCACCAGAACCCTCTCACCATTAGCCACATGAGGCAGGCCAAATTCAAAGCCACATAGCCAGGGAACCCTGCCTGACTTCCAGCTACTGCAGAAAAATGGGTAGAGACCTTAGGTTCTTGGATTGCTAATGCTTTCTGAGTGTCTAGGACAATATCTACCCTTCAGCACTTTGCTCAGGGCAGTCATGGAAGCTGATGTCTGTGAAACAGGTTTACTGGGCACAGATCGCCAACTTGTCTGAGTCCTGTGAGGCAGAACATCCACATACAGGTTACATGAAGTGGGTTTGTCACTCACAGATAGGCAGCAATGGATCACAGAAGCCTAGGATTTGTGACAAGGGCCTTCCAAGGCTCAGGAAAGCTGCTCAGATGGAGTCTTGTCTGCTTGTGCCCCACTGGCACCACAGCTGAGGGACCTTGGAAAGCAGCCCATCCTTGGTTTTATACTTTAAGGAAATGGGACTCACTGGGCTAAAGCATAGCAAGACATTCTGTTTTAGGAGAAATGCGGACAGAGCCTGCACTGTTCCAGCCAGTATCTCCTCATCTCAGGACGCTGCATTCTCAGCACATTCTACAGTTATTCTTGAGAACTACAAGTGATAAAGAGGGTTCGTTCAAAGGCTATCCAGTGACACTGTCCCACAGCGTCAACGTACAGAGTACCAGCAGGACATGCATATAACCAGATGTGTGGATTTATCCTCTCGATAGATGCCAAAGGGCTCTCTAAATTATAGGATTCTGCAGCTGTGAGAGGCCGCTGGTCAGCTGGTTCTTCACAGGTGAGGAGAGGAGAGCCAAGAACTGAAGCAGCTCTGGGCTGTGATGCATGATCTGACTTCCAGCCGGTGTGAGTCCTTCCCGAGGGTCCTCTGGAGGATGCACGCACGGGGGGACTGGCAGGGCTGAGGAGCTGCTACAGCCAAGCAGCCTGATGCCACTGCTGACTCATTCCTCTTCGAGGTGACACATGGCTCCCCACAACACAGACACTGGGCCTGAGCCCCATCACTGACTGGACCATCGACTGACTCCCTGTAGAAGGCCTTGGCAGGTGGTGTTATCTGATTTGATTCATGTCTATCTTTAAATTCACTCCCACAACTAAACTGAGAGCACGGTGATGGGAAAAGCCAGCTTTAGTGCTGTCTGCTGCTAAGCATGTTTTTAGGTCGCTTGCTCTCCATGGAAAGATAGAATTCTACCCCAGTGCTAAAGATATACTGTTTGGATATACTTAAATAAATTTGGAGATCTCTTCTGTTGTAAATATTTTATAACTCAACAGCTGTTTTGGCCCAGCAAACCACTTTATGAGTCTTTCTTGTTGTAATTGCTCTTATTTGAGCTCTTACGTCCAACTTTAAAAGCAGGTAATATGAATCCTTTGTACCTCCATAGTCATTTCAGTGGAGCTCCATCCTTAGAAATCTGATGCCCAGGTTGCTAAGGATCCGAAGTGTAGAAAGGTTGACTCATAGATGGTAAATAGATAATAGACAGGTATTGATTTAAACTGTAGTGATTATAAAGATTTATTGCTCCAAGAAGCATATATTGACTATAAAAAGTAAGGTCAAAATTTGGCATTGAATTAGCAATAAATATTGATATATACCAAAGCAGAAAGGCAGTAGATGTAAATAATGCTCACTGCATGTTGAATCTAAAAATGAATCATTTGCTCTACAACCTCAGGTTCCCAAGACACACGCACAACAGATATGTTAAAACTTAGGAAAGAAGGTGCCTTGATGCAGAGCCATTCAGACAGATGTCATCTGTATCTGCTACCACGATGACATTAGGATAATTACTAAAGTATGAATATTCCTGTTGCCATGCCAGTGAAGCTGGTCCCAGCTTGATTTCATTCCTGAGTCGATTATAAAGGCACTGAGTCGATTATAAAATAACACTGTGCAAGAGACTGCACTTACTCTAGCTAGCTAGAGGAGATATTGCCACTCTCCGCCCAGTGGAGAAACCCACTGGGTGTTGTTCACAAACGCTGCTTCCAGAACATAAAAGTGTATGTACATAGACCAAGCATCTGGATGGAAAGCAAGGAATATGGTCAGCAAAGTTCTGCCATCTGAATTTTCCTTTTCATTCAGATGTTGTCATGACTAGGTCTTAGCACCTAAAACACTTCATCTAATCACGCACCTATTTCTCTACCATCTCTGTGCCTTTCTGCCTGTCTTAGCATGGTGCTAGCTGCACTTCCAAGGCCCATTGAAAGGATCACTGAGCACAAAAACTTGCCAGAGTCTAGTTTTTAGGTCACAATAGTTGACCCTGGTGTCTACAGATGCGTTTCAGCAAAGCCATTAAACTATTGAAATTTGATGAAACTTGCAATTATATTTATATGCTATGTAATTCTCCTTAGAGAGAGTCTGTGGCTCTGGATACATTCTAAAGAGATCTGTGACCTGAAAGAGGTTGAGAAGTTATAAAGAAACATGTGAATTAAAATGGAAGAAAGGGACAATTGGAAGCATATCTGAGGTAAGAAAGAGGTTTCCTATTGTTTCTCATAAAAGCATTCTCAGGGGACCTCTGTTGCAGCTGCAGCAGGAACCCATATTTAAACCCACATCATTTGGTACCTGGAAGTGGAGTGCTTGCCCCTCTTCTTATGGTTTGATCCTGCCCTTGTGGAAAATCCCAGCTCAATCAACACCCTACATGCAGTGCAGTTTACCCTCTCCTCCCCTCCTGCCTCATCCTGCAGGTCTCTCCAGGCTTCACCTCAGGCTCTCCTTTCAGCTGGGATGCTGCAGGCCCCACCCAGTCATTGCAGGGCAATAGCATCTTGTCTTTCAAAGTCTCAGTTGGAGCCACACTTAATTTGGGAACCCTCTGATTACCCTCAGTTGGCTTCTCCACCATGATCCCTGTCATCTGTGTTCCTTTCTCTAACGGTTCTGACCACGCTGTTTTATAAGCACCGGCTTTGTCTTTCTCCCTTGCTAGACTGTGCCCTCCTTGAAGGAAACAAGCATGGCTTTCATCCTCATATCCCCAGCCCCCAAGGGCAGAGTCTCACCCTGCAGAGAAGCTCAGGAGATGTGCGTTGCAGGAGCACAGCTGCTGCGACTCTGCCTGCTCCAAGCAGCTGTGCAGGAGTCACTGTCTGCACTGCAGCTCTGAGGTGCCCAACCCTCGTCTGCACTGCAGCTCTGAGGTGCCCAACCCTCGTGGTGCTTCGGGTGCTGTGTGGTTGATCCCGGCACCCTAGGCGGGTGGGAAGCTACTTGGAAACAGAGCCTGTTTTCATGTTCTCTAACTCACAAAAAAGCCCAGCCCACATAATTCCTTGTGAATGCCTGTGAGGGACAGGGCAGGGTCCAGATGGACATCAGTAAAGGGGAGCTGAGCCCCTCTAGTGTTTGCCATATCTCCAGGAGCAGACACTGCCACTGAGTCTTCACAGAGATGGGATTAAGAAAGAAAATTGAAATTTTTGGAAAGAAATGCTTGAGTCTTAATGCCAGCCATCCAGGATTTAAATGGTCTTTTAATGATGTCAACCACATCAGGTTTGCAAAAGTGTATCAGGAAGGGGGTCCTGCCAAAACCAGCAGATCCAGCCCAGGAAGTGCCCTCCTTCCCCAGCCTGAGAGTACTCTCCCTCACTCAGACACAGGGCTGGGGTTACCTGTGAGGAAAATTTCATCACGACGTGTGCCTGGGAAGGTGACTTTGTCTCTACTCCTCAGAGACTGCATTCCCGTCACCGAGAGGCAATAGGCAGCCAGGCTGGGGAAGCTTCTTCATTCTCTCAAGCAGCACAAGCAGGAAACAGTGAGACCTCCAGGGAGAAATGTAACTGTAATACATCATTAGAGGACATCTAAATAGTTGGAGAAGCAGTCTGTATTCATGGATCAGAAGACTAGCGCTGTTTAGATGGCAATGCTTCCCAATTGACCTATAGATTCAAGGCAGTCCCCATGAGAATCTCAGGTAACTTCCTTATAGGAATTAAGAAGCTGATTCTAAAATGTATATGGACTTGCAAGGGACCCAGAAGAGCCAAAATAATCTTGAAACAGAAGAATAAGGTAGGTGTACTCATACTTCCTGATTTCACAACTCACTACAAAGCAAAAGAAATCAAGACGATATGATCCTGGCATTAAGAAAACAGAGAGATCAATGAAATGTCATGGAGAGAGTCCAAAAATAAATCCACACATTTAATAGTCAACTGATTTTTGACAATGGTGTCAAAACCATTCAGTGAGTAAAGAATAATCTTTTCAACAAATGGTACTGGGACAAATGTATGCAGCCATATGCAAAAGAATGAAGTTGAACTCTTACTTCACTCAATTTAAAAGTTAACTTTAAATGGAGCAAAGACCTAAATATAAAAAGCAAAACCAAAGAAATCATGGAAGAAAAAGTAGGATTAAGTCTTCATGATCTTGAATTTAGCAAAGGATTCTTAGATGTGATATCAAGAGTACAAGCAATAAAAAATTATACTTTGTCAAAATTAAAAACTTTTGTGCTCCAAAGGAAACCATAAACAAAATGAAAAGACAACACACAGAACGGAAAAAAATCTGCAAATCACATATCTAAAAAGGGACTTATATCCAGAACAGATAAAGAGCTCTTCAGTTCTTTATTACTGAACTTTCAGTTCAGTCCTCAGTAATAAAACAACAAATAATCTAATTAAGGAATGGACAAAGGATCTGAGTAGACATTTCTCCAGGGAATATGTACAAATGACCAATGAGCACATGAGAAGATAATCAGCCTCACTAGTCATCAGAGAAACGAACATCAAAAAAAAAAAAGTCACAGTGAGATACCACTTCACCCCCACTGGCATGACTAGAACAAAAAAGTTAGACAGTAATAAGTGTTGGTGATGATGTGGAAAAATTAGAACCCTCATATCCTGCTAGTAGGAAGATAAAAATTGTGCAGCCAACTTGGAAAACAGTTGGGCAGTTCCTTAAATGATTAAGTATAGAATTACCATGGAGCCCAGCAATTCCACTTTTAGGTATATATCCAACAGAAGGGAAACATGTTCACATAAAACCTTGTACATGACTGTTCATAGTAGCATTATTCACAATAGCTAAAGGTTGGATGCAACCCACATGTCCATCAACTGATGAATGAAGAGACAAAATTTGGTATATTCATACAATGGAATATTATTTGTCCATAAAAAGAATGCAACTCTGATACAAACTACATGAATGAAATTTGAAACATGCTAAATGGAAAAAGCCAGTCACCAGAGACAACATATTGTTGTATTCTATTTATACAAAATGTGCAGAACAGGGAAATGTATAGGGACAGATAATAGATTAGTGGTTGCACAGGGCTGGGGGTGGGTGCAGACCACCTAAGGAAGTGACAGCTAAAAGCACAGGTTTTTGATGAAAATATTCTGTAATTGCCTGGGGTGATGAGTGCACACATCTGTGAGTATGTTAGAAACCACTGTATTATACAATTTAAATAGGTAAGTTGTGTGGTATGTGAATCATAATTCAAAGTAACTGTTAGAAAGAGGATGGGAAGTCCAGAAAGTTCCAAATTATCTAGCCTGACTGCAGCATAGGCTGCCGTGGCTGATGCAGAGCACACAGCTGGAGAGAGGGAGGGCCCTGCCAGATGGGGAGTTGGGACAACATTCCCAGATCGGTGGGGAGCCGGGGCAAGCTTAGGCTATAGAATGTTGGCATGGCAGATTTCAGGGGGAATGGGAGGAAGAAGAGGCAGGGTGATCTGCTGTTCCATGGTCAACTGTGTTTCCACAGTCCCAAAAACATTTCTTGCCCTGCAAATGTGCTACATTTCTCCCCCTACCCCTACTTATCTCAGCTGGTGATGCTATTGTTCCGCCTCCCAGCTCACAGTCCTGGCTTTTTCACTGATCCTGATAGATATGAACTCCTATATGTGGCATTAGTTTATCCATGTATGTTTTCTCAAGAAAAAGCAATGATTGTTTGATGCTTCAGTGTGGTAGAGAGGGAGGATTATCCTGACTGTTGACTCTTTTCTGTGCCTGCTGACTTCCGTAAAAAAGCAAATATTCCCCTCAGCTCCGGCCTCTTTTCTGTATGACCTGGGGGTGCAAGTTTTGGCAGCCTGAGAAGTAGCAACCATCCCTTTCATGAACCTTTTTACAAAGATAATCTTTTGGTGTCTTTTTAATTAAATGAAGTATTCCACTGTTCTTGGTAGGACTAGAAAAATATCACAAAAACTCAATGCACTAGAAGATCGGCCAAAATTGCAAAGCACTTACAAATTACCTAGGATGTGGCAGCCCAGTGAGCAAGGAGTAACAGTAAACGTGTAGACCACTGAACCCTGAGGCTGACTCTCCACTGGCCTTGGATGTGGTATAAACCCATGCTGTTCCCACCCAGCATTTCCAAAATGATACTTGGACTTCCTGAAGCAACAGGGTAGAGTTCTTTTGAGTAAAGGGAAAGGAATCGAAGCTGGCTCAAATAACCTGCAGAAGAAAGAGGGTTGAAAAACTACCAAGACTGTGGGACTTGCAGCTAGGTACCTTGCAATGGGGCTGCTATCGGTGACTGCGGGGTTTGTGCTCTGGCCTCTGTGGAACAACAGGCTTCCCCCAGGGATTTCTGGCATTGGAGCACTGCATTGGCCACTCCAGTTTTTATTCATCCTATCACCCCACCTCCACTGTCAATCAAGGGTGTGACCTTGACTTGGACGCCTGTGTGTCTCCCTGCCAGTTCTCCCAGGTTGTGGTTAAGACTGCAGTTCTGGGTCACCTGTATACCCAGGGTGGGTCCTGGTAGGGACTCATCCCACCTTCAAGAGTCCGGAAGAAACAGGCATGCAAAGAAATAAGTGAAACATAGCAAGGCGGCTGCTGCAACAGTGGGGCAGGTCCAGGCCATGATAGAGACAAGGGTTAGAGCCACCTCCCAGGAAGGCTGCACGGGGGAGGTATCCTGAGGAGAGTCTGAACCCGAGGAGCATATATGAACTTGCTAGGTAGATGGGGGCAGTAACCTCCTCAGGTAGACAGTGCTTAGGCTCTTTGGATGACTTCCTGCAGCCCTTAACACTGTCTCCCCTTCTCTCTGTACATAAGAAAAATAAATCAACCTAAGTCATACTTTTCTATGACTCTTAATTATTTTTCTTCCATGAGTCAAGAGACTGTCAATAAATGAGCTCTTCTTTCCTCGACATGCAGAACTAAAATGGTATCCACCAGATTCTTAGCAGCATAACTGATGAAGTTGCAAAGGTATTTAGGGGGTAGAGGGCAATAAAACATTATGTTTGTAAAAGCAGAATGTCTTAGAGCTTTCAAAGTATGTTGATAACTCCTAGTGCTTTCAATTCTGAAAACTTCTCAGAAGTTGTATGATATCCTTATTGTACAGCTGGGCAAAGTAAAGTCTTAGGGAGATAATATGACTTCTAGGTCTTCCAGATTTGATGAGCTGTAGATGGATAAGTGGGGTTACCTGGACACCTGGGCCAATGCTTTCCTTTGGCAACAATAGAACGGGAGGAGTGGCTTAGTGGGAAGAGTGGGAAATATTCCAGGCAGGAATCATAGAGCCTCAGTTTGGTGAGAAATCCTACTTCGTACATACTGCTGGGCTCTGAAAATCCAGGGATAGAGACCAAGGGTCTCAAGGACCTGTCACAGATGAACAAAGTGGAATTTGTAAACAAACTGAAGATCCATGCCCCCTGCCTGGAATTGCTCATTTTCCATGAAAATACAAGGCCTGAGTAGGGAGTGTGTCTATATCACAGTGAGTCTGATGTTGGGCGGGGAAGTGGGGGCAGGAAGAGATGAATGCTATCTACAAAACATCACAAGCAAACACTTCCACACTTGAAAGAAATGTGAACTCTTTCCATTATAAATGTGAGTATCACTGGAGCACTATTTATACAAATGTGGCCACTGACCAGAACTGTCCTTGACTGGACTGTGGGCAGGCTCTGAGGAAGAAGGCTCCTGCCAGTAGGGACAGGCATGTGTCCCAGGTGCTAGCAGCATTTTTGATTTATATGAAAAAGATATTCTGATTTTCCTTCTCAAAAAGAAAAAAGTTTGAAAGATGATTGTGCACATTCTTTGTATAGTGTTTCTGTTTTGTTTGATTCAATATAACTTCACTGAATATCTACCAGGTAGAGACATCATTCCAGATCATGAGGATACAGGGAAAGAAGGGACTGTCCTGCAGGTTCACCTTTGCTAGTCTTGTTCCCTCTACCTAGACTCCCCATTCTTCTGGATCACCCCTCCCCAGGAGGCTCCCTGTTTCCTTACCCTGTACCCCAGGTAGGGCAAGATACCCTTTTCTCTCTCTGCTCACCTCAGTCATCCGCCCTGGACTGGGAGCCCCGAGGCCAAGGCCTGGCTCTTTTCTATCCCTGGTCCCAGAATCTCACAGGTCTGGCACAGAACTAGTCTAGACAAATGTATAGGGATGAACAGGTACCCTCAGGCCCTGTATCTAGGGCAGTAGGCCTTTAGTGGTATTAAACAGGTCATATTCACCTCAGCAAGGTATGCCTGTTATCAGCTCTGGAAAGATGTGGGGTGTGAGCATATCCTCAAACAGGCAGAAGCCTTCCCTTTTCCTGGGCCTGTTGAGAAGAAGCTCTGACAGTCCTTCCTCTGGGGCCCGGGCACCCTCCTTGGGCCAGGCTGCATGAAGGCCATCCCTTAATCTGCCAATCTCAGCGTTTTTCTTTCTGCCACATCCACATGGCAGGCTGTTCCCAAGCATGGCATTCCAAGAGGTGGGGCCAGAGTTGGGGAAATGCTTTCTAGGAAGGGATGCGCCTTAGTAATTGGCCACAGCCTCAGCTCTTCATTGGCCTTCAGGACTGTGCACAAACCTTGCCTCAGCCTTTTATGCCATTATTCAGAAAAACACACTAACAATAAAAGGAAATTGGTTTTGTCATGTTCGTGTTACAGGGATAACACTGAATCCATTCTGAGTGATAAAAATAAAATTGGCAAACTTTACTACCTTAACTCTCATGAGTGATAATGTATTTGAAACAGACCTGTGTTCATCAGAAAACACTAGAGTTGCAATTTGCCACTGAGAACCTCCCAAAGATGATGCTGACTCCTGCACCTTTGGGCAGCCAAGGGTCAGCGCAGGCGTGGGCAGACCCCAGAGGATGTGAGAATAGCGAACTGTGGAAGCAGGAAGGGCCTTCGCAAGCACGTGGGAGCTGCCGTTTTTGCCACCCTTGACGTGCTGTAAAAGGGCATTGAGGTGCTTGTGGCTGTGGCACACCTGAATAATTGCAAACAACATGATATGCTGCTACTAACACCAACTTCTCAGGTTTCTGGAATTATGCCCAACACTGAGCAAAAGTAAGAGCGCAAACTATATTGTGAGAAGGCTTTGATTTCTGACTTTTTAAAGGAATATTTAGAGTATTGCATAAGGCTTTCATATCACACAGTTCATTTACAATAAAATGAACTTTTGCTCCCTGCGTGGCTGTTGGCAGATGTGGTCCTGGAGAAGCTTCTCCTGACTGTAGAGAGTCAGTGCTTCAGCTGGAGGAGATGTAGCTGTCTTTCAGCCTGCCCATCCCTGCTCCCCAAGGCCTCTTTCAGATCTCTCAGGGGTCAGGCTCTAGGCTGGGAGAAAATGGATCCCTGGGTCCAAGCGGGCGATGCTTTTAGCCTGAGTTACAGACAAGGGTGAGATCAGGTGAGGGGAGGGACAGACGAGGGTGAGATCAGGTGAGGGGAGGGACAGACAAGGGTGAGATCAGGTGAGGGGAGGGACAGACTTGCTTGGGTGCAACATCGAAGGGGACACCAAAAACTCGGTAATTGACATAAATACCATATAATTTAATATTCAGAAAATCATAATTAATAAAAAGTGGTATTGCTTTTTCCCCTTTTGCCTCAAGCTTCCATAGGGCTTGGCACAACATTGTTTCTGGTCCTGTTATCTAAGATTTTGATATTTTGTTCATTGTGGATTTTGTACTAATGTTGATTTTAAAAAATATTACATGGAAATATTATTCATTAATTTTTGGGTGTCTGCCCCAGGCTAGGAACTTACTTGTATCATTACAGTCCCAGCTCTGTTACAGACGCTTCTGTGCACAAAAAAGCACCATGGGGAATCAGAAGTGTGTCTTCACAAGCCTCCAGGGGCTCACACATTTTCTCTCTCTCTCCCCCTTCCCTTTCACCTGTCTTTGAGATCGAGGGAGCAGGCTTTGAGGTTGAGGAAGCAAAATAAACATAAAAACAACAACAACAACAAAAACATTTGTCTTATTTTCACTGGCAGGCAGTGTCTGATGTAAGATCTTGAGTTGCAGCTTCCTAAAATATTCCTAATTGGTAACTTACAGTTAATTCACAGGATATTCTTGGTTTAAAACAAATCTGGGGACCAGACTGAAAATGCATTTCAGGACTTCTGCAGGCATCACAAAAAGCTCAGCATTAGGTAATTCTCTCTATAAGACACCTTCAGGCATAAAAATATATTAGAATAAATACCATATTAGGGGATTTAATAGCCTTCTCCAATCACCAAGCGTTTCTTGCATCTTGATGTATTTGTCAGGGAGCATTGTTGGTGGAAAAGAACTGACGTCACAGGCAGGTCAGTAAGTGGCATAGCACGGATGAGGGTCCGGCTCCTGAGACCTGCACCAGGCACAGCCAGGCGCGGAGCAGGTGGGAGCACTCTCTCCATCTTCCAACAGTGCTTATCCTGGAGGCAGGGGAGGAGTTAGGGATCATTTTTGCCTTCCTTCCTTATACTTTCATGCATTTTAAATGCCTTTCACAATAAGCATGTATAATTTTTTTTCAAAAATGATCTTTACATAATTTTAAGTGCTTTCTATAGGGAGGATGGTAAAAATATTTCCTAATTCCAATAAATACCAAGCAATAGGAAAGCATCTAAGCAGCAATATCAGCTTTGGGGGTTAGTATTGAATAGAACTGTTGGAGCTCATGCTGCGAAAAATTGAAAGGTGTTAAAAACCCTGCCACAAAGATTCCTGTGGTCCTACTTGAAAATGAGGAGAGGGACTTGTCTCATACCTCAGAGCTGTGGAGCCTCCACCCAGCAATCAGGCCTCTATCAGAGTTACCTGCTGTGTGGACAGCCTCACTGCGGCTGGAGGTTTCACACCCAAGATGAGATCACAGTGAGGGCTGGCAGTAGAAAAATTGTTAATTTGGCAGAGTTTGCTGGGTTTTTCTTTCCGGCTGACCCAAGTCCATAGCTGCAGAGCTTGAGAAATTTCACCTGGGAGAGCCAGATCTCCTCAGTAAGGAAGACTCCTGTATTAAGAGGCTCGTGAAGAAGGGTGGAATCGGGGGTCTGGAAGTGTGGATGGGCCTGGGGCAGCCAGAGGGGGAAGGAAATGGTGGCTCAGCTAAGATAGGCATGGTGTCCTGATGCTGGGCTGGAGGAAACCAGGGGCCCTGCCCCAGGGCTGGGTGTCTGCTAGAGCCTACAGGCTGAGGTGAGCTGGCTGTGTGCATGTGTGCATGCGTATGTGTCAGAGCGGTTGTCAGCACACAGAAACTATGGCCTGCCGGGGAGGCTGAGTGAAGCAGAAGAGCACTGTCAGACACTGCTCCCAGCTTAGCCTGAGTGTGAGTGTGAGGAGTCAGGAGTAGAAGATGATATTGAAATGTAAGTTCCAGGAAGATGAAGATTTCATCTGTTTTGTTCACTATGGGTGTATTCAAAACTCCTTGCAAATATTAGACACTCCATAAGTGTTAAGTAAATGAAGAAAGGAAGGAAGGAATGATTGATACTAGGAAATGAACAGCAGGGTGGGGTAAGGTATAAGCTCAAATGTAAGTTGGTAGAAGTGATGTTACCTGATCTCAAGACTTCTTAGAAAGCTAAAGTATTAGATACAGTGTGGTATTGACATAAGAACAGATGAAAAGATCAGTGGGGCATACAAAGGCCAAAGAGATCCATGTTAATAGAGTCAATTGATTTTGAACAGACACATGAAAGCAAGTCAATGAGTAAAGTCTTTTAAACAATTGGTGCTATAACAACTGAATAAAGGAGAGAGAAAAAAATTTCCATCTTCTTCTACACACCATATACAGAAATTAACTTAAGAGGGATCATAGACCTAAACATAAAAGCTAAAACTATAAAGATTTTAGAAGAAAGCAAGAAAAAATATCTTGGTGGCTTGGGATAAGCAGATATTTTTTAAGTAGGCTTAGAAATTGATAACCACAAAAGAAAAAAGATGATTAATTAGACTTCACAGAAATGATACCATTAGGAAAATGAAATGACAAGCCTAAAAGATAAAATATTCACAAAAAATATCTCTAACAAGGAATTTCAAGAATATATAAGGAACTCAAACAACTCAGTAATATAAAACTGTCACATTAAAAATGGCAAAACATTTGGACACTCTACAAATGAAGATATATGAATGGTCAATAAACACATGGAAAGGTTCTTAACATTATTAGTCATTAGGGAAATTTAAGATAAAACCACAAGGTAGCACACTTTAAGCACTAGAATGTCTAAAACCAAAACGAGTGACAGCACTAAATGTTGGCAAGAATGTGGAGTAGCCAGAACCCTTATATGCTCCTCATGGGAATGTGAAATGATATGATTTATAAGAAAATCCTACAGTGTAAGACAATGGCTTATACTTTTATATCATGTAAACATGCACCCACTTTTTGACCTTGTCACTTCATTCCTACAGGTTCATCTAAGAAAAATGAAAATTTATGTCCATACAAAGATGAGTAGATAAATGTAATAGCCAAAACATGGAAAAAACATGCCCATCAAAGGAAGGTAGACAAATTACGATATATTCACACAGACTTCTCAGGAACGAAGAGAAACAAACTACTGACACACTGACATAGATGAATCTCACAGACTGCTGGTCAAAAGAAGCATATGAAGCTCAAGAACAGGCAAAACTAATATGGGGTAAAAATAATTAGAACAGTGATTGCCTTGTGAGATTGAGGGATTGAGTAGAAAGGAATAGGAGAAAACTTTCTATAAAGAATGTAAATGTTCCAAATTGTGAGGAGTTTAAGTTACACAGGTATATGTGCGTGTCAAAATTTTATGGCTAAGGTTTGCATATATATACATTTTACCTAAAGTAAAAAAAAAACTGTAATAATGATAATAAAAATAACCCATTGAGTGAAGAGATGGGGGTGGGAGAAGGTATAGATGGAACAAGAGAGGCAAAATGTTAATTGTTGAAGATGAGTGATGGATATATAAGGATTTATTATACAATTTTGTTTGATTTCTCTAGTGATAGGATTGGGATGTGCGTTCCCTCTAAATCTCATATTGAAATGTATCCCTAGTGTTGGAGATGGGACCTGGTGGGAGGTGTTTAGGTCATGGGGGCAGATCTCTCATGAATAGCTTGTTTCCCTCCCTGCAGTAATGAGTGAGTTCTTGCTCTGAGTTCATGCAAGCTCTAGTTGTTTCAAAGAGCCTAGGACCTCCTTGCAACCTGAATCTTGCTCCTGCTCTTGCCATGTGATGTGCTTGCTCCCACTTTGCCTTCTGCCATGATTGGAAGCTTCCTGAGGCTTCACCAGAAGCTGAACAGATGCTGGTACCATACTTCCTGTAAAGCCTGTAGAACCATGAGCCAAATAAACCTATTTTCTTTATAAATTACCAGTCTCAGGTATTCCTTTACAGCAAAACAAAAACAGGTGAACACACTGATATCATTTGGATCTGTGTCCCCACCCAAATCTCATGTCCAATTGTAATCCCCACTGTTGGAGGTGGGGTCTGGTGAGAGGTGATTGGCTCACTGGGGTGGAGTTCTCATGAAGGGTTTAGCACCATCCCCGTTGGCACTGTATAGTGAATGAGTTCTCATGAGATCTGGTTCTTTAAAAATATGTAGCACCTCCCCGCTCTCTCTCGGTGCTGCTTCTGCCATGTAAGAGGCCTGCTCCCACTTTGCCTTCCACCGTAAGTAAAAGCTCCCTGAGGCCTCCCCAGAAGCAGATGCTGCTATGCTTCCTATATGGCCTGTGGAACTCTGAGCCAATTAAATCTTTTTATAAATTGCCCAGTCTCAGGTATTTCTTTATAGTAGTGTGAGAATGGACTAATACACCTAGTGTGAAGATTTTCATTAAAAAATGTAACTGTCGTCTGGAACTAGCCCTTTTTTAGGATCTAACTGTGTAGTAGAAAGTGGATCACAGCACAGCACTCAGCAGAGGTAACACCATCCCAATTCATTCATACAGCTGGCACTTTTAGAAACATCTTTTACACATCCCCTCAAAAAGTACCTAACATGCACAGCAGGTTGAAAAGCACCAGGCTGAGCCAAAAACGGGAAGGCAGAGAAGCTTCAAGAGAACAAGGTTCTGAGTTCTGGGGATGTTCTCCTCCAACATTGGGCACTTTAGTGGGAGAAGAGCTGTGGGGTGGGCAGTAGGCATGGCCCAGGTGTGAGTACCAACAGGTAGGCAATGGGGTAAAACGTGGAACTAGAGCACTATGTGGGATCTTGTTGAAAAGCAATCCAGTGAATGGGGCTGAGAACATCCTTTACCTACTTGCTCCTATTCCAATTCCCTAGAAATGGCATTAATAGAAAGTTAATTTTGTAACACTAGAAAACAAGTGGGGCACTTTCTGTGAACAAAAAATAATGAGGAATCCATGAAAAACAGGAGACAGATGGAAGAGTGCAGAAGGAAGAAGCCACTTCCTGAAATACGAGCAAGAAAGATATTTAGAAAAGATGGCCCAGAGCCCATGGCTGCCGGCAGGGAGTTGGGGCGTGGGGGGGGGGCAGTGGACCGGGTGTTGGGAGCCTGGAGCATACATGAGGGGGTTCTGCCACTGAAAGGGCATTTCCACCTCACCTCTCCTCTCTCTCATGCCAACTGGAATCCTTAGAGGCTTCCATCTTGGGGCAGGAGCCATGGGTGCACCTGCCCAGACGCAAGCTGTTACCCCAAGGTGTCACTTCTGCTGCTGGCACAGCCTGCCCTCCCTGTGCACAGAATAGCACACAGAAGTGCTTCACAGACAGGCTGGCAAGGAGCCTTACAGTCACAGGTGAGCATACAGTTAAGGCCCTCCCAACACACACACACAAACAAACACACAACACACACACACACACTACAGGGGGGAAATAGGACAAATAAAAATAAGACCAATCCAACAAAATCCAGGAGTAGAAAAAGTGACGAATTTCCTACACCATTATTAATAATACACAATTAGAAAATGAAATAGGAAAAAAGTCTCAATTATAGCAGCAACAAAATCTATAAAAAACTGAAACAAACTTCATGTGAAACTCACAATGATTAATAATAATCTATAAAACATTTCTAAAAAGCATGAAAGAAGACCCAAATAAATGGACATATGGCACATTCTTGGATGGGAAAGTTCACTGTTTTAAAGATGTTGAGTCTGCACAACTTAGCCTATGAATTCAATGCTATCTCAATCAAAATTCTAAAAAAGCCTTGATCAACTGGAGAAAATAATTATGCAATTGATCTGGAAAATATAATGCTCAAGAATGGCACAGCTAAACATAACTGAAAACAGACAGAGAGAATGACTGGAATATACAAATAGGTCAACAAAACAAAACATTTTAAAAATAAAAATATGGACATTCAGTCTATAACAAATGTAGCATTTTAGATCAATGGGGAAAATCTATACAACACAAAATTTGAAGACAATTGACTATTTATTTTGTGGTTCACAACCTCAAAAGAGTTATAGAAAATAAAACCAAAGAGGATAAAAAACTCTCTAACAAAAATATTTTATTTATATTGTGCCCATGTGCACTCTAAAGCTATTAAATAAAATATACGCAAATATATTCATAACATTGGAGAAGGTCTTCTCAAATAGACACATTTCTTAAATTAAATAGATACATATCCTTAAATTGACATAAAGCCTCATAAAAAGCTATAGAGTAAAAGATTGATAAGTTGAGTGATTGAAAATTTAAACTTTCCACATAAGATATCATAAATAAAGTAAAAAGATAAGACATGAACTTCCACTTCTGTCCAAGATAAAAAAATAGGGACTGGATTTACTCTCCTACCTGAACAAACAACAACACAAACCAGACAGAAGATATAAAACAAGGGTGTTTGGCTAGCAGACCTCAGGAAGCACAGCACAACTGGGGTTGCTTGGCCTTACTTCCTGTACAGGCATTTCAGGCCACAGCTTAAGAAGGGGAAACCCAGGTGAAGCTCATTGGCCTTCCTGAGTTAAGGAGACAGTGCCGGGATTCCAGGGTGTGCAACGAGGTGAGAAATAGCAGGGCAGAGCACCACATTGGGTAGGAGAGCTGCGGAGAGAGAGAGAGAGAGAGAGAGAGAGCTCTACAGCCCTCCAGAAAAGTCCCTTGAATCTTCAGCTGTGCATTTATCAGCACATGCATTTAAGAAAAATACCTGAGCAGCAGAGGAAAATACTTTGTGTTGCCCCTTTAAAGTATTTGTCTAGTAAATCCAGTGTCTGTGCTTCTTTATGGATAGTGCCTGTCAATTTACCTTATTTTATTGAATGTGTCGTTTTTTTCCTGTTTCTTTGCATGTTCTGTGATTTTTTGTTCTTCAAAACTGGGCATTTGGTTATTGTAATGTGGCAACTCTGGCAATTCGGTTGTCCCCTTTTCCAGGTGTCTTAGTCAGCTGAGGCTGCTATGACAAAATATCATAGACTGAGTTGCTTAAATAGCAGGAATTTATTTCACTCAGTTATGGAAGCTAGGAAGTCCAAGTTCAAGGTACAAGAAGGGTCAGTGTCTAGTGAGTGCTCTGTTTCCTTGGGTTGCAGACAGCAGCCTTTTTGCTGTATCCTCACACACCCTTTACTTGGTAAATGCTCATTGAGAGGTATCTCTCTTTCTCTTTTTCTAAGGCCGGTAATCCCATATGAAGGCTTTACTGTCATGACCTTATATAGGTCTAGTCACCTTCTAGAGGCCCCATCTCCAAACACCATCACACTGTGGGTACGGGTAGGGCTTTATCATATGAATTTGGGGGGCCACAAACATTCAGTTCATGACACCAGGATTTGCTAGATTTTCAGAAATTGTTGAAGACTGTGGTAGTTTATTTGTTTTGAAACTTTTCTAAATTATTTATGCAAACACTATTTCTTGTTACGTGTGCTTACTGAAATCTCTGCTTCTTTAGCTCATGTTCAGTTAATGTTTTTACAGAGATTTCCTTGGATGCCAGAAGCTGAAACACACACACACACACACACACACACACACACACACACACACACACACGAAAACTATCTCTCCTAGACTTTGTCAATTCTTCACCAATTAGCTCAGCTTCCTCTGAGCCTAGCGATTAGCCTAAGGTGAAGGCTGAAGGCTTCTCAGCATTTTTCAGACCATCCATTTTGCTGCGGCATACATGTAGCTTTCTAAATTATCCCACATATGCAGCTGCTTTGTAATGTCCTAATTTCCCAAAAAATGTATTACCCCAGCTTGTTCTCCATGACTTAGATGGTCTACTGTATGTCCCCACCCAGAATCTCTTGCCCCAGGCATCTGTGGTTTGTTGTCCCCTGGTATCTTTATAAGTAGTGCCTGCCACTTTCCCCATCTGTGTTCCTAGTTAAATGAGACAGAGATGAATGTAATAGTCCTTCAAGTATCCCCCATCCAGGTTTGAACAGATGTACGTAATAATTTGCAAATAAGGTCTGCTCTGTTCCCTCCACTTCGAGGGGAACCTAGTGGCTGCTGCTCAAGACCAAGACTGCCGTCATGCTGGGGAGATAGTGAGACAAGGGGGAATGAAGACACCACACACATCTTTTGCCATTTTGGAGATAGCTTTTTTCTTGATTGGGTGTTTGCTTGGGTGCTATAAGCCCTGATTGTTTTTAAGAGCTCTTACGATATTGGTTCTAACAGCTTCTGGTTGTTTTCTTGATGTTTTTGTCAGGGAATGAGAGCTTGGAGATCCCTAGGGTGTCATTTTGCTCATGTCCTTCTGCTAAAGTCTTTTATTAAGTCTAATAGCTTTTTATGTATCCCTTAGGCATATGAATATAAACCTGTCTATAATATGATTATGTATTTGATTACATTGATTGCTTTTTAAATGTTAAATAAACTGTGCATACTTGACAAAAATATCACTGGTTCAGGTTTATAATACTTTTCATTTATCCCTGGATTGAGTTTGTAAATGTCTTATTGAGTTTTTTTTTTGCATCCATATTCTTAAGTAATATTAATGTCTATTTTTTTCCTATAACTTTTTTGTCTGGTTTTAGTGTAAGTATATGTTCACCTCATACAATATATTGAAACATATTCCTTCTTATTCTCTTTTTTGGAAGATATTGTAATATACTGGTAATAATTTTTTTTTTGAGTGTTTGGTAGAATTCACCAGTGAAGCTACCTGGGCCTGGGCTTTCCTTCGTGAGAAGTTTTACAATTATTAATTTTATTTCTTTACTTGTAGTTCTATTTGGATTTTCTATTTCTTCTTGAGTCAGCTTTTAAAGTTTATTTCTATAAATTTGTCTATTTTATCCAGGTTGTTTAATATTTGACATACAGTTCTGTGTAGTATTCCTTATAATCCTATTTTATTCCTATAAAGTCAGTAATAATGTTCCCTCTTTCTTTCCTGGTATTAGTAACTTAATCGTTTTTTTTTTCCCTAGTCTTTTTCTTTTTACTAGCTAAAGTTTTGTCATCTTGATTGATCTTTCAAAAAAGTACAGCTTTTGTGTTCATTGAGTTTCTTTATTGTTTTCCTGTTTTCTATTTCATTTATTATCCTTATTCATTTTTAATTTATTTCATTCTGCTTGCTTTTATTTCAGTTTGTGTTTCTTATAGTTTTCTAAGGTAGATAATTAGGTTATTGTTTGGGGGCATTTCTTGTTTTTATATATATATATATTTTTGTATTATACTTTAAGTTCTAGGGTACATGTGCACAATGTGCCGGTTTGTTACATATGTATACATGTGCCATGTTGGTGTGCTACACCCATTAATTCGTCATTTACTTTAGGTATATCTCCTAATGCTACCCTCCCCCCTCCTCCCCCCCACCCTACAACAGGCCCCAGTGTGTGATGTTCCCTTTCCTGTGTCCAAGTGTTCTCATTGTTGAATTCCCACCTATAAGTGAGAACATGCAGTGTTTGGTTTTTTGTCCTTGCCATAGTTCGCTGAGAATGATGGTTTCCAGCTTCATCCATGTCCCTGCAAAGGACATGAACTCATCATTTTTAATGGCTGCATAGTATTCCATGGTGTATATGTGCCACATTTTCTTAATCCAGTCTATCATTGATGGACATTTGGGTTGGTTCCAAGTCTTATTTTTCAATGTAGGTATTTACAACAGAAAATTTCACTATAACACTGCTTTAACTGCATCTAATACAATTTGGTGTGTTGTATTTTCTAATTTCCTTAAGAGATTTCTTTCTTGGCCTCATTATTTATTAAAGAATATATTGCTTAGTTTCTACAAATGTCCTTCTTTTATTGACTTCTAATTTGTTTTGCTGTGGTCGGAGAGCATATTGATATGTTTTCAATCCTTTCAAATATATAGGGACTTGTTTTATGTCCTAACATATGGACTATTCTGAGAGTGTTTCATGTGCACTTGAGAAATATGGGTATTCTGCTGTTGTTGGGTGGAGATTTCTATAAGTGTCTGCTAAGTCCAGTTGGTTTAGAGTGTTGCTCAAATATTCTCTTTTCTTGATTATCTTCTGTACGGTTTTGGATTTGAAATGGGGTATTGATATCACCAATTATTATTGTTGAATTGTGTATTTCTCTTAAATTTGGTCAGTCTTTATTTCATGGGTTTGGGGGCTCTGTTTTTAGGTGCATATATGTTTATAAGTGTTATTTACTCTTGATAGACTGATCTTTTTGTCATTACAAAAAATCCTTCTTTGTTTTTAGTAACAACTATTGTATAAGGAGTAATTTATTTATTAGTCTTAACCACCCAATCTCTCTTTTGCTTAGCATTTACATAGTATATCATTTCATTCTCTTACTTCCAATTTATTGTGTCTTTGAATCTAAATTGTGTATCTTATAGACATGTTATTAGGTCATAGTTTTTAATCCATTTTGCCAATCTCTTGTTAATGGTGTGTTTAATCCATTTTCAGTATGCTTAAAGTTATTACTGATAATTAAAGTAAATAGCAATTTTGTTATTTGTTTCTATATGTCATAGCTTTTTCTTTATTCATTTATTGCTATTTCTTTTTGCTAAATTGATGTTATATGGTGAACCATTTTTTTACTACATTTTTGAGACTTAAAAAAGTACTTTCCCTGTGGATTGCAATTAACATCTTAACTTAAAACTATATATATTTAAAGTTATATATATGTAGCAATACCAAATTAAATTCATAATTTGGATATGAATTTTAAAAATATATATTTTATCAGTATCAACTTTGCTGTTATGATTTTATTTCTTCCTCACTACTTTGTGCTATGATGATTATACAAATTACGTCTTTATATAGTATATACCTATAAACACTTTTACACTTCTTGCTTTATGCCTTTGTCTTTTAAGTCAGGGAGAAGAGAGTTAAAAATAAAATATGCAATTATACTCTTTATATTTACCTATGTAGTTACCTTTAATGGTGCTCTTTATTTCTGTATGTAGGTTTCAGTTAATATCAAGTGTCCTTTCATTTAAATCCTAAGGACATCTATTAGTACTTCTTGTGGGATACATCTAACAGCAATAAATTTTGTTGGCTTATATTTATCTAGGAATGTCTCAGCTTTTCCTTAACTTTTGCAGGAAAATATTTTGGATATAGGATTCTTGGTTGACAGTCATTTTCTTCCATCACTTTGAGTATGTTATATCACTGACTTCTGGCTTGCATTATTTTTGCTGAAAATATCAGCTGTTAATCTTATTTGGGGTTCTGTGTTTGTGATGAGCTGCTTTTCACTTGCTGCTTTCAAGACAAAATCTTTGCCTTTGTTTCTTGACAGTTGGATTTTGATATGTCTAGCTGTGAATGTCTTATTTTATCCTATATGGGAGTTTATTGAGCTTCTTGAATATGTGAATGGATGTTTACCATAACTTTGTGTAGTTTTAATCCACTATTTCTTTAAATATTTTTTCTTCACTTTTTCTTCTCTTCTTTTCTTCTATGATTCTCATTTTATGTTTGTTGATGTGCTTGCTAATGTCTGACAGATCTCTCAGGTCCTATTAATTTGTCTTCATTATTTTCTCTTTCTGTTGTTCATACTAAACAATCTCAATGGATCTATCTTAAAATTCTCTATTATTTTTTCAGCTCAAATTTCCTGTTGAGCAACTCCAGTAAATTTTTCCATCCAATTGGTGTACTTTTTAACTCAAAAATTTATATTTGATACTTTTTAAAAATATAATTTCTGTGTATTGATATTCTAATTTGTTGGGAAATTGGTATCATAGTTTTCTTTATATATTTATGCTTTTTTTAAGTTCTTTGAATATATTTAAAATAGCTGATTTAATGTCTCTCTAGTAAGTCTACATCCTTAAGGATATTTTCCATTCACTGTTTTTTCCTGTGCTCGTTTCTCTGTGTATGTTGTAATTTGTTTTTGAAACTGGATATTTAAAAAAAATCATTTGGCAATTCTGGAATTCAGATTCCTCTCTTGCTGAGGATTTGGTGTTGTTGCTGCTTGTTTTTTTTTATTGTTGCTGTTTGTTTAGTGACTTTCTCGAACTGATTTGGTATGGTTTGTATTCTTTGTCACTTGTGACCATTAGAGTCTCTGTCTGTAAATAAGAGTTTTCAGAGAACTTCCAGAAAGATCAAATTATGACTATTTTTTGAGAATGTTGTTGTTGGGGGAGCTCTGAACTTATTTTTCCCCTCCAATGGCTCATAGGTTGCTGGGTTTTTCCATGACGGTGGAGCTATTATTTACAAGGCAACTGCAGAGCTAGAGACAGTGTATTTTGAATATAAGAAGTTAAAATGCCATAAAACTTAATGTTCTTACTGAGATTAAATATTTTCTTAAATAAATGGTCCTTGGATTGTTGCAAGCCTTTGGATGATTTCCAGAGTCCTTAAATGTTGATATTTACTTTATTTTTGGCCAGTGTTCCAATTTCTTTTTTTTTTAAATTTTTTATTATACTTTAAATTCTAGGGTACCTGTGCACAACGTGCAGGTTTGTTACATATATATACATGTGCCATGTTGGTGTGCTGCACCTGTTAACTAGTCATTTACATTAGGTATATCTCCTACTGCTATCCCTCCCCCCTCCCCTAACCCCACAATAGGCCCAGGTGTGTGATGTTCCCCATCCTGTGTCCAAGTGTTCTTATTGTTCAATTCCCACCTATGAGTGAGAACACTCGGTGTTTGGTTTTCTGTCCTTGTGATAGTTTTCTCAGAATGATGGTTTCTAGCTTCATTCATGTCCATACAAAGGACATGAACTCGTCCTTTTTTATGGCTGTGTAGTATTCCATGGTGTATATGTGCCACATTTTCTGTATCCATTCTACCATTGATGGACATTTGGTTGGTTCCAAGTCTTTGCTATTGTGAATAGTGCCACAATAAACATACGTGTGCATGTGTCTTTATAGCAGTACGACTTATAATCCTTTGGGTATATGCCCGGTAATGGGATTGCTGGGTCAAATGGTATTTCTAGTTCTAGATCCTTGAGGAATTGCCACACTGTCATCCGCAATGGTTGGACTAGTTTACAGTCCCACCAACAGTGTAAAAGTGTTCCTATTTCTCCACATCCTCTCCAGCACCTGTTGTTTCTTGACTTTTTAATGACTGCCATTCTAACTGGTGTGAGATGGTATCTCATTATGGTTTTGATTTGCATTTCTCTGACGGCCAGTGATGATCAGCATTTTTTTCATTTTTCTGTTGGCTACATAAATGTCTTCTTTTGAGAAGTATTTGTTCATATCCTTCGCCCACTTTTTGATGGGGTTGTTTGATTTTTTTCTTGTAAATTTGTTTAAGTTCTTTGTAGATTCTGGATATTAGCCCTTTGTCAGATGAGTAGATTGCAAAAATTTTCTCCCATTCTGTAGGTTTCCTGTTCACTCTGATGGTAATTTCTTTTGCTGTGCAGAAGCTCTTTAGTTTAATTAGATCTCATTTGTCAATTTTGGCTTTTGTTGCCATTGCTTTTGATGCTTTAATCATGAAGTCCTTGCCCATGCCTATGGCCTGAATGGTATTGCCTAGGCTTTCTTCTAGGGTTTTTATGGTTTTACATCTAACATTTAAGTCTTTAATCCATCTTGAATTAATTTTTGTATTAGGTGTAAGGAAGGGATCCAGTTTCAGCTTTCTACATATGGCTAACCAGTATTCCCAGCACCATTTATTAAATAGGGAATCCTTTCCCCATTTCTTGTTTTTGTCAGCATTGTCAAAGATCAGATGGTTATAGATGTGTAGTATTATTTCCGAGGGCTCTATTCTGTTCCATTGGTCTATATCTCTGTTTTTGTACCAGTACCATGCTGTTTTGGTTACTGTAGCCTTGTGGTATAGTTTGAAGTCACGTAGTGTGATGCCTCCAGCTTTGTTCTTTTGGCTTTGGATTGTCTTGGCAATGTGAGCTCTTTTTTGCTTCCATATGAACTTTAAAGTAGTTTTTTCCAATTCTGTGAAGAAAGTCATTGGTAGCCTGATGGGGATGGTATTGAATCTATAAATTACCTTGGGAAATATGGCCATTTTCATAATATTGATTCTTCCTATCCATGAGCATGAAATGTTCTTCCATTTGTTTGTGTCCTCTTTTATTTCATTGAGCAGTGGTTTGTAGTTCTCCTTGAAGAAGTCCTTCACATCCTTTATAAGTTGAATTCCTAGGTATTTTATTCTCTTTGAAGCAACTGTGAATGGGATTTCAATCATGATTTGGCTCTCTGTTTGTCTGTTATTTGTGTATAGGAATGCTTGTGATTTTTGCACGTTGATTTTGTATCCTGAGACTTTGCTGAAGTTGCTTATCAGCTTAAGGAGATTTTGGGCTGAGACGATAGGGTTTTCTAAATATACAATCATGTCATCTGCAAACAGGGACAATTTGACTTCCTCTTTTCCTAATTGAATACCCTTTATTTCTTTCTCTTGCCTGACTGCCCTGGCCAGAACTTCCAACACTATGTTGAATAGGAGTGGTGAGAGAGGGCAACCCTGTCTTGTGCCAGTTTTCAAAGGGAATGCTTCCAGTTTTTGCCCATTTAGTGTGATATTGGTTGTGGGTTTTTCATAAAAAGCTCTTATTATTTTGAGATATGTCTCATCAATACCTAATTCATTGAGAGTTTTTAGCATAAAGGGCTGTTGAATTTTGCCAAAGGCCTTTTCTGCATCTATTGATATAATCATGTGGTTTTTGTCTTTGGTTGTGTTTATATGCTGGATTACGTTTATTGATTTGCGTATGTTGAACCAGTCTTGCATCACAGGGATAAAGCCCACTTGATCATGGTGGATAAGTTTTTGATGTGCTGCTGGATTCGGTTTGCCAGTATTTTACTGAGGATTTTTGCATTGATGTTCATCAGGGCTATTGGTCTAAAATTCTCTTTTTTGTGTGTATGTCTCTGCCAGGCTTTGGTATCAGGATGATGTTGGTCTCATAAAATGAATTAGGGAGGATTCCCTCTTTTTCTATTGATTGGAATAGTTTCAGAAGAAATGGTACCAGCTCCTCTTGTACTTCTGGTAGAATTCGGCTGTGAATCCATCTGGTCTTGGACTTTTTTTTGGTTGGTAGGCTATTTATTATTGCCTCAATTTCAGAACCTGTTATTGGTCTCTTCAGGGATTAAACTTCCTCCTGGTTTAGTCTTGGGAGGGTATATGTGTCCAGGAATTTATCCGTTTTTTCTAGATTTTCTAGTTTATTTGCATAGAGGTGTTTATAGTATTCTCTGATGGTAGTTTGTATTTCTGTGGGATCGGTGGTGATATCCCCTTTATCATTTTTTATTGCATCTATTTGATTCTTCTCTCTTTTCTTCTTTATTAATCTTGCTAGCGGTCTATCAATTTTATTGATCTTTTCAAAAAACCAGCTCCTGGATTCATCGATTTTTTTGAAGGGTTTTTTGGGTCTCTATCGCCTTCAGTTCTGCTCTGATCTCAGTTATTTCTTGCCTTCTGCTAGCTTTTGAATGTGCTTGCTCTTGCTTCTCTAGTTCTTTTAATTGTGATGTTAGGGCGTCAATTTTAGATCTTTCCTGCTTTCTCTTGTGGGCATTTAGTGCTATAAATTTTCCTCTACACACTGCTTTAAATATGTCCCAGAGATTCTGGTATGTTGTGTCTTTGTTCTCATTGGTTTCAAAGAACATCTTTATTTCTGCCTTCATTTTGTTATGTACCCAGTAGTCATTCAGGAGCAGGTTGTTCAGTTTCCATGTAGTTGAGCGGTTTTGAGTGAGTTTCTTAATTCTGAGTTCTAGTTTGATTGCACTGTGGTCTGAGAGACAGTTTGTTATAATTTCTGTTCTTTTACATTTGCTGAGGAGTGCTTTACTTCCAACTATATGGTCAATGTTGGAATAAGTGTGATGTGGTGCTGAGAAGAATGTATATTCTGTTGATTTGGGGTGGAGAGTTCTGTAGATGTCTATTAGGTCCACTTAGTGCAGAGCTGAGTTCAATTCCTGGATATCCTTGTTAACTTTCTGTCTCATTGATCTGTCTAATGTTGACAGTGAGGTGTTAAAGTCTCCCATTATTATTGTGTGGGAATCTAAGTCTCTTTGTAGTCTCTAAGGACTTGCTTTATGAATCTGGGTGCTCCTGTATTGGGTGCATATATATTTAGGGTAGTTACCTCTTCTTGTTGAATTCATCGCTTTACCATTATGTAATGGCCTTCTTTGTCTCTTTTGATCTTTGTTATTTTGATTGCTGTATTTTGAGCTTATGTGTGTCTCTGCATGTGAGATGGGTCTCCTGAATATAGCACACTGATGGGTCTTGACTCTTTATCCAGTTTGCCAGTCTGTGTCTTTTAATTGGAGCATTTAGCCCATTCACATTTAAGGTTAATATTGTTATATGTGAATTTGATCTTGTCCTTATGATGTTAGCTGGTTGTTTTGCTCATTAGTTGATGCAGTTCTTCCTAGCATTGATGGTCTTTACAATTTGGCATGTTTTTGCAGTGGCTGGTACAGGCCACTGTACCAGTTTTCCAAGTTTAGTGCTTCCTTCAGGAGCTCTTGTAAGGCAGGTCTGGTGGTGACAAAATCTCTCCGTACTTGTTTGTCTGTAAAGGATTTTATTTCTCCTTCACTTATGAAGCTTAGTTTGGCGAATATGAAATTCTGGGTTGAAAATTCTTTACTTTAAGAATGTTGAATATTGGCCCCCACTCTCTTCTGCCAAGAGATCTGTTGTTAGTCTGATGGGCTTCCCTTTGTGGGCAGCCTGAGGTTTCTCTCTGGCTGCCCTTAACATTTTTTCCTTCATTTCAACTGGTGAATCTGACAATTATGTGTGTTGCAGTTGCTCCTCTTGAGGAGTATCTTTGTGGTGTTCTCTGTATTTCCTGAATTTGAATGTTGGCCTGCCTCACTAGGTTGGGGAAGTTCTCCTGGATAATATCCTGAAGAGTGTTTTCCAAGTTGGTTCCATTCTCCCCATCACTTTCAGGTACACCAATCAGATGTAGATTTGGTCTTTTCACATAGTCCCATATTTCTTGGAGGCTTTGTTCATTTCTTTTTACTCTTTTTTCTCTAAACTTCTCTTCTCACTTCATTTCATTCATTTGATCTTCAATCACTGGTACCGTTTCTTCCACTTGATCAAATCGGCTACTGAAGCTCATGCATGTGTCACATAGTTCTCGTGCCGTGGTTTTCAGCTCCATCAGGCCATTTAAGGACTTCTCCACACTGTTTATTCTAGTTAGCCATTTGTCTAATCTTTTTTTCAAGGTTTTTAACTTCTTTGCAATGGGTTCGAACATCCTCCTTTAGCTCAGAGAAGTTTGTTATTACCGATCGTCTGAAGCCTTCTTCTCTCAACTTGTCAAATTCATTGTCCGTCCAGCTTTGTTCCATTGCTGGTCAGGAGCTGCATTCCTTTAGAGGAGAAGAGGCACTCTGATTTTTAGAATTTTCAGTTTTTCTGCTCTGGTTTCTCCCCATCTTTGTGGTTTTATCTACCTGTGGTCTTCGATGATGGTTACATACAGACAGGGTTTTGGTGTGGATATCCTTTCTGTTTGTTAGTTTTCCTTCTAACAGTCAGGACCCTCAGCTGCAGGTCTGTTGGAGTTTGCTGGAGGTCTACTCCAGACCTTGTTTGCCTGGGTATCACCAGCGGAGGCTGCAGAACAGCAAATATTGCAGAACAGCAGATGTTGCTGCCTGATCCTTCCTCTGGAAGCTTCATCTCAGAGGGGCAACTGGCTGTACGAGG
This sequence comes from Homo sapiens, assembly GCF_000001405.40. Lineage (NCBI taxonomy): Eukaryota > Metazoa > Chordata > Mammalia > Primates > Hominidae > Homo > Homo sapiens. The sequence continues at coordinate 129,532,644 of NC_000002.12, read as the reverse complement.
TGTCAGTCAGCCCCTACTGGGAAGTGTCTCCCAGTTAAGCTACTCGGGGCTCAGGGACCCACTTGAGGAGGCAGTCTGTCCATTCTCAGATGTCAAACTCCATGCTGGGAGAACCACTACTCTCTTCAGAGCTGTCAGACAGGGACATTTAAGTCTGCAGAAGTTTCTGCTGCCTTTTGTTCAGCTATGCCCTGCCCCTAGAGGTGGAGTCCACAGAGGCAGGCAGGCCTCCTTGAGCTGTGGTGGGCTCCGCCCAGTTCGAGCTTCCTGGATGCTTTGTTTACCTACCTACTCAAGCCTCAGCAATGGCGGACGCCCCTCCCCCAGCCTCGCTGCTGCCTTGCAGTTCGATCTTAGACTGCTGTGCTAGCAGTGAGTGAGGCTCCGTGGGTGTGGGACCCTCTGAGCCATGTGCGGGATATAATCTCCTGGTGTGCCGTTTGCTAAGGCTGTTGGAAAAGCACAGTATTGGGGGGTAGTGTCCCAATTTTCCAGGTACCTTCTGTCATGGCTTACCTTTGTTAGGAAAGGGAATTCCCTGACCCTTTGCACTTCCCAGGTGAGGTGATGCCCCACCCTGCTCCATGGGCTGCACCCACTCTCTGACAAGCCCCAGTGAGATGAACCTGGTACCTCAGTTGGAAATGCAGAAATCACCCATCTTCTGCATCGTTCACAATGGGAGCTGCAGACTGGAGCTGTTCCTGTTCGGCCGCCTTGGAACCTCCTCCCTCTAATTTCTTTTATTTATAATCACATTTTGTGGAGCTCCTTTGATGTCAATTCAAATGATTTTTGACAAAGATGAATAAGCAATGCCAAGGATTATTAATTACCCTTTCAACAAGTTGTGCTTGAGCAATATATATTTGTAGGCAAAACAATTAAACAAAAAAGAAACATAGAAACCTCAATCTAAACTACCTCACACCTTACACAAAAGTAAATTCAAATTGAATTTTTGAATTTACACTGGACAGTATTCTCCACAGAAACAAACAGAAGAATATTATATATATGTATGTATGTATAATAGATACATAAGCTATACACATACATATATACTTTTACATACACATACATGTGTATAAAGACAATTATAAATTCCAGTTTGAATCTGAAGGTCTAAGAAACAGAGCAATTGATGGTGTAAGTTCCAGTATGGGTTCAAGCCTGAAGGCAGGAGAAGACTGATATCTCAGCTCAAAGAAAGTCAGAGAAAGAGAATCCTTCCTACTTCTACCTTTTTGTTCTTTTCAAGCCTCTAGTGGATTGAATGAGATCCATTCACATTAGAGAGGGCATTCTAATTTACTCAGGCTACAGTTTCAAATGTTGATCTTATACAAAAACACCCCCACAGACATATCCAGAATAATGTTTAACCAAATATCTGGGCACCCTGTAGTTCAATCAAGTTGACATATAAAATGACTATAATAGAATTAAATGTAAAATATGTTTTTTTGGTAAAAGAATGGTAAATATTTAAAATCTAGGTCTAGGCAAAGAGTTCATAGACTTGATATCATAAGCCAATCCATACAGAGAAAATAGATACATTTGTCTCTTTAAAATTATAAACTTTCACTGTCTGAAACACATGTAAAAAGTATAAAAGCCAAATTAAAGAGTGAGAGAAGACATTTTTCAAAGCACACATTCAGTAATAAACTGATATCTAGAATATATTAAAAATAACTCTCAAAACTCAACATGTAACAAAAAAGGCAATCAAATTAGATAATGGGTAAAATATATTAACTGCCATTTCACCAAATAGGGTATACAGATAACAGATATGCACATGAAAAGATTTCAACATCATTTAGTGATCAGCAATGCAGGTTAAAATCACAAAGAGATATCACTGCATAACTATCAGAATAGCTAAAATAAAAAATAGTGACAACAACAAATACAGGTGAGAAAACAAAGGATCTGTATTACTCATATATTTGCTCCTTGGAATATAAAATTGTACAGCCACTCTAGAAAGAGTTTAGAATTTTTTTAATTTCAACTAAACATGCAGTTATCATATTGCTCTACAATCGCCCTCTTGGACATTTTCTAGATAAATGAAAATTTATATTCACACCCAAACCTGAACATGAATATTCATAGTAGCTTTACTTACAATAGGTAAAAAATTGGCATTAGCATAGAAGTATCTCTACAGGTAAATGTTCAAAAAAACATGGAACACACATACCATATAATAAAAGCACTAAAAGGGAATGAACTATTGATTCACACTACTATTTAGATGAATCTTCAGGAAGTTATGCTGGGTGAAAAAAGCTAATCCAGAAAGTTAAATATTGTATGATTTTATTTATATAACTTTTGAAATGACAACTTTTTAAAATAGACAACAGATTACTGATGGGCAAGGATTAGCTGTGAGGGAACTATGGTTATAAAAAGGAAACGTGAAGGATCCTTGTGATAATGAAACTGTTCAGTATCTGACTCTGGGTGTGGATGCTATAACTTGCATATGTGATAAAATAGTATTTTGTTGAGGATTTTTGTGTCTATATTTATCAAAAATACTGGCCCAAGTTTTCTTTTTTTGTTGTGTCTCTGCCAGGTCTTGGTATCAGGATGATGCTGGCCTCATAGAATGAGTTAGGAAAGAATCCCTCCTTCTCAATTTTTTGGACTAGTTTTAGTAGGAATAATACCAGCTTCTCTTCATACATCTGGTAAAATTTAGTAGTGATTCTGTCTGGTCCTGGGCCTTTTGTTGTTGGTAGGCTTTTGATTACAGAATCAATTCCAGAACTCATTTTTGTCCATTCAGGAATTCAGTTTCTTCCTGGTTCAATCTTGGGAGCTTGTATATTTTCAGAATTTTTTTTTATTTCATCTAGGTTTTCTAGATTGTTTGCATAAAAGTGTTTATAGTAGTCTCTGAGAGGTTTTTGTATTTCTGTTGCAGTTGGTGGTAATGTCCCATTTGTCATTTCTGATTGTGTTTATTTGGATCTTCTCTCTTTTTTATTAGTCCAGCTATCAGTCTATCAATCTTATTTACTCTCTCAATAAACCAAACTCTTTTGTATTCTTTTTAATTAATTTTACATTTTAAATTTTTGTGAGTATGTACTAAGTGTATATATTTATGAGTTACAAGGGACATCGTATGCCTTTTTGATAAGGCATACAATGTGTAATAATCATATTAGGGTAAATATTGTATCTATCATCTCAATAATTTATCATTTGTGTTTTAAACAATCCAATTATAATTTTAAGTTATTTTTAAATGTTAAATTAAATTATTTTTTGCTATAGTCACCCTGCTGTGCTAGCAAATACCAGGTCTTATTTATTCTGTCTAAATACTTTTTTGCATCCATTAACCATCCTCACTTTTCACTTCCCCGCCCCTACCTCACTGACTACCCTTCCCAGCCTCTGGTAATCATCCTTCTACTTTCTATCTCCATGAGTTCAATTGTTTTAATTCTTAGCTCCCACAGATAAGTAGAATATGTGATATTTGTCTTTCGGTGCCTGGCTTATTTTACTTAATATAATAACCTCCAGTTCCATCCGTGTTGTTGCAAGTGACAGGATATCATTCTTTGTTAGTACTGAATAATTCGTTGTGTATATGTACCATGTTTTCTTTATCCATTCTTTTGTTGATGGATTCTTAGGTTGCTTCCAAGTCTTGGCTATTATGAATAGTGCTTCAATAAACATGATGGTGCAGATATCTCTGCCATATACTGATTTGCTTTCTTTTGAGTATATACCTAGGAGTGGCATTGGTATACAATAGAGTGGTAGCTCTGTTTTTAGTGTTTGAGGACCCTCTAAACTGTTCTCCCTCGTGGTTGTAATAATTTACATTTCCATCAACAATGTAAAGGGCTCCCTTTTCTCTGCATCCTCACCAGCACTTTTTATTGCCTGTCTTTTGGATATAAGCCATTTTAAGTGGAGTGAGATAATATCTCATTGTAGTTTTGATGTGCATTTCCCTGGCAATAAATAATATTGAGAACTTTTTACTATAACTGTTCACAATTTGTCTTCGTTTTGAAGAAATGTCTATTCAAATATTTTGCCCATTTTTTGATTGGATTTGTAGATTTGTGTTTTCTAATAACACTGTAACACCACAGTTAGAATGTTATAATATTCTGGGTTTTGCTGTAGTTCTTACTATTACTAGTGAGTTTTGTACCTTCATGTGATTACTTAATGCTCATGAATGTCCTTTTCTTTCTGATTGAAGTACTCCCTTTAGCATTTCTTGGAGTCTGGTGTTGATGAAATCCTTCAGCTTTTGTTGGTCTGGGAAAGTCTTTATTTCTTCATGTTTGAAGAATTTTTTTTTTCTTTTTTCCAGATATACTATTCAAAGGTAAAATGTTTTTTTTCTTTTTTTTCCTTCAGCACTTTAAATATGTCATGCCATTCTCTGCTGGCCCGTAAAGTTTCCACTGAGAAGTCTGCTGCCAGATGTATTGGAGGAGTTGCATTGTATGTTATTTGTTTCTTTTTTCTTGCTGCTTTTAAGATCCTTTCTTTATCTTTAACCTTTGGGAGTTTGATTATGAAATGTCTTCAGATAGTCTTTTTTGGGTTAAATCTGCTTGGTGTTCTATAACCTTCTTGTACTTGGATATAGATATCCTTCTCTAGGTTTGGGAAGTTCTCTGTTATTATCCCTTTGAATATTCTTTACATCCCTATCTTTTTCTCTACCTCTTCTTTAAATTCTCAGATTTGCCCCGAGGCTATTTTTAAATCCTGTAGGCTTGCTTCATTTTTTAACCTTTTTTTATTGTGTCTCCTATGTCTATGTATTTTCAAATAGCCTATCTTTAAGCTCACACATTCTTTCTTCTGCTTGATAGTCCTCATATTAAAAGATTCTGATGCATTCTTAAGTATGCCAATTGCATTTGTCAGTTCCAGGATTTCTGTTTGATTCTTTTTAATTATTTCAATGTCTGTGTTAAATTTATTTGATAGAATCTTAAGTTTCTTCTCTTTGTTATATTGAATTTCCTCGAGTTTCCTCAAAACTGATATTTTGTATTGTCTGTCTGAAAGGTCATATATCTCTGTTGCTTCAGGATTGGTCCCTAGAGGCTTATTTAGTTCATTTGGTGAGGTCATGTTTTCTTGGATGATGTTGATGCTTGTAGATATTGTTTGGTGTCTGGGCATTGAAGAGTTAGGTATTTATTGTATTTTTCTCAGTTTGGGCTTGTTAGTACCCATCCTTCTTCAGAAGGCTTTGCAGATGTTCAAAAGGACTCGGATGTTGTGATCTAATTTGTATCTGCTTTCAGGGGCACCCCAAGACCATTAACACTGTAGTTCTTATAGACTTACAGAGGTACAAGGTCTTGGACAAGATCCAGAATTCTCTTCATTACTAGGCAGATACTCTTGTTCTCTTCCCTTACTCTATTCCAAACAAACAGAAGCTCTCTTTCAGTTCTAAGCCACCAGGAAGCAGGGGTGGTGTGACACAAGCAACCCTGTTGCCAACACCACCAGGACTGCACTGGATCAGAGCTGAAGTCACTACAGCACTGGGTCTTACCCCAAGGCCTGCTGTAACCACTCCCTGGCTGTGGCTTATGTTTGCTCAAGGGCCTGGGGCTCTACAATCATCAGGTTGCAAAGCCAGCCAGGCTTGCATCCTTATCTTCAGGGTGACAAGTTCCCTGAGGCCTCAGGTGGGTCCAAAGATGCCATCTGGGAGAGAAGGAGTAGAGTCAAAAAGCTTAGAAGTCTACCTGATGTTCTATTGTACTGCAGCTGAGCTGGCACTCAAGCCACAAGATGCAGACCTTCCCACTCTTCTCTCTACTTTCCAAAGACAGAGGATTCTTACCCCGTGGCCCCCACCCACCATAGGCCCATTGGGAGTATTGCTGGGCTACTGCTGATGTTCTGTTAAGGTCCAACGGCTCTTTGATCAGCTTGTGGTGAATGCTGCCTGGACTAGGACTCACCCTTTGGGGCTCCCCTCTGGGCCAGGGCAAGTCCAGAAATGCTGTCCAAGAGCAAAGGCCTACAACTGGGGATCCCAAGAGCCTGCTTAGTGCTCTATCCCCTTGTGGCAGAGCTAGTACTTACGGTGTAAAACGAAGTCCCCTTTACTGTTCCCTCCATTTTTCTCAAGCCGAAGGAGTCTCTCTCCATAGTCAGTCACTAAAGCTGGCAATGTGCCGAGTCTCCCCTGAAGCCTGCAAATCTCAGACTCACCCAACACCCTGCATGTAGTACCTGGGTATCACTACTAGTTATTCATGGCCTAAAGGCTCTTCAGTTAGCAGGTGATGAATGTTGCCAGAACTGGGCTCTTCCCTTCAAGGCAGTGGGTTCCCTTCTCATTTAGGATGTGTGTAGAAATGAACAGGATCTAGGGCCTGGAAATGAGTCTTCATAAGTCTGACTGTTGCTGTATCCTACTGAGGCTCAGCTAGTATCCAAGATGCAATACACAATTATTCCCACAATTCCCTCTCCTCTCCTCAACTAGAAAGAAGGAATCTCTTTGGAGCTGAAAGATGTGCAGCTTGGGGTTAAGGAAAGGGTGATGTCAGCACTCCCTTAGCTGCCCCAGCTGGTGGATCAGTAAATTGTGTGCCTCCAAACCTCCAGTCCACTGGCTCTGGGCCTAGTTCAGCATTAGGACCTGCCTAGGGATGCAGTCCTTGTGGCCTAGACTGCCTTTCAAATTTATTTAGAGCCCCAGAGCACTCCAGCCTGAGGTGGCAAGGCTTGCAGAAACTCAAATTCTGACTGCTGGGATGGGCAATTCTCCTCTGCCTAGGGCTGGTTTAAATACTCCCTCCATGGGTTGATGTCAGCTGAGTTGGGTCTGGTTTACTTCCTGCTATAACAGGGAGGCACTGAATTCAATGCAGTGTCTCATTATTGGTACACTCTCCCTCTGTCAAGCACATAAAGTCTCTCTCTGCACCATACTGCTGCTGCCCAGGGTGGGGTTTGGGGGAAACAGTGGCATCAGCAATTGAAGCCTTTTTTTTTTCTACTTCTTCAGTGCCTGTTTAAGTGATATGAAGTTAAAACCAGGTACTGTGAGTGCTCATTAGGTTTGGGGTTTTTACGAAGGTACTTTTATTTGTGTGTAGACAGTTCTTAAATTTCTGTCCTTGCATGGAGGATGAGCAACGGAAACTTCTATTCTACCATCTTGCTCTGCCTTTATATTGTTTTTGGCATCTCAGTTTCCTTCAGTTCGGCTCTTATATTTTGGTTATTTCCTGTCTTATGCCAACTGTGGAGTTGTATTTTTCTTGTTCCTCTAGTTCCTCTAGGTGTGATGATAATTTGCTAATTCGAGATCTTTCCTTTTGATGTGGTTGTTTAGTGCTATAAACTTCCCTCTTCACACTGCCTTAGCTATGTCCCAGAGATTCTGGTATGTTGTGTCTTTGTTCTCACTGGTTTCAAAGAATTTCTTGATTTCTGCCTTAATTTCATTTTTTACCCAAAAGTTATTCAGGAGCAGGAATTAAACCTTGTTTAAATTCCATGTAGTTGCATGGTTTTGAGTGATTTTCTTAGTATTGATTTACATTTTTATTGCACTGTGGTTCAAGAGTGTATTTGGTACAAAATACTAGCAAACTGAATCCAGCAGAACATCAAAAACTAATCAATCACTATCGAGTAGGCTTTATCCTTTGGATATGAAGTTGGCCCAACATACGCAAATCAATAAATGTGATTCATCACATAAACAGAACTAAACACAAAACCACGGGATCATCTCAATAGAGGCAGAAAAAGCTTTGGATAAAATTCAACATCCCTTCCTGTTAAAAACTTTCAACAAACTAGGCATTGAAGGAACATAGCTACAAATAATAAGAAGCATCTATGACAAAGCCACAGCCAACATCATGCTGAATAGTCCAAAGCTGGAAGCATTCCCCTTGAGAACTTGAAGAAGACAAGGATGCCCACTCTCACCACTCCTATTTAACACAAAATTGGAACTCCTTGCCAGTGCAATCAGGAAAGAGAAAGAAATAAAAATCATCTAAATAGAAAGAGAAAATCAAACTCTCTCTCCTCACAGATTATATGATTCAATACTTGGGAAATCCTGTAGTTTCTTCCCAAAAGCTCCATGATCTGATAAACAACTTCAGCAAAGTTTATGGATACAAAAATTAGTAGAATTTCTGTATACCAAGAATGTCCAAGCTGAGAGCCAAATCAAGAACTCAATCCCATTCACAATAGTCACAAAAAGAAAAAAATACCTAGGAAAACAGCTACCCTAGGAGGTGAAAGAACTCTACAACAAGAATTACAAAACACTGCTGAAAGAAACCAGAGATGACATGAACAAGTGGAAAAACATTCCATGCTGATGGGTAGGAAGAATCAATATTACTAAAATGACCACACTGCCCAAAGCAATTTATAGATTCAATGCTATTCCTATCAAATGACCAATGACATTCTTTACAGAATTTAAAAAAAAACTATTTAAAAATGCATATGGAACCAAAAAAGAGCCCAAATAGTAAAGCAACCCTAAGCAAAAAGAACAAAGCTGGTGGCATTATGTTCCCTGACTTCAAACTATACTACAAGTCTACAGTAACCAAAACAGCATGGTACTGGTACAAAAAACAAATACATAGACCAATGGAATAGAATAGAGAGACCAGACATAATGCCATCTACCTACAACCATCTGATCTCCAAAAAATTCAACAAAAATAAGCAATGGGGAAAAGACTCCCTGTTCAACAAATGGTACTGGGATAACTGGTTAGCCAAGTGCAGAAGATTGAAACTGGACCTGTTCCTTACATCATATACAAAAATCAACTCAAGATGAATTGAAGACTTGAGCCTTTCAGAGGGGGGAAAATGATAAACACGAGGTGGGACGAACTTGCAGCTCCCGCTCGGACAGACAGAGCAGTCTTTGGAGAGCCCCACTGTGAACTTTTGCTCCAAGAACTACCACAGGAACATGTCAGGAAAGCCAAGGGAATCCACAGACCCTTTGAAGGAGTTGAATTGCCACTGGAGGTTCTGTGGGACAGCTAAGGAACTGTGAGTCTGTTTGCTTTCTCAGCTGGGAGGCTTGCAGCCCAAGGCAAGTTGTCAGCCCTGCCCACCGGTTGCCTGGAAATAAACTTGATGCTGTTGGGGAAATACGGTGGCAGTGAGACTGGCCCTTTGGGCTGTGGGCTGCATAGGAGCTGAGTGAGGCTTGTGGCTTTCCCTTCCTTCCTTGGCGACCTGTGTGATGCAACAGAAACAGCCATAATCCCCCAGGAACATAACTCTGTTGGCATGGGAACCACACCCCATCCCCCATAGCAGCCACAGCAAGCCCTACCCAAGGAGAGTCTGAGCTCAGACATGCCTAACCTTGCCCCCACCTGATGGTCTTTCTCTACCTGCCCAGGTAGTTGAAGACAAAAGATGTTATCTCTTGGAAGCACTATAGCCACACCCACCATCTGATCCTCCCTATGCTACTGCAGCTGATGTGCTCTTGAAAGTGCCACCTCCTGGCTGGAGGCCAACCAACACAAAACCAGTGCACTTAACAAAAATACAGTGTAGGCGTGGTAGCTCACGCCTGTAATCCCAGCACTTTGGGATACTGAGGCCAGTGGATCACTTGAGGTCAGGAGTTAGAGACCAGCCTGGCCAAAATGGCAAAACCCCATCTCTACTAAAGCCGGGCATGGTTGTGTATGCCTGTAGTCCCAGCTACTTGGGAGGCTGAGGCAGGAGAATTGCTTGAACCAGGAGGGGAAGGTTGCAGTGAGCCCAGATTGTGCCACTGCATTCCAGCCTGGGCAACAGAGTGAGACTCTGTCTAAAACAAACAAACAAACAAACAAACAAACAAAACAACCAAAGACCCTCAGAGTCCACTTCACTCCCCTGCTACCTCTCTATACTACCACAGCTGATGTGCTCTTGAAAGTGCCACCTCCTGGCTGGAGGCCAACCAACACAAAAGCAGCACACTTAAGAAAAATACCATCAAGGACCCTCACAGTGTCCACTTCACTCCCCTGCTACCTCCATCAGAGCAGGTGCTGGTATCCATGGCTGAGAATGGATCACATCACAGGACTCTTCAGACACTCCCCAGTACCAGCCCAGAGCCCAGTAGCTCCACTGGGTAGCTAGATCCAGAAGAGAAATAACAATCACTGAAGCTTGGCTCTCAGGAAACCCCACCCACAGGGGAAAGGGGAGAGCACCACATCAAGGGAGCACCCCGAGGAACAAAAGAATTTTAACATCAGCCCTTGAGTCCCAGATCTTCCTTCTGACATAATCTACCCAAATGAGAAGGAACCAGAAAAACAATTCTGGTAATATGACAAAACAAGTTTCTTTAACATCCCCAAGAGATCACACTAGCTCACCAGCAATGAATTCAAACCAAGATAAAATCTCTGAATTGCCAGGAAAAACACTGAGAAGGTTGACTATTAAGCTGATCAAGGAGACACCAGAGAAAGGGTAAAGTTCAACTTAAAGAAATCGAAAGAATGATACAGGATACGAATGGACAAATCTTCAGTGAAATAGATAGCATAAATAAAAAACAATCACAACTTCTGGAAATGAAGGACACACTTAGACAATTGTAAAGTGCACTGAAAATTCTCAGTAATAGAATTGAACAAGTAGAAGAAAGAACTTCAGTGCTTGAAGACAAGGCTTTCAAATTAAACTAATTCAACAAAGCCAAAAAATAAAAATAAAAAAATTAAAAAATGGGCCAGGTGCAGTGGCTCATGCCTGTAATCCCAGCACTTTGGGAGGCTGAGATGGGTGGATCACTTGAGGTCAGGAGTTCGAGACTAGCCTGGCCAACATGGTGAAACCCCCGGCTCTATTAAAATACAAAAAATTTAGCTGGGCATGGTGGCACGTGCCTGTAATCCCAGCTAGTCAGGAGGCTAAGGCAGGAGAATTGCTTGAACCTGGGAGGTGGAGGTTGCAGTGAACCAAGATGGTGCCACTGCACTCCAGTCTGGGTGACAGAGCAAGACTCCATCTCAAATTAAAGAAAAAAAAAGAAAAAAAATACGAACAAAGCCTTCAAGAAGTTTGGGATTATGTTTAATGGCCAAACCTAATATATAATTGATGTTCCTCAGGAAAAAGAGAAATCTAAAAGTTTGGAAAACATATTTGAGGGAATGATCAAGGAAAACATCCCTGGCCTTACTAGAGATCTAGACATCCAAATATAAGAAATTAAAGGACACCTGGGAAATTCATTGCAAAAAGATCATCACCTAAGCACATAGTCATCAGGTTATCTAAAGTCAAGACAAAGGAAATGATCTTAAGAGCTGTGAGGCAAAAGCATCAGGTAACATATAAAGGAAAACCTATCAGATTGACAGCAGATTTCTCAATGGAAACCCTGCAAGCTAGAACAAATTGGGGTCCTATTGTTAGCCTCCTTAAGCAAAGGCAATTATTGTATTCAGTGAAACTTAGCTTCAAAACGAAGGAAAGATACAGTCTTTTTCAGACAAGCAAGGGCCAAGAGAATTCTCCACTACCAAGCTAGCACTACAAGAAGTGCTAAAAGTTCTAAATCTTGAAATAAATCCTCAAGATACATCAAAATAGAATCTCTTTAAGGCAAAAATGTCACAGAATCTGTACAACAACAACACAATGAAAAAAACAAGTATTCAGGAAACAAATAGCACGGTGAATAGAATAGTACCTCACATCTCAATACTAACTTTGAAAGTAAATGGCCTAAATGCTCCACTTAAAAGGTACAGAATAGCAGAATGGATAAGAATTCACCAACAAGTGCTGTACAAGTGCATGGAATATCTTTTTCTATCCCTTTACCTTAAGTTTATGCAACTCCTCCCATGACATATAAGGAGTTACATAAACTTAAGGTAAAGGGATAGAAAAAGATATTCCATGCAAATGGATACCAAAAGTGAGCAGAGTAGCTATTCTTATATCAGACAAAACAAACTTTAAAGCAACAGCAGTTTAAAAAGACAAAGAGGGACATTATATAATGATAAAAAGCCTTGTCCAATAGGAAAATATCACAATCCTAAATATATATGCACCTTACACTGGAGCTTTTAAATTTATGGAACAATTACTACTAGACCTAAGAAATGAAATAGGCAGCAACATAATAATAGTGGGGGACTTCAATACTCCACTGACAGCACTAGACAGGTCATCGAGACAGAAAGTCAAACAAAGAAACAATGGACTTAAACTATACCTTAGAACAAATGGACTTAACAGATATTTACGGAACATTCTACCCAACAACTGCAGACTATACATTCAGTATATCAGCACATGGAACATTCTCCAAGATAGACCATATGATAGAGCACAAAACAAGTCTCAACAAATTTAAGAAAATCAAAATTATATCAAGTACTATTTCAGACCACAGTGAAATAAAATTGGAAATCAACTCCAAAAGGAATGCTTAAAACCATGTAAATACATGGAAATTAAATAACCTGCTCCTGAATGATTTGGTCAACAATGAAATAAAAGTGGAAATTAAAAAATTTTTTGAACGGAATGATAATATTGACACAATCTATCAAAACCTCTGGGCTACAGCAAAGGCGGTGATAAGAGAATAGTTCACAGCATTAAATGTCTACATCAAAAAGTCTGAAAGAACACAAATAGACAATCTGAGGTCACACCTCAAGCAGCTAGAGAAACAAGAACAAACCAAACCCAAACCCAGCAGAAGAAAAGAAATAACCAAGATCAGAGCAGAACTAAATGAAATTTAAACAAAAAGCTGGTTCTTTGAAAATATAAATAAAATCGATAGACCATTAGTGAAATTAACCAAGAAAAGAAGACAGAAGATCCAAATAAGCTCCATTAGAATTAAAACGGGAGGTATTACAACTGATACCACAGAAATACAAAGGATAATTCAAGGCTACTACAAACACTTTTACACATGGAAACTAGAAAACCCTGAGGAGACAGATAAATTCCTAGAACTATACAACCAACCTAGATTAAATCAAGAAGAAATAGGAACTCTGAACAGACCAATAACAAGAAGTGAGACTGAAATGATAATTTAAAAGTTACCAACAAAAAAATGTCCAGGACTAGATGGATTCACAGCTGGATTCTATCAGACATTCAAAGAAGAATTGGAACCAATCCTATTGACACTATTCCAAAACATAGAGAAGGAAGGAATCCTCCCTAAATCATCCTATGAAGCCAGTATCACCCTGATACCAAAACCAGGAAATAACATAACAAAAAAGAAAACTACAGACCAATATCGCAATGAACACAGATGCAAAAATTCTCAACAAAATACAAGCTAACACAATCCAGCCTTTAATTGTAATAATTTCTATGTGTCAAGGGTGGGACCAGGCAGAGGTAATTGAGTCATGGGGGCAATTTCCCTCTGATGCTCTTGTGATAGTGAGGGAGTTCTCATGAGAGCTTATGGTTTTATAAGGGACTTCCCCACCATTCATTCGGCACTTCTCTCTCCTCCCACCATATGAAGAAGAACGTGTTTGTTTCCCCTTCTGCCAAAATTGTAAGTTTCCTGATGTCTCCCCAGCCTCGTGAAATTGTGAGTCAAATAAACCTCTTTCCTTTATTAATTACCCAGTCTTAGGCAGCTCTTTATAGCAGCGTGAGAATGGACCAATACACCAGGGATTTAGGGATGGTTTAACATCTGCAAGTCAATAAATGTGATACACCACATAAACAGAATTGAAAACAAAAATAACTTGATCATCTCAATAGATGCAGAAAAAGCATTTGACAGAATTTAGCATTGCTTTATGATTAAAACCCTCAGCAAAATCAGCACAGAAGGAACATAACTTAAGGTAATAAAAGCCATCTGTGACAAACCCACAGCCAACATTATACTGAACAGGGAAAATTTGAAATCATTTCTGAGAACTGGAACAAGTCAAGGATGCCCACTTTCACCACTTTTATTCAACATAGTACTGGATGTCCTAGCCAGAGTAATCAGACAAGAAAAAGAAATAAAGGGCATCCAAATCAGTAAACAGGAAATCAAACTGTCGCTGTTTGCTAATGACATGATCGTATACCTAGAAAAGCCTAAAGACTCATTCAAAAAGCTCTGAGAATTGGTAAATGATTCAGCAAAGTTTCAAGTTACAAAATTAATGTACACAAATTAGTAGCCCTGCTATACCCCAACAGCGACCAAGCTGAGCATCAGATTAAGAACTCAATTCCTTTTACAACAGCGGCAAAAAAAAAAAAAAAAAAATTAGAAATATACTTAACCAAGCAGGTGAAGGACATCTACAAGGAAAACTACTAAACACTGCTGAAAGCAGTCATAGACAACACAAACAAATGGAAACATATCCGATGTTCATGGAGGGATAGAATCAATATTGTAAAAATGATCATATTGCCAAAAGCAACCTACAAACTCAATGAAATTCCCATCAAAATACAACCATCATTCTTGACAGTACTAGAAAAAACAATTCTAAAGTTCATATGGAACTAAAAAGGAGCCCCACATAGCCAAAACAAGACAAAGCAAAAAGAACAAATCTGGAGGCATTACATTACCTGATTTCAAACAATACTATGAGGCCATAGTTACCAAAACAGCATGGTTCTGTTACAAAAACAGGCATACAAGAAAAAAAAACAAAAAAACAAAAAAACAAAAAAAAAACAACAGGTATACGGACCAGTGCACTAGAATAGAGAACCCAGAAATAAAGCCAAATATAATCAACTGATCATAGACAAAACAAACAAAAACATAAAGTGGGGAAAAGACACCCTATTCGACAAATGGTGCTGGGATAATTGGCTAGCCACATGTAGGAGAATGAAACTGGATCCTCATTTCTCACCTTATAAAAAAATCAACTCAAGATTGATCAAATACTTAAATCTAAGACCTGAAACTATAAAAATTCTAGAAGATAACATTGGAAAAACCGTTCCGGACATTTGCTTAGACAAAGCTTCATGACCAAGAACCCAAAAGCAAACAAAACAAAAACAAAGATAAATAGATGAGACTTAATTAAACTAAAAAGCTTCTGCGTGGCAAAAAAATTATTCAGCAGAGTAAACAGACAACTCACAGAGTGTAAGAAAATCTTCACAATCTATACTTCTGACAAAGGACGAATATCCAGAATCTACAAGGAACTCAAACAAATCAGCAGGATAAAAACAAACAATCCCATCAAAAAGTGGGCTAAGGACATGAATAGACAATTCTCAAAAGAAGATATACAAATGGCCAACAAACATATGAAAAAAGGCTCAGTATCACTAGTTATCAGGGAAATGCAAATCAAAACCACAACGCAATACCACTTTACTCCTATAAGAATGGACATAATCAAAAAATCAAAAAATAATAGATATTGGCATGGATGTGGTGAAAAGGGAACACTTTTACACTCTTGGTGGAAAATACAACTACTATGGAAAACTATGTGGAGATTCCTTAAAGAACTTAATGTAGATCTACCATTTGATCCAGCAATCCCACTGGATTGCTGGGTATCTATCCAAAGAAAAAGAAATCATTCTATGGAAAAGATACTTGCACACACATGTTTTTAGCTGCACAATTCACAATTGCACAAATGTGGAACCAGCTCAAATGCCCATCAATCAATGAGTGGATAAAGAAAATGTGGTCTGTATATACAATGGAATACCACTTCACCATAAAAAGGAATGAAAAATGGCATTTGCAGCAACCTGGATGGCATTGGAGACCATTATCCTAAGTGAAGTAAGTCAGGAATAGAAAACCAAATGTCGTTATGTTCTCAAACATAAGTGGAAGCTAAGCTATGAGGACACAAAGGCATAAGAATGATATAATGGGCTTTGGGAACTCAAGGGAAAGGGTGAGAGGGCGGTGAGGGATAAAACACTGCAATAAATAAATATCAATTAAAACCAAAAAGGATGAATTAAAGACAGAAACATAAAACCTAAAACTATAAACACCCTAGAAGGTTACAGAAAATACCATTCTAGGCATAGGTCCTGGCAAAAATTTTATAATGAAGATGCCACAATCAATTGCAACAAAACCAAAAATTAACAAATTGGACCTAATTAAACTAAAGAGCTTCTGTACAGAAAAAGAAATGGTCAACAGAGTAAACAGAAAACCTACAGAATGGGGGACAATATTTGCAAACTTTGTATCTGACAAAGTTCTAAAATCTGGAATCTATAAAGAATGTAAACAAATTAACAAGCAAAAAACAACCCCAATAAAAATTGGGCAAAGAACATAAGCAGATGCTTTTTGAAAGAAGACATACATACAGCCAACAAGCATATGAGAAGATGCTCAACATCACTAATCATTAGAGAAATGCAAATCAAAACCACAATGAGATACCATCTCTCATTAGTCAGAATAGCTATTATTAAAAAGTCAAAAAACAACAGACACTGGTGAGATTATGGAGAAAAGGAAACACTTATATACAGTTGGTGGGAATGTAATTTAGTTCAGCCACTGTGAAGAGCAGATTGGAGATTTTTCAAAGAACTTAGAATTGCTATTTGACCTAGCAATCCCATTATTGGATATATACCCAAAGGAATACAAATTATTGTAACATAAAGACACATGCATGCGTATATTCATTGCAGCACCACTCACAATAGTAAAGACATTAAATCAATGAAAATGCCCATCAACAGTAGTCTGGATAAAGAAAATGTGGTACATATACATGATGGAATACTACACATTTATAAAAAGAAATGAGATCACGTTCTTTGCAGCCACATGGATGTAGCTGGAGACTATTAACCTCAGCAAACTATCACAGAAACAGAAAATCAAATATCATATGTTCTCACTTATCGATGGGAGCAAAATGTTGAGTACACATGGGCACAAAGAAGGAAACAGATCCCAGGGCCTACTTGAGGGTGGAGGGTGGGAGAAGGGAAAGGATTGAAAAACTACCTATTGAGTGCTATGCTTATTACCTGGGTGACAAAATAATCTGTGCACCAAACTCCCATGATATGCAATTTACCTGTATAAGAAACCTGCATATGTGCCCCTGAAGTAAAAGTTAAAAAAAATAAATTATAAAGTCCAGTAAAAGATAAGTAAGTTACAGTTTATGGAATAAAAAAATGTATAGAACTAAAATATGCATGCACACACATTCACACACACAGAAAAATGGGTACAAGTAAAATTGTGAAAAAGTAAAAAAGATTGGTGGATTTTATCAATGTCAAAATCCAGGTTTTGAAATTATTCTATAGTTTTGCACAGTTACCCTTAAGGCAAACTGGGAAAATTGTACAATATATCTCATATTTCTTACAACTGCAAGTGAATCTGCAATTATTTCAATTAAAATGAATTTAGAAAAGTACCCTAGGACTTCTAGTTTCAGCTCTAGCATATAAATATATTGGGAGTCATTACTCCCATTTGTTTTTGACAACAAAAAAGCTGAAAAACTAAAGATCAATCACCAGAGAATTGAGGTCACAGAGCAAACCACCTCCCTGAAATCAGGAAAGACAGGCAAATACGAAGAGTCACAGTGAATATCTGCTTACTTGGAGTGGAACCTGCAGGAAATATGAATCAGTAGGAACACTTAAATGGCAAATTTGATGAATATATGGGAATATCCAAGAAAAATTACCTCATGACTCTTACAAGGGTAGGAAATTAATCATTTTGAAATATACCTAGAGTGTTCTCCATAACAAAGACTTGCTATCCAAGGAAAAATACCCTACCACAGCTTTGTTCCAGTATAATAACAGTGGGCTACAGTTGACAGAACTGCAAGACACAACTTCTATTTAAGTAGGAGTTCTTAGGGAAACCCAAAAGCAAAGGAGGATACAAAAACAAAGACATTAGAGAAACTTGAAGTTGCTGGCACATGAAGAAATATTAGGCAAATCCCACTCCTAACCACACTGACATAACATATTATGCTAAAGGCTATCTACCTCAGTTCCTGTTACCTGTGTTCAGGTTTTAAATAAAATTTCAAAACATGCTACAAGGCAAGAAAAAAGAGTCTAAAGAGAAAGTAAGCATCAGAACTAGACTGAAAAAAGACACAGATCTTGGAATTACCAGATGGGAAATTTACATTAATTATGATTAATATGTTAAGAGTTCTAATGGAAAAAGTAGACGACATGCAAGAACAGATGGATAATGTAAGCACAGAGATGGAAACTCTAAGAAAGAATTAATGAAAAATGCTAAAAATAAAACACTGTAACAGAAATGAAGAATGCCTTTGATAATCTCAGCAGCAGACTGGACAAAGCCAAGGAAAGGATCTGAGGTTGAAGATATGTCAGCAAGTATTTCCTAAGTGAAAATGCAATGAGAAAAGAGAATAAAAGCATAATAGAATGTATAAGAACTGTGGGAAAATTTTAACAGGAATAACTTATGCAGAATTCCAGAAGAAGAAGGAAGACAGAATAAAGTGGAATAAAAATTTGAAGTAATATGGCCAAAAGCTTTCCAAGACTAATGACAGACTTAAAACCACAGATTCGGAAATCTTGGAAAAACCAAGCAGAATAAATACCCCCAAATTCTACAAGTACACTTATAATATCCACATTGAAGCAAACCAAATATACAGAGAAAATCTAGAAAGAAGTCAGCAGTTCAAAATAAAACAAAACACCTAACTTACAAAGGAACAAAGATAAAAATTGTTTTGGACTTTCTATCAGAAACCAGGCAAACAACAGAGTTGGGTAAATATTTAGTGTTGGAAGAAAAAAAAACATATCTACCTGTAAACTGTATGCTTTTCCCTTAAGATTGATAATAAGGCCAAGGTGCCCTCTCTCACCACTTCTATTCAACATAATACTGGATGTCTTAGGTAGTCCAATTAAGCTAGTACAATTATACAAGAAAACAAAATAAAAGGTATGCCAATTAGGAAAATAAAATAAAACTATTTTTGTTTACAGATGACATGATTGTCATTGACAACAAAGCTCCTAAAACTAATAACTGATTGCAAGATTGCAGGATACAAGATTAATAAGCAAAAGTAAATTGCTTTGCTACACACCATCAACAAACAATGGGATTTTGAATTTTTTAAAAAATAGCATTCACAATAGTAACCCAAAATAAAATATTTAAGTTTAAATATAACAAAATATGTACAGTAATTATATGTGAATAACTACAACACTCTGATCAAAGAAATTCAAGATCTAAACAGGGAGATACTCTGTGCTTATGAATTGGAACACTCAATATTGTTAAGACATCAATCCTTTCCAACTTGATCTAGATTTAATACAATTCCAATAAAAATATCAGCAAGCCAATTTAGATATCAACAAACTGATTCTATAGGCAAAAAAATCTGGAATAGCCAACATAACACTAAAGAAGGAAAATGAAGTTGGAAGTCTCACACTATTTGACTTCAAGGCTTACTATAAAACTACAGTAATGAAGACGGTGCAGCACTGGCAAAAGAATAGACACATAGATGCTCTGAAATAGTCTCACACAGATAGTCAATTGACCTTTGACAAAGCAACAATGACAATTCAATGGAGAATTGACAAGCTTTCAGCGCAAACAGTGCTAGAAATATTGGAGGACACACCTATATGCAAAAAAAAAAAAAAAGAAAAGAAAAGAAAAAAAGAAAAAAGAATCTAGCCACAGACCTTACATTTTACACAAAAATGAACTTAATGTTAATCACAGACCTAAATGTAAAATGCAAAACTATAAAACTCCAAGGGATCATAGAAGAAAATAAAATAACCTTGGATATGGTGATAAGCTTTTAGATAAAATACCAAAAGCCAATCAATGAAAGATAAATATGATAAGTAGTATTTTATAAAAATAGTAGAGTTTTTTTAGGGGAGGCTTTGGGAGAGACAGATACCGTCTCTGGTAGAATATCAAGAAGTTAGTAATGATGGTCAATTTTAGAGAAAGAAACAGGGAAACTCTTGACTTAGTGGTAGAAGGGCATCTTTATTTTCAATGAATTCCCTGTTGCACATTGGAAAGAATTTCCATATGCATATATTAACTTAGTATTTCTAAATTAAGAAACAAAACAAAACAGAGATTCTAGTGCAGGGTAGAAACATGCGTTGGCATCACTGGCATGCAAAGAAAAGCTCTTAGTATTTGTATCAGCCATAAACTTAACATAAATCAGTAGAGTACTGTGATTGCTAAAAATTGGTGAAATTGGGATCTCCTTAATAGGAATATTACTTTTAAAAACCACACTTTCACTGTATATTAGATAAAGGGAGGATGGTTCTTGGCTCCTCTTTCTTAGGAGAGCTATGTTCAGTTTTAGGATTTTATATAATGAGAAAAAGAACAACATAAACATGTATTAAGCCTAGGAACTAGTGAATAAATTCAAATGCATTCTCTCATTTAAATCTCCAACAGTTCTAGAGGTGGGTAGTGTTATCATTTTGATTTAGAAAATGTGAAAATTGTCACTGGCAAATTGAATGACCTGCTGAAAGTCACAATAGTAGCAGAGCATCTCAGCCCACATCTTCCTGATATCAGGGCCTGAGGGTTTCTATCCACTCTGCCATGTTGTCTCCAGAGTGATATCGACAAGTGCGAGTTTTCAAGATGAATGTGCCAGAAATAGTGAGGGACTGGAAATCAGAGGAAGTAACTGTGTCACAAAGGCACTCTTTTGAGTATTTCAAAGGCCATTCTGTGATAGTTAAGCTACATGTGATCTGCATGTGTCAAAGGGACAGAAATGGGACAAAGATGTAGAAGCTGTAGGAAAGAAATGTAAACTCAGTACTTGACAAACACATGCACATCTTTTTTTTTTTCTTTGTTTTTGAGACGGAGTCTCGCTCTTTCGCCCAGGCCTGACTGCAGTGGCGCTATCTCGGCTCACTGCAAGTTCCGCCTCCCAGGTTCACGCCATTCTCCGGCCTCAGCCTCTCGAGTAGCTGGGACTACAGGAGCCCGCCACCACGCCCGGCTAATTTTTTGTATTTTTAGTAGAGACGGGGTTTCACTGTGTTAGCCAGGGTGGTCTCGATCTCCTGACCTCGTGATCCGCCCGCCTCGGCCTCCCAAAGTGCTGGGATTACAGGTGTGAGCCACCGCGCCCAGAACATGCACATCTTTTAGGACTTCTAAAGCATTGCGTCTCATATGAAGCTTATCCTTATTCTCTTGCGAGTAGGACTCGCTGCTCCTTTTTGCCCTTCTCTTCTATTATATGAAAGAGCTTGTGTCAGACTGACATTGTTGCTTTTTAAAGTATTTGACAAAATTCACCATTGAAGTTATCTGGGCCTGGAGTTTTCTTTGGGGAAAGGCTGTTTATTACAAAGTCTTTGGGTAGTGTTCCCTTTTCTCCTTGATATCCTTTAACTTAAATGCTACATTGCAAAATTAACAATACTGAAATCTGATAAGGGGATAAGATAGAGAAGAAAAAGATTATATATACACATATTCATAAAAATGAGGTAGAAATACTCATAACAAATAGTCTTTATTTCTGCAACTTGTCACATAGTCATAGTTAGTATTTATAGCTATCTTTTTCCACTGACCATTATATATTCCATTTTCCCTCTACAAGTGCCTCAGCTGGCTGTGGTTCTTAAGCTGGGGCGACTCAGATTTTTATTCTAGAAGGATCTAGGCTATTAGTAGTCCTGCCTGAATTGGGTTGTTGTAGTTTTTCATTAATGTTAAACACAGGGCATGGTAGTACTAACAGACAACCTAAGGTATCTGCTGTATTCTAGACATATTATTCCTTATTTCCATTGTGGAGAAGCAGTCCAACATCCACTGTGTAACCAGTGCCAATCACCCAGCCAGTATAGTAACTCCATATTTTGCCTGTTGATTCAGACACATGAGGAGTCCAAAGTGGCCAGATAGCAGTCTTGAGTTCATTGTTTTGTCTCCATGTCTCAGTTTCTATGTTCATGTCTTCATGCCTTAGTCTCGAGTAGTTGCTACTTCTTTCTCACTAGGTCCAATCAGCAGAATGTTATCCATGTAATAGACCAGTTTGATAACTTGTGGAACAAAGAGGTGATCAAGATCCCCACAAACTAGATACTGACATAGGGCTGGAGGGTTGATATACCACTGAGGTAGGATAGTGAATGTGTATTACTGGACTCGCCTGTTGAAAGCAAACTGCTTCTGGTGGTTTTTACTAACAGGGGTAGAAAAAAAGCATTAACAAGATCAATAACTGCATGCCAGGTACCAGAGGATGTGTTAATTTGCACAAGCAATGAAACCACATCTGGTAAAGTGGCTTCAATTGGAGTTATTACTTGGTTAAGTTTACAGTAATATACTTTAATTTTCCAAGATCCATTTTCTTCTCAAGCTCCTGACCTCAAGTGATCCACCCACCTTGGCCTCCCAAAGTGCTGAGATTACAGGCATGAGCCACCACACCCAGCCTTTGTGTTCATAAGTGCTTATCATTTAGCTCCCACTAATAAGGGAGAACATGTGGTATTTGGTTTTCCCTTCCTGCATTAGTTTGCTAAGGATGACAGCGTCCAGCTCCATCTATGTTCCTACAAAAGATATGATCTAGTTCTTTTTATGGCTGTATAATATTCCATGGTGTATACAGGCCAGATGAGTGAGTTAAATGTGCCACCTCTGCATCCTTCAAGTCCTTGATGGTGGCACTAATCTCTGAAATCCCATCAGGAATGCAGTATTGCTTTTGCATTACTATTTTTCTAGGTAGAGGCAGTTCTAGTGGCTTTTGCTTGGCCTTATTTACCATAATAGACCTCACTGCATAGGTCAAGGAGTCGAAATGGGGACTCTGCTAGTTGCTGAACATGTCTATTACAATCACACATTCTGGAATTCAGGAAATAACCACAGGATGGGCTCAAAGACCCACAAGGCCCACTGTGAGATGAACCTGAGCTAAAACTTCATCGATCACCTGACCTCCACAAGTCCCTACTCTAACTGGTGGACCACAGTGATATTTTTGCTCTCTTGAAATTAGCATCAGTTCAGAGCCAGTGTCCACTCTTCTTCCCTAAAATATGGTTATTCCTTTTTCCCAGTGATGATGACCTTGGTAAAAGGCTATAATCCATTTGCAAAAGGCTGGGAAAAAATTAACAGTATAAATTTCTGGCAGTGTAGCAGAGCCCTTCCTCAAGAGACCCAGCCTCCCATTCATTAAAGGGGACCTGGGTCTGTAAACTGGCACAATTCTGGGTATTGATTAAGGGGTCATGACTCTGTGTTTTTGTGATTCAAGTTAAATTTTAGTTCACTTGACCTAGAACTCTTTTGCTCGTGCAAATCACATAAGAATTTAATAGTCTGCTTATCTTTTCACTTCTAAGAACACCATGATCATTTAGCAAATGCCACAGGTCTCTGAGAGTCCGACTATTCTGATGATTGCTATGATTTTGCTGTCCATTATGGCAACCACACCCACCTTGCCTTTGGTTATTAAGTGCCACCACTTGACCCCTGCTACCCTGGGATCCAATTAATTTCACTGCATCTGGGTTTCCCAATTCTATGGCAGTAGTTCCCACTGTAATTTCTACCCTACAGGCAAGAACAACCACAGAGCTCTTTGAAGATGCTAGAGTTCCCCTTATAAATTTATTTCACAGTCAGGGTGAAAAGTATGTCCTCTGGACCCTCTCAGCATGGGTGAGCAGATCTTAAATAATAAATCCACCCTAATATTTCAATCTCTTAAGCCTTTGAATTTTTTCCTCTGCAGTACACCAGGACAAGTCTGCCTTTTTTACTTTATTTAGTGCAAGCCAGCTTTTGTTTCATGTTTTGGTCAACCAACCAAACAAATGGTTAGAGCTGCAACATGAAGTCCAGAATCTCTGCTTAGTGGGAACATATTTGTAAATTTGGCCTGATCCAAGTTAATTTCTACCATTTTTCCACATCTTTAGCATTCATTTCTATATATATTCCCTGTTGCTGTTGGCATAAATTGGAAAAATCAAGTAGTTCTTTTGAAGTGTAGTACACCTTCTCACAGGCGCACTCTGCACCTCTCTTTTAGGACTTGAGTCTAGTCCTAAAAGTCTAGTCTTTTGGGACTAGACTAAAGTCTGGAACCAAAGATGAATGCAAGAAGGGGAGTCCTGGGAGACTCAGAATTATCTTGTAAGGCACCTATCTCAGGGGAGCCATAACAGGTTTCTCAGGCAATGAAGGGTTTATCTCCTCAGACGGGTTGAGTGGCTGCTTCCACTGGCAAAAAAGACTTGCCAGAATTTAGAGACCTAATGTTAAGAATCCAAAATGGCTGTACTAATTTATAATACCATCATCAGTAGTATGTCTTATTCCAGCTCTCAGGGTCCCATTTCTTTGCAGTTAATACCATCATTTTAATAGCACCTACCTTGAGAAGTTAATAAATTTGCATTATAATTCAGCCACTCACCAGATGAGATACTAGATGTGGTTTTTAGCAATCTCAGCTCTGCGGCTTCAGGAAATAGGGTCTCTTTCAGGGAAGACATAGAAACCTCCAGGTCATTTATACAGTGTTAGATCTGAAAATTAGAATCTCTGAGCTCATCCTTTTCTTTTCCCACTTTGTTCAGTGCAATTAGAAGCTATCAGCCAATCTCATTATGCTTGTCAGTTTGACAAAAAAAAAATGTTCTAAGGTATCAAATATAGTCACCTGGAATTTTGCCTCTTACAAGTATTTGATTAGGAGTGTGTAGTGGTGGTATTTTGTGCATTTCTATTGCCACATCACACTATGTACTGTTAGTGTTCTCCTTACTACTGAAAATAGAATCATGAGTGCCTTTATATCTAATCAAATCAGAGGACTAACTCCAGAAACTCCAGAATCAATTCAGAAAACTCATCCTTGAGATTCTTTTTCTCTTCCAATTTTTAAATAGATTTAGTTGTTATTGTTGTTGCTGTTATTGAGTAGTGAGTTCCTTGTATATTTTAGATATTAACTCTTAGCCAAAGTATGCTTTGAACATATTTTTTCCCTCAATCCATGGGTTGTCTTTTCACTCTACTAAACTGTTTTCTTTACTATGCAGAAGCTTTTTGGTTTCATGTAATCCCATTTGTTTATTTTTCCTTTTATTGCTTGTGCTTTTAGGATTATATCCAAGAAATCTCTGTCCAGACCAATGCCATGGAGCTTTTCCTAGGTTTGCTTCTAACAGTTTTATAGCTTTAGGTCTCATGTTTAAGTCTTTAATTAATTTTGAATTAATTATTGTATAAGGGCTGAGATAAGGATCTATTTTCTTTCTTCTGTATGTGGATCTTCAGTTTCAGCCAGTATCAGGCTGTTTTGATTAGTGTAGTTTTGTAATATATTTTGAAATCCAGTAGTGTAATGCATATAACTTTATTCTTTTTGGTTAAGATTGTTTGGCTATTTGCAGTCTTCATAGTTGCATGTATATTTCAGGATTATTTTTTCTATTTCCTTGAAAAATGACATGGGAATTTTGGTAGAGATTATATTGAATCCATAGATTGCTTTGGATAGTATGGATATTTTAACAATATTAATTCTTCCAATCCATGAACATGATATATATTTCCATTTACTTGTGTCATCTTTAATTTCTTTCATCAATGTTTCATAGCTTTCAGTATGCAGGTATTTCACTTTCTTGGTTAAATTTACTTCTAAGTATTTTTTCATGTTATTGTAAATGGGATTTTTTTCTTAATTTCTTTTTCAGACAGTTTGTTGTTAGTTTATAGAAACACTACAGATTTTTGTACATTGATTTTGTATCCTGCCACTTTACTAAATTTATCAGTTCTAACAGTTTTTGGTGGCATTTTTAGGATGTCTACACTCTTATGTTCATTTCAGCATTATTTACAATATCCAAGATATGGAAACAACCTAACTGGATTAAATTGGATGAATGGATTAAAAAATCAATGGATGAATAGATTTTGAAAAACGTGGTAGAGATACACAGTGGAATATCATTCAGCCTTAAAAAGCCAGAAATTCTGTCGTTTGCAACAACATTTTGTATCCTGCAAATGAGGATCCTACAAATGAGGATACAAAATGAGGTCATTATGTTAAGTATAATAAGCCAGGCACAGAGAGACAAATACCATGTGATTTCATTTGTATGTGGAATCTGAAAAATATGAACTCAGAAGTAGAGAGTAGAATGGTGATTGGCAGAGGCTGAGTGTGTTGGGGGATAGTATGGGGAAGGATGGATGGGGAAAGGAAAGACGTTGGTCAACAGACACAAAGTTGCAGTCAGATAAGAGGAATAGTTCTAGTGTTTGCACAGTAGGGTGATTATAGGTAATAATAATATATTGTGTATTTCAAAATGGTGAAGAGAGAGGATTTTAAATGTTCTCACCACAAGAAATGATAATTGGATGAGGTGATGGATATGCTAATTGCTTTGATTTGATCATTCTACCATATACACATGTATCAAAATATCACTTTGTACTCTATAAATATAAACAATCATTATTTGTCAGCTGAAAATAAAATGAAACAAAAAAAAAAAACTCTGTTCCTTTAAAGGCTCTCTTGGCACTAAGACCCATATGTTAGGGCTTTCCAGAGAAACAGGACTCATTTATCTATCTATCTATCTATCTATCTATCTATCTATCTATCTATCTATCTATCTAGAGTTGTTTTAAGGAATTGTCTGATGCACTTGTGGGGACCAGCAAGTCTGAAATCCATAGGGCCAGCCTGCAGGCTGGAGACTTAGGCAAGAGTTGACGCTCCAGTCTTTAGTCTGAATTCCACAGGGCAGCAGGCTGGAATTTAGGCAGAGTTTCTATGTTCCAGTCTTCAGGAGAATTCCCTCTCCTTCAGTCTTTGTGCTGAAAGCCTTCAACTAATTGGGTGAGACTTACCCACATCATGGAGGATAATTTGCTTTACTCAGTTTTACTCAAAGTCTAGTGATTAAAATATTAATCATATATAAAAGTATCTTCACAGCAATATCTAGACTGGTGTTCGACCACACAATTGAGCACAATAACCTAGACAAGTTGACACATAAAATCAATCAGACAGGAAACTAAATCTTTTTTGTCTTTCTACTTCCAGAGCCTTGAAAATGTCTAGAAAATAGTAGGTATGAAATAAATATTCATTTATTAATTAGTAAATAGTTCATTGCTTGCCAATTTAATAATAACTTTTCAAGGCAATGAGATTCCTGTTTCTATTTCTAGAGATGGGGACAAATATTGAGTGATTGTGAGATGAGAAGTTAAGCATACCTGCTTAGAGAAAGTTTATGATTACTGGAAATTCTAGAGTGTGAAGAATTTTATTCTTTGTGGAATATGATAGGATATTTTTTACTTCGTTCCACATGTGCCAAAAACTTAAAAATCTTCATTGGAAAGGAGTATGAAGCAGGATGAGCTGTGAAGCAAATTTAGAAACCAAAATTAATGACAAGTTGCTCACAAACCCCTCACCTGTCTAACGTCTTTTCTAAGTGATCATATGTTTTCCGTGGGAGCATATGCATGGGATGTATGTCTTTTTCTCTCCCTGTACTTTATTTGGTGTCTTTTTTACTCCCTGTACTTTATTTGAAAATCTGTCTGGAAGGGATGTTGGAATAGCAATGAGGAAGGAGCTGCCAGGTTTGGTGATTCATTTCTATATAGCCTGAGGCCATTTTTATTCCCAGGAGCCCATATAGAAATCATCATCTATGGCTGTTTCCTCATCTCTGTGCAGCCCTGCCTCCAGGAAACAGAGTCAGGAGGACTCAGTGAAATCTTCGGGAAATGTAAGAGTATAAGGAATGCAGAGGGTCCCCTCCCCACCCCTGCACATATCTCCCCTCCCCTCAAAGAAAACTATCTTGATAAAACAGTCAGGTATTACAGGATTTGTGAAAACTCATACTCCTGAAACCTTTTATAGCCAAGGTTCCCCAATAAATACTGAAAGACATTGGCAAGGTGGCTTGTGGCTATACAGCTGGAAGATGGAGAGAACCATAAACACACAGACCAAAGAGAAACCTTCCTTGGCTGGCCTGAGGGGAGGGAAAAATGATCTCATCTGCTTGTTCTGGGGAACAATGCATTGGCTACCATCTGGAAGTTGAGCTGGTGAGATTTGACAACTCATTACCAAGAACAAGAAGACATGATGGTAGACAGAAGTCTTACCCTCTGGAATCATGCCTTCCAAACAGAAGTGGCACCTACTTTTGAGTGAAGAGTGCCCTTCCCACCTAAGTTCTTGGTCATTAGATGAACTGTGAGGAACATCCATGCATTGACAGCTTATGTCCCTGCATTCTAATTTGAGTTCTAACAAGGAATCACTGAACCATGGCCAGGGGGGAAGAACATGGGAAATGGGTTCTGGCTTTCAGATCCTAGAGAAGTTGGAGATCTTCTACCCCTCAGCTTTCTCAGTTCCAAAGTGAGCAGGTGAGACTGGATGAGTTGTAAAGCCCCACAGAGTTGAGCTCATCTGTGTCTATGACTTGACATCTGGAAGAGTCAGGTAAGGACTAAGAAGGAGCCGGGCCTCAGGATGCTGAGCATTGTGTGTTTGTCCCACAGGATCCCCTCCCCTCCCCTCTCTAATCTTCTCCCCTAGAAGGACAGACCCTAGAGTATCCCCAATAATTCCTGCTGGTGTCCATGCCTGTGTGTTATTGGTAGGTGTCACCTGTGACTTGCCTCTAACCAAGAGAATATGGCAAAGGTGATGGGATTTCTCTCCCATGGGTCCATCACATTGTATAAGACTCCATCTTAGCAAACTGGAGCTGGAGGCTCCCCCTTGCTGGCTTTGGAGGAGCAAGCAGCCACATAGTGAGAGGGCCCAGGGAGGCCACATGGCAGGGAACTCTAGAAGCTGAGAGTGGACACTGATGACATCCAGCAAGAAAACAGGACCTCAGTCCTACAACTGCAGGAATGCAACTCAGCCAACAACCACAAGGTAGTGAATATTTCCCCAGTTGAGACTTTGATGAGAGCCCAGCCCTGGATTCTAGCATGATGAGACCCTAAAGGAGAGGACCCAGCTAATCTGTACCTGGGCTTGTGAGTTACAGAAACTGTAACATGACAAATGTTTTGTGACTTAACAAACTTTGCCCTAAGTTGCTAACATTATGTTTATTTATTTTGCAGCAAAAAGTTCTAATACATCTGCCTTTCTCTGTGCCTCATTTGGAATGGGCTCCCTTCCCTCTGACTTCCAGAGTTCAGCCAGTGGAAGCACTAGGAGATCAGAGGGTGAGAAGTGAAGGAAGTTTGGGAATTCAAACTCCCTTCCCTCTGTACAAGCAGCTCTCTCCATGTGGCCGCCCTCTTTGGAGTTAGGAAACTGTTTTCTTCCTTTGCTCTGCCAGGCTCTCCTGGCAGTTGCTACTGCCCCCAGAATACCTGACCGACCATTTCTTGTGCTTTCTCTGTACCTTCACCACGCTTTTTGCATGGTCTTTTTATTAACCTTTCCACAAATAACCCAGATAGATGAGTCATCTGCTTCCTGATGGGTCGTGACCAACACAGCAAGCCTTCAAGGAGACATATCACATGAGCTCCTTTCCTGCCCACAACGGATGAAAAGAGGAAAAGTGAAATTAGAACATCCACTACAGGCAGACTTAGTGCTTACAGATTGGTGGATAATTATTAAATTACTGTTTTGCACAACCTTGAAAAAATTGACTTGGGATTTGAAATGTAGATGCTGATGCCTTCTATTAACAGAGGCCAAATTTAGCCATTCCTGCAATAAAATTAATGACATACAAATTTCTAAATTAAGACCACATTTTTATGTGTATAGTAAAAACTGAGCACAGAAGAGGAAAACGGCTTTATGGACTCTGTTGATTTGGGATAAAATGAGCTTATTCCATGCTTGCTGCTGTGGTGGAGTGTCTCACATTGTATGATCTTTGTCACAGACGTCACTTATTGGGCATCAAATATGCCTACATTGTGTGATGCTCCAGTGCCTGCGCTGTACTCACCTAGTCTTGCAGAAAGGAGGTGGTTGAGGCTCAGAGGTGAACTCATTTGTCCAAATTCACCAACAGACTGGTTTGGCAGAACCTCTACTTAAACCTGGCTGTCTGACTCCCACTTTGCTTTCAGTACCAGCGAACCAATTCACATTATTACACAGTTCACCCAAAGAAAGGGAAGGTTTAGATTAGGCCTTGGATTGTGAAATGGGAGACTACTATTTATTCATAAAGGCAGTGATTTCAATCTCAGTGAAAGCTACTTGAAACAGATAATGTGCCTTTTATAAAGACACATAAATAGGTCCCTGTTCAGGAATATACCATCATTCTTTCCTGTTGTCTGTGATAAGCTGAGATGTGTTTTCAGGCCTGACATGTGCCGTAAGAAGCATGCATTAGCACATTTTGTGTCTTTTTATCATGGTGCCTATTGACTCAAGGAGGAAATGTTGCCTATTAAGTTTTACATTAACTAGAAACCTAATTGCTCATTAAGAAATGATTAACTTAATCCCAGCACTTTGGGAGGCTGAGGCGGGCAGATCACGAGGTCAGGAGTTTGAGACCAGCCTGACCAACATGGTGAAACCCCGTCTCTACTAAAAATACAAAAAGTAGCCGGGTGTGGTGATGCGGACCTGTAATCCTAGCTACTTGGGAAGCTGAGGCAGGAGAATCTCTTGAACCCGGGAGCCGGAGGTTGCAGTAAGCTGAGATCACGCCACTGCACGCCAGTCTGGGCAACAGAGTGAGACTCTGTCTCAAAAAAAAAAAAAAAAAAGATTTAACTTTGACATTGCCTCCAATGGCAGAGGGTGCACTGCTGTTGCTGTTCTTGCTACTGTTTTTATTTTTCCTAATTGTTCATTTAAAAACAACTTATGATTATAAATCATGCTGCTCTAAAGACACATTCACACGGATGTTTATTGTGGCACTATTCACAATAGCAAAGACTTGGAACCAACCCAAATGTCCAACAATGATAGACTGGATTAAGAAAATTTGGCACATATACACCATGGAATACTACGCAGCCATAAAAAAGGATGAGTTCATGTCCTTTGTAGGGACATGGATGAAGCTGGAAACCATCATTCTCAGCAAACTATTGCAAGGACAAAAAACCAAACACCGCATGTTCTTACTCACAGGTGGGAATTGAACAATGAGAACACGTGGACACAGGAAGGGGAACATCACACACCGGGGCCTATTGTGGGGTGGGGGGAGGGGGGAGGGAGAGCATTAATATGTTAAATGACGAGTTAATGGGTGCAGCACACCAACATGGCACATGTATACATATGTAACTAACCTGCATATTGTGCACATGTACCCTAAAATTTAAAGTATAATAATAAAAAAAAAAAAACTTATGAGGCAAAGCCTTTGGCTTCTCTTATGTGGAGGCTGAGACAGATGCAGCCCATGGCAACATCTCACCACAAACACTCAGAT
The DNA here is from genome assembly GCF_000001405.40 of Homo sapiens. NCBI lineage: Eukaryota > Metazoa > Chordata > Mammalia > Primates > Hominidae > Homo > Homo sapiens. The sequence goes on along the minus strand of NC_000002.12, from coordinate 129,501,048 downwards.
TTTAGGACACGGGCTTATCTGTGATAGTCAACAGTTTTTCCTGGAGTCATTCTCAAGCCATGAGAGGATGTGAAAGGAGTAGATATGTTGTCTTTCCTCCATTATGCTCCTCCCCTGCCTCAAGTGTCCCCAAGGGATGAGGCTCAGTGACATGGGTGTCATTTTTGGGATGAGCTATCATTCTTACATGAGCATCTGTCCCAACACGTAACAAATAGCTTGTGTGGCTCAGCTTTCTGGGATGTGGGTAGCTGATGCGAGGCTCCTGGAGAACCTGGGCCAGGATATTTAGGAACCGGATGTTTTCCCAGAACTCTGGGGGCAAAGACCACAAGTATGGGCTTCCCTGCAGTGCAGATGGAGATAGGGATAGGCTAGTCTAGGTTAACTTACCACAGATCAATCCATCAAATGGAAAATTCATCACGTTTCCCCGACGCTACCCATGTCTTACAAAGCTTTTTTCACTCAACTATTTATGACAATAACAGGAACTTACATTAGAAGTGTTGGTAAAGACCAATATGCTGTGGATGTTCGGGCAGAGTGTGTGGGCATAGACATTTCTCCCTTAAATCCAATTTTCACATCTCTGTCCTATCCTCTGGCCCTGTTTCACCTCTCTGTCTCTCAGTTCTCTCTGTTTTTCCCTTTTCTGTCCTTTATCTGCCTAATTTCCTGTCTGACCCTAGGAATCTCCTTTTCCTGTGTGATCCATTAATCTCCAAGGAGGGTAATATAGGCATCTGGATCCCTTGTGGGTCTCCTTCTTATAAACCTACTTTAGAAAAATATGTAATTCAGCCTCTGTGCTAATATCCATGCCAGGGTCTGAGCACAATTAAAAGAGAGCCTCCTTGTTGCCTTGTAAATCACACTTGGAAAAGGATTATTTGATCTATGATCTTGCTAAAATCATGAATGACAAGCAGATGTACCAAATGAAGTAGTCATATTACCAGATAAAATTATCTATATCAATTGTGAAGAAATACTGTATAATTATTTTTCTTGTTAAAAATCGATTAGAGTGCTTTGGGCTCCAAAGAAGAGAAACATGATTCATATTGGATTGAGCAATAAGGGATTTCACTGGTTCACAGCACAGGAAGTGGTGTGGTCGGTTGGAATTCATGTACCATTTCATGAAGGGACCTCTCTTGGCTCTTCTCAGTCTGGATTCTTCCCCTTTGTTTTTAGATGGCTGCAGTAATGCCAGGGTCCCCAGCTTTCCAATGTATTCAGAGTACCATCTTAATAGTAAGAGGCTTCCCATCCTGCAGGTGGACACAACCTAAATTACCTGTTCCCTGGGGCTGTCCATCTTCCTGTCTCAGTGCATTCCAAGGATGGGATTTTGGATACAAAGACACTTTCGTTGGTCTCTGCTGTTCCAGTCAGACCCATGCCCCTCCACACCCTCTCCCTGTGCTCTGTTCATCACACACCCCATGCCCACCAACACCCTTTGCTCAAGTTCTACTGTGTCCTAAATTCTCAGGGCTTCTACTCATCACTGTAAACAACACAAAACAAACACAGCCAACAATCCTAGCACCAAGCTGATTTGGATGCTTTAAAGTATAGGTCCTTCACCCAATAATTGCTGCCACACTTATTCTTATTCTAGTGGCTTTTAATGTTTATATTCTGTACTATGCAGTGACCATTTATTACATTAAATTGTAGCACTTTTGTATACTAAAGTTTGTATGTGTGTGCTTGTGTATTCTGTAGGGTTTTCTATGTACAAGATCATGTAATCTATAAATAGAGATAGCTTTGCTTCTTCCATTCTAATCTCAATGCATTTTATTCCTACGATTTTCTTTCCCAATTGCCCTGGTTAGCCCTCCAGTACAGTGTGAGGTGGAAGTAGTGAGAGGGGACATCTATGCCTTGTTGCCATTTTTAGATTTAGGTTTTTCATAGAGTCTCTTTTTCAACATGAGGAAGTTACTTTGAGTTCTTATTGTTCAATCTTTTTAATCTCAACAAGATTGTGTTAAATCATTTTTATGTATCTATTGGGATGAATATATGGATTATGTCCTTATTCTATTCTTATTATTTCTTAAATTGACTTTTCAGATGTTATATCAAACTTGCATTTCTGAAATAAACTGCACTTGATTATCTTTTTTTATATATTTCAGTATTCATTTTGCTACTATTTTGTTGAGGTTCTTTGCATCTATATTCATGAGACGTTGGTCTGTAGCTTCCATTTCTTGTGATGTCTTTGTTTTGTTTTCATATTAGAGTAATACTGGTCTCATATAATGAGATGGAAAGAGTCTTCTTATTTTGGAAAGAGTTTGTGAAAGATGGGGATTAATTTATCTTTGAGTGTTGGTTAAATTAACCAGTGAAGCCATCTAGACATGATCTTTTCTTTGTGGGGTATTTTAAATTACTCATTCTATATCTTGTTGTAAGTTTATTTCATTTTCTCTTTTTTCTTGAGTCAGTTTTGTGAGTTAATTCTTTCTAATAATTTGTTCATTTTATAGGTTATCCTTTTTTTTTTTTTGCCAGAGACTTTTTCATACTATTTCTTCATAGTACTACTTCCTTATAATCTCTGTTTCTGTAAAATTTTATTGAACTAAACTTTTTTAGAGACAGAGTTTTTGCTGTGTTGCCTAGGCTGGTTTTGATGTCCTGGGCTTAAGTGATCTTCGTACCTCAGCCTCCTGAGTAGCTGGGTCTACAGGTACCTGCCACATGCACCTAGCCTAATCTCTGTTTTTGTTTTTTAAATAAATTTCTGTAAAGTCAGTAAGGATGTCCTCTCTTTTATTCTTAATTTCATTAATTTGAGTTTGTCTTCTTTATTCTTGATCAGTCTTGCTAAAGAATGGTTAACCTTTATCTTTTCAAAAGTACAGTTGTTGATAGTGTTGATTTTCTCTACTGTTTTTATGCTCTCTGTTTCACTTAAACCCAATCACATATTTATTATTTCCCTCTTATGCTTGCTTTGGGTTTAGTTTGTTCTTCTTTTTATGGTTTCCTAAGGTTGAGAGTTAACCTATTGATTTTGCCTCTTACTTTAAAATTTTTTATTATGTATATTTAAGGCATACAACATGAGGTTTTGACATACATATATAGTAAAATGATTGCTACAGACAAGCAAATGAACATATCCATCACAAACACAAGGTTACCTCTTTTTGATCTATGTGGGTGTGTAGCAAGAGCACCTAAAGTGTACTTTCTTAGCAAATTTCCATTATGCAGCACAATATTATTGACTATAGTTCTCATGTGTACATCAGATTTCTAGGCTTATTCATCCTGGATCAATGCAGCTTTATACACTTTGATTTATGTCTTTCCATTTTTCTCTTCTCCCATAACCACTATTCTACTCTGTTTCTATGTATTCGGCTCTTATTTTTTTAATATGCATTTACAGCTATAAAATTCTCTCTTAGCTGCATTTTATAAGTTTTGGCAATTTTTCTTTCATTGGCCATCCATTTCAAAGTATTGTCCAATTTTACTTGTGATTTATTGTTCAATTTGTTGGTTATTTAAGAGTATGTTATTACTTGCCACATGTTTGTGAATTTACCAAATATTTTCCTGTTATTGATTTCTGATTAATTACTTGTGGTGGGAAAACGTACTTGTATAATTACAGTTCTTTTAAATTTATTGAGGCTTTTATGTAGACTAGCATATGGTTTATGCTGGAGAATATCTCATATGTTCTTGAAGATAATATGTATCTTGCTGCTGTTGGGTGGAATGTTCTGTCAATGTTTGCCAGCTCCATTTGTTTTTTAATGTTGTTCAGGTCCTCTACAGTGTTGTCTTTCTTTGCTGATCTTATGTTTAGTTATTATAGCTATTATTGAAAGTGGATTACTGGAGTCTCCATCTGTTCTTAAATTGTCCATGCCGTTCTTCAATTCTGTCAGGTTTTTTTTCTCCTGTATTTTGGGATTGTATTGTTTGTTAAGTGCACATATATTTGTAATTGTTAGATCTTCAGTCAATCAATCTTGACTGATTATTTTTTCTTTTTTTGACAATTGTTATTTAGTTTTTATTTCATAATCATAAACTTAACTCAAGTCTGCAATCCAGCTATGCATGGAAGGGAACAAGGAAAACATGGAACCCAAAGGGAACTGCAGCTAGAGCACAAAGATTCTGGGATACTGTGAGCAAATGGGGTGGAGGGGTGCTCTCCTGAGCTACTGAAGGAATAGTCTGGTGGTTAAGATAAAACACAAGTCAAACTTATTAGAGATGTCCATAGTCAGCAATGGTGATCTTCTTGCTGGTCTTGCCATTCCTGGACCCAAAGCGCTATGTGGCCTCCACAATATTCATGCCTTCTTTCATCTTGCCAAAGACCACTTGCTTGCCATCCAACCACTCACTCTTGGCAGTGCAGATGAAAAACTGGGAACCATTTGTGCTGGGTCCAGCATTTGCCATGGACAAGATGCCATGACCTGTATGCTTTAGGATGAAGTTTTCATCATCAAATTTCTCCCCATAGATGGACTTGCCACCAGTGCTGTTATGGTGTGTGAAGTCACCACCCTAATACATAAACCCTGGAATAATTCTGTGAAAGCAGGAACCCTTATAACCAAATGCTTTCTCTCCAGTGCTCAGAGCACAAAAGTTTTCTGCTGTCTTTGGAAACTTGTCTGCAAACAGCTTGAAGGAGACGTGGCCCAAGGGCTCGCTGTCAATGGCAATGTTGAAGAACACGGTGGGGTTGACCGTGGCTGATAGTACAGGGCTCCTGGTGGCAGCGGCATCTACAAAGGCTTTAATAACATTTTTGTTGAAGTCTATTTTGCCTGTTGTTATTATAGACATTTCAGCTTTCTTTGCTTATTGTTGGCATGTTACATTATGTCTCATGCTTTTACTTTCAATCTGTTTATTTCTGTTAATCTAAAGTGTGTCTCTTGTAGAAAGAATATACATAGACATTGTTTTCATTTTTTATGCATTGTGTAAAACTGTTTTTTAATTAGAGTGTTTAATTCATTTACATTTAATGTCATTACTGATAAGGTAAAATTTACTTTTATCATTTTGCTATGTGTGTTTTGTGTGTCTTATTTCTTCGTTTTTCTATTGCTGCCCTACTGACTTTTTTGTCTTAAGTAAAAATTTTCTAATGTAGCATTTCAATTCCCTTTTTGTTTCCTTTATTATGAGTTTTGAGTTAGTCTTAATGGTCACCCTGGATATTACAATTAACATCTTAATTTATAGCAAACTAACCTGAATTAATATTAACTTAATTCACTTGTATATTGACACTTTGCTCCTGTATAACTTCATTTCTTCTCTACTGCTTAGTGCTATTATTGTTATACAATTACATCTTTATGCAGTCTAAATTAATCAACACAGCATTCTAATAATTGCTTCACACTGCTGTCTTTTACATCAGACAGGAGAAGAATTACCGAAAAATACATTTACTTCTTTCTCTCTGACTTGATGACTTTTATTTCTTTCTCTTGCCTAATTGCTCTGGCTAGAACGTCCAGTATACGTTGAATGGAAGTGGCAAGAGTTCACATTTTTGTCTTTTTCCTCGTCTTAGAAGAAAAGCTGCTGGATTTTCACTGTAGAGTAGGATGTTAGATGTGGCTTGTGATATATGACCTTTATTGTGTTGAGGTATATTCTTTCTATACCTAATTTTTTGAGAGTTTTTTTTATCCAAGAATGATGTTGAATTTCATCACAAATTTTTCCGTATCGTAGATGATCATATAATTTTTTGAGAGAGTTTTTTTTTTAACATTATTTCAATATGATATATCACATTTGTTCATTTGCTTAAGGTAAAGTATCCTTGCATCCCAATAATAAATCCTACCTGATCATGGTGTATGATCCTTTTAATGTGTTGTTGAACTTGGTTTGTTAGTACTTTGTTGAGGATTTTCTGCATTTTGAATCTTACTTTTGGGTATTTATCCAAACAAAATAAAATCAGGATATCAAAGAGATGTCTGCACTCCCCTGTTCATTGCAGCACTATTCACAATAGCCCAGATATGGAAACAGCCTAAGCATCAGTTGATGAATGAATTGATAAAGCCAAATGTGATGTGTATGGAATATACATTCTATTCAGACTTAATAAGGAAAGAAATTCTGCCATTTGTAACAACACAGATAAACATGGAGGATATTATGCTAAGTAAAATAAGGCAGACACAGAAAGACCAATACTTCATGATCTCACTTCTACGTGAAATCTTTAAAAAGTCGAACTCATGGTAATAGAATAGAATGGTGGTTGTCAGGGGCTGGGGGTGGTAGAAATGGGGAGATGTTGGTCAAAGGGTATAAACCTGTAGTTATAAGATGAATAATTTCTGGAGGCCTAATGTACAGCTGGGTGTTTATAGTAATAATAATGTATTGTCTACCTGAAATTTGCTGAGAGTAGATCTTAAGTATTCTCACCACACACTCAGAAAAGACAACTTTGTGAGGTGGTGGATGTGCTGATTAGCTTGATTGTAGTAAGCATTTCACAAGGTATACATATATCAAAACATCACACTGTATACCTTGAATATATACAATTTTTGGCTTTCAGTCATACCTCAATAAAGCTGAAAAATACATTTTTGCTGTTCTTTATATTTACACATAAAATGTAGGTATTTTGCTGGTGCTCTTGTGTCCTTTGTGGACATCTGAGTGACTTTATAGTATGCTTTCAAAGTAGCCTGAATTACTCCCTTTATTATTTCTTTGTAGGGCTAGTGACAAATTGTGTTTTTGTTTATCTGCGAATGTCTTATTTTTTTTCCTATTTTTTGAAAAATATATTTTCTCAATGGCGAATTATCGGTTTATAGTCTTATTTCCCCAGAACTTTGAATAATGCATCTGCTTCCCTCTAGCTGCCATGTCTTTTGACGATGAGACAGCTGTTAATCTTACTGAGGAAGCCTTGTCCATGAGGAGGCCTCTTTTCTTCTCTTTTGAGATTCTCTTGATGATTTGATGTGTTATGATATGGATCTCCTTGAGTTTATCTTACTTGGAGCTATTGAGCTTTTTAGACATGCCCATTAATGTTTGTCATTACATTAGAAAGATTCTGGCCACTATTCCTTCAAATATTTTTTCTGCACTCCTATCCATCCCCCTGCTGGGATTCTGATTATGTGTATCACAGCTGGTGGATGATGTTCCACAGGTCTCTGATCCTCTGTCCCTTCTTCTTCATTCTTTTTCTTTCTCTTCCTTAGATTGTATAATATCATTTGATCTATCTTCAAGTTCATCAATTCTTTCTTCTCCAGCTCAATCTGTTGTTGAGGCCCTCGAGTGATTATTTTATTTCAGTTATTGTACTTTCAAATTTCAGAATTTGTATTCAGTATTTGGTTGTAATATCACTCTTGGTTAATAATCTCTATAATATCTCTCTTCATTCATAATCTCTATTTGATGAGACTATTGTCATATTTTTCTTCTATTGTTTACACATGGTTTCCTTCAGTTTCCTGACCATAGTTGTAATAGCTTATTTAAGTGGTTTTTTTTTTTTTTTGAAACCTCAGCATCCTAATAGAAAGTATCTGTTGACTGCTCTCCCCATCCCGGTTGATGGCCCATACTGTCCTGTTTCCTTGTATGTTTCATATAGTTTTGTTGAAAGTGAGACATTTTAGATACTGCAATGTGGCAACTTTGGAGATCAGATCCCTCCCCCTCCCACCCCAAAAAACAGTTTGTTGTTGCTACTGTTTCTGTTTTGTTTCTATTATTGCTGTTTGTTTATTAAGTAACTTTTCTGCACTAATTCTGTGGAGTCTGAATTCTCTGTAGTGTGCAAGCCACGAACTCTTTGCTCAGTTACCTTGGTGGTCAGGCAATAATTGAACAGAGGTTTCCTTAAATTCCTTGAACTGATAAGCCTTTGCCCCTCTGCGGAGGCACCCTGTGCGATTGCTGAGGCACATGGCAACATGAATACAGTCTGTAACTGCCTGTGCGTGTCCTCAAGGGCAGCCGCAGGTGAGAGCCCAGGGTTTGGCCAGGTCTCACCTGGGCATGGTCACAGCACCCCCCCGACAGAAGCCCTTCCAGGACCCCAGGAATATGTCAGAGCTCCTCAATCCCCTTCATCCTCGGCCCCATGCTGGGCCTTTTGCTCCCTGTGTCTCCCTTTTCATGATTTGGCCAGGATCTCATTTGCCCCAGCTGGCATTGCAGCCTCAGGCAGCTGTGACATTTAAGCACATGTCATTCATGATTTGAGAAATGGCTTGTGAATGGGATTTTTCCACAGACCTGTGAGACAGGCCAATTAGTGACGTAACTCTGAGGATGGGACTTTTTGAGTCACTCCAAATACAATTTCCCCCTTTCCGATGGTTCCATGGCTGCTGGTTTTCACAGGCACTGTGGCTGTGAGGCTTTCCAGGCTCCCTGAGCTGGGCAAGCAGAATGAGGTGTGGCAGGTTATGTTGCCGCAAGCCCCACTGTTCTGACTGAGGTGCGGTGTTCTAGAATAAATTCTCCTGCAATTGTTGCAAACATGGTTAATTTCCAGAGCTCTACAAAAGTTTATTCGGACAATTTTTGCGAGTACTTTTGATGCTTTATGGAAGGGCTGATTTACGCTAGCTCTCAGTGCACCATTCCAGAATTCCTGCTTTTTTTTTTAACCTCATTTCTCCTATAGCACAGTGCCATGCTCGCCAGACCAGTGCCATGCACGCTCCTGTGACTGAGGGAGCTGTGATGTCTCAGTGCGTGCTCAATATCACCAGCTGGTAATCAACTGGCTCTCATATCTGCCTGTCCATCCTCTTTAAAATGTACGATTTGGCCAGGTGCAGTGCTCACACCTGTAATCCCAGCACTTTGGGAGGCCGAGGCGGGTGGATCACCTGAGGTCAGGAGTTTGAGACCAGCCTGACCAACATGGAGAAACCTCGTCTCTACTAAAAATACAAAAATTAACTGGGCATGGTGGCAGGCACCTGTAATCCCAGCCACTCGGGGGGCTGAGGCAGGAGAATCGCTTGAATCTGGGAGGTGGAGGTTGCAGTGAGCCAAGATCGCGCCACTGCACTCCAGCCTGGGCGACAAGAGCAAAACTCCGTCTCAAAAACAAACAAACAAAAAATGTATGATTTGCCCTTCACAGACCAAAGGAGTCCAGTGTCCTTCACCCAGGAGCTGCACATATCCCTTCAGGTCTGTGATTCACTTTTGGCTGCTTTACTGGGCTAGATCCAACCCATGACTGTCAGTCATGGAGAATCCCAGAAGCAACAGCACTGGCTCTTCCTCCAATTTACGTATCTGTTCTGGCTGGTTCTAGTATCCTGGGTATCTTTTTCCTTTTTTTTCCCTTTTTTCCTTTTTCTTTACCAATTGTTGGAAATGATGAAGTCAGCATTCTGGCACAGCCATGCCTGCAGCTAAAGTCATGGAAATATTACCCACATCTTATCTAGTAAACATATATTTCATTTCACTCCTGACCTTTCTTTCCCAGGGAACAAAGTCTTAGTGATGTCATATTGCATATTCAGCAGAGTTCCGAGCTGTCCTCAGACAGTCTCTTGGTGAACTTTGCATTAGGGTGTGTGGGTGCAGGGCAAAAGCCCAGCTGTCAAGGAGAGAGTCACTCATTCAGGATATTCTCCTCCCAGTTGGAACGGCCTTCTTTCCCCTCTTCTCTGACCTGGGGAGCTGGTGTTACTCAGGCTCTGCTCTGGCCTCTCTGACAAGCCACGGCTTTTATAGGAGCGCTCTTCTCCAGGCAGATTGAGTTCTTTCTCTGGAAAATAGTACTTGGATTTAATTTTGAGTGCAAACATGACTGGTCCCTGCAGCTGAGGGATTGCAAAGGAGGAAAAGGGTCTCAACATCTGCTCAAGTAAATACCTGCATTAGACAGAACAGACTACCCTGCCGAGGAACAAATTCAACCTGGCCACCTCTGTGGCTTCATATCAAGGGCTTATTTCTCACTCATTTAAATTCTGATGCAGTTTTCCGGGAAGCGGTGGCCCATGCAGACGCAGAGATCTAGTTGGCTCCATCTCGTGGCTCTGCCATGACAACCCAGGGCCTCACTGTTGCAGCTGTGGGAGGGTGAGGGGGACTCAGGCTCACTCTTCTGTGCCTCAGCATGACTGGCACATGGATGCTGGAATCACCTCTCCTCACGCCCTGCTGCACAGAAGCAGTCACATGGTCCTCCCTTGTAGCATGGCTAGGAGGAGTTTTCTCCCCATGTGCCCATGAGGAAGAGGAATTTCCATGCGGCTTAGCACAGAAGCCTTATGGCTCCACCCCAGGGTTCGCTGTGGCCTTGTTGTTTGACTCACAAACTTGGCTCAGAATATTTGTGAGATTTGACACCACATTTCTCCCCAGCACACTTTAGGCTAAGATTCTCTTCCCTCTGATTTCTTCTCAGGATGAGCCTCTCTATTTAGCATCTTCCAGGAATCTAAAAAATTTTGGTTTGCTAAGAACTCCCTTATTTTCTATGTAGTATTGTGATCTAAATAAGGCCCCCTGAGGAACTTTTCCTTATTTTAAATTATTTTTCTTAATTTTCAAGTGATTTTGGACAGAGAGGGGAAGGAGTTCACTCTCTTGTATAACTGCATTTGTACTTTGAGGATTGCTTGGTGCCCATGCCCCACCAAATTCTAGAACTTCCTGGGTACACGGACCACATCCATTTTGCTGACACAGTGCCTGGCACACAGTACGCATCTGGTGTTTATCTGCTGAATGAACAACTATCTATGGTGGGAGAGGTATGGAAAGAACCCTGAGAGAGGCCGTGGAGCAGCGCAGTCGGCTGCATGGCGTTGATGCCTCAGGCCTTGGCTGTTAAAACTGCGAACTCTTCCCATTTAAAGCGAGAATAGCACACAGGTAAATATGTGGTCATGTGAACAAAAAACTTGAGGTTCAACTTAAAATTCACTAGAGTTGAAAAGGAGTGGCTCAACGAATAAAAAAAAAAAAATAGAGCTACCAATCCCATTACAGGGTATATCTCCAAAGAAATGAAATCAGCATAGGAAGAGATGGTGGCACTCCCATATTGGTTGCAGCACCATTCACAATACCCAAGATATACACTCAGCTGGCCGGGCACCGTGGCTCATGCCTGAAGTCCCAGCACTTTGAGAGGCTGAGGCGGGTGGATTACCTGAGGTCAGGAGTTTGAGATCAGCCTGGGCAACATAGTGAAACCCCGTCTCTACTAATAATACAAAAAAAAAAAAATAGCCAAGTATGGTGGCGTGTGCCTGTGATCCCAGCTTCTCAGGAGGCTGACACAGGAGAGTTGCTTGAACCTGGGAGGCGGAGGTTGCAGTCAGCCAAGATCACACCATTGCACTCCAGCCTGGGCGACACAGGAAGACTCCATCTCAAAAACAAACAAACAAACAAACAAACAAACAAACAGATATGCACTCAGCCTAACTGTCCATCACTGAATGGGAGGAGAAAGAGAATGTGGTATAAACACAAAACAAAATACTACTCAGCCTTAAAAAAGAAGGAAATCTTGCCATCTGTGACAACGTGGATGAACTCAGAGGACATTATGATAAGTGAAATGAACCAGGAACAGACACATGCTGCATGACCTCACTTATGTATAGAATCTCGAAAAGATGAACTCACAGGAGCAGAAAATAGAATGATGGTTGTCAAAGGCTAGGAGGAGATATTAGTGAAAGGGTGCAAAATTTTAGTCAGACTGGAGGGATAAGTTCAAAAGATCTACAGTCCATCATGGTGACTACAGTTAATAACAACATATTGTATACTTGAAAGTTACTACAAAGTAGATTTTAAGTGTTCTCACCAAAAAAATTATATGTGAGTTGATAGATATGATAACTGGCTTAGTTTAGTCATTCTACGATGTATATATACTTCAAAATATCATGTTGTACACCATAAATATATACAATTTTTATTTGTTAATAAAAACACTACTACCAGTTCTCCCCACACCCCCAAAAGGAAACAAAAGGAATGGCCGCAAAGCACACTGACTGTCAGAACATGGCTCTGAGTTGACCCCATGCTGCATGCGGGTCATGTGACCTTAGGCCACTCAATGAATCACTTTTTGCTTAGCTTTCCCATCTGTACAGCGGGTGGACAAACATGGTCTCTGGTCTGTATATCCTGCAAGTGTGTTCTGATGATCAAACCCTCTGCCTATGGTAGGGCAAGTTCCTTTACAAGCTTAGCATCTCTGCAAGTATCCAGGGCATTGCGGGGACCCCTGCTCTGTGGAAACCATCAGTACTTGCAGGAGTATTTTGTCGCTAGCTCAGCCTACCATCTGTCTGAACTCGCTGCCCAAGTCAGGAAAGCACAAGTGACGTTTCCACAAAACTAGATTGAACTAGAATTAGCTGGCTTAGTTGTCAGCTTGGTTTCATTTCAGCTCAGGTGAATGAAGCTTTTAATGAAATCTGTTCTTATAGTCTTAATGTCCCCCACAGGCACTTAAAGAGTATTATTATTCCAAGCAGAACCATTTGGCATGAGAAATAGAATTGATGGCATTTTAGAATTATGGGGAACAATCAGCATTGGAAGATACTGAAAGAAAGTCAACATAAAACCAGGCAGAGTCTTGAATTGTCTGGGGAGGAACAGAGATTTCTGATGTTCTGAGGAGTGTCCCAGCATCAAGACTGGGAGGCAGCTGGGAGAAGGGAGTTGGTGGCACAGTGAAAAGGACCTGGACTGGGGTCCCCAAGTCCTAATAGTTGTGAACTAGATCACATGTGGCCCTCCTCAAGCAGACCTGAATGTGCATTATGTCACTTAGCTGGGGCCTGAGCAGCAGGTCACAGAAGGAGTGGTTCTGGATGTGGCCATGGAAAGAGGAGTCCAAGCATCTGTAGGGATGGTCTGCATTTTCCTCCCACTTAGGGTGCAGCTTTCCATCTCTTCCGCAGGCCCTGAGTGCACAGGCAGCTTTGCCAACCCACTAGGGGCTCCAGAACACACCTCCTGCTTTAGCACCTGCACCCTTGCTGTGAGGATCTGTGTGCACTTCCCTTCCTTTAAGTCCTGGCTTAGACATCCCACTCCTGGAAATGCTCCCCTCAGCCCACTAAGCAGAAACCACCAGCCACTGTTGTCATCTCCCAAGGGAGAACATCGAGTCTCCAAGAGATCAAGGCTTTTGCTCTCAAAGCTCATTTGGACTGAGCAGGCATTCACACTGCACAAACTCAAATGGATGCCGAAAACTCTAGAAATGTTTTAAAATTTCAATAGCATTAGGGGTACAAGCTAAATTGAATTGTATAGTGGTAAAGTCTGGGCTTTTGGTGTACCTGTCACCTGAAGAGTGTTTATTGTATCAAATAGGTCATTTTGTGTTCCTTGTCCCCCTCCCACACTCCCCCCTTTGAATCTCCAATGTCCATTATACCACTCTGTATGCGATTGCATACCTATAGGTTAGCTCCCCCTTACAAGCAAGAACATGCAGTAATTGGTTTCTGTTCCTCAGTTACTTCACTTAGGATAATGGTCTCTGGTTCCATCCAAGTTGCCACACAAAACATTATTTTGTTCTTTTTTGTGACTGAGTAGTATTCCATTGTGTGTGTGTAATACACACACACACACATTTTCTTTATCTTCTCATCTGCAATTGTGAATTGTGCTGCAATAAACATACAAGTCCAGGTGTCTCTTTGATATGATAGCTTCTTTTCCTTTGGGTGGGTACCGAGTAGTGGGATTGCTGGATCCAATGGTAGTTCTACTTTCAGTTCTTTGAAAAATCTCCACACTGTTTTCCATAGAGGTTGTACTAGTTTACATTCCCACCAACAGTGTATAAGCATTCCCTTTTCACCATATCCATGCCAACATCTACTGTTTTTTGACTTTTTAATAAGGCCATTCTGACTGGGGTAAGGTGATATTTAACTTTGTTTTAATTTGCATTTCCCTGATGATTAGTGATGCTGAGCAATTTTTTCATACTACTGTCGTTCACTTGTATATCTACTTTTCAAAAAGGTATGCTCACGTTGATTGTGATTATTCGTTTTTTTCTTGCTGATTTGTTTGACTTCCTTATAGATTCTGGATATAAATCCTTTGTCAGACATACAATTTTTGAATATTTGCTCCCATTCTATAGGTTGTCTATTTACTCTGTTGAGTATTTCTTTTGCTGTGCAAAACGTTTTAGCTTAATCGTCTCATTTATTTTGTTGTTGTTGCATTTGCTTTTTGGGTATTAGTCATAAATTCTTTGCATACACAGGCCAATGTCCAAAAGTGTTTTTCCTAGATTTTCTTTTAGGATTTTTATGGCTTCAGGTCTTACATTGAGTCTTTAAGCCATCTTGAGTTGACATTTGTATATGGTGAGAGGTAGTGATGCAGTTTCATTCTTCTGCATGTGGCTATCCAGTTTTCCCAGCACCATGTGTTCAGTGGGGTGTCTTTTCTGTAGTGTATGCTTTTGTCTGCTTAAAATCCATAATTTTTCTGAGTCTTGCCTATAGACCTGTGTCATGTGAGCCTCTTGCATTCCTTTGGAAGGGGATCGCACACTGACCTTGTGCCATCTGTGCCCTTCCTATGGTACAAGGAGCCTGTCGGCCAAAGAAATTTGTCTGCTTGGAATAAAGATATCCTTCCTTCTAGATATAGACTCCTTTCCTGACCTAGGTGAGCCTCTTGCTTGGGCCTGCCCTCCTGAAGGTTGCCTCTGACACCAAAGTGTGCAAGTGTGTGCCTGATCCCTGACTGGGGCAGGAGTTAAGTGATGCAGAGGGTGGGGTGGAGCTTGGACAGGCAGATTCAAGTGTCTGCCCTGCATGAGCCCAGCCCCATGGAGTAGGACAGTGCTGGTGTGGGGAGAGGACCAGTCAAGTTAAGCCTCAGGGCAGACAGGACCTATAGCTGGTGCTCACCCTGCTGCTCTCTTCTGGCTCAGATCTCTGAGGAGTCCAAGAATTTTAAATTTGAATCTCATCTTCCCGGTTGTTATGAAGGAATACTCATTAAAGACGAAAGGTAGAACATAAATTGCTCAGCAATTTATTAACTTGACTTAGCATTTTAAACTATTTGGACATATGGTTCCTGCACCTCCATTTGTGTTCTTGCCCTGAACCCTACAAATGTCAGGAGGCCTGTTTCTAACACAAAACACCACCCCTCAGAGAATGATGGCTCTATCTTGTGCATTTTAAGCGGCCTCCATCTATTAACCTCTTAGGCCCATGAGCAAAGGCACACATGGCCTAATTCACTGTGCATTCCAGCACCTGGCCCTGGAGACAGCCGTACGCTGTTTTGACTGAATGGAGCCAGGCCTGGAGGGTCCACAGAGCAGGGGTTTTTCATTCTCTATCTTTGAAGAACAATGAACAAAGAATGGAGCTATTAAATGTTTGCTCAAAACCCTGGGAAACAAAATGGCTCTGTATGGGAAGAATGAAAGGGCCTGAGTTTGTAGAAGGCCCTTGACTTAGGCCGAGCATGACATCAGGGAGGGACAGCCCATGGGGAGGAGGCTGCTATAGACAGGCTTCCATGAGAGCCTCTCCACTGTCACAGAGCACCCCTGAGTTTGGTAGAACTTACTGAAGCAATTGTGGCTATAGGGAGACTCCTGCCGCTCAGTGGCCTTCCATTCCATCCTCCCTGCCTTCCTCACCCACTCTCTGGACTACCCAGAGGACTCCTGATGACTCTCCCTCCCCATCTCCGTTGTCCACCCTTACCTGCCTGGCCCACCACCAGGGCTTCCCACACGGCCAGCTCCACCCTCCACAAAAGGAGCTCTTCTCATCAACACCATCAACAGCAGGGCTGTCTTCTTTGTTAACAGATGCTCGCTCGTGGAGCAGCAAGCACTCAAAGGCTCACTTGGGTGGGACTTCTTAGCAGTCTTTCCTGCTTGACTGTTCTTACATAAACTTTCTGTTTATTGCATGTGATCACATACCTCGACCCTCTGTCATGTGTGGTGCTGGGAATATCATATCAGTTCCCAGATTTTATTTCCACAGCAACTCTGTGAGATACGCACTGTCATTACCTCTGTATTGCAGGCAAGAATGCAGTCTCAATCTCAGAAAGGTCACAGACAGGCATTTGAAATCACCTGGTAAATAAATAAATGGCAAGGGGCTGGGCACGGTGGCTCACGCCTGTAATCCTAGCATTTTGGGAGGCTGAGGCAGGTGGATCAAGAGGTCAAGAGATGGAGACCATCCTGGCCAGCATGTTGAAACCCCGTCTCTACTAGAAATACAAAAATTAGTCCCACATGGTGGCGGGCGCCTGTAGTCCCAGCTACTCAGGAAGCTGAGGCAAGAGAATTGCTTGAACGCAGGAGGTGGAGGTTGCAATGAGCCAAGATCACGCCACTGCACTCCAACCTGGTGACAGAGCGAGACTCCATCCCAATAAATAAATAAACAAATAAATAAATAAATAAAATAAAATAAAAAAATGGCAAGACCAGGCATCAGCTGAACCCACACGTTTAATTACTACCATACCTTGTCTGGCACTCTTATGGAACTTTTCCTTTCTATCAGTTTTCCTGTTTCAACTCTCAGTGACCTCCTGAGGAGCAGGGGCTGGATGGACCTGGTACCTCCAGGATCCTCGTGTTCATCCTCCTCCCTAGTATTACAAGAGCTCAAGATATTAGTTGGGTTATTTTGCTAACAACTAATAGGTTAGAGGTATTTTTGATCATTTGACAAGGGGCAGAAGTCCCAGGACTCTTAGGCTGATTTTCACACTGCTGTCACCTGCACACACTCAGGAAGAACACGCTGTAGTGCGACTTTGTTCTGGGGATGCTGCTGTGGTCTTCCAGGGCCATGTAGATCAGTGGAGCACATGCATGTGCCATTAAACACACAAAGGGACACTCATGTCCATTTAAAAGAAAGGTTATTGCCGCTGCATCAGACAGACATGAGCTTGACAGCGCTCAGCTCTGCCCCTTAACAGCTATTTGACGGTGGACAGGATTCTGAACATTTTTTGCATATTATCCTCTTAAAAGACTTCTGGAAAAACTATTGATCAGGTACAGCTAATTTGTTAAACCTAGTTGAAATAAGGGAGAGCACTCCCTTAACTAAGTCTGAGCAGAAAGAGGAAAATGGGGGAGGACTCAGGTTGGGGCTGATTGGCATCAGACAGAGTGAAGGAGAGTGGCTTTGAAATGATGGCAAGTGGAGGGCCTGCAGTGAGCCTGGTTGACAGCCGGCTGACAGTCCTACCTCCCAGGAGTCAGTATTTCCTGGAGCAAGCTGCTGAGTGACTTCTGCTTGTTTTTTTTAGCATGATTTTTTTAACAGAGGAACAGGGAAGGATGCTCAGCAGAGTTTAGATGGGGGCTGGGAGTTACACTGTTTTCGGTTCCCACTTTCTAAAATGAGTCCCTAGCAGGGAGCCCTACACATGGTGGGCATGTGGCCCAGTGCCTATCACAGATCATTATAGTGACTGCATCATGTGTGACGGTGCAGGCAATGAAAGTAGGAAGTGTTGCAGTTTCATGCTGGGGCAGGTGTTAGAGTTTTGGAGTATGGTCCGAGCACATCTACATTGGGAGATGCCTTGAGGGGCAACTCCTTCATCTGGGAGATGTGATCTGGAGAAAAAATGCCGAGAGTCTTCATAGAGGAATTATTGGCCAAACAAGATTTTGAAGGAAGAGTGTGCCCAGTGGAAAAGAGGAGGAAAGACCTTCAAGATAGAAGTAGTGATTTACTCAAAAGCACTTGGTGGGATCTAGAATGCCATGGACTAGAATGGGAAAGGTTATTCTGGCTAAAGTATAGCAGAGGAGTGAGGCAGGAATGTTGGCCTCCTCAGCACTCAGTAACAAGTTACTCCGCAGGAAATTGTTCCCTGGAGGTCACTGCTGTGGCCTGACATGCAAAGATGTAACCAAGGCGAGGTGAGAAGCACATTTGTCCTTTTGCACCCAGAACAATGACAGCCTGGGTAAGTCTGTCCTTGAGTGTGCTAGACCTGAGAGCACTCCTTCCTTAGAGGACAGAACCCTAGAAGGGCAAGTTCAGGTTTGGGGACAGAGAGGCCCAGTGTGTCTCCGTCGGCCTGGGCAGATGCTGCGACCACGCAACAGCAGACTCTTCAGGCAAAGGCATCCTCCAGGACGTGGTAATTTCATGGTGGTCCTGGTGTTGCTGTCTCCATGGGCCAACCCTGCACTGGGACAGTTTCTTCCCCAGACTTGTACTTGCACCAAGTTAGGCAGGGGATTGGCATAAGCCTGGGAACATCAGTTTCTCCATCACGTTTGTAATTGATGAAAGATTGCTGGGGCAGTGGAGATGACAAAAGCCACCCATAACTCTCAGTGGTTCATGACAAGGCAGGAATCCTCATATGGCACTGGGATTCACCCTTGTTAACCTACAAGCAACAACTCTTCTAGGAGTGTGTATACTTTGCTCGGGAGTATGGCTTTTTGATTGTTTGTTTTTAAGGAGCATTCTGGGATGGCTCCTAGTTTGATTAAAAAATATTATACATGTGCATATTTAATATACATATTTATTTGATGTCTTTAAATACACAGGCTTAGATATGTTTTTACCATGTAGATTACTTTAAAAGGTATTCAGATTTTTGAGTACAGTAAAAATGGATTCTCTTTGGAAGAAAAGCATTCCCCATTATAAAAGTAGGAGATGTTCATTTTAGAAAATAGGAAAAGCTGTCTCTGGTCCTACTACCACAATTTAACAATTGTTAAGATTTGGTTCACTCTTTTCTTCTTCCTTTTAAAAATATATATGTTTTAATTTTAATTGCCCTGTTGAGATATAAGCCACCAATTTAAAATGTATGATGCAATTCTTTCAGTACATTCATAGAACTGTGCAACCATCACCACAATCTAAGTTTACAGCATTTTCATTTCCCTCAGAAAAATCCCCTACCAATTAGCATTCTACCCCCAGCCCTCACCCACCCAACCTTAATCAAGCACTAATTAGGTGGGGTGGCTCCACTGGATCCATTCCCACGGTAGCTCATTCCCACGTCTGGCAAGTGGGTGCTGACCGTCAACTCCATCCACCATGGAGTGCCTTGTGCATCCCCATGACATGGTACCTGGGTTCAAGAGTGAACCTCCTGGGGCAGGAGTGGGAGCTGCCGGTTTCCTAAGGGCTGGACCTGGATCTTGGCTCAGCATGACTTCTGCATAATACTGATCAGGCAGTCACCAAGCCCAGATTCAAGGGGAGAAGAATGTCAAAGGGTTTTGGAGCCATGTTTTAAACCATCACAATGGTAATGATATTATATTGAGAAAGCCACGTGCAAATGAAATAAAGAGGAATGCAGAAGAGTGATGGCTGGTCAAACTGTCCCTTCCTTGGGGAAGGTCTGGGGAAATCTGGGGAAGTCTTGCCTTGCCAAAGAATGGGGTCACAAGACAGTGGCTGTGACTTTTAAACAAAGGGACAGCACAGCGCCTGAGAGCTCCAGCACTTTTCAGTTGCTGACACTCTATTGTGTCTCCTCCTGTTCAGTCAGGGTCTCTACAAACAGTCCAGCTGCTCCTGGACCGAGCTCTCCCTTGTTCCATGAGATGCACAGTGTTTCCTGGATGAAAACTTCAGCACTGGAGATGGCAACTTGCTTTCTTCAGGTCAGAGATAAATAAATCCTTTTGAAATCAAGGATTTGCAATGGCAATTTGCAAAGTTAACTTTGAAGATTTGAGGACTCAGGACATTAAGTCCATCCTACACATGTCTGTAAAATACTTGCAGAGCAGTTTCCTTAGGTGAAAAGAGATAAACATGCCTAGACTGGGGGAGGTGGAGAAAGAGAAATGATGGAGAGTGGAGGGGGGTATTTGAAAAGGGGAACTTGTCCCCACAAAAGGTCAGGACTTGGAGGCAGAGAAGTGAAATAGCAGAACCCCAGCAATGTTTGGCATCTTTGAGCAGAGACTTGGCCTTCCTTCCAGGGTGAAGTCCAACATGGTGGCCGCTTTCACAGAGCACCTCCTGGATGTTAGAAAGGGCAGTCCACAGGGAGGCCCAGGCACCAGCTCAACTCCGTAGGTCCCGAGCTGGGGCTTGGCTCTGGACCTCAGGGTATTTTGGCAGTAAAATGTGTTCTTTTAGTGAAATTGATAATTCCACTCCTTAAAAAGTAATAGCTAGCTAGGATTGCTTTCACTGCTTTTTTGCAAATCTGTAAAAAAGGGAAAGCATTTTCTAGCCAGGTCTAGAGGGAAAAGAAAAGAAGGACTATGAAAGCAGAGACCTTTTGACTTAGTATGGGGGTCGAGAGAGGAGGGAGAACTCATTACAGAATGGAGACCATGGGAGGGGACACAGGAAACACCTGTGATGAGCATGTGGCTGGCTCACTGGTGGCAATAGGTACATGAGAAGGTTGCAAAGGACTGCAGTGGGTGGTCACCTCCTCTCCTGGTCAGACAGGCTCCTGTCTCCGGAAGCATTAGCTGTGATGGGCAGGTTCCTGGGAATCCTCACCCTCCCTGCTGTTCTCAGGCTTCCTTCAGTAGAGACCCCAAAAAGCCCAGGAAGAGAGCCCCAGGCATTGGTCTTTTCTCTCTCTCTCTCTCTTTTTTTTTTTCCTTAAAAGACAGAAACTGGCTCTGGACTGAAGATTCCTGAAGGTCAGAATGGGAAGCTCCAGCCTGGTGACCATCATCCCTTTCTGCTTTCATTAGAAATTATTTTAACCGATAGGGATTCACACCCGAGACATTGTCCTGTATGTGATAAATGTCAGACTCACTCCGCAATTCCCACTCCCACCATAGGCTCCGCAGGAAATTTGCAGCACAGAAAGCAGGGACTTCGTTACATGCCTGTCATCACTGTTAATGGAAATGGCACAGCAAAATCTTCAGGCGCCACTTTGAAACAGCCCCCCTGGTGTTACGATAACATTCCTTCCCATTGCTTCTTAAAGAGTGCAATGGAATGTCAAAGGAGATATGACACTCCAGGAGGGAAGGTCTTTGCCTCCTCAAAACCAAATAATGTGTTCACTTTGCATTGACATAAACTGTTGTATCTGATTTAATAAATCTAAATTGATTATGTAGAGGCACACAGGGGATACAAAGAGAGCAGCTATTCAGTTAGATAATACTGCTTATGACAGTAAAACCTTCCTTGCCCCTACGTTTTCTTTCAACCTGAGAGGGGGATGATGTCTCTCTTTTGGAAGGAAGCTTTCTGTGTTAATGCTGCTCGTCAGAGACAGTAATAACACAGAAAGTTTGCTTCAAAACACCTTGAATGCTTCATTCTTCTTAATAACTAATAGAAGGAGAGAGTCCCACCTGGGGTGGAGGAGTACGAACTAATCAAAGGGCACAGTGGCAAGAATGGCACAGCCATGCATTTGGGCAAATCCTTAAAAATGTCTCATCTCCAAGAAAAGGCTAACAGAATCATTTCTTTGGCTACAGAGTAGGAATTATTCCTCAGGATGCTGACACTGGGAATGTCAGCCTCCTGATCTATGGTCTGATTTAGCAATAACTCTGCCTTCCTGTCAAGCCCGGGGAGAAAAGGGACTTTTCATAAGCCCACACTGTAGCTTGATGCGATCTCCTCTCCCTGGGAATGTCATATGGCCTCATCCTGCAGCAGTGTCTCTTGAAATGAGATGCTCTGCAGATTTCTGTGCTGCAGGATCAGGGATGCCAAAAACAGCATATGCACTGAATAAGTCAATCTGGTGCAAGCCATTTGCACCTTGTAGTGCTGTCTGACAACCCATGGGTCATGATCAATGCACTCTCATCCCTTAGCATCAGGCTCAAGCTCCTGAGAAGCAGCAGGACTTAACTCACTCTGCCTTCACAGTCAGCAGCCACTCTCTCAGAGCTGGTGTGGGAATCCAAAGTGAATAAATCAGAGCCCTCAAGACACTGAATGCCAGGAGCATGGTCTGAGAGACAGTGTGCTATAATAGAGATACATATGGAGGAAGCGGAGGAGGAAGGAGCAGATTGTGTTTGAGAATGGCTTAAGCAGAGTTGAAGCTATTTCTCAGGGTTATCAACTTCCACCAGAGGAACTGGAATTTGTTGTATTTCTCCTAAAATTTTGATGGTGAAACATTTATGTTTAGAAATCTCCTCTTAGTGCCTTTACATTACTAAACATTAAGAGATGATTGAAGGGAAAATGCACTTTAGACCAGGTGAAATTATGGCATCTTAGACCTATCCTGGGGGCCTCACTCGTGGGGCCCAGATTTAGTAGAAGAGACTTGTTGGAATTTAGGGGAAACACTGAACATCCTGTGCCCATCTGCCTTCCCATGAGCTGTGTCTGTCCCCCCACCTTTGGGGGAGTTGGTGAAATTAAGCAGTAAGACTAGGCCCACATCAATCCTTCACCTCTCTGTAAGGAGAGGAAACATCCTCTGGACCCCTCTGGGGTTGATCTGGCCCAAGCACCTTCACATACTATGGATTCACCATTGTATCCAGCCCACCATCAGGGCATCTAGCTGCCACACATCTGTGTCATCAGTTTGCCTTATCTACAGTCAAAATCACTTGAGATGCTCTGGGATGATGCATTTAAAATGAAAGTCAGATATTTCAGGGGGACCAGACTGGATAAAGGAATAATGACCATTCCGCCTGCCTGTTTATGGCATGTAACAAATAGTGAGTATGGACAGGTGGTAATGATGGCCGATCTGCACAAAGGGGGAAGAGGACAGGCCAAAATACTGGGAAATTCTATTTATTCTGGGATTCTTATGCTTGCTGCTAGTTTTCACCTCCCTCCATCTTTAAATCTGGAATATTTTGTGTATGTGCCCAAAATGCATACAGATGTATTTAAGTAAACAGTTTACATTATAATGGTTTCAGGCTCACAGAAAAGTTGCAAAATTCTCATCTATCCCATACCCAGCTTCCTTTATTACTAATATCTCCCATTAATATGGTACATTTATCACAATTAATGAACCAAATTTGATATATGATTATTAACTGAAGTCCATACTTTCTTTACATCTCCTTGGTTTTTAACTAGTGTCTTTTTCTGTTCCAGAATCTCATTCGGAAATAATAGTTGTCATGTCTTCTTAGGCTCCTCTTGACTGTGACAATTTCTCACACATTCCTTGTTTTTGATGACCTTGACAGTGTTGTAAAATACTGGTCTGCTCTTTTGTAGAATGTCCTTTAATTGGGATGTTCTGCAGTGATCAAATCTATGCACACATATCCCCACAAGGCTAAGGGAACTGAGAAGCTGAAGAAAGAAGCTGACAAATCCAGTTTCTCAGAAAGAAACCCTTAATAGAGACTTACAAGCAGAAGCCATGTCTCAGGCAGCTGCAAGATGGTGGATCTCCGCTCCTGCCCTCCAGAAAGTATCCTTTATACAGCAAGCTTTTAGGATAAAACACAGGCAGCTGCTGATGTCTTCAGACTTCCTTGATAAATTCACAACCACAGGGAAGTTAGATAAACTTTTTTTTTTTTTAGATGGAGTTTTGCTCTGTTGCTCAGGCTGGAGTGTAGTGGCGCGATCTCAGCTCACTACAAGTTCCGCCTCCCAGGTTCAAGTGATTCTCCTGCCTCAGCCTCCCTATAGCTGGGATTACAGGTGTGCACCACCACGCCTGGCTAATTTTTGTATTATCAGTAGAGACAGAGTTTCACCATGTTGGCCAAGCTGGCCTTGAACTCCTGACCTCAAGTGATCCACTGGCCTCAGTCTCCAAAAGTTCTGGGATTACAGGCATGAGCCACCACGCCCGGCCTAGACAAACATCTTTATAAGGAGTTATCTATGCTGCAGATGTCGTTTAAAGATCTTGCTGCAGAGCACCTGGGATGTGGAGTTTTGCTTTAAGATGGCATCACTCTTGCCATGCCACAGGCTGTTCTCTCAAACGGAATTTGTCTGATTTTTTTTTTATGATTAGACTGAGTTTTGGATAATTGGGAGGAAAAACACAAAAGTGCTATTCTTATCACATCATATCAGGGATAAATACTATCAACATGACTTACTGTTTATGTTGATCTTGATCATCTGGCTGAGTTAGTATTTGTGAGAATTCTCCACTGTAAGGTTACTTCCTCATTACTAGATGGTTGTTACTCTTTGGAAGGAAGTCACTACCATAGTCCATACATAAAGCGTGGAGACTTATATTCACTCCCTCTCCTTGAGCTGAAGTATCTACATAAATTATTGGAATTTTTCTGAGTAAGAGATTTGCCTGTTGTTCCACATTTATTCATTTATTTATTCAATCATTTATTTATATCAGTATGGATACTTAGATATTTATTTTGTATGTTGGGTCATAGTCCAATACTATGTTATTTATTTTGTTGCTCAGATTGTTCCACCTTTGGCCATTGACAACTTTTTCCATTGTCTTGTGGGTTCCTTTGACATACCCCCATCATTGTATTTTTTAAAAGCATTTCCTTACGTTCTGTCACTACAAGGTGACCCAGGCTCATCTGGTGTATCTCCTGCCTCCAACCTAGAATCATCCTTTTCTTTGAAGATTCCTGGTAGAAAGCAAGAGCTGGTCACTGAGTGTGCTCACTGCTACTGGGATGTCATTGCTTCTAGGTCTTCTCGTTATCAGAGCAAGAAAATATATGTATACTGACCCACTTACATATATATCATCAAGTATTTCTAAATGTTTTCATCTGTATACTAAAATAAACACAAATTCATCCTCATGTCTCCAATTATGCTCCATTACTGTATGAATTATTCTAGCTTTTGCCCTTTGCCACACCTCCTATGCTAACAATAACAAACTTAGCTCTCACCCTTCATCATCTGTTTACATGATACAGGTTGGGCATCACAAATCCAAAAATTAAAAACTCCATTTTTTTATCATCAACATGACACTCAAAGAAAATGTTCATTGGAACATCTGAATTTTTGATCTTCAGATTTGGGATCTCGACCCATAAATGTAGGGCATATATTCCAAAATTCAAAAAAAATTAAAATTTCAAAATACTTCTGGTTCCAAACATTTCAAATAAGGAACACTCAACCTGTAATGTGGTATACGACATTGGTTGGTTTTTGTATGTTGAACCATCCTTGTACTCTAGGAATAAATTACATTTGGCCATGGTGTATAATCCTTTAAACATGCTGCTTAATATACTGACAAGTATGGTTTGCTCTTTTGTATCAATATTCTTAAGGTATATCGGTATATAGTTTTCTTTTCTTGTAGTGTCTTTGTCTGGTTTTAGCATCACGATAATGCTAGCCTTATAGAATGAGTTAAGAATTATTCTCTCTTCCACAACTTTTTGTATGAGTTAGATAATAATCGAGAAGGACTATTTAACTAATTAATCCTTTTAAATATTTGATAGACTTAGCCTGTGAAACCATCTTGTCCTCAGCTTTTCTTTGTTGGCTGGTTTTTGAGTACTGATTAAATCTCTTTGCTAACTGAATTGTTCATATTTTCTCCTTCTTCCTGAGTAAGTCTTGCTAGGTTGTGTGTTTCTAGGAATGTGTCTAGGTTATCTAATTTGTTAGTGTACAATTGTTCATAGTACTCTCTTATAATTATTTTTATTTCTATAAAATTGGTAGTAAGATTCCCACTTTGATTACTGATTTTAGTAGCTTGAGTCTTCCCTCTTTTCTTCCTTAGTCAATGTAGGTAAAGATTTGTCAACTTTGTTAATATTTTCCAATAATCAATATTTGGTTTTGTTGATTTTCTCTGTTGTTTTTCTATTTCTATTTTATTTTTCTCCTCTCTACTATCTAGTATTTTTTTCTTCTGTTAGTTTTGGATTCCATTTGCTTCTTTTTCCCTAGTTCCTTAAGGTATAAAGTTAGGTTATTGATTTAAGATCTTTCTTCTTTTTCAGTGTAGGCATTTACAGCTGTAAATTTCCTTCTTATCTCTGCCTTACCTCATCCTATAAGTTTTTGTTGTGTTTTTATTTTTATTTGCCTCTGGGTATTTTCTAATTATTTTGTGATTTCTTCTTTGACTTATTGTTTGTTTAAGAGTGTGCCAGTTAATTCCTATAAATTTGTGAATTTTCCAGATTCATTGTGTGATTGATTTGTAGTTTTATTCTACTATAATTGGAAAATATACTTTACATGATTTCAATCTTTTCAAATTTATTGAGACTTTTTTGTGGCCTAATGTATAATCCATCCTGAAAAATGTTCTATATGCATTGAGAAAAATGTTTTTAGTGTTGTTCACTAAAAATATAAGTTAAAAAAAAAACCTGACAATACTAATTGCTAGCGAGAATGCAGAGCAACAGAAACTCTCATTCATTGCCCAGCCTCAGTGGAAGACAGTTTGGCACTTTCTTACAAAGCTACACAAAGTCTTATCATAAGATCCAGCAATGACACTCCTAGGTATTCACCTAAATGATTTGAAAACACAAAAACCCATACTTGAATATTTATAGCACCTTTATTAATACTGAAAGCACTAAGATTCAACAGGTAAATGGACAATCAGACTGTGGTATATCCATACATGTGGTTCTATCTATACACATGTACTATTCAACAATGAAAAGGAATAAGATTTCAAGCCATACAAAGAGGCAGATAAGTGTTAAGTGCATGTTGTTAAGTGAAAGAAGCCAGTCTTTGAAAAGGCTACTTTCTTTATTATTCCATTTATATGGCATGCTGGAAAAGACAAAACTATAGAGAAAGTAAACAGATAAGTGGGTGCCACCAGTTTGAGGAGAAGAGAGGGTTGAATAGATGCAACACAGGGGATTTTTTTAGGGCAGAGAAACTATTCTGTATGATGCTGTATTGGTAAAAACATAACATTATGCATTTTTTAAAAACCTTAGAACTTTAACAGCATAGAGAGTAAAACTTAATGTATACAAATTTTTAAAAAATAATTTAGGAGGAATTAATTTTTAAAATATCAGCAGATCCCAGGGTGGAAAGTCGACTATGAGAAAGAAAATATCTATTATAAGTGTATAAAGTGACCTCAATAAAGGAGGTAAGAGAAAAAGGTGCTAACCTAAGTAACTTTGGAGATGAATGGGGACTGTGAGGCTAAGTACAAAAGACACTGCTGGTAAGTACTGCATGCTTGTTGTTCACTTCTTTCCCACAGTGGTATAAGTTAACAGGGCAACAGGTTAATGCTTCTGAAATGTTCATATAGGTACACTGGAATTGAACTATACATAATAGAACATAGGGTGAAAAACAACATGATTATCTTAATTGATGCTGAAAAGGCATTTGGTAAAATTCAATTCCTTTACATTCAATAAACTAGGACTAGAAGGCAACTTTCTCAACATGTTAAAGGCCATCTATGAAAACTCACAGCTAACATCATACTCCTTGATGAAAGACTGAGAGCTTTTCCCTAAAACTAGGAACAAGCATGCTCAATTTTGCCATTTCTATTCATCAGAGTATTGGAAGTCGTATACTAACTAGGCAAGAAAAATAAATAAAAGACACATAAACTAGAAAGGAAGAAGTAGAATTATTTTTGTTTGAAGATGACACGATCTTATATGTAGACTCTAAGGGTTCCACAAAGCAACTATTAGAGCTAATAAAGAAATTAAGCAAAGTTGTAGGATACAAAATCAACATGCAAAAGTCTGTCAACTTCTATACACTAGCAATCAATAGTCCAAAAAAGGAAGTTAAAAACAATTAAATTTACTGTAGCATTAAAAATAATAAAATATGTACCAATCAATTTAAGCAAGGTTAAAGAGTTGCACACAGAAAAGGCCAAAACATTGCTGAAAGAAACTGAGGAAGGCATACATAAATGGAAACACATTCTGTGTTTCAATCCATGGATTGAAAGACTTACTGTTAAGGTGACAATACTATCAAGTAAAAGTATAGATTTATTGCAATCCTATCAAAATCCAAACAACACTTTTTTATAGAAATAGAAAAACCCATCTTAAAGTTTATATGGAATCTCAGTGGAACCCAAACAGCCAAAACAATATTGGAAAGAAAGAACAAAGTTGGAAGACTCACACTTCCTTATTTCAAAACTTATTAAAAACCTACTGTAATCAAAAGAGTGTATTACTGGCATAAGTACAGGCATATAGATCAATGTAATAGAATAGACAGCCCAGGAAGAAATCCTTGTCAACGGATTTTTGACAAGGGCATCAAAACTCTTCAATGGAGGAAAAGAACAGTTTTATCAAAACTGGCGCTGGGAAAACTGGATATACACATGCAAAATATTGATGCTGGACTCTTACATTCTAACATATGCAAAAATTAACTCAAAATGGATTAGAGACCTAAACATAAGAGCTAAACTTATAAAACCCTTAGAAGAAAACATAGGGGAAAAACTTCATGACATTGGACTCGGCAATAATTTCTTGGATATGACACCAAACGCTCAGGCAACAGAAGAAAACAATATATAAGTCGTATTTCATCAAAATTAAAATTTGTTGTGCATCAGAGAACACTATCAAGAGGGTGAAAAGGCAATTCACAGAATGGGAAAATATTTGTAAATTATATATCTAATAAGATATTAATATCTAGCATATATAAAGAATTCAACAATAAAAAACCCAAACAACCCAATTCAAAATAGGCAAATAACTTGAATAAATATTTCTCCAAAGAAGAAATACAAATGGCTAATAAGCACATGAAAACATGCTCAGTATCACTAGTCATTAGGTAAATGCAAATCAAAACTGCAATGAGATGCCACTTTACACTCATTTGGATTATTTAAAAAAAAGAAACACATTCAGGAGAAATCTGAACTGTGGTGAATTTCTGATGGGAATATAGAATGGTACAGCTGTGGTGGAAAGCAGTTTGGCTGTTCCTCAGAAAGGTCAATGTAGGATTACTATATGATCCAGCAATTCCACTGCTATGTGTCTCACCCAAAAAATGGAAAGCAGGGTCTCCACTAAATACTTGTTCACCAATGTTCATAGCAGCATTATTCACAATAACCCAAAGTCAAAAAGAACCCAAGGTCCATCAACACACATAAACAAAATGTGCTGTATGCATACAATGGAATATTACTCAGCCTTAAAAAGAAATGAAATTATGATACAAGCTACAACATGAACAAACCCTGAAAACATTATACTAAGTAAAATAAGCAAGATACAAAAAGATGACAAGTATAGTCTTATTCCACTGATGTGAGGTACATAGAATAGGCAAGTTCATAGAAACAAAGTAAAATAGAGGTTACCAGGGGTTGGGGGAAGGGGAATGGAAGTTACTGTTTACTGGGTATAGTTTCTGTTTAGGGTAATGAAAAAGTTCTGAACATGGATAGTGGTAATGGTTGCACAACATTGTGAGTCTACTTAATGCCACAAATTGTACAATTTTGTGTGTGTATACACACACACACACACATATATTTATTTATTGGGACTGAGTCTCACTCTGTCACCCAGGCTGGAATGCAGTGACATGATCTCAGCTCACTGCAACCTCTGCCTCCTGAGTTCAAGCAATTCTCCTGCCTCAACCTCCTGAGTAGCTGAGACTACAGGCACATACCACCACACCTGGCTAATTTTTTGTATTTTTAGTAGAGACAGGGTTTCACCATGTTGACCAGGCTGGTCTTGAACTCCTGACCTCAAGTGATCCACTCATCTTGGCCTTCCAAAGTGCTGGGATTACAGGCGTGAGCCACTACGCCTGGCCTATGTTATATATATTTAAAACAATATTGCAAAACCTCCCAGGTGATGCAATGTGTACAGGGATGATAACCTTCCTTTATTTTTATTTTATGTTATTTTGAGATAGGGTCTTGCTCTGTTGCTCAGGCTGGAGTGCAGTGGTGGGATCACACCTGGCTAATTTTTAAATTTTCTGTAGAGATGAAATCTCCCTATGTTGTCCAGGTCTTGAACTCCTGGACTCAAATGAACCTCCAACCTTAGCCTCCCAAAGTGCTGAGATTACAGGCATGAGCCACTATGCCAGGCTGATAACCTTCCTTCAAATGAGCTTCTTCACAATTCACTGTCCATGTGGTAGTATAGACATAGACTTCAAGTTAAATAATGTAGCATAGAAGCCTGACTTTTACCATATGTACTGGGGTGGGGTACATTTTTAAATTCCCTAATAGTCAAATCTTTCATCTGTAAACTTGGTATGTTTCATAATGTTCTTTTGAAAATTAAACAAGATACTTCTCACAAAAGGGTTAGAAAGGTATATGGCACCTGGATGTGCAATGGAATAAGCACATGCAGATACCTTGGCCTCAGAAACCAGCAGGAAAAAGGACTCAAGCCCCTTTCCTATAAGCCCAGTGTATTGTGTGTGAGGCCTGAAATTCCTGCCATGGACTGTAGGTACATTGACAAGTTATTTGATCTTTCTTAGCATTTGTAATCCCATCTATAAGTGGGGAGAACAATCTCTACCTATTTTGAAAGGCTGATGTTATACTTGGCACGTGGTAGAAATCTGATGAATGATTGTTGGTATTATTGGTGTTCTTGTTATTCAATGACCCCAGGAGTAGAGATTTAGTCTGAGACTCAGTCCTTGCAGATCATGAAACAAACTATCACGTTGATTCTGTTTTCTCCTCATCTTCCTCTTCATCTGCCTCCTCCCTCACATAAGCATATTTCATGTTGGCCAACTCTTATAGGCAAGTTTCTCAGCAGGGCTTCCTGGAATGTGCTTGTACATTGCCCCCTCCTGCATTGCTCCCTTCTCAGACCCCATTAGGTGAGGTAGCATTCTAAAGAGCTGCTCTAATTCCACTTGAACATCCCTAAAATCAGCTAAGCCGAGGCAAGTAGCAGCCCATGCAGCCTCATTGGTATGCATTCCACTCGAGAGTGTGGGCACGGTAAATGACACATGAATTATGTATGCCAGCGTTCGGTACAACATTTAGCATGCCTAAAGCAGCATGCATTTTGAGGGAAAGTCATTTTGATTCTGTGATATATTTCACATCCAAATGATTAGCAGGATCCAGGGCCTGCTTACTGGTTGGTGTCTAGAGCTTGCTGGGTTCAGAACACATGTGGCAGCAGCCCCTGCTCCAGTTCTGCAATCCTCTACCCAAATTGGGAAGCCTCTCTCCCATTGATCCCTCACATTGTGCTAAATCTTCAGATTTTAGACTTTCTTATTCCCTGCTATGTGCTGGCTTCTCAAGCATTAAGTTCAAGCTCAATTAAACCCAGCCTCTCCTTCTAAACCTCATGGCAGACATGATACCCAAAGACCACTTTGCTCTGGGCTCCACAGGGCTATGGTTCTGCA
This sequence comes from Homo sapiens, assembly GCF_000001405.40. Classification (NCBI taxonomy): domain Eukaryota; kingdom Metazoa; phylum Chordata; class Mammalia; order Primates; family Hominidae; genus Homo; species Homo sapiens. The sequence goes on along the minus strand of NC_000002.12, from coordinate 129,469,651 downwards.
ATCCTTCTGCAGTGATGCCAGGATTCACATGAATCATCCTCTACTCACCGGGCACAAGGAGTAGAGACGGCATTCTTGGCAAGGGAGCTAGTGAGTGCCTCCCTGCACAGCTGGGGAGCTGATTAGGGAACTTTATCTATAGAAGTGAAGCAGATCACTCCTGAACTCTCTGTGGTGCCCCGAACGTGCCAGTACACTCTGCCTCTGCACTCGGTCTCTGCCTTCTTCATTTGAAAAACTCCAGGCATCCTCTAAGGATCTGTTCCAGCTGAAACCTCTATTAAATTTTCCCTACTTCTCCTCTTTGCTGGACCCCACAACCATCCCCTTCTCCCCACAAAAGAAACACACAAAACAAAAACAAAATATCAAATGGACACTCACCCTGTCTAGTAAAAGCCCATTTTTGAACACGTTACAAGTACTGTCATTCTTTTGTCCCCACTAGATTCCTAGCTTCTTGAGACACAGAACTATGCTCTCTTTTTAACCAGCCTCTAGCATCATGCCTAGTGCTGGGAAGTTGCACAATAAGCTACATCTTGATTTTGTGAAAATGTGATTTATTCAAGAGATAGCGCTTACACAAAGTGGCGCGTGGCTAGAGGTATCAGCGACTTAAAAATCAGCACACTTTGGCTTCAGTACTGGCCTCATTCCTTACCAGACTCTTGACCTTTGACAGATTTACCCAAGTCTGTATGGCTTCTTTGGCCAAAAGGACAAAATCAAAATAGTTTAAGACATCAGCCTTGTTTAACCCACAGGGTGGATGTGAAGGGCTTTCAAGCATATGTTACCTGGAAGAATGTGTTCCAGGGAACCATGTGTTACCTGGAAGAATGCATTTCACTTCGAAAGCATTCCTAATTTCATCTTAATTATTTGAAGAAAAGTTCTTAGAAAGTTAGATATGGTATCTGAAAACTGTCACGTACATCTTTCCTATTGCCTATACTAAAGGATATTGGACCAAGCAAAAATAACATAGCTACTTTGCTTTGGAAAGCACTCACTTGTTCCTGAAAGGTAAGACTGGGAGGCAAATACAACAGCTTCCTTGCCAAACTAACTGCTGGATACATCAGTACTCACTTCAAGACCCTCACCTGTCTGTGTCCATGGATCCTAATCTGTTATGCAAAAATCCTTTCCAATCCTAGTCTATTTCTTTCCTCAAAAGGCCAGGCTTAAAGTAATCTGGCTCATACCCTAAAATCCTACAGATATCCTCCTAGGGGTCTCCTTTTTGAGATGTTGCTAGAATTCTGTCAAGGTAGTATTCTTCCTTAATGCAATAATTTGATAAACTCAGCCTTACCCAGTCAGCTTTCTTATTTTTATTTTTTTGAGACAGGGTCTCACTCTGTTGCTCAAGCTGGAGTGCAGCAGCATGATCACAGCTCACTGCAGCCTCGACTTCCTGAGCTCAGATGATCCTCCCAACTCAGCCTCCCTAGTAGCTGGGACTACAGATGTGCACCACCGTGCCTGGCTAATTGTTTTTGCAGAGATAGGATCTTGCCATGCTGCCCAGGCTGGTTTCATACTCTTGGACTCAAGTGATCCACCCGCCTCAGCCTCCCAAAGTGCTGGGATTGCAGGTGTGAGCCACCATGTCCAGCCCTCAGTCACCAGTTTTTAGTGGTCTTTTGGGCAGCTGTCAGCCTATGGCCCAAACAGCTAAAAACATCATACTTATTTGGATGTCACATGATCTCTCAGCTCTTTAAATCATTGAAGATCAGGACAGCAGCAACAAAACCCTTAAGGTAGGAAAGCCACAAGAATAACCATGCACTCTATTTCATGCGTTTTACTCACCAGTCAGAGAATAGAATTTTTTCCCCTCCAATCTAGTTGCTTCTGTTCTCAATGCTATTCTATAGCCTTGGTTGCTTGATTTCCCACCCTACATCAAAAAGAAAAACTGCTGAGCCTTTACAGAAGTGTGGACATGGAGTCTCTCTTTTTAGAGCCAGAGAGCACAGGGCCCTCCAAATTGCATCTGGCCTGGAGGGCACCTGCCCAGCATGCTGCCTCAGAGACAGAGCCCCGCTGCGCCCCAGGACAGTGCTTCCCCAGACTTAGCACCAGTGCTGTCTGCCCCAGCTCTGATTCCTCACCCGTCCAGTGGACCCTGCTGTTTTGTCCCTGTTATTTGGTGCTGTGGGTGACTCCCCAGGCCAAGTCCCTCAGAATCGAGCTGGACTCTGGTACCTCTCCAGAAAGTGCCTGTCTTATCCATGTCCGAGCTGGGATTTTTGGCCCAAAGATAATGTTTCCTCTACTTCCTGAACTAATTCAATTTAACGTGAACCTAATCAAAACGTGTGTGTTAAGCCTTCTTTCTCACGTGGCCCACCACCTCCAGGCATCTCCTGCAGGCCACCCAGGACGCCTCCAATCAGCCTGCACCAGGTAGAGCCATCCCAGCTTCTCCGGAACTTTCCCTTGTCCTGCACTATCCCAATGAATGATGCTACTCTTCTTCTGGCCATTTAAGGGAAAAACCTGGGCAGTGCTCTGAAGTCCCGTTCCTCTCTTGCCAGCCCCATCTCATCACCTGTCACCACCCCAGGAGATTCTACTTCCTCAAGTCTGTTTCTCATTCTAACTGCTCACTCCCTGTCTCTTAGATTATTTTTGTAGTTTCCAGAAATGCCGCTTTCAGAAATTGGTGTCCAGCCTCAAGTCTCTGCTCTCCCCTTGGCCCCGTCCAAGTGACTCTGCCTAGCTACAAATCAAATGGCGCCACTTCTCAATTAAAACCCATTAGCCCAACCCTGGCTGCCCTTTAGAATCACTTGGCCTTAAAAATACCGAGCTAGCCCCACTCCTAGAAACCCTGATGTGATGGATTGGCATCAGGGAGTCTGAGCTTCCCAAGTTCGCCAAATGATTCTAATGTGCAGCTGGAATTGCAGACTCTGCTGGAGGACAAGGCCCTCGCACCTTGTGTTCAGCCAACCCCTCACCCTCCCCACCATGGTGGACACGCTCCTGTGGGCCAGACCACACGCAGGCCTCCACCTGCGAGGACGGCCCCAGCTCTCAGCGTCTCTCTTCCTCCCCTCCTCTGCCGGCGCCATGTGGCAGATGCTTACCTTCTTCTGGGAAGAGTCGAGTGAAGGGTCACCTTCTCAGTTAAGTTTTTGGTCCCTTCTGGGTATGATGGCGGCTTCCTCCATGGTGTCCCGGCCTCATCGGTCAGATTTCTTTACTGGCTCACCTGGCACACTGAAGGGCACTGATTGCCACATGTGCCCAACGTGTATTTACTGACAGCCAGCTCTAGTGATGGCTGTCATAGAAAGGACCCTCTAGTGAAGGAGGTAGGAATTAAGTAAGAAAACAAGAAGAAACACAATTGTGACGGGTGAGAAAATAGAAGAGCACACTACGAATGAGGACATGGGAGTGGGTTTGCCCACAGTCTGCTGGGTGCTCAGGGAAGAGCCTCCTTAATCTGTAGCACCGAGTCTCACTGATTCAGGAGGCTGAGAGACCACGCCAGACGGCAGGAGAGCAGCCCCAGCCTGAGCTGGGCAAAATGACTTATGAAGGCCGGGCCTCGAGTGCAGGTTTTAAATTATTTGCAGTGCATTGCACAGCCTGAACTCCATTACAACACTCAGCTATTTGTTTTTTCAGTCAATGTTGTGTCCTGTGTGCTCAAGTCAATCTGTCTGGTGGGAAGTGAGAAAGAGGCTGCAGGATTCCACGTGGGGACTGATGTGATGGGAACAGCCATGCCACCTAAGGGCACTGTCTTAGTCTGTTTTGTGCTGCAATAACAAAATGCTTGAGACTGGGTAATTTATAAAGAACAGACATTTATTTCTCACAGTTCTGGGGGCAGGTTTGGTGTCTGGTGAGCGCTGCTTGCTGCTTCAAGACGGCGCCTTCAGCACTGCATCTCCCACGTGGAGGATAGAAGGGTAAAAGGCCAATGCTGTGTGAATCCTCTTTTAAAAGGCCTCCATTTCACTCACAGGGAGAAGCCCGCATGACCTAATCACCTCCTGAAGGCCTCATCTAGCTACACTTTTGCAGTGGAGATTGTTCCCACATGAATTTGGGAGGGGCACAAGCATTCCAACCACAGCAGGTGCCCAGGAGCCATGCACGCACAGCACCCAGCCCTGGCAACCCTGAGGAGGCCTCCAGCACCCCCCAGAGCCCAGAAAGGGGCAGAAGGCACCTCAGACCACTGCCCTGAGGACACTGTGCTTCCCCCACCCCTTGGGCTTGGTCTGGACAATGGGGCTGGGAGGACCGGCTGAAGGGATGTCAACAGGGCTCTTATTTTATATTTTGTGCGCGTGCCCTGTCTTTTGTCTAGGTTGGAAACAGGGTGGCCCCTCGCCTCCTGCGCATATAGGGGCACGTCCTCACCATAACAGCCTCACAGCTGTCCACACAGTCAGTCTGTCCCAGATGAAGCCCAGGCTCCGCCGGAGTCTGCACGGCCTGTGTTGAGTCCATTTCGCAGTAGAAGTGAGCAGTGAGTAGGCTTTGATGTTGGCCTGGCAGTGGGTCAGCCACAGTCCACATCCACAGAGTGAGCAGTCAGGCACCGTTGAAATGTCACATTGATCATAGCACTCATCCAAGGATGTCATCATAGGGCAAGAATGGCCATGCTTACTGAACCATGAAAAAGTCTCTAGCAAGAAGAAAGTCCCTCCTACAGCCAGCGCGGGCATCTTGAAGGAAGGTACTGATGGGCATGACCTGAGATGACCTGAGATGGTTCCCTGGCTTCCCACTCTTGAGGGTGGCGGTGTGCATGAGGCGTGGGGGTAGGGGAGGCCCAGAGGGCTGATCACTTGGGACCATGTGACCACATCAATGAAACTTCCATCCTGGCCTTGGGGCGGAGCCTGTGTGCAGGGTGGAGAGGGCCAGCCTGGGGAATCCTTCCCCACAATGTTGTCAGGGAATGGCAGGGACCTGGAGAAGAGGGCAGGGTCCTGGCTAGGAAGGGAAGGATAGTGGGAGGCCTGGATGGCCGTCACATGTGGACTGGTGGGGTGGGGGCGTCAGTGTGGAAGTAACTGGCAAAACCCACAGTGGGAGGGAGCTGAGGGAATGAACAGAGGGAGCAGCAGGAAGTGAAGGTCAGCCGGGTGAGGTGCACTATGGGCTTGAGGAGGGCATGAGCCTGAATGTGGCCCTGGCTTTGCCCTCTGAGACACGAGGATGGGTTTCTTCAGGAGTGGTACTTAGTTCTGTCCACCATTTCCATCCACAATGTAGATTTGCACAGAGAAGGCCCAGAAAATGTGAACCAGTACATGATATACTTCAGGCCTCTCAAAGTCTCTGAGAAGTCACCACTGCTGCTCATGGAAAAGAGGAACACCATCTATATAAGTCATTGAGGGGTTGGGCTGCTTTACCAGCTACACAGTTGTGCGATGACTGGAAACTTGCATCAGGCAAAGCCAGGGAAATGCGCCCAGGCTGTGGTCGGCTGGGGGTTTCAGTTCTTCCATCTAAGGCTCGTAGAATTTTGTCTCAATTCTAAAACCTAGGTAGAAGTAACTGACATTTTCAAAAAGTAGAGGTATAATCTGAAACAAAAACCCACATGCAGCTAGCTTATTTGGGAATGGATTCCAGGTAGCAAGGGAAAGAAACAGGGAAGACAGTGGTGAAACCCAAGGTAAGGAGGTGAAATGCACGTGGCGGTGGCTACCCTGGACTTGGGCTCAGCCCTGCAGGTCTTCTGAGTAAATTTATGGTATGAACTCTGGGGATCAGAGGGTTTCTTGGTTCCTGTAGGTAAGTGTGTCCCCAAGGTCCTGGGCTGTTATGGTGCCTAGAACTTGAGGTCTGAATTCAGTTCTGGCCCCCACCAGAAGAGCACTGGAGTATCAACCTGATTTCAGGCAGGTGGATCCACCAGTGCTGGTAAGGAGGGGTCCTAACATCTCCCCTGCTTAGCTCTCCTGCATTTTCAGAGGGGTGGTGTGGGACATGGGGAGCACCTGGTCACCCCCACCAGGTAAGGAGTGCATTGCGGGAGGTTATGGACTATTTCCAACACACCAGCTGTGAGTAGACCCCACGCCCAGAATTTTTTTTTTTCCCCTGAGATGGAGTCTTGCTCTGTCGCCCAGAGCTGGAGTGCAATGGTACGATCTCAGCTCACTGCAACCTCTGCCTCCTGGGTTCAAGCAATTCTCCTGCCTCAGCCTCCTAAGTAGCTGGGATTACAGGCATGCACCATCATGCCCAGCTAATTTTTGTATTTTTAGTAGTGACGGGGTTTCACCATGTTGGCCAGGCTGGTCTTGAACTCCCAATCTCAAGTGATCCACCCACCTGGGCCTTCCAAAGTGCTGGGATTATAGGCGTGATCCACTGTGCCCGGACCCCATGCCCAGAATTCTATTCTTAGGAGAAAACTGTGGACCATCCAGCACAACCTCCATCACCACAAAGGGCAGAACCCAGACCCAGTGGCACAGGCCCAAGGCAGCGACTGTCCCTGGATGGAGGCCCTGCTCCTGTGGAATGGGGACGCTCTGCCTTCACAGCCTGTTCTGGCTGTTCTCTGAGCCACATCTAGGAAGCCAAGGACTACCCAGTGGCTGAGAGCACATTCATTCCTAAACCAAGAAGGAGGTTTAGGGAAAGAGATCCTTTGCCCTGATTCCACTGCAAGGAGACTTGTATATGCTAAACCTCACAGCAGCTTTAGGCAAACTTGTTCCCACCCAGTTCTCAACAAGAAAGCCCGGGATAAAATGGAGCTTCAGGGAGCCGACTGGTCTTTCTCCTTTCATGCTCACTACCGTGAAAGCCTTGGCTACTTTGCAGAGCCATTTCTTCTCTCCCTGCTTTGTCCTCCCTGAGGTCCCTATAGTAATGGCAAAGGGAACTCTGAGGCTGAATGTGTATGCACAATGGTTATTAAGATGAAAACCCATCCAAGGAAACCCAACAGTGGTTTCAAGACACTGCTTCATTCAGCACTCCTGGAGCAAACCTTCATCTACATTATTAAACCATAGGAGAGCCAGGCTGGCCTGAGCCTCACACACCTGCCTAGGAAACCCTTAGAAAAGCATTCCCATGCAGGCCTCGATTTATCTGGGTCTTGCTGTTGTACCCAGAGCTTCAGGACAGAAGCAACAAACAGGCAGCTAGGACCCTGAAAGAGAGAGGAGTCACCTAATTGTGTCACTCTCTAGGTTTCTACTGCCTTTCATAAAATGTCCACATTCCTAACGTGCCCCATCCAGTTCTCTGCCCGTTTTTGGCTCCATCACACTGATGTGCTGAGGTTTCACAAGCACCTACGTTCTTATTCTTGCTACCTGACTTCGTGTGCACCTGCCCCTCTGCTGTGTGCCTGCAATGGTCTGCTGACTCCTCATCTCTTCTTGGGCCCATCCTGGTTCCCAGCCAAGTTCACTTCTGCTCATTTTTTGGGCCCTGACTTGACTGTCATTCCTTCCAAGAATGGCCACAGACTCCTGTGACTGGGTGGGTGACCCTTCTTAGTACAACCAAAGCACCTGACCTGACACTATCCTGGCACTGAGCATACCTTATTGTGCAGGTGTATTTCCTCGTTTGCCCTTCCTCAACCATCCCAGCAAGGAGCAGCCTGAGGGGAAAGATGCTTGCTGTTATGTCTCCAGCATGAACGGGAACTCAGCAAAGTTCAGTTGAATGTGTCAACCTATAAAAAGAATACCAGAAAAGAATCTCCAAATGTGTTAAATTTATTGATAAATAGAAAAGAGGATTACAATCTGGAATATACCATGGCAAGCCATAGGTGTGACCAGTGACGACCAGTAAGAGGAAGCTTTTTTGGCCAAAAGGGAGGAATTCACTTAAGCTGCTGGGAAATAGATTTCACTAGTTCTGGAGGCCCAAAGTCAGCACTGGCATCAGTCCGTTGGTGGAGGTGTTGTTACTGGGCAGGTGCTCTCTCAAGGGCATTTTATCTGAATTGCTGCCGTCCCAAAGAATGTCCAGTGATAAACCTTATCGTAGAAATATACGCATGCACGTGAAATGTGCAAGCCATGCAGAGTGGGAGATGCATGAAAGATGTGAAGGGTTTTCTTGTGGGGTTTGAGAAAGTCCTTGGAAACTGTTTTTATACAGGCAAGCATGAGCACCCTCCTTCATGTCTAGTTTGCCCTGTTTTGTCTGGGTCTGTCTGACAAGAGTGATTTCATCCTGGTGTCTGTAACTTTCACAAATGCATAGAAAATAACTGGTAGACTGCTCCTCTGGTTGAACACACCACTTCCAAAGACCCCGAGAGGAGGGAGGAAACTTTAGATTGAATAAAATGTCTGGCAAATGAGGGCATAAATTCTCACCTGCAAAAAGTCAATAAGTAGATGGTCTATCAATTTTTCTCACTGTTCTCAGTGGTTCTGCACTGCCTGAAGACGTAGAAACTGCTGCTACTGCATGATCTGGCCTCCTTTTCTCTTCTTCCTCTTGGTTCTGGGCTTCAGCACTGGCTTGGGGAACATTCCAGCTTCCCTCCTATCCATGCTTCAGACTTCACTCTGCAAGGTTGGCACTCGGCCCCAGACTGACCCTTATTGTTTCCATTAGGGCCTTGCTGTGGTCTCTGCTCCTCCATAACCACACTTGTGCTGTGCTCTGGGGAGAGACTGGAGGCCCTGCCACCTGCCAGCTCCATTCCTGGTAGCCCTCAGGCCATTGCTGCCTTACCTGCCCTGGGTGGGCAGATGTGATGTGCCCCCACGGCAGCTCTGTAGGTTTCCTGCCTGCAGGAGAGCGCGTGCTTTGGCAGATTCGCGGGGTCTTCCAAGAAGAGAGCTCAATGGGGCATATTGGGTTCCCTCCCTGCAGAGTGACTGGGGGAGGCCCAGAGGCTCTGGGTGCTCACCAATGCCTGTCCCCTTCTCCATAGCCTGTGCCAGTGGGAGTGGGAGTGGGGACATAAGCAAGGAAGAGACAGTGAGATAGAAGACAGTGAGACCAAAGCTTCCTATAGCTGAACAGTCAAGTGCCTACAACTGGAATAATCTCCAAGGTCGTCACATACAATCCATCGTTTGACCCTGGAATCGCCACCACACCCTGTGACATGGTCATCTGGACAGTCCCAGTGCATCCTGCCTAATGCAATAATTGCATCATTACTATTCCCCAGTGAGCATCCTGGCACACTGCTGTTTTTCACACTGCTGTGGGTATTTCTGAAGGATAGGTGTCTGTGGAACGGCTGAGCAGGGGTATACATACTTCACACGGTGCTGCCTATTACCTGCAGGTTCACACGCACACACACATAGCAGTGTACAGCAGTTATGGGCTCAAATGAAGAAAGGCCTTTCTCATAAACTGTCCCTTTGCAGATTGGACTACCTGGGTTGAATGAGTGTTCAAGAATCTGGATGATTAGGATGCTGTAGCAGGGATTTCCACCCTGAACTCAGCTTGTGAGAAGCTCTGGAGAAACCCCAGGGCCTCCTCCTAGGCGGCCGGTCGCCAAGCAGGGCACGCTTGTGGAGGCAGTGGATTCTCCAGGCCAGCCTGAGACAGCACCTTCTCCCAGGTCTCTGTGAGGCTTTCCACTGGACCCTGCTTGTCCTCTCCTTAAACTCACGCTTGTCGACTGCAGTCTCAGCTGGAGGGCCCAGGCACTGCTGTGACCCTGTCCCAGTTGTCTCAGGGAAACAGTGAGTTTTTTTCCCACTAGGCAGGAGATCTTCCCGGGTGTCCTGAATGTGTAGAAAGAAAAGCCAGTGGCAAGCATGGGTGTTGGATGCTCTACACTGACTCTGAGGGAAGGACCTGCTGGTTCTATAGGCCTTTGCCGGCTGTGGCCACTCACTCTGGTGCCGGCCCTGCCTCACCTGGCCTGCTCCTCACAGCCAGGACAGCTGATGGCACTGATGCCGGATAGGGATGATGGGTGTGATGTCACCAACATCCTTGGGAAGTGGGGTTGTGCACAGCTGTCGCCTCTCATTTTGTGCTGATCTGGGCAAAGTTGTTAGCACACATTAGTGCACAGTGAACATTTCACGCTGTCTTCCCATTTACAGCTGTCCCTCCAGGTCCCCAGGGAAGGCACTGGATCTGCCCGTGCCCACAGCGAGGCTGCTGGGAGCTGAGCAATACAGCAGCAGAGTCCTGCTCATGCTTCTGTCTGATCAGGACAGTTCAGCCCCCGGCTTTCGATTCCCCAAAAAGGAGGCCACTGAGCGTAGGGGAGAAGCAGCGGCCACGAAGTGTCCAGGGCCTCCTCCTTGACCGATGCCATTCCATGCAGCTGCAGCTGCACTTCCTTCCCTTTGTGACCAGCTCCTCCTGAGCTACCCCCTCCATGCCGAATGCATGGCCTAAAGATGGGACGCCAGGCCATGGACTGGATTAGATCATGGAAGGAGGAAACTTAGTGAGAGTGCCTGCCACCCCACCCTGCATTTATACTGAACTGAGAAGGGGGAGAGCTCAATGGGGGGTGTTATGGGCTACACTGTGTCCCCCAAGTTTATATGTTGAAGCCCTAACCCCCAGAACCTCAGAATGTGACTGTATTAGGAGACAGGGTAGGTAAAGAGGTGATGAAGTTAAAATGAGGCTGAGGGTGGGCCCTAATCTGATATGATTGGAGTCCTGATAGGAAGGGGAGGAGACACCAGGGGTGCACAGGCACAGAGGAGAGGCCACTCCAAGATGCAGTGAGCAGACGGCCACCTCCATGCAGATGAGGGAGGCCTCAGGAGAAACCAAACCTACATGCACCTTGATTTTGGACTTCCAGGCTCCAGAGCTTGAAAAAATACATTTCTGTGGTTTAAGCTGCCCTGTCTGTGACACTTTGTTACGGCAGCCAGAGCCCACTAATATGGCAGCAGTGGGAGCAGGAGCGTAAAATGAGTGCAGCCGAGAAAGTCAAAGGGGGCTTCGTCTCACAGAACAGGCAGTGTTTCCTACAGATCCACATGGGCTCGGCCATGCGGGTGGAGCTAGTGACCCTGACACTGGCATCCCCTCCCTCCCTGGGGACCATGTGTGTTTCTTCTCATATTACTCACCCTTTGGTGTGTGGCAGGGAGCTTTCATTATCCCCATTCAGCAGCTGAAAAAATGAAGTTCACAGATTGTCTGATTGGCCTGTCATTTTATAAATGTTTTGCGGCAAGTCTCCTGACCTCTTATTGAATCCCCCAGAGCAAGGCTCCCAGGTTGCTCTGCTGAGCAGGGTGATTCTGAAACTCCAGGTTGGAGCCCATTTGCAGCTGCTGCAGTTATTACAGCTTTGCCACATCGGTCTGGCCTGATAGAGCAAAGCCAAGCACAGGCTTCTGTCCCAGATGGATGCACATGTGACGGCGTCTCCACCACCGGCATGGTAGTTGCAGCTGGCAGGAGCCTTTGGTAAGCCCACTGAGGGTGGCGGTGAACTTCAGGCTGGAGCTGGGATCTGGGAGTGGAAGCTGGTTTCCCTCCCAACCAGAGAGGGTGGGGGAGAGCTCAGGCCTCCAGGAGAGCAGACGTGGCTGAAAGGAGTTGACTACCCACATGGCTTTGACCTGTGGCTCGTGGGGAGAGCCCCTCACTGCTCTCCCCTGCAGGGTCCTCAGCAAGTGTGTGGCTCTGCAGTACTTGGTGCAATGGTTTGCTTGTGTTTGTATGCCTGTGTGTGTGCACGTGTGTTTGTTTCAGGAGTGACAACCAGATATTTAGGTTACTCTGGGAGAAAACCAGCCTCACAGAGGCAGCAACACTAATTCTGCTAGCTCCCGCCTCTTTAGGGCTCCCTCTTGCTTGAATACCCAACTCATCCCACAACACCAGACATGTATTGTGATCCCTCCCCTGGGCCTTGCTTGGGCTTGGCCACGTGTTGTGTGTCACCATAGAAGACACCTTCTGTGTCTTCCTTCTCTGGAGCCAGAACTTTCTACAGAAGACTTCCTTTCCATGGTTGGCCTAAACACTGCCTTGGTCGTTTCATAAATCTTAGCAAAATGTCCTCTCTCACCTTGGCAACTCTCCCCCGCCCCAACCAAGTCATGGCCGGGATATGGTTCCAGTTGTCTGGAGCTGTTGGCAGCTGTTTGGAGTGGCTCCCACTTTTGTGGAACCCTGAGCCACAGGGCTAGGTGGCAGGCACCCGGGGTGGATGTAGTGAGGAAAGAGATTCCTTTTCTTCCTTGTGTGTGTGGTGAGGGGGTCCACAGCTCTCTGCCAAGGTCCTCTCTGGGTGAGAACAGGCTCTTGGGGAGTCCCTTGATTCATGGGTGAGAGCTGGATCAAGTGTCACAGGTAAGTGAGTAGCTGCAAAACCCAGATGCATGGTGGGTGGGTGAGGGGGCTATCTAGCCCCTAGCCACAGCTGCAGTGTTTGGGAGCAACTTTTTAATGACTCAAACTCATTCCTTGTGAAAAATGGCAATTGGAACACATCATATTTGAGAGGAGAGCAAATGTGCAAAAATAAGATAAGGACCTGAACTGGAAGCAGAAAGAATTCTTCTCTTTTTTCCCCTTCCAGAATTACCAGTATAAACGATCCCATTTTACATTACAAGCTAGCTTAGACACTAAGCAACTTAATTGCATGTTTGTTTTTACAAAATGATGTCCATGACTGGTGGAACTGCAGAATTTAATTGGGGAGGGAGAATCAAACAGCACCTGTGTCAAGCCAAATGAACATCAGCTACAAGTGCCCACCCATGCCTAGAGCAGCTGCATTGCCAGCACTTAGCCCAGGGCTGGGTCATTCTGTGGCCGAGCAGAGAGCTCTCCTCCCTGGCTCACAGCTGGACCGGGGTCTGCCAGCTATCCCATGGGATGCAGGGTGGGTGGGCCTCTGTTCAGGTCCCAGCCCTGATACGGTGTGTCCCCCTCTTATTCTTTTGCAAAATCATCTTTGTTATACTTGGGCCATTAAGTTTCTACATAAATATTAGAATCAGCTGGCAAATTTCAGGGAAAACTCTGCTGGGATTTAGATTAGAATGACATTGAATTTGTAGATGAGTTTTGGGAGAGCTGACATTTTAAGCTGTTGGATCTTGGCAGACATTAGGCTGATGGAGTTCTTCATTTGTTCAGCTTTTTGCTGTGCCTTTCAATCAAGTTATCATTGATATACACAGAAGTCCTGCCTGTGTTTATTTGGAATTATTTTATATGATTTATTTTCTGTGCTATCATGACTGGAATCTTCTATTTTATTGCCTATTCTTAGTGGTTATTGCTAATCAATGGAAATGTTTTTAATTTTTGCATATCCATCTGATAATCAACCATTTATACTAAGTAGTTTCACCATTAGTTCTACCATGTTTAACCATTTATTCTAATTAGTTCTAATGGTTCTAATAAATTTCCTAAATTTTCTAAGTAAGCAATCATAATGTCTCTGACTTCTTTGTCTTGTTTTGTTTTAGCTGACTTAGTGTGGTTATCGTGACTTCTGTGTTAAAGAAAATGTTTTTAATGACTCATTATTAAGTGTTTGTTGTAGATGTTCTTTATCATTTAGGAAATTCTATTTCTTGCTCACTGAAATTGCCTATTTTTAAACCATGAATAATAGGTGGTAAACTTGATTTAAGCCTTTTTAGTATCTATTGATACAACCCAAATATTTTTCCGTGTTAAAACATGAGTAATGTATTTCATTTTCCAATGGCTTGTTTTAATTACTGTTTATCATCTATCTAAGACATGCATATCAATATTTCCAAAATAGGGATTTACCTTAAAATCAATAGTCTGTTATAGGTTTGGAGAAGATTTTTTTTTTCAAATGGAAAGTCTTTTCTGCTTAGTGTTGCATTAAACATCCATGTGTTATAATCAATAGCATTTCAGATTAACAAAACGCACTGATAGGTTTTCTAATGTTTAAATATTTAGCAGTTCTGGCATAAACTCAACTTAATGTATGTTATATAAGATCTCTGTATTTACTTCATAAGAATGGGCTGTCATTTTTGCCTTCTTTACTGTCCTTGATTTTGGTATTAAGGGGTTACGCTTGCTTTATAAAGTAGCTGTGGGACATTCCTTTTAATTTCTTCTCTGGGAGGGCCTTTTTAAAAAGTTGGTTTTATTGAAATGTAATTGCCATTCAATAAACTACATATATTTAATGCATACAGTTTGTTATCTTTTGACGCATGTATGCACCTGGGAAGCTGTCACCACGGCAGGGTAATGAACATACAGGCCACCACAAAAAATTCTTCCTCCTTCTTGAATCCCATTCCCTCCTCTGAATTTTCCCAAAATAGTCCCAGGCAACTACTGCTCTGCTTTCTATTACTAAAGCTTAATTGGCATTTTAATAAATTTATTTAAATGAATCATAGATTATATACTCACTTTTGTCTGGCTTCTTTCACTTGGTGTAATTATTTTGAGCTTCCTCTGTATTTTTGCATGTGTCAAAAGTCCATTCCTAAATGGACTTTTTCTTTGAGACGAAGTTTCTCTCTGTCACCCAGGCTGGAGCGCAGTGGCGCTGTCTTGGCTCACTGCAATCTCTGCTTCCTGAACTCAAGCGATTCTCCTGCCTCAGCCTTCCGAGTAGCTGGGGTTACAATAATGCACCACCACGCCCGGCTAATTTTTTTTTTTTTTTTTGGTATTTTTAATGGAGATGGGGTTTCACCATGTTGGCCAGGCTAGTCTTGAACTCCTGACCTCAGGTGATCCACCCACCTCGGCCTCCCAAAGTGCTGGGATTACAGGCGTGAGCCACCACGCCCAGCCCTGCTTTCTATTTTGAAATACAGGCTCACAAGGAGTTGCAAACAAATGTTCTGGAGGACCCATTTATCTTTCACCCTGATTCTCTCGATGGTGACATCTTGAACGATTATAGTACAATGCCAAAACCAGGAAATTAGCAATCCACAGAGCTTATTCAGATTTTACCAGTTTGACATCGTTGCCTGTGTGTGTGTGATTTTGTCACATATGTAGATTTGCATCACCACCACTACAGTCAAGAAACACGGTTGCATCACTGAGCAGCTCACCCCTGTTACCCCCTTATACAGCCACACCCACACAACAACCCCCCTCCCTAACACTGGACAAACACTACTTTGTTTTCCTTTCTGTAATTTTGTTATTTCAAGAATGTTCTATAAATGAAATCATATACTATGTGCACTTTTGAGATTGGCTTTTCTCCCTTAGCATAATATTCCTAAGGTTTATTCAGGTCACCGTGTGTATAAATATTTCTTTCATTTTTGTTACTGCTAAGTAGTATATACCTTGGTATAGGGGTACCTCTCAGTTTCTTTATTATTCAGCTCTTGAAGAGCATTTGGGTTGTTCATGGGTTTTGGCTATTAAGAATAAAGCTACCATTAATATACCTGTACAGGTTTTTGTGTGAAAGTAAGTTTTTATTTCTCTGGGATAATGGCCAAAGAGTGCAGTTGCATGGCAAGTACATGTTTAGTTTTAAGAAAGTGACCATTTTCCAGGGTTTGGTCTACATTTGGCATTCTCACCAGCATTGTATGAGTTCGTTTTTCTGTATCTTCACCAGCATTTAGTGCTATCATTTTCTTTTTTAAACCTTTGCGATAGGTGTGAAGAGAGAGAGCATTGTTTTTAATCTGCATTTCCCTAATAGCTAGTGAGTTGAACATCTTTTCATGTGCTTATTTGCAATTTGTATATCCTTTCTGGTAAAATGTTTCTGTATGTCTTTTGCCATTTTCTCATTGTATTATTTGCATTTTTTACTGTTAAGTTTTGAGAGTGTATTATATCCTCTCTATATAAGTCCCTTTAAGGATATGCGTTTTTTTCTTTTTAAAAAAATTTTATTTTTATTTTAAGTTTTGGGGTACACATGCAGGAGGTACAGGTTTGTTACACAGGTAAACATGTGCCATGGTGGTTTGCTGCACCTATCAACCCATCATCTAGGTATTGACCCCAGCATGCGATAGCTATTTTTCCTAATGCTCTCCCTCTCCCAACCCAACTCCCTCAAAAGGCCCCAGTATATGTTGTTTCCCTCCCTGTTTCCATATGTTCTCACTGTTAAGCTCCCACTTAACATGGGAGAACATGTAGTGTTTGGTGTTCTGTTCCTGCATTAGTTTGCTGTTATACACCATGGAATACTATGTAGCCATAAAAAGGAATGAGATCATGTCCTTTGCAGAGACATGGATGAGCTGGAAGGATATGTGATTTGAAAACATTGTCTTCCACTCTGTAGCTTGTCTTTTCATTGTCTTTAAAGGGTCTTTTACGGACCAAATGTTTTAAATTTTGATGAGATTCAATTACATATTTTTTTGTGTGTCAACTTTAATAACTTCAGCTAGCTCTAAGTCCCAAAGATTTCCTCCTATGCTTTCTAAAGGATTTGTGGTTTTAGGTGTTACATTTAAGCATATCTTCTCTTTTTTTGCCTGTGGATGATCAATTGCTCCAGGACCATTTGTTGAAAAGCTCTTCTTCCTTTCCTTTACTGAACTGCGTTTGCACCTTTTCAAAAATCAGTTGGGTATATTTGTATCAGTCTATTTCTGGGCTTTCTATTGTGTTTCATTGGTCTATGTGTTTATTCGTGTGCCAATACTACATTGCCTTGATTACTTTAGCTATATAGTTATCATTAACATTGGGTAGAGTTATCCCTCTAACTTTACTCTTCCTTTTAAAATCATGTTTAGTTATCATAAGTCCTTTGCTTTTTCATGTACATTTATGAGTAAGCATCTATGTCTACAAAAACTTTTCTGGGAATTGGATCAGGATTCTGTTAAACCTACTGATCTATTTGCGAAGAGTTGATGTTTGCACAATGTTGAATGTTCCAATCCGTAAACATGACATGTGTCTGTATTTATTTAGGTCTTATTTGATTTCCTTTTTAAGCATTTACAATTTTCAATATACTAATATTTTCAATTTAGTTAATTACTGCTTTTATATATATGGTGTGGGTTTTATATTAGTTTTTTAGTTAAATAGATAACTATTTAGATAGTATGTTTTGATGAATAAAAATTTAATTTTGATGAAGTAGATTTATCTACTCTTTCTTTGGTTGCTCATGCATTTGTCATATCTAAGAAATTGTTCCCTAATCCAAAATCATGTAGATTTATACCTATTCTTTCTTCTAATGGTTTTGTAATTTTAGCTCTTGCATCTAGGTCTTGATTCCCTTTTGAGTTGTTTTTTGTATACCATTTGAGGTAGAGTTCCAAGTTCATTTTTTAGCATGTATACATTCAGTTGTACAACCATCATTTGACAAAAAGGTTATTCTGTATCCCCTTACATGATTTAGGCATAAGTGCCAATCATCAGTTAACCATATAATTACAAGTTTATATTTGGACCCTCAATTCCATTGTATTTATTCATCTACATTTCTAACATAATGCCAGCACCACACTTTCTTGATCACTATAGATTTGCAGTAGGTTTTGATTTGGGAAGTGTGAGTCCTCCAACTTTTTTCTTCTTTTTCTAGACTTGTTTATCTATTCTGGCTGTTTCCTTGTTATCCCTGTCTATTGGGCTATTCCTTTGCTCAAATTTCCATATGATTTTAGTTTCCACTTACCCATTTCTGTAAAAATGGCACTTGGTATTTTGATAGGTATTGTATTGAAACTGTAGATCAATTTGGGGACTGTTGCCATTTTAACAATATTAAGTTTTCTGATCCACTACATAAGCTATCTTTGCATTTTTAAGGTCTTGTTTAAATTTTCAGCAATGTTTTGCAGCTTTTAGTGCACAAGTCTTCCCTTTTTAAGGTTAAATTTTGTTATTATTATTCAACTTTTATTTTAGAATTGGGGTTATACGTGCAGGTTTGTTACAAAGATATATTGTGTAATGCTGGGGTTTGGAGTATAACTGAGCTCATCATCCAGGAAGTGAGCATAGCACTCAATAGGTAGTTTTCAACACTTGCCTCCCTCCCCTCTCTTGTATCCCCCAGTGTCTACTGTTCCCATCTTTATGTCCATGTGTACTCAGTGTTCAGCTCCCACTTACAAGTGAGAACATGTGGTATTGGTTTTCTGTTCCTGCATTAGTTTGCTTAGGATAATGGCCTCCAGCTGCATCCATGTTGCTGCAAAGACATGATTTTTTTTATAGCTATGTAATATTCCATGGCATATATGTATCACATTTTCTTTATTCAATCTACTGTTGATGGGGCACCTGGGTTGGTTCCATGTCTTTGCTACTGTGAATAGTGCTGCAATGTACATATGGGTGCTGTGTCTTTGTGGTAAAATGATTTATTTTTCTTTGGCTATATACTCAGTAATGGGGTTGCTGGCTTGAATGGTAACTCAACTCTTAGTTCCTTGAGAATTCTCCAAACTGTTCTCCACAGTGGCTCAACTAGTTTATATTCTTATCAACAGTGTATAAGCTTTCCCTTTTCCCCACAGTCTGGACAGCATCTGTCATTTTTTGACTTTTTAACAAAAATCATTTTGACTGGTGTGAGATGGTGTCTCATTGTAGTTTCGATTTGCATTTCTCTGGTGATTAGTGATGTGTGTTTTTGTTTCATATGTGTTTTGTCTTCTATATATGTTTTTTGGCTTCTATATCTTCTTCTGAGAAATGCCTGTTCACGTCCGTTGCCCACATAAAGTTGTTTGTTTTTTGCTTGTTGATTTAAGTTCCTTATAGATTCTGGATATCAGGCCTTTATCAGATGCATAGTTTTTGAGTTCCATCTTGTAGGTTTTCTTTGCATTTGGTTGATTTTGTACCTGGGAATTGTTTTCTTAATTTTATTTTTAGATTTTTCATTGCTAATATATAGAAATGGAGATTATTTTATATGTTGATCTTGTGTCTACTACCTTGTTGAATTAGCTTATTAGTTCTAACATTTTTGCAGGTTATTCTTTTGGATTTTCAGTATAAATTCATGTCATCTGCAAATAGAGATAGCTTTGCTGTTTTCCCTTTTCTTGCTGAATGTCTTTTATTTTACTTTATTGACCGAAGGACTGGCTAGACCTCCAGTACAATGTTGAATAGAAGTGGCCAGCGTGGACATCATTTACTTCTTCTTGAATTTAGGGGAAATTTTTCAGTCTATCACCATTAAGTTCTATATCAGCTGTGTTTTCATTCTAGATGCCCCTTTTCAGATCAAGTAAGTTCCCTTCCCCTTCTATTCTTAGTATTTGAGGTGTGTGTGTGTGTGTGTGTGTGTGTGTGTGTGTGTGTGTGTGTTTTAATGAAAGGATGCTGGATTTTGTCAAATGATTTTTCTGTGTCTGTTGAGATGATTATGTGTTTTTCCTCCTCTTATTCTACTAATGTGGTGTATAACATTGATTTTTATATGTTAAACCAATCTTGTCTTCCTAAGGTACATTCCAGTCAATCATGGTATGTAATTGTTCTTACGTGCTGCTGGATTCCATTTGACACTATTTTGTAGAAAATTTTAGTGTTCATATTCATAAGGATTATTGGTCTAATAGTTGTGTTTTCTAATGATTTATTTGGTTAGTTTTCGAATCAGAATGATACCAGCTTCATAGAATGCATTAGGATATATTCCCTTTTCTTTTACTTTCGAAAGAATTTATAAAGGATTGGTGTGAATTATTCCTTAAATGTTTAATATAATTATCCAGTGAAGTCCACTGCTACTGGGCTTTTCTTTGTAGAATTTTTAAAGAAAACTCAGTCAATCTACTTGTTATAGATATATTCAAATTTTCTGTATTCTTTACTTAGTTTTGTTTTTCTAGGAATTTGTCCATTTCCTCTTGATTATGTAAGTTTTTGTCATACAATTTTTCATAGTATTAACTTATAGCTATTCTTATTTCTGTCATGTTGGTAGTGATGTTTCCTTTTTCATTACAATTTTTTTTTTTTTTTGAGATGAAGTCTTGCTCTGTTGCCCAGGCTGTGCAGTGGCATGATCTCGGCTTACTGCAAGCTCCACCTCCCGGGTTTAGGACATTCTCCTGCCTCAGCCTCCCTAGTAGCTGGGACTACAGGCGCCCACCACCATACCCGGCTAATTTTTTGTATTTTGTAGTAGAGACAGGGTTTCACCATGTTAGCCAGCATGGTCTCGATCTCCTGACCTCGTGATCCACCTGCCTTGGCCTCCCAAAGTGCTAGGATTACAGGCGTGAGCCACTGCACTAATTTTTTACTAATTTGATTCTTCCCCCTTTTTTTCTTCATCAGTCTGGCTAAAGATTTGCCACTTTGTTGATCTTTTCAAGGACCTAGCTTTGGGTTTGTTGTTTCTATTGTTTTCTAGCTCTATTTAGTTTTTAATTTTACTCTAATCTTTATATATGTTTCTTCCTTCTACTTGCCTTTGGGTTAGTTTGCTCTTCTTTTATTAGTTTCTTAAAGTGGGAGGTTAGGCTATTCATGTGAAATTTTTCTTTTTCACCTTCATTTCTAAAAGGTATTTTTGAAGACATAGAATTAACAAGAAACAGTTCTTTGCTATAAGTGCTTAAAAATGTTGTGTTGCTTTATCTTAGCCTCCATGATTTCAGATGAGAAATCAGCTGTTATTCAAATTGTTGTGCCCTCATAAGTAATCTATTATTTATGTCTGACTACTGTCATGATTTTCCTCTTTAGTTTTCAGAATTTTAATTTTGTTGTATCTTGACTTAAGTTTCATTGTATATATTCAGTTTGGAATTTGCTCAGGTAGGGATACAGTGAGGGTTTCCATATGGGACGGAGTTTGCATGGTTTAAAACTCCCACTGGTACCAAAGGGGGAATAACCTAGGATTCTTATTAGCTTACCTAGATGTGGTGCAGAAAGGAAAAAGGAGTGAGGCTTAGAAGATGTTAGTAGTGAGACATCACAAAATGCAGTCAGACTCTTTATTTTAGTTAAGGTGTGTTTTATAACCCTGAATGTGGTTCTCTCTTGGTTCTCATGAAGAAGATAACCTTCCAGTGAAGACTGTACTGATCATGTATCAAAATGGCTACTTTCCCCATCCCCCTGCCAGAGACATAAGGTAATTTTTTTCCCAGCTCTTCACTGTGAGAACCTGGTGGGGTTTCTGGAGGTAAAACCTGTGAAAGTGTGGGCCCTTCCCGAAGACTACAGCCTCAGGAGTTTCTCACTCTCCTGCTAGTTCTCAGCCTTCAGCAATTTGTCAAAATTACCTTTTAAGTGTTTCTATTAGCTTATGACTTCAGGCTTTAGCTCCTAGTAAGCGGATCTCAGCTCTGAATCTCAGCATTCAGCTGTCTATCCAAATTTTAAGGTGGTTTCCTCTGCAACCTCAATTCTCTGATGGGTCCAGAGGTCATTGATTTTCAGTTTGTCCAGCTGTTTTCCTGTTGTAAGGAATAAAGTGATAATTTCCAAGCTCTTTTGAGGTTGAATCTGAAACTGAAAATATCCAGTAAATTTTCCATCTCCTAGGATATAGATTTCATTTCAGCAAGTTTGATTTTGGCCTTTATTATATCTCTGTGCCTCAGTTCATCTTTTTGAACATATGCAGTACAGTTATAATAACTTTTTACATCATTGTCAGAGTTGACATCTGTGTCAGTTCTCGATTAGTTTCATTTGAATGATTTTTCTTCTCACTTGGAGGTTTTGATTAGATGCCAAATATTGAGAATTGTGTTGTTAGATCCTGGGTATTTTTGTATTTCTATCATCATCCTTGAGCTTTGTTCAGGGATGCAGTTACCTAGTTTGAAACAGTTGGGTGCTTTCAAGTTTTTCTTTTACTGTGTTTTAGCTGAGTGCAGAGCAATGCTCAGCTTAGAGCTGATCCTTACCTACTACTGAGACAGGACCCTTCTGAGAACTCTACCCAATGATCTGTGTGTCCTAGATATTTCCGGTGGGGCTGTCGGAACAGGCTCTATTGAGTTCTGTGTGTGTGGCAGGTATTCATCATTCTAATCTTTTTCGGTTGTTCTTCTTCAGCCTCAGTTTTCTCATGAATATGTGGTGATCACTACTGTACTAAATACGTGTTGGGGACCCTCTAGGGTTCTCTCTATGCAGCTCTCTTCTCTCTAGTACTCTGCTTTTGGAAATCTATGTCTTGGTTTCCCCATGGTCTCAGTTCCATCTTCTTTTTTTTTATTACACTTTAAGTTTTAGGGTACATGTGCACAATGTGCAGGTTAGTTACATATATATACATGTGCCATGTTGGTGTGCTGCACCCATTAACTTGTCATTTAACATTAGGTATATCTCCTAATGCTATCCCTCCCCTCTCCCCCCACCCCCCAACAGGCCCCAGTGTGTGATGTTCCCCACCCTGTGTCCAAGTGTTCTCATTGTTCAATTCCCATCTATGAGTGAGAACATGTGGTATTTGGTTTTTTGTCCCTGCGATAGTTTGCTGAGAATCATGGTTTCCAGCTTCACCCATGTCCCTAAAAGGACGTGAATTCATCCTTTTTTATGGCTGCATAGTATACCATGGTGTATATGTGCCACATTTTCTTAATCCAGTCTCTCATTGATGGACATTTGTGTTGGTTCCAAGTCCTTGCTATTGTGAATAGTGCTGCAATAAACATATGTGTGCATGTGTCTTTATAGCAGCATGATTTATAGTTCCATCTTCTTAATGCAGGGAGTCTAATGGGCTCCCCTGGGATTTTTCCATCCTGTGCCATGACTTTGAAACTGTCTCAGTGTAGTAAGTTGTAGCAATTTTAGGGCTCACTTCATTCATTTCCTCTCTCTCAAGAATCTCTGTCCTTTGTTGCAGTGTCTTAAAAACCATGGCTTTACATATTTGATCTACTTTTCAGATTGTTTTATCTAGATAAATATATACAGTCTCTTTTATATTATTTTGGTTGGGAATATAGAATTTCCTTCCAAAACTGCCTGAGCTTGTGGCTTGTTTATTTTTGGTGGGTGTATGTGCCCTCCTAAACTTCATATGTTGAAATCTAACCCCCATGGTGATGATATGAAGATATGGGGACTTTGGAGCCTTCATGAATGGGATTAATGGCCTTTTAAATGAGGTCTGAGGGAGCTTGTCTGCCTTTTCTGCCATGTGAGGATGCATAGAAGGTGCCATCTATGAGAAACAGGCCTACACCTTCCACCAAATCTGTTGGCACCTTGATCTTGGACTTCCCAGCCTCCAGAATAGTGAGCAATAAATTTCTGTTGTTTATAAATTACCCAACCTAACGTATTTTTTATAGCAGCCCTAAGATATCTATTTTATAATTTTAAAATATCTACATATTTTTATACAGTTAGCCCTCTTTATTTGTGGGTTCCTCCTCTAGAGATTTAACCAACTATGGATTGAAAATATTTGAAAAAAAAAGTAACAATACAAAAATGAAAAAATAACACAAATTTAAAAATACACTTTAACAACTATTTACATAGCACTTACACTGTATTAGGTATTATAAGCAATCTAGACATGATTTAAATTATGCAGGAGGATGTGCATAGGTTATGCAAATACTATGCCATCTTATATCAGAGACTTGTGTATCCTCAGATTTCAGTATCTGTGGTGTGTCATAGAACCAATTGTCCGTGGATACTAAGGGGCAACTTAGTCTCTACTTTATTCTTAGCATTATTTTTTCTTTTTATTTTTAGAGTCTGTTAATGTTATTAGTCTTTTTTAAAGTATAACTTTTGTTTTTCATGAACTTCTCTATTTTTGGTTTTCTACTTTATACATTTTCACCCATCGGAGTTATTTATCTGTTTAGGTTCCTCAATTTACCCTTGTAATTCAGTCCGTTCTACCTTTATGTATATTTTAAACCATGTTATGAGGCATTTACAGGCTCTGGATCGCTATAGCTTTCTTGAAAATCGGTCATTTTATTGTGTTCAAGAATTCTTTTTCTCAATAACAATTGCCTTTTGCTTTAAATTTTCTTTTGTTAAACCAGTTTTCTTTAATATTTTCCTGGTATATCTTTTTCTATCCCTTTAGTTTCTTTTTCTTAACTTAATATTGAATATCTGAAAATGAGACTTGAGCCTTGTTTAAAAACTGAAATAGTCATAAGTGAGTGATGAACTTCTGGGATGCTCTCTCCGGAATAACTGTCCTGATCATATCTCCTGTCATCCCTGCTGCCAGCCTGTCCCTGACATTATGTTGGGTATGAAAAATCTTAGATTCTTGATTTGAGCATTGGAAAATATTCATGATCAGGCCAAAACTTGTATTTACCAATTTAATTTTTTTGCTTAATAATTATTTCAAAAAATGTTGTTGTTACATTATTAGAATCCTTGACATTATGCTAGATATTTGAGTTTAATTAGTCTAGGTTGGCAGTGTCCCAGTGGCCATGGAGTGGACTGTGTATGTTCTTTGCAATCCCAGGGGGAAACAGGAACACTCCTCTTCTCTTTACATTTTTTGAATTAGTCTCTCTGCTATTTTGCCCTCAACCCCTGCAAACCCCAATTTTCCAACCACCTATTTAAAGAACGTAGGATGCCGAACTGGAATTGTCCATGGTTAGCCTCCAATCATCCTAAGGACAGGGGCTGAGACTCCAGCAGGGGAAAGAATGGCTCCTGCTGGTCAGTGCTAGATGCCAGTGTCCACCTATCCATCATGTGCTCTCACTCCCACAGCGCAGCGGTGCTTCCGACTTGCTCCTGTCGGTATTCATCCAACCTGCTCTTCACTCTGTAGCTCCAGCTCTGCATCTTCCACAGTCTTTTCCATCGCCATGACCTAGAGCACTCGTCCCATCCTTCAATCTCATCTAGAGACCACACATGGCCTGCACACACTATAAACCTTTCTTCATTGTTTTTCTGTGCCATGAGCAAACTTCTGTTTTGTAAATTTGTGTGGGTTTGTGGACTGTTTTTCAAGTATGCTGTGAGCTTCTGGAGGAGAAAACAGCCTTCTATGCCTCTCTGTGTTCACCAGGGCCCTGATACAGATATTAGGTCACTAGACACCTTTTCATAGGTTCCTGCCTTGAGTGCTGCATCCCACAGTGAGCTCCTCCTGGGCATGACTGGGAGGGAGCACAGGCAGGGCCTCGAGCCTATTTGTATTTACTGAGCTTCCAGCTCCGCAGCTGCCCCTGGGAGCGGAGGCTACAGTAACTATCTGTCGATTTGAGGAGCTAGTGTGATCCATTTCCTCTCCTTCTCCTTCACCTCTGCATATAAACTGCTCTTTTCCCAAGGTGCTTGCCTTCATTATGACTGTAGGATTTCACAGAAATGCTGTTCTTCCTGCACCAAGACTGCACAAAGCTGGGGGAGACCACTTCAGGGATGAATACACCCAGTGACCCTTCAAAATTGCTCTCCCAAACGTTTAAAAAATTCTCCACATTTTTATCAAGAATTGTAATTTTTAATGCTCCTCTTTCAAACCCCCTCATCAAATATAACCTTTTCCTAGTTTTAGTGAGGAAATCTCCCCTGGTTCATTTGAGAGTCTGACAAGCTCTGCATACAAAATTGACAGCTGAAGATTTTTTTTAAATAGTAGTCAAGATTAGAGCTGTGTTCTGGCATTTTCCTCCCCACTCCTCTCTCAGCTTGAGTCATTTTGCCTTTTCCTCCGGCTCTGGCACCGCCCAAGCCTCTCCGAATGGAGCACCTGAATTATTAATGCTGCCCAGTCCCTCAGAGTGCCCACAAAGCTGTGCACAGCTCAATCTGAAAGGATGCACCGAATCATTAGATGCTGGCAGCCCACTCTCAGCCCTGCGATCACACCTGTCTAGAGACATTAATTTACTAAATGATTTTACCACTGCAAGTTTTTAGATTACTTCATGTTTAGCTCAATTAAGTATATTTTAACACACATTTATTAACCACCTACATTTTCCCAAGAGACTGAGGTGGGAGTTATGTTCTAAGTGGATCTCATAAATTAGTGGGGGAGGCAAACAGACAAACAACAAGGCAGGTGGAGGCAGGTGTCTGTAAAGAGGCACAAGGGGCATCAATACAGAGCCCAGGTCATCATCTCAGAATACAGGGTGGGAAACTTCCCGTCCCTGAATGTTGAGGACCTAGAGAAAGGTGGAGAAGGGATGGGCATTCCAGATGAAGGGAAGGGCATAAACAACACAGCCCAAATGAGACTGAGTGAGGAACGTTAACCAAAAAGTCTAAGTTGTGGGGGCAAGGGGAGGTTTAATAGTGCAACACAGGAAGTGTCACATCATCCTGTTCCTCTAATGGAGGCTTCTCAGTCAGATCCACACTGGAGATTCCTTTAAAGATAACAGTGAACTGAGTGAATACTTACTTGCTGGCGTGGGAGAGAAAATTGCATGCAGAAGTTGGAAAACTCAGGACAGAAAACTCCAGGATAAGTCGGGGTGAGCTGGCATCCAATGGGGACTTTGCTTCCACGGGGCTAAGTGAGAAACAGAGGATATAAGTCAGTCTTAGTTCTGCAGAGGCCAGCAGGAGGCCAAACCTCCTGGCAAAGCAGGTTATATAATTGGGAATTATTCTAGACTGATACAAATTTATGATGAAAGGCTGAGAATATATTATTTATTGAAATCTGACTGGAAGTATATAGAAAACAAATGAAAATTAAATGCATGGCTCTGGGGACAAGCAAACCCTGGTGATAAGAGGGAGAAGAACCAGAGCTGATCCAGACAGACCCTTCTCATAGATCCATCTGCCTCAGGGCTTGTACCAGTCTTTTCCTGAAGAATGAGGGGAAGTGTTTGTTAAAATATACTCTCTGTCTTTGTCTGTCAAAGTTTCCATTTCAGAAAATCCTACTAGAATTGGATTGACTTGCTGGAATTGTTGTAGTACTCACAGGTTTGTATGCCTGCTGCACAGTAACAGACCAAAACACTGAGACTACAGGGATGCAGCACAGAAAGAGTGTAGTGATCGCAGGCCACCAAGCAAGGAGAAGGGAGGAGACCCTCAAATTCCTCTACCCAAGGAACTTTTGCCTGGGGTTTCTATGGGGATCATGGAGGGTGAGGGCCTGGAAGACTGGGGTCGTTGATTGGTTGGGGGAAAGAAGGTGAAATTATCAGAATGTGGAAACTGCACTCTTCGGTGAGTCAGCTCCTCCTGGGGTCCTCAGACAGCTGGCATCAGTGGGGCCCTACAGACCAGCTGGCATCAGCGGCATCCTTCAGACCAGCTGGCATTGGTAGTTTCACTCTTATACAGGACCTAAAAGAATTTCTCAAAGGGAAAACTTAACCTTTCATAATATTCAAGTTGTTATCTATAGAGCAGGTAAGGATAACTGGAATCTTGTAACAGAGTCTACATGATTCTAGGACATCAGGCAACAAGCAACCATGAGGAAGCAGGTGAGACAGCAGCCTAACCTGGTGATGAATGCTGAATGTGCTGCAAGCCAGCTTTCATTTCATTTACCCATCTCTCTTCTTCCTTGATTAATTTTCATAAAGTTTATAGGGGTGGTTTCAGAATAACTGAACAGTTCGAGGTCAGGGCAGTTTGGTCATGTCTGAATTGAGCTCGGTGGTGGATCAGGATGTGGCCCCTTCATCTCTTGGCCCTATTCTTCTCTGCCAGCCTTGCCCTCTTGGGATCATCTCCAGAGCTCCAGGCCAACATGCTCCCTTGTGCACATCCAGCAAAAAGAGGAGCCTCTAGTGCCAATGGCACCAGCATGAGGCCCACATGTCATTCTCATTGGCTGTTACTGGGATTTGTGCACCTCCCAGGATGAACCACTGTGGTAAATGAAATATGCCAATAGGATAAAGGGAGTCAGCTAAGAGAAATCAGGGTGCTGGGAGGTAAGATGAGTGCTAGGTGCTCAAGCAATTACCTACTGAGTGAGAGTTTAAGCCTCAATTCAAATCTCACCTCCTCCAGGAAGCCCTCTCTGATTTACTGAGTGTCTGCTTGTTCTGTTTACCTGCTTCATTTTTTACAGTCCTGTTTCTACCTCCAAGCTGTGCATTCCTTCAGTGTCTGTAACATCCTGCTACCTAGCACCAAATCCATGGGAGAGGTGCTGAGATACATGTACACAGACATGGGGTGCACATATACATACTACATAAGTGGCAGAGACATGCATTTATTGGTATCATTGCATGGATACTTTGAGGGTAAAGTTGTAGACACTCCCACACTTCTTACCAATACGCATCGTATAGCTATAATTTATTGCAGGTAATCTCATTTAATAAAACAGTTCTTGTCACATGGAAGATGCTCAGTAAATAGTTTTTGGATAAGTGAATGCAAGCCCTAAATAATGATACATAATGGTGGATGAGGGAGTTGAGATGGAAACAAAGTTTGTCTATGTCCAAGGGCAATGCTTTTATTGTAATGACTCACATGTTTTCGGGTCTAACAACTTTGCCTAAAACACAGACTTCAGTAGAGCGGCCAAAGGCAAATGTGCTCTGGTTAAATAGCAGTGTGAAGCAGGTGTATATCTGTGTGGAAAGTTGTTGCCACCACCCACACAGCCACCCTGAGGTGCTCCCTGGAACACCAGGGCTCCCTGGAACCATCTGCACGTCACACTCAAATGCAAGCTGCCTGGTTTGAGTCCCTCTGACTGCTTGTCTCCCCAGTGTCACCTGGTTGGCTGGATAGCTGGAAGGGGCAGTGAGACCCTGATGTCTCTGGGAGAAAGAGGCCCTGAGAGGCAGTGCTCACTCACCAGCTTTGAGGCTTTCTTCAAGGAAGTCCCCCTATGCCCCGCTCCTGGATCCCACAAGCTGAGGCTCCATGCCTCAGGGACTGAAGAGCACGGGCCCCACACAGCTCACTGCAGGGGGTTGGGAGGCCTTGGTTGTGTGACCCCAGACAATGAACTTTGGCTAGGTTGGATCTTGATGCTCCTGGCCTGCTTATCTAGTAACACAAAGTATTTCTAATTTAAATGATAATAACAAATTGGAAAAAAAATGCTTGCATGCATTCAGTGAACTGTGACCATCATCCGTGTTACTCCTGGATCTGGTGCTGACGGAACATTATTAAGCCCTTATCTACGACGCCCACACTAAGCATGTTGCTGATGGAATTAGCAGAACAGGTGTGGTATTCTATACCTTGAGCTCTTCAGAACACATGCCCTCCTTGTGTTGTCAGAGCAATAACTGAGAAAATGTTCTCTTAAAAGGAGAGAGCAGTCACAAAGAAGTTGACATTCTTTCTTAAGGTAAGTTAAGAGAACACATGTTTTCAGATGGAAAATTGTGTTTCCTTTTTACTCTTTTCTGTCCAGAGTCAGCGATATGGAGTAAATCCATCACTAGGAGAACACCTTTCTCTTCCAGAATTGCTGATGAATCATTAGGTAAAGCCGGGGCCACCGGCAGAGTGGCCTTCTGGCAGATGGCTGGGGCTTGGGAAATGCACATCTTCTCTCGGCTCAGCTATGTGGTTCTTCTTTCTTCAAGAAGCCAAAGTACTGGGTGTACCCCACAAAGTCACAACTGGGCACAGACGGGAAAGGCTGGCTGTCAGCACCTTGCTGGCCATGGTCGTGGACCCCAGAGTGAGCTGACAAAGCAGTCAGTCCAAGCATGGCTGCAGGAGCGCCAGAAGGCGCTGGGTGCTAACACTTAGGAGGCAGCATGGACAGTGGAGGGCTATAGAGGAGGCCCCACATGAGGGACAGAATGAGGGTCCACTGGCTGCCTGCACTGCCTGATGCTCCTGCTATGGCGGCAGAAGGCCAGGCCCCTAGCAGGGCTGCTGCTGTGTGGATTCTGATGCCACTAATGACTTATCGTGCATCTGGGCCTCTGACTCTGGGTGCCTCTTAGGGCTGAGATAAGGATGAGGGGAGAGAACAAATGGGAAATGCCCAGGCTCACTCTCAGCACCAAGTGGTCTGTGCAGCCCAGGAGCCTGGAGGCAAGCCCTCGCAGGAGCCCAAGGGATCCAAACTGAAGCACTGTTTTCTGACATCTAGTATTTAAACCTAACATTTTGCATGAATTTATTTTCCACCACACGCTTGTATGAATAAAAACAGATGACTTCCCCTCCTAATTAAGCAGAACTGACATGTACTGGTGGCTCCTGGCCCATGGCCCACACTGAGGAGGAACAACAATAACGTTAGCATGAAAGGTGATAATTGGTCCTTTTAGAAAGCTGTGGAAGTGGGCACTGGAAGACGTGTTTGCCTCAGCTGCAGATGGGTGCGACATATCAAGGGAGCCCTCCTGGCCCGTCCTGCCCTGTACCAAGTTTCACCTGATGCTCACTCTCCCACATCTTCTGCTTCAGGAAAGCCCAGCATGCCTCGGTCTGGGAAGGCAGCCTATTATTCCAGCCCCATAACCTCTCCTCTTGCCACTCCATGTCCCCACCCACTCCCACCTGGACACTTACAGGACTCCAGCACTGCCTCCTCCAAGAAGCCTTCCTGGACTCCGTCAGCCCACATTGGGCTTGTTAACACTGATTATCTGAAAAATTTGGGGTATCACCTCATGACATGCTGTGCTATATTCCATCACCACCTTGCCCAAGACTCACAAGCAGCAGGTGACAGTCCAGATTCAAATCTGGGTGTGCCTGGCTGAGCACCCATGGCTTCTCTGCAGACTTAGCCCCAGCTGCAGCCCCCTGTCTGCCCCATCTGTTTCATCATCTCCTCACCCAGTTTCTGGGTGCTCCTGATAATGTTCTGTTTGTTAGGCTGGGCCCTGAGAAGGTACCCAGAAAGCCTTAAGCATTCATGGAAATGAGCCCACAGGCTGTGTGATCCAGCAGACAAGCTGATCGAGCACGAGAGTGGTCCACAAGAGCAGCCGTGGCACAGCCAGGCTTTAACCTCCTTGTGCTTGGGCTCGTGCTCCGCTGAACCATGGAAGTCTTGTGATAGAGTAAGGACCGGCTGGTGTGGGAGGCAAGAGGAGGATGGGTACACATGTTGCCATTAGTCAGCCTTGTCTTAGCCACCAAATCGGGCCTCCTTCATGAGAGAGTCTAATGTTTTATGGTTTTCCCTACAATGTGAGTGCTCAGAAGAGAAAGACTATTCTATTATACTCACGCCCACGTCCAACACGGTGCCTGGAGCACAGTGAATGCTTACTCCCAGTGTGGGGATGAGCGGCTGATGGGCTGGGGAGGGAGAGGGAGCCTGGGGTTCTCTTTCGTCCTAGCTGGGAATCCTGACCGGCTGCTAGGCCCACTTCAGCATCTATAAAACAAGGTATGTCGCTGGTCTTTGGGCTGCTGGAAGGAATAGTGATTTCACATAAGAGAGGCACCACCTGGCCCCGGATAGCAGGTCCTTCAGTTTTGTCTCAAGGTGGCTGAGGACGCCTGGGGGTGTCCCAGGAGGGATGCTGAGGCCAGGTCTGGGGCATGGAGAAAGTTGGGCAGGTGTAATATGCATGCCCTAGGTGTGCCTGTATCTGCCATTTTGTCTTTGCAAGAACTCAGAAGAGTAAAAATTTGTAGTTCTTCTCATGGAAAGAGTGAAGGGAGCCCCATCGTGCCCCGTGAAGCTGCTCTGCACCTGGCTCTCCTGTTCTGTGGCCCTGCCTTCCACGATGTCAGAATAAATCATCTAGTTAACTGACTATGGGGTGGGGCGCCAGGAGGGAAACCAGGTGGGGAGATTGGCAATGAGACAGAAATGACTCGTTTTGCCACTGGTTGTGTTGGCATTTTGTAGACACAGCCCTGGGCTCACTCACTGCATCACCTCCCACATTAGGCCATTAGGAGGGGAATTTTTTGTGTAGAGTACAAAGTATTGATTGTCCATCTTTCTTAACATTTTAATTGCATTTCAGAGAACACTGAGCTGCAGTCAATGTGGGGCTGCCTGGTTTCCCTTTGCCCTCAGGGGAACAGATAATCTGGAGAAGCAAGAATGAAGAAAGCAGCCTTATAAACAAACCAGAAGAATTAAGAGTGAGGACAGCTCTACCCAGCCCGGCTGGCAGCTGGCCACACTGCAAACCTGCTTGTGGGAAAGCTGGTTTTTGGGGTGCAAAAGAAAAATACTAAAATCAGCTTTCTGGTGTGGAAACTCAGGCAAGTGCAGGCACATATGCTCACCTTGGCTGTTCCCAGAAGTGCCTAAGCTGCCACATGCTATCTACCTGTGTCCTGCTGAGCTGCCTGAGCACAGGGACCATGTTCCATCGCACAGGTCATGCAGATGGGCAGCAGGTGCCAGGAACCCAAGTGGCAGAAGGTAGAGGTGAGAAAGCCCTGAGAAGCTGGCCCTTCAGGGCTCATAGGGAGCCATAGACCGTTTCTGTTCCATGGGGAGTGCGTGTGCTGGGGACTGCGGAGAGGCAGGAGACCCTCCAGGCCCTTCCTTCAATGCACACCATCAGTGCTGTCCTTGGAGTTCTGAGGCTCTGGCTGAAAGAAGATGCATCGATCCAGTTTTAAACCACAGCTAAATAAGCCTGGGGTTATAAATTAAATATAACCAAGCAAAGTGCCTCCAGAAACTGCCCCAAGCTTGGTTGTGTTTAGAAAGCTTCCCAGCTCCCTCCAGGCCATGTGGTCTCTCCAGGTTCTGACTGAGGACTGGAGTTGCTGGCTCCGTTTACTTGGTGCCTGTCATTTTCTGCTTTGTGATTTATTTTGTGCTGGCATCTTCTACAGCTATTTAACTTTTCATGAGTGTGCATGTCTCATCTTTTTGCCTATATTGCAAAATGCCTCAGGGGTTGAGACTGCACCATATGCTTCAGAATCAGCATTTGATCTCTGTTTTGAAAGGTCCTCTTCTCCCAGGGTCTCACTTTGCGGGCGAAGGACCCTGGCCTGAAAGTTCGAATGAGTCTCCTAGGCTAAAGGAGGTATGGGGCAGGGCTGGGCTGGAACTCAGCTCTCCCGAGGCTTAGGTTCCCCAGCACTGTTGAAAAGACTGAACTGCTGCTTTTCCAACTAGGTGAGAGGGGCACACCCCTCAAAGTTATCACGCACAGTGGATCATCTTTCCTTCCTTTATTAAACAAAATCATTTTCACTGATAATCGTGCAATAACCAGTAATGGTTTCTTGAGTCATTCTTTAGTTTAAGACAATAAATTATTTAAAAAGAAAAACTTTTAATTTCAAATATATCATTAAATTTAATAAATTATTTCATGTATGAAATAAAGTTTGCGCTTACCAAACAAAAGATATCTTGTGATCTCTGCTGCTTCGCTGTGTTGGATTTTCAACATAAAGGGGAAGTTCATGTGGTCACCTGCAGCCACAGTGTTGGGATAGCTCTGGGGATGTGTGATTCCCTTTACAATCACTGTGAGACCATTGCTTCTTTTGAGTGTACTATTAGAATATAAGAACATGAAGTACCACAGGGCTGGGGTCACAAACTGCACCTGAGCAGGATTTGAATTAAAAAAAAAAGGTGAATAGCTGAATTGCTGTGAGTTGTGGGGCATTCCATATAACTCGGAGCTCTCTGAATCAACTTCCCTGTAGGGTATAATATTTATTAAAGAGTACGTCATGTCTTCTTTTGAGAAGTGTCTGTTCATATCCTTCGCCCACTTTTTGATGGTTTTTTTTTTCTTTTAAATTTGTTTAAGTTCTTTGTAGATTCTGGATATTAGCCCTTTGTCAGATGGGTAGATTCCAAAAATTTTCTCCCATTCTGTAGGTTGCCTGTTCACTCTGATGATAGTTTCTTTTGCAGTGCAGAAGCTCTTTAGTTTAATTAGATCCCATTTTTCAATTTTAGCTTTTGTTGCCATTGCTTTTGGCATTTTCATCATGAGGTCTTTGCCCATGCCTATGTTCTGAATGGCCAGCAAATATATGAAAAGAAGCTCAATTATCCCTGATCATTAGAGAAATGCAAATCAAAACCATAATGAGATACCATCTCATGCCAGTCAGAATGGCGATTATTAAAAAGTCAGGAAACAACAGATGCTGGTGAGGCTGTGGAGAAATAGGAATGCTTTTACACTGTTGGTGGGAATGTAAATTAGTTCAACCATTGTGGAAGACAGTATGGTGATTCCTCAAGGATCTAGAACCAGAAATACCATTTGACCCTGCAATCTCATTACTGGGTATATACCCAAAGGAATATAAGTCATTCTACTATAAAGACAAATGCACAGGGATGTTTATTGCAGTACCATTCACAATAGCAAAGTCGTGGAATCAACTCAAATGGCCATCAATGATAGACTGGATAAAGAAAATGTGCAGAAGATGCAAGTTTGTTACATAGGTATGCATGTGCCATGCAAACCACCATGGCACATGTATACCTATGTAACATGTCCCATATACACCATGGGACACTATGCAGCCATGGCCGGGTGTGGTGGCTCACACCTGTAATCCCAGCACTTTGGGAGGCAGAGGCAGGAGAATCATTTGAGGTCAGGAGTTTCAGACCAGCCTGGCCAACATGGCAAAACCTTGTCTATACTAAAAATAAAAATAAAAATAAATTAGCCAGGCGTGGTCATGGGCACCTATAATCCCAGCTACTGGGGAGGTTGAGGCAGGAGAATCACTTGAACCCAGGAGGTGGAGGTTGCAGTGAGCCAAGATTGCACCATTGCATTCTAGCCTGGGCTACAGAGCAAGACTCCACCTCAAAAAAAGGAAAAAAAAAAAAAAAAAGAATACTATGCCACCATAAAAAGCAATGAGATCATGTCCTTTGCAGGGACATGGATGAAGCTGGAAGCCATCATCCTCAGCAAACTAACACAGGAACAGAAAACCAAACACACTCATAAGTGGGAACTGAACAGTGAGAACACACGTACACAGGGAGGGGAACGTCACACACAGGGGACCGTGGGGGAGTGGGAGGCAAGGGGAGGGAACTTAGAGGATGGGTCAATAGGTGCAGCCAACCACGGCACATGTACAGCTATGTAACTAACAAACCTGCACTTTCTGCACATGTGTCCCAGAACTTACTTAAAGTAAAATTAAAAACAAAAAGGATATGTGGTGAAGATCTGCTCATTTGAGACCTACATTTATATTATTAAAACTCAAGAGTAACCATGGCAATTGTTTAGAACTCAGACCAATACAAGATGTTTGTGGAGAGAAGCATGTTATTGCCAACATTCTTTAGAATGGTGGTAATAAAAACTTGGTGATAATCAACTTTTAGTAAGTTTTCATATTGTTTTAAAATCCCCTCCAGGCAATGCATCCCCTATTGCTGACCCCTGGGTGGGCTGTTCCCACCACCGCAGCCTCAGCATGGCTCTGTTGCAGCAGATGGTTTGTGATAATCGTATTTTGTCTGAAACGTGGGACTCTAAACACCCTCCTAGTCTAGCTGTGTGCATCAGAAGGTCTCTAGTGGGTGAGAATAATGATTAGCAAAGGAGCACTTGCTATTTGGCTTTGGCCCTAATACCCTGAGTGGAATCTCAGAGAGCATGGCTGCTCCACATGGAGGCTTCCTGTATAGACCAGAGGGGCTACAGGACCTAGAATGAAGCCAGATGAATGAACCACTCTTTCAATGAGGCTCACATGTGTGACTTTCAACTCTGCTGCCAAGGAACATGCTGGCATTGGTAAGCAGGTCAGCCTGTAGGAAAGGGAGAATCACTGAGAGGGAGATGGAGTGTCCACCCACATCCGGAGCTTCCCCCATTCCTTGTTCCCCGTCTTAGGATTCACGGGTCAGTGTAGCACACCAGGACCACCAGACCCTGCCACTGGCATTGAAGAAGGAGTTCAAATAAAGAATAGACAGGGGAAGAGCTTAGGCAAATGACAAACCCTGCATTTTCAAAGCCATCAACAATATTACATTTGGAGGCAAATAAATTAATCGATATTTAAAATTTCAGATGATTTTAACAAGCCTGAGGTGGAATAACGCATATAGGGGCCTCCATGCCAAGTGAGCTCCACCAGCCAGGGAGAGGCATTGGCTTAGAATGAGTCTTGGATGACACCTGTGGTAGTCAGCTTAGGAGGGCACCCATCCTGCAATTATGGAGGCAGTATCTTTTTTGGCAAATAAATGAGAGTGGAGATCACGTGAGCTACTCTTTTCACACAGAGAACAGATCTTGATTAATTTTTCTCATGCTGTAGGATATTGTTGGTTCCAAATGAACTGGCTCTTACTCTTTAATTCTCTGTCGAGATCATGTATAACAATTCTTTTTGATTCCTTGGTTGATTACAAAAGTTCTTATTTTTTTAATGATCTCTTTAAAATCCGGAGAGTTGCCTGTAGCCAAGGTGATTTGAGTACCCACTTTAAGAGGACTTGCTTTGACACCTTCCATGAAGTATCATTGCAAGATCTCTCCACTGAGTCTGGAGAATACCGGGGGAGGTTTACGCAATTTAACAAGGAAATCTGCAGAAGCTGCTCTTGGCTCCTTCTGTCCCATGTTATTTTTGCCATTTCTGAGCACATAGAGTTTAACAAATTTTCACTACTGTTTGAGGCTTCTTTCCTCAGCACCTAAATATGCAACTTAGTAAGATGCTTTTGCCAAAAGCCTCTTGTAACCTCAAGCTTCTTTTGTCCTTGAGCTATTATTGATAAATGTCCGACATGTAATAGAGTGCGTGGTCATGTGTGGCTGTGCTGTTCTGGTGGAAATAGTGCAGTAGCTTCCATGGTATAATACTGAGGCTTGAAAATAACAGGTCAGGGCATGCAGCCTTCACTGAGTTCCATCCACCATCCTCTTACAAGAGGTTTGACAATGAGCAAGGCATTGATTGCTTTATTTCTCCAAGGGACAGAAGAACTGGAAGAGACGGCACTCATGGCACTGACTCTTAGCCGCCACGTCCACATTACCAGAGCTGCCATGCTAGCCTGTTATCGCTTGCACACATGTGAGGACACAGCATCATATGTGGTGGTACTAATTCTGCTCTGAACACAGGACTCTAGTGAGCCTCTCACTGCTGCTCAGCTGGGCTCCACATAGGAGCAGCCCATGATGCCCCTAGAAGACATCACTCATCAGAGACAGTCACTCTGTATTCTAAAATCCAAAGCACCAATGAACCTCGCATGGCCTGAATGTGAGGGAGACCCAGCATGCACTGGTGACGCACGCATTGGTAAGTGTCACCCCGGCCATTTAGATAGGTGCGAGCAGGCATTGTTGCTTTCAGCTGGGCTGTCCTAGGTGCATGTGCGTTTGCCACATTTAGCACCTAAACCATGCAAGCACACTCATGGCCCCACAAAGGATGGCTTTCATTACGGGGGCGATTGTCTCAGAGAGAGGACCAGAGGCTGGGATCAGGCCCACAAACTCAGGAGTTTGCAGCATGAAAGTGAAAGCCGACTCCAGCAAAACCTCCTCCCTCCATCAGACCCAGTGACAGAAAGTGCTGGTCCTCTCTGTGCATATGTCCCATGGGCATAAGATTCTGGAGGACACTAGCTTCCTTCTGGGGCTGGTGGCCAAAGTGAGTGATGTCACTGGCTGCTGGGCAGTGGGGTGACAGCATACACCAGCCTCTAAGCAGTGAGGACAAGTGTGGGCCGAAGGCCCTGGGGCAGGCAGGAAGAGCACTCATGGGGGCAGAAGTAGAGGCCAGCCGAGTCCTGGGAGGCTGGTGTGCACGGGCCTGTGGCACCACAACACAGCAGCCAGCTCCGTGCCTGGGCCACCCTGTGAAGAAAAGGGGCTGGAGAGCAGCCCCTCTGCCCGGCTTGCCTTCCTGCCTCCTGGATGGTCTCTCGAGAAGCTGAATCTTGGGTCTTGGCGCCATGGTGGGTGCTGTCAGATGTCTGTGGTCTCCTTCCTCTCAGTTCTGTTCTGTGTGTGTGGAGTGGTTCAGTGCCATTTCCCTGCCTGTGACACTCCCCTGGTGACAGCAGAGATTAGATCTCCCCTGGTGCCAGAGCTGCCCACAGTGTGCCTGGCTCACCTCTCAGGTTCCGCTCTGCCAGCGTGGTCCCCTGCTGCACATCAGGGGTTCCTAGCGAGTGCTAGGCTCCTTTTAGCTCTCGCAGGACCACAGAAACCCTCCCCGTGATGATCTGATCCTGCGTCCCCACTCCCCGGCCAACTGCCATTCCTTGAAACCCAGCTCAGTCCTCAGCCCCTGAGGAAGCTCCCTTGACTTACTTCCCAGGCACTCTGTGTGAATTTGGACTTTGACCACAGATCCTGGTTCTGTTTCCATTCACCCCACCGCTCACAGATTGCGGGATTCCTCAGGGGAAGGGCAAGGTGTGATTTGTCCACTTTTTCTAACCTTCAGCATGTTCCATTGATATTAAATGTTCTGTTTGTATTTGTGAAGGAATTTGAAGATTTTCTTTTTATTTTGACAATTTGTTTTTCCTTTGTAGATTGTGAAGTCACTAGAGAGGTATGCAAAAGCCTTTTATCGATCGTAGTTCTAAAGACCAAGCAGGAAAGTGTGAAATACGCCCACTGAGGCCAGTTATAAAAGCCAGAAGCGAGCCGGAGCATCCTCCCTGGAGCTGTCAAATCCCTACTTGCCTTAGGGCTGAGTATGGTGGACTCCTCTGCAGGTATCAGGAGGTATGCGCGGGGCAGACGGCGCCTCTATCCTGTGCTCTGTGTGCTGCTGGGCTGGTCCTGGGGTGCAGCAAACTCTCTAGGGGCCTATAAGTCAAGCCCTGGGAGACAGCTTCTCCAGTTCTGAGGGATTAAGCAAGAGGATAGGGCTGCTCTATTTTTTTAAAAAAATTTTTATTAACTGTGTTCCTAAGCCTGGCTTGTAGTCAGGTTCAGGCATGGAGGGCAGCTGAGGCTTGCACTGTAATTTATTGCTACTTGCCATAATCCTGGAATCGCATCCCACTCCGGCCCAGGCCTGGAAGGCAGAATCTTTCCTCAGCCAAGAGCATGATGTCTGGTTGTTGTGGGGATGCCTGCCTTCCCCTTTGGCATGGGCTGGAAAGCTGCCTGCACTCCACTCTTGATGGCAAAGATGTTGAAGGAAGAAGGAGACTTTAATTGACAGTCATTTCATCTTTGGCATCAGTTACCTAATGACAGAACCCATTGCGCTCCCCTGGGGAGAGCTGTGTTTTCATCCATTAGACAAAAGACAGAGAATGTGTCTCACGCATCACTTCATTCCCTTCCATGAGCACAGGGTAAGTGACTAAGAAATGGTAACTGTATGGATAAATGAACTTAGACCAACCTCAACTATTTTTCTGGGACTCAGTACAGAGATGGATAACTTTTATAAGATACATAAGTTCAAAGTGCTTCACAAATGCCATCTGCACCATGACTAGAGGAGGAGGTATTATCCCATTTCACAGATGCAGGTGGTACAAGCATGTGACCATGCAGTGGAGTGGTGCTTTGTGTTCAAGCCAGGTCTGCCTGTGAGCTCATTTTCCTCCTCAAAGACTTGCTTATCCTCTCAGGTCCAGAGAAGAGAGTCTGCTTTGAGTGCACGCGAGCATGACACATATTCCTGAGGCTGCACATCACAGTGCATGGCGGTTTGTGGGTCCCACTAGGTGGTGAGATATTTGAAGACGTACAGGCTCCTGCAGCTCTTGGATGCTCCTGAGTCTGCTCTGATTGGGTGGAGCAGGTAGGCAAGAAGGGCTCCTGGAGATCCAGAAGGAAGTAGTTGTGATGTCTGATGCCCGGAACCATGGTCAGCAAGGGGCACTGAAGGATGGGGCAGGGGAGGAGCCTGGGTGAACACAGACATGGGTGTCTGAGATGGTCACCAGGATCACTCTCAGGGATGAACTCTGGTGCAGTTTGGAGAAAAGCCACACCATCAGCTGGCCCTCCCGAGGGAGTGTTGCAAGTCCTGGGCTTGAAGTGGTGGCCTGAACTCAGGAGAGCTTCACTTTTCACCTGGGGAAGGAGTCATGTTGGAACTAATCATAAAAATGATTATGGAATTTGAGACATAAACCCATGTAGCAAAATATTTCAGTGGGCAAGTTGGAACTAGAAGCATTACTCTTGGTCTCTTACTGTTAATCACAATGTGATTTGTTTGTTCAATATGGGTACAGAGTATTTATCCTATTTGTATAGTCCTGTTCTAGGCAAAAAAAAAAAAAAAAGAAAAAAGAGAAAAGAAAAGTCATTAATGAAATGTTCCTGTGAATACAAGACATTTCGCAGTATTCTTGCCGGTGGTCCCCGAATCCTTCTTGATCAGTGTTACTACCATTTGACAGTCAAGAAATATAAGCCTTAACATGGTTGAGTATCTTGCCCAGTTGTCACAGAAGAGAGCAATTAGAGTACAGTTACATGCAAGTCTTTCTAAAACTTTAGCTCTAAATCTGTTTGCAATTTAAGAAAGAAAATGGCTGGGTGCAGTGGCTAACACCTGTAGTCCCAGCACCTTGGGAGGCCGAGGCAGGTGGATCACGAGGTCAAGAGATCAAGAGCAGCCTGGCCAACACAGTGAAACCCCGTCTCTGCTAAAACTACAAAAATTAGCCAGGCGTGGTGGTGCGCACCTGTAATCCCAGCTACTTGGGAGGCTGAGGCAGGAGAATCGCTTGAACCCGGGAGGTGGAGGTTGCAGTGAGCTGAGATCATGCCACTGCATTCCAGCCTGGTGACAGAGTGAGACTCCATCCAGAGAGAAAAGAAAAGAAAAGAAAAGAAAAAAGAAAAAACAAGAAAAGGAACAGAAAACCTTCAACAGGCTTACATTCTGACTGAGGGATGAAAATGAGTGCCTAAGACATGATGGCACAATAAGAAGAATAAGACACCAAAGAGCTGGCAAGTTACCCAGCGATGAGTTTGAGCTCAGCGCAACTCTCCATGGGATCTGGGGCAACCAGCACGGTGGAGGGAGGGCAGAGCATCCATGCACCTGCCTAAGGAGCAGCTTGTCTGCCTTCAGACACCTCACAGGGACAGGTCGGAAACAGCTCTCTGAAGCCTGTCCCCTGTCAACAGTGGGCTGGGCAAGGCAGGGCTACCTGGGAGGTGTGCTGAGGCCTGGGGTAGGCCCTAGGGCCAGGGTGTATGGACCAAAGGCTGTAACAAATGGAGATAGCAGGTAGACCTAGACATCACGTGGGCCAAAGAGGCTCCCAGGAAGTCACAATGGTACGTCTATCTGTGGAAGGACCGAGCATACATGGAGAAGCCCAGATGGGAGGCAAGGAGTGGATAAAGGCATCGGAGGGAGGCCTGGGAAAGTCCCGGAGAATTGTTGAGAATACTTATAGAAGGTGCACACAGGCAGTGAGCAGGCTTGCTCAGGAAGGGCTCACAGGTGTTGAAGTTTTGGCCGTTTAGGACTTGGCAGACTAGGCAGGCATGAGCTTATGTCATATGCAAAACAGTGGGGACTTTGGCAGCTTTAGAGCAAGCCCTGTGCAGGCACTGCTGGGGCTTCAGCCTCCAGACAGATGAGCTTCCTGGAGGAGCGTGCTGCAATTCCGTAGGTGCTACCTAACAGAGCACAGCACCAGGGAAGGCAGCCTCCGCATGGAAACCACCCCGGCAAAAATGCCTGCAAGCCAGGCCTCATTTGCATTCTTCTTTTAAAAACAGCAACACTGTGAGGCCAAGGTGGGTGGATCACCTGAGGTCAGGAGTTTGAGACCAGCCTGACCAACATGGCAAAACCCCGTCTCTATTAAAAATACAAAATTAGCTGGGCATGGTAGTGTGTTCTTGTAATCCCAGCTACTCAGGAGGCTGAGGCAGGAGAATCACTTGAATCCACGAGGCGGAGGTTGCAGTGAGCTGAGATCGTGCCATTGCACTCCAGCCTGGGCAACAAGAGTGACCTCAAAACAAAACAAAACAAAACACAGTGGTGTATTTTGCTGTAGTTTTGTTTTACTATTATCTCTATGTAAGAGGTTATCTTACAGTTATCGCTATGGTAATATTTAAAGAAATAAACCTAAGGTCCTCCAGGATCAAGATAGTATCCTAAGTGAGAATACGTAAGCAATTTCCTCTACCAATTCCTGCAGTTATTTCCCACTGAAATAACTCGACTAGTAGAAAAGGCAAAATTATATCTCACAGTGAGTAACCATAAAAAATTGAACACTGACCTACAAAGCATCTGACAGATTTCATCTCAACTCTCAGTATGAATGAACCAGGTATCTCTATGTGAATGTTTGCAAAGAGCAAGATCACAGAATGGAAAGGCTACAAATCCCAAAGAGCAGTACCAGTGTGAACACTTCTTTTTAAATGTCAGATCGGTAATGTACTGACATTGGAACAAGATCTGAGAGAGGCACGTCTCACACTTGAGTGTGAAAACCCAATCATCACATTCATAAACCACAAAAACATCCAGCGTGAACTTTTTTTTTTTTTTTTGGAGACGGAGTTTCACTCTTGTCGCCCAGGCTGGAGTGCGATGGCACGATCTCACCTCACTGCAACCTCCGCCTCCCGGGTTCAAGTGATTCTCCTGTCTCGGCCTCCCGAGTAGTTGGGATTACAGACATGCGCCACCATGCCCAGCTAATTTTTGTATTATTAGTAGAGACAGGGCTTTGCCATGTTGGCTAGGCTGGGCTTGAACTTCTTGGCTTCCCAAGGTGCTGGGGTTAGAGGCGTGAGTCACCCGGCCCACCCCAGTGTGACCATTTAAAGCAAATGGATTCCTATCATTAAATAAAGATACTATGGGGAGGAGAAAAGAAGAGTAAAAAGAGAGAAAAAATGACTTCAACAATAATAACCACAACCCCAAATCATGTGTTTTGAGAGAGGAAAAGGTGGAGGGACACGGTGGAACAGCCACAGGCTGCTGCAGAAAGCAGTCATCTCAAGAAGGGGTAAGTATACAAAAGGTGTGGTGACTGAAGTCAATGGCACACTGAAGAGTGAAAAAAACAAAAAGTATTGAATTAGTTCAAGGGAATCTCTTGAAGCTCAGATGAAAGTGATAAACAGAGGAAAAATATGAATGACAGGAGACTCCCAAGAGTCCTAATACATGGACATTAGAAATTCCATAGGAACAGAACTGAACAGATGGAGGAAGGCTAGAAATAACTGTTTCTCTGAACTAACGGCCTGAGTTTTCTGACTGAATGAGCTCACTAAATGTTGATTAAAGTAACTGAAGAAAATACTGAAAACTGGGCAGCACCTGCTGACATTTCTCAATTTCATCTACACAGAAAAATGTTTTTAACCAGCCAAAAAAGAGACAAAATTGTTTTTTTTAAAAAAGCATCAAACAGAGAAAATGACTTTCTCAACTAAAATACTGAAAATTAGGAAACATGGAATAATATTTACAGAGTTCTGAAAATTATTAAGGCTCTAGAATACTTTACTCTTCATTATATGTAAAGAAACAAGATAATTCCGACGCAAAGTCTCAGAAAAAAACTTCCTTAGCACTTGTCTGGCCTCTCTGGGCTGGGGTCATAAATGCTCTAGAAAAGCCTGCTGCAAATAGAAACTGATATAGAATAGCTCAAGGCAGTAAAAGGT
This sequence comes from Homo sapiens, assembly GCF_000001405.40. Lineage (NCBI taxonomy): Eukaryota > Metazoa > Chordata > Mammalia > Primates > Hominidae > Homo > Homo sapiens. The sequence continues at coordinate 129,426,263 of NC_000002.12, read as the reverse complement.
GTGGTATGGAATACAGTTTGCCAAAATAGGGCATTCCTACCACTGGGAAATAGAGGAGAATTTTAAATTATATACACATGAATATTTGTATTTTTATAGCAATGTATTTTTCCATGAATTCAAAAAGCTGGCCAGGAGTGGTGGCACACACTTGTAATCTCAGCACTTTGGGAGGCCGAGGCAGGTGGATCACTTGAGGTCAGGAGTTGGAGACCAGCCTGGCCAACATGGTGAAACCCCATCTCTATTAAAAATACATTAAAAAAATTAGCTGGGCGTGGTGGCAGGGGCCTGTAATCCTAGCTACCAGGGAGGTTGAGGCAGGAGAAGCACTTGAACACAGGAGGCGGAGGTTGTAGGGAGCCAAGATTGCACCACTGCACTCCAGCCTGGGTGACAAGGGAGACTCCATCTTAAAATAAATAAATAAATAAATAAAAATAAATTGTAAGGAGCAGTATTCCACAAGGACACGTTTATGTGGAAAACTAAAGTGTGAAAGTCACGAGCATTAAGTAAATAATATTGAATAACAAAACCAGCAAGAGTTAAAGTAATGTTAAATGACTGGTTTTAATGTTTTTGTGAGCCTTCATGCAAATATTAGGAAATAATTCTCTAAGTGTTGATTCGGGTCTTGGATGCATAAAACGATTCATGTTAGTAGATTAATACACAAAGGGTTTATTAAGGGATAAGCTCATAGAATTCTTGGGAGGCTTGAAGAAACAGCACGTAGGCTAAGCCTCCAGGAGCAACAAACATCCTACACCACACGGTAAGCCAGGTCACCACAGGAGCTGCTGCCCCCGCCATGATCAGAAACTCTGGTCCTATGTAATGACCTCCCTGTAGGCATTGGCTCAAGAACCATGAAGGTCCAGTGCTTCCCTCTATCCCCAAGTAAACTCCTGTCCATTCAAAAGTCTTACATGGGTTCAGAAAATAGGCAGAACCTAAATCACATGTCTTCTTCCTGGGAAGCTGAAAAAATAATTTTTTGAATTTGTATTGGAAAAGTGTAGCTAGCCCTGGAGGCAAATACAGGAATGTTCACAAGGGTGCTCCTAAGATTCAGGGTGGTTGAAATGACAGATAATCATGACAAAAGATATCATGCATTCCAGTAAGTTGATAAATTAGAACTAAACTGCCGTAGTAATACAAGAGAATCTGGTAAGTCAATGGAATTTGGGGAACAAAAGACTCTGGAGTTCCTATATTAGGAATGAGTCCATGTAAAGTAGCCATTTTTGATGTTTACTTAGGATAAAGTGTGCTAATATTTTTAATGTGTGAATGGCGATCATTAAAAAGTCAGGAAACAACAGGTGCTGGAGAGGATGTGGAGAAATAGGAACACTTTTACAATTGGTGGGACTGTAAACTGGTTCAACCATTGTGGAAGACAGTGTGGTGATTCCTCAAGGATCTAGAAGTAGAAATACCATTTGACCCAGCCATCCCATTACTGGGTATATACCCAAAGGATTATAAATCATGCTGCTATAAAGACACATGCACACATGTTTATTGCGGCACTATTCACAATAGCAGAGACTTGGAACCAACACAAATGTCCTTCAGAGATTGACTGGATTAAGAAAATGTGGCACATATACACCATGGAATACTATGCAGCCATAAAAAAGGATGAGTTCATGTCCTTTGTAGGGACATGGATGAAGCTGGAAACCATCATTCTCAGCAAACTATCACAGGGACAAAAAACCAAACACCGCATGTTCTCACTCATAGGTGGGAATTGAACAATGAGAACACTTGGACACAGGGTGGGAAACATCACACACTGGGGCCTGTCGTGGGGTGGGGGGAGGGGGGAGGGATAGCATTAGTAGATATACCTAATGCAAATGACAAGTTAATGGGTGCAGCACACCAACATGGCACATGTATACATATGTAACAAACCTGCACGTTGTGTACATGTACCCTAGCACTTAAAGTATAATTTAAAAATAATAATAAAAATAAACTTTGGAGAGTAAAAAAAAAAAAAAACCAAATGTCTTAAATTTCTTTAACTCAAGTGCTGTTGATTGTTTATTGCATTGCTGATAAAATTTAAACAGCTTTTCATGAACAAAAAATACATGTCAAGTAAGAAGAAAGGACATGTTAACCACCAAGGTTTTCATCAACAGCTATAAGCCTTGTTGATAGTATGTTCCCTTGATAGGACCTGATGAAGATGTCACTTTACCTCTGTGGTCTTTCTCCCTAAAACCCACAACCACAATATAGTCATGAGAAACACACCGGACAAAATCAAATTGAGGAACATTCTAACCAGTACCCCTGCTACTTGTCAAGGCCACAAAAAGACAAGAAAAGTCAGCAACTCTCACTTATCAGGAGCGCCTATGGAGACTTGATATCTAAAGGGAATGTTGTGCCCCTGAAGAGATCTTAGCCAGATAGGGGGCATCAGGTTACAAGTAAGAGGATCTGAGTAAAGGGTGGGCTGTAGTTAATAATAATGTACCAATATTGGGCCATTAGCTTTAAGAAATGTCTCACACTAAGGTAGGATGTTAATAAAATGGGACACTAAACATGGAATATATATGTATACACACACACATATATATACATATATACACACACATATATATACATATATACACATATATATACACACACCTAGATATATATCTAGATGTGTATATATATACCTATATATAGAGAGAGAGAGAGAAAGAGAAACAGAGAAAGAACTCTCTGTACTACACCTTTACCATTTTTTTCTGGAAATTTAAAATTATTCTGAAATAAACACTTTATTAGCAATAAGCACTCAACTATTAATGAAAGTACATACACATAACAAACAGAACATAATGAATTGCAGGTGCTATGAAGCAAAGTAAGGCTAGAGCGAGTGAGAAGGCAGGCATGCTCTTTTAGACGAGGTGGTCGGGGAGACCTCTGCTCTGGTGACATGTGAGTAGAGAGGGGATGGAGTGGAAGCAAGCCCTATGTCTGCTGAAGGAAAAGCACTCAGAGAGAGGAAACAGCAAGTGCAAAGATGCTGAGACAGAAATGTGCTTGGCAAGCTTGAAGAATAGCAAGACCAGCGTGGCTGGTAACTGGCGAGAGGTAAGTGGGAAAGGGATAAACGTGGGTTGTAAGTCTCAATGAGGCTTTGACGCCTCATCCTAAGTGCAGTGAGGACCATTAATGTGATAGGCTTAAATTTTAAAAGACTTGTTTTGGCTTATTTGACAGAACAGGCTATACTTGGGCAAGAGTGGGTTCACAGATACTAAGGAGAAGGCTATTTTATTTGTCAGGTTGAGAAAGCTGAGGGTGGTGTAGACCAGGGTGGTCATGGAGAAGCAGTCAGATTTCTGATATAGTGTAAGGCTGGAGTTTTAGCTTCAACTGACTTACAGAGAAAAAGCAAAAGGTAGGCAGTAAAATTCTCCACTAGTGGCCTCAGTGAGGAACAGTGAAAGGAGGGAGGTAGCAAGTACAGGAAATGAGACAGGAGCGAGCATGGATAGAACTTACTTCCAAGGGCCTAGGAAGTCTCAGAAAGGATGGAGACATAGTGCTCTGAAGAAAACAACAATTGTGGAACAAGGTTACCAACTGCACCTTTATGCTGTGTGGACGTTATATGAGCTGTAGGAGAGAACAATTCCAGCACTTCCTAGGGCAATAGAGAAATACATGTGTTCAGAGAAAAGCTAAGTTTTGTTTAGAACAAGTGAGTGAAGGGAATTTTCAAAGAAGAGATTTACCATATAGATTATTTTGCCGATGAGGGTTTGCAATCCGCGGAGCAGAGTGGAAGGACTTGGGTGATGAAGGCTTGTTGAGAGATTGAGTAGGATTAAGTAAAAGAGAAAACTCAGTGAGAGTCTTCATGAGGAGTGCCTTGGGCTTCTTGTTACAACAACCTAAAGAGGGGTATACAGCATGATGTAATTATTCCTAATGGTCTGCTAGGAGCAAGAGAAAAATCATTTCCAATTATCTCTCTTTTCTGGGACTGGTCTCTTAGGCTCTTTATAGTGGTGAGGCATAAGTGAATTATATGTCCTTCAGAATTAAATAGCATTCCTTGCAAGTTGCCTGGAAATTTTGACAGATGAATGTCCATTCCTCGAGTCCTAGACAGTCATTTATAATAATGAAAAAAGTGGTCACACCAATCTGCTAGCTATGAAATTTCAGCTGCCTATTCCATGAGATCTGGCAATGGCCACTGACTATAATGATAATGTAATTCTCATCTTTGTTACTTTCTACATGTCTCTTTTTCCTTAATCTGATTTAAAAATGCCCTTGGTTTGCAGAAGTTTGCCTGACTTTTCCTTGTTCTTCGCGGAAGACAGAAGTCTTTCATGTGTACTCTTACATCAGAAAGAATGGATCCTTGGTTAGGTCCTAGGGACAGGGGAATTTTCTGTTCCTCCCCCCGTAATTTAAGGTTTTTATTTTGCAAGAGGAAAGGTAAAGGGAGCAGTCAGTGCTCCCTGCCCATCTCAGAGCAGCAGCCAGTGCCTTCCTGCCAGTCCACTAAGTGGGGCTCACTATGTCTGCTTCCCCGATCTCTGTACTTCTGGAGGTTCAATGAAAGAAGCTTGCCAGTGATTGAAAGCTTGCTTGCTGACTGAGATCTTGATCATTTCAAATGATCTGTTCATGCATAGTTGATCTTCAAAAGATGTGTAAAGTTTGGGGGATGACCTTTTCTTATCCATTTTTGTGGTTGCCTACTTTTCCTCCTTTGCCAAAAATGAAAGAATTCTGTCTATTCTTGGAGGGACTTTTTATTCTGTGGAATTTAGTTCACTTGGTTGTCTTCATCTTCAGCTCTTATATCAGTTTAAGAAAAGTTATGACTGTATAGATTATCCAGCTTTATCATGTTTTTAAGTGTGGGTGGTATTATCTTGCATTTTTATACTTTTTTTTTTTTTTTGAGACGGAGTCTTGCTCTGTTGCCAAGCTGGAGTGCAGTGGCATGATCTTGGCTCACTGCAACCTCCGCTTCCCAGGTTTAAGCGATTCTCCTGCCTCAGCCCCTCAAGTAGCTGGGACTACAGGCACACACCACCACGCCTGGCTAATTTTTGTATTTTTAGTAGACACAGGGTTTCACCATGTTGGCCAGGCTGGTCTCGATCTCTTGACCTCGTGATCCACCCGCCTCGGCCTCCCAAAGTGCTGGGATTATAGGCATGAGCCACAGCACCAGCAGAAGTAGGAACTTCTTAACTAAAATTTAGAGGATATCAAAAATACATTGAAAATACAAAGAGAAGGTGAAAACATAGGTCATACAATGTAGAGGTATAAAGCTATTAAAGTCCATTAGGAGAGGCAAATAAGAATGTAGAAGACACAATATTTGAAGACTATGGCTAATAATATTTTCAAAACAAAGAAAAGGTAACAAGCCAAAAATTCAAAGTGCATACACTCTAAACAGAATAAATAAAAAGAACACAAACCTACTAAAAAGGAAAAGCTTAAAAGCTGTTGGGGGGGTGCATGTTGTCTTCAAAAAAGCAACAGTTACACTGTCAGTTCACTTCTCAAAAATAAAAGAATTAAAAAGACAGTGGAATGACATCTTCAAAGTGCTTAAATAAAAGTTTTCCTATAATGCAAGTGTTTAACTAAAAAGTTCTCCTTGAAGACTGAGGAAAAATACCCTCAAAAACCAAAGATGAGGTTACCTTCCAGTTGAGGCAAGCTAAAGATAACAGCAGATTTTAAAACTATTTCCAAATTGACTTTTCAAACAAACATAATGATGTCAGTAAAAATAGTGGACTAAGACCTCCAAAACTTCACACTACATAAAAGAAATTTCTAAAATGGCAAAAGCTGTCCAAATTAATTTACGCAGAACTTCAGAAAATTGCCTGTGGCTTCCTGCGGAGTGTTTATAAATTAAGAAAAACAGCTAAATCTTGATAAGAACAGCAAGCAAGCTTTGTGGCATTTAACTTTCCCTGGTTGCATCTCTTGCTCTCCATCTCAGAGATACCATTGAAAAATAACAGCCCACATTACTATGAAAGCTTCACAACGCCTGAAGGAGCAGTATTGTGTTGTAACTTCTTCAAAATCACATCCCTAAATAATTCTCATTATGGCACCTGTCTGATGGTTTCCACAAAAACCTGACCTACAAAGGTAACTCAGAGCTCACCCAGTATAAACAGCCATCTCCTTGGTGCACACTTTTGTTAAAGCAAGTTACAGGTAAGTGTTTTAAGTTGGTGGTTGCCAGAGGTGATGAATGAGAGTTGAGGAAAGCAATAGGCTAACTAAAATTCTTAAAATGAAAAAGCTGAAAGATGGACCATCCACAGGGGCATAGAAAAGCTCTGACATGACAGACTTTTGAGACTCTATTAGGTCTCAGAAATGGCTAGGGCTGTGTTCAGGCTCAGGAAATACCTGAGAATGCCCCAGACTCATGATTCTAGCTGACTCGGAGACTCTGCATGGGCAGGAAGTGAAGGCTAAGGTGGAACTGTAAATTGCTTTGCTGAGTGTTTAGTATACACACAGAATCCCTAGGCAAATACTTGGAGATTTATTGGTTTCATGCATTTAAGGAGACCTCTGTCTAATCATTAGCTGACCACTAAGCTAATCGAGTAAAGGTTTCAGTGGCCACACTTTATAAAAAATACAGACTTTAAAGAATTAGTTCAGAAAAATCACCAAACAAACCAACCACTATGATTACAATAAGCAACATCACAGCAAACCCTGTGGAGAGGGGGAGATCTTATTTCTAGAATTGCTGCATGAAACTTTCCAGTATTCAACAGCAATAAAATATATGAGACATGCAAAGAAAAAGAGAGTATAAACCAGAGCTAAGGAAAAAAACAAGGAATAGAAATGGTCTCTGAGGAATCCCAGACACTGTTTTTCTTAGACAAAGACTTTAAATTAGCTATTTAAAATATGTTCAAAGTGCTAAGTAAAACCATGTCTAAAGAACTATAGGAAAGTATGAGAGTTATGTCTTACCAAATAGGGAATATCAATAAAGAGATAGACGTCATGCAATGTAGGTTCTGGAATTGAAAGTGTAATAGCAGGCCTTCTTTATGAGAAATACTACAAGGAGTCTTTCAGGCTCAGATAAAAGATACAAGAGAGTATCTTAAATTCACATTAAGAAATAAAGGTGCAGAGTAAAGATAACTACATAGATAAATATAAAAGACAGTATTAATACAGTTTTAGATCAGATGATTCGAAAGATAATGACACAAAGTAATAATAATTGGTTTCTGTTGATGGACCCACAATATATAAAATGTAATTTGTAACAATAACAGCATATAGAGAAGGAGCTATGTAGGAGCAAAGTTTTGTATACTACTGAAATTCATTTGTAACTAATCTAAATTAGATTTTTATAAATTAATAATTAATTATACAAATGGCCAATGAACACATGAAAAGATTATGAACTTCATTAGTCATTAGAGAAATGAAAATAAAAACCATAATGAGATTGCACTTCATTACTACTAGGATAGCTATATTTAGTTATAGTATAGCTATTATATAGTTACTCTATAACTCTTTTCTTTGGGCTTATAATCAAGAGAACTTAAAAAAATCTGTTCACATAAAAACTTGTACATGGTAGCATTATTTATTATAGCCAAAATGAAAATAGCTCAAATGTCCATCAATTGATGAATGACAAACAAAATATGATATATCCATACAATGGAATATTATTCAGTCATCGAACAATGGAGTGCTGATGCATGTGACAACACAGATTAACTTTGAAAATGTTATACTAACTTTAAAAAGCCAGCCACAGTGGCTGCATAATGTATAATTTCATTTACATGAAATTTCCATAGTAGGTAAGTTTATAGAGACAGAATATGGATGAGTGGTGCCAAACCATCTATAATGGCAGAACTCAGGCAGGTTTCATGGAGAATACACAACTGTGTGGAGATAAGATAATGGTGTCTTTTGATGCTGCCAAAAGACCCAGAAATCACTATCAAATGTCCCCATAGGAAGGAGAGGAGCCTACTTTGAGTAGATACTTCTCTAAGAGCAACCAGCATAAACTTTAATTTATAAGTGAGTTTTTTTTAAAGGCCGTCCTAACTCCCAGAAACTTCAAAAATGTGTTCTAAGAATTCAAAACTCCTTGGTAAGAAAAATAGATATAAAATGCAAATGTAGCCAGATACAAATTATAGAGTAAGTAAAAAAGAAGGTTCTGATTCAGGGTTAAAAAGTCCGTGGGACTCAGATCTCAGAGCTATGGAGGTGACCCCACAGAGAGGCAACTTTGATAATAGCAGCAGAGAGAATTCTTAAGTGTCAAGCTAGGAAAACCACACCTCTGATCTATGCTGGAACTTCCATCTAAAGGCACAGAACACCACCTCATTTTCCATAAGCCACCATGAGGTGAATGAACTCCATACAATGATACTAGCTGATATTAGGAGACAAATGATGAAAAAACATAAAAATTAATAGCTGAATTATATACTCACAGATATTAAAGGCATATAATAAAATTATGGCTTAGAATATATATATACACTATAGTTTAATATTAAAAATACAAAATTAAGGAAATATAAAGTCTATGAAAAATATCAAAGGTAAAAAATAGAAAATCTCAGAATTTAAATCATAAAAAAGTGGATAATATGAAAAAGAGAAGACAGTGCCTAAAATGTGAAAAAAAATCATTTCAGAAATGAATAAATTATATGGAAAAATAAATAGGTAACACAGAAAGTACAGTAAAGGAAAACAGAAATAAAAGACGGACAACAAAAAGTAAAGAAATTTAAAAATGAGAGAAATAGGGGAGGAGCCAAGATGGCCGAATAGGAACAGCTCCGGTCTACAGCTCCCAGCGTGAGCGACGCAGAAGACGGGTGATTTCTGCATTTCCATCTGAGGTACCGGGTTCATCTCACTAGGGAGTGCCAGACAGTGGGCGCAGGCCAGTGTGTGTGCGCACCGTGCGCGAGCCAAGCAGGGCGAGGCATTGCCTCACCTGGGAAGCGCAAGGGGTCAGGGAGTTCCCTTTCCGAGTCAAAGAAAGGGGTGACGGACGCACCTGGAAAATCGGGTCACTCCCACCCGAATATTGCGCTTTTCAGACCGGCTTAAGAAACGGCGCACCACGAGACTATATCCCACACCTGGCTCAGAGGGTCCTACGCCCACGGAATCTCGCTGATTGCTAGCACAGCAGTCTGAGATCAAACTGCAAGGCGGCAGCGAGGCTGGGGGAGGGGCGCCCGCCATTGCCCAGGCTTGCTTAGGTAAACAAAGCAGCCGGGAAGCTCGAACTGGGTGGAGCCCACCACAGCTCAAGGAGGCCTGCCTGCCTCTGTAGGCTCCACCTCTGGGGGCAGGGCACAGACAAACAAAAAGACAGCAGTAACCTCTGCAGACTTAAGTGTCCCTGTCTGACAGCTTTGAAGAGAGCAGTGGTTCTCCCAGCACGCAGCTGGAGATCTGAGAACGGGCAGACTGCCTCCTCAAGTGGGTCCCTGACCCCTGACCCCCGAGCAGCCTAACTGGGAGGCACCCCCCAGCAGGGGCACACTGACACCTCACACGGCAGGGTATTCCAACAGACCTGCAGCTGAGGGTCCTGTCTGTTAGAAGGAAAACTAACAACCAGAAAGGACATCTACACCGAAAACCCATCTGTACATCACCATCATCAAAGACCAAAAGTAGATAAAACCACAAAGATGGGGAAAAAACAGAACAGAAAAACTGGAAACTCTAAAACGCAGAGCGCCTCTCCTCCTCCAAAGGAACGCAGTTCCTCACCAGCAACAGAACAAAGCTGGATGGAGAATGATTTTGACGAGCTGAGAGAAGAAGGCTTCAGACGATCAAATTACTCTGAGCTATGGGAAGACATTCAAACCAAAGGCAAAGAAGTTGAAAACTTTGAAAAAAATTTAGAAGAATGTATTACTAGAATAACCAATACAGAGAAGTGCTTAAAGGAGCTGATGGAGCTGAAAACCAAGGCTCGAGAACTACGTGAAGAATGCAGAAGCCTCAGGAGCCGATGCGATCAACTGGAAGAAAGGGTATCAGCAATGGAAGATGAAATGAATGAAATGAAGCGAGAAGGGAAGTTTAGAGAAAAAAGAATAAAAAGAAATGAGCAAAGCCTCCAAGAAATATGGGACTATGTGAAAAGACCAAATCTACGTCTGATTGGTGTACCTGAAAGTGATGTGGAGAATGGAACCAAGTTGGAAAACACTCTGCAGGATATTATCCAGGAGAACTTCCCCAATCTAGCAAGGCAGGCCAACGTTCAGATTCAGGAAATACAGAGAACGCCACAAAGATACTCCTCGAGAAGAGCAACTCCAAGACACATAATTGTCAGATTCACCAAAGTTGAAATGAAGGAAAAAAATGTTAAGGGCAGCCAGAGAGAAAGGTCGGGTTACCCTCAAAGGAAAGCCCATCAGACTAACAGCGGATCTCTCGGCAGAAACCCTACAAGCCAGAAGAGAGTGGGGGCCGATATTCAACATTCTTTTTTTTTTTTTTTTTTTTTTTGAGACGGAGTCTCGCTCTGTCGCCCAGGCTGGAGTGCAGTGGCGGGATCTCGGCTCACTGCAAGCTCTGCCTCCCGGGTTCACGCCATTCTCCTGCCTCAGCCTCCCAAGTAGCTGGGACTACAGGCGCCCGCCACTACGCCCGGCTAATTTTTTTGTATTTTTAGTAGAGACGGGGTTTCACCGTTTTAGCCGGGATGGTCTCGATCTCCTGACCTCGTGATCCGCCCGCCTCGGCCTCCCAAAGTGCTGGGATTACAGGCGTGAGCCACCGCGCCCGGCCCTCAACATTCTTAAAGAAAAGAATTTTCAACCCAGAATTTCATATCCAGCCAAACTAAGCTTCATAAGTGAAGGAGAAATAAAATACTTTATAGACAAGCAAATGCTGAGAGATTTTGTCACCACCAGGCCTGCCCTAAAAGAGCTCCTGAAGGAAGCGCTAAACATGGAAAGGAACAACCGGTACCAGCCGCTGCAAAATCATGCCAAAATGTAAAGACCATCGAGACTAGGAAGAAACTGCATCAACTAATGAGCAAAATCACCAGCTAACATCATAATGACAGGATCAAATTCACACATAACAATATTAACTTTAAATATAAATGGACTAAATTCTGCAATTAAAAGACACAGACTGGCAAGTTGCATAAAGAGTCAAGACCCATCAGTGTGCTGTATTCAGGAAACCCATCTCACGTGCAGAGACACACATAGGCTCAAAATAAAAGGATGGAGGAAGATCTACCAAGCCAATGGAAAACAAAAAAAGGCAGGGGTGGCAATCCTAGTCTCTGATAAAACAGACTTTAAACCAACAAAGATCAAAAGAGACAAAGAAGGCCATTACATAATGGTAAAGGGATCAATTCAACAAGAGGAGCTAACTATCCTAAATATTTATGCACCCAATACAGGAACACCCAGATTCATAAAGCAAGTCCTCAGTGACCTACAAAGAGACTTAGACTCCCACACATTAATAATGGGAGACTTTAACACCCCACTGTCAACATTAGACAGATCAACGAGACAGAAAGTCAACAAGGATACCCAGGAATTGAACTCAGCTCTGCACCAAGCAGACCTAATAGACATCTACAGAACTCTCCACCCCAAATCAACAGAATATACATTTTTTTCAGCACCACACCACACCTATTCCAAAATTGACCACATACTTGGAAGTAAAGCTCTCCTCAGCAAATGTAAAAGAACAGAAATTATAACAAACTATCTCTCAGACCACAGTGCAATCAAACTAGAACTCAGGATTAAGAATCTCACTCAAAGCCGCTCAACTACATGGAAACTGAACAACCTGCTCCTGAATGACTACTGGGTACATAACGAAATGAAGGCAGAAATAAAGATGTTCTTTGAAACCAACGAGAACAAAGACACCACATACCAGAATCTCTGGGACGCATTCAAAGCAGTGTGTAGAGGGAAATTTATAGCACTAAATGCCTACAAGAGAAAGCAGGAAAGATCCAAAATTGACACCCTAACATCACAATTAAAAGAACTAGAAAAGCAAGAGCAAACACATTCAAAAGCTAGCAGAAGGCAAGAAATAACTAAAATCAGAGCCGAACTGAAGGAAATAGAGACACAAAAAAACCCTTCAAAAAATCAATGAATCCAGGAGCTGGTTTTTTGAAAGGATCAACAAAATAGATAGACCGCTAGCAAGACTAATAAAGAAAAAAAGAGAGAAGAATCAAATAGACACAATAAAAAATGATAAAGGGGATATCACCACCGATCCCACAGAAATACAAACTACCATCAGAGAATACTACAAACACCTCTACGCAAATAAACTAGAAAATCTAGAAGAAATGGATACATTCCTCGACACATACACTCTCCCAAGACTAAACCAGGAAGAAGTTGAATCTCTGAATAGACCAATAACAGGCTCTGAAATTGTGGCAATAATCAATAGTTTACCAACCAAAAAGAGTCCAGGACCAGATGGATTCACAGCCGAATTCTACCAGAGGTACAAGGAGGAACTGGTACCATTCCTTCTGAAACTATTCCAATCAATAGAAAAAGAGGGAATCCTCCCTAACTCATTTTATGAGGCCAGCATCATTCTGATACCAAAGCCGGGCAGAGACACAACCAAAAAAGATAATTTTAGACCAATATCCTTGATGAACATTGATGCAAAAATCCTCAATAAAATACTGGCAAACCGAATCCAGCAGCACATCAAAAAGCTTATCCACCATGATCAAGTGGGCTTCATCCCTGGGATGCAAGGCTGGTTCAATATACGCAAATCAATAAATGTAATCCAGCATATAAACAGAGCCAAAGACAAAAACCACATGATTATCTCAATAGATGCAGAAAAAGCCTTTGACAAAATTCAACAACCCTTCATGCTAAAAACTCTCAATAAATTAGGTATTGATGGGACGTATTTCAAAATAATAAGAGCTATCTATGACAAACCCACAGCCAATATCATACTGAATGGGCAAAAACTGGAAGCATTCCCTTTGAAAACTGGCACAAGACAGGGATGCCCTCTCTCACCGCTCCTATTCAACATAGTGTTGGAAGTTCTGGCCAGGGCAATCAGGCAGGAGAAGGAAATAAAGGGTATTCAATTAGGAAAAGAGGAAGTCAAATTGTCCCTGTTTGCAGACGACATGATTGTTTATCTAGAAAACCCCATCGTCTCAGCCCAAAATCTCCTTAAGCTGATAAGCAACTTCAGCAAAGTCTCAGGATACAAAATCAATGTACAAAAATCACAAGCATTCTCATACACCAACAACAGACAAACAGAGAGCCAAATCATGGGTGAACTCCCATTCACAATTGCTTCAAAGAGAATAAAATACCTAGGAATCCAACTTACAAGGGATGTGAAGGACCTCTTCAAGGAGAACTACAAACCACTGCTCAAGGAAATAAAAGAGGACACAAACAAATGGAAGAACATTCCATGCTCATGGGTAGGAAGAATCAATATCGTGAAAATGGCCATACTGCCCAAGGTAATTTACAGATTCAATGCCATCCCCATCAAGCTACCAATGACTTTCTTCACAGAATTGGAAAAAACTACTTTAAAGTTCATATGGAACCAAAAAAGAGCCCGCATCACCAAGTCAATCCTAAGCCAAAAGAACAAAGCTGGAGGCATCACACTACCTGACTTCAAACTATACTACAAGGCTACAGTAACCAAAACAGCATGGTACTGGTACCAAAACAGAGATATAGATCAATGGAACAGAACAGAGCCCTCAGAAATAATGCCACATATCTACAACTATCTGATCTTTGACAAACCTGAGAAAAACAAGCAATGGGGAAAGGATTCCCTATTTAATAAATGGTGCTGGGAAAACTGGCTAGCCATATGTAGAAAGCTGAAACTGGATCCCTTCCTTACACCTTATACAAAAATCAATTCAAGATGGATTAAAGATTTAAACGTTAGACCTAAAACCATAAAAACCCTACAAGAAAACCTAGGCATTACCATTCAGGACATAGGCGTGGGCAAGGACTTCATGTCCAAAACACCAAAAGCAATGGCAACAAAAGCCAAAATTGACAAATGGGATCTCATTAAACTAAAGAGCTTCTGCACAGCAAAAGAAACTACCATCAGAGTGAACAGGCAACCTACAACATGGGAGAAAATTTTCGCAACCTACTCATCTGACAAAGGGCTAATATCCAGAATCTACAATGAACTCAAACAAATTTACAAGAAAAAAACAAACAACCCCATCAAAAAGTGGGCGAAGGACATGAACAGACACTTCTCAAAAGAAGACATTTATGCAGCCAAAAAACACATGAAGAAATGCTCATCATCACTGGCCATCAGAGAAATGCAAATCAAAACCACTATGAGATATCATCTCACACCAGTTAGAATGGCAATCATTAAAAAGTCAGGAAACAACAGGTGCTGGAGAGGATGTGGAGAAACAGGAACACTTTTACACTGTTGGTGGGACTGTAAACTAGTTCAACCATTGTGGAAGTCAGTGTGGCGATTCCTCAGGGATCTAGAACTAGAAATACCATTTGACCCAGCCATCCCATTACTGGGTATATACCCAAAGGACTATAAATCATGCTGCTATAAAGACACATGCACACGTATGTTTATTGCGGCACTATTCACAATAGCAAAGACTTGGAACCAACCCAAATGTCCAACAATGATAGACTGGATTAAGAAAATGTGGCACATATACGCCATGGAATACTATGCAGCCATAAAAAATGATGAGTTCATATCCTTTGTAGGGACATGGATGAAATTGGAAACCATCATTCTCAGTAAACTATCGCAAGAACAAAAAACCAAACACCGCATATTCTCACTCATAGGTGGGAATTGAACAATGAGATCACATGGACACAGGAAGGGGAATATCACACTCTGGGGACTGTGGTGGGGTCGGGGGAGGGGGGAGGGATAGCATTGGGAGATATACCTAATGCTAGATGACACATTAGTGGGTGCAGCGCACCAGCATGGCACATGTATACATATGTAACTAACCTGCACAATGTGCACATGTACCCTAAAACTTAGAGTATAATAAAAAACAAAAAAACAAAAAAACAAAAAAACAAAAAACAAAAAAAAATAAAATAAAATAAAAATGAGAGAAATAAGAAAATGTGGCACATACACACCATGGAATACTATGCAGCCATAAAAAATGATGAATTCATGTCCTTTGTAGGGACATGGATGAAATTGGAAATCATCATTCTCAGTAAACTATCACAAGAACAAAAAACCAAACACCACATATTCTCACTCATAGGTGGGAATTGAACAATGAGAACACATGGACACAGGAAGGGGAACATCACACTCTGGGGACTGTTGTGGGGTGGGGGAGGGGGGAGGGATAGCACTGGGAGATATACCTAATGCTAGATGATGAGTTAGTGGGTGCAGCGCACCAGCATGGCACATGTATACATATGTAACTACCCTGCACATTGTGCACATGTACCCTAAAACTTAAAGTATAATAATAAATAAATAAATAAGTAATAATAATAAATGTAGAAGACAAAAAGGGAAAAATATTATATTCTCAAAGGAAAAAAGAAGCAAAAGTATAAAACAAAACCAAAAACCATAATTCAATAAAAATCTTTATATAGGATAAGTCTTCAGGTATATATTGACATGCCACAGTGTGCAGCTATGAAAATCAGCCAGAAAAAACAACACTGAAACATATTTCAGCAAACTGTAAGACCTTAAATATAAAGAAAAATACTAGTTTCCGTCAAGGAAAAAAAGTCCAATCACAAGGAAAAAACCCAGATGGTTCAGACTTCTTGAAATCAATATTTCCTATGAGAAGACAATAGGGCACCATATCTAAGATACTCAAGAAATGCAAACATGACCCAAGAATGCTATTTAGTGAAGCTAACCTGCAACTATAAAGCTGTGTAGAAACAGGTATAAATTTGCATGCAATTCCTTTTCTCTTTAGTTTTTTCTATGGAATCAAGAAAGTGAGATATAGACAATCAAACGTCAGGAAAGGTTTGGCATAAAGTCTTGTGCTGAGTATTGAATATGTTTAATTTATATTTAATTTTAGAACTAAAGCTCAATGATGGTGATAAAAGTGTCAGAATTTTAATATATATATATATGTACATGTGTGTATATATAATACATAAACATAAATACATATCCAAATCCATAACACCTTAGGAAATACAAAAAATAGCAGAATGTGTGGAGGGAAGATGTATGGAAAATATAAAAAGCTTTCCAATTACCTATAAAGTATTAATGAGGAGTAAGGATATCACTTTGTAATAATGGGACAAATGAAAGGAATGTGGAAGGATCATAGCTCATTTTATTATTCTCCTACAAGGGAATCATTATATGTTAATCAAGAAAACAGAGGACCTAGGATATTATGTATAAAATAAAAATTTTCTCTTTACAGCCACATTTAGGTCCACTTGGGTTCAGATATGGCTCACATCTAGAATATATAAAAAGTGTCTACACATCAGTAAGCAGATGAAAGGCAAACTCATAAAAATAGTCAAAATTCTACAAAGCCCATTATAAAAGAAAACAACTAAATAGATAATGAGTAGAACAAGATGATAAGCCGTATTACTCTTCAGGGAATTACAAATTAAAACAATGATTCAGTATCATTACACACACATCAGAGGGGCTAAGATGAAAAAAATCAGATAGCATCAAGTATTAACAGAAAGAATATTTAAAGAAATCATGAGTGGAAACTGCCTAAATTTAATGAGAAACATTAAGCTACACATCCAAGAAGTTAAACTACTTTAAGTATTAATAGTATAAACTCAGTGAGAGCCACAATAAAAATTATATTAAAATTGTCTTATAGATTAAATTGTTTCCTCTCCAAAATTTTATGTTAAAGTCCTAACCCCCAAGACCTCAGAATGTGACTATTTAAAGATAGCCCCCTTAAAGGGGGTAATTAGGTTAAAATGAGGCCATTTGGGTATGTCCTAACCCAACCCGACTAGTGTTCTTATAAGAAGTACTATAAAAGATTCAGGAGAGACATCAGAGATGTATGTGCACAGAGAAGAGGCCATGTGAAAATATGGTGAACTGGCAGTGTCTTCAAGCTAAGGAGAGAGGTCTCATGAGAAATCCAACCTGCCAGCACATTAATCTTGAACTTCTGGTTACTACAACTGGAGAAACCAAATTTCCATTATTTAAGCCACCCAGTGATATTTTGTTACAGGAGATTTAGCAAACAAATTTCTTGTCAGAAGCCAAATACTAAAGGAAAATCTTAAAAGCAGAAACAAAAAGAGTCGATTTAGTTGTATACAAGGGATCTTCAAAAGATTAACAGCTGATTTCTCAGTAGAAACCAGAGAGGCCAGATGACAGTGGGAGGACATGTTCACAGTGCTCAAAGAAAAAAACTGTCAAACAAGAGTTTTATGTCCAGCAAAATCTATTCTAAAGCAGAAGGAGTTACTACAGAAAAAGTAAAACTGAGAATTCAGTTTTACTGAAGTAGCCAAACTGCCCTACAAGAAATGGTAAAGATAATCTTTCAGGATGAAGTGAAAGAACCCTAGACAGTAACTCGAATTTATATGAAGGAGTAAAAAGCACCAAGAAAGATAGCTACATAGATAAATGTAAAACACAGTATTAATATATTTTTCTTTGTAACAATTTTTTACTCCCAAATAATTTTCAGGAGTAAAAACAGCTGTATAAAACAGCAATTATAATAATATGTGGATGGAATAATAATATATAAAAATATAATTTGTATGACAATTAAAGCACAAAGGAGGAGGGAGGAAATGGAGCCATATTTAAATACAGTTGAAATGAAATTATTTTAAATCTAAACTAGATTGTTTTAGGGTAAGATGTTAGTTTAGCCTCCAGGTAAATAACAACAACAAACTAACACAAACCAATATAGTAAAAGAAACAATGGCATGTAAATGGTGGACTAGTAAACAATTATTAATATTAGTCATAAAAGAAGAAAAAAATAGAGAAATCAAAGAACAACAACAAAAATGCCAGGTAGAAAACAAATGACAACATGCAGATGTATATCCTACCTTCTGGGTACTTACTTTACTGCACTAAAATCCACAGTCAAAGGCTGAGATTGTCATCATAGATTTAAAAAGATCCAATTATCTGCTGATTATAAGAGAAAGACTTTAGGTTCAAAAACACAAACAGGTTGAATGTAAACAGATAGAAAATTATGCTATAGTTTGAATTGTCCCATTTGAAACTCAATGGCTAAAGTGATGATGTTAAGAGGTAAGCCCTTAAGAGGTGATTGGGCCATGAAGGTGGGTCCTTTAAGAGGTGATTAGGCCATGAGGGCTCCTCCCTGGTGGATGAGATTAAAATCCTTATAAAAGAGGCTTCACACAGCATTTGGCCCTCTTGTTCTTCCACCTTCTGCCACATGAGGACACAGCAAGAAGGCCCTCACCAGACATCAAATGCTAGTAACTTAATCTTGGAATTCCCAGCCTCCAGAACTGTGAGAAAATACATTTCTGTGGTTTGTAAATTATCCTGCCTCAGATAATTTGTCATAGCAGCACAAACAGACTAAGACATTATTCAAACAGTAACTAAAAGGGAGTTGAAGCAGAAAAAATTGTTTCAGACACAATAAACTCATAATAAAGAATTGTTACTAGGAAAAAAGAATACTTTAAAAGAATAAAAGGGCCAAATACCAAAAAGACTTACAAATTATTATCATATATAACTCTAACAACTGATTTCTGAATTACATGAAACAAAAACTGAAAGACTTAAAGGGAAAAACAGCAATAAAATTGGAGTCTTCAGTAACCCACATTTAAAAATGAATGGAACAACTAGACATAAAATAAACATCAAGTAGAGAACTTGAACAACAGGATAAACAAACTGGACCTAACACATCTCTGTAGGACATTCCACCTGAAAACGACAGAATCCACATTCTTCTTAAGTGCACATGGAACATTCTCCAGGATAGACAATATGTAACACCATGAAACAATCTCAGTAAATATTGAAAGAATTAAAATTGTACAAAAAATGTTCTTTGAAGACAATAGAATTAAATTTTATGTCAATTACTGAAAGCAACTTGGAAAATTCACAAAAATGAGAGAAAATGTGGAAATTAAGCATAACACTCATAAATAACTAATGGATCAAAGCAGATATCATAAGAGAAATTAGAAAATACTTTGAGATAAATGAAAACAAAAAAACGACTCACAAAAATTTAGAGGATGCAGGTAAAACAGCATTTAGAAAAAAATACAATAAGCAATTGTGTGGGAACAACTGAAGTTACTTGGATGAAATGGACACATTCCCAGATGACACCAACTCCCAACTCTGACTCAATAAAAAATCTGAATATGTATAATAAGCAAAGAGATTGAATTAATAAGCAAAAACCCGCCGTCAAAAAACAAAAAGACAAACCCAACCCAGGTGCACTTCATTAGTTGATTCTATTGAATTTTAAAGCATAAAATAACAATTCTTCACAAACTTTTCTCAAGTTTTTACAAACTTTTCCCAAAAATGCAAGAGGAGAAAATCATTTCCAACCTATTATATGAGCCAGTATTACCCTGATACCAAAACTGAATAAAGACATCAAAAGAAAAGAAACTATAGACCCGTGTTTCTTTTGAATATAAATGTAAAATTTATATTTTACATTTATTTACTATATTATTTTACATTTATTTACATTTATATACTAGCAAATAGCGTATATAAATATATTTAAATATATATATTGGCAATACGCAAAAAGGATTATACAACATGAGCAAGTGGGATTTATTTCAGAAATTCAAGACTGGTTTAACATAACAACATCAATCAATGTAATACATTGTATTCATAGAATAAAGAACAAAAACACAGGATTACTTTAATAGATACAGTAAAAGAATTTGACAAACTCCTTTACCCTTTCATGATACAAAAAAAAAACCCTCAACAAATTAGGAATGGAAGGGAATTTCCTTAGCCTGGTGAAGGAATCTACATAAAACCTATAACTAACATCATATCAATGGTGAGACAAAGAACACTATCCCCTTAAGATCAGAAACAGGATAAGGATGTCTGCTCTCACCACTTATATTCATTATTTTATTGGAGGGTCTAGCCAGGGTAATTGGAAAAGAAAATAAGTAAGTGACATTTAGATTGGAAAGAAAAGAGCAAAACTATCTCTATTCACAAGTTACGTAATCTTTTATGTAGGAAATTATTAGAAACTCACAAAAACAATGCTAATAAACAAGTCCAGGATATAAGATCAATATGTAGGAATCAGTTATACTCTAAACATTAGAAGTAAACAATATAAACAAGAAATTAAGAAAATAATTCTATTTAAAATGGCATTACAAAAAGCAAACATTTAGGAATAAATTGAACACAAATTTCAAGGGTTATACACTCAAAATTACAAAGCATCATTGAAAGAATTAAAGGTCAAAATAAACGGAAAGATACCCTATGTTTATGGCTGTAAAGTTTCTCTCTCTCTTTTCTTTGGTTTATTTTCTTTCTTTTGAGATGAGGTCTCACTATGTGGCCCAGGCTGGTCTCATACTCCTGGGCTGGAACAGCTCTCCTGCCTGGCCTCCCAAAGTTCTAGCATTGCAGGAAAGAGCCATTCCACCCAGCCTGGATGTAAAGTTTGATACTGTTAATATGGAAATACTCCCCAAGTTGATCAAAAGATTCAATGTTATCCCAAAATCTTTCTTTTTTGCAGAAATTGACAAACTGATCTTAAAATCTACATGGAAATGCAAAGAATACAGAAGAGCAATAACAATCTTAAAAAAGATACTGTTGGAAGACTTACACTTTCTGATTTCTAAATGGACCACAACTCTATAATTATCATACCCTGTGGTATTGATATAAGGATAGAAAGAAAGATCTATGGAATAGAATTGAGAGTTCAGAAATAAATATTCATGTTTATGGTCAATTGATTTTTGACAAGAATGCTAACATATTTCAATGGGGAAAAGAATAGTGTTTTAAACAAATAGTGCTAGAATAACTGGATATTCACATGCAAAAATGAAGCTGAACTCCAGCCTCACACTGTATATAAAAATTAATGCAAAGTGAAGCACGGACTTAAATATAAGAACTAAAACTATAAAACTTAGAATAGCATGTAAGATTAAGTCTTTGTGACCTTGAGTTTGGCAGTTCCTTTTCAGATGAAACACTAAAGCAGAGGCAACAAAAGAAAATGAGAAAAATGAGACTTCATCAAAATTCAAAACTTGTGTACTTCAATGAACACCATTAAGGATTTGAAAAGACAACCAACAAAATAGGAGAAAATATTTACAAATCATATATTTGGATGTCAGTCCAGAATAAATAAGGGGCTCTTATAATTCAACAATAATTTGTTACTTATACAGCCAACCAAGAAATCTATTACGCAACAACAACAAATAACAGCCCTTAGTGTTTAAGCCACACATCACTTGAAAGTCAAAGTCCCTGTGAAGCTGGCCATGGCTCAGATGAAGGCACAAGAGGTGAGCCATGGCTGAGAGTTTACAGGGTATTCTGTTACTTCTATTTGAGCTACCCCAGCTGTTTTAGTCTGGGTTCTCCAGGGACACAGAAGTGATCTCTCTGTTTCTCTCGTTATGGGCAATTATAGAGATTGAGAAATCCACAATCTGCAGTAGGAAAGCTGGAGATACAGTTCCAGTCCAGGTCCAATGGCTGAGAACCAGGAAGGATAATAGTTCCAGTCTCAATCTGAGTCCAAAAGTGAGAGGAGACTTATGTTCCAACTTGAAGACAGTCAGGCAGAGAGAGAATTCTTTCTTACTCAGTCTTTTATTTTAGTTAAGCAGTCAGCAGATTGAGTGAGGCCTGCCCACACTGGGGAGGGCAATCTGCTTTACTCACTCCACCAATGGAAATGTCAATATCATCTGCAGACACCCTCACAGGCACACCCAGAAATAATGTTTCACCAAATAACTATGCACCCCATGGTCTAGTTAAGTTGAGGTATAAAATTAATCATTATTAATTTGTCAACTGGGCACCCATATGTATATCCTCAAACCATACTTAATCTTAAAAGACAATAACGATGTCATAATTCTGAATAACATGATATAACTATCCTGTGTCCAGCTGGAAATGCCCTAACCACTTCCCCAGACAAGGAGGTCAAGCCCATGAGTGATGTTTACTCCTCTCTTTGATATCTTATAAATTAAATACTGTTATGTAAAATTAATAATATATAAATACTATGATGAATCAATATATCCATGTTACACAATAAAGAAATAAGAGAGAAAAGAAAATGATATTTCGATTAGGCACAGTGGCTCACGCCTGTAATCCCAGCACTTTGGGAGGCTGAGGTGGGTGGAACACCTGAGGTCAGGAGTTCAAGACAAGCCTCACCATCATGGTGAAACCTTGTCTCTACTAAAAATACAAAAATTAGCCTGGCGTGGTGGCGGGCACCTGTAATCCCAGCTACTTGGGAGGCTGAGGCAGGAGAATCACTTGAACCCAGGAGGCAGAGGTTGCAGTGAGCCAAGATCACACCACTGCACTCCAGCCTGGGTGACAAGAGTGAGACTCTGTCTCAAAAAATAAAAATAAAATAAAAAAGATATTTCACACACATTCATAACAAAATGAGGAGGAATGCACATGACCATTGCAATCTTCCTTTTGTCATCATGTAGTTATAACTGATACATGTATATATATATATAGAGAGAGATACATGTATCTCTGATACATATATATATATATAGAGAGAGAGAGAGAGAGAAAGAGAGAGAGAGAGAGAGAGAGAGAGAGAGAGAGATGGAGTCTTGCTCTGTCGCCAGGCTGGAGTGCAGTGGTGCGATCTGGGCTCACTGCCCAGATCTGGGCTCAAACTGCCTCCCGGGTTTAAGCAATTCCCCTGCCTCAGCCTCCTGAGTAGCTGGGACTACAGGCGCATGCCACTACACCTGGTTAATTTTTTGTATTTTAGTAGAGAGGGTTTCACCATGTTGGCCAGGATGGTCTTGATCTCCTGACCTCGTGATCCATCCACCTCAGCCTCCCAAAGTGCTGGGATTACAGGCCTGAGCCATGGCGCCCTGCCATAACTGATATTTATAGCTTACCTTCTCCCACTACCCATTCTCTATTCCCTTTGCCTTCAGTAAGCACCTCTGCTGATTGTGTTTTTTACCTGTTGGAGTGACCATAATCTTCATTTCTAAAGGGTCTGGGCCACTAGTACTCCTGCCTTGTTGTGACTTCCTATTGACTTTAATCACAGGGCATGGTGATACTAAGAGATGCCCTAAGGGGTCTTCTGTATTCCAGGCATAATCTTCCTTACCTCCATTGTGGAGTAGCCATTCAATTTTTCCTTGGTAGTCAGAATCAATCACCCCAGCCAGTGCAGTAATTCCATTTTTTTCCCTGTTGATTCAGAAGCATAAGGAATCCAAAATGGCCAGGTGGCAATCTTAACTCCCGGTTCAATAGAATAATTGTTGTGCCTTCCAGTAGAAGTATTTCTCCCTCTGGAACTAAGCCCTCTAGGCCAGCACACATAAGACTGTGGGAACAGGAAGCAAATTTTTTGCTAATGGGTCTCTAGGGGTAAGAGTGAGTGGTGCCACTCCCATTTCCAACCCTTGATTCCTGGATCTTTTTATTGTGGCTGTTGGAGAAACAGCACCATATATTGGACACTGATTCAGAGTATAAATAGTCGTCTGGAGAACCTTGTCCAGCCTTGCAAAGTATCACCACTTAGCTGTGCTGTGACAGTCTTCAAAAGGTCATTCCACTGTTCTGTCAAACCAGCTGCTTCAGGATCGTAAGAAACATGGTAACATCAGTGGATTCCACAAGCATGGACCCAACTGCCCACATATTTGGCTGTGAAGTGAATTTTTAAAATCAGAAACAATGCTGCATGAAACACCAGACTGGACACTCAGCAGTGGCTGTAGCCAGGTAGGTCTTCATGAGTAGAAGCTTACATTGCTGAACCCATGTGTAACCTCTATGTCTCTCATTATGGCCAGCTTGTTTGCGAGCCCCTTGGGAGATGACAGGGGTATCTGGGGAAAGAGACTGACTTGTATCCACAGAATGGGTTATCCTATCCGCTTGATTGTTGAAGTCCTCCTCTGCTAAGGCCACCCTTTGGTAAGTGCTTACATAGGACACAAATAGCTTCGTTTAAAAAAAAAAAATTCAGAGAGGTCTATCCACATGCTTCTTCCCCAGATTTTTTTGTCATATTTTTTCGACTATATTCTTTTCAAGTCCCTGACCAACAAACATCCAGCTAAACCATTGGCCACAGCCCATGAATAGGTATAAAATTGCATGTCTGGCCATTTCTCCTTCCAAGCAAAGTGAGCAACCAGGTCCCCTGCTCGAAGTTCTGCCCACTGGGGGGACTTCCCTTCAACACTGTCCTTTAGGGATCCTGGAAAGGGGCTGTAGTGCTGCAGTGCCCACTTCTTGGTGGTGCCTGCATACCCATCTTTAAACCAGCCCAAGCCTTCTATTCCTCAGTCAGCCAATAATAAGCAACTCCCTCTGAGGCCATAGGTGCAGGCAAGGAGAGAGAAGGGAGGGTAGCAGAAGTAGGGGCTGTGGACATTTGGGCCACATCCTCATGTAATTTTAGGAGCTGCTCAGACCTGATCACACATATACCAATTTTATTTGTTGATGGAGTGCTATGTGCACTTTCAGCATTACAGCTTGCTGGGTCAGAAAACATCCAGTTCATCAGGGCTGCTCAGCTTGCATGGTAACTAGGTGGCTCATGATCAAGTGTTAAGTCTCTGTTACGGCGCAGCAGCAGGCCACGAGCTGTTTCTCAAAAGGAGAGTAGAGGATGGCAGGAGTTTTCTCCAAAATTCTAAAAGTCCTGCTGTGCAGTTCACCTACAGGAGCCTGTTAAAAGCTCCAAGCGGCATCCCTATCTGCCACTGACACTTCAAGCATGATTGCATCTGCTGGGTCATGTGACCCACGTGGCAGAGCAGCCTGCACAGCAGGCTGGGGCTGTTGCAGGGCCTTCTGTTGCTCTGGTTTCCACTCAAAGCTAGCAGCTTTTCAGGTCACTCAGTAAATGGCCTGAGTAGCACGCCTAAATGAGGAATATGTTGCCTCTCAAATCCGAAGAGGTTCACTAGTGATTGTGTCTCTTTTTCAGTTGTAGGAGGGGCCAGATGAAACATCTCATTCTTCGTATTAGGAGGGATAGCTCAATATGCCCATACCACTGGACCCCTAGAAGTTTCACTGAAGTAGAAGATCCTGGGATTTTTTTTTTGGGGGGGAGGTGGACTGGTTCTTGCTCTGTCACCCAGACTGGAGTACAGGGATATGATTGTGGCTCACTGCAGCCTTGACCTCTTGGGCTCAAGTGATCCTCCCACTTTGGTCTCCTGAGTAGCTGAGACCACAGGTGCGTGCCACCATGTCTGGATAATTTTCAAATTGTTGTAGAGATGGGGTCTTTGCTGCCCAGGTTGGTCTCAAACTCTTGGGCTTAAGCGATCCTCCCACCTCTGCCTCCCAAAGTGTTGAGATTACAGGCATGAGCCACTGTACCCTGCTCCTCCTCATATTTTTTGTTGCATTTTCTTACCACACTCTGAAATGCAAATGTCTTGTCAGCAAGTCTAGAGTAGTTGTTACTTCTTGCTCACTAGGTCCAGTCAGTCTAATGTTATCAATGAAATGGACCAGTTGTGATATCTTGTAGAAGAGAAAGGTGATCATGCCTCTTGCAAACTAGATTATAACAGGGCTGTAGAGTTGATATATTCTGAGAGAGGACGGTAAAGGTATATTGCTGGCCTTGCCTGCTGAAAGCAAACTGCTTCTGATGGTCCTCATTAACTAAAGCTATGGAGAAAAAAATATTTACCAGATTAATAGCTACATAGTAGGTACCAGGAAATGTGTGTTAATTTGCCTGAGCAATAAAACCACATCTTCAATAGCAGCTGCAATTGAAGTCACTGCCTGCTTAAGCTTAAAATAATTCACTGTCATTCTCTAAGACCCATCTGTGCTCTATACAGGCTGAATGGATGAGTTGAATGTGGAGGTGGTAGAAATCATAACCTCTGCATCTTTCAAATTCTGGTGGTGGCACTGATTTCTTTGAGCCCTCCAAGGAATGTAGCATTGATTTTGGATTGCTATTTTCCTACACAGAGGCAGTTCTAGTGGCTTCCATTTAGAATTTCTCATCATAATATCCTTCACTCCATAGGTCAGGGAACTGATGTGGGGGGATGCCTCCAACCGTAGAGTATGCCTATTGCAACTGTGCATTCTGGAACTGGGGAAGTAACATAGAATGAGTTTGAGGACCTACTGGGCCCACTGTGAGATGGATCTGAGCTAAAATTTCATTGATTAACCTACCTCCATAAGCCCCTATTCTGACTAGAGAGCCATAGTGGTGTTTTGGATCTCCTGGAATCAGTGTCAGTTCAGAGCAGGATCGAGTGGTCCCTGAACTGGTTGTTCTTTCTTCCCCAGTACACAGTTACCCTGGTAAAAGGTTTTAGGCTCTTTGGGAAAGGCTTGGATAAAGATCAAGAGTATATATTTTTGGTAGTGTACTGTTTCTTTCCATGGGAGAACCCAGCCTTCCCTGCATTCAACGGGCTCACGGTCTGTAAACTGGCTCAATTCTGGGAATTTATTGAGCAGCAGTAACTCTCTGATTTTATGATTCAAGTAAGACTTTCGTTCACTTGACCTAGAACTTTTCTGCTTATACAGAACAAGTAAGGATTTAGTAGGCTTCTTCTCTATTTCACTTCTAGGACCACCACAATCAAGCAGCCAACACCATAGGTTTGTATGAGTCAGACTATTCTGATTGCTGCTCTGACTCTACTGTCCATCAAGGTAGCCACCCTCACCCTACCCTTGGGGACTGAGTTTCCCACTTGGCCCCTTGCACCCCAAGATCCAATTCCTCCCATTGTATTTAAGTTTTTCAATTGAGTGACTTCAGTTTCCATTGTGAGTTCTGGCCTAGAGAAGAGTGATCACTGAGCTTTTCAAGGATACCAGGGATCCCCTTACGAATTTATTTCTCATAGTACTGGTCAAAAGTATGATTTCTGGACCCTCCCAGTATGGGTGGGTAGGTCTAAAATGACAAGTCCACTGTAGCATTCCAATCTCCCTAAGTCTCTGAATCCCTTCCTCTATGTTAAAACAAGGAAGCTCAGGCATCTCCAACTTGCTTATTGTGGGCCATCTTTTGATTCATGTTTCAGCCAACCAACCAACAAATCAGTGCCCTTTTTCTAACTCCCTAAGCTGCAACAGTAAATGCAGAATCTCTGCTTAGTCAGCCCATATCAATAAGTTTGTTTTGATCCAACTTTGTGTTTCTTTCACCATTATCTCACACTCTCAACATCCATTCCCACACAGCTTCCCAAATGTCTGCCTATATAATTAGAAAAATTTGTTAGTTCTTTGATTGAAAAATCAAATAGGTGAGTATAATGCATCTCCTCATCTTTATGAGCCTGTTGGGACTTTAGTTGAATTGTAAGTCTAGAAGCAAGGAGGGGTGGATTGTCTTTCATGGCAGCTGCCTCAGGGGAGGACATTGCAGTTTCCTCAGGCAATGCAGAGGTAACACCCTCAGATGGGATAGAGGCACGGCTACCCCTGTGCGAGGGAGAACTCTTTTCCTGGGGATTAGGAGGCCTTTTCCAGTGGCAAAGAAGCCTCATCAGAATTTAGGGGCTCAATATCTCCAGCTTCATCAGGGCCTTCCCTCATGTCCCCATTTCAACTTACAGAATCCCTTTTTAAATTTTGCTTTAAATATACATATAAAGACTGTTGCGCTCTGCTCAACGTGCAGAAGGGAAGTCACTTTTTTTTCCTCCTAGACATTAAATTGTACCGGTCTGTCCTCCCTGGGAAAAAGCAATTTGGTATTAGTAGAAAAGCCTTTTGATACCTAGTACTATGTTTTATTTTACCACCAATTAAGCCCTTACTCTTGAGGGCCATAATGTAATGGCATTCCCCTGC
Organism: Homo sapiens; assembly: GCF_000001405.40. NCBI lineage: Eukaryota > Metazoa > Chordata > Mammalia > Primates > Hominidae > Homo > Homo sapiens. The sequence continues at coordinate 129,397,970 of NC_000002.12, read as the reverse complement.
AATGTTTTTCATCTCTTTTATTCTTGGACCATGTCAAACTGGGAGAAATTATAATTGATATAATTATTCTATTCAGTGTTTGGAATGCAAATAGAGAAGGACAGATTTGTTTCTTCAGTAACAGCAATGTTTTGCAATAGAAGGCTGTGGTTACTTGATATATTAAAGAAGACACGAGGAGAATGAACAGCAGTGCTGTCACAAAGTGAAGGAAGACACAGCAAAGTGAGGGGGCCAAATGGGAGGTTCTAGGCCTGGAGCTTGCAGACGTTTTGGACAATGGGACATTCACTATCTACTTTCTCTGAACCTTCAGTGTCCCCAGAGTCTACCCTGGAGAATGCTCAACTTGGGCATGTTCTGCTACCTCTCAAAGCTGCTGCCTTGGCTGTTACACATGGTGTCTACTTTCTTCTTCATCCTATTCTAATTCAGCCCCCATTCATTCAGTTCAGTTTTTTCAAGACACTCCCAGATGACAGGTAACTACTGAGTTCATATGTTTCCCTCTTCCTTCAAGAAAGCCATAGCATTGTAGAAGGGAACTCTGTCTCCTCTGGCCTGTAGGTGGCAGTGGGCTGCAGCATATGATGGCAATAGGTTTTGAGGGTGCACCTGGAAAAGGGAGTGTGACTTATCAGGATTGTCTCTAGTGCTGGCTGTGATGAAAGCTGCAGGGACCATGTTACACATTTGCCATCTCTGATGCGGTCCAACCCTCTTGTGTAAAGCTGGGTGTATGGATGCCAGTCACGCCAGTACCTGTGGATCTGCAGACTGCATTGCCATTCAGGCCTCCCTACTGTTCCTGAAACACAGCAAGCATAAGCTCAGCCCGAGGCATTGCCCCTACAGATCCTCCTGCCTGTTCTTTGCTCAAATATTAGTTTCAGAGAGGCTTTCATGAAGACTTGATTAAAAATAACACTGCCTTCCTTGCATATTTCTTCTCCATGTTACTAATCATTAACTAATCAATCTACTATTGACTTAGTGATGGTAATGAACTGTCTTCCTACCCAGCACACAGATCCTTGAGGTCAGTGGTATTTGTATCACATTTTCTCTGCTCTCTTCCCCGTGCTGGAAGATTGCCTGACACAGAGTCACCTCTCACTAAATAGCTGTTAAATAAAATAATAAATTGACTATTACACTTGCTTTTTGATGAACTTTCTCCTTTTATATTTTCCTTATTTTTTGCTATATTTCTGTTTTCCTTCTGCTACTTTCTTTGGGCTTTCTGACTTGGGCTTTATCTTCATCTGTTATATTAGGCATATTAATTGAATTTTCAAAACATTCTTTATCCATACTCATGAGGAGTCCTGGTAGGGTATTTTGTAGAATGCCCTCTGTTGGATTTTGTCTGCTGCTTTTCTCAAATCAGACTGGATTTGTATATGTATGTACATATTTATGGAAAGAAGACCAGAGAGGTACATCATATCAAGACTCCATTATTCCAACATGACCTATATCTATTACTGTTGATGTTGACCTTGACCACCTGGCTGAGAGTGTTTGTGAGGTTTCTCTACTCTAAAGTTACTCTTATTTTCCCCTTTTCCGTATTTCCATATTCCTTTGACAGGAAGCCACTACGAACAGCCCACATACTTTAGGGGAATATCTACATACAATTTTTGAAATTATTCTGCACAAGAGATTGGACTCTGCCCATACTTATTCAATAATTTCTTTATATGAGCATGGACTCATGGCTATTTATTTTATATTTTAAGCTAAAAATTTTATACTGCATTATTTATTGTGCTACTCTAATTGTTCCAGCTTTGACCACTGGGAACTCTTTCAGTTGGTTTCTGTGCTCCGTTGATATACTGTATCTGTGTGGGTTTATATGTTTTTGAGAACTTCTGGCATTACAAGATGCTCCAGACCCATATTGCATATTCCTGTATTGTATCAACCCTAGAAACAGCCATTTCTCCAAGGATCCCTGTTTTACTTTATAGGAGAATCACAGTATAAACCACACCTAGGGATTGGCTATGATCATTACTAGTGGGGTGTAGTTGCTTCTAGACCCTCTCAGTTGATCTAGCAAGGGAATTTCCGTGCATATACAACCCTGTGCACATACACACATCTACAAACATTTTTTTTTCTTAAATTATACTTTAGGTTTTGGAATACATGTGCAGAACGTGCAGGTTTGTTACATAGTATACATGAGCCATGTTGGTTTGCGTACCCATCAACCAGTCATCTAAGTTTTAAGACTCACATGTATTAGGTATTTCTCCTAAGGCTATCTCTCTCCTTGCCCCCCACCCCCCAACAGGCCTCAGTGTGTGATGTTTCCCTCCCTGTGTCCATGTGTTCTCATTGTTCAACTCCCACTTACGAGTGAGAATATGCAGTGTTTAGTTTTCTGTTCCTGTGTTAGTTTGCTGAGAATGATGGTTTCCAGCTTCATCCATGTCTCTGCAAGGACATGAACTCATTTTTTATGGCTGCATAGTATTCCATGGTGTATATGTACCACATTTTCTTTATCCAGTCTATCACTGATGAGCATTTGAGTTGGTTCCAAGTCTTTGCTATTGTAAATAGTGCTGAAATAAACATACGTGTGCATGTGTCTTTATAGTAGAAGGATTTATGATTTATAATCCTTGGGGTATATACCCAGAAATGGGATTGCTGGGTCAAATGCTATTTCTGGCTCTAGATCCTTGAGGATTCACCACACTGTCTTCTACAATGGTTGAACTGATTTACACTCCCACCAACAGTGTAAAAGCATTCCTATTTCTCCACATCCTCTCCAGCATCTGTTGTTTCCTGACCTTTTAATGATCACTATTCTAACTGGAATGAGATGGTATCTCATGGTGGTTTTGATTTGCATTTGTCTAATGACCAGTGATGATGGGCTTTTTTTTTCAAGTGTTTGTTGGCTGCATAAATGTCTTCTTTTGAGAAGTGTCTGTTCATATCCTTCACCCACTTTTTGATGGGGTTGTTTCTTTCTTGTAAATTTGTTTAAGCTCCTTGTAAATTCTTGATATTAGACCTTTGTCAGACGGATAGATTGCAAAAATTTTCTTCCATTCTATAGCTTGCCTGTTCACTCTGATGATAATTTCTTTTGGTATGCAGAAGCTCTTTAGTTTAATTAGATCCCATTTGTCAATTTTGGCTTTTGTTGCCATTGCTTTTGGTGTTTTAGTCATCAAGTCTTTGCCCATACCTATGTCCTGAATGGTATTGCCTAGGTTTTCTTCTAGGGTTTTTATGGTTTTAGGTCTTACATTTAAGTCTTTAATCCATCTTGAGTTAATTTTTGTATAAGGTGTAAGGAAGGGGTCCAGTTTTAGTTTTCTACATATGGCTAGCCAGTTTTCCCAAGACCATTTGTTAAATAGGGATTCCTTTATCCATTGCTTGTTTTTGTCAGGTTTGTCAAAGATCAGATAGTTGTAGATGTGTGGTGTTATTTCTGAGGCCTCTGTTCTGTTCCATTGGTCTATATATCTGTTTTGGTACCAGTGCCATGCTGTTTTGGTTACTGTACCCTTGTGGTATAGTTTGAAGTCAGGTAGCATGATGACTCCAGTTTTGTTCTTTTTACTTAAGATTGTCTTGGCTATACAGGCTCTTTTTTGGTTCCGTATGAAATTTAAAGTAGTTTTTTTCTAATTCTGTGAAGAAAGTCAATGGCAGCTTGATGGGAATAGCACTGAATCTATAAATTACTTTGGGCAGTATGGCCTTTTCATGATATTGATTCTTCCTATCCATGAGCATGGAATTTTTTTCCATTTGTTTGTGTCCTTTTATTTCCTTGAGCAGTGGTTTGTCTACAAACATTTCTATATGAAATAATCTGTATGGATGTCAAGCCAAACATTAGTTTCAACTGCTGTCTCCAATGCCAAGGAAGTACCACATGTCCGCATGGCCCATTCCAGGCTTTCTTCCCTGTAACCTCCCTTTCCAAAAGCAAGAAAAGTGGCTCTCACCATCTGCTATCCCTGTGCTTCAATTCCAGTATGCATAGTGGTTTCAGAACTGTTAACTGAAGCTCTGTGAAAATCAAATTTACGAAGTAGAGTAGAGTGCTTATGCACTGTCTTTTTTGCCTTTAGTCCTCCTGTCTTCACTCATTTCCAAAGGTAATCAGGTCACACTTTTTCCCATACCTCTTTCAATAAGGATGTGTTATATATTTGTAATACAGTTAGACTTTACTATCACCATCTGTATTCCATTCTGGGATACCCTAACTTCCTAAATGTTTTGTTTTGTTTTATTTTAGAGACAGGGTCTCGCTTTGTTGCCCAGGCTGGAGTGCAGTGACAATTCACAGGTGTGATCATAGCCCACTGCAATCTGGAACTCCTGGGTTCAATCCATCCTCCTGCCTCAGCCTCCCAAGTAGCTGGGACTATAAGTGCATGATACCACACCCTGCTCTAAATGACTTTTTTTAAGAGTGTGTGTGCTAGGCTCCAGTTTCTGTGTTGTCAGTTCCATGGGTTTTGACAAATGTGTGTTGCCATGTGTCTAGCTTTACAGTATCATACAGTATTATCCAGATCCTATACAGATACATGTTTTCTAAGTATTTTCTCCAAGTTACTTGTCATTTCTCAACACCATCCTTAATTGTCTTTTTTCAACCATGTCCTTGGAGACTATACTTTTTTTAATTTTAATAAAGTTCAACTTATCTATCTATATTTATTTTGTTTTTATTGTCACATTAATAATTACATATATTTTGGGGTATGGTGTGATATTTCAACACGTATATACATTGCATAAAAATCAAATAAGAGTATTTAGCACATCCACCACCTGATGCATTATCATTCTTTGTGGTGAGAACATTCAAAATTCTAGCTATTTTGAAATATACAATACATTATTGTTCACCATAGTCACCCTAATTCGAACCAGAAATTATTCTCCCCTATGTAACTGTAACTGTGACTTTGTACCCATTGGCCAATCTCTCCCTAATAATAGCCCCTTCCCCAACCCTTCCCCAGCCTCTGGTAACCACTATTCGACCCTCTGCTTCCATGGGATCAACTTCTTTAGATTCCGCATATGAGTGAATGAAAGACAAATATCATGCAACATTTGTCCTTCTGTGCCTGTCTTATTTCATTTAACATGGCATATTTGTTAATATAACATAGCCCATTTATTATTTCATGGACAATACTTTTGGCATTTATTTTAAAAATCATTACCAAAGTCATATAGAATTTTTTCCTATGTTTTGTTAAGGAAGTTTTATACTTTTGCTTACTACTTTTAGATCTGTGATCCATTTTTAGTTCATTTTTGCACAAGATCTTAGGTCTATGTCTAAGTTCATTTGATCAGTGTTTTGTAGTGTTCTGCATATAGATTCTATGCATATTTTGTTGCATTTATACTTGAGTACTCCATTTTTGTTGCTGTTGTAAAAGATAATGTTTCTTTAGTTTTGAATTCCAGTTGTTCATTACTGGGATATGGGAAGGCAATTATGTATTGCATATTGATCTTGTATCCTGCAACCTTGTTATACTTGCTTATTTCTAGGAGGTTTTTAGTAGACTCTTGGTGGTTTTCTACATGGACAATAACGCTACCAGGGAATAAATGCAGTTTTATTTCTTCCTTTCCAAACTTTTTTCCTCTTATTTCCTTTTCTTGGCTTACTGCACTTGATAGGACTTCCAGAACAATGTTGAATTGGTGAGCTAAGAGAGGACATCCTTGGTCCTGTAATCCCAGCACTTTGGGAGGTGGAGGCGGGTGGATCATTTGAGGTCAGGAGTTGGAGACCAGCTTGGCCAACATCACGAAACCCCGTCTCTACTAAAGATACAAAAATTAGCCGGCGTCGTGGCACACACCTGTAATCCCAGCTAATCGGGAGGCTGAGGTGGGAGAATTGCTTGAACCTGTTAGGCGGAGGTTGCAGTGAGCCGAGATTGTGCCACTGCACTCCAGCCTGGGTGACAGAGCGAGACTCTGTCTCAAAAAAAAAAAAAAAAAAAAAAAAAAGATATAGAGTATTTAAGCTATCTATTTAACCCGATGTGGATTTTAGTAGTTTTGTTCTTCCCACGAATTGGTCATTTTATCTAGGTTATAAAATTTGTGGGCATAGGCCGGGCACGGTGGCTCACGCCTGTAATCCCAGCACTTTGGGAGGCCGAGATGAGTGGATCACGAGGTCAGGAGATCGAAACCATCCTGGCTAACACGGTGAAACTCTGTCTCTACTAAAAACACAAAAAATTAGCCGGTCATGGTGGCAGACGCCTGTAGTCCCAGCTACTTGGGAGGCTGAGGCAGGAGAATGGCGTGAACCCAGGAGGCAAAGCTTGCAGTGAGCCGAGATCATGCCACTGCACTCCAGCCTGGGCAACAGAGCGAGACTCCGTCTCAGAAAAAAAAAAAAAATTTAGGCATAAAGTTGTTCATAGTATCTGTCCCCCTTTGTGTTTTCAGTGGCCATGGGATCAGCCATGGTGAAGCTCTTTCATTTCTGATATTAGTAGCTCGTGTCTTAGCTCTTTATCTCTTCATTGGCTTGGCAAGAGGATTTTCAATTGGATATTTTTTTTGAAAGACCTAGCTTTTCATTTTGTTGTTGTTGTTTTAAATTGTTTTCTTATCTCCAATTTCATTGCTTTTCCTCTAATTTTTATTATTTCCTTTCTTCTATACTTATTTACTGTTATTTAGAGGTGTGTTGTTTAATCTCCAAATATTTGAGGGATTTTCCAGCTATAGTTCTACTGGTGATTTCTAACTTACTTCCAATGTCATCTGAGAACATCACTTGTATGACTTCTATTATTTTAAGTTTGCTTTGGTGTTTTTGTATGGCCTAGAATATGGTCTATCTTGATGAAAGTTTCATATTAGCTTGACAGTAATGAGTATTTTGCTGTGGGCATGTAAACCACTCTATAAATGTCAAGTAGATTAAGTTTATTCATGGTGTTGTTCATCTATACCTTATTGACAGAGGGGTGTTATTGATAGACAACGGGGTGTTAAAATAACCAAGTATGACAGTGGATTTGTCTGTTTCCCCTTTCACTTCTATCAGGGTTTGTTCACATATTTTGATGCGCTTTTATTAGATGCATAAACACTTAGGATTTTTATGTTTTCTTAGAGAATTAACCCCTCTGTAATTAAATAACACCCCTCTTTAACTTTGATTATCCTTCTTGTTCTGAAGTCAGCTTTGTCTTAAATTAATATAGCTACTGCAGTTTTCTCTTGATTGGTGTTAGCAGGGCATATGTCACTCAATCTGTTTATTATTAACCTGAATTGTGATACTTAAAATGAGATTCTTATAGTCAACATATAGTTAGTCTATTTTAATCCTCTCTGACAATCTCTGAGTTTTAATTGGTTTATTTAGACCATTCACATTTTAAGTGATTGTCAATGCTGCTAGATTCAGATCTTCTAGTTTGTAACTATTTTCATTTGCTGCATTTGCTTTTTATTTTTTTCCTCTTTTTCTGCCTTCTCTTGTTTTAACTGAACATTTTATATGACTTTGCATTATCTTCTCTCAGTGTATCATTTATATTTAAAAAAATAGTGACTTTCCTAGAGTTTGCAATATACTTTTTAAAATTTTTGCTTGTCCTCCAGGCTGGAGTGCAACGGTGTGACCTCAGCTCACTGCAACCTCTGCCTGTTGGGTTCAAGAGATTCTTCTGCCTCAGCCTCTCAAGTAGCTGGGATTACAGGCATGTGCCACCATGCCCAGCTAATTTTTTTGTATTTTTAGTAGAGATGAGGTTTCACCATGTCAGTCATGCTGGTCTCGAACTCCTAACCTCAGGTGATCCACCTGCCTCACCCTCCCAAAGGGCTGGGATTACAGGTATGAGACACCACACCCAGCATTTTTTTTTTTTTAGACAAGTTCCTGTTCTGTCACCAAGGCTGTAGTACAATGGTGCTATCATAGCTCATTGTAGTCTCCAAGTCATGGGCTGAAGCGATCCTCCCACCTCAATATCCTTATTAGCTGGAACTACAGGCATGCCACCATACCCACCTAATTAAAAAAAATATTTTTGTAGAGATGGGGTCTCACTCTGTTGCTCAGGCTGGTCTTGAACTCCTGGGCTCAAGCAATCCTCCAATATTGGTTTCCCAAACATGCATTACAGGCATGAGCCACTGTCACCAGCCTGCGGTATATACTTTTACACATAAAAGTCCACCTTCAAATAGCCCTATACCACTGAACATGGAGTGTAGGTACCTTATATTCACAATTTCCCCTCCCTTCCCTTGGACCATTTTTGTCATTCATTTCTGTTCTTATGCTATAAATAATCCAGTATATCACTGCTACTATATATTAGCTATATAGCTTTAAGTATATTGCTTTTAGATCAATGAAGAATAAGAACAATGACATTTTATTTTACCCTCACTTATTATTCTCTGATACTCTTCGTTGCTGTAGGTGGATCCTAGTTTCTGCCTATTTATTTTTTCTCTGTCTGAAAAGTTACTGTTTGAGGAAACAGTTACTGTTTGAGGAAATCTTTATTTCTCCTTTATTTTTGAAATATAATTTCACTTGATATAAAATTCTGTGATGGTGTATTTCCACCCTACATTTTAGATATTTCACCCCACATTCTTCTTGCTTGTATGGTTTCTTAAGAGGAGTCTGATGTCATTGTAATTCTTATTTCTGTATCAGTAAGGTGAGATTTTTCTTTTCCTGGCTTTATTCAAGGTTCTGTCCGTGTCTTTGGTGTTCCGTGATCTTCTTTGATGTGTGTTTTGGTGCCTGTAAATTCTGGAAAACCCTTAGCCATTATTACTTCAAGTATTTCTTCTGGTTTGTTCTCTCTTTTTCTATTTCTGGTATTTCAATTACATGTGTGTTACACCTTTTAGTAACACCCACAGTTCTTGGGTTTCACAGGGTTATATTTATCTTTTTGTATTTTACTTGTGTTACAGCTGGAAAGTTTCCATTAACCTTTTTTAAAATTTACTAATTTTTTACATCAGTTGAGTCTACTGATGAGCCCATTGGAGGTATTCTTCATTTTTGTTGTTGCTATTTTGATTTCAAAATTTTTCTTTAGATTATTTCTTACAGTTTCCATTTCTCTACTATTTCGTATCTGATCTTGCATATTATTTTTTCATTGGCACCCTTAACATATTAATCATAATTGTTTTAAATTCCCTGATAGTTTCTGCATGGGTGTCCCATCTGAGTTTGGCTCTGAGGCTTGCATTGTCTCCTCAGACTACTTTTTTTTTCTTGCCTTTGCCATGACTTGTAATTCTTTTGTTGACAGCAGACATCTTATAGTGAGTAATTGATACTGAGGTAAACAGGCCTTTAGTGTGGGATTTCACATCAATACTTGTAGGAACTGGGCTGTGTTTAACGTCTTCAGTGGAACTGGCTGTGTTTAATGTTTGCTGAAGCTATAGATGCCAGAGATTTTAAATGCCTCTCATTGCTCTAACGTTTGAGGTCCACTTCTAGGTGCAAAGGTTATAGTAGTTAGACAAGGGTCCTGCACCGATAGGCTTATGCCAATGCAGGGAGACAGAGCACAAACACATAAATGCATTCCAAAATACAGGATAATAAGATCCCCTAATAAGAAAATAAAGCTGGTTATGTGGTAGGGAATGCTGAGGGGCTCCTTAGGGCTGGAGATAGACCCTCTTCCCACCTTGAGCAGAGTGGAGCCCAAGAGAATTTGGAGTCAGACTCTATTGCCTTCGTAGTCTTCTTCCAACAGTCTTTCTCTCACTAGTGCTTCTGACATTCGTGCCCTTATTTAGTCTTCTTGTTTCCCAGGAACCACCAATATGGACTTCTGGAAAGAATTAGCATTCCCCTTTATATTAAAACTCACAAAATTCAGCTGGAAGTGACCATAGTGGCCAAATAACTATTTTTATCATAATGTTAATCACTAAAAGGTGTAGAGTCATTATAAAGAAGGATAATTGAAAAAACCCACGTATCAGTCCAAGGAAAAAAATCATTATTTAATTGCAGATTTTGCAAAACAAGGCTGGGTAGAGATTTTGGTAATTATTTTAGATAAGTAATCTTTCCCTCACTCTTTCTTGAGAAATGGAAAATACATAGGGTTTTTATTTAAGTCCAGTAACTAAATGAGAGTCCCACCCACTTCTCATACCAGGCTGAATGTTTTTTATCTTTACAAAGGGCAAAAGATATTCCTGCCCAGTTCCAGAACAAGATGGCATAGGTACATTTTTATTGGCATCTATGCTAGATGCAAATTTTTGTCTGCATCTCTCTTGTAAATACAACTAATAAATACTTGGATATTACACAACATAAAATAAGATGGTTCTGAAGGTGGAAAAGAAATTGAACTTACTAAGGAAGGACCGTAGGGCTTGATCCACCACAGTGATGTGAATCATGGAGGTTTTCTTTTTATCTCCCATATAACTGTGGATGGAATGTCAGGGAGGCCTGATACACTAACTCTCCCTACAAAGAAAAAGAAAGCCTGCCCTCTCCATCCAAAGCGGTGGGAAAGGGGGGAGTCCAACCAAGACCAAGTGTAGACCCCCAACCCCTGCTTCAACCTGGATCCCTGGAAGGTGGTCTGATCTGCCCCAGCCACCCCCTCTTATTGCATAACCTATGCCCTGGGGTCCAATCCATCAGCGGCAGCAGCAAAGCCCTGGTCATCCCAGCCCATGCTACTCAACCAGTGCACTAGAAGGAGAACTGATCTACCCACAGTGGAAGCAACAGGAATGCCCTACATGCAGTGGCATGAGGAGATCCAGGCCCAGTGGCTTCTGCCTTTCCTTTTCCCAGAATGTCACTCAGTGACAACAGGTGGCCCAGGGAAGTGCTTCCCACAACTGCAGCTAGCATCAGCAGGGAATGAGGAGGAGCACTAACACCTAAAGAATGAAGCAGAGGGGAATAAATAGAACAACTATCCACTGAAATAGGAGACTTAATAGGATCAAGAGTCTCCCAACACAATAGACAAAATGTATTGCATATAATAGAAAAATCACTTATGAAAAAAACTAGGATACCACAAGTGGAATGAGAAAGACAATCCAACAGTGCCAACCAAAATGCATTAGATGTTGAAATCATCTGACAAGGATTTTAAAGCTGATTCTTAAATATTCTTCAACAGTCAATTACAAATCTCTTGAAACAAATAAAAAATAGAAAAATATCAAAAACAGAAATTTTATAAAAATCAAGTGAAATTATAAAACTGAAAATAAAATAATTTTAAAAAAGGCTGGATGGACAAAATATTATAGTCAAGATGACAGATCATAGAATCAGTGAACTTGAAAACAGGTCAATAGTATTTGTTCAATCTAAACAGAGAGACTGTAGACTGAAAAAACTTGAACAGTCTAAAGAGTCAGTGAGACAATTAAAGCAACAATGTACATTTGTATCAGAGTTGCGGAAGAAGAGAAGTACAAATTTGTGCCTGAAAAGTATTTGATAAAATAAAACATTTCAAAATTCCTCAAATATGGCATCAGACATAAACCCACAGATCCAAGATGCAAAGAGAGCCCAAAGTAAGATAAACTCATAGAAATTCATTCCATGCACATCATATTTAAACTTCTGAAGCAACCAGAAGAATGATGCACTTCCCATAGGAGAATACAATTTGAGAGCAAATTTCTCATCTGAAACAACAGAGGCCAGAGGAAATGCCTCAACATTTTTCAAGTGCTTTAAAAAAATGAACCGTCAATTGAAAATCCTATATTGATGAAAACAACCTTTAGGAATTAAGGGAAGATATTCTCAGATGAAGAAAAGGTACAAGGACTTATTACTAACAGACCTTCCCTTAAAAATAGCTAAAGAAAGATTTACCAACAAATGGGAAAACAAAGGAGAAGCCTGGGGCCTTCAGAAAGGAAAAAAAGAATAATGGAATTTGTAAAAGTAGAAGCAAATGTAGTAGACTGTCCTTCTTACGAGTTTCTTTGATAATGTTTTATGGTTGTAGCAAAAGTTATAACAATATCTGATATGATGCTCAATGTAGAAAAATGTCAAGGCAATTTTATGCAAAAAGTGGTGAAGTAAAGGAACTTAAATGGAAGTCAGGTTTCTATACTTCTCACAAAATGGTAATCCATGGACAGCAGTAGGCTGTAATCATTTACATATGTAAATAGCAATAAATAAAACAACTGCTAAGAAAAATATTCAAAAGCCATGCTTAAAATCATTGTAAATAAATCAAAAGAAAATTCTCAAAAATGTTCTAGTAACAGACTCAAGAAAAAAGAAACATAAGGATTAAACAAAGGCAATTGATAAAATAGCAAATGTATGTCTAAGATATCAGTAATTATATCTTGTAAATGGCCTAAAACAACAATTAAAAGGAGATTGTCAGAGTGTATGAAATAAACACAACCCAGCCATATGCTATATACAAGAAACTCAAGGCTCGAACATAATGTCATAAGTAGGTTGAAAGTAAAATGAGGGAAGAAGATATATAATGTAAACAATCAAAGAAAAAAGTTATGTCTATATTAATATTACATAAAGAAAATTTCAGATTAAAGAAAATTATTAGGGACAAACACGACACTGCCTAATGATAAAAATAGATATATCTGCCTGGCACGGTGGCTCAAGCTTATAATCTGAGCACTTTGGGAGGCTGAGGCAGGCGGATTGCCTGAGGTCAGGAGTTCGAGACCAGCCTGGCCAATGTGGTGAAACCTCGTTTCTACTAAAAATACAAAAAAAAAAAAACTAACCAGGTGTGGTAGTGAGTGCCTGTAGTCCCAGCTACTCGGGAGGCTGAGGCAGGAAAATTGCTTGAACCCAGGAGGCGGAGATTGCAGTGAGCCAAGATAGTGCCACTGCACTCCAGCATGGGCAACAGAGCAACACTCCGTCTCAAAAAAAAAAAAAAAATCAATCCACTCATCAAGAACATATAATTATCCTAAATGTATAAGCATCAAACAATACAGCTTCAAAATTCATGAAACAAAACACTGGTAGACTTGAAAGGAGATGTAGACAAATCTTCATGCATAGTTGGAGACTTCAACACTCCCTTCTCAGGAACTGCAGAGCTACTAGAGAGAAAACCAGCAAGGATATGGAAGAATTGGACAACACTTAGCCATCAAAATCTAATTGATATTTGTGGAACATTCCATCCAATAACAGGAGAACACATTCTTTTAAACTGCCCCTTCACCAAGACAGACCATATTCTAGTCATAAAACAGACCTTAATGATATAAAAAAATTGAAATAATAGAGTAAGTTCTCTAACATTAAGATAATTAAATTAGAAATAAAAAACAGAAACACTAAAGGAAAACTCCAAAAACTCGGAAAAGCAACACACTTCTAGAATTCCCAGAAGAAAGTCTCAAAAAAATATGCAGATAATGAAATTAAAGTAAAGCACAGTGTATCAAAATCTGTGAAAGGCAGCTAAAGCATTGCTGAAAGGGAGACATATATCACTGAATAATTACATTAGAGAAGAAGAAAGACCTCATGTCAACAATGTACATTTCTACCTCAAAGCTAGAAAAAGAAGAACAAAATAAACTCAAAGGAGGGGAAAAGAAAAAATAGAGACAGGCAGAAATGAATACATTTGGAAAACAGGAAAACAGCAGAGAAAATCAACAAGTCAAAAAGGTTTGTACTAAAATTTCAAAAAAAGTTGATAAAACTTTAACAAGATTGACAAAGATTTTTTTTTAAAAAGCAAAACATTAATATTAAAATAGAAGATATCACAGCAGATCCTGTAGACATCAAAAGGATAATAAGTGAATACTATGAACAAATTCTAGCTTACAAACTAGACAACTTAGAAGATAAGGACCAATTAATAAAGAAACTCCACAGATTACCTAAACTCAGTCAATATGAAAAAGATAACTTGAATGGTTTTATAACCATCACACTAATTGAATTTGTAATTACCCCTGTCTTCTAAGTCTTCAGGTCCAGATGGTCTCCCCGCAGAATGTTACCAATCATTTAAAAGAATTAGCATTATTTTCTACCACCTCTTCTAGAAAATGAAAGGGAATTGAACCCTTCCAAACTCATTTTATGTGGTCAGAATTATCCTGTTACCAAGACAAACAGCACACAAACACACACACATGAATGCACACACTCAGGCACCGGTGCACACACACACACACAAGCACACACACCCAACCCCTGGAGAACAATATCTCTCAAGACTATAGATGCAAAAATCCTTAGTAAAATTTTACCATACCTTACCCATCAACATGTATATAGTCCTGTACCTTCTACCAGTGGACTATATTCCAGATATGCAAGACTAGTTCAATATTTTAAAATATATGTATATAATTGATCATATTCACAGGGTAAAGAAAAAAAATGTAGCCATATCAATTGATGTGGAAAAACAATTTAACAAAACTCAAATTCAGTCATGATAAAAAGTCTGATTACACTAGGAACAGAGGAAACTTTTTCTCAAGCTCAGAGCACTTGGAGAAATCTACAGCTATACCATTATACTTGATAGTAAAATACTGAATGCTGTTTCTTTAATATTGGGAAGGGGAGAGGATGTGCTGTCTCACCATGCAGATTAAACATGGTTCTAGAAGATTTTGCCATCAAAGTAAGTCATAGGAAAGAAATAAACAGCATATAAAATGGAAGAGATGAAATAAAACATTCTTGATTTGCAGACAACACGATTGCCTACATAGAATATACTAAGGAATTTTACAATATCAACAACAATGAATCTCCCAGAACTAATAAGTGAGTTCAGCAAGGTCACAAGATATGAGGTAAACATGCAAAACACAATTCCATTTTTATATACTGACAATAAAAAAAATGAAAATGCATATCAAATGCAATACTTTCTCAAAAAATGAAATACTGAGGTATAAACAGGATAAAACATGTACAGGATTTGTGTGATGAAAATTACAAAATGCTGATGACAGAAACCAAAGACCTAAGTACTTCATGGAACACACAATGCCCCAGAGTTGGAAGACTTATCATACAGAAAGCAATTCTCCTTACATTGATATATGTAGGTTTAACACAATTTCTATCAAAATTCTAGCAAGGCACTTTGAGGATATAGACAAGCATGCTTTAAAATTTATATGGAAAGGGAAACACTCTAAATATCCAGAACACAGCTAAAAGAGGTAAAGTGAAAATTGCTCTCCTGATGTTAAGACTTGCTGTATAGCTACAATAATCAAGACACTGTGGTGCTGGCAGAGGAACAGATACAGATCAGTGAGACAGAACAGAAAGTCCAGAAGAAGATCCATACAAACATGTCCCATTAATTTTTGGCAAAGGAACAAAAACAACTCGGTTGAGGAGGGATGACCTTTTTAATAACTGTTGCTAGGGTGACTGGATATCCACAGGCAAAAAAAGGAATTATGAGCTAAACTTCATATCTTATACGAAAATTAAAACAAAATGTATCACCATGCTTAAATGTAAAACAGAAACCTGTAAAACTTTTAGAATAAAATATAGGAGACGATATTAAGCCTGAAGCCAAATGCACAATACATAAGAGGAAAACTAAATTGAACCTCATCAAAATTAAAAACTGACTCTGGAAGACCCTGTTACAAATTACAGACTGGAAGAAAATATTTGCCAATTACATATACAAGAAATGACTCATGTCTAGAATATATTTAAAAATCCCTCTCAAACTCAGTAGTAAAACACAAGTAATTCAAAAGCAAATGGGCAAAGAAATGTACAGGCATTTCACTGAAGAGATTATATAGATGCCACATAGGCAGATGAAAATATGTTTAACATCATTAGCCATTAGATAAATGCAAATTAAAACTAAAATGAGGTGTTAATACATACAACCAGAATGGCTAAAATAAAAAAATCAATAACACTAAGTGCTGGTGAGGATGCAGAGAAACTGGATCTCTCATACATTACTGGTGGGAATGTAAAATAGTAAAACCACTCTGGAAAAGAGTTTATAAGTTTCTTTCAAAATTAAAAATGAGCTTTCCATAATATCCCACAATTGCTCTCTTGGCATATATCCTAGAGAAATAAAAAGTTATTTTCAGGCAGAAACTTATATATGAATATTAATAACAGCTTTATCTGTAAATAGCCCCAAACTGGAAACTACCTAAATACCATTTTTGGTATTAACTATTCAGTAGATGAATAGTTAAATTTATTGTATTAATAGTACACCTCTACCATGAAATGTCACTCAGCAAAAAAGGGAGCAAAATATTGACACACACAACTATGTGGATAAACCTCATAAAAGGTATGTTAAGGGAGAGAAAAACTAATCTTAAAATAATACTCATTGCAAGATTCCTTATATAGGACGTTCATGAAACAACAAAGTTGCAGATATGAACAGCAGAGTAGTGGTTGTCAAGGGGTTAGTGTGAAGGGGCAGGGTGCGTGTGGCTATGTAGGATAGCATGAGGGAGTGTTGTGCTGATTTTACAGTTAAGTACACTGATTGTGATAGTGATTACACAAAGCTTCACATTTGATAAAATGGCATTGAGCTACATAAACACAAATGCATATAACTGGTGAAATCTGAATAAGCTCGATGGTTGCATCATGTTAATTTCCTGGTTGGGATATTGTGCTATAGTTTTGCAAGATGTTAACATTGCGAGAGTCTGGGCGAAGGGTACCTAAGATCTCTCTGGACATTCTTTTGCACTCTCTTGTAAAATTATATTTATTTCAAAATAAAAATTTTTTGAAAAAATGTAACAAAGGTGATAGGGTGGCTATTTCTTAAGAACTTTCACTACTCTCATATTTAGTATGACTCAAATTGTTTCATATGAGAAGAAATGGTGATTTTACTTTTTTTTTTGAGATGGAGTCTTGCTCTGTCATCCAGGCTGGAGTGCAATGGCACGATCTCGGCTCACTGCAAGCTCCATCTCACAGGTTCAAACAATTCTCCTGTCTCAGCCTCCCAAGTAGCTGGGATTACAGGCACCCGCCATCATGCCCAGCTAATTTTTGTATTTTTAGTAGAGATGGGGATTCACCATGTTGGCCAGGCTGATCTTGAACTCCTTACCTCATGATCTGCCTGTCTCGGCCTCCCAAAGTGCTGGGATTACAGGCGTGAGCCACCATGCCTGGCCAATTTTACATTTTTTTAAAAAAAGCTCTGTGCCTTTTGTTCCTTGTTCGAATGGTTAAGAACATGAGGAGGGAGGTAAGGCTCCAACACTGGTCTACTGTCTCATTTTAAACCTGTCTACTACAATGCTCCCTTTGGGTCCCCAAACACCAAGCCAGAAGGTACAGGTCCTTATTTATTTATTTCCCATATCTTCTCAGTGAGTTGATTCTCCAGCATATCTGCTAGTTGAGCACTTGCCTTAATATCCATTGTATTTGCCCCCTTGCCAATCCCCTGGCCTGCTTTCTCCAAGTAATAAGTTTTGATATTGAGGCTTGCTCACTTAGGTGGCTGCACACTTTGCTTTCACTGTCCACTGACCCTTGGCTGAAATTCCATTGATCAGCTTCCCCTACACTTTAACTTGGCCCTGCCCACCTAATGTTGAGGAGTCTATTTCTCTATTGTGGAAACAGAGAAAATGACATAGGGCAGAATCTTTTGAACAGCACATTAGTAAATCTGAATTTTATCAGATAGCGAATGTAGAACTAGTTGAAGAGGAGAAAAATAAGAAAAGTCCTATGAGAATGTGACTACAGGGCAACAGGTGGAGAGAATTCATTTGCAGGAAACCTACTCAGTGCCAAGTACATTAACTTGGCACTCACAGCAACCCAAAGAGAAGCTGTGTGTGTGTGTGTGCGTGTGCATGCACATGCGTGCACGAGTGTGGGTGTGTGCATGCATCCACTTAGGAGCTCACTGCTTTCATGTGATTTGCTCAAATTTTCAGTGAGTTTCCCATTGGCTATGACTGTAATTAACCCCACCATCAAACTACCGTAAGTACTGACTCCACCTCACCTGTAGATGTTGGCTGGTGCAGGGGTCTGTACTCTTGCAGGTGGGATAGACACCTCTACTGCTTTTGGCTGGGCTCGCTCACATATCTGAGGGTCAGTTGGCTGCAGGCCAGTCCAGATGGACCTCAGCTGGGCCAGCGTGGCCCCTCCCCACGAGCTGCTCAGACATGCATGTCTCCCACTTCCCTTTAGTGGGCCAGCCCAGGCACATTCTCTAGGGGAGGGCCTCGGTGGGTTTTCTTTTTGTTGTTGGTTTTTGTTTTTAATAGCAATGACAGGGAAGTGAGAGAGTGAAATGCATATGCACTTTGTCAAGACTTTGCTTTTGTCATTCTTGCCACTGATCAGGCCCACAGTGAGAGGGAGGGGACTATAGAGTCTCATGGCCACACATACAGATGCCAGGAGTCCATGAATGTGATCAGTCAAACTCACTTAGTATGAAGAGAAACTGAAACCATAACCTTCTGGGCCCCCAGATCCATGGGTAGCACCCCAGATGACACTGCTTCTCTGGAAATAGTACTTCAGATATACCTTGGGATGGGCAGGTATGCACTCATAAAACACATAATTGATGACCATTAAAATTCTAACCAGAATCTGGGCTGCCAAGAACTGAACCCCGCTCTGCCTGTCACAAAATGGAAGGGTTAGGAATGCAGCTCCAGCAGCCTGTGGAGTCAAGAGGAGCCACACACCCTGCCCTCCTTCCAGTCCTGATACTGCCCTACAGCTTCAGAATTCTGGTTATAATTTAATATCTTTTCTTACTTCCCTGAGATACCTCCACATCTTAAAGACAATCTGAGAACCCTGAAACTCAAGTCAGAATGAAGCCCACTCTTGGAATCCATCAGAGGCAGCTGAGATGCAAACGGCATTAACTGAATTCCTTTAGACATGTCAAAAGAAATCTTGTCTCTCAGGTAGATAAAAATTAATGAGACATCCAGGATGCTTTTATCTAATTTATTATATGTAGCAATGCTGGGATCTTTCTGGGGACTGTAATATTTAAAGTTACGTTTCATTATGAAAACTTGTAGAGGATGTGCAAATTACATTTGTTTAATTCCACAGCTATGAAATGCCAGGCACTTGATGCCTTTGAATATTGGCGCCGAGTGACTTTGAAAACTTGAAAGATCTTGCTTAATTTTCTCCAGGCTTTAACTTTTCAACGAATAAGTGTTGATAGAACAAGGACCCCTGATAATACAGGCCATGCCGGATGGAGAAGGAATTCTCTTCTGAATCCTCAGAGCCTAATTTCCAGATAGCCATTCCCTACAGCACTTCAATTTGCACGGCGAGCTTTTGTTCCCATAGTGTATTTCCTTCCCTTAAAGTGACTCAGGACTCGCCAGAAGATCTGCCCTCCATGAGAATGGAAAGGTGTCCAGTTTTCAATTCATGGTCAACAAGCATTTACGAAGCTCAAAGTCTGTGGCAGATATTGCGGCAGAGCCAGGGTGTGAAGGTTCATGGGGCGTGTTCCAGCTTGGGTCAGCTCCGGGTTTAGAATGCAGGTGTGCTCACTAGCATGCGCCAGGAAACACCAGGAGCATGCGGGGAGGGTTGAGGGAAGGCGAGTTCTGTTCTTCCTGTGCCTTGCCTACCACCTTTTTTAAGAGGAACCTCTACCATTCCTGAAGCCTCCACCCTCAGGGATGGCTCAGGTGAGTCCATGTACCACTGGCTCAGGATTCAACCCTGTGAGCCCACCCAGCTCCCTGCAGGGCTTTTGGGAGCCCAGCAACTTCACAGCCCCTGTGTGTGCCTCGGTACCTTTGCATGGCTTGTCCCTCAGTCTGAAATGCCCTCCCCAGCCATCCATCCTCTCTGTAACCTCCCACTCCCCTTTTAAGATCTGGCCTAGATGTCATCTCCTCTGAAAAGTGGAGCCCATCGCCCTCCCTCCAGGAGTGCCAACTCCTTCCCCAAGTTCTCAGAGCACACAGGACCAACCTTAACTATAGTCTCCAGCACAAGTCCAGACTGTGCCCAGAAAGTGGCTGTCAGGCCCTTCTCACCTTCATAGCCAGGAACCTCATACAAAGCTTGTCATGGGTGCTGAAAAGTGACTGTGAAATTCAATCATGTGGCGATTTTTTGTTTTCACTTTCATCTCCCTCACTGGATTCTAAACAGAGACCGCATCCAACCACTCATTTTATTTCCTATGTCTAATACAAGTCCTGGCCCAGAATGGAGGGCTGATAAAGGCAGGCCTCTGCATTTGTATGAATGAATGAATGAATACTGAAAACATGTTCCCCGCAGTGATGTTCTCCATATAGCTCCCTTCTGGG
The DNA here is from genome assembly GCF_000001405.40 of Homo sapiens. Lineage (NCBI taxonomy): Eukaryota > Metazoa > Chordata > Mammalia > Primates > Hominidae > Homo > Homo sapiens. The sequence goes on along the minus strand of NC_000002.12, from coordinate 129,377,573 downwards.
CCATGTCAAAGATCCTTTTCCTCTCCTGAAAGCTTCAGAGTTTATAAGATACCCTCTGAGTCCTTGCCAGGGACCTGGATGACAGGAGAGCCTCCAGCTCCTATGAAGCCTTCCTGAGCTCCCAGCAGGTTGGGCCCTGGGCTTCACAGCCCTTTTCTCTGTCTGAAGTCTGCAGGCAGCTTGTTTCTGTGTCAGGCTGCCTGCTCTGCCAACCGTCACCCTCAGTGCAGGCATTGCCCCCAGCACATCATGTCAACTGGCACCCTCTTGGGCTCAGTGGAACAGTGAGGCCCTGGGCAGACAGGGAAGGCTCAGCCTCACAGCCCCACAGCCCCAGGGTTGGCAGGGGGCTCGGGAAGGCTGGGATCCAGCTGTGAGCATTGATTCTCTCCCTCTGCCTGAGCGGAAGGTGGGGCATTAGGGAGTTTAAGAGGTTCTAGTACTAGCGCAGCTCATTTCCCACATATGGAAAAGGCACTGAGAACAAAACCATGCTTCTATAGCCTTGGCTACCTGGCACCTTTTTCTGAACCAAAAACGAGAACACAGGGCAGGACCAGAGGTGATGTGACAACATGTGGGAGCTGTGGGCAGTTTACCCTGCCAGGCTGACCTCACGCGGGTGGATGGTGAAAGTTTGGGGTAGGTGGAGCTGCCTTGAATCTGTCCATGCAGGTGGATGATGGCTGACTATGGCCTGGCGGAACACTTTAAAATCCAGCGAAGGCATTCCAGGAGAGCACCAGGTGTGAGGGGAGCTTCCGGAGTGTCCTGCCCCGCCCCTTCTGACGCTGCCTCCAGGAGTGTGAGTCGCCTGCAATGGGTGGGGAGCCACAGCACCGAGAAAAAAATCAAGAAGTGACTGCCTCCGAGGCAGGGCAGAATAAAAAGTTGGGGGGTAATAGCCTCTGCCATCTGTGTGGTGGACCGTGATCCTCACCGTCATTCATCCATGTGGCCACCAGAGCTCTGCCTCCTGCACCCGACGGCCTGAGCTGACCTTGGATCCACTGGAATCCTGCTGGCACAGAGGATATATCTGAGTCTCTGTTAATGCTGGAGAGACAGTGCCACCCTCCTGGGGCAAGCCCCTCCAAGCCCTAGATTACGCAAAGGTGCACACATGGGCAGCCTCATGGGCACATCCTCCAGGTGCAGGTGTTGGAAGGACATTTGGGGCAGCAAAGGCAACGTGTCCTCAAGAAATACGCATGGCTGGTGCCTAAACCAACAGCTCTTGACAGCATCTGTGGGGTATGAGGCTGAATTCTCAGCACGGTGCTAAGCCTGTGACACACTTTCAACTGTTTAATTATCATAGCAGCCCTGCAGGGTAGGCAATTCTAGCTCTATTTTTGAACTGAAGAAGCTGAAATATGGAAATGCTAAGTGACTCGCCCAAGGTCACACAGAGAATGTGAGGCTGAGCAAATTTGGGCCAGAGCCTGCTCCATTCTGAAGCTCTCTTCTTTCCCATGACAATTCAGGGGCCCGGTCAGGGAACTCTGCTTGCCTTCTAGGAGACAAGGCTGAACACAGGGCTGAGGGTTGGACATGCGAGGCCCAGGAAGGCATGACGAGTATCATGTTTTCATTATGCTTTTAAACACTGAACACACACACACTTACCATTAAAGAAAAACAAAACAAAACAAAATAGTCTGCGTCGCTTAGAGACAGGGATGCAAAATTCTGAGAATTGCATCCTTACGCCATCTCATCATCACTGTGTGAACATCATAGAGGGCACCTACACACACCCAGCTGGCATAGCCTCCCACACACCCAGGCTGTGCGGTGAGCCAACTGCTCCTCAGCTACATGCCTGCAAGGAGAGGCAGTGCACACTGCCTTCCACTCAGGATCACTGCGTCAGGAGCTGTGTGTTTGGGCTCAAATTCCATCCTGCCTGGCGAAGCTGGGTGACCTTGGGCAAGTCACTTAACCTCTGTTGACAGTTTCTTTGTAAAATAGGGATACTGGTAGCCCTACTTCTAGGAGAGTTCTGAAAATTAATCTATTTATGTAGAGCATTTGGAATGAACCTGATGCATATATTCGTGGTTTTATTATCCTTTATAAAGGCAAATTATTGAATCATTAACACCGCATTTGCTCAGCTTTAATAGGACACTCATACTCCTGATTCTGCTAAGAAGGATCACCTGGGGCAGTCATGATGCTATCCAGCAGTCCTTGCATCTCCCTCTACCTCAGGCCCTGGTGCTGCTTCTGCAGCTGCGAAGCTACTTATCTGCATGGTGCCCAGTCCCTCTTATTAACCTCTTCTGACAGATGTAGCAGCTGGCACAGCCAGTGTGTCCCTCAGTGGCACTTGGCTGGAAGGGACACTTCCCAGTGAAATTTCCCAAATCCCAGGCTCTTTGCTATTACACCATGCTGCCTCCTGTATTCAAGGTTTGTCGTCTTAGGAACAAGTCACTTTAGCTCCCTCCAGTGAACTGCCCCTTGTGCACCTCCCCCATCCCTATGCTGTGCTGTGGACATGCTGAGGCCAGGCACATTCCACAGAGGTCCAGTAAAACCTCAAAATTACAGAGTACCCCAGGCTCTGGAGGGCTGAGCTCTGGTGGGTGTGGGGGACTTGGGGGCTGTGAGGCCACAGTAGGGCTAAGCGAGCAGAAAGGAACCTTTCTGACCAGCAGAGCCAAAGGGAGCCATAGGTGAGGAGGAACAGTAGAGTGGATGATTTGGATGCCTCTCATGCTCTTCTCCCAGAACTGAATCCAGCCTAACATGCATTTCAGAGCACCTGCCACACTGATAGTTAAATGCAGCCACAAGGGGATAGCTACTGGCCCACAAAGCCTTTAGGAAGACACAGTCCAGTCCGGAAGCAGACAGGCTTGCAAAAGGAACCCACGGCATTGACGCGCACAGCCAGGTCCCAGGTGGCCTAGCAGGATGTGGGGCTTCCTGGAGCACTCTGTGCAGAACTGATTGTGGGGGAGAAGGGGAGTGAGACAACAGTGCAGGATGAGCGTTCCGAGGAAGGGGGCAGCCAGAGCAGCTGGCTGCTGAGTGTGTGTGGAAACCCCGTGGACTGGTCAGAGAACAGGAAGACTTGGGGACTGGCCAGAGCTTGGGTTTGAGCTTGGGTGGCCGAGAGGTGCCACCTTTGACTGGCTTTGAGCCTGAATGGCTGAGAGGTGCCACCTTTGGCAACCACAGGGACCCAGGGAGGCCGGTGGGTTGGGGCCACCAAAACCCAACTTCAGACAGGTCATGGTGAGGCCTGTTAGGCAGTTGGAAATCCAGGTCTTGCAAGTCTTTCAGGGCTGAAGGAGAGCTTGCATGCAGCTGAGACTACTGTTTTCTTGTCCTGCTGAGAGGTCTGTGGGTCAGCCTTGTGTCTTGGGCATTTAGCGTTGCCAGGAGAGAGCTACTCTTCACGACACAGCCCAGCACCTGCTGCCCACCCTGCCTACTGCAGCTGACTGCTCTGAACACAGGCCCTGCCCCTAACCCCTGTCCTGCCATTTCAAACTTGGGAACTTGAAAGCAAATGGATGGATCCTACTTGATCAGGAAGTTGTGAGATGTAAAACACATGGGTGTTGTTGGCAGCTCTGATTTTACAAATGTGGCCATGTAGAGAAAGCTGATCATCAGTAAAGGAAAGTAAGGTGGCACCTGGAGACAACGAACGTGCAAGGCTGAGCTGTGACATGGAGACACCTGCCTGACACTGCCACCTCAGGCCAGGAGCACTGGAGGAGAGCCCCATAGCTCTGTCCATGGCCTCCGTGTTGAAGTTTCTTCAGATTGTGCAGCCAATACATCCCATTCTCATCTCAGTCTAATCAGAAAACTCAGTTTGTATATCATTTTCACAAATCCCCATTGTGCTCTGGTTGTATATGCTCAGAGGTGTTCAGTAGCTTGCAGCATGGAAGCCTGTGTGGCAGTCAGGACTCAGTTCACATCCACCTGGCCATGCATTCTCCAAGTTTGTTTGTACTACCTGCCATATAAAGCTGCTGACAAATCTCAGCGACTTAATCTAATACAACTTCTCCCTCACTCAGGCAAAGTCCACAGTGGCTGCTCCTGGACAGACAGTCCTCCCACAGGCTGCATCCCCTGTGGCCTTGCCATTTTGCGGCTTTTAAGTTCTCTTGGCATCACCCAGCTGCTGATGGGGGAAGACGAATGGATGGAGGGTTCCTCTTACCCAATGCTTGGCACCCTCAGCTGGAAAGTGATGTACAGCATCTCTACAGGTGCCCCATCGGCAAGACCCAGCCATGTGGTCATGCCTGATGCAGAGAGCCAGGAGGCCAGTGCTTGGCCAGCAGCCCCAGCTGGCCACAGTTATGCACTGTGGAAGGGGAGCACCAATGCAGAGGCGAGACCACGCCCCCTCCCATTCAATGGAAAGTCAAAGGGTTGAGCCCTACAGTGCACCCTGATGGAAAGACCTGAGGTTCACATCTGATGACAGCTGGGCATCATGGAGGGAGAAGAGCTGAATCCCGGGATACTCTTTTCCATGCACAGGACCTTGGCCTCTATGGGACTGGTGGAGGGGACGTGGGGGCCAGTGCATGCCTCTGAGCACAGCCTGGGTCCATGCTTCCTACCCTAGTGAGGACAGTCAGGGCAATAAGTAAAGACGGGAAGAAACCCATGCAGAATCCCAGAGCAGGGCATAGGGATGGAATACAAACACTGCCCTCTGGGCCTGGGGGTGAGAGTAACAGGTCAAGGACCGTGCTTTTATCTTCTGGCTTGTGGGCCCCATGGTGATATCACAATAAAGAAGATAGAGACCTGCTGTGGCTCATCGTATGGGACCTCACAACTGCCATGAGAGTCCAGGGTAGGCCTTGCAGGTATGGCAGCAGTATAAGATCTGCGCGCACTTCCAAGGTGGGCTGGAACAAGCTCACACAGCTTTTAGAGAGGCTCCCTGAAAGCTGGCACCTGCCCCCCGCATCACCCCCACCACACACACACAGACGCACACATACACACACAAACACACACACACTGCTGTCTGCTTTGTGTATCTATAGATGGAAACCTCTGCCTCCTAGTGCTGCAAATATGAGCCTTAATATATGTAAAAATAAAATGAGTGTGCAGGGCCTTCCATGAAAGGCTTGTTTTGCTTTTCCTTGCACAGAGGAATGGAGTCATGCTCAAATGATGCTGAACAAGTCCTTTACCTTGAAATAACATAAAGTTGCTATTTTCCGAGGATCTCAGCCTCTGTTTACAATATAATTAGTATGGTCAAAAGCAGTCAATGAAACATAAAAAACTATTACTCATGGCTTTAAACTGTTAGTCATAAAATAATACAATTTTAGAAATAGTGACAAACCCTGTTTTCCCAGTAAACTCTCAGGCACGCTATCTTTTGTGAGGCTTTGAAGTAAGAAAAAAAGTAATCAATTTATCTCTGTCTGAGACCTTAGCTTATAAACATCTGCTGATGGCAAAAAGCCAAGACAGCTATTACAAAGTTTCCACTAAAGCAAAAAAATTTTTCATGCTATTCAAAAAGAGGAAAGGTTGATTTACTTATTTCTGGGGTAAAGATATATAAAAATATATGTTTTCTTTTCCCTTCAGCCAGAATTTGGCTCCTGAAGTGCTCATAAAAATGACGGGCAGCATTGAGTCAAGAGTTGGTGGAGCTCCTTCTCAGCATCCCCACAGGCGCCAGCTCAGGAGCAGGCCTCAACGCTTGGACCAGCAGGAAGGGACAAGCCATGCAGGCCAGAGCCTCCCTGCTGCACAAAGTGGCTGACAGATGGATCAGCTCACCTGGGGCTGCTCCTACACAGTGTCAGGAAGGCGCAGACAGGTGCTAGCAAGCCTTATGAAGACTCATAATGGGGAGGGGCAGGTGCATGTGGTGGCCACTCAGCTCTATGGACAAAGGCAGTGGCTTTGAAGCCTAGCTGCATGCCAAGCCCAGTCTAGTGAGGTAGGAGAATTGTTTCCAGTCCTCAGATGAGAAGAGTGGTGTGGAGTTGGAGTGCTAAAGTTGCTTGCCCAATGCCACTGGCAAGTAGGATACTGACTCCACATCTCATGCTCTTTCTACTGCATCATGCATCCCCTGGAATGGGACCTGAAAGTGCTATTTTCCTGGCTGGTTACTTTCCCTGAAGCAGAGACAGTCATCAACTCCAAAGATAGCATCCAGGACAAGAAAAGTATAACTCGAATGCCTCTCCTCATTACCTTAACCATCAAAAGATGGCACTCACCAAGGCTTAATTTTAGATTTGGTTCATCTACAGTGTGCTGGCTTCATGGATTTTTCCCTCTTCCCTTTAAAATGCTGTAGATGGAAGACCAGCTTCTAGGTAAGCTGCTCATCTGACTCTCCATTTTCTGTTTCCACTGCTGCTCTGGCTGGAATGCAGCGTCCGTCCTGCTCTAAGCACATCATTGTAGCATCAACACTCGTCACTCAAACCTGAAGATTTAGTTTGTAAGCTGGAGTGCTGGAGGGAGGTAATCTAGATTTCCTGCTGTGCCTTCCATCAGAAGCGGTGAAAAAAATTGTGAATTCTAGCACACCTAGCTCAATGACATCAGCACACCTAGCCTCAATTACAGGAACATAGTTCAGAGTATACACCTGCATTCATTGTATTTACAAATTTAAATATGCTGTATAGTAAGCTATGGTAAAACTACAGTTGGCTTTCCTCTCCTCACTAGCAGAGCTCACTCTGGAGAATAACAAATTAAAATAGAAGTTGCAGTAATATGAGAAACTTCATTTTACCTGAATTGACGGTTTTAGACTTAAATTATTATCTTCAAGAAATAGGATGTAAAAACAAGAAAGATCGTTTTTCTACTATAACAAAAAATTTTGTTTTGAAAACATAAAAACTATAAAATGATATCCCTCATGATTATAGAGTCCAAAATTCCAAACAAAATTTTATCAAATGGAATTCAACAATATATCAAAAGGACCCATACCTCACATCACATACGTAATCTAACTCAAAGTGAATCATAGACCTAAAGTGAAACCTAAACTATAAAACTCCTAAAAGACAACAAAGGAGAAACACTTTGTAACCTTGGGTTAAGCAAACATGTTTTTAGTGATGTAAGGGCATAACCTATTAGGAAAATGCTAATTAAAACCACAATAAGGTGTCTGTACTGACCCATTAATAGGATTAAATGAAAAAATCCAACCAAACCAGTGCTGGAGAGGATGTGAAGGTCCTGAATTTTTTTTTTTTTTTTTTTTTTGAGATGGAGTCTCGTTCTGTCCTCCCAGTCTGGAGTGCAGTGGCATCATCTTGCCTCACCACAAGCTCCGCCTCCTAGGTTCATGCCATTCTCCTGCCTTAACCTCCCAATTAGCTGGGACTACAGGCACCCACCACCAAGCCCGGCTAATGTTTTTTGTTGTGGTTGTTGTTGTTGTTGTTTGTATTTTGTATTTTTAGTAGAGATGGGGTTTCACTGTGTTAGCCAGGATGGTCTCAATCTCCTGACCTCATGATCCGCCCACCTCAGCCTCCCAAAGTGCTGAGATTATAGGTGTGAGCCACCGCGCCCGGCCCCTGAAATTCTAATATACTGCTGGTGGACATGTAAAAAGAGAATAAGAAAAGGAAAGACAGTGGTACAACCACTGTCAGAAACAGTTTGGCAGTTTCATAAAAAGCTAAACATGTACCTACTACACTGTATGATCCAGGTTTCCTTGTCTAATGCCCATTGTCTTGGAGACCACTGTTTGATATGTTTGTTCTAGTGTTTTTTATTTTTTAATTTTCTGCACAGGAGGACAAACCCAGTTTCTGTTACTCCATTCTATTTGAAAGTGTAAGTCTGTGAGAAGTTTTAAGAGACAGATCATTATCTGCAGGGCATGCACACATCTGCTAATAAACTGCCTGATAGCTTCCCACAGGCCACCAAAGCCACACATGGGTTTTCCCTCCTGACTAACCTGGGTGCTTTTCTGTCTAAATTCAAGGTCCTGTCCAGTTTCCTATAAGAGATTTAGTCATAGCCCTCAGATTTCACACTGGGGACTGCACTTCAGTTCAATAACAATGTCCTGAGCCCGTGCTCTATGGTAGATTCTGTGCCATGGACTTGGTAATAGAGACAGGAATCGATCACGGTCCTCATACGTGGAAACAGACATGCAGGAATTCCAGGTCAATCTGGGGACCCAGTGAGAGAAGTGTGACAGGGATGTTGAGGGCCAGGGGCGCAGCATGCCAGGGAGAGGCTTTTCTCTGCCTTGGGTCTCCGCCCCGCGTCTGTGCTTGGCCCCATCTTAAGCAGTGCTGGTAGCACACATCATAGCCCAACCCATGCCCACTGGGTTTGTCAGAGTCCAACACTAGAATTCGACCAGATGCCCATCTCCTTTTAATCAACAATTCTATAAATACGTATTATAAGTTATATTTTATGTTAAGAGAAATTTATGCTCAGAAAAAAACTGATTTTGTCACTCTTCTAAGCAGTGGTGAAAATTTAGGTGAAAAATTAGGTATTTGCATGTTCCACAAAAATCTGCTTTTCCATTGCATACTGGACATCCAAAACACAAAACACAGGTACTAGAACACCTGTGCTTTTGATTAATGCAAGTTTTAGTCATATTATTAATGAATCCAGCTGGATGGAAAATAATGGAATTATGCCCATGTATCTCCCTTCTGTGGTCTTCCTAACTTGATTCCTCCAGATTGCTTTTACTACCTTGGACTTAATTTTAGAATTTAGCATGTTTTGAAAGAGCCCCCCACCCCACCCACATCTTTGTGTCCACATGCTGTCAGAGTGATGCAATGCTACTGTTCTCCACCGTTGGTTAATGTAAAATGTTACCCCTCCCCCTGCTCTTCTTCCAACCACCCCTTGAAACAAATGTCTGGGCTTCTATTCATTTCATGTGTTCTCATCCTTTCTCTGGTTAGGCAGCCTTGTGTATGATTAATACATTTGGTTTTCTTATTTGCTAAATCACTATGTTTAGCATGCTCATTTCATGGCAGGACGGAGTGGCCTGGAGGGAAGTTTGTATTTCACTTAGTGAGGACAGAGGCAGATGAAACTGCTCAGAAATTTATTCTCTAATTATGAAGGTAAGGGGGAAAGCTTCTCACCCCAAACTCTAGCCGTTATAGCCCCCATGGTTTAGAATAGTCACACACTAGTTCCCTGGAAGCCAACAGTGAGAGCAGCCCACTTATTCATTGCTCAAATGACTCTGTGAAATAGGCACCATGATTATTCCTTTATTAAAGTGAGGAGACACAAGGTTGGGGGTCACACAGCTAGCAGGCGATCAACATGACACTTGGCTCCCCAGTGTGAACCTCACCCCTACCTAAAAAGGAACCCGTGGATCCAATGACCAGGCAGACCCAAGGTCTCAGTTACAGGATGGGAAGGAAGTACCTGGCTCTTAAGGTGAAGACAACACTTCTTGCCATGAACCACAATGCCCCATGCAGTGGCCCCTGCAGACCGCCCTCCACCACCTTTGCTGATTGGCCTTCATCACGTCACTCTTTCTTCCTCCCTCTGCTCCAGCCTCCAGCACCTTCTTGCCACTCCAGTCCCTGACTTCAAGACCTGAACCTCTTCCCTTTTAGCAGTGTTGTGTGCACTGCTCCCACTGCCTGCCCTTCTTTCTCTTTCTCCTCCTACCTAATTATCTTCTCATTCCCGCATCTGACTCACAGCTAGCCTCTTCCCATGCTGCCCTCGACCCCTTGCTTTCCTCTGAAGCACTCATCTTCTTTGGTGATCAGGCACTACATACAAATAAGTGTATTTGTGAGTATCCTGTGAATGTCTCACTTGTCCACTAATCTACAGGCTCCATGAGAAGGCAGAAGACATGGGAATTCTTCTCAGCATGGTGTCTCCAGCACCTTCCATGGCAAGTAGAAGACGTTCAAGAGAAGGGCTGCCTACGCACTTGGTAGAAACAGCACGAGCTCTGGAGCTAAGCAGACCTGAGTCTGAAGTGCTGCTTTGCCGCTTCCTACCTGTGAGGTCTCCGGAGAGTTGCATGATGTCTGGGGCCTGTTGACTCCCATGAAGTGGGGACAACAGCCATCAGAAATAAAGGTTCCCAGGAGACAGTGACATGTCTCCCCAAAGGTTCTGAATGTGCCACCTACACATGGCAGACCCTCAGTAAATGGCACAAGATGCAGCGAAGTGGTTGTGATCAAAAGGGAAGGTGATTTGCTTCTCTTGCTTCCCCTTTATCCTCATGCAGTGGAGCCGTTTCCTTTGCCACCACTGGGAGGGCCTGAGCTATTCCTGTCACTCTTTGTTAATGAGATTCCTCACAGTCACTGCAAGTTGGCTGACGCTGTCTATTTCAGTAACTAAAAATTTACAATCTCCTGTATTAATCAAAACTTATAACTCTATTTTAAAATAAGGCGCCTTCTCAGTTCCCTCTCAGGAGGGTTGCAGAGGGGCATCCTGCCATCCTAGGTCCTGGGGCGAGGCATGGTCCCATTTCGGTCCCGTTTGCCTCTCCTTCCCCTCACCTTCACCCACCACCTTGCTGAGAAAGGGGTGTGGAGAGGGGAAGGAAAGGAGGCAGGGATGCTCTTTCCTGAGTGCCATAGTGGAAATTGGCCTTGTGCTCTGTGCCTGGAAGATATTTAAGTGGAGTCTCTCCTTGAAGCTCTCATTCGGACTCTACTGCCACCTCACTGACACTGGCGTCTGGTGTGGGGTGTCCTTGACCCACATGAGTCCACACTGGAACCCACGGGTGTGCTTTCTGTTTGCTCACTTCATTTTCAGCTCCTGCTGCTCACAGGATGCATTTCCAGCATCTTCACTGAGACATGTTCACCTGCACCCTCACCCACAACGGCCTGTTAGAAAGGGTCAAAGGAAACCTGATTTTCTATTTTAATCCTTTTTGTCTGCGTGGGGAATGGGACTCACATACTCCAGAAGCTCTCTCAAATAAAAAATCCTTTACAGAAGGTGGCTGTAATCCCAGACGATCTGACCTTGTATCCTCTCTATGTGAATGAGTGGCTTCCAGGGTCGCCTAACCAGAGCTCTTCCTAAGGCCCACATGTGCTCTGACAGCCCCTTTGGAAGGACCGCATGTGTTCTACTGCAGAAGCTCAGCAGACACTTCCACTCTAGCAAGGCAGCATGTGCAAGGGGCCCTGCTGTGTTCTGGCAGGGTGTGCGGGTGTGGAGACACACACATGAAAAGGGTCTGCCCTTTCTTTACCCTCGGGGTGCTGACGGAGTGGGCTCCAGCCCAGACAGGGAGGGTGGGGCCACTCATCAGAGAATAAAACCCAGAGACAATGACTTAAATTTACTTGGTTTTGGTTAGATCCTGTTTCCCAACCCTCCCTAACATTTCATTCCTAACCTCCACTATTAACAAATCATCCCCACTAACACCAACACACACACAAGCCATGCACCTGCGAATCACCGCAGTCCCTAGCCAAGGAGGCGGGACACTCATTTCTCGGACCCCCAGGTCTCCTAAGTGCTGCCTACTGGACCCCGACTTGGCTAGAGAGGGGGACATGTCTTCTCTTCCCCATGGGGAGGGGAGGAAGAAGCCAAAGTGCTCTCGTTTTATTTTTTCAAGATTAGTCATTTCTTTGATTACTTAGTTTCTAATATTCATGAGGATAAAATAAAAAAAGTGTAAAAATGAATATTTGTATGTCCTGGGACAAGATGATGGAGATGCCTTTTCCACAGTTCTTCCTCTAAGCACTGTGAAAATCCCTGGGAATAAGTAAGTAGGCAAATATGAAAGGTCTCTGAAAGATAAAGAGAAGAAGGTAGAGTGCTGCAGACCTTAAGGCTCGAGGATCAACACTGCGGTGGGTCCCTTGGCTTTTTAAAACTTTCCTGTACATGCCAGACTATGCTCCAGTGAGTCCTGCAAGCTGGAACTGCTAGCAGGTGTGGGCAAGAACATCAAACCAAAAAGGCTGCTCTCTCTGGCCAAAGGATCAGGAAAGGGACAGACCAGCTGCAGAGATGTATGTAAGTATCTTAAGTGCAGTCAGTTAACAGAAAACCTAATAAATATTATTTTTAGAGGACCTATCTATAAACATGCATTTTATGAGTGCATCAAATCTACCAACAAATATTTACTAAGTATATATGATGGCATTAGAAACAACCCTAGGAATTCAAAGTCAAATAGAGAAAAAAATTTTCCCAGATGATAAGAAGCTGATAGCCTGGTCTAAGTGGAAGAAATACGTATGAAGAAGTATAGCAAGGCATAATGTTAAGGGATATGTTAGGAATATGCACAGGTGTTTTGAAATGCAGAAAAGTAGCAAAGAAACTATCCACTGGGGGAAGCTTTTAAACTAGAACTTGATTTGATGATGGAAATGTGATATTCTGGCCACTTTGAATTGTTCTGCTACATTGGGTAGATCCTTGGAGGATAACGCACTTTTCTCCAAGGTAGATATGTTTGATCGTAGGGTATATTTTCAATCACGAGCTGTAGAAAACCCCACTAAAGCAGCATATACAATGACAGTCTCATCTCGCCTAAAGACAGTGGGATAAGGTCCAAAGTTGGTCAATGGAGCAATGTCTCTAAAGGTCTCTAAGAGGCCTTTTGTGTCTCTCTGCCCTGCCTTACTAACAGGCAGGTGATGTTCCTCTCCAATGTCACCAAACCTGAAAGCCACTTGCAGATGTGGTGAAGCAACCAAAAAAGGAAACATTTTCTCTTGTGCCTCTGGTATTACAAGTGAGGAAAACTTTTCACCGAAGCCTAGTTGACTCTTCAACAGGGAACAGTGGCTGTGATTAAGTTATGAACCCAGAAACCTAGACCTAACTCATTCTTTAGCATAGGCAATAATGACACCATATGCAGTTTACACCAACCCAGATGCCCTCTCTGGGCTTAGATAGCCTCTGCTCCCCCAAGCCTACAGTCATTGTATGTGTGGGCCAACCTGGAGTTCTGTTCAGGGGCAAGCGGATGGGCAATTGTGCAGGTAGGGAAAGGATAGTGTCCACCAACAGGAGGGGCAGTGACCTTCTGTTTTACTTGTCTCTACGTGCCCCAGAGCCTGGTCTGGCATTGGGTACATGGGAGTTATTCAGCAATGCTGGTCCAACTAACTGCATTGGCTCAAATGGAAATGCCCGACTTTAATACAATGGAGAGACAGTGAGAGAAACAAGGAAAATAAGAGAATTGTCTTTTTTTTTTAGATGACAAATGCAGTGGAATGAGTCACGGCCTTTTATTGGAGGACTCTGACTTTGTATGATTGGCCAATATTAACTTTGCATTTCCTTTAGTTTCCATAGCAATGCACCTCATCCCTTCACTCATATTGCCAATAGCAATTCTCCTAATATTATATTTGTCAAGTAATTTGCAAATATTTCCTGTCATTGTTTTTCTGGTTGTATTTCCTAGAAAGAATACCACCACTTTGAAAATAAATAAATGAAAAGCTACATGGCACACGCACACAGTCCCACTGCTCAGAGTGCATCTTGCTAATCAGTGAATAGATATGCAGAATCCAAACTACATCCCTTTTATTTTCCTCCTAAGGACCAGTTAATTTAAGTCAAATATCATTATAGGCATCTCCTGTAGGAGGAGAAGATCCTTGTGCTAGGCATGGACTTCTAGACATGCCCAGAGCACAGCAGCTGGTCTCGGGGTTCGCTCTACAAGAGAGACGCACAGAGGCCTGGAAGCACAGAGGAGGAGCACTAAAACCAGTGTAGGGTGGGGATGCTGGGCTCTCTGTGTGTGTCTGTGCGTGTGTGCATGCGAGAGGGGTGTGTGTGAGAGAGGGGTGTATGTATGAAAAAGGCATGGGAGGAGGGGAAACGGCACAAGTCAGAAGCCAGGAGGCTAGGCACAGTGGTTTCTGCTGGGCTGGACAAACCTAGGCTGAGGTGCATGTTGCTCTCTACCCTCCTTCTCTTCTCCAAAGCTGGCCCTCAGGTGGACCAAGCAGGAGCAGCTCTGGTGAGTGTGGAGATTACAAAAAAAGCTGAGCTCTTTCTGAGCCAGGTGGGCCCCCAAGCCTCGCACTTGTACCTCCCATGTCATCCTGAGCAGTGTTCACCTCTCTGCTTCATCATCTGTGGAATGGGAATAAGGGAACACAGCACCATCCAGAGGGCTCTGGGGAGCCTGGATGGCTCCATCTGCAAGGGTCCTTGAGAGCAGAGTGTGGCCCAGAGTGAACAGGTGGCCAATGTTAACAATGGCAGGTGATGAGGGTGAGGACGGTGAGCATTCTTGCTTCCCAGCTGGGAAACTGAGATGAGAAACATTACAAAGCTCACCTAGGAAGCACGGGAAGTGGCACGGAGAGCCAGGGCTACATGTCTTCAGACAGCCAAGTGTGCCTCTGAATCTCCAATCTACTAGCTTTCTAGAGAGGCACACTGTTTAGGAGACAGCCCTGACCTCCCAAGGAATGATCAGTAATAGTAACGGATCACTGTTGCTCACATTTAGTTAGGGCTGCAGTTTGCATGGCACTTCCACACGCACTGTTGTCCTGCATCTCCACTGGGAGTTGTTGGGAATTTCTGGGTGGATACCAAGGGTGTGTTCAATAGAATGCTCAAGGCTGCTGGCTTCACCCCCAGCCCCCAGGCAGTAAATCTGGCCACACTCACTGGCATTAAAATGGTCCAATGTGTCCGTACGAACACCATGAATGGCTGGGTGGCCTTCCTAAGCGTGGCCCGAGGCGCTTCAGGCTACAGGCTGCTGTCAGCACCGCGTGGTGGCATGGTGCCCCAGTCAGGGAGGGCGGCCTGAACCCATGCTTGCTGAGCTCCCCATACATTCCCAGGCTCTGGAACTCTATAACTCTTCTAATTCCTATTGGCTTTTTAAGGAGCATAATGAAGGTTCTTGAGGAAAAATAGCCAAAAGATAAATACAACAAAATAGAACAATTCTAATTTTAGTGGGGAAGTTTGCTAAGTCAGGCCTTTAATGCTTTATTCTCTATCAAGAGACTCCTGTGCAAAGCTGGCAGCTTGCTTGGGAATGGGAAGGGAATGTGCAGCACCTAGGAGCTTAGAGATGGAAGGGACAGCACCCCTTAGAGATGACAGGGACAGCACCCCTTGCCCAGCTCCCCTTGGATCCAAAGTGCGGGCATGTGTTGGGGAGACATGTTTAGTAACCCTGATGGCCTAGGGTTGCCCTAGGCAAATCCAAGTGCGTGGAGGCCATGAAGCCCTGAGGTTAGAAAGCTCTGGGGAAGGCAGGCCAGCGGCAGAGACGGCCAGGCAGTAAGCTTGGGGGCTTCTCATGGTCTGCCTCCTGGGTCAGCCCGCTCCTAAAAATGATGGCTCTGAATGATCCAAAGCATGGTGACATTGTGAGCCATCTTTCCTGCACATTAAGCTCAGGGGAGGGGTGCTTTGTCCTCTACACAGCCTTCAAGGCCTGGAGGAGCAGAGGCTGTGGGGGACCACAAGAGGGGGAGGTTGGGTCCAGCTGTGGGGGAGCCCTCCTTCTTAGACTGCCTGGATGAGTGCCCCTGCCCCAGCCTGCACAGTCCCTGGTGTCATAGTGATTGGGAGCTCCCACTCAAGGCTCCAGACCACGGCAAGAGGGCCGAGATGGGGTGCACCCAGCATCAGCAGTATAGTCATGGCTCAGCAGTGACCACCATGCACCAGCTGAGGCTCCTGGACACCTCTGCACCTGTGCAGCATGCTGAGTGAGCCTCCCTGGGGAGCACAGTGCACTTGCTCTTGGTGGGCTGTGAGGTCCCTACCCGGGGGGCAGAAACTGATCCCTGGCCCTAGGGACATTTGGAAGTATATAAGTGCCCAGGGGGTTTCTGGGCTTCCTGGGTGGGAGGGGCTGGGGGTGGAAGGGTATAACAGAAATTGCTGATGGTTCATTTGTTTTACCTTGAGATGCTACAGAAAGAGCACCAACTGCACCCCAGAGCTCAAAGTGAACACCCCAGTCATATGTGAGTTGCGTTACTCATGAAGTCATCATTAAACAAGTGTTTGTTACTCCTTCCCCAATAAAACTATATAAAGGGCCTTTGCCAGCATATTATTGTGGCTTTAAAACTCAATTAGAAAGGCTGGGCATGATGGCTCATGCCTGTAATCCCAGCACTTTGAGAGGTCAAGAGGGGAGGATCACTTGAGCTCAGGAGTTCGAGACCAGCCTGGCCAACATGGCAAAACCTCATCTCTACTAAAAGTACAAAATTAGCCGGGCATGGTGGCAGGTGCCTGTAGTCCCAGCTACTAAGGAGGCTGAGGCATGAGAATCGCTTGAACCCGGGAGGTGGAGGTTTCAATGAGTGGAGATTGCACCGCCACATTCCAGCCTGGGCAGAGCAAGACTAGGTCTCAAAAAAAAAAAAAACAAAAACAAACAAACAAACAAACAAAAACAAAGAAAAAACAAAACAATCAATTAGAGATAGTTAAGTTCTAAAGGATCATACTGTGTATTAGGATTAAAAATACCTGTAAATAATTCTATTTGTTTAATGTGTATATGTAAATACACACATTTGTTTTGCCATAAAAATCCCCAAATTTGTTTGTTTATAGAAGAGTCGTCTGTCCCCTCCCCAGCATTGCCAGGGCCTTTCCTTTTGTAGTAATGCAGAGACTGCCAATGATATGAAGCCATTTTGGTCCAGCAGTCCACACCCTCCATAGTATCTTAGTAGCACATTAAATAAACTGATTTAGTGGGCAGTTCTTCAGTCTTCAAGGCTAAAAGGTCTCCTGTGATACACGGGCCTTCAGATAAGTGTGTATATAACATAACACCTTATTTATTGGTTTCAGAGGGGTGATCCTGATCTAAAACTTCATACTGGTACATTCATTTCCCTGTCTTTTTGGAAGGTGTCTCTGCCTAGATTAAAAAGTCCGAGAAGGCAGGTTCAGGGACTTACCTGGTCACTGCCGCACCCTGAGTCTGGAATAGGACCTCGCATGGCATAGGCCGGCAGCACACGTGGAGGGAGAGGAAGAATAAGGAGCAGTGAAGATCCTATAAGAACATCTAGAGAAGCAGTGTGGGGAGGGAAGCACTCTGATTGCAGGAATCTCTAAGCAGCAATCTGCCAAGGCCCTGACATTTCCCCAGCAGGTGTGGGTGTAAACATTCTTCTGAACAGTTGTGGGCTGTGGTGCTGAAGCCAGGGTTCTCATCCGGAGAAGCTCTCACGCCAGAGGCCGCAGTCATTGCAGAGCCTCCATGGGTTCTCCCAGCTCCTGGACTTCTACTTCTCAGGGCTGCTTCTGATCTGGTCTCGCTGCCCTCCCTGGCCTCTGTGTTGGTCCAAATGGTGTCATCACCATTACCTGTGACCAGCAGCCCAGCTTCCACTCCAGCCATTGTCTTCGGGCATTTGCTTGTAAAGGCCAAGATGTGAGTGTCACATTCATGTGCTCAAAAATGAATTGGCTGCATCTTCCACACACTTCTGTTCTCAGTGTCTCTTTCTTTTTTCTTTTTTTTTTTTTAGTCTTTTTTTCTTTTTATTTTTTATTATACTTTAAGTTCTGGGATACATGTGCAGAATGTGCAGGTTTGTTACATAGGTATACATGTCCCATGGTGGTTTGCTGCACCCATCAACCCATCATCTATGTTAGGTATTTCTCCTAATGCTATCTTTCCCCTAACCCCCCACCCCTCAACAGGCCCCAGTGTGTGATGTTCCCCTCCCTGTGTCCATGCATTCTCATTGTTCAATTCCCACTTATGAGTGAGAACATGTGGTGTTTGATTTTCTGTTCCTGTGTTAGTTTGCTGAGAATGATGGTTTCCAGCTTCATCCATGTCCCTGCAAAGGACATGAACTCATCCTTTTTTATGGCTGCATAGCATTCCATGGTGTATATGTGCCACATTTTCTTTATCCAGTTTATCATTGATGGGCATTTGGGTTGGTTCCAAGTCTTTGCTATTGTAAATAGTGCTGCAATAAACATACGTGTGCATATGTCTTTATAGTAGAATGATTTATAATCCTTTGGGCCCAGTAATGGGAATGCTGGGTCAAACGATATTTCTTGTTCTAGATCCTTGAGGAACAGTCACACTGCCTTCCACAACGGCTAAACTAATTTACATTCCTACCAACAGTGTAAGAGCATTCCTATTTCTCCACATCCTCTCCAGCATCTGCTGTTTCCTGACTTTTTAATGATAACCATTCTAACTGGTGTGAGATGGTATCTCATTGTGGTTTTGATTTGCATTTCTCTAATGACCAGTGATGATGAGCTTTTTTAAATATGTTTCTTGGCCAAATAAATGTCTTCTTTTGAGAAGTGTCTGTTCCAAATAAATGTCTTCACCCACTTTTTGATGGGGTTTTTCCTTGTAAATTTATTTAAGTTCTTTGTAGATTCTGGATATTAGTCCTTTGTCAGATGGATAGATTGCAAATATTTTCTCCCATTCTGTAGGTTTCCTGTTCACTCTGATGATAGTTTCTATTGCTGTGCAGAAGTTCTTTAGTTTAATTGGATCCCATTTGTCAACTTTGGCTTTTGTTGCCGTTGCTTTTTGGTGTTTTAGTCATGAAGTCTTTGCCCATGCCTATCTCCTGAATGGTATTGCCTAGGTCTTCTTCTAGTGTTTTTATGGTTTTAGGTCTTATGTTTGTCTTTAATCCATCTTAATATGGAACGGTTCTACTCCCTGTGAACGCAAAATGTCAGCATGACCTGATGAGCAGAGGCGGCCAGCATTCCCCTAATCTCCACCCCTTTCTGCCATGACTGCTGCACCCTGCCCGGCTTCTGAGGATGGACAGAGATCTACACATATGACCCAGGGACATAGATATAAGCTAAGGCAGGTCACCAATCACAAGTTAGAAACTGCACACTTGTCTGAGTCCCAGGTCTTCAGTTCCAAAGCCTGGATGGCCTCTCCACTTAGTGGGTCAGACCAGCCTGGACACACTCTTGTCCCAGAAACCTGGGCTCAGGAGTCTGTCTCGATCTTTCCCCTACACCCACATCCAAGGATTGTTGGCTCCATGGATTTTATCTTTTCTCTTGTGAAGTCACAGGGAAAGAGAGTAACAAAGGAACTCCAAGACCTTCTCTACCAGGCCTAATCCCCACACCTTGCCCCATTTTGCCTTCCTTACCCAGAGCTCCTTTCCCTACCCTGAAGAGGGCTCTTCACAAGAGGGGTTTTGCCTGGCCAAGCAGCTCCTTTGGGGCACATTGAAGGGTGACTTTGCACGTCCTGGAGGTTCAGGAGGAGCATCCCCAGGCAGAGACCTCAGGGGCATGGATGGTCTATGAGGGTGTCTCAGTCATTGATGCTGCTCCTGTCTGTCGGCTTGAATTCCCATCCCAAGCTCTCTATATCATGGTCCTCACCCCAGGACATCCTTAAGTATAACTTTTCTTCTTTAGAGAAGCATTTTATGCAAAGCAAGATTATCAAATACATTGTCCTTCAAATAAAACAGCAAACCACCTACCAGTCTCAGTAACGTGTGAAGAAGTTTTCCAGCAGCTCCTATTAAATATTCAGAAAAACACCATAAATGCTTCAGGGATATTTTATGGGTTTCTTAGCTGGCTTCTGTAGAACCATTAAAGATCTCCAACCCAAATCAGGCAGCAGAACTCAGATGATTTATTTCAGGAATCTGTCACTGCTGGACATAATGAAGTGTGCATGAAAATGTATGCATGTGTGTGTACAGGTGTGTGTGTGTTTCCAGATGCCACAAGGTTCTGGCAGACAGTTGTGTCATCACCTGTCATCAGCAGCAATCTCACCATGCCAGTGCCATTTGTTGAGCAACGAAGCCCTGAGTCGCAGAAGCAAGTGTGTCAGGACCCAGAGGATGCATGGCCACCCTGTCCCACATCAGTCTACAGCTGGTGAGAACAAAGCCATATCAAGCATGGACCAGTCCAAGACACAGAAGCAGAAAGGCTGCAGGGGGTGCCCATCCTCCCCAGCCCCGGCATCACTTCCTTGATGCTGTGGCCACACTGTCCCTTCTTGATACTCTTTTGTCAGCCCAGTAACTGGAGGCCTGGACCCACAGAAGGTCTCTTCACTTGAGTCTGCGGGGCTCCTCTTCTGCCTGTGGGTGCAGAGTCTGTCTGTTCCTCTCCCCTCTTCTCTCCTAGGGTAGTCTCGCCTTTTTGCTCCACTGATTCCCAGAGAACGTGCTCATCCAGCATCCACGGCTGTCTAATAGAGTGGGCTTCCAAAGAGGGGCTGGGAGCTCCCTGCCCATCTGCTGCAGAGAGCCAAGGGTGTCACAGCAAGGCTCACAGTGAACCCACTGAAGACTGGACGTGATGAGTCCCAGGAAGTGACCACTGTTGGCAGTAGGAAGCAGCACCATGTAAGGTACCTCCTAGAGCAGAGCCACAGCAGAGCGCCCTGTAGACACTGAGGGAATCCTGCAGGGACACCCATGAGGGGCATTAGAGGGGAGAAGGTCACTGCCACTGCACTTCAGGACAAGACTCTGGAGCTTGGAGCTTTCCTACCCTCACACAACCTCACCATGAAAGTTGGCAGTGAAGAGCACAGGGGCTAAACCCACACCAGCTCATTTTATGCACTGTCTTTTACAGACAGCAGTGGACACCGAGCGTTTTGCTTGTCTGTTCTTGGTAGTATGTACAGAACCTGGGTGTCCTCAACTATATTAAGATGATATTCATGTAGCAAGGTTCCAAGATAGACCCTAAAAGGTTGCATGCATGAAGCAAGAGAAATCTATTTTCACAAGGACTGAAGGGCTTGCAGTAGAAGGAAGGAAGGGTTCAGGCAGCACAGCCAGGCTGCTCTAGTAACACAAAGGACAGCAGGTTGGGTGAGGGTGTGGGGTGACTTAGCTCTCCCCAGGCATGCTCCCTGTGGACTCAGGTTTGGGTCTTGCTGAGAATGGAATGTTTGTGGACCCCCAAACTCATATGTTGAAATCCTGACCTCCAAGATGAGACTGTGGGGGTGGGGTCTTTGAAGTGTGATTAGCTAATGAGGGTGGAGTTCTCACAAATGGGATCGGTGTTCTTACTAAAGAGGTCCCTGAGAGACCTCTCCTTCCTTCTTCCATGCAAGGACACCGTGTATGAACTAGGAAACTGATCCTCACCAGACACCAGATCTACCGGCACCTAAATCTTAGACTTCCCACACATCAGAACAGGGACAAATTTGTGTTGTTTATAAATCGCCCCAGTCTATGATAGTTGTTTTAGCAGCCCAGGTTGACTGAGATGGGTCTCATGGGGTGCAGGGTGTCTAGACTTAAGATTGAGAGCTGCTGCACTGAAGCCTCACAAAGACATCAAAGCCCAAGCAGTGAGGCTCTAGGCTCTGAGACCCTGCTCGGAGAGGAACCTTCACCCCAGCATGCTGAGGGCAACTCCAAGCAGAAGACCACAGTGTCTCCGAGGTAGGTGACACAAGGACACAGATGAGACTCTTCTTGGGGACTTCCAGACCATATGAGATGAGGCTTTGCAGGACTTAAGGGTGCAAAAAGAATGAGTCTGGGAGAGTTAGGAACAGCGAGAGCCTGCTCAGCTTAGGGAGATAGTTCATGTGTTGGTTTTTCTTCGTAATGGTTAAAAAAGGTATCTGATCCTGCCTTGGAGAGGACAGAGCACAAACTTTGGAATTATGCAAATATGGGGTTGGGTACCCCATGCCATTTATTTAATTTTTCTCAGCCTCAGTGCCTTCATTTTTTGTTGTTGTTGTTGTTGTTGTTGAGACAGCGTCTCACTTCATCACCCAAGCTGGAGTGCAATGGCATGATCTCAGCTCACTGCAACATTTGCCTCCCAGGTTCAAGAGATTCTCCGGCCTCAGCCTCCTGAGTAGCTGGGATTACAGGTGCCCACCACCATGCCCGGCTAATTTTTGTATTTTTAGTAGAAATGAGGTTTCACCATGTTGGTCAGGCTGCTCTTGAACTCCTGACCTCAAGTGATCCACCCACCTTGGCCTCCCAAAGTGCTGGGATTACAGGCCTGAGCCACCGTGCCCAGCTGTCTTCATTTTTTAAGCAGAGATAATGTCACCTACTTCTCAGATAAATTATAAAGAGTGGATTGCTCATGCAAAGGCAGCATCTAGCCCATCTCTTGGCACTTAACATGTACTCAGTAAATGTTTATGGAAAAATATGCATGCATCATGAGCACACACTGACAAAACCTGCATTCTTTGAAGAGTTTATTTGTTTTACTAGGATGGATCTTGCTCATTCTGAACTGAAACTTCCTGAAATAAGACACACAGGCCTGCCTTGGTAACTAAGTATTAGGAGGTGAAAGAAGAATGCTTTTTGAAGGGCCCCGCAACAGGAGCTTAGGACAAACCATCTCCACTGGGAATGGGAGAGCTCTTGGCTTCCACTGAGGGCCTGTGTTGAAGCAGGACTCAAGAGGCTTTAGTGAATGACTCTGGCTCTCCCTAGAGGACTCTCCAGTGCACCTCCATGCACAGGTGGGTGGCAAATACCACCCTGGTCCATAGAGTATGGATATCTTTACTTCAATAATTTACATAAGGCCACCTTTACCATGACTTGTTGGCATTTCAGACTAAGCTGCAACACCAGCTTCAGCACCGAGGCTGTGCAGGATTCATTCCTGCATCCCACAGTTACTAGCTGGTGTTGATTCTGTGAGGGGCATTGTCATGGTAATGGGATAATCCATGGGGTATGCATCACCCCTGTCCTTTATTCTAACAGTGGGGATGACGGTTATTCCACAGTGAGATGAATGTTCTGGTGGAGGGAATCCCTGTGTGCTCCATTTGTCCTGGACTCACAGGGGATGTCAAAAGGGGGTAGCAGCTGAGCTGACATCTCAGAGATAAGTAGGAATTAGCCAGATGGAAAAGGGAGCTGAGTAAGGTCATCATTCAATCATTATTCATTTAGTATTTCTTACCTTGTCCTGTGGTCTGGTTACAGATGACTAAGAACTTTTGTCCTGGGATGCAATGGGAAGTGTGGAAAGAGGACAGCCCACTGTATATTGGGCCAGGTGCTCCAGTCCTAAGGACTCAACAGCTCCTTCTCCCAGGATCTCGCTTTTACATCAACCACTGGATTCATTCTTCCTTTAGGACAAGAATTAAAAGCAAAATAATTCCATTTTTCTTTCTTTACCATTCAAGAGATGAAGTTAGTACTGTAAATTTAAAAAAATCTTGATCATCTCTGCTCTAATGAAAATTAGACTCTGATCCGTCATCTTCCCATCCAATCATCTACCACTCCTATTTTTTTAATTTTAGATTCGGGGGAATATGTGCTGGTTTGTTACATGGGTATATTGCACAGTGCTGAGGTTTGGCGTCTAGTGCGCCCATCACCCACAGAGCGAGCATAGCATCCAATCCATAGTTTTTCAGCCCTTGCCCCACTCCCTCCCTCCCTGTGTCATCCCCAGTTTCTATTGTTTCCATCTTTATGTCCGTGTGTACCATTGTTTAGATAGCAGTTACAAGTCTAGACACGCAGTATTTGTTACTTTGTTTCTGTATAAGCTCCCTTAGGATCCTGGTGTCCAGCTGCATCCATGCATGCATACATGCTGTGTAGTATTCCATGCATCTACCCATCCTTAATCCATCCTCCAACACCGACCCAGGTCCCTCTGAGCTCTCAGCATGCCACTAAGATACCAGAAGTGGAGACACATGGGCGATGCCCTTTGACCTTGAGGTCCTTGCTGAGGATGACATTTGGCCTCTGACTTCGGGCTGCACTAGGCTAGAGCACACTCATTCTGCTGTGTACAGGTGTTCCCACAGCCACACAGCTTCATGGTGTCTGCCTCTCTGTCTGAGCACATCTAATGTTTTCTGCCACTTTATTACAAAGTCTGACTTTATAATGCAAAGTGACTCCAAACAGGCATTAGTAGACATTTCTTGTTAAAGCATAGATAGCTTTAACATTCTTTTTGACTAGTTATTTTCCCCCATAAAAATGAGATCTCAATTAAAACAATGGAGCATAAAATTAAATTTCTGAAGAGTACAGGGATATGTCTACTTTGTTATGTTCTCTGCTGTGGACTGGCACAGTGATGAGCACATGGTAGGCACTTGATAAATATTTATCAGATAAAACAGCATTATGGCTCACAACGATGGCGTATCCCAAGGAATTGAACAGTGTCTAAGAGCACTACAAATTGAAACATAAAATAGCATGTTTTACACTTTGTGGTAATAAAACAAAACTAAACGGGTAAGCTTGGTTGAATCAGGAGAATTTTAAGGGCCCTTGCAATCTTGCAGTTTTACAATTCTAGGAAAATGGGGCAGGATTACTTGGGAATCAGAAGGAGGAATATTTGGATTCTGCATGGGTTGTTTGGTAGGCTCCTGTGGAGGTAGATGGAGGTGGCACTGCTGAGCCCCTCTATTAAGGGTTCTATGGGGCACACTCCTCATAGCAGGAATAGAAACCGTTACCACTATGGTTGCCAGCTGTGCTGAGGACGGTGCGAGTCCATCCTTGATCAGGGTCTAGCCTCCTGACCTGGCCCCCAGAGTCCTTAAGTCAGCAGCTTCAGGAATCTGCATCTGAGCCCACCAGATCGCCCATTTGCATGCTTCGGGTGAGCGCCCTGGGAACAGCACCGCCGAGATCCCTTAGGGAGACAACAGCAGACATGAGATTCGGGCCTTGGCTTGGCTGCCTCCTGGGTGTGTGTGGTTTGAGATTTGCCATCTGACTTCACTGAGACTCCTCTCTGGCCCTCCATCAATGTGGTTATGACTTCTTCCCTAGGAGTCTTTGCAAGTTTCAATGAGGTAGAGTCCATGAAGAGATGTTGAAATGGAGAAGGTTGCTGAAGTTTCAAGCCTCGGGTTAGGAGTAAGCCTGTGCCTAAGGTTAGTGGATGGCTCTCTGTCCAGCATTAGAGATGAATCTTCTGTTGGTATTAGGGGTATCTTATGGCTAACTAACCTTGGCAGTGACAAGGTCAATCTTAAGCCAAGATTAAAGTGGGCTCTATCTTTGCGGGTTAGTGTCAGGGCTTTGGAGAAAGGCAAGGCGGCTCAGGACTAGGACTGTAGCATCCTTGCACCTGGCGATGCAAGGGGCTGCCCCAGAGCAGAGTCAGTAGCATGGGGCTGTAAAGCTGGTCTCGCTGGAGGAGTTAGGGCAGGGGTGAATGATCCCCACAAGAAAGCTTGAAGGATTCCTGCTCTGCTTAGAAAGTCAGGCCAGTGACCTCCAAATTCCCCTCCAATTTTATTCTTGCTCATTTTATGACCCTATAATAAGGTAACCAACCACAGAGTGAGGCTGTTACTTTATATTATAATTTGCCATAAATACTTCAATGATAACCCCAGTATGTTAAAGAACTCTTAAAGCTTTTTAAAATATAAATACATATTCTACTGGGAATCACTAGGTTATAAGGTACTTTGTATTTTTATAGAGTTAAAAGGGAAAAAGATGTTAGATGTTACCCTGACAGAATGGGTTTTTTTTAAGACTCTTTGAAAAAGCCCGCATAACATTTTCTGCTTCACTCCTGACAGCTCCTGCCCTTCTAGTTGACAATGGGATGTCAGTGGCTCCAGCCCCGAGGTGCACACTTGTTGAGTCAGGGCCAAGGGAGGATAGGCGTAACTGGTCAGAACAGAGGTACAGGCAGGCACCAAACCAGAGCTGGGGAGGCGCTGGAAACTGATTCTCCTGAAGATAAAATGAGAGAGGCCCAGAAATGAGCAGCGATTGGGTCCCAGTGACACAACTGGCTATTCAGTTTCTCTACCTCCCCTGTCCTGTGAGAAGCAAGGAGTGGCTCTAGTGTTTTTCAAAGCTGGCCATAGAGTAATTCTATAAAATTCAATATTCACTATTCACCCACATCCACAGCCAGAATACCCCTCACCTTGTCTCAGAAATAATCCAGACTATAAATTCAGAAAGGAAGCTGGCTGTGCAAGATGTATCAATATCCTATATGTGCCTGAAGATATATTTAGTAGAGAAAGAAAACTATCTGTGCCTTATGTGTTCTCTGACCTGGACACAACCACTAGAAGTGTAACTCAAGATGTATTTTGTCAATCACTAAATCTGTGGGATGTCTGTGGCTGAAAAGTGAAAGGTAAGTTCCACAATCGAGTATACTTGGCAGAATTCATCAGGATTCTTTGCTACCGAGTTTCTCAGAGCTGTCAGTATGGTGATGTACGGTCTGTCTTTCCAAGGAGGGTAAGAGTGTCCTCCAGTGCCCTTCAGCTGCACATCTCATGGAGCCAGTGTTTATCAGAAGATACATTGGGAAATTCTAACTTAGAGGCTTCGGTTGAAGACAAGTACAAAGAAAAAATATCACTCAAATCCACCAGTATGTGGCAGGGAGTATACAGAAAGCTTTTTACTATATTTAATTAATTCAGTAATTAATCAAGTGAACAAAAGAAAAAGAAAATATAAACTAATAATTTCATTAATTGGCTTGACTTCATTAAGCCCTAACTTTTGCGTAATAATGGAATTTTGTGGTCATTTTGATATATATGGCGTCATAGAAAAAAATTAACATTCTTAGAATGACTTGCCTGTTGACAAAGAAAATAAGATTCATTTACATGGCAAATTAGGAACAGAGGGGAACATCCTTGACTTCATAAAAACCATCTGCAAAATCCTACAGCTAACATCATACTTAACGATGAGAAACTAAATGCGTCTCACCCCAAATCAGAAATAAAGCAAAGGTGGCCACTCTTCTTCTTCTTCTTTTTTTTTTCTTTTTCTTTTTTTGAGATGGAGTCTCCCTCTGTCACCCAGGCTGGAGTGTAGTGGCGTGATTTCGGCTCACTGCAACCTCCATCTCCTGGGTTCGAGCTAGTCTTCTGCCTCAGCCTACTGAGTAACTGGGACTACAGACATGTGAGGTGGCCACTCTTCTTACCACTTTTATTCCACATTGCCCTGGAAATCTTTGCTAATGCAATTAACAGGTAAAGGAAATAAAAGGCATGCATATTGGATAGAGAAATAAAACTGTCCTTGTTCTCAGATGATAAGATAGTCTGTAGAAAATCCCGAAGAATTAACAACAACAAAAACTCCTGGAACTAGTAAGTGGTGATAATTAGGTTGCAGAATACAAGGTTAACATTTAAAAATCAACTGCTTTATATAATACATACAAGTAATATATATTAGCAAAGAATATTGGAATTTGAAATTAAAAACAAAATTTCATTCACATCAGCATCCAAAATATGAAATACTCAAGGCATAAATCTAACAAAATACATATATGCAAGACGCATATTAGGAAAACTGTAAAACTGATGAGAAAAACAAATAAAATCTGTATTAATGGAGAGATATTCCATGTATATAGATAGGAAGACAACATTGTCAAGGCGTCAGTTCTTCCCAACTTGATCTATACATTCAATGAAAGCCTGATTAAAATCCCTGCAAGCTATTCTGTGGATGGGGATAAACTGATTTTAAAGTTCATAAGGAAGGCAAAGACCCAAGATAGCAAGTGCAATATTGAAGGACACAAACAAAAGTCAGAGAACTGACACTACCAACGATAATCAAGACAGTGTGATATTGGCAAAAAAAGAAAAAAAAAAAGAGAGAGACAGACAAATCAAGGGAACAGAATAGAAAGCCTAGAAATGAATCCACAGAAATATAGTCAACTGATATTTGACAACGAGCAAAGGCATTCCAATGGAGAAAAGAGAGGCTTTTCAACAAATAGTACTGAAAAAAGTAGACATCAACATGCCAAAAAAATAGACACAGATTTTTCACTGTTCACAAAAATTACCTCAAAATAGATCATAGTCTAAGGCACACAATTGTAGAACTCCTAGAAGGTATCACAGGAGAAATTCTCGGAGACTTGGGTTTGGTGGAGACTTTTTAGATACAACACCAAAAGCACTTTCCATGAAAGAAGAAGTTAAATTGAACACCACTAAAATTAAAAGTTTCTGATTTGCAAAAGACATGGATAAGATAATGAAAACAGAAACTATTGACTGAAGAAAAAACAACGTTTGCCAAACAAATATCTGATCAAGGACTGGATCCAAATACACAAAGAACTCTTAAAACTTAACAACAAAACAACACAATTTAAAAAGCAGAAAAAAAGATTTGAACAGGCACCTCACCAAAGAAGACATACAGATGGCAAATAAGCATATAAAACGATGCTCAGCATCATATGTCAGCAGGAAAACACAAATTAAAACAACCATGAGACACCACTACACACCTATAGGAATGGCCAAAATCCAGAACCCCGACCACACCAAATGCTGGAGAGGATGTGGAGCAACAGGAACTCATTCACTGCTGGTGGGAATGCAAATGGACAGCCACTTTGGAAGATAGTTTGTCAGTTTCATCTAAAATTAAACATCTTCATTCCAGCACTTGTCCTTCTTGGTATTTACCCAAGTTAAAAACTCACGTCTAGAGAAAAAGCCTCATATAGGTTTATAGAAGCTCTATTGATAACTGCCCAAACTTAGAAGCCACCAAAGTGTCCTTTGGTAGCTGAAAGGATAAACAAACTCTGATAATACATGCAATAAAATATCATTCAGCGATAAACAAGAAACGAGCTATCAAGCCACATGAAGACATGGAGGAAACTTAATTCATGGGGTGAGAGAAGCCAATCTTAAAGGGCTTCATACTGTATGATTTCAATTATATGACATCCCGGAAAAGGCAAGGGATTTTCGGGGATGGGGGGAGATGAATAGGCAGAATATGGAGGAATTTTAGGGTACGGATATGAGTCTGTATACCACTGTAATGATGGATACATGTCAATATACATTTCTCCAAAACCCATAGAATGTACAACACAAGGAATAACCCTCAACTATGGACTCTAGTTAATAAGGTATCAATAGTGTCTCAACAGTTGTAACAAATCTATCACACTAATGTAAAATGTTGATAATAGGGGAAATGGTGAGCTGAGGGGGTTAGGAAATACATGGTAGCTCTCTGTATTTCCTATTTATTTTTTTCTGTAAACCGAAAACTGCTGTAAAAACAGTGTATTAATCAAAAAATACAAAGAAAAAAGTTACTGGAATTCACTGAGATGTGGCAGTGAGTAAACAACGTTTTATCAATTTAATAAAAGTTTTCTTCAGTACTTTAATCAAAGACAAAAAACCAGAAAAACAGAAAATAAGCCAATAATTAAAGCAATTCAGCAGAATTTACTGAGCCTTAACTTGGGTATAATAAAATTTGGGGAGCATTTTGATACATACAGAATCATAGAAGAGAATGGAGGCTCTCAGAACGGCTTGCTTGCCTGCTCACAAAGACAACAAGATCAACTCACATGATTAAACCTCATGGCAAGTGGAAGGCTCTTATCACAGTGTTAGGCACATAGTGCATACTCAGGAAAGCTGACACAGTGCCAGGAAGTTTATGGTCTGCACCAGACAAGCAGAACACGAATGCATGCAATAAAATAGAGAACTGAGAACTCATGGTACACTACAGTAACCAAGGAAAGCCTCATAATGAAACTGGAGTTTGAGCTAATATTAAAGTAAACAAAAAATAAGAAGAAAATATGATAGGCAAATAAAAGGAATGCAGGCAAAAACAAGAAAAAGCAATAGAAAGGTAGGAAGAAAGACGATGTGAACAGAAATGCAGAAGCACGCCCCTTACTCCTTGATGAGAAACACTGCATGGATCCTTCTTGCCAAGAAAGTGGTGGTTCCCGGGAGCCATCAGCATTAGACTCTTGGTTATGAGGTGAGCTGGACCCAGCAGATGGAGGGGAAGCAAGCGTGAAGTGCAGACAGAAGAGGGTGGCTTCACAGCCCACATCTGGGCCGTCCAAGATGGGAGTGGAAGACGGTCACAGCACAACTTGTCAGGAGGCTGCTGGGACGTCAGTGGAGACGTTGACCTCTTCAGGATAGCGTTCCCTGAAGTTTCAAACACAGAACTAATGGCAGCCCAGGGTGCCTCTCTGCAAATTTTATGCTGTAGCTTGAAGGACATTTCCTAACTTAAGAACAAAATGAGCAGTGGTACATAAATGTTAAGATATTATCTCAATTTATTTTATTTGGTAGTTTTAAAAAGCTTGAATAGTACTGCTGGTTTCATGGAACCTAATGTTAGCCACTTTTCTTTAACAGCTTTATTGAAATATAATACCATAAAATTCACCTACTTAAAGTGTACAATTCAATGTTTTTTAACTAGATTCAGAGTTGTGCCAATATCATCAAAATAAAATTGGGCACATTTTGATCACCTGAAACAGAAATCCTGTACCACTAGCAGTCACTTCCCATTCACTCCAACTTCAGCCTGGGCAATCTCTAATCTATTTTCTGTCTCTGTAGATTTGCCTTCTCTGGGCATTTCAAATAAATAGGACCCTATAATATGTGGTCTTTTGTGTCTTGATTCTTTCACAAAGTGTGTTTTCAAGATCCATCTATGTTGTGGCATGCATCAATCATCACTTCATTCCTTTTTATCGTCAAACAACATTCAACTGTATGGATATATCACCTTTCGTTCACCCCTTCTTCATTTGATGGACGTTTACAGTGTTTCCAATTTTTATCTACTATGAACAATGCTGCTGTAAATATTTGCCTACAAGTGTTTCTGTAATCATATGTTTCATTTCTAGGAGAGAAATTACTGATTAATAAGATTAATCTATATTTAACTTTTGAAGGAACTGCTAAGCTGTTTTCTAAGAGGTTACACCATTTTATATCTCCACCAGCAAGATACATGTTACAATTTTTCCACATCTTTCACAATTGTAACTTTCTATTTTATTATAGCATCCTAGTAGGTGTGAGGTGGTATTTTATTGTGATTTTGATTTGAATTTCTGTAAGGACTAAATGTGTTGAGCATCTTTTCATGTGCTTATTGGCTATTTACCATATTTTTTAGAAATGACTATTCAGATAGTCTGTTTTTAATTGAATTGTCCTTTTATTCTTGAGTTGTGTTGTTTTAAATACATATTCTGGATATAAGGCCCTTATCAGATATATGATTTGCAAATATTTTCTCCTATTTTCTGGATTGCTGTTTCATTTTCTTTACGGTATCATTTGAAATATAAAGCTTTAATTTTGATTAACTGCAATGTATCTATTTTTTTATTTTGCCATTTGTTTTTGTGGTTATAGCTAAGAAGCTATTGTCTAATCCAAGTCAGAAAGAGTTGCTCCTGTATTTTCTTTTAAGAGTTTTATAGTGTTTGATCTTACCTTCAGGTCCATGATTTTAAGTTTATTTTTGAGTATGGTGTGAGGTAGGATTACAACAGATAACTACAGATATAAGTCCATAGTTTTCTATTTTTGTACTATATTTGTCTAGTTTTGATATCAAGGTAATATTGGGCTCATAAATGAGTTGGGACATAATTCTTCATCTGCTACTTTTCCAAAGAGATTGAGTAAAACTGATGTTAAACCTTCTTTAGATGTTTGATAGACTTCCCTGTAGAATGCTCTGGTTCTGGAAATTATTTTTAAGGAGTTTTTAAAGTATAAATTCAATTTATTTGATGCTTGGTTGCAATATTGATTATCTATTTCATCTTGATTGATTTTTGATAGTTTGATTTCTGCGGGATGGGTTTATTTCTTCTAAATTATTAAATTTATGGGAATAAAGATACTCATATTTTGTCATATGTTATTTTTAATGGCTGTAATGTCTGAAGTGACATCCCCATCTCAGTTTTTATATTGGTGACTTGTCACATTTATTGTAAGTTTATCAACTTACTGGTTTTTTTTGGAAGAACCAGTGTTTGGTTTCATTGATTTTCCCTTGTGTTTTATATTTTCAACTTGGTTCATTTTTGCTACTATCTTTATTACTCATTCCTTCCCATTGCTTCCAGTTTAGTTTGGAACTTCTTAATTTGAGTATTTTCTTTTTTTCTAATGAAACCATTTAGTGCTATGAATTTCCTTCTCAGCACGCTTTTGATCTACTATGTTTTACTTTTCATCCGGGCTGCCTGCACTGGTGGCTCTGGGTGGGTAGGGTAGTCTTGGGCCCAGCAGGGCATAAGACAACTTTCCCTGAAGATAACTTTTTTTCCTGCAGTCCTAATAATTGATCTATTTTTACCTTGGTAAAACTTGCCTGATTTGGTCAGAGGAACACTGTTACATTTGGAGGGAAAATCATCCCACTTGATTGCTAGATTGAGGGTCATAAAATACTGGCTCTGTGTGGCCTTCAACTATTAGGAGTGGTGACAAGAAAACTTGTAGCTATACAGTTTCTCCCAGACCAGTGCACCTGCTTCTCCTAAGCTTTCAGAATTCTCCTTTGGTTGTGTCTTGTACCTTTCCAAGGGCTTATAGTCTAGTAGGGAGAGGAGGGCAAAAAGTGTCTATGGCATGTTGTCCATATTAAAAAGAATACAGTTTCTTTTCTACAATTTTCTTTGTCTGTCTTTGGTATCAGGGTATTACTGGACTCAAATAATGAGTTCAGATGTGCCTCCTACTCTTCTTTTTGGGGGGAAGATTTTGTGAAGATTAGTGGTAATTCTTTGAATGGTAGATATCATAAGCGAAGTCATTTCGGTTTGAGCTTCTCTCTGGGATTCAATTTCTTCTAATGAATCTATTTACCATTTCTAATAGTTTGTATATTTCTAGGATTTTTCCCCATTTCATCTAAGTTATCTAAATTGTTGGCATACAGTTTGTCATAGTATTACTTTATAATACTTTGCACTTTCATGATATTGGTAGTAATGCCCCCTCTTTTACTCCTGATTTTAGTAATTTGAGTCCTTTTTTTTTAACTAATCTAGTTAAAGTTTTGTCAGTGTTGCTGATCTTTAATGAACTTTTCATTTCATTGAATTTTTCTCATTTTTCAGCTAATTAATTTCTATTTCACTCTTTATTATTTCCTTTTGTTTGCTTTATTTTGGTTTATTTTATTTTCTAGTTTGCTAACATGAAATAAATGTTAGCTAAATGATTTAAAATATTTCTTCCTTTTTAATGTAGGCATTTATAGGTATAATTTTCCCTCAAAACACTATTTTAGGTGTATCCTATAAATTTTGGTAAGTTGTGTTTTTCTTTTTATTTATCTTAGAGTATTTTTTATTTTCTCTGTAATTTCTTAATCAATGCATTGGTCATTTTAAAAAGTGCTACTTAATTTCCACTGATTTCTCAATTTCTCAAGTTGTTTTCTGTTATTTCTAATTTAATTCTGTTGTGATGAGAGAACATACTTTGTATTTACTGAGGATTGTTTTATTATATATCATATTGTCTATCCTGGACAATGTTCATGTGTGCTTGAGAAGGATGTGTATTCTGCTGTTGTTGGTTGGAGTGCTCTATAAATGTCCCTTAGGTCCTGTTGGGTTTACAGTGTTGCACACATCTTCTGCGTCCTTGCTGACCTGCCTAGTCGTTCTAATGATTAATGTCCGATGCTGAAGTCATCAAGTATTAATGTTAACTTGTCTATTCTTCCCTTTAATTCTGTCAGTACTGGGGGGGACTCTGTTGTTGGATGTGTATATATTTATAAATGTCACGTCTTCCTGATATGTTTACAATTATAAATTGTCTTTATACCTAGTAATATTTGTTGTTATTTATTTATTTACTTATTTTTGAGATGGAGTTTTGCTCTTGTCACCCAAGCTGGAGTGCAATGGTACAATCCCTGCGCACTGCAACCTCCACCTCCCGGGTTCAAGCAATTCTCCTGCCTCAGCCTCCCAAGTAACTGGGATTACAGGTGTGTGCCACCATGCCCAGCTAATTTTTGTACTTTTTAGTAGAGACGGGGTTTCGCCATGTTGGCCACGTTGGTCCCAAACTCCCAACCTCAGATGATCCACCCACCTCAGCCTCCCAAAGTGCTGGGATTACAGGTGTGAGCTACTGAACCTGGCCTATTGTCTTAAAGTTTCTTTTCCCCTGATATTTCTATAGCCACTCCTGCTCTCTTATAAGTGCTATTTTCACGGCATATATTTTCCACTCTTTTGCTTTCACCCTATTTGTGCCTTTTAATCTAAAGTGTATCTGCTGAAGACGGCATAGTTGGATCTTTATTCAGTTTAAAATTATGCTTTTTTATGGGATTGCTTAAATCACTTATATTGGATGCTATTACCCATCTGATTATATTGACATCTGCCATTTTGCTTTTAGTTTTCTATGTCTCATGTTTTTTCTCATTCCTCTGTTCTCTATTTACTGCCTTCTTTCACATGAAGTGAATCTTTTCCAGTGGAAGATTTCAGTGTTTAATGAATTTTTATTTTATAATTGTTAGTAATCTTTTTATTCACTGAACTAATGCTTACAAGATACATCTTATCAGAACCCACCTTCAATTTACATTAATTTAATTTCAGCAATATTTTATGTCTTTTGAAGGAAGCTGAGAAAAGAAAGCACACACACACACACACACACACACACACACAGATAGATAGATAATGAGGGAGAATTTGTAGTAGTCTATTTCCTAGCTTGGGTCTGCATCATCATCTGCTGTCTCCCTTACTGCGGTGCAGCTTTGGCCCCATCCCTTTCCTCCTGAGCTATTATTTTCCAATACATTGCATTTCCATATGATATAGGCACACAATACTATTATACACGTAATGCTTTTTTTTTTTTTTTTTTTTTGAGATGGGGTCTCATGCTGTCGCCCGGGCTGGAGTGCAGCAGCACCATCTCGGCTCACTGCAACCTCTGCCTCCTGGGTTCAAGCGATTCTCCTGCCTCAGCCTGCTGAGTAGCTGGGATTACAGGAACCTGCCACCATGCCTGGCTAATTTTTTATATTTTCAGTAGAGACAGGGTTTCACTATTTTGGCCAGGCTGGTCTCAAACTCCTGGCCTCATGATCCGCCCACCTTGGCCTCCCAAAGTGTTGGGATTACAGGCTTGAGCCATCGCACCCAGCCCTCACAATGCTTTTAAAAATTTTTAAAAACACGTTAAGAAAAAAGTAGAAGAAATATACCATTGTACTATTCTCTACAATTTTCTATGTAATTATCTTTAATGAAACTATTTTTTTTTTTCATGGATTCAAATTACTCTCACATGTCACTCACTTTCAGCCTGAAGAACTTCCTCTGTATTTCTTGTAAGGCAAGTATGCTAGCAATACATTCGTCCAGATTTTGTTTATCTGGTGTATTAGTCAGCTTGGGCTGCCATAACAAAATACCACAGACTGAAGGCTCAAACAACAGTGTTTATTTTTTCACAGTTATGGATGCTGGAAGTTCAAGATCGAAGTCTGACATGGTCAGTTTCTAGTGAGGGCTTTCTTCCTGGCTTGCAGATGGCTGTCTTCTCAATGCGCCCTCACACGACACACCCACACACATCCACAGAGAGAGAACAAGAGAGAAAGAGAAAGAGAGAGGGAAAGAGAGAGAGAGAATGCGAGTGCACACTTTGTCCTCTTCTTGTACAGACGTGAATCCTATTGAATAAGGGCCCTCATTTAATCTTAATTACCACCATAAAGGTCCCATTTCCAAATACAGTCACATTGCAGGATGGGGCTTCAATCTATGACTTTGTTTTAGCTTCATTTTAAAGTAGTTTGATGGATATAAGAGCCCTGATTGAGTATTTCCCCCCTTTCCTTTTGGCACTTTGAATATGTCATCTTACTGATTTTTGGCCTCCATTTTGTCTGATTTGGAGTTGACCATTAATCTTATTGGAATTATCTTGTTCATTTTCTCTTGCTGCTTTCAAGATTTCTTTTTGAATATAATGTGTCTAAGTGTGGATCTCTTTGTGAAGAGCTTCTTGGGTTTGTTGAAGAATGTTTTGCATTGAATTTGGTATGTTGATGGCAATTATTTCTTTGAACATTTTAAATTCTCCTTTATTTCATCTTTTTCTGGTACTCTATTATTTTTATATTGGTGTGTTTAATGTCTAATATTTCTGTAAGTGTCCATTTTTTAAATTCTTTTCTTCTGTGTTGTATAATATTTATAGTTTAGATTTTTAAGTGTTTTGCTTGTTTCTTCTCCAGCTCAAACCTGTTGTTGAGCCTCTGTATTAAAATTTGTATTTGGGCTATTATTAACTCCAGAATTTCCATTTTGGTCTATTATAATTTATATCTCTTTATTGATCTTCTTTATCTAATGAGACATTGTCATCATAACTTTAAGGATAATTTTCTTTAATTCTTTGAATATATTTATGATAGTTACTTTGATGTCTTTGCCTGATAAGACCAACATCTGGGCCTCCTGAAAGGTAGAGCCTACTGGCAGCTTTTTTCCTTCTTGTGTATGACTGAGTTTTCTTCTTTGTATGTCTGGTAATTTTTTGTTGAAAACTTCTAAAGGAAAATACATTGTAGTAACTCTAGATACTGATCCCCTCTTCCAAGCTTATTGATGTTGTTTGCTGCTTTATATGTTAATTATTTGGCTGTGGTGGTTCAGAAAAGCTATTTCCCTTCAAGTGTGCTGTGTGCGATGTCATGCTCAAATTTCTCTTCTTTTTATCTCAAGCCTATCTTCCTAGGGCCTGTCACATGATCAACACTGTTTAGTTGCCAGCCTCTGATTGGTTCAAGGTTGTGCTTAAGCCCTCTGAGCTAGTAAGTGCCCCCTCCCTTTTATCATAACATCTGTATGTGGCTTGGAGACTTCTAAAAGAAGACTGTTAGAGAAGTTTGTGTTTCCTTCATATTCAGCTAAGGACTTTTATCTCAAAAGTTGTCTTTCCAGTCACTCCTCAAATGGAAGATCCTTGACTATGCACAGACTTCCTGACCACCAGCGATGACTGGAAATTCTTTTAGCTCTCTTTAGTCTCTCTCTTTTCCTGATCTCCCTAATAAACTTCTGGCTAGTCTCTTTGTATTGCTATTACATCAAGCTGTTAGACTTCACTAATTACTAGCTGACTTCAACTATACTTGGGATAAAATTTACTCAATACTCTGATCCACTTGAAGTCCGGCCCCTTGACAGCAGCAGGGTGTTAACGGACATTGAGCTTGTTCTGACCTTCCTTTGAGTAGAACCTCTGCTGTATGGAGCTGAAGTGTGAAGCTGGGGGGTGGGGGTGGTGCTTGCTCTCCATGACTGCCCCATGTGTTTTTTTATGAATCAGCAACTATGGAGTGTGGTGCTGGACAGGTGAAAACTGGTGCCTCTTCTGAGCACTATCCATTATAAATCTTCTGTATCTCAGAATGAATGAGAATAGAATGTAGTGGTTTTCCAGATTGTAAGCCTACCTATAATAATAGCTTTATCTCAGAAAGCTGGAAGCGAGGAGAGTGGCTCTTTATTTTAACCAATCCTACTAAAGAAGCTCCCTCATAATACAAAGATATATGGGAAAAGGAGACTGAATTTTTCACCAGTTGCCCTGCCAATCTTACTTACTTAATGGAATTTGGGAGTGGGGAAATGTGCATTGCCACTGACTGCTACCATGCACTCAACATAGATCTTCTGCAGCAGGGAGCTGGGCAAAATGTGATTTGCTGGTGTTCACTGGCTTCTAGAAAGTTAGGGTGAATGGGAATTATGACTTTACTGACAAGACCACTGTGACAACTCAGCCACAAGGCAGAAATGTGGGGGAGGAGGTGGGGGAAGTCTCTAGAACAAAGGCCCAGCCTTCTGCTGAGAAATTCCATAGATTTTGTTCTCAATTTGCTTTAAGCCCTTTGATCAATCTCCACAGACTTTGAATGATTGCTAAATTTCATAAGCTTAGCGGGTGTCTCTCCTGGGGGAGAGCTTTCCCAGGGCTCTTTGCAGCACCATTCTGGAAGTGCTACCTTCATGCCATTAGTTTTTGAGCACTGACTGCTCCATCCTACAAAATTGGAGAAAATAATATTTTATCTCCATATGTTGTTATTGTGACTGTTATATTAAATTATTTTTCACAATCACCTCCCCTCACTGAACTATTATACCAATATACTGCTTTATAGCACCAAATTTACTTTAGCAAAAATCATTGTCAATAAGTAGAAATGGCAATTTCAGGTGACTTTGATCTTTGGCAAGGCTATAATTGGTCCACATGATACAATCAACAGACTGGATCATTATTTTATATGACAAATTTTATTCATTTTCCCCTCTCTTCAATTTAATTACCCTAAAGCTTTTGATGGAAAGCACATTAGTATTCCAAGAATGATAATATAAAAATGTCCTAGTTACTGGAGAAGCTGTTAAAAAAGAAATGTGGAACAGAAGCATGGCAGGCAGCATTAAGATGACAGTTTGGGAGGATGACAAAGCTCAGATGAGAATTAAGAACTTGCCTACTCTCTCAGCCTGGTCCATCTTACTCTGAGACCTGAAAGGTCGTTCCTATCCCTGTGTCTCATTACACCTTTGGGGGATGCAAGCAAAGCTTTGTGCAATAAAGGGGTTCAGTGAGATCAGCATGTATGTTTAACTTTTTCCTCTGGGTCAAAAAAGCGAAAGTATCACATAATAGAGGCATGGGGGTGGCAGAAACATTATTGCAGTCACAGGATCTGAAAAATAAACGGAGAAATGATGGCCATCTAGCACATTCAATTTCTAACTTTTTAAAAATCAGAAGTAACTTTTTAAAGAGAAAAACATAGAGGGATCCCCAGTGTATAAGTGTTGCTGCTCTGGTAGCCATGGTGTTGGGGCAGATTCTGCCACCCTGATTTGCCTGTGCCTCCAGAGTTGCCTAAGACAGTGCTACTAATTTCTGGGCTGTTTAGAACTCATGTGAAAGCCTGATCAGAACCAATCTAACTCATGTGAAAGCCTGATCAGCACCGATCTTTCATTCTGGGAGTATGAAATTATATAGTGTGAGGAGGCAGCAAAAGTGAAAAGGTATCAACCCTGTGTCCATCCATTCTAAAGCCATTATTGAATCTTGCCTGGGGAGTCAGCTCCTGTCCTGGCCAAACCCTATGTTTGGGCTTTTAGGTCACACCATAAGCAATTACAAAGACCTCCCCTAGGCTATTTTATATAAATGCATACCAATTAGAAACTGAGCCTTTTGCTAGCATTCACATGGGTTGCAGTCAGCAATGTACCTCTTCTCCCAGTACTTGCAAATCTGATTAGTGCCTAGAAAGAATGAGGTACATTAAAAAATGAAAGTAACACTGAGGGTGGAGAAGGGTCTCTTGGCTGAATCCTTTTTTTTTTTTTTTTTTTTTTTTTTTTTTGAGACGGAGTCTCGCTCTGTCGCCCAGGCTGGAGTGCAGTGGCGGGATCTCGGCTCACTGCAAGCCCCGCCTCCCGGGTTCACGCCATTCTCCTGCCTCAGCCTTCCAAGTAGCTGGGACTACAGGCGCCCGCCACTACGCCCGGCTAATTTTTTGTATTTTTAGTAGAGACAGGGTTTCACCGTTTTAGCCGGGATGGTCTCGATCTCCTGACCTCGTGATCCGCCCGCCTCGGCCTCCCAAAGTGCTGGGATTACAGGCGTGAGCCACCGCGCCCGGCCTTGGCTGAATCCTTTACCTCTGAGTCACTGAGAGGAGCTCCCTTTGCAAAGGGAGCACACCATGATTTCTCTACATCTTCCCTGCCCTCCTTTTGAGATGCAATTTATGTCCTGCGAAGAGATCCACTGAGGCTGGGGAACTGACCTTGCAGCAGACGTTAGACAGTGGCTCACTGGAACAGCAAGCTGGATGAAGGGGCTGCCAAGAAGATCTGCAGCTACTGAACTACTATATGGGGCCAAGTCACCTGGTGGGACCCTCCATGAGCACTATTTTGGCAGGAGAATGATCCACAAGTCCATGCAGCAATAGCTGGCATCATCAGAGTTTATCGGGGCACAATAGGAACAGGAAGACAAGGCACATCACCTAGAGACCAGCAGACACCAGCTAAAGCCCAGAAGGAGACTGTGGATTTCTTCCCTGCCATTCCCCACACTGCCTTAAAGATCCAGAAGCTGCTCAGCTTCATAAACCTGGACGCCTTCTTAGGGAAACATTCAAGAAAGCCTGGGAGACTAAACATTTCTATTTGAAGAAAAATTAAACACAGGGACTGCATAAATTAATATGTTGCAGTCAACTGTAAATGGTGAAGGAGTAAGAACAAATATTCAACACACACACACACGTGCACACACACGCACACACATACATGCACACATACGCACGCATGTTCTCATATACATTTTAACCAGCAGGTGGAGGATGGAGCTTTGGCCAGTAGAGATGTCCATCTTCAGAACTGCCTATAGCTGGTCTGACAGAGGGGTCAGGCCAGAGGCCGCCTGAAGCTCATGGAAGCTGGGCAGGTATGGGCCAGGTAGAAAAGGCTTTTTCAAAGGGAGGTTTCCTCGATGAGGAAGCCAACCAGGTGGAGGATGCAGTAACCCTGATTCAGAGCCTTTGTAGGTGGGAAGGCCATGGAACACATCTGAAGGGACTTGAGGCTTCAAAGAAACAGTCATCCAAAACTTCTGCCCTTTTCCTTCTTGTTCCATGGCTAATCTCTATGTTATAGATTAATAGTCTGAGTAAGTCTCAGTCTTTAAATGTCTCTCAGTAATTTCTGAAATTTCTTGGCTATGAGCACTGCAAATATTCCTTCTGCTCTATCCTCTCTTTCTTCTTGTTCTCTCATTCCTATTAAGTATAGGCATGCCTTTTGAAATTGTCCCAGGACATTCTGTTCTGTGTTTTTCATCCTCCCTCCTTGTGTTTTGGTTTGAGAAGTTTCTCTTGAGCTACCTTCAAGTTCAGTGACTCCTCCTTAGCTGCATAAAGTCTCCTCAATGAGCCCATCAAAGACA
This sequence comes from Homo sapiens, assembly GCF_000001405.40. NCBI lineage: Eukaryota > Metazoa > Chordata > Mammalia > Primates > Hominidae > Homo > Homo sapiens. The sequence continues at coordinate 129,336,658 of NC_000002.12, read as the reverse complement.
TTTTTCATTTTCACTACAATGATTTTTACTTCTACCATTTCCCTTGGATTCCATTTCTTTCATTTCTTTCTCTCTGTTAGCGTCACCCATCTGGTCTTGCACATTGTGCACATTATTTTATTAGAGTCCTTACCATAGTTGTCATAGTTATTTTAGATTCCCTGTCTGATAATCCTACCAGCTGTGTCCTACATGAGTCTGGGTCTAATGATAGCTTTGTCTCTTCAGACTGTGTTTTCTCTTGCCTTTTAGCCCTCCTTGCAATTTTATGTCAAAAGCTAGACATGATGTATTAGGTTACAGGAACTGAGGTTAAAGGCCTTTTGTGTGAGAACTTATGTGAATCCAGCTGAAGTTGGGCATGTCTAATGTGGGCTGTTTGTAGGTGCCAAGGCTGCAGATTCCTTCGGTGTCTTGGTTTACATCTCTTCTTGGCTCGGGGGCTTCCTTTTGCACTGCTCCTCAGAGAGACTGTGTTTTGACTCTTTCAGCCACAGGCCGGTCTTTATACTGGAAGCTTGTTTTTGTGGTGGTGAGGTGCAGGGCCTTCCTCATGCTGTGGTCTTCACAAAAGTCTCGGTTCCTCCATTTCCGATCCATATCCTTGGATTCATGTTCCCTATTGACCACATTCTTTAATGTTTTCCTTTAGGTGAGACAGAAAAGCTGGAGGGGTCTGGGGAAAGGCAGTATTCCCCAACCCCTTGCTGAGGTGAGGTTACTGTGTTGCCCTCTGGGGATGTCCTGCCCCTGGAGAGTGGGCTTCTGTTAGGGAGAAGGGCCTGGGAGGGTCATACCAGGGCCATTCGTCTCCTGCCCCTGCCAAGGCCATCAGGGCATCTTTCTGAGAGCCTCACCATGAGAAACTTGGTGGGGGTAACTGGAAAGAAAGCCTGTGAAATGTCCCCCCCAACCAATGACAGTGGGGAAGAGACCCTTCAGAATTTTCTCATTATCATGCTAATCTGTACTTGGCCTCCAGCAATTTATCAAACATTACAGGTAGATAAATGTTTCCATCAAGTTATGGTTCCAGTGACTTCTGGTCGTGGTGCAGAAGCTCAGGTGTGATATCACTCTAGATGTGTCTGACCCCACAGATTTCAGGGTGAAGATGTGCCCTGGACCTCAGGCCTCTCCTGGACCCCAGAAAGTTGCTGATTTTCACCTTGTCCAACCTTTTCCTGTCGTAAGGACTAATGTAATGGCTTCCAAGCTTTTTCCTTGTTGGAGCTGTGATGAGAAGTTTAGTCACAACCATTTTAAGCAAATGCATTCATCCTGGTGGGCTGAGGAAGACACCTCCTGGAGGCGTCTGCTGAAATGAGGCTAATTTACTGTTTCCACTTTTTCTTCAAAAATGGGGAAAATCTCATCAGGGCCATTGCAGCTGACTTGACAGAACAGTCACACTAGAAGTAAGGCTGAGCTGCCCATCTCAATTATTCCAACATTAATTAGGAAGGAAACAGAACACCAGCAGGAATTTGCCTAAAGCAATTGATTAATTGTCTCAAGATTTCCAAGGCCGTTACAAAAAGTGGAAAATCCCAGGTTTTGAAACGAGACAGACTTGAATTATTAATAATAGCTCTTCCCTTCACTGGTTGAGTTCCCACCAGAAGCCAGTTTCTTTATTTTTAAATAGAGGGGAACAGTCTGTACCTTCCAGTTTGTTCGAGGATTAAATGGGAGCGTCTATTTAAAGCCACTGCACAGTGACTGCCACTCAGAAAGGGCTTGGCGACCTGAGGCCGTCAGCACTGCCTGTGTCTTTCCTTGGCCCCTGCAGCCTTGCGGTCCTGGCCATCACTCTCTGTGGAGTGGGACAGGGCATCCAGCCTCACTTTGCTGATGCCCTCGGCTGCCGTCTCTGCAGGCACACGTCTGTGCCACAGAAACTGGCACACTGCGGGTCAGCCTCGAGTGCATGAGGGTGTTTTACTTCCTAATTAGCAAAGGCATAGCTCTTGTTAAAATACTGGCAGATCGAATGTCTCATTACCTTTTATTCATTACTGGCTTCTAATTATTCTGAATTGTTTCTTAATTAGAGTCTGTCCGGTGGAAAATAGATGTGAACAGAGTGAGACGCAGGGCAGACCTCTGGGGTGAAACGGACAGTGGAGGGTCCCTCAGAGATGGTCTTTGTCATCAGTGGGGATGCTTCATTGGGAGGTTCTGTTTCCCTGCCAGAACCCGCCCAGGCCCACTTCTCCAGCCCCTGAGGAAGTGCCACTCTCCATGGCTCCCAGGGAGGACAAGCCATGGCCTATTGGGAGAAATTCTTAGCAGACTTCCAGTCCCGGCAGGAGGCCTCCCTGGCGCAGGGGTGAGTAGAGCCTGTGGCAGTGGTGTCTCCTTACCCGGGGTCTCCTCCAGGGTTCCTCTCCCAATCCTTCTGCAAGTGAAAGCCTCATGCCCCGCCCCCCCCCCCACCCTATAGGGCATGACTCCAGGAAGGAGTGTGACTCTTAGTCCCTACCTTCAGTTTGTATTAAAGATCCTATTCTTACCAGGGGACTCAAGATGTTTCTTATTACATCTCATTGCTAATTGTCAATAAGAGGTTATTTCCCTATCACTTCGACAGTATGCATCACAAAAGTTTAGAGTCATTATCTTTACTCCAGAGAATTTAATCTTAGAAAATAGTTACAAATCCAGACAAATTTTAAGCTCGAAGAGTGTTATGGGTTGAATCGTGTCCCTCCAAAATTCATATATTGATGTCCCCAGTACCTCAGGATGTGACTTTATTTAGTGATAGGACCTTTACAAAGATAATCAAGTAAAAATTAGACCTTTAGGATGGGCCCTAAGCCATTATGACTGCTGTCCTTATAAAAATGGGGAATTTGGGCCTGGGCGGTGGCTCATGCCTGTAATCCCAGCACTCTGGGAGGCCGAGGCGGGCGGATCACGAAGTCAGCAGATTGAGACCATCCTGGCCAACATGTTGAAAAATACAAAAATTAGCTGGGCGTGGTGGTGCATGCCTGTAATCCCAGCTACTTGGGAGGCTGAGGCAGGAGAATTGCTTCAACCAGGGAGTCGGAGGCTGCAGTGAGCCGAGATCGCGCCATTGCACTCCAACCTGGCGACAGAACGAGACTACATCTCAAAAAAAAGCGGGGGGTGGGGGCGGGGGAATTTGGACACGCAGACAACCAGAGGAAGAAGGTGAAATGAAGAAATGCAGAAAGAAGACAGCCATGCACAGAGGAGAAAGGCCTAGGGCACACCCTCCCAGCCCTTAGAAGGAAGCAATCCCGCTAACACCTTGATTTTGTTCTTCTAGCCTCCAGAACTGTAAGATAATGCATTTCTGTTGTTTAAGCCGCCCAGTCTGTGGCACTTTTTGACTGAAGCCCTTGACAACTAATACAGACAGACATAGCAGCACAGCTCAGACCTAAATGTACCGTGTTAGGAAATGATTCGGTAAATGTGGAATATGCATTTAATGCTGTGTCACCCAGCAATTAAAATGTATGTTTACAAAGAGGCATCAATAACATGGAAAAAATGACAAGTGAAATCAAGCTAAAGTTTATAGGCAGAATGATCACAATACATACACCAGACAAAAAACCTGCCCAGGAAGGTCACTGGGGGAAATGTTCAATCACACTAGTAATCAAGGATTGCAATTTTAAACAACAGTGAAATACATCTGCCAAATTGGATTTTCAAATCAAACTATTTAATTCTGAGTAGGTCCATGAGACGGCTTTTCTCATAGGCTGCTGGAAGGAGTAGGAGTTGGTATAATGTTTCTGGGAAAGAACTTGGCTGAAAATGGAAGAACTTTAACAGTTTTTGTACTTTATAGGCCAATATTTTGGAATTTGTACTAAGGAAATAATCACAGTTTGGAAGAAAGGTTAAAATATAAGGATTTTTTGTACTCATGATAGGAAAACAAACAGATGTAACAAAAGTGCCCCAGGATGGAAGCTATGATGCAACTACATAGATCCCGTGAAATCACGTGTCATCAAACAACCGCAACATAATGAAAACACATTACTGGTTTTATGAAATTTAAAAAAAGAAGGTATGTATAAAGAAATGAACCACTGTAATCCCAGCACTTTGGGAGGCCGAGGTGGGTGGATCACGAGGTTAGGAAATCAAGACCATCCTGGCTAACATGGTGAAACCCTGTGTCTACTAAAAATACAAAAAATTAGCCAGATGTGGTGGCGGGCGCCTGTAGTCCCAGCTACTCGGGAGGCTGAGGCAGGAGAATTGGCGTGAACCCGGGAGGTGCAGCTTGCAGTGAACCCAGATCGCGCCACTGCACTCCAGCCTGGGCGACAGAGCGAGATTCCATCTCAAAAAAAAAAAAAAAGAAATGAACCAAGATTTTATACAAACTATCTTTATAGGAATGTTTGTAGTTTTAAGTTATTATATTCTTATCCTACCTATAATTTTAAATTAAAACACATATTACTTTATAAAATAAATAATTAATAATCTTGAAAACTAAAGACTGAAAAGCATCATTAGGAAGATGTGATTGTGTGTGTGCGGGGGGGTAGTAGATGAGGAGTTTTCCAAAATTACTAAAATCAGTCATGTTGTTAGATGTGTTTTATTTTCCTCTTTAGATCTCAAGTAGAACTAACTAGTTGAGCAGTAAAACCACAGTTGCTTCACTAGGGAAAAGATTAACAAGCTGGAGCGCAGGAATCTTTGACAGAATGTGAAGCAGAGGAGAGTGACATCCTACTTTACCAGTACTCATGAGGCTCTCGGGGCCTGTGTCAACCAAGGCGGGAAGCCTGCAGGAGGCGACCACAGATCACGGGAGACACAGCCTAGAGTCTGACAGCCTGCAGGAGGCTGGACTGGAGAAGCATAGATCCGGTAACCCTGGGCTCTTAGGCCCCTGCCCTTTGCCAGCCTACTCCCAAGGGAGGGTCAGAACATGATCCTACTGAGCAGTGCTTCTCAAAAGTTTCGGTAGCAGATTTCCTTCAGACTCTTAATATTACTGAGCACTCCTAAGATCTTGTCTATCAATGTTTTCAGTATTAGAAATTTAAACGGAGATGTATTAATATATTCATTATTTATTTAAAAATAACCAGTTGACAGTAACAAATTATGTTTTATTAAAAAATTAGCTATATTTTATTAAAAAAAGAAACTAGTGAGAAAACGGACATTCCTTTACCCTTTTGCAAATTTTTTTCTTTTTTTTTTTTTTTAGACGGAGTCTTTGTTGCCAGGCTGGAGTGCAGTGACGTGATCTTGGCTCACTGCAACCTCTGCCTCCTGGGTTCAAGCCATTCCCCTACCTCAGCCTCCCAAGTATCTGGGACTACAGGTGTGCGCCACCACGCCCAGCTAATTTTTTGTATTTTAGTAGAGACAAGGTTTCACCATGTTGGCCAGGATGGTCTCAATCTCCTGACCTCGTGATCCGCCCGCCTCGGCCTCCCAAAGTGCTGGGATCACAGGCGTGAGCCACCATGACAGGCTGCAAATCTCCTTAACGTCCGGCTTAATGGAAGACAAATCAACTCTACCTGGTTTGCCTGTGTGCACTCCATTGTGATAGCACATGTTTCGTAATCTCTGGAAAACCCTGCTCTACAGCTATGGTAACATTAAAAAAGACACAATACTTTGGCATTGCTATGAAAATGATTTTGAACTCATGGAGTTATTCAAAGGATTTTGGGAACCCCTAAGGGTTCCTGGACCAGAAACTTTAATAACCACTACTATCACCAGAGATAGAAAAATTGAAATGTGAAATTGTCCAAAGACCCAGTCCTGTCCTGATGCCCTAGAATGCACTCAGCCAGCCTTCAGGAATCTTGCCCTCCACCTTCCCCAGCACATGAAATCATCGAATCAGATAGCTTTGGAGAACGAAAAGCATACCACAGGTGAGTGAGAATTACTAAAAGTGGAAACAAACCAGATCCTACATGGAGTGAAGCATGCATAAGAGCCTGCATTTCATAACATGAGCACACAGCAACTGCTACAGCAGTGCTAGGTTGTGGCTCAGAGTCAGCAGCTACCACAGTCCTCAGGGTGTGGAACAGGGCAGCTGCCATCCTCTAGAGGATCAAGGGACAAGAGACAGCAATTGCTCTAAGGAACATCAGGGTGATATATGTGGGTTTGGAGAGTCAGGACTGTGGCTCACGCGGTTGGTAACACCCTGAGGTCAGAGGAGTCCCCCCACTTGGAAGACAGCCTTCAGTTTGATCCCCTTGTGAACCCATCTTGCGGCTCCCATCTGACAGGACAGAGAGATGCGTCTTCTCAAACCAAGACAGATGATGTTCTCAACCAGCCAGCATGCGTGGAAAACCACACTATAAAGCAGTTTCATCCAAACCAACCAGAATTAAGCATTCTTTCAACAAATACCTATTGATCAACAATCATTTGCCAATATAGATATGATATATTTTATTTAAGAATTTTCCTATAAGGAATATTTGGGTAGTTTTAAATGCTATTGACTACTATATTTACTACTAAAACGCTTTGTAAAAATAATAGTTGACATTATTAAATATTCACAAATCATCAAGTATTGTCCCAAATTTTTTATGCACATTTGAAAAAATAATTCGTTTTCATAAATTGACAAAGAAAACCCGTATATATTTCGGGAATACAACGTGATGTTTTTATATATGTGCACACTGTAGAACAGCTAAATACAGCAGTTGACATATTCATGACCTCACATGCTTATTGTTTTGTGGCAAGAGCGTTAAAATCTACTCTTAATAAATTTCAGACATACTGTGTCCGGAGTTGGCTCCTGCCAGTGGGTTCGTGGTCTGGCTAACTTCAAGAATAAAGCCACAGGCCTTGAAGACCTTCCTGGTGAGTGTTACAGCTCTTAAAGGCGGCACTGCCCAGAGAGTGAGCAGCAGCATGATTTATTGTGAAGAGCAAAAGATCAAAGCTTCTACAGCTTGGAAACTGACCCAAGCAGGTTGCAGCTGCTGGCTGGGGTGGCCAGCTTTTATTGCCTCATTTGTCCCCTCCCCTGTTCTATTTCTGTCCTATAAGAATGCCCTTTTTTCAATCCTCCCCCCGATTGGCTACTTTTAGAATCCTGCTGATTGGTGCATTTTACAGAGTGCTGATTGGTGCATTTTACAGAGCACTGATTGGTGCGTTTTACAGAGTACTGATTGGTGTGTTTTTACAAAGCTCTGATTGGTGCATTTTACAATCCTCTTGTAAGACAAAAAAGTTCTCCAAGTCCCCACTCAACCCAGGAAGTCCAACTGGCTTCACCTCTCAATACAATACATTGTTATTAACTATAGTCATCATGTTGTACAATAGATTTCTTGAACTTATCTCCCCTGTCTAACTGATATTTTGTGTCCTAAGGCCAGCATCTCCTGAATCTCCACCCCACCTCTCCCCAGTCACTGGTAACCACCATTCTACTCTTTGCTCCTATGAGTTCCACTTTCTTAGATTCCACATGTAAGTGAGATCATGCGGTATTTGTCTTCATGTGCCTGGCTTATTTCATCCAGTATAATGTCCTCTAAGTCCATCCATGTTGTCACAAATGACATGATTTTCTTCTTTTTTAAGGTTGAATGTTGTCGAATTTTGCATATACCATGTTTTCTTTCTCCATGAATCTACTGGTGAGCACTTAGGTGGATTTCATGTCCTGGGCTATTGTGAATAGTGCTGCAGTGAACATGGGAATGCAGACACCTCTTTGAGATCTTGATTTTATTTCCTTTAGATATAAACACAGGAGTGGGACTGTTGGATCATATGGTCGTTTGATTCTTAATATTTTGAGGAACCGCCATATGGTTTTCCATTTATGGCTACACGAATTTACATTCCTGCCAGAAGTGTTCCAGTGTTTTTCTTCCCCACATCCTCACCAACACTTATGTTCTGTCTTTTTGATGATCACTGTTATAATGGGTATGGGGTGTTATTTCATTGCAGTTTTGATTTGCATTTCCCTGAAGATGAGTGATGTTGAACATTTCTTCATGTGCATGTTGGTTATTTTTATGTCATCTTTTGATAAATATCTGTTTGGTTCTTTGCCCATTTTCTAGTTGGGTTATTTGTTAAGTCTCATCGCTTTTTGGGAGGTTGGTGTTAAAACCATTTGGGCATGTTTTTGTAAATGTATCTATGTATAAGGATGCTTGCTATAAGAGGAACTTCTGGATGTAAAAGCCATGCAAATTTTAAAATTTGGTAAATTTGGCAAATTGTCTTTTAAGATATTTATATGAATTTACTTCCGTTCAAACTATAACAATTTATACTAATTTGCACTTCTGCCAAGAAGAGGTGGTAGCTCCAATTTTTCTTCCAGTACTGAATTGATATCAATATTCTTTTAAATTGTTGTCCATCTGATCAGATAAATAAAATATATCACTCTGGTTTAAATTTTTATTTTAAAATTATTCATAAAATTGTATTATATTTTCAACTATTTATTGGCCATTTGTGGTTTTATATATGTAATTTGTCTATTCATAGCCACTATCAATACCCCTATTTTTTTTGTTTGGTGTTATATAGGCATTCCCTATACACCATGCATATTAATTCCTTGTTCACCACATGTATTGACAATATTTTCTCCCAGGTTGTCACTAATCCATTTATATGATGACTTTTGCAGTATTAAAAATTTTAATATTTATGAAGTCAAATCTTGCCACCTTTTTCTTTAATGGCTTCTGTCAGGGGTCTGTTTCATGCTTAGAGTTTTAGGATTGTATTGTTATTTTATTTTAAATGTATCTTTTTCTTTTATAAAAAAAATCAGTAGTACTTTATAGTTGGGAAAATGCATATTCTAAGCATTTGCATACCCAGATTAGCCGGACTGACATCGCAGGTCTCCTTATAGCATGAGGCTCACCATATTTGGTTAGAGCTGATGGGTCAGCCTCCATTGGATTGATGGTTTCATGACTCCATCCACAGTTCCTAATAACCTTTTTGTTGAATATTGTCAGACAGGATGACTGATGTTATCATCACAGTGTTATAAATTAGGAGTTGTTCTCTTAGATATATTTTTGGCTACACACCTACCCCATCTCCTAGGAGAAAGGTTCACGCCTCTTGGGTAGACACCGACTCTCTTCAGTGAAGTGTAGTACAGCCACACTCTATTCCCTCTCGGCAGCCACTGTGCTGGGGCAAGGTACGCAGGTAGTCTATGAGCACGTTATTCAATCTTTCTTCCAGGATAGACCTAAATTCATTGGATGTCAGGTTCCACAGGCCCCCTGCTTGGTCCAGTGCAGAGGGCTGGAGAAGCAGGCCTGGAAGTTGCCTCCAGGGGCTCAATTCCATGGGAACCAAGTGGAGGCTTTGGAATTCTGGTCAATGTATTTTTTTTCCTGTCAAAACTATCACAGTCTTATTATGCACTGCCCTTGCCTCCACTGAAGCTATACTGCATTTCACCTATGCCTGGCCTTAGTGAGACATTTCTGCATTTCCAACTATGGGCCAGATAGCTCTCTAGTTAGAAGGGCACCCCTCGTAACTTAGGAGACCCCATTGTGCGTGTCTATAAATGAATTACTGAAGAAAAGATTCGAAGCAACAGAAGCCCCATTCCTCCAAATGAGGCACTATTCTCAAAGAGCCTGGAGCATCAGCTAGACATTCAGAAGACAATGAGATTTGGGATAAATGGAAGCAATTTACTTCCAAGAGATTTCCATCAATTGTGTTGGGTTAGAGGAAACTTTGCCCAAGCTATTTCTTTTAGCCCGAGGCCTAGAGATTTTATCATCTTGTTTACCTAGTGAATGAGGCTGCCATGGAACTGGAGTAAAATATATAACCAGAAGTCACTCAAAGTATAAGCTGAATTATATATTTGTAGTGGTAGAAGGTAGGGTCAGCAAATGGATAATGAGGCAAGGAGTGTATTTGCAGAAAGATTGAAAGGTGTTCTCTATCATTCGTTTGTGGTTAGTACTCTCTACCTCACATTTTGCACTGTTTAACTTTATTTGAATTAATTTTAGGTTGACAGAAGGGTTGTGAGGATAATACAGAGAGTTCCTGTCTTCCTTCACCTTCCTTCCCTTACATTAGCATCTTACATAACCATAGAACATTTATCAAAACTAATAAATTAACATCAGCATAACACCATGAACTAAATTCTAGATGTTTTTCATATTTTTTGCCCTAATGTTTATTTTTCCATTCTGTGAAATGATCCACTCCAGAATACCATGTTGCACTCACTCATTGTGTCTCCTTAGTCTCTTCCAATCTGTGACTGTTTCCGTGTTTTCCCTTGTATTTTATGACCTTGCCACATTTGAAGAGCAGCAGTGGTCAGAGATCTAGCTGTAGAATGCACCTGGATGTGGGTTTATCTGATGCTTCTCATGATTGGGCTGTGTACTATCCTCATCCTATCACATCGCGGGGTACATGAAGTTAACCTGGTTTCCACTATGATGTGTATGTTTATCCTTTGGTTAAGGAGATTTTAGTCAAGATTTTCTTTACTTTTTTCTTTCTTTCCTTTTTTCTCCTTCCTTCCTTCTTTTCTTTTTTCTTTTCTTTTCTTTTTTGAGACAGGTTCTCACTCTGTCATCCAGATTGCAGTGCAGCGATGCAATCTCGGCTCACTGCAACCTCTGCCTCCTGAGCTTCAGGTGAGCCTCCTGAGTAGCTGAGACTATAGGTGTGCACCACCATGCCCAGCTAATTTTTTAAAAAACTTTTTTTTATAGAGAAGATGTCTCACTCAGGCTGGTCTTGAACTCCTATACTCAAGTGATTCTCCTGCCTCGCCCTTCCAGAGTGCTAAGATTACAGGCATGAGCCACTGTGCCTGGCCTAGGATTTTCTACTTGGAAGTTATTCTGTGTCCTTTTCCACCCTCTATTTCAGTGGCTCTCAACGAAGGGTGGTTTGTTCCCCAGAGGATATTCAGGGGAGACATGCTTCGTTGTCACAGATGGGAGTGAGGTTGCTCTTGGGATCTAGCAGGTAGAGGCTGGAGATGCTGCTGTCATCTTAAACCCTGCAAAGGGCATCCCTGCAACAGAGAACTGTGCTGAGGCCAAGAAACCCCACTCTATTAGTAGCAATTCACTATAGTCAGCCCACACTCAATGGGAAGTGAATTAAGCTACATCTTCTAGAAGGAGTAATATCAAAGGATTTCTGAACATATGTTAAAGCCAGCACAGTAATTAAATATTTTGCAGAAAATACTTTGAGGCTATGCAAATTCCTGTTTCTCCTCAAAGTTCCACCCACTAATTTTAGCACGCATCAATTGCCCGGAGCAATTATTACTGTGCTGTTCTGATGGTGATTTTCTGTTTCCCTCATTGCTTCTACATTTATTATTTCTGCCTTGCATTTTAATTAGTTTTTCATGTAACCATAATTTTAGTAAAAGGGAGTGGACTTACTTCCTGTGTCACTAGCAGAATAGGCCTAAAATATTTGATGCTGTCTTATTCATTTATACTCTCATTCACTTATTCATTCATCTATTTATTCTACAAATATGTGTTGATTGTTTACTTTGTGCTATGCATTGTTGTTCTAGGTCCTGGAGATACAATAGGGAATGAAATAAACTTTCCTTATCCTGTGGAGCCTACCCTTGAATGAGGGAAAATGAGGGGAAACAGGTAGTGAACAAGTGAATGGTTCAGATTTTTTTTATGGGGCCTGGGGGTATATTAGCTGAAGAAAAAGTGAAATCTGAATAACTCAGCTTCTATGGCATTTCTTGTTTCAGTGGTAAATAATTGACTTATCTTTAAACTGGGAGAGTAAAAATATTATGAAGAAGTGAAGCCCCAGGTAGCTAGAGAAGTGGGGGAGAATTGGGTTGCTACTAGTCCGGAGGCATGAGAAGGTGGCTTAATGGAATGCTCAGGGGCCCAGGACTGTCTGGGATCCTGATGAGTGTCAGCTCTTCCACAGGGAGGGTTGAACAAGTGGAGGACAGGCTGTTGCAAGCAAAGGGAAGTACAGGGCTACTACCCAAGATGCAGCAGCCAGGCAGGGAGTAAATAGAAAAGATACTTGGAGCTCTTTCTCCTCCTGCCCACCAGTCTCCCGTTGCTGCTGTCCATGGCTGAATCCACTTGGAACCAGTGGGCAAGAAGCCCAGATGACACAGTTTCTGTGTATCAGCTTGTGGAGATGCAGAGCAGGAAGAGGGGGCTGGAGAATGTGTTTGCGGGTGAGGAGAGGCAAAGGGTAGAACCAGCATCATCACAACAAAGAGGCACTAGCATCAGGGGTCTTAACTAGGACCCAGGAGCGGGTGATTTTGGCTCTGAGGGACAGAGGGTCCTCCAACATCATGACAACTGAACCTGGACTTACCAGTCAGGGCAGTCACAGGCTCATCCTCAATCAGAGGCACCTGGGCTGCATAGCACCCCTCAAGAAAGAACCTGCTAACAGCCAACATTGTACCAGATTGCTTCTAAATAGCCCCTTTGTCTCACGCGGGATGGGGACCTGAGGTTGCATCTCCTACTGACTGGCTTATCTAAGGGGCCTCCACAATCCCTCTTCAGAATGTAACTGTGCATTATTCACGTTGAAAATCACATACGCATCTCAAGCAATCCGATTTTCTGGGTATGTGTTATTATTTCTCTTAATCCTTTATGAAAAATGATTCTATGTGTGCCATGAATGTACTCTTTAGAAAATGGATAGCCATACTTTTATTTTCTCAAACAGAAAACAGAGAAGAGTAATAAATTTTGGGAGAGAAATTCAAGTATTTTCAATATTAAGGTCCATTATTTCACTCTTCTGTCAATACTGCAGATGGTCTTGACTCAAGCCAGAGCCCTAACATGTGATTTCCTGAAAAACTGACAGATGTCAGCTGCCTCAGCAGGAGGGCTTGCCTCCTGCTCGGAGAATGGACTATCTCCTGTGCATCAACACGGGGATATCCATACCAATCTTTGCCTTCAATTTCCTCTGTCTCCCTCTTCTCTTTGCTTACAGTGATGGTTAATTTTATATGTCTACTTGACTGGGTCACGGGATTCCCCGATAGCTGGTAAAATGTTATTGCTGGGTATATCTGTGAAGGTGTTTCTGAAAGAGATTCACATTTGAATCAGCAGAGTCAGTAAAAGAGATCTGTCCTCCCCAGTGTGGGTTAACACCTTTCAATGTATTGAGAGCTAGGATAGAACAAAAAGGAGGAAGAAGGGCGAATTTGCTCTCTCTTTTCTTGATTTAGGACATCCACCTGCTCCTGTCCTGGGGGATCAAAACTGGTTCTCCAGCTTGTGGACTCAGAAGAAGACTTAAACTGTTGACCCCTGATTCTCAGGCCTTCTGGTGTGGACTAAATTACACCACCAGCTTATCTGGTTATTCAGCTTGCAGATGGCAGACCATGGAATTTCTCAGCTTCCATAACCACATGAGCAAATTCCTACAATAAATTTCCTCATATATATGTATGTATGTATGTGAATGTGTGTATATATATACATACACATATATATATACTACCTATATATATACACACATACACACCTATATGTATATTAATAGATATAGATATGTAGGTTCTGCTTCTCTAGAGAACCCTACTCATGTGGTATACATAAGCTTCAGATGAAAGTGGATCCTTGAGAGATGATACAGCTAACCAGTCATCACTAGGTTTTATTTGTTCAGAGGCTGCAGCATGAGCACATAAGAGAATGTGTCCCTGGCCTTATGCTGGCTAGACCTGGAAGCTATGGATTAATCAGCCCCTGCAGGGTAGATTTTATTAAGCATCCTTCTAATGAACCATTTTTTTGTCAACATTTTAATGAAATTGTACAGAAAAGGCAAAGGCTTTGCATTGAAACCTACTAATCAACAGTATGTTTTTATTATTTTTCTTACAGTCTTTCCTAGACATAATATACACAGTAAAACACACATATTTTATATCTTGTACATATTGTACATCTTGATCAATTTTACATGTATTCCTGAGTGGCCAGTCCTCAAATGAAGACATGAAACATTTCATCTCCCTAGGAAATTTTATCACACCCCCTCCTGGTCAATACCCACTCCCTCACTCCCACCTTCACCATAACACTTCTTCACTCCTCCGACTTCTGTCCTCATGGATTCACAGATATAAGCATTTGTAGTTCGTATAAACTTTATATAAAGGGAATCAGTGTGCATACACTATTGTGTCTGCTTATTTGGCTCAATATGTTTCTGAGCATTATCTGTGTTGTTGAGCGTAGTAATCATTTTGCTTTGTTTTCATTGCCATATGGTACTCCATTGTATGAATATATGACATATTGTTGACCCATTCTCTCTTGGTTGTGCATTTGGTTTATTTTCAGTTTTGACTACTATGAATTAAATAGCCATTAACATTTTTGCCTGTGACTTTTGGTGGACAATACCCACTCCTTTCTGTTGAGTACTGTTACAGCTTGAATTGTGTCTCCCAAAGTGTTCATATTTTGAAGTCCTAACCCCTACTATCTCAGAATGTAACCTTATTTGGGAATAGGGTCCTTACAGATGTAATTAATTTAGATGAGGTCATATTGGAGTAGGGTAGTCCCTAATCCTATTGGATTGGATGTCCTTATAGAAAGGGGGGATTTTGGACACACACACACATAAAAGAGAATATTATTTAGATTGCAGTTGTCCTGCCACAGGCCAAAGAACTACTAGAAGCTTAGGAAGAGGTCAGGAAGGAGGATGGCCTTGACATCACCTTGATCTTCAACTTGTGGCCTCCAGGACTGTGAGACAATAAGTTTCTGTTTAAGCCTCCCAGTCTGTGGTACTTTGCCGTGGCAGCCCTAGCAGACTACTACAGGAGTATAGCTAGAAGGAGAGTTGCTGTGACATAGGGTAAGAACTGGTTTTTGTTAGAAACTGTCATTTTCCAAAGTCGTTGTACAATCCCAAAAGCTCCACTCTTGATAACATTTAGACTGTCCATATTTTTTATTTTGGTCATTTGCATTTTCCTGATAAATAATGAATGTAATCACCTAATCATACATTTATTGGTCCTATGGACATGTTGTTTTGTGAAGTATCTGTTCAAATGCTTTTCTAATTTTTAATTCAGTTTTGTGTTTTCATTGATTTATGTGATTTTAATATACTCTGTTTCATTAGTTGCATTTATTGCAAATATTTTCTCTCAGTCTAAACATGTCTTTTTACTTCCTTAATGTATTTGGTAAGCATAATTTTAAATTTTGATGAAGTCAGTTTTATTTGATTTTAATTTTTGGTTAGAATGTTTTGCATCTTTTCTAAGAAATCTTCTCCTTCCCCAAGACTATGAAGACATTTAAAAAATTTCTTCCTCTAGAAATTTATTGCTTTAACTCTCACATGTAGCTCTATAATATATTTCAAATTAATTTCTAATAATGGTCAAAGGGTCAAAATACATGTTTTTTCACATGGAAATCCAGAAACATGGCAGCTGTCCCTTGGACCCTGAGTGATCCTGGGCTTGGACTAAATACAAAGATGTTTAAGGGAAGATGGAAGTGCATTAGGAATGCTGTTTTGGGGGTTGAATAAGATCACCTAAATTTCAACTAAAAACTGGCTGCAGACATCAAGCTTCTTAAATCAGTGATACACCATTTTTGTCACATTTTGTCACATTTGATCAGACCTCCTCCTAAGCTTCTGGTAGTTGCTTGGCCTGTGGCAGCACAACTGCACTCTACATAATCTTCTCCTTTATGTGTGCCTGGGTCCAAAATCCCCCCTTTCTATAAGGACATCTAAGCCAATAGGACTAGGGACTACCCTACTCCAGTGTGACCTCATCTAGATTAACTACATCTGTAATTAATTTTTGAATCACGTGAGGCAGGAGCAGCTGTGTGCTGGGCACATCTGCATGTGCTCGCTGGCCACTGGTAGCACCTCCACACACACAATTGGTGTGCATGTGCTGTGGCCGGGTTACTGGGAGACCACCCCGGGGTGAATTTGAGATCATGGGAGTGTAGGAATCTGGTGCTCAACAGTGAGGGCAAGAGAAAGCAGCCAGATGGGGGTGTTGCCAGTGCAATGCATGTGTGTGCAGGCCTTATGTGTGTGCAGGAACATGTGTGTGCACATGTGCATGTATGTGTGCAGTGCACGTGTGTTGTGTGTGTGCATGCGTGTGCCCTCTCCAGAATGTGGATAGGGCCATGCTGTTGAGCACACTCCCCAACAACTCAAGAACACCACCAGAAAAAATGGACTATGTGCCCTTAGTGCCTCCTCAATTTGGCCTTTTGTAATGCATTTTGTCTCCTTGTCATTTGTTCAATATTTTTCTCACTCTCCTTCATTTTATCTTTCAACTCTTTTTTGGGGGGGTGGAAGATTGCATTTTTTTAATTTTTAAGAGCTCCTCTCACTACTGTCTTTTTCTTTTGGTAGCCTGTTTCTGCTTTATCAGACATTACAGTTTTAAATTTCACCAAGGATACTAGAGTTTTTATTTTTTTAAAGATGTTAACATATCTTTCATTTCCGGAATTATCTGTTCCCTCCATTGTGAGTCTTTGTTACTTCTCTCGTGGCCAGTCATTCATTCAGCAAATATTTATTGAATGTCTTCTATGTGCAACCACAGTTCTAGCCCTTGGAGTCCCTCAGTGGTCTTTCCTTAAATGTCTGGTTTCCTTGGTCATTATGCTTAAATTCATGTTTAAGAGGGGTGCCATGATAAGCATGGTTGAGCACCCATGGCTAGAGATTGTCTACTAGAGGTTTTTAGGTAGGAATGAGCTGGTGAGGTCCCAGACAGCCTTACTGAGTGGAGGAGAAGGCAGGGCCAGGGGATTGAATGCTTGTTTGCAGTCTTCTAATGACTGCATCAGGCACTCCAGTTCTCCTTCAGGTTCAAATCCTTTAGAACTCTCTGCCTTTCTGCCTGCAGAGAATGAGTCTGACTGCTGAGACTCTGGAGTGTCTGTGTTGCTTGTGGATGATGCTTACGGCAGTGGCTGCCGCGGTCATGCCAGCTGCAGCATGGAAGTGCCGCTGGGTCAGCACACTCCATGGAGCTGGTGGGAGCCCGCCCCTTCTGAGGTGGGACGGGAGCTCCCCGGGCAGCTGCAGCTGCCCAAACCACAGCTGCAGACCCAGGCCTCCTCCCCTATGGAGCCAGCAGGAGCCCTCCTAGGAGGGGCTACAGCCACCCAACCTGCAGCTGTGGATATGAGCCTCCCTGTCCTCTTGAGGGAGCTGGGAACAGGAAGGGTCTGCACTCCCAGGTGCAGCTGCAGCCGTGGAGCCTGCGGCTGCAGACCTGCCTCTGGCTCCAGGAAGCAGGCAGGAGTAGGGGACAAACGGGAGCCTTGCCCCTTCCGAGTTGGCGGGGCAGCTGCGGTCGCCCTCCCAGGCGCAGGACTTGAGGAGTCTCTGCAGCCTGCACCCTCGGGCGCCCCAGGAAGGACCACCCCCCCCACCCCAGCTGCCGGCCCTGCAGGCTCAGGGATGTCTGCTTCCACTGCCTGGTCTCTCTCAGCTCCCAGCACCCACTCCCATCTCAGAGAAGGGTTGGGCCAAGCCCCGGGTCCATGAACCACAGCAGGAGGCGGATTGATTCCTGGGCAGAAAGCGGGCGGGGTCCCCAGAAATGCCCCACCCTCAGGCCAGGGAGGGCCTGAAGGCTGGGGGCTGGGCTTCCAGTCCCACGGACTGGAGTGGGAACTCGTAGTGCCTCTTCTGGCCCGCCCATGGCTGCCCGTGGACCAATCAGCACGCACTTCCTCCCCTTTGAGTTCCATAAAAGCCCTGGGCTCAGCCAGCGCAAGGCAGAAGACAGCAAGAGGACGACAAAGGTGGCGAGATGATGGGAGTGGGATTCCAGCGGTGGGACGACAAGCTGCAGAGCAGTCCTTTTTTGCTGAGAACTTCAGAGACCTGCAGAGAGGTCAGAATGACTTTCTTGCAGAGATGAGTCACTTTCTCCAGGGAGGTCTCTTTGCTAAGACGCTGAACACTGGACTGGATGACCGGCCTACAGAGAGGAACTACCCATTTCTGTGAGTCGTTCTAACATTAAAACTCATGTTCTTCACCCTTCACTTGTCTGCTTTTGTCATTCTTCCTGGATGCAGGACAAGAACTCCTCTAACAATGGTGTGGGGATGGGGATCCATTTCTGCATATATAGAACTTAATTCTCCACTTCCCAGGAACTTATCTTCCAATCCTCCATTAACTTACAGCTTGTGAATCCAGGAGCCCTCAGGGTTGAGCAAGGCTGGCTGGCACTCTCCAGTGGCCTAGCAACAGTGCTTCTGAAACCTGTGAACCTCTTCTACCTCCTGTCTTCTTGAGTTTAAATTCTCTTGCTTGAGTTTAAATTCTCTTTTCTGCCAATGCCTTCGCATATCTCCTTGTTGCTTTGCTATCATTTACGTGAAGTGTAGAGGTGGGGGGAGACATAAATATATGGTCTCAGTCCATTATTTGGAACTAAACATGTGTCTTTAGGTTCTGATTGGGATTGGGTTGTGTAGGTTAAGAGAAAAGCCAGTGACTTTGTAATGTAGACCTTTCGCAGTCAGAAACACTGTCTTTTTGTTTGTTCAAATATTTTCTTATTTTTGGTACAATTTTTTTGTTTTCGTAAGTGTCTTGTACATTGAGTGGGACGTTTGTTTTTCACATAGCTTGTAATCCTTTCTGCCAGTGTGAATGTGATTTTCTTTTTAGGAAATTGTATTACTATGGTTTTATAAGAGAGTATCATTTTTTGATAATTTTGATTTAATCTCTTTAATTCAGCAATGAGTAGGTTTAATTTGCAAAGATATTGTCAAACTTACACTTTTTTCCAGAACGACTGTACCAATTCACATTTCAAACAAATATGGGAGAAATACAGTTTCTTCACAGCCTCAGCCGTATTTACTATTGCCACTATTTTTTATTTCAGCTGTTCTAATAGATGTATACTGGTATACTATTGTGGTCTTCATTTGCATTTCCTTAATGGCTAGTGATACTGGACATCGTTTCAGGTGCTCATTAGTCATCTGAATATCCCCTTAGGTGAAATGTCTCTACATATCTTTTGCCTATTTTCTAACTGGATTATTTCTTTAATATTGAGTTTCTTCCTATAACCTTGATCTGACTCCTTTGCTACATATGTGGCTTGCAAATATTTTCACTTAGTTGGTAGCTGGTCTTCATCCTCTTAGCAGGGTTGTTTGAAGAAAAAAAAAATTTTTTTTTTTTGAGACGGAGTCTTGCTGTGTCGCCCAGGCTGGAGTGCAGTGGCGCAATCTCGGCTCACTGCAAGCTCTGCCTCCCAGGTTCATGCCATTCTCCTGCCTTAGCCTCCCGAGTAGCTGGGACTACAGGTGCCCACCACCACGCCCGGCTTTTTGTAATTTTAGTAGAGATGGGGTTTCACCGTGTTAGCCAGGATGTTCTCGATCTCCTGACTTCGTGATCCACCCGCCTCGGCCTCCTAAAGTGCTGGGTTTACAGGCTTGAGCCACCGCACCTAGCCTAAAAAGTTTTAATTTTAATAAATTTCAATTAATATGAACACAGATATCTCTTCATTTTTTAAATCTTATGTGATTAGTTTCATCAGTATTATACTTTTCAGTTTGTAAGTCCTCTATATGTTTTGATACACTTATACCTAAATATTTATTTTATTGAGCAAGTATAAACTGTATTATATTTTTAATTTGTTTCAACCTGTTCATCATGAGTATATAAAACTACAGTTGATTTTGATATTTTTGACTTTGTGTCTTACAAACTTACTGAACTCCCTTATTAGTTCCATGAGTTTCTAGAATTGCTTGGATTTTCTATTAGACTATCAGGTCATGTGCAAATAGGAAAATTTAATTTTTTTCTTTTCCAAACTGCATGGCTTCTATTTCCTTTTCCTGCCATATTGTGCTGGCAAGGACTCCCAGGATTATGTTGAATGGCAGCAGTGAGAACTAATACTTTAACTCATTGATTGATAGCAGAGATCCTTGGCTTGTTCTCAATTTAATGTGGAAAGTGCATTTAATCTTCACCATGAAACATGATGCAAGTTGTAGTTTTTCTGTAGATTGTCTTCATTAAGGATATTCCCCTCTATTCCCAGTTTGCTGAGAGTTGCTACAATCATAAATGGGTGTTAGATTTTGTAAAATGCTCCTGTGCATGAATTGATATGATCGTAGGATAGCTCTCCTTTTAGCCTGTGGATATGGGGGATCACAGTGTTTGATTTCTGAATGCTGAATCAGCCTTGCATCCCTGAAATTCAACTTACTTGGTCACGGTGTGTTATATTTTTTTCACATTGTTTCATTAGGTTTTCTATTATTTTGCTGAAGATTTTTGCACATAAATTCAAAAGAAATATTGGTGTGTGTTTTCCTCTGTCCTTTTTTTTTCCCCTAATCTTTATCTGATTTTGCTACCAGTGTACTACTGGCTACATAGGATACATTGGGAAGTGATATCTCTTATTTTCTAGAAGAGATTTATGTAGATTTGGTGTTAATTGTTTGAATATTTGTTATATTTTGTTTTATAAAACCATATAGATTTTTTTTCTGAAAAATATTTTAATTTTACATTCAATTGTCTTGACAGTTATAGAGCTGTTTAAATAATTTTATTGGGTGAGTTGTGATAGTTATCACCTGTTTCATTCCTGATGTTGGTAATTTGTATCTTTTCTCCGTTTATCATCGTCTCAATTGCTATAAGCTTGTCAATTTTAGTGATCTTTTCTAAGAATTAGCACTTTAATTCATTGATTTCCATGTTGTTTCCTGTTTTAATTTTAATTTTAATTGATTTGCTCTATCCTTGTTACTTCTCTCTTTCTCCTTGTTTTCGGTTTACATTGCTTTTTTCTCATGAGGAGTCCAGCTCCTGGTTAAATGATCTGTGCGTGACTTTTCAGGCCTGACCACAGGCCATTACAAAGGCTTTACCTGCCCTCCCCACACCAGAGCCTGGAGTATGCCAGTGCATTGCAGTCCCCAAAGGGAGTTGCAGCCAAGGAGTATCTGGCTGGCACTGCTCTTACACAGGTGTGCATCCCTAACCTGGTTGCTTCCACTTAGAAGCCTCTGACTCTGGGGCTTCTGCTGAGATTTCCTTATAAGGGAAGGAAGGGTGCATCTTGAGGACACTTATTCTCTCCTCTGAGTCAGTACGAAGTACTTTTCCACTCCTAGGTCTTCCACCTCTTTCTTCTCCAGGCCCCCAGGCCTGTAAAATGCAGGAGCCTTTTGTTTGGGATACCCTTGGCAGGGAGACAGTCCTCATGTCTGATAGAAAACTGATGCCACCCTTGACTGGCAACTTTCTTTTGGGGACAATAGAACAGGCGGTAGCTGTGCTTTCTCCAATTTAGTCTGTTGCTTACACTGTCACCGTGCATGGTCCAACACTTGGCTGTTAATTTCACTTGTGTGTTGTCCTAATTGGCTGCTCTGATACCTGGCTTCTCAGCTCTCTCCAGCTCAGCTCAGCCCCTGACAAAGTGGCACATTAAGCAGAGTAGCCAGTTAAGCACAATACCATTCTGGAAGAGCAAAAAGCCTGAGGATTCCATGGGCAGCTTTGGGAGGCTCTAGTAGAGAACACGGGGCGCTCTAGAGGGTTGATCCTTTGCGAAAGTTTGAGAGTCCCACAGATTGTTTTGCCAGTGGGTCTTGGAAGGTGCTAGAGGATCCCTTGGGGCACTTTGCCAGCCAGGCCAATGGGTCTTAGGGTCTCATGCCATCCTAGCAGAAGCCATGGCATTTTTGGAGGATGCCAGCAGATTGTTTATATAAGCCTTTTGGCTCTGAGATGGGGGTTAGGTATTTTAGCCCCAGTTCCCCGGTTAATCTCCCCTAGTGGGCCAGATCAGGGATCCAGTAGAGGGGTTCAGAGAAGGCTAGGGAAGCAGCTTCCAGCCACAGCTTATGGCACTCTGACAATGGGACCCAAGATTGTTGGAGGCTCTTATAAGTTGAGTCACTCTAAGCAGGCCCTGGAACCTATAAACACCTTTTAATGCAGCAAATTGTTAAAATTTCACAAGAAATAGACTATGGAGCCCTTTGGTCACTTTGCTCAGCTGCCCATTAGAGTTAGTCCCCTCCAGAGGCAATCCTGCTAAAGTTAGCAAGGAAGAGTGCATGATGTGGGATGCACCACTGCAAACCCTTCACAGTGCGCTGACAG
Organism: Homo sapiens; assembly: GCF_000001405.40. Taxonomy (NCBI): domain Eukaryota; kingdom Metazoa; phylum Chordata; class Mammalia; order Primates; family Hominidae; genus Homo; species Homo sapiens. The sequence continues at coordinate 129,314,401 of NC_000002.12, read as the reverse complement.
CAGCCTCTGCCAGGAGAACAAAACGCAACCAACCGCCACCGTGGCCTTCTGAGCGACCGTCTTGCACCACCCTGGCAGTCCTGACTGAGGAACAGCTGTCCACACCCTGGTCCTCTGCCCACTGGCTCCCCACACCCCTTCCCACCTCGGAAAGCACGTGCTCAAATCCTGACAGGTGAGGCCAGAACTGGCCTTTGGCAGCCCCCGTGACTGATGCAGGGTCTGTCCCTTCTGCCCATCCCTGTGGTCTTGGGGGCAGGTCAGAGTGCCCACCTGCTTTTGCCCAAACTTCTTTACTTTCAGAAATGAAGAAGACTAGGTGTCGATCAACCCAATGTTCCTCTGTCCCCTGGGGAGACAGGAGATCCTATGTCAGGGTTAGAATTAATGGGGAAATGGGAAAGTTGCACTTCTTGAGCCCTTTAGCTATTGGTGCACAGGTAACTGTGGTCAACACAACCCTGTCCCCAAGACAAGGGGAAACAGCTCTCTGGTTTTGAGTCACCAAACTGGGGTATGGGCAGGCACATTTGGGGCCCGACAAACCTCTATTTTCATAGCTCCCACCACGGAGTTGGTATGGATTTGATCATTGGTATTGGTTTATTGTCTGTGTGCACCACTGCTAGCCTTCACTCCCATGCTGCAATGGAAATTGCTGCAGTTATGTCCATGTTCCTGCCGCACGTGGAGAACTCTGAACCTACCAGATTCATAGGTTGCCGCTAGTGGCCTGGCCATTTGATCAGGCCACTGGCAAGCCTTGGACTGGTGTATAAAACATGTAAATATTTGGCACTGTAAATTTCCCACTAGCATTGCATCAGTTGTGATTTCCCAATTTTTATAGCTTGTCTTTTGTTTTATGTCCATGTATTTTTGCCTTTGATACTTCCTCTTTGAGACATACATTATTTAGAAGTGTGTTGTTTACTTTCTAATTATTTGACATTATTCTGTTACTGTTCTATTATTGGTTTCTACGTTGATCGTCAAAAAACTCCATATGATTTCAATTTTTTAACTTGTAAGGGTTTTTTATTGTGACCCATTATACTGTCTATATTTGTTCTGTGATCAATAGACTATTGAAAAGAAAGTATACTCTGATTTTGTTGGGTGGAGTATTCTGTAAACGTTCATAAGTTCCTTTTGGTTAATGTTGTTATTGAGTTCTATATATGTGCTGATTTTCTGTCAGTTTGGTCTGTCAATTGTTGAGAGATGTTGAAGTATCCAATTAATTGTGGATTTGACTTTCTCCTTTTGTTTCTCAGTTTTTACTTTGCATATTTTTAAGCTTTGTAGTTTGGTGCATATACACTTTGAGGATTGCTATGTCTTCTTGGTGAATTAATCTTCATTGTTAGGCAGTCTCCCTCTCTGTACACATTAAAGAAGTTTTACTACAATGTGTCATGGTATGGATTTCTTTGAGTTTATACTTTCTGAAGTGTGCTGTGATTCTTGGATCTTATATTTTGTCAAATTTAGGAAAATTTCAGCCATTATTTATTCAAATTCTTCTTCAGCTCCATTTGCTTCTTTTTTTTCTGGACCTCCAATGATACAAATATTAGGTATTTTACTTTATAGCCCCACAGGTCCTAGGTTTTCATCCCAGGATGAAGAGGCTCTGTTTATTTCATCCACGATGTTTTTAGGTGTTTGTTCAGACTGGGTAATTCCTCTAGCTCTATCTCCAAGTTTCCCCTGTCATCTGCATTCTGCTGCTGTGCCTTTCTCCATTGAGGTTATATTTCAGTTACTGCATATTTCAGTTCTAAAACTTTAATTTGGTTCTTCTTTATATTATCTGTTTGCTGAGGCTATTTTTTCTGATGATTTTTAATTTTTAATTTGTTTCAAGTGTGTTTTCAATTGCTCACTGAAGTCTTTTTTATGATGATTGCTTAAAAATTTTGGTCAGATAATTCTAACATCTGTGTGTTTTCACTGTTGGTGTCTATTGTCTCTTAAAGAACTTCCAGTTTCTTGGTATGACAAGTGATTTTCAATTATAACCTGGAATTTTTGGTATTATGTTATAAGACGCTGGATCTTATCTAAGCCTTTTGCTTCAGCAGGCCTCTAATGATGCCGCTCCACTGGGGGAACAAACTGCTTCTTGTTACTGCCGTATGGGGAGGAGTCCAGTTTCTCCACCCAGCTCCACCCCACTACTCTTTGCATCCTGAGGTCCCCAGTGAATTGTCCTTCTACTTTCTACATTTTAGAGTATTCTTAGGTTTGTATTGTACAGGCTCCAGGATTTTTACTTGTTTTCTTATTGAAGGAATAAGGATAAGTACATCTACTCCATTTTTCCAGAACCTGTACTCTAATAGTTTATTATTTAAATGTTTTGAATTTCATTATGAGGTAGTAAAATCAATGACTCAGGTCTTCTTGGTGGCTATGGCCCTGAGCACATTGTCTGATGGTGATATTGAACCACTGCTCCTTTGTTTCTACTTGTCAATAAATCTTTATCACTTTCTTACAAACCTCCTCTTATTTTTTCACTTTGTTTTGTTTTGAAGTTAAATACAAGTTCCTATATCTTTTTAAAGGCAATTCAGTAAACTTCATTTTATAATGGATATGATTAGATATGTTTTCTCCACCTCATTCCATAGTTGCCAATTGAAATCCATTCTATTTATTTTCCCCTTGTTCCTTTTTTTACTTTTGCTAAATTGACCTTTAAATAAAACCTATGCTTTCTATCTTGTAATTTGCTACATTCCTGTCTTGCCTTATTATTTTAGGGATTATCTTACTGTTTTGTTTTAAATATTGATGACTTTATTTTTCGGTTAAAAATTGCAGCAACATGGAGAAGTAAAAACAAATTATTAATCCAAGTACCCTGGTCCAGCATTAATTGTAATTAAAATTTATTAAACATCACTCCAGATGTCACTCAATGAAAAAGTTAGATGGATAATATTTAATAAAAACGAACTCATGTGAACATATCATTTTAAGTTTAAACAGTGTTAAATCAAAAATTAACAGGAAGGAACAATTAACAATTAGCTAAATGCTTCATCACTGCAGAAGATACGAGTTTTCTAAAATGTTCTTCTGAAGTTAAGGAGAAAAAAAAACTAATGACAAAAAGAAAAATTAAGTGGTTATTTATTGCCACTCTGTTATTTGAAAAACATTTGTCTTCAGACAAGTCTTGGCTGCACTGCAAGGAGTGATGAAGACACCAGCTCATCCCACTTCTTCTTTTCCCCCTCAACCTTCTCTGGTTGTATGTCTGGAGGCCTGGTCTCTCTTCCCCTCTACTACTACTGCAGCATTCTGGGGAAGGCTGGGAGGTGAGACCCCTGCTTCCAGGGGATGCTTCATCCTCATGCCGCTCTCTGAGTGTACGAGGAAGAGAAGTCTGTGGTGGACCCTGCCCTTGCTTCAGAAGTGAGCTTCTCTGGTGAAGAAATTGAAAGGTAGGTAGTCAGGAGTGTGTCCTCAGAACTCTAACGACCCCTCTCTGTGCTCTTTCCAATGTGCCAAGACTTTTAACTTAAGCTCTACCATCAACTAGCTCTGTACCACTAGACAAGTTTCTTCAGGTTCCTGAATTTATATTCTCTACATACCTATCCTACTTGCAAGCCATTTTCAGGAATAATGGTGCTTGCAAAAGCAATTTGAAAAGAGCATGGTCGTGATGCAAATAATCATTCTTTTCAGTTACTTCTTCCTTTGTTCTTTATGTTTTTAAATAACAGGCAACTTTAGCTTTCTCTTCTTCCCAAGATCTCTTAATAACACCACTCTGAATCTGTTTGCTCTTTTTCTCTCCCACTTTTAATCCTTAAATAGTAAGGGACTTCCAAACATTGCACTGTCTTTTCTTCCTTCAGCCCACAGACACCCGGTTCCTCCTCTTTGCGGCAGCCTTGGGACCTTCAGCCCACAGTTCTTGTCAGCCTGATTTTCCAAAAGAGAAGTCCCTTTGTATTTTATCTTGATAATGAAAGTGTGTGCCTTTTTGTCTCCTTTGAGCACAAGAGTAGTCATCCTTTCTAAGAGAATTATTAGTGAGGCAGATGCTTTAATTTGAGGAATGAGAACATGTAGGCAATGAGCTGAAATCATGTGCTGAAGGTCACATCCTGACTGAAGGGCAGAAATGGAGAAAGATAGCAGCAAGATTTTACAGTTGGATAAGCCTTCAGACATACAATCACTCTTATAGAGAATATTGTTGAAATTGTAAGAAACTGTTGATCTTCGCTATTCCACTCACCCCCACCACACACACTTTCAATTCTGTCCTTTTAAAGACATTTCCTAGGAACATACCTGTTAGCCCCTGGCTGTCCACAACCTCCATTCTGTAACCATATTAGAGAATGTCAGTCTGGTCCTAAGTTATTTCCCAGTTTATGTATATCTCCATTCCTACCACCACTACCACCACCACCATTTTCACCATCACTAACAACACTGCCACCACCAACTACCAACAGCAACAACATTGCCACCATCATCACCACCGTTAACATCAAGATTGCCACCACCAACAACAACCACGTCAACATTGCTACCACCACTACCACAACATCAACATTGCCACCACCACGACCAATATTGCTGCCCACTACCACCATTACTAACAACATTGCCACTGACAACACCACCACAACATCAACATTGCCACCACCACCAGCAACAACATCAACATTGCCACTACTACCACCGGCACCAGAACCAGCAACAACATTGCTACAACCACCATCACCACCACTACTATCAACATTGTCACCACCACTGCCAGAACCAACCATACTATTAACAAACACCAATATCACCATGAATCCTACTAACACCACCACAAATAGCAATCACAGCAACGCTTTTCTGTTATCTCCAACACCATTATCAACACCTCCAACAAAACTGTCACTACCACCAACCCCACCAACATGGCCACCACCACTGCTACCAAGTACAACACTGCTGTTGCAACCACCACCACTGCTACTGCCAAGATCACGGCCATCCCTGTCGCTACTTCCATCCTCCTCATTTTCACCACTGCCACCACCACCACCACAATCACCACTGCAATCACCACTGATACTATCACTGACTCTGCCACTACCACGACAATATCGCTAACACCAGCGTTACCTTCACCACCACCAATACCACCAATGTTGCCACAACCCACAATCTTGCCTTCACCAACTACCGCCACCATCAACCACCCACAACATTGCCACCAAAACCAGTACCGCCACCACGCCACCATCACTAGTGACCCTCACTGTCCTCTACCATTATCACTGCCACCACCACTGCCACTACTATCACTGTCACTGTCATCATCACTGATATGCTGCTTCATACTTTTGTGAATTTCCAAATGACATCCATTTCTCCTAAAATTCGGTTCCCCTCCGTGTTCACAGAGGACATTTCTAAGTCATTCTTAATGATGCAGCCCAGATAGGCCTGCTTTACTAAAGCCTCCCCTGCCCCTTCTCAGGAAGCTGATAATGTCTCTCTATGCATTTTTGTACCTCATCCACGTGTCTGTGTTGTATGCCTAATTCTCTTCCCACAGTACTGTGTCTTGAGTACACAGAACCCATGTCATTTACCATTATATCATGAGTTTCTGGCAATCAGTGGGCAATTAAGAAAGTTTGATGAATTGTATTAGGTGAACCTAATTGATATTTACATGGAAATATACAGTTTATATAAAACCTTTAAATTTCTTGAGCTAGTTTTAGCCTAACAACCATAGTGTTACTAGAATATGTGGTATATTTTGGTATTTAATTTTAGGCAAAAAGCAAACTTCACACCTCTGTTGATGTAAGAATGTGATGTAAGAATGGCCCTAAACAGTTCTGTTTGTGTAATCAGCAGGTAGCCAAAATGGTAATGAACTGAATTTGCCATTAAACACTAAGAAAGGAATATAAATTAGGAAAGTATATTTTTATACTTAGCTTGATATGATCATACCACAATATATGAACCATATATATCAAAATATTAAATTTTATCATGTTAATATAATTATATCAATTACAAATAAAACAATAAAGAAAGTATATTTAATCTGTGTCTAGATTATAGAGCTGTGTGAATGAGAAGGTAGGTGTGAATAGCTTCTTTAATTTTTATTACACTTTTAATTTGAAGTTTATTATAGATTTACAAACAGTTGTAAGAAATAATATGGGGATCTTGTATGCCCTTCACCCAGTTTCATAAAACATCTCACAATTCTATAGTAAGATGTGACAACCAGGACATCAACATTGATACAGTCAAGGTACAGAACATTGTATCTCTACAAAGACCGCCAATGCTGCCTCTTAATAGCCACACCCACATTTCTTCTGCCCCCACTCACTCATTAATCCCTAATCTGTTCTCCATTTTTATTACTTTGGCATTTCAAGGGTATAAATGGAATCAATAGCATGTGTGATATACACACAGGGTATAAAGGGAATCGTATAGTATATAACCTTTGAGATTGGCTTCTTCCTCTCCGCATAATTCTTTGAAGATTTACTTAGGTTGTTGAATGTTTTAATAGTCTACTCTTTTTCAGTGCTAAGTATTATATCATAGTATTGATATATTACAGTTCGTTTAACCATTCACGTCAAGAATGACATCTGGGTTTTTTCTGTTTGGGAGTTATAGCAAATAAAGCTGCAATAAGTTTTGGTGCAGGTTGTTAGTAATTATAAGTCTTCATTTCTCTGGAATAAATGCTCATCAGTCCATTTGTTGGGTCATATGGTAGTTGCTCATTTAGCCATTTAAGAAACTGCTCAACATTTTTCAAGTAACTGTACCATTTTACATTCATGCGAACAATATATGGGCAATACAGTTTCTCTTAATTCTTGCCAATATTTGGCATTGTCATCTTTTTATATTTTAGAAATTCTGAGAGGTGTGCAGTGATATCTCAGTGTGGCTTTAATTTGTTTTTTCCTGATGACTAATGATGAAAAATATATTTTCTTATACTTATTTGCCATCTGTATATCCTCTGGTAAAATCTCTCTTTTAATCTTTTGCCCATGTATTAATAATTAGATCATTTATTTCCTTAAAGTCGAGTCTCATAAGTTTTCTATATATCCTAGATACTAGTCCTTTTGCCAGGTATGTGTTTTACTCTATTTTAACCCAGCCGTAGCTTGTCTTTTTGTTTTCTTAACAGTCTTCCAAAAAGCAAAATATTTAATTTTGATGAAGTCTCATTTATCATCCTTTCCTTCTATGAACTGTGCTTTTGGTACCAAGTGAAAGACTCCTTGGCTTAGTCATACATATAGGTTGCAAGACTTTCTGTGTTTTTTTCTAAACATTTTATAAGTTACAATTTTATATTTAAGTCCATGGTGCACTTTAATTTTTATACACAGTGTAAGGTTTGGGTCACGCTTCATTTTTCTTTGTCTACGTGATGTTCCATTGCTCTAGCTACATTTGTCGAAAAGTCTATTTTTCCTTTTTGAGTTCCTTTTTCACTTACGTAAAAAAAAAGTTGGAACCCAAACAGCAGTATTAATCAACATTATATAACTGACATTTATAAAATACTCCATAGCAACAGCAGAATGCACATTCTTTTTAAGCTCACATGAAATACCCACCAAGCTGCACTTTATTCCAGGTTCTATACCCTACCTTAACACATTTAAAAGAAGAGAAAGCTTACAAACTATGTTCTCAGATCACAATAGAATTAAACTAGAAATAAATAACTGAAAGATAGTCCAAAATTCTGCAAACATTTGGCAATTAAGTAACACACCTCTAATTCACGTATGCCTCATAGGATTATCTATGGGCCTATCCCTCTTTCAGGATGGCACAGTCTTGACACTGTAGCTATAGAAGAGATCTTAACATTGGGTAGACTTATTACTTCCACTTTATTCTTATTTTTTAAAAATTCCTTATGCTGTTTTAGTTTTTTTGTCTCTCAGTATAAATTTTAGAATAGTCTCGCTCATATCTACAGAAAGAATCTTGGGTTTTCATAGAAATTATCTTTAACTAGTATATTAATTTGGGGATAATGACACCTTCACTATTTTAAGTCGTCCAATCCATGATCATATTATGCTTCTCCATTTATTTAGATCTTCATTGATTTATTTCATCAACATTTTTCTATTTTTCAACATACAAGTCCTATACATGATTTGTTAAATGTATACCAAATTTTCTCATGTTTTTCAGTGATTTAAATGATATTTTATTTAAAGTTCGTCTCCATGTTTCCATTACTAATGTCTATGCTAAATTAATTTTATATGGTGATGTAGTAAACTGCAACTTTGCTGAAATTACTTATTAATTCAATGAGATTTTTGCACATTTCTTGGGATTTTATATGTAGACAATCATGGCAACTCAAGTAGAAATAATTTTATTTATTCCTTTGCAATCAAGTGGCCTTTTATTTTTATTCATTATTGCTTTATAGCACTGACTAGAACTTACAGCAGTAAGTTGATTGTTATGAGAGTTGACAACATCCTTGCCTTGTTCCTAACGTAAGGGGGAAAGCATTCAGTCTCTCACCATTAAGTACCGTGTTAGCTACAGGTTATTTGTACATGCTGTTTATCAAGTTGAAAAAGTTTTCTTCTATTCCTATTTTCGGAGAGTTTTTATGATTGTTGAATTGTGTCAAATGATTTTCTGTATCAATCGCTATGATGATATAGTTTTTATTCTTTAGCATGCTAATATGATGAATTGCATTGACTGATTTTCAAATACTGTACCAGGTTTGCATCCCACACTTGGACACAGTGTGTACTTCTTTTTATTGATTGATGAATTCTACAGTTTTAGAAGGATTTTTGCACCTGTATGCATGAGTGATTATTTCTCCTTTATAGGTTAGTTGTCATTTTTCTCCGTCTAATTTAAAGATTTTTTCTTTGCTTTAGTTTTTAAAACTTTAAGTATGATTTACCTTGGTGTGGATTTCTTTAAGTCCATTAAAGTCACTTAGCCTCATTAATTTGTAGTTTATTTCTCTTTTTCCATACTTGGGAGGTTTTCATCCAGTATTTCTTCAAGTACGTTTTCGGACTTATCCTCTTTCTCCTCTTCTGTAATTCTTATGATAGGATTAGATGTTTGTGATAGTACCACAAATTCTTTAGGCTTTTAATTTTTACAATCTATTTTCTCTCTTCTAAGTAAGTAATCTCTACTTCTCTGTCTTCTAGTTTATGGATTCTTCTCTCTGCCCCTTCCATTCTGCTGTTGATACCATCCACTTAACTTTTTATTTTGGCTACTGTGTTTTTCAGTTCTAAAATATCCCTTTGGATTTTCTTTATAACTTTGGTTTCTGGGTGAGACTTCCTATTTTTTTTTTTTTTTTGGCTGAGGATTTTTACTCTTTAATTTGTTTTCCAAATACTTATAATTTCTCTTTGGAGCACCCCTATCATGTTTGCTTTAAAATCTTAGATATTTTTAACATCTCTATTATCTTGGTGTTGATATATTGATTGTCTCTTCTCAAGTTTTTGAGATATTCCTGGCTCCCAATATCATAAGTGACCTGGACATTGTTGATAAAACTCAGGAGTCTCTGGATCTTAGATAAGCCCCTGTGAGGAGGAAAGGGGCTAACTACCTCATTACCCCCAGGTGGGAGTGGAATTCCAGGTTCCCCACCTGGTCTTTACAGCTACCTGAGTTCAGGAGGCTCATGTTTGCTGTTGGTTGGGTGTGGGGTGCTAGCTTGCCTCTAGGCCTGCCCTGGTATATCCTTGGCTGAGAGAGGTAGCAATGACCCAGCTCCCCACCTGGCGTCCACTGGCACCATAGAAGTAGGTGGCCTTGTTACCTGTGTGTTGTTACTAAAGTCCTGAGTTTCCACTAGGCTTCCTCTGACACTATCCCACTAGGGCAGGGAAGCAGTGTTCTTGCTGCTGGTTGGGGACAGAAAACCAATCTCTCCCTGTGGTCTCCACTAACACCATGGCAGGAAGGGGAGTGGGCAGTAATGTCCCTACTTGGCCTTGTCTGATGACACACATAGTACCAGAAAGGGGCGTTGGCTGTCTTATTACAGACTGGCCAGGGTAGACATCTAGGCTGCAGGTGGCCTTTGCTAGCCTGAGCTTTTCTTTCATGTTTGACTTGCGCATGCAGTGGTTACTGTGTAAAATATTTCTGTCTTTCTTGAATGACCCCATTTCTGGTGCTTTGAGTAGAGAAAGCAGGAGGGTATTTTGTGTTTCTTTTGTTGTTGCTGTTGTATGTATGTGTGGTGTTTTTGTTTGTTTTTGGTTTTGGTTTTTTGTTTGTTTGTTTTTGCCCAGGCTGGAGTGCAATGGCATAATCTCGGCTCACTGCAACCTCCGCCTCCCGGGATTCAAGCGATTCTCCTGCCTCAGCCTCCGGAGTAGCTGGGACTACAGGCATGTGGCACCACGCCCAGTTAATTTTTTTGTATTTTTAGTAGAGATGGGGTTTCGCCATGTTGGCCAGGCTGGTCTCAAATGACTGACCTCAGGTGATCCACCCACCTCAGCCTCCCAAAGTGCTGGGATTATGGGTGTGAGCTACCGTGCCTGGCCTTTGTGGTTTTTAAAATCTGCATCTGTTTGCTCTTCTGGGTTGCTGGCTTTTCAACTCCAAGTCAGGGATGTATAATGCAAAAGGAAGCCCAGGGAACTCATTGGTATTGTTCCTTGGGTCCCAAAGTCCCTTCTTGGTGTGCTTCATTCTCTTCACTACTCAGAATCTTCTTATGTTGGTTTTTTTATATAATCTCCAGTGATTTTAGTTATTCTTAGCAAGAAGAATAAGCAAAAATTTTCTTACTTTATCTTCCCAGAAGATGATAGCTTGTTTTTATATGGGAAAAAAGCCAACATTAAATAGATTGTGAGATTTCCCAGGTTCCTAGGTAATTGCAGAAGTGAAAACAAAACCTTTCTTTCACTTGAAATCTCATATTCTTTCCAACACACTATACTAGTATTTTTATTCTGTATTTACACTGTAAATTATATATTTAGTTATTTATTTGAAATAAACTGTTGTACTATTTTCTCACCATTTCATGCATTTAATCTTTCCACATTAAAAAGAAAAAGATAGCCCAAAATCCCATCATTAATTTGTCCATTAGTAGGTGAATATATAAGCAAATGTGGTATATTTATACACATGTATATTTGTTTCAGTGTATATTTGTATATAACATGTCGTGTATACCCATACAATAACACACTACTCAAAATGACAATGAACTATGGAGCTATGCAGCAGCATGGGTAGATCTCAACAATGTTACGTTCAGTGAAAGAGTCCAGATTATAGAATGCTGTTTACATGATGCTCCAGAGCTGGCAAAACTAAGCTATGATGAAAGAAATCAGATTCATGTCTGACTAACGTGGGGGAATAGCTGGCAAAAGAGCATAAAATAATCTTCTAGGCTTATGAAAAGTCATATATCTTAATCAGGATGTGGATTAGACAGGGGCATCCATTTATCAAATTCATCAAATTATACACTTAAAATCTGCTGCTTTTTATTCTACGTAAACTGTATCACAATAAAGTCAATCTAGGGAAAAAGAAAGGTTGGCTTCACTCCATATTTTTCTTCTGTGCTTCCCAAGGCATGGTAGTAATACTTGACTGTAACATAATAGAGCAAGTGGAGTTGAAATAAAATGCAGTAGAATGAGGCAGTGTGCAGCGTTGTGGAGTGGAAGGAACGGGGTGGGACAGAAGTAGATTTTATTACTTGGCTGAGAAGTCTAGGAGGTAGTGTTGCTAAAGCATTGGAGTTCAGTGTCTTCTGGAGACCACACAGTCCGTCCTGCTAATGCTCAGTGAGTGGATGAGGAGTAGGAGGAGGTCTCCTTCGTGTACTAGAGGACTCCATTCTCCCTGAGAGTGGCTCTGAGGATTGGAGTGGACTGTGCCAATGAGAAAGTGAGGGTGAGGAGTGCTCACATATCACCTCCCTATAGTCGGAAGTCGTGTGTCTGCCTCATGCTGGAAGCTTCACAGGACACAAATGAGACAGACACAAAGAATCCAGTGTGAGAAACGCAAGCTCCTAATTTCTTCATGGCAGTGAAAGGTGAGCTTACACAATACCATGAATCGAGTTCTAGCACATCAGTGGCCTGTATGGGCTGAACATCATTCAGTAGTGGAGACTCTCCATTGCAATGCCTGCTTCATAACCCTGGACTCTCTTACTGAGGCACATTTAAGAATGTCTGCGGGTACCACCTGTGCCAGGCCCATGAACACTTACAGGACAGAGTATGCAACCAAGGATGTTCGGGTCACATAGCCTGCAAACCTCAGATCAGGCAGTTGGGTATTAATTGCTGTATCCATTAATGCATGTGAGATTCTCCACTAACAAAGTAAAAGTGGGAGAGCAACTAGCATTTAAAAATAGAGTTGAAATGGTGGAGAAAGGCTGCCACAGCGAGAAGCTGCCAAGATTCATCATTAACCGAGTGCAATTCCTAGTCAAAGCTGACTGTGCCAAGGAATTCTTGTCCTATGGCCCTAGCTCACTGTTCTGCTTAGCAGGATTTAGAAACAAACCCAAACAAAACAGAGACTTTCACAAGGCTGACCTCTTTAAGAAATAATTCTATTCCTGGAGCCATGGTTGACGGTGGTATTGCTGCATAATGATGCCATATGGCCACACTCCCAGTTTCAAATCACACCCGAGGTTAGGAGAATGTCCTGATTATTCATGAGGCAATATCATATCAGAAGCACTAATTTGCAGTTTCATGCTTGTCCAACAGTCATGCCTTTGTTCTTGGACTCTCTGGGTGGGTGTGCGTGGCACAGACACACTCACATTCACCCACATGGCTGTAATGACATTACTCTTCCTTCAAGCACTGCAGCCATCCCTGGTTGCATTATCTATTCCACAAGTGTACACAGTCGGGTACACCTTTGGTACTAACTCACTCCTGCAACCCCAACTGCCCAAATCTCCTGGGCAGGAGGCTGGGACTCAGAGCAAGCCTCCCAGTGAGCTGTGTGGGGGCCATCCTTGAGCCCCTGTCCTCTCTCTGCTCCCCCTCCATAAAGAATCCACCTCTCTCTCCATAAAGAATCCACCTCTCTCTCCATAAGGAATCCACCTCTTTCTGTGTCTCTGAGCATGGCCAAGATGGCTGGTCCTGCTCCTCGTCCTGCACAGGAACCCACCTCAGTGACAACATTTAAAAGCTACTATTTCCAGTGCTGATGACCATTTTTCCTTCAGCAAACCCCGGTCACAAGACCTTGGTCTTTCTGTTTGGGAAGGTCCACAGAGGTGCTCTTTTCTGCTGTCACTGATGGAAAGGGATGGTCGGGGTGGTCTCTGGTTCTCTGTCCAGGCATTCTTACAGAGGGCAGAGTGACCCCACCTGCCAGGCCCTTCAGCAAACCATCTGTACAAGGGGGAGCTCTGGCCTGGCTCTCAAAGTCTGAGTGGGTAAGAGTGGAATAGAGGGAGGGCAGCAAGGGGACGCTCAGGCAGAAGGACAGGTTAGTCGCTGGAGCAAGTCGCAGAGGGCTTGTGTGCCAGGCTGGAATGAAAAGCAAACCCAAAAGAGAAACTCCAAAAAGAAACACAGACCTGGTGGAGAGCATAGGTCTGGCGGGCCCTTTCCATGAAGAGCTCGCTGCTCCAGGGACTGAAGGCTGCAGCGGTCAGGCCCACTGTCAGTTCAGCACCACAGCTGTAGAGAGCCATTCGCTCAGGGCACCCCAGACAACCAGGACTCTATTAGGCAGGAGCACAGAGGCCTGGCCACCCCGGGCCCAACTCAGGACAGCCCCAAAGGCCATTCTAGCCTGAGGACCCCCAGAGCAGGCAACAGAGCCTGTCCTCGGTGCTGCCTCATAGCTCAACCTCCTCCCTTTCCTTCATAGGCACTGACCCTGGGGACGCTTCTCAATAAACACCCGCCCTGCCAAAGCCCATCTCAGAGGTGGCTTCCCAGGGATCCCAACCTATCACATGAGCTTTAAGATTGGGATGGCGCGGGGGTCATGGACATCAGGAGAGGTTTTCAGGAAGGGAAGGGCGTTCTGAGAGCCCCATGACACTCAACTCAGGCCTACTTCGGTCTGAGCAGGAGGAAACAGGTGCAGTGGAGGAATCCCATGGAAGCTGTGGCACTAGCATTGTCGGACAGTACTCCTCAGGGGGCCCCACAGCAGCCCAGATCCCTGTGGGAGGGTGAAAGGAAGGAGCGACCCGTTGGCAGGTGGGGTCACTGCAGGGTGGCACTGATGGGGACACACTGAGCTCAGGGATAGGGTGGAGGTGGACTGGACTGAGAGCAGCGTCAGAGGGGAAGGCACTGCAGCAGGGGCCCGACATAGGCAGAGGCAGGGGTACATGGTAGGGGTGAGCAATGGTGTAGGGTGCCCTCTGAGGCCGAGAGGGAGCACTGTGGAGGCTCGACCCCCACCCCCGCAGCTGCGCAGAGTTGGGGAGATTCTGGCAAAGGCTGCTCTTCCAAAGGCCTGTGGGGAGGTCCTTGCAATGGCAGGTGGGATGGCTAGAGTGGTTCATGACATGCCCAGAGCCTGGCCTTTATCTCATGCAACAGGCACCTACTGCCTGTGCCAGCACAGTGCCTGTCCTGCATCAGGGCTTGCGGGGGTCAGAGGTGGGGACACCCCAGAGGGAGACTGCTGCAGCAGAGGTGGGGGCTGCACTAACCTGGAAGACCCTGTGGAGAAGACACATTGGCAGGTCAAGGCCTGGGCTCTGGAGCTGGAAGGGTGGGCTGAATCCGTGAGGCCCTTTGGGGCCCACTGGCTCACATTCCTAAGGAGGAAGCATTTCCCCTGAGGGCATGTGGGAGCTGCTCCCCCAGGGTGGGGTGGGTGAGCTGGGAGAGCCACCAGGTGGAGGTGAAGGTGTGGGTCAGAGCCCCATAGTCAGCTGTTAGATTGTTTCTAAAACAAAAGTAAAGGGGGTCTGAATGAGGTTGAGTTTCTCTTTAGGGCAATAGGCACATACTTTGGCCGACTCAGACGCCTGTTCTCCTCCATTTTCTTGGCTTGTTTTCTGAAGAAATAAGTCTCACAGCACTGTGGAGGGTGTGTGTGTGTGTGTGTGTGCATATCTTTTGGGGTGCGGGCTATTTTCTCCAGTCTCCAGTGGGAGGTCACCTCATAGCCCCGCTCATTTCCTCCAGCCATGGGACAGCATGTGGTGGTTAGTGACCTGCATTTGATAACTCAGCATGGGTGAATGGAATTGAGATGTACAACAAATCATAAATGTGAATACTTCTACATTATACAGAATACGTTCGTGTCAAAATATTTATTCATAAACAGATAATAGGATGAATGTGTCTCTATAACTTAAAATCAAACATATAATTAAATTGATTATATGATTTTGAATCCTCAAGAATAGTCATTTAAAGACAGATGATTTTGAATGAAGAACATAAATAATAAAATTGATAAAGTAATTGTGGTGGAATTTGAGTCAATCATGCCGTCAGTTCTTTCCCATTTTCTGTTCAGAGGTACGCAACCCCTCGATTATTCTCACGGATGTAAAAATTGGCTTCACTTAAAGTGTCTAATAATACTTAATGGTAATCGGTTGGACATGCTCTGCCTGACCCAGATGTAGTTAGCTCTAGGGTCTTGCCAGCTGGGACTGGGAAGCCAAGACTTTAGGGACCACACTGCTCTGTTTGCCTCCTATATGATATCTTGTGAAATATGACATTAACAATGATTTCCAATAAATGGGACATGATGCATTCAGTCCAAAGTTTTGCTGCAGCTTTAAGAAAGAAACAAATAGGAGTCTAGTTGAGCAAAAGCAGCCTCAGAAAGAAGTGACCAGACCAGCAACAGCGTACCATGGATGAGCCAGGTCTTTTTGGCCAATTCTCAGGGCCCTGAAAAGGAGGCATGAAGGCCGACATTTAATAGAGCCTTAATAAACATTTGTGAGTGAATGAATAAATTATATGAGTGATTGCATTTTATTCATCCATGTCCCTGCGTTGGACATTTAGGCTTTGTAGATGGGTGTTATAAATGATGGTGAAACGCACATCACATGCTCATCTCCTTTATGCCTTCAGGTGCTAGAGTTTCTCTAGCATCCATTCCTAATTATTTTCCAGAGCTGTGTTCCAGTATTCCTCTGCACTAATAGTGTGACATGGTTTTATTTTCCTTGAACCTTTGCCAGTTGAGATTGAACATTAGGTAGGCAGAGACCAAGTCTACTTAACTCCTTTTAAAGTCACCATCTGCAGGGTGTCAGACCTGCTATCTGTCTTCCAAATACCCATTCCCTCCTCCTTTTACTACGGAACGCAGATGTTTCAGAGTCCTTAGTAGTATCCTTAGCATTAAACTCCCCACTTCCCTAACAGTAGAGATGATAATGGGTTACAGCTCAAGCACATAAAGTGTTGGTAGAAATCCCTCAGAAGGACACACTTTTCATGAGTGGAAAGGCCCAGCCTTGTTGAGAAGGAGTTTCTCTGCCCATTTGCACCTCTAGAACCTGCCTAGGAGGGGATGTGAGACCATGAGGCGTAGCATCTACCTTGTGGCATGAAGTGACGTGCATAAGGATTAAACCTCATCAACTGCAGTAGATTCCAGAGGGCTCTGCCAAGACCTGTCCCCCATATATTGAGAGTGGTAGCTGAAGACACAACTGTGTTGCTTCTTAAGGTTGCCCTTGGCCTAAAGGAGGCGCCACAGCCCAGGCAATGATGGGCTGATGTGGAATATGGAGGGCCTGCATTTGGGATGACTCTGAGGGGCATCCCAGCTCCAGAGACTCCTTAGGATTGACTGAGGCATGAGTTGTTACTGCTTTGCTGTTCAGCATCTCCCACTGCCCAGACCTGCCTTCCTCATGTCCCTAACTGGTACGTCTCCTGAAAGCTCTCCCCAGTAAACCCTCTTAAGGAAATGCCTGGTCTCACATCTGTTTCCAATGAACCCAATCTGAAACATTCAGAAGGGATAACAGAGCACATGTATTGAAAAGGCCCGATGTCATTGCTCAGCTATCACACCTGCCCTGTTTTCCCAGACATTTTGTAATATGTGACAAATAGCACCTTTTCTATTTAGGCTACTGTCATTGGAATTTCTGTTACTTACCCAGACACAGTTCTAACTGATTTATGGAGCCCCATATGCTTGGCAAGGGGCCAAGGTCCTGACAAACACAGGGGTGTTAGGAGTTTTCATGTTTTCCATGATATTACAAGGTTATGTACATAAAACGGAGGTCAATATAGTTCTATGGTCCTCAGCTTCCTCTCCTCCCACGCCTCCAACCCCATTTTTGTCTCATGCTCTAGCAATTTGGAAGTGCCTGTGGAACACCACGCTGTGTTTTCTTCCTCTTTGGCACACATGCTATTCTCATCTGAGAAGTTTCCCGTGCACTTAGAAAACACGTCATCCTTTTCAACCCAGTTCTGGCTGACTGCTCTCCTTCTGTGGGAGATATGGCTCTCTGCTGGCACCATGCCCCTTATCCCCTCTACCTTGAGACTATAGTCCTGAACTATATCAACTTAACTAAATTCGAACTACTGTTCCCTGAATTCCCTCTTGTATGGTTTTGGGTAAGGGTTGACCAGAAAAGAAAGGAGTTTGTATAAGATTTTGGAGGCAGAGGTGAACCAGCAGGCTCTGCGTATGCTCTGAAGTACCATGTAGGGCACCAGACACTGCTGGGCTGGGGACTCTTGTCTCTGCCCTGCTGGCTCGCCTTGCTGCCTCCTGGCTCCTGCAGTTCTAGCAGACTGCCTCTTTCAGCTGCTCCAAGTTCTGGGTAGCGCATACATCACTTCTTTGCAAATGGCATCAGCTTTTCCTACAGGTCACCCATGCCATTAAGGGTGAAGACTGTGAGAGACAGATGTGGGGTCCAGTTTATCCTCACAGATTCCAGTGTGTCTTTATGGGATCCAGTCATGCGAATAGCTTCCAGTTTGTCCTTGCAATCCCTCATGTCACTTCCAGTCTTCCTCCTGACTAATGGCCAGGCTGACTTAAGGCTCAGAACCAACACGAGGCATAAAGATAAAGGCTTACATAGACTGCTTAACCATCTCCAAAAATTACAAATGGTCCAAACCTGTTCATTACTCCCTTATTCCATATAACTCACAGTGGTTCTGATCCTGTGGTTGAAGACCAGCTGATATACACTTAGTAATAAATACGTGATGTATTCAGAGTGTCAAAGTGCTCAAATAAAATACTACATTTCCCACATACCATTGCAGTAAGAAGGGCCAATGAGATGTAAGGGACATCATTGGGTGGAGCTTCTAGGAAATGGCCAGGGTCTTCCTCTTGCTCCTTTACCTTCCCTTTCCTTCTCTCTGGAACTTAGACAAAAGGCTTGAGCTCCAGCAGCCATTATGTGACCTTGAGGAAGGAGGATACACACCAACATGGTAAAGTAGAAGGAATGAAGGTGGCTTCCTAGAGCCTGCACCAAAGCCCTGGACAGCCAACTCTGTTTATGTGGGGGAAGAAAGCCACAATTTAATAAAACACTTTAGTTAGGAATCTGTAATTAGTCACCCCATGCTGTTTTTATTGATCCTGCAAAAATTGTTTGCCTTTCTGTGAAATCATTTGTACTGTCAAGCTCTTTGCTTGTGTGCCCATCCATTTGGCTAAGGAGTCAACCATGAGCACAGTGGGAATTGCACACTTCATCTGAATCCTCCACACCTGGCATTGCATCTGGCACATAATAGGAATGCAGGCAATATTTGTTGACTATAATTGAACTAAAGATTGACGTTATTAATTCCCCGTGAAGAAACTGAAGTCCTCCACTGAAAGAGGAATTGCTTTGCAAATCCCACACTGATGGAGCACACCATTATTTCTGTTCTTCCCCGTCCATCTTCCTTGTAACTGTCTCTTCTTGAAGAAAGTAAAAGTAATTCTATTTTGGGTTTATTACAGGCTTTCCCCTTAGCCCCATTGCTACTCACTCCATAGTGACTTCTTGGGGTTTTTCAAAATGTTGCAACTGAAGATCATGGATACTCAAGTGGGCTTCAAACTCTTAGGAAGAATGGGGTCTGTGAGCAGCATAGTAGTAGCCAGAATTTTACCTTTACCATCTGCAGAACCGAAGCCTCCAGTGCCCTGGCTGAGTAGCTAGGGCAGTGTCAGGGCAATGCTCCCTCCTCCCTCTGCCCCACTACCTGATGTGGACGTGTCCCTCGAAAGGCCTGGGGACTACACCCAAGCAAAATTCCCTGGAAGCACTGAATAAGGAGATAAAGCCCCACAAATATTCTTTAAAATAAATCTCCCACTCTCTCTGCACACACACACACGAATGCACACACATACATATGCACACTTTTTTTTGAGAAAGATATCACATTTTATTATATATATATATATATACATATATATATATATATATATAGTACATGTGCACAACATGCCGGTTTGTTACATATGTATACATGTGCCATGTTGGTGTGCTGCACCCATTAACTCATCATTTACATTAGGTATATCTCCTAATGCTATCCCTCCCCCCTCCCTCCACCCCACAACAGGCCCTGGTGTGTGATGTTCCCCTTCCTGTGTCCAAGTGTTTTCATTGTTCAATTCCCACCTATGAGTGAGAACATGCAGTGTTTGGTTTTTTGTCCTTGCGATAGTTTGCTGAGAATGATGGTCTCCAGCTTCATCCATGTCCCTACAAAGGACATGAACTCATCCTTTTTTATGGCTGCATAGTATTCCATGGTGTATATGTGGCACATTTTCTTAATCCAGTCTATCATTGTTGATTTGGGGTGGAGACTTCTGTAGATGTCTATTAGGTCCGCTTGGTGCAGAGCTGAGTTCAATTCCTGGATATCCTTGTTAACTTCTGTCTCGTTTATCTGTCTAATGTTGACAGTGGGGTGTTAAAGTCTCCCATTATTATTGTGTGGGAGTCTAAATCTCTTTGTAGGTCTCTAAGGACTTGCTTTATGAATCTTGGTGCTCCTGTATTGGGTGCATATATATTTAGGATAGTCAGTTCTTCTTGTTGAATTGTTCCTTTTACCATTATGTAATGGCCTTCTTTGTCTCTTTTGATCTTTGTTGGTTTAAAGTCTGTTTTGTCAGAGACTAGGATTGCAACCCCTGCCCTTTTTGTTTTCCATTTGCTTGGTAGATCTTCCTCCATCCCTTTATTGTGAGCCTATGTGTGTGTCTGCATGTGAGATGGGTTTCCTGAATACAGCACACTGATGGGTCTTTTTATAAACATTTTGAAATTGAAGTGCAGTATCTACAAAAATTGCACAAGTCATAAGTCCTCAATGACTTATGACAAAGAGAATACGCCCATATAAGAAATACAGAAAGCATAAAATCACCACACTTCAGAGGCCCCCTACATGCTCCCTGCTATGCCCTGCATCCTCCCAGAGGTAAACACTGTCCCAATTTCAAACAGCACATATTAGTTTTCCTAATCTTAAAACTTGTATAAATGGAATAAGTCATTATTTACTCTTTTGTGTCTGTCTGCTTTCAGAAAATGTTGTTTATGAAATTCACCCATATTTTAGAGTATAGTTTTATTTTGTTCATTTTCATTGGTGAATAGTATTCCATTGTATAAAAATATCATACTTTATTCATCCGTCTTATCAGGATTGCTTCCTCTTTGGGGTCTCTTCCACATAATGTCTTTAAGAACATGTCTGAACATATTTTTCAGGACATGTAAGTACCCATGTCTGTTGGGTGAATTTCTGTGCCATATGGTGTGCATATGCTTAGCTCTAGTGCACAGTGCCAAACAGTTTTCCAAAGTGACTCTGTCAATTTGCATTCTAACCAGCAGTGAATGAATTCTCCACTTTGTAACTATGCCAACAGTTGGTATTTTAACTCCAGTCATTCTGGTAGATGTGTAGTGATACCTCATTGTAATTTTATTATATTTTCCTTATAACTAAAAGGTTGGAAAACTGCCCAGTATGTGTGGAAGTATTAGAGAATAATTAATTAATCACTAAAGGACACAATGAATGAATGGAAAGAAAAGCATGGCTTCAATTAAAACTGCATTTGCTGCATTGTGGAAGTAGAGGTTCGCTAATCACTGAGCGCCATGCTCCCACTGGCATGGACTGTTAACAGGGCTCAGTTCTGTCTGAACTCCCCTCCCATTATTCAGAGTCTCAGCAGTCCCAGGGCTCAGAATGCTAACAACCAGTCCTCCTTCCTGGTGTGGGTTCCAGGCCGCCAGGTCTCCAGACTGTTCGCCAACATTGTAGGGTTTCAGCTATGTCCTTTGTAGGCACCTTCTTGTTTAGTTGAAGATGAAGTAGGACAGAAGGACTAACCCTCTTCCCCCACCTTTCTGAAAAATGCCTAAATTTGGGTCCCAAGGATTGTAACTTCAGTGAACATCCTACTGGAGACAGCCAAGAGTAAAGAATGGCTGGGACAACCTTAAGTTAGCCAGGGTTTGTGGGAAGCATTAGTGTCAACTGGGGAACTCAGTGACTGACTATAAGTTTCAAAGGTCAGAGATGGTGTGACCAGTATTGAAGTCAGGCATTGCAGGGCTATTAGCACTAATGGAACCAGAGACTATATGATGATCTGGGTACAGTGTGACCAAGCTGGGGAGAGGGGAAGAGCCTCTTGCACTGCCGCCCTCAGCAGAGTTGTGCATTGGTGAAGCTCAGTGGCTCCCACTCATGGTCCTACCTGTGGCATCTTACCTTGATCCTCATGATTATGTCCAACATCAAACAGCCTCCATTACGCTTGACAAGACTGATACTGAGTCCCATGACTTCCTTTGAAAGAGGAAAACTAACAATTTCCTCAGACCATAATGAGAAATATCAGGGCAGTAAAAGCAACAATTGATCACAGGTCACATATACAGGGACACTGGTACTAACTCACCCCTAAAATGTCACATTGCTTCATTCTTGATCTAACTTGGCCTTGCTGTAATTGGCTTGCTGGTAACATTTAATTAATTGATCTAGGTTGTACCTAAGTGAAAGGAAAAGACTTATAGAGTCAAATGTGTAATCTCTATCCTTGAATACAGGCTCTTTTATTACTTTTTTCCTGTTGCCGTTCGTGGAAATCCCGTGAACTCCATCACTAACCACATCTTGCTTAGAATCGTCCCTCCACCAATGACTAGATTTATCACCTTGCATAATTTAAACTGTATGCTAATTTCTTTATCAGTTGATGGGTATTATAATATCTCTGTTCTAATACTGAGGAATTAAACGAGATGTTGAAGCTACCATAAAATTAGTGTTCAAAAAATAATATTCCTTTCTTCTTTCCAAGGCTTGGGGCCTTACTCTCAATCCTTGTTTTAGATTGAACCACTCCCAATGATACAAATTCCTTTTTTCCAAGTGAAATAACTCACTCAGGGTGAGGACCTTCACTCAGGAGGAAGTCCACCCAACACAGCAGGTACTGTCAACACTTTTGATATGGGTTTCAACCTCACAGGGAAACCTCACAGGGTAACAGATCCAAAGTCTTCACCACTGAAAGGGATGATGGTCCAAGGACAGAGGTGTAGACACTTACAGAGAACTTCTGAAGCCCCATCTGTTTATGCCAGGTGAGCCCTGCCATGCATATTTTTATTTTGTCACAAAACTACCAGTCAGTGGTAAAATTTAAACGTACAAAGTAAATCCAATATCAGAGAACAAACAATCCCTTAGTCTTGTTGCCTCATCCCTGGACAATTGTTGCTGCTTTGATATGCGGCCCTGCCTTCAGGCTTCCCTCCGTTCTGCTCCCATGTCTCTACCACACTAATCTTCCTTCAATCTTCCTCCCACAGTTCTGCTTCTTGCCTACAAGCTTTCGATGGCTCACAGCACCTAAGGATAAGTGTTCTAATCCTTCACCTGCCGTGTGAGGACTCTTCATGTGTCAATGTAGCTTTCCAACGTCACACCCATCCTCTGTTTTATTCAAGTATTCCGTTCTTAAAGGAATGAAAACTCTGACCTGTGACTACACATTTAATGTCCTGTTTCATTTTCTTTGCTACTGTGAAAATGTGGCAGACCCTGAAATTTTGACACTCCACAGACAGTGCTCCTCATCTGATGTTAGCCTTTGTAAATGTCAGTCCTACCTAGGTGCCTTCTTATAATAGTAGCTGGATAAATGGGTTCTCGGATTAGAATGATCACTGAGAATGATTGAACTTAATAAAAAGGCAATGATTGTACAGTCAACTTAGTAGTTACATTCAGCAAACTGCATGCCAGACATTTGGGTATAAATGGAGACTTTGACTTCCTTCCACTCGGTATCTACTGGTACTCACTGATAACCTGATCACTGTGGGTGTGATGTCTTTACTGATACCTGGACCCTTTTCTCCAGGCATTTTTCCCATTCTGTTGATCCTGTTCTGTGAGCCCTTGTTAACAACAAATCTTTATCTTGGCATTCCATTTGGTTAAAATTTATATTTTATATTTATATTTTAACAGATTCTATATTTTAATAACTTTTATTATGAATAGTTGCATTAAAATAAATCAGATTGGGTTTGGTAGACCTGAACCTTGTCATTCCTATTCTTCCATTATTTCATATAGTAATGTATATAAAAAGCATATGCTCAGGAGTTCAAGACCAGCTTGGCCAAGATGGTAAAATCCTGTCTCTACTAAAAATACAAAAAAAAAAAAAAAATAGCCAGGCGTGGTGGCGGGTGCCTGTAATCCCAGCTATTCAGAAGGCTGAGGCAGAAATTGCTTGAACTTAAAAACTCTAGAAGAAAACCTAGGCAATACCATTTAGGACATAGGCATGGGCAAGGACTTCATGTCTAAAACACCAAAAGCAATGGCAACAAAAGCCAAAATTGACAAATGGGATCTCATTAAACTAAGAGCTTCTGCACAGCAAAAGAAACTACCATCAGAGTGAACAGGCAATCTACAAAATGGGAGAAAATTTTCACAACCTACTCATCTGACAAAGGGCTAATATCCACAATCTACAATGAACTCAAACAAATTTACAAGAAAAAAACAACCCCATCAAAAAGTGGGCAAAGGATATGAACAGACACTTCTCAAAAGAAGACATTTATGCAGACAAAAAACACATGAAAAAAATGCTTATCATCACTGGCCATCAGAGAAATGCAAATCAAAACCACAATGAGATACCATCTCATACCAGTTAGAATGGCGATCTTAAAAAAGCCAGGAAACAACAGGTGCTGGAGAGGATGTGGAGAAGTGGGAACACTTTTACACTGTTGGCAGGACTGTAAACTAGTTCAACCATTGTGGAAGTCAGTGTGGTGATTCCTCAGGGATCTAGAACTAGAAATACCATTTGACCCAGCCATCCCATTACTGGGTATATACCCAAAGGATTATAAATCATGCTGCTATAAAGACACATGCCCACGTATGTTTATTGCGGCACTATTCACAATAGCAGAGACTTGGAACCAACCCAAATGCCCAACAACGATAGACTGGATTAAGAAAATGTGGCACATATACACCATGGAATACTATGCAGCCATAAAAAATGAAGAGTTCATGTCCTTTGTAGGGACATGGATGAAACTGGAAACCATCATTCTCAGCAAACTATCTCAAGGACAAAAAACCAAACACCACATGTTCTCACTCATAGGTGGGAATTGAACAATGAGAACACATGGACACAGGAAGGGGAACATCACACTTTGGGGACTGTTGTGGGGTGGGGAGGAGGGGAGGGATAGCATTAGGAGATATACCTAATGCTAAATGACGAGTTAATGGGTGCAGCACACCAACATGGCACATGTATACATATGTAACAAACCTGCACATTATGCACATGTATCCTAAAACTTAAAGTATAATAATAATAAAATTAAAAAAAAAAAAAGAAATTGCTTGAACTTGGGAGGCGGAGGTTGCAGCGAGCTGAGATCGTGCCACTGTACTCCAGCCTGACCAACAGAGCGAGACTCTGCCTCCAAAAAAAAATATATATATATGTATATGTATATAAAGATATATATATATATGTAGTAAACACAGTTTTCCAATGTAGAACACGATTAAAACTGAAACCACCGGCAGCAACCCGTGTCCCTTCATTCTCACCCTTTCCAGGCCACAGCTCATTTCTCTTTTTGGGACCGGCTTGCAGAAGGCTTGCTGATAAAATGAGTTGTGCCTGAATGGATGCCTTGCAGTCTCTGTGGTAGTTGGAGAAGTATTCAAAGCTGCTGCCCTAGCCAGTCTCTTAGATGCACCAGCTAGCTGTGTCAGTGTTCAGCAGTCCTCAAGGTGCATAAACCTTCATGTCAGTAGGATCTGTGGTTGAGTGCATCTGAAAAGTAATGATAAAAATAAATAGACACTGAAGAGCCTTTCCATTGAGGCTCTAAGAGTGGTCTCAATGCTTTTACTTCTTTTTTTCATCCTGTAAATATACTTATTAATAATATTGTTTGGTAATATTTTCAAAAAATTTTAATAAACACTTTTAGCAGCAGTGAGCTCAACACGTTAAATGTTTGATGACAAAGTCAGCACATAAATTAGTGTTTCAAGAATGTTAACAAGCATGCACAAAATGCCGACATAATAATCATTAGAGCCAAAGTGTTATTAATGACCATTTAGAAACCAGAAGACATGTCTGCAGAAGATGTGTCAGTATCTATTTCAAAAGTTAGTGGTTGTTTTAAGAAGACTGCACCCAAAGATAATGTCTTTTTAAAAGTATCTGCAGAAGGAACATTTGCATTTCACTCGAGAAAGCACAATTTTTCATTTAGACTGATTAACTTGTTTTTCAAAATAATCTAATTTTTTAATTCCAGTATTTTTGCACACATGCTAGAAGTAAAGTGATAGCTAAAAATGAATTGGTTTCATTATGAGAAAATCTCTTCTATCAGTTAAATGATGTGAAAAACTGAAAGAATATCTTACCAACAGACCTCTATCAAAAAAAGAAAAAAAAAAGATTTTTTTAAAGCACAAGTATATGACCCCACAGGGAAACATAGAATTGCAGGAAAAAAAGCCACTGAAAGAAGTGTATATGTAAGAAAATATTGATGTATATTGATGTTGGTGGAACATATTCTGCACCAACAATAATAGCAATGTGACATAGAGTTTATAATGCATGCAGAATTAAAATTCAGGGGAACAATAGCACAAAAATAGGCCCTGAAGAATGCAAGTAAATTGTTCTGAGGTTTTAGAATTACTGGAGAAAATATAAAATCAATATTTTTTGTTATGCAGAAAAAGAATGCAAATTAGATAGTTTGTATTTCTGTGGGGTCAGTGGTGATATCCCCTTTACCATTTTTTGTTGTGTCTATTTAATTCTTCTTTCTCTTCTTTATTAGTCTAGCTGGTGGTCTCTCTCTTTTGTTATTTTTTATTTATTTATTTATTTTTTCAAAAAACCAGCTCCTGGATTCGTTTTTTTTTTTTTTTTTTTTTTTTTTTTGGAGTGTTTTTTTGATCTCTATCTCCTTCAATTCTTCTCTGATCTCAGTTATTTCTTGTCTTCTGCTAGCTTTTGGATTGGTTTGCTTTTGCCTCTCCAGCTCTTTTAATTGTGATGTTAGGGTGTCGATTTGAGATCTTTCCAGCTTTCTGATATGGGCATTTAGTGCTGTAAATTTCCCTCTTAACACTGCTTTAGCTATGTCCCAGAGATTCTGGTATGTTGTCTCTTTGTTCTCATTGGTTTCAAAGAACTTCTTGATTTCTGTGTTAATTTCAACATTTACCCAGGAGTCATTCAGAAGCAGGTTGTTCAATTTCCATGAACTTGTATGGTTTTGGGTGAGTTTCTTAATCCTGAGTTCTAATTTGATTGCACTGTGGTCTCAGAACCTAGCAATACCATTCAGGACATTGGCATGGACAAAGACTTCATGACAAAAATGCCAAAAGCAATTGCGGCAAAAGCCAAAATTGACAAATGGGATCTAATTAAACTAAAGCACTTCTGCACAGCAAAAGAAACTACCATCAGAGTGAACAGGCAACCTACAGAGTGGGAGATAATTTTTGCAATCTACCCATCTGACAAAGGTCTAATATCCAGAATCTACAAGGAACTTAAACATATTTACAAGAAAAAACAGACAACCCCATCAAAAAGTGGGCAAAGGATATGAACAGACACTTCTCAAAAGAAGACATTTAGCAGCCAACAAACATGAACAAAAGCTCAACATCACTGATCATCAGAGAAATGCAAATCAAAACTGCAATGAGATGCCATCTCGTGCCAGTCAGAATGGCAATTATGAAAAAGTCAGGAAACAATAGATGCTGGTGAGGCTGTGGAGAAAGAGGAATGCTTTTACACTATCGGTGGGAATGTAAATTAGTTGAACCATTGTGGAAGACAGTATGGTGATACCTCAAGGATCTAGAACTAGAAATACCATTTGACCCAGCAATCCCATTACTGGGTATATACCCAAAGGAATATAAGTCATTCTACTACAAAGGCACATGCAGATGTATGTTTACTGCAGCACTACTTACAATAGCAGAGACATGGAACCAACCCAAATGCCCATCAATGATAGACTGGATAAATAAAATGTGGTACATTTACACTACAGAATACTATGCAACCATAAAAAGGAATGAGTTAATGTCCTTTGCAGGGACATGGATGAAGCTGGAAGCCATCATCCTCAGCAAACTAACACAGGAACAGAAAATCAAACACCACACGTTCTCACTCATAAGTGGGAGTTGAGTATTGAGAGCACATGGACACAGGGAGGGGAACAACACTCATCAGGGCCTGTTGGGGGGTGGGGGGTTGAGGGAAGGGGACTTAGAGGATGGGTCAATAGGTGCAGCAAACAACAATGGCACACGTATCCCTGTGTAACAAACCTGCACGTTCTGCATGTGTCCTGTTTTTTTCAGAAGAATTTTTTTTAAAGTGCAAATTAGAATATCTAAGGTAAATTCTTAAATAAAACAATGCATAAATAATAAGTTAAAAAAGGAATAATAAAAATATCTGATTAATCTAGAAAAAGATAAAAGGGAACATAAAAAAGGTAATATAAAAACAAATAGTAAGATGATAGTTAAGAAACCAGATACATTAAATATAAATGGATTAAATAGTCTATATAAAATAGTACAATTTTTAGAGATGGTTAAAGAAGAAAAATTTGGTAAGTTGGGCATTATTAATATTAAAAAGAAAGAAAAACTTTTGCTCGGCAAAAGCTCATGTGAAGAGAATAGAAAGACAAATTATAGCCTGGTTGAAAATATTTGCAAACTATACATTTGACAAAGGACTAATATCTAGACTGTGTAAGGAATTCAACTAGTTAAATATGGAAAATGAGCAAAATACCTGAACAGAAATTTCACCAGAGGCTCTGCAGCTGGCAAGTGAGCCCAGGAAATGATGTTTGGTACCATCAGCCACCAAGGAAATTCAAACTAAAACCACAATGAGACACCACTACAAATTGATCAGAATATGTAATTTTTAAAAAATGTGATGGTGCTGGCCCTGTGTGGTGGCTCACGCCTATAATCCCAGCACTTTGGGAGGCCGAGGCAGGCGGATCACGAGGTCAGGAGATCGAGACCATCCTGGCTAAAGTGGTGAAATCCCATCTCTACTAAAAAATACAAAAAAATTAGCCACGCATGGTGGTGTGTGCCTGTAGTCCTAGTTACTCGGGAGGCTGAGGCAGGAAAATGGCCTGAACCCGGGAGGCGGAGCTTGCAGTGAGCCGAGATCATGCCACTGCACTCCAGTCTGGGCGACAGAGTAAGACTCCATCTCAAAAAAAAAAAAAAATTGTGTGACAGTGCCAAATATTGGTGAGAATGGGGAGAAGCTGGACCCCTCATACATCCTTGTTGGGAATGTAATATGGTCCAGTCACTAAAAAATGGTTTCTCAATTTCTTATAAAATTAATCATGCAATTAACACACAACCCAGCAGTAGCTCTCTTGAGAATAAAATGAAATAAAAACTTATGCACACACAAAAACAGTATGTGAATGTTCATAGCAGTTTTATTTGTTGTCACCAAGAACTGGAAAGTCAAGATGCTCTTAAACAGGCCAATGGTTAAACAAACTGTTACATGTATACCATTAAATACTGATCAGCAGTAAAAAGGAATAGACTACTGATACATCCAACAACTGGATGAATCTCCATGAAATTTTTCTGAGTACAAAAATGCCAAATCAAAAATGTTACATACTGTGTGATTCTCTTTATTTAACTTTGTGAAGTGACAGCATTTAAAAAAATGAGGAATAGATACGTTATGTCTAGGGCTTAGGGGAGGCAGCAAGGTGAGCATGAGGAAGGTGTGCTTGGTGATAAATGAGCCGTGCAAAGGAATCTCGAGGCAATTGAATGGTTTAACATCTCGACTGTGGTGGTGGATACAAAATCCTATAATTATGATAAAATTGTACAGAACTAAATGCACACACCCAAACAAATGACTACAAGTAAAACTGGAGAAATAGTAATAAGATCAGTAGATTGTATTCTGGTTTTGACATACTACTATACTTTTGCCAAATGTTACCATTGAAGGGAACTTGGTAAATCGTACAGAGGCTCTCTCTATATTATTATTTTTTTTGCAGCTGCATGTGAATTTACAATGATCTTAATAAAATTGCAGCTACAAAATCTAGTAAGAATAAATGTCATGAAATATGTACCTTCACATTGAGGAGTACACAGTATTGTTGCTATAATCCATATAGTTACTATAAATTAAAGAATAACAATATAAATGGAGGGATACACCATGTTCATTGACAGGAGAAACCCATATTGCAAAGATGTTATTTCTCCCCAAATTGTTATACTCAATGCAATCTCAATCACAATCCCAGCTAGTTGTTTCAAAAAATTGACTCACTGATGCTAAAATGTTTAAAAAATGCAAAGTGCAAAAGTAACAGGCAATCTTGATGAGCAGAAAGATTATTCTGCAATATCAGATGTCAAGACTTATAAAAATAAAATACATAACACTTTTTATAATGGTGCAGAAAAAGACAAATGAAATGGACAAAATAAAGGGTCAAGAAACAGATGCATAATATAGTCATCTATTATATGACAAAGGTGGCACCCTCATGTGGTGTATATAAATTTTTATATTCAATACATTATATGAAATCAATTGGTTACCATACAGAAAAAAGTAATGAATTTTGATCCCTACCTCTAAGTTTACACAAAAATCAGTTTCAGATGGATTGTTTATGCAAATATGAACAGCAAAACAATAATACTTTAAGAATAAAACTTAAAATTTATCTTCATGAATTTCTGTCAGGAAAATATTTTTTAAATAGGGAATAAAACTGCTTTTTTCTTTTGGAGATGGAGTCTCACTGTGTCACCCAGGCTGGAGTGCAGTGGCGTGATCTCGGCTCACTGCAACCTCCGCCTCCTGGGTTCAAGTGATTCTCCCACCTCAGCCTCCTGAACAGCTGGGATTACAGGTTCCTGCCATCATGCCTGGTTAATTTTTGTATTTTTCTAGAGACGGGGTTTCACCATGTTGGCCAGGCTGTTCTTGAACTCCTGACCTCAGGTGACCTGCCCACCTTGGCCTCCCAAAGTGCTGGGATTACAGGCTTGAGCCCCCATGCCTGGCCAAAAGTGCTGTTTTTAAAGAAAGAGTTGATAAATATGAGGACATTAAAATTGAGAATATACATTTAGCAGAGGACACTGTTAGGAGAACGAAAAGACTAGCACATAGAGCAGAGATTATATATGATAGATATATCTAATAAAGTACATTTTTCCAAAATATATCATGGACACCTTCAAAGAGTTCACTGACTTAAACAATCACTTCACAGAATAGCAGATGCAAGGGCCATCAAATTGTGAAAACATGCTAAAATCTATTAATGATCTGGGGAATGCAAATCAATATCACAACAATAGTGGTTATATTGTTTGCGAAAATGGCCGTATTAATTTATATCTCTGCAGGTATGTTCCTTTGCAAGGAGTTTTTGCCCCTCCTTCCATAAAAATGTAACATTTATTTCCACAAATATAACATATTTAAATACAAAACTGTAGAAACTCTTGAACCTGGAATGGCCTTGCCACTTGCTTTTACCATTAGAATGTGAAAGAAGTGATGTTATGTGCCTCCTTGGAATGTTGCTGTCACCATGCAAAATGCCCAGGTGAGCCTCCTTAAGGAAAAGAGAGCAATATGGACAGGGAGGCAGAGCCAGCAACCAATACCAAATGTCAAACCTGGGAGTGTGGCCATGGTGAACTATCCAGTACCAATTTAGCCCTTAGATAAGTAGAGCAGCATAAATGACCCCTGGAAGGATTAGCAGAGAAACTCCCCAGCTGACCCAAATCAGATTGCTGACCCATGTAATTGCACAATGTAGGAAGATGGTTTTGATTTTAAGCCTGTAAGTTTTTGTATCATTTGTTACACAGCATTCACTAACTGAAACAATGATATAACTCTACACACCCACCAGAGTAGCTAAAATGAAACATAGAGGCAATAAAAATATTTCGCACAGTTCAGAGCAACTGAAATGCTTATACTTTGTTGCCGGAAGTGTAAACTGGCACAATTCTTTTGGAACACCACTGGCAGTATCTACCAAGTTTAAAAAAAAGTAAATGGTGATACATTCCTGTATTATACAGCCATGAGAGCAAAGAACCACAGCTATACACAACTACCTGGATTGGTATCACAACCACAATGCTAAGTTCCTAGGAAAGAACTAAACCAAGCTACGTGGAGACAAGAGTCTCTGCTTTCCTGGCAGTTTTAATGTTTTGCTTTCTCCATGCGTTTTTCCCCTTATTGGAGATTATTCTGCAGAGAAAGAGCAGCCGCTAGACAGAAACTTAGACAAAGCTTCCCTCAGGCTTCCCTCCCCTCCTCCCTCATCAAATATGTATTATGGTGCAATGTGCCAGCCTCAGAAAGGGGTCCTGCAACAATATGAAAATTAATTTTATTTCCTTCTCAATGAACTCTGTGGAAAATTCTGTGAGATTAGACAAATGAACAACAAAAAAAAAATCTAAAATGGACTTCTAAGTTGGAGTGAGTCATGGAGGTCCTAAACAGATATCTACAAATCAATATGGGGAATCCAGGAAGGCTCTGAGCTTCTGATGGGAAATAAACATCTACCAGGTGCCGGGAATGGCAACTGTCAGATGGCAGAGAAAACAGTAACAGCAGACACTGAGATGTATGATGCAGTACACTCTGCAGGTCACTGCCTGCTGGGTGTGGACAAGGAGCACAGGGACCTGGCAAGAGATCAAGCAGCAAAGGTAAGTGGGCACCGGGCCATCCACATCCTGCAGGAGACAGGGAGCACAGCTGTCATCACTGCTTTCCTGGTGAAGATATGCAGACCCTTTACTCCAAGGGTAAGATGAAATAGTCATTACAAGTGCAGATTTCAGAATTAGAAAGATTTGCTGGCTGTGTGATCATGGGGAGTCACATTACCTCTCACAGCTTCCATTTCTTTGTCTGTAACATCTGGATGTTAATGATACTTATCTCATAGGTTTGTTAGTAGAATTAGTCCAGAAGAGACATAATCTACTAATGCCAAGAGCCTGGTACACAGTTAGTCCCCGGTAAATAGCAACCGTTATAGTGCTACTGTTTTCAGGCATCTCAGAATGAAGTTTTTCACACCAGATCAAAGGTGCTTACTGCTCTACTATACCAGAGGCTTCCACAGTTCCTCCAAAGGGCCTCTCGGTCCCAGGCTCGAAAGTCAAGTGTAAGCGTAGGACACGAGACACAGGAATGAGCCCTCTGTTTAGTATTCTGGAGCAAGTGAAAGCCCCCTTACCCTCAATCACATTTGCATCAGCATTTCTAAATTGCACATTGTTTTCTGGTGATCCTCACGATTTAAATTTTAATCATCTTTTTCTGGAAAAACAAATGAAAAATAAGAAACAAAAATGAGCTGGAGATACTGCATTTCTCTAAAAGGCTACCACTAATTAAGATGTTGAAAGCAATTTTAACACCATTCCTCACCACTGTGACAAATCTGACAGGTTTACAAATTAGTATTCTGGGACTCTCAAACTGGATGTCCATGTTTTGTCAGATTCTGTGAAGGATCACAAACGTGCTTGGTGATTGCTGCAAGTAATACAATAGCTCACAAAAAACAAAGTACACTCTCAGGAAACTGGCCCCTTGGGGAAATATTTTGGGCAACAGAAAATGCTGCCCACTGTCCTCCCCACCACCAACTCTTGCTAAGAAAAGAGGGCATACTCCACAGCCAGTGTGTGATGTTCCCCTTCCTGTGTCCATGTACCCTAAAACTTAAAGTATAATAAAAGAGGGCATACTCAGCCATGGAAAAATCAAGGTGGATTTTCAGGGACCCCAAGGTGGCAGAGGCCAAGTAGCCTCCCACTCCTGGGTGTCTTCTATAATCTATACTGGCCTGAGCCAGCAGAGCATAAGACTCACCCAGCTCTGGCCATTAAAACCCTACTTCTTTTAGTGAAATCTTTCCCTCTAGGGCTTTCCCCCATTAGTCCTGGAGCAACCCTTGGGTGCTGCACACAATGAATCTAAAGCCACTTTCAAACACCGGCCCTTCAACTTCAACAACAGCAGCAGGGAGGCAATCAGAGTTCGTACTTTAACATGGGTCACCTGCTTTCCCATACATAATTTTGTTGTATGCATCATAATAAACATTTTATCAATGGGAAACCTACATTCTCCCTGACTTTGCTAGTGAGACCACTTAGATTCAGAAAGATTAAGTGACTTGCTCCAATTCACATACCTAGTAAGTGGTAGATTTGGGGTATCAGTAATGACCCCAGAACTTGGTTTAAAGTCCTCACCAGTGTAAAATAAGTTCACCACTTTGAAATAAGTTCCAGCTAATTTGTATCCATAAATATAAAGCTTAAATCCCTGAGTTCCATAAGGCAACTGGATCCACTAGGATAGCACCACTCAAAGGAATGCTATTTCAATACAATCACATTCAACAAAGGTTTGCTGGGCATCTGCTATGGTTTGGATGTGATTTCTCCTTGCCAAAACTCATGTTGAAATTTGATACCCGATGTAGCACTGTTGGGAGGTGGGGCCTAGAGAGAGGTGTTTGGGTCATGGGGACAGATCCCACACGAATAGATGAATGCCATCTTGTGGGAGTGAGTTCTCACTCTTGCAAGGTTGGATTAACTATTGGACAGCTGGTTTAGAAGCAAATTTAAATTCCTAAACTCTCTCTTGCTTCCTTTCATGCCATGTGATGTCTTTGCACATACCCACTTCAGTTCTACTTTCTGCCATGAATGGAAGCAGCATGAGGCCTTCATTAGATGCAGCTGCTCAGCCTTGGAATTTCCAGTCACTAGAATCATGAGCCAAATAAACCTCTTTTCCTCATAAATTACTCAGCTTCAGGTACTCTGTTATAGCAATATAAATGGACTAAGGCAGCCTCTATTTTGGGCCAGACACTGACCTAAGTACTAGGGATTTAATTAGGAGATACTGATAATGAAACAGGTACAAGCTGAAGGAGAAATATGTCGTTAGAAACATGGTACTTGATAAATCCAAGAGGAAAAGAGTGATTCCCCTAGAGAGGAGATACTCCCACAAGAGTCATGAGCACTGTCCTGAGGATATGGGGCATGGGACTATAGGGAGGACCCCACTGGTGCTGTGACTTTGCTGATCTGTAGCCCTCCCTGAGTGTGTCAATGCGTATGGATGTCATTACCAGAAGTTTCTTGATACCATTTACATTTGTCAGTTCAACCAGGCCTTCATGTGTGGTTCCATAAAAAACTTATATCAGATATTGCTGTTATTACACTGTGTTGTACTTACAACTTGAGTTCCTTATCGCTATCATGACTGGGTTCCTAAAGGATGGAAATCATGTCATATTCATAGCTAGTAGCCTGCTGCAACACAGGGGCTGGCAGGAAAGAAGTGCATGGTAAATATTTGATACAAAACAAATCCTGAAGTGTTTCCTAAGCCATTACACAACACATTAGTAACAATTTGAAGCCCCATTAAATAATACTTTCTGTTGAATAAAATTCATTTGAATCAAAAATGATTGTTTTGGCGGTTATGAGGAAAAAACTGCACTTGTTAAGGCCAAGTTACTAATTCTCCCAGTGTCTGTGCTAGAGATTCAAATCATTTGGTCTTCTTATTAGGGCCCTTCCAGGATATTTGGAACCCAAGATGAAGGTGAAACCACATAGCACAGGGTGCTCCAAATATGTACTTTTACAGCAAATAAGCTATTTAGGATAGTTTCTCATTTTATTATGTGCTGTAGCTGCGACTGGGCTTGCTGAATTGCCATTTCCCACTGGAGAGGAATAATTCCAGAGGCAATTCTGAAAGGTCATTCCTGCCAGGGAATTTTTGATAAATTGTCTGACATAAACTCAATGTTAGATGACAATGTTTTTCTCTTCTTTTCTCTCTTTTTATCTTTTCTTATCCTCCCTCTCATTTCCCTTCTTTCCTTTTTCTTCTTAATATGAAGACATTCTGTGTTGGTAAATTTAGCATGTAGGTAACAATGGAATAGAGAGAGATTCAGGTTGAATTTCAATAACATCTAGGACATCATTAGAGGTGTCAGCTTCAAGGAGAATTTAGAAAGTGGAACCAGATATAACTATAAGCATACCTTTTCTCACCATTGTCCCTTTCCTGTGTGTAGGTCATTCTTCCCCTGGGTCCCAAGGTAAAGACTTGTAATCCTAGCACTTATAGTAGTAATACTAACATTCAGCACACTTCAGATTCAACTATGAGCTGAGAAAGTTTTACCCATTATTTCATTTAAATTCTATTAATCATGCAGTTAATTGGTTTATTACTACATTTCAGAGAGATATAAAGAGGCTTAGAGAAGTGAGCTATTTCACAGTAACA
Organism: Homo sapiens; assembly: GCF_000001405.40. Taxonomy (NCBI): domain Eukaryota; kingdom Metazoa; phylum Chordata; class Mammalia; order Primates; family Hominidae; genus Homo; species Homo sapiens. The sequence continues at coordinate 129,278,287 of NC_000002.12, read as the reverse complement.
TTGATAGCAATAAAGTAATATTCATCCCAGGCCTGTGTGCTTCCAAAAACCTGTGCATTTAGTCCTGTCTTGTTTCTCCATAACACACAGTATTCTGTATCTGATGATGTCTGTTGAGGGCACAGGTCATGTCTTTGCTCTGCCTTATAGATGCCTGCACAGTGCACCAATAACAGATGCTCAACATGGGTTTATTGGAAGAAGGAATAAACAAATGAAAAAACAAGTGTGTGAAACCACTGTTGCCTCAATAAGTCATTTATTCAACATTCCTTGAGTATTTTATCATGAGCTAGACCAGAGTTCCTTAGAAGCAGAGCCTGAGACAGGGATTTGCATGATTTATTGAGGAAATGATCTCAGGAGAAAGGGGATGAAGGAAGGATGACAGAGTAGGGCAAAGATAGGCAAAGATGTGGTCTCAGCTGGAGACTGACTTCAGCCTGATCCCATGGGGAGTTCTTGTGTGTGAATTGTATTGCAGAGTGCAATTAGGCAAAAAGCCAGACTTTTATCACTTAGTCATTAGCTGTGAGCTGTCCATAGGGGAGGGGCCACAAACTCCCAATCAGGCAGCTTCTAATAGCTAAGTGTGATTCTCTGGAGAAAGGGGCAGCTGTGAGCCATTAGCAGCCAACACGCAAAGGAGCTGAGGGTAGGTGACCAGTGGCTGGCGAGAGAGTGGAGTGATTGAAGGGATTAGGAGGAACCAACAGCATCTCCCAAAGCAGACATTATTAGAGCTCTACGGCCATTTCTACAGGGGATTCCCAGTTAGTATGTTCTTTCATTGCCTACATCCCACTTCATCACTGCCCCTCAGGGCCTGTCTTAAGACAGGCCTCCCCATGAAGTCTCCCTGGACCATTCCAACCACATGGATCTCTTTCAGAAATCCTATAGTACCTCTCTGAAACACGTGGTCATATAGTTAACCACTGCCTTTAAATGCCTTCAGATTGTTGTGCATGCATGTATCTGTTTCCTTATTAAACTTAGAAGCTCTTCCAAGGCATGGATTGTGGCATCAAATGGTAAGCCTCTATACAGCAGACTTGCTGCCCTCAGTCCAGTGCCCTACATGCTGTGAGCGATACAGCAGAAGGCACGAATCCTGTACAGTAATAAATAGTAATGACAGACTGAATAGTGACTCATAAACATGTAAAATTGCCATCCTTTCTATTTGTCAGGCAATGTGTTCATCCTGTATCGCAGGAAATCTGGAGAGAGTCTCCCTGGCAGTGATTTTATGGCTCTCTGTGATTCTTATGGCCTTTTCCATGGGCCTCTTACCCCATGGTCACCAAATGGCTACTATTGCTTTCCCAGACATCACATTTACATCCAAAAAGGAAGAGTTGTTGCCAGCTACATGTGTCCCTGTTATCAGACAAAGTAAAATATTTCTCAGAAGAGACCAGAAATCTTTCATTCCTACGATACAGCCACAATTGTGTTATAGGGTTATCCTTTTTTAGCAAAGAGTTTTGGCAAAATATGCATTTAATTTTCTCAGATGGTAGAGTACAGTGGGGTGAATTGCAACAAGAGAGAAGAGGAGTTGGGAATGTCTGTCAGGTCAGCACACAGATGTCACCTGCTACATGCAGCTACTAACTTACCTCCATTTCATAGATGAGAAAACTGAGGAGGTAATTGTCCAAGAACAGATTCACAATGAGTCCAGTATTCTTGCTCAACTCTGATTGTGCAGTCTGCACTGTTGACTACTGTGCTTTACTACTTCTTCAGTTACTGCATCTTGTACCTCATTCCTATCTCAAAATGCCAACTCCAGGATGGGGGTAATTTAGAACACTAACTTAGAGCATTCATCAATAAAGGGGAAAGTCAAACATTTCTAAATCCTGGATTGCTGTTGATTTCCAGTGAAGACTAGAGGTGAGAAAGCTGGGCCTAAGCTAATTTGGAAGAGGTCATCATGAGTACAAAATTAATGGCTGAACACTGTTAAACAGAAAAACAGGCAGATGTGTGGTGCCCTCAATGCTTACCACAGAAAAACGGTTATCCAGCAATTTTCTTTTCCTTTGGCCTGGGAAAAATAACCATTATTTTATTTGATAGCAGAACACCTAGGTAAGTTTTGCACATCATTGTTTTTATAGTTCAAACCTTCCTGTCTTAGACGATTCATTACTTTTGATGTTGTTTTCTAAATTTCTGCTGCAAGGAAGACACTTGGCAGAATGTCTCTTGGCAGAAGGAAGAGTATAAATATGAAGCTCATAAAAGAAAGGAGTCCGAGACATTCATCTTCTAATGTGGAGATAGGTGCAACTTCCAAGACACAAGCCGGCACAATACAGACAAGGTGTGTTGGCGGTTCACACTGTGTGGGCTGGAGTTGGCTCATACTGACTCATAAGAGCTGATTGCTAGCCTTTCTTCCCAACTCTGAGTGCAGGGGCATCACATTGACAGCTTGAAATCATCCATAGTGGGAGTATTTAAACCACATTACATTTAGACCATACATTGACAAAACACTGCACATAAGCTCCTTTTTCTCAGAGAGCTAGTTGTTAAATACTTACTGGCACATCACTTGTTAAGCAATTGAGCAGCTCATGCAATGAGCACAATCATGTTTCTCAGAACAAAACCAAAATGACAAGGAATATGAACAAAATTATGCCAGGCTGGCCTAGGGTTTGGAGAAGACCTCAGGTGTGAACTCAAAACTGCTCATCTTGCCTCCTGTTATGCACACAGTCGTGTCTTGTTTTTGTCAGCATCCTAAAGTTCTGGGTAATGCTGCTGGTGGGCAACTGGCCTCAGTTTCTTTAATCAGCATTTGTCTATTTTTTGCTTAGTACACCTGTTATTGTTAATCAGAAATCCAACGACAGGTGGTTACATCTATTATAAGTTCCTTAATGCTTTGGGGCAAGTTTAAATACTATCAAGTTTCTGGAGGCAAACTTACGAACTCACTTCACATTGCACATTGGAACTCTGCTCTCCCATTCATTATCCCTCTGATGAAATGACCGTTCACAGGTAATCAATAGCTAAACTGATAAATGGTAAGGCTTCTTAAAAATCCATTGCTTGATTGCTGAGACGGAATGTTTTATTCATTGACAGGTGTGATTTATCATTCAGTGGCAAGGAAGAGAACATTTGTTCCAGCTGTTCTCACCCGCATTGCACAGCAGTGGGGGCTTTCAGTCTGCTTCCATAGAGCAGACCGAGCTTTTGGTTAGGGAACTGCAACTATATTTAGCATATTAGGCCATTAGCTATCTGTAAACAGTCTGCATGCATTATTCTTCCCATTGTTCATAATTAAACTCCTCATCATGGGAATTGCAATGCAGATCGTCTTTGATCTCCTATTCAGATTCCAAAAACTATGAAGCCTTTTTGCCCATGTGGAACTGCTACTAGAGCTTGACCCAGCTTTGTAATGAAGCAATTAGTGATAGCTACTCTTGTTGAAGACCTACTCTGTGCTAGGCATTCAGTTAGGCCCTTATATAAATGATACATACATGTATGTGTGTGTATAATCTTTACAGTAACTATGAAATATTCTTATTCCTGATGTCCTCTGGTCATCTACAGAGATGCACAGTGAAAACAGAACTTCTCAGATGAAATCCAAGAAGCAAAACCACTAGGAGTGATACAAAATAAGGGACTTATTATGGAGGCTTGTTCTTATCCCATTGTGGAAGCTGGTTAAGGTTTATCTGCAGCTGATGTTGCACCTGCAGTCATCAGGGTTTCAGCAGGCAGTATGGAAAGACAAACAGAAACCACAAGGACCATCAGGAACCCATGCAATGAACTGGAAGCCACATTGCTCTGTCACCACCTCCAACCCTGGATAATAGGGGTGTTCTACTCTTATTCCTGAAACTAAACATGGATGTGGCCCAGGAGCCTAAGAAGCTGAATGAGAAGACTTGGTAGAGGCTGGAGGACTTGAAGGCCCAGCTGTCAACCAGGAAAAGGAGCAGAGGACAGGGCAGATGGTGTGAACCAAGGAGCTGGCTGCTGCCTTATGCCAACAAGGCACATGTGAGCTGCAGCAGCCTGTGTTGGGGAAGGCTAATTCTAGGCTGGCGCTCCTGTGGGTCATCTGCCTGTGTGTTGGTGTTCTCATTCCTGTGGTGGCAGGTAGGAGCCTACCTAGCTCCCATTGTCCAGTCCCTCTTGGTAGGCTCTTCCTTCATAAAGTCGCAGAACCATCCTGGCAGGCCAGCAAGCACAGGGGACTTCAGGAGCACTGTTGCAAGGGCACAGACTTTAGAGCCCAAGCAGGGTTTGGATCTCACTCAGTCTTCGTGATGAACTAGGGGCTCTGAGCCCAGTTACATCAAGTGCAAACTATGTTGTAAGTAATACTCTCTGGCTTGTGTGAGGATTCCTTGGGAAAAGATTTGCAGGCAGACTGGTGCAGTATCAGGAATGTGATATGCGACATACACTTAGCACATGCTGGTTCCTTTCTCTTCCTTCTGTAAGTCAGCACTGACCTTCAGTCCCTGTGCTGACATCCCTACCCCTGCCTCACTGCCTATTTGAGGAACTTTCCTACTCAGTGGTGCCTTATTGAAATGGAGCATATTCCTGCCACCCATAGGTTGGAGCACCCACCCCTGCTGGACAAGACCCTTCCTGGGGGGGCCACCTTGGAACTCTGAATGTAAGTACTTCCACCATTCCCGTCAGTGACCCTCCCACCCGGCCCAAGATCCCAGTTACCCTGACGCAGGCCCTGAGGCCCCTCCGAGCTGCCCCTCTCTGATTTCCCATTGCTCTCTAGAGGGCCAGATATCTGCGTGGCACCTGTAGCCAGCTCTGACCTTATCACTGGCACACCCCAAGGTGGGATCCTGTTCAGGTTCAGACCCTCTCAGTCTTCTCTACTCTCAGAGTTTACCAGGCCAAGCGTATACCTCACCTCAGTTTATAAAAGGCAATCAATTAATACTCAGGGATTTTCTAGTTATACTTTTATTTAAAATAATAAATAAATAAAATGTATTTTTAAAAATTGTCTATATTTGCAGCATAAAACTTGATGATTTGATATGCTAATATATTGTTAAATAATCAACAAAATCAACCTAATAAGTATATCCAACACCTTACGTAGTTACCTTTTTTGTGTGTATGGTGAGGATATTCAGGTTCTGCCCTCGTAGCAAATGTTAAGTAGAGAGTACAGTATTGTTACCTGTAGTTACCATGCTGTGTATTGGATCTCCAGAACATATTCACCTTGCATACATGAAACTTTGTGCTCCTCAACATCAACATCTACCCACATCCCCTTCCCCTAGCCCCTGGTAACCACCATTCTATTCTGCCTCTATGAATTGGACTATTTTAGATTCCACATATAAGTCAGATCATACGGTGTTTATCTTTCTGTGTCGGGCTTATTTCACGTAGCATAATGTCTTCCACATTCATTCATGGTGTTGCAAATGGCAGGATTTCCTTCTTTTTAAAGGAGGGCTAATATTCCATTGTATATACATGCCATGTCTTTTTCCATTTATCTATAGATGGACGCTTAGATTTTTTAAACTTTGGGTATTGTGAATTGTACTGTAATGAACATGATTGTGCAGATATCTCTTCAATTTCAGTCCTTTTGGATATATAAGAGGGATTGCTGGGATATGATAGGTCTATTTTTAATTTTTTTGAGGAACATCCATACTGTTTTCCACAATGGTCAGAATAATTTATATTACCACTAACAATGTAATAATGTATAATGGTTCACTTTTCTTTTTTCCACACTTTCGCCAACACTAGAAATATATATATATATATCACGCATATTATTAGAAATATATGTTACATGTATATTACATATACATTTATATGTGTATTATATATATTCACACATGCTATTGTAACAGGTGTGAGAGGTAATATTAATATTGTGGTTTTGATTTGCATTTTCCTAATGATTGGTGATGTTGAACATTTTTTATATATCTATTGGACATTTGTATATTTTTAGAAAAGTGTCTATTCAGGTCCGTTGCCCGTTTTTAAATCAGGGTATTAATTTTTTTTTTTTTTTTTTTTTTGCTATTTAGTTGTGTGCATTTCTTATATATTTGGCATATTAACCCCTTATCGGATATACAGTTTGCAAATACTTTCTCCAAATCTTTAGGTCCTTTTCATTTTGTTGGTTTCTCTTGCTGTACAGAAGCTTTTTAGCTTATTGTAGTCCCATCTGTTTATTTTTGCTTTTGTTACTTGTGTTCTTGTAGAATCCTAGTCAAAATATCATTGCCAAGACCAATGTCAATGAGTGTTTTTCCTAAGTTTTCTTCTAAGATTCTTATTATTTCAAGTTTTACATTTAGGTCTCTAATCTATTTTGTGTTGCTTTTTGTAAATGGCATAAGGGTCTAATTTTATTCTTTTGCAAGTAGATACCTAGTTTTCTCAACACCATTTATTCAAGAGATAATTCTTTCCCCATTATTTCTTCATTGAAAATTAGTAGACCAAATATGGTTGAGATTATTTGAGCTTTCTATTCTGTTCCATTGGTCTGCGCATCTGATTTTTATGCCAGTACCTTGCTGTTTTGATTACTACAGCTTTGTGGTACAATTTGAAATCAGGGAGTGTGACGGTTCCAAATTTGTCTTCCTTTCTCAGGATTGCTTTGGTTATTTGGGATCTTTTGTTGTGATTCTACAGGAATTTTATAATTGTTCTATTTTTGTAAAGAATATCATTGGAATTTTGATAAGGATTATGTTGAATCTGTATATGACTTTGGGTAGTATGACCATTTTTAAAATATTGATTTATTGAATCCATGAACACATTATATCTTGCCATTTATGTATATCATCTTTAATTTCTTTCATCAAAGCTTTATTATTTTCAATGTAGAGATCTTTTATCTTCTTGCTTAATTTTATTCCTAGTTTATTATTTTGATGCTATTATAAATGGTATTGTTTCCCTGATTCCTTTTTCAGATAAATCATTACTGTTGTAAATAAATGCAAATGATTTTTGTACTTTGATTTTGTATCCTGTAACTTTACTGAAATCATTTATTAGTTCCTGTTTTTTTTTTTTTTTTTTTTTGAGATGGAGTGTTGCTCTGTCACCCAGGCTGGAGTGCAGTGGTGCACCTTGGCTCGCTGCAACCTCTGTCTCCCAGGTTCAAGCAATTCTCCTGCCTCAGCCTCCCAAGTAGCTGGGATTACAGGCACCCACCACCACGCTTTGCTAACTTTTTTGTATTTTTAGTAGAGACGGGGTTTCACCATGTAAGCCAGGCTTGTCTTGAACTCCTGACCTCAAGTGATTCACCTGCCTTGTCCTCCCAAAGTGCTGGGATTACAGGCGTGAACCACTGTGCCTGGCCTCATTTATTAGTTCTAACATCTTTTTATTTTTTGCAACCTTTAGGGTTTTCTACATGTAGAATCATGTCATATCCAAATACAGATTGTTTTACTTCTCCCTTTCTGATTTGGATGCGTTTTATTTTTTTTTTCTTGTCTGATTGCTCTTGCTAGTACTTCAGGTACTATTTTTAATAGAGGTGACAAGAGGGGGTAATTCTTGACTTCTTTATCTTGGAGGAAAAGCAACATTGAGTATAATGTTAGTTGGAGGCTTGACATATATGGCCTTTATTATGTTGAGGAACATTCCTTCTGTACCTAGTTTGTTGAGAGTTCTTATCATGAAAGGATATTGAATTTTGTCAAATGATGTTGCTGCATCTATTGAGATGATACTATGACTTTTCTCCTTCATTCTGCTAAAGTGGTGAATCATATTTATTGATTTGCAAATGTTGAATATCCTTTTATCCCAGGGATAAATCTCATTTGATAATGGTGAAAATGCTTTTATTATGCTGTTCAATTTTGTTGAGGATTTTTACATCTGTGTTCATCAAAGATATTGGCCCGTGATTTTCTTTTCTTGTAGGGTTTTTGTCTAGTTTAGTTATCAAGGTAATGCAGACCTTGTAAAATGAGTTTGGAAGTGGTCTCTCCTCTTCAATATTTTGGGAGAGTTTGAGAAGGATTCGCATTAATTCTTTAAATGTTTGGTGAAATTCATTAGTCAAGCCATCTGCTTTAAAGCTTTCCTTTGTTGGAAGGTTTCTGATTACTGATTCTATCTCCTTAGTCATTGTAGTTCTGTTCATATTTTCTATTTCTTCAAGATTTAGTCTTGGTAGGTTGCATGTTTCTAGGAACTTATCAGTTTTCCCTATTATATCCAATTTGTTGGCATAAAATTATTCATAGTAGTCTCACGTTCCTTTATAACTCTGTAATAGCAGTTGTAATGTCTTCTCTTTCATTTTTAATTTTATTATTTGTCTTCTCTCTTTTTTTATTAGTCTAGCTAAAGTGTTGTTAATTTTGTTTACCTTTTCAGAAAAACAACTCATTAATACTTTCAATGATCTTTTCTATCATTTTTAAGTCCCTATTTAATTTATTTCTGCTATAATCTTTATTATTTCCTTCCTTCTGGAAACTTGGGGCTTGGTATATTCTTTTTTTCTCAAGTACTTTGAGGTGTAAATTTAGGTTGTTTATTTGAGATATTTTTTCCCTTAATGTAGGCATTTATTGCCATAAACTTCTTTCTTAAAACTGATTCTGCTGCATCCTGTAAATTTTGATGTGTTGTTTTTTTCAATTTCATTTGCATAAAGATATATTTTTAAATTTCTGTTTTGATTTCTTCTGTGACTTTCTTGGTTATTCAAAAGTGCACTGATTAATTTCCACATGTCTGCAAATTTTCTAATTTTCCTTCTGTTCTTGATTTTTATTTTAATACCATTGTGTTCAGAAAATATATTTGTTATGATTTCAATTTCCTCAAATTTGTTAATACTTTGTTTTGTGGCCTAACACATGACCTATCCTAGAGAGTGTTCCATGTGTGATTGAGAAGAATGTATATTTTGTTGCTATTGAATGAAATGTTCTATATATGTCTGTTATGTCCATTTAGTCTATAGTGTCGTTAAAATGTAGTATATTAATTTTTTGATCTGCATAATCTATGTAATGTTCAAGGTAGAGTATTAAAGTCTCCTACTTTCTTGGTACATTTGGACTGCTGTAACAAAATACCTTAGACAGGGTAATTTATAAATAATATTAATTTATTTCTCACAATTCTGGAGGCTGGGAAGTCCAAGATCAAGGTGTCAGCAGTTTGGTGTCTGGTGAAGGCTCACTGTCTGTTTCTTAGATGGTATCTCTTGCTGTGTTCTTCCATGGCAGAAGGGGGGAACACTGGACTCTCACATGAAGGGCAATAACCCTGTGAGGGCTCTGCCCTCATGAGTTAATCTTTTCTCAAAGGCCTCACCTCTTAATACAATCACATTGGGAATTTAGTAATAACATATTAATTTAGGGAAGACACCAACACTCAGACCATAGCCCCTACTATCATTGTATTGTTTTGTATTACTCCTTTCAGTTTTGTTACTATCCCTTTTATATACTAGTGGTTCCAGTGTTGGGTACATCAATATTTATAATTGTTATCTCCTGTTGAAAAACGTACTGCCTAATCATTATATAGTTACATTCTCTGTCCCTTCTGACAGTTTTGATTTGACATATATTTTGTCTAATATAGGATAGCCATACCTGCTCTATTTTGGTTATAATTTGCATACATTATCTTTTTCTATCTCTTCACTTTCAGCCTATATGTGTGTTTAAAGCTAAAGTTAGTCTCTTGTTGGTAGTATTTAGTTGGATCTTGTTTTTTTAATGCATTTAGCCACTCTGTGTTTTTTGATTTGATAATTTAATTTACATTTAAAGAAATTATTGATAGATGAAGACTTACTTTTGCTATCTTGTTAATTGCTTTCAGACTGGTTTGTCGTTCTTTTGTTCCTTCTCTTGCTCTCTTTTTTTGTTCATTTAATTTCTATGTATGATTATGTTTGACTTTTTTCTCTTTATCTTTTGTGTATCTACTACAGGTTTGTTTGTGTGTGCTTACTATGATGCTTACATAAAACATACTTGTAACAGTCTATTTTAAGCTGATGTCAAACTAACTTTGATCACATAAAAATCTCTATTTACCTCTTTTTATAATGTGTATTTATCAATGAATTATTATAGCAATAATTATTCTATAATTTTGTCTTCTTTCATACTAATATTAAACATGATTTTCACACCACTATTAAAATATTAAGGTATTCTGAATTTAATTCTATACTTACCTTTATCAGTAAGTTTTATAATTTCATATGTTTTGTTGCTATTTAGTGTTCTTCTCTTTCAACTTGAAGAACACCTTTTAGCATTACTTGTAGTGCAGGTCTAATGGTGATAAACTTCCTCAACTTTTAGTTGTTTGGAATAGTCTTTCTTTCTCTTTCATTTCTGAAAGACAGCTTTGCCAGGTAAAATACTCTTTCTTGGCAGCTTTTTTCTTATAGCACTTTGAGTATCATACCACTCTCTCCAGGTCTGCAAGGTTGCTGTTGTGAAATCTGCTGATAGTCTTATGACAGTTCCTGTGTATATGATAATCCAATTTTTCTCTTGCTGTTTTAATTTTTTATCTTCAAATTTGGACAATTTGAATATAATATGTTTTGGTTAATATTTCTTGATGTTGAGCCTATTGAGGTCCTTTGTGTATCATAGATATGGATGTTCATTTCTTTCTCCAGATTTGGGAAATTTTCTTTTATTATTTCTTTAAATAAGCTTCCTCCCTGTTCTCTTTCTTTGCTTTTTCTTAGATTTCCATAGTGTATAAAATGTTTCTGTTGATTGTATCCCATAAATCACATAGGCTTCTTTCATTCTTTTTTGTTCCTTTTTAAATTGGTGTTCCCTCCTGAATAATTTCAAATAACCTGTCTTCAAGCTTGCTGATCATTTCTTCTGCTTTATTGAGTCTGCTCTTGAAACTCTCCATTGAAATTTTTAGTCTAGTCATTATATTATTTAGCTCCAGAATTTCTGTTTGGTTCTTTTTTATGGTTTCTCTCTCTTTGTTGAATGTTTCCTTCTGTTCATGTATTGTTTTACTAATATTGTTTAGGTTTTCTCTCTGTGTTTCCTAGATTAGTTTGAATTCTTCATCAGGCAATTTGTCGATTGCCATTTCGTTGGAGTCAGCCACTGGAACGTTATTTTGTTCCTTTGTTGGTGTTATGTTTTCTTGATTCTTTATGTTCTTTGAAGTTTGTCTTACTGTCCTTGTGTTTGAAGAAGTAGTTTTCTCCTCCACTCTTTACTGACTAATTTTAGGACAGAAAGACTTTTATTAGTCAGCCCAGCTAGATATTTGGGAAATCTGTCAGGCCTTTTCTATGGATGCGCCTGCCTCACACCTCTTGTTTCTTCTTTTTAAGATTGTATGTCCTCTTTCAATATTCCAAAATCAAGCTGTCTCTCTGTGAGTGCTTGTTCATAATCTGCAGGGACTCACCTGTGCTGCAGAGACTTTCATATACCATCTCAAGGATACCTGTGGAATGCTAAGTTCATGCAGGGGCTTTAGGTGAGATGTCTCACAGGGGTCATGGGCAGGCCTCTTGGGAAAGTTTTCAGGACAGTTAATAGTATCTGTGTCCAGTTTTTGAAATTCACTTGAAAGTTTCAGTGAGCCCCCATCATTTTTCCCCACTTCTAACTCCTCTAGACTGTATAGTTATGCTGACGCTCTCAGTAGTTTGGGTGGAATGAGGCAGAATTGGGCCTCTTGGGCAATATCTCACAAGCCTGGGGAAGTCAGGATCTCACATTACTCTCACTTTCACATGTGGGACAAACTGTGGGCCAATGAGGTCTCTCTTGGCACTGAGCTGTGCTGCTTTGGGGGAAGGGTAATATTTTAAAGTGACACTGTTCTTCTTACCTTCTTAACTATATTTGTAATTATATTTTTGCTAGAACAGCGTGCTGGAATCTCTCCATTGTATTCCTAGGTTCTCATATAGATATTCCTGACAGTGTTTGATTGTCAAAAATCAATGTTTATATGGGTCTGTGAGAATTGGAATCTTGTATTTTTTCAGCTTGCTGATGTCACTTCTGTTATAAAATATTTTTATTCAATTTTATTTAGTCATAAAGTTTACAAACTTTCTTGACAGTGAGCTTATATTGGATATGGATCTGATTCCTCTTCCAGTTGCTCATTTATGGTTGAGTGCAGTTACCCCTATCCCAATTAATTTTACTGTTAACTTATTATGTAAATCATTCCAAGTGTCACATTATCTGCACTTTATTCACTGATTTTCTGCAGCTCTCTGAGTATTCTTTCTAACATCCTTATTCTGTATTTCTATTTTGAGGTTCAAGAAAGGCTTTGATACTGAGTACCATGAAGTGTTAGAATACAAGAAAGTTTCACATTGGTTATTAATCTCCAGTTTTGCAGATGAGAAACTCAAGAATCAGAAAAATGATGAGATTGTCCCACACTCTTTGCTAGTAAGTGTTATATTGAAACAACTGAGATTTTTTCACTCCCAGCCCATCCAGTTGCCTCTGAACTATCTCCTTAGCAATATATACCTATCTCTCATAATCAGACAATCCCCTAATGACTAAATCAAAGGAGTCCTTTGTAACTTCACCCTTTCCTAGTTGCTTTGTTCTCAGTTGATGCAAATATAAGCAACTCCTTGAATAGCATGTGCTCTACCTTCATAGCTCTCTATGATCCTCTTGTCACCTTCAGTGTTGTTAGTGAATTAGCATGAAAGTTTGAGCTATTAGAGTCTTATTCCAGCAAGTGGATTCAGGTTTTATTCCCCTTTCCTGAAACTCTAATAGAAAGGTGCACTCAAGGCACAGAGATACAAAAAGTAGCTGTGATGGGCTAATCACAGACTTGTCTCATCTGATTAGTGTACAGCCTCAGCTTGGCCTGCATAGATCACATTCCCTAGACTCTCATAGGATTTGACCATATTATTGATGGCACTGGCGAGAGCAGGTGGGATCTGCACCCCAAGCGCCCCCACTAAAAGTCCCTTGTAATACAGGGAAAATGGTGTGGGTTTTAAGCTGCTTCATGGATGCATGCACGGTTGACCCACATCTAGATTCTTTAGCTGCAAAAACCAACACAAGTCCAGATAGATCACCATGACACTTCTGGGTCCTGGCTGGGATTTTCATGTTTAGAAAGGAAAAATAGTAAATAGTTCTTAATCTCAAGGTTTACTTGTCTCTGAAACATCATGCTACATTCTGAGTTTAGGTTACATCCTCTGCACTTGATTGCTCCTTCATATTTTTCAGGACACCACGACCTCAGCCTCCCTCCTGATCTCACACCTGAGTGTCTCTGGGTCATGGGAATTGATAAGGGCTGCAGATATCCCTGACATCCCTTGCTAATCATTCCCAATCGGAGTTATTGGGCAAGATCCAAACTACACTCTCTGAAGAGTCTTTCCTCAAAGTAAGTTGTCCTGGCCAACACTCCTATGGCACCTATGAATGCCAACTATGTACACACTTACATATATCAAATGGTTTAACCCTCATGTCAACCCACAGGAGAATGTATTTTTATCATTCACCTTTTTTTTTTTTTTTACAAATGTGTAAGCTGAAGCATAGGGAAATTAAGTGATTCAGTGCTTGTAGCAAGTAGGTGACAGGACTGGGATGAAGCCAAGCAGGTTATCTCAAGAGTGCATTCTCTGCTTGCTAGGCTGTGACCCTCTTCCTCCTATGTTATTTGTCTTTCTCTATTACAGTGAATGAATGGCTGTGCATAAGTCCTAGAATGCCAATCTGGATGGGCACATTGTTACTCTTACTGTGATTAATCTTCATTTCAAATATTTGTTCTTAAGACAAAGATTTGGAAAAAACATTTCAAAGAAAATCTGCAAAATGAACTTTTGGTATTTTCAAGAAAATTCTACATCCCACCATTTAATGCCATTACCCTAAAAAGCCTGTTGAGGACTCCCTTCTGTTACCTATCAATTCATTTTGTTGCCATTCCTTACTATAAAACAATCCATCCAGATTTAAAGAAATTGGAATGAGCACTCACATTGAATGAGAAGAGCAAGAATGATGTTCAGCCTTGCAGTTTAAAAATAGAGAGCAGATTGCTGTGATTCTGTAATACTCTGTTCTGCCTACAATGGTTGCAAACAGAATAAATAGTGGAAGGAAAGGAAACCAGTGAAATGCAGGTCATGTGAGAGAAGAAGTTTTATTGATGCAGTGGCCATAAAATCTCTAAACTATCATGGTTTTCTCTGTTAGCTTCCCATTAATTATTTTGAATTTAATTAGGTCACATCTTATACTCTTTCTGTGCACAAGATAAATTACTGTAGACTTGAAAGCACAGAAGCTCGAAACATATTAAGTGCAAAGACAGGGCTGAGAGAAAGAAGGCAGACAGAGGGGGCTGTCTGGCCATGGGCAGCTGCAATCAGCCTCTCTTCACAAAAGGGCCGCCATCTCTACTTTGTGTGTGCATTTGCATTCCAGGTCACTACTCAGGCTGCACTGCATGGTTTGAGTGCATATAAATTAAATAAACAGATAGGCAGCCAAGCTCCTGACTAGTAGCACGCTGTTAAGTTTATGTGTTGACTAGTAATAAACCATCATTACAGAGTAGTTCATCTAGAAAACTTATGGTTTTTAGGATAGAATAGATTTTCAATAAGAAAATTAAAGCTCAAGGAGGGAAAAAGATTTGCCCAAAGTCCTGTAGGTGATTACTGGTAGGGATGGAGCCACTATTCAGGACTCTTGGACAAATGCTCTTTTCACTCCCTCATGCGTCCCCTGTACCAATGTCAGATGATTGTTCCTAGTCTGGGTTTATAATTGTGATGTCTGCAGTGAGCTCTGAAATTCTGGAATGGTGCAGACTTTGGAAAAGGTGATGGTACAGATTTGTCCCCCTATTTTTATATATGTTTGGTGAGGCTATTTTTATATAAGCTTGGTGAGGCTAATAGCTAAAATTAGATGTAGAATAGGTAATTCCATGTGTTTTAGCTACATATTCCTTTTGGAAAAGGAGTATCCCAGAGGCTTAGTGCCTCCTAAGAGTCACTAAAGGGCTTTGCTAAGGTGAAATGAGCTGTCCTCAGGGGCTCTTGGTGGTGTTAGATCTCCTCCCCATTTCATGAACCTGACTAACTGAAACAAAACTCCAAAGACCTCAAATGCCTAGATAAAATTAGGTCCTCTTACTGCCAATTTCTAGCTACTCTTAATCATTGTTAAGGCAATTGAAGTATCATATTACATGAACACAGCTTTAACACACTTTGAATTCACCTTGTGAAGGGAGTCTGGATTGGGTTCCAGAGCTTTGGGAAAGGCTGTTGCCAAAACTCTTCTTGGAAAAATCCTATTGCCTTTGTTTCTTCTTGTGATGTACAATGTTAGGTGCATATTATAGTTTCTCAAGTATAGGCCACCTCTTTGTTTCTAATTCTCCTATTTGTTTTACCCTCATTTGAAAGCAAAGAAAAAACAGGAAACACTAATACAGAAGTGTCAATAATAACCTTTTTATACAGGATAAAGAGGGTAGGCTAGACTATTTTCTAGTAACCAACATCCACCAGATTGTCAGACTTACACAACAAAATTTTATAGCTCGCTCCATGCAAAGTTCACTCTAGAGGGCAGTTACCTCTCTGGGGCCACTTTTTCTGCCTCAGCCCAGGAATGGCACTGGTGACTTATGCTCACATTTCATTGGCCAGAACTTGTCTTTGGCTCCACTACACTGCAAGGGGCTATGACCACAGCCACTTGAATGTCTCATAAAGGAAGGACAACTGCATATTGTGAAAACCAAAGACACTATTTGCCCTGGTAGTTAATTTCTAAGATATTTAAATCCACAATTCCCAACCAAATTTATACTCACTGATAGAAGTTTTAGCAAAGATGGTAGCTGCAATATATGTATTTACCTATTCTGCATCTTTAGCTATTAGCCTCACTAAACACATATAAAAATAGGGGGAAAATCCATACCATTACTAAAAACTAGGAAAGGATGTGATTACATTCCCAAATCTCCTCCAGACAATAGATCTATGACATGAAACTGGATTTAGGGAAATGTTGACCAGTCACCAAAATACTGCATGAAGGAATAGTTTTCACAGAAAACTATGAATGTAAATGGAAGAAAAAAATCCCAGCATGATTCCCAAAACACTCTCTGACACCCAGCAGCATTGGAGGTAAGGATAGGCAAATAGGGGGAGTCACTGGCCCTTACCACTTCCAGTGGAGCCACCTTGAATTCCAGAAGGCACAACCAAAGGAAATCCAGGAAGTCCTCATCCCAGTTACTGCCAGCCCCAGGCCTTGCAAGGCAAAGGGGAGGAGCTTCTGTAGTGGACTCTCTATGAGGGTGGTCATTCCTCAGACCCAAAGCTCTTAACATCTTGTTTATGCCCACAGGCTACTAAATCTTGTATCTGACACAGTAAGGTCACAATAACTTGAGAAGCTTCTCTATGAAATTCAAACAGTGACCAACACAATCCCTGACAAACTCATTTCAACTTGAAATTTTGGATAAGCATGGACTTTATGAATAATTAAAGAAGAAAAAGCAAAGACACATATGTGTGTATGTGATTGTATGGGTATATATGTATATTTATTGTATAATTATATGTGTATGTACACAACATACACATATACACATATATGTATTTATGTATTTGCACTAATATTGGATAACAGTCAACACATGTGACAGCTATGGGCTATTATCATTATTATATCAAGATCTCTTGCAAATCACAAAGAAAGAAAAATATGAACATCTCAAGACCAAAACAGGCAAAGGCTCTGTATAGACAATTTATTCATGAAGATCTGCAAATGACTAGTACCAAGTAAACAAAATGGTACTTCATATTTCCTACACAGGTTCTAAATCACTTGAGAAATAAGACAAAGTCAGCAGGCTTACTATAACATGCTGGGCAGAAAGACACAGCTAGAAAAGATATGCTGGACACAGTCTGGAGCATGAGAAGGCCCACTGGAGATCACACCTGAAAAGCATCACAGTTCCCCAAGTCACTGCTCCCCCTGGCCTGAGTGGAAGATGGGGGCTAGAAAAAGATCAAGCATTTGGTCCACTGGCTCCAGCTAATTGTGAAACATGGAGCTAAATGTTGCCACCTACCAACCAACTAACCGCTTTTACTTCCAGGGAGAGTAATGAATGGAGGGAAAGAAGAGTATTTAGAGAAAAATCTTCCTCCTGGAAACCAGAAGGGTAGGATAATGGAGTGTTCTCTAAGACACCTTTACTGAAAGGAAAAATATGTAACTTAATACAAAAATACAATTTCATCTCTACTTTATTAAAGTATTAAAATTATGATAATGATTATAATACATCTATATTAATAATGTGTAAAAATAGATAATCTCATATACTATTGATGAGAATATAAATCAATGCCATCTTTTGGGAAGAAAATTTAGTAATACATATCAAAAATCATAGCAAAATGTATAAAATTTGTCCAAATAGTTTTACTTCTAGAAATCTATGTCAAGGGAATGTTAAATAATTTTTTTAAGAAAAGTAATATCATGAATCTTGTAAAAATATAAAATAAATACATATCAAAGATGGCATTTATCTCATCTTTAATGAAATAAATACGTTATTACAACTGGCTCAAAGGAGAATGGAAAGGACACACATTTACAAGCTATCAGGAAAGCTGAAATTAATTTACAAAGAATTTTTAAACTGGCCAGCACTCCAATTGCATTACACAGGACACAATTCAGTTGTTTTTCTATGAAAAAAATCATTTGCATTATTAACTTTTTTTTTTCTTTTGAGATGGAGTCTTGCTCTGTCGCCCAGGCTGGAGTGCAGTGGCGCAATCTTGGCTCACTGCAAGCTCCGTCTCCCAGGTTCATGACATTCTCGTGCCTCAGCCTCCCGAGTAGCTGGGACTACAAGTGCCCGCCACCATGCCCAGCTAATTTTTTGTATTTTTAGTAGAGACAGGGTTTCACCGTGTTAGCCAGGATGGTCTCGATCTCCTGACCTTGTGATCTGATCGCCTTGGCCTCCCAAAGTGCTGGGATTACAGACGTGAGCCACCACGCCTAGCAATTATTAACTATTTTTATAGTGGTAAAATAGTTTAGAAACAACTAAAAGCAGAGATACACTGAAAATTATTCTAGACAGGATACTCAGCAGTCTTTATTGCCCATTTTGAAGTATTTCAGGAATAAGCAGGACAAAGATTTACCAAAAAAGAGTCCCTTCAAATATTGAGAATAGTGAAAAACAAAGGAAACAGGCTAATGTCTAATAATAAGTTATCAGTAAATTTAACTTTGGCAGAGTTATAGATTGGAGTGCTATAAAACTATTGGAAATTGCATTGTAAGAAATATATAATTCGGTGCAGAAAAATACACACAAAAATAATTATATGTTCACATTGTTGTCCAGAAATTAAGTCTAATATAAGAAAACAGCAATTGCCAAGCATCTGAATGTTTTTGTTTGTTTGTTTCTATGCGTACATTTGGGTTTTTTTGGTGTTTAACACTATGTCCAGAGCCTTATTTAGTGTTGGAAACAAAGGAATAAATTGCTCATCCTAATAAAGAAACTGGAATATCATGGACCAGAACAAGCAATGGAAAGGTAAGAGAATAATATTTAGTCAGAAATAAACCAAGATAATGACAGTGAGCCAGGTCTGAGGACAACTGAGAGAATAGACCAGGAGCAAGACACAAATTCCCTGTTGCTAATGAAATATCATCACAGGGATAGCTAATACAAAACCATGGCTTCTGCCTGTACTACCTTATCCATTAAGTAATTGTCTGTGCTTCAAGAAAGTTTGTTGCATATTAGAGCCTTTGGATAGTGATGCTGTGGAGAATAAGAAAAAAATGAATAAGAAAAAAGAAGACAGAAACTTACAGAATCAGTAAGGAAAAAGAAGACAGAAACTGCAGGAAGAGAAGAGAGTGGGATTAAGCATGTTGCAGAAGCAGAGGATTGGAGTGAAAGTTGAATGTAACACAACAATGCTTTTGCCTATTTGTTAAATAAAATGCTGGGTTTCCTGTAACATGTGGACTGAGTGATCAAACCATCCTTGTCAAACATCAGAGGACTGTAGATAGACCTGAAGATGCTTGAAGGAATATTTGTGGTTTGCATATGCATAGAAGTAATAAATACCAAAATATTAATCGTGTCTATCTGTGATTAGGAAAATTATTTTGGAATTTTAATTCACTTTTTATTCTTTTTCTCTATTTTTCATATATTCTTCAATAAATATTATTCCTTTTGCAATAAGATACAATTTTACTTTAAATAACAAAAAAATTGAATTTTTCAATTTAAAAACCTAAGACCTATAGAGCCCACTGCCCTCCACACTCCTCCTCTACATTAGTGTGCAAGAGATACCACACACTCAACTGATCCTAAGCTAAGTTTGTGATTCTGTACCCAAATCCTGTTCCTCCTCCTGCTTGTCTTGGTGAATTCCAGCATCTTGGAAAAGTTAACTCTTTCTTCAACTCTTCACTCTCCCCATCTGATGGGAAAACTGGTCCTTGTGAATTCCTCCCCTTTACCACCTTCGATATACATTCTTTGTACTTATTGTTGATAAATCTTCATCATATCTTGGCTAGATTGCATCTATACTATATTTCTTTAATTTAGTTACTTTAATTAAATTTACTTTATACTATATTTCTTTAGTCATGCTTGCTCCCCATTTATTCTCCATTCTGTAATAAGAATTTCTTTAAATGCAAATTTGATTTTGTCTTTCAATTTATTAAAACTCTTTAGAGAACTACCATAGCCTTTACACTTCAATCCAGACACTGCAGAGTAGCTCTGTAGGCTTCCACACATCCCCTCTCATAATCCAATCTCATCTTCCACCACTTTCCATCCCTCTACACCTGTTCATATGGGATGAATTGCAGGTGTGAGAACCCCTTGAAGACCTCTAAGCTTTTACAGAAATCTCCTCCATTTCCTAGGGTGTTCTTTAGCCATTCTCTACCTCATTCTTCAAAACCCAGTCCACATACCAATCCTTAGTGAAGCCTTGTGCACCCTCAAGTTGAGGCAGGCATCCCCCACAACCTCTGTCATCCTTATTTTGACACCTGTTATAGCTTTATCAAAGTATATTTTAATTATTATCTCAATGGCCTGTCTCTTGAAGGTGGCTGTGTTTTACTGCTGTGTTTCTCCTGGGACCTTGCCACATGATGGGCATTCAATGAATTGCTGTGGAATGAAAGACTCTGGCACAATTTCCATTAAAGGGGATGAGACTTGTGTGGGTGTAAATTGTGCACGGATGAGGGTCTATGTGTAATTAACACTTTTCCTAAATTTCTAAATCGTGATTAGAAATCCACCCTGGGAGAGCATCACCATCATGATGGCTATGGAATGAGAGAAGAGAATGGTCATCAAACCTTGTGCTTGGCCAGGAAGAGGTTAGAGGAAAGTCTTCTAAGAAGGGTGGTTGGCCCACTGCCTATTGGCCTGGAAACTGGACTGGTTGGGGCTTTGAAAGAAAAACTTGTCAAACTGAGAATCATCCCATTTTTGCCTGGAATTTAAGTCTCTGTCTTTAGATCTAGTAAAGTTCCTGCAATGGAGGATGTGGCTAAAGTTAATCTAGACAGAGATTCGCTGCAGTCTCTACTGGTCTAAGCTGTGGCAAGAACAGGTAATAACACAATGGTGTTCCAGCCTAGCAGACGGGACCAGATGAATGGGTGAATTAGAGCCCACTTCTGCCAGGGTCCTCTTTCAGTGAGGGAATTTTGCTTACTAAACATGAATAGCCACGATTTTGTTTATCCTATCTATGCATAAAGATCTCCAGCATCTTTGGGTAATGGTACTAGTGAAGATGGCTATGCAGTCATTTGACTGGTTGTGTTATAGCTTTTGCCCCAGGTCAAGGCAGAGTTCACACCTGTGCAGACCACAAAGGCCAAGTGTTTGTTTGCTGGGTTCAAAGACAAGCTTGGCTTGGAGCAGGAAGCAAAGAGTCTTTCTTTGGCTTCTAAGATATTTTCTGGGGTTGGGAGTGGGAACAGAGGGAGTCATTTAACTTCCTGTGCTTCCTCAGTATGGTCTTCTGCAAAATGAGGACAACCCTTTAATTGCTCTCCCTTCCCCACTCCTACCCTTGGAGACCTTTAAACTTAGATAACTGGAAGGATCTGAGAGACCATAGTCTATAACTTTATTTTTGCAGATGATGAAGTCAAAGCCCTCATTGCTTCACTAAAGAGACCTTTCTCAAATGCACATCTGCAGTGAGTCATTCCTGCCTATAGCCATGTTAGCACTTTCCACTGCCTCCACGTTGAGTCGTAGCTCTCTTTAGAGGCTAAAGAATCCTCAGGTTGGTAGGAGCTTCCCCTGCTGGTCTCTCCAGACCATCTCT
Organism: Homo sapiens; assembly: GCF_000001405.40. NCBI lineage: Eukaryota > Metazoa > Chordata > Mammalia > Primates > Hominidae > Homo > Homo sapiens. Next base: position 129,256,764 of record NC_000002.12, on the reverse strand, counting down.
TGCCACCCACCCATCCTGCCCCACCCTTATTCTACCCCATGACTTTCCTAGAGAAGCTGCATCCCTCTCAGCTCCAGACTTCTGCTCCTGCATCTACCAGCATTTTTTTTCTTACTTGGAGACTAGCCTCTGAGTTCAAAGCTCCTCTCCTGTCTTCCTAGGCTGAGTGATGTCTCTCTTCTCTGCTCCTGCCTCGCGTTGCTCTTCTCTGTCATTGTACACTCAGTGATACAGCCACTGTCTGTGTCCCTCACTGGGCCAGAAGAGCCTCTTAGCTGGCATCTGAGCCTGATTCACCTCTTCCTCCCCACAACAAAGCTCACGGATCCCAGAGGGTCATTGGTCAGTAACCTTTTGTGAGAAGGTGAAGGAGTAAGGGGCAGCTTAGCAAGTGACAGAGTACGTGATTGTCTATGTGGGTGTTTGAGAGGATGGGTGAGTGGGTGTCTATGTGAGTTAGTAGGTAGGGTCTAGGTGGGTGAATGAATGATTAGGTGCCTAGATGAGTAAGTAGGTGGGTGCCTAGGTGGATGAGTGAGTGAGTGTCTAGGTAGATGGATGAGTGAGTCAGTGTCTAGGCAGGTGAGTAAGTGGATGTGTAGATGGGTGGATGACTGGGCGTCTAGGTAGATGGGTGAGAGGGTGTCTAGATGGGTGAGTAAGTGGTTGTGTAGATGGATGGAGTGAGTGGGTGGGTGTCTAGATGGGTGAGTGATCCTTGGTGGATGAGTACTTGGGTGCCTAGATGAGTAAGTGGGTGTCTAGGTGGGTGAGTCAGTGGGTGTCTAGATGGGTGGGTGAGTGGATGTTTTGGTGAGTGGATATTTAGGTGGGTGAATGAATAGGTATCTTGGTGGGTGGGTGGGTGAGTGGGTGTCTAGCTGGGTGGGTGAGTGGGTGTCTAGGTGATGAGTGAGTGGGTGTCTATGTGATGAGTGTGTGGGCGTCCAGGTGGGTGAGTGGATGTCAAGATGCGTGAGTGAGTAGGTGTTTAGGTGGGTGGGTGAGTGGGTGTCTAGAGGGACGAGTGAGTGGGTGTCTAGGTGGATGAGTGACTGGGTGTCTAGGTGGGTGAGTGAGTGGGTATCTAAGTGAATAAATGACTGGGTATCTAGGTGGGTGGGTGAGTGAGTGGGTATCTAAATGAATAAATGACTGGGTATCTAGGTGGGTGGGTGAGTGGATGGGTATCTTGGTGGGTGGGTAGGTGAGTGGGTGTCTAGGTGGGTGAATTGTTGGGTGTCTAGGTGGGTGAGTGGGTGTCTAGGTGGGTGGATGAGTGGGTGTCTATATGGGTGAGTGGGTGTCTAGGTGAATGAGTGAGTGTCTGGGTGGATGAGTGTGTGGGTGGTCTAGATGGGTGGGTGAGTGGATGTTTAAGTGGGTGGGTGAGTGAATGGGTGTCTTGCTGGGTGGGTGAGTGGGTGTCTAGGTGGGTGGATGAGTGGGTATCTAGATGGGTGAGTGGGTGTCTGGGTGAGTGAGTGGGTGTATACATGGGTGGGTGAGTGGATGTTTAGGTGGGTGGGTGAGTGAATGGGTGTCTTGCTGGGTGGGTGAGTGGGTGTCTAGGTGGGTGGATGAGTGGGTATCTAGATGGGTGAGTGGGTGTCTGGGTGAGTGAGTGGGTGTATACATGGGTGGGTGAGTGGATGTTTAGGTGGGTGGGTGAGTGAATACGTGTCTTGCCGGGTGGGTGAGTTAGTGTCTAGGTGGATGAGTGGGTGTCTAGGTGGAGGGTTGAGTGGGCGGATGGGTGGGTGCTAAAAGAGAGCCTAGTAGCCAAGTACCCAGGTGGGTGGATGACTGAGGTGGGTGGATAATATGTGAGTTTGTCTGTGAGTGGTGACAATGTTTGGTGGGGGTAGGAAGAGGTTGGGTAGGAGAGTAGGTGGTTGGAGCAGGTAAGTAGCTGAGTAGTGGGTGTGTGGGCACATGGGTAAGTGAGTGGGTGACTGAAGCATTAATGGAATGGAGCAGGAGCAGCATGATAAGCCCGAAGTCCTACAGAGCCCAGGCAGGCACCTCACGTTCCTGACAGGTGCTATCTACACACCTGGTGCTGTCCCCGCCCCCCCTCTGAGTCCCTGCTTCTGTCACTCCACACTCGTATTGCCCCTTCATTTGCTAAAATGTATGCAACATGGTCACTTGGAAGTAGAAGGCACTAAGAGAGAAATCAAAACCAAGTCGGCCCATCAGCCCTGTACAGATGGAAGGCTGGCATAGATGAAGCAGCTTCTGTCAGACCCTCTAGCACAGGCCCTGGGCAAGGAAGGGGCCCTGGGGCTGGAGCAGCTATCTCTTCTCTGGCAGGTGACCTCACACTCAGCCGTGCCACCAGGGGAGAGGTAGTCATAGCAGGGACATGCACATAGCCAGGTCCAATGGTGTGAGAGTGGACGCGGATCTTCTGAGATCAGAGGCAGCATCCAGTCCATCTGTGAGTCCTCAGGACCCAGCTCAGAGCTGGAAGAGGTGGGGCTCAGAGATGGCATAATGAGGGGCTGAAGGAAGGTGTCCACCAGACTCTGAAACTCCACTGGAGGAAGTGGCAACTCTCCTAAGGTAATGTTCTCCCATGCATGCTGAAAACCCTGCAGGGACACAGCATGGTATTAACTATGGTTATGGAAAATAGATTATAACCAAAAAGCTGGGGGCATTAAAAAGAACGATAACAAGTCAGGTGGTGTTTGGAATCTCAGCTCCTCATAAAACTGAATTCACAAGCAGCATCAGTGGGCGAGAATGGCTATTTCCCCAAGGTGGAACCTTAAGAAAAACACATTTTGAAAGTTAATGAGGGGGGAAGAGGCAAAAAGGAACACAGTTTGCTTTAAAAACCTATGGAGAGAAAAATTCTCAACAGATTCCCACGCAGTATTTGTGATCCTGGTTGTCTGACATTTGTGTGGCAAGGACAGACCACTGACTGCTTAGACATGGCCTACGTCTACAAAATCACATTTATGGGTGGTTACAAATTCCATTTCTTTTATTAACTGCTTGAAATGTTATTTACTTGATTGAATTACAGTTCTGGCCATTAACACTTTGGAATAACAACCCAGTTAATTAACATGGGAGAGCAGTGACAATGCCACCACCATCCTTAAGAGGGCCACATCAGCACAGAGAGCTCCTGGTGCTGGGCGCTCCACAGCGAACTCTGAGATGGAGCAGGCGCAAGCCTTGTTTGAGTGGGCTGAACAGCGTGACTCCTTGGGGCTCCTCATTCATCCACCTCCTCCAGAAGGGATGATGAGGCTTCCTTCAGGGCTGCTCAATGCCCTTGTATTTGACTCCAGGAATGAAGGAGGGGCACTCAGTGTTTCTGGAGTGCCTGATGTGCACCAGGGGCTTAGGTACATTATCTGATATTACCTTGTTATTAGAGGGTGAGTCACATGTTTCTAGTCCATACTTGCAATAGAGCAAACTAAAGTTAGTGTGATCAATGGAGTTGCTCATGTTTATACCGTGTGAGGGGCAGAATGAGGTCGGACTCACACGACTGTAGTGGTGACGGCTGTCAGCTGCTACAGTGGTCATCAGCTGTAATTTAAGAAGCTTTCTGGAGCATCAAAATGGGAAACTAAGAAAGCTAAGATGAGGGAGGCGTGTTTTCCATTTTCACAAAGTGGCTGTGCCTCTCTCCATCCCTGTGGCTTCTGCCCACAGCCAAATCTTCATGGGATCTGCAGGCGTGTTGAAACTCCTCACAAGTACACCTCCCCCAGGGAGCAGCACCAAGCCACAGGCCTGCCTGAACTGTGCCTCTGCTGATGAACAGCCTCTGCTGCAGTCACTCTAGAATTTTTTTTTTTTTTGCCTTTTATAAGAAACACACACAGTGTAATAACCATCTGGCCCCTTTATTTCTCAGTGGAGCTGCGTGTGTTCAGTGCTGACCTTGCTGGCCCTGCATTTGGCTGGAAGCAATCCTCTTATTAAATCAGAAACCAGAGGGGACCCCTGCCCCTTACCCCTGACCCCAAGACAAGCCTGAGGCTGGCCTCATCCTGACTTCACCAGATTGTCTGGCATTTAAATGCCAACATCTCTCCTAAGAGCCGTGATGCAGGCAGGAGGCTGTGCACAACTTTTTATACTTCATTTCTCATTTATAGGAAGAAAAGAAAAGGGAAAATGTCAGAGAAAATTCAGTGCTGACACCCAGGGCAGATAGCTTGTTGGACTAAGAGGACAAATGTCTATTGGATGAGGCTGCAGGACTCCCCAGAAAGATTGGGGGCCCTCCCACGTGAACCCATGACCTCTGATTGTTGCCTGCAGTCTACTATCAGTGTAACTGCCTTTCCAGAGCACCTACTATGTGCGAGGGACTGTGCTTGGCCATTGGCATGCCCTCTCTCACTCCTCAACCTTCACACCTATCCTGAGAAGCAGGTCGTGCAGCAAGTGTGAGAAAGTCCAGCTTGGCAAGGCGCAGAGAAGGCCTGCTGCCTCCAGGCCTGTGGCCTTGACCATCCAGATCCTGGTGATCAGCCTGCAGCTTCAAAATCTGTGAATGGGGCATTCACTGTGGGCACCAAATACAAATAGGGGCTATGACCAGTGCTTTCTCTGCCATAGACCATACAGTGCAAAACAGTGATGAGAAACTGCTTGGCCAGATGGGATTTGAATGGGCAAGTTCAGTAAAGAAACCGCACGTTATCTGTGGTGCCCAGCCAAGATGCCTAGGGTCTCTTACTGTATTTGGAATATTGGGATTTCCCCTGGACCGCCCTGGCATGCAGATCTGCTGCATTTGTTTGCTTGCCCAACTCTGCTTTTGTGGCTCCTTGACATTCACAGCCCTCTGCTGACTGACCCTGACTTTCTGTAGATAATTTATTTTTACCTAGTGTTTTCCACAGCATGGGTTCCCATGAAGGCAGGGACCTGAAACAGAGGCTTGCATGCAAGTAGATTATTTGGGATGTGATCATTGAGATCAAGAATGGGGACTACAGGTGTAGGAGGAGAGCTTGCGGATGAGGGGAAAGGCAAGACAAGGATGAGTATGGGATTTGCCATCACTAGGGCAGAACATTTCTGAGGAGCCTTAGGAGCTCTTTCTCAGCCCCTAACCCCGCTTGGTGAAAGGTAGCCCAAGGCGTTCACTCTCTGGCATCTCTGGGTTGTGCAAGGACTGAGGCTGAGGAGCACAGATGCTGCAGGCCATGGCATCAGCTCATCCCATGGCAGGAAGCAAGAGTCAGGTAGCATCTGTCTGAAGTTGCCACAAGGCTGCTCAGCCCCGGTCACTGAAGTAGTGGCTGGAGTGAGAAGGGCTGAGAGGATTTGGGTGGTGCACCCATGATGTGCTACACACTTGCCATTGCACCTTTCACTTTTAAGTCAAGACGTTGACTCAGGATTTAACCAATATTCTACCCTAAGCAGTTATTCTTTAGATTTTGCTTGCCTCAAGGATGTTCCATTTCTTTTTGTTTTGTTTTGTTTTATTTGTTTGTTTGTTTGTTTTTTGAGATGGAGTCTTAGTCTGTCACCCAGGCTGCAGTGCAGTGGCATGATCTTGGCTCACTGCAACTTCTGCCTCCCGGATTCAAGCAGTTCTCCTGCTTCAGCCTCCTGAGTATCTGGGATTACAGGCATGTGCCACCATGACCAGCTAATTTTTTTTTATTTTTGTTTTTAGTGGAGATGGGGTTTCACTGTGTTAGCCAGGATGGTCTTGACCTGCTGACCTCGTGATCCTCCCGCCTCAGCCTCCCAAAGTGCTGGGATTACAGGTGTGAGCCACTGTGCGTGGCCCGGATGTTCCATTTCTTACAGTCAACTTTGCCTATCTCTGTTCTTATGCACACAGACATAGTAGTTGATTCCTTCTGGGCCAATCAGAGTCCCCAATTCAGAGATGCCCTGTTGCAGACAGATAAATACAATGAGACTCAAACATTAAGGAACTTGCCTCAATTCACTGAGCGTATAGCTGCTGGGAGAGGTCTTAAACCCAGGCTTTGTCCTTTTTTCTACTGCATCACCCTACCTCTTATCCTATTAGACTTTAGGAATTTAATGTTTTTCATTAAGATTGCCTCAAGTAACTCTCTTTGTTTGTCTTGATCTGTGCAAAATTTCTTTCTCATTAGTCTTAATAAGACTTTGATGCCTCTTTGTTGTCTACAGAAGAGACTGCAAATACCTTACAATGGCTTTCAAGGTTCTCTAAGAGGTCTTTCCCAGCCCACCTTTACTTCCTAATAAGCACTTTATTAAGCAATATCAGATTATTGTCTATTCCCAGAATTTTTCAAAGCCATCCTAGTTCGCTGCCCTTGCTATTTCCAGTACTTGGCATTCCCTCTACTTCTCTATGCCTGAAAATGATGGAAATGGCTTTGGAATTGGGCAGTGAGTGGAGGCTGGAAGAATTTTGGAAAGCATGCTAGAAAACTCCTAGGTGCCTTTGAACAGACTATTAAATAGGGACACTGTTGAGGAAAATAAGGAGAATTTTAGAAAAATCTTAGAAATCACCTTAGAAAAAGCCTAAATTGCAGTAAACAGACTGTTAGTAGACATCTGTACTTGAAGGATACTACTAGCCAGGGCTCAGAGGGAAGTGAGTGACTTGGTATTGGAAACCAGAAGAAATGGGATCCTTATAATACAGTGGCAGGAAGCTTAGCAAAATTGTATCTTGTACGTTCACAGAGAGACTTGAAGAGTGAGGAAGACTAAGAGGCTGCTGCCATTTGAAGATGAAGTGTACAATACAACAGGGAATCAAGTGAACAGAAAGTGTTGATGGGGATCCCAGCAGATAGCCAACAAAAGGGAACCTCACTTCTACAGCAGCAAGGAACTGCATTCTGCCAAAAACCTAATGAACTTGGAAGCAGATTATTTTCTGGAGTCTGTAGGTAAGTGCCTGTCTTGCGGACACCTTGATTTCAGCCCTGGGATACTCTAAGCAGAGGCGCCAGGTGAGCCCACCTGGATTTGGGACCTACAAACTATGAGATAATAGATGTGTGCTGTTTTAAGCCACTGATTTTGTGGTAATTCGTGACAGCGGTGGTAGGAAACGACCACATTGAGATTCATAGTACTTCTTACATCTGTTGTCATGTTTTTCATTTGTTTTAGAAAATTCTCATCCACTCCTAATACATTTTGTCTGATACATTATTTCTGCCCTCTCCTCCTGGATATTGAATTAGATGAATGTTAGATATTTTCATCATTGTCCTTAGGTTGCTTATGTTTTGACATGTTTCATGTGTATCGTTCATCTTTCTTTCTCACTAGTGTTCAGAGAGACAGGTAAGTAGAGCTTATTCCATTTGATGTCTCCCAATCTCCTAATCCTCTCTTCAGTGTCGCCCAATCTGTTATTAAGCTCACCTGCTGTGTTCCTAATTTCATTTTTGTTACCTTCAGTTTTAAAAATTCAATTTGATTCTTTTCGATATTAATACATTCCAGTCCTCTGGTGGATTTCTCCATCATGCCATTTATTTTCTTGACCATATTAATAATAAATATTTACTAGTATATTTTTCATTGCTATATTTCCATTGTTGGATTTTTCTCTTGATTTGGTTGTTTATGCTTCATAACATTAAATTAAAAGCCACTCATGGCTGGGCACCATGGCTCATGCTGTAATCTTAGCACTTTGGGAGGCCGAGGTGGGCAGATCACTTGAGGACAGCAGTTCGAGACCAGCCTGGCCAACATGGTGAAACCCCATCTCTACTAAAAATACAAAATTAGCCGGGTATGGTGGTGGGTGCCTGTAATCCCAGCTACTTCAGTCCAGAGTCTGAGGCACAAGAATCGCTTGAACCCGGGAGGTGGAGGTTGCAGTGAGCAGAGATTGTGCCACTGCATTCCAGCCTGGGTGACAGAGTGAAACTCTGTCTCAAAAACAAACAAACAAACAAACAAAAAAGGCCACTCACTATGTACCAAACATTGACGAGACCCTGGATAATGTTCTGTTTCTTCAGCTGTGGGTTTTACCACTTTCTGCTCTTGTGTTCTAGCTTGAGAATAGGCTTATTTCCCTTCTCTCTGGGACCTTGGTCTTTTTGGCAAATCTTGTCTTAATTTTGTTTTACTCTTCTCAGAAGGCTCCAAGGGATCTGTGAAACCACTTCTTTCACTTGACTTTCTCCTGGGCTTCTCATCCTTCTATCAGCACAAGCCCCAGCACATCAGTCATTTCAAAGAACTTCCTTTCTCTCCAGGAATTTGGCCCCTTAAGTCTAAGCTCCTTTCAGTCTGTGGTCACATTAATCCTGGATCCTTAGAGGACTTTTTCTTTCTTCTTGCAGTTAAGGAAATAGGAGGAGTATCAGCTGTATGAGCTTTGGATGGGCCAAGTAAAACATATGTCTTTTGTTTGTAATCTTTTGCCTAGACTTGAGTCACATGATTGCACCAACCACAAGGAAGGCTGGAAAGTGTGGTCTATGCCTGTGCCCAGAATGAAAGAGACAGGTTTTGTGAGCACATAGAAACCTGTGCACTAGCACAGTCTAGATTTAATAAGCTGAGAGATTTAATTTAGGGAGTTTAATAACACTGGAAATGTGGAAGTGACCCAAATGACCTCTGAAGGTGCCTTCGGGCCTAGCGATTCCTATTTGATTTCTAAATGTGGTTTACTAAAGAATTGCATACAGCATGCTGATACACACACAAAAAATAAGAAGACGAAGACATTCTGCTCATTTTTAGGAATTAAATGCTACATTCACAATATAGCATATTCTTGTCTGAGGTGCCAAGAGAGTCTTCGTGATTTAGAATTTACAATGGCCTCCCTTAAAAATACCATTCCTGCACAAATTAATTCAGTGAGTCCTCTGAATATTCAACTTCAATGAGCTGGAATAAATGTTCACTGGAGACTGGATAACTTAAAAGTTTCATCTAGCACAAAGCTAAAATGCCTTTGTATCCAAGGAGAATATTATCTTATTTCAAATTTTCACTGTTGTTAAATTATGGTTTAAGTCTTAACTCCATGTATTTACCACCTCTGAACTTTTAATAGGTATTTGGGGGATGCAAGAAAAGCAAAACCAACGTATCTTTTTAAAAGATATTATATTCTAACTAATGAAACTTAGGTGCAGAAACTGATAATGAAGTAATGCATCTGGAGAAGATCAACATTTGGATGAGAAAACAAGAATCACACAATGAGGGCTATTATTGGTGATTTTTAAAAGTTAATTTATTTTATTTTTAGAGTGGTTTTAGGTTGACAGAGAAACCAAGCAGAAAGTATAAAGAACTCTCATACACTATGGATTAGTTGGGTGCATTTACTACAGTTGATGAACAGATATTGATATATTGTTATTAACTAAAATCTATAGCTTATATTAGGATTCACTTTTTGCGTTGTACAGTTTTATAGGTTTTGACAAATGCATAAAGTCATTTACAATAATATAAAGAATAGTTTTACTGCTATTGTTTTAATGTGAAGTTTTCCTGATGACATTTGATGTTGAACATATTTTCATGTGCTTAATTGCATTTGTATATCTTTTTGATGAGGTATCTGTTCAGATATCTTGCCCATTTTGTAACTGGGTCATTTGTTTTCTTATTATTGACTTTTAAGAGTAGATTGTATATTTTGAATACCAGTTCTTTATCAAATATGTGTTTTGAAAATATTTTCTCCCAGTCTGTTAGTTTGTCATTTCATTCTCTTAACCATGTATTTCACAAGTCAGAAGTTTATTAAAGTCCAAGTTATCAATTTATTCTTTCATGGATTGCACTTTCGTTGCTGTATCAAAAAGTCAAACCTCAGGCCACCCAGAATTTTCATCTATGTTATCTTCTAGGAGTTTAATAGTTGCACATTTTACATTTAGGTTTATTACCCATTTTGAGTTAATTTTTATAAAAAGTGAAGTCTTAGTCTAGTTGTATTTTTTTGTATGTGATGTCCATTTGTTTCAGTATCATTTTTTGAAAAACCTCTCCTTTCTCCATTGAATTACCTTTGCTCTCTTATTTGTTTTTTTGTACAGGAGGGGTGGGGAGGAGGGTGAGGTGGGTGTTTAGGGATTAACTTTGTCTTTAATTTTTAGAGCACATGTAAAACTCTTTGGAGGTGTTTCATAAGTGTAGGAGGAGGTCCAGATGTCCAACTGGGTATTCAAAAGCATTCAGAACGCATTCCCTGTTTACTCTTTTCTAAAACATCATCTATTACATTTATTACTGTACACATACCTGTCTACTTTCTGTTCCTCAAACTCCCCTCAGACTCTCATACCTTCTTTCCTTCTGTACATTGTTCTAATTAGAATGCCTTGCTTTGAATTCACCTGGACACATTTTCTGAAGACTGTGCGGGCAGACAAGAGTCTGTTGACTTTGCAAGTGATTTGTGATGTCCATGTGATTGGTGACATTGAGAACAGCAGTTTCTGTAAGTGAAGGCAGAAAAAGAATACAGAGTAAATTACAAACTCGAGGTGAAGAAATTTGCCGTAAGGCAAAAAGAAGGAAAGCAAGAAAGGTAATAGGTAGTAGCTGGATGGAGATGTGGGACTTAGTAGAATATTTTTGTTTTTGGAAGGGAGTAAATAGAATGTTTGTTTTTGGATAGGGGTCCTTCCTCCTTTGAAGTACTCATAGCTTTATGATACTCCTCTGAAGTACCCACACCTGTTTACTTGTCATATTCCTTACTTTCACTTACAGGTGATTTGATACCAGTCCTCAAGCACCCACCAGAGGGCCTTGTGCACATCGGCCTCTCTGCCAATGCTGTTGAATGAGTGACAGCCTTCTGAGGGCCAGGCACTGATGACCAAGATTAGGAAACTGCAGAGGGTGGTGAGAAGGCATTTGTAGGGAAAGTGGTGTAGGGCCCATGATTATGCAGGGAGGTCAGCACCCTGAGCCACTGCTGGGGGGACTCAACTCATGCTCAAGACATGGCTCTGAGCGGCAACTCATGAGTGCTCAATTTCCAGAGGAAATGTGTGAGTTCCTTTAAAAGTTTTTCCTTCACATTTTTGTTGATAGAAACCTAATTTTGCATTGGAGCAGCAATGTGTCTGGACTGAGAAATTTTGCTGGAAGTTTTCACTCTCAGCATCCCTTGCAGCTAGGGCTGGCCATGTGACTGATATTGGCCAATGATATAAGAAGACATCTACTCTGAGGCTTCTGGGAAAGTTTATATTTTCCAATAAAAGAAGAGAACTTTTATCCCCATTTACATCCTGCATGTCTGGGAGTCTAGGATGAATATGCAGCCTGGAATTGCTGCAGATATATTTAGATTGGAAAAATTATGTGAGGATAAAAATCTAACATAGTGCAAGAGACTGAGTCCTTGATGAACTTATTGAATAAACCCTTAAACGGCCCATTGCACAACTTACTATTAAGTGACTGATTGATATCCTTAAGATTGAAGACAGTGAATTTTCTGTTTCTTGCAGCTGAACACATTCTAATATTAATAAAATTTCTTTCACCTTTTGTCTCAATATTTCTTACTTTTCCCAGAGAGATGAGCAGGAAGAGGGATATTAGAAGAGAGAAAGTGAAAACTGGACTGAAACATTGCTAGCTGGGGATCTTAGGTAATTTGGTTAATTTCCTTCAGCCTCCAGTAAAAACAAAATAATTCAGATGTTCCTACAATTTGGGCAAACCTTATTTTCCACTAACAATATCTGAACAAATGGGATTTTTAGATTAATATATTTATTGATTGTAACGTACTTATTGCTGAGACATGCTGACACCATCAAGCTGTAAAATGCAGTCCGGGTTTCCTGATGAGATAGAGCAGGTCCTATCTCAGTCAATGAGGGGAATAGCACTTCAGATCAAGCACATTTAGGCTTCCTAAAGGAGTCAGGATCAGAAATACGGGCAGTGCCTGCCAGTCAGTGACAGAGAGGGCTCATGTTCTGAAGCAAAAGAAGTCAATGGTATGTCTCGATAAAGCTTGACTATGAACTTATCTCAATTTTCTTTTCAAGCAAGCACGCATCTGATGGTAAGGGCATTCCTTATTGACTGAGCACAGGTTCTCCTCTTAGCTCTTGCTCACCAAATCAGTGTGGAGGTTGCCCCATCTATGAGGAGCTGATGACCAGCTAGTCTTTGTTCGAGGGTCTTGGCATGTGTGTGTGGCTGGGAAAACAACCCAGGACTATGGCCTATCTCCCAGGCTCCTTGATGCCCCCAAGCCAACAGCTCTTTAGATTTTTTCCTGTCTTCCCACCTTGCAGGCCAGCTTTCTCTTTGTAGCTAAAAACAAATTATGGCCTTAATCTTAATTTCCAGAGATAGTAGTTTATTAAATAGGACAGGAATAAATGCAATTAGGTTGTGATGCGTGGAGCTGATCTCAGAACTTGGTTTTCAATCACAATAGCCTCTCTTTAGGCAACTCACTCCTGGTCCTGTTCTCTGCACATGTGGGAATTATAATGAGCACCAAGCAGAATGAATGAAAATAAATCCAGACCAAGAACCACTGAAGAAACTGCAACCCACAAGAGAAAACTAGCCAGAGTATCTGCACAGGAAGGACAAGGAGACTTCTCTTTATAATAACAGAACCCAGAAGACGACCTACAAGGTGAGCATGAGAACTGAAGGTTATTCAAATAAAGATGTTTCTGAGCAAAGGCTAAGTTAACCACTCAAAGACTGAAAGAACTAACAAAATATATGCTTCATGGTGAAATAAACTTAATCCTGAAGAAATAATTAAGACAAACATGAAAACAGAGAAAAAGAAAGTTGTCAGGATAGAGTATATCAAGCAAGAAAGAATTAAATATAGAAACAAGGTGAACTGAAACATCAGGTAGGAAGAAACATGCAAAATGAGGAGAGTGAGTAATTCGAGTTTCAAGAAACTGTATCAAAGTTCTTACACTTGTTGACCAAAAGTGGAAATTATGGATCAACTTTAGACATTTTGAAATAAAGAACATATCCTCAAAGCTTAAGTGTAACCACCAAAAAATGAAAAGGAGATTTATAACTAAATCTCCTGAACCAGTAGAAGTTATACTTATAGAAACCTTAATAAATCTAGCTCATGTGACTTTTCTCTTCTTCCTAGGTTCTGCCCACAGGGGAGATTGTGACCTATTGCTGGCCCCAACACCAAGTCGAAGTTACACATTTGCCTTGGCCTTGCCCTGAGAAGGTGCTGTGACATATTGCTGGGCCCAGCACCAAGGTGATGGGACTCTCCTCTTTCTCCTGGAACCTGTCCACAGTGGGGATTGTGACATATTGCTGGGCCCAGCACCACTGTGATGTGACTCTCCTCTCGTGCCTGGGGCCAGCCCACTGGGGTAATTGTGACATATAACTGGACCTAGCCCCTAGGTTATGTGACTTACCTCTCCTTCCTGAGCCCTGCCCACAAGGGGGCCTCATGACATATCTCTGGACCCCTCACCTAGGTGATGTGAGTCTCTTGCCTGGGCCCACCCCTCAGGGTGTATAGTGACATATTGCTGGACCCAACACCTAGGTGATGTGACTCTTTTCTACTGCTTGGCTCTGCCCAAGGAGAAATTGTGATGTATCACTGGGCCGAGCACCTAGGTGATGTGACTCTCCTCTCCTGCCTGGCTCCAGCCAAAAGGGGGGATTGTGACATATCACTGGACCCAACACCTAGGTGATGGGACTCTCCTCTTTTGCCTGGGCCCACATATTTTGGGTATTGTGACCTGGGTGATGGGAGCCTACTGCTTGAACCCTACCCAGAGGGAGCTTTGTGACATATCTCTGCATCCATCACCTAGGAGATGTGACTCTCCTCTCGTGCCTGGCCCCAGCCAAAAGGGGGGATCGTGACATGTCACTGGATTCATCACCTAGGTGATGGGACTCCTCTTTTGTCTTGGTCCCACATACTGTGGGTATTGTGACATAATGCTGGGCCCAACACCTGGGTGATGGAAGGCTCCTGCCTGGGCCCTGCTCACAGAGAGCCTTGTGACAGATCTCTGCATCCATCATCACCTAGATGATGTGACTCTCCTGTTCTGCCTGCACCCTGCCCATGGGGAAGATTGTAACATATCCCTGGGTGCTGTTCCCAGTCTTGCCTCATGGCCTTTGCCCCAGCTGTGTCCTCTGCCCTGCAGGATGCACCTCTGCTCCGTGTGGCTCCCTCCCACTCTCACTCTCCAAATGCCCCGAACCCCTGAGCCCCACTGCAGCCCCACTGTACCCTGGCTCTGCAGCGCTGCTTCTTCATGATGTGTGTCTTCCAACAGCAGACGGGGCCATGAATGTGGATGCCTCATTCACTGCTGTGTGCCGGCATCCAGAGCAGGACTGGAGCCCAGAGCAGGCACCTGACTGATAGTTGTTGAATGAGTACAGTAATGAATGACAATGAAAGCACTGTGTAGAAACACTGGCTGAATAGTACCTAGAAAGAGAATGTCTCAAATACCTACATTAGCAATGAAAAAAACACTGCTAATTAATGAACTAAGCATCTAATTCAAGAAACAAAGCAACACATCTAACTTATAGAAAAAGTGAAAAAAATAAAAAACATAAGATCAAAAACTGATGGAATGAGAGCATCAAGAAAAACAAGTTCCTTCTTTGAAAAGCGCTGTTCAATAATACCTTCTGCAACGTGAGGACATTCTGTGCTAACTCAGCAGCCACTAGTCACGTGTGTATTCAGTACTTTAAATGCAGCTAATCCTCTCACTGAGGATCTAAATTTTTAATTGTATTTAAGTTTAATTTTAATCCATTTAAATAGCCATATAAGGCTAGTGATACTGCATTTGACAGCACAGTTCTAGAATATTTCAATACAGTGTTCCCAAGTTGACATGTATAATAATTATTGTGGGAACATAATGGGGGATAACTAGATACACCCTAAATGACTACCAGCAGTAAAAGGCATTAATAAATTGTGATAGATTCATGTAATATAAAATTAAAGTTAAAAATGATTTACTAGAGCTGTGCAATTGAGTGATGTACAAATCCTAATGCTCAACTGCTTCAAACCTACAATAACAGCAGTTTCAAGGATTTCAGCCTAATACATTTATAAATATATTTAAATTCCAAAAATATTCAATTCTGTGTCAAAAGCAAATTGCACAATCATATTTAGAGTAACATGTTACTAAATATTATTTAGAGTAACATTTTAAAACTCTACAAATTAGCACTTTATGTTTTGAGGATGGGAATAGATGCAGAACAATTGTTTATTGATACTTGACACAAATGTTCCTATCTCTGGATGAGGGACACGGATGCCCTCAAGGAGGGGTATGCGAGATCCTCAGATTGCTTAAAAATCTGAAGCCAACGGACAACATATTCAAACTTGCTAAAGCTGGTGGTGAGGAAATGGGTGTTCATTATTTTATACAATTTCTCAAGTAATAAGAAGGAGACAACAGGAAAGGGAAGGAAAATAAATCAAGTCTCCAGTGCTCTGTTTCCACAGCCTCTGCAGTAGACTTCCTGGAGCCCTTGACTGTGGTTGCAGCACAGGAGGCCTGTGCCTTGCAGAGGCAGCAGGCACAGGCGGCCAGGAACATGGCCTCATCTTGCCCATCTCCTGTAGAATGGGGCCCTTTCGGTGTGAGGAGGGCATGAGGAAGCATCAAGGAGAGCGTGGACAGGCTGCGAATCCCTTAGTGTCCCCTCTCAGTCTCCCTGGAAGACTACAGTGAGGGTCTCAGGTCACCTGGCTGAATCTCACATCACAGTGAGCAGCGTAGCTGGGCCTGCCACCACCATGGAGTGAAGGACCTCTCATAAATGGCTTGGAATCATCCACCTATCATATAATGCACACACCAACCAGGAAGGTCCAACGCACATCTTGTTACTTCCAGGAAATCACTTTCTGCCCTGCAGACCTCTCCCTTCTCCAAAGGCCATGTCTGCCCGATCCCCACTTATCAAAGGCAACTGGCCCCATCCACCTCACTGCCTGGCACATGCAGCCAGCACAGGGCCACCTCTCCTGCTGTGACGGGGCTTATGTCACCACTCTGCCTGCCCCTTTGGTGTAGTTTTCCTTGCTCTTGTTTTCTCTGGGAAAGGAGGTCTCACACAGGTGGACATTAGATCATGGTCCTGCAGTGGGGGAGCTTCTGGGATGAGGCTTCCTCAGCTGAACCCCAGATGGGACCAGCCGGCTCAGTGCCAGGCAAGGAAGAGCTTCAGCCTCCCTTTCTGGGGCAAAGCCTGTGCCTGGGAGTTCATGGCATGAAGGGACAGAACCAAACGAGGGTCCCCCAATGTGGCAAATCCCCAAGAGAAAAGAAGGAGAAGCTAACTGAACACATGCACCCAGCTTCTACTCCCAAATGTACCAGTTAGATAATTCACTCCTCCTTCCCTCACAGAGAGTGTGGGGGCAGAGAGGAGGCCCTTCTGCATGGAATGAACAGCTAAGACCTTCCCCTTATTTATGTTGTGTTGGTATTTGTTGCTATTTTGGCCAGCAAATGGGCTAGGCCATTTGTATTCACTTCTCCTTTTGCCCTCCCCTCAGTAGCACGAGGTATGAACTTTCCTTAGAATAGAGATGACAGTAACAGTGGGTATCAGAGCTGTGCTTAAAATCCAAGTCCAACTTGGAGCCAGAGCTTCTGCTGGAGAGCAGACTGCTCTGTGACTGCAGGTACGAGGTGCGGAAATGAGGGCCTGTGGGCCCTGGGTGCAGACCCCATGCGTGGGCCTGGACCCAGCTCTGTTCGTGGGATTGTGGGTAGGCTGGATGCTGGGGGTGGGAACCCCACTGTCAACAGTCATGGATTGGCCTGCCCTGAATCCTGTGAATGCCGCTGTAGGGGAGGGGACCGGGAAGGGAGGAAGAGGCTGCTAGCTGATCTTGGTATAGGACTCTCACTGTGATTCCAACCTCTCTGGAGACAGATCAGCACTGGGTGGGATGTCAGGGCTGAGCTGACACAGTTCTCTCCCCACAGTCAACTCCACCAAGGGTCAGTTGTTCTGGTGGAACGACTGTGTGCCCATAGTCTAAGATAAATTATCAACAACAAGTCTGTTTAATGAGCACAGACATTTGGTTGAGAGCATAATGAAAATAAATCTGCAAAGCATTTTCAGCTGATTTCCCCATTTAGGGTCTGTCATATTAGCATGGCTTTCTGGTTTACAAAATAAGCCTACATGAAGGCACAATTAGAACCTCCTGAAAAATCTTTATTCCCTTTCCTTGTTGATTTAAAATATGGCTTTCCTTATTCTTCCTCAGCACCCTGGCACAGAATGCAATGTGCTCCTAACCCCACCCTGTCTGCTCAGCCCACTGAGGACTACAGGAATGAAAGCCTGGGCTCTGCCAGTCACTGGGCAGGTGCAGAGAATGCTGTTGGGGCAATCCTGGCATGGGTTGCTGCCTTCTAGAACCTGTGTGTGGATTCAGATGTCACTGTCTCTCAGGATTTTGGCAGGAGAGCTAATTTTGATACAAGATACACAAAGAGAAAGCATACCTCTCTTTTCACAGCCAAGCACAAGGCTGCAATGTACAAGGGATACAGAGATCCGACCACTGAACGCCTTACATTTTATGCACAAAATGCCTCCCTTCTCAGATTTAAAAAATAAAAAAAAGCAAGTGGGCTGGGCACAGTGGCTCATGCCTGTAATCCCAGCATTTTGGGACACCAAGGCAGATGGATCGCCTGAGGTCAGGAGTTCGAGCCCAGCCTGGCCAACGTGGTGAAACCCCATCTCTACTAAAAATACAAAAAATTAGCCAGGCGTGGTGGCATGCGCCTGACATCCCAGCTACTCGGGAGGCTGAGGCAGAAGAATTGCTTGAATCTGGGAGGTGGTGGTTGCAGTGAGCCAAGATTGTGCCATTGCCCTCCAGCCTGGGTGACAGAGCAAGACCCCATCTCTAAGTAAATAAATAAGCAAGTTATGATTTATTTCCACAAATTATGCCAGAGGTGGGGGATGGGAGCATGCCAAGGTTGTGCCCCCACTCTATTTTCTAACTTCTTTATAAGGACTTTCAAATAGAAAAAAGTGGAAAGAACTTGAAAGCAAACACCCGGATACCTGCTTTAGTTCATTTTCTGCCACTCTAACAATACCAGAGACTGGGTGATTTACAATGAACATAAATTTATATAGCTCATGATTCTAAAGGCTGGCAAGTCCAGGAGCATGGTGCTGGCATCTGGTGAGGGCCTTCCTGCCGATTCATGACAGAGCAGAAAGCATCACATGACTAGACAGCAACAGCATGCATGACAGCTCAGCTGTCGCTCCCTCTTCTTATAAAGCCATCAGTTCTGATGACCTCTGTAAATCCTAATTACCTCGCATGGCCCCACCTCCCATCAACATATGAATTTACGGATTAAATTTCCAGTACATAAAATTTGGAGGACGCAATCAAACCAAAGCATTAGTCCCTCACCCCTAAAATTCATGTCCTTCTCACATGCAAAATACATTCACCCCCATCCCAATAGCTCCAATGTCTTGACTCATTCTGGCATCAACTCAAACATTCAAAGTTCAGAATCTCACTTGAATCAGATACATGTGAGACTCAAGGCATGATTCATCCCATGGCAAATCCCATCCAGCTGTGAGCCTTTGTAATCAAAATGAGTTGTCTACTTTCAAAATACAATGATGGGACAGGCATGGGATAGATATTACCATTCAAAAGGGAGCAACAAGAAAGAAGAACAGATAACTGGTCCCAAGTACAAAACCCAATTGGGAAAACAACATTAAGTCTTAAGACTCCAGAATATCCTTTCACTCTATGTGCTGCCTCCCGGACACACTAGTGGAAGGGTTGGGCCCGCAAGGCCTTAGGCAGCCCCACCCCTGTGGCTTTGGTGGGCTCAGTCCACACTTCAGTGCTTCCAGGCTGGTGTTGCATGCTGGGAACTCTACAGTTGTGGGGTCCTGGTGGTGGTCCCAACTCTGTAGCCTCATTAGGCATTGTCCTAGTAGGCACTCTCTGGGGTGGCTACACCCCTGCCACAAGTCTCTGCATGGGCCCCCAGGTTGTTGATATATCCTATGCAATCTCAGTGGAGGCTGCTGTGCCTCCACAGCTCTTGCTTGCATTCTGCACACCTGCAGAGTTAGCACACCATGGTCTTCACCAAGGTTTATGACTTGTACCTTGCAGGGTAGTGGGTCAAGCTGCACCTAGACTCACTAGAACCACAGCTGGTGCAGCCAAGCATTACTGCACCAGAATACAGGGATCAGAGACTGGACCCAGGCTGTAGCTCATCTGCTGAAATTGTATGTGCTGGAAGTTTAATTGCTGAATTCATTTTGATTGGAGGCAGGCCATTGAGAGGTCATTAGGACTTTAAAAGATCATTAGGATGAAGCCCTGGTGATGGAACTGCTGGTTTCATAAAAAGAGGAGGAGACACCTGAGCTGTCATGCACAGTGTTGCAATCAAAGATCTCTAAAATGCCTTCGAGTTTTTCCCCCATTGTTTTGATGAATAGCCTCTGGCTTTGTTCTATCCACACTAGTTTTCTTATCAGTCAGTCACTTGGTCACACTCTTGGTTTCCTCTGCTGAAAATGCTCTTTCATTCTCTACCGCATGGAAAGGCTTTTTTTTTTTTTCAAATCTTTATATACTGCTTCCCTTTTAATTATACATTCCATTTCAAGTCATTTTTTAACTCCCACATCCCACTGTCTACAGTTAAAAGTAGCCATGCAGCAGTTAGAATGCTTTGCTCCTTAGATGGTTCTGCCAGATATCCTAGTTCATCACTCTTAAGTTCTACATTCCATAAAGCTCTTGAGCATGGATACAATTCAGCCAAGGCCTTTGCAACTGTATAACAAGAATGGCAAGGATGGCCTTTACCCTAGTGTCCAATACCTTGTTACTCAGTTCATCTGAGACCTCAGCAGAATGGCCTGTACTGCCCAGATTCCTATCAACATTTTGGTCATGGCCACTTAATCTCTAAGAAGATTCAGGCTCTCCCTAGTCATGAAGTATTCCTCTAAGTCCTCACCAAAATTGCCCTTAGTGCTCCATTCATGTCTTTACCAATTAGTCATTTCCAAAACTTTCCAGGTATTTCCACATTTCAGGTATTTACAGCAACCTTTTCAGGTATTGATAGCAACAGCTGGGTACCAATTTTTTGTCTTAGTTGGCTTTTTGTTGCTATAATTGAATAACTCACACTGGATATAAAGGAAAAATTTACCTCTTACAGTTCTGGGGGCTGTGAAGTCCAAGATCAGGTGGCTGTGTCTGGTCAGCTTCTGGGGAGGGCTTTGTGCTGCATCATGATATGGTTGAAGGCAACACAGTGAGAGAGCAAGAGCATGTGTGTCAACTCAGGTCTCTCTCCTTCATCTTACAACCCCACAAGCCCATCATGGTAACCCCAGCCTGATGACTTTATCTAATTCCAATTAGCTCCCCAAAACCCCACCTTTGATCAGCAAGGGAATTGGGGGATTACATTTTCAACACATGAAACTTGGGAGATATATTTATACTACAGCATTACTTATCACCTAACCTCCACAATCAGTAGTTTGCTTTCTTTGTTTTAATCAGTTTCTATCCGTCCATCAAATAATCTTATTTTCAATCCTTTTCAAGGCAAGTTGCAGACACCCTGACAGAGCATCCCAAATACTTCAGCATGTGTAATATTAACTAGCACTCTACATGTGTTCATGGTTCTTGTTTCTATAGATAAATTTATACAAAGTGGAATACACAGAGCTTCTGTGTACCATTGCATGTGTACGGTACAATGTGCACAGCTGTGTAAGACAAAACCTCTTCAAGATGTAGAACATGACTCCACCCCAGGAAGTACCCCCTGCCCCATGCATCCATCCTCACCCTCATCTCCACAAAGGCTGTTCTCCATGGTTTCATGTTTTCAGAACAAAAAATGTTTTCCCTCATTCAGAATTTCACATGAGAATTTATACTCTGCATAGTCTTCTGTGTACAGCTTCATTTATTCTAGTATTATGTTTTTGAGACTCTTTTACATTATTGCATGTAAACACACTTTGTTCCTTTTAATTTCTGAGTAGTATTTTATTGTATGAATAGATTCCAGTTTATTTATTCACTCTCCTGTTGATAGATACCTGTGATGTCTCTATTTTTTGCTATTTTGAATAAATGTAACATAAAAATTCTTGTATATGGCTTTTTTTGGAAGACATGTTTTTATTTTTCTTGGATAAAATAAATTCCAAGCACATTTATGTAGCCTCCATGAAAGGCCCCACAACAGAGGGTGGAGTGCATCGTAAAAGAAATCAGGGCTATTTCTGACCCTGGGGCCACAGTGCTGCAGGGAGCTAGACTCACCTCCACCTCCTCACCCTTTACCCAGGACACCTAGAGTTTGCTGGAAAGAGTTGGACAGGAATGGAGCCAGAGTTTAATCTTTTCCGACGGTGAGGAAGTGATTGCTTTTCTCTTTAGTCTATGTCTGTGGACATGCTGGAGACATGCCACTCCAGGCAGGCAGCTGGGACCCTAGCAATGGAACCTTATGTCCCCAGTCAGTGGGGCCTGGCAGAGATTTCTGATCCAAAGAAAACACTGCTACCCTGAGTGACTCAAGAGTATAAAGGGTTAGGTCTCAGTCCAGGTTTCTGACCCAACATACAACCCGCATTGACTCTGTGTGTTCAATATACACCACCCAGTAGTAAAATCAAGAATAAACAACCTTAACCAACTCTATCTTAATTACAGAAAAGTTATTACATTTATACAAAATAATACCCTCACAGCAGAAACAGTGCACAAATCAGTACATGCACCATCAGCCATCTGATCCCCAAACGCTCTTTTTTCTAACCCTACACCCCAAACTCCATGTCTCAGAAAACAATAATTGGTTATTATTATCCCTCACAGTTCTGTGGACTAATTGGGCACAGTGAGTGGTTCTCTCTCTGGGTCTCTCAAGTCGTTTAAATCAGATGGTGTTTGGCCTGGAGTCATCCAAAAGGCTTGCTCACTCACAGGTCTAGACATTGATGCTTGATGGCACCTCAGGAGGGGATGCTGGGCAGAATGCTTACATGGGACCTCCCTGTGTGGCCACAACAAAATGTGGCTTCCTCCTGGCTTGGCAGCTGGGTTCCAAGAGCAAGCATCACAAGGCAGAGAGAGCCAGGCTGAAGCAGTAATTCTTTTTAAGACCCAGCCTTGGAAGTCACCCAGTGCCACCACATTCTATTCAGTTGAGAGGAATTACCAAGGCCAGGACACACTCAAGGAAAGGGGACTCGGGCTCCACTTCTTGCTGGGAGGCATGTCAAATAATTTTTAGATGTGGTGTGAAGTCATCAGTTTTTTAAAAAGCCCTATGCACTGTACTGCCATAGGAAAACAAAACAGAGAGCCAGGCGCTTGGGTGTCCATGCTTAGAGAATGAATGTGTACATGCTTAGAGATCCTGACCTGCAGATGTCACCAGAGCTGTGTTTCTTGTAAGACTCTACAGGATGCAGGGATGCTGTTAAACACAGCCACCACCCTTGGCTGCTCGGTCTGTCTGGGCATGTGCCGCACTCACTGCTCCCATCATTAATATGCCAAAAGGGGTCCATGCCACTCCCCACTTGCCTTTTTTCTCACAGCAACATGGAATGGGACAAGGGAGTCTCTGGCATCCTTGGCAAGGGCAGTGGTCAGTGAGCCTAAGAATGTGCTAAGTGGTTGTTGGAGTTGATGTTCTCTGTAACTCCTAAGGAAAGGAAGCTTGTGGCTTGCAGTGTCCGTGTGCAGGATGTGAGTCAGATCTAAAGGAATAGATTCTTACTGTCACTTTTGATATTCCCTAACTCCCTAACCCTAAATCTAATTCATGAGGCGAGACTTCCCCAGTAAAAGGAACCACTTGCTAAGACAACAACAGCAAATGCCTGTGTTCTATGTGGCCAGTTCCCTTCCTCTGAGTCCCTGGTAGACACGACTAGCTAAAAAGATAATTGTTTTCTTGCTGTGCCTAAAAGTATGCATATGTGTGTGTGTGTGTGTGTGTGTGTGTGTGTGTGTGTGTGTGTGACTATGGATAGAAAATTCAATGGCAAAAAGAATGCACCTATTGCACTGGGCAAGCAACGTAACTTTTCTGAGTCCCAGGTTGCTTTCCTGTGAGACAATATTAATGCCTGCCTGTGGACTTCTGCGAATTGAATGCATCACTAGGGATTTTGAAGCAGGAGGGGCTGTTGTTATTTGTGATCAGCACTGCATGGCAAGGCGGGCAGCGGGAGCCCCGCCGCAGGCTTCTGTAAAGAAAGCTGCTGGCTGAGCGCTCCCAGTGTGGCAGCAGCTGGCACGTCTTGTCCT
Source organism: Homo sapiens (assembly GCF_000001405.40). Taxonomy (NCBI): domain Eukaryota; kingdom Metazoa; phylum Chordata; class Mammalia; order Primates; family Hominidae; genus Homo; species Homo sapiens. The sequence continues at coordinate 129,233,369 of NC_000002.12, read as the reverse complement.
CTAGGGTGTTGGGACCCAGTGTACCATCCAAGGCTGGGCTGGCAGCTTCTCTGTCTATTCTTCAGTCGAATAAATGTCTTTCTTGTCTTAATTACCTCCTTGAGGGCTGAGCATGCCGGTTCTCAAGCTAAAGGGCTAGAGCACTGGAAAGTGGGAATTGTAATAAAAAAGCAACCCTCCCTTCAAGTGGTACTTCTTCCTAATAATGAAGGCTCTATGCATGCTCTCGTCTTGTAAATAACTTCTACCTGGGTCCTATTCGCCTCTCAGCAGCTTTTTAGGAGATTTTGTTGCAAAACATTTTCCACAGAAGTGGAACTGAGACAAAAACAAGGAATGTACTGATACAGTGTTCCTTTTCAGGGTAGGTAGTGGGTGTGGGGAGGGGATAGAGGAGGAGAGGAGAAACTAGCTTGCAAGCTCCAGTTTTTTTTTTTCTTTTTTATTATACTTTAAGTTCTGGGATACATGTGCAGAACATGCAGGTTTGTTACATAAGTATACACATGCCATGGTGGTTTGCTGCATTCATCAACTAGTCACCTACATTAGGCATTTCTTCTAATGCTATCCTTCCCCTAGCCCTCCACCGCCTGACAGGCCCCAGTGTATGATGTTCCACTCCCTGTGTCCATGTGTTCTCATTGTTCAACTCCCACTTATGGATGAGAACATGCGGTGTTTGGTTTTCGGGGGTTCCTATGCTAGTTTGTTGAGAATGATGTTTTCCAGCGTCATACATGTCCGGGCAAAGGACATGAACTCATCTTTTATGGCTGCATATGGCTCCATAGTGTATATGTGCTACATTTTCTTTATCCAGTCTATCACTGATGGGCATTTGGGTTGGTTCCAAGTCTTTGCTATTGTGAATAGTGCTGCAATAAACATCTGTGTGCATGTGTCTTTATAGTAGAATGATTTATAATCCTTTGGGTATATACCCAGTAATGGGATTGCTGGATCAAATGGTATTTCTGGTTCTAGATCCTTGAGGAATCGGCACACTGCCTTCCACAATGGTTGAACTAATTTACATTCCAACCAACAGTGTAAAAGCGTTCCTATTTCTCCACATCCTCTCTAGCATCTGTTGTTTCCTAACTTTTTAATGATCGTCATTCTAACTGGCGTGAGATGGTATCTCATTGTGGTTTTGATTTGCACCAGTTCCAGGGGGCATGGCTGAGAAAATGACAGGTGCAGTGAGAGAAGGCCTGGCCAGCAGGATCATTGCTGCTGGGAATCCATCCCACCTGTGAGCCCGCACCCTCAAAACCCATCTGATCCGATCTCCAGTGAGAAATAGGAGCACTCGTGGAAACCTTCTAGGCCATTTAATCCACTGGCCTCTTTCAACAGATGCAGAACCCAAGGTTACCTACCCAGCTTGAGTAGGCGTGTGGTCTGGAAACCAGCTCTCCAGACTCCAAATGTAGGAAAGAGACTCGAAAACAGTAAAAAGAGCTAACATGTTTAAAGTATTTACTTTTTCCAAGCACTGCACTACACATATGAGACCACATAAGTCATTTTAAGAACTCTAGGCTGGGTGTGGTGGCTCATGCCTGTAATCCCAGCACTTTGGGAGGCTGAGGCGGGTGGATCACCTGAGGTCAGGAGTTAGAGACCATCTGGCCAACATGGAGAAACCCCATCTCTATAAAAATACAAAAAATTAGCTGGGTTTGGTGGCGTGCACCTGTAATCCCAGCTACTCAGGAGGCCGAGGCAGGAGAATCACTTGAACCTGGGAGGCGAAGGTTGCAGTGAGCTGAGATCACGCCATTGCACTCCAGCCTAGGCAACAAGAGTGAAACTCAGACTCCACACAAACAAACTTTATATGGTAACCACATGTGTTAACCTCATTTCACAGAGGACAGACCTCAAACACAGCAAGTTAGAAAGAATTGTCCATGTTTAGATGCCACAAATTAAGGCGACCAGGATGCCCCTAGTAATTTTTCTTAGAGCCTGCACCTTTATCCACTACACTTCGATAACAGTCTAGTCATGATAGCAGTTGCTGTTACTGATATCCTGCTGTAGGACAGGCAGTATACCAGGGGCCGTACATGCACCATCCTATTCAGCCTCTACATCAGCCTTGTAACATCCATCTTTCACAAATGAGAAGAACTGAAACTCAAATCATTAAATCCAGGGCCCTCTTCCACTTACTTGTGCTCCTGAAGGCAGGGTGCCCTGGAGTGGCAAGGACATATATCTGACTGCTTTCCTTGCTTCTTCATTCTCAGCCAGTTGCATATGAATATCTCTATTATACAAACACTACTTTAAATCATCTTCAGTCTCCTGGGATCAAGGAAAGAAAAGTTTAAAATGTAGCACTACTTATCCGGTGTTCAGCTAGTTTAAGGTCTTTCTAGATTTGGCTTGGGAGGTCAAGAGGATAATTACAGCCTATTTGGCATATCAAAGAATGAGAAAAACTTATTGAACAGGGTAAGGACAGAAGTCTTCTGTTTTTTGTTTGTTTTGTTTTGTTTTAGATGGAGTTTCCCTCTGTCACGAGGCTGGAGTGCAGTGGCATGATCTCAGCTCACTGCAACCTCCACCTCCCAGGTTCAAGCAATTCTCCTGCCTCAACCTCCCGAGAAGCTGGGACTACAGGCGTGCAATGCCATGCCCAGCTAATTTTATATTTTTAGTAGAGACGGGGTTTCACCATGTTGGCCAGGATGGTCTCAATCTCTTCACCTTGTGATCTGTCTGCCCCAGCCTCCCAAAGTGCTGGAATTACAGGCGTGAGTCTTCTGTTTTATAATAAAGCATTTGGCTGGCCTTGTCCCCGATTCCTGGCAGGTGTCCTCTATGTCCCTGGAATGATAGGAGTGTCTGTTATTCACGGCAGGCCCCCTCAGATCACACCTGAGTTGAGTTTATGTTAATGAGGTAACTCAAGTGGGCACCAAAATACTTTCAGAAAAGGGGTGGACCATGCTGAACAGACCAACCATGTGATTAGAGATTGGGGTTTTGAGCCAGCTGAGCTTGGCCTGACCTCCCAGGAGAGGAGGGGGACTGCAGACTGAGTTTAATCATGTGGCCAATGATTCAGTCAGGCCTATGTGATTAAACTGCTGGGAAAACTGGCCCCTGAGGCTCGGGTGACTTTGTCTGGTTGGTGATGTACACAGTCGTGCTGGGAGAGGGTACACCCTGAAGCCATGAAGCTTCACGTGCAGAACCCTCCAGAGTTCACCCGTGCAGTCTCCTTTTTACTGGTTCAGGCTTGTATCCTTTTGCTACAATAAAACTAAGCACATAAGGAGGGTGCTTCCCTGAGTTCTGTGAGCTGCTCTAGCATATTATCAAACCTTAGGAGGCAGCAGGAACACCCAAATTTGTAGCCAGTTAGTCAGAAGTCAGCTGGTATCTGAAGTGAGAGCAGTCTTACAAGCCGAGCCTTTAACCTGTGACGTCCGTACAAACTCTGAGTATGTGGTGTCAGAAATGCATTCTACCTGTTTCTTCCCAAAGTGGAGATGTGCAAGAGCTTTTCAGAACAAAGGGCAAAGGCCCTTTTTGTTCATCACAACAAAAAGAAGGCTACGAAGGACTCTGTGGGTTCAATATCCCCCCAGTAGTAATATCAAAAACAACCTTAACCAACTCATCTTAACTACAGAAAAGTTATTACATTTATACAAAATAATACCCTCACAGCAGAAACAGTGCACAAATCAGTACATGTACCATCAGCCATCTGATCCCCAAACACTCTTTTTTCTAACCCTACACCCCAAACTCAGTGTCTTGGAAAACAATAATTGCTTATTATTACCCTTCACAGTTCTGTGGACTAATTGGGCCTAGTGAGTGGTTCTCTCTCTGGGTCTCTCAAGTCATTTAAATCAGACGGTGTTTGGCCTGGAGTCATCCAAAAGGCTTGCTCACTCACAGGTCAAGACTGATGCTGGATGGCACCTCAGTAGGGGATGCTGGGTAGAATGCTTACATGGGACCTCCCTGTGTGGCCGTGGCTTCCTCCTGGCTTGGCAGCTGGGTTCCAAGAGCAAGCATCGCAAGGAAGAGAGAGCCAGGCTGAAGCAGTAATTCTTTTTATGACCCAGCCTTGGAAGTCACCCAGTGCCACCACATTCTATTCAGCTTGCAAGCTGATGTGAGAATTCATGTAAAAAATGGATGGTAAGAGACAAATAGATTGCTTAGCACATAGAAGGTCTTCAGTAAAATATTGGAATACAAAAACATTGCTCAACTTCCAAGGCATAGCCAACATTATGGCCCCCATATGTTCTCCCAAAATTCTGCTTGCCAAAGACCTCCATCTGAGTTGAGTCACCCTGGGACCTTGAGAGCCAGTCCATCAAGAGAAGGGACCCAGTGTCTCTTAGGGATGATGGGTTGGATGGGTTGTGGGAAGCAGGAGGTCCCTCATGACATGGAAGACAGCTGCTGCAGAGGCTTGTTGAGGGTGGGAGCCAGACTGCAAGGGCATGAGGAGAGGGTGCTGAGGATGCAGATGAAGCTTAGCTGCACAGTGGCAGGGTGGTGGTTTGAGAGGGGAGGAAGGTCAACTTTTAGTTCAAAAACTTCCAACTCAGAGATTGACTGGATCTAATGACAGTCAAGTGATTTCCACAAATGAAAGATTTTCTTTTATAATTCCCCAAATTGGTTTGTAATGAAGAGACTCAATCCTAGCCTTATGCAAATCTGGAGCACTTACATCTAATTCTTTGTTCCAGCCCCAAGGAAGAAATGCATCAGTAAGTGTCACTTACTGATCACCTACCACATGCCAGACATCTCATGTGCTTTATGCATTAGGTAATGCAGGAGCTCCTCCAGGAAGGAATTCCTAGTCTCATTTTACAGGTGATGACTCTGAGGCTTACAGAGTCCTCCTTATCTGCTCAAAATCAAAAAAGGAATTAGTGGAGGGCTCTGTTGGATGCCCTTTGATCTTTTCACTACCCCACAATATTTCTGTAGACTTGGTGGAAGAAGATGTGGGTACCTAACCAAAGAATTCAGATTATTTAGTCCACAAGGAGGAGGAAGGAAAGAAGATTATAGAATTGTGCAGGACCTAAAGAGGAGAACATGGATTTCAAGTTCATTCCTTGTCCCACATCTTAGAACTCCTGTGGTAGTTCCAAACCTGTCAAAATGCTTATAACCAAGACATGTCAAAAATTAGAAACTGTTATGAGATTTAGCTAATTGGCTAAACTAATTCAACTGAATTATCAACAACTGTTAAGAAGAATTCTGTTTGTGTGTCAGCTAGATCTCTGAGCTGTTGCAGTGAAGTTGTGAGCATCCTCGTGAGGCCTTACATAAACCACTCGTGTGCCCCACCCACACATGGGAGTATTAACTGACAGGACCAGTTCAATGCAGAGGCGGGGAGTCCAAACCTAATCCACTCATGTGCAGCTGAAATGTTCTGGTATCTATATTTAAGAAGTAAAGAGAGTTAAGTATATGAGTATACTTCTATACTTACTATATTTAAGCATATTAAGTATGATATAGATGCTTATATGTAAGTGTGGGAGTGAATATTTAATGATTTTCATGTCTAATGCTAGCTTTCTAGTAAACTTTATTCTCTTATGCAGGTTTTGGGGGAGCTGGCTGACATATTCCATTTTAATCATCCCCAATCATTATCAGTCATGGGGTTTGTTTCCAAAGTGGTATGAAGTGAGAAGAGACTATATACTGAGGCTGGACGAGGAGCCAAAAGTTACGTGGAAGGCCAGGAGCAGGACTGTGAACCAGAGGGGACGTTGTCTTAGGCAGGAAACAGGACCCAGAGTGGGAGGCAGGTGGGACCAGGAAGAAGCAGCTGGAATGGTGCTGCAGGGGTGTGGGGCTGGCTCCATAGGCCCAGCTTCATAGCCTAGATCTCCCTCACAGCTGCCGAGTGAGTGTGGCCACCTTGCCCCAGCTACAGCATCCCATTCATTCGGACACGCTGCCTCCCTCACCCTTTTCTGCATTTGAAATATGTCTTTCTTCTACAATAATCATGATTTTTATTTCTTAACAGTTCATAAAACAGATGTCTTACAGTTAATAGTGTCAATTTCAATAAACAGAATCCGAGCCTTGATTTTATTATATGTAAAATGCTAAAGATGATACTTAACTCACAGAATCCATAAGAGAAAAAGCAAGATAACATGTATAATACATATGCCAAAAAAACACAGATGTTATTATTGCATATTATAATCATCGAGTATCTGCAATTGATGTGTCAGACTAGCTTAAAGCCCACCGTGCTGAGAGTGACATTTTTTAACAAATTTACTGTTAACCTAGACTTTTGCTTTGTCACTCTTGAACATAGTCAATCATCCATTGGGTTGACAAATGGTCTCCATTTTCCACACATCCATCCACCCATCCATCTATTCATCCATGCATCCATCCAGTCACTCCATTAATATTTGTTATCTTTTCACTTTCTTTTTACATTTCACCTCCAATATACTTCTTCCTCTAAAGTCATTCCTTAGGAGTGCATTTCCACTTCCTAATGAGAAGAAACATCTCCCTCCTGCCTAACCTCTCTTGGCCCTCACAGACAGTTATTTTATCACCCTCTTTCTTTTATCACCCTCCAGACTGAATGAAGCCCATTTGTTTCACCTTCTTGGAGAGGTTTTCTCTCACAGCCTATTTCTCATTTAAAAAAATAAGCTCTTGGAGTAAAGGTTAGGAAAAGTAATATCAGTAGCAGCTCTTCGCGCGGGGGAAGCACCTAGTCCTCTGGACTTCCTTCCCTGAGCTTCAGGGAAACTCAGCAAGAGAGCTGCAGGTTAATAGTCTGGCAGAGGAGGCAGCTGAGTGTCGCTCAAGAGTGTTATTACCTGGGGAAATGAAAAGAAATTAGAGAGATCCCCCTTTCACCTGTCTGTCTAGGTTCTGAAAACTGCCCAACACAGAGACTTTCCATGATGGGAAAATATCTGCAGGATACATTTGACATTCGCAGGGAAGGGCTTTTATTCCCTTTTTCAAAATCCAGCAATTAAGCCTTGCCTCCAGGGCTCACTCTTGCATTCTCACTTTGAAAGTATTAAATGCTGTCTGCTCCTCACTTGCTGGGGCAACACGCAGAGGTAAGAGAAAACTCTTACATGAGCTACTTCTGTCACTGTAGCACTCAGAGCCCGTTTGCAACCACATCACCACATTACAGAGGTGTGTTAGTGGTGGGAAGTTTGGAAGGGCCTCTATCCAGGGTTTCCCAGCCTGTGCCTCCTTGGCACATGGCTCTGTGGAATAAATATAAGCTCTATACTCATGTGAAGTTGAGAGATGTTGGGATATGTGTAATTCCACAGGCGTTTTTTTTTTCTGCTGAAATTTCTCAAGTTGTTAATATGCTGACATTCATTTTAAATTTCCAGGAAGAAAATACAATTAAAATATTTCATAAATATATTTGAACCTTGAACTCTTCTGGCACTCCTATTAGCATTTCCTAAAAGCAATGTGGCAGGAAAAGGAGTGCTGTAGGTACTGTTACAAACCAACGCTCATAGATGGAGAAGATGCAGCCTGACTTTTGAGAAGGAGCCATGGTCACATGGGAAAAGCATGACATGGCATGGTGAGAACCCAGGTCTCTTGTCTCCCTGCACAGCCGCTGTGGAAGTCTGCTTCTTGTCAAACATGTTACCAATATGTTTTACTGCTAAGATAAAAGAAATCCAGAGGAATAGGAACACGTCCTCTCTCTTCTGTGATATGCCACTGTGGTCAAGAAAATAAAGAGATGGGCTGGGCACGGTGGCTCACGCCTGTAATCCCAGCACTTTGGGACACCCAGGCGGGCAGATCACAAGGTCAGGAGTTCGAGACCAGCCTGACAAACATGGTGAAATCCCGTCTCTACTAAAAATACAAAAACTAGCTGGGCATGGTGGCAGGCGCCTGTAGTCCAGCTACTCAGGAGGCTGAGACAGGAGAATCGTTTGAACCCGGGAGGTGGAGGTTGTAGTGAGCCGAGATCATGCCACTGCACACTAGCCTGGATGAAAGAGCAAGATTCCGTCTCAAAAAAAAAAAAAAAAAAAAAAGAAAAGAAATAAAAGAGATGGGGCAAATAAATGAGAAAGAAGAAATAATGCCCCTAGTCTCTCTTTACTAAAAACTGCCAGGCCTTCTTGCTCTCCTTCCCAACCCTTTCAGATGGCCAGAATCAAAGTGCAGATCCCTTCCAACTGAACTCTAGAAATAATTTCCTAGGCAGTTGCTTTGGTTTCCATTCTTTCTATTTCCAATTCTTCTTGAATACCACAATAATAACAGCTAACATTTATGAAGCACTTACAGCTGACAGGACTGTTCTATGAGCTTCCAATGTATCATCTCAGTCCTCTCAACAGCCCTTTGAGGTAGACGTTTTTATTCATTTTATTGTACATATGACTGTATGGAGGCACACAGAATTTTAGTAAATTGCCCAAGCTCACAGGGATAGTAAGTAGAGGCAGAGCTGGGATTCAAATCTAAATAGTCCAGTGCTCCTGATCATGAAACATTTAACATTAGCTTTCCTCTAGTTTGACTTTCTTCAGGCCTGTCTTCTACTGAAGAACCCTCCATGGCTCCCTACTGCCTGCAGATGTCTCGGTGGCCTTGTTGGCTCTCTACACCTGGGCCAGCCATCTGCTCCTAGCCTGTGTCCATGTGCCCTGTCTGAATCCCTCCCCACAGCCAGGGCCCTGACCTCATGTGATGCAGTCTGGCCTCGGGGCCCAACCTCAGACTCTCACTCTTGCTGGCACCTTCATTAGCTAGTTTGTTTCCTCTCCTCTCTCCCATCGGGCACAGTTTCCTTCTGCCTTCTTCTTGAAATCACCTTTGACAATCCCAGCTCACATCAACATTGTCCTTTTCTGAAATCCCCTGGTACCTGAAAAAATAGATAGTCCTTTTTGTTTTGCCCTCATAGTGTCACATCCACTCATCCCAGCAATTTAGCCACTTACCTTTTTTTTTACATCCGTCTTTCTCAAACTAGACTCTCCCCATCATGTGTCTAGTGGAGAGGCGGCACTCAGAATGTGTGTGCTGAATAAATCGTGAGCTACTGTAGAATGTATCACCTGACACTCATGTGATGTCATACTTTATCACTTGGAGTTCACAGTGGTGACAGCACCGCAGTGGCAAAGATGATGGCGACAGTGATGCTGTGGCGATGATGATGGCAATGATCATCTGCAGCAGACGTAGCTGTCATCGTTGCCTTTTATGATGGGTGGTTCACGGCTGGCCCGAGGTGCACAAACAGGCCATATCCATATTTTACAGATGATGGCACTGAGTCTGTGAAACTATACTTGACTTGCTGAAGGAGATGAATAGAGAGCCAAGACTTGAATACCAAATTGTCTGGACATCCCCAGGTGCTTCTTGCTCTCTGAGCCACTGCTTTTCAAAGACAAGCATTGCTCAATGATGTTTCATGTCACTTTTGGTTTTTTTGGTGGGAGACGTAAAATACACATGACATAAAATTCAGCATTTTAAACATCTTTTTATTGTGGTAAAATAAACATAGCATAAAATTTGCCATTGTAACCATTTTTAGGTATACTGTTTTGTGGCATTAAATTAATTCTCATTCATTGTGCAACCATTACCACCATCCATTTTAAGAACTTTTTATCTTCCCCAGGTGAAACTGTACACCCATTAATTCCTACCTTCCTGTTTCTCCCTTCCGCAAGCCACTGGAAACACCTATTCTTTCTGTCTCTATGACTGGTCTTATTCCAGGTACCTAATATAAGTGGAATCAAACAATATCGTCTTTTTTACTTAGCATAACATCTTCAAAGTTCTTCCATGTTGTAGCGTGTGTTTAGCCTTCCTTTTTAAGGCTAAACAGTATTTCATGGTGGCCATCCCCAGGCAGTAGGGAACCACAGAGGGTTCTTCAGTAGAAGACAGGTCTGAAGAAAGTCAAACTAGAGGAAGGCTGATGTTAAATGTTTCATGATCAGGTGAACTGGACTGTTTAGATTTGAATCCCAGCCTTACCTCTTACTATCCTTGTGAGCTTGAGCTTGGGCAATTTACTAAAATTCTGTGTGCCTCCATACAGTCATATGTACAATAAAATGAATAAAAACATCTACCTCAAAGGGCTGTTGAGAGGACTGAATGATCACTGGAAGCTCATAGAACAGTCCTGTCAGCTGTAAGTGCTTCATAAATGTTAGCTGTTATTATTGTGGTATTCAGGAAGAATTGGAAATAGAAAGAATGGAAACCAAAGCAACTGACTAGGAAAGTACTTCTAGAGTTCAGTTGGAAGGGAACTTCACTTTGATTCTGGCCAGCTGAAAGGGTTGGGAAGGACAGCAAGAAGGTCTGAGAGTTTTCACTAAAGAGAGACTAGGGGCATTATATATATACCACATTTTGTTTATCCATTCATTTGTCAATGGACACTTGAGTTGCTTTCACCTTTTGGCTCTTATGAATGATGCTGCTATGAAATGGGTATACGCATATCTATTTCAGCATCTGCTTTCACTTCTTTTGAATATATAACAAGAAGTGGAATTGCTGGGTCATAAGGTAATTCTATCTTCAATTTTTTGAGAAAAATCACTGTTTCAGTGTGTGGAAAATACACTGTTATCTACAGCAGGTGCACCATTTCACATTCTTACCAGCAATGCACAAGGGCTTCAATTTCTTCACATCCTCACTAACATTTGTTATTTTGTTATTTTTTATTTCATAATAGCCATGCCAAGGGGTGTGAACTGGTGCCGCATTGTGGTTTTGACCATTTTAACGTGTACAATTTAGTGGTCTTTAATACGTTCATATGTTGTACAAATATCACCACTATCTAGTTCCAGAACATTTTCATCTCTTCAAAACGAAGCCCTGTACCTGTGAGCAGTCGCTCTCCATTTCCTTAGCAATCACTACTTTGCTTTCTGTATCTATGGATTTGCCTATTCTGTATATTTCAAATAAGTGGAATCATCCAATACCTTTTGTGTCTGCTTTCTTTTAATTAGCATAATATCATCAAGGTTCATCCATACTGTGGCATGTATCCACACACGTGATGGTTAATTTTAAGTGCCGATTCAAAACACATCTGCATGCATGTTGCTGTGACGATATTTTTAGGTAAGATTAGTATTTAAGTCAATAGACTTTGAGTAGAACAGATTACCATCTAGGAAGTGGCTGGGTCTCATCCAATCAGTTGAAAACCTCAGTAAAAAGAGTGAGCCTCCCCCACCACCCAAAGAAGGAATTCTGTCAGAAACTGCCTTCAGACTTCAGCTGTAACATCAACTCGTCCCGCGACAGCCTGCCCTAAAAATTTTGAATTTCCCAGACTCCACAATCGCATACGCCACAATCGCATACTTCAAAATCAATTTCTTTCTGTATACACATGCTATTGACTCTGTTTTGCTGGAGAACCTTGACTATTATAGTACTGCATCTTTTTTGTGGATGAATACTACTTCATTGTATGGAGAGAACACATTTTGTTTGCCATCAGTTGAAGGACACTTTGGTTGTTTTTTCCAGCATCAGCTATTGTGAACAATGTTTCTATGAACATCTGTGTTCAAGTTTTCCTTTGACACCTGTTTTCAATTTTTTGGGCTGTATACCTAGGAGTGAAATTGCTGGGTCACATTCTGATTCCATATATAACTTATTGAGGAGTTGCCACTGCTGGTTTTTACTGTAATTCTAGATATTAATTAAACATTTTTTTCCAGAGAAGCTACACCATTTCACATTCCCATTAGCAGTATATGAGGATTACAATTTCTTCACTTTTGTCCACATTTGTTCTTTACTTTCTTTTCTTATTACAGCTATCCTGGAGGGTATGAAGTCATGTTTCATTGTGGTTTTGATTTGCATTTCCCTAATGACTAAAATGTTGAGATTCTTTTCATGTGCTTGCTAGCCATGTGTACATCTTTGTTGGAGAAATGGTTAATCCAAATATCTATTTTAGTGAGGGTTTAGAAAAACACCCCTTTAAATTCCTGAGGAAACTCTAGAAGGCTCTTTGCTCTTGGTGGAAATTTGCTTATGTTGGGGAACCTATGGAAATTTTTTCTCACTCTCCCATGGCTCCTCCTTGCACCCTCCAGATCTGTGAAAATTGTGGTGTTGTTACAGAAGCTATTACTTATCAGCAACCATTGAGCTCTAGGCTTTGGAAGAGCTACACATGCATTCTGTTATTTAACTCTCACCACTGCCCTGCAAGTTATAGTTAATAGTTGAGCAAATTCATTTAAAGTTTTTAAAAATTGGGAAAAACTGAAAAGAAGAAAACTTTATCTCCTTCCTTTCTAGAGAGCAGTGAACTTATAGATAATTTCTAAGATTTTTTTGAGATGTAATTCATATACCACACAACCCATACATTTAAGTGTACTATTTAATAATTTCAGTTATACTCACAGTTATACAAACATGACCATGATCAATTTTAGAATATTTTCATCACTTTAAAAAGTAATATTATACCAGTTAGCATTCATTCTGCATTTTCCCCTCAAACTTCTGCATCCTAGGCAACCACTAACCTTCGTTCCCTATAGATTTAACTATTCTGAACATTCATAGAAATGGAATCACACAATGTGTTTTCTTTTGTGACTGGCTTCTTGCCATTTAGAAAATGTGTTCAAGATTCATCCATTTTGTGTCATGTGTTCAAGAGAATGCACTTTACTCTTTTTTTAGTTGCTAGGTAATACACAATTGTATGGATATAGCCCATGGCATTTACTAATTCTTAAGTTGATGGATATTTTCCCTTCTTCCAATTTTTGGCTATTATGTAAAATGTCCTGTACACATTTTAGTGTGGACATATGCCTCTATTTCTCTTGGGTACATACCTAGGAGTGGAATTGCTGGGTCATACTACAAATCTATGTTTAACAATGGTTGCACTATTTTACTATCACACCAGTAGTATGTGAGGGTCAGATTTCTCCAAATTATTGTCAACACATAATATTTTGTCTTTTTAAATTTTAACCATCTTAGTGGATGTGAAGTGGTACCTCACTGGAGCTTTGATTTGCATTCTTCAATGCATAATGATATTCAGCATCTTTTTGTGTGCTTATTCGCCATTTGTATGTCTTCTTTAGAGAAATGTTAATTTGTATCCTTTGCTCATTTTTAATTGGGTTATTTATTTTGTTATTGAATTGTAAGTATTCTTTATATATTATAGGTTGAAGTTGTTTATGACATATTTGATTTTCATATATTACCCTCTGAGTTTTAAAAAATTTTCTTGAAAGGTATCATTTACAGCACAAAAGTTTTTTTTTTTAACTTTATATATGTATTTACTCACCTCTGTTAGCCCGTTTTTGCATTTCTATAAAGAAATACCTGAGGCTGGGTAATTTATAAAGAAAATAGGTTGAATTGATTTACAGTTCTGCAGTTGTACAAGCATGGCACTGGCATCTGCTCCTGGTGAGGCCTCAGGAAGCTTCCAATAACAATGGAAGGCAAAGGGGAAACAAGCATGTCACATGGCAAAAGCAGGAACAAGAGTGGGAGTGAGGTGCCAGACTCTAGTTCTAAACAGATCTGGTGTCAACTATCAGAGTGAGAACCCCCTCCCCACCAAGGAGATGGTGATGGTGCTAAACCATTTATGAGGGATCTGCCCCCATGATCCACGCATCTTCTACCAGGACCCACCCCTAACAGTAGGAATCGTATTTCAACATGAGTTTTGGAGCGACTAACATACAAACAATATCATCACCCTTTTCATGTGTGATTTTATTATCTTCACTAAGATGGCTCTGCCTAACTCAAGGTCATGAATATATGCGGTTATGATTTCTACTTACAGTCTTTTAGTTTTAGCACTTATATTTATAGAAAAAATTCAGTTAACCATACATTTAAATACTTACTTCTGGATTTTCAATAATAGTTCGTTGTTTCATATGTCTACCCTTATGCTGACAGCACAATATCTGGATTATGACAGCTTTGCAATAAGTTTCATCAATTGGGAAGTATGCGTTCTCCAACATTTTTCTCAATAAATTTTTATTGTGGTAAAATATACATAAATACAATTTGCCATTTTAACCAATTTAAAGTGTATAATTCAGTGGCATTAGGTGCATTCACAATGTTGTGCAACCATCACCATTATACAGTTCCATAACTTTTATACCTATCTCCAGCAGAAACTCAGTACCCGTTAAACAATAACTTCCAGTCTCCTCTCCCTCCAGCCACTGCTAACTGCTATTCTTTCTTTCTCTACAATTGTGACCACTCTAGGTACTTCATATGAGAGGAACCATATGATGAATATTTGTTCTGTACTGGGGTAGTCCTTCACTGATTAGCTAGCTAGCTCTAAGCCTAGGAATTAGCCCAAGGTGTTAGTTTAAGATTATATCAATTTTTTTCTGAGTAGTCTATGTGTTATCTGGGCAGGCCCACTGCATTCTAAAGTCTCCTATTTCCATGGCTGTTTTAAATGTCCTCAATTCCCAAAGAGTCTCATGCAAGCTTCTCCTCTGGACCTTAGATGATCTACTATATGTCTCCACCCATACTTTCTTGTCCTAGAAGTCTGTGGGTTTCTAGTACCATGTAGCTTTTATAAGAAGCACCAGCAATTTTTCTGCCTGTATTCTAAGTTATATGAGATAGAGACCAGTGAGTAGTCCTTCAGGTAGCTCCCAGATAGGTTAGACAGTTTAGAATAGACATATGCACAAATTTGCAATTTAGGACCTCTCTTTTTCCTCCAGTTCCAGGGAGGAGTCTAGAACTAAGCTACCACTGCTCAAGACCAAAACCACCACCATGCACTGGGGAGGGAAATGGAGCAGGGGTGGTAAAATGCCTTATAACTTTCTTCCAGTTTTGAACATGGGTTTTGTTCACGGGGTGTTTTCTAGGTTGCTGTATACCTTTGACTAAATTTTTCAGAGTCAGTACTGACAACTCTTAAAACATTTTTTTTCTTTTTTTAAAATATACTTTAAGTTCTGGGATACATGTGCAGAAAGTGCAGGTTTGTTACATAGGTATACATGTGCCTGGTGGTTTGCTGCACCCATCAACCCATCATCTACATTAGGTATTTCTCCTAATGCTATCCCTTCCCTTTCCCCTCCCCTTTTCCCCCACCCCCCTACAGGCCCCGGCATGTGATGTTTCCCTCCTGTGTCCATATGTTCTCATTGTTCAACTCCCACTTATGAGTGAGAACATGCGGTGTTTGGTTTTCTGTTCCTGTGTTAGTTTGCTGAGAATGATGGTTTCCAGCTTCATCCATGTCCCTAAAAATATATATTTCTGTGTAAGCACAAAAGCTAGGAACTTCATAGTCTGCCGTTTGCTGACATCCAAATACTCCCATTTGATATCCTTTTTTCAAGGTTATTTTGAGTACGTGCTTCTTGAATTGAATTTGAAATATGACTTTCAGGATCATCTTGTCAATATCTGCAAAGAAAAAAAACCTAAGCCAGCTGGGATTCTGATAGAGATTGTATTAAATCTGTAGATCAATTTGGAGAGTATTGCTATCTAAACATTATTAAATATTCTAATCCATTTATTTACATCTTTAATTTCTTTCAATAACGTTTCATGCTTTTCAAAGTACTAGTCTTGTACTTCTTTTGGTAAAATTATCCTCAAGTATTCCACTCCTTTTCATGCTATTATAAATAGAATTGTTTCATATCATTTTTGGATTGTTCATTGTTGGTGCAAAGAAATATAATTATACATTAATTGCTAAATTTACTAAGCCCACTTATTGTTTCTTTCCTGGATTCATTTATTAATTCTAATAGTGATTCAGTGCATTATTTAAGACTTTCTCTATGTAAGAAATTTCGCAAAACTCATTCGTTATTTCTATTTTTTTGTGAATTATCTTATATTTTCTGTATACAAAATTATATACTTCTCACATACAAGTAGGGATAGCTTTACTTCTATTTTTAGAATATGGATACATTTTATTTTTTTCTTATATATTTGACTTGGCCAGAACGTCCAGTAAAATATTGAGTAAAGTAGCAACAGTGAAAGTCCTTATCTTATTCCTGATCTCAGGGGGAAACATTCTGTATTTTGCCATTAGAGATGATGCTTCTATCTTTCATAGATCCCTTTAGCAAGCTGAGAACATTTCTAAACCCAGTCCATTGATGTCCATATCATGAAAGTGTGTTGAATTTTTTCCAAAAATGTTTTCTGTGTCTATTGAGATGATCATGTGTTTTCTGTCCTTTGTTCTTCTATGGTGTATTACATTAATTGAGTTTTGGCTTTTAAACCAACTTTACATTCCTGGGATAAACTCTACTTGGCAATAGTGGATGATCCTTTTTATATGTTGCTGGAGTTGTTTTGCTAGTATTACGTCGAGGATATTTTTGTCTATACTCATAAGAGTATCAATCTTTTTTTTTTTTTTTTTAAGACGGAGTCTCGCTCTGTCGCCCAGGCTGGAGTGCAGTGGCGGGATCTCGGCTCACTGCAAGCTCCGCCTCCCGGGTTCACGCCATTCTCCTGCCTCAGCCTCCCAAGTAGCTGGGACTACAGGCGCCCGCCACTACGCCCGGCTAATTTTTTGTATTTTCAGTAGAGACGGGGTTTCACCGTTTTAGCCGGGATGGTCTCGATCTCCTGACCTCGTGATCCGCCCACCTCGGCCTCCCAAAGTGCTGGGATTACAGGCGTGAGCCACCGCGCCCGGCCTCAATCTTTAGTTTTCTTTTTTGTGGTATATTTATCTGGTTTTGATAGCCAGGTATTTAAATTTTCTTTTAATAATTGATAGAAATCACCAGCGAAGCTATCTGTGTCTTCAGTTTTCCTTATGCAAACTTAAAAAATATATTGCTAATTTAATCGCTTTCCTTATTTAGATTTATTGAGATTTTCTATTTCTTTCTGAATCACTTTTCGTCATTTATATCAATAATGTTATTGTCAAGTAAGTATATTACCTTTGTATATGTCAGACACAATAATAATTGCTTGATAAATCAGTTCAGAGAAAAAAGGGAAGTACATATCCAATGACACTGCCTATTGTAGTTACTATTGCTATTGCTTTTTGATTTTTCACTTGGATTAGAATTACTCTCTGGGTCACTTCCTTATGTTCTGAATATCTTCCTGTATTATTTCTGTAAGGCACATGTGCTAGGAATGAATTCTCTGTTTTTCTTTATTTGAAAACATATTTCTTTCACCTCATTTTTATAGATAATTTTGACAGATACAAGATTCTTGGTTGAAAGTTTTTTTCTTCTTTGGCAATTTGAATATGTTATCCCACTGCCTCTGGCCTTCATTGCCTCTGACAAGAAGAATTCAGCTGTTAATCCTGTTGAATTTTCCTTGTACATGACAAGTAATTTTTCTCTTGCTGTTTTCAAGATTTTCTTTTTGTCTTTATCTTTCAATATTTTTACTGTGATGGGTCTGAATGTGGCTTTCTTTAGTTAGTCCTACTTTAAATCATTTGAACTTCTTGGATGTGCATATTAATGTTTTTCACCATGGGGAGTTTAAAAACATCATTTCTTTGCGTACTTTTCTGCTCCCTTCTTTTTCTTACCTCTTTTTCTGGAACTCCCATTAACCATATGTTAGTGCATTTGAATGTGTCCCATATTTCTCTCAGGCTGTGTTCATTTTTATTTTTTCTTTATTCCAATTGCATAATCTTTATTAATATACTTTTAAGTTTGCTTATTTTTTCTTTTCTTTTCTTTTTGAGATGGAGCCTCACCCTGTCACCCAAGCTGGAGTGCAGTGGCATGATCTCAACTCACTGCAACCTCTGCCTCCCGGGTTCAAGCAATTCTCCTGCCTCAGCCTCCGAAGTAGCTGGGATTACAGGCACCCACCACCATGCCCAGCTAATTTTTGTATTTTTAGTAGAGACAGGGTTTTACTGTGTTGACCAGGCTGGTCTCGAACTCCTGACCTCATGATCCACTTGCCGCGGCCTCCCAAACTGCTGAGATTACAAGCATGTGCTGATTTTTTCTTAATGTCAGATCATGACAACTCTTGAGCTCCTCTAGTGAATATCTCATTTATACTATTGTACTTTTCAACTCCAGAATTTTCATTTAAAAGTATATGATTTCTTAATATTCTCTATTTAAAGGGACATGGTCATTATACGTCATCTTTAAGCATTATTTTATTTAGTTCTTTGAATATATTAATAATAGCTCATTTGAGACTTTATCTCCTAAGTCCAACAATGGGTCCTCTCACAGGCAATTTCTTCTTTTAATTACCTACATATGGGTCACATTTTCTTATTTTCTATCATATCTCAAAATTTTTAGTTAAAAACGGGATATTTTAGAAAATGTATTTTCTAAATACTGATATTGATACTGTCTAGATACTGATTCTTCCTCCCCACAAGGCATCCTGTTATTCTTGTTTGTTTTTCTTACTTGTCTAATGTCATCACCAAATGATTTCAGTGAAATCTGTTTCCTCCACAGTGTTGTCTCTGAATGTTCCTCCTCGGAGGACTTAGCCTTGGGCAGGCATATGGTCACCCTGGAATGACGTGGTTTTACTAGGGTTTTCTTTTACTGTCCCTGTGAAGGAACTGGGGCAAGGAAAACTGGGGGCCAACATTTCTCAGTTATCATTATCTGAGGTAGAGCTTCCACCTCCAGTCGGGAGATAGGTAGAGTGAAGGACTCGCAGCCCTCTTGGAAGGCCTTGCTTGGAATAGAGCTTTTAGAACAGAGAGTTGAAGTGGATGAGAAATTCTAGAAGACTACCCCTCCCAGCACGAAAAATCCCACTCCCAGGAAGCCAAGAGGGAGCACTTGGTCTGAGGGAGACCGGGATGCAGCAATCTCCTAGGACACAGATGTTTATGATTCTACTAAGGTTTTATTTAGCAGCTTTTAGAAACCCAGCATTGAGATTCACCAGCCAAGGGGACACAGAAACAGAAAATATGATTCTCCTACAGATGCTCAGTAATTTGGGAGAATACAACTTTAGATAAAGGAACAAAATACACAAATCTTTTCAATAGTTAATGAGTTCTCTCAGTTTAGTGGGTAAAAATAAATTTTTAAAAATACTATTTCTTTGGAATTTGTTTTATCTTATAAACTTTTCACCATTTCACTGCTTAAAATTAACATTTAAATCTGATTTAAAACCTCAATGTTCTTTTTTTAATGAGATGTCTTTTTAAAATTTAAACATCAAACTTTAAAATACAAGGTCTTAGGTATTATTCATCATCTTTTGTTTCTGAAGCTGGACAAATCTCATCTATCAGTCTAAATCTTTCAGGGGCAGAAATGCCATCAACTTTTTTGTTTTTATATCTTGTCTAAATCAAAGCATCTGGATTTCACACATGTGAAATGCCATTTCCTTCAAGATTTAACTCATCTTTCTGGGGCTTGAGGTCTTGAACCTAGCACACCTGGTCTCATTCAAATAATGTGAATATTCTTTTCTCATAAGAAATTTTGTAGTTCAAGAAGAGACTTGTGTTGCAGTAAAGATGTAGATGCAGCAGTGAACAATCCCACTGCTACCCACAATGATGCTTGCAAAGGGTGCAAACTAGAACCGTTCCATTTCTATTGCCCCAGTGTTTGTTGTCCCAAAGTTTCTTTTTTTCTTTTTCAAGAAGACTGAGCTCTACAATGATGAGACTGAGGTCTTGCCACAGGTTCCTCTGGGCCCTTCAAGACAATTGTGTGTGCATTCAGAGTGACACTGATATGTTCTGGGATGGTTCCTGAGATAATTTTTGTTTTCACAGTAAATGCAGCA
This sequence comes from Homo sapiens, assembly GCF_000001405.40. NCBI lineage: Eukaryota > Metazoa > Chordata > Mammalia > Primates > Hominidae > Homo > Homo sapiens. The sequence continues at coordinate 129,213,476 of NC_000002.12, read as the reverse complement.
AAGAGCTCAATGCTATTTTGATTTTAAAGTTTCTTCCCATTCTAGCTCATAAATGCCACTTCTTTGGTGACACTTTTCCCTTCTTCTCTTTTGGATTTAAATCCTCTCGTATTAGGGAAGGAAGCTATGGATGGAGGAAGGCAATTCTAATTTGTTGCTGACTTTGGAAAGCCATTCTAGTCTTCTTGAGTAGTCTGGTTTTGTGTAGTGTTTGCTATTTCCCATATAGATGTGTGGGATTAGATAGTTTGGGGACAGTGTTACATGTTATCTCAGCCTCCCTTTTCCTTTGAAATGCTATTTCACCCTTAGGACAGCCTGGGGAAGTACAAGGCTCAATTTAGATCATAAGAACTCAGTGACTCTCAATCTTTTGTGAGTCTTGGTCATCAAATGCAAGGAAAAAGACCAAGCAGACCCTCGCACAGATGTACATTGGGACAGATTGCTTATCCTACATTATAACTACTGGAAAATCTCAGAGACAAGAGAGCTCTATGACCTTACTGGTGTTTGCTCAAAGTTTCTTAAAGGGGGTGAAAAGATTGTAGAAGTTAGAGGCTGATTTCAAAAGCTTAGAACAAAAGAAGGAATTATTATTGAATATCTTGACATATGAGAGCTGATAAATTGTTAGCAGGTGCTGAACGTGCAACCTAAAGCAGATAGCCTTGTTTGCCACTGCCCTTACATCACGACATGCCAATCATTTACCCCTGGATCATAATACGTCACAATACATTTGGTGAATTGCTGGACAATAAACATGATGTGTTAAAAGCTTTTCCTTGGAGTGGGGGTCACTTCCAGAATAGTACAGTAAGGACCAAAAAATATCTTCTCCTCTATAAAATCAATAAGAATACTTGCAACATTTTTCAAAGGCAAGGTTTTCAGAATTCTGGGAATTAACCAAGTCTTTCAACAATCCAGGAAAAAAGGCTGAATGTCAGTACTAACAGAGAGCTTTATGGCATTTCAACGTACCTCATTTCCATTTCACTCTCATCAGTTCTGCAGTAGCCTTGGAAACAGCCAGACTTACCATTACGGTAGCTATGAAAACTAATGACCTAGGAGCCAGAGGATGAAGCAGGTTTGGAACTCCCAGAAAAGCCCCATTTGCACAGAATTGTTATTATTAAAAGGTCTGGCAGTTCCCTGGAAAACCCTACTCAAATATTTTGTCTTTATTTGACCTGAACAAAGTACATTTGTTGTGAACAAGCTTCTCCCAATGTTGTCTATCAAAATAATCGTGGCAATTGTTTAACATTGCATCTTCTGAAGTGGTAATAACAGTAGAGGCTAACAAAAAGTCCACTAAAACCCCTGAAAGGAAAAGCTGGGGAATTTGATGTCCATGGAAGGTATTGGAAAGCTTTGGCAGGTTCCTGGGGACCTAGAAGGTCTCACATATTTGCAATAGTGTGTGCATGCCCAGGGATAACCTGAGAAAGTCTCTCCCTCAGGCCGACTCTGAGGCTTTGCAGAAGCAAGAAGAGAAAACAAAGACAGAGTCCTAAGCCCTCTGACTGATGAGGTCAGAAATGTGTGCCCTAACCTGCCCACAGTGCTCCTTACTGAAGGCTGGGAGACTTATTAAGAGGTTTAAGGCCGGGTGCAGTGGCTCATGCCTATAATCCCAGCACTTTGGGAGGCCGAGACGGTCAGATCACCTGAGGTCGGGTGTTCGAGACCAGCCTGACCAACATGGAGAAACCCCGTCTCTACTACAAATACAAAAATCAGCCAGGCGTGGTGGCGCATGCCTCTAATCCAAGCAGCTACTCGGGAGGCTGAGGCAGGAGAATGGCATGAACCCGGGAGGCGGAGCTTGCAGTGAGCCGAGATCATGCCACTACACTCCAGCCTGGGCAACACAGCGAGACTCCGTCTCAAAAACAAACAAACAAAAACAAACAAAACCAAAAACAAACAAAAAGATGCTTAAGAAGATATCTGAAAATGTTCAGCTCACCATTAAGGCTTTAGTGAACATGAACAACAAAGAATACAAACTTTACAGAATTAGTTCAGGAAAGTCACTAAACAAACAGCAACAAAAACAATGTAGCAGTACCAAAAGACAGACAGGGAGATCAATGAACTATTTTCCAGAGTCTGTAAATAAACCCTCACACATACGTGTAATTTTCAACATGGATGTCAAAATAATTAAATTTTGTTGAGACAACTAAATATCCACAAGCAAGAGAATGAACTTGAATCCCATCCTCACCATTTGACCTGACCTTATTTTATTTAAACACTCCCTTCCCCTCCATACTATTCTAGAGAAAAGCCCAATGCTATTTCATCCATACAATTCTAGTATCTCTAAAATATAAGGACTGTTGTTTAAAACATAGCCATACTACCATTATTAAGTTTTAAAAAATCATGAATTTTTTATAATCAGCAAATATTTACTCAGTGTTCAAATTTTCTCTGCTTTCTTATAGGAAATACTTTCACAATAGAATAGTTTGACTCAGGATCCACATTTTGCATTTAGTCAATCTGTCTATAGGTTCCTCCCCTCAACTTCTATTTCTTTTTTCTTTGCAATTTACTTTTTGAAGAAGGTAGGCCACTAGTCCCATTGAGATTCTCACATTCTGAATTTTGCTGATTGCATCCCTGTGATGCCATTGAACACATTCTTTTAATTTTAAAAAAAAAATTTTGAGACTGAGTCTCGCACTGTCGCCTGAGCTGGAGCACAATGGCACGATCTTGGCTCATTGCAACCTCCGCCTCCCAGGTTCAAGTGATTCTCCTGCCTCAGCCTCCCGAGTAGCTGGGATTACAGATGCCTGCCACCATGCCCGGCTAATTTTTTGTATTTTTAATAGAGACGGCGTTTCACTATGTTGGCCAGGCTGGTCTCGAAATCCTGACCTTATGATCTGCCAGCCTTGGCCTCCCAAAGTGCAGTGATCGCAGGCATGAGCCACTGTGCCCATCCTGAACATGTTCTTTTGTTCACTGCATTTCCCATAAACTGGAAGTTAGATGTAAAGAGTTGATTGTACACACAGTCAATGTTTGGGTGTGGCACTGTGTGCTTCCATCTGAATTTCTGGATGTAACCCAGATAGTTTTCAATGGCATCCCTGCTTTAATTTGCTACACTATGGTCCACTTCTTCTCTTCTGCCTGGTCTCTAGTGCCATGCATGTTAGACTTTCTGATATTGCTCCACAGATCCCTGAGCCTCTGTTCATTTTATCCATCGTTTTTTATTGCTGTGTGTTTCAGATGTGTTAATTTTTATTAATCTATGTTCAAGATCCTTTCCTTTCTCATCTCCATTTTCTTTTGAGCCCATGTAGCAAATTTTCATTTCCAATGCTATAGCTTTGACTTCTAACATTTCCCTTTATTTCTTTCTCTATGGTTTTTATTTGTCTTCTGAGAATGCTTAGCTTTCATTCATTTCAAGGTTTTGGGGTTTCATTTGTTAATTTCTTGCTTTTACAGAACAAAGTTATAGTAGCTACTTTATAATTTTTTCCTGTTTATTTCAACATCTGACGCATTTCAGGGTTTGCCTCTGTTGACCATCTTTTTCCTTGAGAATTGGTCATATTTTGCTGATTGTTTGTTGTGTAATTCTGGATTGTATCCAGGACATTTTTAATGTTACATTGTGTGACCTCTGGATTCTGTTATAAGGCTCTGGATAATTTTGGATTTTCTCTTTTAGAGGTCAGGTTTATACCACAAAGTGCTTTGTTTTTGCTATGCATCTGTAAGCCTGTCCCTCACATGTAACACTGAGGGTTGAGTCTGACACTCGTGCCATGGTTTAGATATTAGTTCAGTTCCCAAAACCTTTGCTATTTTTATTTGGTCTCTGTTACTGTAGCTCAGGGGTGGCACTACAGCTAATGTGGATTTCTACAGAGAATAATGGATTCCCTACTCAGTGCTCTCCTCTCTGGCACCACCTCACTGATAATCTCCAGATCACAGGAGGCTTCTGTTTAAGTGTACACACCACTGCATTGCCTCACAGCTCCACAACTGGGGCCTGACATAGGGACAGAGCCACGGTGGGAAATGGCATTCTTACCTCCATGAATATCTCTTCTCTACATTTTGACTTCTTTCTACATTTTACCCGCTTTCATTTACTGTTCTTAGTTCTCAGGGAGTTACTTTATGTAGTTTGTCCTAAGATTTTAGTTGTAATGAGCAGGAATGATCAGCTATAGTGTGTTTAAATAAAATAGGGAATTTTCTGACTGCTTTTTAAATTGTCTCTTTGTCATTGGTTTTAAGTAGTTTTTCTAAGAGTGGATTTCCTTCTCTTTAGCCTGCTTGGAACAGACTTCTTAAATATGTATATTTCTATTATTCATCAGTTTTAAAATGTTCTTATTTATTCTGTCTTCAGTTTTGCTTCTTTGTCTTGCCTTATAGGATACCGATAGCTCACATTTTATATTTTCTCACTATATTCCTTGTCTTTTGCCAATTCTCCTCTGTTTTTCATACCTTTTTTCTTTCTGCTTCATTCTAGTTATTTTTTAAATTTCTTTTGTGTCTAAACATTTATGGACCCACTCATTGAGTTCTTCATTTCAGTTATTCCATTTTTCATTTCTCAAATTTCTATTTGGTAATTTTTTATAATTCTGGACTAGTTTCTGATTCTGTGCTTAAATTTTCAACTGCTGGTATTTTCATTTTTTTAACAAATAAACTATAATTTAACATTTCTATCTGATTCATTCATTGTCTCCCCATGTGCTTGCTTATTTTTAGTTATGTGACATATACTTTGTTAGTTCATTTGTGAGAATAATTGGAGGCTTAGGATGGTGTTATAGTCTTCCTGAAGGTATCTGCATCTTTCATTTTCCAGGTAATATGGGGTCACTTCCACCCAATTTCAGGGTATGAGATTATTTTGAAGGAAGCTGCATTCCAAGCATAGTTTTAGTTTGTCTTCACTGCCAGGGACCGTTCTCTTGGTGTTTCAACCCAAATTGAGTGGGGATTATCATGGAACACGTTGGCTGACTCTACAAAAAATGTTTATGACCAAGCATTTTGAAATCGACAAACAACCTTAGTGAAAAAACAGCCCCAAATCCTGTACTTACTTTTCTGGGCCTCTGTCTTTTCCTAGAGTACTGGATGGTAGTTCTTCACTATTTTCATCTCTCCAATACCTTTATTTATTTATTTATTTATTTATTTTATTTTATTTTTTGAGATAAAGTCTCGCTCTGTCGCCCAGGTTGGAGTGCAGTGGCGTGATCTTGGCCCACTGCAACCTTCGCCTCCTGGGTTCAAGCAATTCTCCTGCCTCAGCCTTCCTAGTAGCTGGGATTATAGGTGCCCGCCACCACGCCCAGCTAATTTTTGTATTTTTAGTAGAGACGGGGTTTCACCATCTCGGCCAGGCTGGTCTCAAACTCCTGACTTCAGGTAATCTACCCGCCTCAGCCTCCAAAAGTGCTGGGATTACAGGCATGAGAGCCACCACGCTTGGCCTCTAATGCCTTTAAGTAGCTTTTATTTTGTTTGCTTTTATGATAGTCCTTAGTCAAAGGACTGGTTCCTATCTTAGTCCACCATTGCTGTGACTCCCCCAGGGTTATTATCTACACTGCCAGGTAAGCATGCACAGGGAGGGATGTGGAAGACACACCTGAACGGCAACCCACTGCTATTCCACTCAGCCATCCATAGTTGGCTAATGCTTCTCTTCTTTCTTTAGTATTGCCTTCCAAATTTTATATGGACAGTTAAAATATGCAGTTCTCAGTTCCTTTTAAACTATAAATGCCCAGAAGGGATGAGTGAGACTTCTGGTTTATGTCTTTGAAGGGAATGGTCTTGCTCTCCCTTCCTTTCTTTGGGGTGTGAATGTGGTGCTGAACCCTCTTACCATGTGGACAGGACCATGCACTAGAGACACAGACTGCAAGACGGAAGCAGAATAATAGGTCATGGATGGTGTGAACCCATCGTACTGGTCCTTACCTACCTGGTCTGCCTGTTGCATTTGTATTTTGTTTAAGTCATTGCTTTTTGAGACTTCTACCAGGCTGTCTGTACCCTGATAAGTAAAAATATATTACCATGAGTGGGACGCTGCTAAAATAAAGCCAAATACGTGTAGCAATCCCTTAGTGGAAGGCAGGCAACCTCTAGAAACTGGAAAATACAAGAAAGTGGTTCTGTTCTAGAGCCTCCAGAAAGCAGGTCTTAACCCTGCCAGACTTATTCTGGGCTCCTGGCCTTCATGACATTAAGATAATAAATGTGTGTTGTACCTAAGTCCCCAAGTTTGTGGTAATTTGTGACAGAAGCACAGGAAAGGAAGAAGCTGAGATAGGATTCAGTCCCAGGCTATCTAACTCCAAGCCCTACATAATGTCCTTTATCTGGTGGCCTTCCTTATGTCCTAGGAAATCACTGGTAAAACTGTCTGGGCAAAGCTGGGAAGGGAGACTGCGTGCTCAGGGGCCTGCAGAGAGAACTCAAAACTCCAGCACATGCTTGGTGCTCCTGCAGCTCACGGCAAAGCCTGCGGGGAACACAAAAGTGGGCTTTGGAAGAAATCTCTCATAAGAACAGCATTATCTGTGGTTGAATTGTGGCTTCAAGCCATTATGTAGCAATTCCAGTTAAGAACCTTCAATTGGACATTGGGGTTGTCATGGTGGCATCAATCAGATAAGGAGAGCTAATTCCCACCCATGCCTAGTGTTTCAGATGGCCTTAAGACAGACACCATGAGCTGAGAGGGAGAGAGGGCAGAGCACAGAGGCCATCAAACAAAGACCAGAAGTTTCAGGAGTGAAAAGTCTACCTGGAGGAACTCCCTTTGGCTGAAGATGCAAGCAGACTGGACACGGAAGCAATGTTTAATGAAGTCTGGTCTTGGGTCTCCAAGCCTCTGACAATCACCTCTAGGAATTGGCTATGAAAGGAAAGGGAAGCAGTCCTCAAAAAAGGGCCTTGTTTCTGATGCCCATTGCATGCCAAGCCATGGAGAACCAGAGACAGAGAACAGCTTCTTGAGGGCAAAGCCAGGAATCATGAAAGACAATGAACACAAGAATTCACCTGAAGGCAAAACATGGAGTGGCCAGATGGACAGTCCATGGGACACGCTCCACTGCAGAGGTGGCAAATGAGGGTAATTTTTGCAAACTGTGATCCCTGCAATAGCTGAATAGGGCTTTACCTTATGTCTTTTGGAGAGGGGATGAGTATGGTATCTGACTGGAACAAGGGTACTTACGGATATTTGAGCGTTGAACAGATCTACTAATCTCAATGTACAAAACAGAAGCCTTGGTTTCTCTGAGTCCATGGTTTCCCAGCTAAAAGCTGCATGCCTCATCCTCCCTTGCAGCCTGGCATGGCCATGTAACAGAGCTCTGCCCAAAATGTGTGCATTAGAGTCCCCTCCTTCCTCCCCTTCCCTCTCCTCTAGCTGCAATGTGGATGAGGAACTAAGCCGTGATGGGCTTTGGGAATGAGTGCATGTGCAGTCATGGCAGAGATCCAGGTGCAAGGGGCCTGCCATCCAGCACTATTGATCCATCACAGTCACCGGGATTAGCGGTCCCAACTGTTCCTTCCTACAAAGTGAACTTCCACGTCGTTTAAGCAACCCTATCATGGAGTCTTCTGTGACAGAAACCTGGCTTGTAATCTAACAATATCTAGAAGTCAACATCATGTATTCTGCTTTTGATTTAGTAAATAGTTAAATTTGAGAACACATCAAACTGCAGCCACAAAATGTGTGTGTTTTTATTCAGTACCCTCTTCCAAGAAATGGGCAGTGAGTATAAAATTCTGCTCTCCCCCATAAAAGTGCCCTGGCTGTCTGACAGAAAGCTGTCTATACGACTCTTTAGAATGAGGACTGAAATAAAAAGGTATCTCCTCCTGATACTGAAAATGTCAGAAAATCATTTATATGATTTTGAAAGACTTATTCAAGTGCTATACCACATCAGTAGACTGAGTAACTTGTAAAGCCTCAAACTATCACTTTTAGAGCTGAAGTTGAAAGCTCAGGATAATCAGGTTTTTGTAGGAAGACTAAAATATGGTCCAAATTGCTCAATCACTGCATTTGGCTCATTCTCAGCATTTAATGCTTGCTTTACTCTTCTGATAAAGAAATCGAGTATGTCTCCTGATGTGAAATATTAAAAAGCAAATCTAATTCCTGCAGCAGATCACAAGGAAATGCAGTCCACAGATTAATGTAATCTTACAGGGAGACTAAGAATTAATATGCCACTCTATTTTGACCTCCAAGACTTCTATATATAGTGTCTGATGAAGCTCTCAAAGTAATTTTTTTTGACTTTTTTTTTTTTTTAATTTTACTTTAAGTTCTGGGATACATGTGCTGAAAGTGCAGGTTTGTTACATAGGTATACATGTGCCATGGTAGTTTGCTGCACCTATCAACCCGTCATCTAGGTTTTGAGCCCCACATGCATTAGGTTTTTGTCCTAATGCTTTCCCTCCCCTTTCCCCTGACCCCACAACAGGCCCCGGTGTGTGATGTTCCCTGTGTCCATGTGTTCTCACTGTTCAATTCCCACTTACAAGTGAGAACATGCGGTGTTTGGTTTTCTGTTCCTGTGTTAGTTTGCTGAGGATGATGGTTTCCAGCTTCATCCATGTTCCTGCAAAGGACATGAACTCATTCTTTTTCATGGCTGCATAGTATTCCATGGTGTATATGTCCACATTTTCTTTATCCAGTATAGTTCAACCATTGTGGAAGGCAGTGTGGCAATTTCTCAAAGTAAATTTTAAGAATACTTTTTACTTAATGTTGAACTGATAAAAATTATGTGTGTGTGTGAGACAAAGCATGTAAGGCATGTGGTTCACAGCTTCTTTGGAGATGGCTGGCAATGGTCCTCACCCCCGTGCATTGTGCAATCCTCTCCCCACAAATGTGTGTGAAACCTGTGACTTGCTTCTAACCAATACAGTGTGGAAAGGTGGAGAGATGTCACTTCTGTGACCAGGTTTCATAGGAGAGTGACTTCCATCTTGCTAGAGATTTTCTCCTTTGCTATCTTTAATAAAGCAAACTGCCATATTGAGAAGGTCCACATGGCAAGAAACAGGGAACCCCAGCCAACTGTCGCGGGAGCTGAGTCCCAGCAGTCTGTGGGGAGCTGCATGAGTTACTATTGCTGTGCAACTAATCACAAGCACAGGGTCTTTGAATTCGAGTTTTCTTACCTTTGGCACACTATGAATTTCTACTTACTCCAGCCTCGATTAATATCCTTCAACATATGGGTATAATTTTCTCCATAACATGGTATACTTCTTTTGTTATGTTGTTTTCCTGATTAAATATTTCTGGTGAATTGAAATTCTTTTCATTATGCAATGGCACTTTATATCAAGAAATGCTTTTCATCTTTAAAATCTATTAAGTCATAGTTTCATCAGCTTTTTGTGCTTATAATTTTGGATCCTATTATAATTAGATATTTATATATAATTTATATATAAATTATTCCTATATAATATATATAATTATTCCAATAATTACATATACATACATGAATATGCTACTTGGTTTTGCTTATATAAAGGAAATACAATTGATTTTTGGATATTGATTTTATATCTGGCAGTTTTGTTAAAATTACTTTATTATAATAATTATTCCTAGAATATTTTGGGGATATTCAATATGGAAAATCATAACATAGGCACATAATGGCAATTTTGTCACTTTTATAACCTTAAAACCTTTTATATTTATTCTGACATTACTCAACAGACTAGGAGGTTTAGTGTAGTTTTCAAAAATAAAACACCGTGATTGTGAAAGTTTACTTCCCTATTATAAAGAACAACTTTCACACTTTGTACGTAAGACATTTGCTGTACATGCCTTAAATATGCTTTTGGTTTTAGAATAGCTTCAGACGTACAGAGAAGTTGGGAAGATAGTACAAACAGTTCCCTTATGTCTCAACCCCAGTTTCCTCTATTGTTAGCATCTTGTATTGGTATGGTTTCTTTTCCACAGTTTCTCAGTCCTTGTTTTTCATTACCTGAACAGTTTTGAGGAACACCAGTCAGGTGTTTTGTAGAATTTCCTTCCAATTGGGATTTTTCTGATATTTTTCTCATGATGAAATTGTGGACATGGGTTTTTGGAAGGAAAATCACAGTGGTAAAGTACCATTCTCACCTCACATCAAGAGTACCTGTTTATCCACATAACAACACTTTGATGTTAACCTTGATCACTGGCTGAGGTGGTGTTTGTGGGTTTCTCCACTGTAAAGTCACGCTTCCCCCACCCTCTTTCTGTATTGTACTCACTGCAAAGAAGTCTCTGTGAAAAACCCACACAGAAGAACCAGGGAGTTATGCTTTACCTCCTTGAGATACAAGTATTTACAAAAATGGATTAGAGTTTTTCTGCAAAAGAGATTTAAAAATTACTCCTTATCTATTTCTTATCTATTTATTTATATCAGTATCATTATTTACTGATATGGACTCATGAATATTTATTTTATAGTTTAGTCTACAATTCACTTCTAATTTATTTATTTATTGCTCAAATTATTGAAGCTCCTGGCTTGAATTTTGTTGGCTCCTGGTATCCCCTTGGCACAAGCCCATCATTGTGTGTGTACATGCATGTGCTCACATACATGTGTGTGTGCTTGTGTTTAGCACTTCCTTACTCTCTGGCACTACAAGAAGCTTCAGGCTCATCTTGAACATTCCCTGCTCCAGTTATCAAATCAGTCATTTCTTCCAGGTACTTTTTTAAATTGGAGAATGGTATTAGGAAACAAATTCTGGGGCTGGGCGCGGTGGCTCATGCCTGTAATCCGAACACTTTGGGAGGCCGAGGCGGGTGGATCACCTGAGGTCCGGAGTTCAAGACCAGCCTGACCAACATGAAGAAACCCCGTCTCTACTAAAAATACAAAATTAGCCGGGTGTGATGGCGCATGCCTGTAATCCCAGCTACTCCGGAGGCTGAGGCAGGAAAATGGCTTGAAGCCGGGAGGCGGAGGTCGCTGTGAGCTGAGATCGTGCCACCGTACTCCAGCCTGGGTAACAAGAGCGAAACTCCGTCTCAAAAAAAAAAAAAGGAAACAAAACAAAACAAATTCTGGGCCCTAGGTGTGCTCATTGCTGCTTTTAAGTTGTGTCATTCTTTCTAGGCCCTCTCAGCGGACAGAGCAAAGAAATATATGGGTGTATATCAGTTCATATGTACAATTATCTGTAAATATTGCTACATATACCATCTGTATCCACATTAAGCTAAGCATGCTTTCATACCGATTTCTCCAACATTTAAACATTACCACATGAATTATTCTACTATCCTAATAATTATATTCTTCTTTGCTTATGTAACCTCACACTCCAATAGGGAGAAAGCTGACTTTTACCATCTGGCAACCATTTACTTAATTATTTAATTCCAGTTAGAGAGGTATCCGAATGGTGAACTTATATCCACATGAGAAAAAACTTCATCGACTACAGTAGAGGGTTCATGTACAGTTTATATTGCCTTTAGTCTTAGAGATGCTACTTATTTCTAAAGTTAGCTAGGTCAGCACTTATCCCTGGCAGCCATGCAGTGAGACTGTTTCATCCACTTGTAATACAGTTGCAGTGTTTCATCACATTCTGCATTCCATCAGGATTCCCCCAGCCTCCTAAACTATTTCTTAAATTTGCATATTCACTTGTGCTATAAAATTCTGTGAGTTTTGACAAATGTAGAGTCACATGTACTTATTACAATATCATACAGAATAGTTTCACCTTTCAAGAAAACCTCTTGTGCTTCACCTATTCAAACCTCACCAACCCTCATACAAGAACCTAGAAACAACTGATCTGTTTCCTGTCTAATTTGCTTTTACCTGAATGTTGCATACATGTAATCATACAGTATGTAGTCTTTTAAGACTGTTTTGTTTTAATTTAGCGATATGCATTTAAAATTAATCTCTCTTTATATACTCTGATAGCCCATTCCTTTTTTATTTTTGAATAATATTCTATTGTACAAATGTACCACACTTTGTTTGCTCCTTCAATAGGTACATCTACCTTCATTTACCTATTGAAGGACTTCTTGGTTGCTTCCAGTTTTTGATTATGAAAAAAGCACTTATAAACCTTTCCTGTAGGCTTTTTGTGAACATAAGCATTAAAAAAAACAAATTTGGTTAATGTCTAGGAATATAATCTCTGTATCCTGTAGTAAGACCACGTTTAGCTTTGTAAGAAAGTGTAAAACTATTTTCCAAGGTTGCTGTACCATTTTATATTTCCACCAGCAATGAGTGAGGATTCCTGTTACTGGCCATCCTTGCAAACAATTAGTATTTTTGGCTTATTTGTGCTTTAGCCATTCTAATACATGGATAGTAGTATTTCATTGTTGTTTTAATTTGCAATTCTCTAATTACAAATAATATTGAGCAATTTTCTTTTGTTTGTTTGAGACAGTCTCACTCTTGTCACCCAGGCTGGAGTGCAGTGGTGCAATCACGGCCCACTGCAACCTCCACCTTTAGGGTTCAAGCAATTCTCCTGCCTCAGCCTCCCGAGTAGCTGGGATTACAGGAGCCTGCCACCACACCCGGCTAATTTTTGTATTTTTAGTAGAGGCGGGAGTTCAACATGTTGGTCAGGCTGGTCTCAAACTCCTGACCTCAGGTGATCCACACACCTCAGGTTCCAAAAGTGCTGGGGTTACAGGCATGAGCCACCGTGCCCAGCCAATATTGAGCAATTTTTTATAGGTGTAATTGTCATCAAAATATATTCTTTGTTGAGATGTCTGTTCATATATTTTGCTCATTTTTCAATTGAGCAATTTTTTTAATTGTTGCTTCCTAATCTGTACATATGTAATAGATACCTTTTATCAGATCAGAAATTTTTCTTCTTTTTGCAAAGAATTTTTACAGTGAATGAATGCTTAATTTTACCATTTTTTTTGCAAACTATTGAGTTGATTATATAATGAGATTTCCTTCAAACTAATAATTAATGTAATAGATTATATCAACTGACTCGTCAGTGAAAACTAAAACTGCATTTTGGAATAATTCTAACTTGGACATGATATATTTTTTTACACATTGGTTTTTATTCAATAATGTCTTATTTAGCTATTTTGGATATATTTTCAATAGTAAAATTGGTGTCATTACTAGTTATAAATAAATATTTTTAGTTTTTGCTCACTTATGTCAATATTTAAATTATATTCCTGTAATAATTATTAAAATATTAGTAAAGTAACATATTTTAAAACTTTGTCAATTGTCTTCTAAGTGAAACCTTAGATATATTGACATGAAGTTATTCATGATCGCTTTTTTGTATATCTGTTGTTTAACCTTATATCCTCTTTTTGATTGCTAACATCATTTATGTGTTCCTTTTCTCTTCTTTTCTTCGATCAGACTTACTAGAGGTTCAGCAATTTTTCTAGCTGTTTTGTTAAAGAAAAAAATTATTCAATGATACTTGTTAAAGAATGGTAAGGAAGGCTTTATTCAGAATTATCGCGATATGTATGGGAACTGCTGCAGTGGAATTTTGCAATGGGACACAGATTGTGCTCAACTACAAAATATGGCATGGGCTATTAGGAATTTATAGCCAAGGAATAGAGTGGAAGTCGACGGGTGGAAAATTACTAAGAAGAAACATGAGGGTTAAAGAGGATTCTGGCTAAACAGACCCAGCAGCATTCTTACTGAAGACAGGCAAGGGTGATTGGACATCACCTAGGGGATGGTGGAGGATGATCGGGTATTGAGGAAGTGGGGTTCTTGTTAAACTGACTTAGCAGGGTTCTTTTGCTAAAATTGGCTTTTACAAGGAAGTACACAGATGGGCCTAGGAGAAGGTTTAGAAGGCTAAGTGAAGTTTGGTCAAGCAGAGAATCTTTGTTAGTTTTCCAAGAACACACTTTCAACTTTGTAGTTTCTCTCTGTTGTATGTTTTCTTTTTATATATTTAATCTAAGCTCTAGTATTTATATTTCCTTCCTTCTATCTTCATTGCATCTCCCCTTTATTACTTTTCCAAGTTTTAAATTAGAGACTTTACTGTTACTTTTTCTTCTTTTTATACTATGCAAATTTAAGGCTAAAATAACTTTTTTTAACAATATCCTACAAATGATATGATTTGATACATATTTTATATCTCTTATGTCTAAAAGTTTTCTAATTTTCATTATAATTTCCATTTGACTCATAAATTATTTAAAAGGATGTTTCTTAATTTCCTACATATAGGTTTTTTTTTTTTTGAGATGGAGTTTCGCTCTTGTTGCTCAGGCTGCAGTGCAATAGTGCTATCTCAACTCACCGCAAACTCCACCTCCTGGGTTCAAGTGATTCTCCTGCCTCAGCTTCCCGAGTAGCTGGGATTACAGGTGCCCGCCACCACACCCAGCTAATTTTGTATTTTTAGTAGAGATGGGGTTTCACCATGTTGGTCAGGCTGGTCTTGAACTCCTGACCTCAGCTGATCTGCCCGCCTTGGCCTCCCAAAGTGCTGGGATTACAGGCATGATGTATAGGTTTTTAAAGTTACTTTCATTACTCACTTCTGACTTATTTTCACTTTGATCTGAGGGAATACTTAATATGCCTAAGAGTTATTTATGTCAGAATAATGCCTTACAATAAACCTCTCCAAAACTCGGTGGCTTATAATAATATGCTTTTATTTAGCTCATGGATCTGCAGGTTAGCTGAGAAGCTTTGTTGGTCTCTAGTGGGCTTTCTCAAATTTCTGGAGGTTGTCTGGTTGTCACTTTATTTAGAATAGCCTTCATCAGGATGACTCGCCTAACTCAGCTCAAGTCCACATGGATATTATCCCCCAGCAGGTGAGGTGGGGCATGGCCTCCTGGTGATAGCAGCAAGCACAATAGCATGTGGAAAGACATCCATATAAGGTGCAACACTAGCTCAGGTCCAAACGGGGGTGAAACCGAGTTTCCCTCTTTACCAGGAGGAGCAGCAGAAGATAGAGGCAGGGGGAAGTACTGGACTAAACTTCAATCAATCGCCACAGAAAAGCTTTCAAATATTTTTGAGACTTGCCTTATAAATTAGTACGTGGTCAATTTTTTTAAAAAAGTTCCATAAGTTATTTAAAAGGATTATATATCATTTATTTGGAGGAAGTTCAAAATTCAAAAATGCCTGTTATATCAAATTGCTAAATGCTGGATGTAAAACCACTAAATTAATGCCTCCATTATCAAGCCATGTATGCACAATTTGGTACAATGTTGAATTTCCATCAATATCATACCTGTCACATATGTAAATATTACCACACTTAAATTTTAAAAGTTTTAATTTTATTCTTAAGATATGTTTAAACTACATATCTAAAATTGGTAATTTGCATGGATGTTCAATATTATTAATTGATTTATCATTTGAAAAGTTTGAGAAACATTATTCAAGGTAATTTGTTTGCTATTTAATTAATTCCTCCAATAATATTTATAATAATGTCTGCAATGTTGTAGATACCAGTGATACAGAGATGGACCAAATAATTCCTCCAAAAGTTTATAGTAAATGAGAAAAACATATGAGTTAAGAAATGATTGCAATATAAAGTGATAAGTGTTTCCACAAAGAACACAGAAAACCTAGCCTAGCCTCTGGTCAAGAAGAGCTTCTTGCATGAGGTGACATTTGAGCTCAGTCTTAAAATATAAATAGAAATTGTTAGTTTGATGGGATGAATAGGGAATAGTGTGCATTCCAAGGGAGAAGATTCATGTTTGGGAAATAGCCAATAGTTTGGCATGGCTATAGTGGAAGGTTTGCAGAATCAATTGCTTCTATGTATAGCCAGTAAAGAGAACTGATCTTTTGTTGTTTTCTAGTTTTTATTTTCAAACATGTCTCTAAGATATTTTGAATTCAAATTAGAACTCAATTTATTTTCCTTATTTGCTTCTAATTTATATAGAATCTAATTCCCAGATTTAAGGCAGTTACATAGGCACAAATGCAGAGCAACTAAAAATGAAAACCAAACACATATCAGAATCAAGGAAGATGAAGGGGTGTACAACTATAGCAGCTCAAAAGATGACAAGTTGAGGAATTACACACTAAATTTAGCTCTGAGCTTCCCAGAAACCAAGGCACAGAGGAATCCATTCTATAATTGAAAACCCATTCCACTTCTTCAGAGAAGTTACTCTTATTTTAAGGACTACATTTTTCCTACCATGCCCAGGTAATAGGGTTCAACCTGCCATAGAAGGTTGATATGATAGGTTATATGATATATGATCAAATCATATAAGTGATTTGATCAATGTTGCCCAGAGGCTGATTTTACTGAGGTGCTAAATGTTTCTGCACCCTAGTGATGGGCAGAGCTCCTCCCTACAAGGCCCCTGCCCCTGCCCTCCGGCAGCATGGCACCATTCACTTGCTCCTTCTTGGATTCCAAGACCTGGAATGAGGGACAAGTCACCAGTCATGACCACGTCTCCCCAGGTGACTTCAGCATGGAGGTGTCAATTAGGACTAATTGGTCTCATATCTAATTCTAGGACCAGCCTCTGGTCAGCACCAGCAATTCCAGTGCCATGCCCTTCCTTAGATGCCGAGCCTAGCATGAAGCATCCTTTCTCTAGACTCTGTAATCCAATCTCTTTCCTTTTATTCCCCCATCCCTGGGCATGACAGCTGCTTCCTCCAGTTATCAACCTCTGGGTGGCTGCAGCACTCCCTGCTACTTCTTCCAGCCTCCCAACACTAATTCTCTTTACCGAATCACTTTTGTTTGCTAAGCGTATGCAAGCTTCAGTTTTTATGACTGGGAAGGGAAATGCAACCCACACAGCCATCCAGCTTCTGGAGGACAGTGAGCACTTCAGCCAGAGTCTTGTATCCCACAGGCCTGGCCTGGAAGGTGTTCATGCCACCACCGTCTTCTGGGTTGAAGTCAGAGTGGCCGAGGAAGCAAATGACAAGCAGCATCTCTGGGGAGCACAGAATGGGAACAGGGAGAAATATGGTTTCCCTTCTGAGGCCACAAAGGACTAGGGAAATCCAGGCAAGGTGGGAGTAGAATAAAGGGGCTGTGGGTGGGAAACCTCTGCAGCTGGAAGCCCGGCACCTGGTAGGAGCATTTCATGAGCCAATGGGGAAGGGCGGAGTCAAGGAAGAGTATAGAACTCAAAGTCAGGCCTCCCTGATGCCAGTGTCACTGCTTCTAAACACCACGTTGCACTACACTATGCACAAGAGTGTTAAATAGCAATAGTTTTCTACATCACACAGTGTAATTCTTCAAAACCTCATATTCTGCAAAATCACACATGCAAGGTGAAAATGTATTGGATCAGACCACTGAAAACCTATGCTATTTTGTAACCAGACCCTACAAAAGATGACGGCAATCCTAATGAAAATACTAAGCGCATTTTAAAGACATGTTAACTTCCTAGGAATAAAGGAACTGCAATCAATAAGGTTTTACTTTAGAAGAATGCATGAAGGTAGTATGATAGCAGCAGGAATAAGGATAGGCCAAGGCTGGAGACATGGAGTCAAAGGCGGAAGGGAAACCTCGTGATCAGAAGATGCTGGTGCCAATGCAGTTGCTGGCTTGCAAAACACACAGAGACCAGAGATGGGAGACCCCACACATTCTTTGGTGTTAGTTTCTTAGAGCACTATAAGTATGCCAGTGACAAAGCATGTGGCCAAACTTAGCCAGGAGGAGTGGGCAGAACATCCACCTGTGGAGCGTGCATTCCCCCACAACTAGCAGCATCCACATTTCTTAAGTGCCCGGCCACTATTACTTGGTGGCACAAAACAACAAAGTGCTTGCGGCTTGGCACAGTGGCTCATGCCTGTAATCCCAGCACTCTGGGAGGCCAAGTTCGGCAGATCACCTGAGGTCAGGAGTTCGAGACCAGCCTGACCAACGTGGTAAAATCCCGTCTCTACTAAAAATACAACAAATTAGTCAGGCATGGGCTTGTGCCTGTAATCCCAGCTACTCAAGAGGCTGAGGTAGGAGAATCGTTTGAACCCGGGAGGCGGAGGGTGCAGTGAGCCGAGATTGCGCCATTGCACTCCAGCCTGGGAGACAGAGTGAGACTCCATCTCAATAAAAAAAAAAGCTAACAAACAAACAAAAAAATAAAGTGCTTGGAAAAATCACATACAAACCAAAGCAACTCCACTTTAAACTGATGTCATTATCTTATCCACGAATCATGTATGAGCTAATTTTCTTAAAGAAAGACATTCTGTAGAACAGACAGTACATAATTAGAAACTCAAGCCCTGTGATCTTCTAAGTATGTCCCATTAAAATTACACTTTCAAATAAGTGGGAGGGAGTTCATTTACTTTTGACAATTGATCTACACCTTCTCTTTGCTCACAGAATACCCTGAACACATCTTAATTGCTACCTTATAAACTTAACTCACTTAATAATAAGATTCATTCTCTTATCATTCTCCTCTATGAACTCTGAGCTTCCTGGGCACAGGAGTCACATAACATTCTTCTTGGTGTCCCCACCACCTTTTACAGGGCCAGGCAGAGAGGTGTTTGGTAAAATGTTTGTGAAATTAACACATATATAACATGACCAGCCATAACATGCTTTGTCTAAGAAAAAATTTAAAAGCAGTGTCAGGACAGGATTAGCAAATCATAAGCCCAAACCCAAATCTAAATTGACGACAAGCCGTGGGAAATGAAAAGCAAGCAATGTTCCTGGATGGCACCGACAGGTTTCCTTGATTGCAACAGTGGAGAACGATGGAACAATGTCTCTGTTGTTCAAGTGGAGACAGCGAAGCTTTCACACCTGTTACTAACCCTTCCTATCTGGATGGAAGATATGGCACCAGCCTCGGTGATGTTTTGAGGGTTTCAGTGCCAGCCTGGAAAACTACAATGCAGTCCACTGGAAAGAAAATTGATCACAGCTGTGGTGGCATTAGATTTCCAGCAAGGCACCAGTGTTGTAAACATGTACCAAAGTCATGGCATTTTCTTGTAAAAGATGCTGACCTCCCAACCCCTTTATTTATGGTCATGTCTTCCCATGATCTGGAGGTGAAATGTGAACTGGAGATAATGATAGCAAATCTATCAAAAGAATTATTTCTGAGGCCCAATATGTGAGCTAGCCATGCAGGTGCACCCAGCCAGGCCACTTACATGGAATTGCGCTCGCAGCTCAGTGATGCCCCCATGAGGCTCCAGTCCCACAACCTCATCTTTCTCCCGGCTTGTTTCACAGGCCATGACTCTGTTCTCCCTCATTTCCTCATTTCTCCAGTGAGCCATGCTCTCTCTTACCTCCAAGTTGCTACATGTGCTCTTTCCTAAGCCTAGAATTCTCTCCCCTGTGCATGCACTTTTCCTTACAACCTCCACGGTGTAAAGCTTCCTTCTGAAGGTTTTCCTTCCTCTGGACCCTATTTTTAGCCTCTTGAGCTAGATCACAGGCATTCCTCCTGCAGTGCCCCAGTGCTTTGTCTTTCTTTTCATTCCATGCTGTGTTCATTTCTAGGGCTGCCTTAAAGCACCACAGACTTGGTAGTTTAAAACAACAGAAATTTATTCTTTCATAGTTCTAGAGGCTAGAAGTCCAAGGTGTTGACAGGACATTCGTTTCTTGAAGGCTTCAGGGGAGGACCCTTCCTTGCCCCTTCCAGCTTCTGTGTTGCTGACAATCTTTGGCATTCCTCAGCTTGTAGACATATCACTCCAGTCTCTGCCTCCATCATCACATGCTACTCTCCCCCGTCCCACTCCAGCAGACCATACTCTCTACTAGGGTAAGCCTGGGGTCCACTGTATTCACTACTGGAACAAATGTGCTTACAATTCTTCGCACACTGTGAGTGCTCACTCGATACTGACTTAATAAAGTCAAAGACCCCAATCCTAAGCCAATGTTTCTGAACAGGGGGTCATTGCACAGCAGACCTCAAGATTCATAATTCAATGATTCTGATGGTGAGAAACCCTACATGGAAACCCCAAGTCCAGGAGGAGGGCAGAGGCAGAGCAACACAGGAAAATGTGGCAAAGACTAGAGCTCAGGGGAAAACTGGATCGAAATGGGTCGTCTCAAGTATTCAGTGAGGGCTTTACTCAGTAGGCATGGGCTGGCGAACGCTGCTCATTCCAGGGAAGGGTGTGCTCAGGATTGTCCCCCTTGATTGGCTCCCAGGAGATAGCCTCTCAGTCTTGCCTGATTAGAGAGCCTTTGTGTGCCTGGCACCTTGGGCTAGCAGTGAGTTTTATCAGATGGTTTGTGCCAGCAGTGTGACTAAGACAAATGCCTGCTTTTGTTTTCCTGAGGCCTTGGGCCACGCGGTTTCAGTCAGCCCTTTGTGGGGCTGGAGTCTGCATTGCTACTGTCAGGTACACAGGGGCCACACCTCATGCCTATCTGACTGACCCCCAGTAAAACTCTGGCCTCCAAGGCTCAGTGAGCTTCCCCAGCTGGGAGCATTTCACACGGGTTGTCGCACAGTGTTGCCGGGATATTGAAACTTGTCCCCACGTGACTCGGGGACCTGGATGCTTGTGCCTGGCTCTCCTGGTCTTTTCCTTTGCCCTCTGTGGATTTCAATCCATATCCTTTTGCTGGGATAAACTGTAAGCATGAGGCTAACAGCTTTTTCTGAGTCCTTGGGTCCTTTTAGTAAATTACTGGGTCTGAGGGTAGTCTTGGGAAATCTTGACAGAATGAGGGCAGCCAAGTGTGCCTAGGAGAGATGATTATGAGCACCACAATGCTGGGCACATAGTAGGTGCCCAAGATAATGGCAGTTGAATGACTGAGTGATGGGTGTGCGTCCACAGGTCACCTTTCCTGACACTGGAGATGTTTCAGGGTTTCTGTCAGACTCATCTCAAGGCCTGGGCTCAGGGACGCCCTGCTCCTGCTTTTCCCAGGCTGAGATGGGAACTCACCCCTACTACCCCCAGCCCTATGTCCTCCTCTCTGCAAAAACTCCTTCTCCTCTCCCATCCGCATGGGTGGGCGCACCATGAGAGCTTCTTGAGAGCAGGGGCATGGCGCCTCCTTCTGGGCCCAGTTAGTGCTGCATTTGGCTCCCAGAAGGGAGCCCTGGGAAGCCCCCTCTGTTTGCCCTCAGATCGATTCTTCAGCTTTCTCCTGATCAGCTCTGTATTGGGGATAGGTGGCCACTGTGGGCTGTGGGGCACTGGAGGTCATAGACCCAGAGAAAGGGAGATGCCAGGGTGTTTCAGCCATCTGCTTGTGCCAGGCAGTGCCCAGTGCTGCAGCCCTGGCTGAGCCCTATCGGTGGCTCCAGCACCCGAGGGTGATCTCCCAGGCCCCAACAACATGGCCTCCTTCCT
The DNA here is from genome assembly GCF_000001405.40 of Homo sapiens. NCBI lineage: Eukaryota > Metazoa > Chordata > Mammalia > Primates > Hominidae > Homo > Homo sapiens. The sequence continues at coordinate 129,192,021 of NC_000002.12, read as the reverse complement.
CTGTTCCTTCAGCCTAGCAGAGAAGGCAGTTTCCTTCTCTGCCAGTCTCTAATTGTCTTGCCTCCCGAGTTGCAGGAGTTTAAGAACTCAGGGTGGTTTCTCCTCCCATTTGGGCCCTGACCACGTTAATCTCTAGGTTTGTAGGGTACCTCTGTTTTCCTGCCAGGTGGCTACAGGGAGCTGGGGAAGAGCAGGGCTGTGGTTCAGAAGCAAAACCCTGGACCATGTTGCCCAGCAGAGGGAACACGTGGCCAGTCAGAGTGAATCTCATGCTGCAGAGAATATGGACTGGTGGAGGACTTTTCCTCAATTCCTACCTCTTTAATGAGGATAGGTGCACATTCCAGGCATAAAAGAAGGCGTGGAGGTGAAAAGGCACAAGGCAGGCCTGGGGCTTGTGGCTGGGTGGGAACCACATTCCTCGGATTCCATTCCCTGTAGGGTTTCTACTTAGGTTGGCTCAAGGGATGTTTTACAACCATATTTTTATGCTCTGAAGACAAGGGCAGGTGTGCAGCCCTGTGGCAGCTCACACATGCTTTCATCAACCTGGGGGCTCGCCTGGCAGGCACAGGGCAGCACCCAGACCTACATGTCTCTGGTTCCCTTAGATGTCTTCCTTCACTTCTCCAAGACCTGGGCCAGGTGCAGATGTAGCACCATGGCCAAAGAGCTGGGTTCTCCCCCAGGTCACCCACAGCATAGAGGCGGGAGGTGATGGAGGCAAGCATGCATCCCTGGGTGTATTGCCTGGTTCCAGTTGCCCTTGACCTCGTCCACACCCAGTTTCTTGTTTTCCTCCACTGCTATGCCTGGCTGACCCGTAGATGGGTGACCTCAGGCTCAGAGCTGGATGCAGAAGCAGCACCCTACCCAGCCTGCACCCACCCTGGGGAAGGCCTAGTCCTATGACAAATCCCTTATTCAATGTCACCTCTAGTGCCTTTGCTTCTCGGATTGAACCCCTGACTGATACAACATGAGGGAACTGTGTAATTGGGTGAGACTGGGGGGCCTGGAGTAGAAGAAGGAATTAATGCTGCACAGACAGGCAATAATCAGGTCTGGGCTCCGGAGGGCATGGCTGTTTCCCCAGCTGCCCTCGGCTCTGTGCGAGGAGGACCTTGACAACCTGGGCTCTTACCTCTCCCTCCGTGCTCAGATGTGGAGCACAAGTTTCCACCAGAGTGCCAGGACCACCGGTGTGGCCACTACCAAGGACTTCCCACAGCTTCACTGGGGCCCAGGAGAGGAATCATGATAGAAGAAGGCAATTGTGGAGTCACAGCCTGGCCCATAAAGTTCTACTTAAGCTCAGAAATCACTCAGAGTCTGTAATTGATGAGCTCTGTCAGCCTGCGCGCTCCCCCGCTGCAAATGAGCTCTACTTGGAGAGGTTGACTTATTTGTGTTTTATGGCTTATTTTGTGGTGAAGAAAATCAATAAAGGCGTTCATTTTTACATTTTAAGTGTGCCAGGTGAAATCAGAGCATTATCATCCCTATGTTTTACACTATTTCCAAAGGTGCAAATGAAATTAAACTTTGACTTGGAAATTACCCAGAGGCTTTTTGTTGCCTCAAGTTCTCCTCCTTGAAGCGAAGCTGACTGGAGGGAGGCCTGGTCCATGTTGCTGGCGCTCCTGCTGCAGGTCGGGCTGGAACGCTGTGCAGGGTGCCCGGCTCTATGACCTCCCACACCGTGCCCACTTCTCTCCAAGGGTGCTACATTCAGGAAGCAGCACAGAGGGCCTGCTACTGGGCTCTGTATCCAGGAGTGGAACTGTTGGGTCTTTTGCAAAGCAGCCTCTCTGTAGCAGCCACACTCCCTTCCCTATAACACTACTGCCTTGTGCAACTGGAGCAGAGTAAGGGAAGAAATATTTATTGTTCTGCTCTCTGGAAATATTTACTGAGTAGCTGTTATGCATCAGGCACCAGGCCGTGTGCTCCTAAGAAGCTAACCTCACAAGGGGAGAGAAAGGGCCTCTCCTCCGCCCTCCTTGCAACCTCCTACGCTGCATTTTCTCTCTCTGTCTTTATCTCTTTGTTCTATTCATAAGCTCAAGTCACACCATTTTAAACTAGATGCTTGGGCCCACCACCCCCTGCACCCTCTGTCCCCCTGCCTCACACTGTCCTCAACTCACTCTCTCCTGCTACACTCAGGCCACCCTAAAGCTGTCTGTGCTCAGCATTCCTGTCTCATCGCCTCTGGGCGGCTCCTTGAGCCCCCGGAGCCCTTCACTCGCCCTTCCTGCCACAGTCTTCCCTGACCTCTTTTTTGCCTAGTACAGTGGATCTTTCAGACACCAGTCACCTTCCTATTTTTTGAAAGCGAGTGTGGCTGAACTTCCTGCTTGAAGCCTTGGTTGTCTGGGCTCCACTGCGTCACGGTCTTTGCTTTACCTTTTCTCTGGCCCGTCTTTCATCTCCTCTCATGGCTTTCATCTCCTCTGCCTGTCTCTTAAATGCTCACTCTCTTGGGGATTTCATTTCCACCCTTCTTCCCTTCTCCTTCACCCTGGGTGACTTAATTCACTCTCAGAGCTCCAACTAAAGAACTGTTCGGAGTGTGGACAATTCTTTGGTCAATATTTCCAGTCTTTACCTCTGATGTGGCCCAGGGCCTTGCTATCAGAGTCCAGACTGATGTGTCAGCTCCCTAGGAAATGGGTTCTACTGAGCACCATCATCCTCCTTCCCTGGGTTCTTCACTGCATGAGTGGCACAGCCATCTGAGTAGGCTTATGAGGCTTGGGCTAGGGATGCATGGATGGGCTATGATTCTCTATGAGATAGTATAAGTCAAGAATGATCTCGACCACATGTAGAGAAATGTTACAGAGGGACGAAAATGAGTAAAGCCAGAACGCTGGCTTCAAGGTGCCTGTGAACAGAGGGAGACAGAGCAGGGAGGGGGCAACGAAAAGAGCTGGGGGAGAACTGGGACCCTGGGGCTGGGGAAAGAGGGGATTTCAAGAGGCAACATCTGGGTACTGCCTGGGGCTGCCCTAGAGTTGGAGGCAGGCCCAGGTGCCGAGAGTTCTTTGCCCCACTTTGCTTTATCTGGAGAGAGTCATGTTTCAGGCTCAGCCAGGGAGAAAGTCAATTCCACATGGGTGGAAGGCAGTGGCACCATCACAAGTTGAATGTTAATTTTATATCTCACCTTAGAACAGCGCAGATCTCCAGAAAGTATCTCACAATCCTAGAAACTGACCGCCGCCCACCTGTGAGTGACCTCCCCCAGGGCTGAGGGAGCTGAGCTGAGTCTCATCTCACTGGCAGACACACGGCATGCTACCTGAAGTGGGACAAATGCATTCCCGACACTTGGCTTAGATGCCCAGGACTTGTGCATGTGGCAAAACTGGGCAGATGCCCCTCTGCTGAGCAGGCCCTGCCTCTCCCATGACACAAAGAATGAGTCCGATTCTTCTCATTGCTCACTCACCCTGCCCCAGCCAGCCCACCATTGATACCTCTCTCATTACTTACTCTGAGATCGCCGTCTCCATTCACCAAGAAGACTCAGAGGATGGCAGGGCCAGTCATGGCTCCTCGCTTTTTGGGGGAAGTATATTCAATAGAAATGTGTTGGCTGATTGCAGACCAGGAGATCCTGATGTCCCTGCACGCTGGGCAAGCAGCTGCTCATTTCCTCCATTGTTTCAGAAGACCTGCCCATGAGGCTTGGAAAAGATTTTCTCAATCACAAGGGACCAGAGCCACAGAGGACCATTTCATGACATCCTGACAACTGGGCCAGGATCCTTGACTTACAGACGAAGAAGGGATCTTGAGAGTATCCAGATGAAACAAAAGAAGGGATGAGCAGACCACACAACCTGGCTGTTGAACTGGCTAGATCACCTCTAGTTTAAGGATTGATAAATTACAAAACAATGCAGTTCCTAAGATGGCAAAACAAGGGATATGGGGGGAATAGAAACTGGTACTTTTAGAAAAATGTTCAGCTTTTCTTTTCTTTTTTGTTTTGTGTTTTTTTGTTGTTTGTTTGTTTGTTTGAGACAGAGTCTCACTCTGTCACCCAGGCTGGAGTGTGATGGCGCGATTTCGGCTCACTGCAACCTCTGCCTCCCAGGTTCAAGCAATTCTCGTGCCTCAGCCTCCCTAGCAACTGGGACTACAGGTGCATGCCACCATGCCCAGCTAAGTTTTGTATTTTTAGTAGAGACAGGGTTTCATCATGTTGGCCAGGCTGGTCTCAAATTCCTAGCCTCAAGTGATCCACCTGCCTTGGCCTCCCAAAGTGCTGAGATTACAGGCATGAGCCACCTCACCCTGCCTGTTCAGCTTTTCAGTAGGCTGAATGAAAGGAGATTCTGTGGATCTGAACAAAATATTCCAAAGAGAGAACAGGCTGACCTTTTTAAAACAACAGGATGAGATAAGAGGGAAGACCGGGGAAATCCTTAAGAGCACCAAGCAATGGACACATGTTATCAAAGAACCTACATTAGAGGGAGCGTAAAGCAATCATCACACTGGGGAAAACTGTTTGATGTGGAAAACAAGCCAGCTTGGCTCTTTCACAAGGAAGAGTTAAAAGACAAATGCAGAGAGATGACTGGGGACAGATGAGAACCCTGCAGGACAAAGGGTAGGGCGCTGACCCAGCAGTCAGAGGTCCTCCCAGGACTAATCCAGATAACTAAAGCAACGTCAGTTTTCTAAAATGACAAAAGGTTGAGCATGCAAATCAGAAAGAGTATTTTAATTCTAGGCCCTGAATACATTCTGACAACCACTTGTGTTAAAGATTTTTAGCGGGGAAAATCCCTTTAGTAACTCACGCAGAAATGGAAAAACAGATGACCTCCAGAGGAACAAGACTGAGGCTGGCCCATCCCTTTCTGCACAACAAAGGCTGGAAGAGAAGACAGCACAGGCCATGGGGTCCTGCGCTGGTGCCAGGAGCCCCAGGTCCCAGCCTTAGGTCCTAGTCTGGTGTGCTTTCTTTTGAAAGGGCATTCTCAGATATGCGGGAGTTCAAAATTACACCACCTAGATAAGTTCAAGACTGGAATTTGGAATTGTCTTTGGGTAAATGTTGAAAAGCACAAGAATCATAGCAAAAAAAAAAATGAATTTGCATTTCTGCTTCCACTGTTCTGCAGCACTGGCCAACTAGTAAACAGGAAACATATATGAAAAAGTGTTTTCAGTCACTGAAGACACAACACAAAAATATGATCAAGAAGAAAAAGAAAAAGTGGATGACCTCTACGATTTGCTCTAGTTTTCTGCATGAAGATACTTTCCAGACAATAAGCACCACAGCGAGGGCACGACAGGCAAAACTGCAGTTTCACTGTATTGACGATACAAGAAATGGAACTGGAAGGTGGAGGTGGCTGAAAATCACAGGGCAAAGTAATGGATAAGATGGCATAAAAAGAACTCTGTAAAAATAAATGGAGTCTCTCTGAGTTTTTTGCTGAGTACTAAGCTACACCTGAGTTGCATAAAATACCATAAGCCATTAAAAAACACTACTGGGTTGATAAAGGCTGAAAAGTTCCTAGATCTTACCTCCCGCTTGGAGAAATTTGAGTTCCAAACAGTCCAATTGCAGATACTTTGTAAAACACTCAGGACATTCTGTCAAAACCAGAAGGACCACATCTTAGTAGTAATAATAACTACACCTATAGCACAGACTGCTCTAAACCTGATCCGACAAGATTTTAAAACATGCCTCAAAAGAAACAAATTGACCTAAAGTAAATTAACAGTTAGCTAAAAATATTAAAGTCAAAAAACTTTTTAAAAAGACAAAAAATCCAGATGGTCACCAAAATGTTTAGCATCAATAATAAAATTACTAGACATGCAAAGAAGCAGAGAAATGTCTTTCAAAACCAGGAGAAAAAACAATGAAAAGAAACAGACCTAGAAATAACATAGGTGTTGGAATTAGCATAAAATACTTTAAAAAATCTGCTTCAAATATCCTTCAAGATTTAACTGAAAACATGCTATAGTAAGGGAAGACAGAGAAAACATAAAAAAGAAGCAAATGGAATTTCTGGAGATGTAAAACAATACAATATATTAAGTAAAATATTTAACAAATGGGCTTAACATACACACCGCATAAGAAAAGATTAGAAAATTTTAAAACGTTGCAATAGAAACTATCCAAATTAAGCACAGTGACTTTTTTTTAAACAGTTTTGAAAATGAACAAGGGCTCAGTGACGTTGGGACAATCGGAAGCAGTGTGACACGTGTAACTAGAAGTCAAGAAAAAAAGGAGGGAAGAAAAAAATACTCCAGTCAAAACACCAGAATTGTTTCCAAATTTGATGAAGCTATAAACTCATAAATCCAAGAAGATGAATGAAACCAAAGTAGGGTAAACACAAGGAAAACCATACAAATGCACATCATAATACAATTGCTAAAAACCAGTGGTAAATAGAAATTTTTAAAGGAACCAGAGGAAAAAGACACATTACATATAGGGGGACAAAATAAGAATAACCAAAACCTTCTCTCCAGAAACAATGCAAGCCAGAGGACAATACAATTGCACATTTATAGTGCCAGTTTAAAAAATGAATTGGAATTATATTTACAGAAAAATGTACTCATAAATAACAATGAAACAAAAACTTTTTCAAAGAAACAAAATACTGAGAAATTTGTAGTCAGTAGACCTGCAGTACAAGAAACATTTAAAAAGTTTTCAGACTGAAAGAAAATAATTCCAAAGAGAAATTAGGATCTTAACAAAAAATGAGGAATGTCATAAATGCTAAATATGTATATAAAGTAAAAAAAATTGTATGTAAGACATAAACATAAAAGATACAACTTTTTCATAAGTTTATTTAAGAAAATATAATTGACTGCTTTACACAAAAACACTTAATAATCTTTTGTAGCATTTATATCATATGTAGAAGAAAAATATCTGAAACAACTTACAATGTTTGGAAAAAATATATATGAACTGGTATCATTTTATTTGAAGGAAGACTTTGATATATTAAAGATGCATATTATAAGATATTAAGGAACTACATTAAAATAAATGAATAAGCAAAGTGGTCCAGCCAATAAGTCACTAATATAAATAAAATAGAATGTTAAAAAATAATTCAAAAGAAAGGAGGGAAAGAGTAAGAAGAGTTAAAAGCAGATTAGAAAAAATACCAAGGTGGTATTAATCACATTCTATGCAAATTGTTACAATATCCTAGTTAAATGAAAAGGATTAAAACGCTGACTAATAGGGCAAGATCAGCTATATGCTATATGAAATAATATACTTTAAAGAAAGAGTATAGACTAAATAAAAGAATGTGAACCTAGAATAGTAGGTAAAGACTAATCATAAGAATTATGAAGGACCTGTAATATTAACATCAGACAAAGCAGACTTCTAAATAAGAAATGTTACCAAAAATAAAGAGGAAGATTTTATGACATAAATGGTCAATTTGTCAAGAAGATATAACAATTCATGATGTATAGGCACCAAATGACAAAGTTTTGAAAACAGGAAGCAAAAACTGATATAACTGTAAGGAGACAGAAAAATTCACAGTTATAATAGCACACGCTAACACCACACTGTCAGGAATTGGTAGAACAAGCAGACAAAAAGATAGTAAGGAGACAAAACCTTGCATAACAGTATCTACCAAGCTGGTCTACTTGAGATGTGTAGAGTATCCTGCTAACAGTAGCAGAATATACATTTTTCTTTCAAGAGTAAATAAAACATTCACCAAGAAGATCATATCTTGGAATTTAAAACATTAGCGGGGAAGGTATAGCTTTAATTGCTTATGTTAGAAATGAAGAAAAGTATAAAAGCAATGACCAAAACTTCTACTTTAATAAGTTAGAAAAATAGCATATAAAACACAAAATAAATACAGAAAAGGAAATAATAAAAACAAAGGCAGAAATCTATTAGTAGAAAACAGATAAGCAATAGAGAAAAATCAAATGACAGATTTTTTTTATAAAAATCATTAAAATTGATAAACATCTAGCTAGAATGATCAAGAAAAAATGAAAGAGAACAAAAATTTTCAACATTAGGAATGAAGAAAAGGTCATCAATATATCAGGTATTAAAGGAACAATAATAATTAAAAACAAAGTTATTAATAACTTTATGCTGATAAGTTTAACAATACAGACGAAATGGTCTAATCCCTTGAAAATATTCTTACAAAATATGAAGCAGAAAATCTGACTAGACATATTTTAGGTAAATATTTGTGATCAAAAAAATTCCCAAATGACATTTGGGCTGGATGATAAACAAACAAACAAACAAATGGACAGAATTCCCACAAAGAAAACCCCAGAATCAGTTGACTTCACTAATGAGTTATACCAAATATTTAAGGGGGAAATAATTAACAATTCTACATGATATATTTTTAGGACATAAAGATGGAATAAATACCAATTCATTTTATGAAGACATTATTACTCTAATATTTAATATAAAACATTTGAAGACAAGAATACTAATTATCAATGTATCTAATGAAGATACACACACAAATTTTTTTAAAAATTAGGAAATAAGTTTAATGACACATCATGACTAACTTGAGTTTACTGAAGAAATGCAAAGTTGGCTTAATATTTTAAAACTAGTCATTGTAATTTACCCTATCAACAGAATAAAAAGAAACTTCACACCACAGAGGCAAAAAAAATAGCAATCTAAAAATTCAGCACCAATTCATTATAAAAGCTGTCAGAACACTAAGAACAGAAAAGACTTTTGTAACTTCATGAAGAGCATCTTCAAAAACCCTTTAGCTAACATCATACTTAATAAAAATGAAAGACAGCAATTTTCTCCTAAAATTGGCAACACATGCAAGAATGTCTGTAACCCCAATCTCAGATCTAAGGCTAGGCAAAGAGCTCTTAGACTTGTCACCAAAAGGATGACCCATAAAAGGAAAAATAAAAGACTATCAAAATTAAAACTTTTGTCCTGCAAAAGACTCAGTTAAGAGAATGAAAGCACAAGGTACAAACTGGAAGAAAATATTTGCAAACCACACACCTGACAAAGAACTAGTATCTACACTCTATAAAGAACTCTGAACAGTCAACAGTAAAATAACAAATAATCCAATTTGAAAATTGGCAAAAGGTATGAACACGCATTTCATCAAAGAGCTTATGAAGATGGGAAACAAGCAAATAATCACATGAAAAGATGTTTAACATAGTTAGCTGATTTGGGAAATGCAAATTAAAGCCACAGTGAGATATCATTACAGATCTCTCATATGGCTAACATAAAAATGACAGATCAAATACTGAAAAAGATGCAGAGAAACTGAATCACACATGTATTGCTGATGGGAATGTAAAACAGTGCAGCCACTCTGAAAAACAGCTAATAGTTTTTTTAATAACTAAATATGTAACAACTACCAATTAAGCAGTTGCCCTCTTCAATGTTTTTCCCAAATAAATTGAAATTGATATTCACCCAAAAGTCTATATGTATATGTTTCTAGTAGCTTTATTCTTAATAGTTAAAAACTGGGATGAACCCAGATGTTCTTCATGAGTGAATGATTAAAATAATCTGTGCTATGTCCATACAATGGAATACTATTCAGAAATTAAAAAGGAACAAAGTATCGATGCATGGAACAACTTGAATGAAACATCAGGGAATTGCTCTAGATAAAAAAGTGATACTAAAATATTGCATACTTCCTGACTTCACTTATAAAACATTCCTGAATAACAAAATTATGTAAATGGGAATGAGTTCATGATTGCCTCTGTTTATGAGGGAGTGGAAAGAGAAGGGACGTGTGGGTGTGACTATGAGATTCTTGTGGTGATGGAATGTTCTGCATCTTGACTATATCAGCGTCAATATCTGGTTGTGATATTGTGCTATGGTTTTGCAAGATGTTACCACTGAGGACAACTGGGTAAAGTAGACCCAAGAATTGCCTGTATTATTTCTTACAACTGCATGTGAATCGATCTGCAGTTATTGCAAAATAACATTTTAGATAAAAAAAAACTTGATGGCAGGAAATGTATAAAATTGTAAACCACAAGGAGTGAATTGTTCTATATGCAAATTGGGAAAAGCCCATGAACCAAGGTGTCAGGGGATTCTCAGGTGGAATGCAGACCGGGACAAATGAATATAACTGTATTAGAAATGTGTGATATAATCTCACTTAAGGGTCAAAGGGTTTGGGGGATAAAGGAGCTGGCCTCAATAACTTTGGAAAATAGTGTTTGGCTGGATACTCTAAGATTCAAGACAAAAAGAATTTACATAAATGCTGTACTCTAGTTGATAAATCTTTCTCATACCAGTACAAGTTAGCAATTCTGAAACTACACTACATGTATACAAGGGTTGAAAAAGAAGTCAATAAATTGTGTATAGTGAGAGCTAGATTACGTCAGGAAAAGAAGTTATAAGCAAGCAGGGCAGAAAAGGTTAGAATGAATCTTCTGGCATTTTCTTATAGTCATGGATATCACTCTTAACTGATATTTATTTTAATGTATATACACATAACAAGATATATAAATATATGCACTCACACATATATAAATATATAGGTATATACATAGGCATATACATGTATATTTTGTAGGTCTGTCTGCTAAGCTCTGTCTGCTGAGAGAGCCTCAAGGCAGTGATACCCAGTAACAATGAGCAAATTAGAGCAAATCAAATGAGCAAATCAAATCTTGATTTCTAAATACCACGTTCTCATAAAAGGAATTAGAATATCTTGGAGAAGTAGATGATTTGAGGGGTGGGACTGAAGAAATACAAAATAAGCCTGAAGCATCTTGTGCCAAAAACTTAGAAAATGCTTTTAAAAAGGGGTGTGGTTGGGCATAGATGCCAAACTGAAATCAAAGACCAAAGTTAAATACCTGGGCAACAAAGTAAGTAAAGTGTTCTGGGGTTATAACTCAGAGTAGAAAATAAAAATACACGCATCTGTGCTAATTTAAATGATTGAATATATAAATTGAGATGAGGAACAAATCTTCCTTACAGAAGAATTCCAAATAATAAATGTAAAAAGAGTCAGGGTAATAGGAAACCGTCATTAGACTGCAACTGTAATAATTGCTGCAGGCAAGATCCACTAAGGAATTCTAAAATCAGACAGGTAAACTTTAAGAAGAAACAGGATAGTTCTATAGCTTCAAAGTGTTACAAATATTTGTTAATTACTCTTAATGGTTTTAACATGGATCCACAAATTATTTCCTGTGCCTTCCTCCAAGAGGTAGAGCTTAATCCCACTGGCCTTGAGTGTAGCCTTGGTCTTAATGACTTATTTCTAATAAGTAGAGTATGGAAAGGAAAAAAAGTATAACTTCACAGTGGAAGAAACTGACAGAGAACACCTTAACCACGTGGTCAAGGTTAGCGTCACCAGTAACGAGCCTTGCTGATATCATGTGCCCCTGCTGTGACAGGATGTGATGGGCACTTCACCTCTGTAGTATTCTTCCCCAAATTCTATAACCCCCATCTATGCATGAGAAAATATCAGGCAAACACAAATTGCAGTACATACTGCAAAATACCTGCTATTTTAAATGTGTCACAATCACCAAGAAACAAGGAACGACTGAGACCTTGTCACAGATGGGAGGAGACTAAGGAGGCATGGTGATGAAATGCAATGTCATCCTGGATTAGATCTTTGAATGGAAAAAATGACCCTAGTGGGACAAATGACAAACGTGAAAAACTCTATAGTTAATAGTATTGCATCAATGTTAGTTGTTTTTTTTAGTGTTGGTAAACTGGACTTCACCAAAATTAAAAGACTTGGTCTTGGAAAGGTATCTTTGAAGGGGCAAGCCATAGAGTGAGAGAAAATATTCTCAATACATATATCTTACAAACTTGTATCTAGAATATATTGAGAATTCTTAGAACACAATAATAAGAAAACAAAAATAATGGGGAAAAAATTTGAAGAAATAAATTAGCAAAGAAGAGGTATAGATAGCAAAAAAAGCACATAAAGATATGCTCAGCATCATTAGTCACCAGGAAATGAAAAATGGAACCAGTGATAGCAGTGGCAGCCCATCTGGATTGGCCAGTGCCATCATGCCAGTTGCAGCATGGAGGCACAGCAGGGCTGCACACTCCACGAAGGCTGCTGGACCTGGTGACAAGTGGGAGCCCCATCCCTTCTGAGTTGGGGTTCCTGGTTCCCACTGCAGCTGCTCAAGCCATGGCTGCAGACCCGGGCATCCCTGCATTCTTGAGGCCCAGGAGCAGGTGGGAGCCCTGCCTTTCCAGGCGCAGACTGCAGCCACCCAAACTGCGGCTGTGGATCCAGGCATCTTTGCACTCTTGGGGGCCCAGGAAGACTGCCTGCTCCCACAGCCTGGCTTCTCCCTGCTATTGGCACCTGCTCTGATCTCAGAGCAAAGTCAGGGCCTAGCCTGGGAGCTGTTGCAGCCCAGCCAGGTGTGCACAGGCTCAGGGCACTGCTGACATGCCAGCCCCTGCCACCTTGGCCCCTTCCATACTTGGGCACTGATGAACATAGGAGGGAAGCCAAGGGGGTGCTGAGGGCCGCTCAGTGCTGGCCTGCAGGCACCCATTGGCACCTACAGCCTGGACACCATGAATGACAGCAGGAGGCAAACACGTTCCTGGGCAGAAGGGGGCAGGTCCCCAGTGAGGCCCCACCTTCAGGCCAGGGAAGGCCTGAAGGCTGGCGTCAGGGCTGCCAGTCCCACAGATCAAAATGGGAATATATGGTGGCTTTTCCAGGCCTACCCATGGCCGCCCATGGACCAATCGACAAGAACTTCCTCCCCTCTGAGGCCCATAAAAGCCCCGAGCTCAGTCAGAGTTGAGCAGTCAGGATGACCAGCTTCAGAGGGGAGCCACCGTCTCTGCCCCACTGAACTCTTGTCAGGATGACTTGCCTAGCAGAGAGGAGATACCCTCTCTGCTAGGAGCTGAACATTCCTTGGGATACCCTGGCTGTGGAAGGGAGATGCCCCCTGAGGGTTTCCTCTGAGCTGTTATATTACTCAATAAAGCTCCTCTTCATCTTGCACACCCTCCACTTCTGTGCATACTTCATTCTTCCTGGTTGCAGGACAAGAACTTGGGACCCACCAAATGGTAAGCCTAAAAGAGCTGTAACACAAACAGGGCTAAGACATGCCCCTTCCTCACCATGCTGTAGGCAAAGAGAAGGAAAGAAGAGCTGTGGCCCTTCAGGGAGTCCAGACCATGGGGCCCTGTGGTTCCTGGTGTCTCCAAGCTTCTGGGCACCACCGTGTTAGCTGTGGAAGCTGCTTGTAGTGCACCTGGTCTGGCTACAGCCTCACAGAGAGCGGGTGCCCATGTTGGCACTTGGAGCTGTCTGCCCAGCTGCAGCAGCCGGCATGCCTGACTGTGTGCAGTGGCCCGACCCCACACTTGCTCACGCAACCCTCATTGCTCCACACTTGACTCACCCTTGGCAGGCCTGGGACCCGGGCCAGTAGAATGAGCTGAGTGCAGCCTGCCAGACTGAGTGAGCAAAATGAGCCCAGTGGGCGTGAACAAAACTCAGGCAAAGGCACCACTGGCCACAGAGATTTCTGGCCAGGAAAACAACACCCCAAAGATCTTGTAACGCCAGTATACAATGTAATAACACATATGTAGCAACAAATAAAATTAAAATGGAGGTTTTAATACCAAATGTGAGTGACAGGCAAAGGAACTGGAACTGTCATATATTGCTGGTAGCAATGAAAAATTGTGCAAGTACATTGGAAAGCAGTTTACCAATTCCCTATAAAGATGAATATAAATTTAACATTGAATCCAGTAATTTTCCCCCTAGATACTAACCCAAGAGTAGTAAATGAAAAAAAAAACAGTCAGAGAGAGAGAGAGATAATACTGTAAGGTAATATTTATGTGAAGTTCTAGACCAGATGAAGCTAAGCTATGGTGAAGGATCCTATCAGTGGTTTCCTGGAGTGTGAGGTAGTGATCAAAGGGGCATGAGAGAACTTTGTGGGTGATGGAAAAGTTGTCCATTTTTTATCGTTTTAGAGTTTTCATGGATGAATAGATTTGTGAATATTCACTTAATTACACTTGAATGAGTACATTCTACAATATATAAATTATTACAAATACAGTTAATTTTAAAAAACAAAACATTTGTATGTCACTTTATTGAATGGGAGTATTTCTTGCAAGATTTTTTCCCCAGAAGAAAATGCATGCAATATGATCAGGTGCAGTGGCTCACACCTGTAATCCCAGCACTTTCGGAGGCCGAGGCAGGCAGATCACCTGAGGTCAGGAGTTCAAGACCAGCCTGGCCAACATGGCCAAATCCCATCTCTACTGAAAATAGAAAACTTAGCCAGGTATGGTGGCACACACCTGTAATACCAGGTACTCAGGAGGCTGAAGCAGGAGAATCACTTGAATCCAGGAGACAGAGGTTGCAATGACCAGAGATCATGCCACTGTACTTCAGCCTGGGCAACAGAGCAAGGCTCCATCTCAAAGAAAAAAAAAAAAGAAAGAAAATTTATGCAATAGTAATTCATACTGAACTGACTTATAAATTATATCTTAATCCAGAATGTTTTCATTGTGTGGAAAAGTGTCAGGGAGTCAATGAATTCAGCAAAAACTATGAGAATTTAATATGGACACTGAGTTAAGCCTGAGAAGATGAGGTAATGTGGTAGCCAGTATGTCTATGCTTATGGTGGGGCACAGACGGAGGATTCAGAGAGAGCATGGGGATATGATCCATATTCTACCTGCTTACACTCATCCTCCTCAACCACTTAAACGCTGAATGCTGTGGCATTTTTTTTTTTTTTGACAAAAAGAGAAAATGAATGAGAACACTTAAAATATCATTTTTTATAAAACCACACAAAATGTACCAAAGACCTCCAGTGATGCTTATGAACATGTAGCTGCTGTTTGGAAGCTGGAAGCCCCATATCAGATGCCTACCACAGAATCTGGAGTTGGGGCAGAGTGCTGAATTGGTCGGAGTTACCTGTCTGCTTGATAACTTCAGATGCCTCCTTTCTCAGATGGCATTGCTAAGCTCTGCAAAGATCTAACTGTGAGGATGAGATAATTTAATCTTGCCCGTGGGCTCTATCCTGGCGGAGATACCATGGGACTGAATCCTGGGCTAAATTGTAATCTTGGGAAAGGCAACTATACCTGGCCGAGTTGTTCCTAGAGAGAAAGCAGAAGAAGGTCTTCCCAAGAAAGACCATGACAGCACAGAGGCAGTCTGAAGGGAAGCCAAGGAAAGGATTTGAGACCCTACAAGAATGAAGTTGGAAGGATAATAAAAGTCCACAGGCAAGAGTACAGAGGGCAGGAATCAGGGGTGGATCAGGAACAGATCTCCACAAGGATTAGGTCCAGGGGCCAGGCTCTCAGGTGCGAGAGGAAAGCCTGCTTACGGCATAAGGACTGGCTGGAGGTAACATGCTCCGTACACAGCATGCTCTCAGCAAATGAGAGTCCAATCCCCTCTCTGTCTTTTGTCTTTATTGACCAAAAAGTATCCCCAAATCGCTCATAATGCCCATTTCTCTGTATATTTAGGTTTTGCACCAGAAGATGTGCAGTGGGTCTCAAGAGGGGTCCATCAAGAATGTGAAGGAATGAGGCAGGTTGATCATCATTTGGGGGCTGAGGCCCTACAGTGAAATGAAGAGTGGGGATGAGCCACGAAGTTCTGCTGTGGAAAATACCTATTTTTGAGCCCACAGTGAGCTGGTGGTCCCAGTTCACTCCCCTGCTTTGTGTTTCTAGGAAGAGTTAGCAATAAATAAAGAGGAGACTGAGCAAGGTAGACCATTCTGGCTGGGTGGCTCAATTCAGGAGAAGTGCTGGGACTTGAACATACCCTCTAGAGCACTAAGCTGAGGATTATGAAATGAGAAGCACTGAAACAGAGATGGAGCCTCGTGGTGCCAATGCTAAAGAAGACAGAGAGAACATGGACTGGGGCTTGAAAATAGGCTGTGCAGGGCAGGATGGGAGCCCACTGCCAGGTCCTCCAAACTTCATGCACAGAGATCTCCGAATGCTTTAGTTTTTAGTGCTAAAAAATAATGAAGGGTCAGAGCCTTGGGTCTGTGTTTGATGTGAGATCAAACCTAAGGCAACTCTTTAGGGCTGGGAATCCCTCTGGAGGGGTTGGGTAAGAGACCCAGCACATGCACACCATTTTCTGAAACTTTATCTTTGTAAGACCACCTCAGAGAGGAGGGTCCAGTAGGACCCTAGGTTACCCTTTGTGGGTTGTCATGGCTTTCTAGACTGAGCTGCAGATCCAACTACACCTCAGGTCACATGATAACCAGGGATTGACCACCAAGCAGGACCCCATGTCTTTGCCCTAAAGCCACCCTGTTGTACATTTGAGGAAGGGAACACTGAGGCCTGATTCTTGCTCCATGGAGTTTTACCAAAAACCAAAGGGTAAATAAATGTGGAAGGCATCGTGTAACCTTACAGCTTATAGCTTGAAGTTCAAGATACAAGGTTTCAGACAGAATGTAAAGCATATGCTGAATGGAAATAGTAGATTTTAAAAATTGCCTCATGAAATAGTAGGCTGAAAACATATTTTTTAAGACATGAAATTGTATCTGTTCTGAGAGATGTCCAAGTCATGTGTTGGATGTTTGTGCTCCCCTCCCTATGTTATCAGTAGCAACTTATTCCCTGGAGGTGGGCTGATACCAAAAGACTAGCTGGAAAGCTCGCTATGGAAATCCCTGGCTGAGGCTATCTGTTCGCTTCTCAGGAGTGCAATGCTATGGAATAGAGAGAATATTTGTTTTAAATGATAACTTATGTTTTTTATTGATATTATGTAGAAGTACAATTCAATTTTTATGTTGTTATTGTACCCTACAACTCTGCTAAACTCACTTATTAGTTGTAGCAGTTTTTTGTGGATTTCACTTTCATGTAGACAATCATGTCATAGGTTATCTGCAGATTAATATAGTTTTCTTTCTTTCTTTCCAATATAAATGCCTGGTTTTTTTTTAAGCTATTGCACTTGCTAGCAACTCTACCATGATGATTACTAGAACTGGTGAGGGCAGATATCCACACCATGTCCCTGATTTTAGGTGAAGAGCATTCAGTGTTTTGCCATTAATCACTGTTAGCTATAGGTTATTTGAACATGGCTCTTACTTTGAGAAAATTCCTTCTATCCCTAGTTTACTGAAAGTTTTTAATCAAGATTGACTACTAATTGTTGTCAATGATTTCCCTGCATTTACTAAGATGATATATGTTTTATTTTTATTTTTCAGTCTTCTAATTAGTGAGTTACATAAATTGATTTGTAAAATTTAACCCTACTTGGCCAATTCCATATTGTTGGAATTGATTTACTAAAAGTGCATTAAGAATTTTTGCATCTATGTCCATAGTATTATTAGCCTGTACTTTTCTTTTCTTGTAATGTCTTAGACTAGTTTTGGGATGAGAATAAAAAAGAAAACAACAACAAAAAAAATGCAGTATTTCCTCTTGTTCAATATTCTGAAAAAGTTTGTGTAGAATTAACATATTCATTCTTATGTAAATGTTCCATTCAATTCACCAGCGAAGGCACCTGGGCAGAGAGCTTTCCTTGTGGGATAGTTTTTAACTATAGATACAATTCTTTAATAAATATGAGGCTATTCATGTTGCCTCCTTCTTGAGCAAACTTTCGGGGTTGTGTCTTTCAAGGAATTTATCCATTTTATCCAAGGAATTTATCCATTTTATCTAAGTTGTTGAATTTATTGGCATAAAAGTTGTTTATACTGTTTTCTTTTTATCTTATTTGTATCTGTAGACACTGTAGTGAGGTTACTTCTTTCTTTCCTAATATTAGCTGCAATTTTGTCTCCTCTCTTTTTTTTCCTTTTCAGTGTAGCTAGAAGTTGATTAACTTCACCAAACTTCTCAAAGAGTCATCTGTTGGTTTCATTACTATTCTCTATTATTTTGTTTTTCTTTTGTCTGTTTTATTGCTTTCTCCTTTGATCTTTATTATTTCCTTTCTTCTGCTTATCCTAGCTTTCATTTTCTATTCTTTTTCTAGTTTTCTCATTTTCCAAGTTGACTTGAGACCATTCTTCTTTTCTAACATTCCATTTACACTTGAAACAAGTCCTCTACATCTGTGAATTTGTCTATTTCTCTTTTCAGTTTTATCCATTTGTGAGTCACGTATTCGGAAGTTTTGTTGTTGGGTGTATGATCATTTAGAGTTAGGTCGTTTTGATGAATTTGTTCCCTTTTAATTATAAATGAACCACTTTAATCTTACTAATATTCTTTGCTTTGAAATCTACTTAATGTTAATATAGCCTCTCCAGCTATCTTTGTTTAGGATTAGTTGCTAAAAGGGTCTTTTTCTACCATTTTACTTTTAACCTATTAAAGTCCTTAGGTTTAAGTGGGTTTATTATACATAGTATATGCATAGTATATACTTAGGTTATGCTTTTTTACTCAATCTGAAATTCTATGCTGTTTAAATAGATGTTTATTCCATTTACATTTAATGGGCTGTTTTTGCTTATACTTTATTCCCCTTTTCCCATTTTTCTATTTATTTTAAAATTACTTGAGTATTTATTATGATTTATCTTACTAGTGGGCTCTTTATAATTTTTGATGTATTATTTTAATGGTTGCCTAAGGGTTCGTAGTATATATCTTTAACTTATCATAGTCTACTTTGAAGTTATATTACACTACTTCATCCATAGTATAAGAATCTTAACACAGAACATATATTTCTTCTTTACGTTTTTGTTTTATTATTATAGTATAATAACATAACAATCTTACTTGTATATATGTCTTAAACCTCACAAAACATTGTCATTACTTTTGGTTTAAACAGCCAAATATATCTTAAACAAATGCAAACTGTATATTTACACAAGCAGTTATTCTTGGTGCCTTTATTTCCTCATTTAGCTTCAGGTTTCTATCTAGTACCATTTGTCTTCTTTTAACATTTCTGTAGCACTGGTCTGCTGGTGATAAGTTCTTCCAGCTTTTGTGTATTTTAAAAAAGTATTCCATGCTTCTTTTGGAAATATATTTTTCTGGGTAAGGATTTCTAGCTCTTCATGTGCTTATTTGCCATCTGCACATCCTTTCTGATGAAATGCCTCTTCATATCTTTTGCCCATTTTATAATTGAATTTTTTTTACTGCTCAGTTCTTTATATATTCCAGTTCCTTGTCAAATACATGGTTTGCAAATGTTCCCTTTTCAGAATGTAGTTTGCCTTTTCATCCTCTTATCAGAGTCTTTCACAGAACAAAAGTTTTTAACTTTGATTAAGTCCAATGTGTTGTGATTTTATTTTATGAATAATGCTTTTGGCATCATGTCTAAAAACTTTTCAGCAAACCCTAGGATTCAAAGGTTTTTCTCTTATGTTTTCTCCTAAAAGTTGTATATTTTCATATTTTACAGTAGGAGGTATGGCCTATTTTGAATTAATTTTTGTATAATGTGCAAGTTTCCTGTTTTCTCTTCAGTCATGCAATCTTTTTCTTTGCATTTAATTTCATAGAGTTTATATTGCTATAGATTTTATGTAGTACCATTAGTTGAAAAGGCCACTCTTTCTCTATTGAATTGATTTTACACTTTTGTCAAAAATCAGTTCGTTATAGTTGTACAGGTCTGTTTCCCAGTTCTCTATTTCTTCCATTGATGCCTGTGACTATCCCTTCACCAATACCATACAGTCTTGATTACCGTAGGTATACAATAATCTTGAAATGAGGTACACTGATTTCTCCTATTTTATTCTTCTTTTATGAGAGTGTTTTATCTGTTCTTGTTCCTTTGAATTTACAAGTACATTTTAGTATAATATTGTCTAAAACTATAAAATAACTTGCTGAGACATTGATAAAAATTGCATTAAACCTGTAGATCAATTTTTAGAAAATTGATGTTTCTACATTGAGTCCTCCAATTCATGAACACAATATATCTCACCAATTATTTAGTTCTTTTCTGATTATTTTCATTAGTATTTTGTGGTTTTCAGCTGTAAATTCTGTACAGCTCTTTTGTCCATGTGAAGATACAAGAAGTCAGCAGTTTGAAACCAGAAAATAATATCTCACTAGAATCTGACCCTGCTGGTACCCTGATCTCAGATTTTCAGCCTCCAGAACTGTGAGAAATAAACTTACGTTGTTTATAAGCCACACAGCTTATGGTAATTTGTGATAACAGATTGCACTGACCAAGACAAATTGTTTTTCAGGTTTCTGCCTGTTTTGCTTCTTGCTTGGGTGGAGATGGGGAGAAGAATTTTGATTCTCAAGCCTCAATTTCTTCCTGTAAAGAACAGGAACAGTAAATCCTCGTCACAAGATTATTATGAAAAGTAAATATACCAATCTATCTCAATTCTTGGGACAAAATGAAGACTTATTGTTTATTCAGTTAAATTTTACCCAAATGAAAAATTCTTATGAATATGCCATTCTACATTTTCCCCAAGGGGTAAGTTTTCCAAACCTAAGAGGCTCCCTTGACAGCAAAATGTAGTAATGAGCCGACATGATGAACTTTCAATTATTTTAGCTTCTGGAGAATTGGGAGTGACCCCAGTGTATTGTTTACAGAACACACCCAAACAAGGCACATCCAACTACCCAGCAAACTCTAAATTCTGCAGTAAAATGAAAAAAAACTTAAGTTGCCATATAGCACAGATCAGATGTGCCTCTGCACTGCTAGATTATTCATATAAAAGTTAAAAATATAGCCAGCTCCTGGCTGTTGCATCTGCAACCAGTCCTGCATATGGCCATGTGGAAGCTTCTGGGCAGAGGCTTTGGTTTCAACCCTTTTCCATCTAGACTACTACCATTCTCACCAACACTGTTGCTTTATTCCTGGGGATCTATGTGTGAAGCCCTCACTCGTGCCTTGGCCCTTGCTTTAATGTAGTGGCCTTGAAAATCCAGCAACTTTAAAAGAAACAGGCCATATGTTATTTATACAGAAAAGTAATTTGCACAAGTTGCTATTTGGTATTTCTAGTTCCTTCCAGCCCTAAAAGAACTTCACTACAGTTGAACTCTTTTTCTGGCCTTAAATACTACAAACCCATAGGAGCATCTTGTCACCCTGAGCTCCCATCACAGGTGGCTTCCGGCCTCCCAGGCACTTGCCCACTTCAGCATAGCAGGCTTCAGCCATCCGCCCCTCCTGCTCCATCTTGCCATCTTTGGGCAAGCACCAGGGTAGAGCACTTCCTGATAAAGGGAACCCATATTCTGGTTCCAGACACAGCTGAGTTCAGACAGAAATTCAGCCTCAATTCTAGTTAAATAACCTCATCTCTCAAATCTCATTTTTAAAAACCTATTAAAAGGAGATAATAAGATGAATTATTGAGGGCAGTTTTGAGGATTAAACAAGATAATGTGTGTCCAATGCCAACAGTATTAATTTCTCCTTGTTTCCTCTTCTGGATTAAGTGTGAAATAGATTCCATTTTGCCTCAAAACTCAAAACAGTGGTAGCGGCTGCCCACTTCCTTCGCTGTGAAGGATCCTGAGGCTGCGGATGTCTGTCTGCCTGGTGAAGGGGAGGTGGGAAGATGGTGCATCTGTCACACACTCACCATTGATTCACCAGATTGCCTACTCCCTGAGGGCTCCATGTAACTGGGTACCTTAGCACCTAATGCATGGCACTGATTTGTGTTGGTTGAATCTTTAAATGATTGAACCAGTGTCTGAGTGAAATAATATTTAGATGATGGATGGACAAACAGATGAGCAGATGATAGGTAAATGAATTCTCATGCATGCTGCTATTTCCTGTTGCCTGCTTCTTCTGACACCTGGCTCTTTTTTTTCCACACTGGATTCTTGTCACAATAAGGCTGTTCTGTGTCATGACCCAGACTTTCCTGAGCAAACTCTTCACCAGCAATCATGGGCTGTGTCTACCCAGTGCTGTCAGCTCAAGACCGTGTCGCTAGGACCAAAGGGAACTTCTTAGAGATCACATGTCAGAACAGTGACCCTGATACAATGGTGAGTGAGTCCACTTCTTCACTTCTGCTGTGTTCAGGCACGGAGCAGATATTTTACCTTAATGGCCTCCATATGGGAAGAATATGACCAAACGCTTTGTTGGAAGAACTATCTCCAACCCTGGGGGACCAGAGTGAGAAGGTGAGTTTGACTTAAATAACATTTCAGCCCAGTGGCTCCCTCCCTAATCTCTGCCAGGCTGCTAGTTATGAGACCTACGTGAGAAACTTGCGAAAAATAAGGGCCTCCTTGGCCCCATCTCTGAAGATTCTGATTGCTTGGATCTGTATATTTAACAAACTTCCAGGTGACTGATTTGTGGCCTCATTTGGGTCCCTGGCTTATCACAGGAATCAGGACCTGCTCTATTTGTATCTGCCAGCATTAAAACTCTAGTTCCAGGAAGGAAGAACCTTCCTGTCTGCACAACATGGCCTCGTCAGATGTCCTCAAACAAATCTTTGGGACAGCACAAAGGGGCAGGGCAGGACTCCTGGGCTTGGCAGCGTCTTGGCTGCACCTACCACCAGCTGGAACCTCTCAAACACTTTCACCCCCAAATGGATTTGAGCCTAGCTAACTTGCCGTGCTGATCTCTGGTCCTCACCTGTGGCATTCAGTCTGTGGCACTCAGAGGGATAAATTGTTGACAACTGGGATTCTGTATTTATATGCTAATTTTCTGCCATATAAGGAGCCAGGTTCGTGCAGATTCCTTCAATATGAATATTTCTCTTTGGATAACATTTACTCCCTAGAGACTTACAATCTTTTGCCTGTGCACATCTCAAAAACCCACAGTGGCAGAAATACACCCATGGAAAGAATATTTTTACAATATTAATAAATTACCTCTTCTTCTATCACAGTTCAATATGAGCACTATTGTCAGGACTGGAATTTTTACACCTCTTTGGTTAATTAGATGGTAATAGCACTTACTTGGTGTGTGATCATGGTGAAGCACATCTGGTGCCCTCAAGGAGACAATGAGCCTGGGCATAGGTCAGTAGGAACCAGGGCTCAGAGATGCACACAAGCGATTAACTCTAAGTGACATGGGTCAGGGATAGCGTCAGAGACTGAGTGTAATCCATGGAAACCTGCAAATCAGCAGATTCTAGGACCAACATAGCTATGGAGGGTGGGCTACCCGATAACAGAAGGTGGGGACAATCATGTGGTAAATGCCAATGAAGCCCTGACATTGGGGTCCATTATGAATTGTTGATGGTGGCAAGAGCAGACTGGGGACATGGAGGTCACAGTATGGAACAAGATCTTCAGGCAAGTCCTGGCATGGCAGGATGGGGTCTTTTAAATTGGTGTGGACCTGCAGGAGTTGGTGGAGGTGCTTACAGCAAGGCTTGGGAAAGGGCAGGTCTAAGGGTAGGCAGGCAGAGTGAGGGGAATGGGGGAAAAGGCCCGGTCTTGGGATGAGTTTCTTGGGTAGGTCTCTTGGTCTAGGAGGGCTTGAGGCATGAAGCTGGCACCTAAGAACAGGACAGCACTCTGGCATGGAAACAAGTGAAGGATCTAAATATGGAACTGGAAATAAAGCCATTACTGATTTCTTTTGTTTGGTATCAGCACAGCATGTCTTTTTTCATACTGTTATTTTACATTTATTTCTGTCAGCCATTCTTACAAGTGGCGTATAGTTGGGTCTTGCTTTCAAAAATCTGGTCTGGCATCTTCTGCCTTATTATTTGGGTCCTTAGCCATTTTCACTTAATGTAACTGTTGTTGTACTTGGCTTTAAATCTATAATTTTGCTATTTGTTTGTTTGTTTGTTTCTTCTGGTATTTGTTTTTGTTGTTCCACTATTCTTTTTTTCTTCCTTCTTTTGGATTTAGTTTCTTTTTTTTATGATTCCATATTGTCTTCTTTATTGGCTCATTAGCTGTAATTCCTTGTTCTGTTACTTTAATGGTTGCTTTAGGGATTAGAGTATAAATCTTAATTTATCAAAACCTACCTTCAAGTGATACCCTAACACTTCTTGTGTTGTAATAAATACTTCCATTTCTCCCACTTTGTGCTCTTTTTGTAGTGTATTTTACTTTTACATATGTTATCAACCATAAAATACATGGTTATCATTTTTCTTTAAATGATCAGTTATCATTTAATAAGATTTAAATAACAGGAAAAGACTCTCACACCTTTACTTATGCAATTACCACTTCCCGTGTTCCTAATGCTCAGTGTAGACCTGTGTGATCATGTAGCATGCTTTTCTCTCTATCTGAATCATCAAGTATTTATTTCACTTTAGTTTTTGAAAGATAGTTTTCCTTGTGTATTAGTCCATTCTCACACTGCTATAAAGAATGACCTGAGACTGGGTAATTTATAAAGAAAAGAGGTTTAATTGACTCAGAGTTCCACAGGCTTAATGGGAAGCATGACTTGGAGGCCTCAGGAAACTTACAATCATGGTGAAAGGCAAAGAGGAAGCAAGCATGTTTCAACTATGGTGGAGCAGGTGAGAGAGAAAGAAGCAGCAGGTGAGAGAGAAAGCAGCAGCAGGTGAGAGAGAAAGAAGCAGGAGGTGACATACACTTTTACATTATCAGATCTCATGAGAACGCTCACTATCATGAGAACAGCAAGGGAGAAATCTGCCCCATGATCCAATCACCTACCACCAGGGGGATTAAAATTTGAGATGAGATTTGGGTGAGGACACAGAGCCAAACCATATCAGCTGGTATATAATTCTTTAAAGATATTTCTTCCCTGTCTTCTTGATTACATTGCTTCTAATGAGAAATGTGCTGTTATCCTTAATTTGTTTGTGCTACAATAGCAAAATACCTGAGACAGGGTAATTTATAAAGACGAGAAATTTGTTTCTCATGGTTCTGGAGACTGGGGAATCCAAGAACAAGGTATCAGCATTTGGTGTCTGGTGAGGGCTTCTCTCTTGCTTTCAAAATGGCACCTTGCTGCTGTGCCTCACATAGCAGAAAGTGAACAGGGTCTATGCTAGTAAAGCACTAATCCATTCATGAGGGTGGAGCCATCGTCACTTAATCACTTCCCAGAAGGCTGTACCTCTGAATACCACTGAAATGGTGATTAACTTTCAACAGGAACTTTGGAGGGGACACATTCAAACCATAGCAATCCATGTTTATTTTCCTTTCTGTGCACAAGAGAAGAAAATAAACCTATTTTCTTACTCAGCATGCTTTTAAGAATTTTTTTTCATCACTGACTATGAACAATCTAGTTATGATGTGACTTCATGCGGCTTTATTCATTTCTTTTCATGTATTTGAGGTTTATTGAGATTCTTGGATCTGCGGGTTTATCGATTTCATGAAATTTGAAAACTTTTCAGCCATTTATTCCTTAAAACACTTTTCTTCCTTCGTTCCTCCCATCATACATTTTCTCTCCTTCAGTGACCCAAATTGCATGTATATTATTAGCCTGATTGAAGTTGTCCTCACTGACACCTTTTTCATTTCTTCAGTTTTTTTTTCTTTATGTTTTATGTTGCAGTTTCTGGTACTATTTCTTCTATTTCAATAATCTTTTTGTTTTCTGTCATATTTCATGCTGTTAATCTCATCTAGTCTATTTTTATCTCAAATGTTGGTAATTTAAACTCCAGAAGTTTAATTTGGATATTTGTAATATCTTTTGTGTCTCTACTTAATCTTTTTAACATTGAAATAGTTATTTTATATATTAACTTAGTTACATGTTACAGGTTAGTAAACTTGTCTGGTAATTACTAGTGTCAATATAGGGTAGTTTTGCTTGCTTGAATGTATTTTCTGTCTTTATTAAGGATTTGTATTTTCTTGATTGATTGTATACTGTGTAATTTTTGATTGGATGTCAGATATTGTAAATTGTACATTTTGGGGTGCTGAGTAATTTTTGTATTTATATAAGTATCCCTGAGGAGATTTTTGTTCCCTTCTGGTTTGCTTTTAAGATTTGTTAGGCAGCAATGTGATAGTGCTCTGTCTAGGGCTAAGTATTCTTTGTTTGTTTGTTTTGAGATGGAGTTTTGCTCTGTTGCCCAGGCTGGAGTACAATGGCACAATCTCAGCTCACCGCAACCTCCACCTCCCGGGTTCAAGCAATTCTCCTGCCTCAGCCTCCCGAGTAGCTGGGATTACAGGCATGTGCCACCACAGCCAGCTAATTTTGTATTTTTAGTAGAGATGGGGTTTCTCAATGTTGGTCAGGCTGGTCTCGAACTCCCAATCTCAGGTGATCCACCTGCCTCGGCCTCCCAAAGTGCTGGGATTACAGGCATGAGCTACCCCACCCAGCCCAATTATTCTTTACACTAAGACAACACCCTTCTCAGTGCTCTACTCAATGCCCCATGAATTATGAGTTTTCCAGTTTGGCTGGTGGAAACAGGCATTATTCCATATGTGAGGGCTGGTACTGTGCCCTCTAATCTTTTAGGGTGATTCTTTCATTGTTCTTGGCTAATTTCCTCCCATAAATATATGGTTCATCACTTGCTGAGTAATCAAGCTGAACATCTGCATGAGTGGTTCTCTCTGGGTGCAGCTCTTCTTTGATACTCTGGCTGATGAACTCCAGCTGTCTTGGTCTCCCTGGAATTCAGCTCTATCTTCTCAACTCAGGGAGGGAGCTTAAAGCTGTGCCTGAGTTCTCCTGCTCTCTCCCAATACTTGCAACTCCCTCAAGGCAGTAAGCTGGAGCAATCATAGGACTCATCACATTTGGGTTTCAGTTGCCAGGGATCTCTGTCCTTGTTTGCTTAAGGCCTTATGCCCAAACACTGTTACATCATATATTTGGTCCATTTGTTATTGTTTCTTATGGGAGGATAAATCTGGCTCCTGTTACTTTATCTTGGCTGGAGGCAGAAATCCCAAAGCATCACTTCTGTACTGTAATTCTTGGTATGTTTATGTGCCACTAGAACACTTTAGTTAAACTCTCACTAAAGTTTATGTTCTGTATCCAAATAGCAGCAGGAACTATCATTCTCTTCATATCTACCACGTGAGAGGCATTGATGTATTATTCCCAGGTTTTATGGACAATCCTGTGATATGAACATTGTTATCCTCACACTACTGATGAGAACACTGGGGCCTAGCAAGGTTAAGCAATGTGTCAGTAATAGGAGCTAAGTGGTGGCTTATCTGGATCACTGTAAATTTGAAACCAGGTCTCCTCTCCTACACAAAATTGCTTGAGTTGTGACAAAATTGCTTTCTGGACATCTGTGCCCCGTGACACAGTGTGCTGACTTGAAAGCAAATTGCTGGCAGTTTCCATGTGGTCCATAGCAAAAAGCATCCCAGATCATCCAGGAATCCATGCCTAGAAATACCCTTGATACTGACGCAGCCTGGATAGCTCCTCTCCCGGCTGGCCTGGGGCAATGGCAGGAGCCACATACAAAAACAGATGCTTGTCAGCAGGCACCAGGATGCCCTCAAGGCTACCTTGGCACTGCTACTAGGGCCTGGCCTCCACGGATACTTGGTGGGTCTGTCTCTCCAGAAGAAAGGCAGCTGGCAGCCGCAGTCTGTGCACCCATGTGCCATGAGTTGCACCAGTGAGGACCCATTAACTCCTGCCACCTAATGGGGCATCTGAACCTAACAGGCATCTGGGATGGCTGTAATCAGGGAAAGTAGCTTCCTTCACTTCACCTCCTTTGAGCTGATTTTGTGCAAGAAAGTGGACAGAATTCTCCAACGACAGTGACAGAGTCTGCCTCCCATGCTCCAGACAGTTCTGACCACCTCAAACAGCGTCAGCTCAGTAGGAGATCTTGATTTCAAAGAGAGCCCTCAAGAAGGGCTGCCAGGGGATCAGGCTCTCAGTTCAACCTCAATATCTGAGTTTTCTCTCTGAGTATAATTGGATAAGATGGTCTATTTTGCTCACCTTGCTCAGTGGTCATAAAGTTTGATGAGATGTTTACTTACACAGTCATTTATTCAAAACCTATATACCAAGTCCTGTGAACACAAAGAGGAAAAGATGGAGACAGTCCCTTATCTGTGAAGTCCACAGCCAAGGGAGATGATGGGACGGGAAATGAATTCTATTTTGCATTGTGATCTGAGCTACATGAAAAAAGTATAGGGAGAAAGAGTATAGGGAGACTGGGGAAGAATGTGGGGTATCCCTGGGAGAATTTTGGGGGGCTGTCATCAGGACAGGACATTTAAGCTGACCATGGAAGGAGTCAGAATTCATAAGATGAGGAAACTGAGGCAGAATAGTAAGGTAGGCAAAGCCTGGAGGCCTCCCAAAGATCCCGTACCTGTGCAGGGTCCCTCATTCCCCTGCTCCTTCCCATCGTCATCCTCAGCTAGCAGCAGCAATGACAGCGCCCTCATCCTCCCCTCTCAGTGTAGGACAAAGTTGCAGAGTCCTCAGCAGGGAGCATATAATTAATTCAAAAATGGAAACTGCAGTCCATGCGGCTCTTCTATCACTAGGGTGTATCCAGCTGTTCCTGTGGGAATCCAGTCACTCTTAACTTCATTATTTGCCTTTCAGTATAGGATCTTATTTTTCTGGCTCACATAGAATATAGGTATTTACAGGCACAAGGGCTCAAGAAATGCTCTTTCCCTTCTTCTTGGTGCAGGAATCTAGTCTATCACATCCCTACCAGACCACGGCACCGTCCAGCTCGAGCCCCTCCCTAGCACACACAGGAACTCACTGCTTCTTACATTACCTCCTGGTGAGAAAATTTTCCCCTGTGACTTCAATTCATTTATCCCAGTCCTGTCTTTTGGGATCTTGAAGCATATTTTGCTTTCCATCCCTTACCTGGCAATCGGCAGTCTGGGAGACATTGCTAGAGTCTGTTCAACAGCAATTATCAAATACCAAGGACTCTGGTAGATGCAGGAGGCAAGGGGTGGTGCTTGGGAGCCTGGTCTTCATCATTTAGGGACTTATCAATTTTCAGTTTCCCCATGAGGTCGAACTTCTTGTTTCCATGCCACACACCCCCAGCCCCCACTGGCATCAGACCTTACTGCAGTGGACGATTCCATGGAAGATCAAACCCACCTCCTGCATCATACTCTCTTGCTTTCTTGTCAAGGCTCTTCCCAAGTCTTGGGAGCTCTGTTGGTGGGTGAACAACTGGGTCTGCCAGAGGGAGTTACTGCCACTGGAATCAACACTCAGGTAATGCGAATCGGGGCTAGAGCTGAGTGCCCCACCTCCTCCTGCATCCTGGGGCTGGGGCAGTCCCAGAAGGCGTTCTGCATACCTCTTATGCGTTGCAGTAGAGTCATCCCTGTAGTCCTCAGCAGCTATCTCAGTTACACATCCTTACATCTCCCTTCCTCCTCCTTCTGCCCCTCTCTTTCCCTTCTTCCTTACTCCTGATTCCTGGAATCCCCTCCTAAATATACCACGTCCGTCCAAGGCCATGTCTCAGGCTCTGCTTCCAGGGAACCCATGGAAGGAAGGCAGGTGGGAGATGCACAGCCACAGCATATTATATCTCCACTATATCAAGCCCTGACACTGCTGGCAACATGAATGTGCACCTCCCTTGAGGCCAGCTCTGCACACCTTCACCTACAATGCTGCTTCCCTTTCAGACACTGGAGTACTTATTTCCAGCAACATTATTGAAAGCATCTCATGGCCAGTACAGTTATCTTATAACCTTATTTTGTGTTACATGTGATTTTATAAATCCATACTTTGCAAACATTCATTATAGGAAAATACTTAATAGCAATATGACCACAGGGAACTGAGCCTCAGCATCCTCATCTGGAGAATGGAGGTAATAGAAATCCCATGGCAGATTTGTTATAGGAACAGGGCACATTTGTGGCAGCATGAGGCGCCCAGGCACTGGCTGGACATCACCAACTGATTTGCCCCACCTTTCCTCTCCCTCTTTTCATTTTTGAGACCAGAAACTGTGTCTGAATGTCAATATATTGCCAAGAAGACTCCCCAGCAAAGTGTTTAATTATGGTGACTGGCCCATCAGTTCCAGAAGCCAAAGCAGGAGAGGAGGGAGGGCAGAACGCAAGGCACTTGCCGCAGGAGCCTGCCTGCTAACAGGGCTTCCTCTGAGGTGCTCAGGTATTTGCAGGTATTTTCAAGCTAATATCAGGACACAGCTGCTGTCATCTGCTCCACAGCAATAAATTTTTTAGAAATGTAAAATCTCACAACAGCCAGAAAGATGACAGTTTCACACTTACAAACCAGGATGCCGAGGCTCAGGGAAATGCATTTCCTTGGGGAAGGTAGCCCCGTGTCTTGTTCCACCTACCTTTATTGTCCGGCTCTCCTTCCTGCAGGGGGTCTCTCAGGAGCCCACTCCAGCCCAAGGTGGGCCTTTTGGCCTCAGCTCAGCAGGAAGCTCCAGGAAGCTTGTGCAGTGCTCTAAGTGCGGTCCCTCTAACGGGACTTTTTGATAAATTATACCTAATTCCTAAGTGAGGAAATAATTATTCCACGTTCATTATTGTGCTTTTACTTTTATTTTACTTTCACATTCTGGGGACCCTTATGTTGTGTCATTTTAATTTTTGTTGTTACTTAGCAAACTATAAATGAATGAGACTGAGCTTAAATGAGACCATGGGAATGTGGTAGAGAAGGAGACCACAATATGGCAGAGAGGAAAGGGAAGGGAAAAATCATTCCCCTGGAACAGGCTGACATCACTAATAATGGCCATTCGCTATCTGACATGTGCAGAGGGTTGAGGAGCTGAATCTGACTTCCCAGCACGAGCCTGGCTTTCTCAGTGTACTTTACAGTTTCCTTCCCCTTTTATGAGAGACACTAGTGTGCATGCGTGATTCCAGATTTACAGTCCTGCCCTGGTTAAAAACAGATGTGAATAAAGCTCACAGAAATGCTTGCTTGGTGCGGAGCCTGGGATGGCCCATGACAGGTCACAGTGACCACCCTTCATCTCCCTGGACTCCCTTTGTCTGGCCCAGGCCTGCTGCAACATCCCAGGGCCTCAGCACAGCACTATCAGGCCTTGCCCTACCTGTGTGCTCCCTGGAGGTACCTTGGGTTGGCCTCAACTTACACAATGTAGAAGAGAAAGGATGGTCAAGGGCAGAAGGTAATGTGGAGGTATATGGCTGGGTGGTTACGAATGGTGAAATGTTTTCTTCTCCATTACATCCCACAGCATAGTATAGGGTAGGCACTGAATTGTGTAAATGAGTAGTATAACTGATAGGATCATTGCCCAGAGAACGCCCAGGATGATGGTGAGCTCAGCGCTTACCACCATCATATTAAAACTGAATTGATTTGAGGAACTGGATGTTCAACGTCCATCTCCTGAAGGACAGGAATTATACATCTCTTGATCACAGCTGCATCCCCGCTTTGGATACAATGCCTGCTTCAGTCCTAGATCAATAAGTACTAGATCAATGGATGAATGAATGGCCAGAGAACAATTGTAAACATCCATTTAAAGGCCTGCTTGGATGTGCTGAGGCAGAGAAAGAGGGCTATGCAGGAATCAGGTTTATTAAATATCTACTCTGAATGCAGTCACATTATGTCATTTAACCCTTCTAATGAGATCTGTGAGGGGGTGTCGCTGAGCATGTCTTATTAGCACAGAGATTGATGCCCTCAAATGCTAACAGGCTCACCTGTGTCTCACAGACTGCACGAATTAGAGGTAGAAATAGGAGCCAGGATTGAACCTGGGTCTCTCAAGTCCAGATCATGAGATCTTTCCATTCCTTTTTTGGATTATAAAGAAAGATCTTTATATGTTCCAGATACTAGTCCTTTGTCGAATGCATGCTGGACAAATGTCATCTCCCAGTCTGCAGCTTGTCATTTCACCCTCTTCCCATGGGCTTCACCTGAGAAAATTTAAATTTTTCAGGTGAGATAATTCATCAGCTTTTTCTTTTGTGAATTGTGCTTTTGGTGTCAAGTCCATCAGCACTATGATCTTGGTGACTGTAGCTGTATAGTAAACTTTAATATTGGGTAGAGTGATTCCTCCCACTTCATTCTTCTTTATCAAGTTTGCTTTAGCTATTCTAGGGGCTATGCCTTTCCATACAAATTTTAGGTAAGTTTGTCTGGGTGTATGAAAAAGCTTGCCAGAATTTTAATAAGAATTCCATGTACATTATAGATCAATTTGTGGGGAATTGACATCTTCAATATGTTAAGTCTATAAAACATGAACATATTATGTCTCCACATTTATGTCTTCTTTGATTTCTATCAACATTTTGTAATTTTCAGCATATAGATTCTGTATGTTTTCTTAAGGATATACCTAAGGATCTCATTTTTTTAAGAGAAATTTTAAATGGTATTGTTTTAAATGGTATTTAAATTCAGTTTCCACACATTCTTTGTTAATACATATAAATGTGATTAACTTTGTGTGCTTTTTGTACATACTGCAGACTTGCTGAACTCACTTATTCTAAGAGTGGTTTTTTAAATTGTTTCTTTTAGATTATTTGGGTTTTCTATATAGACAATCAAATCATCCTCAAAAAGGAAGAATTCTATATCTTTCTTTTCAATCTTTATGTCTTTTGTTTCTTTTGCCTTTATTCTGCTTGTTTTGGGTTTACTTTAATCTTTTTCTAGTTTCTGGAGGAAAAATTAGATTATAATTTTGAGATTTTTAAAAATTTATCTTTAGTTTTCAAAAGTTTAATTATGATGTGTCTTGGCATGGATATGTTTGTTTGTATCCTACTTGGAACAGCTTTCTGAATTGAAAAATTTGTGTCTTTTGTCAAATATGAAAAGTTTCCAGCCTTTTTTTCCTCCAAATACACTTCAGCTCCACTTTCTTTCTTCTCTCCTTGAGGAACATCAATGATACGAATCTTAGATCTTTTGTTATGGTCTCATAGTCCCCTGAGGTGCTGTTCGTGCATTTTCTCAGTCTATTTTCCCTGTGCTGCTCATATAATATTTTTAATCTATTTTCAAGTTCACTGACCATGTTCTGTGTTACCTGCACTCTGTTATTGAGACTATCCAGCAAGTTCTTTTTTCACTTTTTATAATTTCCAGCTCTATCATTTTCATTTTTTATAATTTCTACTTCCTTTCTGAGATTTTCTAATTTTCACTTGTCTTTTGATTTGTAATTTCTTATTGAAGCATATTTATCATGTCTGCTTCAAAATCCCTGTTGAATAATTCCAACATCTGATGAGTCTCAAGACCTGAATCCATTGATTGCTTTTTTCTCCTTCGATTTGGTGATTTTCCTGGACACTGGAATGATGGGTAATCTTTTATTGTATCCTAGACACTTTTTCTATTATGCTGAGGGACTGTAGGTCCTATTAAGTCTCTTAATTTAGCAGGCCAGGCAGACAATCTGCTTAGGCTTAGCACACAGGTCTTGTGGGCCATAGTTCTAATGGTGTTGAATGGGTAGAGAATTGGCAGAGTTATTTTGGTCTCATCGGTTTTCCTGGTGTTGATGGAGCAGCTCCCACTGCTCCCTGCTGCTGCCTGTGAGGGCAAATGAGACTCCCCCAGGCCTGGGGACTGGCATCTCTTGGTTAGGGAGAGCCTTGGTGGATTCCTTTACTGGTGCCCCCTGCATCTACACATACTTCTGGACAGGGGTGGAGTTTCTTGGGCCCAACAACTTTCTGTGTCTGAGTTCGTCTTTAAGTTTCTCCAGCCAGCCTCACACTTCTTGGTAAGAGAGAGTCTCTGGGCCTCAGGTTCATGGACCTTTGGGATAAAAGAAGCTTCCCCGCTGCTTGCTGTGCTGCGTTCCCCTTGTTGGTCCTGCTTGTCTGCTCTGGTCACTATGGGAAGCAGGGGTGGAAGAGCGTCGGGTGCTGGACATGACTACAGTCAGCAGGCTTTGAGACAGGCTATTTATAGAACAAAATGAATGGAGACATAAGTGTAAACCTGAAATAAGAATCTTTTCAGACTCACATAAGTGAAGCAGCTCATCAAACCTGGGAGCGACAGCATGTCCAGAATTTTTCTTTATGCCTCATGATTTTGTGTGTGCGTGAGTGGGATTTGTGGGTGAACATTTTCCTGATAAAATAGGAGAGAACCTGATGGCTCTGCACCCACAGTGAAATGCAGCCTTGCGATTGAACTTCCTCTTTGTCTTCTTAGAAGACATGGGGATCAACAACAGCAACTGTGCTTCACTGTGGTTTGGTGACTTTTTTTTATTATTATTATTCCTAGTTCCATCCCTAGCTACTTCAATACAATTCAAGTCAACAAAAACATTTTGAGCAACTACTATGTAGAAAGGCTAAGACAATGAATAAGATAAGATTTCTCTCCTCATAGGCATAAAATGCAGCAAGGGAGGCAGAAGGACCATTGACCACAGCCTGTGGTATGGCTGGGACATGAGAATGCTGAGCAAAAGAGAGGCAGTTCACCTGGGCGCTGAGCAGGCTTCCTGGAGGAGGTGGCCTAGAAAATGCACTTATGGAGGATAATATGACTTTAAGTCAGAGGTAGGGAAAGATATGAAATATTTTTCTCCGCATTACAGACAAGTAATGGAAAATGTGTACAGACATGGAAGCTTGGGGGCACATTCAAGCAACAGTGATTGCTGTGATGTGACACTTAGCTAGGTCTAGGTTTTCAGTCTTCAATAAGAACCACCTGAGATGCTACTATAAACACAAGGGTTCAAGTTCCTAGCTATGTCTAAAGGGTGAAGTGAGAGAGAAGGGGAGTGGAGTGTGGGGCAAGGACAGTGGAGAAGCTTGATAGGATCAGATGGAGTTTGAATCTATTCTCTATGTAACTGCAGAATCACTGGTACTTTTGGAACTAGATAGAAGTCTATTGCTTTAGCTTAGACAGCAGGTTATAAGAGCCATCAATAGGGCTCTATCACTGAGGGTAATAAGGAAGGAAAGACTAGCACAGAGGTCAAAATGAAAAGACTTTAATTCTGGACTCCTGAGATCTGAAATTGGCCCTGCCATTAACTAATCACATGGCCTTGGACAAGGCATTTAGCCTCTGCTTCTCAAGAATCTCAACTGTCAAATGAGGATTATAGCAGACAAGTGCCTTTTGTGCTCCCCAGAATCCATATACTTTTTTTCTGTAATTTGGAGACTTTCAAATATGTGGCTCATGTTTGAAGGCAGAGCCAGATATCCCCGTAGCCTGTCCCCTAGCAACTAAGTGTGGGCATGTGACCCAGGCTTGACCCACCGAGGTACCATTTGGGTCTGTGAATTTTACAGGAATGAAGCAAGCCTGAAATATCTGAGAAATCCCTTATGGCAACAGTGAGTGAAGAGGCCAGCAGAGGCTGTGGCTTGGGGAAGATAGGATCAATGAGGTTTGCCAAGTTCAGTGGCACTGACTTCAGATGCCCAGTGGGGCATATATTCTGGGCTGTGGCCTAAATCCTTTCATTGCCTCCGAGCCCACCTAAGCTCCAGCTTCTCTGCCCTTACCACTGATTTGGTGAGGAGCCACTCAGTAGCCTTCCTTTTCTTCTTGATTGGGTATAGTCAGTCATTTACTCTTGCTTGCCAGAACTAAGGACTCTGACTAATGCAGAATACGAATGAGAAAAATGTATTATTCATGAAGTCATGTTATGTACTGTGGGCTATTTTCTGTAAGCTAAAGAGGTATTAAGCTTCTGAATTTTGGAAATTTAGAATAAGAGTGATTTATTTAATTTTAAAAAAAGGAAACTTGGGGAGTCTGGAAGAGTTGATGGGGAGTTTGACAAAATTGGTTTCAGATGTGCTAAGTTTAAGGTACCACTGGGACAACCATTTAGGCAGATGGAAAAATTGATGTATTAATCAGGATTGATCACGCTGTGCTGGAATAACAAGTAAACCTCCATGTCAGGAGCAAAAAAAGTTGATTTCTTGCCCATGGCATGAGGGAAAAGTAGACTATGGACAACATTGAACCTTGTGCCCCCAAAAGGTGAAGTCTAACTCTCCACTCTCTAGGTGTGGGTACAGTGACTTCCCTAAAAACCAGACAACATGAAAATGGTGAGTCACTTTACAGTGAAGGCTCTTGACAGACACAGGTGATCCCTGCTGAAATCCACAGTTATAAGCCATGTTGATAGTCTGTGATCTTGATATGATGTGATGAGAATGGCACTTCACCTCCCCAAAACACATTCCCCCAGGCTAATCATGAGAAAATTATCAGGCAAATCCCAACATGGGGACTTTCTATAAAACACCTAACCAGTAAATTCTCAAAAATGAAGAAAACTCATTCAAATGTAGTCATTTTTGTGACAAGAACATGACATAAGAGCACCCTTTTAGCAAATGGTAAATATACAATATAGTATTGTAAACTACAGGCACCATGCTGAACGGCAGATCTCTAGGACTTGTTCATCTTGTATGACTGAAACGTTGGACCACCACCAACATTGTCTCACTACCACCTCGCCATTTCCTTCTCCCTCTAACCCTGGCAACCACCATTCAAAATAATAACAATGATAAGGCCGGGCAGAGTGGCTCATGCCTGTAATCCCAGCACTTCGGGAGGCCAAGGCAGGTGGATCATCTGAGGTTAGGAGTTCGAGACCAGCCTGATCAACATGGTGAAACCCCGTCTCTACTAAAAATACAAAATTAGCCGGGCATGGTGGCACGCACCTATAATCCCAGCTACTTGGGAGGCTGAGGCAGGAGCATCACTTGAACCCAGGAGGCAGAGGTTGCAATGAGCCAAGATTGAGCCACTGCACTCCAGCCTGGGCAACAAGAGTGAAACTCTGTCTCTAAATAATAATAATAAAAATAAATAAAGAGGGAAACTTTGGGAGGTGGTGGGTATGTTTAGGGCATAGATTGTGTTAATGGTTCCATGTGCATTCACTTATCTCCAAATTCATCTGTCACATACATTAAATATGTACAGCTTTTTGCATGTCATTCACACCTTGATAAAGTGGTTTTTTAAAAAAGAAAACTCTGAGAAACTGTCACAACCAAGAAGAGCCTAAGGAGAGAGTGACTAAATGTGATCCTAGATAAGATCTTGGAACAGAAAAAATACATTAGGTAAGATTTAAGGAAATCTGAATAAAGTATGGACTTTAGTTAATAATAATATGCCAATAGTGGTTCATTAATTGTGACCAGTACCATATTTATGTAAGATGTTAGCAAGAGGAGTTCCTGGGTATGGGGTATATGGTTACTCTCTGTACCATCTTCACCATGTTTTTTATAAATCTAAAACTATTTTAAAGTTTTTTAAAATGTAGTTTTTAAAAACCTGGTTTTTACCAGGACACGGTGGTTGCAGTGAGCTGAGATCGTGCCACTCCACTCCAGCCTGGGCAGCTAAGCAAGACTCCATCTCAAAAAACAAACAAACAAACAAAAACTGGGTTTTAAATACTTTGGCCTAATAGTGTAACATGGAACCTTTGCTCACATAACTTAGACAGAACTAGTCACATAGTCCCACCTAACCTAACAGCAGGGGGCTGGGAAGTGCCCTCTGTGTATCTGGAGGAAAGACCTGGAAATGGGTGGAGCTTGCAGATGAGATCAGTGCAAAAGAGTCATTTGCAGAAAGGGGTTGACAGGATGGACATTCTCACCAAGGTACAAGCATACAACCACATGAGATGAAGGACAAGAGAGCCTTGGGGCTTTGGAGCATGACTGCAGAAGCTCACCAGTGGGAAATCTCAAGGGGTGATCAGAGACAAGTTAATAAGAAATAAGGAACCAGGTCCAGGAAGCTCAGGAAATGAGAGTGAGCAGGATCAGGACAAAGAAGAGGCAGGTAACAAATATTAGCAAATAGAGGACCATGGGTCCCCTTGGAAAACCTATTTCAGCAGACAGCAGTGTGCTGGTGCCATTTTCAGTGGGGTGGAGAGGCACATGAGAGGATAGTGTACAAATATAGTTAAGTTTAAACAAATAGTAATGAGAGGTGAGGGAAAGAAGAGCAGCCAAAAGTGAAAGACACCAGAGTATTTCATGCATGAGGTTTAAAAAGTTAATCTTGGGAAAAAAAAAAAGAAAACAACACTATGGTTACTTCTGTTTAAAATGGCAATTGTGTTCTTGACCTCAACTCTTCTAATTTCCCTTTTAAGGTATATTTCAAGAGTAAAAACTGGATTGGCAGAGTAAGATGGCAGAATAGAGTCCTACACTGTTCGTTCCCCCACTAGAACACCGAATTCTAACAAGTATATGCACACAGAAAAGCACCATCACAAGAACCAAAAATCAAGAGAGGAGAGAGAAGAATAAAGAGAACTTTGTTATGCATCTTGGATACCAGCTCAGCTACAGTAGGGTAGAGCACCAGACACAGTCATGAGGCCTCCTTTCTAGGCCCTAGCTCCCGGATAACATTTCTAGACACCTTGAGCCAAAAGGGAACCTGCTGCCTTGAAGGTAAGGACCCTCTCCTAATAAGATTCATTACCTGCCGACTAAAGAACCCTTGGGCACTGAATAACCAGCAGCAATACTCAGGGAGTACCAGGAGCCTTGGGCTCTGAAATGTGCTGATTACAGGTATGGCTCTGCACATGCCTAGCTGTGGTGGCTGCAGTGAAAGATTTCTTCTATTTGAGAAAAGCAGAGGTAAAAGCAAAAGAGACTGTCTTCCACCCTAGGTACCAGCTCAGCCACAGTGGGGTAGAAAAACAAGCAGGTTCTTGGGGTGCCCAAGTCCAGGCTTAGGCTCTGGGAAAGGATTTCTGGACCTGCTCTGGTCCAGAGGGGAGCCCACTGCCCTGAAAGGTGGGTCCCAGGCCTGGCAGCATTCACCACAAGCTGGCAGAAGAGCTCTTGGGCTTTAAGCAAACATCAGCAGTGGCCTGGTTTAACCCCTTCAAGGAGCAGTGGTGGCAACAGCCACAGGGAGAGGTGCCTCTGCCTGTAGAAAAAGGGAGGGAAAAGCAGGAAGGAGTTTGTATTGTGGTTTGAGTGCCAGCTTAGCTGCATTAGAATAGAACATCAGGTACATTGCTAAGGTTTTTTACTCTAATCCCTGGCTCCAAGATAGCACTCTGAACAGAGGGGCCTTGCCACCCTAAAGGGAAGGGCCTTGGGCAAGGCCCAATCTGTGTTGGCTTCAGGTCTGACCCAGCACAGTCCCAGTGCTGGTGGCCACAAGGGTGCTTGCATCACTTCATACCCAGTTCAGGGTGGCTCAGCACAGACAGACTCTTTACGTTTGTGAGAAAGTAAGGGAAAAGAGTAAGATTATCTGCCTAGTAATCCAGATAATTCTTCCAGACCTTATCCAAGACCACCAAAGTGGTACCTCTATGAGTCTGCAAAAACCACAGCTTTATTGGGGTTGGGGCCCAAGTCCCTTCAAATACCTAAGATGCCTTCCCAAGAAAGACAGACACAAACAATCCTAGACTGTAAAGACTACAATAAATACTTAACTCTTCAATGCCCAGACACTGAAGAACATCTACAGGCATCAACACCATCCAGGAAAACATGCCTCACCAAATGAGCTAAGTAAGGCACCAGGCACCAATCCTGCAAAAACAAAGATATATTACTGTTCAGACAGAGAATTCCAAATAGCTATTTCGAGGAAACTCAAAGAAATTCAAGATAACACAGAGAAGGAATTCAGAATTCTGTCAGATAAATTTAACAAGGAAATTGAAATAATTAAAAGGAAACAGAAATTGAAAAATGCAACTAACACTGAAGAATGTGTCAGAGTCTCTTAATAGCAGAATTGATCAAGCAGAAGAAAGAATGAGTAAGCATTAAGACAGGCTATTTGAAAATACACAGAGGAGACTAAAAAAAAGAGAGTAAAAAATAATAAAGTATGCCTACAAGATGTAGAAAATAGCCTCAAAATGGCAAATCTAAGCATTAATGGCCTTAAAGAGGAGACAAAGAAACAGAGGTAGAAAGTTTATTAAAAGGGATAACATCAGAGAACTTCCCAAACCTAGAAAATGATATCAACATTTCAGTACAAAGTTATAGAACACCAAGCAAATTTAACCCAAAGAAGGCTACCTCAAGGCATTTAATAATCAAACTCCTGGCCAGGTGTGGGGGCTCACGCTTGTAATCCCAGCACTTTGGGAGGCCGTGGTGGGCGGATCACGAGGTCAGGAGATCAAGACCATCCTAACACGGTGAAACCCTGTCTCTACTAAAAATACAAAAAATTAGCCAAGCGTGGTGGCAGGTGCCTGTAGTCCCAGCTACTTGGGAGGATGAGGCAGGAGAATGGTGTGAACCCAGGAGGCGGAGCTTGCAGTGAGCCAAGATTGCACCACTGCACCCCAGCCTGGGTGACAGAATGAAACTCCGCCCCCCCCCAAAAAACATAAAAAAATTCAAACTCCTAAAGGTCAAGGATAAAGAAGGGATCCTAAAAGCAGCAAGAGAAAAGAAACAAATAACATAAAATGGAGCTCCAATACATCTGACAGCAGACTTTTCAGAGCCACAACATATTTATAGTGCTGAAGGAAGAAAAAAAAACTTTTACCCTAGAATATTATATCTGGTAAAAATAGCTTTTAAGCATGAAGGAGAAATAAAGACCTTCCCAGACAAACAAAAGCTGAGGGGTTTTATCAACACAAGACCTGCCCTACAAGAAATGCTAGAGGAATTTCTTCAGTCTGAAAGAAAAAGATGTCCATAAGCACAAAGAAATCATCTGACTGTACAAAACTCACTGGTAATAGTAAGCACACAGAAAAACACAGAATAGTATAACACTGTAATTGTGGTGTTTAAGCTTCTCTTGACTTAAGTAAAAAGACTAAATGGTGAACCAATTAAAAGTAATAACTACAACAACTTTTCAAGAAATATACAGTGCAATAAGACATAAAGAGAAACAACAACAAGTTAAAAAGCAGGGGGATGCAGTTAAAGTGTAAAGTTTTTACTAGTTTTTTTTTGCATACTTGTTTGCTTGTTTATGCAATCAGTATTAAGTTGTCATCACTTTAAAATAGAAGGTTATAAAATAATGTATGCAATGGGTTATAAGACAGTACAGTAAAAACTAATAGTCATCGGTTTAAAATAATTGGTTATAAGATAGTATTTGCAAGCCTCATGGTAATCTCAAATTGAAAAACATACAATGGGTACCCAAAACTAGAAAGCAGGAAATTAAAAGCATACCACTAGAGAAAATCATCTTCACTCAAAGGAAGACAGGAAAGAAGGAAAGAAGAAAGAGAAGACTGCAAAAAAAAAGAAGAGAAACAAAAAGAAAAAAACACACTCAAAAAACAGAAAACAAGTAAAGTGGCAGTAGTAAGTCCCTACTCATCAATGATAATATTGAATATATATGAACTAAATTCTCCAATTAAAAGACATAGAGTGGCTGAATAGATTTTTTTAAAAAGATCAAATGATCTACTGCCTACAAGAAACACACTTCACCTACAAAGATACAAACAGACTGAAAACAAAGGGATGGAAAAAGATATTCCATGCCAATGGAAACCAAAAGAGAGGAGTAGCTATTCTTACATCAGACAAAATGGATATCAAGACAAAAACCATAAGAAGAGATAAAGAAGGTAATTATACAATGTTAAAGAGGTCAATTCAGCAAGAAGATATAACAATTGTAAATACATATATATTTATTTATTTACACAACATATATATTTATTTACGTAACATTGAAGCATCCAGATATAAAAGCAAATATTATTAGAGCTAAAAAGAGAGATAGGCTCCGATGTAGTAATAGCTGGAGACCTCAACACCCCACTTTCAGCATTGGATAGATCTCCCAGACAGAAAATCAAAAAAGAAACATCAGACTTAATCTTCACTATAGAACAAATGAACCTAATACATATTTACAGAACATTTCATCCAAAAGCTGTAGAATACTCACTTTTCTCCTCAGCATATGGATCATTCTTATGCTAAGGATAGCCCATATGTTAGGTCACAAAACAAGTCTTTAAACATTCAAAATTTGAAATAATATCAAGTGTCTTCTCTGACCACAATGAAATAAAACTACAAATCAATACAAGAGGAATTTTGGAAACTACACAAATGCGTGGAAATTAAACAATATTCTCCTGAATTACCAGTGGTGACATAGAGAAATTAAGAAGGAAACTGAAAAATCTCTTGAAACAAATGATAATGAAAACACAGAATACCAAAATCTAGGGGATGCAGCAAAAACAGTACTAAGAGGAAAATTTATAGCTATAAGCGCTTACTTCAAAAATGAAGAAAAACTTCAAATAAATAACCTAGCGATGCATCTTAAAGAACTGGAAAAGCTAGAGAAAATTAACCCAAAATTAGTACATGAAAAGAAATAATAAAGATCAAGGAGAAACAAAGAATTTGAAGTGAAGAAAATACAAAAGATCAACAAAAGAAATAGTTGGTTTTATTTAAAAGATAAATGAAATTGACAGACCTTTAGTTACACTAGGAAAAGGAGAAAACTAGAATAAATGAAATCAGAGATGACAAAGGAGATATTATAACTCATACCTCAGAAATCCAAATGACCATTAGTGGCTAATAGAAGCAATCATATGCCAATAAATTGGGAATCTAGAAGAAATGAATAAATTCCTTGATTTCCTTGATACATACAACCTACCAAGATTGAAACATAAGGAAACCCAAAACCTTAACAGACCCATAATAAGTAACAAGATGATAGCCAGATAGCCATAATAATAATAAAAAAACTCCTAGTAATAAAAAGCCCAAGAGCCAGTAGCTTTATTGCTGAATTATATTAAACATTTAAAAATAAACTAATACCAATCCTAATGAAACTGTTCCAAAAAACAGAAGAGAGAATACTTCCAAAATTATTCTACAAGGCCAGTATTATCCTGATAGCAATATCAGAAAAAGACACATCAAAAGAAGAAAACTACAGCCCAGTATCTGTGAAGAATATTGATGCAAAAATTCTCAACAATACCAGCAAACTGAATTCAACAATACATTTAAAAGATCATACATCATGACCAAGCAGGATTTATCCCAGGAATGCATGGATGGTTCAACATATGCAATCAATCAATGGGATACATAGTATCAGCAGAATGAAGGACAAAAACCTTATGATCATTTCAATTGATGCTGAAAAAGCATTTGATAAAGTTCAACATTCTTTCATGATAAAAAAAACCCTCAAAAAATGAGTATAAAAGAACATACCTGAACATAATAAAAATCATATATGACAGACCCACAGATAGTATAGTATTAAATGGGGAAAAACTAAAAGCCATTTCTCTTAGATTTGAGACACAACAAGGATGCCCACTTTCATGACTGTCCTTCAATGTAGTACTAAAAGTTTTCACTAGAGCAATCAGACAAGAAAAAGAAATAAGGGCATCCAAATTGGAAAGGAAGTCAAATTATCCTGTTTGCAGATAATATGATCTTGTATATGGAAAAACCTAAAGACTCCATGAGAAAACTATTAGAACTGATAAATAAATTCAGCCCAAGTTGCAGGATACAAAACTAACATAAAAATTGTTAGCATTTCTATATGACAACAGTGAACAATCTGAAAAAGAAATTTTAAAAATGAAATCCCCTTTAAAATAGCCACACATGCAATTAAATCCCTAAGAATCAACTAAATAAGTGAAAGATCTTTATAGTGAAAACTACACAACAATAGTGAAATAAATTAGAGGACTCCAAAAATGGAAAGTTATTCCATGTTCACAGATTGGAAAAATCAATATTGTTAAAATGTCCATATTACCCCCAAAATCTGCAGATTCATTGCAAATCCTTTAAAAATCCCAATGCCATTCTTCACAGAAATATAAAAAAAATCTAAAAATTTATATGAAATCACAAAAGACCCAGAATATCCAAAGCTATCCTAAGCAAAAAGAACAAAACTGGAGACATTGCATTGCCTGACTTCAAATTATACTACAGAGCTATAGTAACCAAAACAGCCTAATAGGGACACTCATTAAAAACAGACACATAGACGAATGGAACAGAATACAGAACCCAGAAACAAATCCATTCACCTACAGTGAACTCATTTTTGACAAAGGTGCCAAGAACACTGATTGGTGAAAAGACATTCTCTTTAATAAATGGTGTTGGGAAATTTGGTTATCCATATGCAGAAGAATGAAACTTAATTCCTATCTCTCACTTTTTACAAAAGTAAAATCAAAATGGATTAAAGACTTAAATTTAATAGCTCAAACTGTAAGACTCTTACAAGACAATATTGGAAACTCTTTAGGACATTGGTCTGGGCAAAAATCTCTTGAGTCATACCCCACAAGCACAGACAACCAAAGCAAAAATGGACTAATAAGATCACATCAAGTTAAAAAGCCTCTGCACAGCAAAGGAAACAATCAACAAAGTGAAGAGATAACCACAGAATGAGGAAAAATATTTGCAAACCACCCATATGACAAGGGATTAATGACCAGAATATATAAGGAGCTCAAACAGCCCTATAGGAAAAAAAAATCTAAGAAGCTGATTTTTTAAATGAGCAAAATATTTGAATATACATTTCTCAAAAGAAGACATACAAATGGCAAACAGGTATACGAAAAGGTTCTCAACATCGTTGATTATCAGAGAAATGC
The DNA here is from genome assembly GCF_000001405.40 of Homo sapiens. Classification (NCBI taxonomy): domain Eukaryota; kingdom Metazoa; phylum Chordata; class Mammalia; order Primates; family Hominidae; genus Homo; species Homo sapiens. The sequence goes on along the minus strand of NC_000002.12, from coordinate 129,147,243 downwards.
AAATCAAAACTACAATGAGATATCATCTCACCCAAGGTAAAATAGCTTTTACTCAAAAGTCAAGCAGTAAGAAATGTTGGTGAGAAAGTGAAGAAAAGGGAACCCTCATACACTGTTGGTGGGAATGTAAATTAGTACACCCACAAAGAAAAACAGATTGGAGTTTCCTAAAAAATTCAAAAAACTAAAAATAGAGTAATCCCACTGCTGGGTATATACCAGAAAGAAAGAAAATCAGTATATCGAAGAGATATCTGCTCCCTCGTGTTTGTGGCAGCTCTGTTCACAATAGCAAAGATTTAGAAATAACCTAGGTGTCCATCAACCAATGAAAGGATAAAGAAAATGTGGTACTTATACACAATGGAGTACTAGTCAGCCATAAAAAATAATGAGATCTTGTCATTTGCAACAACATGGATGGAACTGGAGGTCATTATGGTAAGTGAAATAAGTCAGGAACAGAAAGACAAACATCACATGCTCTCACTTATTTGTGGGATCTAAAAATCAAAACAATTGAACTCATGGAAATACAGAATAGAAGGATGGTTACCAGAGGCTGGGAAGGCTTGTGGGGGGAAGAGGGAAGGTGAAGATTAATGGTTACAAAAACTATTAGAAAGAATGAAGAAGACCTAGTATTTGATAGCATAACAGAGGGACTATAGTGAATAATAATTTGTTCGTTTAAAAATGTCTAAACTAATATAGTTGTACTATTTATAACACAAAGGATAAATGCTTGAGGAAAGGGATACCCAATTTTCCATAATGTAATTATTATGCATTGTATGCCTGTACCAAAATATCTCATGTACCCCACAAATACATATACTTACTTTGTACCCACAAAAAATAAAAATAAAAAAAGTTAAAGAAAAAAAAGTAAGAACTAGTCTGGACGTTTTTTAATACAATCCCAAGAGGACAGGCAAAGAAAGCAAAAATAGACAAGTGGAATTGCATCAAACTAAAAAGTTTCTAGATAGCAAAGAAAACAATCAACTGAGTGAAGAGGCAACTTACAGATATGCAAACTCTATGGTATTAGTATCCAAAATATATAAGGAACTCATACAACACAATAGCAATAAATAAATAAATAAATAAATATTCCAATTTTAAAAATAGACAAAGGTCTTGAATAGACAGTTCTCAAAAGAAAACCTTCAAATGGCCAACAGGTAGATGAAAAGGTGCTCAACATCACTGATTATCATCAGGAAAATGTAAATCAAAACACCAAGGAGATATCAGCTCACTCCTGTTAAAATGGCTATTATCAAAAAGTCCAAAGATTACAAGTGTTGTTTAGTATGTAGAGAAAAAGGAACCTTTGTACACTGTTGGTGGAATGTAACTGGTACAGTCATTATGAAAAACAGTATGGAGGTTCCTCAAAAAATTAAAAATAGAACTCCCGTATGATCTAGCAATCCCTCTTCTGAGTATATATCAAATGCAAACAAAATCAGTGTCTTGAAGAAATATCTGCACTCATATTCACTGAAATATTATTCACAGTAGCCAGGATACAGAAACAATTCAAATGTCCATTGGTGGATGAATGGATAAAGAAAATGTGATATAATATACAACAGAATACTATTCAGTCACAAAAAGAAGGAAATCCTACCATTTTTAACAACATGGGTGAACCTAGAGAACATTATGCTTAATGAAATAAGCCAGGCACAGAAAGACAAATACTGCAGGATCTCAAACATAGGTTCTAAAAATGTCAAATTCATAGAAGCAAACAGTAGAACAGTGGTTACCAGGGACTGTGGGAGGGAAAGATAGGAAGATGGAAAAAGGGTACAAAGTTTCAGTAATGTAAGATGAATAAGTTGTGGAGAGCTAAGTTCCAGCATGGTAACTATAGTTAATAATAATGTGTTGTCTGCTCAACATTTGCCAGGAGTGTAGGTCTTACATTAATGTTCTCACCACACATATGCAAAAAGAAAATAACAACTATCTCCTATAAGGTGATGGATATGTTAATTAGCTTGATTGTGATCACTTCACAATGTACATCAAAACATCATATTGTACACGTTAAATATACACAATTTTTATTTGTCAATTATACTTCAATGAAGATGAATGAATAAACACATAAAAGAAAGAACCATGTGGAACCTAAAACACTGAGAACTGATCTTTGTATCCCCCCCATCACCCCTGTCCATGAAAATTGATTAGAAACTCCAGATATGGACTGCAGACAGCAGGTAGGGGTGGGGTTCAGGGCACTGCATCCTAGGAGGTACAGCTTGCATACCTGGAGGATGAGGCCTTTAGATGCATTCTGGGGCGATGCACACTGAGTGTTCAAAGGTTTTATACTTTTCACCAGCTTAGAGTCAGGCCATGGAGTAAGGCAGAGAGTCCACTTACATTCAGAAGTAAGGTCCTACCTGAATGTTTTCCAGTAGTTGTGAGCGGTGACAACGTGCTAGCAGCCCTCGATCGCTCTTGGCGCCTCCTCGGCCTAGGCGTCCGCCCTGGCCGTGCTTGAGGAGCCCTTCAGCCCGCCGCTGCGCTGTGGGGACCCCTCTCTGGGGCTGGCCGAGGCCGGAGTTGGCTCCCTCTGCTAGCGGGGAGGTGTGGAGGGAGAGGTGCCGGCTGGAGCCGGTGCTGCGCCTGGCGCTCGCGGGCCTGCGCAGTTCCGGGTGGGCGCGGGCTCCGCGGGCCTGCACTAGGCGCAGCCGGCCGCGCCTGCTGGGCTTGATCCGGGGATGAGCTCCCTCTGGGCTGCCTGAGTGCCCAGGCTAGGTGCCGCCAAGTCCCCCGCGAGTGCCATTGAGAGGTGTAGCCGGCTGGGCTTCTGGGACAGGTGGGGACTCGGAGAACTTTTCCCTCTAGCTAAAGATTTGTAAAGGCACCAATCAGCACTCTGTCAAAACGGACCAATCACCGCTCTGTAAAATGGACCAATCAATGCTCTGCAAAATGGACCAATCAGCAGGATGTGGGCGGGGCCGAATAAGGGAATAAAAGCAGGCCACCCGGGCCAGCAGCAGCAACCTGCTTGTGTCACCTTCCACTCTGTGGAAGGTTTGTGTTTTCTCTCTTAGCAGTAAATCGTGCTGCTGCTCCCTCTTTGGGTCTGTGCTGCATTAATGAGCTGTAACACTACCTGCAAAGGTCTGCAGCTTCACTCCGGGAGGGAGGAACAACTCCAGATGCCCCATCTTTGTGAACTGTAACATTCACCCCGAAGGTCTGCAGCTTCACTCCTGAGGCCAGTGAGACCACGAACCCACCAGAAGGAAGAAACTCTGAACACGTCTGAACATCAGAAGCAACAAACTCCAGACACACCATCTTTAAGAACTGTAACACTCCCCGCAAGGGTCCATGGCTTCATTCTTGAAGTCAGTGAGACCAAGAACCCACCAATTCTGGACACAGTTGCACGCCTCGGGCTCCCTTCTCCTCCAGCTCTGATAAAGAGGGCACTAACAACACCTGGGTGGAGAGCACTGCCCATTGAGGCTGAGTAGGTCTTCCCTTAGGTAAAAGGTGAAGAAAAAAAAAATTTACAAAGCTTTAAAAAAAATCCCACGTAATAAATAAATGAAATTAACCCAAAGCTTTAGTTGAAGTACAAGGAAGAAATGATTTTCTTCAATAAATTGAAATTTAGACATTATCATTTGGTGTCTTCAACAGGATGCAAGTGCACAACTTGTTTAAAAATGTAACAAAAAGGTAAGTGTCCAGGGACAAGCTGAGTTGGAAAGGAAACAGATAGTGGAAGAAGTTGAGGACACTCAACATTAAATAACAGAATTAAAAGATGCATTAGAGGCAGAAGAATACACAGTTGAGTATATGAAAAATCAAAATAGTGAAGATAAAAATAATGCAAGAAAAAGATGCTAAAAATTGAGAACTGAAAAGGGAGATTCAACCTAAGAAATGTAGGGTTAGGAATAACAGAAGCAACAATTGGGGACATAATGGAAGAAAATGTGTTTCCTAATTTTTTAAAAAGCTCTGAGAGTCTACAGATGCAGGGCTTGGCACACTGCTCCTGGAAGAAGTCATTCATTTTTCCAGGGACATCTCTAGTGAGGGCCCGTGCTGTTCATGCCCAGCAGTCTCTGACATGCTGCCAGGCTGTTTCCTGCTCCCAGGCAGCTCATGGGCAGTGGGGAGAGACAGACCACAAGCGTGTAAAAGAACAAGATAGCCACAGTTACTGGTAAGCTAGAGTAATGTAAATGCTTGGCATCCAGTACAAATACACATAACCAGTGAGAGTGAAAAGTTGTGACCAATTACAACGGATATCAAAAAACTTTTAGTTCATTAGTTTTAGTATATACAGGCAGAATATAAGTGCTGGTGATTGGTGATAGGAAGAAACATGAAAAATTGTGAGGCAGCAGACACGGTGGGAGTGGAGTGGAGCAGGCTGTGCAGAGAATGTCTCTTTGGAGAGGAGCTTGGAGCTTGGATCTGGCCTGCCAAGTATCTTGAGGTGGAACATGTCAGCAGAGGGAACAGCAGTGCCGGTCTCTAAGGTGGTAATGATCCAGCAGCACAACCAGGCAGGACTTGGCTCTGCTGGAGTCAGAGGAGGTTTGCAGGGGGATCCAGGAAAGGGGGTCAGAGAGGCCATCAGAAGCCAAGCCACACCCATCCTCCTGGCCAGGGAGAGGAGCCCAGTTCTATTCTAAAGGCCATGAAAGACATTGCACGTTTCTAAACATGAAGGTAACAATAAAATTTATATTTGAAAGAGATTCACCAGGCTAATATTTAAAAAGTGGATTGTACGGGAGTGAGAGCCGAGAAATCAGAAGACAGTGATATCTGCCTACATTTTTGCATTGCAATTATGAGCGTCAAACATTTTATAAGCATCCAGAGACAGACAAATCACAACTATACTCAAATTTCATTGGCCATAGACCTCTTCTCTGAGGCACAAAACGCAGGAGAATGAAGAAACCTGAGGAGTTTTGAAGCAACTGATCAACTTTGCAGAAGCTGGCAGTGCAGTGTTCTCTCCTTCCTCGCCCTGCTGCAATGCTTCACCAGGCCCCTGGCTTAGCACTGATGCTGCAGGAGCCTTGGCTGCTGGATCCTGCTGGCGTCTGCTTCATCTTCCCACACTGACAAGACAGACTGTGCACCTCCACTGCATCACCCCCAGCCCCAGGCACCACACAGAACACTCTGCTAGTATCAACCTCCCTACAAGTTCTGTTTCCTTGTTTGTTTGTTTTCTGACGGAGACAATCAGGGATCTCAGAATTGAGAAAGGCATGCTCCAGGAAGGAAAATAGAGGTTGAATTTCATAACTGCACTAATAATTATAACAGTAACTAATGGATATCATGAAACCAGGCCCTGCCCTGTGCTTGGCTCTTAACATGTGGTTTCACGGATTCTCTCAAGAAATATTCAAAGGAGATACTGAAATCCCGACGTTTTACAGAAGGAGAAACTGGGGATTAGGAAGGTGAACTAGGCCAGGCACAGTGGCTCACTCCTGTAATTCCAGCACTTTGGGAGGCCAAGGTGGGCAGATCACTTGAGCCCAGGAGTTTGAGACCAGCCTGGGCAATAGGGCGAAATCTCATCTCTACAAAGAATAAAAAAAATTAACCAGGCATGGTGGTGCATGCCTGTAGTCCCAGCTACTTGAGAGACTGAGGCAAGAGGATCCCTTGAGTAATGATGGAAATGAGGAACACAAAAGATACAAGATGTAAGGAATATAAGTAATAAAATGGTAGAAATAAGTCATCACTAATTGGCAATTTTTAAGTATAAATATATTAAACTTTCCAACCAAAGAACAGTTATTGGCAGAAAATTAAAAAAAGAAACATGATCTAGCTATATGCTGCTTTAAAAAGACATACTTTGGACCCCAGTACATAAATAAGTTGAAAGTTAAAGGATGGAAATAAGATAGTTCATAACAATTATAACCAAAAGAGAGCTGGGGTTAATTAATATATTAACGTCGGACACAATAGACTTTTACATAAAAAATTGTTGCAAGGAAAAAGAAGGTCATATATTAATGAAAGAAGATAAAGCAATTATATATATATATATGTAACAAATAATGGAGCCCAAAAATACATGATGCAAGCATGGATAGAATTGAAAAAAATAGTTCTACAATAATAGTTGTGAATTTTAATATCTCATTTACAATAACAGACAGAACAACTGGACAGAAATTCAGTAAAGAAATACAAGATTTGAACACCCTACAAATCAATTAGGCCTAACAGACATACACAGACTCCACTCAACAATAGCGAATGTACATTCTTCCCTAGTACACATAGAGCATTCCTCAAGATAGATCACAGCTAAGGCCGCAAAACCAGTCTCAATAAATTTAAAAAGATTAAAATCAACCACAGTGTCAGCAAAAAGTGAACACATATGGAAAAGCTAAGAGCAGAAACCAATGGTGAGCAAACAAATTTGAAAAACATTTTACTAATCAAACTGCTAACTATAATGGGGAAAAATTGGACTTGAGTTTAACATGATGAATTGAAACATTTTCAGAGAATTTTCCTCTTCTAATAACTAATAAAATCAGATAAAAGTACCACAGGGGCACCAGTGATTTACCATTAACAATAAAACAAATAAAATGGAAAACAGCTTAAAGCAACCACCTGTAAAACCTGGGGCTGGTGGCAAGAACAGAAGGTTCTGGCGTGACCATACTTTGTCTGCTAAGCCCGACTTGACTTCAACCCTTCAAGCAACCATCAAGACAAACTAGGAAAAAAACCTCATTTCCTCACAAGTGTCCTGCAGAGAAGCAATCTTACTTGTTGTGCCCTTTTTTTTCTTATATTGCTTCAAATATAATAATAATAATAATAAAGAAATCCAATGTAGTTAGATGAGGTAAAAGGGCAAAGTTCCTAGAACCACATGGCGACTTGGAGGTAAGATGCACAGCCAGAGGGTCTTTCCATGGGAATGGGGTACATTGCACACTTAAGTGAAGCAAATACTAGTACAGTAAATGCAAAAGTCTCTCAAGACAAAGCAGAGACCAAGAAGTTGCAAACAATGCAGCCTTCATTTGTCCCCTTCATGTCCATAATAACATGATTTTACTTATAGAAGAGCATTTTATTTGTCAATCTATTATTATGTATATGACTAAAAATGTCTAAAATACCTAATATTAATATTATGTGTGGCTGATAGGATTACAAGTGACATTGCCTTTTTGTTTATAACTTTTTGCACTATTTTAATTATTTAAAATTAGGATGTATTATTTTGGAAAAAATAATAGTAAATTTTGAGGATGTGAGGGTAAAAAAGTCTGGAAAAATATGCCAAAATTTTTATAATAGTATAATAGCTTAATCTGGGTGATGTGACTGGATGGCTTTTATTTGCATTTTGTACATTTTAACATTTCCCAAAATGGCTTTTACACTCATTTTTTTTTGTTGTTTTCAGTTTTAGATCATACATGGAAAGGCCTTGAAAGTTATTACTTATGTTTTTACACCAAGAAAAAGCTGAGCAAACTGAAACTTAATGACTTTTCTTGGACTCATCATAAAACTAAGGTTGCAAGACAAACTATGACTACAAAATCCTGAGAGACCGGAAAACCCAGAGTCACAGCCAAGAGCTCAATAGCCAAGAGGAAAAGCCACTGCAGCCATAAACCAGTAGGGACATTTAAACAGCAATTTTGACAAATACCTGAAGGCTGAGCATGAGCTAACTTGAGAGTGAGAGATTCCTGGGCATGCAGTATTAGGAATATCCCCACTTTTCTTGGGTTTTATCTCCAGGAACCCGACTAGAGAGGAGAGAAAGAATAATCATTGTGAAATATACCCAAAGTTTCTTTATAACAAAGACCTACTATCCAGGAGAAATGACTTTACCAGAGTGCTATCTTAGCTAGGGAAAGAGCTTTGCTCCCACTCCAACCCCCTCTAGCCTGCCTGTCTCATCAGAGGGGGAGAAATAAACCACACAACTAGAAAAACACTTCTGAACATGAACAGCCTAAAGACACATGCCCAATAATAGGCTGACATTTAGCTATAATAGTATAGAATGCTTCAGTTCACTCACACCAACTGGGCTTCAGTGTGGTAGTAGCGGGTTACAGATGTAGGAACTAAGAGCTGCAGACTTAGTGAGGAGGAACACATAGGGAAACCCAAAATCAAAAAGGAGTCAAACTCAAGGAAGCTGAAGGACTTTGACATCTCTGTGTGGCATACATGTAATTGAATTAATAGAAATACGAAAAGAGACAATGAAGCAGAAGAAATATTTGAAGAAAGAAGGGTCAATAAGTTTCCAAATACTAATGACAGACATCAAACTACATATACGGGAAGATCGGATAAATACCAAGCAGGATAAATTCTATAGAAAAGCTACACCAAGGGATTCAAAGTGCAGAAAAACAAAGACACAGACAAATTATTTAAAGAAGCAAGGGGAGGAAAATAACAACTTATCTGTAAGAGACAAAAATAAAAATTATCATGGACTTCTTGTCAGAAACTATGAAAGTGAGAACAAAGTGAAGGAAAACATTTAAGTTACTGAAAAAATAACTTCCCAGCCTAAAATTCTATATTGAGAAGAAAAATCATTTAAATATGAAGGGAAAATAAGGACTTTTTCCAGACAAAAATTGATGGAATTTATTGCCAGTAAATCTACCTTACAAGAAATGTTCAAAGAAGTTCTTTAAGGAGAAGGAAAGTAATATAGGTAAGAAACTCAGATCTGCATATTAAAATGTATAGCATTGGAGGAGAAATAAAAATAAAATCTTTATTTTTTTCTTATTATTTTTTACTAATCTAAAATATAACTGCTAAAGTAATCACAGTAACAATGTACTGGGTATTTACAACATATATATAGATGAAAATAATTGCAATATAAGGATGAAGAAGAAGAGTAGGAAATAGTCTGTTGTAATGTTACAACTGTACATGGGAAGTTGCACTGTGTTATTTGAAGAATGTAGGTTACTTAAATCTCTGGAGCAACTACTAAATTTTTAAAGTATAATTGTATAATTGATATGCTAAGTAATGAGGTAAAATAAAATTATATAAAGTATTGAAATAAAAAGCAGAGAAAGCAAGGAAAGAGGAAAGAAACAAACAAAAACCCAAATGCAATGCACAGAATAAAGTTATAAATATGACATATATTAATCCATTTCTACCAATAATCATTTAGAATAGATTTAAAAACATTAACTATATGTTGTCTACAAAAACCCATATTAAATATAATGATTCAGGTAGTGTAAAATAAAGGGATGGTAAATATATACCATGCTAAGACTAATCAAAATAGCTGGAGTAGCTATTTTAATTTCAGACAAAATAGACTTCAGAATGAGGGAATTTAGGCATAAAGAGCAGCATTACTTTATGATAATGTAGTCTCTTCTCCAAGAAGACAAAACACAATTTAATGAGGACATACCTAACAACTGGATGTACTCTCTTGCAAGGTATATCAAATATGCAAGCCCAAACTTACAGAACTACAAGATAAAGTAGGCAAAATTACTATTACAGTTAGAGACTTCAATCTCCCACTTTTAGTAATAGATAAATGGTCAAAAAAATTAGTATGAAAATGGTTGACCTAAAAAGCAGTATCAATCAACCTGATCTAAGAACATTCACAAAAAATCCATCCAACAGCATCAGAATACGTATTCTTCTCATGCTCATATTCTGGGCCCTAAAGTACATTTTAAGAAATTTAAGAGAATGGAATACAATACACCTTCTCTGATTACAGGAATTAAGCTAGAAATCAGTAACAGAAAGATAGCAAGAACACCCCTAAATACTTTGAATTTATAATTTAGCACATGGATAAAACAAGTCTCAAGATAAATTTTAAAAATACAATATTTTGAATTAAGTTAAAATGAAAATACAACTTACCAAAATTTGCAGGATGTAGCAAAAGCAGTGCTTAGATGAAAAATATGGCATTAAATGCATATATTATAAAAGAGTAAAGATTGAAAATCAGTCATTAAGCCTTCCTTTTTAGAAAAGTAGAGAAATAAGAGAAATTTAAGCATATAGCAAGAAGAAAAAAATCAAAGCAGAAATAAATGAAATTGAAAACATGAAAACAATACAGAAAATCAATGAAACAAAGTTGGTTATTTGAAAAGATCAATAAAATTGATTAACCAATAACCAGGCTTACTGAGAAAAATGAGGAGAAAACCAATTACCAGTATTAGAGATGAATGAGAGATCATCAGTACTGATTCCATGAAAGGTGAAAGGATAATAAAAGAAAGATAAAGAAGAACTACACCCACAAATCTGATAAATTAGATAAAATGTATCAATTACTTAAAACAAAAACACTGAGAGAAATAAATAATCTGAAAAGGCCTGTATCTATTAAAAATTTAATCAATAACTTAAAACCTTCCCCCCAAAAATGAACTAATTGCATATGATCTCACTGCTGAATTCTATCAAATATTTAAGAAACAATTAATTCAAACTTTATCTAACATCTTCCAGAAAATATAAGCAAAAAAGAATAGTTCCTAGCTAGGCCAGCATTACCCTAATATCAAAACCAGGTAAGATATTACAGGAAAAGAAAACTACAGACTAATATCTCTCTTGAACATATATGCAAAAACCCACAACAAAATATTAGCAAACAGAATCAATAAAGTATAAAAATAAATATGTACCACAAATAAATGAGGTTTATTCCAAGTATGCAGGGCTGCACTGGCTTTTGAAAATCAAGCATTGTAATCCACCACCCCAATAGAGTAAATATGAAAAATCATATGATCAGATCAATTGATGCAGAAAAAATATTTGACACAACCCAATACCTCTTCTTGATGAAAACTCCCAGCAAGCTAGGATCAGAACAAGTTGAGGAGGAACTTCATCAACTTGATTAAGAATATCTACACAAATCTAATCTTAACCTGGTACTTATGGGTAAGAAAATGGAAGCTTTGCCCCTCTGATTGTGAATGAGACAAAGATGTCCTCTCTTACCACTCTTATTTAATAAAACTAAAGAAAAGAAAAAAGAAATAAAAGTTGTATCTGTTGGAAAAGTCTGAGTCCCTATTTCAGAATGGTATTAGAAACCAAGGTCTGAACACTAGCTGTGCTCACTGCTACCAGCGTTTCAGTGCTTCTAGGCACTCTCAGCTGACAGAGCAAGGAAATGAATGTGTGTATACCAATTTCTGTATACACACATGTGCCTACATATGTCTAGCGTTACCCATCTATGTCTGAGTTAAGCAGAGCATAGGTTCATACTGATGTCTTTGACTCTAACCCATTACCACATGGGTCACTCCAGGCCTCTCTGCTTGTTGATCTGTAACCTCCCACTCCAATGGAGAGATACCACCTGGCTCTCACCATCTGCCTTCCATTTACTTAATTTTTACTAATTTCTAAATGCTAAATATGTACTACATGGACAGATAGTGGGCATTAATTCTAGCTATATTTGTATGTTCTTGTCCTTTACAAATAATTTTTAAAATTTTCTGTATTATAAAGGGTAACTACATTTCCTTTTCTAAGTTATCTGAGTTGACTTTTAATTCCTTTTTATCCTATAAATTCTCCACTTTGGGTTAGCTCAATTCTTGGACTTACATTTGACACATGGTGAGTAGTGAGGAGTCTCTGAGTTGTCTGGCAAATACTGGACACTGTGATCTAAAAAGTCCCCAGGAAAGAAAGAAAGAAACTTTCTCACAGCACCCTGATCCTATGTGCCATGCCTAAAACTGCCTACGCTTATCACACAAAAATATTCAATTTACTACAGCGATAAAAAGGGAAGGTTGGCTAAATGTTCTAAGACCTCTGGTTCCCATGATCTTTTGTCTTCAGCACTCTCCAGCCTTCCTATACCTCTCTGTCCAGTTGCAATGGAGCCCCACCATCTTGTCTGTACCAGTTCCTCTTTTCCCAATTCACCCATCCTGCAAGTGTCCACACGGGAAGTTGGGTGCATTTCCTCATTTTGGCAGGTGGTGTTTGATAGTGTCTCCTAATTGCTGCACTAAAAGGAAAATGAGATGGTTATTAATCAGGATATAACATGTAACGCTACAGTGACAAACCAATTTCCAAGTGTCACTGGCTTAACAAGGTTTGTTATTCAAGTCGGTCTTATGTAGGGTACCCTATTCTGTCTTGAAACTATTTTTCCCTTTGAAACACACCCTCCAAGATCACTGCAGTAAGAACAGAAAGAACTGAGGATCACAAGAGATAGTTTCAGTAATTAAGCCTAGAAGTGACTTATCAGTTCAGTCCAATGACATAAGCCCAGCATAGCTACAGTGAGGCTGGGAAATGTATACCTGCTTGTGCCTAGGAAGATGTGAGCATATGTTCAAAACTACATTGTATCAGCCACAGTAGACAGAAGCCTGGAGTTTGACTTTCTACTATTGCTACCAAAACGACAGGGGTTCAGTCAGATGCTGCTGCTCACCACACAGAAAGCTAATCTTTTTTTTTTTTCAGTATTGCCAAGGAAGAAGGCTTTGATTATGTGCTACAACCAAAAATACAGGAGATCAGTCTCATATCCATCTTCCTGACTGACTAAAATTAGGGGCTTATATAGCAGGGAAGAAATGTAACCACATGTGGGAAAATAGAAATTAGGGAGGGGTAAGGAAGAGGAGTTGGTTAACAGGAAGCAAGTGGCCAGTTACCCAGTCTTAGTGGGTGAGGGGTCTGGTGTTTCATTGTCCAAATGCAGTGATATGGTGAGTTTCGGCTCCATTATACTATCTGGGAGGCCTGATAGTTTGTTCCTGAGACAGGAAGTCAGATAAGATAAATGTAACTTTCTCAAGTTTTAAGACTGGGAGGATCAATTTCTATGTTTATTCAAAGAAACCATAAACATCAGCTCTATGGGACAATTGGATCAGTTTCAGTCCCTGCTTTTCTATTTATAAATTCCTCAATCATGCAGAATCTGGTATCAATATTTCTGGCTGCTTCATGCTGATGAGGGGTGTTACGGGCAGCTCCATATCATGGGTGACCACGTGGCCACCCAGGAATCAAAAGTTAATCTAATACTATAGTTTTCTTCTGAAGTACAGTCTTTCTCTCTCCAGTCCCCCAAGTTCGCTAAAGACAAACCATAGCAGGACGCAACCTGCCTACAAAGTAAGCTTCAATCCCATACACTTGGCCTGATTACCCACACAAAGTGGAGCAAGAATCATTGTCCATGTAGGTTCTCTGAAATTGTCTTTGCTGGAACCTCTCAGAAGGTCATTTGAGTCAAAGCCCTGGGAAAATAACTAGTTCCTCCAACTGCGTCCCATTATGCAAGAAAACAGATTCTTATTGAACTTACGCAAAGAAACACATTGCCATGAATTAAAAATATTCACAAGTAGTTTATAAATTCTGGCGAAATTAGGCATAGAGAGAAATGTGCCTCAAATTCTGTTTGCAAACCTATACTCTACTCAATTATTAAAGGCAGCAATGTTTCAAATTTTTAAAAAGCCATAAAATTATTTTACTCCTCTATTAGTTCAGTCCATGCAATCAGCTCCTGGTCTGCTTCGTATTGGGTTAACAATCTTTATGAACATACTAGCCTTTCAATTAATGTCCTGGAAGTTTTCTCTCTGATTCAATGGCACAATTTCCAAAGTTGTCGGAAACCTATGTTCAAGAGTCATTTGCATGGACTTCAACAAAGAAGCAAGCCCTGGACTGTAGCTGATTGTAAGTCATGTTTTGAGAAGAATCAAAGCAAAACAACGATGAAAATTGCAGATAACAAACATCTTAAGACAGCCATAAAGACACAGTTGACAAGGCAAATTGGTTATCTCTGTGCCATACAACAATTTAACATAATAATCATAATTATTACTGACAACATATATTAAGACATATCAGAATTTTAGGAATTCATGCAATTCTGGAATGCATATTAACATCACATCTATATAAAGATAACCCAAAGGAAGTTAAACTCCACCTCAGATTTGACAATGCTTCCTGCATAATTCTAACATGCCAAGTCAAAATGATAAAACTAAAAGTTTTATCTTTTGATAGAGAGCAGACTCAGTTTTCCAAACAATAAGACCTAACAGAGGCAGCATGAGGCCAACTAAATGTCTCTCTGCCCTTCTTTTTTCCCCTGCAGTTTACTCAAAAGCTAAACAAAAATCTTTTATCTCTTATTAATATTACACAAATATTTTGTTCAAAAGAGAAAATCAAATTTTACATTGGTATGGTGTATGATTAATGTTACAAGCTAGTGTTAATAAAACCTTATAAACAAATGTATCTAGTTTTAATCAGTTTGACCATAAGGTATGATTTCCATAAAACTTTTGTAAACTTTTATAATTTTCTGTTAGAGAGCAGATCAACACTTCAAGAAAATCCTGTTATTCCAACAGAAGAGCCCAGATGATGGTCTTGCATCAATGTGCTTTTGATATTAATGTTTAATTTATAGAAAAACTTTGAACTAATTTTATCCCTCAAAAGTGGCCCTTACAATCTTGTGCCCACCTCTTATGTGATAGTCCCTAGGCCTAGAGGGATTCAGTGGTTTTAATTTCTGGCCCTGTGTCTCATAAAAGCAGTTGGTTTTGATTGTCACCTTCTCCTGGGTCTGAAAATGAGACTTTCACAAAGATAAATGCTCAAGATATAGCAGGAGTAGGTGCATTTTTCTGACCCAGGAGTCAAAGCCCTGTAACTTAACAGCACAAGGATTAGTTATTAGGACACTTATACCACAGAAAGTCCTATCATTTTCTCTAACATGTCACAAATTAGAACACTGTGATTTGGTGTCCAGTAGTTACCATCTGCAGCACTTCAAATCACTGTTTTAAAGTGATTAGGTTACTCCTTGCATATATCTAATTGCTAGCATTCTAGTGACAGAACTGTGATCAAAAGCATCAAATATGTAATAGGCCCTATGCCAAACTTATGAAAGTATGACAATTAACTTTTTTCTTCACCATTTAAAAACTGGTAAAAGTAAATATCACTCTTGGAAATTCAGTATGAGGATAAATAATCTCCTTTCATTTAAATATTATGTAGCAAAACAGGAACAAAGTGAAAGTAAGCACACAGTAATTTCTTTTCAGCTATTTTAAGAGTATTATCCTTTAAAATATTTCTAAGATTGGTTTCTAGATATAGTACTGACAACTGATTAGGTAACTTCCACCACTAGAATCTTCAAACCAGTGCAACACACTTGTGCATAGTTTGTTTTCCAGTACACACATGAAGGCCCAACTGTGGGACAGCCTGGGATCAAAAATCACTAGAAAGTCTCACATTTTTGTTACTACTTAATCCAAATGAATGCCACTTAATTTTAATAATGGTCAACACAGCTAACATAGTTTGAGAGAAATCCCAATGCCTCTGCTTTCTTTAAGGTCAAAGCCAATCTTTCCTGAACACTAAAACTTTGTACCCACATTACAGTTTTTCCTCACTGCAAGAAAAGACGTGAAACAAACTCAAATAATTGATTGAATTGAATTACCTTGGAAACAAACACCATTTAACTATCACCTACTTTTCCAAATAACAAAACATATAATGTACTATTTCTGTTCAGAACTTTTAAATATAAGTGTTTTATGTAATTTTTCACTAGGAACCTTCAAGCTCTTATAGCTTTCAAGATCATCAGAGGTAAGCAAAACCAATCAAATTTTAAATGGCTTGTGTCATTATCAATTCTGAAAGCTTGACAAAGGTAGCTTAGGAAATTTAGATAAACAGAACAAATGATGAATTGTTGGAAATGCATGAGAAACAAAAATGACTATTCATAGAACCAAATAGAAGCCTTCCATTAGAAACGAAAATCATCAATGGTTATATATGTATATATAAGTAAAACCCAAAGAACAAACAGCTAATAAATACAAGTTAGAAGCAAAAACAAAAAAAAAACACGAAAACAAATTTTTCTCTACTCAGTTTACCTTGGAGGCTACAGTGTTACCCAGAATATTAAAAAAACACATGATGGATATTTTGTTCCTGATATACAATTTAAGGTCTTTAAGTCCTCAAATACCACTATATATTTTGTGCAATTGAGAAATTCACTTAGGTACATGACCAGTAAGTGCTTTAATGCTAGTACTATCTATGCAGAAGAACAAGTATGGTGTAAAAAAAAGCAAGCTTGGATGTAAAATTTGGCCCCATGCTAAATCTGGCTTCATGCTTAACTATATTAAACAAGAACTGCCAAACAGCTAATGCATTTCTTTACAATATTTCTTATTTTATCTTCATCAAGACTAAGAACTTTAGCAATGAGCAGTGTTAATTAGTCAAATTTCTCAAATTTTCTATCAGGTTGTAAAGAATATTTTATTACTTAAACTTTTTCAGTGTTCTATTTTCTCTGTATGTGCATGAATATGACACATAGAGAAGCAGGAAATAAAACTACATTTGACTTACACAGACCGTTTATGACTTGGATTTTGCTTTGCCCTAAATTTTTTAAAACTAACCAGTCATTTTACTTTAGGACAAAAATACATACAAGATCCATTCTTATACAAAATTATTCTCTTTTCTTTAGAGCCTTCATTACCAAAGATACATCTTCATATCCATAACTTTCTTCACATCTCCCTCCTCTACTTGCTGGTTCCTGTCTGCCTTGTTTCATAAGTAACCTTTTCAAGTTTATAATTGGAGTTAACCTTCAGATAACTTCTGAATTAGAAAATATTCTTTTTCTCAATAAAAACACATCTTCTTTGGCACATTTTTAATAGAGAATTAGATATTAACTAGAATTTTTATCCCTAGTAACCTTAAATTTTGGTGAAAACCTAGGATGCAAGAAATCCTGAGCTGCCTATGAGATATTAGCATTTTATAGATGAGAACCATTCCAAAATTTTTAGAAACATGTTTCCCCATATCATAGCCTTTTCTTAATTGGAAATGACTCAGACATCCAGTGAGCATCAAAAATGATTTTAAGATTTTAAATGAAATATAAAGTTCACCCAGCACTTACCTACCTAGTTACATTTTATTTATTTTTAGCAGTTTATATTACTTACGCATCATTTTCTTGTTAACCACTTTCTAACCTGTGAATATCAAATGTTCACCTAAGTAAGAAACTTAAAGTTAACTGTACAGGTATTTGCGCCAATAACTCAGAAGATTCAGCTGTTTTCATTAAACCAACAATATTAAATTAGTCTTATTTATCAAAAAGTTTTCACAGACAAAGACCGTTCTGTTTTGGCTGGGTTTATAGTTTTATAACCTTCTGAGCCAAACCCTGACACCTCAAAATATCTATCAGAAACAAATACAAAACCTAGATAAAAATGTATGCTGACAATTCTGGAGACATTTCTACTTTTATTTTACCAATAATTTTAAAGCCAGCTTGTTTATTAAATATTTACTTAAGTCATGTGAACTTGAAAACTATTTTGGACTTAATTTATGGGCACTCTTATTTATAAGCCAATTTGGTAAGTGCAACATATAACATAATAAATGTACATATACATAAACATATCTATGTATTCACACACATAAAGATCTAATAGCTTTTACCATGGAACTCTAGCCATGAGATAGCAACACAAACTCATCAGTCTATGAACATGTTCACAGGGCTATACTTTGTTTGCCTTGATAGGTAAAATACAGTGAAGGCTGTGAACGAAAATTTTGGGTAAAGCAGTTTCCAGGGCGGTTTTATTTTTAAAGGCCAAACCACCCCAGGGCTAAACAGTACTACAGAAGAACATTACATACTACACAGGCCTCATCTTGCTTAGAATAACAGCATAACAGCCTGTGTACATAAAACTCCATCCAACTTTCCCATTCAACAGCAAACTCCAGATTCCACTGAATCTGGGGCCAAACAGTATTACAAAAGAATAACAGTTTATTGAATTCTAATTTCCCGTGACCATATCAACACACAAACATTCACGAGAACACACTCCAACTGCTGCAGCAACAAACAAGCCCCAAGTGTCCAAACTGAAACAGCTTGGGGGCTTCCTTCCACTCTCCGTAGCTGGGCTTAATCAACCTGCAAACAAAAATTCCCTTGGAATTTCCCAAGTTGAGAGGTGCTAATCCTGATGTCTGGTACCCACAAAAGACATTGATTTGACCAGACATACACACAACACACAACAAACAAGCCCCCAAGATTATCCAAACTGAAACACTCAGTATGCTTTCCTCTCAGTAAGTTGGGTTTGTTCAACCTGCAAATGACAATGCCTTTAAAAATTCCCAAATTGAGAGGAGCAGATACTGCTGTCTGGGCCCACAAAGAACGCTCACCTATATGAATGCAGATGTCAGATTTCAAAGGCTGTTCTTCCTGGGCAATCAGGAACAGAGTTGGGACCAGCAGCAGTGGGGCCAGAGAGCCTAAAACACATCTGCAATCAAAATTGGGTAGGCAGCTGCTTAGGAAACTTCTGAGGCTCCCAGCACCCTGTAGCTGAGCCAGAAGCAATGCATTCCCAGTCAGAAAACCAAAATCTGTGACTGAAACACCAGGGATTTGGTTTAGGTCCTGCTGCTTGCCACACAGAAAGTCAACAATGGAGATGACAAGTATGGCCAAGGAAGAAGGCTTTAGTTGGGTGATGCAGCTAAGGAAATGGGAAATCAGTCTCAAACCAATCTCCCTGACTGACTAAAATTAGGAGTTTATATAGCAGGGAAGAAGTGGAACCATGCATGGAAAAACAGGAGTTAGGAAGGAGAAAGGAAGAGGAGTTGGTCAACAGAAAGCAGGTTGTCAGTTAGTCATGATGGGTGAAGGTTCTGGCTAAATGCAGTGATGTGGTGAGTTTCAGCTTCTTGATACTATCTGGGAGGCCTGATGGTTGGTTTCCTGAGGAAAGAACTCAGATAAAAACAGAAGTAACTTTCTCAAGTTTTAAGACTGGGACGACCAATTTCTATGTTTATTCAAAGACATCAGCTCTATGGGACAATTGGGTCAGTTTCATTATTATTATTATAGATACGTATTTTGAGATGGCGTCTCACTGTTGCCCGGGCTGGAGTGCAGTGGTGCGATCTCGGCTCACTGTGAGCTCTGCCTCCCAGGTTCACACCATTCTCCTGCCTCAGCCTCCCAAGTAGCTGGGACTACAGGCGCCCACCACCACGCCCAGCTAATTTTTTGTATTTTTAGTAGAGATGGGGTTTCACCATGTTAGCCAGGATGGTCTCGATCTCCTGACCTCGTGATCCGCCTGCCTTGGCCTCCCAAAGTGCTGGGATTACAGGCACGAGCCACCGTGCCTGGCCAGTTTCACTGTTAACTATACTATCTGCTATAATTACTATTGATAAGTCACACAAACATCCGAAGCTCCAATTTTGTCATTCATTTATTTTTTGATGCATTTCACCATTTTACACTTACCATGCACATAGTGCTGAGCACTCTGCAAGGGGCTAGACTATCAAGGTAAATAAGTTAAATAAAACACAGCTCATATCTTGAAGGAGTTCCCAGTGTAGTAAATCCTACAACAGAAATATGTTCAATATGTTTTGGGATCACATGGGAAAAAGCAATCAGCATTCCCTGAGGAAGGCAGGACTAACTTCATAGGAGAGGGTTTGCTGAGGGTCTTCAAAGATAGTCAGGCATCTTCCAGAAGAATGAGGACACCCTGGCCATCCATATACATAGAAGACACTGTGAAAAGGGAAGACGATGGTGTGTACAGAGATGAGGAAGTAATCCAGCCTGGTATGGATCTAGATTGTTCAAAGGCTCAAGTGCAATGGTTGTGTGACTATATCATCACACTTTACCCCTAAATTAGGCTTTTCCTGCAAATAAGGACATTCTCTTATATCATCAAAATACCATTATCATACCTTTAAAAAGCAGCCATCATTCTCTAATATAAACTAATAACTACTCCTTATCCAAATTTTTTCAGTTTTCCAAATACATCCTTTTATAATTGTTTGCTTTCAAACCAGGATCCAATCAAGACTTGTACATTGCATTTTAATGTCTTGTATCTTTAATCTCATTTAATATGTAGTAGTAAGTTTTTTTCTCTTTTTATTCATGTCTGCCCTTTTTAATAAAACTGGACCATTTATTGTAGACTGCACACATTTTATATTTTTCTGATTGTATTAGTGATGTAACCTACCTCTTCTTCCACTATCCCCTGTATTTACAGAAAAAGCTTAGAGGCTTGGTTCTATTCAGGTTACATATTTTTGGCACATTTTTTATAGTTGATGTTGTGACCTTCATATTGCATCACATTAGTATCAGTGTTACCTTAGTTTTTCCCACTGTAAGTGATGCTTGGTTTATTATTTGGTTAATATGGTGACAATTAGATCTTCTTTTATTGAAAATATATACGTTGATATTATACAAATATACATTACTTTACTAATATTTAAATAAATTGTTTTGGCATTTATTAATAATCCTAGCCTGATGTTGAAAACATACTTTTTAAAACTTTTATCATTCTATCTATAGTTGTTAGCCAGTATTTTTCTATAAAGAAGAGCCTTCCTACATCAACTGAAAATAAATTTTATCTGCTCAAAAAAGGATCACATAAGTTGTTACTGTTTTCCCTTTAATTATCAATTTTAGGAGTAAAGAATTA
Organism: Homo sapiens; assembly: GCF_000001405.40. NCBI lineage: Eukaryota > Metazoa > Chordata > Mammalia > Primates > Hominidae > Homo > Homo sapiens. Next base: position 129,126,475 of record NC_000002.12, on the reverse strand, counting down.
TAAGTACTTGCAATGGTAGAAAATCTGTTTTTCTTCTGTCTTTATTTTTGAATGTCATTATGGATTAACAATTTCTAGTTAATATGTTATCTTTTAAGAGAGATTTTTGCAAAAGTTGTAGATTTTTTAAAAACTCAAATTATTTCAAATTTGGCAAATGGAAGCCTCTTCAATCTGGCCCTTATTGTCCTGTTGACATGTACCTATTAGTCTTTGAATATTTCCTTGTTTTCTTGCACAGGGTCTCTCAAACTTCTTTGCACTTTCCTTGTCCAAGATGTTCGAAGAGCCATTTCTTCCAAGAGCCCTGTTTCCTCTTAATACAATATTGGGTTTAGAAACCAAGCTAGCTGGCTGCTAAGGCTGCTCAGGCTATGCACTGTTGCTCTGGTGTTATTGCTTCTAGCTCTTTTCAAAAGACAGCGATGAGAAGACTACATTATTTTGATGAGTAGGCGCGCGTGTGTGTGTGTGTGTGTTTGCACACACATTCACATACGAAAACTGAAGACAGAGTGATAAAATAGGTTGTTAAGGGGCCTGGATGGGAAATAAACACATTAATTAACACAGTGCAACTGAAATAAATATAAATAGATTTGAGAACATGTGAAAGTATTTTATAAACTTTCATGTGTCAAGATGGAAGACTGGTGGCATTGTTAGCCTGCATCTCCCACTTACAAAGACAAAATAGTGTGTAGAGATCCATACAGTAAACTCTTGTCCAAGAAACAACACAGAAACATAACAGAAAAGCTGAATGAAACCACAGACCCTTTGATGAAAGTGTCGGGCAGCATCCTAAACTGTGAACAAGACGGAAAACTCCCGACAGGAGACATTGAACCAGCTCACACACCCAGCACATCACTCCTACAAACAGCATCTGAGAAAGCTGCTGCACAAACATTCTCTATATCTAAGGAACTCATATGGAGTCTTTGCAACTGAAAGCATCCCGAGCCAAGGCTAGGTGACAATAAACTATCCTCAAGAAGGAAAAAAGAAAAATCAAGAAAATCCAATTGAATAAAAAATAAATTTAAAAATAATTAGAAGAAATAGTCTATCTAAATGAGAAGGAACCAGAAAAATAATTCTGGCAATATGAAAAAACAGGGTTTTATGATACCCCCAAAAGATCACACTAACTCAAGCAGTGGATCCAAACCAAGATAAAATCATTGAAATACCAAATAAATAATTCAAAAGATTGATTACTAAGTTACTCAAGAAGATACAAGATAAAGATGAAAGCCAACATAAAGAAATTTTTAAATGATTTAGAATATGAATAAAAAATGTTCTAAAATATACGTATTTTAAAGAAAAAACAATGAGAACTTCTGGAAATGAAAGATACATTTAGGAAACTACTCAGTGCAGTGGAAAGTTTTAACAGACTTGTCCAAGTAGAGGAAACAACTTCATAGCTTGAATACAAGGCTTTGAATTAACCCAATCAGACAAAAATGAAGAAAAAGGAATTAAAATAAATGAACAAAGTCACCAAGAAATATGCGGTTATATAAAATGGCCAGACCTAAGATTTATAGGTGTTTCTTCTTCTGTAGGAGGAGAAAAATTAAAACTTTGGAAAGTCTACTTGGAGGAATAATTGAGGAAAACATCCCTGGTCTTGTTCGAGATTTAAATATCAAAATGCAAGAAGCAAAAAGAACTCCTTGGAGACTTATTGCAAAAAAGACATCACCAAGTCATATAATTATCATGCTATCTAAAGTCAATGTAAAGGAAAGAATTCTAAGAGCAGTGAGACAAAAGCAAGAGGTAGCTCCTAAAGGAAAACCTATCAGACTAACAACAGGCTTCTCAGCAGAAAACTTACAAGACAGAAGGGATTGGGTTCCTATCTTTATTCTCCTTAAACAGAAAAACTTTCAGCCAAGAATTTTGTACCTACCAAAACTAAGTTTCCTAAAAAGTGAATAAACAAAGTATTTATCAGGCAAGCTCCTGCAGAGGGAATTTGTCAATACTATCCCAGCCCTACAAGACATCTTAAAAGGAGTTATAAATCTTTAAACAAGAGGTTGATGTGTATCAGAATAGAAACTCCTGAAAGCACAAAATTCACAGGACTTATAAAAATGGTAACACAATGAAGAAAATAAACTCACTAAGCAACAATCAACATGAAGACTGGAATAGTACCTCATGCATCAATATTAACATTGAAACTGGTCTAAATGCTCCACTTAAAAGACATAGATTGGCATAATGGATGAAACATCAGAAACAAAATATATGCTGTATTCAGGAGGCATATCTAACATGTAAGGATTCTTATAGACTCAAGGTAAAGGGGTGGAAAAATATTTTACACAAATGGAAACCACAAGTGAGTAGGAGTAGCTATTTTTATATAAAATAAAACAGCTATTTTTATATAAAATAAAATATATATATATATTATATATAAGGCAACAACAGCAAGATAATCCACAGACCCTTTCAAGGAGTTGGATTGCTGCTGCAGGCTCTGTGGGACAACCAAGGAACTCCAAAGACAAAGGACATAATCTCTTGGGTGCTCCATGGCCCTGCCCATCACCTGATCCTCCCTATACTAGTGCAACTGATGTGCTCTTGAAAGCACCACCTCCTCCCTGGAGGCCAACCAACACACACACAAAAAACCCAGTGCACTTAACAAAAATACAACCAAGAAACTTCACAGAGTCCATATCACTTCCCTGCTACCTCCACTGGAGCAGATGCTGTTATCCATGCCTGAGAGACCTGAAGATGGATCACATCACAGGACTCTTTGCACACACTCACTAGTACCAGCCCAGGGCCCGGTAGCTCTGCTGGGTGGCTAGACCCAGAAGAGAAATAATACTCATTACTGTTCAGCTGTCAGGAAGCCCCATCCCTAAGGGAAAGGACAGAAAAAGACATCATGGGAGCCTCCCGAAGGGCAAATGAATCTGAACAGCAGCCCTTGAGTCCCAGATCTTCCTTCTGAAATAGTCTACCCAAATGAGAAGGAACTAGAAAAGTGATTCTGGTAATATGACAAAACAAGGTTCTTTAACACTCTCCAAAAGATCACACTAGCTTGCCAGTAATGGATCCAAACCAAGACAAAATCTCTGAATTGCCAGAAAAAGAATTCAGAAAGTCAACTAGTAAGTGAATCAAGGAGGTAAGAGAAAAGTGAAATCCAACTTAAAGAAATTATAAAAAAAAAAAAGATACAGGATATGAATGGAAAAATCTCCAGTGAAATACATAGCGTAAATAAAAAACAATCACAACGTCTGGAAATGAAGGACACACACACTTACAGAATTGCAAAATGCACTAGAAAGTCTCAGCAAGAGAATTGAACAAGTAGAAGAAAGAATTTCAGAGCTTGAAAACAAGGCTTTTGATTTAATCCAATCTAACAAAGACAAAGAAAAAAGAATTTTAAAAAGGAACAAAGCCTCCAAGAAGTTTGGGATTATGTTAAATGACCAAACCTGAGAATAACTGGTGTTCCTGAGGAAGGAGAGAAATCTAAAAGGATGGAAAACAAATTTGAGGGAATAATTGAGGAAAACTTCCCCAGCCTTGCTAGAGATCTAGACATCCAAATACAAGAAGCTCAGAGAACACCTGGGACATTCATCGCAAAAGGATCATTGCCTAGGCACATAGTCATCAGGTTATCTAAAGTCAATGTAAAAGAAAGAACCTTAAGAGCTGTGAGGCAAAAGCATCAGGTAACCTATGAAGGAAAACCTATCAGATTAACAGCAGATTTCTCAGCAGAAACCCTACAAGCTAGAAAAGACTGGTGTCCTATTTTTAGCCTCCTTAAACAAAACAATTATCAACCAATAATTTTGTATTCAGTGAAACTAAGCTTCAAAATGAGGAAAGATACAGTGTTTTTCAGACAAATGCTGAGAGAATTTTCCACTACCAAGCCAGCACTACAAGAACTGCTAAAAGGAGCTCTAAATCTTGAAACAAATCCTTGAAATTACACCAAAATAGAATCTTCTTAAAACATAAATCTCACAACACCTATAAAATGACAACACAATGGAAAAAAAAGGTATCAAGCAACAAATAGCACAATGAATACACTAGTGCCTCACATCTCAATACTAACATTGAATGTAAATGGCCTAAATGCTCCAGTTAAAAGATACAGAATGGCAGAATGGATAAGAATTCAGCAACCAAGTAGCTGCTGTCTTCAAGAGACTCACCTGACACATAAAGACTCACATAAACTTAAGGTAAAGGGTGGAAAAAGATTTTCCATGCAAATGGATACCAAAAGCAAGCAGGAGTAGTTATTCTTATATCAGACAAAACAAACTTTAAAGCAACAGCGTTAAAAAAGACAAAGAGGGACATTACATAATGATAAAAGGGCTAGTCCCACAGGAAAATATCACAATCCTATGCACCTAACACTGAAGCTCCCAGATTTACAAAAACAATTACTACTAGACCTAAGAAATGAGATAGACAGCAACACAATAATAGTGGGGGACTTCAATACTCCACTGACAGCACTAGACAGGTCATCAAGACAGAAATTCAACAAAGAAACAATGGACTTAAACTATACCTTGGAATAAATGGACTTAACGGATATTTACAGAACATTCTACTCAACAACTGCAGAATATACATTCTATTTATCAGCACGTGGAACATTCTCCAAGGTAGACCATATAATAGGCAACAAAACAAGTCTCAACAAATTTAAGAAAATCAAAATTATAACAAATACTCTCTCAGACCATAGTGGAATAAAATTGGAAATCAATTCAAAAAGGAACCCTCAAAGCCATGCATATATATGGAAATTAAATAACTGCTCCTGAATGATCATTTGTTTAACAATGAAATCAAGATGGAAATTAAAAATTTTTTTGAACTGGACAATAATAGTGATACAACCCATCAAAACTTCTGGGATACAGCAAAGGCAGTTCTAAGAGGAAAGTTCATAGTATTAAATGCCTACATCAAGAAGTCTGAAAGAGCACAAACGGATAATCTCAGGTAACACCTCAAGGAGCTAGAGAAACAAGAACAAACCAAATCCAAATCCAGCAGAAGAAAAGAAATAACCAAGATCAGAGCAGAACTAAATAAAATTGAAACAAAGAAACAAAAATACAAAAGATAAATGAAACAAAAAGCTGGTTCTTTGAAAAGATACAAGTGATAGACTATTAGTGAGATTAACCAAGAAAAGAAGAAAGAAGATCCAAATAAATTCAATTAGACGTGAAACAACAGATGTTACAACCAATACCACAGAAATACAAAGGATCATTCAAGGCTACTATAAGCACCTTTACTTCCATGAATTAGAAAAACTAGAGAAGATGGATAAATTCCTGGAAGTATACAACCCTCCTAGATGAGAACAGGAAGAAATAGAAACTCTGAATAGACCAATAACAAGCAGCGATATTGGGATGGTAATAAAAAGTTACCAACAACAGCAACAAAAAAGTTTAAGACCAGACAGATTCACAGCTGAATGCTATCAGACATTCAAAGAAGAATTGGTACCAATTCTATTGACACTGTTCCAAAAGATAGAGAAAGAGGGAATCCTCTTTAAATTATTCTATGAAACCAGTATCACCCTAACCCCAAAATCAGGAAAGGACATAACAAAAAAATAAAACTCGAAAACAATACCCCTTATGAACATAGACGCGGAGGCTGCTGTGAGCTGAGATCGTGCCACTGCACTCCAGCCTGGGCAATAGAGCAAGACTCAGTCTCAAAATGAAAAAACAAACAAACAAAAACTCAAAAACAAACAAACACTCAAAAACAAACAAACAAACAAAAAACATAAATTGGGGAAAGAACTGCTATTCAATAAATGGTGTGGGGGAAAATTGGATAGCCACATGTAGAAGAATGAAACTAGATACCTATCCCTCACAATATAAAAAAATTGACTTCAGATGAATTAAAGACTTAAATCTAAGACCTGAAACCTTAAAAATTCTAGAAGAAAAACCTAGAAAAACCTCTTCTGGACATTGGCCTAGGCAAAGAATTTATGACTAAGACTCCAAAAGCAAATGCAACAAAAACAAAAATAAATGAATAAGACTTAATTAAACTAAAAATATTCTACACAGCAAAAGAAATAATTATCAGAGTAAACAGACAACCTACAGAATGGGAGATAATATTTGCAAATTATGCGTCTAACAAAGGACTAATACCAAGAATCTACAAGGAACTCAAAGAACTCAGCAAGAAAAAAATGACGTCATTAAAAACTGGGCAAAGGGCATGAAGAGACATTTCTCAAAAAAGATAAACACGTGGCCAACAAACATATGAAAAAATGGCCAGCCGGGTGTGGTGGCTCACGCCTGTAATCCCAGCACTTTGGGAGGCTGAGGCAGGCAGATCACGAGGTCAGGAGCTCGAGACCATCCTGGCTAACACGGTGAAACCCTGTCTCTACTAAAAATACAAAAAAATTAGCCAGGCATGGTGGCGGGCGCCTGTAGTCCCAGCTACTCAGAAGGCTGAGGCAGGAGAATGGCGTGAACCAGGGAGGCAGAGCTTGGAGTGAGCCAGGATCGCGCCACTGCACTCCAGCCAGGGCAACAGAGTGAGACTCTGTCTCAAAACAAAACAAAACAAAAACAAACAAACAAAAAAGCTCAACATCCCTTATCAGGGAAACGCAAATTAAAACTACAATGAGACACCACCTTACCCTGGCCAGAATGGACATTAATAAAAAGTCAATAAACAACAGAAGTTGGCAGGGATATGGTGAAAAAAGAATGCTTAGACACTGCTAGTAGGAACGTAAATTAGTACAACCTCTATGGAAAACAGTATGGAGATTTCTCAAAGAACCAAATTAAATCTACCATTCAATCCAGCAATCCCACTCCTGGTGGGAAAGAAAAGAAGTCATTATATCAACAAGGCAACTGCACACATATGTTTATCACAGCACAATTTAAAATTGTAAATATATGGAATCAACCTAAGTGCCCATCAACTGATGACTAATGAAAATGAGGTATATATATTCCATGGAATACTACTTAACCATAAAAAAGAATGAAATCATGTTTTTTGCAGCAACTTGATGAAACTTGATGGAGGCCATTATTCTAAATGAATTAACTCAGGAATCAACAACCAAATACCACATGTTCTCACTTACAAATGGGAGCTAAGCTAAGAGTATGCAAAGGCATACAGGGTGGTATACTGGACATTGGAGTCTCAGAAGTGGGAAGATTGAAGGGGAATAAATGCTACAAAATTAATAGGGTACAATGTATACTACTAAGGAGATGGGTGCACTAAAATCGTAGACTTCACCACTATCCAATTCATCCATGTCATCAAAGACCATTTGTATCCTTAAAGCTATTAAAATTTAGAAAAAATGTTAAAAATTTAATGTGTTTGAGAAATATACCAAACTTCACAAATATAACAAAATTGATATAATGGCATTAACAATGTCATGGAATACAGTTGAATTCGCGTCAAAGTTTTAACCAGGATACATAAATTAATTCCCAGTTTTGAACACCTACTGGCATCATGAAATAGCTTTATGAACTATTTTATGTCTCTGAGCCCTGTCTGTTAAAGTGAATAATAATATTTGCCCTACGTGTGAGAAGTTCAATTAGACAAGGTATATGCATTTTGCTAAGTATCAAGTATTATACAAATATAGAAACTATTATTATAATGTATTTCCTATGTCTTGTATTACCCAGGGAAGTCCAGGACAGAGGACAGAGTAAACACATTATATTAGGAATAATGAATTGAACCAGCTATGTAGGAAGAAAAAAGGAAAGAAAACAATTATAGCAAAAGAGGAAAGAAGAGAAGGGTTAAACTATACTAGAGAAAAAGGAAGGGAGAAGTGCACATTTGGGGGATTCCCCAAGAATGTCTGGGTGTTAATCTGTCTCCATGGGGACAGGCCTGGCTGACCTGTGTTCAGCACCCTGCTGAACTCAGCTGGAATGCAGCAAGAAGGGACCTCAGGGCATGGTATCCATATGTGATTGCAGGTATGGGGACAAGTTGGCTTTTACTCAGATGCAATGGGAGTATTCCAGAAGAGGATCCATAACTCCTTCCCAGGAACCAGCAGGACATCCAGACCTGAGCTGGGTGAATGGAAAAAAAAAAAAACAGAAGAAGTCTTTGCACTCATCTTTTAGGAGGTTGGCCTCTTTTTGAGTGTTGATGGGAGTCATAGAAGAGAGATCAGCCCTTCTACCTGCCTCTTGCTTAATCTACCCAGGACTTGGTGTGAGGGGAAGGGCCTCTCACTACCTTCCTGGGCTATCAGTCCTCATATAATTGACACGACACCTAGGACCCTGGTCAACACTTGCACATTTTCTAGTTAAAGGAACCATGGCTTTCTAGTGTGCTCTTTCGCTTTGAGAAGTTCAAGAGGCAATCCAGCTCTGGCAAAATACAAATAGCACAGTTATATTTCTCCTAAATGGCTACTAAACTGGCAAAATAAATGGATTAACTGCAGCAATATATGACAGGCAGGGCAGGGATGTTATTCTTGAGATAGAAAAAAATCATGTAGTGAGCTTCATATTTTCACCCAGCTTTCTGCCTGGGAAACTTTCTAAAATGTTCTTGTGTGTTTCCTGGCACAGAGAACAGGAGCTGGTTAAGGGAATGACCTTGAGGCTAACTATAATGGATGGAATTTATGAGACAGAGTGCAAGTGGGATGGAAGTTACATAGAAAAAGAGCCACAGAAATCTAGGAAGGGGGCCCCTCAGCTCTTTGCTGAGTACAAAACTGTGAATGAGCAGATTGAGGCCTAAGAGGCCAAGGGATGAATGAAAATACTTGAGGTTTCCAGGAATGGGAGATGCTGGAATCCATACCCAGCAGAGTAGCCAGGCCTCGCTGAACATGCCAAGCATCCGGGCTAGACCCCAGAGAGTGCCTTAGCAGGAAGGAGCTGCCCAGAACCACCCTAACACAGCCTGAACAAACCTCAGCAGGATCAGGGTGAGCCTCCATGAAATGAACTGCCTGTCCGAAAAAACTCAGCACTCTTTCATGGGAGACTATATAATAGAGACTCAAAATATATCATCTGTAATACCCGTCACCCAAATAAGAAAATGTTTACTAAGGCTGGAATCAGGGCCAAGCAAGGGAGGCACTAGTCTCAGGTACATGTTTAATGGGCGGCCAGAAATACTGAGCACTGAAGAGAAAAATAAATGTCTTAATTCAAAATTAATGCAAAAAATCAATGAGCAAAATATTACAATTTTAAATAGGATCAGGATTATTGTTTTTTCTTTTTGCCTCAGGTTCTAATTTGGCCCAACACAGAACTTCTACGGATACAAAGAAAAAAAAGTGACTTTTTTTTCATTTTTAAATCTCTTTAAAAAGGTGATTGGGTAAAAGATAATAATGTATTTGAGATTTATAATATATGTAGAAGTAAAAGGAATATGAATAATAGTGAAAGGGAAGAATGAGGGAAATTGAATTATATTGCTCTAAAATTTTCACATTATATAATGAAATGGTATAACATTAATTCAAAGTAGGCTGTGATCATTTAAAGATATATAGTGCAATCTCCAGAGCAACCTGAAAAAAAAATGAAGAAAGACTCGTCACTAAAAACCAGTGGAGGAGATAAAAAGGAATATTAAAATTGCTAGATTAATACAAAAGAAAGCAGGAAAAGAGAAAAAAAGAGAGTGAAAAACAGTACAGGGAAGCCCCCGACCCCACCCCAAGATTCCAAACTCCTTCTGTACCTGCCCTACGTAATCTTCTCCCATTGATTGCGGGCAGAACCTATGAATCCGATGAGCCATCATCCCCATGATTACGTTACATTACATGACAAAAGAATTAAGATCCCTAGTCAGTCAATTTTGCATTGATGAAAAAATAGATTTTAGGTTAGTAATTCTAACCTGAAAACCTAACCATAGGAAACAATACAAGAAAAAATAGCTGACTTTCTCCTTCTATCCTGGAAGAAAACAGAGCCAAATAGGGAATGGCATATCTGGGGTCTGAGGGTGGCCTCTAAGAGCTGAGAACAACCTTCAGTTGACAGCCATCAAGTAAACAGGAACCTCAGTCAAACAACACAAGAAACTGAATTCTGTATACAACTTGAATGAACCTGGAAGGGCACCCAAACTGAGGATGAGACTGTATTCCTGGCTAACATCTTGATTTTAGCTTTGTACGACTCTGACAAGAGAACCCAGATACCCTATGACTGGACTTTGATCTACATAAACTGAAATAATGATTGTTGTTTTAACCCACTAATTTTGTAGTACTGTATTAAGTAGCAAAAGAAAAGTAATACACAAACATCAATTATAAGAAAACTAGAGCAACTATATTAATATCACACAAAATAGACTTCAGTACAAACCCCTCACAAGTTGGGGGTTGGTGAGAAGGTATTGGGAACTCTCTGTACTTACCACTAAATGTTCAAGTAACTCAAAATTTCTTTTTTTTCTTTGAGATGGAGTCTCCCTCTGTCACCCAGGCTGGAGTGCTGTGGCGTGATCTCGGCTCACTGCAAGCTCCACCTCCTGGGTTCACACTATTCTCCTGCCTCAGCCTCCTGAGTAGCTGGGACTACAGGCGTCCGCCACCACGCCTGGCTAATTTTTTGTATTTTTAGTAGAGACGGGTTTTCACCGTGTTAGCCAGGATGGTCTCGATCTCCTGACCTCGTGATCCGCCCCCCTTGGCCTCCCAAAGTTCTGAGATTACAGGCGTGAGCCACCGCGCCCAGCCTCAAAATTTCTTTAAAATGTCTGTTAGTTATTTTTAAAACTATGGAATATAAAATAACATAATTAAAAGGATAAATGGACAAATCTATAATTATAGTTGAAGATACTTAATACTCTTTCCGCCAGGATTGATTGAATAAGGAGAAAAAAATTACTAAGAAAATAGATTTGAATAACACTTAACAAACAGCATAGTCTGTTTATAGAACTCTAAAACCAACAATTTAAGATTGTACATTCTTTTCAAGAGCATTCACTAAGAGAGAGCATAAACTTTCAGTTACAGTTGTCCCTCAGTATCCACAAGGAAGTGGCTCCAGGATTCTCGATCCGAAAATCTGCAGATTTATAACAGGCTCAAGTGCCTGTTATAAAATGGCTTTGTGTTTACATACAACCTATGCACATCCTCCCATATACTCTAAACCATCTCTACATCTCTACTTACAATACTTAATACAATGTAGATGATATGTAAATAATTGTTGCACTATACTGTTTTTCTATTTGTATGATTTTTTTTTTTTTTCAGACAGTCACGCTCTGTCGGCCAGGCTGGAGTGCAGTGGCACGATCTCAGCTCACTGCAACCTCTGCCTCCCGGGCTCAAGCAATTCTCCTGCCTCAGCCTCCCAAGTAGCTGGGATTACAGGGGTGCGCCACCATGCCCGGCTAATTTTTGTGTTTTTAGTAGAGACGGGGTTTCACCATGTTGACCAGGCTGGTCTTGAACTCCTGACCTCAGGTAATCCACCTGCCTCGGCCTCACAAAGTGCTGGGATTACAGGCGTGAGCCACCTTTCCCGGCCTTCTATTTGTATGATTTTAATTGTTGAATTGTTTGATTTTTTTTGTTTTAAAATTTTATTTATTTATTTATTTTTGAATATTTTTGATCTGTGGCTGGTTGAATCTGTGGATGCAGAACCCTGGGATCCAGAGGGCCAACTGCACACTTCTAGATAGATGGGTAGTTCCCACTGGAACCAAAACATCTTTGAGAGAAAGTTTTAAAAGTTGAAAATGTCCCCCAAAAATCACTTAAAGGGACCGGAGAGTGAGAAAAGCAGACTGGTTGTGGAAGAAAGCTGTCGTATGGAAAAATGGAACCACACGGAGCAATTAATTATGCTGTTTTCATAGCTTTTGGTCCAAAAGTAAACTGAAATCAACACCATGTTTGGCAGCTAAATCTTTGATTAAAAACAAACAAAACGCAAAATTTCCACACAAAAGAGAAGACAGAGGTCACAACAACCGTAATTGCTGGAAAGTGAGGCAGAAACAGAAAAAGATAGCAAGAGTGAAGGAGACTCAAATTCTGTGCATAAACTCCACCAAATCTCTAGCTCACTCCGGGATCATACAGGCAAGAGGCAGACAGCAACTAAGGATTAAGGAACACCAGTGAAATTTCACCACTTTCCAGGAGAAAGCTTGAAGTTCAAGTTGAAGCAAGTTAGTTGCCTTAAAAAAAAATGCACAACGTATTATTGAGAAAAGTAAATATCAATACTTTCCAAAGCTATTTATAAAAAATACAATGCTTAATAGGGTGCCATCTGGATTTTTTTTTTAACAAAAACTGACTGTTTCTAATACCAATATAGACTTGAAAAGGCACCAGAATAGTCAAACCAATACTGAAAAATAGAAACAAACTTGGGAAAATTCGCACTTCGCAATTTCAAAACTTACTCTAAAGCCACGGTAATAAAGACTGTGGTGCTGGTAAGGGAGGAACATGTAGATCAGTAGAATACTATTAAGAGTGTGGAAATAAACTCTTTGTTTATGGTCAATTTTTTTAATAAATGCGCCAACACAGTGCAATGGGAAAAAATGGTCCGTTCAATAAATGATGCTCATGTTGTATTGTTTATAAATAAACAATAAAGAATATTTATTTATTTTTCTTTTCTTTTCTTTTCTTTTTTTTGAGATGGAGTTTTGCTCTTGTTGCCCAGGCTGGAGTGCAATGGTGCGATCTCGGCTCACTGCAACCTCCACCTCCCAGGTTCAAGCAATTCTCCTGCCTCAGCCTCCCGAGTAGCTGGGATCACAGGAGTGTGCCACCATGGCCAACTAATTTTTTGTATTTTTAGTAGAGACGGGGTTTCACCATTTTGGCCAGGCTGGTCTCGAACTCTTGGCCTCAAGTGATACACCTGCCTTAGACCCCCAAAGCACTGGGATTACAGGCATGAGCCACCATGCCCGGCCTCAATAAATGATACTTATAATAAACAAATACTGTTTATAAACAACACAACAATCATAAATAATACAAACAAAAACAATACAGTGTAACAACTATTTACATAGCATTTACATTGTATTAGGTATTACAAGTAATCTAGAGATGATTGAAAGTCTACTTGTAGATCTATTATCTAATATCTACATGCAAGATAATTAATTTATGCCCCTTCCTGATAGCATACAAAAAAATTAACTCAAAATGGACATAGATCTAAAGGTAAAAACTAAAGCTATAAATCTCTTAGGAAAAAACATAGGAGTAAATATTCATGATCTTGAATTAGGCAATGGAATCTTGGACGTGACCAAATAAAATAAAATAAAAAAGATAAATTTGGACTTCATAAAAAAACTACACTACAAATGACATCACAAAAAGAGTAAAAAGATAGTTCACAAGATGGTAGAATATTTGTAAATGACATATTTGATAAGGGGCTTGTACCCAGAATATATAAATAATTTTTAGAAGTCAGTAAGAAAAACATCTCAAAAAAATTGAAAACCAAAACATGGTAGTATTTACCTAAGGATAGAGACAGAGATAAAAGGATTAAACTGAAAGTCTAGAAATAGACTCACAGATACATGGGCAACTGATTTTTGGTGAAGGTACCAAGGCAATTCAAAAGGATAGTCTTTTCAGTAAGTGGGGCTGATCATCCATAAGATTAAACAAACCAACCAACCCACCGTGACCCTTACCTTACATCATACACAAACATTAACTTGAAATGAATCATGAACCTAAGTGTAAATCCCAAAAACAAAATATTTCTAAAAGAAAGCATAGGAACATATCCCTAGCATTGGTTTGGGCAAATGATTGAATTGCACAAACACATGAACAATAACAAAATTTGGGTGCTATTTGTGTCCCCGTAAAGTTTGCACATTGAAACCTAATTCCCAATGTGATAGTGTTAGTAGGAGAAACCTCTGGGAGGTGATGAAATCCTGTGGGTGAGCCCTCGAGAATGGCACTGTTCTTATGAAAGAGGTCCCAGGAGCCATCTTGCCTCAGGCCACCCTGGGAGGACGCAACGGGAAGGCACCATTTATGAACCTGAGAGCCCTCCCCAGACACCAAATCTGCCGGTGCCTCGGTCTTGGACTGCCCAGCTCTTCAATTGTGAGCAATACATTTATGTTGTTTATAAGCCACTCTATTTATGGTATTTTTGTTGTAATACCCTAAATAGAACAAGACAATTGCCTTTCAGCAAATTAAAAGCTTATTTGAAGGACTTTTTTTTTGTTTTTTCTTGTATGCATTTAAGGTATACAAAATAATGTTTTGATATATGTATATATAGTGAAATTATTACTATAGTCAAACAAATGAACACATCCATGATGCTACACGGTTTCTTTTTGGTTTGTACGTGTGGGTAAAGTAAGTCATATGTACTCTCTTAGTAAATTTCTAGTCTATAATACCATATTATTAATGATAGTCCCCACGCTGTACATTATTATTATTATTATTTTGTTTTATTTTATTATTTTTTTTAGACTGAGTTTCACTCTGTTGCCCTGGCTGCAGTGCAGTGGTGCAATCTTGGCTCACTACAACCTCCACCTCATGGGTTCAAGCGATTCTCCTGCCTCAGCCTCCCGAGTAGCTGGGATTACAGGCATGTGCCACCATATCCGGATAATTATCATGCTGTATACTCGATCTCTAGATTTATTTATAATAAGAAACTGAGATTTTGTACCCTTTGACCTCCATCTCCCATGACCTCCCACCTTGACCCCAAATAACCACTGTTTTGCTCTGTTGCTATGTATTTGAGTTTTTCTTTTCTTTTTTTTTTCCTCTCTTTTAGAGTTTACATGTAAGTGAAATCATGCAGTATTTTTCTGTGTCTGGCTTCTTTCACCTAGCATAATGTGAAAGGCACTGTTAAGAACATTAAAGATAAGTTAGTTTTATAGAAAATATTTGCAAAAACACACAGCTGATAAAGATTCATGTTCAGAACATATAAAGAACTCTTACAATTCAGTTGGAAAATTACAATTGTTCGATAAAAATGTTAGCAAAGATTTGGATAGAAAGTTAAGGAAAAGACATATAGATAGCAAATAATAACATGAAATGAGTCTCAAAGTTACTATTTGTCAGGGAAATGTAAATTAAAATAGCATATAACACAACATACCACTACAAGCCTCCTAGATGACTAAATTTTAAAAGATGAACAATATCAAATATTACTGAGGATTCATGGAAACTGTAATTCTTATGTGTTGCTGATGAGAATGCAAACAGTATAACTATTTGGAAAACAAATTAGCTTTCTTTTTCTTTTTCTTTTTCTTTTTTTTTGAGTTGGAGTTTTTGCTCTTGTTGTCCAGGGTGGAGTGCAGTGGTGCCATCTCGGCTCACTGCAACCTCTGCCTCCCGGGTTCAAGCGATTCTCCTGCCTCAGCCTCCCAAAATGGCTGGGATTACAGGCACATGCCACCACACCCGGCTAATTTTTTTGCATTTTTAGTAGAGATGGGGCTTCGCCATGTTGGTCAGGCTAGTATCCAACTCCTGACTTCAGGTGATCTGCTTGCCTTGGCCTCCCAAAGACCCAAAGAGCTGGGATTACAGGCGTGAGCCACCGCGCCAGGGCAAATTTTTTAAAATAAAGTTAAAACTTACACTTATCATATGTTCAAAATATCTCCCTCCCAGATATTTAACCTAGAGACCAAAAAACATGTGTCGATTAAAGACCTCTATGCAAACATTTATTAAGAAGTTTATTCATGGCTGGGCGCAGTGGCTCACGCCTGCAATCCCAGCACTTTGGGAGGCCGAGGCAGGCGGATCACAAGGTCAGGAGATCCAGACCATCCTGGCTAACACAGTGAAACCCCGTCTCTACTAAAAATACAACAAAATTAGCTGGGTGTGGTGGCGCGCACCTGTAGTTCCAGCTACTCGGGAAGCTGAGGCAGGAGAATGGCATGAAGCCAGGAGGCGGAGCTTGCAGTGAGCCGAGATCACGCCACTGCACTCCAGCCTGGGTGACAGAGCAAGACTCCATTTCAAAAAAAAAAAAAAAAAAGAAGTTTATTCATAATACCCCAAGAGTACAGGTACAGTGAAAACACCATGAATGTACTTCACTTCCTGAATATAGAAACAAATTGTAGTATGTCTATCCATACAATAGAATACTATTCATCAATTAAAAGTACGAATTATTGATATCTGTAACAACATAGATGAACTGCAAGAGTATCCCATTGAGTGCAGGAAGACAGAAAGGAAAGATCACATTCTCTTTGAATACATTTGTCTAAAGCTAAAAAAAAGGCAGAACCATCTTTGGGAATAGAAACCAGACTGGTAGTTGCCCTATAGGAGGTGGCTGAGATTGAATGGTAAGGGGGTACCATGAGGGAACGTTCTGTGTAATTAAAATAAACTTTTAAATTATTATTACTATTTTTTCTTTTTTTGAGACGGAGTCTTGCTCTGTCCCCCAGGCTGGAGTGCAGTGACGTGATCTTGGCACACTGCAAGCTCCGTCTCCTGGGTTCACGCCATTCTCCTGCCTCAGCCTCCCGAGTAGCTGGGACTACAGGCGCCCGCCACCACGCCGGGCTAATTTTTTTGTATTTTTAGTAGAGATGGACTTTCACCGTGTTAGCCAGGATGGTCTTGAACTCCTGACCTCGTGATCCGCCTGCCTCGGCCTCCCAAAGTGCTGGGATTACAGGCGTCAGCCACCGCCCACCACGCCCGGCCAAACTTTTTAATTGTAATAGCTTCGTAATCAGTTGTGGATTATAGAGGTATATGCATTTGTCAAAATACATAAAACTATGCACTTTAAATGCTAACATCTCTCTGTAGCACATAGGCATACCCTATTTTATTATGTTTCCTAGACATCATGCTTTCCAAATTAAAGGTGTGCGGCAACTCAGTGGAGCAAGGCTATGGGCACCATTTTTCCAATACCATGAGCTCATCTGGTGTCTCAGTGTCACATTTTGGTAATTCTATCAATATTTCTAACATTTTCATTATTATTATATCTGTTATGGTGATCTGTGATCAGTGATCTCTGATGTTACTGCTGTCATTGTTTTGGGGCGCCACAAATCATGCCCATATAAGGTGGTAAACTTAGTTGATGACTACTTCACCAACCATCCGATCCTCTGTTCCTTTCTCTCTCCTAGGGCTTTCCTATTCCCTGAAGCACAACCATGTGGCAATTAGGCTTACTAACCTATAACCCTACAATGGCCTCTACATGTTCAAGGGGAAGGAAGTCGCAGGTCTCTCACTTTAAATCAAAAGCTAGAAGTGATTTAGCTCAGTGAGCAGATCTTGTCAAAAGCCGAGACAGACTGAAAGAGAGGCCTCTCGTGCCAAAATTAGCCAAGTTATGAATGTAAAGGAAAAGTTCTTGAAGGAAATTAAAAGTGCTCCTCCAGTGAACACCAGGAATGATAAGAAAGTGAAACAACCCTATTGCTGAGAGGAAGAAAGTTTGAGTGGTCTGGATAGAGGACTGACCCAGCCACAACATTCCGTTAAGCCAAAGTGTAATCCACAGCAAGACCTTCAATGTCAAGCCAAGACCTTCCACCGGCAAAAAGATTACGACTTGCCGAAGGCCCAGATGATCGTTAGCATTTTTGAGCAATAAAATAACTTTAGTCAAGCTAGGTGCATTGGTATTTTAGGTATAAGGCTACCGCACATTTAATAGACTACAGAATGGTGTAAATAAAACTTTTATATGCACTAGGAAGCCAATAACTTTATGTGACTTGCTTTAATGTGATATTGTCTTTATTGTGGTGGTCTGGAATGCCCGCAATAGCTCCAAGTTATGCCTGTACCTCCACAAAAACGAAAATATTCCAAAAAAGAAGACTGACTTTTATCACTCTGTAATTACAAGTAAACTTGCATATACTTTAAATAGTACTACATGCTTAGTCTTAAGAAACAATTTTTTTTAACCTAAAAATAAAATCACAGCAGAGTTCGTCCTGGGATTGAACACATTATTTCTTCACAAGTACAAATACCAGATTGCTTGAAGTGCCATTTTATCTTGCTGGACCAGTGGGCACCCAGCCTGTGTGCAGAGCCCGCTAGAGCTGGTGAACACCCGCGCTGTGGCCTAGCTCCCACTCCCTGGGTGGGATGGCTGCATGAAGCAGGACACCTCGAAAGGCCTCCAGAGTGACTCCTTTGGGATGCTAACCGGTGGGAACACCTCGAGGAATTGTTTCACCCCGACTCGTCTTTCAGACATGCCTGGAGAAAATGATAAAGACCTTTCTGAGGGCCCTAGGAGCCCATAGCTATCTTGGAGGAGCACAGAAGGAAGGGAAGAAAGAATTCCTCAGATTTCCAAGGAGAAACTTATGTGGGCAGCCGTTGTTAATACAGTGAATTACATGATATGGAAATGAATTCTCCAGCTAAGGGGCTAAGTAAGGGAGGTGGGAGAGAGGGTCCTTCGGAGAATCCTAACCCTGCACCTGTGGAGGCAGGGACCATGGCTTTTTCATCTGTGTGATGCAGATTGGCCTCCTGAGCAGCAGTGATGGATTGCCTGTAGCGCCTTCAGAGTGGCAGAGACTCAGAGGCCTTTTAGTGAGTACTCAGAAGAGTACCTGACCTGAGGAGTGGCTCAAATCTCGTTTGTGACATGGTGGAAAATGAGCAAATAAGTGACTGAATTAATGCACGGCCACCAAAACAAAGCAAAGAAGTTGGTCTGAACTGACTTCCTGTCTCCTTTCATAGTTGTTATTCCATATTTCAGCCCAGGTGTCACATCCAGCCACCCTTCCATAAACAAGCCATTCATGTCTCTTTGCCCCTCCCCACCCAGTCTTTCACCACCTGTAAAATGGAGCCGCGCTTCACCTGGGTTCAGACACATTAAAGATGCTCCTCATGACAGTCACTGAGTTCAGCCGGGTGAAATGGTCAATATCCTATATTATTGACTTCGAACAATTATGTTGTAGTATTTCACGTAATACAATTAGTGTCATGATCATTTTCTACCATGTTTTGCTGGCCTGTGGTTAACAGGAGGCACAGTTAAAGCCCTCAGTCAATGTCAGCCTACGGTCTGAAAACCCCATGGAGGCAGGGATTGTGGTCTGTTTTGTTCACTGATGCAGTTCCAGTGCTGGGCATGCTTAGTAAAAAGCAGCTTAGTGCAGGAGTCCCCCCCACCATCTGCAGGAGATACCTTTCAAGACCCTTGGTGGATGCCAGAAACTACAGGTAGTGCTAAATCCTGTATATATTTTTTCTTTTATAAACATACCTATGATAAAGTTCAATTTATAAATTGGGCATGATAAGAGATTAACAGTAGCTAATGATAAAATAGAACAATTATAACCACATGCCAACATCACTAATGTTGCACATTGGGGCCACTATTAAGTAAAATAAGGGTGACTTGAACACAAGCACCACGATACCACAATAGTGGATCTGATAACAAAAAGCACTACTTGGTGAATGACAGGTGGGCAGTACCTACAGCACAGGTAGCCTGACAAAGGGATGAGTCATGTTTAGGGCGAACGGAGGGAAACTATTTAATATGTAATTACACTACTCAGAATGGTGCACAATTTAAAAATTATGAATTGTTTATTTTTGAAATTTTCCATTGAATATTTTCAGATCATGGTGAACTGTGGGTTAACTGAAACCATGGGAAGCAAAACTGCAGAAACCACAGATAAGGGGGATTTACGGTGTCGGTTTTCCCCCACAAAGCCCCTCAAATCTATTCACAAATTGTTTTAAAAACTACCTTTAGCCTGACCAACATGGTGAAACCCCGTCTCTACTAAAAATACAAAAATTAGCTGGGCGTGGTGGTGCACCTGTAATCCCAGCTACCCAGGAGGCTGAGGAAGGAGAATCGCTTGAACTTGGGAGGTGGAGGTTGCAGTGAGCCGAGATCATGCTACTGCACTCCAGCCTGGGTGACAGGAGTGAAACTCTGTCAAGAAAAAAAAAAACCCTACTTTTGACAAGTATGAGTTGTTACAGTTTTGTGAAGACCTTGGAGTTATTAACATAAAAACGCAAAAATTCGGACACATTTCCTCTCCCTGAGTAAAGTTTGAGGTCAAATCAAAAATTTCTTTTAAAAAATAATGCCATAAAATACAATATGAAGTGAATGCAAACCACTAATGGCACCAGATAGCTGATGTGTTTCCCAGGGACATATTGTGGCATAGAGGAGCCTGAGAGCCGTGGCTCATGACTGGTGGAGGCATTCCTAGGTGTGTGCAGGGACCTCATCTCAGAATTTTCTCCTCAAGGTTCTCCTGACAGTAAAGTGGCAGTTTTATCCTTTTAAAAAGCTACTTATCTGAATTGTGCATTTTACTCCAGTATATATCTCAGATGGTCTTAATATAAAAATAATGCACTTCTCACATTTCTTTGAGTAAGACACTCACGAGAGATGAGCCTCACACCTCACCTGTGGCTCTGCACTTGCGGGGCACCTTGCCTCTCATCTGTGGGAAAGCACAGGCCTAGGGACTTAAGGAGAAGCAATTTTCTTCTCCTCACAGTTTTCTTTCTTTTCTTCTTCTTCTTCTTTCTTCTTCTTCTTCTCCTTCTCCTTCTTCTTCCTTCTTCCTTCTTTCTTCCTTCTCCTTCTTCCTTCTTCTCTTCCTCTTCCTCTTCCTCCTCCTCTTCTTCTTCTTCTCTTTTTTTTTTTTTCTTGAGATGGAGTCTCTCTCTGTTGCCCAAGCTGGAGTGCAGTGATGCGATCTCAGCTCACTGCAACCTCCACCTCTCGGGTTAAAGTGATTCTCCTGCCTTAGCCTCCCAAGTTGCTGCAATTACAGGCGTCATCCACCATGCCCAGCTAATTTTTGTATTTTTAGTAGAGACCAGGTCTCACCATGTTACCCAGGCTAGTCTCAACCTCCTGACCTCAGGTGATCTGCCCACTTTGGCCTCCCAAAGTGCTGAGATTACAGGCATAAGCCTAGAGGAGGAGGCGTGGCCTCCTCACAGTTTTCTATCAGTCAATCTGATGTCTGGGAATATGCTTCTTCCTCCTTTAACCATGTGTGAAGTGTCTGTTCTGCGCCTGCCATTCAATTCTGTAGCCTGGGTTATATGAAGCCAGCACATGCTCCTGTACTTAATGAATTTTACTGCTTTGGTAGGAAGACACAATATAAATATGTAGAGGAAACAGAGAAATCATTTAGTGACAGTAAAATCCAACACAGAGCAAATCTGTCAAATAAATGAGATATATAAATGCTTGAAGGATTTCAGATTAAAAATAGGACGATTGCCTGGTTAGAGAGTACTGGGAGGTAGCTGGATGCCAGATTGAAGACTCTTGGAGAAGGCGGGGTTGGCAAGGGAAAGGAGACAGAAGAAGATGGGCTGCAGGAGCCACGCCCCACACAGGGGTGGGACAGCCAGGGAAGGGCTCATGGCAGCGGCTTCGTTCATCCCCTTCACTCCTGTCCGGTCTCCACAATTCACCACGTGACCAGAGATGGAGACAGTGTCACTGCCCTGAACCCTCATGGCACACAGGACAGCTGCTCACACTCCTGAGCCCAGGTATTCCAGTAGCAAACCGAGCCTCCACCCCACTCAGCTGCCCTGCGATTTGACAAGGCAGTGTCACTGATCTCACCTCAGCTGCCTGTCAGTCAACCGTTAACCAAGCCACTCATGTCAACCCCAGCCTCCCAGACAGACAGCACAAGTTAGGCATCACAGTTGTTCCTGACCTCACATCTGCATTAGGCACACACCAGACCTTCCTTCTGAAAACTCTCCACCTCTTCCTTGTTTAGGACATCATGGATCTTTCGAGATTCTGCCCTTGGGCTGAGCAAGGTGCAGGTCACCCTGTGCTTGTTTCAGGCCACCGTGCTCAGGCCCTCAGGGACTGGCCGTGGAATAATACCATGTGTTATTATGTGTTCTGACTGCCTATTAGCCTGTGCCTCCACCACTGCATGTAAACTCAGTGAGGCAGTGGCTGGGTCTGATGTCCTTGCACCACCTGGTACCTAACAGCGTCCACCACCTGGGACAGACTGGAAAGGCCCCCAGTAGGGCAGCCTAGAGAATGAAAATGCCGTGGGCAGGGATCACTGTCTGTGGTTTGCTGATGTATTCTCAGTGCCAGGGATTAGGCACCTGCTCAGTAAGTGTTTGCTAAATGAATGAATGGCTGCCTGGAGGGAAAAATCAATACGTATTGAGAAAAGGATTAAAAAGAGAAAGAAAGAGAAGCTGAGGGGAGGTTGTGTTCTTCCCGTTTAGATCATGTAAACACATCCTCCTTGAATGCTGTCACTGTCAGGCCCTCCGAACCCTCACTGTTCTGAGAAACCAAACCTCTACCCCACCACAGGCCATTGGAATCACAGCATTTGACTAATTGCCTGAAAAAGCCAATACCCCATTCACTCTCTTGTTTACTGAATCACGTAGCCTATAATTTTTCTTCATCGACACCCCCAATGGATCTAAGGAGAATATTGTGAACTCTATGCAGGGATTTCTAAACTGTGTAGCCTGTGCTATGAATTTTTGCTTTCATGCTTTAAGAAATAAGCCAAACAAGAGTAAGTAAATCCAGTGTCTTCAGGCTGCCACCCCGTGAGACCTCAGCCCTCAGCAACTCTGGACTGGAGAAGATGGCGAGAAACATGCACCCATCTCAGATGAGGGCCTGGGTGTGGGGCTGGGTTCCCAGGAGCTGGGATAAGAATGTAAATGCTCCAGCTGTCAGAGCAGGAAGGATGAAGGAAGGAAAGTCTGTTGCCAGAGCTCAGGTTCAAGTTCTGGGGCAGCACTCTCACGCCTCAACATCCATGCATGCACCCCACAAGCACTTACTAAGCACCTCCTAAGTACCAGGCCCATGCTCGGCAGTTAGTGCATGTGGGCTGCAAATTCTGACAAAGTAAAAGCTGAAATAGAAGTTGAAGGTGGCAGGCAGAATCATGCCCCTCCAGAGATGCCCATGCTGTAATCCCCAAAACATGTGAATATGCTGCTTTACATGGCAAAAGAGACTTTGCAGATGTGATACTGTTATGGACCTTAGGATGGGCAGATTATCCTGGATTGCCCAGTTGGGCACAGTTTAATAAAATGAGTCCTTGAAAGCTGAGGACCTTCCTTGGCTGTAACCAGAAACATGGAATATGCCAAAGATTCAACTTTCCCTTGATGGCTTGGAGGATGGAGGAAGGAGCCACAAGCCACAGAAAGTGGCGACTTCCAGAAGCTGGAATGGTCCTCAGCTCACAGCCAGCAAGAAAATGCAGCTCAGTTCTATAACCCCAAAGAAATGAATGTGGTCAGCCACCCACATGAGCGGGGAAAGGGATCCTCCCCTAGGGCCTCCAGGAAGGAATGGAGCCCTGCTGATATCAGCATGGTAGCCTGGCGAGAACAATGTTGGACTCCTAGCCAACAGAACTGTAAGATAATAAATTTGTGTTGTTTTAAGCCACTACATTTGTGATAATTGGTTATAACAATGATAGAAAACTATCACTGGAACCAAAAATTCAAAAATAAGTATAAACAAAATCAAATCAGCAGCAGTTGACAATTGGTAACCCTTACCCTAACCCTTGTTAAACACTCTCTGGAACTTGACGCTGTCCGTCCTGGGTGCTGATGCATGACATAGACACGGGAGCAGAAGAAGACTGGGTGCTGGGTGGACACACATACCCGTCAGAAATGTTCATCTTTTTCCCAGTCTCTGAGGATCCTGTTCTTTGTTATGATCAGAGTACAGCAGAGAAGAAAAAAATAGTGGAGTTAATGAGAAATAAAGCAAAATGGGTGTAGAATTTGCAGCAGCCAGCAGAGATCAATTCAAAGCAATGATGAGGCAAAACCAGCCCTTCTCCCACACAAGTGCTGGTTTCTAAGGCTGCAGTTCTTAACGCTGGTTACAAATTAGAAATACCTGGGGAGCTCAAGATAAAAAACAAAACAAAACTGAATCTCGTGTTCTATGCCTAAGGGACTGTGATTTAGTTGGCCTGGCCTAACACTCAGGGATAGGTATTTTAAAAAGTCTCTGGGAATGATGTTTGAATGCAGCCGTGGTTGAGGATTATTTTGGGGGTAGGGGATGTGGGTGTCTGGTGTCTGATCCTTGAACTTTAAAGAGATTTTATATAAACTAAAGGTAGATGAAGGTCAATGTAGGAAATCTGGAGAATAAGATATGATTGACTGGAAAGAAACCTTAGCCCGGGGAAGACTAGGTTTGGAGGCCTAGGGCAGGAAAACAGGAGGCAGATGGGAAAAGGGGTCAAGCTGCTGTTTGCCATAGCTGGGTCTGCTCCATGGATGCACGCCAACACACCAGGACAATGCACACAGCAGAAACAGGCACCTGCCCTGCATCCTAAAACTATCCCCTTGTCCTTCCCTTTCCCAGTTCCACCCCTCTGCTCTTGGGACTCTGGTGTTTTGGCTGTGCCTTGCTCCTGGCCACTCAACAGATAATCCTGATTTGAGCTTGATCCCTGCCTGACCTTGACCTGCTGCTCACATCCTCCCAGACACAAAAAGTTCAGGGCTCCTCTCTATGCCTTTCCTGCAGGAGAAAATTGGGCACTGGGCATGGTTTCATAACGGTTTCATGCAAAAAAAAATTATTAAATTATGTGCTCCTGATAAATGCAAAATATTTAGCAAAACAGTTAAAATGGACCAAGCTCCAAATTCTTTTACTAGTTGATATGGCTAAAAAAAAAAGCGTAGGATCAATTGCTTCTGAGACCCACAGCAATTTAGGAGATATAATCACTTTCACTCATTCACTCTCTCACCCCAGAAGTGCCCAAGAAGCTAATATGTGTGCTAGATATGTGCCAATGTGCTTATGGACTAGACAAACACGGAACTTGTGCTGGGGAAACTGACCATGGGATTCCCATGTGCTGTGGTAAGCTTCAAGCCAGGGAAGTACAGAATGCTGTGGAAGACTTCTCCAAAAACACAAGTGTGAGCCAAGTTCAACATTGGAGGGTCAGGCTGAACCTAAGGCTCTTAGATAAGAAGTCTTAATAAATTACCCAACATCTATTTTACCTATAAGAAAACTCAGGTTCAGAGCAGGAATGTTGCCCAAGGTAACCCAGAAAGTTGAAAAGTCCTAAGCCCATGATGTTTCTACCATATCACAATATATCTCCTGCAGAGCTGCTGCGGGGAGCATTCGGTTCAGCAGTTCCCCCTTACACTGTGCTGCTTTCTGTAGGAGGGAAACAGGGCAGAGCAGGGTCCGTAACATCAACTCCTTGACCACCCCCGCTCCCCAGCATTCACGGGGCTTTGCAGCCCATGGCAGGGATAACCAGACAGAACATGGTATCTGGAATGTTATTTCTACTATTAGAAAAGAAATCTAAGCTTCACCCTGGATGAGGGTGGGTTAACAGAGACTGTGGGAATTTGAAGGGAAGCAGGTGTCAGATCTCTGTGACCTATGAAAGATCTGGGCAGGGACAAGGGTCATGGGGCAGGACTCTGGATACAGCCTGCATGCAAGTTACACTCACCCTGGATCTTGATGCTCTGGCTACAGATCTGATGGATTTTCACCCATCCAGGAGGGTTTAGAACCATGTCACCCAGCTACACACAGAAATTAAGGAAATGGAAACAAGTGCAGGTCGCTCTAATTCCTATAGGCCTCCTCTTCCACTAGTCATGTCATTTCATTCATTTCAAAATATTAAGAACTTTATATACATCCCCTAAGAATTTGCAAATTAAAAATGAAATCTGGAGAAGGCACTGCTGAGCCTAAATGTTTGCATCCCTGACTGCTTGTTGAAGCTCCATGCTGCTTGATCATTACTCTTTTAGATGTTTTGTTGTTGTTAATGTCCAAAGATGGTTTCCTAAACATTACCATTTATACACATATAAGCACCACAAGATAATCATCATTCAACACAGACTCCCACAATTATTCATGTGCTGGGGTTACACCATGAAGGATCATTTGGTCTGATTAGCGATTCTCAGCTTCTAGTCAATTAGCTGAGTAATCTTTGCCTGACTTACTCTGTTAGTGCTCTGCACAGAGCGAGAGAAAAGTTCTCCAATAAGGACACTTCAGCTACTTTTGCATTCACGCAGCAGCAAGCAGTGCTTTGTTAATAAAATTTGCAGCTATTATAAATCCCTTAAGCTTTCAAAGTTCATCTACGATAGATTTGTGATATCTATGATCCTGCTCAACTCAAGCCAAGGGAAAGATAGATTTTGCATTTCATTTGTCTAAAAATTAAAACTTCATTATAGGAAGGAAACTTTTTTTCTATATTCCTATGGAAAAGGAAAGCACAAGGCAATTAGTGACAGGTCACAAATCTACTGGGGTGAGATAAGCCCTGGATTACAGCCTTTGCAGTGCCCAATGCACTCAATTTCTCACAAACTCCACCAATAAATGATAATGAAATCATTTATGATAAAAAGTTGGATGTTCAAAGTCTCAAGCCAAAATTATTCCATATCTAAAGAAAATTAAGAAGTATTAACAAATATTCACTGTAGGATTAATTTTGCTTTCCATTACCAAATCTACTTGTTGACTTAGGGCAGTATTTCTCAGAGTATGATTGTTTACCTTGTAACTTAGTTATTCCAGTTATAAGATTATATTATAGAAAATAATGAGAACAACAATATATATACATGTAGGTGTTAATTGCTGCAAAATTTATAACCACTTAAATACATAAAAATAGAGAAATGCTTGAAAAGAGAAGATTAAGGACCTCTGAAAATTTGCACCTCTATTAAAACAATTTATATGTATATATTTTTTAGTGTCAAAACCAACTTTTTCAGAACTCTGTAAATCCAACGATGGCTTGCAACAACCCAGGATGTTTTTATTCAAGAAAAACATCTGCATGGTGTCGAGCTTTGTGGCATTTTAAACTACTCTAGTCCTGTAATAACTTCTTAGCTTCAGTGATAGCCTTGAAAACAATGGCTTTTATTACTAGTACTGGAGGGAACAGAAAGAAGATAATTCCCAAAGCGTTTTTATTATTTTACCTGTCTAGTGGTTTTCTGGAAGACCTGACTAGAAATGCCTGTGTTTATTGGTCATCCAGTATTGAAAGCACTTCCCCAATGACAGAAATGTTTGTTGACGTCTTTATTGGTAAATGTTTTAAAGATATGACTAAATGAGGCAATAGATAAAAGGTGGCACAAACAATATAGCAACCAAAACCTTAAAGGGAAAAGCTAAGAAGATGTCTACAAGGGTTTTGAAAGCTCCTACATATTCCTGGAAACACAGCAGGCACACATGTAGGGCTGTTCATATGATCAAGAAAATTCTGGCTAGGCGCGGTAGCTCACGCCTGTAATCCCATCACTTTGGGAGGCCGAGGCGGGCGGATCACAAGGTCAGGAGATCGAGACCATCCTGGCTAACACGGTGAAACCCCGTCTCTACTAAAAATACAAAAAAATTATCAGGGTGTGGTGGTGGGTGCCTGTTGTCCCAGCTACTTGGCAGGCTGAGGCAGGAGAATGGAGTGAACCCGGGAGGCGGAGCTTGCAGTGAGCTGAGATTGTGCCACTGCACTCCAGCCTGGGCAACAGAGCGAGACTCTGTCTCAAAAAAAAAAAAAAAGAAAAGAAAATTCTAAAAATTTCCTAAGCTCTCACCTCTGGCTGACCTTCAGTCTCTGAAAAAGCAGGAAGTAAATGGTAAGGCAGAGTTTTCAACTGCCTGTTTGAGTGTTAAAAGTACACTCCAACATGAATAAAACAACTCCTGGGAAATTTGAGATTTATTTGTTCCAGGCATTTAAGAAAATCCTGGTGCATTATTAGCTGATCACTAAGATAACCAGGTAGAAACTTCGGCATACACAATAAAAGATGCATTCTACAAATACTTAGTTCAGAAAAGCCATTACACAAAAACCAACAACTGCAATGATGAGCAGCAAAAACAAACTCTGGAAGGAGAGAAGAAGCTTATTTCCAGATTACCATATTATATAATTTTAAATGCCCACATTTAAAAAAAATTGCAAGACATGAAAAAGAATTTTAAAAGTATAGTCAATACACAGGCAAAGCAGTTAATACAAACAGTTCCTGAGGAAGCTCAAGCGTTGGACTTACCAGACAAAGAGTTTAAATCAACTGTTTTAAATATGTTCAAGGCCCTAAAGGAAAGCACGTCTAAAGAAATTTTTTTAAAGCATGAGAACAATTTCTCTCTAGTAGGAAATATCACTAAAGAGAAATTATATAATTGAATAATACAATTGTTGAAGTGAAAAAATCACTACAGAAGCTAAACAACAAATTCAAACAGAAAAGAGAAGCAGCAAATTTGAAGTGAGGTCAATTGAGATAACCCAGGCTGATTAATTTTTTTAAATAAGGACAAATAAAAATAGATTCTAAGACACACATGGGACACCATAAAGTATACCAATATATGGGATAATCAAGCAACTAGAAGGAGAAAGGAGAGAAACATACAGAAACATACTTGAAGAACTGATGTCTGAAAATTTTCCAAATTTAATGAAGACTATTAATCTAAACATCCAAGAAGCTCAATAAACTCCAAGTATAATAAACTAAAAGAGATTCATACTTAAATATGGTATTATAATCAAAGCGTGGAAAGCCAAAGAAAGAATCTTGAAAGAAGCAAGAGAGAAGCAACTTACATACATGGATCCTTAATAAGAGAATCAGCTGACTTATCATCTGAAACCATGGAGCCCAATGGTCAGGAGAATAA
Organism: Homo sapiens; assembly: GCF_000001405.40. Lineage (NCBI taxonomy): Eukaryota > Metazoa > Chordata > Mammalia > Primates > Hominidae > Homo > Homo sapiens. The sequence continues at coordinate 129,097,535 of NC_000002.12, read as the reverse complement.
CATAACCACAGTGCTGAAAGAAAAACATGTCACACAAGAATCCCACATCCAGCAAAACTATTCTAAAGAAGAAAATAGAAATTGAGACATTCTGAAAAAAAAAAAAATGGAGAGAGTTTGTCACTACCAGACCTGCCCTATAAGAAATACGAAAATGGAAGGAGACTAGAGAGTAACTCAAATCAACATGAAGAAATAAGGACTGGTAAAAAATAAGTGGGTGAAGGGAGCTATATAGGAGCAAACAAAAAATAAGTTTATGCTGTATTTTGAATTTATCTTATTTTTCGTCTGTAGCACCTTTTTTTAACTGATTTTAAACAACAGCTTCATAAAGCAATAACGATAAATCTATATTGATGCACATAAAATATATAAGGCAATTTGTGACAATAGCAGCATAAAGGCAAGGGTAAAGGGTAGAGCAAAGTTTTTGCATACAATTGAAATTTAATTGGTGGTAATCTGTTATACATTAATATAATAATTATAATATTCAGGACACTCATCAAGAAAATGGCTTAAGATATATAGTAAAAGAAATGAAAAGGGAATTAAAATGCTATACAAGGAAATATTTATTTAACTCAAAAGAAAGGGGTAATGGGGGAATAGAGGTAAAAAGACACCTAAGACACATAGAAAACAATAGAAAAATGGTAGAACACAATGCTAACTTATGAGTAACTACATATAGAAAGATCAAAATGGTGAGATGGGGCCGGGCGCAGTGAGATGCTAACTTATGAGTAACTACATATAGAAAGATTAAAAGGTGAGATGGGGCCAGGTGCGGTGGCTCACACCTGTAATCTCAGCATTTGGGAGGCCAAAGGGGATAGATCACTTGACGTCAGGAGTCTGAGACCAGCCTGGCCAACATGGTGAAACCCTGTCTCTACTAAAAATACAAAAATCAGCTGGGCGTGGTGGTGTACACCTGTAGTCCCAGCTACTTGGCAAGAGAATCACTTGAACCCAGGAAGGGGAAGCTGCAGTGAGCCGAGATCGCACCACTGCACTCCAGCCTGGGTGAGTGAAACTCAGTCTCAAAAAATAAATAAATAAATAAATAAATAAATAAAGCTTAAATGGGCAGAATAGACCTCTTTTTTAAATCATGATTCAACTATATGCTATCTATCTACAAGAGATTCACTTGATATTTAGAAACAAATTGGTTGAAAGTAAAAGGATTGAGAAAGATATATAAGCAAGCAGTAATCAAAAGAGAGATGGAGTGTTTCTACTAATATTAGACAAAACCAACTTTCAGGAAACAATTTGTTAATGTTGACAAAGAAGAACATTTTATAATGACACAAAGGTCAATCTTTCAGAAAGACATATCAAACATAAACAGATATTTATTTCACAACAGAGCCCTAAAATAAATGAAACAAAAACACACAGAAATGAAGAAAGAAAGATAACTATACAATAGTAGAGACTTTAATAACCTACTTTACAAAAGATCACCACTAAAAAAAAGACCACCAGGAAAATGGACTATTTGAACAATATTACTAATCAACTAGACCTAACAAACATATACAGAACACTCTACTCAACAACAGAGTACTCATTTTTCTGAAGTGTAAATGGAACATCATTCAGGGTAGACAATACATTAGGCTAAAAAAGAAGCCTCATTATATTTAAAATGATTGCAGTCATACAAAATATCTCTCTAAACCACAATGGAAAAAAGTACAAAAAAAGAGAAAAACTAGGAAATGTATAAGTACTTGGAAATTAAAGAATGTGCCTTTAAATAATCAATCAATGGGTCAAAGAAAAAAATTAGGAAATACTTCAAGATAAAATGAAAAGATAACATACCAAAATTTATGGGATACAACCAAATAAGTATTCAGGGATAAATTTATAGCTATAAAAACTTCCAGTATAGAAGAAAAAAGACCTCAAATCAATACTAATTTTCCACTTAAAAAAAGGTTAAAAAAAAAAGACCAAACTAAACCCAGAACAAGCAGAAAGAAGAAAATAAGAAAGATTAGAGTGAGGATAAACACAGAAAATGGAGAATAGAAAACCAAGAGGGGAAAGTCAGTATGCCAACAGATTTGCAAAGTATCAATAAAATTCACAAAATTTTTGCTAGACCTGCGAAGAAAACAATGCAAGGAGACTCAAATTACTAAAATGAGGAATGAAAGAAGGACGTTATTACTGGTTTTATGTAAGCAAAAAGGATTACGAGGGAATACTATAACACTTTTATGTCAATAAATAATAAAATGTAGATGAATTATAAAGAGTTTTGGAAAGATACAAACTACCAAAACTGACTCAAAAAGAAGTAAAAGAAAAACCTGAAGAGACCTATAACAAGTAGAGATACTCAGTGATCAAAAATATTCCCTAAGAAAAATCTAGAACCAGATAGTTTCACTGCTAAATTCTATCAAATACTTAAAAATTAAGACAAATCCTTCATTAACTCTTTTGAAGAATAGAAGAGGAGGGAATACTTCCAAAGTTATTCTATATAGCCATTTTTCCCCAATATCAAAACCAGACAAAGACATCACATGAAAAGTAAACTACAGACTGATGCCCCTTATGAATATAGACGTAAAAATCCTTAGAAAAAACTAGCCAACTGAATTCAATAGAAAATGAAAATAATTATACCCATGAGACTTATTCTAGGAATTAAAGGTTGATTTAACATGAAAACAATCACTTAACATAATATTTTAAGTCCTATAAATAGCATAAAGAACAAAAACCACATGATTATCTCAACAGATTAAGATGAAACATTTACAAATTTCAATACTTTTATGATAAAGAAAAATTCAACAAACTTGTAATAGAAGGGAAATTCTTCAGCCAAATAAAGGCTTTAATGAAAATCCATAACTAACATCATACTTCACGGTGAATGACTAAAAGCTTTCTTCCTAAAATGAGGAAGAAGACAAAGAAACTGCCCTCACCACTTCTATTAGACATTGTGTCAGAGGTTCTAATCAGGATAATTAGTCAAGGAAAATAAATAAAACTCTTCCAGATTAAAAAAAGCAGTAAACCAATCTCTGTTTGTAGGTAATGTGATCTTATGTATCAAAAACACTATAGCATCTACAAAAAAACAAACAAACAAAAACAACTGTTAGAGTCAGAAGGAGTGTAAAAAACAGGATTAGTATACAAAACCTAGTTGTACTTCTATGAAGGAGCAATGAAAATCTGAAATAAAATCAAGGAAACTATTTGATTTATAATTGCATCAAAAATTCAAGAAACATAGTAATCCATTTAACCAAAGAAGTGCAAGATTTATACACAGAAAAGAACAAATTATTGATGGAAGAAATTAAAGAAAGTCTATATTAATGGAAATATATTTTGTTTTTATGAATTAGAAGATTTAATATTAAGATGACAATACTATTCAAATTTATCTATAGATTCAATAAAATATCTTTCAAAATTTAAATTTTTTGGCAGAAATTGATGAGTTTATCCTAAAATTAATATAGAAATGGAAGAGACCCGGAATATTCAAAACAATCCTGAAAAAGTAGAACAAAATTGTATGACTTGTACTTCTAAATTTTAAAAATTACTACATAATTACAATAATGAGGATAGAAAAGTATTGGCAGAAGGATAGATGTATTAGTCAATGAAATCTCATTTAGATTCCAGAAATAAATTTGCACATATATGGTCAATTGATATTTTACAGTAGGGCCAAGACTAATCAATGGGAGAAAGAAGTCTTTTCAATCAGATAAATCTGGTACAACTGGATACTCACATGCAAAAAGATGAATTTGCATCTCTACCTCATATCATATACAAAGATAACTCAAAATGGATCAAAGACCTTAATGTGAGAACTAAAAGTATAAAACTAAACTCTTAGAAGAAAATATTGATCCAAATTTTCATGACCCTGGACTGGGCAATAATTTCTCTGATATGATATTAAAACACAACAAACAAAGGAAAAAATAGACAAATTTTTATGGTGGAAAACATGTTAGCAGTTCCTCAAAATGTTAAAGTGTTAACATATAACCCAGGAAGTTCACTCCTATGTATATACCATAAAAAGAGTTGGACAGATTAAATTTAACAGAGTTCAACTGAGCAAAGAACAATTCACTACTCAGGCAGGCCCCCAAACCAGAACAAGTTCAAAGCCACTTTGGGACTGCCACTTGCCTGGAAAACATTTATGGATAGAGAAAGGAAAATGATGTATAGAAAACAGAAGGGAGGTACAGAAGCAGCTGGAATGGTTACAGCTCAGTTTGCTTTATTTGACAACACGCTGAACAGTTAGCCACCTGTGACTGGTCAAAAGCCGGCTGCTGTGATTGGCTGAGATTCAGGTACTTGTTACAAGAGTACGTCACAGTCTATTTACACATCAAGTGAGGTTACAGTTGAAGGAGCACAGGGAACTTCACTCTTAAAATATGGCTCCCATAAAAAAAGGATGAGTTCGTGTCCTTTGCAGGGACATGGATGAAGCTGGAAACCATAATTCTTAGCAAACTATAACAAGATCAGAAACCAAACACCGCATGTACTCATTCATATGTGGGAGTTGAACAATGAGAACACATGGACACAGGGAGGGGGACATCGCACACCACACGGGGGCCTGTCTGGGGGTAGAGGGCTAGGGGAGGGAGAGCATTAAGAGAAATACCTAATGTAGGTGACGGGTTAATGGGTGCAGCAAACCACCACGGCATGTGTATACCTATGTAACAAACCTGCACATTCTGCACATGTAACACAGAACTTAAAGTATAAAAAAAAATTGTCAAAACTTATCAAACAGAAATATATATATATATTTTATATATATATATTTATATATATATTTTATATATATATTTATATATATTTTATATATATATTTTTATATATATTTTATATATATATATTTTTTATATATATTTTATATATATATATTTATATATATATATATCTCCCTGGTATAGTGAGCATTTTAAAATTAAAAGCCCTTAGAGATCAAAGAGACACTTGAAGAGACTTCCCCTCTATCTACATAAAGACGAGATGGACCCACCAAAGAGGAGAACACTTTTTATTTTTCCTTCCCCTCCTTGTTAACTCATTATCTATTGCAGAAAAGAAGACCAAGAATGCAACTATGCCCAAACAGACCCTTTCTCAAGATGATGTCTGTCTCTCAGGCTCATTCAAATTCCAAAGAGAACCATTTACAGGTTAATCTCTGTTCCCTGATCCATTTATTCTGCCTAGAAATTATTTATTGCCCTTCAACAGAATTACCTTTAGTCCCCCACTCCCCACCCCTCTGAAATGAAGTTATATATGTATCTGGGCCCTGATAGGATATGGCATGATTACTCTGTGGTTCTCCCTCTGTGCATGTTAATACATTTGTGTTATTTCTCCTATTAATATGCATTTTGTCAGTTGATTTTTCAGTGAAACTTCAGAGGACAAAGGGAAATTTTCTCATGCCCCCTATACAATTCACTACCTATGGAGAAATTTTAGGCTGAACTTAAAATGTGTAAGAAGGCAGCTATAGGCCAAATTTAACAATACCCAAAAAGCAAAGAAAACATATATTTTCAGAAGAAGTAGTATGCAAATGTCCATCGTATCATTATTCATAATAGCCAAAACATAGAAACAACTGAGAAATGGATAAACAAAAGAGGAACAGGGAGTGACCACTAATGAGAGTGAGGCTTCTTTTTGACGTGACAGAAATGCTCAAACATTAGATTGTAATAATAGTTGTGCAAGTATGTGAATACACCGAAAAACATTGAACTTTATGCTTTATTTTTAAAATTAATTTATTTGATTTTTTTAGTTGGCAGATAAGAATAGTATGTGTTTGTTGTATACAGCATGATGTTTTGAAATATGTATACATTGTGGGATGGCTAAATTGAGCTAATTAACGTATGCATTACCTATTTATCTTTTTTTGTGTGGTGAGAGCACTCAAAGTCCACTCTCTCAGTGATTTTCGAGAATATAATACACTGTTGTTAACTGTAGTCACCATGCTGTACTGAATTATGCCTTTAAGTGGGCAGGTTGGACGCTATGTGGATGGTATTTCAATGAAGCGTCTTTAAAAAAAGAAAAAAAGTCTGGGTATTATAAAGAGAAAATGAAGGCCGGTTCTTGTCAGTGTTCTTACCTGGACACCGATACTGGCTGAACTGTAACTGGGTGGTTTGCAAGGTACAAAAACTGGTTAGCAAACTGAAGACGGGTTCAGAGAAGGGAGAGCAATTGTGGGAGGCACGGGTGGGTCCCCCAACTCTGAGGGAGACAGTCTGCATAACTGCAGTCTAGGATTAGGGTCCGCAGAGCCCTGAAGGACAGGGAGGGAAGGAACAGAGCACCTCAGGCTAGAAACACAGGGGAAGCTCTGGGGACAGCGTTGCACTGCAGGAGAACCTGTCTTCAAGGCCAAAGCCCATCAGGATAAAACAAAATGTATTTATTCCTGTAGCACTATTTGTCACTTGCTCTATTATAGAATTTTCATGATGGTATATAAACTCAGACCCAAATATCAACCAATTTGATCTGAAAGGGGCCATGCCCTGGTCCCATGTCTTATACACTGGGGTAAATTCAGGGTTATGAGCCTTTTTGTTTGGTGCAGGTAACACAGCTGCTAGAGGAGCCCCCGCGTCAGGAGACCTGATGGCATTCACAGTCAGGGCAGAATTAACTTCATCCCAACACATGCCAGATGTTACCCATCCTCTTCCTGCCCTCCTTCCACCACAGTCAAATTGACAGCTTCTTGTGTGCCCACCAGGCCCATAGGTTAGACTGTAGCAACACCGTCTATTACAAGTGTTTGCCTGGCCATTTCCCCTTCTCAGCTATTATCTATATAACATGTAAAGGAAGCCAAAAATATTTCACCCCAAAATATACTTCTCTGACATACCCTGCAGACACAAGAAAACTCCTGAAAAGCTGTCTTTTGTGGGGGATATTTGCACCTGCGGAGGAAGTAAAGTGAAGTAAACAGCCGGTGCAAACAGGATTTCTCTTATGCCACCCCACAACCCTCCTGGTCTGCATCTACGAAAGATTAGCTGAGAGCTTGACACCTTTCAAGGTCTGACAGAGAAACATTTTCCTCAGACTACCGTCTATATTTTTCCTCCTTGAGAGCAGGACTGCTACCTGTGAAGTTTCATCTGTTTAGCAAGACCATCTTTGCCTCATACATTTTCCCTCTTCTTCTCCCCCCGCTCCCATAACCCATCCTGCAGCAAAACCTGTTTTGCCATGCTGCAAAATCTGGGAAGAGGTTCAGGAACTTTCAGGTGACCTCAGGCTTCAGGAGTATTAGGCCCATGACTGTTAGCAATCCTAAACACCAAAAGGGTAATTTGGTCATTGTTTTATGGCCATAGCCAACTGTATCACAGTCGCTTTGTGTTAATATGCCTCTTCCTCCCACCCACCCAGTGTCTGTCTTTTTCCCTTTGAATCTCACTTCCCACGTTTCTGGAAAACACCAGAAGTGGAAGCAGTATGGTGAGATAATATGAGTATAAACTCTGGCATGGGACCACCCACGTTGGATTCCTCTCCACACTTACCGGCTGGATGACCTTGAGCAAGTCATTTTAATTCAGTGTGCCTCAATTTCCTTATTCGTAGATGGGGATAATATTATCTACCTCATAGGTTTATTGTGAAGACCAAATGAGCTAATACGTGTAAAGTGCTTAGAATGATCTCATGTGTATTATCTATTATTATGATTATTTGTAAAATATCTATGATAATAGGATTTCCTTTATAGGGTTGCTATTAAGCTATTGCAGTGCCTTGTCATTTAACAATGTGATAAATATTGGCTCTAATCATTTATCAACTATTGTCAATGCTACTTATCTGCACAAATCAGGAGAAAAATTAAATTTGCATCTATAAAGAACTTTTATTTCATTCCACTCTGTAAAAGCAAAGTCTAGAAATAGAAATACCCTCCTCACTTTGCCCTGAAGGAGAAAGGCTGGGCGAATCTTGGCTGCAGCATACCTCATCACTACCATCTTTGATGGACTGCTGTGGAATGAGGAAGAAAGCAGTCAGCCACTCACCTAAGCTGTTACCAAGGCAAGAAAACTAATCCTAAGGTTGTCCCTCTCTTCCACTTTCCACTCCAGGCATTCACAAAAGCAGGAACAGTGGTATTATAAATCACAACTGCAGACCTGGCCCCTAATTGTGAGACAGATGCCAAGTGGAAGCCTGCAGGCTCTGGAAGTGCTTGGAAGTGGACACAAATCTGGGATTTCCTCTTCCTAAGCATGGGACACCAGGAAAATTCTTTAAGTTCCCTGAGCCTCTATTCTTCTGAAATAGTTACCTCTTGAATTCGTTATATATACTAAAAAAAAAAAAAAAAAAAAGGAAAAAAACAGATAACAAACACGAAGTGCTTCAGACAGTGACTCCTATTAATGAATGTTTCAAGGATGGTAGCTGCTTTTATTTAATCTACTTAGGTCTTTAAAAGTCAAGATGGAAGACTCTTGGCTTCCTCTACCTCAATATTGCCCTCAGACTGTTTAGCTGACATAGTCCTGAGATTCTTCAAATTAGATAATTCCAGTATCTTCCACTCCAACTGGAAAATGTGAGGCTGGGAGGAACAGCAGGAGCAATCAGGGGACCTGAAGACAGATGTTGGGACTAAAAAGGCAAGCCTCATTGCCAGCACTGGTGTTTTGGGCTCAGTCACCAGGGAGTGGAGGTATCCACCAGGATACTAAGTCATGAAGACATGGCAGCTGTGTGCTAGTCTGTTGGATAAGGTGCCCCACTGGATTCAGTTGGTTCTTCAGGTCTGAAGCTCAGGAAAATGTCCTCTGGGTTGGAGATAAAATCGTGGGTAGTCTTCACCTGGAGAGAGGTTGGGGGTGGTGGGGATAGAAGAAATAAGCACTTGGAAAAAGGCTATCAAACCGAACATTCTCCATAAGGCAGGGCTGAAGACAGGGAAAGTGGGGCCTGTGGAGGATACCAAGAAAAGCCTAGCCATAGATGCCAGAGGCTGAGGCTGCACAGAGGCCAAGGGGGAGTGGTCAGTCCTAGGAAGGAATAGGGTCTCATGGGCAGCAGAAGCATGACTGTGGACACCAAGGAAATGAGGGAAATAATTAGTATACAGACAGGATTAAAGCTGTCAGACAGGAGAGCTAAGTCAGAGCTGGCAGCAGTGCTCAGGGATGGCAGGTAAGAGAAGAGGCGCAGACAGCAAGACCAAGGAGGCCAGGTGAGGAGAACAGACAGTTGCATGCAGAAAAACAGGGCTTAGGCTGGGCACGGTGGCTCATGCCTGTAATCTCAGCACTTTGGGAGGCCGAAGTGGGCAGATCACCTGAGGTTGGGAGTTCGAGACCAGCCTGACCAATATAGAGAAACCTCGTCTCTGCTAAAAATACAAAATTAGTCAGGCGTGGCAGTGGATGCCTGTAATCCCAGCTACTCAGGAGGCTGAGGCAGGAGAATCACTTGAACCTGGGAGGCAGAGGTTGCAGTGAGCCGAGATCGTGCCATTGCACTCCAGCCTGGGCAATAAGAGCAAAACTCTGTCGCAAAAAAAAAAAAAAAAAAAAAAAAAGGGAGAAAAACAGGGCTTAGAACATTGGAAGTGAAATAAGGATAATGGCCTAAAATATACAGTGACATGAGAAATAAGAAATGTACTAAGTATAGGCTATTAAAAATGATCTTTGAACAAAAAAAAAATAAGATTTCATAGGAGAAGAAATTAAGCTTGCAGAAGAGTTAAAGCTGAAAGAAGAAAGTGAGCACTGTTGGCCACAGCCTCAGGGGAGTTACTCAGCCAGATTGCACCATATGTTGGGCAAGCATATTTGTACTGAGGTGGGAGGACACAGGCATTTGCTGGGATTTTTTTTTTCTTTGTACAAATGAGTCTGTGATTGAGAAAATGTTTCCATGTTTCAGTGGCAAAAAAAAAATGTTCTTAGAAATGTCAATTCTTGACACGAATAAGAGGAAATTCTATTCTGAGGAAAAGAGCAATAAGTCGTTTGCAGGAGACTTGAAATCTAATTTTCTCTTCTATGCAGTGGGTAGAAGAATGGCTGTGTCATTAAGTTATGAAGACTAAATGAGACAGTGATTGCAGACAGTGGAGGACAGTGCTCAGCATGCAGTAGTGGGTTATCAGCAAATGGTGTTGCTCCTTCTCCATCACATTCTAGTGCCACTGCCTTTCTAGACAAGAGTTACTTATGTAACATTTGGGGCAATGAAATGGACTAAATGACATGCAATTTTCAAAAATTGAAGAGCTAATATGTACATGTGGCAGAGAAAACTTATATAGTATAAAATCAAACCTTTGTCCTTAAAAAAATCATGAAGTAAAAAGACAAACTGGAAGAGTATATCTGTATCACAAAAAATAATGAATATCAAAAGCTAAAGAACTTTTACACATCAATAATAAAAACCAGCAACCCAAAAGAAAAATGAGCTAAAGATTTGAAGAGGAATTTCACAGAATTTGAAAACTGAACGGCCAATAAACGTGAAAAAATGCCCAACCATCTTAATAATCAGAGAAATGCACAGTAAAGCCACAGTGAGATTCCATTTTACACCCATAAGATTTATATAAATTAAAAGTCTGCTAGTATCTGGTGTTGGTGACACATAGAGCAATGGGAGTTTTTATATCCTGTGAATGGAATTGTAAATTGTCTTTTAAAAATCCCATTTACTAAAATAAAACTTGGCATTATCTACTAATGTTGTGGAAGATTTTCTTTTTGGCTGTGACAAGTTTCTTGTGTCAATGAAAAGAGTAAAACTCTGTAAAATATTTAAAGCAGTTTATTCTGAGCCAAAGATGAGTGACCAAGGCCTGAGGCACAGTCTCAAGAGGTTCAGGGAACATGTTCCCAAGGTATTTGGGCTACAGCTTGATCTTACACATTTTAAGGGGACAGAAGTTACAGGCAGGTATCAATCAATACATGTAAGGTGCTTCAATCTGGAAACCAGGACAAGTCAAAATGTGGGCTCCCAGGTTATAAGTGGCTTCAAATATTTCTGATTGGAAATTGCTTAAAAGAGTTAAGTTACTATCTAAAGACCTGGAATCGTTAGAAGGAGGAGTGTCTAGGTTAAGACAAGGGGTTGTAGGAAGCAAAGATTTTATTATGCAGATGAAGTCTCTAGGCAAGAAGGCTTCAGAGAGAATAGATGGTTAATATCTGATAAGTATCAGACATAAAAAGGTGCCAGACTCTTAGTTAATTCTCTTCTGGATTAAGAAAAGACTTGGAAAGGGAATGCGATTCTCCAAGAATGTAGATTTTCCCTACATGAGACAGCTTTGCAGGGGCATTTCAAAATATGTCAAAAAAATATATTTGGGGGTAAAATACTTCAATTTCTTTCAGGGCCTGCTATGTGTCATGTGATGCTGTACTAGAGTCAGGTTGGAATTTGGTATCTTATTGCTTGGTATGTTATGGCTACAATCTGTTTTGTCAGTGTTAAGATCTCTGTTTTAATGCTGGTCAGTTGTGCCTGAATTCCAAAGGGAAGAGGGCATAATGAGGCATGTCCAACCCCTCTGCTCCAGCATGGCCTGAACTAGGTTTTCAGATTTACTTGGGAATGCCCTTTACTGAAACGGAGGTTAATTCAGTTGATTGGGGAGCTTAGAATTGTATTTGGGGTTCACATTTGTGCGGATTAATCTTCATATTAAGAACAACAAGAAAAGCTAAATACTTTTTTAAAAATCTGTTCATGGCAGTGAAGGGTCTTGAAGACACTCAGGGTTTGAAAGATCAAAACCTTTGAGATAAGGAAAACACATAAAAGCTTAAAACACATAAAAATTTGCAGTGGCATTTTGCCCTCGAGCATTTGCAAATGCTCATAATGAGGCATAGACAGTGAACAGAAAGTGACTGCCTCCATCTTTCAGCAGGCTTGCTGGGACAGGAGGTGTGAGCTGAAGTTCAGGGCTACCAGCATACCCAGAATCTCAGGACCCTAGCAAGGCCATCTCGATCTCAAAAGATGAGAAGAACAGCAAATTCAACCCAAAAAAGTAGAGGAAAGAAAATAACAAAGATGAGAGCAGAAAATTATAAAAGGAAAAACAAATAAGAAACAGAAAAAATTAAAAAAAATAAGTTGTTTTTAAAATGACTAATAAAAGCAACAAATCATGAGGGATTGATAGAGACAGAGATGGAGAGAGAGAGAAAGAGGTAAAAGGGAAGGAGAAAGCATGGGGCCCACATCAGGAATTAACAATGACATTGTTAGAGGCTCTGCACGTTACTTTATGCCAAAATTTTGAAAATTCAGATGATATAGACAAATTCATTCTTTAAAGAAAGGTTTACCAATTGTGGCCAAGAAGAAATAGAAAATATGAAAAATATGAAAAATAAAAGAATCATTTCCAAACTCAAATTCATAAAGCTATCAAACCTAGATATCAGAATTTGACAAAGACATGGGAAAAAATTACAGGCCAATTCTCATTAAATTATCTCATGAACATAGATGTAAACATCTTAAGCATAATAATCACAAACTGAATGAATCTAATAAGCCAACTTTTAAAATGTAATTCATAGCAATGAAGTTTGGCTATTCCAGAAATTGAGTTTATTTTAACATTAAGAAACTAATCAATATATCTCGCCACATTTATAGAAAAAGAGAAAAAAACATGTTCATCTCAAAGGACACAGAGGGAGCATTTTATAAAATTCAATGCCCACTTACAATTAAGAGACCTACAACAAAAAATATACTTTTGTATGAAATATTAAAAGGATTACCATTGAGATAGTTTAAAAAAACAAAGGCAGTCACTTACATTCAACAACTGTATTGTCCTAGACAGTACAATAAGGGGAAAAGATAATCTAAAAGTACAAAGATTTGAAAGAAAAAAATAAAAAGGTTATTAATTCAAGATAGTAAAATTCTGCATACAGAGAATACAAAGGATATGCATATAGATTATTTGAATTAATAACAGAATTTAGCAACCATGTAAATTAAACTCATTTAGCCAGTATTTGCTGCTTCTGCCTACCTCCTAGAAAGGCGTAGACAGACCTGCCTGCCTCAATGATGGTGAATGTGCCGTGACTGGCTTTGGCCAATGGGCTGTGGGCAGAAGTGAGAGTGTGCTAAGGTCTTCAGGGCTTCATGTGTTTCGTGTGTTTCTATTCAGCCCTCTGAGAGCTTCCACCTCCTCCTGGAGAAGAACACACAGCAGGTCGTGTCTGATGACCCAGCTTGTTCCCCAGCATGAGGCAATCAGAATGGAGCTATCCCAACCAACCCACAGACTCATTTAGAAGCAGAGCAGCCCCGGCTAATTCCACATCCCACCACCTCATGCAGAGCTTCACCACCTTAACCACTGCCACTGAACATTGGGGTTATCTCTGTACAGTATCCCTGTGCTCACAGCTGATAATTACAACATAATGCTGGATACAATGTCAATGTGTAACATTCAATTGCAATTTTATGTACTAAGAAAAGCAATTAGAAAAGGACTTTGTAAAACATAATACCATTTGTAATAGCATGGAACTCAAATTCTGAGAAATAAATGTAATGAAAGATGTGTAAGGACTCTATAAGAAAACTGAAATTACTAGAGGAAAATAAAGGCCTGAATAAATGAAGCAATAAGCCATTTTCATGTATTAAAAGCCTCAATATTAAAATGTTTCAATTCTCACCCATATTGATTTACAAATTCAATGCAATTCCAATCAATTTTTCATCTGATTCAAAATTTATATGAAAACACAAAAAATTGCAAGAATAGCAAAGATAGTCTTCAAGAAAAGCAAAGTTGGAAGACTTACACTGCAATATACTAAGACTTTTAATAACTTACAGTAATTAAAACAGTATAATATTGGTGAAAGAAGGAAAAAATAGATCAGAACAGACCAACACACACTAAGAGCCCAATAATAGATGCTTTCATGCACAATCACCTCAGCAAAGGCAGAGGTGACAATGCGATGCAGTGTAAAAATTGTGATCTTTTCAAGTAGGCCAATTTGATATCCATGTAGGATGCAACAGATGTTGACCTATCTTATACCCAGAACAAAAACCGATTCTTGATGGGTCATATAGCTTAATGTGAAAGACACATGCATAAAGCTTCTAGAAAGAACTGTGGGAGAATATGTAAGCAGTCAAAATGCTTTAGCAGGATGTTCATGTCCCTAGCCACAAAGGAAAAGGTTGATACATTAGACATTAAGATTCAGCACTTCTGGCTATTAAAACACTATTGAGAGAGCAAAAAAGCAAACCACAATGGGCTATCTTTCTCAGTATACTTATAAAATTGAGAATTATTACACAGAAAATAAAAAAATCCTACAAGGCAATAAGTAGGAACCGGACAATCTCATATACAAATTGGAAAAATCTTTGAACAGATACTTCCTAAGTGGTTAATAGGCATATGAGACAGTGCTCACTGTCATTAGTCATCGAGGAAATAGAAAGTAAGACCCCAATAAGACACAACCACGCACCCAGTAGTATGGCCAAAACATTCCGTGAATGGTAATATTAAATATTGTCAAAGATATGGAGGAAATGGATGTCTCTCTGTCTCAGCTAGTAGGGATATACGTGGAACAGTTACTAAAGCTAAATACACACAAATCCTGTGGTCCAGCAATCACTTCCTCCTAGACTGGGGACAGCAAATCCATTTTAGGGAGGAATATATCTTTGCAGGCAGCAGAAACACTATCTGCAGATATCCAAGGTATGCGTACCATATTTTACCAAAAAACACATATGAGAATGTTCACAGCAGTTCTACTGGTAATAGCGAAAAGGGTATCTGGTTATAGACATGTGGAGTCACTGATATCAAACTAACTCTTCTGCTCTAAACAATCAAACTAACTCCTCTGCTCTAAACAACTATAAAAACTGCATTAAATATATAAGGCAGCAACCTGTAGACACTGGACAATGATCAAGTCAGAACTATAATTCTTGAGAGATGGAAAGCAGAAGACAAGAGTTCC
This sequence comes from Homo sapiens, assembly GCF_000001405.40. Classification (NCBI taxonomy): domain Eukaryota; kingdom Metazoa; phylum Chordata; class Mammalia; order Primates; family Hominidae; genus Homo; species Homo sapiens. The sequence continues at coordinate 129,082,398 of NC_000002.12, read as the reverse complement.
ACATTTGTTACCATGCAAAAGGGGCTTGTTGCCCCATGCACTGAAGCCAATACTACGACACTAGGTTTTTGAGAACAGAAAAACTTTTATTGCTAGTTGACTCAAAAGGAGACAGGACTCCAGCTCAAATTTGTCTTCCTGTGCTGGCTTTAAGGCAGCAATATTATGATTAAAGTTTTAGTGGGCAGATTCTGGGATTGGTGGGTGATTGGTGGAAGGAAAGGGGGAGATGTGGCAAGTCCTTGGGCATGCACAGTTATGGCTTCGTGCTACCTCATGGGTTACATGTGCAAATTTTGAGACAGTTAGTATGAAACATGAGGTGGGAATTTGGGCTGTGATGTCCATAAGCTGGTTCTGCTCAGACTCCAGTTGGCCATATTGGTTCCAGCAGATTTCAGCCAGTTTTGTTATCTTACAAGCAGAGGGAATTGTAGTATTTCAGCAAGTAATTTCTATCCTTAGCTGCTATCCTCTCAACTCCAGAATTTCTGTTAGTTACCTGCTTTAACTTCTTGGGGGCCCGGTTTCACCTTCACCCTAGCTTTCTCCCTAGATGCATTTTCCCAAACCAGAGTATAAGGAAATAGATGGTTTGCAGAAAGCATCTGTCTCATGATGTTCTATATCAATAACTCCAATATCTGCAGTTTTTGTGGGTTTGAGTTTTCTGTTTGTTGCTTCCATTGACACTTAATCATACTGCTTTATTTCCTTTTGTCTTTGACTTTTTGTAACATAATATTTCTTAAAACATTATTTACGTGAATTATTTAGAGCCTTTGTTTAAGGTCTTTTCCTCTAGAAGAATTTACTTTACTTCTTTTAGGGCCAACATAGAATATAATTAGAATAAATTCTCATAATAAATAAGTTAATTTTGGTCACAAAGATTCTAATTCTATTTTGACACCCCAGCTTCTGGTTTAGAATTGTCTGGAAAGGCAATTTTTATTCCTTTAACCCAAAGCTGATGCTGAGGAAGATCAAATTTTCTGACAGTCTCCATTTGTGCAGAAAGCTTTATTTTTTCATAGTTGAGTCACTGTGGCTGCGTCCCTCTGAGGGCCTCGTGTTTATGCAGGAATCTTCCATCCCACTCTCCCGCTTATGAACTCTACAGACTGTCTCCCAGTGCACAACAGAAGCACAGCGGGGGTAGCTGATTCTCACAGGGTAGCTGCCAGTTTCACTGATTTGCCTCTCTACAGTCACTCTTGTTTTGTGTCCTTTCTTGTTTTGCAGGTGAGAATAAGTGCCTTGAAAGATTGCCATGTTTTTTGCTAGTCCATTTCTAAAAAGATTATTTTAAAACATTTTATATAGCACTTCAATAAAAAAAAAATTTTGTAAAAAGTACCATAAACAATTCTACTCTTCCATAATGCTCATCCCATTCCAGGGCACCATGGAAGTGATACTCAGGGAGATTTTGTTATCCAGAGCCATGTGGGAGGTTTTCTCACACCAAAAGCGGATATAGGGAGTTAAACCAGAGATATGCTGCTTCATAAGTAAACACACAGATCTCCAGTACGTCAGCTCTTTTTTTCTGCTGTGGAGTTCTTCCCAGCCAAAATGGCCAATACAAAATAGATTATTGTTTTCTTCTCTTTTGTTCACTAAAATAATATTTAATTACTGCAATAGGAAGTACATCACGTGTTTCAAAATTTAAAAGTTAAAAAATATACAGTAAATATTCTCCCATTGATTTTCCTGCAAACATTCATTTCTTCTCTGAGCAACCAATATATTTTCTAACATTTTTTGAAATATTTAAATATTTTTAAAAAGATAGAATTTTTAACACTTCTCAGTTCTAAAATGTTTTTTAGGACGGAACAAAGATTTAGTGAACACCAGTTTGTGCAAGGATCTTTCTCATTTAACTACCACCAAGCTGGTACAAGGTTAGAAATGGTAACATGAAGTGATAGATGAGAGCTTTTAAATAGTAAATCGAGGTATCACACTAAGCCTTTATGATTTAAAAGCACCATGCATGGGTGTTTTTCCACCACCACTGGATAAAACAGAACAATTAAAGTCCCTTATTGGAAGCTTCCAGACACTGATTCCACCACCAGACCTTTAATCTGACAGGAACATCGATGTCCAGTGAAATCCAGAACTGCTTTCCTCCTTTGTTATGTGTTTTGGAGCAGTCTTAAGGAAGTGAGGTGTCTGTCCTGTGGCTCTCTCACAAACTGCACCTGCCATCCATCCCAGTGAGACTGTCCTTGGGCTACAGTGCCACTGGTCAGGCTCAAAGCGAGACATTGAATAAAGAAAGATGTTTGGTAAGCTGTGTTAGAATGACTGTCTGGCATCATTCAAATGACAATACACTTTGGAAACCAAATATGAATACTGACTTTTCCCTATATTGCCTGTGTGGTCATGTAGGAGGCACTCAGTCTTGCTGGGTTTAGTTTCCTCCTGTAACCTGAAGGGCTGGACCAATTGATGTCCACAATTTCCTTTAGGTCTCACTTTTTCACAGCAGCAGGGTAAAGATGTCCACTTAGCCTTCGGAAGAGGAGTGCTGTCCATTCAGAAAAGGCAGAATCTCCTGACAAGGAAGCTACAAGTCAAGGGTGGGACTATCTCCCCTTCACAGAATCAAGTTGACACCAGGGTGTTCACAGTTAGGAGTCCAAGATGGGAGTGCCCCCTTAGGATTTAGCTTGTCTGAAAATAAGTTTCCTGGAGTGAGGAGAAGTGGGGAAGGGGTTAAGTCAGGCATCCATTCAATAGCTGGTTTTATCTATTTTTTTCTGAAGCAAAACCACGGGTAGTGTAGAGAAAGATTTTTTTTTTTTTTTTTTTTTTTTTTGAGACAGAGTCTCACTCTGTCGCCCAGGCTGGAGTGCAGTGGCCTGATCTCGGCTCACTGCAAGCTCCGCCTCCCAAGTTCATGACATTCTCCTGCCTCAGCCTCCGAAGTAGCTGGGACTACAGGCGCCCACCACCACACTCCGCTAATTTTTTGTATTTTTAGTAGAGACAGGACTTCACCGTCTTAGCCAGGATGGTCTCGATCTCCTGACCCCATGATCCACCTGCCTCAGCCTCCCAAATTTTTGGAATTACAGGCATGAGCCACTGCACCCGGCCGACAAAGATTTAAGAATCAGACATGGGCCGGGTGCGGTGGCTCAGGCCTGTAATCTCAGCACTTTGGGAGGCAGAGGCGGGTGGATTACCTGAGGTCAGGAGTTCAAGACCAGCCTGGCCAGCACGGTGAAACCCCATCTCTACTAAAAATACAAAAATTAGCCAGGCGTGGTGGCATACGCCTGTAATCTTAGCTACTCAGGAGGCTGAGGCAGGAGAACTGCTTGAGCCCACGAAGCGGAGGTTGCAGTGAGCCAAGATTGTGCCACTGCACTCCAGCCTGGCTGACAGAGCAAGACTCTGTCTCAAAAAAAAAAAAAAAAAAGAAATCAGACCTGAATTCAAGTCCTGGCTCCACCCTACTTTTCCCACGTGAATTCTTCCAGCCTCAGCTATGTCAGCTGAAAATGAGAACTGGGTAAGCCTAACGAGGAAAGCTTTGTGCAGTGTGTGCCCACGGCATCTAGGATGTGCTCCTGCCTCTTGTGCACACTGGGTTCTCTGCTCCTGTGGACTCTGCTCTGGCATGTGACATTTGGTCCATGCCCCTGCTTGCCTGCCTCTCAGGCTTTGTTCACTCTGCTTCATGTGTATGCCTGCTTGGAATGAAGGACCTCACCTCTCAGGAAATGTCTTCATTCCCTGAGAAGGACCTCACCTCTCAGGGAAGACAGTGGAGAGCTGCTAATAAGTCCAGATATCTGGGCTCTGCCTCCAGGGGTTCTAATGTCACTGCCCTAGCACTGGGGTCATGCTGTGAGCTGAATGTTTGTGTGCCCCTCAGAATTCATATGTTGAAGCCGCAATCCTGAATGTGGTGGTGTTTGGATGCAGGGAAGTGATTAGATTTAGATGAAGTTTTGAGGATGGAGACCCCCTGATAGGATTAGTGTCCTTATAAGAAGAGGAAGAGAGACAGAGTTTTCTATCTTCCATACGAAGACACATCAAGAAGGCAGCTGTCTGCCAGCCAGAAAGCAAGCCCCTGCCGGACACCAAATCTGCCAGCACTTTGATCTTGGATTTCCCAGACTCCAGAACCATGAGAAATAGGCATTGCTTAAGCCTCCCAGTCTGTGATATTTTCTTATGGTAGCCTGAGCTGACTATGACCGGCCCCAGTGATTTGGCCCCAGTGATTCCTTTATGCAGCCACAGTGTGGTGGGAACCACAGCGGTAGGGCCTCTAAAGGTTCTCCGAAGGTAGACATCTGAATGAGTGCAGCTCTGTTCACCTGTGTGATAGCTAGATCCCAGGTGTAAATTAGCCTCATCGATCTTAGCAGTTGAATGCCATTCTCTGGGAGCCTAGGAGGAACAACAATAAGGAACCACAGTGACAGGGTTAAAGAGACAGCATACACAGAATTTAGCACCCTCCAGGAAAGCTGAGGACAATGGATTCCTCAGGGCTTGGGGAAAGGCACCAGCAACAATTTTACTGCTTTCTCTTGCATTTTAACTCATCAGAAATTCCAGACTACATTGGGTTTTCTATTAGGTACATGTACCTATTTATATATACATATATATATATATATATATATATACTTTTTTTCTCTTCTAATCTTTACAAGTATTAACCCAGGAGGTGGATATTACTATTCCTGCTCAGAAAGATGAATTAAGTTGTTGAAGATCATATGGGTAGAAGTTCAGAAGTAAGGATTCAGATATGGGTCTTTCTCGTTTCAAAATAGAAGCCCTTTCTGCCCTGTTACACCATGTTCTGATCGCAGAGCAGAAAACACAAATAGTTAAAACTTGTATGTTATATAAAGAAATAGAAATATTTTCTGCAACCAGTAACATCAGAGGTTTGAATTCTCACATTTCCAATGTTCTCAGTGAGTACAAGGGCACTTATAAAATTTTCAAATTCAAGATTCACATAGTTTTATTTTCCTTCTTGGATAAATATATCACTACAAACTGTTTTTGCGTATTCAAACATATGCCCAGAACTCCATTCAGCCTGGATTTGGTAGGTTTCAAAGTTCTTTTCATGCCCTACTTTCTGTAGGAGGTCTTTCATGATCCTTCAACCCATTTATAATTGTGTTTCATTATTGCATAGTTTTTAATGATGAGTTGCTGAATATACACATACACAATGGCCTTATACAGCAGCTGAACTCTGACCCAAAACCTTTGCAACAACCAGCCCAGAACAGTGAGGTACTGATTAGCCACTGGCATCTTCCCAAATCATTAGCCCTGCTTCCAACTCAGGACCAACCAGAGAAACCCAAATGTGCTCCCCAAACCAATCATATAGTGCCTTAGTCTGTTCAGGCTGCTGTAACAAAATGCTATAAACTGGCTGGGTTAGAAACAGAAATTTATTCCTTGTGGTTCTAGAAGTTGAAAAGTCCAAGATGAAGGTGCTGGCTGTCTGGTGAAGACGCACTTCTGATTCATAGCAGGTGCCTTCTTGTGTCCTCACATAGTGGAAGGGGTGAACAAGCCCCCTTGAGCCTCTTGTATACAATCACTACTCCTATTCCCAAGGGCTTGTCCTCAATCTAATCATCTCCCCAAAAGCCCCACCTCCTAATACCATTCCTTTGGAGGTTAGGATTTCAACATACACATTCGGGAGTATACGAATATTCAGATTATAGCACATAGGTTGTCCTGTGACTAGGTAGTCCACTTACAGACTCCCCATGCTGGCAGCCTCCAATCAGAGCACCCCTGAGTCTTCCTTGTTTTCCACTATAAAGGCTCCCACACCCCTGTCTGCCTTTGAGTCGGCTGCATGCAGGTTATGGTGGCTGACTTCCCTGCAGTGTAGCAAGCTCTGAGTAAATACTCTATTCTCATTTCAGTGATCTTCATTTATTTCCATAAAGAACTACAACTGAAGTGTTCATAAAATGCAGGAGATGCTGATATGCTTGGGGACTGGAGATTAGACTTTTGTTATTTTATCCTGACCCTCAGCTTTCCCTTACCTGGCCAGATGCCTAGCTGGAAAGGGGAAGGGGTAGAATATCACATCCACTGTGCCCAGAAGTCCACTCCACAACCAAATCTTATTGCATGAGACACCAATAAAAGGGGGGTGAGTTTGAAGCTAGTCAAACCTGTATAGACGCTAGCACTGGTGCTCACTAGCTGGGTGACCTCAGGCACAGGACTGACACCTGTGGGCCCCCATCTCCTGCCCTGTGGAATGGGGATGAGGAGCACTTACCCCATGAGGCTGTTGGAAGAAAACAGTCATCATTCCACATGGCTGCCAGAGCAGGAGCTTAAAGGACATGAGTCCCTCCATATTATCCCTTCTTTAGGTATTTTTATTTAAACAGATCCCCTATAGGAGTTTGCTTTGTTATCACTTGCCTATTTCAAATGGAAGAATGATTTGTTATCTGTGTAAACCCTATGTAAACCTTTAGCATATCTTAACATTTATCAACACAAATTATTCACCCAATTTTTTTTTTTTACACAAGACAATTGGCTAGGTGCTGAGGGGGCACGACAATACCTAAGACATGCTTCTCATTCGCTCATAATTTAACTGGGGAGAAAAAATTGTATATACAAACAGAAGAAGTAGATAATGTCATACAATATGCCAGACTAGTGACAAAAGCAATGAGTGTTACTAGAGTTTGTAGGAAGGGGTAGGCAGCCTGTGGTGGCCTGAAAATGATGTGTGGCAAGTTGGAGCTACATTTGGGTGTTGAAACACACATAGAATTGGCTCAAAAATGCAAGTACAGTTTTTTTGAAAAGTCATTATAAAAATGATAGTAGTGAATTGTGTATTATTTTCAATATTAAAATTTTTTGATTGAAAAATGTTTATATTAAACATTTTAATTTTTAATTGAAAATGTAAATTAAAAAAATTTTATTAAACATTTTTATTAAAAATAGTTATATTTAAAAAATTACTATTGAAAATAGTACACAATTTTTAAATATATTACATACTAATACACAGTATTACATAATAATACACAATATTTTCAATATTGTATTTCAATATTTTGTTATATTAAAATTTTTCAAGACACAAAAAAGTACAAAAAAAAAGAGAAATTACCCATCATCCACACTCTAATCACTGGTAATATATTAATGTTTTTACTCTTAGCCTTTTTTGCAACATATAATCTTAAAATTGTTAAACAGAGTTGGAATAATTAAATGCATGCATGCATGTATACATTGTTAACCTTAAGTAATAAGATTCAGTAAAGAGAATTAAGTATAGAGCATGTTCAAGTGCAGAACTTGAGGATGGCCACCTGAAAGCCACAGTCACTCCAAACTAATGGGGTCAGCGTTCTGAAGTGTATCTTGTTCAGATACGCTAAGGGCAGCCCTCTCACTTTACTATCTGCTAATTGATTTCCTTTGCTTCCTGGAGTGTCTGGTTTAAATGGCCTGGAATCTTAATAATGACTAATTATTTTGGCAATAGTATGGCTTCCGATAATTCTGAAATGAAGTGCCCATTTTTTATGGACTGACTGGAAGAAGTTAAAAATCCCCTTTGTTTCTATAACATTCCAAAGTCATGAGTTAGTCTGAAAGCATATCTGCTATCTATGTAAATATTAGCAGTTATTTCTCTTGCCAATTGACAGGCTGTAATCAATGCCATTAACTCTGCTTGTTCAGTTGAGGTCACTTCTGGAAGATGAGCGCTTTCTGTTTCCTCAGTCAAAGCTGCTACAGCATAACCTGCCCTGATATTCCAGATTCATCCTTTAAGTAAGATCCATTTGTAAACCAAATAACATCACTGTTAGTAAGGGAGGTTTCTTGCAGGTCCATTCTAGGAGAGAGAAGCTGGTTGTTTAAGAATATGCAATTATGCATCATTTCATTTGAAGGCAGGGACAGAAGAGTGGCAGGATTTAGGTTATTTCATCTGGAGATTCTAATATGGAGATAAGAAAGAAGAAGAGCTTCATAAGAAAGAAGTCTACTAACTGAATAGCATTGAATGTGGTGCGGGTTTAGTGTTAAACGCACTTCCACAGAATGTGAAATAAAGGAAAGATCCCATCACTATTCTTCAGTTACTCTTACTAGCAGGACAGTAGTCGTTACTGCCTTCATACAAGGCAGCAATCCTCTAGCCATGGGGTCCAGCTGCTAACTACAGTATCTACAGGTCTATCTTCAGGTTGATCTTCATGTTTTTGAGTCAGAATGCCTAAGGCATTTTCCTGATTTTTATGAACAATGAAAATAAAATATTATAATTTGGATGCCCCGATGCTGGGGCTATCTATAAGACGTTTGATAATTTCTTTTAATGTTAACTGATTTTCCTCTGTTCATTCTAGAGGGTCTGTCTTACCTTGTTTTAAAAGAGTATATAAAGGTTGAGTTTTTAAGAAGTTTGGGATCCAGTTTCTAGAGTATCCTGCCAACGTCCAAAATCCTGTCAGTTGTTTTTCAGTTTTTTTGGGATAGAGAAGGCCGATATTTCTTTTGTTCTATCTAGATTGATTAAAAGCCCTTCCTTTGATATTAGGTGAAATATATTGTTTCTGATGGAATGGAAGCTTTTCCTTTGAACCTTGTGTCCCTTTAAAGCTAATAGTTGTAATAAAGAAATTCCCTCTCCTATGCAGGCTTGCCCATCCCTTGAACAGAGAAGTAAATCGCCCATGTATCATATCAAGGTGGATCTCTAAGGGAATTCAACATCCAATATGTTGGCTTTTAATATTTGTGGAAAATAAGTAGGACACTCAGTGTATCCCTGAGGTGTCTAAATGTCCATGTGTATCGTCTGTCTTCCCACATGAAGACAAAGGGATATTAACTCTCTTTATCTACAGGAATGCAAAAGAATGCACTACAAGGCTTTATTGCAGTGAAGAACTCACCTTCTGTTGGGATGGGAGTCAACAACATATGGGGCTTTGGTGCTACTGGATGTAGGGACTGACTGTCTGTAATTGCTCTCAGATCTTGTACCAATCTCTATCCTTTATCATTTGGATTCCTTATGGGGAGGATACAGTGTTACATGGGCTTGTAAAAAGAATAATCAAGCCTATTTTTTATCATTCAAAATTATAGGTCTTATCCCCATGAGTCCTCTGATCTTAGAGGATATTGTTTAAGGTTCAGAAAAAGTTTCGATGGATCTATTTGAATTTTAATAGGGTCAGCCCAGATACTTTTCACAATACCAGTGGAGATGTTTGACCACAATTAATCAGGTACTATTTTTAATAGTTCTTATAATTCTTCACATCTTCTAACTCTAAATATAGTTCCCCTTTTTGGGAGAAAGAGATGTGGGTATTCTATAATTCTAAAAATCCTCTCCCTGACAAATGGATGGGAGCTGAAGAAACCAAGAAAAAACATGCATTCCTTGTAGGGGACCTGCCTGCACAACTATAGGTTGAGATTTATATACTGATATATAAGTATTTGTTTTACTCCCACTTGTATTTTTTTCACTCCTTGTAGTAAGGTGGAATTTATCGCTGATAATGTAGCTCCAATGTCAGTAGGAGCTTGTGTTTGGTCTTCAATTAAACTAGTTTCAATTTTCCCTAAGGAATGAGTGAGGAGAAAAGAGAAGATGTCTTTTATTTCCTCAGAGCACCCCTGTTCTCCATCTTCTTTGGCCTGTTGCTGTTCTTTCCATTTTTAATTTTATATAATCCTTTTTGAAATATCTAGGCTTTTCCCAGTAATTGCAAAGTGGAGGACTGGGTCATTTTAGGAACTTCTTAAGCTGTTTGGGAGCTACAAATTGGTAGGACAATTGTTTAGCTGATTTTACTGCTTTTGCTTTCTGTTTAACTTTCCTTTCCTTTTCTCCCTTGGTTAGAGTGTGGGACACTAGATCAGCAAAATTAACAAGATCATGAGTTTGAGAGGTAGCCCAAAGGGGGCATTCATTGTCTCTTTATTATAATTGCCAATTCTTCTTCCAATCTGTTTACAAAGTTGAATAAAGGGGATTCAAGTTGATTTTGGTATGATTTTGGTGGTTAGTATAACCTTCTTCTGATAGGCCTAAATGTTATTTAAAGACTTTTGTAAAGATCTTTTATAGTATGACACTACAGGCTCACTGAAATTTCATCAGCATTGTTGTATTTTTTTCCAATCAACTACTCTTTGGAAAACTAAAGGGATAGTGTCTAGTAAAGCTGTGGCAGTATCGTTGGCCCATTCACAATGTGCTTCAGAACATTTATGGAAGTCCTCTGAAGGATTTCTCCAATTTGCCTTTGCTATCCAATCTTTGGCTTTACTTTCTGACACCAACATGTGAACCACTGGCCCAGTAATCACTTGATTAATGAATGAAAGCTATAAAGATAAAGAATTGTAGGCATGTTGGGAAAGTAGAATGAAAATGTTATTTTCACGGGGAGGATTGAAAAACATCGCGGACAAGTTTGGAATGGACTGTGGGGTGCCTTCAATACAAGAACGACTGGTAGAATTGTAATCCTGAAACCTAGGAGACCCACAGAGGAATTCTGCAAGGGCATATCACTATGAGACAATCCCCTGGGTAACTGTGAGAAGGTTGGAAAAGGCAGACTGCAAACAGATAATCCACTGGTGAGTTTGTACCACTCAAGAGTCACCCTTAGGCTATGCCAATTTTCTACGCATGAAGTAAGCATATCCGGGATAAGGGTGAGGGTGGGGTGGAAAAGAGGCTGGGAAGAAGTGACCTGCAGGATGTAAGAATGACTGTATGTGGACAGAAGGAGTCCAGTGGGCCTTAGTCACCTGTCCTGGAGGACTGGGGTCCTCTGGGTGTAGATGGAGGCCGCGGGAAAGGAGCTGGTTGGAGCTGCATGAGCATGCTTTTTGGTGTATTGATGTTATATGGGCTGCTGGCATCTGGATCTCAGAAACAGACCAGAGAATATCTGGAAAGCTCCAAGTGACGAACTTTGCTTAATAATGGATGCAGGAAAGTTGAGGTCTGATTAAATTTGGTGGACTTTTCAATTTTAGGAAACAAAAAGAAACAAAAAAAGAAATAAGATGTTTACACAAAAAATTATTGTGGCGAACAGTGACTATAGACAAGAGGGTTTTCTTTATTCATTTTAAGGATTAGGAATAACCAACATAAAATGGACTAAAACTTGAAAAAAAATCTGTGTATTGCTGGGGCCTCCCAAGCTTTAAAAAATTTACTCCATTATTATTTTCTAATCAATGCCCACAGCCATTATGCCAAACAGGGCTAGGGGGCTGGAGGACAGGCAGGAAAGCCAGTTCCAGGAGCTACTAACCATCTGTACAGCTGAAAAAAATTCATCTAATCAGCAAACAGTCTGGAAATCCACCAGGGAAACAGAGAACAGAAGATGACAGCATCAAGAAATCAGACAGGTTCAGAGGGAAAAGGTGCATCTGGGTCCTTGTCAGAGGCATTTGGCAAAATGCCAGACTGCTGCAGCAATCAAGCACTTTATGCCCCTACCAAGGGCATCGCCTTCATGATCACAGACACAGATCCTCGTGGGGGCATCAAGCAACACCATCCAGACCACCCCAGCTATGTCACCAGTGCTGCACACCAGTGTCCATGTGTCCACATTCCAGGCACCACAACCTCGCCTTCATGATATGGAGCCACACAAGTGGCTGCAGAGGGGTTGCCCAGTTCTCCTTAGAGGCCATCTTAGCACAGGAGAACTGAACCCTAACAGATGCTCTGACACCAGGCGGCTGGTGTGACCTTCAAAACGCTCAGGTCCAACTCATAAGAACAGGGTATGTCCTCATGAAGAATTGCAACTACAGAAAGCAACACATAAGCTAAACAACCAGGAGTGCACTCATGGCAGGGAGGGGCCTTGTGGGAGTCTAGGGCAAGTAAAAGCTGGGGCAATAACAGGCCATCGACTGAGATCGTGCTTGCAGCCAGGCCCCGCTGCAGCCACCGCCTGTGTGTCATCTCAACCAATTCTCACAGCTGCCTCCACCCTGCAAACAGGAAACTGAAGCTCAAATACATTAAATAGATGGCCCAGAGCTTGGAGGTCCAGGAGTTCTGAGCGTCCACCCTCACTCCATCTTTGGCTAGAGAAGACAAAAGGGGCCAGACCCCTCAGACCCACTCCGTGGAGGCTCTGTGTGTGCGTGTCTGAGGATGCCGCACAGTATGCAGAGGACCCGTCAGCACTTCCCTCTAGTGACATTCCCATTTCTAATTTAAAGCTAGCCTGATGTCAGGAAACTGGCCCTGAGCCCAGGTGTGGCTGTTTACTAACTCTGTGGACTTGGGACATTCACTCTGCCACCTCTCAGGGTAGCAGGAACAGAAGAAAAAAAAAACTTTGCTGCTGCAAAGGTGCTGGCAACTTAGTACCACCTCCCATTCCTGCACCCGGGGTCTTGGGTGAGAACCTAGCCACCAGGTTTGGTGCTGCCCACGCATGGAATATGAATGCCCACTTTGGGGGCATCATGGCCCCACATACAGCTCTGCACATCCACAGGTCCCATCAGAATAAGACTTTGTTTTCCATGACATTCTCTCCAAAACATTCACACACTCTCACCTCTCCGGCCTCAGCCACAGAGCTTCCTGCTGACAGAGGCAGCAGCCTCTGCAGGGCAGCCGAGGAGCCTGGAAGAGATGACCACTTTCTGATGAGGGTACCAAGGCCCTTTCATGACACCCCACAGTCCAGCGTGCTCTAAGCCTGTTTCCTCATGTGGCGGATGGGCTCATGGTTCCCCTCCAGGTGTGCCGTGAGTGTGTGGATGAGAGGACGTGAGCAAAAGCCCGGCACACCACAGGCATGCAACATTAAGCAGCTCCCATTCACTCAGCCAACCTCCTGGAGCCCGCCGGGTATCTCAGTTTCTAGGGTAAGTGCTGAGAAGCAAAGACAGTTAGGAAGAGCTTCAACTTCTGAAGAACTCCCAACCCACAGGATAGGCAGAGAAGCAGATGGCCCTGGGACAGGTGACCTAAGGAGCACAGGTCAGGAGGCTCCTAATAGAAGATACTTCATGTTGGTGCATAAAACCTCCTGCAAGGCACCCTCCCAGTGGGGCCCCCAGTACCTGTGGGTCTCTGCTCTCCCCTGCCCCATCTGTGGGAATCGGAAGAGCCTGCCAGCCTGGTGTGATTTAGACGTGGCTGGAATGCTCACTCCCTAAGCCTTACACTGTCACAACTCAACAAGACTGAGCGGTAAAAATGGACTATCTGGTGAGTCCAGAAATAAGAATAAAACTGGTTTTCTTTGGGGAAACGCCACCTTACACTATCAGTCATTAGCACCTTAAAGAAAATCAGTTCATCGTATGTGCCCATTGCCAAGGAAGAGCTTCACAGCTCCAATTTCTCCAGCCCTGAGAAGCTTTCACTGACTGTCTTTCCCTGGAAGGCTCCAAAAGTTCATATTTATATCAGGGAGATTCATCATTCTTTTCGAAGAGCAGTCCCAGGTCGCTTGCCTCCATTGTTATGACATTTGTCCTCAGAATCGCTCATCAAGACAGACACGGTAATGGTCATTTCAAACACAGCACAAATGATGCCAGTGGCAGAGGGGGGCCAAGCCTTCAGAGCCTGGAGTTGAAGTAAGAAGCCAGGCTAGGGGCTTGTCACACCCTGGAGGGAAAATAAATAAAGCTGCAAGGTCTCAGCACACATTCCGGTCTTTGACTGATTTGTAAGCTCTCCACCAGAGGCTTGGCTGGTGTGTGAGTACTCATCTTACCAGCTACATCAATGTCACTAGGTATTGACGGTGATGATTCCCAAAAATAAATTACCTGCAAGAGAAGGAAATAGCAAAAGACTCGCAAATGAACCTATCACTCATTTCTTGTCATATATATTAAAATAGATATAATCTATTCTACTTTAAAAGTATATCGGTTGAACTACGTACTCTTTTAAACCATTTTATTTGAAATAAAAATAAAGAAGTTGGCATAGCAAGCAATTTATTTGTGTCTTCAGAGAGGATTTGAGGTTTACTGCTTTGAGGAATGAGAGTATCATAATTTTTTGGTTTTCGTTTGCCAGCTTGACACTTCTGTCGTGGAGACTTTTAAGGGCAGAGAATGAGCCACAGCCCTCCAAGGACAGATCTGCAAATGTCTCTGTCATGAATGTCTGGCAGCCTGGCTGATAGCCTGGCTCCCACACCTGCAAGAAGTGGGGACTCAAGAGAATCACAGTCAGCCTTCTTGGCTTGGGAGGGGACGGCAATTTGCTCTTGAGAAATGTGTTTTTACACCAAAGTGCTCAACCTTCTTTATTCTGCCTTGTTTTGTTTTTTAAAGCACTGGCAGATACTGAAGAAAGAACCCTAGCCAGAGCTCATGTCAACATCCCTGTCGGCAGGTGCCCTTTGACTTTCAGGTGATGGATCGGACTGCAAAACTACATGTGCACACACACATGCACATACATGTACAGACACAACCACACAGAGAAACAGATGCACACACAGACACACATATACATACACTCACTCACATGTATGTACAGACACAGACACACACAGACACACATTCACACAGAGACACACATATACATACATACACCCACTCACACATAGACACACATACACTCACACATATGTACAGACACAGACACACACGGACACACGTATACAGGCAGACACATGTATCCAAACATATATACACACCCACTCACACATAGACACATACAGGTACACACATATCCACACATACATTTGCACCCACTCACAGACACACACACATACGTACACACACAACCACACACATACAGACACATGCACATACTCACTGGTGCACACATACATACATCCATACATATACACACATACACCCACTCACACGTAGGCACAGACACATTCACACATATGTACAGACACAGCCACATGCACAGAGACACACACAGACACATACACACAGGCACACACATATTCACACATATATACACATACACCCACTCACACAGACACACACTCACATATATATACAGACACAACCACACACATATACATATACACCCATTCACACACAGACACAAACACTTATACATATGTACATACATAACCACACACACATACAGACACATGCACATACATACTCACCAGTGCACACACACATACATCCACACATATACACACATACACCCATTCACATACATCCACACATATACACACATACACCCATTCACATACAGACACACATATGCACATACATATGCAGATACACACATACACACACCCCTAACTTCTCGATTTTGGGGTGTAATTTTACTGCTCTTATATTGTACCAAGAACATAATATGAAACCAGCCATATGAGAGGTGCAAAATGAAGATCAGCTTCATCATATTTGATTTCCAAAACAGCCAAGTTTTCCAGGGCAGAGAATCCAGCTCAGTGTCCCACCTCGTGCCCTCACGGGCACCTGGACCAGCCCCAGTGGTGCCTCCTGCCAGGTTCTTTCCACCACGGAGGCTCCCAGGGCCATCTCCAGAAACTTCCTCCAAAACTTTTCTTTCCAGAGCCTCCCTTAGTTAGAAGCACAGTCAACAAAAAGATTTCAGTGTCTCTAGGAGAAAGAGATCACTTCAGTTTTCATTCTCCGTGGAGTCTAGGCTGTTTTAAAAATAATTGACCCCATAGTGGGTACATGCCATTATACATTTATTCAAACCCGTACGCTAGAACTAAAATGTGTGTCAGCTGATCCCCACTGTACAGTGGGGAGCTTAGAAACCAAGCAAAGTAAGACACGGCATAGAGAAGCCAAACAAAGCTAAAGAGAAACTTTGCCTTGTGGCATGAGGAAGCAGGGACATGGTGAATTAGAGACGCCATTGCATCTCCTAGAGAACTGCTCTCAGAGGGCTCAGAGAGACAGGTACCAGAGCCACAACACTACAAGCAAGCTACAGGCCCATTAGGATTGGAGCACAGTTCAGGACTATGGTGCTATCACACTGCAGGATACAACTCAACCTTTACAAGGCACCAGAGAGATAGAGTTTAGAGTATTTTCCAACTTATCACTGATTGTAAAAGGCAATATGTGGAGACATGAAGAATGATCCTATTTATAAAATACACATGTGTGTATATGGACATATATTTTATCATATTTACAATTTATATTATATAACACATTGTATGTAATTACATATAATGTAATACTAATATATAAGGTGTGTGTACATAGATGTTTATATAAACTGTGTGTATGTTTATAATGTATTTAATACCAATCTAGATATCTTTCAGGTAAAGGTGTGCTGGAAGTTTGTAGTGAAGAAGGATAATTTTCACACGTTGCATTTTGAACTTTTGAAATGACAATGTATTTATATGTTATTTCACTAAATTATTAAAGGTAGAAGTAATTTACTGTAGAAAAAAAGTTTGCAAAATTGTAATCAATTTCTTTAGTTACCAATTGTAGAGTATCTACTGCGTATAAGGGACTGAATGTAAGTTATTACTGATTTTCATACATGACAGGCAAAGGGAATATTGTCATCCCATTTCCCACATGAGGGATCTGAGGCTCAGAGTTAAAGGAATTTGCCCAAGGACACAAAGCCAGGATGGCCACCCAGGGCTGCCCACTCTGTGGCCTGGGCTCTTTCTATCTTATGCAGCCATGCTTCTACCAGGTGCTCCATGGATGTGCTGATATTTTCAGGAGCATAAAACCCAAATGCTCGCAGTCTAGCATAAGAAGCTTAAACATGAACACAGGAAGGGCTTCTTGGTGCAAAGTTAGGACGCCATAAAACTTAATCCTGGAGTCTTCCCATTTTTATTTTGGAAGCTCTACTACAATCTTAAACTCTTGGCTCTCCCAGAGTCCTATTTCACAGTCTTACCCAGAAGATTGTGTTCTCAATCACTGCCCAAGTTAAAAGGGTCTGATGCAGAGTATGACTTTATTATTTGTCATATTTCTCATTCCCTCCATTCCACCAATATTTACTAAGTTCTTATATTTAGGGTATACACTAAGTAGTGGGCCAAATATAAAGAAGATATTATCCTTACCTTCAAAGAGTATAATGTGCATCGAGAAACAATTTAGATTCCATTAAGTCACTAATGGACTCATCTACGTACATGTAAATGCATCTATGTACTAAACAACATGCTAGGAATGGGGCCACATTAAAAGCTTAAGGAGCTTAGGCTAAAACAAGAAGTAATTTGGCCTCTATAGCATTTACTATTTTATTATTTAGCAAGCTAGTAATTGAGGAGCACTTATTCTGTGACAGACTCTTTGCTAAATGCCTGGGAAGCCAATGTGCCATGCATAGCCCTCATCCTCCCAGCAGACACAGGGCAGGAAGGTCAGCTGACAATGGCAGCAATGGGCTCTTATTTAGAGCTTAGGCGTGCGCTTCAGCTGCTCCTGGAGTAAAATGCATGTGCGGGGCAGTTAGTGCACTCTGTGGGAGAGGCAGGAGTTACCAAAGAACAATATTGTTCAGCCAGTTGCCTGTAGGCAGCACTGTTCAGAGATGACCTTCATCAGCCCCTTATGTGTGTTAGGCTGTGTCCTAGACATCTCCCCAGTGCTCTGCAGATCCTTCCCACCCGCTCTGATGTGCTCAGGCTCCAAATGACCCACAGGCTTTCCTGGTCCAGGGCTTGACCTCCTCCCAGCTGAGCGGAACCTAACATTCCCGGGTATGAGCCTAACTACCCTTCCGGATGACAGTGGAGTCTCTTCACCTGTGCTTTCTAGGCTGGATTCGCAGAATCATCTGTCTCGCCGATTCCACCATGTATTAGCTTTTCCCAGCCCCACAGCAAGATCTGTTATCTAATTCTTGCCACAGTCAAATTCACTGTAACTTCATCTCATTATTTCCCCTCCAGCTCCTTGCCCACCCCTTCCTCTGGATCCCATGTGGCTGCCTGGTCTACCATCATGGCAGAATGCGAGTCTCTACAGAACTGAACACCCATCATGGGGAGGCTGCTGTGATGACTCAGGAAATGCTTCCTCCTTCATAATATTGAACCCAGCTTCATGATGTTTAATAGGATTACTATCTTGCTCCATAACAGAGTCTTTTCAGCGTGGAAAAATGTCTTCGATAACAGCATGAAGTGTCTCAGACAGATAACCAACATGAAGAATGCCACATAACAAAGGCACCAAATAACAAAATAATCTGTTTTTCCACTCAGATGCCTTCTAATGTTGCTCACACTTTTATGAGAGCACAACAACGTCCATCATAAATAATGCAAAGGCTTGGCATGCCCTGAGCTCTCTGTCACCAGCCAGGACTGAATTGCAGAGTAAAAATATTTCATTTGGGGTGCTCTGTACACAGCCATATATTTGTCAAGGTCTTATAACTCTTAGGACTCCGTGAATATAATCAGTCCTGCATCCTCTCACTGACTGAGGATATCAAAGTGTATGTGAAAAGGCAGGTCTGACAATGCCCTTATTCTCTTTATTGTGGTAGCGGTGTTTTTGCCACTCTAGTTAAGGGTCTGCCAGCAGTTTTATTGGGTACCACGGTTGCAAGAGTTTCTAAGTTGGCTCTGAAAAAAAAAGTTCTTTTAAGATAAAACTTGTCATGCTAGGATACATTTTTTTTAACTGAAATTCTACAATTTGATATGGCCATTTGAAAAGTGACAGCATTTTATGATTCTTAAAACCCACTTGGCTCATTAGATTACACTGTTACAAGAGGTCCTAAACCATCTCACCCTTTATCAAAAATAAGGTATGGAGCAGCAGAAGCAACTCATCTCAGCCCCTCTTCCCCACGGAGATGTTCTGAATGGATCACTCTCAGAAAAAGCACTGAATCTTAGGACTGAGATAGAACAGGGATGTTCCTGTCATCCATTTTCCTGCTTATGGTTGGAGAAAAATATTACTTAATTGAGTAACATAAAAAAATCTAGTTTTAAAGTCATTCAGAGAGAAAAACAGAAAAAAAAAAACCTTTATCCATCTCCTGTTGCCAGTTCCAAATTTCACACTTCGTCTCAAAAAATATGTTCTTGCATATTTAAACTTTACCCACAGCATAGGCCCGCAAGCTCTGCTTCATCGGCCAGCCCACAGGAGACTCCTAAAAGTGACTCCAAAAAACCTAGTGCCCATTCATCAGTTCATGTCACTAGGCTGCTACAATGATGGCTGGGTGGATGGATAGATGGACGGATGAACAGACAAACAGACGGATGGACTGATAGATGGATAGATGGATGGGTGGGTAGATGGGTGGATAAAAGAATGGATGGGGTGGGTGGAAGGGTAAATGGAAGAATGAATGGATGGGTGGGTGGATGAATGGATGGATGGATGGATGATGGACAAGTAGATGAACAAATAGGTGGATGGATAGGTGGATGAATTGGTGGATGGATGGATGGATAGATGGACAGACGGATGGATGACTGCAGAGCTCAGCAGCTGAGGCTTTGAAGCTTGACTTCAAGCAAGTCAACTTTTATCTCCATATGCTTAACCTGCCCCCTCCAAGAGACGCAGGTGTAATCCCTGCACCACAGACTAGCTGTGATGGTAATGCACACATGAGAAGCACTAACACAGATGCTGACTCAGCTCAGGCACTAGCTCAGGCCTGCTGCCACCGGATCACCATCACTACCAATGTGAGTATGTTACACTTTGCTGTCCTGTAGCCATCAACATTTCCAGATGTTCAACACTTCTGTACAAAGCATCTTGGTCATCTTACCAAGTAAAATCATTCTGGTTTCCAGTGATTTTGCTTTCTTTTCTAAGCCTCTCCTCAGACTCTCCTTAACACACAGGTCCTGCACATTGCTCTTCCCTTGGGTAGATCAGGACTTATTGAGAGAGAGCTCAACTCCCCAGCAGGCCTTTCTGGTGGGATGCTGAATCACGGCTCTCTCTGAACATTCATGACTCAGCACTGAATTGGATGTCGAGTTAAACGTATTTTGCCAGGCACGAAGTCAGAGCTTTATTCCAGGCCTTCGGGTCTGTTAAACTTCCCATGACCAGCCCAGGAAACAGGGCTGGAACAAGCTACACTTAGCTTCTGGAAGTCAGATTAATGCACAGACAAGACATGGCTTTGCCAGACTGACTGTCCTGGCTGTGGTGTCACACTTGGCTTGGACTGGTGGCGTTACTTTGAAGCACCCCTTGCCTTCTACCTCCGAGTTCACCTCCTATAGGATGTGGGGCTCTTGCACATTTCGGTCTTCATCTGGAATGTATTTACAGAACAGTTTCCAAATATATCAGAAGGGGACTTTTAAGATATATCTCCATCAGGTCTTTTCTAAATTTGATTACATATGGGCTTCTTCTAAATAATTCAACAGAAAAAGAAAGCTCACAGCTGATTTGGCTTTAAATGCCATCCCAGGGTATAATGCCAGGCACATCATATCTGCTCAAACATTTTGATGAATGAACCAGGGAAAAAATAACAAAATTCTTATCCTTCAGTATAATGAGTTAAATTTCTGGTCCAACATGAATGTATCAGGCCACAAGCCTCCTCTCTGCCTTACCCTATTCCACTTTCAGGCCCCCTAAATCTAGCTCCTTGGAGTTTCTGCACTCATCTGTTTCTGCCTCTACCACTAAGCCAGGACTCAAAATCCTATTTCCTAGCAAAGCAGATAAAGCAGCAGCCACTGCAATGACCATCTTGAACCTGGTCCAAACACATGAGGCCAGCAGGGCAATGGTGTGGGAGCCACGTTCTCATTGTGCCTGTGATCTGCAAGGGCAAGTTAAGATCCTCCCAGGCACCTGGAAGCAGCCCTTCGGCATATGGGAAGGAAGACCTGCAGGTCTTCCCCAATTCCAACCCCTGTGAAGTTTAAGCTTTCTTTATAGAGGACAAAGTTTATTTCACTGGTCCCAGAATGCAGGATAATCGCTGTGGCTATGAAGCAGCAGCAGCCTCTGCCTGTCAGTGTAACACACAGCCATCCAGTAATGGGGCAGATAAGTAGATATCATGGAGCCGTTGAGCGGAGGTTTGTGGGTTTCAGACAGAAGTGAAATGCATTACACTGCTAGAAGAGACTATGAGTCATCTTCTCTGTTTAAAAACCAATGCTATATGCATTTGTCAGTTGCCAGAAATGTACTATGGTAATGCAATACAGTCACAGTTGGGGAAACTGGGTGTGGAGTATGTGGGAACTCAGTACTGTATTTGCAGGTTTTCTGTAAGTCTAAAACTATTCTAGAATTTTAAAAATGTATTTAGAAAATAAGACTGTGGGCCGGGCACGATGGCTTACGCCTATAATCCCAGCACTTTGGTAGGCCAAGGTGGGCAGATCACAAGGTCAAGAGATTGAGACCATCCTGGCCAACATGGTGAAACCCCGTCTCTACTAAAAATACAAAAATTAGCCAGACATGGTGGTGCACACCTGTAGTCCCAGCTACTCGGGAGGCTGAGGCAGGAGAATCACTTGAACATGGGAGGTGGAGGTTGCAGTGAGCCGAGATTGCGCCACTGTGCTCCAGCCTGGCAGCAGAGCAAGACTCCGTCTCAAAAAAAAAAAAGAAAAGAAAAAAAGACTGTGACGGGGGAACACTTGAGGCCAGGAGTTTGAGATTAGTCTAAGCAACATAGCGAGACTCTGTCTCTAAAAACCTAAACTAAAGTAGCCAGCCATGGTGGCGTGTGCCCTGTGCTCCCAGCTACTTAGGAGGCTGAGGTAGAAAGATTGGTTGAGCCCAGGACTTCAGAGTTACAGGGAGCTATGATCATACCACTGCACTCCAGCCTGGGTGACAGAGCAAGACTCTGTCTCTAAAGAAAAATAATAAATAAATAATAATAGTCAATCTATTTTCTCCCAGGAGGGTTATTTTTTGCATAGCTTTGTAACGTTTTTCAAAGTTTGAATAATGTTGTATATACAATTTTGAGTACTACCTTTTAACCTTGTATGTGAAAGTCAGCTATTATTGTAAACTATTTGAATACATTATTTTCAATGGCCTGATCATGATCATTAAACAGATGTTTAATAGTTTAATTACACATGTCTTTATGTTGAACACTTTACAAAAACAATGTTTCATGTGAGATCTTTGTTTCTATGGAGAGCCACACTATGCCAGAATATATTTCCTTCCAGGTCTAATGCACTGAAAGGTAGGGCCTCACCAGACTGGCCTGCTCATGGTAAAGCTGTCCTGGGTTTTACTATCTGGGCTAATTTCTTCATAACGTTGGATGACTCTGTGACCTGGCTGCCCTCTGCCAATGGCACCCAGAAGTTTGTCTGTCTCTTAAGCCAGAGGAGGTAAAATAACCACCCAAAGGACACGTTTCACAGCTGGAGTGCTGTGTCCAGCAAGCCCAGACACCATCCCAGATGCTGTATTGGTACCAGGCTCCCAGCACAGGAGACTGGAGGCAGGAGTCCACCTTTCACAGGCAGCTGAGAAAGGGGAATCAGACAGCAAGGCCTGCTTAGGATGGCACCAAGATGCCGCCACCTACATTGTGATCTTCTAGTGGAGAGAGCAGCCCTGGGGTGGAAGTTAGGAGGCCTGAGTTCTCACTCCCACATTCTTTCACTGTATTCAACAAGTCAGTGAGAAACTGCTCCACGCCATGCCATGTGCTAGACAGGAATGCAGACAAGAAGACAGTCTCGGCTTCCAAAAATGTCTAGGCTGATTTTGTCTTCATTTTTCTTACCACCAATCTTCTATATTTTCACTGAGGTACAAGTGAGGAAATCTCGAACTCTTTGGCCTTGACCCCACAGACCCCAGCGTGGCTATCTGCATGCCTTTCATTGGCGGCTCTCGCATGCAAAGCTGCCACTTATTGTGGCATTGGGCCCTGCTTACCACTCTGTCCCTGGCAAACCAGGCAGGAAAATGAGGAAACCAGCCACAGGTTGGACTTAGGCCACAGGCTGCTGCCACTGAACTTTACTGGGCATGAGGGGATACTACGGCATGTCAGAGAGGATGGAGCTGCCACGTATCAGCTGGGACAAAGGAAGTCCAAGAGAGCAATAGAGCCCGAATCGCTCTCCTGCTGAGACCTCTCCACGAGACCATTTGGTCTGGGTAGCAGGATTGTTTGTCTACTTTATACACCCTCTTCCCCCTTCCAAGGTAAATACTGTCCTGGCTATTTAAAATTGCCAGTGACAATGTTGCTTTTATAACAGGCCTGACAGGTTCTGTATCCCAGTCTTTGCTACAATTTTTGAGAGATAAAAATGGAACTGGAGTCCTCAGAAGGGCCTATTTTGTGCCCTGATGGCAAATGAATTAATGGAGTGATGTGACTTGCCTCCTCCCTTAGCCCACCCCCTAGTTCATCCCTAACGTCCGCCATCTCAAAAACATTCATGGATATAGGACCAGTGAGCTGTATTTCTTGATGCTCATTTTTTTTCCTGGCCGTTCCAAGTTTGTGTGGGGCAGAGATTGTTTTTCATGCTGAGTTATAGTCTACTGGAACTGTTACCTGACAAGAGTCTTTTAAGTGGAATTGCACTTGTTACTGCTATAATAAAATCCATCGAGAAGATGAACAGCCAGCCATTACAGACTCATCTCCTCTTCTTTTCAGGTGAAAGTCTCACACGTGGAAAGTTTTACAGCACATTAACATTTTTAATGTTATCCCAGGTTTGCAGTTTTAATAGCCAGGAGAGCTCTTGAAAGGCCGGTGGAAAGCCCTGAGGCAGAAGCAGATCAGAGCCCCACAAGGCCAGTCCTCAAGGCAGGCAGTGGTGTTGTGGCCTGTGGAATCTTCCTCCTTCAGTGCCTCACGGGCCAGCCTGCGAGGGGCTGGCACAAGAAGCCCTGTCTCCAGGAGTCCTGGGCCAGCAGGGGAGCAACTGAGGGTGGGGCAGGGCAAGTCTGTCAAATAAAGATGGGGCTGGGGAGCTCTTGGACAAGGGTGTCATATAAACTTCACCGTGTAAGTAACTGGTTTGAAGCCATTGACTCTAGCACGGTGTTAAGAAGGATTCTGTGAGGCCAGGAGCGGTGCCTCATGCCTGTAATCCCAGAACTCTGGGAGGCCGAGGCAGTTGGATTGCTTGAGGTCAGGAGTTTGAGACCAGCCTGGCCAACATGTTGAAACCCCATCTCTACTAAAATATAAAAATTAGCTGGGCGTGGTGGCAGGCACCTGTAATCCCAGCTACTAGGGAGGCTGAGGCAGGAGAATTGCTTAAACCCAGGAGGCAGAGGTTGCAGTGAGCTGAGATGGCGCCACTGCACTCCAGCCTGGGCAACAGAGCGATACTCCGTCTCAAAAAAAAAAAAAAAAAAAAGAAGAAGAAGAAGAAGAAGAAGAAGAAGAAGAAGAATTCTGTGATTCGTCTGTGCTCAGCAGAAAACAGGGCCTCTGTACTGCGGGTGCAAGAATGAGGGAGTCTAGGTGCACACGCCTCTCTGCCCTGAACTTGCCATCCATACCAAGGAAAGCAGACTGTATGCTTCCTACTCTCCAACCACATAAAGACAGAAAAACTCAGCACATGCAGAAACAGGGGCCTGCTCTATTCTGGTGGAGCCACTCCAGGCCCCGACTGTGCGTAAAGGGTGGATTGTCTCACGAGGCACCACGACGCCGCGGGCTACACCATGGTCTTCCAGAGGGGACAGCAGCCCTGGGATGGAAGTTAGGAGGCCTGAGCTCTCACTCCCTCATTCTTTCATTTTAACCAATAACAAGTTAGTGAGAAACTGCTCCATGCTGCGCCATGTGCTAGACATGAAAGCAGACAGGAAGAGAGTCTTGGCTTCTAAAAGTGTCTAGGCTGGTCTTCATTCCTCCTGCCACCAACCTTGTGCACTTTCGATGAGGTGCCTCAGGAGGAAATCTTGAAGTCTTCCACTCAACAGGAATGTATAGAGGATAAGGATGGGTCAGGCACCAGGCAGGAGTGGGAGACCCAGGGCACATCTTGACCTTCAGAGGCTTAGAGCAAGAAAGCAGGCAGGTATGTAAGGCACAGAGATGCTCTGTAGGAATCTGCAGAGAGAGCTAGGAAGAGAGGAGGGGCACTACCTGGGGACAGGGTGGACAGGGTGCTAAAGGAAGGCTTTGCAGGTGCCCTTGAGCTGAGCCTTGATAGGTGGAATCAGCACTCTTCATGCAGGAATCGGGCAACGTCAGCAGGAAGAGAAATTTCAGCAAAGTTCCAAAGGTGTGGAAATGAATCAGGCCTGAGCAGCCTCACAAATGTTTTTGTACAGCTGGAGGTAAGCAGCAGCAGCATCTGAGAGGAGCTGCAGAGGGGCAGGGGCAGGTCCAGGAGCCCTTGCCACAAGGTCAAACTGTGTGACTTTGTCTTGAAGGGCAGAGTGCAGTCTGCAGTCCCATGTTGTCTTAGAAAGCATCCTTACTGACAGCCTGCGAGACAGAGGGCTGAAAGGTGCAGGGCAGGAAGGCCCAAGAGTCTGCCCGTGGCTGCAGTCCAGGAGGGAGAGGACTATGGCTGCATTTCCACATCTGGCACAGGGCCGGGCACATAGCCATGCCTGGCAAAGACTTGCTGAGTGGATGGGTTAACAGAGAAAAAGTGGATCTGTGAGATGACACTGGCAGTGGAAATGGGGGAGGGGACATTGGTGCTCCCTAGGGAATCAGTGGGACCTGTATTTCACATGGGCATGAGAATTGCTGGCTGGGTGCCTGTCCTCTGTGGGGAGGCAGCCGTGGGGCCTATGGCTGCTCAGGGGCCCTGGGCATAAATCCCCAGTGTCTAGTCGAGTTCATTGTGCATGGTTTGACTCCTTTCCTCCCACCTGGTAACCTGGAACATGGAGTTTTGCCTGGGGCAAGGCCTCTGATCCATCCACCTACATGCTGTTCTACAGGGATGGGGCAAGACAAACTCTGAGTCACAAACATGTTCAGGCAGGGTTGGGGCCTGACCCAGGTCTCTCCATACCCCAGCCTCTTTCTAATTCACCATGGAGGCTGCATTCTCTGTAAAAAGTGGAAAATCATTGACCAAATCCCTCTTGACAACTGTAATATCTTTGTTGTGGTTTTTAAGAAACATTACTTTTTTTCTTCTCTTATGACTTTTAGCTCAATTTTATAAATGAATTAGTTGTTAAGAAAAAATAAACACTGCACAATATAAGCTGCAAAACAGCACCATTGTTCAAGAGAAGAATCACTCTGAGCAGCTCTAGCTTCCTCAAGAAACATCTGCCTGGCAATGCCGGTGAGGGGGCACATGAGGGTCATGGGCCACTGACTCCTCCCTGTGAGCCGGTTCCCAGGGGTGTGAGGAGGCAGTGTCTTGGACTGAGCATCTGCCACTTGCCCGTTGCTATCTGCTTCGCAGCAACCTGCTGCTGAGAATGTGTGTCACTTACGGATAATGGGACAGGCTCAGAGAAGGTCATGCGTTCTTAGCAAAGTTGAAGGCCAGTGATGAACAGGACTGCCAGAAGGGCTTGCATTTTGCACCCTGAGTGTCCTCCAAACCCTGCGTGGGTTTGGTCATGGCTGAGCAATGACACTGGAATGAGAGATACAGGACTACTTGAGTCAAAAACATCAGCGCTAGCAGGCTTGAGACTCCAAGCTTCCTGGACATTTCTGAAACAGGCCTTAAAGAGGAGAGAGATGAGTACACAGATGAAGCCCCACATTGCTATAAAAGTCAATGTCTTGAACTGAGTTGGAATCCACATCAACATGCCCTTCCCATCCCCAGAAGAAAGCAGAGAACGTGCTGTCAGGGCCCTAGACTGGCAAGGAAATACTTGCGACTTCGGGATGGTTTCTCTGTAATATCTGAGAAGGGATCATCCCCCAGGTCGGGCTGGTACCAAAGGACAGGCTGAATAGTTCAGACAGGATGAGAGGAAGGAGGTGCCGCTGTGGGTCAGCAAAGACCAGGGAGGAAGGAAGGCCCAGGAAAGAGACCGCAGCCCATGCCCCCCACTGTCCAGGATGGCCTCGGACAGGAGGGGAGAAAGTATTTCAAAGCTGCAAGGCACTGCACGTATAGGTGATGATGTTTTCAGTTGTTTCATAACCAGAATATTTTTAAAATAAATAATACTTCAGAAACATTCAAAAGCCATTTGGTAGCATGCTTAAGATGGAAAGGTTTGTAACTGAATATCTAAATGAGACCATTGCCCTGAAGGTATTCTCTAATTACTCCCAAAAGACAGCTGAAAACTGCTTTAAAAGTGTCTCTTTAGCAAGCCTGTGTGTCTGCACTATAAACAATCTAGTATATAAAGTAAAAACAGAAAAGGGCACAATGATGCAATAATAAAGTCACCCAATTAAAATAAACTAAAACAGGATCTAAGAAAGTTAGAATTTCTGAGTAACATAACCTCACTCAATTTTCCTTTGCAAAATTGACTGTAATAGATAGTAGTTTAATCACGAAATTAACAAAATTAACATGACTTTTCCAATATCAAACATGTTTCATTATTAGAAAAATCATCCTGCCTCATCCTACCATTTGTGTACTTAAATTTATAACTTCATCAGTAAGTTTCCATATTTCTCGCTCAAGGATTTGTTAAAATTTAATAAACGTCTTTGTTGATAAATATGAGTGAAAACTAAGTAGTGACCAAAATGTGAGTGGCAGGGGTTTGCCAGGCAGGTAGAGGAGATACAAAGTGAGGCGCTTCAGGGAGTTGGGAGTCCACTAAGGGCTGCCTCTGGGCAGCGGCAGCTTTGGTAAGTGGCTTGGCAGGTGCATCCTGAAATAAAATGCCACCTGATGGCTGTGCTTCACAGGAAGGGCATCCCGTGATTTTTCTCACATATCCTTTCATTGAAGTGGTCAGAAAGCAGAAAAGAATGATTACTGAATGTCAACCAGAAGACTTAGAGATCGGCATGGGAGGCCACTGCCTGGAAAGCCAGATCTCAGGGCTGTGCCCATCTTCCCCTGAGTCCATTCTTTTTTTGTGTGTGCTATTAACAGCTTTAATGAGATATAATTTATATACAATAAAACTCACCTAAAGTGTATGAGCCAATAGTTTTTAGCATATCCACAAAGTTGTGCTTCCATGGCACAAGTGTGGATTCCATAGATTCCAAAGATTCCATACGATCCCTAGATTCCAAAGACCACAATCTATTTTAAAGCATTTTGATCATCCCCAAAAGAAACCCCACATTAGCAGTCACTTCCCACCCTACGCCCCCCGTTCCCCGACACACTCACATTCCCCAACCCTAGCCAAACACTAATCTACATTCTTTCTCCGTGGATTTGCTCATTCTGGACATTTCACGTAAATGGAATAATACAAGATGTGGTCTTTTGTGACTGCCTCCTTTCACTTAGCAGCATGATTTTAAGGTTCATCCATGTGATAGCACGTGTTAGTACATCATTTCTTTTTAAGGCTGAATAATTTTTCACTGTATGGATATATCAAATTGTATTTATCCATTAATCAGTTGATGGACATTGGGTTGTTTCTGCTTTCTGGTCATTATAAGTAATGCCAATGCAAAAATTCATGAGCAAAGGTTTTTGATGGACAAATGTTCTCATTTCCCATGGGTATCTACCTAGCAGGGGAATTTCTGGGTCATCTAGAACTCTATGTTGAACTTTTTGAGAAATTACCAAAGTGTTTTCCTCAGTGGCTGCACCATTTTACATTCACACTGAAAATTTATGAGGATTTCTGTTTCTCCACATTTCTGCACTCACTTTTTTTTTTTTTTTTTTTTTAGAATTACAGCCATCCTTGTGTGCGAGAAGTGATATTTCATTGTGGTTTTGATTTGCATTTCCTTAATGGCCAATGCTGTTGAACATTTTTTATATGCTTGCTTGCCACTTGTGTATGTTCTTTGAAGAAATGTCTATTCAATTCACTTTCCAATTTTTTAATTGAGTTGTTTGTCTTTTTGTTGTTGAGTTGTAAGAATTCTTTATACATTCTCAATATTAAACCTTTATCAGATGTATGAAATGAAAATATTTTCTCCCTTTCTGTATGTTTTTTTCCCTTTCTTGATAATGTTCTTTCATGCACAAAAGTTAACTTTGATGAAGTTTATTTTCTCTATTTTTTCATTTCTTGCTCACATTTGCTGTCAAATCTAAGAATCCATTGCCTAGCCTGGGGTCACAAGGTTTGTTCTGGTATTTCTTTAAGCTGTATGGTTTCAGCTCTTGTATTTAGTTCTATGCTTCACTCTGAGGTTTTTTTATTTTTTTTATTTTTATTTATTTATTTTTTGAGACGGAGTCTCACTCTGTCGCCCAGGCTGGAGTGCAGTGGTGCGATCTTGGCTCACTGCAAGCTCTGCCTCCCAGGTTCACGCCATTCTCCTGCCTCAGCCTCCCGAGTAGCTGGAAGTACAGGCACCCATCACCACACCCAGCTAATTTTTTTGTATTTTTAGTAGAGACAGGGTTTCACCGTGTTGGCCAGGATGGTCTTGAACTCCTGACCTCGTGATCCACCTGCCTCGGCCTCCCAAAGTGCTGGGATTACAGGCCTGAGTTAATTTTTGAGTAAGGTATGAGGAAAGGGTACAACTTCATTCTTTTGAATGCAGATATCCAATTGTCCCAGCACCATTTGTTATGAAAACTGATTTTTCTTATTGATTTATTGGCACTCTTCTCAAAAATCAATTGACCATAAATGTAAGATTTATTTCTGGACTTTCCGTATGTGTTGTTAATCTATGTGTTTATCTTTATGCCATACCACACTGTCTTGATTATTGAAGTTTACAGCAAATTTTTAAATTGGGAACTCTGAGTCCTCTAATTGTGTTCTTTTTCAAGATTGTTTTTGCTCTTCAGAGTTTTTATAGTTTCATATTAATTTTAGAATCAGCTTATCAGTTGATATAAAAAACCCACCTGGGATTTTATTAAGAGCTGAGTTGTTTTCATAGATCAATTTAAGGAGCATTGCCATCTAAACAATAGTAAGTGTTCTGATCTAAGAGCACGACATGTCTTTTCATTCATTTAGATCTTCTTTTATTTCTTTCAACAGTGTACTTTTCTACGAACAAGCCTTGCATTGATTTTATGTAATTTATTTCTAAGTATTTTATTCTCTTTGTTGCTGTGGTAAATTAAATTGCATTCTTAGTTGCATTTTTGGATTATTCATTACTAGTGTATAGGAATACAATGGATTGTTTTTCAATTTCTGATCATGGCAAAACACACATAACATAAAATTTACCATTATAACCATTTTAAGTGTGCCTTTCAGTGATATTAAGTGCATTCATGTTGTGCATCCATCACCATCAAGTATCTCCATATATCTTTTCATCTTGTAAAACAAACTCTATACCCATTAAACAATAACTCCCTATTTCACCCTCTCCTGAACCCTTGTCAACCACCATTCTATTTTCTAAAGTTGAATAGTATTCCATAGTATTCCATTGTGTGTGATTGTGCGTGTGTGTGTGTGCATGTATGTGTGTGTGTGATATCTTGTTTATTCATCCACTGATGGACATCTGGGTTGCTTCCACATTTTGGCAATTGTGAATAATGCTGCTATGAACATGGATATACAAATATCTCTTCAAGACTCCATTTTCAATCCTTTTGGATATATACCCCACAATAGTATTGCTGGATTATGTAGTTCTATGTTTAATTTTTTGGGGAACCACCATAATGCTTTCCACAGCAGCTGTACCATTTTATATTCTCATCAAAACAAGCGTTCCAATTTCTCCACATGCTCACCAATACCTGTTATTTTCTGCTTTTTTAAATGGTAGTCATTCCAAGAGGTGTGAGGTGGTATCTCAAACATATCCACATGCACAAGAATGAAGTTGGACCCTTACATAACATCACATACAAAATGAACTCAAATTGGATCAAAGGCTGGGCACAGTGGCTCACGTCTGTTATACCAGCACTTTGGGAGGCCGAGGTGGGCAGATTACCTGAGGTCAGGAATTCGAGACCAATCTGGCCAATATGGTGAATCCCCATCTCTATTAAAATACAAAAATTAGCTGGGCATTGTGATGCGTGTCTATAATCCCAGCTACTTGGGAGGCTGAGGCAGGAGAATTGCTTGAACCCAGGAGGCAGAGGTTGCAGTGAGACGAGATCGTACCAATGCACTCTAGCCTGAATGACAGAACGAGACCCTGTCTCAAAACAAAAAACAAAACAAGACAAAACAAAACAAGAAAAAGAAGTGGGTCAAAGAGCTAAATGTAAGATCTAAAACTATAAAACTCTTAGAAGAAAATGTAGGACAAAAGCTTCACACTATTGTATTTGTTGGTTATGACACCAAAGGCACACTCAACAAAAGAAAAAAAATACAAAAATTGGACTTCATAAAATTTTGTGCATGAAAAAACAACATCAACAGAGTAAAAAGGCAGCCAACAGAGTGAGAGAAAATATTTTCAAATCATATATCTGACAATTAATATTCAGAATATATAAAGAACTCTTAAAACTCAATAATAGTTTTTGTGCTGGCAAGATGGCTGAATAGGAACAGCTCTGGTCTGCAGCTCTCAGCGAGATCAAGGCAGAAAGCGGATGATTCCTGCATTTCCAAGTGAGGTACCTGGTTCATCTCACTGGGACTGGTTGGACAGTGGGTGCAGCTCACAGAGGGTGAGCCAAAGCAGGGTGAGGTGGGTCTCACCCAGGAAGTGCAACGGGTCAGGGGATTTCCTTTTCCTAGCCGAGGGAAGCCATAAGAGACTGTACCAGAATGAACAGTGCATTTTGGCCAATACTGTGGTTTTCCCATGGTCTTCACAACCAGCAGACCAGGAGATTCTCTCTGGTGCCTGGCTCAGTGGGTTCCACCCCCATGGAGCCCAGCAAGCTAAGATCCACTGGCTTGAAATTGTTGCTGCTAACACAGCAGTCTGAGATCAGCCTGGGACAATGGAGCTTGGTGGGGGGAGGGGCATCCACCATTGCTGAGGCTTGAGTAGGTGGTTTTACCCACACGGTGTAAACAAAGCCACAGGAAGATCGAACTGGGTGGAGCCTACCTCAGCTCCATAGGACAGAGCACCTGGGGGAAGGGGCAGCTGTGGGTACAGCTTCAGCAGACTTAAATGTCCCTGCTTGACTACTCTGAAGTGAGCAGCGGTTCTCCAACCACAGCATTTGAGCTCTGATAAAGGACAGACTGCCTCCTCAGGTGGGTCCCTGGCCCTCATGTATCCAGACTGGAGACACCTCCCAGTAGGGGCCAACAGACACCTCATACAGGAGAGCTCTGGCTGGCATCTGGTGGGTGTCCCTCTGGGATGAAGCTTCCAGAGGTAGGAACAGGCAGCAATCTTTGTTGTTGTGCAGCCTCCGCTGGTGATACCCAAGCAAACAGAGTCTGAAGTGGACCTCCAGCAAACTCCAGCAGACCTGCAGAAGAGGAGCCTGAGTGTTAGAAAGAAAACTAACAAACAGAAAGGAATAGTATAAACATCGTCAACATCAAAGACCAAGGTAGATAAATCCACAAAGATGGGGAGAAACCAGTGCAAAAAGGCTGAAAATTCCAAAAACCAGAACACCTCTTCTCCTCCAAAGGATCACAACTCCTTGCCAGCAAGGGAACAAAACTGGATGGAGAATGAGTTTGACAAATTGACATAAGTAGGCTTCAGAAGGTGGAAAATAACAAACTCTTCTGAGCTAAAGGAGGATAGTCTAACCTAATGCAAGGAAGCTAAGAACCTTGAAAAAAGGTTAGATGAATTGCTAACTAGAATAACCGGCTTAGAGAAGAACATAAATGATCTGATGGAGATGAAAAACAGCACGAGAACTTTGTGAAGCATACACAAGTATCAATACCCGAATCAATCAAGCAGAAGAAAGGTTATCAGAGATTGAAGATCAACTCAATGGAATAAAGTGAGAAGACAAGACTAGAGAAAAAAGAGTGAAAAGAAATGAGCAAAGCCTCCAAGAAATTGGGACTATGTGAAAAGAGCAAATCTACGTTTGATTGGTTAACTTGAAAGTGACAGGGAGAATGGAACCAGGTTGGAAGACTCTCTTCAGGATATTATCCAGGAGAACTTCCCCAACCTAGCAAGACAGTCAACATTCAAATTCAGGAAATACAGAGAACATCACAATGATACTCCTTGAGAAGAGCAACCCCAAGACATATAATCATCAGATTCACCAAGGTTGAAATGAAAAAGAAAATATTAAGGGTCACCAGAGGGAAAGGTGGGGTTATCCACAAAGGGAAGCCCATCAGACTAAGAGAAGATCTCTCTGCAGAAACCCCACAAGCCAGAAGACAGCAGGGGCCAATATTCAACATTCTTAAAGAAAAGAATTTTGAACCCAGAATTTCATATCCAGCCAAACTAAGCTTCATAAGTGAAGGAAAAATAAAATCCTTTACGGACAAGCAAATGCTGAGAGATTTTGTTACCCCCAAAGCCTGCCTCACAAGAGCTCCTGAAGGAAGCAATAAACATGGCAAGAAACAACCAATACCAGCCATTGCAAAAACATACCAAATTGTAAAGACCATTGACACTATGAAGAAACTGCATAACTAACGGGCAAAATAACCAGCTGGCATCATAATGACAGGATCAAATTCAAAAATAACAATATTAACCTTAAATGTACATGGGCTAAATGTCCCAATTAAAAGACACAGACTGGCAAATTGCATAAAGATTCAAGACCCATTGGTGTGCTGTATTGAGACCTACCTCACGTGCAAAGACACACATAGGCTCAAAATAAAGGGATGGAGGAAGATTTACCAATGAAATGGAAAGCACATACACAAAAAAGCAGCAGTTGCAATCCTAGTCTCTGATAAAACAGACTTTAAATGAACAAAGATCAAGAGACAAAGAAGGGCATAACATAATGGAAAGGGATCAATGCAACAAGAAGAGCTAACTATTCTAAATATAGATGCACCCAAAACAGGAGCACCCAGATTCATAAAGCAAGTTCTTAGAGACCTACAATGAGACTTAGACTCCCACACAATAATTGTGGGAGAATTTAACACCCTACTATCAATATTAGACAGATCAATGAGAAAGAAAATGAATAAGGATATCCAGGACTTGAACTCAGTGGACCTAATAGACATCTACACAACTCTCCACCCCAAATCAACAGAATATACATTCTTCTCAGCACCACATCACACTTATTCTAAAATTGACCACATAATTGAAAGTAAAGCACTCCTCAGTAAATTCAAAAGACTAAAAATCATAACAAATATTCTCTCAGACCACAGTGAATTCGAATTAGAAGTTAGGATTAAGAAACTCACTCAAAACCACACAACTACATGGAAACTGAACAAGCAGCTCCTGAATGACTACTGGGTACATAACAAAATGAAGGCAGAAATAAAGATGTTCTTTGAAACCAATGAGAACAAAGGCACAACGTACGAGAATCTCTGGGACACATTTAAAGCAGTGTGTAGAGGGAAATTTATAGCACTAAATGCCCACAAGAGAAAGCAGGAAGGATCTAAAATTGACACCTTAACATGACAATTAAAAGAACTAGAGAAGCAACAGCAAACAAATTCAAAAGCTAGCAGAAAACAAGAAATAACTAAGATCAGAGCAGAACTGAAGGAGATAGAAATATGAAAAACCCTTCAAAATCAATGAATCCAGGAGCAGGTATTTTGAAAAGATCAAAAAACTAGATAGACCACTAGCCAGACTAATAAAGAAGAAAACAGAGAAGAATCAAATGGATGCAATAAAAAATGATAAAGGGGATTTCATAACCGATCTCACAGAAATACAAACTACCATCAGAGAATACTATAAACACCTCTACGCAAATAAAACAGAAAATCTAGAAGAAATGGATAAATTCCTGGACACAAACACCCTCCCAAGACTAAACCAGGAAGAAGTCAAATCCCTGAATAGGCCAATAATAAGTTCTGAAATTGAGACAATAATGAATATCCTACCAACCAAAAAAAGTCCAGGACCAGATGAATTCACAGCCGAATTCTATCAGAGGTACAAAGAGTTGCTGGTGCCATTCCTTCTGAAACTGTTCCAAACAACAGAAACAGAGGAAATCCTCCCTAACTCTTTTATGGAGCCAGCATCGTCCTGATACCAAAACCTGGCAGAGACACAACAACAACAACAAAATTTTAGGCCAATATCCCTGATGAACATTGATGCAAAAATCCTCAATAAAATATTGGCAAAGCGAATCCAGCAGTACATCAAAAAGCTTGTCCACCACGATCAAGTCAGCTTCATCCCTGGGATGCAAGGCTGGTTCAACACATGCAAATCAATAAGCGTAATCCATCACATAAACAAAACCAATGACAAAAATCACATCATTATCTCAATAGATGCAGAAAAAGCCTTTGACAAAATTCAACAGAACTTTGTGCTAAAAACTCTCAATAAACTAGGCATTGATGGAACATATCTCAAAATAAGAGCTATTTATGACAAACCCACAGCCAATATCATACTGAATGGGCAAAAACTGGAAGCATTCCCTTTGAAAACCAGCACAAGACAGGATGCTCTCTCTCACCACTCCTATTCAACACACTATTGGAAGCTCTGGCGAGGGCTATCAAGCAAGAGAAAGAAATAAAGTGTATTCAATTAGGAAATGAGGAAGTCAAATTGTCTCTGTTTGCAGATGACATGATTGCATATTTAGAAAACCACATTGTCTCAACCCCAAATCTCCTTAAGCTGATAAGCAACTTCAGCAAAGTCTCAGGATACAAAATCAATGTGCAAAAATCACAAGCATTCTTATACACAAATAACAGACAAACAGAGAGCCAAATCATGAGTGAACTCTCATTCGCAATTGCTACAAAGGGAATAAAATACCTAGGAATATAACTTAAAAGGGAAGTGAAGGACCTCTTCAAGGATAACCACCAACTACTGCTCAAGGAAATAAGAGAGAACACAAACAAATGGAAAAACATTCCATGCTCATGAACAGGAAGAATCAATATCATGAAAATGGCCATACTGTCCAAAGTAATTTAAAGATTCAATGCTATTCCCATCAAATTACCATTGACTTTCTTCACAGAAATGAAAAAAACTACTTTAAATTTCATATGGAACCAAAACAAAAACCAAACCATATGGAACCAACCCTAAGCAAAAAGAACAAAGTTGGAGGCCTCACACTACTTGACTTTAAACTATACTACAAGGCTACATTAACCAAAACAGCATGATAGTGGTACCAAAACAGGTATATAGATGAATGGAACAGAATAGAGGCCTCAGAAATAACACCACACATCTACAACCATCTGATCTTTGACAAACCTGACAAAAACAAGCATTAGGGAAAGGATTCTCTATTTAATAAATGGTGTTGGGAAAACTGGCTAGCCATATGTGGAAAGATGAAACTGGATCCCTTCCTTACATCTTATACAAAAATTAACTCAAGATGGATTAAAGACTTAAACATAAGACCTAAAATCATAAAAATCGTAGAAGAATATCTAGGCAATACCATTCATGACATAGGCATGTGCAAAGACTTCATGACTAAAACACTAAAAGCAGCGGCAACAAAAGCCAAAATAGACAAATGGGATCTAATTAAACTAAAGAGCTTCTACACAGTGAAAGAAACTATCATCAGAGTGAACAGGCAACCTATAGAATGGGAGAAAAATTTTGTGAGATATCCATCTGACAAAGGGCTAATATCCAGAATCTACAAAGCACTTAAACAAATTTACAAGAAACAAACAAACAATCCCATCAAAAAGTGGGCAAAGGATATGAACAGACACTTCTCAAAAAGGACATTTATGCAGTGAACAAACATGAAAAAATACTCATCATCACTGGTCATTAGGGAAACGCAAATCAAAACCACAATAAAATACCATCTCACACCAGTTAGAATGGAGGTCATTAAAAAGTCAGGAAACAACAGATGCTGGAAAGGATGTGAAGAAATAGAAACACTTTTACACTGTTGGTGGGAGTGTAAATTAGTTCAACCATTATGGAAGACAGTGTGGTGATTCCTCAAGGCTCTAGAACGAGAAACACCATTTGGCCCAGCAGTCCCATTGCTGAGTATATACCCAAAGGATTATAAATCATTCTACAATAAACACACATGCACACGTATTTTTTTTTTTTTTTTTTGAGATGGAATCTCACTCTGTTGCCTAGGCTGGAGTGCAGTGGTGCGATATCAGCTCAATGCAAGCTCAGCCTCCTGGTTTACGCCATTCTCCTGCCTCAGCCTCCTGAGCAGCTGGGACTACAGACACCCACCACCATGCCTGGCTAATATTTTTTTTTTTTTGTATTTTTTACTAGAGACGGGGTTTCATTGTGTTAGAATGGTCTCAATCTCCTGATCTCGTGATCTGCCCACGTCGGCCTCCCAAAGTGCTGGGATTACAGGTGTGAGCCACCACGCCTGGCCATGCACACATATGTTTACTGCAGCACTGTTCACAATAGCAAAGACTTGGAACCAACCCAAATGCCCATCAATGATAGACTGGATAAAGAAAACGTGGCACATATACACCATGGAATACTATGCAGCCATAAAAAAGGATGAGTTCATGTCCTTTGCAGGGACATGGATGAAGCTAGAAACCATTATTCTCAGCAAAATAACACAAGAACAGAAAACCAAACACTGCATGTTCTCACTCATAAGTGGTAGTTGAACAATGAGAACACATGGACACAGGGAGGGGAACTTCACATACCAGGGCCTGTCATGGGGTGGGGGATTGGGGGAGGGATAGCTTTAGGAGAAATACGTAACGTAGATGATGGGTTGATGGGTGTAGCAAACCACCACAGCACATATATACCTAAGTAACAAAGCTGCACTTTCTGCACATGTACCCCAGAACTTAAAGTATAATAAAAAAAAAAATTTTTTTAAAACTCAACAATAAACAACTGAATTCAAAAACAGGCAAAGTACTTGAATAGACATTTCT
Organism: Homo sapiens; assembly: GCF_000001405.40. Taxonomy (NCBI): domain Eukaryota; kingdom Metazoa; phylum Chordata; class Mammalia; order Primates; family Hominidae; genus Homo; species Homo sapiens. Next base: position 129,044,322 of record NC_000002.12, on the reverse strand, counting down.
CCAAAGAAGATATACCAATCTTCAAAGCATGTGAAAAGATGTTCAACAAAACTAATCATTAGGGATGTAGGGAGCCAAGATGGCCGAATAGGAATAGCTCCAGTCTACAGCTCCCAGTGTGAGCGATGCAGAAGACGGGTGATTTCTGCATTTCCAACTGAGGTACTGGGTTCCTCTCACTGGGGAGTGTCAGAAAGTGGGTGCAGGACAGTGGGTGCTAGTGCACCAAGGATGAGCCAAAGCAGGGCGAGGCATCGCCTCACCCGGGAAGCACCAGGGGTCATGGAATTCCCTTTCCTAGTCAAAGAAAGGGGTGATAGATGGCACCTGGAAAATTGGGTCACTCCCACCCTAATACTGCACTTTTCCAACAGTCTTAGCAAATGGCACACCAGGAGATTATATCCCGTGCCTGGCTCGGAGGGTCCCACGCCCAGGAGCCTCGCTCATTGCTAGCACAGCAGTCTGAGATCAAACTGCCAGGCAGCAGCGAGGCTGGGGGAGGGGAGTGCCGAGGCTTGAGTAGGTAAACAAAGCAGCCAGGAAGCTCAAGGAGACCTGCCTGCCTCTGTAGACGCCACCTCTGGGGGCAGGGCATAGCCAAACAAAAGGCAGCAGAATCCTCTGCAGACTTAAGTGTCCCTGTCTGACAGCTTTGAAGAGAGTAGTGGTTCTCCCAGCACACAGCTGGAGAACTGAGAATGCACAGACTGCCTCCTCAAGTGGGTCCCTGACCCCCGAGTAGCCTAACTGGGAGGCACTCCCCAGTCGGGGCAGACTGACACCTCACACGGCTGGGTACTCCTCTGAAACAAAACTTCCAGAGGAACAATCAGGCAGCAACACTTGCTGTTCACCAATATCCACTGTTCTGCAGCCTCCACTGCTGATACCCAGGCAAACAGGGTCTGGAGTGGACCTCCAGCAAACTCCAACAGACTTGCAGCTGAGGGTCCTGACTGTTAGAATGAAAACTAACAAACAGAAAGGACATCCACACCAAAACCCCATCTGTACGTCACCATCGTCAAAGACCAAATGTAGATAAAACCACAAACATGGGGAAAAAACAGAGCAGAAAAACTGGAAACTCTAAAAATCAGAGCACCTCTCCTCCTCCAAAGGAACACAGCTCCTCACCAGCAATGGAACAAAGCTGGATGGAAAATGACTTTGATGAGCTGAGAGAAGAAGGATTCAGATGATCAAACTACTCCGAGCTAAAGGAGGAAGTTTGAACCCATGTCAAAGAAGTTAAAAACCTTGAAAAAAAATTAGATGAATAGCTAACTAGAATAACCAATGCAGAGAAGTCCTTAAAGGACCTGATGGAGCTGAAAACCAAGGCACAAGAACTACATGACAAATGCACAAGCCTCAGTAGCTGATTCGATCAACCAGAAGAAGGGGTATCAGTGATGGAAGATCAAATGAATGAAATCAAGCAAGAAGACAAGTTTAGAGAAAAAAGAATAAAAAGAAACAAACAAAGCCTCCAAGAAATATGGGACTATGTGAAAAGACCAAATCTATGTCTGATAGGTGTACCTGAAAGTGACGGGGAGAATAGAACCAAGTTGCAAAACACTGTGCAGGATATTATCCAGGAGAACTTCCCCAATCTAGAAAGGCAGACCAACATTCAAATTCAGGAAACACAGAGAATGCCACAAAGATACTCCTCGAGAAGAGCAACTCCAAGACACATAATTGTCAGAGTCACCAAAGGTGAAAGGAAGGAAAAAATGTTAAGGGCAGCCAGAGAGAAAGGTCAGGTTACCCACAAAGGGAAGCCCACCAGACTAACAGCTGATCTCTCAGCAGAAACATTACCAGCCAGAAGAGAGTGGGGGCCAATATTCAACATTCTTAAAGAAAAGAATTTTCAACCCAGAATTTCATATCCAGCTAAACTAAGCTTTATAAATGAAGGAGAAATAAAATCTGTTACAGACAAGCAAATGCTGAGAGATTTTGTCACCACCATGCCTGCCCTAAAAGAGCTCCTGAAGGAAGCACTGAACATGGAAAGGAACAACCAATACCAGCCACTGCAAAAACATGCCAAATTGTAAAGACCATTGAGGCTAGGAAGAAACTGCATCAACTAACAAGTAAAATAACCAGCTAACATCATAATCACAGGATCAAATTCACACATAACTATATTAACCTTAAATGTAAATGGGCTAAATGCTCCAATTAAAAGACACAGACTGGCAAATTGGATAAGGAGTCAAGACCCATTACTGTGCTGTGTTCAGGAAACCCATCTCATGTGCAGAGACACACATAGGCTCAAAATAAAGGGATGGAGGAAGATCTACCAAGCAAATGGAAAACAAAAAAAGGCAGGGGTTGCAATCTTAGTCTCTGATAAAACAGACTTTAAACCAACAAAGATCAAAAGAGACAAAGAAGGCCATTACATAATGGTAAAGGGATCAATTCAACAAGAAGAGCTAACTATCCTAAATGTATATGCACCCAATACAAGAACACCCAGATTCATAAAGCAAGTCCTTAGAGACCTACAAAGAGACTTAGACTCCCACACAATAATAATGGGAGACTTTAACACCCCACTGTCAACATTAGACAGATCAACAAGACAGAAAGTTAACAAGGATATCCAGGAATTGAACTCAGCTCTGCACCAAGCAGACCTAATAGACATTTACAGAACTTTCCACCCCAAATCAACAGAATATACATTCTTTTCAGAACCACACCATACCTATTCCAAAATTGACCACACAGTTGGAAGTAAAGCAATCCTCAGCAAATGGAAAAGAACAGAAATTATAACAAACTGTCTCTCAGACCACAGTGCAATCAAACTAGAACTCAGGATTAAGAAACTCACTCAAAATCACTGCACTACATGGAAACTGAACAATCTCCTCCTGAATGACTACTGGGTACATAACAAAATGAAGGCATAAATAAAGATATTCTTTGAAACCAATGAGAACAAAGACACAACATACCAGAATCTCTGGGACACATTCAAAGCAGTGTGTAGAGGGAAATTGATAGCACTAAAGGCCCACAAGACAAAGCAAGAAAGATCTAAAATTGACACCCTAACATCACAATTAAAAGAACTAGAGAAGCAACAGCAAACACATTCAAAAGCTAGCAGAAGGCAAGAAATAACTAAGATCAGAGCGGAATTAAAGGAGATAGAGACACAAAAAACCCTTCAAAAAAATTAATGAATCCAGGAGCTGGTTTTTTGAAAAGATCAACAAAATTGATAGACTGTTAGCAAGACTAATAAAGAAGAAAAGAGAGAAGAATCAAATAGACACCACAAAAAATGATAAAGGGGATATCACCACTGATCCCACAGAAATACAAACTACCGTCAGAGAAGACTATAAACACCTCTATGCAAATAAACTAGAAAATCTAGAAGAAATGGATAAATTCCTGGACACATACACCCTCCCAAGACTAAACCAGGAAGAAGTTGAATCTCTGAATACACCAATAACAGGCTCTGAAATTGAGGCAATAATTAATAGCTTACCAACCAAAAAAAGTCCAGGACCAGACGGATTCACAGCTGAATTCTACCAGAGGTACAAGGAGGAGCTAGTACCATTCCTTCTGAAACTATTCCAATCAATAGAAAAGCAGGGAATCCTTCCTAACTCATTTTATGAGGCCAGCATCATCCTGATACCAAAGCCTGGCAGAGACATAATAAAAAAAGAGAATTTTAGACCAATATCCCTGATGAACATTGATGCAAAAATCATCAATAAAATACTGGCAAACCGAATCTAGCAGCACATCAAAAAGGTTATCCACCATGATCAAGTGGGCTTCATCCCTGGGATGCAAAGCTGGTTCAACATACACAAATCAATAAACGTAATCCAGCATATAAACAGATCCAATGACAAAAGCCACACGATTATCTCAATAGATGCAGAAAAGGCCTTCAACAAAATTCAACAACCTTCATGCTAAAAACTCTCAATAAACTAGGTATTGATGGGAGGTATCTCAAAATAATAAGAGCTATCTATGACAAACCCACAGCCAATGTCATACTGAATGGGCCAAAACTGGAAGCATTCCCTTTGAAAACTGGCACAAGACAGGGATGCCCTGTCTCACCACTCCTATTCAACATAGTGTTGGAAGTTCTGGCCAGGGCAATTAGGCAGGAGAAGGAAATAAAGGGTATTCAATTAGGAAAAGAGGAAGTCAAATTGTCCCTGTTTGCAGATGACATGATTGTATATCTAGAAAACCCCATCATCTCAGCCCAAAATCTCCTTAAGCTGATAAGCAACTTCAGCAAAGTCTCAGGATACAAAATCAATGTGCAAAAATCACAAGCATTCTTATACACCAATAACAGACAAACAGAGAGCCAAATCATGAGTGAATTCTCATTCACAATTGCTTCAAAGAGAATAAAATACCTAGGAATCCAATTTACAAGGGATGTGAAGGACCTCTTCAAGGAGAACTACAAACCACTGCCCAATGAAATAAAAGAGGATACAAACAAATGGAAGATCATTCCATGCTCATGGGTAGGAAGAATCAGTATGGTGAAAATGGCCATACTGCCCAAGGTAATTTATAGATTCAATGCCATCCCCATCAAGCTACCAACGACTTTCTTCACAGAATTGGAAAAAACTACTTTAAAGTTCATATGGAACCAAAAAAGAGCCTGCATTACCAAGTCAATCGTAAGCCAAAAGAACAAAGCTGGAGGCATCACTCTACCTGACTTCAAACTATACTACAAGGCTACAGTAACCAAAACAGCATGGTACTGGTACCAAAACGGAGATATAGACCAATGGAACAGAACAGAGACCTCAGAAATAATGCTGCATATCTACAACCATCTGATCTTTGACAAACCTGACAAAAACAAGATATGGGATAAGGATTCCCTATTTAATAAATGGTGCTGAGAAAACTGGCTAGCTGTATGTGGAAAGCTGAAACTGGATCCCTTCCTTACACCTTATACAAAAATTAATTCAAGATGGATTAAAGACTTAAATGTTAGATCTAAAACAATAAAAACCCTAGAAGAAAACCTAAGCAATACCATTCAGGACACAGGCATGGGCAAGGACTTTGTGTCTAAAACACCAAAAGCAATGGCAACAAAAGCCAAAATTGACAAATGGGATCTAATTAAACTAAAGAGCTTCTGCACAGCCAAAGAAACTACCATCAGAGTGAACAGGCAACCTACAGAATGGGAGAAAATTTTTGCAATCTACTCATCTGACAAAGGGCTAATATCCAGAATCTACAAAGAACTCAAACAAATTTACAAGAAAAATACAAACAACCCCATCAAAAAGTGGGCGAAGGATATGAACAGACACTTCTCAAAAGAAGACATTTATGCAGCCAAAAGACACATGAAAAAATGCTCATCATCACTGGCTATCAGAGAAATGCAAATCAAAACCACAATGAGATACCATCTCACACCAGTTAGAATAGTGATCATTAAAAAGTCAGGAAACAACAGGTGCTGGAGAGGATATGGAGAAATAGGAACACTTTTACACTGTTGGTGGGACTGTAAACTAGTTCAACCCTTGTGGAAGTCAGTGTGGCAATTCCTCAGGTATCTAGAACTAGAAACGCCATTTGATCCAGCCATCCCATTACTGGGTATATACCCAAAGGATTATAAATCATGCTGCTGTAAAGACACATGCACACATATGTTTATTGTGGCACTATTCACAATAGCAAAGACTTGGAACCAACCCAAATGTCCATCAATGATAGACTGGATACAGAAAATGTGGCACATATACACCATGGAATACTATGCAGCCATAAAAAATGATGAGTTCATGTCCTTTGCAGGGATGTGGATGAAGCTGGAAACCATCATTCTCAGCAAACTATCGCAAGGACAAAAAACGAAACACTGCATGTTCTCACTTATAGGTGGGAATTGAACAATGAGAACACATGGACACAAGAAGGGGAACATCACACACCAGGGCCTGTTTTGGGGTGGGCGGAGGGGGGAGGGATAGCATTAAGAGATACACCTAATGTTAAATGACGAGTTAATGGATGCAGCACACCAACATGGCACATGTATACATATGTAACTAACCTGCACATTGTGCACATGTACCCTAAAACTTAAAGTATAATAATAATAAAAAAGAAAATGGGACACATATACACCAGGGAATACTATGCAGCCATAAAAAAGGATGAGTTCATGTGCTTTGCAGGGACATGGATGAAGCAGGAAACCATCATTCACAGAAATCTAACACAGGAACAGAAAACCAAGCACTGCATGTTCTCACTCATAGTGGGAGATGAACAATGAGAACATATGGACACAGGGAGCGGAACATCACACACCGGGCCCTGTCTGGGGGTGAGGTGCTGGAGGAGGGATTGCATTAGGAGAAATACCTAATGTAGATGACGGGTTGATGGGTGCAGCAAACCACCATGGCAAGTGTATTCCTATGTAACAAACCTGCGAGTTCTGCACATGTATCCCAGAACTTGAAGCATAATTAAAAAAATAAAAATAAAAAATTGAACTTAAGAAACTAAAAAAAAAAGAAAAAAAAAGTTTTGCTATTATATTTCTTCTAAAAGTTTATAATTTTAAGTTATTTATTTAAATTTATAATGTATTTTTAGTGACCTTTTAAGGTCTAAGGTTCAGATAAAAGTTTTTTTTTTTTCCTTTCATGGCATATAGATGTCCAATTGTTCAAAAGCTATTTATTGAAAAACTATCCTTTCTGCATTTTGTTTCTGTACTTCTGTCAGAAAGCAATTGTGTGGGTCAACATAGACTCTCTATTCTGTTTTTTTGATCTATATGTTTATTAATTTAAAAATAATGCATTCACTTTATTACTGGAAATTTAAAGTGAATCTTAAAATTGGGTATAGTGAATCCTCTAAATTTATTTTTCCTTTTTCAAAATTATTTTCTTACTCTAATTCCTTTGACTTTCCATATAGGTTTTATAATCAGCTTGTCTATGTTTTTTAAAAAAAACTCCTGCCGGGATTTTTATTGAGTTTGCATTTAATCTACAAATCAACTCAGGAAACATTGTCATCTCTACACTGCTGTCTTTCCATCCATGAAAGTGGTATCTCTCCATTCATTTTGGTTTAAATAGAAATCAAAGATATTTTTTCACCAACATCTTGTTGTTATGAGCATGTAGACCCCAACTATGTTCTGTTAGTTTTATATATATATATATATATATATATAAAATATATATGAATATTTCATTTGTTGAAGCTATTGTAAATGGTATTATTATTATTTAAATTTGATTTCCAATTGTACATTGCTGGTAAATAGAAGTATGATTTTTGTGTGACCTACAATACTGTAACTTTGTAAATTCACATACGAGTTCTAGGAGGTGTGAGTGTGTCTGTGTGCACACGTTGTCATTTCCTCCATATGTTCCACACAATTACATCAGAGAAAAGAAATGATTTTATCCCATTTCAATCTACATGTTTTATATATTTATGTATAAATTCCATTACAAGTTTGATAGGAATAGCTATTTATTGTGAGAATAGCTTTGTATCTCGTTTTGGGGTAAAATTTTCCATCTTTCACCATTAAGCATATTGAGAGCTGAAGGTGTTTTTTAGTGAAGTCCTGTTCTCAGGTTGAGGAAGTTTCCATCCGTATTAGTCCATTTGCATTGCTATAAAATAATACCCAACGCTGGTACTTTGTAAGTAAAATAGGTGTATTTGGTTCACAGTTCTGCAAGCCGTGTAAGAATGGTGCCAAGCATGCTTGGCTTCTGGGGAGGGCTCGGGGAGCTTTTAGTTGTGGCAGGAGGAAGGAGAGCCAGCGTGTCAGATGGCAAGAGTGCGAGCAAGAGATGGAGAAGAGGTGCCAGCCTCTTTTAAACTACCAGCTCTTGGTGAACTAATAGAGTGACAACTCACTCATTATTGCAACGAGAGCATCAAATCATTCATGAAAAATCTGTCCTCATGGCCCAAACACCTCCCACCAGGTCCACCTCCAACCTTGGAGGTCACATTTCAACATGAGATTTGGAGGAGCATATCCAAACGACATCACGTTCCTAGTTTTGCTTACTTTGCTTAATTTGCTTAGATTTTATCATGTGTGGATGTTGCTAGTTCCCTTAGATTTTATCATGTGTGGATGTTGGATTTTGTCTAATCTTTTTCTGACAAAGCTATGGTAACATGTGTTTTTCTTCTTCAGACTGTAAATATGATGAATTACATTGTTGATTTTAGAATACTGAACAGTCTTGAAGTCCTGAGATAAAACTACACTTTCACTTGGCTTTTTTTTTTTGTTTTTTTGTTTTTTTTTCTGAGATGGAGTCTCACTCTGTCACCCAGGCTGCAGCGCAATGGCATGGTCTTGGCTCACTGCAACCTCCACCTCCAGGGTTCAAGCAATTCTCCTGCCTTAGCCTCCCGAGGAGCTGGGACTACAGGTGCATGCCATCACATCTGGCTTTTTTTTTTTTCTTCAGTAGAGACAGGTTTTCACTATGTTGGCCAGGCTGGTCTCGAACTCCTGACCTCGTGATCCACCCACCTCAACCTCCCAAAGTGCTGGGATTACAGGCGTGAGCCAGCATGCCTGGCCAACTGTGTGTTTTCTCTCTTCTCTTCTCTTCCTCTCTCTTTCTTTCTTCCTTCCTTTCCTTCCTTCCTTTCCTTCCTTTCTTCCTTCCTTCCTTCCTTTCTTTCTCTTTCTTTCTCTTTCTTTCTTTTCCTTCCTTCCTTCCTTCCTTCCTCCCTCCCTCCCTCCCTCTCTCTCTCTCTCTTTCTTTCTTTCTCTCTCTCTTTCTCTCTTTCTTTCTTTTTCTTTTTCAACAGAATCTCACTCTGTCACCCAAGCTGGAGCACAGTGGCATGATCTCAGCTCACTGCAACCTCCGCCTCCTGGGTTCAAGTGATTCTCCTGCCTCAGCCTCCTGAGTAGCTGAGACTACAGGGCTGGTGCTGCCCGGGTAATATTTTTTGTATTTTTATTAGAGACGGGGTTTCATTATGTTGGCCAGCCTGGTCTCAAACTCCTGATCTCAAGTGATCCAACTGCCTCGGCCTCCCAAAGGGCTGGGATTACAGGCATGAGCCACTGTGCCCAGCCTTATTCTTTTTATATATTGCTACATCCCACTTGCTAATACATTGCTGGAAGTTTATGCCAGTTTTTCATGAGGAACATTGGTCTATAATTTTCCCCTTTTGTGCTGCCTTTGCTTGGTGAATCAGGACAATTTCTAGCTTCATACAATGAGATGTGAAGTGTTCTCTCATCTTTGATTCACTGGAAGAGATAATTGAATTGGTGTGATTTTTATCTTAAATTTGTATAGAAATTTTCAGTGAAATCTTAGGCTCTTTTTTGGTTCCAGATGAATTTTAGGATTATTTTTTCTAATTCTGTGAAAAATGACATTGGTATTTAATAGGAATTGCATTGAATCTGTAGATTGCAAATTTTTATTATTGAAATATATTTTTAAATTTTCATTTTAATAGCTTTATAGGTACATGTGGTTTTTGGTTACATGGGTGAATTGTACAGTGGTGAAGTCTGGGCTTTTAGTGTACCCATCACCTTAAGAATGTACATTATATCAAATAGATAATTCATCTCTCACCCCTCTGCCCCTCTACCTACTTCTGTGTTTCCAATGTTCATTATACCACTCTATATGCCTTTGCATATGCATAGCTTAGCTCCCACGTGTAATTGAGAACATGTGTTATTTGGTTTTCCATTCTTGAATAACTTAGTTTAGATAAAGGCCTCCAGTTCCATCCAATTTGCTGCAAAAGACATTATTTCATCCTTTTTATGGCTGAGTAGCATTCCATGATGTTTGTGTGTGCACGTATGTGTATGTGTATATATATATATGTTTGTATGTGCACATGTGTGTATATATATATACCATATTATATATATATACCATATTTTCTTTATCCATCCATTAATAGGCACTTAGATTGATTCCATGTCTTTGCAATTTTGAATTGTACTGTGATAAACATACACATGCAGTTGTCCTTTAAGTATAATGACTTCTTTTCCTTTAGGTAGAAGCTCAGTAATAAGATTGCTGGATTGAATGGCAGATCTATTTTACAGTTTTTGAGAAATCTCCATACTGTTTTCCATAGAGGTTGCACTAATTTACATCCCCACCAAAAATGTGTAAGTGTTCCCTTTTCACTATATTGGGTCCGACATGTATTAGTTTTTGACTTTTTAATAACGGTCATTCTGAGTGGAGGAAGGTGGTATCTCATTGAAGTTTTAATTTGCATTTCCTTGATGATTAGTGATGCTGAGCATTTTTTCATGTTTGCGGTACCCTTGTATTCATGTCATTTGCCCACTTTTTAATAGGATGATTTGTTTTTGTCTTGCTGATTTGTTTGAGGTCTTTACAGATTCTGGATATTAGCTCTTTGTCAGATGTATAGTTTGAATATATTTTCTCCAATTCTGTAGGTTGTCTGTTTACTCTGTTGATTCTTTCTTTGGTGGTGCAGAAGCTTTTCAGTTTATTTAAGTGCCATTTATTTATTTTTGTTTTTGTTGCATTTGCTTTTGGGTTCTTAGTCATAAATTATTTGCCTAGGCCAATATCCAGAAGAAATTTTCCTAGGTTTTCTCCCAGAATTTTTATGATTTAGGATTCTAGATTTGTCTTTAATTCATCTTGAGTTAATTTCTGCATATGGTGGGAAATAGGGATCAAGTTTTTTCGCTTCTGCATGTGGCAATTCAGTTTTTCCAGAACCATGTATTTAACAGCATGTCCTTTCTCCAATGTATGTTTTTGTCTGCTTTGTCAAAAATCAGTTGGTTATAAGTATTTGGATTTATTTCTGAGTTCTCTATTCTGTTCCATTGGTCTGTGTGTCTATTTTTGCACCAATACCATGCTGTTTTATTGACTATCACTTTGCAGTATAATTTTGAAGTCAGGTAATGTGATGCCTCAAGGTTTGTTCTTTTTGTTTAGGATTGCTTTGGCTACCTAGGCTCTTTTTTGGTTCCAGATGAATTTTAGGATTATTTTTTCTAATTCTGTGAAAAATGACATTGGCATTTAATAGGAATTGCATTGAATCTGTAGATTGCTTTGGGCAGTGTTGTCATTTTCATAATATTGAATCTTCCAATTCATGAGCATAGAATGTTTTTTCATTTGTTTGTGTCATTTTTTTTATTTCTTTCATCAGTGTTTTTTAGATCTCTTTGTAGAGATCTTTTACCTCATTTGGTTAAAAATATTCCTAGGTATTTTATGCTGTTGCAACTACTGTAAAGGGGATTGATTTCTTGATTTGATTCTCAGCTTGTTTGTTATTGGTGTATAGTGGCGCTACAGGTTTGTGTACATTGATTTTGTGCCTGAGACTTTACTGAATTCATTTATCAAATAAAGGAGTCTTTCGGAGGAATGTTTGTATTTTTTATGTATAAGATTATATCACCAGCAAGCAGATAATTATTAAAACTTTTTAACTAAAAATGCAATGTTTTTCACAATCTAGTACCATTTGGGTTATCTTTGTAGTCTTGGGTGACTTTTAGTAGTTTTTAGGTTTTGAGGAGTTGGTCCTTCTATCTGAGTTGTAGAATTTATGTACCTAGTTGTTCACGGTATTCCTTATTATCCTCTTAATGTATGTAGAGTCTGTAGTGATATCTTCTTTTGCATTCTTGATAATAGTAAGTTGTATCTTCTTCTTTTTAATTAGTCAGTCTTGCTATGTACATCAATTTTATTGATCTTTTTTAAGAACCAACTTTTGGATTTGTTAATTTGTTCCAATATTTAATTTCATTGATTTCTACTCTTATGTTTATTGTTTCCTTATTTCTGCTGCTTTAAGTTTATTTTGCTTTTCTTTTTCTATTTTATTGAGGCAGCATATTAGGTTATTGATTTGAGAGTTTTTTTTCCTTTTATAATAAACATCTATCTAAGCACTACATTTGCTGCTTCCTATAAATATTTATTTTAATTTTTGGTCAGTTCAGATTATTTTTTAATTTCCCTTGATGGTTCCTTCTTGATTCATGGATTATTTATAAGAATGTTATTTAATTTCCAAATGTTAGGAGATATTATTGCTATTGTTCTGTTATTGACTTTTAGTCTAATTTAATTAGGGTCAGAGAAGATACTCTATAAGGCTTTTTTTCTTTTTTCACTTTTAAGATTTGTTTTAAGACCCAAGATGTGGTCTGTGTTGGTGAATGTTACATGTGTATTTAAAAAGAATGTGGATCCAGCTATTATTAGGTATTCTGTCAATGCCAGTTAGGTTCAATTGTTTGATAATAATGTCAGACCATATATATCCTTGCTGATTTTCTATATCAATTTTTATCAATTATTGAAAGAAGGGTTTTGAGGTCTCCAAATATAATTGTGGATTTGTCTATCTCTCCTTTCATTTCTGTCGTCTTTTGCTTCATGTATTTTGCCACTTTGTTATCAGGTACATATGCATTTAGGATTCCTCTGTCTTCTTTGTGTATTAACCCTTTTATGACTATATAATGTCCATCTTTGTATTTGTCTCAGGGTTTTTTTTTCTTTTTTGGCCATGAAGTCTAATTTGCCTGGTATTAAATTAGCTATTGTAGCTCTCTTTTGGTTAGTGTTTGCAAAGATTTTATTTTTTCCATCCCTTTATCTTTGTGTAATCATTGTTAAATGTATAAAACAGAACGTTTACAGTTTTAACCACAGTTAAGTATGCAATTCAGTGGCATTAAATACATTTACAGTATTGTGCAACCATCACCACCATCCATCTTCAGAACTTTTTCATCTTCCCAAACCTAAACTTTGTGCCCATAAAAAAAGAAACTCCCCATTTTCCCCTTTCCCTAGCCCCTGACAACTATGATTCTACTTTCTATCTCCCTATATTTGACTACTGAGTGTACCTTATATGAGTGGAATTACACGATATTGTCTTTTCATGTCTGGCTTATTTCACTTACCATAACATTCAAGTTTCATCTATACTGTAGTATACAATGGAATTTTCTTCCTTTTTAAGGCTAAATATTTCAGTGACTGCATGTACTGAATTTTATTTATCCATTCCTCAATCAATTGACAGTTGGATTGTTTCTACCTTTTGGCTATTGTGAATAAAGATGCAATAAACATTGGTTTGTAAAGATCTAATCAGCTCAAATTTCACTTCTTTTAGATATATAGCTGGGAGGGAATTTCTAAATCATATGGTAACTCTCTGTTTAATTTTTTAAGGAATCTGTTTCCCACAGTGGCTGCACCATTTTACCATTTACATTCCCACAAGTAATGTACAAAAGGCTCCAGTTTCTCCACATCCTCACCAACACTCCTTATTTTCCGTTTTTTTTTTTTTTAAATAATAGCCATCCTAACGTGAATTGGATGGATGTGAATTGGTATCTTATTGTGATTTTGATTACCGTTTCCCTAATTGTTAATGATGTTGAACATTTGTATGTGTTTATTGGTGATCTCAACCTATTTGGAAAAATGTCTATTCAAGTCCTTTGCCCATTTTTAAATTGGGTGTGTTGGTTTTTTTGTTGAATTGTAAGATTATTTTTCATTTATTGTAGTTTTACCTTTCAGTTCTAAAATTGCCATTTGCTTCTTCTTTTTGTGTTACATTTTCTATTTTTTTCTGAAACTTTTTGTCTTTTCCTTAAGAGTGTTTGTCCTTACTTGTTGGGGAATTTCTATGACTACTTTAAAGTCTTTGCCAGAAAATTCCAACATATATCATCTCAGTTTTGGAGTCTCTTGATTGTTCTTTCCCATGAGAGGTAAGATTTTGCTAGTTTACTCTATGCTGAGTAACTCTGGATACTATCCTGGATATTACGTATACTGTGTTTTGAGATGCTGGATCCCATTTAAATTCTATAGAGAAAATAGACACTCTATTTTAGCAGCCAAGAGACCCATTTTGGTAAGAACTGCAAGTTCCAATCAACCTTCTGCGTGTTGTAAATGGTGTTTACAGCTCTCCTGCATATGTACACCCAGGGATCAGTGTGCCTGGACAGTAGTCTAGCCAGAGCCAAGTGCTCAAAATCTATTCTATTCTTGTTTGAATAAGACCCATATATAGTCAGCTCAGGAGTTTCCCCTGGAGTTAAACAACTTTGTGGATCATTTTTCCTGAGCTTTATCACGCTGCTGAAGTCTATTGCCTGGTATTGATACTTTGCAGTTCTCAGGTGCTCCCTTTTTCAGTACCCTGGTGAAAAAGCAATAGATGGTATCTGCATCTCTACCCTTGCTAGATATTTCCAAGTTGCCCTTCCAAGGAGTGGTACCATGATTTTAAAGTTCCTACTGGTAATTGGGAATAAATGTCTTTCCTCACATCCTCCCCATGGGCAATAGATATGTTCTTTGGAGGGGAGCCCCTGCACCCCTACAGGGGTATGAGTTAGATGAGGTGCTCTACTCATTCAACTTCAGCTCACCAACTTAGCCACCATTTACCAATTTCCCCCTGTCACTACCAGAAATGTGTGATGGGAACCAGCATTTCATTAGTTGCAGAGCTGTCTCCTCTGAGCATTCCCTTGCACTTCTAACCAGTTATGGAACAGACACACACATCCCCTCTGTAAAGATTGTGGTGCCTGGCCTTACTGCCATTAAAGCTTCATGTTCTCTAAAAGCAGAAGCAGTCTTTAATCAAGTGCCCACTGTGCTCTTGGGGCTATGTACACACCAACTCAGTGAGGGCCCTTTAGGTGTGGTAGGGAAAGGGGTTTACTCCCATTTACGCCCAATTTACAAACATTAAAACTGAGTTCAAAGTTTGGTGGCTGGAAGACTTAATGGTCCTAAACAGCAGATTTGGAAACCCAACCTGTCTGATGTGCATCAACCATTATGAAATATGGAGCACCGGACCCAGCCACAGTGCCCTGTCCCCAACATAGTTAATTTGCAATCCACTTCTTCAATGCCCAAGATCCTGAGACCTGTGTGCACTTGACCCCAAAGTGCCTGCTTTTATTTCCTTTCCTGCAAAATGACAACACAATTGACTTTAACAGTAGGATTTGGTTCCTGAAGTGAGAAATGAATGAAAGAATAAAGGTAAAGCCTGGCTAGAGTGGAGGGCTAAATACATACCTGATTAAATAAATGACTGTCATACTACTTTGGAGTATGGAATTAACTCCCAGGATCCACTTACTGCCCAGGCTGATTGTTGTTAGAAGTCTATATCCTCCTCTGAACAAGGAAAGAGGAATGGCTCCAGATGGCTCTAGGCAAGGATAGCAGGACTGTCTGTGATTACAACAGGGCATTTTGGTGCCTGCCCTCACTGCAGTTCCTGCTTCATAGTGATCAGCCAGGACGCATGGCGAGGAGGAACTGTCCAGTATGACAGTAAGGTCAGCTTGGATGTCTGCAATGAGCCCACACTGATCAGCTCTATCCAGGCCCACCCTGGGTATAGCTTTACCTCAAGTTTTCAACAGGTAGTTTTCAAAAAACAAAAGTGAGTGTATTCCTGCTTGGTCCTGTTTCTGCCTCTTCCCTCTCACTGCCAGCCCCTCTGATATGTATGCAGATAAAACTGAAATAGCAATTCTCTAAAAACTTTTCATGCCACACATCAGTTTTGGGGAGGTGGTATGGATGAGGGCCAGAAACCTAGCCTACTTTATGCTCTCAAAATTCATAAATTTCTCATTCAGCCTGGTACAAATCTGGGTTATTCCTATTAAGGTTCCTGTGAGAAATCTTTTAGATGTATTGTTACCAATTTCTGCAAGCCAGTCCTGACAGAGGAATGAAACATAATTGAGTCAGGTCGGCCTCTTTTGTTCTGTAGTGTTTGGGGTTTACATGTATGTATGCACATGTTTTTAAGAAAATAGGACAGCTGCATCAATTCAAGCCCACTAAGGAGAAAGAGAGCCCATTCTGCAATGTTGTTTTGTGTCATCCAGTGCTAAATATTCCTTGCAGGGTTTGTTCCCCTTTTCCTCCCTGGTTTACACTTGTACACTGAGGTAAGCTGACCCAGGGAGAAGCCATTCCCCTGCACCCTGGGATTCCCTCGGTAGCGGCAGAGCATGAAGGAAACAGCACCTCATGCATTTACACTGCATTATCAGTATTTTGGGGAACTATCTACATTCTGCATTTCATGAGCAAACTCACAATTTTCAAGAAAGAATGATGGACATAGAAGTCCCAAGATGTGGTCTTTGCTCTGTTTCCATATTAGTGTCATGATCCTACTTAGAGTAACAGAACTACCACCCTTCTTCGAATCAATAACAAACTATTACTTGGAGGCACTCTCTTTCCAGCCAGGCAGCCTTGTGTAATGGAATGCATTTGGTTCCTGGGGTGTAGACAGACCCTACACTTGAAGGGAGTCCTCTCACTATCTGTCGTTCAATCTTTCCAAGGGGCTGGTGTCTTCAGCCTGTTGTCCTCCATCTGTTACTTGGGAGATGATGCCTACCTCATGAGGCTACTCTGAGGATTCTCTTGGCAATGTTGGGTGGTGCCTGGACTGTGATGCAAGTGCCTGTACTCTTTTATACCACAGAACAGGCAGCTTGGAAACCAGGGTGGGAATACTGGGGCGCATAGTCCCTCCTACCTGCAGGGGCTGACACCTGGGTAAATATCTTTACCTCTGCCTGAATTTTTCAGGGCACCAGCTCTTACCCATCACACCAAGAAGAACAAATGCATTTCATTTTTATCATTAGATTGAAAAGAAGACTTCTAAATCCAAGCTCTAGCTCAGCAGGAAAGCATGCTATGGTTGATTAGTGATGTCTGCCCTGGTCAAGTGAGGGGTGAAATGGGCACCTGTGCTGCACTTAACCTATCCTAGAATGCTATGGTGATCTCCTCAAAAGTGAGCACATGTGTTAGCAATACCGGTGCTGTGTCTTCAGTTCCCAGCACAAGGCGGGGCATGGCAAATATATCATTCATGATTATGAAAGAATGGAACCATTTGGGATTTGATGAGTTTTGCTCTGATAAGACCCTGACAGGTGTCTGGCATGACAGCCTACACTCGCCAGTGGGGGTTATTCTCAGGGCCAAGAAACGACTGAAAATCAGAAAGAAATTCTCTGGTGGAAGGGAAAAGTGATAGCAGTAATGTGAGTAAAATCCTTTGGGGTGACAGCTAACTAAGATTAAATTAGGGTAGAGTGGGAAAATTAATTAATGTCCAAACTGTGGAGCAGATATCTGAAGGTCTCTAGTTTATGAAGAATGATGTGAACACAGGTGAGGTTTATTGAAACATGTGAACACAGGTCTACGGCCTACAGAAACAGATGTGGGTGCAAGTCTGTCATACTACTATTGTCTGTGGAAACAGAAGAGGGCACAGGTTTACAGTCCATGGAAACATGTGGATGCAGGTCTAAAACCTGCAGAAAAAGATTTAAGCACAAGTCTACAAAAATAGATATGGGCAAAGGTCTATAATCTATGAAAACGGGTGTGGGCACAGGTCTATGGTCTATGGAAACAGATGTGGGCACGGGTCCATAGGCTCTAAAACAGACATGAGCATGGGTCTATGGTCTGTGGAATCAGACGTAGGCACGAGACTATGATTTCTGAAACAGACACAGGCATGGGTCTATTGTCTATGGGATCAGACGTAGGCACGAGACTATGATCTCTGAAACAGACTTGGACGTGGGTCTATGGTCTGTGGAAACAGACTTAAGCATGGGTCTACGGTCTGTGGAAACAGACTTGGCCATGAGTCTATGGTCTCTGAAACAGACTTGGACATGGGTCTATGGTCTGTGGAAACAGACTTGGACATGGGTCTATGGTCTATGGAAACAGACTTGGTCATGGGTCTGTGGTCTCTGAAACAGACTTGGACATGGGTCTATGGTCTGTGGAAACAGACTTGGCCATGAGTCTATGGTCTCTGAAACAGACTTGGACATGAGTCTATGGTCTGTGGAAACAGACTTGGACATGGGTCTATGGTCTGTGGAAACAGACTTGGACATGGGTCTATGGTCTATGGAAACAGACTTGGTCATGGGTCTGTGGTCTCCGAAACAGACTTGGACATGGGTCTATGGTCTGTGGAAACAGACTTCCACTATAATTTTCATTTCTAAAGAATGAGAAACCAATAAATAAAACATGTGAGATGCACAAAACATACTCCAAGAGCAACCCCATGCTTAGCCATAAAGCAAGTCTGAATACATTTAGAAAAACTGACATTGCACCATCCACACAGTCAGACTACAGTGGAATAAAACAGAAATCAATACCAAGAATATCTCCCCAAACCACACAATTATTTAAAAATTAAACGACTTGTTCGTGAATGACTTTTGGGTAAACAATTAAATTAAGGCAGAAATGAAAATCTCCTTTGAAATAAATAAAAACAGACACAACACATCAAAATCTCAGGGAGGCAGCAAAAGCAGTATTAAGAGCAAAATTTATAGTGCTAAATGCTTACCACAAAAAGTTTAAAACACTTCCAATTAATGATCTAACATCACACCAATAACTAGAAAAATAAGAACAAACAAACCCAAAAGCTAACAGAAGAAAATAAATCACTAAAATCAGAATGGAACTGAATGAAATTGAGACCCCAAAATCCATGCAAAAAAAAAATCAATGAAACCAAAAGTTGGTTCTTGTAAAAGATTATCAATATTAATTGGTTGCTAGCTAGATTAATAAAGAAAAAAAGAGAGAAGGTCTGAGTAAACACAAACAGAAATAAGAAAGGTAATGTTATAACTGATCCCACAGAAATAGAAAGATCCTCAAAGACTACTGTGAGCACATCTATGCACACAAACTAGAAAACGCAGAGGAAATGGATAAATTCCTCTTAGGATTGAATCAGGAAGAAATTGAAACCCTGAACCAACCAATATCAAGTTCCAAAATTAAATCAGCAATAGAAAACCTACCAATCATAAAATGCCTCAGACCAGATGGATTCACAGCCAAATTCTACCAGACATACAAAGAACCAATACCAATTCTACCAGACATACAAAGAAGAACTAATTCCACAAAATTGAGGAGATCCTAACTCATTCTACAAAGCCAGTATTACCCTGATAGCAAAACCTGGAGGTGACACAACGGAAAAAGAAAACTTCAAGCCAAAATCTCTGATGAATATAGATGCAAAAATCCTCAATATAGTATTAGCAAGCCCAATCAAGCAGTATACCAATAAGTTAGTTCATGTCTGGGCATGGTGACTCATGCCTGTAATCCCAGCACTTTGAGAGGCTGAGGCAGTTGGATCATTTGAGGTCAGGCATTCAAGACCAACCTGGTCATTATGGTTAAACCTGTCTCTACTAAAAATACAAAAATTAGGTGGGCAGTACTGCCATGTGTCTGTAACCCCAGCTACTCGGGAGGCTGAGGCAGGAGAATCACTTGAGCCTGGAAGGTGGAGGTTGTGGTGAGCCAAGATCCTGCCATTGCACTCCAGTCTGGGCAACAGAGTGAGACCCTGTCACAAAAAAGGAAAACATAGTTAATTCACCATGATCAAGTAGGCTTCCTTCCTGGGATGCAAGGTTGGTTCAACATATGCAAATCAATAAAAATGACTAACCACGTATAATTAAAAATAAAATACATAGAATTTCAACAGGCATAGAAAAAAAGCCTTCAATAAATCCAACATCTCTTTATGATAAAAACTCTCCCCAAACTAGGCATTGAAAGAACATACCTCAAAATAATAAAACCAATCTATGACAAGCCCACAGCCAACATTATACTGAACAGGCAAAAGCTTGGATCATTCCCCTAGAGAACTGGAACAAGACAAGGATGCTTACTCTCACCACTCCTATTCAACAGAGTACTAGATCTCCTGGCCAAGGCAATCAGGCAAGAGAAAGAAACAAAGATCATGTATATAGGAATAAATGAAGTCAAACTATCTCTCTTCACTGATATGATTTTATACCTAGAAAATCCTACAGATTCCACCAAAGGGTTCCTGGAACTGATAAATGACTTCAGTAAACTTTCAGGATATAAAATCACGTTACAAAAATCAGTAGTATTTCTATACACCAATAATGTTTAAGCTTGAGAGTCAAATTGAGTGCAATCCCATTCACAATTGCCATACACAAAAAAATGAAATACCTAGGAATCTAACCAAGGAGTTAATGGATGGACTGCCAGGAGCACTACAAAACACTGATGGAAGAAATCATAGATGACAGAAACAAATGGAAAAACATTCGATACTCATGGACTGGAAGAATCAATATCATTAAAATGATCATACTTCCCAAAGCAATCTACAGATTCCACAATATTCCTATCAAACTACCAATGTCATTTTTCACAGAATTCCATAAAACTATTCTAAAATTCATTTGGAACCAAAGAAGAGCCTGAATGTCCAAAACAATCCTAAACAAAAAGAATAAAGCCAGAAGCACCACACTATTTGACTTCAAACTATACTATAAGGCTACAGTAACCAAAACAGCATGGTAATGGTAAACAAACACACAAAAAAACAGACACATAGACCAATGGAACAGAATAGGGAACCCAGAAATAAAGCCTGACACCTACAGCTATCTGATCTTTGACAAAACGGACAAAAATAAGAACTGGGGAATGGACTGTATTCAATAAATGATGCTGGGATGACTGGCTAGCTATATACAAAAGAATAAAACTGGACTCCTACATTTTACCACACACAAAAATTAACTCAAAATGAATTAAAGATTTAAATGTAAGACCTTAAACTAGAAGGATTTCAGAAGAAAACCTAGGAAACACCACTATGTACATTGGCTTTAGGGAAAGAATTTATGTTTAAGTTATCAAAGGCAATTGCAACAAAGAAAACTGATGAGTGGAATCTAATTAAACTAGAGAGCATTTGCACAGCAAAAGAAAATATCGACAGAGTAAATAACCTACAGAATGGGGGAAAATATTCACAAACTATGCATCTGACAAAGGCCTACTATTCAGAATCTACAAGGAACTTAATTCAACAAGCAAAAAACAATCCCATTTAAAAGTGGGCAAAGGACATTAATAGACACTTCTCAAACAAAGACATACAAGCAGCCAGCGTGTATTAAAAAAATGTGCAACATCGCTAATCATCAGGGAAATGCAAATCAAGACCACAATCATCTCACACCAGTCAGAATGGTGATTATTAAAAAGTCAAAAAACAACAGATGCTGATGAGGCTGAGGCAGGAGAATCTCTTGAGCTGAAGAGTTGAAGGCTGCAGTAAGCTATGGTCTGATCATGCCACTGCACTCCAGCCTGGGCCACAGAGAAAAACCCTGTCTCTACAAAAAGAAAAAGAAAGCAAAGTTGGCTATATCTTGATATATTGAAGCAGGGATGAGAATCTTTAAGATTCTCTCTACTTTTAAATTTATTTGAAATTTCTCATAATAAAATTTCAAACATGAGATTGTGTTCTATAATGAGCGGGGCCATGTTCAGCCCCACCTTCATTACATCCTTATTGTCTTCTGTTAGGCAGACAAGCTCCCGAAGAGCAAAGGGCATGGGGTCTGCAGCATTTAGGCTTCCCAAGAAAGCAGTAGCAGGAATTGGGCAGCAGCAGACACATGGCCAGCAACTTACACTGCTTATAAACAAGATGTTTCACACCTGGAAGGTTCTCATATGTTCTTTGAAATCAAAAGAGTATGGCAAAATCTGAAGACAATTTTCTATAGGAGATTCTTTGGAATTATCTGGTTATTTCCTTATTAAGAAATGGGGAGGTAGTTTTTCAATCTTCACCCTATTATCTGGGTGACAAAATAATCTGTACTCCAAACCCCCATGTATTAGTCTGTTTTCATGCTGCTGATAAATTCATACCTAGACTGGACAATTTACAAAAGAAAGAAGTTTACTGGACTTACAGTTCCACTTGGCTGTGGAGGCCTCACAATCATGGTGGAAGGGGAAAGGCATGTCTCACATGGTAACAGACAAGAGAGAGAAGGAGCTTGTGTGGGGAAACTCCTCATTTTAAAACTGTCAGATCTCATGAGACTTAATTCACTATCATGAGAACAGCATGAGAAAGACCTGCCCCCTTGATTCAATTGCCTGCCACTAGGTCCCTCCCACAACACATGAGAATTAAGATGAGATTTGGGTGGGGACACCTAAACCATACCTTTCCACCCCTGGCCCCTCCCAAATCTCATGTCCTCACATTACAAAACCAATCAGGCCTTCCCAACAATCCCCCAAAGTCCTAACTTATTTCAGCATTAACTCAAAAGTCCACAGACCAAAAGTCTCGTCTAAGACAAGGTAAGTCCCTTTTGCCTATCATTAGTCTGTAAAATCAAAAGCAATTTAATTAGTTCCTAAATACAAAGGGGGTACAGGCATTGAGTAAATACAGCTGTTCCAAATGGGATAAATTGGCCAAAACAAAGCTACAGACCCCATGCAAGTCCAAAATCCAGCAGGGCAGTCAAATCTTAAAGCTCCAAAATTATCTCCTTTGACTCCATGTCTCATATCCAGGTCACGCTGATGCAAGAGGTGGGCTCCCATTGCCTTGGGCAACTCCACTCCTGTGGCTTTGCAAGGTATAGCCCCCCTCCTGGCGGCTTTCACAGGCTGGCGTTGAGTGTCTGTGGCTTTTCCAGGCTCACGGTGCAAGCTGTTGGTGGATCTACCATTCTGGGGTTTGGAGGATGGTGGCCCTCTTCTCACAGCTCCACTAGGCTCTGTGCTGGGGCTCTGACCCCCTTCTGCACTGCCCTAGCAGAAGTTCTCCATGAGGGCCCTGCTCCTGCAACAAACTTCTGCCTGGGCACCCAGGCATTTCCATACATCCTCTGAAATCTAAGTGGAGGTTCCCAAACCTCAACTCTTGACTTCTGTGGATCCGCAGATTGAACACCAGGTAGAAGCTGCCAAGGTTTGGGGCTTCCACCCTCTGAAGCAACAGCCCAAGCTGTACCTTAGCCCCTTTTAACCATGGCTGGAGAGACTGGAATATAGGGTACCAAGTCCTTAGGCTGCACAGACCAGGGAGGCCCAAGGCCCAGCCCAAGAAACCATGTTTTCCTCCTAGGCCTCTGGGCCTGTGATGGGAGGAACGGCCATGAAGACCTCTGACATTCCCTGAAGATATTTTCCCCATTGTCTTGGCAATTAACATTCAGCTCCTCGTTACTTTTGCAAATTTCTGCAGCTGACTTGAATTTCTCCTCAGAAAACCGGATTTTCTTTTCCATTGCATTGTCAGGCTACAAAGTTTCTGAACTTTTATGCTCTGCTTCCCTTATAAAACTGAATGCCCTTAACGTCACCTCTTGAATGCTTTGCTGCTTAGAAATTTCTTCTGCCAGATACCCTAAATCATCTCTCTCAAGTTCAAACTTCCACAAAACTCTAGGGCAGGGGCAAAATGCACCCAGTCTCTTTGTTAAAACATAACAAGAGTAACCTTTGCTCCAGTTCCCAACAAGTTCTTCTTCTCCATCTGAGACCTCCTCAGCCTAGATTTCATTGTCCATATCACCATCAGCATTTTGGTCAAAGCCACTCAACAAGTCTCTAGGGAGTTTGCAACTTTCCCACATTTTCCTGTCTTCTGAGCCCTCCAAACTGTTCCACCCTCTACCTGTTACCCAGTTCCAAAGTTGCTTCCACATTTTCAGGTATCTTTTCAGCAGTGTCCAGCTCCACTGGTACCAATTTACTGTATTAGGCCATTTTCACACTGATGATAAAGACAAACCCGAGACTGGACAAATTATCAAAGAAAGAGGTTTAATAGACTCACAGTTCCATGTGGCTGGGGAGGCCTCACAGTCATGGCAGAAGAGGAAAGGCACATCCCACATGGTAACAGACAAGAAAGAGAAGGAGCTTGTGCAGGGAAACTCCTCCTTTTAAAACCATCAGATCTTGTGAGATTTACCCACTATCACGAGAACAGCACAAGAAAGAACTGCCCCCATGATTCAACTACCTCCCACCAGGTCCCTCCCACAACACATGGGAATTCAAGATGAGATTTGGGTGGATAACCAGCCAAACCATATCACCCGACAACACACAATTTACCTATGTAACAAAGTAGCACTTGTACCCCTGAAACTAAAATAAAATTATAAAAATAAAAACTATAAAAATAACCTCAAGCCTAAAAAAAAGGAAAAAAGAAATGAGGAGGAACTCAAGTGCTGAGACCTTATTCACCATGACTTTTGAGGACTACAAATTAACCAGGCCAGTGGAGAAATCTACCTGAGTCCACTGTTCTGTCTCCCCTCATTTTGCCTTTAAGCAAGTTTAATAACTGTGTGTGCTTATTTCACACACAGAAGGTAAAGCTAGCACTGACTTCTAAGGATGTACACCCAAGGCCAGCAGGGGAGGCCGTGACCAGGTGTCATCCGCATCACATCACCAATTGTGTGTGTGTTAATGCATCCTCTTACTCTAGGGCCCTTGCAAGAAGTCTTTTCTTGTTTGAAATAGGGTTTATTTGATTGGCAGATGGCTTTGTGAAAGAGCAAAATAAGAATTGAAGGTGGGAAATGTCAGGGGCCCACTGACTCCTGCTTTAAGTATGGAGCCCTTCCTTGAGCTGGGATGTCTGGCCTTTGCCTAGATTCCTTGCCCCACCCAGATCCCTGCCCCTCCATGGTTTCTACTGTGAAAACTGGAGAGTCACTTCTGGTCTCTAGATGGCTGCGACTTTAAATCAGAGGTTCAGAAGGAAGACTTGAACATAAACAGAAGTTAAAGAGATGTGCTGGTTCACTAAGGTGCTGGGTGACACAGAAGCCCTACGGGGCAGGAGGCTCCCCCTTCTCTCTGCTGACTCTCCCTGCTCTCCCCTTCTTCCCCTGACCCTGTAAAATATGCCTCCTGTGACTCTCAATATCTCCTTATTTGCTCTTTCTTTTTCTCTTTTTTGTTTTGTTTTCCCTTATTTATTTTTCTTCTTTCCCTTTTTCCTCCTTTTATCAATTTTTATTTACGCATTTTTTTTTGAAACAGAGTCTCACTGTGTCATCCAGGCTGGAGTGCAGCGGTGCAATCGTGGCTCACTGCAACATCTGCCCCCGGGTTCAAGCAATTCTCCTGCCTCAGCCTCCCTACTAGCTGGGATAACAGGCATGCACTATCACACCCGCCTAATTTTTGTATTCTTAGTAAAGATGGGGTCTGGCCATGTTGGCCAGGCTGGTCTCAAACTCCTGACCTCATGCAATTCGTCCATCTCAGCCTCCCAAAATGCTAGGATTACAGTCATGAGCCACTGCACCTGGCCTAATTTTTAATTTAAAAACAACGTAATACTCATTTTTTAAAAAAAGTCAAGCAATTCCAACATAGAATAAAGGGCATGCATGATGTGTCCCACCATCCAGGCCCCTTTCCTGCCTGCAGGGGTGTGTTCTTAAGTAATGAGTGGTGATTCTAATTTAATAAAGCAATTGCCTTGTTTGTTAGACAAAATTTGCTTGAATTATTTAAGGGCCATTTCAAATTTCTCTTATAGATTCTCAATAATGCTTAGGTAAATTAATTTGAGATATATGTTTTACTTTTGCCTTATGGACCTAAGATTATATTTTCTGCATCAATGACCCTCAATAAAAAGTGGTTTAGCCACCACTGGGTTGAGTCAGGGCCATAGGACAACCTGTCTCCTTTCTGCTTGGGAATTTGGTTGTAGTTGGACAGGCAGGGCAAAGTGCATCCACATGCTAAGCATTTAGTACCTCTTGTCTCAGAATTAGTCCCTGCAGGGAAGGAAACTGATATAACTAGGGTCGAGAATAGATCCTGAGATCCGAGTTCCATGATCCAGGCAGCTGCATTGATCCTGGGATCTGAGCTCCATGATCCAGGCAACTGCAGCAGGGGTCGAGCCCAGAGTCCAAGATTGGTCCTGGGTGGTGAGCCTTGCTTGCTGACGGAGCAGAGGAGGCAAAAGTAGCTTCACTGTCAGGAGCCCCTCATCTCCTCTTAGGTGAGTCTCCCTAACTCAGGGCTCCAGAGCTAGCAATGTGTGCTCCTTCCTTGGGAATAAAATTGGGGGATGGGATCTGGCCCAGCTGGGGTAGGCCCACAGGTTTCTATTTCACTTGGAAATTAGCTGAGTGGGAGATCCCCCACTCTCAAACCAGGGAAGTGCCAAGTAGTTGCGGGACCCAAGGGCCCTGGGAATTTGGAAGCCCGAGGTCAGAGGTGACTGTCATGGTCAGGGCCAGAGCCAGAGAATCAGAGAGAGGTGATGGGGGTAAAAATCAAGACACTGTGGAGAAAGTGAAAGGTATGGCATAGGTGACCGCTGGTGCATTGACCCTGGGGTCATCTAGGGTGGATAGATTAGAGGGCAGAGCTACACACAAAAGAGTGGATCGTTTCTCCTGAGTTGTGCCTTGGACCATGAGGGAATCCAGCATCAGACAACTGGGGGTGTGCGACTGCTCCAGGCCCAGCTTCCCTTGCCTCCTTTGTCCATGAGGAAAGCAACACTCAACACCAGCATTAAGGGGCATTAGGGCTGAGGGTTGCTCGAGGCCAAACCCAAGGACTCTGTTCTGGGGTGAGAGCTAAAGCAGTCAGTAGCCTCACCCACCTGGGATTGGGGCCCACTGGGCATGGTCACTGCCCGTCGGGGGAAGCCAGGCTGCATTAGTCACATTAGCACGAGCTGCTGCAAGCCAAGAACTCTAAAATCTCAGTGCCCCATACAATAGAAATTTGTTTTTCGCTCATGTAAAGTACAATTAATAAGGGAGTGGGTGTGGAGGGGAGGCTCTGCTTCACCCAGTTATCTGGGAACCTGGCTGAAATAAGCTCCTGAGGTCATCATCCTGGGTGTCACCCTCTGTAGGGCAGGCCAAGGAAGACAGAACAGAGAACACAATGGGTTTCTATGGGCTGAGGGTCAAAGCGGGGCACGTTCGCTTCCACCCCATGCCATTAGCCAGATTCAGTCCCCTGGCTACACCCAATTGCAAGAGCTCTGGGAAGAGTCATCCAGCTGAATGTAGGCCTAAGAGGAGGGAGAGAGCACGGATTCAGCAGAGGCCTGGCTCCTGCCACACCCACTGTCTGCATGCCTCAGTCCCAACTCAAAGCACACAATCACATTGGGAGGTCAATAACTATAAGCTCACCAATGTAGGTGGCTTTTCTCATTCACTGTCTACATCCATACCAGAGGAAAAAAAATGCTAGTGGCCAGTGGGCCACATTTCATCTGTACAATGGTTTTACTTAGTACATACGGTGTGTAAAAATATATTTGTAAAGGCAAAGCACACAAAAGCGACTTAGTTTTTCCTTCGACATTAGAAAGTCCAGAGTCTTCACAGATAAGGCAGGTGTCCTACCTCTTGAGTCACTGAAAGGTTCACCTTCCCGTTCAGCAGCATGATGAAGCCACATCATGCTTCACACAGGGTGAAGACACCCTGTCACAGTCTCTGCCTCTCCCTATTTTCCCCCAGAACAAGCTCACAGGTTCTACATGAGACACCCATGTCGTTTGTGTGCACGTGAGGGGTGCCCTCGAGACCACACTGCTGTATCTATCTACTCGGGGAGAGATTGCTCCTGGGAATCAGAGGGTACTGGGTGCCCTGGGGCAACACTCTCAACCTGCCAGAGGCCTCATAAGAGATTCCTGAACAGAATGATGTCAGTGCTGTGCTTTGAAGTCCATTGCTTAAAGAACGGTGGTGGTCTATGGGGACTGTTTATAGAAGCCTAACAGCGGAGATACCAGAAGGGCCATCTGGCAGGCAGTGCAGGGCGGGGTGAAGTAGTGGGAAATGATATTGGGGAGGCAGGAGAGGCCAGACCTAGCAGGAGTCCAGCTAGACGAAGATCTTGACTTACCTTCCAGGGCAATGGGAAGGCCATGAAGCATTTTTAAAAGGGAAAGTTGTGACCAGATTTGCATTTTAGAAAGCTGATTTTCCTTGTTGTCAACCGAGGGATGGACAAAGTACAAAATAGGAAGACATGGTGCGGAAATGCAGGTGTCAGATGAGGCTTGTTCGCTACCTGCTGGATGGGGCATAAAAGAGGACCCATCTGACAGAATGAGGAAGCCCAGGGCACCTGGTATATCTCACACAGCAGCATTTATCATTTCAGGCCCAGGGGAGCAAATGGCAACATCTTGTCTGGAAGTTTCTATTTGATCTGGGGCCCCAGGCACTGACTCAGAAGTCATCATCACGAAATGAGCTCCTGAGTGGAGCTTAATGCTTTCCAATGGATCACACACACTCGAGTGGTAATTAATGATTTGATTCATTGTGCTTTGGGGAGCCACTGTTCAACAGAATAATCCAAGTAATTTAAATCTGCAATAAACTAGGAGTGCAACAACATTTCATGACTGCACACAGAAATGATTTGCTAGAGAGGGGGAAGAAAAGCATTTTTATTAAAGCCACATCCAAATGGTCCACAGGAAAGCAATATTGAGTTCACAAGTGATTTGATTACGTTCCTCCACAATAGTCCTCCAAGGCAGACCCAAGTCCAGATGCATTTCTGTGAATGTGCATAATACCAAAGGTTCAGTAAACCAACACGTTTCATCAAAATTACTCTGTGCATGTCTGAGACAGAAAATGTTTGCAGAATGTTAACCGCCCTTTTATTCAGAATAACTTTCTTCCACCATTAGCATCTGGCATCTGCAACTGATATGAGCTCAAATGCATCCCCTGTGGAGTTGGGTCTTCCTCTACAAGCCCCTCTCCATCAGTGTCCCTGGCTGCTGGCATATGTACGCAAGCCTGCCTGTCCTTCACACACCCACAGAGGGACTAAGCTCTGCTCTGTGCCAGGAGCACCCTGAGCTCAAGGAGCATCTAGGTAATAGAAGAGGCAGACGCACTCTGAAATGGGCAAATGCAAATGAAATTATCAAATTGTGGGGCAGGAGGGCACCAAGAAGAAACCTCATGCTATGAGGATCAGCAAGTGCTCCCTAAAGAAAATAAGACCTCAGAAGTTAGCTACGGGCAGAGGTGGGGAGGGTCAACTGGGTATTTCAGGTGGCAGCTGGTATTCCAGGTGGTATGGAAAGCACACACATTTCTTTAACAGACCACTGACCTTAAATGGGAAAACATAAAATCGCTAAATCAATAATCCATTATAGATTCAATGAGCCTTCAAGGCAAAGAATCCCCAAAGGGGCATCTGTGGAGCCCTGCTTAGTTTATTTACTCCTTGGATTCATGCTTACTGAGTGGCAGCTGTATTCCAGGCACAGTCTTAGGTGCTGAAGATGAAGGTGAGACCAGTCATTGTCTTTGCAGATTTCACATGTAAATGGGTACGAAGACAATTAGCTAATTATTGCAATAAGAGCCATGGAGGGAATTATCTTGAGGTGTGCTGACAGTGAGAACTTCAGAAGAGCCAACTTTGGATACTGAGGTGTTAGAGTCAGGAAGACATACAAGAACTGAGGTCAGAAGGGTGAGAAGGGTCAAATTGGAGAGCAGACACAGCAGGTAGAGGAAACTATGAGCACTGAGGCTTGAGAGTGACAGCCTGGGCATGTTCCAGGGCCAGTACGGCTGGAGCTGAATGAGGAAGCTGGGAGGGAGGAGGAAGAGGGGCATGGGATGAGGCACCTGGACTTCTGACATGCTCTGCAGCCCTGCCAAAGCTGTCATCCTTCAGGATGCCTTTCCTTGACCATAAGCTATGGTCATTAATGAAATGCCCTCTCTTCTTTCATTCACAAATACGTCCTGGCTTAGATTATAAATTTTAGAGTCAACCTAGCTATGAACAGGACATAATTTTCAGGCCAAACCTATATAACCCACTCAGATGACTTGTTTTCCCTCTCTCATGAATATGAACACTATGTAAAATCTGTAAACACCCAAATCATAGCCACTTGGTCTTAATCAGAAAGCCCTGGTCCAAGACAGTTTTAGGCTGGTGTTATATTTCACTGTATCTAAAAAGATAAATTTTACCAAATTTGGAGATGACACACATGACATCGAGTTCAACTTCCATTCATAAACATATTTTTAGGACTATACTAGACATCCCATGTTCATAGATTGAAAAATTAATATTGTTGTCTATACTAATCCAAAGCAATACACAGATTCACCGCAATCCCTATAAAAATGCTGATTGCATTCTTTACAGAAGAAAAAATATCCTAAAATACTTCTGAAACCACAAAACCCTGAGGAGCCAAAGCAATACTGAGAAGATAAAACAAAGTTGAAAGCATTACACTTACTCATTTAAGACTATATTACAAAGCCATAGTAATCAAATAGTATGGAATTGGCATAAAAACAGAAACATAGACCAATGGAACAGACTAGAGAGCCCAGAAATAAGTCCAGACTTAAATGGTCAAGTAAGTTTTGACAAGGGCACTAAGAGGACACAACAGGGAAAGGACAGTCTTTTCAATAAATGATGCTGGGAAAACTTATTTTCATATGCAAAATAATAAAATTGGACTCTTGTTACACACTATACACAAAAATAAACTTGAAATAAATAAAAGACCTAAATGTAAGATCTGAAACCATAAAACTCTGGCAAGAAAAAAATTGGGCAAATGTTCCTTGACACTGGTCTTTGCAATGAATTTTTTGGATATCACACCAAAAGCTCAGGCTACAAAAGCAAAAACAAATGAGGCAATCTCAAACTGAAAAACTCCTACACAGTAAAGAAATCAATAAGTGAAATGATAAGGTAACCTACTGACTAGGTATAAACATTTGCAAACCACATATCTGATAAGGAGTTAATATTCAAAATCTACAAAGAACTCTTATGACCAGTAGCAGAATAACATGATTTTAAAAATGAGTAGAGGACCTGAAAATATATATTTCCAAAGAAGACATAATAATGACCAATACATAGATGAAAAGGTGTTCAATATCACTAATCAACAGGGAAATGCAAATTAAAACCACAAGGAGATAACACCTCATAGCCAATAGAATGGCTATTATCAAAAAGATAAGAGATAACTAGTGTGGTAAGGGTATAGAGAAAAGGGAACCTTAGTACACCGTTGATGAGAATGCAGATTGGTACAACCGTTATGGGAAAGAGTATGGAGGTTCCTCACAAAATTAAAAACAGAACTACCATATGACCCAGCAATCCCATTTCTGGCTATATACCCAAAAAAGATGAAACCACCACCTCATAAATATATCTGCACTCCAGCATTACTCTCAATAGCCAAGATAGAAAACAACCTAAGTGTTTGCTGATGGACAAATGGATAAAGAAAATGTTGTATAGATATGCAATAGAATATTATTCAGCCTTATTTTTTTTTTTTAAAAAAAAAGCAGATTCTGCCATTTGCCACATATGGATGAACCGGGATGACATTATGCTAAGTGAAATAGACCAGACCAGAGAGAAAAATACTGCATGATCTCACTTATGTGTGTAATTTTAAAAATCAAACATATAGAGATAGAGAATAAAATAGTGGTTACGGTGGGCAAACGGGGAGAGCAGGGCAGAGGGATAGAGAGTGGATGTAGGTCAGAGGATACAAAGTAGCAGTTATGTAGGATGAACAAATTCAGAGACCTAATGAACAACATGAAGACTGTAGCAAATAAACCTGTATTGCATTAGGGATTTTTGTTAAATAAGTAGATTTTAGCTGTTCTTGTCACACACACACACACACACACACACACCCCTATGTGAGATATTAGATATGTTAATCTTCCTCACTATAGTAACAATTTCACTATCTATGTATCCTTATAACATCATGTTGTAAACCTCAAGTATACACAATAGTTTTCTTTGTTTTTTTTTGTTTGTTTGTTTTTTAAAGACTGTACTACATGTGCAAGGCACTGTTCAAAGGGATTCACATGAATGACTTCACTCTACCCCACAAGATCATGCTCCCTGTTTCACACTGAGGATTTGGGAATCTTATCCAGGGCACAGGCTGATGACTTGAGCTGAGCCAGAGGCTCCAGGGATCGTGCCCTCCCCCAGGTATCTGCAGCCCAGCCCTCTCTCCTGAGCTTCAGACTTCGTCCCCAGTTGAAACTGGTCATATCTACCGGGACACCTCACAGACATTTTAAATCCAACTCATCCAAACTGGAACTCTCCTTTTTTTCCCTCCCATATCTTCTCCTTCTGTGTTCTTCAGTGGCAGATTGGCGGGGAGGGTGTAGATGCCCTCAAAGCAGTCTTCACCACTGCACTTACCTCTGATGCCACCCAACTGCCTGGCCCAGCTGCATCCTGCTCTGCACTCTCCCCTGTCTGGCTCACTGCCCCAGCTCGGAAGCCCTAACCTCATTCCAGTCTGTGTACTCTTCTCAAACTCAGCTGCTCCCCTCGACACAGCCCCTTGTCCTGTGTCCCAGGCTCCTGGGCACTGCTCTCTCACTGGCCGGACCCCATCAGATCAGCCTTTGGAGTGACAGCACAGCAAACTAGAAAGAGTAATGGGAAGGGACTCCACAGCCATACAAGGGCCAGGGGAGCAAATCCCAACTCTGCCACGGACTGGCGCTGGGACCTTGCGTAAAGAACTAGATCTTACTGGCCTTCGGCTTCCTCTTCTGCTCATTGGTCCTTCATGGGATTTTAGTGAAGTTAGCAACATGCCCCGTCAGTTGTTCAACAAGTAAAAGTTATCTCTAAACACACAGTCCAAATACTCAATATCCCTCTCCCTCCCTCATTCTCTCTCTCTCTCCCATCCTTGTTCTCTCTTTCTTATCTTCTCTCTCCCTTATCTTCTCTCTCGTTTCACTCTTGTTGCCCAGACTGGAGTGCAATGGTGCGATCTCGGCTCACCACAACCTCCGCCTCCCGGGTTCAAGAGATTCTCCTGCCTCAGCCTCCTGAGTAGATGGGATTACAGGCGTGCACAACCATGCCTGGCTAATTTTGTATTTTTGGTAGAAACTGGGTTTCTCCATGTTGGTCAGGCTGGTCTCAAACTCCCGATCTCAGGTGATCCACCTACCTTGGCCTCCTAAAGTGCTGGGATTACAGGCATGAGCCATCACACTTCTCTCCTTTTCTCTCTCATCCTCTCTCCTCTCTTCCTCATCCTCCCTCCCCTCCCTCTCTCTCTCATCCTTGCTTCCTCTCTCTTTGTCTCTCTCCTTTTCTTTCTCATCCTCTCTCTCTCTTTTCTGTCTCTCTCTCACTGACTCTCTCTCTCTCTGATTAAACCAAGCACTTAATAAGTGGCAAGGGCTGCACTCTGCATTTTTCAAGCTCCTCAACCTCACCCTCTGAGGAAGATACTACTCTCTCATTTTATAGATGGTTTGTGACTCATTGGCCTTATTTGACACCAAAACTCTAACAAAGCAACTGAGCCTACTTTTGTCTCATAAGTTCACAAGCTGAACATGGCGGGAAGTATTGAATAGAAGTAGAGGTAGTGCCAAGCAGAAAAACCCAAAGACCTTCACCCAGGTGCAAGGGAGAATCATGGAAGCCAGCAGCCAGGTGACCTAATGCACAGCCCTGCACACCCCAGAGCACGGGGAGTCTCAGGGAGGATAGAAGAGCCAGTTCCTACTCATCCCCTCCTGTGTGCATGCCGATGTGATAGCCACACCAGCACCTCTCTGCATTTACTTCACAAAATAAAATTACAGGAAACAGCAGCAATTTGTGAGGTAGCCAGGATATCTTTGAGCTAAGTACTCTGCCAAATAGAGAAACAAAGACTCAACTAAGTTTGGTGCCCTGGCCAGGCTTCCACGGCTAGTACTGCAAGAGCAATACTGTCAGTTCAGCCCAGCCCTGGGGACATACTCTGTCCCTGAGACGTACTTGTGTGTTTGATGTGACATTGTCTGAAAAAAAAATGCTTCAATTCAGAGAGAAACTGTGTACCTCTGCTGACACACTATGACACGTGCTCCATCACCTTCTCACACACCACGAGAGTGGGGTGCTACAAAGAAGACTCAGCCCCTCTGCTGCCTACTTAGGTGAAATTAGTGGGAGGAGAAAATAAAGATGAGAATTTGGACCAGTTTTTGAAGGGACCTCCCTCCTCTCAATTCATTTGTTAGGTGACTGTCACCCATCCTCCCAACCCTCCTGTTGGAAGGACAGTGGGCTGCCTGGGCAGACAGGCTGGGCAGAGCCCTGGAGACCCATCCGGACCCCATCACTGCCTGTCTAAGCAGAGCCAGGTGTAGTCTCGGAGGCCACACGCCCAGTGGAGTTTCAGCTGAATCACCTCCAGGCAGCATCCTATGCTGAGTGCTGTGACACCACCAACCAGGGCTGCAGGAGGGGCTCCCCCTCTTTGTGGAACACCGCACAGTTGCTCTCTCCAAAAGCCTGTGGGTCACTCTTCATCCTGCTTTTGCCCTTGCTTTCTATGTTCAGTCACTTAGCAAGACTGTGGACTTTGCCTCCACTGTATGGCCGGCCCACAGCCACTCGTGTCCCAAGTTAGCCACTTGAAGTATGCCCAGGCCATGGGGCCCTTGCGGTATCGCCAGGCCACAGAGTCCTTGCAGTATCTCCAGGCCACAGGGTCCTCGCAGTATCACCAGGTCATGGGGTCCTCGCAGTGTCGCCAGGCCACAGAGTCCTGCCACAGGGAGGCTGAGCCTGAGCTCCCAATCCCTGTACCCTCACCGGTGTCCACCATGGTGGTCCCAAAATTGTTCTTGGCTCCTCTTTTTCTCGGGTGCTGCAGAGGGTCCCTCTGGCACTCTTTGGAGTCCTTCTTCCCACCTGCTCCACTCCTGCAGAGGCCGACTGGCCACTCTCCCTTTTTGTGCTGTTGGCCCCTCACACTATTCCAGGACAGGAGCCTGCAGGTAAGTCAGACCATGTCATTCCTCTGCTTAAATCCTTCTCAATTTTCCCATCTCTCTCCAAATTAGCAGTCTTGGCCTACTGCACAGCCACAGGGCCGTGCCTCACACCCTCGTTCCCTCACCCCGGGCTCGGCCCCCATTCTCCCTGCACCCGTCCCTGGCCTGCCTCTCCCTGGAGGACCTGCACCTTCCTGGGCATCCTCTCCAGGGCCATGCCTCTCCTTGTTCACACTCTACCCAGTGTCCCCCAGCAGAGGGGCTCCCATCTGACCTTGCTTTTAGGATCAACACGCCCAGTTACTCTCTATCCCCCCATTCGCATGTCTTCTGCCTGGCAACACTGGCTGGCACTGGCATACCACACAGGTGCGTCCTTATTGCATCTCCATGGGGCAGGGCAGAGGCTCACCTGGGCACAGCCATGCCCCACCTTGCACCTGGTGCACAGGAGAATCGGCTTGCCTGTGGAATAAAGGAGGGCACACAACTCTGACATCACCTCTAAGACAGTTCTCTTGGCTAAACTAAATAAATGCCTCAAGTGTTAAAACTCAAGTCTGTTCGCATGATTCAGATTCTATCTCAAGAGGAACACGGTCTGCCTGATGCCAATCCTGTCCTATTTTCAAAAGGACTTCCCTCATCACAAGGTGCCCAGTAGCCTGAGTGTCTTGTCCTCCCTGGGCTCCCATGGGGCCAGACCCACAGCTGGCACAGAGCAGGGGGTGCAGCTGCTGACTGGATGATGTTAGGGAGGGGACTCCAATCCTCAATCCCTACAAATTGGACTGGTAGAAGGGTTTGTGGTGTTGCTTCCATTTGTATTTTTAAATTTGCATTTGTATTGTCTGCCCACAATAGGCTAGACTTGTGTGATTCATATAAAAATGAGTAACAGGGAGTCCCTGTCTCCAAGGACTTCATAACCACAGAGACAGAGTGAGGTGGCAAATCCTTAGGGAGCCACATGATAAAAGCTGCTAGAGGTATCAGAGGTGGTAGGGCACAGCTCAACTGGGAGAGATGTGGCTGGTTGGGGGCTGGACAGAGATGCTCTCCTGCAGGAGTGGGGCATTCTGGGGCTGAGACTCAGTGCGGGGTGCTGAGGGAGCTGCGTAGAGAGCAGGCAGATAGTCAGCAGGAGCAGGAGCATGGTGGGGCTGATGGCAAAGGCAGGAGTGAGTTCATGGAGTGATGTGCAGGTCATGGCATGTACCGCAGGGTGCCCATGCCTCAGGTGAAGTCCTTTGCACAGATATCCCATAAGGGAAAACACTAATTAAATCTGCCTTTGCTTTGCCCTCACAGTCTCTGGCCCACTTGCAATGTTCTTCCAGGGTTTGCTTCACTGTGGTTTTCAACAGAAGCATGACAACACTGAGGAGATTCCTTACATTCAGCTCTTGAGACACTTCTGTGCAGGTAC
Organism: Homo sapiens; assembly: GCF_000001405.40. NCBI lineage: Eukaryota > Metazoa > Chordata > Mammalia > Primates > Hominidae > Homo > Homo sapiens. The sequence goes on along the minus strand of NC_000002.12, from coordinate 129,007,921 downwards.
CTGCAGCCCTCAATGCCCTGGCCACTCATCTCTCCCTTGCTCCCGAATTTTCAGCTCAGCCCATTTTTCTTTTTTTCTAGAAAAAGAACACATTGCTAATAGGTAACGTCAATTTCATCTTGCTGGAGTAGAGCTTGAAACATTGAAGACTTCAACATGTACAAAATAAACAAGTTTTGAGCTTATTAACTCTAAGTCTGAAGCTACATAAGGTGATTTGCCCAAGGAGACTTGTTTTTGACAAGCCAGGTCTGAACACATGGAAACTGGAGACCCTGGCCCTGTAGCCATGAGGTCTTCACCTCTACGAGGCTGAGCCAGGGGCTGTGGCCCACCAAATCTGACCTTCCAGGCTCATGGGGACAAGCCATTTAGCAAGCCCATTTTAAGCATTTTTAATGTTCTATGGAAATGTGTTTTAGCTGCGCTCTGATAAGCCTGCCTCCTAGCTGGTGCTGAGCTGAATCAGAAACAGGTCAGAGAGACTGCCAAGCCTTAGCTAAGAACTCAGCTGAGCTAGGTTTATTCTATAAATGTTGCACTTTTTAAGGTGGTCAAAAACCACCAGCTTTAGCTATCAAAAGACAACAAAAGTAAACAAAAGACATTGATGGATAGGCTGCGGAGATCAATCTCAAAAGAATCAGTGAGGGGTTAAGGTTCTGCCATTCTGGTTATGTGTGTGGAAGGAGCCATGGATTATTAATCCCCTGCTTTAATAAGGGTGATGGGAGATGGCACGACTTCCAGCCAACTTGAAGCCATAGCCTTCCTCTCCTGAAGTGGGAGCCTGGGCACAGCAGAGCTCCTGTGTGTCTGTAAATGCCGGACGATCTCACATTTGAGGAACTCTCACGTACAGATTTGAATGTAACACTGAGCAGTGGATCCTGCATCTATGTCCTGCCCTGGGAGGAGACAGTCCAGGGATGTTTCTGGCTGCTGGGTCTGGACCATTTGATATTGGCACTATATGACCATTTCCACCTGCAAAACTCGCAACTTTATGTGGTTCAACCTAATATTAAGTCCAGGCTGAATGGGAAGCAGGTCTTTATTACTGCTTAGCCATTTTCTCGGAACAAAATCACACATAATATGGTAAGAATACTACATTTTATTCTAAAAGAATGTAGAGTATTCATGATCTCATAGAGCACCATTAACATGCTCCATCGATGGCAAGGTGTCTCCACCTAGGCCTGGGCCTCTCGGTGGCAGAGCCCGTGTGCTGGGCTTACACAGCAATGTGTTCCCCTATTGCATTGTCAGGCAGAAAGTGACACTTAATCAATGTGGGTTTATAAATTAATAATTGAATAAATTAACCAAGGAATCACCACTGCTTTCCTCCTTTTTTTTTTTTTGAGACGCAGTCTCGCTCTTTCGCCCAGGCCGGAGTGCCATGGCATGATCTCGGCTCACTGCAACCTCTGCCTACCGGTGTGTCTGGAGTTTGTTCCTGCCGGTGGATTCATGGTTTTGCTGACTTAAAGAATGAAACCGCGGACTTTCACAGTGAGTGTTAAAGCTCTTAAATTTGGCACGGATCCAAAGAGGGAGCAGCAGCAAGATTTATTGCGGAGTGAAATAACAAAGCTTCCACAGGGGAACCCGAGTGTGTTGCCCTGCAGGCTGGAGTGGCCAGCTTTTATTCCCTCATTTGTCCCCGCCCATGTCCTGCTGATTGGTCCATTTTACAGAGTGCTAATTGGTCCATTTTACAAACCTCTAGCTAGCTACAGAGTGCTGTTTGGTGCGTTTTTACAAAGCGCTTATTGGTGCATTTTACAAACTTTTAGCTAGCTACAGAGTACTGATTGGTGCATTTTACAAACCTCTAGCTAGCTACAGGGTACTGATTGGTGCATTTTACAATCCTAGCTGCGGAGTCCTGATTGGTGCATTTTACAATCCCCTTGTAAGACCGAAAAGTTCCCCAAGTCCCCAGTCAACCCAGGAAGTCCAGCTGGCTTCACCTCACACCGGCTTCAAGTGATTCTCCTGCCTCAGCCTCCTGAGTAGCTGGGATTCATGCCTGGCTAATTTTTGTATTTTTAGTAGAGACGGGGTTTCATCATGTTGGTCAGGCTGGTCTTGAATTCCTGACCTCATGGTCCGCCTGCCTCGGCCTCCCAAAGTGCTGGGATTACAGGCATGAGCCACCATGCCTGGCCCAACTACTTTCCTCTTAAGTGACATAGTGTGTGAAACATTATCTCAAGCATAGCTCCACCTATGAGTTAAGATTTGGGCACATCTCCTGACCTTGCAGACTTTCCTATTTCTTGGCTACTCAATGGAGAAAGAAAGATGTGATTTCAGTCAGTTCCTCAGTTCCATCTTCTACCAAGTCATGTTCCTTGGGAAGAAATCACATAACCAGACGACACTACTTTCTACTCAGGCCTGGCCTCCTGTCGTTCTCACTGCCTCCTGCAGTTTGGATGACAAGAACAAAGACACATGTCACTGGGACCTTTGTAAGCGGCCTCAGTGCAAAGACCACCAGTTGGGTCTTCAGAGACTTCGTGTTGGGGCCTCCAAACTGCAGCTCCTTCACCTCCTGCCTTTTTAAACAACCGTTGCAGCTGCTGCTCCTAATGGTCAGCCCTGCAGGCCCGTCACCTGGGCAGCAGCTTAGGTGGGGCATTCCAAGACCTCTGAGCCTGCCCACCTTCCACAGCAGCTACAGGCCCCATGGGGAACTCTCACATTCTTGCTGTCCAAGCAGGTGGGATGCACCTGGCTCCACAGCAGCCCAGTGCTCTCACCCCCTGTCATTGGATGCCCAGCCAGCCTGCCCCTCCAGACTCCTCCTGGTGAGAAACAGGCCCCAGACACCCTGCCCACATGTGCCACCCCCACAACTCTAGGGGCTGCCACCAGGTGGACTGCACTCTAATTTGATCTTAAAAGCCTGAATTAATCTACATGAAGCCTAACCCTGCTTGAGCTCCATGGAAAGTCCCTGAGATGGTGACCACCAGGTGCACCAGAGAGAGGAGCTGTTTGGGTAGGTAATGCTGTATAGATGACCCTGGCTGCCACTCTGAGCCCCAGTTTCCCTCTCTGTGAAACGGGTGTGACAATGGCCTCCTTTAGTATGGAATAAGTGAGTCAAGCCTGGGCGCTCAGGTCCTCAGTGAATGATCATTTGCTGCTGAAGTTATTCCATGAAACAGGATATACAAACACAGGGCAATAAACATTCATGGTCTGTTCATATAGCAGAAACAGCCAAGGACCTTGTTAAACACCTGCCTGCCTGTTAAACACCTGTCTCCTCATATAGATTGAGAGCTTGTGAGGCCTGAGATTTCGTCATCATCTTTCCCAGTGTCTGGCATCCTGCCTGTCCCTGAGGAGATGCTGGATGGATGGATGGACACACGAGTGAAGGAAACTTCGGGGATCCCAGTCCACCCTTCAGGCAGCTTCGGAGTCCACCTGCACAGGCTCTGGAAGCCATAAGGCCACTTTATTTGGTGAGGAAGGGGAAGAGGCACAGAGTGGAACGTGGAATACAGGACATTTTAATAGAAAATACTTTAACTCTTCTAAGGCTGTGTCTGGCAAGAGTCCAGACATTGCACATATCCTAACTCTGACCAAAGTCTGACAGGCAGACAGGAAGGTTTTATATGGTCTGCTGTGGGCTCTTTAGGGTGGGGAAGGGGGACCTTGTCATCAGCACCAAGATGCAAGTGCTTTATAGCTGCCTTTCTGGAGGTTTTGTTCAGGGAAGAATAAGCTGGTATGATCATTCTGGAAATCAATTCAAAAACATGCATCAAAACCTCATAAATACCCTTCATCTCTGCAACAGTAATTTTCCCCTCTAGGAGTCTACACCAAGGAAAACATCACTGGTGCAGGCAGAGGTGGATGCAAATAGATGTCCCTGGCAGCATCATTTACAGTACTGACAACCATTACGTGCCCTGGACATCCAACATGGGAACTACTAAATCAATAATGGCTAAAAATTATGGTTAAAAATAGCATCTGGGGCTGGGTGCGGTGGTTCACACCTGTAATTCCAGCACTTTGGGAGGCCAAGGTGGGGGGATCATGAGGTCAGGAGTTCAAAACCAGCCCAGCCAACATGGTGAAACCCCGTCTCTACTAAAAATACAAAAATTAGCCGGGCATGGTGGTGTGCACCTGTAGACCCAGCTCCTCAGAAGGCTGAGGCAGGAGAATGGCTTGAAGTCGGGAGGCAGAGGTTGTGGTGAGCCAAGATTGTGCCACTGCACTCCAGCCAGGGTGACAGAGCAAGACGCCGTCTCAAAAAAAAAAAAAAAAAAAGAAAGAAAGAAAAATAACCTCTGATGTGGAGGACTGGTACACTGTTGATTAAAAAAAGAAAACAGGCCAAAAAATTGTTCTTATTGAATCACTCTTGATATTAAAAACACAACATATACATTTGAGAGAGCCTAAAAAATTCAAAATGCCACTAGCAGTTACATGAGACGTGAAATAATGAATGTCTTTTGCTATTTTCTTTATACCTTTTGGGATTTAGATATTTGCTATGTCCATTACTTATATACTAAAATATAAGTTTTCCTAAAGCAAAAGAAATAAGCTTTGTGTAGTGAGATTGAAAACAGAATTTTTCATAAACTACAACTGCATTTGTAATATTTTATCTCCATGAGCTTTGAGTTGTTAATGTATCATTTAGGAAGGCTAAGACTGAGTTTTAGAAAAGGCGAAAATAGGCTTTTTGTATGTCTTGCAAAAGGGTCCTAATAATGATGGCAATTTTTACATAATGAAGGTCAGGTTACTGTCACATATTGTCTTAGGTGCTTTGTGCTGCCATCACGAAGTATCATAGATTGAGTGGCTTATAAACAACAGGAATTTATTTCTCACAGTTCTGGAGGTTGGAAGTTTAGGACAGGGTGCTGGCAGGGTTGGGTTCTGGTGAGGGCCTTTTCCACGTTGCAGACAACTAACTCCTCCTTATATCTCACAAGCGGAAAGAGGATGGGAGAGCTCTCTGGGGTCCCTTGTATAAAGACAGTAATCCATTTATGAGGGTGGAGCCCCCTTGTGAATGGGGGGCTCCACCTTCATGACCTGATCACCTACCAAAGACCCCACTTCCTAATACCATCAAATTGGGGATTAGGATTTCAACAAAGGAATCTTGGGAGATGCAGATACTCAGTCCATCGCGCTTATTTTGGAAAAACTTAAGAGTTAAATATTAAAACTGTAAAAGAGAAATTGGATTTGCTGTATTGCTTTTGCCATTATATCATTTGTTAGTCACTAAGGGCTACCAGCCCCTGCGATTTGGGATACTAGAATAATGTTAGCAAATATAGCAAAGCCTCAATATTCTTATTTTGGCTTACTTTCTTGAGATAACTAAAAATTTGCACATTGGTGAGTGAGCTTGGCCTCATGATATTTCCTCCAAAAAGTAAAAAATATGTGATCATGTTTCCACGTCAGAAACATGGCAGCGATTCTGTTTCCCTTTGCGTTATCTGTCAGAAGACACCAGCGACTTACACCCTGCACTCCATAGAATGGACAGATTCTAAGAAAAGAGGAAGAGCATGGACCAGACAGGCATGTAGCAGAGACATTTCAACACTCAGTAGGTGTAGATATCAGCAAGCCACTTGTTAGAAAGAAGATACTCAGTCTCTAAAGGTCTACCCAGCACTAGGCTCTAGGCTGGTCACAGAGCTGACCTCAGGGAGCCTAACGTCAGCTACCACATCATCCATCATAAGGATGGGGAAGGAGCGAGGAGCTAAGTAAAGCCAAGGGGAGAGGGTTATGGTGTTGAGGGTATGGGTGTCTTTGACTGCAGGGGAACGGGCTTTGCCCCCCTGTTTATCCTCCAGCCCTCTGCCAGGACGTGGCAGGCCCTTGCAGGCCATGGTGTCACCTCGCTGTGTGTCAGTCCTCTTGCCCTGCCTTCACCCTACTCCTACAGGCACTTTGTTCTATGAAACCCTGAGCTTTCTAGGGGTTTGCCTGCATATACAGAGTCAATTTTTGTTTTTTCTGCTACTGGTTTAGGAATCTGCTTTCTTGGATTTGCTTAGTTCACACTCATTTCTTTCTTGTCTTGCTTTGAAATGGATTTAGTAAATAATCCCATGGTGGACACTGAGACCCCATTGCAACATTACCCTTTTTCCTACACTGTCCAGAATCCTGCCAGCCAGTTCTCCATGTTCCAGGTCACAGATCAGAGTACATTTCTCTAGAGAATCTGGCCAGCCCAAGAGAAAGACTTAAAGATATTGACATCAGGGCATCTTCAAGGAAGTGGCCTATTTCTTTCACAGTGAACTTCATCAGAGAGCCTCATGCATGTTCTGGTGCCTTCCAGCAGCCTCTCAATGCCTCACTTTAAATGTCCTCAGCAAACCAAAGATCATAAGAAGCTTGAGGAATGTGATTAACACGAAAATTAAAGACCAAAGCTAAGACAGACTTAAAAGTTAAAGGAAAGGGTGACCATGCAGGGTAACAGCCCCACCACCAAACAGAAACCATCAAAAATATTCTGTGAGATATAATAGAAGGTAACATATTTAGGGAGAAAATGTAGGATACTGTAAAAATGGAATATGCGGGGAAGAAAAAATAACTCTTAGAAGCTAAAAATAAGACAGCAGAAATAAAAATACAATAGAAGTTTCCTCAGATAAAGTTAAGCAACTCTCCAAGGAGGAAAGCAAAAGACAGAATGGCAAATATGAAGGAGTTGGGAAGCCGGGAGAGCCCCGCACATCCAGTGTATGAAAGTGAGAACTGCAAGGAAAGACAACGAGAAAATGCAGAGGAGGAAATTATCAAAGAAATAGTTCAAGAAAATTCCCTCAGGCTGACGGAGACAAATGTTGAGTTTGAGAAGGCCCATGGAATAGCCCATACGGTGATAAAATCAGACACTCACCAGGGCACATCACCATGAAATTTCAGAACGTGGAGGACAAAGAAAAGATTCAATAAGATTCTAGGCAGAAAAACAAGGCGAAATATGAAGAATCAAGGAGGGGAATGTCATCTGAGTTTTCAAAAGCCACCCTAAAAGACAGGAGACAACAAATGAATGCCTTTAAATTCTGAAAAAAGATTCTAAAACTAAAACTCAAATATAAGGGTAAAATAAATATAAGGGTAAAATAAGTAATTTTTTCTATAGTTAGTAATTTTTATAGTTTTTTAAAAATGTTTTTTATTTACATAGGTTATTCGGAAACAGGTGGTGTTTGTTTACCTGAGTAAGTTCTTTCATGGTGATTTTTGAGATTCTGGTGCACCCATCACCTGAGCAGTATACACTGCACCCAATTTGTAGTCTTTTATCCCTCATCCCCTTCCCACCCTTTTTCCTTGAGTCCTCAAAACCCATTGTATCATTCTTATGCCTTTGCATCCTCATAGTTTAGCTCCCACTTATGAGTGAGAACATATGATGTTTGTTTTACCATTCCTGAGTTACTTCACTTAAAATAATGGTCTCCAGTTCCATCCAGGTTGCTGCGAATGCATTAATTCATTCCTTTTTATGGCTGAGTAGTATTCCATCATATATATATATATTCCATATGTATATATATATATTCCATATGTGTATATATATATATATTTTCCGTGTGTGTGTGTGTGTGCATATATATATATATATATATATATATATATATATATATATATATATACATATCGCAGTTTCTTTATCCACTCATTGACTGATGGGCATTTGGGTTGGTTCCACACTTTTGTAATTGCAAATTGTGCTGCTACAAACAAGTGTGTGCGAGTATCTTTTTCGTATAATGACTTCTTTTCCTCTGGGTAGATACCCAGTAGTGGGATTGCTGGATCAAAAGGTAGCTCTACTTCTAGTTCTTTAAGTAATTTCCACACTGTTTTCATAGTGGCTGTACTAGTTTACATTCCCACTAGGAATGTAGAGGTGTTCACTGTTCACCGCATCCAGCCCTACTCATGGTAATTTTTTCGTGAGACACAGTCTCAAAAAATTATCTCCCAAGCACTTTTTGTCAGGAAGCTACTGGAAGATCTGTTCTATAAGGCAAGAGTGAAGCAAGAAAAAAGAATATTGGAGTGCTTGAAAAAGTGGAGCCCAACAGTAGAGAGAAAGACACCCCCAGGATCAGAGGAAAGGAAGACCACAGGAGTGACAACCAGCACCAGGCTTGGAGTCGGCTACACAGACAGGGAGCCATCAGAGCGCTCTGGGCCAGGCTTCCTCATGAGAATAAGATCAACAGACAACAGATTTGTTTGAACATTTCAAGGGAATTTTTGGTCAAATTTGTGATCAATTCATTGAAAATAGAGATAGAGGGAAAAAAAGAGAAACGGGAAAATATATACTCCAAGGAAAAGAAAAAACTAGTGAAACAAGAGGAAAAAAGGCAATCATGGTTTAACTGGCAATGGCAATGGCATAATTACTATCATACCACTTGGGTCGGGATGGAAGGGAAAGGTGTGGAGTAGAAGTGAAGAAAGAGATCAATAACAGAGTAAGATCCATTACTAGAGATCAATAAAAGAGATCTTCACCTAATAGAGTGAATGGTCAATCCTCAATGCCTAAAATTGAACAGTCAAGAGGCAGCACTGCAGGCATTTTATTTAGAGATGGAGGTAAACATCAACATTAAAACAGAAGCAGGACAGCTAAAGTAGAGAAAATCAGTTGCATCTGGGGAAGAGGAAGTTGGAGAAATGAGGGGAGAGGTCATACTCTTTTCTGAATAAATATTACAGGATGATTTGACTTTTGAAATATTATGATGAAAATTTTGAAAGGCGATGTTTGAATTGCCAAACTGAGTAACAAAGATGAGTTTGTTAAAAGCTTCTTTCTTTCTTAATCATATAGGAAAAATTCCTTGGGACAAGTTTATTGCTTTTCTATACATCCTCCTAAAAGCCCTACAAATTTCCCTAGACTTCCAGAACATAAGACATATGAAATCAACCCTTCAGAGTGGCCTTGCCTTATTTAATTTATAAATTTTTTCATCCACCTCACATTCGTGTTCTTTCCAGGCACCAGACATGGGCTAGGCCCAAGAAATTTAGATCCAGATATATAGAGGGTGGCAGACAGGTAGAAAGATGATAGATAGATGATAGATAGATAGATAGATAGATAGATAGATAGATAGATAGATAGCATAAATAGACAGACAGACAGACAAACAGATAGATAGATAGATAGATAAACAGATAGATAGATTCTGTCTGTGATAAGTTGAGGTAGATTCTACCTGTGATCTACCCATGTTTCTCTGACTTTAGCAATTTTAGTGAGCTCAGTGAACTCCAGCTTCCAGGATCTTCATTTCTCTGTCTAGCAGCAATTTCCGGAATTATATAAGGTCACACTGCCCACAGTGAGAAGAGCTCTACACACACACACACAGAGACACACACACACACACACACAGACACACACACCTTCACCCAGTGAGTGTCAGGAGTTGATAGTGTATTAGGATTCTCCAGAGGAGCAGAACTACTAGGATATACGTATATAGGAAAGGGAATTTATTAGGGAGAATTGGCTCACACTATCACAAGGCAAAGTCCCACGATAGGCAAGTTGAGATGCCAGTAGTGGCTCAGTCCAGGCCCAAAAGCCTCAAAAGCAGGGAAGCCAATAGTGCAGGCTTCAGTTTGTGGACAAAGGCTGAAGAACCTGGAGTCTGATGTCCAAGTGCAGGAAGCATCCAGCACAGGAGAAAGATGAAAGCCAGAAGACTCAGCAAGCCAGCTTATCCCACCTTCTTCCACCTGCTTTGTTCTAGCCACGCTAGCAGCTGAGTAGATGGTGCCCACTCACATTGAGGGTGGGTCTTCCTCTTCCAGTCCATTGAATCAAATGTCAATCTCCTCTGGCAACACCTTCACAGACACACCCAGAAACCATACTTTACCACTATCTAGGCATCCTTCAATCGAATCAAGTTAACACCTAATATTAACTATCACAGTATGTAAATATTTCAGTTCCCTCATCCCTTGGCTGGGAAAACTCTGAGTATATGGCATTGGCCAAGTTTAATTGTCCAATGTTGTCTGACTTGTGTTGATTGGCTATCTTTCCTTCCTGGCATCCCTATACTTCCCAAATAAACAACTAGCTCTCAAATCCTGGGCTCGGGGTCTGTGTCTGGGGGAGTGCACAGTACAATATAAGGACAATAATGGAGATACACTGTGTATCCAGGAAACTCAGAAAAGGGCATTGAACCCAGGCTGGGAGTGAGAAGGGTGAGTGTAAGTGCAGGAATGAGGAAGGCTCCTGGGGGTCCTGGGGGTCCTGAGCTTTCTGGCTCAGGTCCTTGGCTGCTGAGCCAGAAGTTATCCTGTGCTTAGCATCTGGGCTGGGCTCACAGAGTTGGAAGTGTATAGACATGGCCCCAGTTATGGAGGGCTGGGAGGAAGACAAGCAAGCAGATCCACCACAAGATGAGAATTCATCAGGGGGGCCACACCGTGAGTTAGGGGAGGAGAAGGAGCCACACAACAGGGGAGACCCCGCTGACCTGGGCCTCTTCATCATCCAGACATGTCATTCGCCATTCTCCCAACACCTCCTCCTTCCTCCTGAGCTCCTCTGCCTCTGCCTGTACTCAGATGTTCATCCTCCTGAGGGCTCTGTCCCCAGACAGCTCGCATCTCACTTGCAGATTCCATCCAGTTGATTCTGCCTCTTCCCATTCCTTCCATCTATAAGCCGACGGCTGCTCACCTACATCTTCAGCCCAGAGATAACCTTTGTGCTCCCAGCACAGGTTTCCAACAGTACATGTGTCTAAGAAACTCCAGTAGCACCCTACTTTACAAACAACAGGAACATGAAAGAAGTGGTTATTGGATGGAGGCGGACCTCACTATGTTCCTGGTATACGGTTTCCTTTTAAGTCCAGCATGTTTCCACCTATGGATGGTTGCATATTGTTTCCTCTTTCTGGAAAAGCCCTCATCCTATGCTTCAGAGTCACTGACTTGCATTACTCCAGGGAGCACTGTTGCTAGAATACCATGTCCATCAATGATCCCAGGCTTGCAAAGCCTAGATGATCCCTGCTTCCGTAAGCAGCTGAAATCCTTTTGTACAAAAGCTTACCCCAACCTTTCAACACCAATAAGATCTTCTTATTCACTTTGAGCTTTATTCTCAAGCAAACCGTCACACTTTATAACTAGACATTTATCTGTGTGAGGACACGGGACCATGTCTATCTTGTTCACTGTTCCAGATGGCATGCTTACCTGGTGTCTGTCATGCAGTGCAAACTCAATAAGGATGTATGGAATGAATTAGTTGAATTGAACTCAACCCTCCAGGCTTCCAACTTTCATTCTACACCTGACACACTCCATATACAGCACTGGAAGGTGGGGAATGAAGATGGATATGACAGAGTTCCTGTCCCCAGGGGACTCACAGTGATGTACAATGTGGAAAAGTCCAGTAATGTGAGTATGAAAAAAAAAAAAAACAACCACCAGAGACAGCAGAGGAAGGAATGAGAAAAAGAGTGGGATAGTTGTGGGTGCTCCGGACAGAAGCCAGCCTGACTCACTGCAACACCTCTGGAGGCCTCGACAGCCCCCACCTCTGCACAGTACATAACATAGCACTAAATAAAGCTGAGTTTCTAAGATTCTGCAGTGTTAATGATGACATAAAGATTTTATGGGCAATGTGGGCTGTGACCAAAATCTCTCTACAAGAAAATCAATAGAAAGAGAATTGTGGTGGCGAGGGTGAGTGTCTTGTCACTGCAGTGTGATGGTGCTGGCTTCGGTAGCTGCCAAAGAAGAGTTGCACTTGGAAGTGCAAGGGGGGAATCCTCATTTCCTTCAATGGGGGATTTTACCATAGAGAATGGTAGAACCCCAGTGGCAGAGTCATGGGAAGCCAGTCAATGGTTGAATATAAAACAGTGGGAGTTTGGCTGGGCGCAGTGGCTCACCCCTGTTATCACAGCACTTTGGGAGGCTGAGGCAGGAGGATCACGAGGTCAGGAGATCGAGACCATCCTGGCTAACACAGTGAAACCCCGTCTCTACTAAAAATACATAAAAATTAGCCAGGCGTGGTGGCGGGTGCCTGTAGTCCCAGCTACTCAGGAGGTTGAGGCAGGAGAATGGTGTGAACCTGGGAGGCGGAGCTTGCAGTGAGCTGAGATCGCGCCATGGCACTCCAGCCTGGGCGACAGAGCAATACTTCGTCTCTCAAAAAAAAAAAAACAAAAAACAAAACAGTGGGAGCTTATATATCAAATACTTTTTTTTCTGTTGATAGCATGGGGAATTAAAGTCACTTTTGAAGGTTTCTGACATGTTAGGGTAAAGCCACAAACTGGCTGCAACAAGAGTTAACACCTTGAACAAATGCATAACAACAGTCATCTCAATTTGCTTTTGGAGCATAACAAACCATCCCAAAACTTAGTAACTTAAAGTAATGGATATTTGTTGTTACTCAATGATTCTGTGGTCAGCTGGGAGCTCTGCTGGTCTGGGCTGGGTAGGCTGGACTGAGTGGTCTCACTCACCTATTCCTGTCAGTTGATGCAATGGGAACAAGGGGTCCCTGTGTCTCTCACCATCCATCAGACTAGCCAAGCTCACATGGTGGCGGTCACAGGTTTCCATCAGTAGCAAGAAAGAGCCCCAATATGCGGGCATTTTTCAAATCTCGGCTTATAAGCCAGTTGTGATTGACTCTGTGGATAGCAAGTTATACGGCTTAGCCTAGTATAAAAGCTTACCCCAACCTTTCAACACCAATAAGATCTTCTTGTTTCCTTTGAGCTTTATTCTCAAGGAAACCATCACAATTTATAACTAGACATTTATCTGTGTGAGGATGTTGTTATACCTGTTATGTTGTTACAGGATGGGACAACATAAGGGTGGATAAAGGGAGAGAAGCTCTTATGACCATTTTTGCAAACAATTTGTCATGAATATAAAGAAAGAACATATGTAGTGAACATTACTATGATAGAAGGCTTGGGGTCCACGTGTTTGATCTTAGAAAAATTCTCACTCAAGCCCCTATGGTGCCTGTGGTCCTATATACAGAGCTGGATCTCATCTCCTGGCACAATAACCAATGCAGAGTGGGTGCTCAGTCATTTTGCTGACTAAAGGAAGCTGAGATTTCCAGGAATTCAATGGAGAACACCCCCTTTTATTCCCAACTAAATTCAGAACCAACTGAAAGATAGTGATAAAAGGAAGAGGAGAATGTGGTGGAGGTTAGTTAGCCAGGTGTGCTTGCTAGCGTGCCCACCACCATGGGCCTCTCTGAGGGGCTGCCCCTGTAGAATCTTCAGTGGTGTGGAGGAAGAGAGACTGCCATTCCTTTTTTTTTTTTTTTTTTGAGGGAAAGGAAGGGTTGAGTCGAGCCTGTGCAACTGCTTCTCCAAAACTTGCAGAGAAGCCAGTCAAATCCCCTCCACCCAGCAGGCCTTGCTTTCACATGGTTCTCCTGACTCCCAACTCCCACCCCTCAATAACTGCCAGATTTTTTATTTCTTAAGATAATGGTCATAACCATCAATCGTATCATCAGTCCAGCATGTGGCCTTCGAGGCAGTCCTGATCATCATACATGAGGCCAACCTTCCTTTGTGGACTCCTCCCAGGGTTGCTGATGGCTATTGTGGATTTTGTCCCCAGAAGGCTCTAGAATGGAAGTAGACTCCAAGGTTACTCTTTTCTCAGGGTTAAAAATGAATTTGCTTTTCTGTTTCCCATTCCAAATTATGTCCAGCCACACTGTCCAATATAGCTCATCAAAGTTTTCCAACAATATTAAAAAAGTAAGATATTCCAATCACAAAATGCCAACAACATATTGATAGCTGCTCCAAATTTAAATATAAAATCTCTCCCATTATGAAGTTCCCAGAAGAAATTAAAGTTCAAACAAGATATAACTACATCAACCTCTAAAGTCCAATTTTGTTCTGAAATTAATGTTCACAGAATTTTTTAATTAAAAATGTTTAGACATAATTGTAGGTTCACATGCAGTAATATAGAAAGATCTAGTGCATTTTCACATAGTTTCTCTTGATAATCTAATCTTGCAAAATTATGGTATAATATCACCACCAGGATATTGACATTGATGCAGTCAAGATAAAGAACGTTTCTGTAACCACAAGGACCTCTCAGGTTGCCCTTCCTCATCCTCATCCACCTTCTTCCCAGTTTCATCCCCTCTTTAACTTTGGAAACAATTAATCTGTCTTTACATTTTATAATCATTTCAAGAATATTATATTAATGTAGTATATGACATTTTGGAATAGGGATGTTTCAGCATAATTTTCTAGAGCTTCATCCAGGTGGTTGCATGTGTCCACACGATGCCTCTGTTCCTGAGCAGTAGCCCATGCACGTACTACAGTTTCTTTAGCCATTCACCCATTGAAGAAAAATTGAGTTGTTTCCAGTTCTTGGCTATCACCAATAAAGTAATACAAAGAAGCATTCATGTACAGGTTTTTGTGTGAACATCAGTCTTCATTTCTCTGGATAAATGTCCAGGAGTTCAGTACCAGGTTGTGTGATAGTTGTATGTTTAGTATTTTAAGAAACTTTCAAGCTGTTTTGAGAGCGCTTGTACCATTTTACTTTACTTTCCCACCAACAATGTTAAGAGTGATCAAGTTTCTCAAAATGCTGGACAACATTTCCCATTGTCACTATTTTCTATTTTAGATATTTTGATAGGTAAGCAGTGGTATGTTATTATGCTTTTAGCTTGCATCTCCCTAATTGCTAATGATGTTAACCATCCTCATCTATATTTTTTATGGTGAAATCTGTCTTCATGGTTTTTGCCCATTTTATAATTAGATTGTCTTGTTGTATTTTTTACTGTTGAATTTTGACTGTTATCTAAATATTCTAATTACTAGTTGTTTTATGGTTTACAAATATTTTCTCTCACTTTGAAGGTTGTCTTTTCATCTTCTTGACAGGTTAATTTTTTTAACAGAGCCAAAGTTTCTAACCTTGATGAATCCAAATTTATCAATTTTTCCCAGAAATTTACATTTTGTAAAATTAAAGAGTTCGAGCCCTAAATCCCAAAGATTTTCTTGTGTTTTTTTTCTCAAGTTTTATAATTTTACATTTTACATGTACACCTATGATTCATTTTGCATTAATTTTTGCAAAAGATGTGAGATTTTGGTTTAGGCTCATTTTTTGACTTATGAATGCCTAATTGCTCCAACATTATTTGTTAAAAAGGCTATAATTTCCCCCTTTGAATTGCTCTCGCACCTTTGTGAGAAATCTCTTTGGCATATCTGTGTAAGCCTACATTGGGTTCTCCATTGTGTCCCATTGATCTATTTGTCTGTTCTCCCTCCAAGTGTCTATCCCTCCTCCAAGACCAAACAGTCTATATAAGAAGTCTTGAAATCAGCTACGCTGATACCTCCACTTTAACTCTTTTCATAATTGTTTTAGCTATTTTTAGTTCCATTGCCTTTCCATATACATTTTAGAATAACCTTGCCTATATTGACAAAAAAAGTCTTGCTGAGATTTTGATAAGAATGGCATTGAACCTCTATATCAATTTGAGAAGAATTGCTATCTTTATTGTGATGAATCTTCTAAGTGAATGCCTTCTTTCATCTTTGATTTCTTTGATCAGTCCTTTGTAGTTTTTAGCATGTAAGTCAGGTAGATTTGTGAATGACTTTTAGTATGTAGTCAGGTATATTTACTTTGTTAGATTTATAGGTAATTATTTCATTTATTTGTTAGATGTATAGTTTGAAAGGATTGTATTTGTCATTTTGGTCCCCATGTGTTCATTGCTAGTATGTATAAATACAATTGATTTTGTCTGTGATTTTGCTTATTAGTTACTGTGAATTTGCTTACTAGTTCTAGGTGTTTATTTGTAAATTCCTTGGGATTTTCTAGAGAAAATCATGTCACCTGCATAATGGGACAATTTTATTCTTTCTTTCCAATCTGCTTGGTTTTTAATTCATTTTCTTGCCTGATTGCACTGGCTAGAACATCCAGCATAAGATGTCATAAATACGAGTGGTGAGAACAGACAATCTTCCCTTGTTCCCAATCTTAGGCATAAAACTTTTAATCTTTCACTACTAAGAATAAATGTCAACCATAGGACTTCTGAAGATGTTCTTTATCAATTTCAGGAAGTTCCCTTCTATGTTTAGTTTGCTGAAAGTTTTTTTTTTCAAGAATGGGTGTTGAATTTTGGCAAGTGCTTCTTCTGCATTGATTGATGTGATCATATATTTTTTCTCCTTTAGTTTGTTGATATGATAGATTGCATGGCTTGACTTTAAAATACCAACCAGCTCCTCATCCTTGGAATAAACCTCACTTTGTCATGGTATGATTCTTTCTATGTTGCTGAGTTTTATCTGTTAATATTTTGCTACGTATATTTGCATCTATAGCCATGAGAAATATTGGTATGTAGTTTGGGTTTTGTTAAGTTTGTTTTATTGTCTTTGTCTGGTTTGGGTATCAGGGTGACAATAGCTTCATAGGATGAATTGAGGAATGTTTCTTTCTCTTTTAGCATCTGTACAGTTTGTGTAGAATTAAAATTAATTCTCCCATAAATGTTTGGTAGAATTTTACAGTAAAACAATTTGAGTCTGGGGATTTGCAGCAAACAGGAGGCAGTTTTTAAATGATAAATTCAATTATTCTAATAGTTATAGGACTGTTAAAACTCTACTTTGTATCAGGTGAATTGTGGTGATTTGTGTTTTTGAGGCACTGGTCCAGTGTAAGTTTTATACTTATGTGTGTAGAATTGTTTGTAGCATTCCATTATCATCCCTTTGATAATATCCCATTTCATTCTTGATATTGGTAACTTGTGTCTTCTCTTTTTTTGTCAGTCTGGCTACATATTTGTCAATTTCTTTTATCTTATAATGACCCCATTCTTTGTTTTAATTTTTTATTGTTTTTGTTTTAAATTTTATTGATTTCTATTTTATGCTTATTTCTTTCCTTCTGCTTAATTTGGACTCATTTTGTTCTTCTTTTTCTAGATTCTTGAGACCAGAGATTATTAATATTTGCCTTTTCCTCTTTTAAATTTCCAATTCAACATTACTTTAGCTGTGTCCCACAAATTGGATATGTTGTATTTTTATTTTCTTTCAATTCAGTGTGTTACTTTAAACATTATTTTGCGAATTTTTCTTTGACCGTGAATTATTTAGAAGAGCATTGTTTAGTTTTTACTCTGCCAATCTTTTACTTTTAATTGGTGCATTTAGACCACTTACATTCAGTGTAATTACTGATTTGTTGGGGCTTAAATCTGTCATTTTATTTTGTTTCTCTGTCCATTGAGATTTCCACAAGATACATAAAGTAAAAAAGAAAATCCTTACAAATGGAATGTGTTGTTTCTCAATGCTGAGGTGCCCGGCCAGTCTGCCTTCTTCTCCCACCTTTCTAAGTCTTCCTGAAATGTTGTTTTCTATCTAATGCCCAAGATTTTTCATTTTACTTATCTAGAGAAATAGGGGAAAGTCCCTTTCACAACTCCCTAGAAGCAGAATGTCCTAAGAATTTTATGGCATTACCTACTTCCAATTCTGCTCAGATTTATAGTACATATTTTTTATCACCCTGACAATTTCTTAGTGCCTAGAGAGTACTGATGTTCTTCAGCAGCTGGAACATGATCTGTCTTCAACCAGAAATGATATGTGATTGGTTCCTTCATCAAGCCCAAAGCCAAAGGAATCCAGCCCATAACCTCTGGATGCATTTTTATGAATATGACCACTAAATAGAACATAAGCAAATATCAAAATATTGGCCTTATACTCACAAAATGGAAGAAAAAAGATATTCCCCAGTGCTTAGAATGTTAACCCAAATAATATCTGTCCCTAGGGAAAAATGTACTGTCCCCAGCTCCCAAATGACATGTGCCCAAAACCTCAATAGAATGTGAGGGAAGGCAGGGCAGGGATGAAGTTCCTCTCTGTTGCAGGACTCTCCCAGGCAGCTCTCCCTCTGCACTGGTGCCTGGGACCCATGACCTGTGCAGCTAAACACACTTTAGATGAGGTGGAGGAGTGTGGAGCACAGTGAGCATGGGTGTAACGAAAAAGGAGATGGACTGGATTGGAAGGATGGGGACCTTGGGGTGGGGGAGGAAGAAGTAGGAGAGAGATGTCGGGGAGATGCAAGAGGGCTGAATCTGAATCTCACACAAAGCAGCAGCAACAAATAACTTGTGAAACGGATGCACACAGAAGCAATAGTGCCAGCCTCTGTTACAGAATATGACTATAAGTGCAAGAAAAAAGCCAAAAATATTGGAACTGGTGCTGGGAAGGGATGCAGTGAAATCTGCTATTTTATCTCATGATCTTTCCAGTGTTGTTTCATTGAGTAACTATGTGCATGCATTACAAAGCTAAATATAAAATTAATGGGCTGATGCCTGCAGTTTCCCCTCTGCCTATCTATCTCAGCTCAGGTACGACCCCCTACCCCACTTCATACCATCCGCATCTTTTTCTGCTGCTGACTTAGCTCACACCACATCCCAACAGCAGCAACTGACAGCCAGAGGTCAGGTCATGACTGGGCAGTTTTACCCAGGCTGCCTGGTTCTGATCTTGGCCTTGAAGCCAACATTCAAGTCAAGTCAAATCAAATCACATCAAATCAAATCAGCAAATGCTCATTGTGCACCCACTGTGAAGTGTGCAAAGGAGTGTAAGCCATGGTTGACGCACAAGGAGATACAGCTATGACGGAACTGGGCACGCCTTCAAAAGGTAGATTAAGAGAGAAGGGCACACGAGTCTCCACAGGGCCTTCAAAGTGCACACTTGTCATGAGAAGAACCAACTGCACAGCTAGGCAAACATTAAGCAAAATTGGTCCTTCCTCTTCGTTTGACAAAGGAGGAAAGCGAGGCCCAGGCAGGACCGTGCCCTGCACCCAGACTGTTCCAGCTCTCGGGGCTGAGGTGAGTTGCAAAGAAGTGAACCTGGAATCTCTCACATAGTTCAGAGGCAAGAGCAGGCACCAAGGGTTGTGATGGCTGCAGAGGGTTCCTGGAAGGAGAGGGTCTGAGTTGGGCCTTGGAAAATGAATAGCGGAAGAAAGGAAACTTGACCTTGACAAACAGCAGTGCTTTGTTCCAGTAAGAAATTCTCCCCGATGTGAATGTTTCACCACAACTATGCAGAGGGCAGAGCTGGCATTCTGGGTACCAGAACTGAGTGAGCAGACTCTGTCCCTGCCTCAGAGCTGCTCAAAAGGGCAGCCAAGAACCCTGCACTAGCCAAGGTTCTGTCTGCACAGGAACTGTGGCTTTACCTCCTGAACATATGAATCTCTCCTTTGTTCTTCACTGCCACCACCACCTCCACCTGGTCCAAGCCACCTTCCTTCATTCCTGGACTGCTGAGGCAGGTCTTTAAACCGGTCTCCTCAAGCCCTCTCTGACCTCTTCCAACTGCAGACAGCATGATGTTTAAAATAAGCACACACACGTGATAATGCCAGTGAACATGCTGTGCCACTTTAAAGTGTTTAACATCATTAAGCACTTTGATGGATAAAGCCAGTTAAAGATTTTTTTTAAAGCAGACAAAGCAACCTCATGAACAGAGTATACACGTTCTGTCTGGTCCCTCACTTCCCTCCCGCACCTCCTCAGCCTCCTGGGCACCATCCCTCTCTCTGTTCCACCTACACACCATCTTTGAGTCTTTCCTAAGCACCTGCTCCCACCTGCCAAAGGGCTTTTGCACATGCTGTTCTTGCTGGAATGTTTCTTTCCCCTCTTCACTTAATTAAGTCAAACATCAGCGGAACAGTCATGTTCTTAACAAACATTTCCTTGATCCCCCAAGTAGGCCAGACACCTCGTGGGCCTTGTTCTATTATACTCTTAAGTATCTTCTATAATTATTGGCTGTCTCTCTGTCAGGCTGTGTCCTACAAGAAGTATCATTGCTTTTTTGCATGACAATTTTAACAACAACTTTCAGTTTACTGTCAATTTCTTAGCTAATTACCTAGTTAATATTTTATGGATGAATGAATGACCTGAGACAAATTTGGTTTTTACTACTGAACAAGCCATTAATGGAAACGCCCACCCTGTGTCCAGCCCTTTGCTAAATAGTGTGCATGCAGATAAAGAGGAGAAGACACAGTTTTGTTTTGTGACTCATTGTCAAAATGAGAAAGACAGAAGTACATGTTTCTATCTGTCAAGATCAGCACATGCACCTCTGAGTAAAATCACCCAACACCCCTGCTTCCCCCATCCTGGAACAGCAGGGCTCTCACTTTGAAAGGCAGATTCTCTCTGGGTTGACCCTCAGGCTTTGATTCAGCCCCTTACCCCTTCAGCTGGTGGCTTATTCTAGAAGATGGATGGCCCATGCTTCAGCAGCCTCTGGGGTTGCCTCTTAATTAAAGTGGGGCAACAAGAGCCATGAGTTTTTCAGAGAGACTTGCAGTCAGGGCTCTGAGGTGATCTTTGTGAAGACCGTGTGGAAAACCAAAAGGAGCTCATGGGTCAGGCTTCCTAAGTAGACGAGAAACTCCCCGCAGAGACCAGTCCCTGCACCAGCAGCTGTTGAGCCTAGAGACCTCTTCACCTTGCAGCAGGAGGGCGCAGTGCAGCAAGAGAGTCACAAACGACGGCTCAGGGTGAAAAGTTCAGACACACCTGGGCACACACCTTTGCCAATTTTGTGACCTGGGATGTGTTTTTACCTGTCTGAGCCTGAGTCTTTTCACACATAAAATCGATGTGAAAGTAGGCCTGCTGTGGCTGGATAATGAGATTGTTACATAACGTGCTCAGGGAAGCACCCTGCACCCAGCAGCCCTGGGTCAGTCTAAAACCCGCAGGTGGGGTGCAGGCTGGGCTTCCAGGGCAGGCTGGGTCGCCTCCTAACTGTGACCTTGAGCAAGTTGCTGGGTGTAATTGTGCCATGAGGATTCACAGCATTCTAGCAGTGGAAGGGAGGTGGCCCAGTTGAATTTCACTGGAAGGTCAATAATAAAACTCCTGTGTACGCAGCCCCCTCTCCACACCGAGCACCTCAGACGCTTTGTATGTGGTCTTTCTGTTCTCTCTCAAGGTAGGGAAAGGTCCCTAGGTGGGAAGCTCTCACAAAGACAGTCGTGTTCATACTTGAATCTGGGTTGTTTTCCTGATTTTAACAAAAGAGAGCCCTGAGAAAGCCACCAGCTGCTCAGCCAAGGTTGCAAGGGGAGGATAGTCCTCCAGCAGGAGGAACAGTTCAAGACAGCTCCTGCTGCCCTGGGGCAATCCGGTTACCGTGCCTGCCTTGGAGCCTCTATCTCTCCATGTCACCGCCCCATGGTGTATTAATCTCCCAGTTTCCTGCACACATTGCAAGAGAGGTAAGCAACGTGGAAGTGTCTGTGCTCCTGCCTCCTGTCTGAGTTCAGCTCTCGGGGTAGGACTTATTCTAAGAGCCAGATGAGCACAGCTGACTCCCTGCCTGGCAGGAGCTGCTGGAAGCATAAAAAGTGGGTTTGCTCATCAGTCATTTGTCCCTATGGAACACACAGCCAAGCAGGAGAAAAATATGTTAATTTGGCCAGAAAATAAAAGTATGTCTCTCAATGAGTCATGGTTGCAAATGAGTTTGAATTAAGCCACTGATATATTCAGGCATGCATTCCTTCCTTCCTTCACTCATTTAACAACTTCTTAGAAAGGATTAGACCCTGTGCAGGACGCTGGAAGTATCAGACCAAAAGGAAGGTCCTTGTAAATAAACCACATAATGTGGAAGAAAGTTCACTGGGCTTTGCCTCCAAACTGATTAGCTTTGAATTTGTATTCTGCCATTCACCTACTGAGTAGCCTGGAATTAAGCCACTTAACATCTTTGAGACTTATTTTTTTTTTCATCTGTGAAATGAGAATGGCAACCACTACTATCCACGGTACTATGTAATATAAATGTGTCTACTTAGCACCCTGTGTTCGAGAAATATAAATGGCTATTATTATTGCCATTATCATCAGTATTATTGCTACTAATCTAAAGAAATAATAGATTGTCCTTCAGAAAACAACAACAAAACAAGGCAGAGCCGGCATGTGTTTCTATTGCCTAGTATTTCACAAAAGTCTCTCTTTCTGGGATGAAAGAGAGGAAAGTAAAAGTTGGGAGACCTTCCCAGGACAGAAACACAGTGGCTTTAGTACCAATCATGGGTTATTCTTTCTTCTAGAATTTCCATCATTCGTGTTCACAATATGAAGACTCTCAGAACAAGGCCAGTATTGATGACAGGGGACAGAACACCTGTGTTTGATTGTCTGTGCGTTTTAGTCTATGTATCCACTCCATACAGAGCAGCAAATAAGAAGCATCATGTTCCCATTTTACAAGTAAGGAACTGGGCTCCAAGGAGCAGGTGCCTTCCAAATATCACACAAGGCAAGGGGGCTCCAACCAGGACTCTCACGCCCACCGCTGGTGCCAGTGCCCTCAAAGGTCTGCCAGGATGCTAGGGTGCTAGGATAGGGCAGCTTCCTTACCACACTCCATGAGTCTGTCAGCAGCCTCATCATCAACATATGACCATTTATTACTGGGTTTTGTGAACCCGACCAATAAAACATAGTAGGCCTCTAGGGAATCCCCCCTTCACCCAGGCAGGGTGCTGGAAAGAAGTTAGGATAGAATGACAGCACTCCGCAAGCTGAGCACGAGGCAGCAAAGCGAGTCTGCACACACAAATGCAGGCGTGCCCAGGGATGCAGAAACAAGACCGCAGCTCCCGTTTCTGGGCCTCTCTCTCTGGGCCCCTTCTCGGCACAGGAACACATGTTTAAAACAATGTCACTGGTATATCAAAGAAGTAAGAGTGCCTTTGGGTGCATGCTATGTGTCAGGTATTAGGCCCAAATGTTTAATCCATCATTTTATGTAACACTCACAGCAGGCCTGGGAGTCCTTTTCAGCCTCATTTGATTATTGAGGGCACAGAGGATCAGAGATGTTAAGCAACCTTCTCAAAGTCACGCAGCTGGTGAAGCCAGTGTTTGATCATGGCGCTTCTGACTCCAAAGCAGGGTCTTCTCACTGAAACAGCTGCTTCTACATTGAGGATTCTTCCATGGATGGCCATTCTGTTTCACTGAGGGAGCAGCAGGGGAATACGTTTAGTACCTTATATGTTGAAAAAGCACCTCCTGACTCAAAGACAGAGCTGGCCCCTCTTACATGCAGTAATCGTATGATTCTGAACTTAGGTGCTGCTGGTGTGCAGTGGTTGTTTGGGTTTAGAAAAATGCCTAACAAAGAGCTGTTGTCATCTGACATCTGTAAGAAGGGTCTGAAAGAAGGGCTCATCCTGGTTGTTGCCTGGAACTTGCTCTGTCATGATTTTTTTTTAATTCACTAAAAAGGATGAATTCTGTATCTTACTTGAAAGTGTTTAAAATTCAATCCAGCCATATGCTACTGCCTCAGACAAATGGGCTACCTTCCAAGTTCAATGTGTGAACCAGTATTGTGTGGGGAAAAGGAATGTCCTCATGCTAGACCTGATTTAACTTGTGCAAAAATGCCATGGGGCAGGACTACAAGCCCATTTTACAGATGAGGACGTTGGGGCTCACAGAGGTTGAGCATCTTCCAGAAGACTTCACATTTAATTAAATAATGAATTTGAATTTGAACCTGGGACAAACTGACTCTTTCCACGACCACACAGCCTGCCTTCATACATACCTATTTTTCCACTATCAGGAATTCCTAATATAGAGCCAGGGCCATGATAATTTGTAAGTATTATTAAACTTGACCCAACTCAGATTTCTAAATTTTGCCTAGCCACGATGATGATGACGAATCTGGCCACACCTACTGAGAAACCTTTGGAGAGACCTGAGTGGGAGGTGGGGTCCACCTCATCTCTTAAATTCTGTAGAATCATGAATGATGACAACTTTTGCTGAGTGGGCAGGTAGCAGCATGGTTTCCTGGGCTGCAGGCTGGAGGCCATGACACCCCTCATGGCAAGGCTGCCTCTTCTTTGCATCCCCAGCAGAGGCTTCAAGAACTTTTGCCCCGAGGAGAGCAGATTTTCAACTTCACAGTTTCTCCCCTTCTGCTTTCATTTTGGCTGAGTGTGGGGCAGGGTCCAGCTGAGGCCACCCTGATCATCTGGGGCGCTGGCTGTCACCACTCCTTCATGTCTCTGGGATGTGGACTGATGCAGACACACCAATTCGCATTTTGATGAGGCAGCAGAGGCTTTGTTGAGGCACAGGTCCTGGAAGCCCTCTCCTCCAGGGGTTTATTCCCTAGAGCTGCTCAAGGAGACTGTGCACTGGGGTGGGGCAGTGTCTTCCTTGGCAGGCTCTTCTTCCCCTCCACAGTATAGGGCTGTCCTTGGAGACTCGTTTTTATGGATTGAGTCCACACTGCGGTCTTAGCAATCTCTGGCCAGCAATTCACCAGATTGGCACTCTTAGGGAAGAGGGTTTCTTTCAGAGTGAGAGGAAAGCAAACTCAGTGAGGGAAGTCACTTTGTAGCCAGGACAGCAGGTGGAGGAATGAGGGCAGCCAGCAAGTTCCAGCCCTCACAAGGCAGGAAGGCAGCCCCAGAGGAGAACAGGCTGGAATCTGAGCCCCACACCACCAGTATCTCATTCTTCCCTCACCTTCCCCTTCCTGACAGGCATGGACCTGCCTTCTGCATTCAGGAGCTTCTTCTCCCTCCTCTCATCCCTGGACTTCACTCCCGTCTTTTATAAAGGAGAAGATTCTTTTTTAGGTAAAACAAATCTATTTGTCTTTCTGCCCTTTCTCTCAAAAACAGCCATCTCCTAATCAGTTGCTCTATCAGGACATGAGCTCCCCGGCACTAAAAAGCGTGTGCTGTTTGGAATGTGCAGGCTGCCCTGGAGCTGGGGCCCATCAGCACTAGCTTAGCACCTACTGCATGTCAGGCCTCTGCCTGGCCCTGGAGACCAGCAGCAGACACAACCTCAGCCCAAGAGAAAGCAGGGTCCCAGGTGGGCGTCATTGCCAGCTCAGATTGAGGTAACAAAGTACCACAGTCTGGTGGTTTAAACAACAGACATTTATTTTCTCCCACTTCTGAAGGCTGCAAGTCTTCAATCAAGGTACAAGCCTGGTCATATTCTGGTGAGGGCCTTCTTCCTGGCTTGCACATGGCTGACTTCCCATTGTACCTTCACATGGCAGAGAGAAAGTGAGAGAGACAGAGAGAGAGAACTCTCTGGAGCCTCCTCTTAGAAGAGCACTGACCCCATCACGAAGGCCCTACCCTCATGACCTGATCTAACCCTAATTACCTACTGAAGGCCCCATCTCTAAAGAGCATCACATTGGGGGCTGGGGGCTTCAACATAAGAATTTTGCGAGGAATGCAAACACTTAGTCCATAACATTTCCCTGTGGTCCTCCACATCCATGGCCTTCTCACAGGTAAACACATTCATACCATCCCAGCAGCCCCAAAGGTCTAAACTCGCACCGGCATGAGCTCTGGAGCCTAATGCCAGAGCCTCGTCCATATAGCACCTAAGTCAGGGGTGCGTAGGGCTCAAGGCACCATTCATCCTCAGGCAAAATTCCTGGCCAGCTGTGAACCTTTGAAGCCAAACAAGCTATGTGCTTCCAAAATCCAAAGGCGGGGCAGGCCCAAGAATGGCATTCCCATTCCAAGAGAGGAGTAGGAAAGAAAGAAAGGGCAACAGGCTCCAAGCAAGTTCAAAACCCAGCAAGGCAAAGGCCATCAGACTGTAGGGCTCTGCAGTAGTTCTCTTTGGCTCTGTGTCCTGTCCCTCAGCCCTCCAGGCTAAACACAAAACTGCAATAACTCAAGTTAAAAAATAAAAACAGAAGAGACCCCTTTCTAGAAACTCAGTGATTGAGGGTTTGGGGCATCAGGTTGTTTGTCCTTCTCTATTGACAGTTGTCCCTATACTGTCCAACATCTGCACATTAAAAATCACCAATTACATCAATTTATATACCAGACAAAGGAAAACTAGACCTATCACCAGAAGTCTGCAAGCACCACAGAGGAGTAATGGCAGACTGCTCCCTGGAGCATCGCTGTATAAATGCAGACCCACTCAGGAAGCTTCAGGGCATTAGGTGAGACAGACAGAAGGAAGGTACAGGGAGAGGTCCTGACCCCGATGTCCACAGCAGGCTCTGTGCCATTTCTGTTAGAACTAGACTTCTCTGTATCATTCATTTCCATGATTAACCGCTGCTGGGTCTCACCAAAGACTGGGACAGTATCTTAGTCACCCCCAGAACCACGCAGCCTGGCCCATCCTTACAGAGACCCTCTGAGTTGGGAGATGACATTAGCACACTCTGTGAGTAAGGAACTGAAGACCAGCAAGGTGAAGATGTAGTTCAAGGTCATGCGGACAATAAGTCACATTTTTCTTAGTCTGAAGCCAGAGATTTCCAAAATATACCTCCTCGTATACTCTGCGTCCTGCAAAAATGGGTGTATTGTCACTGGATTTGGGAAATGTGGTTTCCTGAGTCTCTTTCCCTTAGGGCTTTAAGAGGGTCAGCACAGAAAAGACTCAAACAAGTCTTGCAGTAAAGAAGTCCTTTACCTTTGTTTAATCCAGAACTGCTCAACCCCAAGTGACCAGAGACTTTTAACGCATCAAATTTGCCTTGGAAGACCCTGAAGTGGCTGGGCGCAGTGGCTCACGCCTGTAATCCCCACATTTTGGGAGGCTGAGGCAGGTGGATCACCTGAGGTCAGGAGTTCGAGACCAGCCTGACCAACATGGAGAAACCCCATCTCTACTAAAAATACAAAAAATTAGCTGGGTGTGGTGGCATGTGCCTCAGCTACTAGGGAGGCTGAGGTAGGAGAATCGCTTGAACCCAGGAGGTGGAGGTTGTGGTAAGCCGAGATCGCGCCATCACACTCCAGCCTGGGCGACAGTGCGAGACTCCATCTCAAAAAAAAAAAAAAAGAAAAAAAGAGACTCTGAAGCAACATCCTGCTGCCTCTCCCCACCTCCCCAGTATAAGGCTGCTTCTCTGGCCATGAGCCTAAGAAAAGCAACCCAAGTACCGACTGAGCCACAGTCAAGTAGCCCAGAGCAGGGCCGAGTGCCCAGGCCCCGAGGCAGTGGCTCAGGACGCCTCCAGCAGCCACATGCAGGTGTTCACATCTAAATTTAAATCAATTAAAATTAAATAAAATAAAAACTCTTTTGTCTCCCCAGACACATTTCAAGTTTATGAAAGCCATACGCAGCCAGTGGGTCCTGACAAAGGCTCTCTCCTGGACCAAACTCTGCTCCAGCTACCCGAGCTCTTTTTCAGTGAGGCCTGACTTTCAGATCCCCGTGTTTATCTCGGCATTGTCCAACTTTAGCAGGAACCCTCCTAGGTCCGTTTAGCTAGAATCACCCCCTCCAACAGCTAATCATCTGAGCACCCTCTGTGTCTAATCTGGCACCTCATCCCCTCCCTCCATCCCACCACTGATGCCTAAGCGCCCTGGCCTGTCTTCACCAAGAGTCCTGTTAGGTTGGTTTAGCTAGAATCCCCCTTATTCCTGGTGCTTCCAACTAGTCATTTTCCACCCACAGGGCCTCCCACCCTGCTCCTTGGCTATACATTACCATGTTTCCTTGCCATTTTCAGAGTTGAGCCCAGTCTCTCCCGACCCTCACCGAGAAGCCCCATCACAGTGGTCCCTGCTCCTAGATAGACAATAGCTCCCCTTGAATAAAGTCAGCCTGACTGTGCTTAAACAAGCATCCTTGAATGATTTTTTTCTTTAACAATACTGGAGTGGACAGCTGAGATGTAGGACATCTCCATGATGGCTTAACTTCCTACTGGACAAGCCAGTAAAGAAAGCAGAGACCACTTGGCAGAATCAGCCCCACTGACCTGAAGCTATTAGGATTCTGGGCTCTGTCCTCTTTGGCCATCTACAGCGATGGGAGGTGCTTAAACACTGGCTTATTTTCCCACCTGAAAATGGGATTATTGCTTGCATTCCCACACCCGTAATGGGAATAAAATATGGTCACATATGCAGAAGCAATTTAGAGCCATATAATATCTTTCTGACCAAAACTCAAAAGTATCATTATGTTCCTCTAGACACTATGCTTCCTCCATATTTAGAAACATAAATATGCATATATCTATATAATCCCTTTTGAATGAAGACCTACATTTATATGTAATGACTTTAAAAAATCCTACTGCACTTTCCTGGCTCCATTATCAAAATGATGCTCTTATAGCTATCTTGCCTACCACCACCAAGAAAATGTCCCTAAGACATCCATTTTTCCCATGCCCACTCCTGCTCAACAGCCACCAGGGGCTCCCTACTGCCTATAATTCCCACTCCTCCTCGCTCGGGCCCCACAGTCATCCACAGCGAGGCCCCTCCCACACCTCTGCTCCACTCCCCACCCTCGCCTCACACTGCTTCCATCAACCAGCCTCTTCAGGAGCCAGCCCCGTGGGGCACAGAGTTGTGCTGTCTGCTCTCGGAGGGACACCAGTGACCAACAACTAGGACCTCAGTGCAAGACAGGAAAGTAGGGCCACATTCTCACCCCTGTGCCCTCGCTCGCAGCCCTTCTGCTGCCCATTCACATCTCACCCATGTGGCATTGTCCAAATGCCTGAGGCTGCACAGAGAGTGAGTCTGGGAGCTGGAAAGTCTGAAAGCAAGAAGGCTGTGTTGCCTTGGACTCTTTCTGCGAGTGTCTTATATAATGTGCAGTGTGCCTGGGACCAGCCTTCCCCCACTGCCAGGGTGATGAGTGTCCTCCTAAATCTGAGCTTCATGTCACCCTCAGATCAATACCCAGAGCCTCCTTTGGGTCACGATATTTTCTTGAATTTCTTGTGTCAGTGAATTCCCTTTTCCTCCTGGATAAGCCCCAGATCCTCAGCCTGGCATTCAAGGGCCTTTGTGGGGTCTCCTCAGGACCACCTCCTCTACTTCTACAGCAAGGCAAGGGACTGACTCATTGTCCTCTGGTGGTCACAGTCCCTATGACGTCTGTTCTTCTTCCAAAGGCTGCTGAGCCCTCTCCTCCTTTTCTTCTCTACCTGCAGCTTCTAAGTCTGCATTGGCTTTCTTTTATACCCAGAGTGAAAACCAAACTCCTTGCTAAGGCCCCTAAAGCCCACGTGGCTGGGTCTCCGCTGCCTCCCCAGTCTCAGGCTGGGCTGCTCACCAGCCCTTAGGTATGAGGCTACAGTCACACGGACCCCTTTGTCCTGACTGAACTAAGCTGGGTACGACCTCAGAGCTTTGGCACTTCCTGCCCCTGTTCCTCCCATTCACAGCACTCCACTGTGCTGCACTGACACCAGGCATCACTGCTTGACATCATTCACTTACTGTTCTATTTGTTCATTGAGTGTAAGTCAGCCCCAAGTAAAACTTACAAGACAGCTGAGATGGGCCATGGTGACGTTTGCATATCTCCAGGGCGTGGACAGAGGCAGACAGCCAGTGGGTGTATAATAAAGATGTGTGTGATAAGCACATGGGGCTGCCTCAGAAGGAGCACTGCTCATTGTTTATTTCATGCATTCATGTTATATAGTACCCAAGGCTCCTGTGCTTACACCAGCTATGGCCATCATCACACCACTTATTTACCTGTGGCTGCCAGACCATGCCCCTATTAAGGGTGAGGGAGTGCCCTGGTCACAACTATTCCCATCGACTGCACAGTGCCTGATACAGAAGAGATACACAACCATCAAAAAGCATGTGCATGAACAGTAAAAACACCAACTGCACAATCAAGTGTTGAAAAAAGAGACATACTTCTGGCAAGGGTGAAGAGGGAAAAAGAGAGATTAATAAATATTTCTAACACAATAAAAGCACAAAACTTAATGTAATTATGTATTGTGACTATTTTTAAAATATGGAAGTATTAGTGAACAAGGCAAATTCTACAAGAGACGCACACAGCATGAGTCCCTTCATGTCAAGTTTAAAAATAGGCAAAATTAATCAATAAAAACAGTCAGGATATCCATGAACTTGGAAGGTGCTTCCACCTAGAGAGGACATTGTGAGGGTGCTTCTGTGATGCTGATCATGTTAGGCTTCTCCATCTGGGTCCTGGCCACTAAGGTATATTAACCCTGTGAAACTTCATCAATTTGTATGCTTATTATACCTCAATAAAAATGCAAAAAAACATGAAGGTAAAATGAAAACATTTTCAGATTAACAAAATTGAAAGACCTATGTTTCCAGTGTGCCTACACTAAGGTGCTCCACAGGCAGAAGAAAAGTGTCCCAAGGTGGAAGCTCATTGTATCGATTATCTTTTCTGCATAACAAAGGTAATATCTCAGTGACTTGCAACCACAAATATTTATTACACATCAGCAGTGATGGGATTTGAAGACATAGCCCCTCAGTACAACATACTCATTCTTCTGGAAGGGATAAAAAATGAAATGAGGATTGGCTTATAAATTTATGGGGACTGCTTGGTCTAAAATCCACAGGGAAGGCAATCAGAATAGTAAGCATGTGGCAGGTCTGAGGCTCTCATCCACAGCTGATGTGTCTACCCTCTCCTGGGGAAACCTCGGCCTTGCTTTTAAAGACTTCTAACAGATTCCATCAAACCTGCCCAGATTATTCAGGACAGCCTCTCTTACTTACTGTCAACCGATCAGGGCTTTAACTACATCTGCAAAATTCTTTCATAGCAATAACTAGATTAGCATTTGATTGAATAACTGGGCATTACAACCTAGCCAAGGTGACACATTAATAAAGCCTACACAAAGGACCAAATAAACAAAGAACCATTCATAGATTGAGAGGTACAAATAGCAATTTTCCTCAAATATAGATCCAATAAAATCTCATCAATCTACTTGCAGGATTGTTGGAGAATTGCAAGTTGATTCTGAAATGTATATGGAACTTAAAAGGCCAAGAATAGCTAAGACAATCTTGAAAAAGAACAAATTGGAGGACTAAAGCTTCTAAATAACCAGACTAACAATAAAACTACAAGAAATAATACAGTAAAGTATACATAGATTAACAGACTGATGAAACAGAACACAGTCAAGGATAGATTGACCCACGGTAACTGATGTATCACAAAGATGCCAAATTTGTTGATGTACAACAAAGAATCCTGGGAAAATGGTAAAATGTCAATAAATTGTGATAGATCAATTGGATATTTATACTTCTACTTTACACTGCACACAGGTATATTATAAGTCTAAATGTACAATGTAAATAATAATAACGCCACTCTCAAATATAACTAAAGAAAATAGTTTCATGAATTTTGGGTATGCAAAGAATTTCTAAATATGTTTCAAAAGTATTAATCATAATGGAAAAGACTGAGAAAAATTGATTTCATTAAGACCATGAAATATGAGTCATCAAAAGAAACCAATAAGAGAGTAAAAACTCAAGTCACAAAACAGGAGAAGATATTTTCAACACATATAACCAAAAATGGCCTATACGTAGGATATGTAAAGAATGCTTAAACTTTTGAAAAGACAAGTAAACCCACCTAGCCCATCTAACTTTTGTATTTTTAGTAGAGACGGAGTTTCACCATGTTGGCCAGGCTGGTCTCAAACTCCTGACCTCAGGTGATCAGCCTGCCTTGGCCTCCCAAAGTGCTGGGATTGCAGATGTGAGCCACCACACCTGGCCTTGTTGCTGGTGTCTTTTTCGGAATCTTTTATAGAGTAGAGAGTAGAAACTGGAAGCCAGGAAGGCAAAGTTGGCCTTTTCAGCACTGCTTAGATCTGTCTTGTTCTTTCCTAAAACTGCAAGACCATAGTCACACTTAGTGGCAAACTGCTAAATGTGAGAATACCCCAATACTCTGATGTATGTTTTTCTGTAAGTTGTGATAGAATCTCCTCTTCAGTGGAAGCTTTTGACAAAATAGCATTCTGTAGAGAACAGATAAAAGGAAATTCTCTCCCTAGTCCT
Organism: Homo sapiens; assembly: GCF_000001405.40. Taxonomy (NCBI): domain Eukaryota; kingdom Metazoa; phylum Chordata; class Mammalia; order Primates; family Hominidae; genus Homo; species Homo sapiens. The sequence goes on along the minus strand of NC_000002.12, from coordinate 128,975,803 downwards.
CATATCTTGTCATAACTAACATCGGCAGGAATTGACCGCTTACTACGTGAATAACACCGCGTTGTGTGTTGGACACAGCCTGATCCTAGTGAAGTCTCCCAGGAGGCAGGATGGGCCCAGGTTTCGGTCCTGAGGGCTCCGCTGTAGGAGAAGAAGAGGGGACGCCATCAGGCCAGGTGGCTTCAGGGAGAGGCTGGGCTTTGGCTGGATGCAGCTCCCGCCCCTGCTTTCGGACCCACTTGTTTTGTTTTCGGGCTGTATTTGGAAACACAAATGCACATATTTAAAAATTAAAAAGTGGCCGGGCGCGGTGGCTCACGCCTGTAATCCTAGCACTTTGGGAGGCCGAGACGGGCGGATCACGAGGTCAGGAGATCGAGACCATCTTGGCTAACACAGTGAAACCCCGTTTCTACTAAAAATACAAAAAATTAGCCGGCCGTGGTGGCGGGCGCCTGTAGTCCCAGCTACTCGGGAGGCTGAGGCAGGAGAATGGCATGAACCTGGGAGGCGGAGCTTGCAGTGAGCCGAGATCGCGCCACTGCACTCCAACCTGGGAGACACAGCGAGACTCCGTCTCAAAAAAAAAAACAAAAAAAACAAAAAACAAAAAAAAAAAATTAAAAAGTTAAATAAAATTGTAAAATAGAGTCTGTCAATCAAGAGTTCAGAAAGAAGCTGTAGTTCAGTTTTTGAAATATCTCCACAGCAGACACACACACATACACCCAATTTAGACACTGTGTATAATGTGAACATGCTTACTTAAACTGTTATAAAGAATTTTCAGTTGTCATAAAATGCTTTCAGTAGCATCTGTGCCAAATTGATTCTCACAGAGAAAGATCTGAGCTAAAGGCTTGCATTTGGTGATGGACCCAGCTTCAAAACCCAGCCTGCCACTTGACAATCTCATGCTCTTGGGTAAATCACACAATATCACTGTGCCTCAGTTTCCTCTGTTATAAAAGAGAACAATAAACGTGGTTGTCAACTTCACGAAGTGTGTGAGGATAGAATTAGCTGACGCAGGTGCAATCTTAGTGATCATTCAGCCCATTGCCCCCATGCACACGTTTCCATTGTCCTGTTCACTCGGACATGCTCACCTCATTTTCCGAGGAGGACAGAGAAAGCATGATGGTATGAATTCTGAAGACCAGGTTGCTCCCTCCTCTAGCATATGAAAATGCTTCTATGTCACTATAAAAGTGGAGTGGGGACACTCCGGGTGCCCTGATGCATACACAGCGATGCTAGGAGTCATCTAGTATGAACGGAGAAGGAGAAAATAGAAGTGAAACATTTCCAAACATATTTTTTTGCAAAGGAAGAAATCATAAGGCCTGGCTGACAGTCATTGACCTTCTTATCAGAGGCAGTAGATCTTCTCTGCTCATTTCTATTATAAATGTTATGAATCCAACCCAAATGGAGATGTACCAGGGATGGTCTAGCAGGAAAATTGTCCATTCAATTTCTGTGACTCCTTTTGTCACTGGGGCAGGGAGGAGTGCTCTGTCACCTGCAGGTGGTCCCAAACTGCAGGGCAGGTAAAGGAAAGAACCGCTGCGAGTCCTGTGAGTGGTGCACTCACTCCACAAGGGTGCCGGCTGTCCCAGCAGTCATTTGATGAAGCAGTTTGTGTGGCTCAGTGGTGTGCTGCAGGGAAACCAGTAGCTGCCTCTGGGAGCTTGGACAATGAATCACGATTTTCCATGACACCTGTTTTACTGTCCTTTAGGGCCCTGCTCTCAGCTGTGCCCTGTCATTTTATAGGAGTCCTTTACAGTTCATTAGATAGCTCTGACAGCAAATCCTATACAGTGCTGCCTATGGCCCAGGTGCCTTTTATCTTGGGGATGCAACAGAGAGCAGAGATAAACAGACCAGAGGAAGGCTCTGCATCTGGCCACATGGAGGCCCTGGTGGCAGGCAGGGAGGAGGGATGGTAGGGATGTGAGGTCAAAACTCCACTGGGTAAGGCTTTGGATAAAGCCAAATAAGTCTGCGAAAGAAGTGTGCTGAGTGCAGGAAACGGAACCCCCAAGACCCCCGAGAACAGCGCTTCCCTTTACCCACAGCCATTTTCCCTCCACTTGAGGCATCTCATTCTGCCACCCTGGCAGCCCATCACTGGATCTACCATGTGCCCAGCCAGAGTCCAGGAACTTCAAGGTCCTTCCCAGGTAATTTACTATTGGTGAAATATAATATTTTGCCAAGCTTGTCAGGATGGAGATAACTATTATTATATCCATTTCCCCACCCTATACACCATGTAGAACTACAAATATTTCATTGCAAGTATGACCCAATGACATGGCCACAGAGGCCCTGGGGGTGCCCCAGTAAATGACTTAGGGAGAGAATTTTATGCTTTATAGGGGCAGGTCTGGTAAATGAAAAGCACTGGAGAGGTTAGGGCATGAAAAACCTGGAGAATCATTCAAAGGGAAGACAGAGCTATGGCTGGTGTTGAGTTCCACTCCCTTGAGGAGGTGCTGGAAAAGACAGTTTGCATTTGCTTTGGTTTAAAATGTTGAGCCTCTCAAATGTTTTCTGTGCAATAGGACACTAGCTGCTGAGAGAAGCAACTCCCTTGGTTATGTCCAGGGAGGGAGAGTTTAGGGCCATCTCTGAGATCACAGCACCAGCCTGGGCTGGAGATCACCTCTTGCTGGGAGTTGAGAAGCCTCTAGAATGAGCAGGCACCTAAAATGGCTGGGGTGTGGGAGAAAAGGTAGGAAGGAAACCACAGAGCTGAGAAGGGGCTGTGTTCCCATAGGCAGAGCCCCCTGAAAGTACCTCGGCACGGGCCCCCAGCAACAAGAAGTAGGAGCAGTGGGTGCCTCATGCAGGGACAGCAAAGTGGAAGAGGCCATGCCTGAGGTGGGGAGAGGGTCTCACAGGCCCCAAAAGGAGGACAAATGTTTCCCACACTGAGGAACCCAGTGGCCAGACAGTGGCAGGCAGAGAAACAGTAGGGTCCACACCTTGCCTTGCACTGAGCATGGGAGGGAGAGTCAGGACCACTGGCCTCTGTTCTCCCTCCCTCTGTGAGATCGTAGGGGCCAGTGCCCAAGAGTACCCCATTTCCCACCTTTAGCCTGTCCACTCAAGGCCAGGGCCAGGCGTCCAGCCTGCACTCAGCGGAGCGGAAGGAAGGTTTCACGATGCTTAGGCTCTAAGAGGAACACGATTGAATTTTTAAAGAACTAACATGAGATCCTTATCAATTGAAAGGGATCAAGAAGCCCTGGAAGCTTGATTTACTATTAGGGGGCTTACTTCCAATGAGAAAAAGGGATTTTAACATGCAATCCCCGGAAAACAGTAAAACCACACTCTGTGTAGGAGCCAGAGATGGCACTCTTGACTGCACCAGCGACATCTGTTCCCAAGTTTTCTCCCCAAATAGATTTTAATCTTCTGAAGACAAGGATAATGACTGCATCATCTCTCAGCCACTTGCAGAAGTCTCCCCAGAACGTGGTCCTGCAGACATCACAGGTGCCTGCTTATCTCACCTTGTGTGTCCACCATGAGACTGTGAATTCCTCCAAAGCAGAGGCTGTTTTCACCTGCTGTGTGTCCCCAGCTTCACCAGTGGGGTCCAGAACAGAGGAGATATTCAGTAAGTTCTAGCTGTAGAAATTATAAAATGCCAGCTTATTAGGCTGAAAGGTCTCCCAAACCCCTAATCTATGGAAGCTGGGACTAAGTTAATTTACGTGGCAAAAGGGACCTTGTAGATGTGAGAACCTTGTGTTAAGAACCTTGAGACAGAGAGTTTTTCTGGATTATCTAGATGTGCCCAACATAATCACAAAAGCTCATGAGGAGAAAAAAGGGTCAAATTCAGAAAAAGGAGAGATGAGTACAGAAGAGAGGTTGGAGTGATGTAGCTTGAAGGTGGAAGAAGGAGCCACAAGCCAGGGAATGCCTGTAGCTCTGATAGCTGGAAAAGGCAAGGAAATAAATTCTCCCCGGCACCTCCAGAAGAAAAGGGGTCCTGCCAACACCTTGATTTTAGACTTCTGGCCTCCAGAGCTGTACAACAATAAATTTATGTCATTTTTAGCCACTAAGTTTGTGGCAATTTGTTACAACAGTAATAGAAAGCTAATATACCAATAGACCACCATAGACACTACATACTAAAGGCTCAGAAGAGGAATTTCCTGGCACATCCTAGACTTTCTCTCTTGTGCATCCTCTTAAATGGTAAATAAGAGGCCAGGCGCAGAGGCTTATGCCTGAATTCCCAGCACTTTGGGGGGCGGAGGTGGGTAGATCACCTGAGGTCGAGAGTTCAAGACCAGCCTGGACAACATGGTGAAACCCCATCTCTACTAAAAATACAAAAATTAGCTGGGCATGGTGGCAGGCACCTGTAGTCCCAGCTACTCAGGAGGCTGAGGCAGGAGAATCGCTTGAACCCAGGAAGTGGAGGTTGCAGTGAGCTGAGATCGCACTACTGCACTCTAGCCTAGGCAACAGAGCAAGACTCTGTCTCAAAAAAAAAAAAAAAAAAAGGTAAATAAGAAATGAGAACTGGAACCCATCCAGCCCCATGCTCTGTCATTATCACAATTATATTCCACGAATGAAGACTCTAGCATATGAACTTTCTGGATGTCTATTTTCTTAAATTTCTATGATAGTCTCTTTATAGCTTTGTCACAGTGTTGTCTTTCCTTATGTCTCTGAGGATATTATTGACAGTTTCTTTTTCCTACTCTCTATGTTTGTTTCTGTCTATGTGTTTCCTATCTGCTTTGATCTCTGCCACATTACAGGCTCCATCGGATGTCTGACCACCCTTGGTTTTCGGCTCGTGTTTAAGGGTACAGCACTGAAATCTGCCAGGAAGCTCTGGGCACTGCAGGGCAGAGTTCTCGACCGTGACTGATGTGGTTCATGCTTTGGAAGGCAGACAGCAGGGGAGAATGTCTAAGCATTGCTTTCGCAGCATCCTGTAGGGTTTTGTATGTTGTGTTTTCATTTTCATGGATCTCAAAGTGTTTTCTAATTTCCATTGTGATTTCTGCTTTGACTCATTGGTTGTTTAAGGGTAGATGGTCTAATTTCCACATAGTTGTGAATTTCCCCTAATTTTCTTCTGATGGTAATTTTTAATTGAATTCCATGGTTTCAGAGAACACACCCTGTATACTTTAAATATCTGTATTTTTTTAAATCGAGGCTTGTTTTATGGCCTAGCATATAGTCTATCCCAGATCATGTCCCCCGTGCATTGCAGAATATAGACTTTGCTCTTGTTGGACTGTGCTCCGTAGATGTCTGCTGGTTTACAGCCATTCCAGTCACTGTTTCCTGACTGATCTTCTTCCTAGTCAACTACCCATTATCAAAAGTGTCAAGTTGCCTAAACAGTCCTTCAATTCTGTGAGTTTTTGCTTCATGTATTTTGAGCTCTGAAGTTACGTGCATATATGTTTCTAAGTGTTACATCTTTCTTATGGATTGATCTTTAGTCATTAGGAAATGTTCTTTATATCTAGTAACTTTTTTATTTTAAAGTTTATTTCTTTCTCATTTTGGCATAGCCACTCCAACTCTCTTATGATTGCTATTTATGTGGTATATATTTTTGTATATGAAGTATGTCTCCTGCAGAATAAAGCTGAACCTTGTTTCATTATACAGTCTGAAAATCTGTCTCTCACTTTCATTGTTTATTCACATTTAATGTTATTATTGATATGGATTTACATTAGCCATTCTTCTTTTTGTTTCTACATGTCTCATGTCATTTTTTTCTCTCCTCCTCCTTTACTGCTTTATTTTGATGAAGTCATTATTTTCTAGTGTGACATTTTAATTTAATAATTATGTATTTTAATTATTATTTTAGTGGTCACTGTAAGACTTAATATATGTATCGTATCTTACTTTATCAAGATTATATTATATTTACACTAAATAAATACTAGTGTAATATAGCAATTTTACTTCTATATAGTTCCATTCTCTTGCCCTCCTGTTTTGTACTATTATTATTAAACATTCTACATATGCATATGTTGCAAACTCACCAATACTTTGTTGTAATAATTGCTTTATGTAACTCTATGTCTTTTAAAGACTTTGACAGAGAAAGGAGAGTGAGCATATATTTATAGAGTTTGTTATATTATGCATCTTACTTAACATTTCTGATTCTTTTAGGTTCTTCCTGTGGATTCAAGCTACCATCTGGTGTCCTTTCCTTACTCCAACACAGCTCTGTCCCCACCCACCTCCTTTGGACTGTTATTTTTAATTATATGACATTTACATAAGCCATATGAGCAACAACAAAATGATTATAATGATCATTATCATGATCTTATACTATCATAAAATAATTAGTAGTATTTTTGCAATTACCTTTTAATTCAATTAGAAGGATACAAATTTGCAACTATACTTTTAAAGTAATTACCTATTTAATTACCCTTATCAACACTCTTTGTTTCCTTGTTATATGTGGATTCAAAATACTGTCTGGTCCCTCTTGTTTTCAGACTGAGGAACTCCTTTAGTATCTCTTCTAAGGCACATCGGCTCACAACGTGTTCCATCAGCTTTTATCAGAAAACGCATGAATTATGCCTTCATTATTGAAAGATTTTCATTATTTTTGTTGGATACAAATTTGGCTGACATTTTCATCTTATTTTCAGCAATTTGGGTATGTTATCCCATTGCCTTCTGGCCTCCATAGTTCTGATGAAAAGTCGGCCTATAGTGTAACTGGGGTTCTCTTATTCACGAGGAGTCATTTTTCTCTTACTGCTTTGAAAATGTTCTCATTATCTTTGGCTTTCTACATGATGACTATAATGTATCTCTGTGTAGATCTCTTTGTGCCTATCTTACCAGGAGTTTGCTGAATTTTTGGATGTGTGGGTTAAAATCTTTCACCAAAGTGAGGAAGTGATCAGCCAATATTTCTTCAAATAATTTCTCTGCCTCTTTCTCTCTGGTTGTTCTCCTTCTGGGACTCCATTACATCTATGTTGGTGCTCAAAGCTCCCTTACATTTCTAAGGCTGTATTCATTTTTCTGAATTTTTTAATCTCTGTTTTTTAGATTGCATCATCTCTGTCTTCAAGTTCATTGATTCTTTATTTGCCAGTGCAATCTAGTACTAAGCCCCTCTAGTGATGTTTTCATATAACATATTGTACTTTTCAGCCCCAGAATTTTCATTTGGTTCTTTTTAAAATATAATTTCTACTTTCTGATTGTATTTTTTATGAGACGTTGTCATTAAAATTTCCTCAATTGTTTAGACATGATTGTTTTAATTCTTTTAACATACTTATATCAGCTACATTGAAGTCTTTGTTTGCTAAATTCAACACCTGGAACCCTTCAAAAGCAATTTCTATTGTCTGCATTTTTTCCTGTGTATGGGTCAGACTTACTCTTCCTTTGGATGCTTATAGGTTTGTGATGAAAACTGGACATTTTAGACAGTATAGCAACTCTGGACATTGATCACTCCCTTTCCTAAGGTATATGTTGTTCATATATGTTTGGTCATTTATTTTTTTTATGTCATGACATTGATGAACTAATAATATAGTAGCTATTTATCCTGCAGTGTGCAGCTTCTGATGCCTCTGGTTAGATTTTTTTTAATTTTATTATCTTTTATTCTGGCAACCTAGGGTTGTTCTTGGTCAGAGGTTGTACTTAAGTCCCTTAAGCAAGATAGATTTTTACCCTTCACCGTTGGATGTGTGTGTAAACTGTAGGCTAATATCACAGTTCAGGGAGATTACATATTTATTTGTTTTTGTACACCATTTATCCAGAAACTAATTAACTAGATAATTTTTTCCCTAATCATGCCTGAGGGGGTGCCTGCTTGGGCTTGCACATGGTCTCCCAGACTGAGGGGTGACTACAACATGGGTGTACTTTGATGGTATTGTGGGTTAGATTCCAGACCACTGCAATAAAGCAATTCACAATAAAGTGAGTCATATGAATTTTTTGGTTTCCCAGTGCATGTAAAATTTATTTGCATACTAGAATCTATTAAGTGTGCATAGCATTATGTCTTAAAAAAGTACATATCTTAATTTTAAAATACTTTATTGTTAAAAGAGTGCTACTAATCATCTGAGCTTTCTGTGAGTCCTAATCTTTTTATTAGGGAAGGATCTTGCCTTGATGTTAATGGCTGCTGACTGATCAAGGTTGTGGTTGCTGAAAGTTGGAGTGGTTGGGGCAATTTCATAGAATAAAACAATATTAAAGTTTCTTTTTTTAATTTTATTTTATTCTTATTATACTTTAAGTTTTAGGGTACATGTGCACAATGTGCAGGTTAGTTACATATGTATACATGTGCCATGCTGGTGTGCTGCACCCATTAACTCGTCATTTAGCATTAGGTATATCTCCTAAAGCTATCCTTCCCCCCTCCCCCGACCCCAAAACCGTCCCCAGAGTGTGATGTTCCCTTTCCTGTGTCCAAGTGTTCTCATTGTTCAATTCCCACCTATGAGTGAGAATATGCAGTGTTTGGTTTTTTGCTCTTGCGATAGTTTACTGAGAATGATGATTTCCAATTTCATCCATGTCCCTACAAAGGACATGAACTCATCATTTTTTATGGCTGCATAGTATTCCATGGTGTATATGTGCCACATTTTCTTAATCCAGTCTATCATTGTTGAACATTTGGGTTGGTTCCAAGTCTTTGCTATTGTGAATAGTGCCGCAATAAACATACGTGTGCATGTGTCTTTATAGCAGCATGATTTATAGTCCTTTGGGTATATACCCAGTAATGGGATGGCTGGGTCAAATGGTATTTCTAGTTCTAGATGCCTGAGGAATCGCCACACTGACTTCTACAAGGGTTGAACTAGTTTACAGTCCCACCAACAGTGTAAAAGTGTTCCTATTTCTCCACATCCTCTCCAGCACCTGTTCTTTCCTGACTTTTTAATTATTGCCATTCTAACTGGTGTGAGATGGGATCTCATTGTGGTTTTGATTTGCATTTCTCTGATGGCCAGTGATGGTGAGCATTTTTTCATGTGTTTTTTGGCTGCATAAATGTCTTCTTTTGAGAAGTGTCTGTTCATGTCCTTCGCCCACTTTTTGATGAGGTGGTTTGTTTTTTTCTTGTAAATTTGTTTGAGTTCTTTGTAGATTCTGGATATTAGCCCTTTGTCAGATGAGTAGGTTGCGAAAATTTTCTCCCATTTTCTAAGTTGCCTGTTCACTCTGATGGTAGTTTCTTTTGCTGTGCAGAAGCTCTTTAGTTTAATTAGATCCCATTTGTCAATTTTGGCTTTTGTTGCCATTGCTTTTGGTGTTTTAGACATGAAGTCCTTGCCCATGCCTATGTCCTGAATGGTAATGCCTAGGTTTTCTTCTAGGGTTTTTATGGTTTTAGGTCTAACGTTTAAGTCTTTAATCCATCTTGAATTAATTTTTGTATAAGGTGTAAGGAAGGGATCCAGTTTCAGCTTTCCACATACAGCTAGCCAGTTTTCTCAGCACCATTTATTAAATAGGGAATCCTTTCCCCATTGCTTGTTTTTCTCAGGTTTGTCAAAGATCAGATAGTCGTAGATATGTGGCATTATTTCTGAGGTCTCTGTTCTGTTCCATTGATCTATATCTCTGTTTTGGTACCAGTACCATGCTGTTTTGGTTACTGTAGCCTTGTAGTATAGTTTGAAGCCAGGTAGCATGATGCCTCCAGCTTTGTTCTTTTGGCTTAGGATTGACTTGGTGATGCGGGTTCTTTTTTGGTTCCACATGAACTTTAAAGTAGTTTTTTCCAATTCTGTGAAGAAAGTCATTGGTAGCTTGATGGGGATGGCATTGAATCTATAAATTACCTTGGGCAGTATGGCCATTTTCACGATATTGATTCTTCCTACCCATGAGCATGGAATGTTCTTCCATTTGTTTGTATCCTCTTTTATTTCACTGAGCAGTGTTTTGTAGTTCTCCTTGAAGAGGTCCTTCATGTCCCTTGTCAGTTGGATTCCCAGATATTTTATTATCTTTGAAGCAATTGTGAATGGGAGTTCACTCATGATTTGGCTCTCTGTTTGTCTGTTATTGGTGTATAAGAATGCTTGTGATTTTTGTACATTGATTTTGTATCCTGAGACTTTGCTGAAGTTGCTTATCAGCTTAAGGAGATTTTGGGCTGAGACAATGGGGTTTTCTAGATATACAATCATGTCATCTGCAAACAGGGACAATTTGACTTCCTCTTTTCCTAATTGAATACCCTTTATTTCCTTCTCCTGCCTAATTGCCCTGGCCAGAACTTCCAACACTATGTTGAATAGGAGTGGTGAGACAGGGCATCCCTGTCTTGTGCCAGTTTTCAAAGGGAATGCTTCCAGTTTTTGCCCATTCAGTATGATATTGGCTGTGGGTTTGTCATAAATAGCTCTTATTATTTTGAGATATGTCCCATCAATACCTAATTTATTGAGAGTTTTCAGCATGAAGCGTTGTTGAATTTTGTCAAAGGCCTTTTCTGCATCTATTGAGATAATCATGTGGTTTTTGTCTTTGGTTCTGTTTATATGCTGGATTACATTTATTGATTTGCATATATTGAACCAGCCTTGCATCCCAGGGATGAAGCCCACTTGATCATGGTGGATAAGCTTTTTGATGTGCTGCTGGATTCAGTTTGCCAGTATTTTATTGAGGATTTTTGCATCAATGTTCATCAAGGATATTGGTCTAAAATTCTCTTTTTTGGTTGTGTCTCTGCCCGGCTTTGGTATCAGGATGATGCTGGCCTCATAAAATGAGTTAGGGAGGATTCCCTCTTTTTCAATTGAGGGGAATAGTTTCAGAAGGAATAGTACCAGTTCCTCCTTGTACCTCTGGTAGACTTCGGCTGTGAATCCATCTGGTCCAGTACTCTTTTTGGTTGGTAAGCTATTGATTATTGCCACAATTTCAGAGGCTGTTATTGGTCTATTCAGAGATTCAACTTCTTCCTGGTTTAGTCTTGGGAGGGTGTATGTGTCGAGGAATTTATCCATTCCTTTTAGATTTTCTAGTTTATTTGCATAGAGGTGTTTGTAGTATTCTCTGATGGTAGTTTGTATTTCTGTGGGATCGGTGGTGATATCCCCTTTATCATTTTTTATTGCATCTATTTGATTCTTCTCTCTTCTTTAAATAAGAAAATAATAAGTCAGTAATGAACTGACTTTTTCTTTCATGAAATCTTTCATGAAATATTTCTTTGTAGCATGAGATGCTGCTTTCTAGCATTTTACCCACAGTAGAACTTTTTTCAAAATAGGAGTCAGTCCCCTCAAACCCTGCCACTGCTTTATCAACTAAGTGTATGTAATATTCTAAATCCTTGCTTTTCATTTCAACAATGTTCACATCTTTGCCAGAAGTGAATTCCATCTCAAGAAACCACTTTCTTTGCTCATTCATAAGAAGCAACTCCTCATCGGTTCAAGTTTATCATGAAACTGCAGCAATTCAGTCACATCTTCAGGCTCTACTTTAATCTAGTTCTTTTGCTATTTCCAGCACATCTGCAGTTGCATCCTCCACTGAAGTTTTAAACTCCTCAAATTCATCCATGAGACTTGGAATCAACTTCTTCCAAACTCCTGTTAATGTTGCTATTTTTGCCTCTGCCCATGAGCCATGAATAGTCTTAATGGCATCTAGAATGTGAATTATTTCAAGAAGGCTTTCGATTTACTTTGCCCAGATCCAAGAGAAATCACGATCTATAGCAGTTATAGCATTGTCAAGTTGATTTATTGTATAATAAGACTTGAATGTCAAAATTGCTCCTGGATCTGTGGACTACAGAATGAATGTTGTGTTAGAAGACATGAAAATGGCATTAGTTTCCTTGTGCATCAGAGCTCTTGGTGAATAGGTGCATTGTCAATGAGCAGGAAAAAAAGTTGAAAGTAATCTTTTTTTCTGAGCAGTAAGTCTCAACAGTTGGCTTAAAATATTCAGTAAACCATGCTGTAAACAGATATGCTGTCATTCAGGCTTTGTTTTTACATTTATAGAGTACAGGCACAGTAAGTTTAACATAATTCTTAAGGGCCCTAGGACTTTCAAAATGGAAAATGACTATTGGTTCCAACTTAAAGTCACCATGTGCATTAGTCTCTTACAAGAGAGTGAAGTGTCCTTTGAAGCTTTGAAGCCAGGCATTGATTTCTCCTGTTTAGCTATGAAAGTTCCTAGACGACATCTTCCAATATAAGGCTTTTTCATCTACATTGAAAATATGTTGTTTAGTGCAACAACCTTCATCAAGTATCTTAGCTAGATCTTCTGGATAACTTGCTATAGCTTCACCTTCTACTTTTATGTTATGGAGATGGCTTCTTTCTTTAAAAGTCATGAAACAACCTTTTTAGCTTCCAACTTTTCTTCTGCAGCTTCCTCGCCTCCCTCAGCCTTCATAGAATTGAACAGGATTAGGACCTTTCTATGGATCAGAGAAAGAGACTAATGATATGAGACTAAGGAGTAAGAGACTAATGCAGCTGGTGACTTTAAGTTAAAGCCAATAGTCATTTTCTATTTTGAAAGTCCTAGGGCCCTTAAGAATTATGTTAAATTTACTGTGCCTGTACTCTCTAAATGTAAAAACAAAGCCTGAATGACAGCATATCTGTTTACAGCATGGTTTACTGAATATTTTAAGCCAACTGTTGAGACCTACTGCTCAGAAAAAAAGATTACTTTCAACTTTTTCTCCTGCTCATTGACAATGCACCTATTCTTTGTGTTAAGAGAATGTGTGGCTGTTTTGATCTCTCAAGACCACTAAAATTCTCCGTATCAGCAATAAGGCTGTTTCACTTATTTATTATCCTGTTTACTAGAATAGCATTTTTAATTTCCTTCAACAGCTTTTCCTTTCCATTTACAGCTTGGCTAACTGTTTAGCTAAATAAGCCTCACTTTCAGCCTGCCTTGGCTTTCAACATAGCTTCCTCACTAAGTTTAATCATTTCTAGCTTTTGACTCAAAGTGAGAGATATGTACTCTTTCTTTCACTTGAACACTTACAGGACACTGATGAGTTATTAATTGGCCTAATTTCAATATTGTTGTCTCTCAGGGAACAGAAAGGCCCAAAGGGAGGGAGAGAAATATAAGAATGGCCAGTCTGTGGAGCAGTCAGAACACACACAATATTTATTGATTAAGTTAAATGTCTTATGTGGTGGGCACAGTTTGTGGCACCCCCAAACAATTACAGTAGTAACAAGAGATCACCATAACAGACAGAATAATGAAAATGTTTGAAGTATTTTCAGGACTACCAAAATGCGACACAGAGATATGAAGTGAGCACATGCTATTAGAAAAAAGTGGCGTCAATAGACTTGTTAGATGCAGGGCTGCCACAAACCTTCTGTTTGTAAAAAAAAATCCAGTATCTAGGAAGCACAATAAAATGAAGTGTAATAAAATGAGGTGTGCCTGTACTATTTCAGCCTAACTTTCTAGGAGTCACTGTGCCTTAGAGTAGCTTATCATTCAGTGAGTCTTTGGTCAGAGGTTGTGCTCAAGCCCTTAGTGCAAGTGATGTTGACTAACCTGTGTGAAGCTCTGGGAATATTTGCAAGTATTTACCTCTGATTCTCCCTGGTTGAGTGGATCCTACACTTGAACACAACCTTCACAGGACCCGGGGTTGTCCATCAACCTCAGAGTGCTCTTCTTGGTCTTGGCTGTCTCTTTCCCCAGTTCTATTAAACTGGCTTCTCTGCCATACAGCTTGTTACAGGGATCATGGAGATATGAATGCTATCTTAATTACTTCTACCAAGATCTCCCTTTGTGGGGGCAATACCCATAGGTATAGAATTCTCCATTATCTCTTCCAAATGTAGTTGGTCCCCTTAGGCAGAGCAGTGTTGCCATTAGTCCTTATGCCCTGGCCCTCACCCTTTGCAGAAGTCCTGCAAAACTGCATGGGGTCTGGAGTGGGAACTGTGGGCACTTCTCCTGGGTGACACCATTGCTGTTGGAATGAAACTGATTCAACTGACCCATCAACAATTTTTTAAAAAATAAATATAGAAATTGACACTTCTGCTCACAGGCATGTTCCAGCTCATACCCTATGCCCCTTCCTTATTTGGAAATGTTATTGCTTCCTTAAACCTTTTTAGCATCTCCTTAAACCTTTGTAAGCAACTTCTTTGTTCTTCCCTGTACTTAACTATTAGGAAAGTTGTAGGCTATTAGCAAATCAGGTATTAGTTTAAGATTGTGAGGTCCTGCTCCAGCCAATAGATGCAGGACACAGCAGTAAGGACGACCCAAATGTGTAAGGGATAAATATATCTGCTTTTCTTTTGTTCAAGTGTGCTCTCGCCATTGTTCCATCTGCAATTGAGCATCCTTTCTGCAGAAAGTAAAGATGGCCTTGCTGAGAAAAAAAAAAAAAAGAAATTGACACTTCCGGTCTTAAAGCTTGAAACTATTTGTTTTATCTGAGTTTCTTCTTCAGGAAATGACCTTCAGGACTCTCAAAAGAAATATCAAAGAACTGAAACTTACCAGATCACCACATTCAAACAGTGGAATGTTGGACCACTCATCCATCATGATTGCTTCCTTGCCCCTCCCTAGTTCCTGTTTTCCCACACATTGTTACATTTCTTCCCTGCTATATAAACTGATGTGGTTAGACTTTGTGTCCCCATCCAAATCTCCTCTTGAATTGTTATCCCCATGTGCACATGTACCCTAGAATTTAAAGTATAATAATAAAAAAAAGAAGGTGCCTTGCTTCCCTGTCACCTTCTGCCATGATTGTAAGTTTCCTGAGGCCTGAGCCATGCTGAACTGTGAGTCAATTAAACCTCTTTCTTTTATAAATTACCAGTCTTGGGCAGTTCTTTATAGCAGTATGAAAATGGACTAATACAGTAAATCCCTCATTACAAATATTTAGTAATGGTGACCAGAATGTGTGGCATTTGAGCCATCAGCCCCTTTCCCTGCAGCCCTCCCAGCTCTCATGGAAGCTGCCCTGGGGACTCCAGTCCATTGGATGCAGTGAAAAATCGAGGCTCCTTCTGTCTCCATCTCCCAGCTGGGAATATGTCTGCACTGCAAGAGGAGCAGCATGCCAATGCTTCTGTTTGCCTCTGCCCCATGTTGCAGAAGCTCTCTTCCAGGGAGGCACTGGCTCCCTCTCCTGCCCAGCCTCTATTCATAAGGTGGAAGTTTTAGTTGGTCAGGGAGATGGATTTGAGACTGAGCTCCCCTAAGACTGAGCTCTCATCTCCTTGGCTGCAGCACCTGATTAAAGCCTTCTTTCTTGGCAATACTCAACATCTCAGAGATTGGTTTTCTGTGTGGTGAGCAGCAGGACCCAGACTGAAACCCTGGTGTTTCTGTAATATGAACAAACACTGGGAGTGCGAGCCCCTGGTCTTCTTGTCTTTCCCCTCCAAGCACGGAACTTCCACCTCATGAGGAGTGACATGGGACAGAGGATCAGGGTCCCCATATTCTCAGCTTGCCGCACCTGAGGTAGAGCTCCTACCTTATGAATAGAGGCTGGGCAGGGGAGGGAGCCAGTGCCTGCCTGGAAGAGAGCTTCTGCAACATGGGGGCAGAGGAAAATAGAAGCATCAGCAGCCTGCTCCTCCTGCAATGCGGACATATTCCCAGCTAGGAGATGGAGACAGAAGAAGCCCCGATTTTTCACTGCATCCAATGGACTGGAGTCCCCAGGGCAGCTTCCATGAGAGCTGGGAGGGCTGCAGGGAAAGGGGCTGATGGTTCAAATGCCACACATTCTGGTTACCGTTACCAAATACAGTAAATATTGTTTAATGAATATTTCTCCATTTGCTGTATGTCCTTAGAACAGTTTCCACAGACTTTTTAAAAATCATTTACTCCAGTGAAATCATTGCTTTGCTGCTGAGAATTCTGTTGCACTCTTCTCTCTTCCCATCTGGAACCCCATTACAACAGATGAATGGATAAAGAAAACGTGGTGTATGGACCCAGTGGAATGCCATGCAGCCATAGAGAAGAAGGAAAGCCTGTCATTTACTACAACATGGATGGATCTGGAGGACTTTACGTTAAGTGAAATCAGCCAGTTACAGGATGACAAATATTGCATGATTTCACTCACACATGGAATCTTCTAAAAAATGATATTATAGAAGCAGAGAGTAAAATAGTGGTTACCAGACACTGGGAAGGGGAGGAGATGGGGAGGAGGAGGAGAGGTTAATCAGCTCAGCTCTGGCTCTGGGAATCCTGTCTGCAGTGGCCAACGGGGTCAAGGGGCGAGTGCCTGTGGGTGTGAGTTTGTGTGCGGCACCTAGGGGTTGGCTCATGGGGCATGTGTGGGTCCTTTGTGGGGAGTACAGGGGCTGGTTGGCTGGGGGCTGGTGTAAGACCTAGCAGTGTTTAGGTAATTCCTTACCTAAGTCCATGTTTGCCCAAGACTAGGGAGGACAGAGGAAGCTTGTGTTGCTGATATCTTAACCTCAGCCAGTGCTCATCAAGGCCACCCTGCAAGCTCCTATTTCCCAAATGTCTTCATCTGTAAGGGCTGCCATAGCAAAGCCCCATGGACAGGGAGCCTTCTTAAACAACACAAACTCTTCCTCACAATTCTGGAGGCTGGAAGTCCAGGGTCAAAGTGTCAGTAGGGTTGCATCCCCTGAGGCCTCTCTCCTTGGTTTACAAATGGCTGTCTTCTCCCGTGTCCTCATGTGGTCTTCCCTCTGTGTCTGTCCATGTCCTCATCTCCTCTCTTATGAGGATACTAGCAAGATTGCATTAGGACCCACCCTCCTGAACTCATTTTACTTTAGTCACCTCTTGAAAGGCCCTGTCTCCAAACAGTCACATTCTGAGGTTCTGGAGGTTACTACTTTAACATATGGATTTAGGTGGAGCAAAACTCAGCCCATAACACTAACTTTCCTGATAACCTGAAGCCCTGAGAAGTTGCCACTTGTCAGCCTTCTGCTCTTGACCAGGGCCTGCCATCTCTGCAGCTGCCTCCCCTGCCTCTACCCCAGTCCCCATCTGGGGGCTCCATGGAAACAGCTGCACCATTAACCCCTGACATAGCCCCAAATCTTTCACTGCACAGACCATTTCCATGTCCAGGCAGGGCCTGTTTGGTGCTCCTCCTTCTGATCCCACGTGACAGCAATAGCCCAAGGCCCTGTCTTCAATCTCTCTCTTCTCTCTCTCTCTTCCTTCCTCCTCTCTCTCTCCCCCAGCAACTCCTCTTCCCCTCTGTCTCATTTCTTTTCTGTCCTACTTGGTAACCATGAATGTCCTTCCAGCCCCCAGGACAACCAGCTAGCATGACACAAACCTTCCCACAGTGTCCTCAAGAGGCTGACACCGGAGCGCTGAGACAGCTTTGCAGACAGGTGCATCTGCCTACACCGGCCCCACAGGAAGACCAGCAACTGGTGGCCTTTGGGCTGATTGCAACTCTGTTAGCATTAGCCATCCTTCAAAGAACAGACCTCAAGAATATTTGCAAAAGGAGTTCCAAATTTAAGCTAGGCACATCCAGACCTAATGAGACTGCATGGCAGGAATGCTAATTATGTTAAGACATATAGCTGTGCCTGTGCTACTGCTATCATCACTCCCAAGGTGTGTGCATGACGGGCTGCAGGGCATCATCCAGATGCAGCAGCCAGGTGTGCTGTGGTCCACACAGGCATCAACAATGCTTTTACTGTCTTTTTCTTCAAAAACAAGTATCGGGAAGGAAGAGCAGAAAAGGAATTATCTTCTAACACATACAACATTTTTGCAATTTGATGGTTCACTGCCCTTTGCTGGGGGTGGGGCATTTCTCTCCTCCTCCAGCTCATAAGATGATGTCCCCAGACATGCCCATCCTACCACGCAAGGTGAGGCTGGATGCCTGCCTGGGATTGCGGCCTGAAATCTGCTTCTCAGAGCCTGAGATAAAGATAGAAGCTCTTTTGAACAGGCTGCTCCGTGGGGGATAGGCTGTCCAGTTGGTATTGTGAAGACTTAATGAGTATATTCCAAACAACTCTCTGGCAATTATTTCCCCGTGATGTATGACAAGTTGCTGTGTGCAGATGCTTATAAAATGTTACAGCATTTTATTAATTTGCCCTTCATTAGCTTTGTAATTTGCTAATGATCCCATCTTTGTGGCACCCTGCCCCGGTGACACCAGCTCCCTGATGAAGACTTAGGGGCAGCAGTGCATCCAGCCCTTCTCAGGTGACAGCCAGTCATGGCTTGGCCCAGTGACCCCTCCCACTGCTTTTTACTTCTGCTTCAAAGTGGAGCAATCTCGTATTGATACAGGAATAATAACTGCATATAAAATGGCACATCTATCAGAAGGGCAGGAATGTGAAATGAGTAAAGCTGTTAATTGTGTACAATTGCCCCGGAGTAATGAGGCTGCTTATCACTGTCTTTCCTCCAGGCTGGTATAGACACATCACTGTTGGCATGTCTGCTGGGCTGGTCCCGTCCCTGACAATAACTAGAGCGAGAGTGTTGGGGGGCCACTGGCCCGAGGGGACAAGAGTCAGGATGGGGTCAGGGGAGCTGCAGAAGGAGCAGAGGTCTGGCTGGGAATCCCTCCTCCCTGGGGAGTACTTCTGGCCCTACTGCTTGCTGTGTCACTTTGCATGGGTCATTCTGCCTCTTGGAGCCTCTATGTGCTCATCTGTGAAATGGAGATGATGGTGACACACTTCACAAGATGCTCAGGAGAGTCAATGATGTGATCATGGAAGCTGCTTGAGGAAGAGCAGAGACTCACAGGAATGAGTGGTCTCTCAATCATGAAGCAGGAAAAAAAAAATTAATTGAGCCCCTGAAAGCAAGGAGCAGATGGGGTGGTGACTGCAGTAAGCCTCTTAGAAGCTGAAAAATCAATAAAACCCTTAAGAACAACAACAACTGGCCGGGCACAGTGGCTCATGCTATAGTCTCAGCACTTTGGGAGGCCAAGGCAGGTGGATCACCTGAGGTCAGAAGTTCGAGACCAGCCTAGCCAACATGGCAAAACCCCATCTCGACTAAAAATACAAAAATTAGCCTGGCCTGGTGGCAGGCACCTGCAATCCCAGCTACTCAGGAGGCTGAGGCAGGAGTATCATTTGAACCTAGGAGGTGGAGGTTGCAGTGAGCAGAGATCGCTCCACTGCACGCCAGCCTGGGCAACAAGAGTGAAACTCTGTCTTAAAAACAACAACAACAACAACTAACAAAAATGAGGGAAGTCCTCAAAAGAGAGGAAACCAGTTCAGCTCTGGTTGCAGCACCTTCCCACCTTCAACTGTGGGCGTGTGACTGTGACTGTAAGAGCACCCCAACTCCGCAGCAGCAGGCCTGGGGATGGGGGCTCTGAGGTGGCTTCAGCAGTAGTGGACTCCTGCCTTCACCAAGGTCCAGCAGTGACTGGCCAGGGACTGGGAATGACCAGTGACATGCCTGAGGTTCGGTCCGCTAAGCTCAAAACACACTTCCTGCACCCCCCACTGGCTTCTAGACTGACTTGTAGATAGAGACAGAACTCAGACCGGAGCCCAGCTCTCAGCATGGCCTCTATCTAGCCACTGGGACAGATATGTGCAGGCAGTTATAAACTGCTGTGGTGACTGGGATAGCAAGTATAAGAATGAGGTGGTAGGCCAGGCGCAGTGGCTCACGCCTGTAATCCCAGCACTTTGGGAGGCCGAGGCGGGCGGATCACAAGGTCAGGAGATCGAGACCATCCTGGCTAACATGGTGAAACCCCATCTCCACTAAAAATACAAAAAATCAGCCGGGCCTGGTGGCGGGCGCCTATAGTCCCAGCTACTCGGGAGGCTGAGGCAGGAGAATTGGCGTGAACCCGGGAGGCGGAGCTTGCAGTGAGCCGAGATCGCGCCACTGCACTCCAGCCTGGGCAACAAAGAGAGACTCTATCTCAAAAACAAACAAACAAACAAACAAACAAAAAAAAAACAGAAAAGAATGAGGTGATGTAAGAACACTTGGCCAGAAGGGTCAGTGTCTCAGTTTGTTCTTGCATTGCTATATTGGTGGGAATGTAAATTAGTTCAACCGTTGTGGAAGACAGTGTGGCAATTCCTCAAAAACCTAGAACCAGAAATAATATTTGACCCAGCAATCCATTACGGGATATATACCCAAAGGAATATAAATCATTCTATTATCAAGATACATGCACGCATATGTTCACTGCAGCACTATTCACAATAGCAAAGACATAGAATCAACCAAAATGCCCATCAATGATAGACTGGATAAAGAAAATGTGGTACATGTACACCATGGAATACTATGCAGCCACAAAAAGGAACAAGAACATGTCCTTTGCAGGGACATGGTTGGATATGGAAGGCATTACCTCAGCAAATTAACACGGGAACAGAAAACCAAACACTGCATATTCTCACTTATAAGTGGGAGCTGAACAATGAGAACACATGGATACAGGGAGGGGAACATCATACACCAGAGCCTGTCAGGTGTTATGTTGATGTTAATGTATTAGCTATCATTAATGTTAGTGTATTTTATAATATGTGTGGCCCAAGACAATTCTTCTTCCAATGTGGCCCAGAGAAGCCAAAAGATTGGACACCCTGTGCTAAACCATTCATGAAGGATCTACCCCTATGATCCATCACCTCCCACTGGGCCCCACCTCCAACATTGAGGATAACAATTGAACATGAGATTTGGGTGGGGACACAAATCCAAACCGTAGCAGTCAGCTTCCCCGAGGTTACTCAGAGGCCCCAGCGGGAGCGGAGGACAGAGGGTACAAGAGGCAGTTGCGTGTGAATGCACAGAAAACCCAGTTCTGAGGGCACAGGTGTGGTTTGAGCCAGGACGGGGAGAAAGATGGGGCAGGAGAGGACAGGAGAGCCGACGCAGAGACCTGGAATCTGGGAGCAGTGGGTCTTCTTCCTGAAGCAGCCAGCTTCCTCTCCTCTCCTCTCTTCTTCCATAGGTTTGTTTAGGAAATATTTCAAACAAGCACAAAGCAGAGTACCTAATATAGCAAGTGTTGATATGCTTGTCACATGTACTCGTGTTTTGTTTGACAAATAAAACATTTCCAATTTCATGGTAACATCTTTTGCATCTCACCAGATCCCATACGTGCCCTCCTCCCTCTCCCCTGGGGTAATCAGCCTTCTGGAGTCAGTGTTTTGATAGTTGTACCTCATGTATATGAATTCATAGGCAGCATACAATATTTTTCTGGGTGTTTATAAAATTCACAAAAAAAATGGCTTACTATAATTTTCTGCACCAAGCTTCTTTCTCTCAGCTTTATTTTACGAGATTAGTCATGTGGATCTAGATCATACATTTAAATCTGTATAATACTTAATTGTATGAACATACCACAACATAAGTATTTGTTTCTCATGATGAGCATTTAGGTTTCATTTTGTTTTTTACTTAATTGCAGGCGTGTCTGCAATGAGCCTCTTGGACATGCCTCCTTCTGCATACCAGCAAGAGCACCTGGGGAACATTTTATCCCAGGTTCTATGGTCAGCGAGTGGAAGCACTCACACCTGACTTCCGTCCATCAAACTCAGAAGCCATGCAGAACACAGCCGCACACCAGGACACTGAAGTCCTGGCTCCAGCTACTGTGAGCAGCTTACACATTTATCAACACTGAAGGGTGGTGGGAATGATGTTTATAGAACAGAAACAGAACATTATGAACAGGGACACACATAGAAATCATAACGGACTAACATCAGGAGCTGCAAGGATGGAAGCTGAGTAGAATGAGTGAGGGGCTCTGTCCTCTTTCATGGCAGGTGCCAGGTTGAAACTGTCTAAGCTCAAAACAGATAAAAGCATGACTCACAAGCACTTAACATTTTCACAGCTTCTTTTCTTATTCTTAGATACGTTATATAATAATAATATTTCTTGTAGTGAAGAAACATGTATTTGAATAACTATTCAGTTTAACTCCACTTTTTCTTCTGTTAAATTCAAGTGAAACTAAATATACCAGTTATTACCTTTACATAAAAAACACATTTAGAGTACAGTTGCCTACTTTTTAAAGACTCTCCATGCATTTATCTTTATCTCCATCTCACCTTCCATCTGTATTTCTCATAAAAAGAAATCTGATGTGATATTTGCCTACATTAAGGGTAGTTATTTCCAAGTTGTAGGCTTTGAGGTAAATTATTTTACCTATTTTTGTACTTTTGTGCATTAGTCAGTTTCTTCATAAGTATAATGGTGTTGAGGGAAACAAGAAAATAATGTTTATTTAAAGGGAGTGAGTAAAAATGCTAACATTTTAACAGTGGTTGGTGAGGATATACGGAAGATGTACAAATGTTTCTTTTTTGTATTTCTTTGTATTTGTAATAGTAGTTACTCCCCTCTTTGCCAGCAACCACCCCTCCCCGCCCCCAGCCACCCATTATGCCAATGGGTGCAGATGAGGATGAACCATGAGGCATGTGCAGGAGCACATGCGCTGTCCTTCACTGAAATAAGTCTCTTAAGTCCTCACTCTTCTACTGACACATCCAGCTCACCTGGATCACCACCTCCAGCCTTCACAGCTCAGCTTCCTGCCTCAGCCTCCAGGAGTCTGGTGTGGCGTACGGAGAAAGAGCAAACGCTGCTTCTTCAGAGCTCATCGTAGCAAGGGAGGTGGTCATGGTCACTTGTGCTTGGCAGAGACTCAAAGGCAGGCAGAGGAGTGGGACTCTTCATAATATGGAAAAAGGAAGGCCTGCGGTGTGCCTGATGGAGGCTCGCAGGCGGGCAGCCTATGGGATCGGTGAGGGTGTACATTTAGCTCTCTCTGGTTGATCCTAATTTGGAAGAGGGGCAAAGTTAGGGAAGTTGTCAGTTATTGTTTAAATCCTGACCACCCTGAGTCAATGGCTACAGAGGTTGTTGTTTGGCTTCCTGGACAAGCTGCTGTGAACTGTGGGTCAACGCTCCAGGATTGCCCAGTCTGGCCGTGGTTCCTTTATGTGCTCTGCCTCTCCCTGAGATGAGTGACCAGCTTTCTGGGCATTCCCTGACCATGCCTCCAGGTTCAGGCAGTACCTGAGGAACCAAGGTTAGGGATTTGTCTAAGCCCAGGTGTTCACTGACAGACAGTCCCTCCAAGAGTCATATGCCCATGGCACATTTCCACAGTCCGGGGGCTCTGTATGTGCAGGTGCGGGAGGAAGGATGACCCGGCGCATCTGCCAAGGAGGGAGTCACAGAGGTAAACAGTAAGGACAATCCGCTGTGAGGCAGCCTTCAGGGAAATGTTTAATGTTGAATAAGTCCAGGCAGCTTAACAGAGTAGTAGGAGGCAGGCGGAGGCTTCTCGGGAGCAGGATCACAAGCCATGTATTGAAGGAGAAGGAATGCACGCTAGGCTAGCCTTTGGGCTCTTGGAGCAGGCCAAGAACCAGGAAGGGCTTGAAGGAGGGGAGGAATGGGGTGGGGACGGCATTTAGATGAAGGCACACTCTGGAGTGCAGAGGGGGAGTGGAGGGACCTTCCGGAGGTGGAGGCCAGTTAGGAGGGAGGGGCGGGTGTGAGAATGTGAGAAAGAACTGGCAAGAATCAGGAGGCAGAGGCAGTGAGAGGGGGCAGACAGCGGTGAGGTTTGAAAGTAGAACCAGGACGACTTGGGGATAGGTCACACAGTATGCATGGTGGGATCACCAAGGACCTACGATGTCCCAGGTGGGCCCATACCAGGAGCAACGGCCCAAGTCCAGGGCTCATGTCCCATGAGCAGGTAAACTCACTTTTCCCAGGTTCTGTGGCCAGAGAGTGGCAATGCTGAGACCTGACTCCGCTCACCTGACTCAGCAGCCATGCAGAGGTCAGCCACACATGAAGACCCGGAGGAAGCTCTGGTCCCAGCTAAGGTGAGCACACTGGGACCGATGGTAACCTCAAGTCTACATCTCTGGAATTCCAACCAAATCCTGTTTTAGCTCTCAGCCCAGCACAGGCAATCCACAGGGCTGGCCCAAATAGCACATGGAACCACTTTCTATCCATTCAGCCAGTGTCCTCCTCTCAGTCGACTCAGCATGCCTGGGTAAGGTGCCCCAAGCCTGAGCACAGAGGTCGGTAATGGGCACTGCCCTCTCTGGAGCTAAGTCAGCAGCAGATGCTCCCTGGCCCACAGAGGAAGGAAAGGGAGTCTTCGTGTTGCTTTTTCATAGGCGGCTGGCCCCTGTTTTGCCAATTTGGCTGCACATCTTTGCAAGGTTCATGCTTCACAGGGGATCACTATGTGCAGGCAGAAGTTCTGAGTGATTGCATGAAGTAACTCATTTAAACTTCCTGACAACCCAACTGTGGTAGGTTGTGCTCTGCAGAGATAACCACTACATTGCTGCCCACCCTATAGATCTTCTTAGTGTGAGACTTTGATGTTTCCTTGCACTTGGGGCTGTGGTGACTGTATGGTCAATAGAATATGGTGAAAGTGACACTATGGTACTCCTCAGTGTGGTCCATAAAAGATGACACTACTTCTACTTTGTTTGCTGGAAGCCCCCTTCTTGAATCCTGCAGCTGCCACATAAGCAGCCCAGCTGCCCTGAGGTTGCCATGCTGTGAGAAAGCACAACTAGCTCCACTGGAGAGAAAATAGGATGAAGCCTCAGTCTGCATGGGGAGAGAGATGCCCAGCCCCAACTGTGCTGCTCCACCTACCCACCCTCAGTTTCGGCCATTGTCACATTTCAGCCACTGTCTGGCCACAGTCCCAAGAGAGACCCTGAGCTAGAGCTGTCCAGCAGAGCCCTTCCTGAACTGACGACCAATAGTTAGAGAAGATAACATGATTGCAGCTGTTTTTAACCACTAAATTTGTTTATTTATTATGCAACGATAAACAACAAACTACCTATAACACGGGTACATTTATTATGCCCTCATTTAATCATTGAAGGGACTGAGGTACAGATAAATTAAATAACTCCCCAAAGGTAACACAGCTAGTTAGTGGTAGGGCTGGAATTTTAATGTCTGCTTCCAGAATTTCTGCTCCTAACCAACTTCCTATACTGCTGATTGCAAAGAGCAGACAGGAGGCAAGAAGTCCTGCGAGCCAGATGGGCTTGTGTTGGTACCTGGCTCACACTCAGCCACCTTACCTTCATTACTAAACCCCCAGCTTCAGAGACCTCTGTGCTGTGAAGCATTTAGGGTCAGCCCTAGGATCTTCATATTGTCCTACATACTTATTTTGCTAATTGAATGTTTTCCATTCCTTAAGCTGATGTGACTATTTCCTTAAGGACAAAAGAGGATAAAAATCTGTTCAGTAAAATGCATGATCACACTGCATTTCTTAAACAGATTCAATAAAAGTCAACACCGAGTTAAACTAGGGTAATCACAGGAGGAGGAGGTTCTTTTTGTCATCAGGGTCATTCATTCCCCAGGGAAAGATAAGGGGAGAGGTGAGGGAAAACCAAACGTTTAAGCCTAAATTCATATGTGAAATGGAAGCATCATCTTCTGGCTGGTTCCAGCTAAAGGGAAGAGTCTTGTCCTGTCATGGGCCCAGCAGCACGGCTCACATCCAGCCTCAGTGACATGTGTCCACAGCAGAATGCACAGCGGTGGCAGTGCCTATCTTACTGCCCCTTTCTACCACCAATGAACAAACACAATGGAAGTCTCCATGCTCTACTATAAAGTTGTCTTTGAATTTTTTTAAAAAAAGAGTGGCTTACAAAATTAATTTTTCTTCTTGAATGTGTACAATAAAAAGGAAGAATGTTTATGATCAGCTCTGTGTCTTAGAAAAATGAATCTCAAAGAAGATCCATCATGTGCACATAGGTGGGCATGGGGAAGGGACAGAGGGGAAAGATCAGGAAAGGCAGGAGGGGCTGGGGCAGCTCTGTCTGGCAGGACAGAGCACAAGGACAATCTCAGAGACACAGCTGATCTGGGACTCATGGGTTGCAAAAATGTAATTTAGTTTTTCTGTACATGCTGCAAGATTTTCTGTACATTCTCTGGCTCCTTTAGAAACCTTCCACACAGCATATTACTGCTGCTGGAGTTGGAGTCAATTTTGTGTGGCTGCATTTTTTTGTTGTGGTCAGTGATAGACACAATAAAGAGCTGGCTATGACTGCATTGTGGGTTTGGGGAAATAGAAGCTTCCCGCAGAATCAGTCACCTCTGCTCACAGTGATACACCAATGAGTCATTTTTGATGATGGTGACCAATCCCACTTCAATGATTTGTTTATCTAGTTGATCCCTCATCTTTATTAAGAAATGTTATGCAGGCAGTGGTTCCAAGATGGCCGAATAGGAACAGCTCCAGTCTACAGCTCCCAGCATGAGCGACGCAGAAGACGGGTGATTTCTGCATTTCCAACTGAGGTACCGGGTTCATCTCACTGGGGCTCGTCAGACAGTGGGGGCAGAACAGTGGGTGTAGCCCACCGAGTGTGAGCCAAAGCAGGGCAAGGCACCGCCTCACCCGGGAAGCACAAGGAGTCAGGGAATTCCCTTTCCTAGCCAAGGGAAGGGGTGATAGACTGTGCCTGGAAAATCAAGTCACTCCCACCCTAATACTGCGATTTTCCAACAGTCTTAGCAAACGGCACACCAGGAGATTATATCCCGTGCATGGCTCGGAGGGTCCCACGCCCACACAGCCTCACTCATTGCTAGCACAGCAGTCTGAGATCTAACTGCAATGCAACAGCGAGGCTTGGGGAGGGGCGCCTGCCATTGCTGAGGCTTGAGTAGGTAAACAAAGTGACTGGG
Source organism: Homo sapiens (assembly GCF_000001405.40). Classification (NCBI taxonomy): domain Eukaryota; kingdom Metazoa; phylum Chordata; class Mammalia; order Primates; family Hominidae; genus Homo; species Homo sapiens. The sequence continues at coordinate 128,948,953 of NC_000002.12, read as the reverse complement.
AAGCTCAAACTGGGCGAAGCCCACTGCAGCTCAAGGAGGCCTGCCTGCCTCTGTAGACTCCACTTCTGAGGGCAGGGCATAGCTGAGCAAAAGACAGCAGAAACCTCTGCACACTAAAATGTCCCTGTCTGACAGCTTTGAAGAGAGTAGTGTTTCTCCCAGCACAGAGTTTGAGATCTCAGAATGGACAGACTGCCTCCTCAAGTGGGTTCCTGACCCCCAAGTAGCCTAACTGGGAGGCACCCCGAGTAGGGGCAGACTGACACCTCACATGGCCAGGTAGCCCTCTGAGATGAAGTTTCCGGAGGAACGATCAGGCAGCAACATCTGCTGTTCAGCAATATTCGCTGTTCTGCAGCCTCCGCTGCTGATACCTAGGCAAATGGTCTGGAATGGACCTCCAGCAAACTCCAACAGACCTGCAGCTGAGGGTCCTGACTGTTAGAAGGAAAACTAACAAACAGAAAGGATATCCACACCAAAACCCCATCTGTACGTCACCATCATCAAAGACCAAAGGTAGATAAAACCACAAAGTTGGGGAAAAAACAGAGCAGAAAAGCCAAAAATTCTAAAAATCAGAGTACTCCTCCCCCTCCAAAGGAATGCAGCTCCTCACCAGCAACGGAACAAAGCTGGACGGAGAATGACTTTGATGAGTTGAGAGAAGAAGGCTTCAGACGATCAAACTTCTCTGAGCTAAAGGAGGAAGTTTGAACCCACGGCAAAGAAGCTAAAAGCCTTAAAAAAGATTACACGAATGGCTAACTAGAATAACCAGTGTAGAGAAGTCCTTAAATGACCTGATGGAGCTGAAAACCACGGCACAAGAACTACGTGACGAAAGGACAAGCTTCAGTAGCCGATTTGATCAAGTGGAAGAAAGAGTATGATTGAAGATCAAATGAATGAAATGAAGCGAGAAGAGAAGTTTAGAGAAAAAAGAGTAAAAAGAAATGAACAAAGCCTCCAAGAAATATGGGACTATGTGAAAAGACCAAATCTATGTCTGATTGGTGTACCTGAAAGTGACAGGGAGAATGGAACCAAGTTGGAAAACACTCTGCAGGATATTATCCAGGAGAACTCCCCCAATCTAGCAAGGCAGGCCAACATTCAAATTCAGGAAATACAGAGAACACCACAAAGATACTCCTCGAGAAGAGCAACTCCAAGACACATAATTGTCAGATTCACCAAAGTTGAAATGAAGGAAAAAGTGTTAAGGGCAGCTAGAGAGAAAGGTCGGGTTACCCACAAAGGGTAACCAATCAGACTAACAGTGGATCTCTCAGCAGAAACTCTACAAGCCAGAAGAGAGTGGGGGCCAATATTCAACATTCTTAAAGAAAAGAATTTTCAACCCAGAATTTCATATCCAGCCAAACAAAGCCTCATAAGTGAAGGAGAAATAAAATCCTTTACAGACAAGCAAATGCTGATTTTGTCACCACAAGGCCTGCCCTACAAGAGCTCCTGAAGGAAGCACTAAACATGGAAAGGAACAACAGGTACCAGCCACTGCAAACACATGACAAATTGTAAATACCATCGATGCTAGGAAGAAACTGCATCAACTAACGAGTAAAATAACCAGCTAACATCATAATGACAGGATCAAATTCACACATAACTATATTAACCTTAAATGTAAATGGGCTAAATGCTCCAATTAAAAGACACAGATTGGCAAATTGGACAGAGTCAAGACCCAACAGTGTGCTGTATTCAGGAGACCCATCTCACGTGCAGAGAAACACATAGGCTCAAAATAAAGGGATGGAGGAAGATCTACCAAGCAAATGGAAAACAAAAAAAGGCAGGGGTTGCAATCATAGTCTCTGATAAAACAGATTTTAAACCAACAAAGATCAAAAGAGACAAAGAAGGCCATTACATAATGGTAAAGGGATCGATTCAACAAGAAGAGCTAACTATCTTAAATATATATGCACCCAATACAGGAGCACCCAGATTCATAAAGCAAGTCCCCAGAGATCTACAGAGATTTAGACTCCCACACAATAATAATGGGAGACTTTAACACCCCCCTGTCAACATTAGATCAACGAGACAGAAAGTTAACAAGGATATCCAGGAATTGAACTCAGCTCTGCACCAAGCAGACCTAATACACATCTACAGAACTCTCCACCCCAAATCAACAGAATATACATTCTTCTCAGCACCACATCATACTTATTCCAAAATTGACCACATAGTTGGAAGTAAAGCACTCCTCAGCAGATGTAAAAGAACAGAAATTATAACAAACTGTCTCTCAGACCACAGTGCAATCAAACTAGAACTCAGTATTAAGAAACTCACTCAAAACCGCTCAACTACATGGAAAATGAACAACCTCCTCCTGAATGACTACTGGGTACATAATGAAATGAAGGCAAAAATAAACATGTTCTTTGAAACCGATGAGAACAAAGACACAACATGCCAGAATCTCTGGGACACATTTAAAGTATTGTGTAGAGGGAAATTTATAGCACTAAATGCCCACAAGAGAAAGCAGGAAAGATCTAAAATTGACACCCTAACATCACAATTAACAGAACTAGAGAAGCAATAGCAAACACATTCAAAAGCTAGCAGAAAGCAAGAAATAACTAAGATCACAGAAGAACTGCAGGAGATAGAGACACAAAAAACCCTTCAAAAAATCAATGAATCCAGGAGCTGGTTTTTTGAAAAGATCAACAAAATTGATAGACCTCTAGCAAGACTAATAAAGAAAAAAAGAGAGAAGAATCAAATAGACGCAATAAAAAATGAAAAAGGGGATATCACCACCGATCCCACAGAAATACAAACCACCATCAGAGAATACTATAAACACCTCTACACAAATAAACTAGAAAATCTGGAAGAAATGGATAAATTTCTGGACACATACACCCTCTCAAGACTAAACCAGGAAGAAGTTGAATCCCTGAATAGACCAATAACAGGCTCTGAAATTGAGGCAATAATTAACAGCCTACCAACCAAAAAAAGTCCAGGACCGGATGGATTCACAGCCGAATTCTACCAGAGGTACAAGGAGGAGCTGGTACTATTCCTTCTGAAACTATTCCAATCAATAGAAAAAGAGGGAATCCTCCCTAACTCATTTTATGAAGCCAGAATCATCCTGATACCAAAGCCTGGCAGAGACACAACAAAAATAGAGAATTTTAGATCAATATCCCTGATGAACATTGATGCAAAAATCATCAATAAAATACTGGCAGACCGAATCCAGCAGCACATCAAAAAGCTTATCCACCATGATCAATGGGCTTCATCCCTGGGATGCAAGGCTGGTTCAACATACGCAAATCAATAAATGTAATTCAGCATATAAACAGAACCAAAGACAAAAACCACATGATTATCTCAATAGATGCAGAAAAGGTCTTTGACAATATTCAACAGCCATTCATGCTAAAAACTGTCAAGAAATTAGGTATTGATGGGACGTATCTCAAAATAATAAGAGCTATTTATGACAAACCCACAGCCAATATCATACTGAATGGGCAAAAACTGGAAGCATTCCCTTTGAAAACTGGCACAAGACAGGGATGCCCTGTCTCACCACTCCTATTCAACATAGTGTTGGAAGTTCTGGCCAGGGCAATCAGGCAGGAGAAAGAAATAAAGGGTATTCAATTCGGAAAAGAGGAAGTCAAATTGTCCCTGCTTGCAGATGACATGATTGTGTATTTAGAAAACCCCATTGTCTCAGCCCAAAATCTCCTTAAGCTGATAGGCAACTTCAGCAAAGTCTCACGACACAAAATCAATGTACAAAAATCACAAGCATTCTTATACACCAATAACAGACAAACAGAGAGCCAAATCATGAGTGAACTCCCATTCACAATTGATTCAAAGAGAATAAAGTACCTAGGAATCCAACCCACAAGGGACATGAAGGACCTCTTCAAGGAGAACTACAAACCACTGCTCAATGAAATAAAAGAGGATGCAAACAAATGGAAGAACATTCCATGCTCATGGATAGGAAGAATCAATATCGTTAAAATGGCCATACTGCCCAAGGTAATTTACAGATTCAATGCCATCCCCATCAAGCTACCAATGACTTTCTTCACAGAATTGGAAAAAACTACTTTAAATTTCATATGGAACCAAAAAAGAGCCTGTATTGCTAAGACAATCCTAAGCCAAAAGAACAAAGCTGGAGGCATCACTCTACCTGACTTCAAACTATACTGCAAGGCTACAGTAACCAAAACAGCATGGTACTGGTACCAAAACAGAGATACAGACCAATGGAACAGAACAGAGACCTCAGAAATAATACCACACATCTACAACCATCTGATCTTTGACAAACCTGACAAAAACAAGAAATGGGGTAAGGATTCCCTATTTAATAAATGGTGCTGGGAAAACTGGCTAGCCATACGTAGAGAGCTGAAACTGGATCCCTTCCTTACATCTTATACAAAAATTAATTCAAGATGGATTAAAGACTTAAATGTTCGACCTAAAACCATAAAAACCCTAGAAGAAAACCTAGGCAATACCATTCAGGACATAGGCATGGGCAAGGACTTCGTGTCTAAAACACCAAAAGCAATGGCAACAAAAGCCAAAATTGACAAATGGGATCTCATTAAACTAAAGAGCTTCTGCACAGCAAAAGAAACTACCATCAGAGTGCACCAGCAACGTACAGAATGGGAGAAAATTTTTGCAATCTATTCATCTGACAAAAGGCTAATATCCAGAATCTACAAAGAACTCAAACAAATTTACAAGAAAAAACAAACAACCCCATCAAAAAGTGGGCAAAGGATATGAACAGACACTTCTCAAAAGAAGACATTTATGCAGCCAACAGACACATGAAAAAAATGCTCACCATCACTGGCCATCAGAGAAATGCAAATCAAAACCACAATGAGGTAGCATCTCACACCAGTTAGAATGGCGATCATTAAAAAGTCAGGAAAGAACAGGTGCTGGAGAGGATGTGGAGAAATAGGAACACTTTTACACTGTTGGTGGGACTGTAAACTAGGTCAACCATTGTGGAAGACAGTGTGGTGATTCCTCAAGGATCTAGAACTAGAAATACCATTTGACCCAGCCATCCCATTACTGGGTATATACCCAAAGGATTATGAATCATGTTGCTATAAAGACACATGCACATGTATGTTTACTGTGGCACTATTCACAATAGCAAAGACTTGGAACCAACCCAAATGTCCATCAATGATAGACTGGATTAAGAAAATGTGGCACATATACACCATGGAATACTATGCAGCCATAAAAAAGGATGAGTTAATGTCCTTTGTAGGGACATGGATGAAGCTGGAAACCATCATTCTCAGCAAACTATCGCAAGAACAAAAAACCAAACACCACATGTTCTCACTCATAGGTGGGAATTGAACAATGAGAACACTTGGACACAGGAAGGGGAACATCACACACCGGGGCCTGTTGTGGGGTGAGGGGAGAGGGGAGGGAAAGCATTAGGAGATATACCTAATGTAAATGACAAGTTAATGGGTGCAGCACACCCACATGGCACATGTATACATAGGTAACAAATCTGCACGTTGTGTACATGTACCCTAGAACTTAAAGTATAATTTAAAAAAAAAAGAAATGTTATGCAATATACCACTGCTTAACACTTAATTGTAAGATCATTTTTCATACTGAAATAATTTTGCAAGTAACATGCAATTCTATTAAAATTTGTGATAATACTACAGAAAGTAGCAACAGTCATAGTGACTAAGAATGCCCTCATTTAGAAACTGTTGTTTTTCCAGAGGTATAGTGTCCCTCAGAATAAGTGTGCTGAATAATTTTTATGTAAGAAAAACACTTCCATTGCAGACATGCTGTGACAACTGGTTGAAGCCAATAGAAAATATTTTAGATCAGCACCAAGTAGGTAAATGGCACACACAAATTCAAGAATAAGAGCCAAGACTTAGTGGAAGACCAGCAAATGAAAACGAAGAAGCTGGGGATGGTCCAGTGGTGCAGCACGACAGCCCTCTGGCTTGAGTTGCATCAGGATCTCCTGGAGGGACATCAAGACAAGGCTGCAGGCTCTACCCTCAGAGTGGCCCACTGAGTCTGTACAGATTGGGACCCAGCTACTCGTGTTTCCATCAAGCTTTTCTGTTGGGCCAGGGACCTCCCCTACAAACCACTGACCGATGTGATAGAAAACATATTCTGAGGCCCGGTGCAGTGGCTCACGCCTGTAATCCCAACACTTCGGGAGCCTGAGGTGGGTGGATCACGAGGTCAGGAGATTAAGACCATCCTGGCTAACAAGGTGAAACCCCATCTCCACTAAAAATACAAAAAATTAGCCGAGCATGGTGGCACGCACCTGTACTCCCAGCTACTCAGGAGGCTGAGGCAGGAGAATCGCTTGAACCCGGGAGGCGGAGGTTGCAGTGAGCCCAGATCGCACCACTGCACTGAGTCTGCTGCTGGTCGATCCTGGGTTCAAATCCTTTCAGTACAGTTTACTTGCAGGTCACCTTAATAGGCTATTTAAGTTATCTGAATATCCTTTTGTCTTCCTTATTGAATCAAAAACAGTAGCAAGATGACTGTGGGGATTAAATGAGGTTGTATAAATGACAGGTGAAGGGCATCAGTGTAGGAATTTAATAAATAGTAATGATTTTGTTCAATCCTCATTGGAAATTTTGTCCTAAATACTAAACATTGCCTTTTTAGGAAGCTATGAAGGAAAACAGAAGTCTGTTGATATGAGATACTTCATCTATTTTTTTAAAGAATCATTTGCATGCTTATTGCATACCAGACTTTGGGCTAGTTGCTAAGATTTGCCTTGTTATATAATCACTCTACTAACTAAGCAATAAGATTACATTTTGAACAGCTTTTGCTTAGAATAAGGCTGAATGAGCTGAGCATTAGCGTGGAGAATCTCCATGAGCAGGAAAGGAGCCAGCAGTGCACAGGCACCTGGCTCTGCAGCTGCCAAGACCCCCCTCCTGGGCTGTAAAATGGGGTGATTGGAGCTGTGTTTGCTGATCGGTGATTGGAGCTGTGTTTGCTGATCGGTGCCCTTGAAACACAAGTACAGGACAGGTCCAAGGCTGATCTGCATGCACTTGCCAGATTCTGTCATGGGAGAATTTCAGGTTTCTCCACTTATAAATAATCTGAACTCGGAGATAAACACTTCCTCCAGCATGTTAAAAATGATTGTTTCTAGGCAGACATTGGACAAACTGTTCTGCTCCAAGAGTACAATTTTGCTGATGGCAATTCATTGAAATAAAGGTGATAGTGCAGTGGCTCATGCCTGTAATCCCAGCACTTTGGGGGGCCGAGGCGGGAGGATCACCCGAGGTCAGGAGTTCAAGACCAGCCTGGCCAACATGATGAGACCCTGTCTCTACTAAAAATACAAAACTTAGCTGGTTGTGGTGGTGGGTGCCTGTGATCCCAGCTACTCCAGAGGCTGAGGTAGGAGAATTGCTTGAACCTAGGAGGCGGAGGTTGCAGTGAGCCAAGATCATGCCACTGTACTCCAGCCTGGTGACAGAGTGAGACTCCATCTCAAAAAAAAAAAAAATAAAGTGATAGTGCAGATGTGGTTAGTACTTGAGTCTAGCCCCATCACTGTCCCTGGGGTCTGGGGTGACTTTGGGAAAGAGGCTTGCCTTAACTGTCTTCTCAAAAAAAAAAAAAAAAAAAGGAGGAAATAATATTTAATTTGTAAGACGATTGTAAATACAATAAGAATTTGTATGAAAGGCTTTTCATGAATTTAGTAGTTTTTGACAGCTATTTCTGAGATGGTTGTGGCTGTGGTATTTAAGAAATGTGAGCTACTTGATTTCAATGATCTTTCTCTCGCTCTCGCTCTCTCTCTCTCTGTCTGTGTGTGTGTGTGTGTGTGTGTGTGTGTGTGTGTGTTAACCTCAGACTTCCTTCTTTTACGTTTATTCTGAATTCCAGGGTCTCCATCCACTTCTTTTTCCAACTCTCCTTAACAATGAGTAGTCTAAAAAAATAAAATAAAATTATTCTATCAGATGACTCTTATTGGGCAAGCCAGGATAGACATATAGTCCTCCTGTATAACTAGATCTAGTATTTAACAATAAGTAACTTTTAGTGGTAAAGTGAATCTACAGAGTTGACTGTCCTTTTTTTCCCTCCTTCCATTTCTACTTCCTAGTTGGCCCCCTCTCTTATGTCTCACTTGCACAGTAGTTCAGCTTGAACACTCCTCCAGCAGCACAGAGAGTACACGATGTATATAGACACGTGTGGGGGTAGAGGGCGTGTGTTGTATAGACACATGTGGGGGTAGAGGGCACGTGTTCTATAGACGTATGTGGGGGTAGAGGGTGCGTGTTGTATAGACGTATGTTGGGGTAGAGGGTGCGTGTTGTATAGACGTATGTGGGGGTAAAGGGTGTGTGTTGTATAAACGTATGTGGGGGTAGAGGGTGCATGTTGTATAGACGTATGTGTAGGTAGAGGGTGCGTGTTGTATAGATGCATGTGGGTATACAGGGTGTGTATTGTATAGACGTATGTGGGGGTAGAGTGTACATGTTGTATACACATATGTTTTGGGGGTAGAGGGCACATGTTGTATAGACATATGTGGGTGTAGAGGGTGTGTGTTGTATAGACGTATGTGGGTGTACAGGGTGCATTTTGCATAGACGTATGTGGGGGTAGAGGGTGCGTGTTGTATAGACGTATGTGGTGGTAGAGGTTGTGTGTTGTATAGATGTATGTGGGGGTAGAGCGTGCATGTTGTGTAGACGTATGTGGGGTAGAGGGTGCGTGTTGTATAGATGTATGTGGGTGTAGAGGGTGCGTGTTGTATAGATTTATGTGGGGGTAGAGGGTGCGTATTGTACTTGTCAGATGCCATCTCACAAAGTAGCACAGGAATTAAACCAGAGCTCCATTAACACTTGAATATTTGCCCATGTGTTTGTGAACAGTCTTGAGGTAATGATCACCCTTTTCACTATATTGCTATAACACAGTGTAAATTGCCAAAGGTTACATAGTGCGGCAGGGGTGTTCTCCAGAAGCGAGCACTGAGAGTTAGGAATTTGAGATTGGGGTAGAAGATATTAACACCTGGGAATGAAACAAAGGTGAGTAATCAGGATCAGGCAGGAGAGCCTCACCTGTCAATGACGTCTGACATCCTCAGCCAATCCAATGGGAGATCCAGAGCAAAGCCTGCCCAACAGAGGGGTCCTGTATTTGCTGAGAATGGCCATGCTCTGGTACCTAAGCCAGTCTTGGTCATTGCTGGAGCTGCCCAGGAGGAACAGCCTCAGCTCTGAAGCTGAGATGGGGTCCTAAAGTTTCTGATGGCTGGGAGCTGTCGGCTCTTGGCAGCTGAACAGATTCCTTTCTGGCTGGGAGGTCTGAGAGGTTCCGCCACACCACTAGAGGGTTATGGTACAGGCGCCTGGACCCTGGTCTGTGTGACTCCAAAGCCAGTGCTCATTTCATCATCTCACCCAAGTTATGTGCTCTCCATGGAGGATGAGGCAGCTGCAGAGATGGGCATGGCTGTATTCCATGGACACCTGGGATTCCAGAATCTAGGAGAAAGACCATAAACACCCTTCAGGGTGTTCAGTATCATCACTTAGTGCTGTCACCTGATGCTTCACCCTTACCCGTGCGTGGAGGACATGCAGGTTGGTTGAAACCACCTTCTCCAGCCCAACCTTCACCAGAGCCTGGGTTGGTGGTGACACAAATTTTCCCAGGTATTTCTAAAAACCAATAGTTTAATGGCATTGTTATATCACCTTTGACCAGGAACCTAGTGGTAAGGAAGGAAAGGGTGAGATTTGGGAACCAAAACATCAGTAGACAACTCTTAAATGTGCAATATATATTTCATCAGTTTTTAAATGACCATTTCTAAGAGTATTTTTCCCAATATTGGTACTACTTCTGATCAGTCAACACCTTTTTTTTTGCCATTGTTTGGATTAGAGTAAAAGCAGGCAGGTTCATGCATGGTGAATAAAGTGGCAAACAACTGGAAACACACGCAGGCACTTGAGAGGAATCCCTCCCAAGAGAAGGCAGAAGGCAAACTCAAAGTATATTCATAGATCTCTTACATGACTTCTTGTTTTCATTCTATTAAGCAAAGAGCCTGGGTCACTCCCATCCTTACCATCAGAAAAAGGATAAACTGAAAATCAGCAACTTTCTTAGCTTCATCAGACAACTGAAACTGCAGGGCAAACAGCCACCCCAAAATCTAGACAGCCAGGCCCCTCCAGTGAGGCAGACATGGGGTCTGCTTGCCTGGGTGTGGTGGAAGCTGCTGTAGCCAGACCTAGCGGAAGCACTCAAATGGTAATTTTAACAAGCTGCTGGACGCCAAGTGCAGGCTAGCCTGAGAATGAGAAATGCCTAAGGGTGGCAATCTTAGGGTACCCCAGAATTTTGTGGACTTCACTTCTAGGAAATGCCCCAGATCCTTTTTTTTTTTTTTTTTTTTTTTTTTTTTTTTGAGACAGAGTCTCGCTCTTTCGCCCAGGCTGGAGTGCAATGGTGTGATCTCGGCTCACTCAACCTCTTCCTCCTGAGTTCAAGTAATTCTGCTTCAGCCTCTTGAGTAGCTAGGATTACAGGTGCCCACTACCACACCCGGCTAATTTTTCCTATTTTTAGTAGAGATGGGGTTTCGCCATGTTGGCCAGTCTGGTCTCGAATTCCTGAGCTCAGGCGATCTGCCCTCCTCAGCTTCCCAAAGCGCTGGGATTAAAGGGGTAAGCCACCGCACCTGGCCTGGAAATGCCCCTGATTCTTATGGTGAAGATCTAGAAGGATTCCCCTAAGTCTGTGGCAGAGTGAGGAGATGAGCAAGCATTGTGAACTAAGCTCAGAAATTTCTCCATAGCAAAGGTTACCTTCCAGGGGCAAGTATTTGCCAGAGATTTATGCCAGGCAGGGAAGGAATTTACTTTCACTCCAGCCCCTTCCATATTTCAGTAATGAGGTCAGGGATTCAAGGAAAAAGAGAAAAGCCAAGATGAATGAGGAGATTGTAGAATGCCATGCCAACCCACACCTTACTACTACAACAAGAAGGCTCCAATATAATATGATAGCAGTCAATTAAAATGAAAAGGCTGAGTTCAAGCAATTCTCATGCCTCAGCACGAGATCGGGATAAAGCTGAGGGATTAAACTGGGATAAAGACTGGGATAGACCTCTGGCAAATACTTGCCCCTGGAGGGTAACATTTGCTATGGAGAAGTTTCTGAGCTTAGTTCACAATGCTTGCTCATCTCCCACCTCTGCCACAGCCTTGAGGTAATCTTTCTAGATCTTCACCATAAAAATCTAGGGTATTTCCTAAAGGTGAAGTCCACAAAATTCTGGGGTACCCTTAGATTGTGGCCTTTAGGTGTTTCTCAGTCTCAGGGAGGTGGAGACTGCAGTGAGCTGAGATTGCACGACTGCACTCCAGCCTGTCTCAATAAATAAATAAATAAATAAATGAATAAACAAAATGAAAAGACTTACAAGACATGCAGTCTCCGAAGAGAAGAACATGGAGAAGCCCCAAGGTCAAGTGAAGACAAAAACAAGAACATGAAAGGAATTTGAAGCTCCTGGTACATATAGCTACAGCAAACATTGAACACAGCCCAACTACTAATCAGACTATACAGACCAACCACTAAGCCACTCCAAAGGCTTATTACCTTTGAACATGAAATGGCTGGATTTTAACAAAAAATTGCTAGGCATCCCAAAAGCCAAGAGAAAACATAGTTTCCTCAAACTTAGATATGACACAGATGTAGGAATTATCACAGAGGGAATTTAAAAGAACTATAATTAATTTGTTAAGGCCTGTATTTGAAAAAGTAGAAAACATACAAAACAGAAGAATAAAAGCAAAAATAGTCATTATAATAAAAATAAAGTATAACAAATCATTCAGGAAATGTGGGACAATATCGAAAGGTGTAACATATGAAGAATTAGTACATGAGAAAAAGAAGAGTAAAAGAATAGAGCAGAAAATATGTCTGAAGTCATAATGGTTGCGATCCATCCAAAATCATAAACACCAAATCATAGATCCAAGAAGATGAGAGAACAGCAAGCTGGATAAATACAGCCTTCCCATTAAATACATGTAGACATACCATATCAAAACTACAGAAACCTAAGACAAAGAGAGAAGAAAGAAGCCCGATGGAGAAACGTACACATAGAGGAACGGAAGTAAGAATGAAGTACAGTGGACTTCTCATTGGAAACCACTACAAGCAAGAAGAGAGTGGAATGAAATATCTAAAGTATAGAAAGAAAAAAAAACACCAATCTAGAATTTTATATTGAACAAGATATTGTTTCAAATGTGAAAGAGAAATAAAGATGTTTTCAGACAAACAAAAACTGAGGGAATTCATCACCAGCAAACCTGTTCTACAAGAAGTATTGAAACAAATTATTAAGACAGAAGGAAAATTCTCTATGTAAAACAATTGGTTCTACATAAAGAAAGGAAGTTCATCAGAGTATGAATAAATGAGTCTAAAATATTTTATTTTCTATTTTTTTTTTTTTTGAGATGGGGTCTCACTCTGTCACCCAGGCTGGACAACAGTGGTCCAATCATGGCTTATTGTAGCTTTGACTTCCTGAGCTCAAGCAGTCCTCCTGCTCAGCCTCCTGAGTATCTGGAAACACAGGCACGTGCCACCACCATGCTTGGCTAATGTTTTCTATTTTATGGAGTAATGGGGTCTCATTATGTTGTTCAGGTTAGTCTCAAACTTCTGGCTCCAGCAATCCCCTCACCTCCCAAAGTACTGAGATTACAAGTGCGAGCCACCATGCCCAACCTCTAATTCTTAGAGACCTCTAATTGATCTGAAAGGCAACTGTTTATATCAATAACAGTAACAATATAATGTGTAATTATAGCATATGGGCAAGTGAAATGTATGACAGCAATATCTCAAAGAGTGAAAGGGAGGAATTAGTAATGCTCCTTTACAAGGTGCCTGGATTACATATGAAGTAGGTGAGTATTATTTGAAAGATGCAGAAAAAGCAGTTGGCAAAAATCAGCATCCTTGTATGATAAAAACTGTAAGCAAATTAGGTATAGAAAAAATGTTCCTCAACACAATAAAGGCCTTATATGATAAGCTAACATCTTAACTGATAGTAAAAAGTTGACAGCTTTTTCTCTAAGCTCAGAAACAAGACAAGGATACCCACTTTCACCTCTTTGACTTAACATAGTACTGAAAGTCTCAGCCAGAGCAATTAGGTAAGAAAAGGAAATAAAATCATCCAAATTGGAAAGAAAGAAGTAAAACTGTCTCTGTTTGCTGACAACATGATATTATATGTAGAAAAATCCTAAAGACTCCACCAAAAAACTGTTAGATCTGACAAACCTTTAAGTAGATTGCAGAAAACAAAATTAGCATACAAAAATCAGTAGTATTTCTATACACTAACAACAAACTATCTGAAAAAGAAATTAAGAAAATAATTCCTGTTTACAATAGCATTAAAAAACAAATAAAACATTTAGGTATAAATTTAACCAAGGAGGAGGTGTAAGATGTGTATACTGAAAACTGTAAAACGTGGATGAAATAAACTGAAGATGACATAAATAATAAAATGATACACCATGCTCATGGATTGGAAGAATTAATATTGTTAAAATTACCATACTACCCAAAGCTATCTACAGATTCAATGCAATCCCTATCAAAATTCCAATGACATTTTTTCCAGAAATAGAAGAAACAATCCTAAAATTTATATGGAGCCACAGCAGACCTCAGATAGCCAAAGGAATCTTAAACAAGAAGAACAAAGCTATAGGGAGCACACTATCTGTCTTCAAAATACATTAGAAAACTATACTAATCAAAACACCATGGTACTGTCATAAAACTAGACACATCAACCAATAAAACAAGAGAGCCCAGAAATAAACCCATGCATTTATGATCAACGGAGTTTTGACAAAGCTGCCCAAACTGTCTAATGAATGAAAACTGATTATTCACATGCAGAAGAATGACATCAGATCATTATCTCTCACCATATATAAAAATAAACTCAAAATGGACACAAACTTAAATGTAAGACCTGAAACTGGAAAACTACTAGTAGAAAACAGGGGAAAAGCATCAGTCTGGGCAATGATTTTTTTGGATATTGCCTTAAAAGCACAGGCAACAGAAGCAAAAATAGACAAACGGTATTACATCAAACTAAAAAGCTTCTGCACAGCAAAGGAAACAGTTAACAGAGTGAAGTGACAACCAACAGATTGGGAGAAAATATCTGTAAACCATACATCTGATAAGGATCTGATATCCAAAAAATGTATAAAGAACTGAAACAACTCAATAGCAAAAAAACAAATAAATCTAAAATTTGTAATAGGAAAAAGACCTAAATAGACACTTCTCAAAAAGACATACAAATGGCCAACATATATATTAAAAATGCTCAATATCACTAATCATCAGGGAAATGCAAATTAAAACTGCAGAGATATCACCTCACAGCTGTTGGAATGGCTGTTATCAAAAAGATGAAAGAGAAGTGTTGGTGAAAATGTATGCTGTTGGTGATAATGTAAATTAGTACAGCCATTTTTGCAAAATAGTATGGAGTTCCTCAAAAAAACAAAAAAATGAAATTACCAAATGTGATCCAGAATCCCACTGTTGGGTATATATCCAAAGGAATTGAACCAGTGTGTTGAGGAGATATCTGCACTGCCATGTTTATTGCAGCACTCCTCACAATAGCCAAGATACAGAAACAACTTACATGCCCATCAATGGATGAATGGATAAAGAAAATGTGTTATATGTACACAATGGAAAATACAATTCAGTCTTTATGAAGAAGAAAATTGTGTGATTTTTAACAACATGGATGAATCTGGAGGACATGATATTGAGTGAAATAAGCCAGGCACAGAAAGACAAATACTGCATGATTCTACTTATATGTGGAATCCAAAAAAGCCAAGTTCATAGGAGTAGCAGTAGAAGGGTAGTTTCCAGAGGCTGGTGTAGGCTGGAGGGCAGTGGATGAAGAAAGAGGAAATGTTAGTCAAAAGTTTCAAGCGTTCAATTAGACAGGAGCAATACATTCTAGTGATCTATTGAGCAGCATGGTGACTCTAGTTAATAATAACATATTGGAGCTTTCAAAATTGCCAGAAAATATATTTTAAATGTTCTCTCCATGAAGAAGTAGCAAGCATGTGAGGAGATGATATGTTAATTAGCTTGATTTAATTATTCCACATGTATACATATATCATAACATGACAATGTATTCCATAAATATATACAATTATTTGCCAGTTAAAAATAAAATAATATTAAAGTAGACTTTTCTTAGTTAAAAATGTATATTGTGAACTCTATAACAATCACTGTTTTTTCAAATGAAGTTTGACATGGTAAGAGAAGAAATAAAATAGATTTATAAAAATGATTACTAAAAATCATAATAAAACACAACAATAATATAACAATTTTAAATATATATTACCTAAAATATAAAAAGCATCAAAATACATGAGGTAAAGCCAATAGAATGAAAGGGGAAAAAGATAATTTGACTCTCCCGGTGAGAGAGTTTAACACCTTTCTTTTAGTAATTGATAAATGATACCGACAAAAAATCAGTAACGATATAGTTGAACTGCACAGCACCATCAATCAACTGGATCTAATTGACATTTATAGTATACTTCACCCAGCAATGGCAGAACACACCTTTTTCTTAAGCTGAAATGGAAAATTCACCAGGATCTGGGCCATAAAACACACCTTAACAAATTTAAGAGAATAGAAATCATGCAAAAGATGTTCTCCAATCACAGTGGAATTAAACTTGAAATTGATAACAGAAAGATAGCTGGAAAATCCTGAAATATTTGAAAATTAAGCACATTTCTAAGTAACATATAGTAAAAGAAGAGCTCTTTAAAAATTTAGAAGTATTTGGAAATAAAAAACAACTCATCAAAATTTGAGGGGTAGAGTGAAAGAAGCATTTGTAGGGAAACTTATAGAAATAAATAAACATATTAGAAATGAAGCATAACCTAAAGTTAATAACCTAAGCTTCTTCTGCCTTAGGGAATTAGAGAAATAGGTATAATTTAAAACTAATGTAGACATAAGAAAATAAATAATAAACATTAGAACAGAAATCAATTAAGTTGAAACTGGGATAATACAGAAAAAATTGTAAAAATGATTCTTTAAATATATCAATAAAAGTGATAAGCCTCCTCTCAGGCTAACCAAGAAAGAAAAAAGAAGTGCAATTGACAATCTTAGAAATGAAAACGGAACACCACTACTGATCACATGAACATTAAGGGAATAATAGGAGAAGAACAGGAAAGCAATGGGTAACCCTGTTCTCTCAAATTATATAATTTACTTGAACCAATTATTTGGGCCAGGCAAGGTGGTTCACGCCTGTAATCCCAGCACTTTAGGAGGCCGAGGCAGGTGAATGACGAGGTCAGGAGATCCCTATCCTGGCCAACACGTGAAACCCTGTCTCTACTAAAATTACAAAAATTAGCTGGGCGATGCAGCATGCACCTGTAGTCCCAGCTACTCGGGAGGCTGAGGCAGGAGAATTGCTTGAACCCAGGAGGTGGAGGCTGCAATTAGCTGAGATTGCACCACTGCACTCCAGCCTGGGTGACAGAGTGAAACTCCCTCTCAGGAAAACAAAACAAAACAAAACAAAACAAAGCAAAACAATTGTCTGAAAGATACAGACTACTAGAACTCCAAAACTCATATAAGAAAACACAAACTAATTATCCCTATATTTATGAGAGAATTAATTTAATAATTAATCATTGTCCAAAAACATGGTTTCACTGGTGAATTCTTCCAAACATTTAAGGAAGATATAATATCACCTCTCCACGGTCGCTTTTAAAAAATAGGAAAGAGAAGATTTCCTGTTTATTCTATGAGGCAGGCATTACTCTAAAAATCAAAATCCAATCATATACAAGAAAAGAAAACCACAGACCAGTTTCACATGGACATAGATGTAAAAATCCTCAACAAAATATTAGCAAATTAAAAACAACAATGTAAAAAATAACTATACTCCACAACTAAGTGGGACTTGTTACAGGAATGCAAGCCTAATTCAACACTGAAAAATCGATCAATGCAATCTAACATATCAATAAGCTTAAAGAAGAAAAATCCTATAATTAGATCAATTGACACAAAAAAAGCTGGGAAAACACAAAACCCAATTTGGCTAAAACTTTTAGCAAAGCAGACCTATAGTTGAGCTTATTCAAATTGAAAAAAATTCACAAAAAAATTCTATAGCTAATATTACGCTTGATGATGAAAAAATATGTTTTCTTCTAAGGAAGGAACAAGGTAAGTGTCACCTGTCACCACTACTATTCAGCATCATACTGAAATTCCTGGCTAGCACAATAAGACAAGAAAAAGAGAAGTATAGATAGATATCTTGAAAAGAAAACAGACAAGAAAGATACACATATTTAAAAGAAAAATTATAACTGTCTTTATTTGCAGATGACTTGATTGTTTTACGTGGGAAACCACCAAAAGTCTATCAAAACAAAACAGAAGAAATAAACAACAACAAAAAAGCCCTTCTGGTACTAATAAATGAGTACAGCAAGATCAAAGGATACAAGACCAACATAAAAACAGTCAATTGCTTTCCCATTGACTCTGTATTTATGGTTTTCACATCCACAGATTCAACCAACTGTGGATCAAAAATATTTGGGAAAAAAAACAAAAAGCAACACAACAACAAAGATTAATACAAATAAAATACAGTATCACAACTATTTACATTGCATGCAATTATATTAGGTATTATATGTTCCCAAATAATTTAAATATAAAATATATGTAGATTATATGAAAACACTATACCATTTAATACAACGGATTTGAGCATCTACAGATTTTAATATCTGTGAGGGTCCTGGAATCCCTGCAGATACTGAAGGATGATTGTACCACAAATAAACAATTGGAATTTGAAATTAAAAAAAACATATTAGCACTTTAAAAAATGCAGTACTTAGCCATAAATCTAACAAAATATGTACAGAAGGACCTGTACACAGAAAGCTACAGAATCTTGAGAAAGAAGTCAAAGATCTAAATAAATGATTCTCCATGTTCATGAATTTGAAGGCACAATATTGTTAAGAAGTTATTGCTTCTCAACCTGACTTACAAATTCAATGCAATATAAATGAAAATCTCGGCAAACGACTTTGTAGATCTTGACAAACTGAGTCTAAAATTTACACAGAAAGACAAAGGACCTCTCTGAAGATGACCATAATTGGGGAACTCACACTACATAATTTCAAGATTTACCATAAAGGTACAGAAATCAAGACAGTATGGTATTGGAAAAAAAAAAGATAAACAATCCAATGGATCAGATTAGAAAACTCATAAATAGATCCACAACAATATAGTCAACTGATTTTTTTAGTAAGGCATGACGACAGTCCAATGGGGAAAGGCAGTCTTTTGAACAAGCAGTACTGTAACAAAATGATGTCATATGAATTTGGATTGCCATACCCAAGACACCTGACACTAGACAAGTGAGATTAACAGAAGTGTATTAGTCACATATACTGACAGCTGACAGCAAAGGACACTAAGTCTCACAAGACCATAAGGGGCTGAACTTCAAAACAGAGTTAGCAAGCAGAGACTGTGGGAGGAAGGCCTTGTACAACAAGAGTGTGGGATGGCCACTGGTTCTCTCTGGAGAATGTGATTGGTTGCTTGAATAATTCCGCCGGCAAGCAAGGAACTGAAGCCCACTACTCAGGGATAAGCAGGAACTCTGCCTGGTCCCTGTGAGAAAGAGGAACTTTTTTTCCAGCTAGGGAACAATATCAATATGAGCAGAGTGGAGGAGAGGACTTGCAGTTACGCCATTCAAACCCTCACAATTTTGCCAGGCATGAAGGCAGTACATAATATTGAATCCTAATTTCAGAACTCCCACCACAATACACAAAATAAATGATTCTAAATAGAAATCTTATAACTTACATGAAATTAACTCAAAACGCATCATAAAACTAATTACAAAATGCAAAACTATGAAACTCATAGAAAAAATAGAAGAAAAATTTAGGTGACTTTGGTTTGATAATAACTCTTTAGATATAACATTTAAAAGCACAATCTGTGTAAGAACAAATTGATGTTGAAATTTATTAAAATTTAAAAATCTTGTTCTGTAAAATATACAGATATAAAAAGAAACATACAAACCACAGACTGGGAGAAAATATTTGCAAAACCCATATGTAATAAAAAATTTATAACCAACGTATACCATAAACTCTTAGAAGTCAAAAATGAGAAAACAAATGACCTAATTTATAAATTTGCTGAAGATCTGAACATACACATTAGTAAAGAAGACATACAAATTTGAAAAAAGCATGTGAAAAAGATTCTCGATATCACTTGTCATTAAGAAAATGCAGGCTAAAACAAAGAATTACCACTACATACTTAATAGAATGTCTAATTTTTTTTTTTTTTTTTTTGAGACGGAGTCGCCCCGGCTGGAGTGCAGTGGCGCCATCTCTGCTCACTGCAAGCTCCGCCTGCCGGGTTCACGCCATTCTCCTACCTCAGCCTCCCGAGTAGCTGGGACTACAGGCGCCCATCACCAGGCCCGGCTAATTTTTTGTATTTTTAGTGGAGACGGGGTTTCACCGTGTTAGCCAGGATGGTCTGATCTGCTGACCTCGTGATCCGCCCGCCTCGGCCTCCCAAAGTGCTGGTATTACAGGCGTGAGCCACTGCGCCCGGCATGTCTAAAATTTTTTAAAGCACTGACAGTACCAATTGCTGGCTATGATGAGGAATAACAGAAACTGTCATTCGTTGCTGGTTGGAATGCAAAATAGTAACTACACTGGAAAATAAATGATTCTAGATACAAATATTATATGAAATTAACTTAAAATACATCATAAAACTAATTGTAAAATGCAAAACTGTGAAACTGACAGATTCTAACAATACTAAACATTGTTTCATTATTAGTTTACTGTGGCTTTTAAAACAAATTATTATAAACTTAATGGCTTAAAAACATAAATTTATTATTTTACAATTCTGAAAGAAGTCAGTTTGAAAAGGCTGCATACTACCTGATTCTATTTATTTGGCATGATGGAAAACTCAAAACCACAGAGATGTTAAACTGATCTGTCATTGTCACAGTTTCAGGGGGAACAGTATTCAATAGGAGATTAACAGAAGTACAAAGTATATTTCAGTGGGCTAAGGTCAACGTGTTGGCAGGGCTGCACTCCCTCTGTAATCTAGGGGAAATCAATTTCCTTGTCTTTTCAAGTTTCTCTAGCAACATGCCTGTATTCCTTGGCTCTTGACTCTCCCTTTCTTCATCTTGACTCTTTCCTTCATCTTCAAAGCCAGCAGTGTGCATGTTCAAACCTCTCAATGTTTTGGTCACATCATCTACACTACAGTCAATTCTGCCTCTGTCTTCCCTTTATAAGGACACCTGTAATTACATTTAAAGACCACCCAAGTAATTCAAGATAATCTCTCCATTTCAAGATTCTTAACTTTTTCACATCTGAAAAGTCCATTTTTTCATGTAAGGTAACGTTTACAAATTCCAGGGATTAGGACCCAAATATCTCTGTGGGCCATTGTTCAGCCTACCACAGTATACAATCCAGTAATTGTGCACCTACATATTTACCCAATTGATTTGAAAACTAAGTCCACAGAACAACCTGCAGGTGAATATTTATAGCAGCTATATTCATAATCTCCAAAAACTGGAAACAGCCAATATTCAGTAGGAGAGAAGATAAACAAATGGTGGTATGCTCATAAAATATAATAGTATTCATCAATAAAAGGAATGAGCTATCAAGTCATGAAGAAACATGGATAAATCTAAATTCATATTTCTACATGACAGAAGTCAGTTTGAAAAGGCTGCATACTACATGATTCTATTTATTTGGCATGATTGAAAACTCAAAACTACAGAGATGTTAAACTGATCTGTCATTGTCACAGTTTTAGGGGGAACAGTATTCAATAGGAGATTAACAGGAAATTTTTATTAGGGTAGTAAAACTATTTTGTATAACACTCTAATGATAGATACACAATACTAAACAGTTTTTAAACACCATATCATTTTGCAGCTGAAAGTGTGGACATTTGTGTATGCAAATGTTTTAATATCAGGTGGTTGGCATATTCCAGAAAGGAATGCAGAAGGCAACGACATAGTTCTATTACAGTAATAGAAATAAATGTCTGTTACTAAAGGAAATGTGAGAAAAGTAACTAATCTAGGTAACTTTGGAAATATGTGGAATCTTTAAAGACAAATGGAACTATATGAGAGCAATATAATTGATAATGTAGTTTCATATGCGGCATGGGTTAAGCAATTCTGCAACCAATATACATGTATAATACAATTGAAAAATTAAATAAATGTAATGCAGATGGTGGGAGCCATGTTTCTCACTGTTGGAATGGGAGATTACAGATAAGCAGATGGAGAAGTCTAGAGTAATCCTGTGGTAATGAATCAGAGTAGAGCTGGAGACATCAGTGTGCACAAATGTTCATTTTTATATAGACACAGATGATAAAAAAGATATTTATTGATATATGCATATATATGAGCTGGACACACATGCATATACTGCCTTGCTCTATCAGCTGAGAGAACCTAGAAGCAAGACACACCAGTAACAACGAGCACACTGGGTGCTCAGATTTTGGTTTCTAATACCATTCTTCAATTGAAAAAGAAACATGAATCCTTGGAAAAATGACTGATTCTAGGACTAGGGCAGGAAATATACATTTGAGTCTGGACTTTTCAGAAAGTAAGGAAGTGCTCTAACAAAACACAAAGATAGGAGTATGTCAAAGGGACATAGAAGCCAACAGAAAGAGCTTCCAATGGCCAAAGCTAAAACGAGTTGAGAAAAAAATAAACAAGGTAGTATTGGAGTATAACTGAAACCATAGCATAAATGTCCATGAGTTCATACTGACATAAATAATTTAAAAATTAGTTAATATAAAGAGGAACATGGACAAATCTCCCAAGCAGAATTCCAAAGAATTTATGAAAGTACTATGCCTTCAGGTAGTGCGGAATAGCTTCCCACTCCTCATATGCAGACTGTGCATAGTGACTTCCTTCCAAACAGTATGATATTGAAAAGGGAAAAAAAGAATAACATCACAACCTTTCCTTAGCCGGGTAATCAAGATTAACTTCAACAGTGATAAGTCACACTGATAGTATCTAACCTTGATATGATGTGATAAAAAATAGAACTTTATGTCTGTGGGCTTCCTCCTAAAGATTCATAATTCCAACTTATTTATAAGAAAAACATCAGACAAATGCAGGTTGATCAGTCTATAACCTGTACTCTAAAAGTCCTCACTGACATCAAAAACAAGGAAACTCTGAGAACCTAAAATCCAGGAGGAGCAAGGGTGACTTGGTGACTACATGTAATGTGTCATCTTGCAGGGGATCCTGTGATCGTAAAGTAAAAACAAAGAATTTTGAATAAACCTGGACTTTAGCAATGCTGATATGTCAGTAGTTATTCATTCATTATAAAAGTTTTGCAAACAAATGTAAATACTGAAAACAGGGGAAACTGGGTCTAGGATACACAGGAACTCTGTATTACCTTATAATTTTATGAAAATAAAAATCTACTATGAAGTAGTTTATACAGTAAGTTTTTTTAAGTAGCCCTATTTTTAATTTTCTGAGCATCCCAGGTAACTCTGGGCTATTCCTGTTAGGTCTGGGATAATTACCTTTCCTGAAAATAGCATGTTGGAATCCATCTTTCCACAATTTCCCAGTTGGATCTCCCAGCTGCTGTGAACTTTATCTCTGCAATGAATATCTGCATTCAGCAATCTTTTCTCTCTGTGGAAGATCAAACCAGCCCCAGAATCTAATTAAAAGTCTCCATACAAGGGACTCAGCAGGAATTGAAGCAAGGAGTATTTCATCTTTCTCTGTCCAGGGAATAATATATTATCCTTGGGAATAAAAGCCTACTTCCACAGTTGGCTTTTAAAATACAGACTACTGTACATCATGCATGTATCAAGAGGTTTTATTAAAGGTTGTGATTTTGTTTCCTAGTATAAAAACATTAAGCATACATTCTCTTTGAATAAGATTAAGTAAAAATATTTATCTACTCTTTAATCATAATTATATATTGAAGGATAAACAAAGGAAAAAATATGTTTGCCCAATTATCCATATGCAGTTTTACAATTAAAGAATTAAAGTGTGCTAAAAATTCAAGTTTGGAAGGACAGAATTCAGAAATGTTACACTAAAGAAAGGAAATAAACTGAATGGGATTATGATTTGGTTCAGGTATTTGCAGAAACTACTGGTTCTACTCCATTAGCTTCAGAACATAATGATATATTTGTGTAGAGACTAATGCCCAAAATTATTCCCAAAATTATAACAATAATTGATTTGGCTTTGGGTATTAGCATAATAGAACAATATATATCCTGAAAATTTAATTCTACATACATCTAGAAATGCTAGAGAACGATTTAATTAATGTCACATTAAGTGCAGAATTTAGTTTGCACAAAAGAATGTGAGTGATAGCGAAATCCTCAGAGTCTAGGAGAAAGATAATGAAACAGACCAATAAACACAAGAGCTAATGCAGCAAATGCCCTAGAGAAGGGATAGACTAGTGAGATCACCAGTCTTCGCAACCCAAGAACTGAGATTTAGTACTTCTTGGAGACAGTAGACTTCATATTGGACCAGCATTAAATAGGGAATTGAAACTAAGACCATTATCTAAATATATCTATATCTTTAGTAAATTGTCAAATTTACAATTATTAGCTCACAGCATAAGGAGATTACAAAAACAAAACAAAGCCCACAAACTTAGCTCATTTCACCTGGGCTCAGGGTAGATAATAAAATAAATGCCCCCTAGAATACATAATATAAGCTGATTCACTCTTGGAATTACATTTGGATTTACTACTGTCATGTTCTGTGATGGTTAATTTTATGTGTCAACTTGACTGGGCGCAGGGTGCCCAGATATTTGGTTGAACATTACTCTATGTGTTTCTGTGAGGGTAATTTTGGGTGAGATTAACATTTATATCAGAAGACTGAGTAAAGAAGATTGCCCTTCGTAGTGTGGGTGAGCCTTATTCAATCAGCTTAAAGACCTGAATAGAACAAAAGGCTGACCTTCTTCTAAGTAAGACAGAATTCTCCTGCCTGATCACCTTCGAACTGGTACATTGGTTCTTCCTACCTTATAGCCTTCAAACTGGGTCATGAGCATTTCCCAGTTCTACAGCAGCTTCCAGCCTTTGGACTCAAACTGGGACATCAACTTTGCAGATTTTGGACTTGCCAGCCTCTGTGTGACCTGATATGGTTTGGGTCTGTGTCCACACCCAAATCGCATGTTGAATTGTAATTCCCAATGGTGGGGAAGGATCTGGTGGGAAATGATTGGATCACAGGGGCAGATTTCCCCCTTGCTGTTCTCATGATAGTGAGTGAGTTCTCATAAGATCTGGTTGTTTAAAAATGTGTAGCACTTCCCCCTTTCCTCTCTCTCTCCTACTTCACCATGTGAAGATGTGCTTGCTTCCCCTTCACCTTCCACCATGACTGTAAGTTTCCTGAGGCTTCCCCAGCCATGCCTCCTGTATAGCCTGTGGAACTATGAGTCAATTAAACCTCTTTTCTCCATAAACTATCCAGTCTCAGGTATGTCTTTACAGCAGTGAAAGAATGGACTAGTACATGACCCAACATCCAACTCCTTATAATGAATTACATGCATATATACACACACACACATATATATACATATGTGTATATATATGTTTATATATAACCAATAGGATATATATGTATATGTGTGTGTGTGAGAGAGAGAGAGTGTGTGTGTGTATAGTCTATCAGTTCTGTTCCTCTGAAAACCCAGACGAATATATAGTACCAAGACCCAAGACATTAATACAATTCATCTTGGGCCAGGATACCCACAAATAAAGCAATGTTAAAAATGAACTAATAATCCAAAGCAATGAATGCATGAAAAAAATCATACACAATCTTTAGCAAAGATTAAAGTAAACAGAAGATTAAGACTCTCACATTTCAGGTGATAGAAGAGTACAAAATCAGTATATTTATAATGGTTAACCACATACAAAGAAATAAAAACCATAAGAAAAGAACAAAACCCTAAGAAAAAAAAATAAAACAGTGGTAGAAACAACTTTAGAGGTATAAACAGAAGTTAAAAGATTTGAAAGAGACTTACAAGATCTAATTTGTGTCATACATAAATTCTAGAATGATAAAGTAAAGGAGATTGAAAAGAGAAGAGCTTAGATTTCTCATATTTGATTAAAGGCATACTTTCTCACAATCAATAAATGTAATTAATTATGTCAACTAAAGAAAAACAAAATAACATATAGGTAAATTATAATAAAATTGAAAAATATCAAAGCCATTGAGATCTTAAAAGCAGTCAAATTTTTTTTATGATTATTATACTTTAAGTTTTAGGGTACATGTGCACAACGTGCAGGTTAGTCACATATGTATACATGTGCCATGTTGGTGTGCTGCATTTTGGAGATATACCTAATGTTAAATGATGAGTTACTGGGTGCAGCACACCAACAAAAGCAGTCAAATTTAAAAAGATATCACATTACTTGCAATGGAATGATAATTAGACTGATGGCAGACTTAGTGCATAACAACAGACTCCAGAAGAGCATGAATACTTTCTTCTATATACAGAGAAGAAATAATGGCCAATCTAGTAATACACACACTAGATTGAGTTATTACTCAACAATATGGGCAAAATGAATATAATTTTAAACAAATTCTGAGAGTTTACTACTCGCAAATTATAGTCAAAACAACCTAAATAATGCAATTTAATAAAATGAAAATTTATTTTAAAGGAAATAATATAAAAAAGTCAGTAAAGAAACTGACAAATAGTTGGGTAAATCTAAATAATAATTGACTTCATAAAATTAGAATTACAACCACAGTGATGCTTAATTTGAGAGATTTAAAATGAGGAGAAAATAATATATTACACCTGTACGATAAGAGAGGGTAATAATTAAGCACTTTAAAGCGTTGCATTATTCAAGAGAAATAATATAATCCAAGGCAGCATGAATATTTTCTTTAACAAACAGAGAAAAGATAATGGCCAATCTAGTTATATACACACCTCATTTATTATTGTTATAAGAAACCATTTTCATGGGCTGAAGCTGCATTTGAAAAAAATAAAACAGTTGCTATTACCTAATACAACGTGTCCAACTTTTAAAGATATTATGAAACATGCTAAACTGCAAGTGTGTTGGGGGTTCTAAATACTGCCCTCAGGCTCAATGTTTTGCTGGAAGGACTACAGGACTCAGATAAGCTACTATACTTACGGTTATAGTTTATCACTGAGTGAGAATACAGATAAAAACCACCAAAAAAAAAAAAAAAAAGACACAAGGGTAAATTCCAAGAGCTATATGAACATGCTTAATTCTCCCAGCAGTGATGTGGTGGCAACACAGGCAATGTTCTGTCAGCTAGGAAAGCTCATTCAAACGTGGATGTCCAGGGTTCTTATTGGGAGTCATGCATCCAGGTATGCAGTTTCTACCTAACTGCAGCTACTCAGACTCCAGTCTTCCACAGCAAAAACATGTGTTCACCATAAAATGCACGTTAGCATAAACTATCTGATCAAACTGGAACTACATAGTCCCACACTTCTTATCAGGCAGAATATTCCCAGAGCTCAAAGTTCACCTCCCAGGAGCCAGTCAAGTGCCAATCCTGAATACTAGCATTTTCTGGGAATATGTAAGGTTTGAACCAACATAACTTGCTGATTTAACCCTTTCCTGTACAGGAAGCAAAACAAAAGTAAAACAAGGCTGAAGAAACAAAACAAGTGCCAGAACCATACTCAGATATAAAACAATTATTGGAATTTTCAGGTAGTGAATTTAAAATAACTATGATGAAGATGTTAAAAGTCCTGATTTAAAAAAGAGACACAGTGCAAAAACGGATAGGTTATTCAAGAAGGGAGATAGAAAATTTAAGAAAGAATCAAATGGAAATACTAGAAATCAAAAGCACTGTGGCATAAGTAGACAATGTTTTTGATAATATTATCAAGAGATTAGACAATCAGCAAGCTTGAAGACAAGTCAATTAAAACTTACAAAATCAACAGGCAAATAAGAATGAGAAAAGAAAAAGAAGAAAGAAAAGGAGAAGGAGGAAGGATAACAGAAAGAGGGAGAGAAAAAGAAACATTCAAGAACTGTAGGACAATTCTGAAAGGTGTAATCTATAAATAATTGGAATACCAGAAGAAAAACAAATAGAAAATGGAACAGAAAAGAAAAACTGAAGTAATAATGGATGAGACTTTTCCAAAATTAATAAAAGACTCCGAACCACAGATTCAGGGTGATCCAAAAACATCAAGCAGAATAAATACCAAAATTATACTAAGACTTTTTTCAAACTGCAGAAAAACAAGACCAAGAGAAAATTCTGAAGGAAGCCCAAGGTGGCAAGGGGCATTATATATAGAAGAACAAGAAGAAGAATTGCAGTGGGATTTGCTTCAGACACCATGCAAGAAAGAATATAATGAAGTAAAATATTTACAATTTTTTAAAAAACAAACAAATCTAAGATTCTATAAATAGAAAAAATTATCCTTCAAATGTGAATAACAGAAGAACATTAGAAAAAAATGGCAAAGTGGGAAATCATAGGTAACCATTCCTCCTCAGAAACACCACATATCTGGCAAAAAAAAAAAAAAAGTGAAAATCAACCTTATCAAAACTGTGGATGAAATTAAAAAATGTACAGCCTCCAAGTGAATGCTTAATAATGAGAAACTCCACTCTAACCTGGTAAAAGAGCTTTGAGGTATTTTAACTTACCCTTGCTCCATACCCCACACTGATATCATGGTGGTCCTGGAGATGGCATCCTACCTTCCTGGTGTGTGTACCTATTTCCAGCGGGAGTTTCAGAAGAAGCCAAGTTACTCCTGTTCCCAAGAAATTGCATTAGTCTGTTTTGACCTGTCTGGGAGTTACCTGAAGAATTTATATAAGGGCCTTGTTTTTTGTTGTTGTTGTTTTTTGTTTGTTTGTTTTCCCTAATTCAAAACCTTCTCAAAGTGGAGAAGCAGCTATGCAGGGGGGATTACTTGAAAACAATAAAATGTAAATAATAAAGTCTCTGCTACATGAAAGAACAAAATAAAATAAAAACCATTTAGGGCAAAGAGTAGGCACACACTGAATGCCTGAAAGAAAAGCTGGAGAGTAAAATAATTTAGGGAATAAGGGTTTTGAGTTCCCACATATTTCAAAGATTCTACACAACCAGGGCAAAACACACATGCTGGAAAGACCAAGAGATTTCATCTTTGGCTACTCTTAGACTCCATGTAGGCAAAAATGAAAGGTAGGGCAGAGATATTAATAAGCCTTGAAAGAGCGTCCTGACACAGAGGCAATCTGCAAATATGGACAAATTTGCTTCATATGTTTTTTACTCTCATTCTTGTTGTTGGATTCAGGTGTTTAGTAAAATCTGTCAAAACACTAACTGAACACTAAGCTAAAGAAACAAAGGGTACACATGACAAAGAAGACACAGTCTTTACAGAAGTAGTTTAGAAAAGTAACTAAATAGTGACAGCCCACAGTAAGCACAGAAATTCACTGGGAGTGGGACCATCTTATTTTCAGAGTTACCATGTCAAAATATTCAAAATGTTCAATTTTTTAAAAATTATGAAGCATGCAAAAAAGTAATAAAATATGGCATTTTAACTGAGTAAAAAAGGATTAAAATTGTTCATCAAAAAGCACAGATGTTAAATGTACTATACAAATATTTTAAATTAACTATCTTAAATACACTATAATAGTTAAAGAAAATGGAAGACAAAAATCTAAAGAAAATCAGGAGAAAAATGTGTGAACAAACACAGATAAAGGGACAGGAATAAAAATATAGAAACTATAGAAAAAGAAAGGAACAAAATAGAATATTTGGAACTGAAAAGTACAATAACTGAAATGAAACACTCACTAGAGTGCTCAGTATCAGATTTAAACAGATGGAAGAAAAATATCAGTAAACTGAAAGATAAGCCAAGTGATATTAGCCGGTCTGAGGAGCAGAGATTTTTTAAAAGTAAAAAAAGAGAAACAAACAAACAAACACACAAAAAACAGAACCTAAGACTTGTGGGACACCACTGAGTTTACCAACATAGACATAATGGGAGTGCCAAAAGGAAAGAAGAGGAGAAAGAGGGCATAAAGAGTACCTGAAGAAATAATGGCCAAAAACTTTCCAAAACTTTATATAAGACATAAAACTACACATTCAAGAAACTTATCAAACTCCAAGTAGGATAAGCCCAAAGACATCAACACCAAGGTACATTTTAATCCAACTTTCAAAAGCCAAAGACAAAAAGAATTTTGAAAACAGCAAAAGTAAAGGACTCATCACAGATAAGTGATCCTCAAGTAGATTAACAGCTAAATTGTCATCAGAACCTCTAAAATAAGAAAACACTGGAATAATATATTTAAACTACTGAAAGAAAAATAAAACCTGTCAGCCAAGAATTCTAGATATAGGAAAACTATCTTTCAAAATGGAGAAATTTTCTGCTCATGTATCCTAGAACTTAAAATAAAATAAAATTTATAAAAATGAAGAAATTAAGACATTTCCAGATAAACAAAACTGGAGTTTATTGCTAGTAGATCTGCCCTAAAAAATGCTAAAGGGAGTCCTTCACACAAAACGTAAAGACATTAGACTAAATCAAAACTGTATGATGGCATCAAGAGCACTGGTAAAAGTAACTATATAGTAAATTAAAGCCAGTGTCTTTGCATCTTTGGTTTGTAATTCCTTTTTTCTCTATGATTGAAAAGGCAAATACTAGCTTGTATGAGTTTAAGATATTAATTGTAATCCTGAAGGTAGCCACTAAGAAAATAACTTTTAAAGTGTACAGAAAAGAAATTAGAAAGCAATGATGACAGGGCACTAAAAAAATTCATTAAGTATCAAAGAAAGCAATACTTGAGGAACAAAAAAAGACATAACACATATAGGACATAAATAGCAAAATATCAGAAATAATTTCTTTCTTATCAGTAATTAATTTAAATATAAGTTAAACTTTAAATAGAAATTAAAACCCCCAATTAATAGTCAGAGATTGACAGTATGGCTAAAATAATATGATCTATCTATATGTCGTCTGTAAGAATCTCAATTTCAAAGACACAACTAAGTTAAAAGTAAAATAAAAGAAATTTCGTGAAAATAGTAACCCAAAGAGAGTGGGAGCTACAGTATCAGAAATAAATGGACTTTCAGTCAAAAATTATTACAAAAGTTAAAAGACTTTAGACAATAAAGGAAATATAACAATTATAAATATATACACAGCTAACAACAAAATCTCAATATATCTGAACATAATATTGACAAAAAAGAGAAAAATAGTGTGCAATCAGAGTTGGAGACTTCAATACCCTACTTTTAACAGTAGATAGAACAACTAGACAGAAGATGAGTAAGAAATAGAGAATTTTAATTACCCTACAAACCAATTAGACCTAACAAACATACAGAACATTATACTTAACAACAACAAAACTACACATTATTCTCACGTGAACGTGAAACATTCTCCAGGATAGAACATATGTTAAGTCACGAAACAAGTTTCAATAAACATAAAAGGCCTGAAATCATACAGACCACCTTTACAACCCATATGAAACTAAACTAGAAATCAATAACAGAATAACAACTGAAAAATCATAAATGTGTGGAAATTAAACAATACACTCTCAAATAACCAAGAGGTTAAGAAGAAATCAAAATGGGAATTAGAAAATACTTTGAGGCAAATGAAAATGAGAATACAAATCTCATAGGAAACAGTGAAAGCAGTGCTCAAAGGAAATGTATTGCTGTAAATGCCTGCATTTAAAGAAATGAAAGTTACATCCTAATGCAGTAGAAAAAGAAGAAGATGCTAACATTAAAGCTAGCAGAAGAAACAAAATAATAAAGATGACAAAATAGGGAATAGAAAAGCAATAGAGAAAATAAACAAAATCAAAAATTAGTTTTTTAAAACATTAACAATATTGACAAACCTTAACCTAGACTAGACTAAGAAAAAAGAAACAAAGACTCAAATTACTAGAATAAAAATGAAAATGTGCTTATTGCCACAGATTCTATAGAAATAAAATGTATTTTTAAAGAATATTATTAACAATTGTATGCCAACAAATTAGATAACCTTGATGTAATGAACAAATTTCTTGAAACAAAAAAACTATAAAAATTGACTAAAAATTATAAAGAATATCTGAAAAGACATATAAGAAGAAATTAAACCAGTAATCAAAACTTCAGAACCAACAAAACCCAGCCAAATAACTGCACTGGTGAATTCTACCAAAAAATAAAAATGACCTAATACCAATGCTTCTCAAACTCTTCCAAAAAATAGAAGAGTAAAGAATACTTCCTACCTTATTCTATGTGGCCAGAATTACCCTGATATCAAAGCCAAATAGATACATCACAAATAAAATGAGAACAAAAAACCAGAGATTAATATTCTTGTGACTATATAAGTCAAATCTTCAACAAAATCCTAGCAAAACAAATACAGCCCCATATTAAAGGGATTTTATACCATGACCAAGTGAGTTATTCTAGGAATGCAAGGATGGTTTAATATATGACACTCTATCAATGTAACACATAATATTACCAGAATAAATGGTGAAAGCCACATCATAATCTTCATTTATACAAAAAAATTCAAGAAATCCAATACCCTATTATAATAAAAGCACTCAAAAACTTATGATGGATATTTAAAAAAAAAAAAAACCTTAACTAACATTATTCCCGAAGGTTGAAGGCTAAATCCTTTTCCTTAAGGTCAGGAGCATGATAAGCTTACCTCCTTTTGCTACTTCTATTCCACGTTGTCCTAGACATTCTAGACAGAGCAATCAGGTAAGAAAAAGAAATAACAGGCCTTTAAATTGAAAGAAAAGGAGTAAAACTAACACTGTATGTAAATGAAATAATCTTATATGTAGAAAATCCTAACAAATACACCCCAAAACGTATTAATGCTAGTAAAAGAATTCAGCAAAGTTGCAAGATAGATGATCAACACACAAAAATCAGTTTTAATTCTGTGTACTAGCAATAAACAACCTGAAAAGGAAATTAAGAAAATAATTTTATTTATAATGTTATTTAAAAGGATAGAATACTTAGGAATCAATTTAACCAATGAGTGGAAGAATAGTACACTTTAAACCATAAAATATTGCTGAAATAAATAAAAAGACATTTCATGATAATAAATTGAAAGAGTCAACATTTCTAAGATGTCAGTACTCCCCAAAGCAATATAATGACTCAGTGCAGTCCTATTCCAAATCTGAATAGCCTTTATGAAGAATGAAAGAGCTAATACTAAAAATTTATATGGAATTTCAACAGACCACAAGTACCCAAAACAATATTTTTTTAAAGTTGGAGTATTCATACATCCCAATTTTAATTTATATATATATATATATAGGCAGAGTCTCGCTCTGTCAGCCAGGCTGGAGTGCAGTGGCACGATCTTGGCTCATTGCCAACCTCTGCTACCTAGGTTCAAGCAATTCTCTTGCCTCAGCCTCCCAAGTAGCTGGGACTACAGGTGCAAGCCACCACATCCAGTTAATTTTTTTGTATTTTTAGTAGAGATGGAGTTTCACCATGTTGGCGAGGCTGTTCTCAAACTCCTGACCTCAGGTGATCCGCCTGCCTCAGCTTCCCAAAGTGCTGGGATTACAGGTGTGAGCCACTGTCCCCAGCCTCCAATTTTAAATTTTATAGCAAAGTTATAGTTGTCAATTAAGTATAATATTGGGACAATTATATACATATACATCAATGGAATAGAATTAAGAGTTCATAAGTAAACCCAAATATTTATAGCCAATATTTATAATTTACCACAACACGCACACACAAAAGGCAGCATGTAGAAATGATAAAGATACATTTGAGAACCAATAAAGAAACATAGAAGAAAAGGAAGAGTCAAGATAACAGTTGTGAGAAGTATGGAAAAATTAAGGCGACAGTTACATATGAAAAAATGAGGCTTCCCTGTGATAAGAGAGAAGGGAAACCTTCTTAAGTTGAGAAATGGGGAAAGTGCCCTTAAACATTCCAACAATATGGTTCTTCTGTTAATACGTGACCCAGGATGAGCCAAATCATTCAATAATTAATACAAGAAAAGAAATGCTTAATTCTTACAAAAATAGAATAATAAAAGCAGAGCTTGTAAGAAACAGAATAAAACTTGCTAGAAAGTGCAGTCACAAATCAGAGTAAATAGCAAAAAAACAAATTCAAAACAACACATCTTTAAATGAGCAAATGCAGTCAAGAAAAATATTTTTAAATTTTTAAGAAATCTTAGAGAGTAAATTAGTAGACAAGAGAAAAATGTTAATTAGAAATTTGCATAACTTAGAAAATAAATTTTAAAAAGACAAAATTATTTCAGAAATGGAAACTGAATTTCACTGAAAACAAGATTAACACCATCAAATTAACATAAAAGCATATAAAATAAATATTAAAAGGCTTAGAGAATTCAGAAGAAATGATGAAAAGGATTCGGTCAAAAGTGTTAAATATAGAAGACAAGAAAATGATGTCAAACATATGTGTACTTGCAGATCCTGACATCAAAACAAAGTAAGATAAAAGAACAAACACTTAAAAACTATAAATCAAAAACCTACCTTGAAGGTGTGGGAAATGGGTACTAACCTAAGTAACTTTGGAAATGAGTGTAGTATGTAAGACTAAAAGTAGAAGTAACTGCACATAAGCAATGTGGGCTACACATTCTGACTTGTATCAAAGACTAGTACAGAAAGGAGGTAATTTAACTGTACAGTGAATAAATCTAACAAGCACTGCCTCAACTCAGAAATTTAGAAGTATAGGAAAACTTTCTCAACTTCATAAAAAAAATTATATAGCTAACATTATGCTGAATCATGAGAAAAATAATGCTTTCCTCCTAAGATCAGGAATAGGACATGGGTATTGTTTCTTAACACTGCAATATCATACTGGAAGTCCTAGCTATTTTAAAAAATGAAATAAAAATCTACAAATTGGAAATATATAAATAAATTGTATTTATTCTCAGATGACCTGATTGTCTATGTAGAAGTTTCTAAAGAATCAACACAAAAATTTTGGAACTATAAGTACCAAGTACCATTCTGCAGCAAAATTACAGAATGCAAGCTAAATATTTTAAAAATTGCTTTTGTTTACATCAGCAATGAAAAAAATTGAAAAAAAAACCCTTTACATTAGCAATAAAATAATTGAAATGCTTATGTGTAAGTCTATGTGCGGGATCTATATGCAGAACATGAAAAAGCATTAATGAAAGAAGTCAAAGAAGGTCTACATGAATAAATACATGGAGGAATATTCCATGCTTATTAAATCTCAATTTTGTTAAGACATCAATTCTTTCCAAACTGATCTATATATTCAATGCAATCCCAATCAAAATTCCTGTGAGCTTTCTTTTGTTTTAAATTGAGGTAAAATTCATGCAACATAAAATTTGCCATTTTAAAGTGTACAATTCAGTGCCATTTAGTATATTCGCAATATTGTGCAACCATCACCACATTCCATCTCCAAAACATTTTTCATCTTCCCACATTGAAAGTCCAGAACGTTTTCATCATGCCCAAAGAAGACCCTTACTTCTTAAGCAGTTAATTCCCATTTCTCTTCCCATTCCCCTCAGTCCATGGTAACCACTAATATGT
The DNA here is from genome assembly GCF_000001405.40 of Homo sapiens. NCBI lineage: Eukaryota > Metazoa > Chordata > Mammalia > Primates > Hominidae > Homo > Homo sapiens. The sequence goes on along the minus strand of NC_000002.12, from coordinate 128,913,721 downwards.
TTTCTGTATCTATGGATTTACCTTTCTAGATATTGCAGATAAATTGAGTCATACAACATGTGACCTTTTGTGTCTGACATCTTTCAATTGCCATAAAGCTTTTGAGATTCTTCCACATTGTAACATGTATTAGTCCTTAATTCCTTATTATGGATTAATAATATTTCATTGTATGGATCTACCAAATTTTGTTCATCCACTCATCCACTGATGCACATTTTGGTTATCACCATCTTTTGATTGTTCTGAAAAGTGCTGCTGTAAACGTTTGTGTATAAGTATTTGTTTGAATACCCGTTTACAATCCTTTTTGGTCTATTTCTATGAGTGACATTATTGGATCATATAGTAATTCTGTTGAATTTTTTGAGGAACTGCCAAATTGTTTTCCATAGCAAGTAAACCATTCTCCATTCCCTCTAGCAATGTATAAGAATTTCAATTACTCCACATCCTTGCCAATTGTTGTTTTTTAAAATTATTATTATTGTTATCCTGGTGGGTGTGAAGTGGCATCTCATTTTGCTTTTGATTTACATCTTGTTAAAGACTAATGACATTCAACACCTTTTCAAATATTTTTGTGAATATGTGTATCTCTGGAGAAATGTCTATTCAAGTTCTTTGTCCAGATTTTTTGAGGGGTATCTGTCTTATTGTATTTGAGTTATAGGAGTTCTTTATATATACTGGATACTGAATGATCATGTTGTAGGTTTTCTTTTCAGTTTCTTGATAGTGTCATTTTATGGCAAAAGTTTTTAATTTTAATGGAATCCAGTTTATCTATTTTTGCTTGTGTTGCTCTTGCTTTTGGCATCATATTTAGGACTCCTTTAACAAATCCAAGGTCAACAATAATTACTCCTGTTTTCTTCCAAGAGTTTTATAACTTAGCCCTTATATTTGCGTGTTTGTACTACTTTGAGTTAATTTATATATAGTATGAGATAGGAGTCCAATTCATTTTACTGAATGTGGATATACAGTTGCCCCAGCATAATTTGTTCAAGACACTCTCCCTTCACTATTAAATGATCTTGGCACACTTGTTGAAAATCAATTGCCCATTACTGTAAGGGCTTCTTTTTGGGCTCTCAGTTCTATTTCACTGGTGTATTTGTCTAGTTTTATTACAGTACCAAACCTTTTAGATTGCTGCAGCTTTGTAGTATGTTTTGAAATCAGGAAGTATGAGTCCTCCAACTTTGTTCTTTTTTTTTTTTTTCAAGATTGTTTTGGCTAGTGGGGTTTCTTGCAATTCTATATGCAAGCAACCTTTTTTGTAGATATTAACAATCAAATTTTAAAGTGTACATGGAAAGGCAAAAGACCCAGAGCAATTAACACAATACTGAAGAAGAATAATGCTGGAGGACTCAACTATTTGATGTTGAGACTACAGGAATCTAGATAGTGTGGTATTGGTGAAAGAAGGCACATATAGATTAACAGAACAAATGCAAAAGAAAAAAATGAAACCATACACAGACCTTACAATGTCCACAAACATTAATTCAAACTGTATCATAGACCTAAATGTAAAATTAAAAACTATAAAACCTCCAAAGAAAACAGGAGAAATCAAAGTTCCCTTGGGTTGGGTGAAGGCTCTTTACATGCAACAATAAGATGATGATCCTTGAAGGAAAAAAGAGTGATAAGTATAATTTTATTAAAATTAAAAGCTTCACTCTGTGAAAACAATACTAAGAGCATAAAACAGCAAGTCACAGACTGGGGAAAAATGTGAGACACGCATATCGAATAAAGGACTTGTACTCAAAACACACAAAAATCTTGAAGCTTAACAATAAAATAACAGAAAAGCAAATTTTAAAAATGAACAAAAGATCTGAACAGACACCTCACCAAAGTAGCTACCCAATAGATGGTCAATAAGTACATAAAAAGATGTTCAACAGTATTTGGCATTAGGGAATTTCAAACTAAAACAACAATGAGATATCCTCATACACCTATTAAAATGGTTAGAATCTAAAATCAGACAATACCAAATGCTAACAAGAATGTGGAGTAAAAAAAACTCTCATTAATTAGTGCTGAGAATGAAAAATTGTACAGCTATTCAAACAGTGGAAGACAGTTTCATAGCATTTACAATGCTATACCTAATTTTACCATAAAATCCAGCAATTCTGTTCCTAGGTATTTACCCAAATGATTTGAAAATACGTCTGTATACAAACCTGCACACAAATGTTTACAACAGCTTTATGCATAATCATCAAAAACTAGAAGCAAGGAAGATATTCTTCAGTAAGTGAATGGATAAACTGTAGTACATTCACCAGATGGATAAAAAGAATCAGCAATAAAAAGAAATGAGCTATCAAGGCACAAAGAGATACAGATGAATCTTAAATATATATTGTTAAGTGAAAGAAGGTAGTCTGAAAAGATTACACATGGTGTAATTCCATTATATGTCGTTTCAGAAAAGACAAAATCATTTAGACAGTAAAACATCAGTGTTTGCCAAGGGTTTGAATTAGGGGGGAAAAGTGAAATGGGTGAACCATAGAGTATTTTTTTAAAACAGTGTAATTCTTCTGTATGAAACTGTACTGGGCCAAACTGTGCTTAGAGATAGGGTATTCTGAAAGGTGATTAAGTTCAACCCAGCATGGTGGCTCATGCCTGTAATCCGAGCACTTTGGGAGGCTGAAGTGGGTGGATCATCACCTGAGGTCAGGAGTTCAAGACCAGCCTGACCAACATGGTGAAACCCCTTCTTTACTAAAAATACAAAAATTAGCTGGGCATGGTGGTGGGTGCTTGTAATCCCAGTTACTCAGGAGGCTGAGGGAGGGGAATTGCTTGAACCCAGGAGGCGGAGGCTGCAGTGAGTCGAGATCGCACCACTTACTCCAGCCTGGGCAAAAGAGCAAAACTCCATCTCAAAAAAAAAAAAAAAAGTGATTAAGTTACAATGAGGCCATTTGAGTGGGCCCTAATCCAGTATGACTGGTGTCCTCATAAGAAGAGGAGAACAAGACACAAACAATACAGACGGCCATGTAGGGACATGCCCAATAGGGACGGCCATGTGACGGCACCAGAAGAAGCAGATGTCTGCAAGCCAACCAGAGAGGCCTCAAGAGAAATCAACCGTGCTGACAGCTTGATCTCAGACTTCCAGCCTCCAGAGCTACAAGAATATGAATTTCTGTAGTCTATGCCTCCAGTCTGTGGTATTTTGTTATGGCAGCTTTAGCAAACTAATACAGTAGATCCATAGTATTATTTGTTTTTCAAAACCCATACAACTTAACCACAAAGAGAATAAACCTTAATACATGCAAAATTCAGAAAAGCAAACTAAAACAAAAAAATTAGGAAGCTGGGGGATCCCAGGATGGAATGCAGAATGTGACAAAACAACTTATTTATTTATTTATTTATTTATTTATTATTTTTTTGAGACAGAGTTTCGCTCTTGTTGCCCAGGCTGGAGTGCAATGGCACGATCTTGGCTCACCACAACCTCTGTCTCCTGGGTTCAAGCAATTCTCCTGCCTCAGCCTCCCGAGTAGCTGGGATTACAAGCATGCCACCACATATGGCTAATTTTGTATTTTTAGTACAGATGGAGTTTCTCCATGTTGATTAGGCTGGTCTTGAACTCCTGACCTCAGGTGATCTGCCCACCTCAGCCTCTCAAAGTGCTGGAATTACAGGCATGAGCCACCGCACCCGGCTGACAAAACAATTTAACTCTGTTACAAATATATGAAACTCCCTCACTGAAGGAGGCTGGGGGGAGTTGCCGACCTAAGTGATTTTGGAAATGAGTGGCATCTTGTAATGGCAAAAGAACTTGCACATAAGTACTTTACTCTTACTGATAAAAATGTTTCTCACAGGGATAACCAAGGCAGCCTTAATGTTTCCCTCAGATTGGCTAAAGTTTAGAGGGGCTTCTTTCTGCCTCTGTGGCGATGACCTTCCTTTCCTTAGAGCATTTAGTTTAGAAAACTCCTAATTGTAAAAGTTTCCTCTGTCTCTTTTTAAATGTATGTGAATCTTCTTTCAGTTTCTTACTAGTTTTATAATTCAAGAAATGCCTTTCTCAAGTACCTGGGAACCCCTGTCTTCTATTCTCTGGAAGAGTAAAAGTCTAACTTTGATTAGTGCCAATTAGCAAACCCTAATCACAGAAAAACACATTTGCAAACTCAGGAATAACTCAATGTGCGTGACACATCCTATTGAGCAACCATCCCGCTAAGATCCTCCAGTACTTTTCCAATAGCTCGCTCAGCACTCAACAAACCTGCCACCTTTTGTTTCAGTGGAGTTGAGTTCAGTCCTTTTCTTCTATTGTGATAGTATTGAATAAAGTATTCCCTTCTTGTTAATTGTGTTCAGTGCATTTTTCACTTTGACAGGGATAAGGTTAACACTTCTAATACCATTACACGTGTATACTAGAATTGAGCAATTAAGCAAACGGATGGCTGGTGGTGGGAGCCAGGTTCCACATGATCCATATGGTAACTGATAGTTAGAGACATCACTATGAACTCAAGCATAGCTTAATATACATTCAGACAGTTACATATAGAAATATTTATAGGCCAGGCATGGTTGCTCACTCCTGTAATCCCAGGACTTTGGGAGGCCGAGGCGGTCAGATCACAAGGTCAGGAGATCGAGACCATCGTGGCTAACAAGGTGAAACCCCGTCTCTACTGAAAATACAAAAAATTAGCCAGGCGCGGTGGCGGGTACCTGTAGTCCCAGCTACTCGGGAGGCTGAGTGAGGCAGGAGAATGGTGTGAACCCGGGAGGCGGAGCTTGCAGTGAGCTGAGATGGTGCAATGGCACTCCAGTCTGGGTGACAGAGCAAGACTCCATCTCAAAAAAAATAAGAAATAAAATTAAAAAAAGAAATATTTATAAATAATTATATATACATGGTTTAGGATACACGCATGCATTTCCTTGCTCTGTCAACTCAGAGGAATTAATAGCAACAAAACCCTCATAGCAATGAGCAAATCTATCCCCAGACCTTGGCTTTTAACACCATTCTCCTAGAGAAGGAAGCAGGGCTCCTTGGAGAAATGACGAATGCTAGAACAGAAACAGGAAATATACAAGATGAACAGGAAGCATATTTAAGTGTCAGAAACTAAGGAAATGCTAAGAAAATATTTTATACAAAGCACCACAATGATGAGGGATAATTCAGAGGGACACAGGAGCCAAGTGAAAGAGATCCTGAATGCCAAAACAGGACAAATTGAGTGACTTTCCTCCAAAGCATTCAGTATGAAAACGAAGGAAAAAAGTAACTTTACAGTGGAGAAGGCTGACAGTCACTATGTCAGCCAGATAGTCAAGGTTAACATCAACAGTAAATCATTTGATAGCATGTACATTTGATATGATGCAGTGAAAATAATATTTTGTCTCTGAGGTTTTTCCCAAAAACATATTAGCCCAGTCTAATCATGTGAAAAACATCAGACAAATAATAATTTGAGAGTATATGGTAATTCTCTACACAGATGCTCCTCGACTTATAATAAACCCATTGTAAGATGAAAATATCATAAATCAAAAAATGTACTTAACACACCTAACCTACCAAAGACAGCTGGGCACAGCTTAGCCTAGCCTACCTCAAATGTGCTCAGAATACTGGTATGAGCCTACATTTGGGCAAAATCATCTAACACAAAACCTATTTTATAATAACTTGAAATAGGGTTTCTGTTGAATGCGTATTGCTTTAGTCTCATTGTAAAATTGAAAAGTCATAAGTAGAATCATCAAGTCAGGGACCATGTGTATTATCTTTACAATATTTCTGTAAATCTGAAAGTGTTCTAAAATAAAATGCGTTTTATAAATTTTTAACATTATTTAAAATCACAATGAGATGCCATTATTCACCTATTAAAGTAGTTAAAATTTCAAATACATATATAACAATACCAAGTGCTGGAAGGATGCAGAGCATTTAGAACTCTCATACATTGCTGGAGAGAATGCAAAATAGTAAAGACATTATGGATAATAGTACATTGTTTCCTGTATTTCAAATATACACTTACCATATGACTCCATAATCCCACTCAAGTTTTTTTCCAAGAGAAATGAAAAATTATATTCACACAAAAGCCTGTATGTGAGTATTTATAGCAGCATTATTTTTCATTGTAAAAAATTGAAAACAACTCAAAAGTCCTTCTATGGTTGAATAAACAAGCTGTGTTATATCCATACAAGGCAATACTATTAAACATTCAAAGTAATGAATGATTGATATACCCAACAATGGATAAATCTCAAAAGCATTATTGTAAGTTAAAAAACCTAGACCGAGAAGGTTATATGCTATATGTTTCCATTTATATGGCATTCTGGAAAAGGCACAGACTGCAAGGACAGAGAATAGATTCATAGTTATCAAAGATTAGAGGTAGGAGGGTTTGCTTACACAGCCACAGCATGAAGAAACAATTTGGAATGAGGGACTTCCCCATATTCTGATTGTAGTGGTGGTTTTAAGACTCTATATATTTGTCAAAAATCACAAAACTGTCCTTCCCCAAAACAGCAAATTTTACTGTAAATAATTTTTTTAATTTAAATAGTAAAAACAAAATCTTAACAATAGTCTACTCGGTGGTAGTATTTGGGGTTTTATTTTTTTCATTCTTTTCTCTGTAGTTTAAAAATTTTTAACCAATTCATGTATAACATTTACAGTTTGAAAACAATATGGTCATTAAAGATGTGGCTGTAAAAGTTAAAAGGAAAAAAGGTACCAACATTGGAAGAAGTGATCAAACCATCCTTATTTTGAGATTACGACAGCCTGCCTAGAAAATCAAAAAGAAGCTATTAATAAAATCACAACTCCAGAGAGATTAACATTCTGACCAGATATAAGATCAACATTCAAAAGTAAACAGTGCTTCTACACATCAATAATTACTAATGCTTGTTAAAACATTTAATGGAAAATTCCATTTTCAAAATAGTTGCAAAAGCTATAATATCCATAGAAGAAAATATGTTAAAGCAGCCATAAGGAAACTTAAAATTATGGAAGTATTTAAAGGAGACTTATAGGAGACCTGGAGAGATAAAATTTGGTCAGAGATTTAAAGCTTCAATAATTATAAAAATGTCATTTATACTTTATAAATTTATAAATTATATGTAACTGTAAAAAAAACCCATACACTTCTATAAAATTTGAACCAATCCTAAATTTTTTGTAGATGAGCCAGAGGGACAGAAAGAACCAAGGCAGTTTTGAAGAACATAGGTGTCTGGACCTATCAGGGCATGTGACAGTGAAAGCAGGGTACTGTGGTGCTGATGTGAGGCTACAGGTACAGACCCCTGGGGAGAACAGAAAACCCAGGCACAACATCATGTACACATAGTACACAACAAATCAGGGGGAAAGGATGTGCTATTTGGTAAATAGAACAGAGTTAACTAGTTCTTTAAATGCTTCAACAGGGTCTGGATGCAGTGGCTCCATTCTGTAATATCAGCACTTAGGGAGACCAAAGCAAGGAGCATCCCTTCGGGCCAGGAGTTCAAGATCAGCATGGGTAACATAGTGAGGTCCCTTTCTACAAACAAACTAACTGTTTCCTTAGAAACACAAGGATTCCTTAGAAAGGTTTCAAAAAGAACAATCCATAAAGGAAAAAATTGATTATTTTTGACACGTTAAAATAAAAACTTACACAAAATACATAATAAATAAAGTGAAAAACAAGACAGACAAGGAGGAGATTAGCCATATGTGTAACAGAAAGAGGATTAGTATCAAATACATACACCTCAAAATCATTAAAAAGCAAATGATTCAATAAGCAAAGGGAAAAATGTTGTAAATTAGGCAAACTGAATGGGCAATAAATATTCCAAATACTCAGCTTGCACCACTAATCCAGAAAAGAAAAATTAAAATTACTACGAGATACAATTTCTTACCCATTAGACTGGTCAAATAAATAGAGGTAGGGTGGTATAAAAATTGCCACAACCACTTTGGAGATGAATCTGGAAATATCTACCACGTTGGAAGATGAGTCTACCATGTGAACAGAAAATTTCTCTTGGGAATACAACTAGAACTACAGCTTCTAAATGCTTCTCACTGGATCCAGTGAAAATCCGTTTTACATCATTAACCAATAAACAGAACATATATATGTGTATGATATATATGTATCTGTGTGTATTTCCATGAAAAATACTTACCCTTACCACATGTGACACACTGGCTTTTAAAATTCTATTTTACTACATCTCTTCATAATGCTGGCCTTACCCACTACTAGATTTAATGTTCCACTAATGGCCATAATGCTGGCCTTACTCACTACTAGATTTAATGCTCCACTAATAGGTCAAGACTTGCTGTTTAAAGAACACTTTGCTTCTAAGGCCCTCGACACATGTACTAACATTGCACGCAGTGCAAAAACCCAAGGAGGTGGCAGTTTTACTGGTCCAAAGCCATCAAAAAGGGGAAGGAGAGGGGAGAACAGCAGCATAAGCGGCTGGCAGAGGCCGGGAAAGACCAGCAGAAGGAAAGAGAGAGACACAGAAAGAGGAAGAGATGGAGGCAGAAAGTCAGAGAGATAGAGGAAGAGAGTGGCAAATAGGGAGTCAGAGAGAAAGAGAGAGACAAAGAAGAAGTCAAAGAGAAAGAAAGAGAGATGGAAGTAGTAAATAAAAAACAGTGTACCCTATTCCTTTAAAAGCCAGGGTAAATTTCTTTCTACCCAGCCAAGGCATATTCTATTTATGTGGATCTTTGACCTATATCTGCCGCCCCACTAACTGGACAGGCACCTGTGCCTTAGTCTTTCTAAGTCCCAACATTAACATTGCCCCAGGAAGTCAAACCTTATCAGTACCCCTCAAAGCTCAAGTCCGTCAGTGCAGAGCCATACAACTAATACCCCTACTTATAGGGTTAGGAATGGCTACTGTTACAGGAACCAGAATAGCCAGTTTATCTACTTCACTGTCCTACTACCACACACTCTCAAAGGATCTCTCAGACAGTTTGCAAGAAATAACGAAATCTATCTTTACTTTACAGTCCCAAATAGACTCTTTGGCAGCAGTGACTCTCCAAAACCACCAAGGCCTAGACCTCCTCACTGCTGAAAAAGGAGGACTCTGCACCTTCTTAGGGGAACAGTGTTGTTTTTACACTGACCAGTCAGGGATAGTAGGAGATGCCACCTGGTGTTTACAGGAAAAGGCTTCTGAAATCAGATAATGACTTTCAAACTCTTATACCAACCTCTGGAGTTGGGCAACCTGGCTTCTCCCCTTTCTAGGTCCTGTGGCAGCCATCTTGCTGTTACTCGCCTTTGGGCCCTGTATCTTTAACCTTCGTGTCAAATTTGTTTCTTCTAGAATCAAGGCCATCAAGCTACAGATGGTCTTACCATCTACCGAGGACCCCTGGACCGACCCGCTGGCCCTTCCACTGGCCTAAAGAGTTCCCCTCTGGAGGACACTACAACTGCAGGGCCACTTCTTCACCCCTATCCAGCAGGAAGTAGCTAGAGTGGTCATCGGCCAAATTCCCAACAGCAGTTGGGCTGTCCTGTTTAGAGGGGGGGATTGAGAGGTGATGACGTGCTAATAGCCTTCGCTCGCTCTCGGTGCCTCCTGGGCCTCGGCATCTGCTATGGCCCTGCTCGAGGAGCCCTTCAGCCCACCTCTGCACTGTGGGGGCCCTTCTCTGGGGCTGGTCAGGGCCGGAGCCGGCTCCCTCTGCTCGCAGGGAGGTGTGGAGGGAGAGGCACGGGCGGCACCTGGGGCTGCACGTGGCACTCGCGGGCCAGCGTGGGTTTGGGGTGGGCGCAGGCTTGGCAGGCCCCACCCTCAGCGCAGCCGGCTGGCACTTGCTGGGCTTGATCAGGTGATGAGCTCCCTCTGGGCTGCCGGAGTGCCCGGGCGAGGTGCCGCAAAGTCCCGTGGCCAGTGCCAGTGAGAGGTGAGGTTGGCTGGGCTTCTGGGATGGGTGGGGACTTGGAGAACTTTTCTGGCTAGCTAAAGTAGCCAGATTGTAAATGCACCAATCAGCACTCTGTGTCTAGCTAAAGGTTTGTAAATGCACCAATCAGCACTCTGTGTCTAGCTAATCAGGTGGGGACTTGGAGAACTTTTCTGTCTAGATAAAGGATTGTAAATGCACCAATCAGCACTCTGTGTCTAGCTAAAGGTTTGTAAAAGCATCAATCAGCACTCTATGTATAGCTAATCTGGTGAGGACTTAGAGGACTTTTGTGTCTAGCTAAAAGATTGTAAACGCACCTATCAGCACTCTGTGTCTAGCTAAAAGTTTGTAAATGCACCAATCAGCATTCTGTCACAACGGACCTATCAGCTCTCTGTAAAATGGACCAATCGGCTCTCTGTAAAATGGACCAAGCAGCAGGATGTGAGTGGGACCAGATAAGTGAATAAAAGCAGGCGACCAGAGCCAGCAGCGGCAACCCGCTGGGGTCCCCTTCCCTGCTATGGAAGCTTTGTTCATTCGCTCTTTGCAATAAATCTTGCTGCTGCTCACTCTTTGGGTCTGTGCTGCTTTTATGAGCTGTAACACTCACTGCAAGGGTCTACAGCTTTATTCCTGAGGCCAACGAGACCACGAACTCCGGACGGGAGGAATGAACAAGTGGGATTACAGGCGCCCGCCACCACGCCCCGGCTAATTTTTATATTATTGGTAGAGACGGGGTTTCGCCATGTTGACCAGGCTGGTGTCGAACTCCTGACCTCCTGATCTGCCCGCCTCTGCCTCCCAAAGTTCTGGGATTACAGGCGTGAACCACCGCACCCGGCTGAAAAAGTTTAAAACATGCATGAGACTGTGAAATGCTGAAGTTAGAGAACAGGCACTCCTCGTGGGCAGGGAAGAACCACAAAAGAGCTTCAAATGTACATATAAAAAGTCACGGTTTACGTAATTGGTGGAGGGCAAAACTCTGGCAGTTGGCAAAGTCTACCTTTCTGCACACATTATATATTTCATAACTTAAGAAGAAGCATGAAACAGAAGAGCTTCACTGGGAACGGGGAGGAGACAGCAGCAGTTTGAGCGGGAGAAACATCAGGGGAGGGGGACTGGCTTTGCTCTGTCGTGTCTGGTTCCCCTCTGGAAGGCCTGAGCCAGGGCCTCCCCATACAGCGGTCACTTCCCGTTCTTTCTGTCTTCTTTAATTCTCAGGACAATCTCGAGTGATGGGGATTACCGCACCCCTGTCACAGCTGAGTAAAGTCAGGCACAATCGCTTGTGCTTGCAGCTGAGAGGCAGGGGCGCCTTCCCGACAGTTAGGCCGCCCTTCCCAGCGCAGGGCACGGTCCCTGGCTGCTAGGGAGGAGACAGGCGCCAAGCGCGGCTCACACAGGGGTGACCAGGCATACAGGAGCGCGATCCCAGTCTTAAAACACACCAACGCCGCCGAGGCCACTTCCTCTGAAGCTCACTTTCCTGCGACCTCAGCAGCCACGCAGAAAAGTCGCCTGGCGTCACCGGGTGCAGAGAAAGCCTGGGCTGCACAGTCCGGGTTCTGGGCGAGCTCGGTAAGGAGCCACACTGGCTGGGCACAGAAACAGCTTGAGCCTCAAATCGAGCAGCCAGGAGGCACCTGCAGGAGGGAGGGCCTGGCTGGGGTCTGCAGCTGGAAGACCTCACCCGCCAGCCCCAGGCGCGTTTGCCTGGCCAGGGTGGGGGTGGCGCTGGCGTCTGTGTCCCAGGAGAGGAGTGCGGTTTTCATGAGGCTTGGGCGCAGAGGCGATCTGTGAGCTGTCATATGCGATGCATTTGTCACACTATCCTTTCTCGCTGTCCTCTGCAGCATTATTCAACGGGAAAACCACGACCAAAGGCGAGGTTGTGCCCAGAGCACCACGAGCTCCGGCTCTGCTGGCACCAGCGCGCACCCTGCGCCACGCTCCTCCAGCGGATGTCACCTGTAGTTCCTGTGCGCCTGTCTCTCCCCAGCTCTGCTCCTGGGTCCCCTGAGGGTCACGGCCCCGCTGGGCCCTCAGTGGCGTCATTGCACAGAGCAGCCCAGGCTTCTTCCTTCAGGCTGACTTAGCTGCTGAGAAACAATATGCCGGCTAGCTCCGGGTCCCACTTCGCCTTCTAGTACTGCGGTGACATGATGAAACAAATGCTTACAAGACAGGGGGTGAAACCATGTAAGTGCTCCCAGGGACAAGAGCAGGTTGAACTGTGGGGCCGGGTGAAGGATGCTTGCAGGGGTGGTTTATTTTGCTCACCCAGCTCAAGCTTCCTCTGTGTCTGAGAGCCCAAACCACTTTCCCTAAATACCAGGACATTCTTTAGGTCCTGAAACATAGGCATGTCCCCTAAAAATCCCACTGTCTCTTCAATGCACCGCCATTGGATGCCTTGTGTTACCTTAGGTATTAGTCAGAGGGGGCTGCGGTAACCAACACCAGAGGCTGGGTGACTCCAAACACTGAAGCTGATTCCCCAAGGCTGCCGGAGGCTGAAGTCCGTGGTCAAGGTGCCAGTGGGGTTGTTTCTCCTGAGGCCTCTCTTCTTGGCCCACTGACGGTGTCCTCCCTGTGTCCTCACATGGCCTTCCCTCTGCACGTGTCTGTGTCCCCATCTCTTATTATAAGGACACCAGTCACCTTGGATTAGGGCCCAGCCCTGTGACATCATTTTACCCTAGTTACCTCTTTAAAGGTCCTGTCTCCAAATACAGACCCATTCTGAAGTGCTCAGGGTTATAACTTCAACGTATGAATTTTGGGGGAAGACACAATTCATTCTGTAACGCCTTATGACTGTCCATGTGCCCTGACTCTCCCCAGGGGGCCAGGCACCCCTTTGCTGTGCTCTCAGGGCCCCCTCTACCCACCGGTAAAGTAGCACTTGGAATGTGCTGTACATGCTCACCTGTTTGCACCTAGGCCTCCAATGGCACCCCCAACACCAGAACACTAACCCCTGGTCAGTAAGGTGCTGTCTCTACCTCCATCCCCAGCGTCATGAGGTATTGTGGAAGGCATTATTGCATGACGCAGGGGGCCTGCCTGCCCTAACTGTAGGGTAAATGCTTGGTTCACACCACCCAGGTGGCAGGCATCACATGCTCTCATTAAGCATACAAGCAAACTTGATTATTGAAGCCTTATTCCTACAATCAAATACTACATTCTTATTGAAAAAAAAAAGCTAAAAAAGACATAAGAAATGTACATCTTAACACATCTGCCTTCTCATCACACTAGGCTCAAATAAGAGGATCCTTGCCACTTGCCTCCTGCATCGTGCCACCTTCTCTTGGCTCCTCACACTGGAAGTGACATCTAGGCAGGCACAGCTCAAACACATCTTTCCTGGCTCTTTTCCCCAGGTCAAGAGTTCCCCGGGAGGGCATACTGTAACTATGTGTGGAAATATCTCTCTCCCAGGATTCTGCAAGCTTCTCAAGGGCAGGAAATCCCTTGATCCATCCAGTCTTACCAGAATGCACACAGGGCTCCACTCGAGATGCTCGATGCATGTTTGGGAGCAGATAAATGAGTGAATAAAAGCTGAAGCCCAATCAGTCCTTCATTTTCTAAGTAGGCTTTCCATTGTTATGACTTTGTTGTCTCTATTACCTCTGCCCCAGAATTCATGCTTTCATGAATGGCTAAGACAATTTTGAGCCTTATGCAAATGTTTTCCCAGGACATAACCAGTGCCTGGTACATATGGCCCTCCGTGCACACTTTTCGGGACTTGAAATGTTTCCTTAAATCACATCAGACTCCTCATCTTTCCTCCCTCTCAATCACCATAGGGCACTGACAAATCCATCCATTCATTCAACACAGTGAGTGCACTGATCTAACCCTGGGGAACAGCAATGAAGGTGCAGTCTTTTTTCCTTCAGCTATTTCCAGGGCTATGGGGAGAGTGCTGTGCATACAAATTAAAATACACCCAAGTAAATATCCAGGCACTGTGGGAGAAGTCTCAAGAGTTCAATGAGATGCCAGGAAGGGCATAGTAGATGCTACCTCAGACTTTGAGAACAGTGGGCACTGTGCCAGACCCAGGCAGGCCCTTAGCTGAGCCTCAGGGACAACCTGAGTGGGGCCAGGGACCCCTGCAGAGGCACGAGATATGCACCCTGGGCTCGCCCAGAGAGCTCAGGAATCCATCCAGGATGGTTGCAACTGAGGATTGTGGAAGGGTGAGCTCGACGCGGCTGCATGTTCAGCCATGGCCAAACCCTGGAGGGCCCTGTGCATCCTGCTGAGAAGCCTAGATTCTTTTCTTCAGCTCTCAGCTTCACTCACCTGCTTTGGATTTATGCACAACACCTACAAAAATAGGCCATGGGGAGTACTGAGGAGCTCCACGGAGAGGAGCCCCAGAAAAGGGACTGCAGGAGACATGAGGGCTGGTGGAAGGTGAGTTGAGGCAGAAATAGCAGGTACCAGCCTGAGGCAGAGCCAGGTACAGGGGAGGGCAGCTTGGGAGCCAGAGCCCGGGGGAGACTCGGGTTAGGGGGGAAAGGTGGGTTCTGAAAGCTTTGTGTATTTCTTTTTCCTTTTAAATGTTTATTCCACTCAGGATGCTTATTACAACTTCCTTGTACTGCAGACATTTGTAAATACTCACCACTGGATGGTAAATTCTTGGAGGGCAGGTACTTGCTTTACTCACCTTTATATCCTATAATCATGAGCACACTAGAGAGCCCAGGCAAAATGTGTTGAATGTACTTGTAGGTCAGTGAGTAAATGGCGTCAAGTTACATGTGGGAGCTTATTTCTTTTCAATCTTTTTCTAATTTTTTCTGAATCCAAGCATCAAGCAGCACTAGAATTCTATACAGACATCTAAATCAGCCTGTGTTTGTTCCAAAGAGGCCAGAGAAGTTTCCCACCACATAGAAGAGAGATTGGAAAATAAAGTCAGGCAAAGAATATGAAAATTGTATTCGTTCTGAGCTCAAGGAGAGCAGAGGACAGATTTCATTGAGGTGTCTATCTCCCACTTACAACATCCACTTTTATAAAGGAAGAAGACAATAATTGCTTATTGGATGAATGAAAAAGATACAAATGAATCAATAATAATGATAAAGATAGAAAGAAGAAAGTGTCATTAATAAGTAGATTTCATTAATTGTCAAAACTGTCCATCCATACCATGTGGTAAATGAAACACAACCAAAGGAAGTGGCTTTCAAAATGTTGATTAAACCCAGCCCATTTCTGATCTATTTAATTTAATTCTTCAGAGTCCTTGGTCTTCAAACCCTAATTCTGGCCTCAGTTTTCCTCTGATGTGCTATAATGAGTCAGTCCTCAGCCAAAGGCTTCCCACAGCACTACGCTTAAAAGAGTTATGGAGCTGTATCCCTCTGGATCATAGAGCAGAGGGCTGTGATTGAATAGTAACGTCTACCATGGCACATGCCCAAATGGTGGGACACATAACATGTGAATTCATCAAAACAACAGTAAGCCTTTCAGGGTGCTAGAAGCTGGAAAATCATTCAATAGCTCGCCTTTGGGCCTATTGGTTCAATTTGTAAACATGCATTTACTGATGACTTAGGGAAACAATGAGAAAGAGTAGGAGACTGGGCATGAATTCCAACTCTGCCACCCACAAACTGTGCAGAACATGCTGAATCCCTCTGGGCATCATTTTGGTCTGAAAAATAGAGCTCCTCAGTCCAGCTGTGGATATGTTGTCCCTGTGCCACACTAGCACACCCTGGAGACCATTAAACTTGTGCTGAATGCATGTGTACATGGGTCAACAAATAAATGGTACAAATGGTGCATAGAATGTACTCAGGGAATGGCATCAAATGTCAGCTCTCATTTTCATTGATCTGCTGTAGATTCATATACATTCCCTATAAAAGTGGGTAGTAAGGGAGGAACATCAGGTCGCCCCCTTCAGAACAGTCCCACACCATTATCCTGTGTGGTAAACACAATCTTAAAATTGGAGATGGTCCCCCAAGTTCCCAGAGACCATCTCCCAGTTATTCAATCAAATTCTAATGTAGATGCTGCTAGTTAGAGATTTTGCATATGTTATTAAGGTTCCAAATCAGCTGACTTTAAGAGAGGGATCTTACCTTTAGTGGGCCTGATCTAACCAGATGAGACCTTACAAGGGACAAGACTCTTCCTGGCAAAAGAGGTTTAAAGTGTGAGAGGGATTCGGCGTGAAGGAAATTCTGGGCTGATGGCTTTGAAGATGTGCTGAGGGCAGCACACTGCTGACAGCAGCAGGGAAATGAGAGCCTCAGCCCTACAGCCACAACGATTGAACTTTGCCACAGCCACTAAGCTTGGAAG
Source organism: Homo sapiens (assembly GCF_000001405.40). NCBI lineage: Eukaryota > Metazoa > Chordata > Mammalia > Primates > Hominidae > Homo > Homo sapiens. The sequence continues at coordinate 128,897,334 of NC_000002.12, read as the reverse complement.
AGGACCCAAACTCCAGATGAAACACAGCTCTGCCAACAGCTTGATTGTAGCCTCACTAGGCTGTTAGCAAAGAACTGTATGCTGCGCCCAGACTTCTGACCTACAGAGCTGTGAGGTGTGATCTAAGTTTATGATCATTTGTTACGCAGCAATAGAAAACTAATGCACCCTAACCCTTCTTTTGCAAATTTTATATTCCTATGCTTTAAAAGTGTTCTTAAGACTGCCATAAAAATCATGTTCCTGGAAGGACGCTTTTTTTTTTTTTTGAGACGGAGTCTCACTCTGTGGCCCAGGCTGGAGTGCAGTGGCCTGATCTCGGCTCACTGCAAGCTCCGCCTCCCGGGTTCTAGCAATTCGCCTGCCTCAGCCTCCTGAGTAGCTGGGACTACAGGCGCCCACCACCGCACCCAGCTAATTTTTTGTATTTCCAGTAGAGATGGGGTTTCACCATGTTAGCCAAGATGGTCTCGATCTCCTGATCTCATGATCAATCTGCCTCGGTCTCCCAAAGCACTGGGATTACAGGCATGAGCCCTCAAGCCCAGCCAGAGACATATTTTTAAACATGATCTTTAACACCTTACAAGGGATGGCAACAGTAAGACTCAAGATAATCCCCCGAAATGAGCCATGGCCTCTCATCATGCTGTGATTATCAGTGTATTGTGTTACTTTACTTTTATAATAGCGTTCAGGTTGTTTTTTTTTGTCTTAAGAATGAAACTAATACATGCTTATTAAAAAATTTAAAGTCTCAGAAAAGCAGAAATAAACAAACAAAGCATTAGTAATCCCCCACTCAGAAGCAATCCCTGTTAATATATTGACGGCAATATATTCCTTTTAAATTTATTATACATTTATTTTAACAAAATTCAGAACATAATATATATTCTACTGCTTTTCAGATTTCTTTGACTATAGCCCAATAACATATAGATTTTACATTACTGAGAAAAAAGTTCACAAAACAATACTGTCTTAGTCCATTTAGTGTTGCTATAAAGGAATACCTGAGGCTGAATAATTTATTTGAAACAAAAGGTTTATTTGGCTCATGATTCTGCTGGTTGGAAGGTTCAAGACTGGACATATGGGGAGGGCCTCAGGCTGCTTCCACTCGTGGTGGAGGCAAAGGGGAGCTGGTGTGCAGAGATCACATGGAAAGAGAGGAAGCAAGACAGGGCAGGGTGCCAGGATCTTTAACAACCAGCTTTTCAGGGAACTCATAGAGCAAGAATTCACTCAACCCCGACCCCAGGGAGGGCATTATTAATCTATTCATGGGGGATCCACCCTCATGACCAAAACACCCCTGTCAGGCCTCACCTCAAACAATGGGGATCAAATTTCAACATGACGTTTGGTGGGAACGACCAACCCATATCCAAACATCCAAATTATGCCAAAGACTTACCCTTATTACTTGCAATAAATTCTGATAGTTTCTATCTTGTTTCATTTCTTAAAAAATATTTTTTGCAACCTACTAAACTGATTGCAAGACCCACTAATGTGTTATTACCTGTAGTTTCAATAACTACACTTCACTATTCATTCAAGATACAATTTTGTATCTTGAATTTTCTACTTTGCATCATTTCATGGAAACTCCCATGTCATTAAAGTAATTTTAAACATGCTTACAATTATTAAATTTCATTGAAGTATCATATTTATTTTATTTACCCATGTTCCTATACTTGAATACTAGATTACTTCATATTTTTAATTAACATTTTTCTTGCCCATTAACATTTGTATATGCCTTAGTGTGGACACCAAGAAGTGAAATCACTAAAGTGTTTGTATAAATATCTATCTCCCTTCTAAACAGTATTTATTCATACAAGGAGCCTGAATCAAGACCGTTCATGCCCTCCTCCCCTGGAGCCCCCAGCACTCACCTAATTAGCCAGGGAAAATAGGGCCTGGAGAGCACTGTTCTCTGTACCTTGTTGGCCTGAAGGCTAGAAACCTTGGAGGAAACACTATGCCTGTGGTTCTCAACCAGGCAAGAAAGACAGGAGGGTCCTTCAGCTACAGGTGCCCAAGCAGCACAATAGCTCCACAGCTGCCAAAATATTTTCATTTCTCATGACCTGCTGGTATTGTTATTTCTAATGAACTGATTTTCATTGCTGCTAAAGCAGCCTGGCATCTCTCTTCTCTCCAACAGACTGCCTTCCCAAGCAGCCAGTATTTAACATAAATGCCCCCACAGGGCAGCCCTCTCACCTGCTGCTCCCAGCCTTCCCTCCCTCCACATCCTCAGAGGCAGCCCAAGGACCTTACTTTCCACCTCTCTACTCTGACTTAAAATGCCCCTCTCTCTTAAGTGCAATATCTCCCTCAAACCATTTAATGCAATACTTATAGCAGAAAATTCACTTCTGTCTGCATTAGGTAAGTATGAGTGCATATCTCCTGAAATAAGCAGATGTTAGGGGGTTTTCATGGGAGCCCCTGCCCCTGTGTTTGTCGGGTGATAACACAAGCTGGGAAGGAGGGGAGTCATCTTACATGGTGAGGGCCTCTACAGAAGCCAGACCATATCTTCCACCTAGGGCGCAGGATGGGTGAAGGTGAGGACTGGGCGCATGCATAGGTGTTGCACGTCTGTCCTTTCCAGAGAAAACATAATGGAATGCATTATTTCACATCTCACTGCTTTTGGCTGTACACCATTCTTTCCCTTCTCCTCTTGGCTAATTTCTACTTATGCTGCAAGACTCAACCCAGAAGTCTTCTTCAGGAAATTTTTCTTTGACTTCCCTGTTCTGAGCTGGAACAGCACCCTCATGTGCCTCTTGCACTGGAGTATAATTATTTCTTTACTTTTCTTGGTAATGCGTCTTAATTTACTTTTGTATACCCAGCAAGGTGTATGTTACATAGTATGTACTCAGTAAGGTTTTTTTTTTGCAATAAACTGAAAAGGTACAGAATTATCAACTCACAACTTTGAGGTTCCTGTAATGAAAATGGGCACCATTTCTCCCCTCCACTTAATCCTGACCTCTAGGTGCTAGAGGTGTCATTGGTCATAGTAGAGAGTACTGAAGATTTCCACTTTGTCATATATCACATATAGTATATGTATGTGTGCATGTGTGCACGCATGTGCATGTATGCATGCATGTGTGTGTGTTTCATTTTGGCTTAAACAACAGGAATTTATCATCTTCTATCTCTGAAGGCTGAAAGTCCAAGACCAAGGTGCAGCAGGGTTGCTTCCTTCTGAGGGCTATGAGGGAAGGATTGGTTCCAGGCCTCTCTCCTTGGCTTGGCGATGGCCGTCTTCTCCCTACGTCTTCACATCATCTTCCCCTTAAGCATGTTTGTGGGTCGTATCCACTTCTTATAAACATGCCAGCCATCCTGGATTAGCATCCACCCTCATGACCTCAGGCTCACTTTTAGGCACCTGGGCAGCACCACAATTTTACTAATTACACAACTGTATTATACAACTTTACTACTAACATCTGCAATGACCCTATCTTCTAATAAGATCACATTCAGAAATGTTCAGGGGCCTCACATGGATTTAGGAGGGGGACACAGTTCAACCCATAACATATGCCAGGTAAGGACAAAGAAATTTTCCCATCAGGAGCCCACCCCTGATTAAATCCAACTCTAGTCAAGTGCTTACTGTGTAGGAGATCACACAGGATCATAGGATCATAGGATCCTGGGCTAAGGCAGTAAAATGGAAGAACTGAGTTTCTCTGCCTTTGAGGATCTGGGGGTGGGATGACAGTATAATAGTGCCTAGCATGGTTCCTGGCACATCACAGGCATCCCATAATTGTTTAAAGAATATGGTCCTGCTCTGGGAGTCAGAAACCCTAGACTTTAGATTTCAGTTTTGCCACTTGTTTGCTGTGTAGCACCAAAGCCACTTCCAGCCTCTGAGGCTTTGTCTTATAATTTAAATCAAATAAGAAATGACATGATTACGGTAGGATGCAATGGCAACTGAAATGCAACCATGCCCTCTGGAGAGAGCATTGTCACCCACAACATTAATCAGTTTGTAGGTCATGTTTGCTAAACAGACTAATTTTCTTCTACCAAATCAAGTGAGAATTCTGACTTTTCATTACAATTCTCAAAAAGCAACATTTCTATCCCTTCCACCAGTTGCAGGTATAGGCATACGTCATTTAATTGCAGTTTGCTTTACTGTGCTTCCCAGATACTGTGTTTTTTGTTTGTTTGTTTGTTTTTTTACAAATTGAAGATTTGTGGCAACCCTGTACCAAGCAAGTCTGTTGGAGCCATTTTCCCAACAGCACATGCTCACTTCATGTTTCTGTGTCATGTGTTTCAAACTCATAGTGGAAGGGTAAATACTAGACTGGTAAATTAGGGAAAAGTATTGGGATTCTTGCGTACCAAGAGCCTGTAGAGAGGGAACCTGTAATACACATAGTCCAAATCTCACTCTCAAAAATTTAAATGGACTTAACTAAAATTAATTGAATGTGTCATCAAAACATGAACTAGCATAATTTCTGATTAGACCAGAATGAACAGTCCTTTATTCGATCTATCTCATAGAAGAAAGCGTGATTCATTCTAAGGGAAAATAATATTTTTTCTCATCTCTGTAATTTTTTAAAACATAATGCCTCATCAAAAATTATAAAAGGTGCAAAGAATTAAAAATTACCGTAAATGTAAATAAACAGAAAAAAATGAGATTCATAATCAAGAGAAAGAATATTCAATAATTAGCTGACCCACAGATGACCTGGATATTAGAATTAACAGGCAGAGACTTTAGGTGCTATCATTATAGTAAAGACATTAGAAGAAAGGATAAAAATAGGGAATTTTGGTATGGAAATAAAATTCTAAAAAATTAGGCATTTCAGATCAGAAATTATGTGAAATTAATAAATTAAATAAATAATAATTAATTAAATTAATAAAACCTGAGTTTAGCAAAACTATGGACATAGAAAAAAAGATTAGTTAATGAGAAGACAATATTAAATAAATTTTCCAAACTGAGGCCAGAAAAGAGAAAAAATAAATAAAATAACAGACCATGAGTGACATGTAGGACAGAGAAAAGGGAGCAGTATTTGAAGAGATAACAGCTGAGAATGTTCCAAAACTGATAAAAGATATCAACTAACTGATTCAAGCAGGATAATAAGAAAAACACACATAGGCGCTCTATAATCAAACTGCTGAACACCGAAAATAAAAATAAAAGCTGAAAAGCAGCACTGTCCCCAACCCCCTAAAAAGATATGGGAATAGCAATGAGAATTACAAGTGTCTTGACAACAAAAATGATGGAAGCCAAATAATAAACAGATATCCTTAAAGTGTTAAAAATAAAATTGTCTAAACTAGAATTGTATATCAAGTAAAAAATTATTTAAACGTAATTGAAATAAAGACATTTTTAGTCAAACAAAAACTAAGAACATTTGTTTATAAGCAACGCTTACCCTCAAATAAATAATAAAAGCTCAAGTTAACCAAAAATAATACCAGCCTGAGGCACAGTTTTACAGGAAGAAATGAGCATCAGCAAGTAAACACACACACGTGCGTGAACACACACACACACGTAAATATGGAGAACTTTTTTATGTTAAAGACTGTTGATGGCTAAGAACAACAAAAAATGTACTCTGCAAATGATAACATACAGAAGTAAAATACATGAAAATAGCACAGATGGCGTGAGAGTATAAATGGAATTACATTGTTTTAAGATTCTAAAAAAATACTAATTCAAAGTAGTTTATAATAAATTAAAGATGCACCTTGCAATAACCACTAAAAAAGTTAAAAGGACATTACTAAATAGTCCATGCAGAATACAAATGATATAATAAAAATTACTAAGTTTTAAAAAGAAAGAAAAGAAGAACAAGGAAACAAGCAAAAAAAGGCAAATAGAACACAAACTCTAACGCAATATACTTACTGATGTCAATAGGCATATTAAATCAAAATGAGCAAAACAATCTAAAGACAGACATTGTCAGATGGGATAGATGAGAGAAAATTATATGGTGCTTATAAACACATAGTTTAAGTGAAAGGACAAAAAGTCGTGGGAAGGTAAATGGTTGGGAAAATGTGACATGCAAATACTAGCCACCAGAAAGCTAATGTAGCCCCATAAGTATCAGATGGAGTAAACTTCAAGACAAGGAAAATTTGGGAAATAAATAAAAGTATCTCATAATTAAATGGATCAATTTATTTGAAAGACATGACATTTCTAAATCCCTATGTTTCTAATAACATAGCATCAAATAACATAAAGCAAAAATTAGCATAACTATTGAGTGAAAATATACAAATTCACAATCAAAGCCACATAGTTTTACCCACATAGCTCAGGAATTGATAGAGCAAGCAGAAGAAAAAAAATCAGTAAATATAGAGAAAAATTTTAAAGTGCTATTAGACAATTTAACCTCATTGATGACTTAGAACTACATCTAACTTTTTCAGAATCAAGATTCTTTTTAAGAACATGTGGAATATTCAGCAAAATAGACCAAATGCTCAACTGTAATGGAAGTCTCAGTATATCTCAGAGAATTGTAATCAGAGTATGCTTTAAGGAAAAAATAGAATTAAATTTAAAATCAATAAAAAAGACAACTAGAAAGTCCTCAGATATTTGAAAATTAAACAACACATTGCTAAATAATTTATGAGTCTAAGAAAGAATCAGACAGAAATCAGGCTATATTTGGAACTGAGTAGTAATGAAAGTATACTTATGAAAGTTTGTGGGATACAGTTAGAGCAGGGATTAAGGAGAACTCCATAGTGTTAAATAACTATATTAGAAAAAAAGAGAAATGTTTAATATTAATTATCTAAGTTTCCATCTCAAGAAACTAGAAAACAGAAAAGCAAATTAAACCAAGGCAAATAAAAAAATGTTATGATAAAAGACAAATAAATTTTTTAAAAGATGTAAAATGGAAAAAAGATAAATGAAACTAGTTTGGTTATTAATAAAGCTTAGTAAAACCAGCCAACTTTTGTCAAGACTGATAAAAATAAATAAAAGACACAGATTACCAATAGAAAAAAATGAAAAAGGAGACATTACTACAGAGCCTGTAGGAATTAACAGGATAATAGAAGGGAAAGGAACTTTCAGAATAGTAGAGAAGTGGGGGAGGATTCTCTTTCCAACAAAACAACCATTCAACTAGGGAAAATTATTTGTGTTTAAAGAGCTATTATCTGAAGTCTATGGAGGCACAAATGAATTAATGGAGTAACATTCAAGAAAGTAAGATTCAAGAAAATCTACAATAACGTACTAAATGTCAGTAAGAACAGCAAGAGTTAGCAGCATTGGAAGCAGAACATGCTCCCCTCCCCAATCTCAGGTTCAGTATTATGGAAATCACTCCAGGGGTTCCGATCCAGGTGAGAGTAGTCCAGAAGAAAGGTGACCATTTTCCTCTCATCTCCCAGCCTAGAGCTCTTTGTCATAACGGGAAAAGCAGGCCACTGGGGTGTCTCATCTCCTTCAGCTCTGTGATGCATAAGCTCTGTTTGGGCAGGCTCAGTGGAGAAGACCAGTATTTTCTTCCCCAACCAGCCCCACTCATAGGTCAGAAGCTCAGCTCCAGGCACAGTAGGCCAAGATTCCTGAGCCCTGATCACAGTCACTTCCTCCTAAGCTGCCTTATCATCAGGTGGCTTGCTGAGATGGACATGGGGTGGCTTGCTGAGGAAGGACAAGCTAAGATGACCAGGGTCCTCCTTACCCACCTGCTAGTGCCCCATTGTAGGACAGCTATGTCAGAGAGGATGACAGCTATCTTCTGCAGAGGCTCTCCCCAGGAGGAGCAGCAGGTCATAGCAAAGAATGTTGTAGCTCCACCTGAGGGAGTTCATTCAGAGCATCTAAAATGCTTACAGTGTTGTCATAGAGAAATTGGAGATCTAGAGAAAGAGCAATTAAAATAGCAGAGTGCTCACAGCTCCATGACATCAGTAGCAGCAAGCAAAATGGCAGAGTGGCCAGAACTTTAACAGTGAGAACCAGGGAACAAGAAAGCCAGGAAGAACCCTTCTGGAATCACAGTCCACTCTGCTGCCGGGGGCTCCTGTGGGCATGTAAGCAGGTGGAGGGCAGACTTGAAAGCATGCCTCAAGCTGCACTCAGAGGCATCACCAATAGTGTAATTCTCACTGGTACTGGGGGCTTCAGCACAGCCTCTGACCAAACACTGGGTAAGCAATATGCTGCTCTGAACCATGGGCAAAGCCTAAGGAGCCAGGCACAAAAGTGAAGTCATAAACACACCTGACAGTCTGAAAGACTGTGAGCATGCACAAGGTTGGGCCCCCTCAGGTGTAATCAGAGAGACAAAATCTAAGCTTTTGATGCCTGACTGAACGTAGAGCAACAGCATAAACTCCAGGAACTGTGATTTCAGTCCCCAAGTCTCACACACACATCTAATGTTGAAGGGTCAATATCTATCTTGCCAAGAAGGCTTAAGCACAACCTTTGACGTAAAGTGACTTAGGCTGGCCCAGGGGTGGCCCCTGGATAACCAGGTGTATTAGTCAGGGTTCTCTAGAGGGACAGAACTAATAGGATAGATATATAGATATAAAGGGGAGTTTATTAAGTAGTATTAACTCACATGATCACAAGGTCCCACAATAGGTCATCTGCAAGCTGAAGAGCAAGGAAGCCAGTCTGAGTCCCAAAACTGAAGAACTTGGAGTCTGATGTTCTAGGTCAGGAAGCATTCAGCATGGGAGAAAGATGTAGGCTGGGAGGCTAAGCCAGTCTAGCTTTTTCATGTTTTTCTGCCTACTTTTTATTTGCTGGCAGCTGATTAGATGGTGCCCACCCAGATTAAGGGTGGATCTGCCTTCCCCAGCCCACTGACTCAAATGTTAATATCCTTTGGCAACATGCTCACAGACATACCCAGAATCAACACTTTGCATCCTTCAATCCAATCAAGTTGACACTCAGTATTAACCATCACACCAAGCTAAAAGACAATGAAAACAAAAATAAATAAATCTAAGCGGGGATTCAGTGACTGCACAGCCCAGGAAAGACCATATGGTAAGCTACAAAGCAAGCCTCAATAAATTTCAAAGGATTGAAATCATACAAAGTATGATTGGCAGCAATGGCATAAAATTATAAAACAAGAAAAGAAAAGTTATGGAATCTAATAATATGTGGAAATTTAGCAACACTTCAAAATAACTGGAGAGTCAAAGAGAATTCACGTGGGAAATAAGAAAATACCTTGAGATGAATAAAAATGACAACACAACACTTACAGGCTGTGGCTAAAGCAGTGGTCAGATGGAAACCTATGGTTATAAATGCCTGTAGTTTTTTAAAAAGAAGAGTCCCTAATCAATAGCATAAATACGTACAGTATATTAAATTAGAAGAATATTATAAATTGAAAGAAAAAATAAAATGTTAAAGATTACAGTGAAAAAAATAAAATGGAGAATAGAAAAATAATAGAAAAAATTTTAAAACCAAAAGCTGTTTGTAAAAATTAACAGAATTGACAAATATTTGGCTACATGACCCAGAAAAATATAGAAAACTAAACCTACCAAAATCAGGAATGAAAGAGGGTGTATGTGATTATTGACTTTACAGAAATAAAAAGGATAACAAGAGAATACTATGAACAGCCATTTACTGACTTGTTTTATTCAAGTTACTGATAACTGAAATTGACAAATCCCTAAAAGGATACAAACTACCAAAAATGACTCAAAAAGAAATGGAAAATCTGAATAGATCTATAACAAGAGACTTAAGCAGTAATTTTAAAATTTCCCACAAACTAAAATTGAACCCCAGATGGTTTCAATGGTAGTTTCCACTGACCATTTTTTAAAAACAAATTAATACCAATTTCTCATAAAGTCTTTAGAAAAAATGAAGATGATAAAATACCTCTCTACTCATTCTGTGAGGTCACTATCACCCTGATACCAAAACCAGACAAAGATGTTACATGCACAGGAAACTACAAACCAGCCTCCCTTATGACTACAGACACAAAAATCCTCTACAAAATACTAGCAAATGAAATTCAGCAAGTTATATAAAGGATTATATACTGTAACCAACCGGGATTAATCCCAGGAATGCAAGGTCTTTTTAGCATAAGAAAATCAATCAATTAAGTGTATAAATGATCAAAATTATATGTTCATTTCAATAGACATAGAAGAACTTTTGACAAAATCCAGTAGGCTTTCATAATTTAAAGATTTTTAAAATTCTACAACTAGGAATAGAAAGAAACTTCCTCAACCTGATAAAGGGCATTTACTAAAAACTCATAGCTAATATCATACTTAATGGTGAAAGATTAAATGCTTTTCCTGTAAGATTAGAAAACTGACAAGAAGGTCTACTCTTGCCACTTGTATTCAACATTGCGCTGGATGTTTTAGTCAGGCATTTAAGTAAGAAAAAGAAATAAATACCACCTGCATAATTCTGTTTACGGAAAATGCTAAAAAATATATTAGAAACTAGTTAAGCTAATATCAACAATGTTGATAACTTTGAGTTACCAATGTATCAATTTTCAGATTGGCAAGGTTGCAACATACAAGATCAAGATACAAAAATCAGTTGTATGTCTATATTTTAGCAATAAACAACCAAAAAACTGAACTAAAAAATTCTTTTACAATAACATCAAAAATAATAAAATACACAATAAATTGAATAAATGTAAGACTTGCAAACTGAAAACTACGAACCATGTTTGAAAGAAAATAAAGATCTAAATAAGTAGAAAATATCCATGTTCATGGATTAGAACAATTAATATTATTAAATGGGATTACTTCCCAAACTGATATCCAGACTAAATGTAATCCCTATCAAAATCCTATCTGGCTCTCTTGCTAATATTGTCAGGCTGATACTAATAATCCATATGGAAATACATGGGACCTAGAATAGCCAACATATTGAATAAGACAAAGTTGGAAAATTCACACTTCTAAATTTCAAAACTTACTACAAAGCTATGGTAATCCAAACAGTGTGGTACTGGCATAAGGGTAGACACATTGGTCAATAGAATAGAATTGTGAATGCAGAAATCAATCCATATGTCTATGAACAAGTTGTTTTTGACAAGGGGATATTCAATGGGCAAAAAAATAGTCCTTTCAACAAATGATTCTGTGACAGCTGGATTTTACTTGTGAGGAAAAAAAGTTGGACCCATATCTTACACCATACACAAAAATTTACTCAGAATAGATGATGGTGCTTAAATGTATGAGCTGAAATTATAAAACTCTCTAAGAAGAAAACTTAGGAGTAAGTGTTCATCATATTGGTTTAACTTATTCTTTTGATATGACAGCAAAAACACAAGCAGCAAAAGAAAAATCTATAAATTGGAGTATATCAAAATTAAAACCTTTTATACTGCAAATAATACTACCAAGAAAGTGAAGGAAAAACACCACACAGAATGGGAAAATATATTTGTAATTCCTATACCTGATAAGAGAGTTATATCAAATTCCCCTTTAAATCATTTTTAAAAATATGAATAATCCAACTTTAAAAGTGGACAATGAAACTCAGTAGATATTTCTCTGAAGAATATGTGCAAATAGCCAGTAAGTACATGTAGAGGTGTCAACAGTTACCATATTACCCAGCAAACCCACACCTTAGTATATATTCATGAGAAATGAAAACATATGTTCACAAAATATCTTGTACACAAATATTCACAGCAGCATTATTCATAATGGCCCTAAAGTGAAAATAATCCATGTGTCCATCAAATTATGAGTGATAAACAAAATTATGTATATTGATACAATGAATTATTATTCATCAATAGAAAGGAAAGAAGTACTAATATATACCACAACAGAGACGAATCTTAAAAAAGTTATCCAAGGTGAAAGCAACTAGTCACAAAATACTACATATTGCACAATTTCATTTCTATGAAATGACTAAAACTGACAAGTTCATAGAGACTGAAAGTAAATTACTGACTGTCGAGGTTTGGAGGAGGAGGAAAGAGTAGTGAATGCTAATAAATATGAAGTGATGAAAATACTGTTAACTTAGATTGAAGTGATAGTTGCAGAATTCAGTGAATATAGTAAAAACTAATAAATTGTATATTTTAAAAGAGTCAATTTTATAGCACTTAAATTATATCTCAATAGTCTTTTTAAAATGGTAATAATCAGAAGGTTTTAAACAGCCTTATGTTAACAATTTTGACAATTTAGATGAAATGGACAAATTACTTAAAAAACACAGTTTACAAAACTGATACCAGAAGAAATTTAAAAATCTGAATTAAAAATATAATAAAAATGGTTGTTAAGAAATTGAATCACTATAATATTTCTATAAAAAGAACTCCAGGCCCAAATAGTTTCACTGGTGAATTCTATCAAATTAGGAAGCAATAATACCAATATTACACAATATTTTCTTTAGAAAAAAAGGACACCCATCTTTATGATTCCCTACATAAATAACCCTGTTATAAAAGTTTTACTAATATATATATTTTTAAAGAAAATTACAGATCAACATTATTCAAGAACAGAAATCATAAATAAAATATCAGCAAACTTAATTAAACAATTCAGTCAATCACAGCTCACCACAGCCTCGACCTCCTGGACTCAAGCATCAAGCAGTCCTCCCACCTCAGCCTCCCAAGTAGCTGTGACTACAGGCATGCACCACAAAGCCCAGCTAATTTTTGTATTTTTTGTAGAGACAGGGTTTCATTATGTTGCCCAGGGTGGTCTTGACCTCCTGGGCTCAAGCAATCTTCCTGCCTTGGCCTCCCAAAGTGCTAGGATTACAGGTATGAGACATTGAGCCCAGCTAACAGCATCTTAAAAGTATAATGCATCATGATCAAACAAGGTTTAAGGCAAGACTGCAACATTTAACATGTAAAAATCATCATATTACTAGAATAAAGAAGAAAATTCATGAAATCCTTTTATCACATTCAGGAAAATGCTTGATAAAATTCAATACCTATTCATCTTTAAATCTACAAAAAATTCCAGCAATTTAGAAACTTGCACAATCTATATACTTAAGATAGATGATAGATGGATGATAGATGATAGATAGATAGATAGATAGATAAATGATAGATGAGAGAGATAACAAAACAATGCATCACTACCACCACCCCTCCCCCGGCACACAGGGTACTCTTAAACCTTTTCTATGCTCTGGAGTAGCAGTGTCTCTTAAACTTAGTGTGCATTCCCATCTGGAAGGTGCGGTGGGTCCCATCTCTGGAGTTCCTGATTCAATAGGAGATCCAGGGTGGGGTTTGAGAATCGACATTTTTGCTTCTCTAGGATCACACGCTGAGAAAAACTGTCATATAATATAAATATCACTGGAATCATATGTAATTTAAAGGTGAGGTGAACAACTGTAAAAACATTTTGACCCAGTCTCTACTTAATGGTATCCTGCTGAGAGGTGAAGCCAGATGAGCTTCAGGGTCGGGTGAGGACTTGGAGAACTTTTCTGTCTAGCTAAAGGATTGTAAACACACAAATCAGCACTCTGTAAAAATGTACCAATCAGCACTCTGTGTCTAGCTAAAGGATTGTAAATGCACCAATCAGCACTCTGTAAAAATGCACCAATCAGTACTCTGTGTCTAGCTAAAGGACTGTAAATGCACCAATCAGCATTCTGTAAAATGGACCAATTAGCACTCTGTAAACTGGACTAATCAGCAGGACTTGAGCAGGGCCAAATAAGGGAGCAAAAGCTGCTCACCCCAGCCAGCAGTGGCAACCGTGTGGCAGCTTTGTTCTTCTGCTCATCACAGTAAATCTTGCTGCTGCTCACTGTTTGGGTCCGCACTACCTTTATGAGCTGTAACACTCACTGAGAAGGTCTGCAGCTTCATTCCTGAAGTCAGCGAGACCACAAACCCACCTGGAGGAACTAACAACTCCAGACGCACCACCCTTAAGAGCTGTAACACTCACTGCGAAGGTCTGCAGCTTCACTCCTGAAGTCAGTGAGACCACGAACCCACCGGAAGGAAGAAACTCCGGACACATCTGAACATCTGAAGGAAGAAACTTCAGACACACCATCTACTTTTTTTTTTTTTTTTTGAGATGGAGTTTAGCTCTTGTTGCCCAGGCTAGAGGGCAGTGGTGCGATCTCGGCTCACTGCAACCTCCGCCTCCTGGGTTCAAGCAATTTTCCTACCTCATACTCCCAAGTAGCTGGGATTACAGGCATGTGCCACCACACCCGGCTGATTTTTTTTTTTAATTTTTAGTAGAGATGGGGTTTCTCCATGTTGGCCAGGCTGGTCTTGAACTCCTGACCTCAGGTGATCCACCCACCTCGGCCTCCCAAAGTGCTGGGATTACAGGCATGAGCCACTGCGCCTGGCTGGGCACACCATCTTTAAGAGCTGTAACACTCACTGCAAAGGTCCGCAGCTTCATTCTTGAAGTCAGCAAGACCAAGAACCCACCGGAAGGAATAAATTCCGGACACACTGCTAGTTGTCATTCCAAATTATTCATTGGTAACTGCCTTATTAAAAATTTCTGTTTATTTTTGAATCTTTGACACTCTACATTTTTCTAAGAGACAATCCATGTTCTCTTCTTTTTGCCCAGGCAAAAATAGTCTCATAATTTTGTTCTTCTCTGTTCATGGTTTGTCTTTTTTTCTTATTTCTAATTTCTTTTTGTTCTTTTTTTTTTTTGAGGTCTCTACAATTGGTTTATTTTTTTATTATTATTATACTTTTAAGTTCTAGGGTACATGTACACAACATGCAGGTTTGTTACATATGTATACATATATGTATACGTGGTGTGCTGCACCCATTAACTCGTCATTTACATTAGGTATATCTCCTAATGCTATCCCTCCCCCATCCCCCCACCCCAAGACAGGCCCTAGTGTGTGATGTTCCCCTTCTTGTGTCCAAGTGTTCTCATTGTTCAATTCCCACCTATGAGTAAGAACATGCGGTGTTTCGTTTTTTGTCCTTGCGATAGTTTGCTGAGAATAATGGTTTCCAGCTTCATCCATGTCCCTACAAAGGACATGAACTCATCCTTTTTTATGGCTGCATAGTATTCCATGGTGTATATGTGCCACATTTTCTGTATCCAGTCTATCGTTGATGGACATTTGGGTTGGTTCCAAGTCTTTGCTATTGTGAATAGTGCTGCAGTAAACATATGTGTGCATGTGTCTTTATAGCAGCATGATTTATAATCCTTTGGGTATATACCCAGTAATGGGATGGCTGGGTCAAATGGTATTTCTAATTCTAGATCCTTGAGGAATTGCCACACTGTCTTCCACAATGGTTGAACTAGTTTACAGTCCCACCAACAGTGTAAGAGTGTTCCTGTTTCTCCACATCCTCTCCAGCACCTGTTGTTTCCTGACTTTTTAATGATGACCATTCTAACTGGTGTGAGATGGTATCTCATTGTGGTTTTGATTTGCATTTCTCTGATGGCCAGTGATGATGAGCATTTTTTCATGTGTCTTTTGGCTGCATAAATGTCTTCTTTTGAGAAGTGTCTGTTCATATCCTTCCCCCACTTTTTGATGTTCTTAATTGATCTTGCGAGAGTCTTCTCATTTTTTAGTCCTTAAGAATAAACAAAACAAATTTTATTTGTTCTTTTTACTATTATTTTTTCTTTAAAGATTCCAGAAGTATTTACCATTATTTCTTAGTTTTTAGCTAATTTAGGTTTTCTAAGACAATTTTCTCTCTTTACTTGTTCCTGGCTCCTTTATCATCAGTCCTTCTCTTTCATAAAGGAGACCAATAAAGCATTAAGTTTGCATCTGAGTGTAACATCACCTATGGCTCCAGGCATGCACTCTTTTCATTTCTTGATTTCTAGGTATTTAGTAATTTCTGGTTTACCTCTCCTTTGAATCCTTGGCATCCAGAAACACCCTTCTTCTGGCCTGACAGAACGTTATGTAACCCGGATGGAGGATTCTTGCGTTGTGGTCTATTTTCTTCAGGGTTTCTTTAAGGTTCTTCCACCATCTTTTAGTCTCCAATGTTGCAGATGAGAAAAAAATAAATATATTTATATGTCCTGACCCCATTAATTTTCATTTGTTAATAAGCTGTTCTTTCTGTTGAAAGGCATGTATATTTCCTTTTATCCTTGGACCTCAGAAATTTACTAGGAGAAGTGTCCACGTTGTCTGAAACCCAGCCTTTTTAGTCAGTGAACAGTTTTTCTTCAGATCAGTGAAAATTTCCTCTATTATTTGTTTAACTATTACCTCTTCCCCATCTGTTCCTTCTTCCCCTTCTGGAGCTCTTGCTATCCATGTGCTAGATATCCTGGATCTGTCCTCTGGGTCCCTCTGTTTCTCCCTCATTCTTTCCTTTGAGATTGGAAACACTGCCTCTCCCTGATCTTCCAGGTCACTGACTTGGTTGTTCAGTGAGCATTTTCCTAGAAATGAGGAGGAAGCTACTCAGAGACCCAGACAGTCCTCTAGAGCCAGGAAGCTCTGACAGCCCTTCTAAAATATAAACACGCACAAAAACCACACACAAGCACACACCTACACACACAGACACATTCACACATGCAACACACCAAACTCACACTTGCACACACACCCATACACATATACCCCTCAGCCTTCTCTAAGATAACTAGGTGACTGAAGGCACAGTCTCACCCCAGGACTTGGCTGCTGGTCCCCACATTGTTCTCAGGGACAACATAGCCCTGACAATACTCTCCCACACAGACTCCAGCAGAGCCCCAACCCAGTGTACACCTTCTCAGCCTGGTTGGCTTAGACTAGAAGGCTCCCTCTGACTGCAGCTCAGCCATTTTTAGGCTTGTGTGGCCTCTGAAATCACAATCAGTTATGCAGCAAGCCTTGGTGATAGGGACAGGAGGCAGGGAAATTCTGAGCAGAAGAGGGTGGTTCCCAGTGAGGGTCCCGGCCTCAAGCCTGGAACATCAACCCAAAGTGAGAACATGCATTCCTGTTTTCCCACTCAAATGTTGCCTTTTTCAAAACCGCCTATGGCCCACCCCACCCCCCATCCTGTGCCTATAAAAACCCCAGCCTCCACTGGCAGAGAGAGGAGAGAGGAGAATAGGAGAAGCAGTGGGACATCAGAGACTACAGTTGGACATCAGAGAGAAGCAGCTTGATTTCACAGGGACGGCTTGACAGCATTGCTTCAGAGAGGAGTTCAGCTGGGGACAGCTGGACTCTGGGGAAAGATTATCTTCCTGCTCCATCCCCTTTCCAACTCCCCTTCCCACTGAGAATCACCTTCATAAGCAATAAAATCCTCCATATTCATCTCCCTTCAATTCGTTCATGCAACCTGATTTTTCCTAGATGCTGAGCAAGAGCTTGGGCGCCACGGGTATGGATGCTAAAGGCTGTCACATTGACCCTCTGCCTTCGTTGGTGGAGGGCAACTGCCTCATGCAAGAAGGCAGAGGGCCCATTAAACTGTTAACACTTAAGCTGTCAGCAGACAACAAAAGCTAAGAGTGCTCACTGTAACACTCCTTCTGGGGCTTCAGGGGTCACGGGTACTATTCCCAGATGCTGCTGTGGGCCCTGCACAGAATTTTGCTCCTGCCAGCACCCAAAAACACTCGCCCCAGCTCCTGCACCTGCTCACCTGCATGCTGCCTCCTGCGAGGGGTGGAACCCAGCAGGACTGAGCCAGTGGAGTCCACCCCTGCAGGCACCGAAGTGGCCAGCTAGTTCCAGTGCCCGTGCACTACAGTTTCCACCCGCAAAGGGGTCAGGGAAAACTTCCTGCTTCACTAGGTGGGCCTGCTGGATCATGCTCTGACCTCCACAGACCAGAATCAGGCAGCCAATCACCCAGCCCTCCTCCACTTCAGGAAGACACTCTGGAGATAGAGAGACTGAGAGACCAGGTCGGACAAAGGTCCCCCACAGAGACATTCCATTCCAAGCAGCCCTTTCAGCAGCTCAGAAAGGAGGGAGGAGTGGAGGGAGAATGCAAATTTCAGCAGTGAGGAGACCCCTGAAATAATGAGAAGGGTTTCCTAGCCTCTGTGCAATGTGCTCATGTTTTGTCCTGCTTACAGCCAGCTGACTTACAAAGCATTTATCCCATACCTAGTATGTGCTGGGGACTCAGCACACTTTATCTCACTTGGTCTTTTAATACCCCAGAAGTAATTACTTTTTTTTCTGAGAGAGAGAGATTCTTTTTGTTTATTTATTTGATTGGGAGGGATCCTATTATTTTTATTTTTTAAATATATCTAGCAAGTGATTACTGCCTCTAGTTTGCAGGTGTGTAACTCAAGGTGACCAGTCTACAAACACTGACTCAAGTTTCTTTCTCTAAATGGGGCTGTAAGTGGAACAGGATGTGAGAAAGCCAGGACATGCATGGGGTAGATGATCAGTAGCCCAGATTAGTGGACAAGCTGGGTAGGTGTTATGGTTCCTACATTTCCAAATGATTCTCTCCAACGCCCATGATTTCATTAGCATGTGGATTTGTACTTTCCAAACCCCTTCTGCTATATAAATCACTCTAGTAACAACTATCACTTCTTAGGCCTTCTGCAATTTCTCTGAGCCAAGGACATAAGCTGTTATTAGCTACATTTGTCCAGAGGAAGAACATGAAGCCAGAGAAGTAAGATTGTTTTCATGCAAAATCTCCTGGCTGGGGCAACATTGCCAAGGTAGGAACACAGGTCTCCTGACTGCTGGTCCCACACCTGCCTCTGTGGCCACATCTGCCCCTTCACCTCATTTGGTTTACAACCTTAAGCACGGGGCAGCAAGTAATGAGGCAATTCCAGGCTCCCGTCAGTCCACCTAATGTTCAAAATTAATGTTTTTCAAGTTTTCTGACATTTTCTCTTTCATTCTCAGATTAATGAACAAGTCTCGAGGATTTCTGGAAGATTCATCATTTTCCTACTACTGCCTGTCCTGAGGATGGGCAGCCACCCTGACTGAGCTCAGGTCACCAAGAATGTAATTTCCAGGTAAGACACCAAGAGATATGTCCAGCTTCAAAGGATTTCCAATGTAACTAGCAACACCTGCTAATCTTCCTACCTTCTTTGTTTTAAAAATAACACAAGCTGGCAGAGGTTTGTGTTAAAATTTGGCTACTTTGGTTTAATATTTCAGTTGTGACTCACTGGAAATGAGATAGAAAGACAGACAAGGACTTTCTACCAAGCCATTGTCCATCAAAATTGTCAGTGACATCAGTGTCTTTTTTATCATATGAATGCAATCACTAGGATGGGCCCTCCCAGTGTAATGGCACTGGACCTTTTCTCTCTCCCTTGTAGCAAAGACAAACATCAAATCATTACACGATCCACATTCATTGACAGCTCTATTAGCCTTGTTAATATCTTGTTGGAAATTATACTGTATAGACTCGTGCACGTGTGCACACACACACACACACACACACACATACAGTATGCCATAAACCAGCAGTCCCCGAGCTCTCTGTGCTGACTCCACCCATGTTATTTGTTCTGGAATTCAGGTTTCTGGATGAGAGCTGATGCAAACTGATGCATCTATAAGATGCATTCTCCTTATTGTCTGATACATCAAGATTGTTTATTAGTGAGAGATTAACAGAGAGAAAGGGAAGAAATGGACACATTTGGTAATTGAAATGAGAGATGCATAAAATATGAGTTATGGATTTGCCTGTTCTCACAGCTGCCTCAAGCCTCTGATCTGCACAGTGTCTCTGGTTTTTCCTTGAAGACATGTTCTGTTGATGCATGGTAAGGCTTTGAATTCAATTAAGTACTAACACTGGGAAGCAAATTGGCTTTTTAAAAAATGCAACAAATAATCTATACATGGCTTAATGTAAACCAATGAGTATCTTAATCATAGCAAAAGAATGTCTTCTTTTATGCAAACCAGAGCTAGCTCTATGACAGGTAATTTTTGAGCATCTTTATGTTTTTGTCTTTTTAATCGGGATGAGGAAGAAATCACTTAAGCAATGGCACAGTGCAATGGGAGCCCTTGTGGGAAATCACACCTATAATGAATGCATCAGGCTAACAGACCATCTGTGAAGTAATGCTGAGATTCAAATGGAATGGTTTCCTGCCACTCTGTACAAATGTGCTTGTGTTTTTTCTGCTTGGGGCCAACTACCTTACTGTTTCTTGCTTTTCTTTGGAGTAGCTAATGCGTATAATTGCAAACTCCTTAAACACAAGGCCATTTTTTAAATCACAGATGTTAAGTCTGTTTATATCCTATATTAAAGAAAACCATGTACCCAGTTCCCTGTCTTAATGAAGGTGCTAATGATGTTGACAGATCATGTTAACTGTCAGGAAGTGTGACTAATCACATTACAATTAAGTGGCCAATGTCTTTTCTTCCACTGCAGTCAAGGAGCTGGTATGGCCAGTTGGGACCCTAGGGGCTATGGCAAAATAATTCCTTCTTCTGGAGCATTTGAGGCCTGCAGAGACAAAGAGCATGGGTGATTGAGATCACATAGGAACTCGTCCTTTTAGTAACCAAAGAAATGAGTAAGAAAGGCCCCTGGTAAGCAGAAGGCTTCCCACCCTGAGTGAGGAGTGCCTGTTCTCTATGGCTACACACTCTTCCCCACCTTCCCCCATGGGCTGGGTTGTCCCACATGGCTGCTGTCTGAGAGGCTGTGGCTGCTGTGATGCTGGCGTCCTCCTGTGCTGTTCCTCCAGCCCCTTCTTTGGGTTATGGGCCTCTCCCCATGGTCATAGCAGTGGCCCAGTGACCCAGGTCTAAACACCACATTCTCTTGCGCACAGTGATAGCTCCAGGATAGATATATAATGCAGGCAGGACCAATCAGAGAAATATTTGTAATGGAATTGGAAAGATTGGGGAAAACAAATCTGGGAAAGCAGGCAGTTGTCCCCCCGCCCCACAATGGCTGGAAGAGTCCATCTGTAGAATGAAAAGAAAAGCAGCTCAGAGCCAAGAGACGGAAATGCAGGATGAGAAAAGCCAGAGGGCATTATCTTGGGTCCCTGGATTGAGTCAGGCCTGAAGTGAAGCCTCTCTGTGGGCTTCTCAGTAACAAGTCACTGTCTTCCCCCTTTGCTCATGCAAGTTGGGTTTCCTTCACTTACAACTGAAAACAGTCCTGACTAATCAATTTCTAGCTCCTGAATGTGGCAAGCTTGGAGGACCCCCGGATTCCTCTGTTTTAGACAACAGGCACCGTAGCCTGTTGACAGCATTTATGACATGCAACCCCCTAACTGACCCAAACGAATACAGAGCTCCCTTCCCCTGTGTCCACCTAAGTCTCCTCCACAACATGGAAAAAGGAATGCAAGTAAGAAAGCAGGGAGCAAAAAAGACGCAGCCACAAGCAGCAGAATTGGACGATAAGCCCATCCCCCACAGGCTCACTTTCATGGCAAGAGCAAAGTGATCATTCCCACTCTGGCATCATCATTTGACAAAGAAGAGTAGTTTCCAAGAGAAGGCCAGCTTCTGACCAAGGGCTGGAGAAGAGTAGGAAGGGGAGGCAAGGCGCTGAAGCCAGGAGCGTATGCAGGATCACAAGTCAAGTCCAGGACCAAGGAAGGATGTCTACGTAAGTCTCTAAAACCCAAAGCTTTAGGGGCAAAATCGAAGCCAAGAATTCAGAGATAGGGACTAAGCAATGAAGAGCACCCCAGGAATGAATGTGGTCAGCCTTGGCAATCAACCAAGCTACAGTGTCCTCTGCAGCTGGTGTTGAGTGCACTGGGGGAATGGTGCCTGGGAGGCTGGAAGTATAGGAGCAGGAAGGGAGAGGGACGGATGGAGACACCACAGGCTATTGGGGTCTTTTAACAACAAAACAGTAAGCAGTGCTCTTGATAGACTCAAATGAAACACAGAAGCCCCTCAAGAGCACAGATGTTAGCATCTGGAAGTGGTCCTGGGTGATTTAAGAAAGAGCACAATGTGGGTAAATTGCTGGTCCATATCTCAGTTTCCTCTGGGCTGCCTGAACCAGAGAGCAACGATCATTTCTCATGAGGGCAGACAAATTGTTTGGATGGCCGTCGACTCTGCAACATTAAAGGATTTTTCATGGAAAGATTGTGATTATACTGAGCATAAAGCTCATGGTGCCATGATGAAGCTGTGGCCCAGAAGACATGGCCTCAGCCAGCCAGATCCCTGTTCATCTGCAATCAACATTCAGAGAACTACAGAAGGTTGGGGGACTCCAGAGAGCAGAACCTCTATAACTTCAGCATCTCTGATGGCAGGGAAGGACTCTCCTGTGTTCTGCCTGGACTGTGGCCATGCCATGTGCATCTGCCCCTGCCTGTGTCCCTTGCAGAGGGGTTTTCATCAGGAAACTTGACCAGAAGGACCAGCATCCCAGCAGAGGGGGCACATGGCTGTCCTGTACCGCAAGAGAAGGAAGGATTGGAGATGGGTGCCTGTGGTCAAGCCAGGTGCCCACATGGGCTCATGCCACCGGCAGCTGAGTGAGGCCCCAAGGGTGAGCTCCACTGCACCAGAGAAGGAAGATGCCACAAAGCACGAAGCGCTACCCAAACAAACGAGCACAGGAGAGTCAGCATTCTCTGGGAAGCTTTCCCAACTATGGAGAAACTTTCAGAAAGTGCAAACTTGTACATTGTGGAGAAGGCAAAGGGAGTCAGGGGTTGGGGAGCTGGTGCGGGAGAGCTGGGTGGGGAAAGGAGACATGGGCAGCCCTGGGCTCAATCCCCGATCCTGCCAAAAGATAAAAGTACAGTCAGAGAGGTCAAATGACCAAAATTACATCTCAGACAAGGGCCAGATGGCTGTGGAACCAGAGTTCCTGGGCTCCCAGAGCAGGGTCTTCCCCAGCACCAGCTATTTTGTTGATGGGAAACAGGCCCCTGGGATGGAGACCGTGACAGAATCCCAGGTGAGGAGAGTGCAGATTTTACATTCACACCAGCAGGAGATGAAGGTTTCCTTTTCTCCACATCCTCATCGTCTCCTGTTAATTCTCTGTCCGTTTGATCACAGCCGTCAAAAGCGTGGAAGTGGCATCTCACTGTGCTTTTGATTTGCATCTCATTAACAATACGGAACATCTTCTTATGTGCTTCTTGACCATTTACATCTCTTCTTTGCAGAACTGTCTGTTCAGACCATTTCTCCTTCTTTAAAAATTAGACTGTCTTTTATTATTGAATTATAATAGTTCATTACATATTTTAGATACAAGTCCCGTATTAGACATATGATTTGAAATACTTTCTATCATTCTGTGGGTTGTCTTCTCTGTTTCTTAATGGTGTCCCCTGAGACAAAACTGTTGTTTGTTTTGATGATATCTAGTTTACCTGTTTTTCCTTTTGTTGCTTGTGCCTTTTTTGTTGTATCTAAGAAACTACGGCCTAACCCAAGGTTCTGACGATTTATGCCTATGTTTTCTTTTAAGGGTCTTACAGTTTAACTCTTACATGCAAGTCTGTGGCCATTTTGAGTTAATTTTTGTGTATGGTCTGCGGTGGAGGTCCTACTTTACTCTTCTATGGAATGAAATTCTTTGCATTTAGCCTGTTTGGATTTTACAGAGATTCTTGAGTTTGTAAGTTTATGTTTTTCACCAAATCTAGGAAGTTTTCAGCCATTATATAATATTTTTAGTACTGCATTATATATGTTAGAGATTCCAATGACACAAATTTTTGACCTGTTCATAATGTTCTAAAGGTCTCCAGGGATCTGTTTATTTTATTTTTGATTTCTTTACTCTCTTTTCTTCAGATTGGATCATTTCTATTCCTCTATTTTCAACATCACTGATTTTTCCCTCTGTCATCTCCACCCAGCTGAGTCAACTCGGTAATTTTTTTAAATTTCAGATCACACATATTGCAGTCCTAAAATGCACAATGGCTTCTGTTTTGTAATTTCTGTTTTTCTGAAGAAAAGTCCTATATTTCCACCTGTTTCCAAAATATTCACCTTTTCTTCATGGATCGCTGTTGTAATAGAGCCATTAAAGTCTCTCTAACCATCCCAACACCTGGATCATGTTGGAATGGGCCTCTGTTGATTATATTTTCCCCTGAGAATTGCTCTCTAGAGTTTTAACCCCCATGCTGTGCTACATCACTGTGGAGAGAAAGAGAGAGAAAAATCTATGCGGGTACCCCACACACTCTTTGTGAAACCCTCCTTTCCTGATCCCACTTTCCTCTTGGGGTCTTGGGTGCTCAACTCTATGGTAGCACATTATGTAGCTGGAACCGACCTTCGGGCAGGGCCAGGAGGGGGAAAAAAACCGGGGAAAAATCTTATGAGGATTCTCTCCACACTTCCTGTGTCATATGGGTGAGGGGATTTTTTCCTGTCCTCCGTCCTGAGAGACAGATTCTCTTGGAGGTTTTGCTGATTGTGCCTGCTCTGTGGTCTACAGCTTCCTGTTTTGACTTGTCCTTGGTCCAAAACTGTGTGAAAAAAAAAAAAAAAAAGGAAAAAAGCCTGGGTCACCATACTGGCTATTCTGCATGCTGGTGTTTAGACCCTGCTCCCAGTCTGTCTGCTATTCTTCATTTTTCAGAGTCCTCGGCCTTTTATATTTTGTCCAGCATGTTTTTTTGTGGCCACTGTAAAAAATAAGCTGCAGTAGGTTTACTTCATTTTGTCCAGAAACGGATGACTTTGAGGCACTTTCAATAATATGTAATCTTCTTAATTCCTTGTTTGCTTATTGACTAGCCCCATTCCCACTTGTTGGAGCACTTGCCTACATACAAGGCTTTTGTTCTTAATTCACTGCTGAATTCCTAGCGTTCAGGAAAATATCTGCTACATAGTAAGCCCTCACTAAATATTTATTAATAAATGAATCTTCGTGCACAGAACTTTCTTCTGCACTTTTAGATTTTACTTATGATAATTTTCCTAGAAGTTAAATTATTGACCAAAAGGTATAATTATCTTTTAGGTCGTATTCATGTTGTCAAATTCTTTTCTAACAAGTGAGCATGCCTGTCTCATCACAATAGAATGGAGGAGTTGTGGGTTTTTTTATTTTATTTTAACATTTTCTAATTTATAGGTGAGGATGTTATCTCATTGCTATTTTTATCTGTACCTAATACTTTTAACTCCAACATCCCTGGATCTTCTAAAGAAATTTTTATTGCAAAGACTAAGCTATTCTGCCTGGGTGCTCTGTGCCCCCTGCCTTTGAAACACCCCCTAAAGGGGGATCTCCTTCCTGTAGATCATCTGACTAGAGAAAGGAGGAGGGTGTAAAGCTAACCTGCATAACTCTTTGCAAAAATTACCCCTAGATTCCACTGCCTTCTCAATTCCTCCCATCCAAAAAGTTGCTGTCAAATCTCTTCTGAAATAATTAGAGTGATATTTTTCAACTAGAAAAATCTCATGTGCCTCCAGCTTCTATTAATGAGGCTAGGTCATTTGAAACAACTTTCTTGTTAACGAAAAAAAAATCAAAACACCAGATCAATATGGGGAAGAAAAATCACATGAAAAGACTTTAAAATTTGAAGATGTGGAAACTCCCAGATCATTTTTTTAAATTAGAGCCTTTAACCAAGGAAGTAAGCCAACCACTGGAGTTCCCAAGTCCCATGGGAATTTGCCAATACCAAACACTCAGGCTCAGTTCACCCTCAGGACACCCCCATCCCAAAGTGGAAAATCCTAGAGATGACATTTTAAGTTTACAAGCTTTATCTCATGGTGACTGCAAAACAAATCTCCCCCCAACAGCCTGCTCCCCGAACCCCGGGGAAGTGTTGAGAAACTGTCTTGGGAGGAGCAGAGCAGAAGAAGTAAAAGAACGTGAAAGAAGAAGTCCTGAGAAGTTCTGGCCTCACACATTTTCACCTGGAAAAGTGTGGCCCGAGGTTGCTGAGGAGCCACAGCTGCACATTTGGTCTGAAGTGGTCCCCACTGTGGTGCCCACAAGATTTGAAAGCAGCGAACACAATCCTTCATTAAATGAGAGGCACCTGTAGTAGTCCTAACTGCACCCTCTGCCTCCGTCTGACCTGTGGGGGCTCCACATTGGCCCAACCCAACCAGAAGTCCAACAAGGGGAGTCTGTCTGTTTAGTCCATTTAGGTGAGCCTCTTGGAAATAGAAGATGCTCAGCACATGCAGAATGTGAAAGAAACTCAGGAAACTCACCCAAGGAATTGCTGTATTCTGGTCCAAGTTACCACATAGGCGATGAGCACATTTTAAGGATTTCAGGAATTCCACCAACAAAACCATTGGTCTATAAATGTGTGTGGGGAATCCAGCAGAGTAACCTAGCATTGCCAGTACATGTTCATTTTCTTCATGCTACCATGTTTTAAAATGCATCTGTCATTGGGATAAATTGCACATTAAGTCACTAGCAACATGCAGAGGGAAGGAAAGCCATGACTCTTCTCCTCATCCTCTCCTTACTCTTCAAAATGAAGTAAACACTAGTCTAATGGGGTTATGTTCCTTTGGGACCATGTTTACCAGTAAATACAATCACTGTGGTTTTTGTTTTTGTTTGTTTGTTTGCTTTTGAGACAGAGTCTTGCTCTGTCACCCAGGCTGGAGTGCAGTGGAGAGATCTCAGCTCACTGCAACCTCTGCCTCCCAGGTTCAAGCAATTCTTGAACTTGGGAGGCTGCCCCAGCCTCCCAAGTAGCTGGGATTAAAGGCACCCGCCTCCACATCCAGCTAATTTTTTGTAGTTTTAGTAGAGACGGGGTTTCATCATGTTGGCCAGGTTGGTCTTGAACTCCTGACCTCAGGTGATCCACCCGCCTTGGCCTCCCAAAGTGCAGGGATTACAGGTGTGAGCCACCGCACCTGGCCCAATCACTGTTTTAAAAGGCATGCTGTGGCGGGGCACGGTGGCTCATACCTGTAACCCTAGCACTTTGGGAAGCAAAGGTTGGGGAATCACTTGAGGGCAATGTAGTGAAACCCCATCTCTACAAACAAATAAAAAATAAAACGTAATAAATAAATAAAGGCATGCTCTGTTGTGGCCTTCTTTACCATCCCTGCCACCCATGACATGAGACTGAACAGAGGCCGAAGGTGCCCCATTGGCAGGTACAATTAACTCACTCTCACTTTACTTCATTCTCAAGCATTAAGGCTAATATAAGGTGTTTTAATGACTTCTAGCTCCAAGGGTTGACTGGTTGGTAAAGTGGACATTGTGGTTGGTAGAAGCTAGACTAAGCTATGTGCTTCATTGTAGCTATCATGCATAATGAAGAGTTAGAGGCACTCAGCGGGTCAGGAAAGCACTATAATGTTCTATGTATATATCTAAAATTTAATGAAGACAAAGGGTATTAGAAGACATTCCAGGGAGCCTTGGTCAAATACTATTAATAGTTACACAATTACATCCCCATTCACATAAGAATTAATCAACTCTGATACTTAAATTTTGTTTCAATGATTTTTCTATGTTCTAACGCCTACCAGGAATAACCACTATTTAGTTGCTATTTCATTGTATTGCAAAGGCTTGTCTTCACCACTGGATAGAAGTCAAGATCAAGAACATTGTCTTATACTCTGTATCCCCAAACTTGTCAATATCTGATAAGGAGTAGATGCTCATCTTTCATTAATACTCTCATTCAGCAAAATTGTATTGAGCACCTACTTGTGATAGGCCCTGTAGTGGACACTGTACCAGCAATGAACAAAGTGTCAAAAAATCACTGCTCCTGTGAAAACTATATTGTAATGGGAAGACATCTAATATACATGATATATGAATGACGTATATAGTATGTCAGAATTGAAACCAAGGGGAAAAACAGAACAGACAAGGACTATAGCGTGTGCCAGAGCCAGCTCACACTGGCTTGCAAAAGCCAATTACTTTACTTTCAGGAATTTTGCAAGGCAGTTGTGTCATCACTTTGGTAGCTTAAAATTGGCCACAGTGAAAGCATTTACATTGTGGAAATCAGTAAGCACCAAAAATTGGTGTGCCCATCCCCTAGCCACAAACCAGATATTGAACATTCACCAGAACATCTGTATGCCATGGGCTACTGTGAGTCTGTTGAAGAGAGAGCTCCCGTTGTACATAGGGTGGCTAAACAAGGCATTCCTGACCCAGAGGAGAGTTCATGTTGCGTTTTGGGTCTGAAGGTAGAGCAGCCTCACTCTTCCTTGGGGGAAGGCTGAAACAGAGCAAGGGAGCTGGGCCACATGGCTACCAGAAGGAGGAGAATTCCAGGCAGGGGAGCCAGCAAGTGCCAATGCTGTGACGCTATGTGGAGTGGAAAAAGGACAGCAGTGGGAAGTGAGGCCCAGGAGGTCACCAGGGCCAGATCTCATTGCCTTGCAGGGCACCACACAGACTGACTTGTATTTGAAGTGAGTCACAGTCATCAGAGGGCTGAGCAGGGTGGGGACATGATTTGATTTACATTTCAACACCTCATTCTGGCAGGGGTGTTGAGAATAGACCTAAGTGGACAGGGATGGAAGATGTGGGCCGAGGAGGAAGTTACCGCAGTAACCCAGAGCCCAGGTGAAGGTAGAAGTGGGTGGAGCAGCATGGTCTAAATAGCAGTGGTGAGAAATAGGTGGTTCTTCCATATATTTTTATAGTAGAACCTACAGGACTCGTTGAGAAATCAGATAACTGCTGATTTCCTTAAGCAACTGAAAGGACTGAATTGAATTGGAGTGTGAGGTAGATCAGCAGCTCAGGGTCAGGCACATTACATTCTGCAGATCTGTTAGCTGCCCTGTTAGCACATGCCTTCCGTCTGAGACTTACCTTGGCCGCACACACACAGTCCTTCTCAAGTTCTCCATGAGACTCTTACCTGGAACAGTGGCCTACACACTCTAAACACTTCTGTGTTTGCAGCAACAGAGTGACAAGTCTCCTTCGTCACGGCTCCTGGGCAGCCCTGGTCAGCTTTCCATTTCTGTCTCTGAAGCTTTACTCTGCCTTGAGTGGCCCAGCCCTGCTGGACTTGGAGCCATAGTTTGTTGGGCTGATTTTGTGAAAACCGTGATTCAACTGCCAAGTTTTAATTTGGTCTGGGGCCTGGGAAAGTACGCAAGGATGAACACATGGGCATGGGGTTCTGAGCAAGGATTTGCAGTGACTCTCAGGTCCTGGGATGACTGCCCAGAGTTGGGTGACAACTTGCCCAGGAGCCTCACTCCTCAAGAAAGCAGAAGTCAAAGGATTCCAAATGCAAAAGAGGAGCAGGGGCCAGAAGGTTCTTGTCCACATTGAACAAATATGAGAAGACAAATAAACCTCTTATGGAGAGGCAAGCTGTGAGGCCATGTTCACACGTGCGGCTATGTGTCTTCAGCAGCCATCTCTCTTACACCGGCTTCTAACCTTGGAAGGAAAGGGAGAGATTAACATGCAGCTGTAGTCTGGATTTTATACCTTCATGCTGTGTCTCAATTAATCAAAGATTTGCCATAAAACTTAACCGGCAGTCCTCCACACCATGTCATGTCATAAAATATGAGCTGATTAATCCTCTTCTAATTTGTATGATAATTAAAACCCTAACTTCTAATTCCGTTCATTGTCTTCCCACAAGGAGTCTGCTCCAGCTTTCCCAATGCACCCAGCGACTGTCCTCTGCCCACGGGGTGGCTTTGTTGCCTTTACAGTACCGCGTTCCCCTGTCATTCATCAAGGCCTGAAGATAAATATGTGCTTATCGCTCCAGCCCGTCCTGACACAAGCCTGCAAGGAGCCGAGCCTGTGCTCATAAATCAAACACTGAAAGTCACTGGGTATTTTATCAGGATGTTGGTCCAGCTCTGTGAATGTCCCTTCCTCTTAATGAACAATTAACTTGCTAAATGCAATGAGGCCCAAATACATCTGAGCCACTCAGGCCACGGTTGAGCATGTACTAGATGAACCAGGAGGTGGCTTCCACATCTGCATGCACTGAGGAAGTTCCAGTGCAATCTGCTGTGTCGATGATGAGCTTCTGAAGCACAAAGAAGTCTGTCCAGACCTACCTCAGAGCACAGGAAGAGAAAGAGGAAAGGAATTTACAGGAGCCAAGTTCTCTGCAAAACAATATAGTGCAGGGCTGATTTTTACTGCAGAATTGCTTAGTAAATTCGTAAATTATATATTCTGTGAGGGGGATTTTATTATAACTCTTTTGCATTTGAGGAAACTGAGGCAAAGTGAGATTAGGTGAAACACTGAGGTCACATAAATCATAAGTGACAAGATTTGAATTCAATTCTATATGACATCGAAGGTCTTAAACTAGTGCACTTTCCATCTATGTATAAAATAATTCCTTAATTTATAGAGCAACTAGTGTGCACCAGGTACAATTCAGAAGCCATATATATATATATTACATATTACATATATATAGTATTTCTGATATATATATAAAACATATATACTAGATATAAGAAATATACATACCAATATATACTAGTATACATATTTATCCTAATCACAATTTTGTGGATTAAATAAATATATATACTAATATATATTAGTAATAATATATATACTAGTGTATGTATTTCGTATGTATAGTAGCAGGAGCTATATATGTATAGTATTTCTAATATATATAGTATTTCTTTTATATAATATATACATATATACACACACACACATACAATTATCAGACCTTGTCACTCCATAGCCAAGCCATCATTAAACCATCAACTTTAGCTTCTAAATAGACTTTATTTTAAATCTAGGACTTTAAGAATGGCCAATTCTACAGGATGTTAAGATTAAATGAAGTTAAGAAGTTTTCCTAGTACAGATTTGTTAGAATCTTTGCTCTGCCATGGGCGCTATGAAGCCTCATTGTGAAACACCACACAATTTATTAAAGTCTGCGGCCTCAGAACCCTTTATCTGGCTCACTAGGCACTAGTGTTCCGGAGGATACATGCTGGGAGGTGTTTCTCCAGCTTATTCCATCAACTCCCTCCCAATGTCCCCACTACAGCTAAGACCATGCCTTCATTTTCCTAGGTTGCCAATGTGGCCAGCTAAGTGACCTCCCTTCCACGGGGAAACCACATCCATTATTCCCTGGAGAGACACTACAGATTTCCTGGGTTCAATGATGCTTATTCCCACCCAAGCTCTGACATTCAACAACTGTGAGACTTTTAGCAAGTTACTTAACCTCACTATGCTTGACTTCCTCATATTGAGTGTTTTCTATACATCAAGTGATGAGCGAAGTGCTCTATTTTTATCTCATTTAATTTTCTCAACAATTTGTGGAAATTGTTACTTATCATAATCACCATTTTGTAGATTAAAAAACCCAGAGGTAAAATAATGTGCCTAGCATCGTACAGAAGGTGGGCGTTAGAGCCAGCTAATGCTTGCCCTGCAGAGTTATCATGGAGATCAATGACTTGCTAATATGAATCTCTAAGCTCACTTATTCATACACAGAAAACACATAACACATTCATGTTAACTAAGAATGTTATTAGGGATACCATGAATGAATTTCACTTCTGCTTAAGGAGTAGCAGGGATCTGATTTATCTTCCCACTTCCCACCTGCAACAAGAAACAAACAAAATATAGTAAACATTGCTTTTCAAAACACTGAGTATCAGACAATGAAGGACAGTCATCTCTCAGAGATAGAAACAAACTAGGTGAGCCCTATGAATCCCCAACTGACGGCTTGAAAGAATCTCCAGGCGAGGACAGAGAGAGGAAACCCAGGCACACCTTGCTGGTCTCCCTAAGTTGACAAGATAGAGCTGAGAGTCCAGGGAGATGAAAGCAGTTGGTTTGCAGTATACAAAAGAGTGGAGCATCCATAGGCAGAAGCTTAGAGATCTGCAGAGGCTCCTCTTCACTATTCACTCAACAGAGTAATACTCAGCACTTCGTGTATAGAAACTACACCAGGGTGTGGGGGAACATCTGAAAGTACAATAGAAGAGAATCTAGGGCTCACATGCATCTGGTAATAGTATCTATTCCTGCTGGCTCCAGTGAGTGGAAAACTCATAATTTATGGCTCATTGGGTAGTCTACTTGAGAAAGGCTTGCCTTAGTAGTAAGAAATAATAAGCAACAGATGGAGCATAGCCCCTGACCCACCTAACAAGTTGTAGAATTAAGTCCTGAAACAGGCAAACTGTTTCTAAGTAATTGCTTCCCAGAATAAAGTTCAATAATATTTTTAAAAATAATCATAGCGGAGGAGGAGCCAAGATGGCCGAATAGGAACAGCTCCGGTCTACAGCTCCCAGCGTGAGCGACGCAGAAGATGGGTGATTTCTGCATTTCCATCTGAGGTACCGGGTTCATCTCAGTAGGGAGTGCCAGACAGTGGGCGCAGGCCAGTGGGTGCGCGCACCGGGCGCGAGCCGAAGCAGGGCGAGGCATTGCCTCACCTGGGAAGCGCAAGGGGTCAGGGAGTTCCCTTTCCGAGTCAAAGAAAGGGGTGACGGACGCACCTGGAAAATCGGGTCACTCCCACCCGAATATTGCGCTTTTCAGACCGGCTTAAAAAACGGCGCAGCACGAGACTATATCCCACACCTGGCTCGGAGGGTCCTACGCCCACGGAATCTCGCTGATTGCTAGCACAGCAGTCTGAGATCAAACTGCAAGGCGGCAGCGAGGCTGGGGGAGGGGCGCCCGCCATTGCCCAGGCTTGCTTAGGTAAACAAAGCAGCCGGGAAGCTCGAACTGGGTGGAGCCCACCACAGCTCAAGGAGGCCTGCCTGCCTCTGTAGGCTCCACCTCTGGGGGCAGGGCACAGACAAACAAAAAGACAGCAGTAACCTCTGCAGACTTAAATGACCCTGTCTGACAGCTTTGAAGAGAGCAGTGGTTCTCCCAGCACGCAGCTGGAGATCTGAGAACGGGCAGACTGCCTCCTCAAGTGGGTCCCTGACCCCTGACCCCCGAGCAGCCTAACTGGGAGGCACCCCCCAGCAGGGGCACACTGACACCTGACACGGCAGGGTATTCCAACAGACCTGCAGCTGAGGGTGCTGTCTGTTAGAAGGAAAACTAACAAACAGAAAGGACATCCACACCAAAAACCCATCTGTACATCACCATCATCAAAGACCAAAAGTAGATAAAACCACAAAGATGGGGAAAAAACAGAACAGAAAAACTGGAAACTCTAAAACGCAGAGCGCCTCTCCTCCTCCAAAGGAACGCAGTTCCTCACCAGCAACGGAACAAAGCTGGATGGAGAATGACTTTGACGAGCTGAGAGAAGAAGGCTTCAGACGATCAAATTACTCTGAGCTACGGGAAGACATTCAAACCAAAGGCAAAGAAGTTGAAAACTTTGAAAAAAATTTAGAAGAATGTATAACTAGAATAACCAATACAGAGAAGTGCTTAAAGGAGCTGATGGAGCTGAAAACCAAGGCTCAAGAACTACGTGAAGAATGCAGAAGCCTCAGGAGCCGATGTGATCAACTGGAAGAAAGGGTATCAGCAATGGAAGATGAAATGAATGAAATGAACCGAGAAGGGAAGGTTAGAGAAAAAAGAATAAAAAGAAATGAGCAAAGCCTCCAAGAAATATGGGACTATGTGAAAAGACCAAATCTACGTCTGATTGGTGTACCTGAAAGTGATGCGGAGAATGGAACCAAGTTGGAAAACACTCTACAGGATATTATCCAGGAGAACTTCCCCAATCTAGCAAGGCAGGCCAACATTCAGATTCAGGAAATACACAGAACGCCACAAAGATACTCCTCGAGAAGAGCAACTCCAAGACACATAATTGTCAGATTCACCAAAGTTGAAATGAAGGAAAAAATGTTAAGGGCAGCCAGAGAGAAAGGTCGGGTTACCCTCAAAGGGAAGCCCATCAGACTAACAGCGGATATCTCGGCAGAAACCGTACAAGCCAGAAGAGAGTGGGGGCCAATATTCAACATTCTTAAAGAAAAGAATTTTCAACCCAGAATTTCATATCCAGCCAAACTAAGCTTCATAAGTGAAGGAGAAATAAAATACTTTACAGACAAGCAAATGCTGAGAGATTTTGTCACCACCAGGCCTGCCTTAAAAGAGCTCCTGAAGGAAGCGCTAAACATGGAAAGGAACAACTGGTACCAGCCGCTGCAAAATCATGCCAAAATGTAAAGACCATCGAGACTAGGAAGAAACTGCATCAACTAACGAGCAAAATCACCAGCTAAAATCATAATGACAGGATCAAATTCACACATAACAATATTAACTTTAAATGTAAATGGACTAAATGCTCCAATTAAAAGACACAGACTGGCAAGTTGGATAAAGAGTCAAGACCCATCAGTGTGCTGTATTCAGGAAACCCATCTCACGTGCAGAGACACACATAGGCTCAAAATAAAAGGATGGAGGAAGATCTACCAAGCAAATGGAAAACAAAAAAAAGCAGGGGTTGCAATCCTAGTCTCTGATAAAACAGACTTTAAACCAACAAAGATCAAAAGAGACAAAGAAGGCCATTACATAATGGTAAAGGGATCAATTCAACAAGAGGAGCTAACTATCCTAAATATATATGCACCCAATACAGGAGCACCCAGATTCATAAAGCAAGTCCTGAGTGACCTACAAAGAGACTTAGACTCCCACACATTAATAATGGGAGACTTTAACACCCCACTGTCAACATTAGACAGATCAACGAGACAGAAAGTCAACAAGGATACCCAGGAATTGAACTCAGCTCTGTACCAAGCGGACCTAATAGACATCTACAGAACTCTCCACCCCAAATCAACAGAATATACATTTTTTTCAGCACCACACCACACCTATTCCAAAATTGACCACATAGTTGGAAGTAAAGCTCTCCTCAGCAAATGTAAAAGAACAGAAATTATAACAAACTATCTCTCAGACCACAGTGCAATCAAACTAGAACTCAGGATTAAGAATCTCACTCAAAGCCGCTCAACTACATGGAAACTGAACAACCTGCTCCTGAATGACTACTGGGTACATAATGAAATGAAGGCGGAAATAAAGATGTTCTTTGAAACCAACGAGAACAAAGACACAACATACCAGAATCTCTGGGACGCATTCAAAGCAGTGTGTAGAGGGAAATTTATAGCACTAAATGCCCACAAGAGAAAGCAGGAAAGATCCAAAATTGACACCCTAACATCACAATTAAAAGAACTAGAAAAGCAAGAGCAAACACATTCAAAAGCTAGCAGAAGGCAAGAAATAACTAAAATCAGAGCAGAACTGAAGGAAATAGAGACACAAAAAACCCTTCAAAAAATCAATGAATCCAGGAGCTGGTTTTTTGAAAGGATCAACAAAATTGATAGACTGCTAGCAAGACTAATAAAGAAAAAAAGAGAGAAGAATCAAATAGACACAATAAAAAATGATAAAGGGGATATCACCACTGATCCCACAGAAATACAAACTACCATCAGAGAATACTACAAACACCTCTACGCAAATAAACTAGAAAATCTAGAAGAAATGGATACATTCCTCGACACATACACTCTCCCAAGACTAAACCAGGAAGAAGTTGAATCTCTGAATAGACCAATAACAGGAGCTGAAATTGGGGCAATAATCAATAGTTTACCAACCAAAAAGAGTCCAGGACCAGATGGATTCACAGCCGAATTCTACCAGAGGTACAAGGAGGAACTGGTACCATTCCTTCTGAAACTATTCCAATCAATAGAAAAAGAGGGAATCCTCCCTAACTCATTTTATGAGGCCAGCATCATTCTGATACCAAAGCCGGGCAGAGACACAACCAAAAAAGAGAATTTTAGACCAATATCCTTGATGAACATTGATGCAAAAATCCTCAATAAAATACTGGCAAACCGAATCCAGCAGCACATCAAAAAGCTTATCCACCATGATCAAGTGGGCTTCATCCCTGGGATGCAAGGCTGGTTCAATATACGCAAATCAATAAATGTAATCCAGCATATAAACAGAGCCAAAGACAAAAACCACATAATTATCTCAATAGATGCAGAAAAAGCCTTTGACAAAATTCAACAACCCTTAATGCTAAAAACTCTCAATAAATTAGGTATTGATGGGACGTATTTCAAAATAATAAGAGCTATCTATGACAAACCCACAGCCAATATCATACTGAATGGGCAAAAACTGGAAGCATTCCCTTTGAAAACTGGCACAAGACAGGGATGCCCTCTCTCACCACTCCTATTCAACATAGTGTTGGAAGTTCTGGCCAGGGCAATCAGGCAGGAGAAGGAAATAAAGGGTATTCAATTAGGAAAAGAGGAAGTCAAATTGTCCCTGTTTGCAGACGACATGATTGTTTATCTAGAAAACCCCATCGTCTCAGCCCAAAATCTTCTTAAGCTGATAAGCAACTTCAGCAAAGTCTCAGGATACAAAATCAATGTACAAAAATCACAAGCATTCTTATACACCAACAACAGACAAACAGAGAGCCAAATCATGAGTGAACTCCCATTCACAATTGCTTCAAAGAGAATAAAATACCTAGGAATCCAACTTACAAGGGATGAGAAGGACCTCTTCAAGGAGAACTACAAACCACTGCTCAAGGAAATAAAAGAGGATACAAACAAATGGAAGAACATTACATGCTCATGGGTAGGAAGAATCAATATCGTGAAAATGGCCATACTGCCCAAGGTAATTTATAGATTCAATGCCATCCCCATCAAGCTACCAATGACTTTCTTCACAGAATTGGAAAAAACTACTTTAAAGTTCATATGGAACCAAAAAAGAGCCCGCATCGCCAAGTCAATCCTAAGCCAAAAGAACAAAGCTGGAGGCATCACACTACCTGACTTCAAACTATACTACAAGGCTACAGGAACCAAAACAGCATGGTACTGGTACCAAAACAGAGATATAGATCAATGGAACAGAACAGAGCCCTCAGAAATAACGCCGCATACCTACAACTATCTGATCTTTGACAAACCTGAGAAAAACAAGCAATGGGGAAAGGATTCCCTATTTAATAAATGGTGCTGGGAAAACTGGCTAGCCATATGTAGAAAGCTGAAACTGGATCCCTTCCTTACACCTTATACAAAAATCAATTCAAGATGGATTAAAGATTTAAACGTTAGACCTAAAACCATAAAAACCCTAGAAGAAAACCTAGGCATTACCATTCAGGACATAGGCATGGGCAAGGACTTCATGTCCAAAACACCAAAAGCAATGGCAACAAAAGCCAAAATTGACAAATGGGATCTAATTAAACTAAAGAGCTTCTGCACAGCAAAAGAAACTACCATCAGAGTGAACAGGCAACCTACAACATGGGAGAAAATTTTTGCAACCTACTCATCTGACAAAGGGCTAATATCCAGAATCTACAATGAACTCAAACAAATTTACAAGAAAAAAACAAACAACCCCATCAAAAAGTGGGCGAAGGACATGAACAGACACTTCTCAAAAGAAGACATTTATGCAGCAAAAAAACACATGAAAAAATGCTCATCATCACTGGCCATCAGAGAAATGCAAATCAAAACCACTATGAGATATCATCTCACACCAGTTAGAATGGCAATCATTAAAAAGTCAGGAAACAACAGGTGCTGGAGAGGATGTGGAGAAATAGGAACACTTTTACACTGTTGGTGGGACTGTAAACTGGTTCAACCATTGTGGAAGTCAGTGTGGCGATTCCTCAGGGATCTAGAACTAGAAATACCATTTGACCCAGCCATCCCATTACTGGGTATATACCCAAATGACTATAAATCATGCTGCTATAAAGACACATGCACACGTATGTTTATTGCCACATTATTCACAATAGCAAAGACTTGGAACCAAGCCAAATGTCCAACAATGATAGACTGGATTAAGAAAATGTGGCACATATACACCATGGAATACTATGCAGCCATAAAAAATGATGAGTTCATGTCCTTTGTAGGGACATGGATGAAATTGGAAATCATCATTCTCAGTAAACTATCGCAAGAACAAAAAATCAAACACCGCATATTCTCACTCATAGGTGGGAATTGAACAATGAGATCACATGGACACATGAAGGGGAATATCACACTCTGGGGACTGTGGTGGGGTGGGGGGAGCGGGGAGGGATAGCATTGGGAGATATACCTAATGCTAGATGACGAGTTAGTGGGTGCAGCGCACCAGCATGGCACATGTATACATATGTAACTAACCTGCACAATGTGCACATGTACCCTAAAACTTAAAGTATAATAAAAAAAAAAGAAAGAAAAATAAAAAATAAAAAAATAATCATAGCAGGCACATGGTAAGATAAAATGCACAATGTCTGTCATCTAAACAAAGATTTCCAGGCATACGAAGAAGCAGGAAAACATCATCCATAATGAAGACAATAATGGATCAAGAAAACTGCACCAGAGCTAGCACAAAAAGAACTTTCAGGCAATGACATTTATATAGCCATTATTATTTAAAGTGGTAAGTAGTAATATGGAGAATACAAAAAACAACCAAATCAAACTTTAGAGATGAAAACTAAAATGTGTGAGTTGAGAAATACATTAAATGGGATTAATGGATTAGATAGAGTAGAAAAAAAATTACTGAACCTTAAGACATAGCAATAGAAACTATCCAAAATGAAACACGGAGAGAACAAACATTAAAAGGAGCACTTGCAAAATGTGAGACTACTTCAAGCAAACTAGCATGCATTTGAATGGAGTCCCTAATGGGGGTAGGGGGCAGAGAAAAAATATTTGAAATAATAATGGTTTTAAAATTTCCAAATTTATTTAAAAATATAAATATACAAATCTAAGAAGTTCAATAAACTCCAAGCATAAGAAACATGAAAAAAATACACCAAGGCTCACCATAATCAAATTGTTCAAATCCAGTATTAAACAAAGATCTTAAAGCAGACAGAGGAGAAAAAAACCACATTATGAAGAAAGGAGCAAATTTAAGGATAACAGCTGATTTTTCACTGGGAGCAGTATAAGCAAAAACAAAGTGAAACAACATGTTTAAAGTCCTGAAAAAACTCTGTTGACCTACAATTCTACACCCAGCAAAAATATTAAAAATGAAGTGAAAATTAAGACTAATTCAAATAATTTATCACATTACAAGAAATGTTGAAGGAATTTCTTCAGGCAAAAGGAGAATGATACCAGATGGAGATGGAGATGGAGATGGAGATGTAAATCTAAACAAAAATGGTATATGAGAGAAATGGTAACTACATGGGTAAAAACATAAAATGTTGTTCTTATTTAAATCTCTTTAAAGTTAATTGACATAAACACAAATTAACATAATAACAATGCATTTGGGGTTTATAACATATGTATAAGGACAGTATGAGT
This sequence comes from Homo sapiens, assembly GCF_000001405.40. NCBI lineage: Eukaryota > Metazoa > Chordata > Mammalia > Primates > Hominidae > Homo > Homo sapiens. Next base: position 128,857,877 of record NC_000002.12, on the reverse strand, counting down.
AATATCACAAAGGCAGAGATGAGAGAAATGGAAATATATTACTATAATTTGTTCCATCATATTTAAGTCAAAAGTTATAAGTTAAAGATGTATATTATTATTCATATACTGGATTTACTGTTATCATACCACATTATTAAAGAACTATTATGCTATTATATCACACTTCATTATGTACTATTATTATATGGTACAATTATTTTTATTTATCCTACCATTACATGTAATACAAAGGTAGGTATGTGAAGGTATGCTCTGTTCAGTTAAAAATGTATAAAATAAACCATAAAACAATCAATCTAATAATAAAATGAAGAGTTATAGTTAATAAACCAGCAAATAAAATCAGAAATAATACTCAAATAATTTTTAAAGGGGCAAAAAAGAAGAAACATGAAGAAACGAAAAGATAGGATAAATAAAAACCAAACAGCAAGATGAGAGACAAATTTAACCATATCACTAATGACACTAAATGTAAATTGTTCAAATAACCCAAATTAAAAGCAGAAACTGTCAGACTGGATTACAAAGCTGAATATCTGATTACAAAAAACACACTTTAAATATAAAGACACAAATAGGTTAAAGGTAAAAGCAAAACCAAAATCAAAACTTGGGTAGCTCTTTTAGTATTATACAGAGTGGATTCCATGGCAAAGTATAGTTGAAGATAATTTCATAGTGATTAAATAGCCAATCAAAGTATATAGTAAATCTAAATAGTTATGTACCTAAAAATACAACTTGAAAATACATAAAGTAAAACCACATAGAATTATAAAAAGAAATAGAAACATCCATAATTATAGTTGAAAGTTGTAACACCTTTCTTTCAGAGATTAATAGAAAAATAGAGGATGAACAAATATACAGTACACTTGAATAACATTATAAAGCAACTTGATCTAATTGACTTCAGAGGATATGCCGCCCAACCAGATCCAAATACACATTCTTTACAAGCACACGTGGAGAAACTTGTCAAGAAGCACTACCCTGTTCATAAAGAAAGTACACGTGGAGAATCTTGTGAAGAAGCAACACCCTGGTCATAAAGAATTTTCAGTAAACTGAAAAGGATTCAAGTCATATAAAATATGCTTTCTGACCACAGTGGAATTAAATTTGACATCAATTACAGCAAGATATCTGGATAATCCACCAAATATTTGCAAACTTAACAGCAAATTTCTCAGTAACTCATAAGTTAAAAAAGAAATCAAAAGGAAATTAGAAAGTATTTTGACATAAACATAAATAAAAATACAACATAAAATTGTGGGATGTCACTAAAGCAAATTCATATTACTAAATGTCTATATTAGAAATGATGAAAGGTCAGATTAATGACTTCAGTGTTCACTTTTGAAACTAACAAAAAAGAAAAAGAAAATACACAAACTAAGCTAAAAAAAAATACTAAATATCAGAGGAAATCAATTAAATAAAGAAACAGGAAACCATGGGGAAAAAAAATCAATAAAACCAAAAGCTGCTTAAGATCAATGAAGTTGACAAACCTATCTCTATCTTCTGATAAGGAAAAAAAAAAGAATGACACCAGTTGCTAATATCAGGAATGAAAGAAATGTAAACACTACAGATTCTGCAGATAATATAAGGATAATAAGGGGATGTTATAAAATACAATGTCTATAATTTTAACAACTTAGATGAAATACAGTATAAAATATAATATATTCAGGGATAAATATGGCAGAAGAAGTAAAGGCACGGATACTGAATACTACAAAATATTTCTGGAAGATATTAAAGAAGACCAAAAGTATAGACAGGCGCACCATAGTCATGGGTTGGAAGACTCAATGTGGCTAAGATATCAATTCTCTCCAATTTGTTCTGTAAATTCAATGCAATTCAAATCATAATCCCAGCAGGCCTGTTTTGTATAAATGAACAAACTGATTCTAAAATTCATTTGGTATTGCAACATACCTCGAATAGGCAAGAAAACTGTTGGGGTTTTGTTGTTGTTGTTGTTGGGTTTTTGTTTGTTTGTTTGATTTTTTGTTTTTTGATTTTTGTTTTCCCCCTGAGACAGGCTCTCCACTATTGCCCAGGCTGGAACGCAGTGGCACTATCTCGGCTCATTGCAACCTCAGACTCCTAGACTCAAGCTATCCTCTAGCCTCAGCCTCCCAAGGAGCTGGGCCACAGGCACGTGCTACCATGCCCAGCTAGTTTTTGTTTATTTTTTGTAAAGACAAGGCCCCACTATGTTGCCCAGGCTAGTCTTGAACTCCTGAGCTCAAGCGATCCTCCCATCCCAGCCTCCCAAAGTGCTGGGATTACAGGCATGAACCACCAGCCAAGAAGACTTTGAAGAAGAAGAAATACATTGTAGAAATGACACTATCAATATCAAGATTTATTACTGAGCTACAGTAATTGTATTAAAATGGCATGCTATTGGCATATGGGTACTATAAAGACAGAGAAATACCAAACTCTAAGATCAAAAGCATATAAGGAACTCAAGCAACTTAATAGGAAAATAAATAACCCAATTTAAAAATGGGCAAAGGACTTGAATACACATTTCTCAAAGGAAGACATACAAATAAGCAAAAGATATATGAAAAATGCTCAATATCGCTAATTATTAGGAAAACACAAACTAGAACCACAATGAGATATCACACCTGTCAGAATGGCTATTATCAAAAAAATGAAAGCTAACAAGGTTGGGGAGGAGATGGAGAAAAGTGTACCCTTGTACACTGTCTGCTGTGTACAGTTGACCCTCGAAAAACATGGGTTTGAACTATATGAGTCCACTTATAGTGTATTTTTCCCAACCCATCGTGGATTGGAAGTACAGTATTTGTGGTATAGGAAACCTGTATACATAGAGAGCCAACTTTTCAAACTGAGGGACAATTGAATACTCATTATGGAAAACTGTATGGAACTTCCTCCATACATATGATCCAGCAATTCCACCTCTATGTATGTATCTTAAAGCCTTGAAATCAGTATATCAAAAAGATCTCTGTGCTCGTGCTCCCATGTTCATTGTAGCATGATTTACAATAGCCAAGTTATTTAATCAATTATCAATCGATGAGTGCATTTTTTTTTTTTTTTTTTGAGACGGAGTCTCGCTCTGTCGCCCAGGCTGGAGTGCAGTGGCGGGATCTCGGCTCACTGCAAGCTCCGCCTCCCGGGTTCATGCCATTCTCCTGCCTCAGCCTCCCAAGTAGCTGGGACTACAGGCGCCCGCCACTACGCCCGGCTAATTTTTTGTATTTTTAGTAGAGACGGGGTTTCACCGTTTTAGCCGGGATGGTCTCGATCTCCTGACCTCGTGATCCGCCCGCCTCGGCCTCCCAAAGTGCTGGGATTACAGGCGTGAGCCACCGCGCCCGGCCGATGAGTGCATTTTTAAAAATGTTGTGTATGTATACAATGGAATACTATTTGGCTTTTTTTTTCCCCAGATATATGGTCTAGCTCTGTCAGGCTGGAGTGCAATGGCACAATCACAGCTCACAGCAGCCTTGACCTCCTGGGCTCAAGTGATCCTCTGGCCTCAGCACCCTAAGTAGCTAGAAATATGGGCACATGCCACCACACCCAGCTAATTGTTAAAAAAATTTTTTTTTTTTTTAGCAAAGCAAGACAGAGTTCATTGTAGATTCTGGATATTAGCCCTTTGTCAGATGAGTAGATTGCAAAAATTTTCTACCATTCTGTAGGTTTCCTGTTCACTCTGATGGTAGTTTCTTTTGCTGTGCAGAAGCTCTTTAGTTTAATTAGATCCCATTTGTCAATTTTGGCTTTTGTTGCCATTGCTTTTGGTGTTTTAGACATGAAGTCCTTGCCCATGCCTATGTCCTGAATGGTAATGTCTAGGTTTTCTTCTAGGGTTTTTATGGTTTTAGGTCTAACATTTAAGTCTTTAATCCATCTTGAATTAATCTTTGTATAAGCTGTAAGGAAGAGATCCAGTTTGAGCTTTCTACATATGGCTAGCCAGTTTTCGCAGCACCATTTGTTAAGTAGGGAATCCTTTCCTCATTTCTTGTTTTTGTCAGGTTTGTCAAAGATCAGATAGTTGTAAATGTGTGGTATTATTTCTGAGGGCTCTGTTCGGTTCCATTGGTCTATATCTCTGTTTTGGTATCAGTACCATGCTGTTTTGGTTACTGTAGCCTTGTAGTATAGTTTGAAGTCAGGTAGCGTGATGCCTCCAGCTTTGTTCTTTTGGTTTAGGATTGATTTGGCAATGCAGGCTCTTTTTTGGTTCCATATGAACTTTAAAGTAGTTTTTTCCAGTTCTGTGAACAAAGTCATTGGTAGCTTGATGGGGATGGCATTGAATCTATAAATTACCTTGGGCAGTATGGCCATTTTCACGATATTGATTCTTCCTCTCCATGAGCATGGAATGTTCTTCCATTTGTTTGTGTCCTCTTTTATTTCGTGAAGCAGTGGTTTGTAGTTCTCCTTGAAGAGGTCCTTCACATCCCTTGTAAGTTGGATTCCTAGGTATTTTATTCTCTTTGAAGCAATTGTGAATGGGAGTTCACTCATGTTTTGGCTCTGTGTTTGTCTGGTATTGGTGAATAAGAATGCTTGTGATTTTTGCACATTGATTTTGTATCTTGAGACTTTGCTGAAGTTGCTTATCAGTTTAAGGAGATTTTTGGATGAGATGATGGGGTTTTCTAGATATACAATCATGTCATCTGCAAACAGGGACAATTTTGCTTCCTTTTTTCTTACTTGAATACCCTTTATTTCTTTCTCCTGCCTGATTGCCCTGGCCAGAACTTCCAACACTATGTTGAATAGGAATGGTGAGACAGGGCATCCCTGTCTTGTGCCAGTTTTCAAAGGGAATGCTTCCAGTTTTGGCCCATTCAGTATGATATTGGCTGTGGGTTTGTCATAAATAGCTTTTCTTATTTGGAGATACATCCCATCAATACCTAATTTATTGACAGTTTTTAGCATGAAGTCTGTTGCATTTTGTTGAAGGCCTTTTCTGCATCTATTGAGATAATCATGTGGTTTTTGTCTTTGGTTCTGTTTATATGCTGGATTACGTTTATTGATTTGTGTATGTTGAACCAGCCTTGCATTCCAGGGATGAAGCCCACTTGATCATGGTGGATAAGCTTTTTGATGTGCTGCTGGATTCGGTTTGCCAGTATTTTACTGAGGATTTTTGCATCAATGTTCATCAGGGCTATTGGTCTAAAGTTCTTCTTTTTTGTTGTGTCTCTGCCAGGCTTTGGTATCAGGATGATGCTGGCCTCATAAAATGAGTTAGAGAGGATTCCTTCTTTTTCTATTGATTGGAATAGTTTCAGAAGGAATGGTACCAGCTCCTCCTTGTACCTCTGGTAGAATTCGGCTGTGAATCCATCTGGTCCTGGACTTTTTTTGGTTGGTAAGCTATTAATTATTGCCTCAATTTCAGAGCCTGTTATTGGTCTATTCAGGGATTCAACTTCTTCCTGGTTTAGTCTTGGGAGGGTGTATGTGTCCAGGAATTTATCCATTTCTTCTAGATTTTCTAGTTTATTTGCATAGAGATGTTTATAGTATTCTCTGATGGTGGTTTGTATTTCTGTGGGATCGGTGGTGATATCCCCTTTTTCATTTTTTATCACGTCTATTTGATTCTTCTCTCTTTTCTTCTTTATTAGTCTTGCTGACAGTCTATCAGTTTTGTTGATCTTCTCAAAAAACAAGCTCCTGGATTCATCGATTTTTGAAGGGTTTTTTGTGTCTCTATCTCCTTCAATTCTGCTCTGATCTTAGTTATTTCTTGCCTTCTGCTAGCTTTTGAATGTGTTTGCTGTTGCTTCTCTAGTTCTTTTAATTGTGATGTTAGGGTGTCAATTTTAGATCTTTCCTGTTTTCTCTTGTGGGCATTTAGTGCTATAAATTTCCCTCTACACACTGCTTTGAATGTATCCCAGAGATTCTGGTATGTTGTGTCTTTGTTCTCATTGATATCAAAGAACATCTTTATTTCTGCCTTCACTTCATTATGTACCCAGTAGTCATTCAGGAGCCGGTTGTTCATTTTCCATGTAGTTGAGCGGTTTTGAGTGAGTTTCTTAATCCTGAGTTCTAGTTTGATTGCACTGTGGTCTGAGAGACAGTTTGTTATAATTTCTGTTCTTTCACATTTTCTGAGGAGTGCTTTACTTCCAACTATGTGGACAATTTTGGAATAGGTGTGGTGTGGTGCTGGGAAGAATGTATATTCTGTTGATTTGGGGTGGAGAGTTCTGTAGATGTGTATTAGGTCTGCTTGGTGCAGAGCTGAGTTCAATTCCTGGATATCCTTGTTAACTTTCTGTCTCGTTGATTTGTCTAATGTTGACAGTGGGGTGTTAAAGTTTCCCATTATTATTGTGTGGGAGCCTAAGTCTCTTTGTAGGTCTCTAAGAACTTGCTTTATGAATCTGGGTGCTCCTGTATTGGGTGCATATATTTTTAGGATAGTTAGCTCTTCTTGTTGAATCGATCCCTTTACCATTATGTAATGGCCTTCTTTGTCTCTTTTGATCTTTGTTCGTTTAAAATCTGCTTTATCAGAGACTAAGATTGCAACCCCTGCCTTTTTTTGTTTTCCATTTGCTTGGTAGATCTTCCTCCATCCCTTTATTTTGAGCCTATGTGTGTCTCTGCATGTGAGATGGGGCTCCTGAATACAGCACACTGATGGGTCTTGACTCTATCCAATTTGCCAATCTGTGTCTTTTAATTGGAGCATTTAGCCCATTTACATTTAAGGTTAATATAGTTATGTGTGAATTTGATCCTGTCATTATGATGTTAGCTGGTTATTTTGCTCGTTAGTTGATTCAATTTCCTCCTAGCGTCGATGGTCTTCACAATTTGTCATGTGTTTGCAGTGGCTGGTACCTGTTGTTCCTTTCCATGTTTAGTGCTTCCTTCAGGAGCTCTTGTAGGGCAGGCCTTGTGGTGACAAAATCAGCATTTGCTTGTCTGTAAAGGATTTTATTTCTCCTTCACTTATGAGGCTTTGTTTGGCTGGATATGAAATTCTGGGTTGAAATTTCTTTTCTTTGAGAATGTTGAATATTGGTCCCCACTCTCTTCCGGCTTGTAGAGTTTCTGCCAAGAAATCAGCTGTTAGTCTGATGGCTTCCCTTTGTGGGTAACCTGACCTTTCTCTCTGGCTGCCCTTAACATTTTTTCCTTCATTTCAACTTTGGTGAATCTGACAATTATGTGTCTTAGAGTTGCTCTTCTCAAGGAGTATCTTTGTGGTGTTCTCTGTATTTCCTGAATTTGAATATTGTCCTGCCTTGCTACGTTGGGGAAGCTCTCCTGGATAATATACTGCAGAGTGTTTTCCAACTTGGTTCCATTCTCCCCGTCACTTTCAGGTACACCAATCAGATGTAGATTTGGTCTTTTCACATAGTCCCATATTTCTTGGAGGCTTTGTTCATTTCTTTTTATTCTTTTTTCTCTAAACTTATCTTCTCACTTCATTTCATTCATTTGATCTTCAGTCACTGATACCCTTTCTTCCAGTTGATCAAATCAGCTATTGAGGCTTGTGCATTCATCACGTAGTTCTCATGCCATGGTTTTCAGCTCCATCAGGTCCTTTAAGGACTTCTCTGCATTGGTTATTCTAGTTAGCCACTTGTCTAATCTTTTTTCAAGGTTTTTAACTTCTTTGCGATGGGCTCGAACTTCCTCCTTTAGCTTGGAGAAGTTTGATCGTCTGAAGTCTTCTTCTCTCAACTCGTCAAAGTCATTCTCCATCCAGCTTTGTTCCATTGCTGGTGAGGAGCTGTGTTCCTTTGGAGGAAGAGAGGTGCTCTGATTTTTAGAATATTCAGTATTTCTGTTCTGTTTGTTCCCCATCTTTGTGGTTTTATCTACCTTTGGTCTTTTAATGATGATGACATACAGATGGGGTTTTGGGATGGATGTCCTTTCTGTTTGTTAGTTTTCCTTTTAACAGTCAGGACCCTCTGCTGCAGGTCTGTTGGAGTTTGCTGGAGGTCCACTCCAGACCCTGTTTGCCTAGGTATCAGCAGCAGAGGCTGCAGAACAGTGAATATTGCTGAACAGCAAATGTTGCTGTCTGATCATTCTTCTGGAGGTTTCGTCTCAGAGGGTTACCTGGCCGTGTGAGGGGTCAGTCTGCCCCTACTGGGGGGTGCCTCCCAGATAGGCTACTCGGGGGTCAGGGACCCACTTGAAGAGGCAGTCTGTCCATTCTCAGATCTCAAACTCTGTGCTGGGAGAACCACTACTCTCTTCAAAGCTGTCAGACAGGGACATTTAAGTCTGCAGAGGTTTCTGCTGCCTTTTGTTTGGCTATGCCCTGCCCCCAGAGGTGGAGTCTACAGAGGCAGGCAGGCCTCCTTGAGCTATCGTGGGCTCCACCCAATTCGAGCTTCCTGGCCACTTTGTTTACCTACTCAAGCCTCAGCAATGGTGGATGCCCCTCCCCCAGCCTCACTGCCACCTTGCAGTTCGATCTCAGACTGCTGTGCTAGCAAAGAGTGAGGGTCTGTGGGCGTAGGACCCTCTGAGCCAAGCACAGGATATAATCTCCTGGTGTGCCGTTTGCTAAGACCATTGGAAAAGTGCAGTATTAGGGTGGAAATGACCAGATTTTCCAGGTGCCATCTGTCACAGCTTCAGTTGCCTATGAAAGGGAATTCCCTGGACTCTTGCGCTTCCTGGGTGAAGTGACGCCTCGCCCTGCTTCAGCTCATGCTCGGTGCACTGCACCCACTGTCTGACAAGCCCCAGTGAGATGAACCCGGTACCTCAGTTGGAAATGCAGAAATCACCCGTCTTCTGCGTCGCTCACGCTGGGAGCTGTAGACTGGAGCTGTTCCTATTTGGCCATCTTGGAACCTCCCCTAATCTTTCAGTTTTTTAATTTACAAAGAAAAAAGAAAAGAAAAATAAACTGCTTTTCCTGCTCTCATACACCACTCATACTCACATCTATTGATGCCAGATGTGGGGATTTTTTCCTACACACAAAGGAGGTCTTCAGTGGACACAAGCTGGGTGTCCTCACATTCAATATAATTTGGATGCTACCTACCTGTAGATAGTATTGGATCCCACAGATTGAGGGTTCAGTCCCACAAGACTACCCCTCATTTCAGATGCCAATTGTAAGCTCCAGTTGTGACTGTACTTCTGGACAACTTGCTATCAATCGGGATTCCTGCACACCTCTCCTGGGGTTCACCTAATTTGCTGGAGTGGCTCACAGAACTCAAAAACACTTCACTTACATTTTCCTATTTATTATAAAGGATATCACAGAGGACACAGATGAGCAGCCAGTCGGAAGAGGTACATAAGGTGAGGTATGGAGGAAGGGATGCAGAACTTCCATGCCGTTTCTAGGCATGCCACCCCACAGCAGCTGCTGGGAAGCTCTCCAAACTGTCCTTTTGGGTTTTTATGGAGACCTTGTGACACAGGCATGATTGACTGATTGATTAAATCATTGCCCATTGGTAATCAACTCAAACTTCAGCCCCTCTCCCTTGCCTGGAGGTCAGGGGGTAGGGCTGAAAGTTTTAACCCTCTGATCACATGGTTGATTTCCCTGGCAGCTAGACTTTATCCTGAGCCCACCAATGATACAGGCAGGCTGGCTGGTTTCCTGTTTTGATGTGCTTTAAAGCAAAAGAACCAAAGCCCCTTACTCAAGCTGTAGCTTACCTAACTTCCAATCAATCAGCAACAACAGATCCAAGAAGCTGCTAGCCACAAGTTCCTGCTTTAGGGGGCTATGGACTTCCCTGGGGCCTCACATGTGCCATTACACTTAAACTTCAACTTATAGTTACTCTTTCCTCATTTTAATGCTAAAAATCACACCCAGGTGTGGAGATAGAAAATGCTAGGGATACATGCAATGTATAAAGAAGCACATTGAGCCACTGAGCAAGCACTAAAAAAAAAAAAAAAAACAAAAAACCTTACACATGCCCTAATGAAACCTTTCCCTGTAGAAAAACCCTATAATGCTAACCCACATACTACCTTCAGGGAGCAGCCCACCCTTCTTTTGTTGTGCTGGCTCCCTTGTGCACAAGCTAAATAAAATTTCTCTTTACAGCTATGTCTGGTGATCTCTCTTGATTTCCTGGGAGATTACAAGAACCCAGGGTATGGGTAATACTGAGAGTGGCCTCATTACAACAAAAGATGCTCCTATTACCCAGGAAATCCCAAGGGATTTGGGAGCAGTGTATCAGATGCTCCTATCACTCAGGAAATCACAAAGTTTCTGAGTTCTGTGTGAGAACTGGAGTCAAAGGTCAAATGTGAAAATGAAAGGTTTTTTTAGCACCCCTATCTACCAGGATTTGGGGAGCTCTGTGCCAGGAACTGGGTGGCAGAAACTAAGCATATATTTGTATTATATCACAATATCATAGATACACCAGTAGATCAATGGAAAACAATAAAATCCAGAAATAGATCCACATATATGTGAGCAACTTATTTTTGACAAGGAAATTTAGTAGAGAAAAGGACAGTCTTTTCAACAAATGATGTTGGAACAACTAGGCATTCATATGCAAAAAGAAACATTTATCCATAACATTCACTATACACACAAAAAAATTTTAATGAGTTATAAACCTAAATTTAAAACCTAAAATTATAAAACATTCAAGAGAAAACATAAAATATTTTTTTCAAAATTTTAAGCTAGGCAAATGTTGCTCAGATATATCAAAAGTATATCCCATAAAATAACAAACTGATTAATATATGTCATCAAAATTGGAAATTTTTGCTCTTTAAAATGCAGTTATGAAAACAAAAAGGCAAGCCAAAGACTGGGGCAAATATTTTCAAAGCGTATGGTCCAGAATCTAGAAAGAACTCTCAATACTCACCAATAAAGAAACAAACAACTCAATGTTTTTAATGGAAAAAAATTTTAACAGACAATTCCCCAAAGAAGATATATGGCTGGTTAATAAGCACATGAAAACATGTTCACCTGAGATATCATTAGGAAAACACAAATGAAAACTATAATGCAATACCACTATACATCTATTATAATGGCTAAAATTAAAAATGATATGGAACATATTAAAAGGACTTCATGCCATTGCCAAGTGAGATTTATTCTTGGAATGCAAAGACAGTTCAACATATGAAAATCAGTCAATGTGATACAACACATGAACAGAATGAAGGGGAAGAAACACATGGTCATCTTAATTGATGCAGAAAAAGCATTTGATAATATTCAACAGCCTTGCACGATTAAAAAAAAACACTTAACAAAATAGTAATACAAGTTAACTTACACAACATAATAAAGCCATATATTAAAAATCCACAGCTTCACGCCTCTAATCCCAGCACTTTGGGAGGCCGAGACGGGCGGATCACGAGGTCAGGAGATCCAGACCATCCTGGCTAACACGGTGAAACCCCGTCTCTACTAAAAATACAAAAATTAGCCGGGCATGGTGGCGCGCGCCTGTAGTCCCAGCTACACGGGAGGCTGAGGCAGGAGAATGGCGTGAACCCGGGAGGCGGAGCTTGCAGTGAGTCGAGATCGCGCCACTGCACTCCAGCCTGGGCGACAGAGCGAAACTCCGTCTCAAAAAAAAAAAAAAAAAAAAAAAAGACCTCCACTTTTGTCACTTCTATTTAACACAATATTTCTTGATAAAACTAGAGCAATTGGAGAAGGAAAAGCAATGAAAGTCCTTCAAATTGGAAAGGAAGAAATAAGTTATCTCTGTTCTTAGATGGCATTATCTTATGTGGAGAAAAACCTATATATTCCACCAAAAATAAGCTATTAGAAATAATAAATTCAGCAAAGTTATAAGATACAAAATCAACACTAAAATTAGTTGTATTTCTATATACTAACATTGAATAATCTGAAAAGAAAATTAAGAAAACATTTCCATTTGTAATAGCATCAAAAAGAATAAAATACTGAATACTACAAAAAATCAAAGAAATTAAAGACAGAAATAAATGAAAACATGTTGTGTCAATACTAGCCAAAGTGATCTACAGATTCAACATAATCTCTGTCAAAATTCCAGTGACATTTCCTTACAGAAACAGAAAAACCCACCCTAAAATGTATATGAAATCTCAAGGGACCCCAAATAACTAAAATAACCTTGAAAAAGAAGAACAAAGTTGGGAGTCTCACACTTCTTGATTTCAAAACTGACTGCAAAACAACAGTAATCAAAATAATGTGGCATAAAGACAGACAAATAGAATAGAATAAAGATCCCAGAAATAAACCCTTGCATGTATTCAATATTTTGAATTATTTGCATATATTCAAATAATTTTCTAACAAGACCATTCAATGGGGGAAAGGACAGTCTTTTCAACAAATGGTGTTGAGAAAACTGAATATCCACATGGAAAAAAATGAAGGTGGACACTTACCTTGTACCACATATGAAATTTAACTAAAATTAGATCAAAGACCTAAATGTAAGAGCTAAAACAGGGGAAGTCTACATGACATTGGATTTGGCAATGATTTCATAGATACATCACCAAAAGCACAGGCAACAAAACCAATAAATAGATAAATTGGATCTTATCAAAATTTAAAACTTTTATGCATAAAAGGACACTATCTACAAAATGAAAAAGCAACCCACACATGGAAGAAAGTATTTGCAGATCATATATCTGATAAGGGATTAATAGTCACAATATACAAAGAACTCCTTAACTTTAATGAAAACACAAAACAAACAATTCATAAATGAGTAATGACTTTAATAAACATTTCTCCAAAGTAGATGTACAAATGGCCAATAAGCACATGAACAGATGCTCATCCTCACTGGCCATTAAAGAAATGCAAATCATAATCATAATGAGATATCACTTTGCATCCATTAGGATGCCCATGATGATTTAAAAAAAAAACAAAACTGAAAATAACAAGTGTCGGTGAGGATGCGGAGAAATGGGAACTCTTGTGTATTGCTGGTGAAAAATGTAAATGGTGCAGCCACTATGGAAAGCAGTTTGGCGGCTCCTCAAAAAGTGAAACATAGAATTACCATGTGATCCAGCAATTTCATTTCTTGGTATATAACCAAAAGAATTTAAAATAGGGCCTCAAACAGATACGTGGGCACCAGTGTTCACAGTAGCATTATCTACAATAAACAAAATATTATAATAACCCAAGTATCTATAGACAGAAGAATGGAGAAACAAAATGTGGTGTAGACATACAATAGAATATCATTAACATTTTAGAAAAGAAGGAAATCCTGACACTTATGACAGCCTGGATGAATCTTGAAGACATTAAGCTAAGTGAAATAAGCCCGTGGCAAAAAGATAAATCCTGTATGATTCTACCTATATGAAGTCCTTAGAACAGTCAAATTCTTGGAAACACAAAGTAAAAGTGTGGTTGCCACGAGCCAGGAAGAGAGAGAAATGTAGAGTTATTATTGAATACTTATAGGATTTCATTTTGGGAAAATGAAAAATTGTGGGTAACAATAATAGGATAAAAAAATTGCAAGAGGTGGAGCAACTCTCTTAACACTTTTATAAAATGCTACAACCTCTTCAGAAAAAAAGTTTGTCAGTTTCTTAGTTAACCATACACGTACTATATGATCCAGCTATTCCATCCATAGGTTCTTACCAAGAAAAGAAGAATATGTCTTTATGAACATATTGCCATGGATGTTTTATTTGTAATAACCAAAACTTAGAAACAACTGAAATGCCTATGAACAGGTGACTGGATAAAGAAACTGAGATGTACTCATATGGTGAAATATCACTTGGCAATAAACAGGAATGAATAACGATACATGCAACAACTTAGATGAATCTCAAAGTAATTATTCTGAGTTAAAGAAGCCAGATGCAAAGAGAGTGCATATCATGATATATATTCCTGTTACGTAAAAGTGTCGAAAATGCAAACTAATCAATAGTGACAGAAAAAAGATTAGTGGTTGCCTAGAGAGAGGGATGCATGGAGAGATGGACGGGATTACCAAGAATCACAGGGGAACTTGTGGAGGGGATGGGTATTGGATGTTTTCATTCTCTTGATTGCAATGAAGGTTTCACTGGTGCATGCATAGGTCAAAACAAATCAAATTGTACACCTGACATATGTTCAGTGTATTGGATGTCAGTTACATTCCCAATAGACCTGTACCTCAAAAGCACAAGCAACAAAAACAAAAATAGACGAATGGGACTTAATTAAACTGAAAAGCTTCTGCAAGCAAAAAATAATAATAATAATCAACAGAGTGAACAGACAACCAGCAGAATGGGAGAAAATATTTGCAAACTATGCATCATCCAACAGGGGACTGATATCCAGAATTTATAAGGAACTCAAACAACTCTATAGAAAATAAAATAACCCCATTAAAAAGTGGGCAAAGGACATGAATAGATGTTTTTCAAAAGAAGATATACAGGCAGCCAACAAGCACAAGTGCTCAGCATCACTAATCATCAAAGAAATGCAAATTAAAGCCACAATGAGGTATCATCTTACACCAGTCAAAATGACTATTATTAAAAAGACAAAAAATCATAGATGTTGTCAAGGATGCGGAGAAAAAGGAACACTTACATATTGTTGGTGGGAATGTAAATGAGTACAGCCTCTTTGGAAAACCGTATGAGGATTTCTCGAAGAACTAAAAATAGAACTACCATTTGATCCAGCAGTCCCATTACTGGGTATCTACCCAAAAGAAAAGAAATCATTATATCAAAAAGACACTTGTACTAATATGTTTATTGCAGCTCTATTAACACTAACAAAGATGTGCAGTCAATCTAAGTGTCCATCAATGGATGATTGGATAAAGAAAATGTGATACATAGACACCATGGAATACTATTCAGCCATAAAAAAATGAAATCATGTTTTTTGCAGCAACACAAGTGGAACTGGAGGCCATTATCTTAAGTGAAATAACTTGGAAACAGAAAAGCAAATATCACATGTCTCACTTATAAGTGAGACGCACACCTGTAATCCCAGCACTGTGGGATGCCAAGGCGGGTGGATCACCTGAGGTCAGGAGTTTGCGACCAGCCTGGCCAACATGGTGAAGCCCCGTCTCTACTAAACACACAAAAAAATTAGCCAGGCATGGTGGTGCATGCCTGTAATCCGAGATACTTGGGAGGCTGAGACAGGAGAATCACTTGCACCTCAGAGGCGGAGATTGCAGTGAGCCGAGATCACGCCATCACACTCCAGCCTGGGCAGCAAGAGAGAAACTCCATCTCAAAAACAAAAATTAAAAATTAAAAAAAAATAAGTGGGAGCTAAATAATGTGTACACATGGACTTAGAGTATGGAATAGTAAACACTGGAGGCTGGAAAGGTGAGGGAGATGAGTAATTACTGAGTGGGTACAATGTACACTGTCCAGGTGATAGTTGCACTGAAAGCCCAGACTTCACCACAACACAGTGGATCCATGTAATAAAACTGCACCTGCACCCCTTAAACGTATGCAAATAAAGAAGCAATGCTATGAGATCCAAGCTCACTTCTTTTCCTCACACTGGCTCCTGGACTGCTCCTCCACCCGCCAGGCATGGTTTTGCTCAGGCTCTTTGCCTCTATCCAGCTCACGTTTTTGCTTCATCAGATAGTTACTCAAATTGCACCTTCTCAGTGAGCCCTCCTGTGAGTTTTCTGTTCCTATTGTAAGAAATTCTTACAAATGTTGTGGCTTAAAACCACAAATTTATTCGCTCTTGTTGCTTAAAACCACGAAGTTAGAAGTTGAAAGGGTTTTAAAGGAATAAAGTCAAGGTGTTGGCTGGGCTGCTGTTTCTGGAGGCTGTTCCAGCGTCTGCAGGCTGCTGGCATTTTTTGCCTGCAGCCACCTCTCTCCAGTCTCTGCTTCCAACATCACATCACTGCCTTTGCCCCCATTAACCCTCTTTCCTCACTCATACAAAAGGACCCTGCTGATGGCTTTTAGTTCCTACCTTGATAATCCAGGATAATTCCCCCATCTCAAAATCTCCAGAGTCCTTTTGGCCGCATGAAGTGACACACCCACAGGTCCAGGGATTAAGACACAGCCATCTTTGGGGACCATTACCCAGCCTACCACACTTCCCTGTCTGCCCTTCTAGAATTTCATGACACCTGCAAACACCTCCTGTCCCTCCTACACTCCCTGTTTGCTCTTTGGCATTTTTAGATATTGAAAATGGCATGTATTTTACTTACTTATGTGTCTTCCCCAGTAAATTCTAAACTCCACGAAAACAATGATTTGTTTTGTCCACTGCTGTATGTCCTGATATCAACCCTAGACCCGTGCCTAGAAAACAGAAGGTGTTCAATAAATGATTAAAGGAGAATGAATTCTGTCTTAGTGAGCCTCACACATACCTTGCTTCCCATATTTTCTCTATCTACTCAGAATCTCAGGGGTGGGTACTGTTGCTGCGTGGAATCTGTGTGGGGACTCTAGTGGTTTACCCAGAGACCTGGGGGTTTAGAAAATGAGGCGATTGAGCTACATCCCTGGTGAGTGACCCGGCCATCCACTGCAGCAGCTGCTGGAATTAAATCCAACGCATCTCAGAAGTCCCTCCCTCTCACCAGTTCTTCACAGAAGCTCCTAGGAAACAAGGTCTTCTTTTTTTTTTTTTTTAACTTCCCTTGAACCACCCTCCTCCCAGTAGAAGTTCATGAAATACAGAGTAAATTGAATCAAGTTGAATTGACTGAATTCCCCTGCTCATTCTTCATTATAAAGGATGAGTTTTGTCTTAAATGTTTAATGTTGTCTTTTAAAATAGATTTAACATCTTATTAGAATTCTAGAGCTTTACAGGCAAAAGACTTCTCATGTTTCAAATGATGTTTCGAATTTTTCCCTAATACATTGAGATGGAAGATAATTTTTCTACCCAGTTACTAGCTTTGACCAAGGGTTCCAGAGAAGATATTTTCCTAACTTCCTCAAGGTCATGTACAAACTTAACCCAAAAAAGCTTACTGGGGAAGGGTTCTGAAGTGCAGAAAAAAGCAGATTGCCAGAATGATAAAATGGTGTCTTAAGTTTAGTATTTATTGAGAACTTTATGGGCCAAGTCTCGTGAAAACCACTGTGAACACATGATCTTCTTTTCTCATTGAGGGAGGTGAGGCTCAGGGGGTGACGAAAGGGGCCCACCAGATCTCTAGCCATGCCCCTTCTGTCAACTCAGTGATGCCAAAGGTGAGCCCTTGGGAAATGGCAGAGGACTAGGAAACAGTGGTGATGATGATAATGAAGAAGATGATGTCTGTGAAGACAGTCCCAACGTTTCTGCTTCCCATTTCCACTGAGTCATGCTACCAAACCAATCTGTCCTCCAACTTGTCAACTCCTTCAGTCATTTATTCATTCATTAACTCATTCGGTAGATAATTATTTACCTATAGAGTAACATGTATGATACAAAATGTGAATTTAGGTGTCATCCCTCAAAAACCTACCCATAAAAACAAGTATTTCAATGGCATGAACCTTGAGCTGATATTCTGTTGAGTGTTTCCATCACTTTTGCTGCATCATTTTTACTCTTTTTCCATGCACAAGTATTGATTCTTCTTCTTTTCTGTTGCTTTTGTTGTTGTTGTTGTTGTTGTTTGTTGTTTGTTTTTGATAGGGGTGGGGATCTCACTCTGTCACCAGAGGCAGGGATGCATGATCATAGCTCGCTGTAGCCTTGACCTCCTGTGTTCAAGTGATCCTCCTGCCTCAGCCTCCCGAGTAGCTGGGACTACAGGTGTGCACCACAACACCTCACTATTTTTTTAAATTTTTTGTAGAGGCAGGGACTTGGTAGGCTGCCCAGGCTGGTCTCAAACTGGATCACCTCAAATGATCCTCCTGCCTTGAAAAAAAGCCTTGAAACAAAACCCTTAACTAGCTAGACTCTTGAGGCAGGCTTTATGCCTGGCATGAAGCTTGTCCACGGACACCAGGGCATATGGAAGAGAGGGGTGCAGAATGCAGGACCCTCCCCTTCAATCAGAGATCCTGAGGTCCCCTTGCTTGTCCTCTCACTGGCAGTCTGGCTGCCAGGCTCTGCCCCTTCTTCTCTACCTGACTTTTTGGCACTTTCAACCTCTTCTTCAACCTGAAAAATCTCCTTGGCCTTGATAATTTCCGCATCTGACACCTCAAGCCTACCTTCTCCCATCTGGCTTCCTGAAGTGCTGGGATTATAGGCATGAGCCACCACGCCCAGGTCCAGATATTGCTTCTTGCTGGAATTCCAGAAGTCATGTGGAAGTGGAGTGGTGTATATAAAGCACTCATATACAAGAAGGCTGATCCTGTCCTTCCTGCCTCATCCCTATATCATTACCAGTGATGGGGACTGTCAAGCTCTGTGGCTGGCTGATCCAAACACCAGAAGCTCTGGGATCACCTGGGCTCCACCTGTCTCCATCTCCAGCCCTGATTCTTCCCTTTTCTACCCACTATGCCCATGGCCTCAAAAATGCACAAAGCTCTGCCCCTACTGCCTCCTTGGCTGCTCTTTCCAAAGACATCCAGGAGCACGATCAGGAATCGATCAGCCCTGTCCCAGAGGCCCCAGGAACAGGAATGTGATACAGATAGATGGGAGAAGGCAGTCTTGAGATGTCAGACAAGGAAATTATCAAGGCCAAGGAGATTTTTCAGGTTGAAGAAGAGGTTGAAAGTGCCAAAAAGCCAGGTAGGGAAGGAGGGGCAGAGCCTGGCAGCCAGACTGCCAGTGAGAGGACAAGCAAGGAGGCCTCAGGATCTCTGATTGAAGAGGGTCCTGCGTTCTGCACCCTTCTCTTCACTACTCCCTGGTGACTGTGGACAAACTTCATGCCAGGCACCAAATGCAACCTCAAGCAGGCTGGGGCCCCACAGGCGAGCCCTGCTCCTGGCTAGGGCAGAGACAAGCGTTCCCAGACTCAAGAGTCTAGCTAGTCAAGGGTTTTGCCTCAAGGCTTCTTCCGTTGAGAGACTGGTGTCATGAAAGAAGCAAGGCCCTGGTGTTGACAATAATGCTAATGTGCACAAGGTAGGTGCTTCTGTGGAGCCAGGTGCACTTTCTCATTTGCTAAAGTGTCCACTTAGTCATTCCTTTGCTAACCACAGGGAAGTGTGCTACCAACACGCAGGGGTTCTTATTCTAGAAAATGTTGGGAATTGATGCTTTACCATAAATATAAAAGACTAAGCAAATGTTGACAAATAAATTAAGTAAATCAAGTAGGAGACCACCCAAGTCCAGCAAGGACACACACAGCTATTCATGTATCGCAAGATACAGCCTTGAGGGGCCCTGGCTTGGCCATCAGGGCCAGAGGAACTCCCTCCCCACTAGTCTTCCTCCTCCTGTGACACCCTCCCCTCAGGCCCCTGCCTGGCTGTCTCCTCACATCCCCTCTGCCTCCTAACTGCCCCTCCGCATTCTTCCACACCCACCGACCTCCTCTAGGAACACACCTGTCCTCCAGCTCCGCAGTCCCACCTTGGGTTTCTCCCAGCTCCTATGACACACGACACACTGTCAACTGTGGACTGTTGGAGAACCCCTGAACCACGCCATGCCCATTTCCTCTCTAAGGGATGTTTGCATCAAATTTTATTTATTGTTTCTCAGACCAAAACAATACACATCTATATTATAAACTTTGGAAAGTAGGAAAAGAGATAAAGAAGAAAATAAAAGTCACTCTTAACCTGTCCCCCAGAAATGAATACTATTCGTACTCTGTAGTATTTTTCTCATGTCTGTTTCCTAGGAGGTGGGGGAGGGGGGCGGACAGTACAACCAATTCTCCACATAAACTTTAAAGCATGTTTTGGTTTTTCTCATAAGGTCTTTAGAACCTCGCATTGTGCTTTTACCTAGCAATAAATGCTAATTATTATCAGTGTAATTAAAATTCAGAGGCAAAACAGAGTGATAGAAAGAGAAAGGCTTTGGAATCAGCCATGTCTGGGTCCATACCTCAGGTTGGACTCTGTAATCTTGAATAATGTTTGGTTAACTTTGCTGATTCTAAGTATCCTCACTGGTAAAATGGAAGTAACAATTTATTCGCAGTGTTTGTTGTGAAACTTAAGAGAAAAACAAATACACTGATTTCACTATGGTAGGTGACCAATAAGTGATAATACTACTAGTAGTAAATATTAAGGATAAAGTTAGTGTGTGTTGAAAGATTGAAAAAAAAATCCTATGAAACTAGATAATGAAGACAAAATAATCCTTCTAACATTTCAACAGGTACACTGTAGACTTTAATGAAACACACACACACACACACACACACACACAAAAGCAAGAATATCCCTAATGAAGTCTCATATTTTACTTATTACCATAAAGCATCTGCTGGCTTTTAATTAGGAAGGACAAACGTGTTAGCAAATTATGCCACTTCGTTAGGAGACACATTTGTATAAATGTTTACAAAGAAAACTGCACAGGGTTAGGATTTAGTATGAGTGTTCTCTTCTAGAAATGTTAGTGAAGTTTCAGTACATTCCTGCATAAGCCCCAGCACAAGCTCTAGCCAATTCATAAACTCTCAGGCATTCATTTTTGGTCCTCTGTTCTGTATTAAAAGGCCAGGGCCAAACACAGTAGGCTACTTTTTAGAAAACACCAACCATGTCAATAATAAAACAACCAAACACGCGGTGCTGGTCAAGAGAAGGCTTCTTGGAGTAAGTGAGTCCTGCATGATGAGCTGGACTTTACTGCAAGTAATGGAGGAGAGGGGCACTGAAGCTGGTGTAGGCGTTCTGTCCCAGCACAGGAAGAAACATTGCTTCTGGCTCCCAGGAGGAGCCGAAAGCAGATGTGGGAAGAACTGAGGAGGGGACAGCCCCAGGGGCCGATGGCTCCAGAGGCCATGTTTCTCAGCCCCTGCCACCATTGGAATCCTGGGGAGCACCAGACCATATGGCAGAGCCATGACATCAGGATGCCTGGGGGTGTGACCTGGGTGTCTTTGTTTATAAACATGCCCAGGAGACTGCAACTGAAGGTCATAGTTGGCTCAATGACCCTCAGTCACCAGCATCAGGAAAAGCCTGGGTCCTGCATGCTGCTGCCCTGATAACACACGGGCTGAGCTGCATACCACCGCCTACAACAGCATTGCTTGGCCCTGTAGATATTGTCACACTACCATTGCCTGACACTGCCCATCAGCCAGCACAGAGGAATGTTCAAGGGTCTATGCTGGGCTCCTACCAGACACTTCTCTTACAAGTGTCCAACTCCTTCTACCCGTAGTGGTAGAGGTAGCCTAGCAAGCACCTAACAAGTCTGGTTAAGCTCAGTGGTGCCCCACAGTTACATTAAAATCCTATCTGGGACTTTCCCTACATGATCTCAGGCTCTGCACTCATTTGGAAAAAATCAGTGGTCAGAGCAGGGCCAGCTCATGCTCCTGATGAGCAGCTCCTATTCAACCCTTGATGCTGACAGGAGGCTGAGCTTTCTCCTCTTTCTGGCTTTGGGGATCTTTTCTCTGTGTCCTGTGGCCTTGTCCATCTGCAGGCTGCCTAGGAACTTATGAGGATCCCGTGTTTTAAGAATCGTTGGCTCAGGAAGTTGGCCACCGTAGTATAAAGAAGGAAGGTACCTGGAGCTGCCTCCCTCCAAACTGCCCTGCCTGAAGCCAGCTGCACCTGGACATCACCTGCCTCTGTAAAGGGACGTGGCCACTTCTCCATAGAGGAAAGCCCCATCCAAGGCACAGCTAAGACCAAAGCACTGCCCACCCAGCCAGCGAGGACACGGGGGCCACTTTAGGTTCAGGTAGGTTACCATTGACATAGATGGTGCAATGAAGAGTGGCCAAAGGTACCAGCTCCCCCAGTCTTTGTCCCTCACACCAAAAAGGATGACCGAGAAGCAGAAGGGGTGGGTAAACTGAGCACGGGAGGAGACGTCCCATTCCTGAGAAGCCTGTTCCAGACTGCAGCTGAGCGGCTTCGCCAGCTGCAGCTCTGCTCGAAGATTACAGGCTGAAAGCTCCACAGTTCACCAGAATCTTGGAGGTGATGCGAAACTGCCCCATGACAGCCTCCAAGGGGTAGAGGGCTCGGAGCAGCTCTTCACAGGCCTTCACCCTCTGGTTCTCCGGGAGGACCACGGGGCGTCTTGTCAAGCCTCAGATTAGCTGTGGTGTGGGCCTTTGGCTGCGTGGCCTCTGTGGTTATGTGCAAGGCCACTGGGCAGCAGGGCAGAGTCATCTTCACAAGGCCCACATGCTCACAGGCACTCAGCTGGTCCCCCAGGCCCAGATCTCATGTCCTGCTGGACAGATGTCCTGGACTTCCTGCCCTGTAAGGACAGAGCCAAGCAGCAGCAGGAGAGGGGCTCTGGAGATCTAGGCATCCACTGTGCCGCTCCTGGCTCTAGCTTGAAGAAGGGGATGGAAGAGGTGAGGACAGCAGTGAGAGCTGTCCTGCTAGTCCAGAGAGATGAAAATAGCCAAAACCGGGGTTCAGGGGACGGATGGAGAGACAGGCACAGCTCCTGGAGCTGTTGGGATGGATGAAAGTGTGCTTCTTTGTCCCAAGGGCCTGTGGAGGGACTTGGGAGATAAGGAGTTAGATGGATGAATGCCCGGGGTTCAGCTGGGGCAGCTCCATTTCCTGAGAGAGAGAACGCCGGAGGAGGGCACAGGAGAGATGACCATGGCGAGCTCTGACCTAGAACAGCTGCATGCAAGGTCAGGGGTCCCAGTAGCAGTGGGCAGGCAGGTGCACATGAGTCAGCACATCAGGGGGCATCATGACTCAGCTCGCCGATGGCCAGGGACCTGGGGATGGGATACTGCACGTTCCATCCAGATGCACCAGACACTCACAGGGCAGCCAGGTGAGGGACCCAGAGGGGAGCAGATAGACAATGAACAGTGATTAAAATAGACATCAAGGGGCCTGTAGGAGCAGACGCAAAGGGCACCTGAGCTGGGAGGAGGCACCACCTGTGAGCTGTGTTTTGAAGGAGAAATAAGATGTATTTTATAAACAGTATCTCATGGGAAAATGTATCTGAGACAGGGAGCAGCCTGCCTGCCCTGAGAGGCAGGGAACACCAGGCTGCATTAAGGAACTCACAAGCAATGGTGGCTCAGGCAGAGTGGTCCACACTGAGGGCACACACACGGCTGCTCATGGGATGGTGGGCATAAGGCTCACCAGAGCCACAGCCTCATCCCAGGCACCTCTGCTCCCCAGGCGACCCAGGCCCATCACCTGGAGAAACATTGACTGTGTTGTCTCAAAGCAGCACCTGGTATAAATAGAGGGCTGAGCTGTGGGGAGGCTGAGCCTGGAAACGGTCTCTAGGAAGAAAGTGCTTGTATAAATGACGCACATAGCCGACCTCTGTGCACCGGGGGAGCACAGGCTTTGAGATGTCAGTGCTGTGCATTACAGGAAAACTATTCCTGGTCATGGATTTGAAAAACAGAGGGAGAGGAAATTAATCTCATGTCAGCTAGGCACTAAGTGGCTTTTTTTTTTTTAATCTACTAAAGTGAACCAGGATTCCTAGGAACATTTCAGCTTAAAACACATCGAAGAAAAAATGATTCTCATCTATTTCAGTGACACCAAAAGTAGAGAATCTAGACAAAGGCTTTCTCTTCTGGTTTAAATCACAGCATGAGTTTCTTACAGTCTAGTGTTGGGACATGTGGGGTAAAGTGCTCTCTGGACACAAAGATGGCCCAGGTTGGCCACAGCTCCACAGGCTGCGGGCATCTTCTGGCCCTGGGTGGCCTCCCTTCTCCATACAGCCCCCGGACCTAGGAGGAATTTCTACAGTTCCCTGTTCTGGGGGTCTGGTTCCCAACATTTCCTTAGGCAATACTCTACCATGGGTACCCACATTCTCTGTGTTTGCATTTTTGACAATAAGTGCCCTGCAGCGCATCTGCAGGTACCTTCCCTGCTTGCCAAGCACATGTGAGGGCTTCTCACCTGCACGTGGTCAACATGTGCCTGTCAATTCACGCTGCGTTGTTAGAAATCACGTGCCTGCTGACAGATCTTGCCTTGTCCATACAACAATTAATGCCTTTTTTATTGTTTTATTATAAAATGGATGCATGTGCATTACTTTTACTTTGGGAAATACAAAGGAGTAGAGTTATATACCAATAGAATGCTGAAGCGAAGCCCACTGCCTTTCAACTCCATCATCCAAGCTTGGGCCATGCTTCCTGCATGTATGCAGCCCAGAACCTTGCCTCGGCCCCTCTCAGAGCACACTGCCCTCCTCCCACGCCTTCCTCTGCTCTTCCCAGAGCGTCTGGACCAGCGTATCCTCTATCAGCTTAATGATTCCCAGCCCCCAGTGGGCTGCTTCCTGACTCTTCTCAGCAGGAGTGATTCCCCATTAATTTCTACTAAGGCCAAGTCCACGAGGTTCTGATGGAGGTATCCCAGTGCTGCTGCTCAGGGACCACCTACCTGGGCAAGAATGTGTGTCTGTGTTGGGCAAATATCTGCTGTTCCCAGCTTCTGGGAAGCTGAGTGTCACCTGTTTCTGCTCTCGTCTTCTTCATAGCCAGCAGGATTCATGAGCCAGCCAGCAAGGACAGAGTGCAGGAGTGCAGGCTGCCAGGCTCCCTCCCTCATGCTAGAGCATGGCTCAGAAAGCCCCACCTATGCCATTTATAATAGGCAGAGCCAAAGCCAGGACAACATTTTTTTCTTTTCCTCTGTCTCTCAGTAAACCTTATCTATTGTGACTTACATTTAGAGTGAAATAGAGCGGAAAGGTAAGGCTATTATCCAGCTGATCTGCAGGAGAAAAAAACTAAGCCAACTGCTCTTGCTGACAAAGAAATGTTTAAAGCCAAAAATGTCCTTATGTTCTCTGTTGACCAAATTTAACAGGCACACAGACCACCTCTACAAGCATTTAGTGTGGTTCACTAGAAAAATCAGCCAGGCGCAGTGGCTTATGCCTGTAATCCCAGTACTTTGGGAGCCCGAGGTGGGCAAATCACCTGAGGTCAGGAGTTCGAGACCAGTCTGGCCAACATGACAAAACCCTGTCTCTACTAAAACTACAAAAAAAAAATTAGGTAGCATGGTGATGCACGCCTGTAATCCCAGCTATTTAGCAGACTGGGGCAAGTGGAGTTGGAGGCAACCAGGAGTTGGAGGTTCCAGTGAACCAAGGTCGCGCCAGTGCACTCCAGCCTGGGTGACAGACCCGGACTCTGTCTCAAAAAATAAAAGAGAGAGAGAGAGAAAGAGAGATAAAGAAAAGAAAAGGAAAAGAAAAAAGAAAAGGAGGGAGGGAGGGAAAGAAGGAAGGACAGAAGGAAGGAAGGAAGGAAGGAAGGAAGGAAGGAAGGAAGGAAGGAAGGAAGGAAGGAAGGAAGGAAGGAAGGAAGAGAAGGAGAGATCACAAGCATGATCATTGCATGGAACTGGCCCAAAATGCCCATTCCCCATGTCTGGGAGATGTCAGGAAATTTGCTTGTCACTAAGCTACAACTTTCATATTATAAATTGACAGGCTTCAGTGAGAATCCACGTAAAAATAACTTAGCACAGCATGTGCCACATCACAGGTGCTTAAAAAACACTCCGCTCTGCAGGGCAGCCAACACCTGCTCTTCGTACCTTTACAGCCAGGCTGCCAGTGTGGTCCACTTAAGCCTCTTCTCTGGGCTCCGTCAGCCCTGTGGTGTCTACACTGGAGTTCTGTGCCCTCCACATATTCAGAAGAATTGAAAACAGGGTCTCAAACAGGTAAGTGTGCACCGATGTTCATAGCAGCTTTATTCCCAGTTGCTGGGAGATGGAAGCAGCACATGTGTCCACTGACAGAGCAATGAAGAAACAAAATCCGGTGTATACAGAATGGAATCTCATTAGCCTTGAAAAGCATAGAAATTCTAACACATGCTATAATGTGGATCAGCCTTGAGGACATTATACTGAGTAAAACTAGCCAGTCACAAAAAAGAGAAATACTGATGATTCCACTTATACCAGGCACCTAGAGAAGTGAAATCCACAGAGACAGAAAGTAGAATAGGGGCTGCCGGGGCTGACAGGAGGGGTGCTGGGGAGTTGTTTAATGAGCACGGGGTTTCAGATTTGCAAGATGAAAAGAGTTCTGGAGATTGGTTGTACAACAATGTGAATGCATTATACATTTTTTTTTTTTTTTGAAACAGTCTCCCTCTGTCACCCAGGCTGGAGTGCAGTGGATCAATCTTGGCTCACTGCAACCTCCACCTCCCAGGTTCAAGCGATTCTCATGCTTCTGCCTCCCAAGTAGCTGGGATTACAGGCATGCACCACCATGCCTGAATAATTTTTGTATTTTTAGTAGAAATGGGGTTTCACCATGTTGGCCAGGCTGACCTTGAACTCCTGACCTCATGTGGTCTACCCGTCCTGGCCTCCCAAAGTGCTGGGATTACAGGCATGAGCCACCGCACCCGGTCTGCACTGTACTTAATATTACTATGCTTACACTTTTAAAATGGTTAAGATAGTCAACTGTATGTTATGTATATTTCACCACAATCTGAAAAAACAAATTACCACATATCTTAATCTTCCTTTTTAACAATACAAAGATCTAAAATTTCTGATAACTGATCAACCCTCTCTTATCTTAATGCTATTTGGGGCCTATTGTTTAGTTCGCACCTATTTGTTTGTCCCACAAGTTAGATATCATTGTTTCTGATTATTGTTTTCCATGGTGTTTGGTCTTATCATGGTGTTTGTTTAGATTTACATTTTATTCATAATTTTCTTTCACACTTTTTTTATTCTTTAAATCTATTAAATCAGTTTAATAACCTTCTCTCTCTCTCTCTCTCTCTCTATATATATATATACGTATATATATACGTCTATATATACATATACGTATATATATACGTATATATATACGTATATATATACATATATATATATATGTATATATATACGTATATATATATACTTTAAGTTCTGGAATACATATGCAGAACGGGCAGGTTTGTTACATAAGTATAGATGTGCCATGGTGGTTTGCTGCACCCGTCAACCCATCATCTACATTAGGTATTTCTCCTAATGCTATCCTTCCCCTAGCCCCCCTGCCCCCAGAAAGGCCCCACTGTGTGATGTTTCCCTTCCTGTGTCCATGTGTTCTCATTGTTCAACTCCCACTTATGAGTGAGAACATATGGTGTTTGGTTTTCTGTTCCTGTGTTAGTTTGCTGAAAATGATGGTGTCCAGCTTCATCCATGTCCCTGCAAAGGACATGAACTCATCCTGTTTTATGGCTGCATAGTATTCCATGGCATATATGTGCCACATTTTCCTTATCCAGTCTACAATTGATGTGCATTTGGGTTGATTGCAAGTCTTTGCTATTGTGAATACTGCTGCAATAAACATAAGTGTGGGTGTGTCTTTATAGTAGAATGATTTATAATCCTCTGGGTATATACCCAGTAATGGGATTGCTGAGTCAAATGGTATTTCTGGTTCTAGATCCTCGAGGAATCGCCACACTGTCTTCCACATGGTTGGACTAATTTACACTCCCACCAATAGTGTAAAAGTGTTCCTATTTCTTCATATCCTCTCCAGGATCTGTTGTTTCCTGACTTTTTAATGATCGCCATTCTTACTGGCATGGGATGGTATCTCATTGTGGTTTTGATTTGTATTTCTCTAATGACCAGAGATGATGAGCTTTTTTTCATGTTTCTTGGCCCCATAAATGTCTTCTTTGGAGAAGTGTCTGTTCATATCCTTTGTCCACTTTTTGATGGGGTTGTTTATTTATTGTAAATTTGTTTAAGTTCTTAGTAGATTCTGGATTAGCCCTTTGTCAGATGGATAGATTGAAAAAATTTTCTCCCATTCTTTAGGTTGCCTGTTCACTCTGCTGATAGTTTCTTTCCTGTGCAGAAGCTCTTTAGTTTAATTAGATCCCATTTGTCAATTTTGGCTTTTGTTGCCATTGCTTTTGGTGTTTTAGTCATGAAGTCTTTGCCCATGCCTATGTCCTGAATGGTATCGCCTAGGTTTTCTTCTAGGGTTTTTATGGTTTTAGGTCTTACATTTAAGTCTTTAATCTATCTTGAGTTAACTTTTGTATAAGGTGTAAGGAAGGGGGCCCAGTTTCAGTTTTCTGCATATGGCTAGCCAGTTTTCCCAACACCATGTATTAAATAGGAAATCCTTTCTCCATTGCTTGTTTTTGTCAGGTTTGTCAAAGATCACATGGTTGTAGATAAGCAGCATTATTTCTGAGGCCTCTGTTCTGTTCCATTGGTCTATATATCTGTTTTGGTACCAGTACAATGCTGTTTTGGTTACTGTAGCCTTGTAGTGTAGTTTGAAGTCAGTGTGATGCCTCAAGTTTTGTTCTTTTTGCTTAGGATTGTCTTGGCTACACAGGCTCTTTTTTGGTTTCATATGAAATTTAAAGTAGTTTTTTCCAATTCTGTGAAGAAAGTCAATGGTAGCTTGATGGCGATAGCATTGAATCTATAAATTACTTTGGGCACTATGGCCATTTTCACAATATTGATTCTTTCTATCTATGAGCATGGAATATTTTTCCGTTTGTTTGTGTCTTCTCTTATTTCCTTGAGCAGTGGTTTGTAGTTTCCCTTGAAGAGGTCCTTCACATCCCTTGTAAGCTGTATTCCTAGGTATTTTATTCTCTTTGTAGCAATTGTGAATGGAAGTTCACTCATGATTTGGCTCTCTGTTTGTCTATTATTGGTGTATAGGAATGCTTGATTTTTGCACATTGATTTTGTATCCTAAGACTTTGCTAAAGTTGCTTATCAGCTTGAGGAGATTTTGGGCTGAGACAATGGGGTTTTCTAAATATACAATCATGTCATCTGCAAATGGAGACAATCTGACTTCCTCTATTCCTATATGAATACCCTTTATTTCTTTCTCTTCCCTGATTTTCCTGGCCAAAACCTCGAATACTATGTTGAATAGGAGTGGTGAGAGACTGCATCCTTGTCTTGTGCCGGTTGTCAGAAGGAATGCTTCCAGCTTTTGCCTATTCAGTATGATATTGGCTGTGGGTTTGTCATAGATAGATTTTATTATTTGAGATACGTTCCATCAATACCTAGTTTATTGAGAGTTTTTAGCATGAAGGTTGTTGAATTTTATTGAAGGCCTTTTCTGTATCTGTTGAGATAATCATGTGGTTTCTTTCTTTGGTTCTGTTTATGTGATGGATTATGTTTATTGATTTGCGTATGTTGAACCAGACTTGAATCCCAGGGATGAAGTCAACTTGCTCATGGTGGATAAGCTTTTCGACGTGCTGCTGGATTCGGTTTGACAGTATTTTATTGAGAATTTTTGCGTTGATGTTCATCAGGGATATTGGCCTGAAAATTTCTTTTTGTGTTGTGTTTCTGCCAGGTTTTGGTATCAGAATGATGCTGGCCTCATAGAATGAGTTAGGAAGGAGTCCCTCTTTTTCTATTGTTTGGAATAGTTTCAGAAGGAATGGTACTAGCTCTTCTTTGTACCTCTGGTAGAATTTGGTGGTGAATCTGTCTGGTCCTGGGCTTTTTTTGGTTGGTAGGCTATTAATTACTGCCTCAATTTCAGAACTTGTTATTGGTCTATTCAGGGATTCGACTTCTTCCTGGTTTAGTCTTGGGAGGGTATATGTGTCCAGGAATTTATCCATTTCTTGTAGATTTTCTAGTTTATTTGCATAGAGGTGTTTATAGTATTCTCTGATGGTAGTTTGTATTTCTGTGGGATCGGTAGTGATATCTACTTTATACTTTTTTATTGTGTCTATTTGATTCTTCTCTCTTTTCTTCTTTATTAGTCTGGCTAGCAGTCTATCTATTTTGTTAATCTTTTCAAAAAACCAGCTCCTGGATTCATTGCTTTTTTGAAGGGTTTTTTTTTTTTTGTCTCTATCTTCTTCAGTTCTGCTCTGATCTTAGTTATTTCTTGTCTTCTCCTAGCATTTCAATTTGTTTTCTCTTGCTTCTCTAGTTCTTTTAATTGTGATGTTGGGTGTTGATTTTAGATCCTTTCTGCTTTCTCCTGTGGGCATTTAGTGCTATAAATTTCTGTCTAAACACTGCTTTAGCTGTGTCCCAGAGATTCTGATATGTTGTGTCTTTGTTCTCACTGGTTTCAACGAACTTATTTATTTCTGCCTTAATTTTGTTATTTGCCCAGTAGTCATTCAGGAGCAGGTTGTTCAGTTTCCATGTAGTTGTGCGGTTTTGAGTGAGTTTCTTAATCCTGAGTTCTCATTTGATTGCACTGTGATCTGAGAGACTGTTTGTTATGATTTCCATTCTTTTGTATTTGCTGAAGAGTGTTTTACGTCCAAATATGTGGTCAATATTAGAATAAGTGCAATGTGGTGCTGAGAAGAATGCATATTCTGCCAATTTGGGGTGGAGAGTTCTGTAGGTGTCTATTAGGTCTGCTTGCTCCAGAGCTGAGTTCAAGTCCTGAATATCCTTGTCAATTTTCTGTCTCATTGATCTGTCTAATATTGATAGTGGGGTGTTAAATTCTCCCACTATTATTGTGTGGGAGTCTAAGTCTCTTTGTAGGTCTCTAGGAACTTGCTTTATGAATCTGGGTGCTCCTGTGTTGGGTGCATATATATTTAGGGTTGTTAGCTCTTCTTGTTGCATTGATTCCTTTACCATTATGTAATGCCCTTCTTTGTCTTTTTTTATCTTTTTTGGTTTAAAGTCTGCTTTATCAGAGACTAGGATTGCAACCCCTGCTTTTTTTTTTCTTTCCATTTGCTTGGTAAATATTCCTCTATCAATTTATTTTGAGCCTATGTGTGTCTCTGTACATGAGATGGATTTCCTGAATACAGCACACGGATAGGTCTTGATTTTATCCAATTTGCCAGTCTGTGTCTTTTAATTGGAGCATTTAGCCCATTTACATTTAAGGTTAATATTGTTATGTGTGAATTCGATCCTGTCATTACGATGCTAGCTGATTATTTTGCCCGTTAGTTGATGCCATTTCTTCATAGTGTCAATGGTCTTTACAATTTGGCGTGTTTTTGCAGTGGCTGGTACCGGTTTTTCCTTTCCATGTTTAGTGCTTCCTTCAGGAGCTCTTGTAAGGCAGGCCTGGTGGTGACAAAATCTCTCAGCATTTGCTTGTCTGTAAAGGATTTTATTTCTCCTTCACTTATGAAGCTTAGTTTGGCTGGATATGAAATTCTGGGTTGAAAATTCTTTACTTAAGAATGTTGAATATTGGCCCCCACTCTCTTCTGGCTTGTAGGGTTTCTGCAGAGAGATCTGCTCTTAGTCTTATGGGCTTCCCTTTGTGGGTAACCCCACCTTTCCCTCTGGTGACCCTTAATATTTTTTTTCCACAACAAAAGAAACTACCATCAGAGTGAACAGGCAACCTACAGAATGGGAGAAAATTTTTGCAACCTACTCATCTGACAAAGGGCTAATCCCCAGAATCTACAATGAACTCAAACAAATTTATAAGAAAAAAACAAACAACCCCATCAAAAAGTGGGCAAAGGATTTGAACAGACAATTCTCAAAAGAAGACATTTATGCAGCCAAAAAACACATGAAAAAATGCTCGTCATCACTGGCCATCAGAGAAATGCAAATCAAAACCACAATGAGATACCATCTCACACCAGTTAGAATGGCGATCATTAAAAAGTCAGGAAACAACAGGTGCTGGAGAGGATGTGGAGAAATAGGAACACTTTTACACTGTTGGTGGGACTGTAAACTAGTTCAACCATTGTGGAAGTCAGTGTGGTGATTCCTCAGGGATCTAGAACTAGAAATACCATTTGACCCAGCCATCCCATTACTGGGTATATACCCAAAGGATTATAAGTCATGCTGCTATAAAGACACATGCACATGTATGTTTATTGTGGCACTATTCACAATAGCAAAGACGTGGAACCAACCCAAATGTCCAACAAGGATAGACTGGATTAAGAAAATGTGGCACATATACACCATGGAATACTATGCAGCCATAAAAAAGGATGAGTTCATGTCCTTTGTAGGGACATGGATGAAGCTGGAAACCATCATTCTCAGCAAACTATCGCAAGGGCAGAAAACCAAACACCGCGTGTTCTCACTCATAGGTGGGAATTGAGCAATGAGAACACATGGACACAGGAAGGGGAACATCACACACCAGGGACTGTTGTGGGGTGGGGGGATGCGGGAGGGATAGCATTAGGAGATATACCTAATGCTAAATGACGAGTTAATGGGTGCAGCACACCAACATGGCACATGTATACATATGTAACAAACCTGCATGTTGTGCACATGTACCCTAAAACTATAATAAAAGTATAATAATAATAAAATAAAATAAAATAAATATTTTTTTTCATTTCAACCTTATCTGATGATTATGTGTCTTGGGGTTGCTCTTCTCAAGGAGTATCTTTGTGGTATTCTCTGTATTTCCTGAACTTGAATGTGGGCCTGTCTTGCTAGGTTGGGGAAGTTATCCTGGATAATGTCCTGAAGAGTGTTTTCCAACTTGGTTCCATTCTCCCCATCACTTTCATGTACACTGATCAAATGTAGGTTGGTCTTTTCACATAGTCCCACATTTC
Organism: Homo sapiens; assembly: GCF_000001405.40. Classification (NCBI taxonomy): domain Eukaryota; kingdom Metazoa; phylum Chordata; class Mammalia; order Primates; family Hominidae; genus Homo; species Homo sapiens. The sequence continues at coordinate 128,825,172 of NC_000002.12, read as the reverse complement.
TTGGAAGCTTTGTTCATTCCTTTACATTCTTTTTACTCTAGTCTTGTCTTCACACTTTATTTCATCAAGTTGATCTCTAATCTCTGACATCCTTTCTTCTGCTTGATCAATTTGGCTATTGATATTTGTGTATGCTTCATGATGTTCTCGTGCTATGTTTTTCAGCTCCATCGGGTCATTTGTGTTCTTCTCTAAAGTGGTTATTCTAGTCAGCAATTCCTCTAACCTTTTCTCAAGATTCTTAGCTTCCTTGCATTGGGTTATAACATGCTCCTTTAGCTCGGAGTAGTTTGTTATTACCTCTGAAGCCTACTTCTGTCAATTCGTCAAACTCACTCTCTGTCTAGTTTTGTTCCCTTCCTGGCAAGGAGTTTTGACCCTTTGGAGGAGAAGAGACATTTTGGTTTTGGGAATTTTCACCCTTTCTGTCCTGGTTTCTCCTCATCTTTATGGCTTTATCTACCTTTGGTCTTTGATGTTGGTGACCTTCAGATGGGGTTTTTGTGTGGGTGTCCTTTTTGCTGATGTTGATGCTATTCCTTTCTGTTTGTTGGTTTTCCTTTTAACAGTCAGGCCCCTCTGCTGCAGGTTGGCTGGAGTTTGCTGGAGGTCCACTCCAGACCCTGTTTGCCTGGGTATTACCAGTGCAAGCTGCAGAACAGCAAAGATTGTTGCCTGTTCCTTCCTCTGGAAGCTTCTTACCAGAGGAACACCCGCCAGATGCCAGCCGGAGCTCTACTGTATGAGGTGTCTGTCAACCCCTGATGGGAGATGTCTCCCAGTCAGGAGTCACAGGAGTCAGGGACCCACTTGAGGAGGCAGTCTGTCCCTTAGCAGAGCTCAAGTGCTGTGCTGGGAGATCCACTGCTCTCTTCAGAGCTGGCAGGCTGGAATGTTTAATTCTGCTGAAGCTGTGCCCACAGCCGCCCCATCCCCCAGGTGCTCTGTATCAGGGAGATAGGAGTTTTATCTATAATCCCCTGACTGGGGTTGCTGCCTTTCTTTCAGAGATGCCCTGCCCAGACAGGAGGAATCTAGAGAGGCTGTCTGGCTACAGAGGCTTTGCCGAGCTGCAGTGGGCTCTGCCCAGTTTGAACTTCCCGGCAGCTCTGTTTCCACTGTGAGGGGAAAACCACCTACTCAAGCCTCAGTAATGGTGGACACCGCTTCCCCCACCAAGCTCAGGCATCCCAGATTGACTTCAGACTGCTGTGCTGGCAGCGAGAATTTCAAGCCAGTAGATCTCAGCCTGCTGGACTCCATCAGGGTGGGATCCACTGAGCTAGACTACTTGGCTCCCTGGCTTCAGCCTCCTTTCCAGAGGAGTAAACGGTCTGTCTAGCTGGCGTTCCAGGCACCACTGGGGTATGAGAAAAAACTCCTGCAGCTAGCTTGGTGTCTGCCCAAATGGCCACCTAGTTTTGTGCTTGAAACCCAGGGCTCTGGTGGTGTAGGCACCCGAGGAAATCTCCTAGTCTGTGGGTTGTGAAGACCGTGGGAAAAGCATAGTATCTGGGCCGGAAGGCACTGTTCCTCACAGCACAGTCCCTCGTGGCTTCCCTTGGCTAGGGGAGGGAGTTCCCTGATCCCTTGTGCTTCCTGGGTGAGGCAACACCCCACCCTGCTTCTGCTCACCCTCTGTGGGCTGCACCCATTGTCTAACCAGTCCCAGTGAGATGAGCCGGGTACCTCAGTTGGAAATGTAGAAATCACCTGCCTTCTGCATTGATCTCAGTGGGAGCTGCAGACCAGAGCTGTTCCTATTTGTCCATCTTGCCCAGGTCGCACCCTCTTTCCCATTTTTTTAAAGTCATTTAAAGGCATTTAAAACCCTCATTCTCCTCAATTTTTTTCTCCCTGAAATTCACTCTTTAGAAGTCCCTCCAGTGAGTATATTTATTGGTGTTTACTCCTCCAAGTTTTTGTTTATATGAAGATATTTTTATGTCTTTCTCATTATTTAAAGATGGTTTTGCTGATGACAAAGTGTTATGTTGACAGCCACTGTTTCTTGGTATCTGATGTCTTGAGCGTTCATTATTGCTATTCAGAAGTGTGCCCTGAGCCCACTGTTTCTTTACTAAGTTGAAGATTTTTGCCCTCTGGCTACTATAAGATTTTCTTCTGGCTTCTTGGTTTGGTAGGTTCTGTGTCTAGTTCTGGTTTTTTCTTTGGATTTGTTGTCTTTTTTGGTGTATATTGGGTTTATTGGATCTGTGTCTTTCTTCACTTCTAGAATATTTTCAGCCATTATTTATGGCTGCTTTTTTTCCTCTTTTTCTTTCCGCCCCTGGAATTCCAGTTCAGCTTTCTCATTCTCATTCTGTCTTCCATGTGACTTAAACCCTGCCTCAAGCTCTTCCCCTCCTGTCTGCACACTGTTTGTGGAAGAGTGGCCTAGAGTGTCTAGTCGGCTGTACTTGAAGCATCCATTGTCACTTCAGGTCCACACCCTGAGAAAATGTGTCCATCCTGAGAGTAAAAACCCACCGGAAAATGGATTTGGAAGTGCCCGGTGTGTCTCAAGGGCCAGTTGAGTGGGTTGTGCAGATGTCTATCTGCATCGCAGGAAGGGGTGCATCCTCAGGGAAGAGGGGTCAGAGGAGAAAGTGGCAGGCACCTGCCCTCTCCCACCAGGTCGGGGGCGAGGTGGGTGCAGCAGGGTGATTGGTGCTCCTATTGTCACAGCCTGTCTCCACCATCAACAACCAGCCACCTCCAGGGGAGAGAACAGACCATTCTATGAAAGAGCTGCTTTGTGTGTATGTGTGGGGTACTTTCTCCACTTTATCAAAATACCTAATGAAACAAAGAAAGGTGCCCCTGGCAGCACCAGGAGGGGGCTCTGGCCGACTCAGAGGAGAGACCCCACTGTGCAGTAGCTGGAGCTTGGCTTGGTGGCTGCGCTGCTCTGTTCTCCTTCCTGCCCCACCATGCACCTCTCTGGTCTCCTCTAGGGCATTTCCTAAAGTGGCACCTGCTCATGTACTGCCCGTCTAAACGCACCGTGGTTTCCTGCTGCTCTTTGGATGAAGATCGAACACCTTTGCTTTGGTTCCACACACTGCGAGGTATGTCTCCAGCCTGTTTCCCGCTTCCCTGGTCCATTTCACTAAATCAAATCACAGCTAGCCCATGCTTACATGGCATGCTCATAAGGCTGGCATTTTCCTCAGAGCCCTCAGAGCCATTTCCTCAGCGTAATCATCTTGTGGAACTTCTCTAACATCTTCTCCTTCCAACCCATCCAGTTCCCACCCACATTAATGGTGAGATTGCCCTGCAGTGCTCACATTCCAAACCTGGAGCAGCACCTGGCCTGAGCTGGCATAGCATGTTTCTTGACGAGGTAAAACCAAATGTGGGCACAGCCCATAGATGGTCCAATTTCGTTCAAAGGGGAGGGACCTGGAAATGGGAAGGATGTGAGTGGGCCCACCCCATCTCCTTTCCTCTGCTGCCATGACCCCACCCATCCCCAAAAGCATCACTTTTCCATCCCTGTCCTGGTTAATGTAATCAGTACCATCCTGTAAGCCCGAGGTACCATTGCCCCATTGCCACTTTAATAACAAAAATATTAGCTACCTTTACTCATCACTTACCTGGTAAGGCTCATTTTCATTTTTGCTGATCCTCTAAACAACCCTGCAAGGAAATTATTTTTAACTCCCTCATTCAGGTAAGACACCTGGTTATCCATGGCTGTGTGATAAAGGACCCCAAAACTTAGAAGCTTAAAACAGCCACCACTTGATTATAGCTCATGATCTGTGGGTCAGGATTTCAGGCAGGTCCTGGCTCAGTGCTGGTTCCATCCCTAGCAGGAGCCATCCACAGAGGCCATGGCTGCACTCAGCTGGCAGATGGACTGGGCTGGAGGGCCCAGGGTGGCTTCACACCCTTGTCTGTCTGGGACTTTGGTTGGGATGACTGCCAGCTGGGCTCAGCTGAGGCTGAGGCCCAAGTGCCCACAGGAGTGGCCCCGTCAGCTGACTGCCTCCTCATACAGAGGCTCAGGGCTTCCACAGCTCCCAAGAGCCTGGGGCAGAAGCTGGAGGGCTTCAAATGATGTGTCTTCTGTAGTAGCAAAACCTCCCTTCTACTGCAATCTATGGGCCAGGAAAGTCATCCCAGGCCAGTTCAGATTCAGGGGATGATGCCATCCCTCAATGGGAGGGGCAGCATGGGTTTTGCAGCCATTTTAATCCAACACCAGGAAATTGAGGCTGACAGAGGCCGATGGCTTCCTTGCATCTTCACAGCAGGAGACGGTGGCCCAAGAGTTGAGCCAGGGGCTGCAGGTCATCCAGCCATCTCTGCACTCTTTGGAGAACCAGAACCTGCTTTCTGAAAGTGAACCAATTTGCTTTTTAATTAAAAAAAGATATTTAAGATAAAATGACTTCAGTTTTCCCTCATGGAAATTAAGGCAGAGAAGAGAAATATTTTAAAGCTGCCAGGAGTGATCCATCCATTGGCTGGCCTGGGGCTCTCTGCTTGGCCCACCAGGTGCTCTGGCAGAGGCTCCAGCCAAGCCTGGGCACCAGGCCGACAGAGCCACTGGAAAGAAAAGATGCGTCATCCCAGCAGACACATCCCTGGGATCCCCAAACAAGCTAGCAAGGAAAGACTGAAATGCACGCACTTATTTCAGGCAAAGTGCTTCCTTGACCACTCACACAAATATCACAGAATGAGCCTCCGAGTGGGCCTTACCATGCCATCATGTTGATGATGAGACTAAATTTCTGTTGTCCATAAACACTCCTGGTATAATTTGCTTGTGTGCATATATGTGTGTAGTATTTGTTATTCATTTGCTTTTATTTAGCTTCCTCGTGGTTGAGTTCCTGGGAGTGTTTCCTTATGAGAACGTCCTCCATGGGCTAGTGGGGGGCATTTCCAGCCACCAGTTCCCTCCCGATGACAAGCATGTAGATGCTTAGCTCTCTTCAGAGCACTTTGAAAGCTGTGACTTGCCTTCAGTCTGGGTGCGGGTGGGGCCGGAGGGGAAGCGGCTTCTTCGGAATCCTTCCCTGAGTCCTTGCTTCTCAATATGCAGGAGGCACCAGAGTCACTCAGCTTAGGGGGAGGTGACTCTTAGCATTCTTACCCCTTTTAGTTCAACACCCTTTTGTAACCTTTCACTTCCACTCATCTACAGCTATTTCCAAGCATGAACCCAAGGTATGAGCAAACTCTAGGAAGCCCCTAATCTTGGTGGAATCCCAGTTCTATTTGGGCATTGGCTCCTGAATGCTCGTGACCCTGCCTAGGATTCCCAGCCCTCTGTGTGGGGCAGTCTTTCTGAATCTTGTTTGAAAGGATGGAGGAAAGCCCTCTGGACTAATGAGTGAGAGCTTCAGAATCTCAGAACCCCAGAAATCCCACAAAGCCAGGGCACCTGGTGTACAGGATACTCAAGGGCCAGGGAATCTAAAGGTCACCTAGTCCTGGAATGTGGGGTTCTGGGATGCTGTTGCAGGGGCCCAGGGATCCTCCAGGCTGCCCAGCAGAGCAGCCCTGCTTCTAGCCGTCTTACTTAGAGGGGGTCCCTCAATGCTGTTTTGAAGACCAAGCTTTGTGACAAAAAAAAAGTAAGAAAAAGTATACAACTCAGTAAAATATGCCAACCCAGAGGCTAATTCTTTTTCTGCTAATGATGAAGCATTTATGTGGCCACATCACAGGGGAATGCTGGAAGCAGTAGAGGGAAGGATATGAGCAGGGCTGAGCTCGGGGATGGAGGGCCTAATCCACCTCTCAAGGTGTCTGCTCAATGCCTGGCCTAGGGAGTTCTGAGATGAGGGCTCAAGTTCGTGGAGTGACAGAGGGAGGCAGCCCCTGTCATCAGTGCAAAGTCGAGGGGCACCTGTGCAGCCTGGCATGGAGGGACACTTCCCAGCAGAGATGGCCTTTGACTGAGTTTCTGCAAGCAGTGGACAGGTGCTCCCAGGAGGACCAAGTGGAAGAGGTGCTTCCAGCAGAAAGATTAGTAAGACCAAGGGCCTGAGCAGGCGAGGGCTGGAAAATAAGGGTAAGAAGGCTGGGCTGGGCTCCTGAGAGAAATTTCTGTGGGCTGTTTGTGGTGCCAGAAAGAATGGACCACTTCCGCTATTTAACCGTGCTGTGATTATGAGCAAACGCCGGAGCCTTTCTGATCCTCTGTCCTGTTATCGATAAATGGAGTTCCTAGCCAACAGGGCATCCCTGAGGAGGGGCTGATATAAGCACCAGCACAGCGCTGGTCCATGAAGAGGCTCAGGAAGGCATGGGGCTGTGGTCATGACTGCCCCAGCATGACAACGAGGGCCTAAGACTCTAATTAGACTTATCAATTGTTGATGAGCACTTATTGGAGTGCATTAGACTTCTGTTGTCCATAAACAGTTCTAGTATAATTTGTGTGTGTGCATATTTGTGTGTAGTATTTGTTATTCATTTGCTTTTATTATTTAGCTCCCATGTGGTTTAGTTCCTGGGAGCCTCAAAGAATAAAGTATTTCATGTAGATTCCACCCCTAGGTTTATTTTCATGGAGCTTGAGCAATGGCCCCTCTCAGAGATGGGAGGTTTATGGCCCAGCAGTCAAACACTGTACCAGGAAATCCATTAAGGCCTCCATAACCAAGACAACTACAAATACTCATTAGCTTAAAAAAAGCAAGTCAGCCACTTACAGATTGTCCGCTGGATTTATCACTTAATTAGCATTTCATGAGAATTGTTTGTTAAGGATGAGAAACCAACTTTCTGGAATGACCTTTCCCTTTTGATTTCAAGAGAGGGTTACAGGAAGAAGTGAAGCCTTTGATTAGCAAATCAGCATCAGACTGAAGATATTGCAGTAAGTGGACCCCAGGGAATACAGAGGCGCTTCAAGTAATGCTGGGAGTGAACTGCATTTTACAGCATAGACAAGACCTATAAAGGTATAAGTACATGAAATGCAAAGGTACTAATGCCCTACATGTTTCCCTAAATAAAAGCATTTCCCTAAATAAAAGGCGTTGCACAAAATTATTTGTGAAATTAAGAAAATACAGGTCAGAAAGACAGTGCCTTCCTCTTCTGCTTAACTCAACGTGCCCATTCATTCAATAAACATCACCAAGTCCCGGCCACGTGCCAGACACTGGGATGGGTGGTGGGGACTCAACAATCAACAAAACAGCCAGACGATGTCTTGGTTTTTGGTGCACCGGGCAACTCAGACATGAATCAAGTAATTACACAGACAACCCACAGCCAGTGGAGGAGAAAAGCAGAGAGCCTGATCTGGTCTGAGGGATCAGGAAAGAGGAGTCTGCCCAGGGACATTTGAGCTCATGTGAATGAGCAACAGAAGGCACCAGGAGAGAAGCAGAGCTTCCCAGGAGAAGGAAATGCCAAGTGTGCATGCCCAACCACGGAAAGGGCTTAAATTCAAGGGACCAAGAGAAAGTTCAGAAAATAGAGAAAGAAACCGGGCTCTAGAAGCTGGAGCAGTCATGGGTTGCAACCATGGCCTTCCAGATGTTTTCTGGGTGGTCCGTGAGCACAGCCTGAGAGCAATTAGGAGAAATCTGTGTCCATGGGGTCATCCTCCAGGAAGCAAGCACCAGACAGAATTTCAAGTGTAAACTATTTATTGAGCATAATCTACTTGTGGGTGAGAAAGTTAGGAGGCACCTGGCTGCAGAGGAGGTAGAAAGAGCCTCAGACTGAAGCTCAGCTCTGAGAAAGCCTGGGCCAGCCTCCAGGGGCCAGGACAAACATCACCCATGGAGGAACCTGTTGTGGCAGGAATGGTGAGCCATCCCAGCACCCCAGGATTCAGTCACTGGCAGGCAACAGCTAGAACGCAGGTGGTCCCAGCTGGATAACTGAAGCAGTGCAGGAAGATACCACAGCTGGAGGCCGTCAGACAATGGCACTTCCTGCAGCAAGCCTGCTCAATGGGAGATCTGAACTGCACTTTCGTAGATAGCTGACCACTGAAGAATTTAAAGCGCACACGTGAAAATATCCAATTTACTTCTCATTTGCTGTATTTTAAAAACCCGTTTTGAGATATTGCGGATTGATAAATAGCTGTAATAAATATTACGGACTGATCCCCTGGATCCTTTACCCAGTTCTTCCAATGGTAACATCTTGCAAAACTGTAGCCCAGTATCACAAGAAGGATACTGATGTTGATACAATTCACCAAGCTTACTCAGATTCTCCAGTTGTACTTTTACTTATTTGTGTGCATGTGCATATTTAGTTCATGCGATTTTATCACATGAGTAGTTTCATGCACCCACCACCAGTCAAGACACAAAGCAATTCCATAGCTACAAAGGTGCTGATGTTGACTTTTTATACCCACACCCACCGCCCACCCATTGTCCCTCCAATGCCATCCCTAACTCTTGGAAACCATCAATCTACTCTCCAGTAATATAATACTATGATTTCAAGGATTTTATATAAATGAAGTCATGCATAAGCTGTTGGAATTCACATTTTTCACTCAACATAATTCCTTTAAGATTCACCCAAATTGTTGCATATATCAATAATTTCTTCCTTTGTGTTTCTTAGCAGTAATTCATGGTATACAAGCACAATCATGCATCACTTAATGACAGATATATATATATATATATACATATTATATATATATATATATATACAGATTATATATATATACATACAGATTTTATATGTATATAAAATACAGATTTTATATGTATATATATACACATACAGATTTTATATATATATATAAATTTTTTTTTTAAATGGAGTCTTGCACTGTCACCCAGGCTGGAGTGCAGTGGCGCAATCTCGGCTCACTGCAACCTCTGCCTCCCGGGTTCAAGTGATTCTCTTGCCTCGGCCTCCGAATAGCTGGGACTACAGGCACATAACTCCACGCCTGGCTAATTTTTTGCATTTTTAGTGGAGACGGGGTTTCACCATGTTCGCCAAGATGGTCTCGATCTCCTGACCTCGTGATCCACCCACCTCAGCCTCCCAAAGGGCTGGGATTACAGACGTGAGCCACCGTCCCTGGCCGCAGGGATACATTCTAAGAAACGCATCATTGGGTGATTTTGTCATTGTGTGAACATCATAGAGCATTCTTACACAAACCTAGATGGTACAGCCTACTACACACCTATGCTATATAGGATAGTCTATTGCTCGTAGACTACAAACCTGTCCAGCATGTTGCTGTACTGAATATTGTAGGAACACAATGGTATTTGTGTATCTAAATATAAATAAACATAGAAAAAGTACAGTAAAAATATGGTATAAAAGATTTTTTAAAATTGCACACCTGCGTAGGGCATTTACCATGGATAGAGCTTGCAGGACTGGAAGTTGCTCTGAGTGAGTCAGTGAGTCAGTGGCGAGTGAATGTGAAGGTCTAGGACATTGCTATGCACCACGGTATACTTTATAAACACTGTACATTTAGGCTACACTAAATTTATAGGAAATATTTTTCTTCCTTCAATAATAAAATAAACTTAGCTTACTGTAACCTTTTTTAAGCACATATGTGAAATTATCCAATTTACTTCTCATTTACTGTATTTTAAAAACCCATTTTATTTTGAGATATTGCAGATGGCTAAACAGCTGTAATAAATAATACTGACTGATCTCCTGGATCCTTTACACCAGCTTCACCACAAACAAGCGAGTAATGCTTCCACTACATCATTATGATGGCTATGATGTCACTGGGCAGTAGGAATTTTTCAGCTCCATTAGCATCTCATGGGACCACCGTCATATGCAACACTTGACGGTACTATACCTTTGTCCCTCAGTTTCTATGGAGGATTGGTTCCAGGGCCCCTCAAACCCAAATCCAGGGATATAAAATCTGGGGATGCTCCAGTTCCTTGTGTAAAATAGTGCAGTATTTGCATATACCCTGTGCACATCCTCCTGTATACTTTAAATCATCTCTAGATTACTTACAATACCTAACACAATGCCTACACATCATTTCATTCTCCTGAATTCAACGCAGTGCTGGGCATCCGGCAAATTTAAGTTTTGCCTTTTGAAACTTGGTGGAATGTTTTTCCAGATATTCTCAATCCTCAGTTGGTTGAATCCACGAATGGGAAACCCATCAAGGGCCTACTGTACCACAGTTTGTTTAACCATTCACCAGTTTAAGGATATGTGAGTTGTATCCAATTTTGGCTATTAAGAATACAGTTACTATGAGCATGAGTGGTGTTTTGTGTGAGTACAATTGCTCAGTGATGTGGCATGTTAAGTATGATAAGAAACTGCCACACTACTTTCCAAGGAGGTTTACCCCTTTGCATTCCAACAGCAATGTGTGGCCAATTTCTCAGCATCTTCTCCAGCACTGGTGCCATCACCATTTTTATCTTAGCCATTCTGATAGGGGCACAGTGATATTGTATTGTCACTTTTCATTTGCATTTCCCTAATAACTAATGAACATATTTTTGTTAGCTTATTTCTCATCTGTATATCTTCTTTGATGAAATGTCTGTTCCTGTCTTGCCTCTTTCAAGTCACATGACTTGTTTATTAACTGATGAGATTTAGGAGTTCTTTATATATTCTAACCAATGTCTTTTGTTGATTGTGTGGTTGGCAGATATTTTCCCCCTCTTTGTAGCCTTTCATTCTCTTAACAGGATCTTTCACAGAGTGAAAGTTTTAATTTTAATAAGGTCCAATTTATCAATTTTTCCTTTTATGGGTCATGCTTTTGGTGTTATCTTGGTTCCAAAGATTTTCTTATTTTTTTGTAAAAGTTGCATAATTTTCAATTTTACATTTGAGTATCTTAGCCATTTTGCATTACTTTTTGTCTAAGCTGTGAGGTTTAGGGGGAAGCTTATTTATTCATTTGCCTGTGAATGCCCACCTGCTGCAGCACCATTCCTTGAAAGGACTATCCTTCTGTTTTTCACATCTTTGTTGAAAATTGGTCATTTTATGTATTGAAACATTGCTATGTACCCCATGAATATGTACAATTATTACTTGTCAATTAAAAATTTAAAAAGAAATAAAATATTAGAATATGTATGTGAGGTAGTGGTAAGTCATTCTGGATGTAATAAACCAGGTGCAATGGGTCTGCCTGGGGGGCGGGGGGAAGTGTATTGTATGAAGAATGGCCAGGGAAGGCAGCACTATGAATGTGACAAGCCAACAGACATGGCAGCATTCAATAGGGCACTTAGTGGATGTTCAGAAGGGAACCAGATGTGTGTCCACAGGGTTGTGCTCCCTGCAGTGGGGCCAGTGAGTGAAAGGCCCTGAGGCAGGCGGTGCCTGGCACGTCTGGGCTGCCCCAGAAGGGAGGAGGGCAGCCACAGCCGGGTCAGGAAGACAGGGAGACAAAAGCATTGGACATAACCGGGGCTGGGGTTTGTGAAATGAGTGTGATGCAGGGAGAGGGGCAGGACACGGGAATGAGTGAGAGGGAGCAAATTGTGACTGCACTCAGCTGGGTAGGAAGAGGTGCCGCCATGGGGAGGGTGCGGTCATAGAAAGGCAGTGGATGAATGGGTTGCTGGTATCAGGTGGGGTGCTGACATTGCTGGAGTCAGGAGCCAAGGGGAATGGGCAGGGGAGAGGGTGATGAGCTGGGGCAAGGTGTGGGGACCTGCAGTCTCTGGCTGGGATGGGAACAGGGCTTGGGTGGCACCTCTCTGAGTGGCTGGAGCAGAGAGAGGCCTAGTCACTGAGGAGACTGAGAAGCTTGGTTGGGGTCACCCAGCTGGAGATGTAAATCCCCAGGAACTCTGACAGGTGGTAGGCAGAGAGACAGGCAGAAGGTGGGTCATGGGCAGGAGGTAGGTTGGGGGCTGGGGCGCTGACAGGGGTGGGAGGAGGTAGGGCAAACGCAGTGGGGAATAGTGAGGAGGGAGGAGGGGAGGAAGTTGGGAGGGAAGCAGGAGGGAGGTGCTGGGGGTGAGGTGGGAGGGAGGGCAGCTCTCCCTGACTGCTGGAGCCCTTGTGTATGGCCCAACCCACACCTGGGTGTCCTTGACTGTTCTGGGACCGTGGTCTCCTCTGTGACCCTAGCTCCAAGGTCTCAGCCCCAGAGCCAGTCTGGTTGTCAGACCCCATTGTCCCCATTTGGCAGCAGCAGGTGACCTTGCTGACTTCAGTGCCAGACTCCCCTCTTTCAGCATAGGCACCCCTGTTTCTGCAGCCCGGGTCTGCCCCTTCCCAGCATGAGAACATAAACACTCCAGCGCCTGGAGACCTCTGCCTGCCCTCTCAGTCCCACGTGCTGGGGGACCTCCGGTGGTGCAGGGATCCCTGGCCACACTGCAGGATGGCCCTGTGTGGGGTGCCAGGGAGTAGCAGAAGTCAGGAGCCTCCCTCCAGCCTTCCTGTGGCCCCTGCTGGCTTTCCCCTAGCCACAGTGTGCTCTCACTTCCAGTCCCACGCAGCCCCTCCCTGTCTCTGTCTGAAGAATCTGCTGACCACACCGTCTCCTGACCAGGCCACTTCTTCCTACAGACAAGGGTTGTCTCAACAAGCATGTGTCCTGTGACCCCATCACAATCGAGTGACAGAGCCAGCCCACTGCCAGACTCCAGCCAAGCATGAGGCGGCTATGCCTTGGTCAATGGGGAGCTGCAGGCATTGCAAAGGGTCACGGGGTACCCTGCTGGGCATTTGGGCTTTTGGGCAGAAGACAGCCAGGCCATGATGGCAGCTTTACCTCACACTGCCATCCTCATGCCCTTCCTCCTCCATGGGTGATGGGGCGGAGAGAAGGCATGGCACTGATGGGCCCCAGGGAAAGAGGATCAGCAGATGAGGTCCAGTGCCGTCGGGGCAGTGGCACTTCATGCTTAGGAAAGGGATGAGCAAATGGATGGGAAGCCCTTGCAGAAGCCGGTGGTTGGTGTAAACCTGACATGTGGGACAGATGCCATGAGGACAGTCCGACTGTGTCCTTGGGTCTGCGCTGAGACAAAGCCTACCAGCAGGGCTTTGGGGCAGGTGGGTGTCTGGACCCCTGTTTTCTCAGTGCGTCTCCCCTGGTGGACCAGGCTCCCCACAGCTGAGAGCTCCTAGTCTTGAATGGTTCTCCACGGAAGCTGGCCCCTGGTCTCTCAGAGAGGTGGCTGAGGACAGCATTGCACAGAGAGGGCACTTGCCTAAGTGAATGGGTCCAAAATGGACATCTGGGATGGGAAAGTGCAGATGCCTGCATGCTACCCTGAGATTCTGACTCGGGGGTTCTGGAATGGGGCCCAGGCATCTGAATGTTCAGAAACCTGCTGGGCAATCCTGATGGTCAGCCAGGTTGGGCATTTTTAGTGGCCTAGATGGCCCCCAAAGACTATATCTCTATTCAGCAAGGCAGCCTCTCCTTTCTCTGGCAGCCCAAGGACTGAGGACTGCCAGGTGCTGTCACCTAAGTCCCCTCCCGGATGCCTTCAGCTCAGGAGAATGCCTATACCCTGGGCTTATACACAATGCTGAGCCAGAAGCCCTGGGGCCAACCCCAACAACATGGGCCCCACACTGGTCATGCCTCCTTCTCAGCAGTGCCGTGAGGACCAGATAGGCTTCCTGGACATCGGCTTTCCTGGAAGAAAAGCCTTCTCGGGAAAGGATCACTCCCAGGCCAGGCCACAGCCGACAAGCAGCTCCACCCCAGAAGTAAAGCTGTTCCCTTTCCCCCAGTGACACAGGCACTGCTCCTGCCCAGCATGCATTCCTGGGTTTCTGCTGAGAAGACCTGGTAAGAATCTAAGATGCTGAACATTGCTGCTTCTGGCCCTTGGATTGGTTTCCTGGCAAACACATTAGCTGTAAAGAAAGGTTCAGGCTGATTATTTCCTCCTTTACAGCTGACATTTCCCAGAGTTCCAGGATAATGTACAGAAGGAAGCCCTTCATCTGTTTCTTTGATTTCAAGCAAAATTGTAGGTAAAAAAGGGTCCTTCTGTGGATGCAAACTTCAGTGCACACCTGGTATGGTCAGATGGCCCATGTCTCAGAGGACAGGAAGGAACTTTACCTGGGATGGACAAGGCTTGGGTTCCCATCCTGTCTTGACTTCATTTTACTGGTTGACCTTGGGCTGGTCACATCCTTCTAAGGGCCCCAACTCCTCATCTGTAAAGAAACAGTGTGGGAGGAGATGGTCTCCCGGACCCTCAGGCTCTAACACGTATGCCTTTATGAACCACTGAAAGTTGTGTTAAGGTGCATAAAACCACTCTGTAATAACTCATCCCATGTTGCAAATAGCCGATAACTGTTATAGGGAGACAGGAAAAAAGGGCTCTGCATCAAATAAGTAACAACACTGTAGGAAGGGACCCAGTTGGTAGGTGGACCAGAGATTAGGTATGCCTCTGTGTATTAGTCTGTTCTCATGCTGCTAATAAAGACATACTCATGACCAGGTAATTTATAAAGAAAAAGAGGTTTAATGGACTCACAGTTTTACATGGCCCAGGAGGCCTCGAAATCATGGCAGAAGGTGAAGGAGGAGAAAGGCACATCTTACATGGTGGCAAGCAAGAAAGCATGTACAGGGGAACTCCCCTTTATAAAACCATCAGATCTCATAAAACTTATTCACTCTCATGAGAACAGCACAGGAAAGACTTGCCCGCTCCCACTGGGTCCCTCCCACAACATATGGGAATTATGAGAGCTACAATTCAAGATGAGATTTGAGTGGAGACACAGCCAAACCATATCACTCTGTATGACTTAGGATGCTTTGGATAGCAATAAGTAGAAAATCCTATTGAATATGAATTAAACTCCAAGAGTAGTTACTTTTTATTTAAGAAGAATTATGAGTTAATTCGGCAACTCGATGATATGATTCAAGAGCCAAACTTTTTCTGTTATCCTAGCTGCCATCATCTGCGTAGATCACATTCTCTTTCACAGCTACAAAGCAGCTGCCACTGCTCCAGGCATCGCACTATCATACAACAGCATCTTGAGCAGGAAGTAGTAGAGGACAGAGGCAGTTTAACCTCGGTCACCCCCAGCACACATCACCTTAAGTTTCATTGGCCAAAACTGGGTCACATGATCATGTCCAGACCAGTGACTCACAAAGGTGAATGAGATTGCTATGATTGGCTTAGATCTGTCTTCAGTCATTCCCTGGGGCTGAGCACATTGCCATGTGAGAGAATTAGGGTTCTGTTGACAAGCCATAAGGGAGGACTAGCTTCTTGGTCAGGCTACAGATACACACTGTGGCTTACCATCATTCCCTTTCACCCATATATGCAATTTGCTCCCAAAAGAAGGGCCCTCAAAACTTATCTGAGTACTGCATGCAGCTCAGAATCAGGTCCATTGGGATTTGTGCAGCCTCTTCCTCAGTTCAGCACTTGATTCCTAGTCCCAAGTAATTCAAGCTAAAATATTGCATTCTTACCTAATGAGCAGGCAGAAGAGAAACAGGGTTACTGCAATAAACTAGAAGAGAAACAGAGTTACTGCAATAAACTCTGCCCACTGAGGAAGGGAAGACTATGATAATCACAGTGACATAGGATATACCATAGCCTGTGAAGGGGTTAAGGAGGACTCCCTGTTCTCAAGACCCAGTTTTGCTCTCTGGGAGTACCTGTCTTTTCTGTTTACCTGCATGGTTTTACTCAGGTGGACAACAGGGTGTGCACCTCTCCTAAAAAAGTTTTCGGCCATGCATGTCTCTTGATTCCAGTTCCCAGGGTTAAACAGTTGCAAAATCACATGGGATAAGGAGACTATCCCATGTGTGATTCATGGAATAGCCATGACTCACATGATAAGGTGGATAATTTGATGTCTTAAAAGCATATTGGATACTACACAGGGTTCAGATCAGGACAAAACAGCATAAACCCATTTCTCCCTGCCCCTGCCCACCCTTCACAACTATAAACCCTGGAAATCATACCAAAGAGCCAAAGCAGAACTCTGAAGGGTGAAAGAGGAATTTGAGCTGGATAGAGACCTTGGGAATGAAGAAACAGCATAGGAGTAGTCTTACAACCCCTCCTAACAGAAGAAGGTGACTCAGCCCTGCAGCCTAGCAACAGAAGGCAGTCCAGGCTCATTCCTCCCACAAATCAAGCAGGAGTCACCCCGACAACATCAGGCAATCCCAACACACTGGTAAGGGGGATCAATTGGGAGACCCATTATAAGTAAGTAGCTACAGGAAGCACCTTTCTTCCCCCCCAGCCTGAGATGCCCCTTTTCCAGTGAGGTGGGCGAGTGGGCAGAGCCGGCCAGAGAGCTACAGCAGGTGGCCTGGTGTGGATCCTCTCTTTGTACCTATGGGCCTAACACTCTCCTCCCTCACCCAGGGGCACAGGGCATTAGGGGCAGAGTAAGAAGATGCCCCATACCGCAACCTCAGCAGCCCAACCTGTAAGAACCCCTTTTGCCCCTTCAAGCAGCACTGGCACAGGCCACGGGGACATACAGTTACAGAAGATACACCAAGCAAGCAGGCCAAAGTCATGCTGCAAAGATGGAAAATTAACCCACCATTGGAACCACAGCACACAAAAGCAGGCCAGCAACTGTGTGCTTAAATAGAGTGACTGTCTACTAAAAATAGAAGATTTAAATAGCATCCAAGGCACTTCTGACAAATAGACAAAATGTCCAAGACACAATAAAATATCACCAGTCAAAAAAAAAAAAAAAAACACACAAGAAAATCACAACTTGAATAAGAAAAAAAAAAACTTACACCATCACGGTAATGAAACAAATGATGGAATTTTCTGTAAAGAATTTAAAACAGTCATTATTAAAATGCTTCAACAGTCAGGCGCAGTGGCTCACTCCTGTAATCCTAGCACTTTGGAAGCCTGAGGTGAGTGGATCACTTGAGGTCAGGAGTTCGAAACCAGCCTGGCTAACATGGTGAAACCCTGTCTGTACTAAAAATACAAAAAAATTAGCCCAGCACAGTGGCAGGCACCTGCAATCCCAGCTACTTAGGAGGCTGAAACAGTAAAATCACTTGAACCTGGGAGACAGAGGTTGCAGTGAACCAAGGCCGCACCACTGCACTCCAGCCTGGGTGAGACAGCAAGACTCCATCTCCAAAAAAAAAAAAAAAAAAGCTTCAACATTCAATTACAAAATATTTTGAAATAAATGAAAAAATAGGAAAGAAATAGATGTTATAAAAAGCAACCAAAGGGAAATTATAGATCTGAAAAAATCAATAACAGAAATGAATGAGCTCAATAGTAGAGTGGAGATGATGAAGGTTATAGTTAGGTAACATGAAGATAGATCAATAGCATTCACCCAATCTGAACAAACTAAAAACAACAAACAAAAATAAAAAACAAGATGAAGTCCTCAGGGATCTGTAGGAAAATAACAAAACTTTGAAACTTCCAGCACTTGTATGGTCAGAGTCCCAGTAGGAATAAAAAGGAAGACCTGAAAAAGTATTTGAAAAAAATAGTTGACAACCATCCTAAGTTAGATGAAAAACACAAACATAGAGATTCATTAAAATGAGCAAAGCCCAAATAGGATACACACAAAGAAATCTAGGACAAGGCACATCATAATTAAACTCTTGAAACCTAAAGACGAAGTTAAAATCTCAAAAGCAACTGGAGAGTAGTGACACCCTATGTGTGGTGAATACCATTTGGATGACAGCAGATTTCTCAGCTGGAACCATGGAGGTCAGAAAGAAGTGGCACAATATTTTTCAAATGCTGAAAGAAAAGAACCATCAACCATGAATTCTATATCTGGTGAAATTATCCATCAGAAATGAAGGGGAAATAAAAAAATTGTCAGATTAAAGAAAACTAAAAGAATTGGCCACCAGCAGACCTACTTTTAAATAATGGCTCAAAAAATTCTTTACATAGAAAGAAAATTATAAAAGAAAGAATTTTGGAGCAGCTGGAAAGAAGGGGAAACAATGGAAGGAGCCAAAATATGGGTTCAAATAATATAGTATTTTTGTGCTTATAAGTTTTATAAATAACATTGGATTACTGAAGTAAAAATTGTGACACTATCTGAGACCAAAAGTAATGATATTTAGAAGTGGGGAAGGAAAACAAACCTAAGTGGAAGTGAGGTTTTCACATTTCACTTGAAGTGAAATTTTTAGGATACCATGTTGATGCCAGATCAATAGAATCCACTCAGTCTGAATGATAGAGAAAATCTAGACTGAAAAGCAAAACAAGAACAGAGCCTCAGGGATCTGTAGGAAAGTAACAAAATTTCCAACATTTGTACGGTCAGAATTCCAATAGAGGAAAGAAGGAAGACCTGAAAAAGTTTCTGAAAAGTACACTATTCTAAGTCACATATATGTATGTTGTAATACTCAACCACTAGGAAAACCGTACGATGAAGTATTCTCAAAATACTATAAATAAATCAAAATATTATCCCACACATATTCTCAAGTAATCTGCAGGAAGACAAGAAAAGAGAAATAGTAACGAGAACAATAGGAAACAAAACCCAAATAATAAAATGATAGACAAGCTATTAAGTAACATATTAATAGTTAGCATAAATGTAAATAGCCTGAATACCCAATCAAAACATAGCAGTTGAAAGTGAAAGGATGAAAGTTAAAGGATAGGAAAAGATATACCATACAAACAATCAAAACAAAGCACAGCAAAAGGGGCTATCGTAATATCCGATAAGACCAAATTCAGAGTCAAAAAAATTACCACAGACAAACAGGAACATTATGTATTGATAAAAGGGTCAGTCCACCAGGAAAACAGAACAATCCTGAATTTGAACAAACCACGGAGCCTTGAAATGCTTTAATGAATAGAGATAAAAGGAGAAATAGACAAATACATTACTAGAGTTGGAGACGTCAACACTTTTCAAGAATGGATGCAACCACTCTACAGAAATTCATCAAGGATATGGAAGATCTGAAAAAAACAACCAAGGAAAGGGGTCCCACTGACATAGAACACTATGCTCGAGAAAAGTAAATATGCATCTTTTTCAAATCTGCATTCACCAATAAAGACCACATCCTAGGCCATAAAGCAAACATCAGCAAATTTTAAATAATTGAAATAATACAGAATATGTTTTCTGATCACAATGGAATCAAGCTAGAAATCACTAACAGTCTGAAAACAGAAAAATCTCTAAAGAGGTGGGATTAAACAACACACTTCTAAATAATCCATGGGTTGACTAGGCAGTCTCAGAGGAAATAAAAGTATACTTAGAACTGAATGAAAATGAAAACATAACATATCAAAGTTTGGAGTGCAGGCAAAGCAAGGCTGACACTAAATGTTTATATTAGAAGGGAGGAAAGGTCTCAATTTCATAACCAAAGTTCCTACCTCAAGAAACTAGTAGAAGAGCAGAATAAATGAAAAGAAAACATAAAATCAAACTTAAAGAAATACCAGCAGAAATCAATGAAAAAGAAAGTAGGAAAATATGAGCATTTCCCAAGAGTCCTCCTAGTTTCAGTGATTCACTAGAATCACAGGACTCAAATGCAATCATAGTCACAAATACAATTTGTTACCACAAAAGAATATAAAGCAGCATCAACAAAGGGGGAAAAGCTCATAAATGAAGTTCAGGGAAGACCAGGTGGAAGCCTCCAGGAGTCTCTTTCCATTGAGCTTCACGAGACTCACTTAATTCTCCCAATACAAGTTGTGACATGTGCAAAGTGTTTCCAACTGGGGAAGTTCATTAGAGACTGATTCATAGCTTCCAGGTTCTTATTGGGAACTAATCCTACAGGCAGCCTCTGCCTGGCCCTACCCAAATTTCAAAAGGAAAGTGAATGCTTAGGATAAACAGGCTGTTGATACAAACAGTTCAGGTGTAGGGAACCGCTTTCTCATATGTGGAAACAGTGAGAGTTCTGAAATCTAAGTTTCTAGGGTCAACCTGGTAAACAGGCCTTTCAAAGGATAGCAATCTCAGACCTCCTCCTTTTGTGCAGAAAACAATAAAATAAATCAATGAAACAAAAAGCAAATTATTTGCAAAACATCAAGAAAAAATTTAAACTTTTTGCCAGGCTGAAAAAATGGAAAAGCTAGAAGACACGAATGATCCATATCAGGAATGAAATGGGATATCATTACATACCCTGCATCAGTTAAAAGGATCATCAGAGAAGAAATAGTGTAGACAACTTCATGCTCATGAGTGTTACGACATAGAAGAAGCAGTCCACTTTGTTGAAAACCACAAATTAAAACTCAACCAAGATTAAATAGATGATCTGAATACCTTTGAAATCATTAAAGACATTTATTTTGTAATTAAAATCTCTAGAAAAAAATGCTGAGACTCAAATGGTTTTCTGGTTAATTCTACCAAGTAAGTCAATAATTAGTACAATTTTAACAATTATAAGAGGAGAAAAGACTTCCTAACTCATTTTATGAGGATAGTGTTAAAATACCCTGATACCAAAACCAGAAAAATATAGTACAAAAAAGGTTACTGAAGACCAACGTCTCCCATAAACTTAGACCCAGTAATTCTCTATGTAATATTGGCAAACTGAATTCATCAATTTATAGAATTATAGAATGTTAACAAGTGGGATTTATTTCAGGAATGCTTTATTCATTCAATATGCAAAAATTAATATATTTCACCATATCAACAGGCTAAAGAGGAAAATTCATATGATTATATCAGTTAAGGCAGAAAAGGCATTTGGTAAAATCTAAGACCTACTCATAAAAAAACCTCTCAGCAAGTTACTAATAGAGGGAAATTACCTCAATTAAATAAAGAGCTCCAGCAATGATCCTACAGCTAACATCATACTTAGTGGGGAAAGAACAATTGCCTTCCCCCTAAGAAGTGTTATAAGACAAGAATGTCCTCTTTCATCACTTTTACTCAACAAACTGGAATTTTTATCCACTGCAATGAAACAAGAAAAAGAAACAAAAGACACACAGGATGGGAAGAAAGAAATAAAATTATCTCTATTTGCAGATGACATGATTATCCATGTGCAAAATCCCAAGGAATCTCCAAAAATATCCAAGAAGTAATCAATGTATTCAAATGGTTGCAAGATATGAAATCAACATTCAAAAATAAATTGGATTCCTATGTAGTTAACAGTGAAATGCAGAAATCAGAATTTTAAATGTTGATGATGAACATCAAATAAATGAAGAGACATGTGGTGTGCATGAATTGGAACATTTAACATAGTAAAAGTGCCGATTCTCTACAAATTAATATATAGGTTTACTGCAATTCCTACTGTAAACTAAAAATAATTTCCTCCTAAGAAGTTGTTGTTTAGGATCCTAATTCTAATTTGGTGGTGCATTCTAAGGAGTCTTTTCCACTGGCTTTCCTCCCAAAATTAATCAGAAAAGTGCTTATGTGTTTTATAGCTAATTGCTGTAAGGCTGCAAATAAAACCAAGATTACAGTAGCTCAATGCATGGAAGTTAAAGATAAGTCCGTTTTGTGACCTCACCTTTGGCTTTTTGTTTCTTGACCTCTTACTTTTAAAAAAGTGTTTTTTAAGTGGTAATAAATGCTTGTCCACATCCATTCCTATCTGGTCTAGAACATTTAATTGGCTATAAGTCTTCTGACTCTAAGTCCCTCAGCCATAGGGAGTCCATCAAGGAACAGGATGGACCTCGGGCAGGCTGCCATGCCATCCCGGCAACACTACAGGACTAAATAAAAATGTGGTGGCTGGCCATTGATGTTGCCCCTGGCAAATCTTGGTTAGAGGAGGTGAATGTAAACCAAAAATAAAATTCAAAGTCCCCCTCTCACCATCTGAATGAACCACTCCTCTTGGCCAAGGACATGCCAGAGTTAACCTGAAAATCTAGTTCAGGCCATGATGGAAGAAGGGGTTGGACATGCCTCATTACACCCTCCAGCACTAACATCAACACAGCATTACACCCTCCAGCACTAACATCAACACAGCCCTTACATCTGATAAGAAACATGTACAATCTATTCTCTCTGAAGCCTGCTACCTGGAGGCTTCATCTGCATGATCAAACCTTGATCTCCACAACCCCCTATTGTAACCCACGCATTCCTTCCTACTGATAATAATTCTTTCAACCAATTGCCAATCAGAAGACTTTTAAATCTACCTATGATCTGGAAGCCCCCCACTTCAAGTTGTCCCACCCTTCCAGATTCAACCAGTGTAAGTAAGTCTTACATGTATTGATTAATGCCTTATGTTTCCCTAAAATGTATAAAAGCAAGCTGTACCCCGACCACCTTGGGCACATGTCATCAGGACCTCCTGAGGCTGTCACAGGCACATCCTTAACCCTGGCAAAATAAACTTTCTAAATCGACTGAGACCTGTCTCAGATACTTTTGGGTCACACTATGAAAATTCATCAAAGATTTTTTTTTGTAGAAACAGACTAGCTTATTCTAAAATTTATGTGGAAATAAATGTAGAGTAGCTAAAACAATCTTGAAAGAGAAAAATGAAGTGGGAGGAATTACTCTACCAGGTAGCAAGTGTTAATATACAGCTACAGAAATCAAAGACAACTGGTTCCTGCATAGATCAATGGACCACATTAGAGGATCCAGAAATAGACACTTATAAATATGCTGAACTGATTTTTGACAGAGGTACAAAACCAATGCAATGGAGGAAGAATAGCCTTTTAAATAAATAATTGATTTATTGGATGTAAAAGAAAGGAAAGGAAAGGAGAAGGAAGGCGAGGAAAGGGAAGGGGAAGGGAGAAGGAAGGAAAGAGAAAAGGAAGGAAGGAAGGAAGGAAAAGGAAGGAAGGGAGGAAGGAAAAGGAAGGAGGGAGGAAAAATGAAAGAGAAAGAGAGGGAGAAAGAGAGAAAGAAAGGAAGGGAGGGAGGGAGCAAAGAAAATAAAAAAGTTATTATTGATCTAAACCTCACACTTTATACAAAAAGTAATTCATAGCAGATCACATATGTAAATATAAAATGCAAAACCATAAAATTTGGGGGGAAAGTAGGAAAAATTCTTTGGAATTTAGGGCTAGGCAAAGAATTCTTACACTTGACATCAAGCACAGGATCTATAAAAGGAAAATATGATAAATTGTACCTCATCGAAATGAAAAACTTTTGCTCTATGAAGACTCTGTTAAGAGAAGGAAAAGGCAAACTGTGGAACAGGAGAAAAAATTGCAGATCATATATCCAGCACAGGACTCGCATCTAGAATATAATGAGCCTCCAAAATTGAACTGGAAACAAAAACAATTCAATTCAAAAGACATGAACAGATGTTAAAAGGATATGCATATGGTAAATAAACACATGAAAAGATTTTGGAACTGGAGGGCAGATGAGCAGTTGCCAGGGCCTGGGGAACTGTGCCAATGTGGTTATAAAAAAGCAGCCCAGGGATCCTCTGGATTGGAAGTGCTCTGCATCTTGAATATAATGGTGGATTCATGAACCCACACAGCTGAAGCAATTGTGTAGAGCTTAATACACATGCATATACATAAATGACTGGAACTAAAGCTGGGGAAATTTGAGTAAGGTTGGTGGCTGGTTCTGATGCTATACTATTGTTTTACAAAATGTTACCACTGGGGAGATGGGCAAAGGGTACAAGAGCTCTCTTTCTCTGTATTATTTCTTGCAACTTCACATCAATCTACATTTATCTCAAGAATTTCAATTTAAAAACAAAACAAAATAAGCATGGTGGACTCCCAGTCTCTTTGTTTCTGGCAAATTTCCCTGCTGCTAACATGAGCTAGGGAAGCCTCTAGATTTTGTTAAAAGAGGTGGCATAGTAGTTCAATGGGTAACAACCAGGATTTATTTTTTCTTTAAAGAATAGAAAGTATCACAGTATATTCCAAAGTAGTGAGGATAAAGATTGTTTTGTGATGTGTTTGTGTGTGTGTGTGTGTGTGTGGGTGTGTGTAATATGGTTTGGGTGTTTGTCCCCTCCAAATCTCATGTTGAAATGTGCTTCCCAAAGTTGGAGATGGGGCCTGATAACAGGTGATTGGATCATGGGCAGGTCCCTCATGAATGGTTTAGCACCATGGCCTTGGTGAGGAGTGGGGGGTGCTCCGAGTTCACAGGATATCTGGTTGTTGTGTGTGGTGGGGCTGGGGGCAGTGGCTCATGCCTGTAATCCCAGCACTTTGGAAGGCAGAGGCAGGTGGATCACCTGAGGTCAGGAGTTCGAGACCCGCCTGACCAATATGATGAAACCCCATTTCTACTAAAAATACAAAAATTAGCTGGGCGTGGTGGCATGCGCCTGTAATCCCAGCTACTCAGGAGGCTGAGACAGAAGAATCGCTTCAACCCGGGAGGCAGATGTTGCAGTGAGCCAAGATTGTGCCATTGCACTCCAGCCTGGGCAACAAGAGCAAAACTCTATCTCAAAAAAAGAAAAAAGAAAAGAGTATGTGGTGCTTCCTGCCACTCTTTCTTGCTCCCAGTCTCTCCATGTGATGCGCCTACTCCCCTTTGCCTTCCACCATGATTGGAAGCTTCCTGAGGCCCTCACCAGGTTCAGATGCCAGCACCATGCTTCCTGTACAGCCTACAGAACCGTGAGCCAACTAAACCTCTTTTCTTTTTAAACTGCCAAGCTTCAGGTATTCCTTTATAACAATGTAAGAACGACTATATGGTGTGTATGTGGAAAGATGACATTCTTTCTCAGTTCATACAGACATAGATTCTGGGGTGCACTCTTAGCTACTCAGTCCCCTTGCACCTCCGGCTCTCTGCCTTCTGCTCGATAGAGAGCCCTGGCTGCTTCTGCTGTTGCCTCCTCTCCTAATGACACTGGCTTTCCCAGATGCCCACAGGAGTGAAGCCTGTGCTTTCAACTTGGCCTTCATCACACCTGTGGTGCGGAGAGTATGGCAGCTGCCACTCTCGTGTTCAACCCAACCAGACCCATGGAGGCTCTGCCTGAAAATACAGGTGTTATCTGCTGAGCAGCAAACGTTAACTGATGAGAGACAGGAGATGGAAAGAGGTAACAGATAAAGCCCTTTTCCTCTCCTTGCAGCAGACCTTTCTGAGATGTGGTGCTCCATAGAGGTTCTCCAGTGCCATCCAGCATGGCCAAAAACCCACTGTGCTTGCAGAAGTGGCATAGCCAGCTGGAGCTGGGAATACGGTTCCCCAGGTTTGTGTTCCTCCTCCCCTCCCTGTTCCCACCTCACTGGAAATAAAGCAAGAGTCCCAAACTTTGCCTCAGGCTATGTACTCTGGGAAACCTGGACTAGGACAAAACAGGTTTATGCAAATGTATAACCAGCATACACAAATACTGTTTTTGTACACTTGCATGCACACACGTAAAAGTGTGTCATATTCAGGCACTAGACCACAACTGGATCCCAGTGTAAAACATATTTCTATAGGTTGTGCTTAAGAGTTTTGCAAGTCACTTTCACTGCACCTAGTGTAGATGGATCTTCACCCTGTGAATTCCTGTGTTCTCACAGTTGCCCTCACCAGGCTCTGCCCATGCACACAGTCCTGGGCTTAGCGGCTTTCATCTTGGAGGCTGGGAGTGATCTGCAGGATGGCATTTCCTTGGTCTGCCCTCTGCCTCCTGAACAGAGTCTGGGTTCTAGCATCCAGTCTGAAAGGGCAGGAAACTATCCAGGTCTGCCCAGTTGGCATGAAGCTGACAGGGTCCTGAGAGCCAAGGAAGGAGAGGGGCCCTGGGGAATCCTCACTACTCCTGAAGAGCCTGGTTCCTGTTGGGAATACCTGGGAGAACATGACACCTTTGGGGGCCAGTGGGGCAGAGTGTAGAAACAGAAACGTAACCCTCCCTACTCATGGACACCTCCTGCCAATCAGCCCTTGCATTGATGCCCAGGATTTCCTGAGATTTCTTTCTGCTCAGCACAGCCATAATCTAGTGGGCCAGCTGCACTCCAGGAACCTGCGAAAGGAGAGACAGATGGCAGCCAGACTAAAGGACACGGCCCACCCCAGCTCTATGTCTGTCCTTGCCCCGGGCTTCAGTGTCCTACCTGATCCCAAAACAAAACTCGAAATACACATCTTGAGGCACAACTACTGAAAGGGCATGTGCTTGCTGTGTGTGCACTCTGTGGCCTTTCGTAAGATGATCTTGACCTTGCGATGGTTGGCCAGCCTGTCTCAGAGAAGGCCCTGCCACATCTTATTCTGGCATCACATGTAAGTTTTATTCTAAGCCAGAGACAGTCAGCAGATTTCTCAGTTCCCAGAAATAGAAATCAGAGCACTTTTGCACCCATCTCCAGAAATGGCCTCTGGAGCACAATTAGGGGACAGGAGGGTGGACAGGGATGCTGCTGAAGGAGTTAGCAGCCAGTGACACAGAGCTCAGCCCCCGTTCCAATATTTCATACCCCATTGCCCCTCAGCCCCAAGCCCACCCTTCCATACTCCGCCTTTGACAAAGAGCAATGAGTCTGCCAGCACCGTTCCTCAGATTTCCTCCCCATCTGACTTCCTCCATCCTGGCTCTCCTCACTCCACCAAGTGCCATATCAGACTTTCCATGGCCCTGCTCAGGAACCCAGATATGCTCATTACATGAGTCTTAGAATAAGGGAGCCTGGGGAATCCCAGCCAACACCTTAGGGCAGCAAAGTGCATGAATTCTGATCTGAATTTTGATTTTCTCTACGGTCTCATAGAAGCCATTTATTCTCTGTCTTTTTGAAAACAGGCAGAAACATGCCTTGGAAGACATTAAAGAGAGTGACTTCATTTTATCAAATGTGAGTTGAGGTTAGAAAAGTCGGTCATTTGTCTAAGTTCTCAAGGTCAATTGGTGTCAGAAGCTGGAAAAGAACCCAGGTCCCCTGATTCTCAAACAGATGAAAAAGAAAGCTGAGTAGAAATATCGGGGCCAGTAGTGAAGATCTTGATAGCGAAAAGAAAGCATGTGACATGATGTGGCTAAAAGCAGGGGCCTGGGAGAAACAGAAACTGCCCTCGAGCGTGCTGTGGGGTGCTGGTGCATGCATGCAAGCTGGGTGCTCGCCCAGCTACCCAGAGAAGCCTCTGCTTGCCAACAGCTGGAAAGAACATCCCCCTTGAAAGACAAACAGGCCTATGTTGAGCAGGGCCTGACAGCTGGAGAGTCCCAACTGAGAGTCCCCTGGCCTCTCCTAGGGTCTTGCACTCTCTCTCTGAGTCTTAGGCTGCCTTTCCTGGAAACTCACGTGTATTTAGCAGAAGCCATCCCCCTACCCAGGACCACGGAGAGGGGGACAGGAGGCAGCACATGCCTGTGTGAGACCAGCAGCATTTCTCTACAGGGTCCCCTCAACTAGCCAACTCCACTCTTGCACCTCCATTCCTCTCTAGCTGACGTCCTTGTCACCTTCTTTGTGAATTCCTCCCACAGCAGTAATCATGCATGCAAATGTATTTGCCCCTACTGTCTCTATCACTAGGTGCTTTGCATGAAGAACTAAATAAACTACAAGACTCCAGGGACTGTCCCATATGCTACCTGGTCATTCATCAGATCCACGATGTGCTATGGGAGGTATACATAGACATGAGGCTGCGGTGCTGTGATGGCTAACGTTATGTGTCGCCTCAGCTAGGCTATGGCGCCCAGCTGTTTGGTCAAACACCAGTCTAGATGTTGCCATGAAGGTATTTGTCAGGATTCAACATATAAATCAAAGTGATCAACATTGATTTAGCAATGTTGTGATGTGATCAACGTATTAATCAATAGACTTTGAGTAAAGCAGATCACCCTCTAAAATGTGGGTGGGCCTTGTCCAATCAGGTGAAGGCCATAAGAGCAAAGACTGAGGTTTCCCGAAGAAGAAGGAATTCTGCCTCCTGACTGCAACACAGAAACCCTGCCTGAGCTTCCAGCCACTGCCCTGTGGAATTCAGACTCACGACTGCAACAACTCCCCTTATCTTAGTGTGCAGTATGCTGGCCAGCCCTACAGACTTCACACCTGCCACCACCACACTGACAGGAGCCAACACTTTAAAGTCACTGTGTGTGTGTGTCTGTCTGTCTGTCTGTCTCTTTTGAGTCTGTTTCTCTCGAGAATTTTAACTGATGCAGGTGCCTTCGAGGAGGTCACCTACAGGCAGGGCCCCTACAGTCCCTCCAGACAGCAGCTATCATGCAGCGTCATTGCCGCAGTTTTTTCTGTGAAGGTGGGGAAGTTAAAATATAACAGCAACAACAGTAGCAGACATTTGTGGTGTGTTTTCCATGGTCTGGAAACTGTTCTGAGCAGTTTACAGCATCATCTTGTTTATTCCTTATAAGACTCCATGAGGCAGGTACATTCTTACGCCTCTTTTTCAGAAGAAATGATTACAGATGAAAGAGAGTAAAAAACTTGTCCCCTGACAGACGCATGGGCAGACGGCCTCCAGAGCCAAAGCCTGGAGTGTGGACACAGGGAAAGTCCGAGTTCCTACTCACGGCCCTTCAGCTCCAAAGTCAGAGGAACTTCTTAAATCACCATGATTGCAAGACCAATCATGTAGGAGACCAATCTTCCAGTAGGAGATTTGAACAGCGGTCCTCTCCCATCCTGGTTCTTACTGTGGTCATTCAGCTCACCAGTAGGCTTGCCCCTGCAAGAAGGCACCCCCATCCCCACCACAAACACGGCCATGCCTTCCCTGTGATGTGCTGTTTCTCAGTGTAACACAGTGCATCAGCATCAAGCTTGTTACCAAACACATCTCCTGGCAATTTCTCCTGCTTTTAATTGCATCGCTTGCTGTGTTCCTCACACAGCCTCAGTCAAAAGAAGCCAGCTTACCTCTCCCATGGGATTCTTCTTTTCTGGATCACACAAACTACTTCATGGTTGCTTTGCAAGAAAGCCTGGAATTGTCGCCACCCGTTCAATGCCAAACCCATGCATCACTAATACGAAAGTTACACGCCTTTGCTGCTTCCTCTCCTTTATATGCACACAATTAGTTCTTTGTTTCAATGCCATATCATGATATTACCTTTGGGAAGACACTTTTAATGCTAATTAAACTTAATAGATACAGTACCAACAATGCACATGTGTAACTGAAGCGACACTAGTCGTGGACAGGGGGACCGCGCAACATATCATCCCATTATAGCACTATTGAGGATAAAAGGGGTACTGCTAATAATTATTACAGGGAAATTCACATAAGCCAGGACTGCCCCCAGCAAAATGGGACATGGGAATACTCAGGTTATGACCAATTTCATTTGTGTGCAAGCAATGACAATTTTGTTACAACTGTCATCTCCTGGACATCGTTATGCTACATTATCAATTGCAAGATGCATCACATCCGATTGCAGAGATGCTAAAAGATAGGGGGTGAAAGTGCATCTTAGTATTGATGAATTAGAATGTCTTTGTCAGTTGGGGAGGACCTCCTCCCACCCGCAGGGGCTGTGTTCTTTCCAGCCTCTTGTCTTTCTCTCTCCTCTAGTTGTAATAGTCACTTTCCATCTATGAGTTGTTACCTCTCCTAACATGTGGATGAATTGCAAGAAGCCATGTCCTGATCATTGCACCCATCCTGATTGGATGGCCTCAGCCTCTCTGTGAACATAGGAGCCAATCTGTAGTCAGGGGCACCAATGGGGAGGCACTCAGCCCCATTCACTTCCATCCAACGGCAGAGTGATGCCCAGGTTCCAGAGCAACCACTCCTATAACAGGAATTGGAAGGTGGGAAGCGGTGGCAAGAGGCCAACAGTGTCCCTCCCTCTTTCAACCCTTCCTCCAATCAGTAGCCTCTTCTTCTGTTTCACATGCCCACTATAAGGGTGCCGGCTCTTGGTCTCCTAGAGGAGTAAAAATCAGTGCACAGGCAGGTAGTTTGGCTCAAACAAGCTCAAGGCTAGCTTTGTTAAGCTGGATTTGTTGGTTATAGATTTTTAGGTTGTTCATATGCGTTAAGCGTTTCTTCCACCTGCCCTTCCCTCTGTCTGTGGGACTGCCCCCTCCTCCTCCACCACCACTTCACTCAGCACTGCAAAGCCTGGACCCTAAAGTCCAGGGACCTGGGTTCGAGCTAATCTTCCTGCCAGGTTCGAGTCCATACCCTTCCATTCCTTCGTGCCTCCGCCCCTTAGCCTGGGAGCTGGAAACTGTGAACAGGACTCACCCCCAGAGCTGTTTTGAGGTTTGATGAGTTAATGTCATGAATCCCTGAGAACCATACCTGGATATGGTCAGTACAGCATGAGGACGGCTCTATTAAAATCACTCATATTTGCTTAGTGGAGGTCTATGAATTCTCTAGCTTTCAGCTCAAATGTCCTGTTCCCAGGGGAGGCCCCTGCTATGAGCTCCAAGTGTCACCTACACAGGTTTTGTCGATGTTTGCCATCCAGTTTGCCCTGTCTCAATGCTTCATCAATGCTCTTCTGTGCCCCTGCCCTGGACCATGAGCTCTCTGAGGTCAGTACCCATGCGGTTTTGTTCATCAGTACACCCCAATGTTTCCCAGTACAGTGTCCCGCATGGAGTGTGCTTACATTAAAGATTTGTGGGATAAGAGGGCGAATGATTAATAGATGTCGCCACCATATGTATCACATTAAAATAAATCTGCATGCTTTGTTGACTTGAATAGGGAATGTGTGAGCTCTGATTTATACATGGACTCTCAGGAGATTGAGGAGAGGCCAACATGGGCCTTTGCCCCCATCAGGGCAGTAAACCTGGCAGTTCTGCTTCTGTCATTTCCTGAGGGGCCTGCAGACGGAGGCTGCAGAGAGGAAAAAAGCCGGCATGCTCTAAGGAAGCCCTTAGTTTCTGGATGTTGGGAAATCTGTGTTCGGCCTGAGTGCAGACATGAACTGAGGGCCAGGCCTCCTGCCTCTAAGGCTCAAGAGAAGGAGCCCAGCACTCTGGCCAACCTCGGAGCAAGCAAGTGGAGAAGCATTGCCATGTCTCCAGGCAAAGCAAGGTTGGACGCAGTGAAGCTTAGTGATGAGGACTGGGGAGGTGGTTGGGGGCAAGTTGGGGCGGGGGGGGGGGCTTTCACATGCCGGCACAATGCCATATCTAATTTGATTTGTCACCTGGAACTGGGAGAAAAACTAAATTTTTTGAGCAGGAGTTTGTGTCGCATTCATATCCCAAAGTCATGTTTGGGTTGGCGGGGGTGGTGTAGATGATTGGAAAGGAGACAAGTACATATATCGAGCCTCTGTGGGGGCCTGGCCCCAACTGACATACACAGTCCTTTCATTCCATCAGCCTTGTGACAAATGCATTATTATCTGCACAATTAGAAGATGAGACTAAGGATCTAAGAAGTGGTGTCCTCCTCACAAGGACAGTCTGCTTGTAAGCGGCCAGCCAGGACTCAGATTCAGACCCACGCTTCCAAATGCACGCTCCTTCCCTGGGTCCCTACCAGGCCAGACAGGCTGAAGCACACGTAGAGGCTGGGTCAGGGTCACTCATTTGTGAAGCTGTGAAGTGAGGCATCCTGCTGCCAGGAAACGGAGAGGGGCACCTGGCCCTGGAACACACTGGCTCCTGCTTGCTCCCTTTCCCCCATTTGGGGTGGGGGAATTGCCCACGCTGGGCTGAGACAGTGGGTCAGGAGGATGAAACCCCAGCCATAGGAGGGGCTTTATGGTGGCTTCCCCACACTTCACCCCACCAGTTGGGGATAGACTCATGGCATCTGGCCAGCTCCAAAGAGGCCAGCAATGGCCCAGTCCCACGTGGCCTGTCCTCCTTCTCCCACTCCCCCCCATCCCCAGAAGGAGTCTCTCACCAAGGGGAGAGCAGATCCCAGGGGAGAACGACAGTGGGGTCACCTGTAAGGTCATGAACCTTGCACTGTTGTCTGAATCCACACTATTTGAAATTCCTACTTTGCCTTTGTATTTTCTTTTAAAAAATATAAATGTAATCTCTACTTATTAAAAATACAAATAATACAA
Source organism: Homo sapiens (assembly GCF_000001405.40). Classification (NCBI taxonomy): domain Eukaryota; kingdom Metazoa; phylum Chordata; class Mammalia; order Primates; family Hominidae; genus Homo; species Homo sapiens. The sequence continues at coordinate 128,793,218 of NC_000002.12, read as the reverse complement.
AAGTCCATACAAAAAGAGAAAAGCTTTTTCTTTAACCCTTTCCCTTCCCCAATATCCCAGCTAACTGCTAAAACATATAGACCTTTCTATGAACACGCAAATGTTTGTTTACATAGATACACCTGCATGTGTGCATATGTGAGGTTCTGTATGTGCATGTGCCTGTGTGTGGCACTGTGTGTGCGTGTATGTTATGTGAGATGCTGTGTGTGCATGTGTGTGGTACTGTGTGTGCATGTGTCTGTGTATGTGAGGCGCTGTGTATGCATGTGTGTGTGTATGTGAGACTTTGTGGATGTATGTGTATATGTGAGACACTGTGTGAATGTGTGTGTGAGGTGTGCGTGTGTGAGAGACACTGTGTGCGTGTGTGTGAGACACTGTGTACGTGTGTGTGAGACACTGTGTGGATGTATGTGAGGTGTTGTGTGTGAGACACTGTGGATGTATGTGAGGTGTTGTGTGTGCATGTGTGTGAGACACTGTGTGTGCATGTGTGTGAGATATGTGTGACACTGTGCATGTGTGTGAGATGTGTGAGGTGTTGTGTGCGTGTGTGAGAGACACTGTGTGGATGTGTGTGTGTGAGAGGTGTTTCTGTGTAAGACACTGTGTGGATGTGTGTGTGAGACACTGTGGATGTGTGAGGGTTGTGTGTGCATGTGTGTGTGACACCATGTGTGCGTGTGTGTGAGAGATGTGTGTGAGACACTGTGTGGATGTGTGTGTGAGACACTGTGTGGATGTGTGAGGGTTGTGTGTGCATGTGTGTGACACTGTGTGTGCGTGTGTGTGAGAGGTGTGTGTGAGAGACACTGTGTGTGCATGTGTGTGTGACACTGTGTGTGAGTGTGTGAGATGTGTGTGACACTGTGCATGTGTGTGAGGTGTGTGTGTGAGAGACACTGTGTGTGGATGTGTGTGTGTGAGAGGTCTTTGTGTGAGACACTGTGCGTGGATGTGTGTGTGAGACACTGTGCGGATGTGAGTGCACGCGCGGGGTCATGTTCCCCCTGTTATGCATCCCCTGCTGTCTCCTGCGATGTGACCCTGTGGTCTCCTTGCATGACTGGGCACAGAGCTCTTGCTTCTTTATTATGATCTGTTCACTTTTGCTTCCCCCACAGGGAGCATCTCCAGTTCCCCAGGTCCACCTGTGGCCTTGGTTCATGCCGCTCCCCTGCCTGGAACCCCTGCTCAGCATCCACCAGGGCTCCTTACCTGGGCAGTTCCTAAACCACAATGGAGACAGCTCAGCGGTCCTCTGCAGAGTGGCCTCCCTGTCCCCACACAGGGCTGCTGAGGTTTGCTTCCTGGGCTCCCGCTCCACACCCGCAGGGTCTGGGGCTGGCAGGGGAGAAGGCAATCTGAGGAAGCCGACCAACTCAACACGGGATCTCAGATGTCGTCATAGGGGTGAGAGAGTGGACGGCACCCCGTTCGGGTGGGACTGGTGCGTGGGTGACGGGGTTTAGCATCTCCTGCTCACCTTTCTGGGCCTTTTTCTCATCATGCAATGCAGAGGATGAGCCCCTTCATCCAGGAAGGCTTTGCTGAGAGCCCCTCCTTCAGGCCCCACACTCTGAGTCCTTGGCTGGGTTTGGAGACCGCTGGTGGGGCTGAGAAGGCTTCTCCACCAGGTGAAGGGTGAAGAGGATCTCCAGGCAGCAGCAGGAATATCCTGGCAAAAGGAGGAGGCACAGCATATTTGGCTTCGGACGCTGCAAGGCAGGTCACGACAAGAGGTGGACTGGCAAGGCCGCCTGACAAAGGCCCAGTGAGGAGAGTCGCTGATGTACTCAGACTTCCATTCTAGAAAGGCGGCTGTGGCTGCGGTGAAATCAGAGTATGCCAGAGAAGCATTCATTCCATGTGTGGGGGGAGCCCTGTCGGGAGGCAGAGGCACAGGGCAGAGAGCAGGGCAGAGTGGGAGCTGGGAGCAGCACTCCCCGAGGTGTGGGGCTGAGGCCCTGGCAGGGCTGGCCCTGGACTTTATTGGAGCAACTGCCTGGCTGAGAGCACGAGTGGCCTGAAGGGCCGGCCAGCCTGAGGAAGCCCTTTCCGGGAGTTAAAAGAAAAACTTCAGCCTAATTAAATGCAACGGAGTTTCATTGAGCAATTAACGATTCGCGAATCAGGCAGCCCCCAGAATCACAGCAGATTCAGAGAGACTCCAGTGGTCAAATTTACAGGCAAAAAAAAAAAAAAAAGTAAAGTGACATACACAAATTGGAAGTGAGGAAGTGAGGTCCAGACACAGCTGGATTGGTGACATGTTGGCGTTGCCTTATTTGCACACAGTTTGAACACTCAGCAGTGCACGAATGGTTGAAGTACGGCTGCCGGGATCGGTCAAGACTCAGCGATTGTTACCGGCGCATGCTCCTAGTTAGGTTTTCCATCTTGTTTGCCTATTACGCTAGGTTGCAGCTCATCCACAAGAACTCAAATATAGAAGTAGGGAATCCCTCTCAGGCCATATTTAGTTCACTTTAACACAGGGTTGCTCTGCAGAGTTTCCGAGGGCTGTGGCCTCTGGGCTTCAGCCATAACGCAGATGCATTGTCCTCTACTTTGCAGAAAGCACAAGAAAACTGCCCAGCACAGCACTCCAGTGAGGCAGGGAAGACATGCACGCTTTCCTAGCTGCTGTTTGTCGTGAGGGAGCGGCCTGGCTGGGTCAGCTGGCTTCATTATTTCCCAGGCCGCTCCCTGCAGAGGCCAGCCCGCATATGGGGAAGGTGGTATCTGTGCGACGCTCTGTCTCTGGTGGAGAACGGCTCACGAGAATGAGCAAGGATGTCACATCTCCACCCTGGACGCGCAGGAATCAGGGGGACTGGAGAGACACACAGGATGCTGTCAGTAAACGTGCAACTGTGTCTCATCAATGCCACTGGTTTGCCACAACCACTGGCTCCGAGACTGTAGGCTTAGTGCCACAAATGTTTATCTTGAAGGGCCAGCCCTCCTCCTGCCCCTGAAGGCCTGGACTTGGAACTTGGAGGAGCTCTGGACAGAGAGGTTTTCAAGATCTGAAACAGCTCCACAGACCCACTACACCACCAAGGCAGTGTGCTCGTAAATGAAAGCCACCGAAGCCGTCCTTCCCAGTGGAGGGGCATGGCTGTGAGGAGCACCTGCTATGCACACGTGCCGGCGACTGAACAGCTCACCCGGGTCAGCCACACGCTGACCAGATTCCCTTGTTCATCTGAGCTGCCCTGAGCCTCAGTTGGTGCCTCTTTCCACCCCACACTGCCTGCTGTCCCCACACCCTGGGCACCCGTCTCCCGGGGGCTGAGTGCAAAGCCATGGAGTCGCGGTTCCCGGAGGTGGGGCTGAGGTCCAGTTTGATTCCTCCAGGACCAAGGCATCTGGGTCCCCGACCTGTCACACATCAGCAGACCCACCATAAGAGCATCTGTGGGTCGTGGGGGGAGGTTCCAAGCCCTCGTCCCTCGCAGCTCTTCTCTGGCCCATCAGTAACACGGGCTAACGTTTTTCAAACTACACGCCTAGATTTCCACACACCGGTCCAAGCTCCTTGGTCCTGTATCTTTAACCCAAATAACAGATTATGAAGAGGTTTGGAAGGGGGAGGTGGGTGCTGAATGGAGAGGCTGTAACCCCCATGCTTGCAGTTGGCTGGATTTTATATTGCTCCCAGCATTTTTTCATCTGTCTGTTCAACACTCACCAAATGGAGAACACACAGGGACCTCCTTCCCTTTGGACTCACGTGGAGCTGGGTTCCCGGGAGGCGCTGCTGCTTGCTCAAGTCCAGGAGACTTGTCCCCCTGGGCTCTGGGTTCGTCCATCTTACACGGATTAGTGGGTTTGGCTCATGGGCAGGCTGCTGAGCCCTGCACCCTGCAGGGAGGAAAGTGGCATGAGCCAAGGCCACAAGTGGATCTGGGGACGTCAAGGAGCACTGTGTTGATGAAGAAAAGTGCATGAGAATCATTATAAAGAAAAAGCTAGAGCTCTGTGCCCAGACTGAAAGGAGATAGCAAGTGGATGCGTAATAGGGAGAACACGACCCCACGCAGGCATGCACACACATACATGCACACACACATGCACACATATCAGACAAATGCACACACATTCACACATGTGCACACATGCAGACACACATGCACACATCTGCACACACATCAGACACACATGCACACACACATGCAGACACACACATGCGCACACCCTCACATCACACATGCACACACCTGCACACACATCAGGCACCCACATGCAGACACACACGCACACACCTGCAAATACATCAGACACATATGCATGCACACGCAGACACGTGCACACACATTCACACATGTGCACATGTGCACACACATGCACACACCCACACACATCAGACACATGCACACACACATGCACACACCCGCACACACATCAGACACACATGCACACACATGCACACACATACATGCACACACACTCACATATCAGACACAAATGCACACACATTCACACGTGCACACATGCAGACACACATGCACACATCTGCACACACATCAGACACACATGCACACACATGCAGACACACATGCAGACACACACATGCACACACCCTCACACACATCAGACACACATGCACACACCTGCATACACATCAGGCACACACATGCAGACACACCCACACACCTGCAAATACATCAGACACATACGCATGCACACACAGACACGTGCACACACATGCACACACCCGCACACACATCAGACACACATGCACACACACATGCACACACCCGCACACACATCAGACACACATGCACACACACATGCACACACATATGCACACACATAGATGTATCTATATAAGCAAGTGTTTTCTTATGCAAATAAAGCTCTAGAAGTTTTTGTAAGCAGCTGGGATATTGAGGGAGAGGAAAAGGAAAAGCTTTCTTATTTTTGTGCATATATTTGTGTTGTTTGTATTTTTATAAGCAGGTATATGACACACATATTTTCAAAAGGAAAATATAAAGGCAAAGTATGAATTTCAAATCGTGTGAGCAGTGTGGATGCCGACAACAGTGCTCGCGACCCTGCAGGTGTCCCTGCTGCCGTTCTCCACAGTGCGGGTGGAGATCTCTCCACAGTTCCCACTGGGATCTGCTCCCTACTTTGTGGGGGACTACTGCTAGGAGTCTGGGGGCGGAGGGGTGGGGGAAGGTGGACCAGCCTGTGGGGCCTGGCTATCGCTGATATCTTCTGAAGCATCTGGACCGTACGAGCTTATTCCAGCTAATGGGGTGGCGTGTGGGGGAGCCACCCGCAAAGCCCCTCCTGTGGTTGGGGTTCCATCCTCCCGACCCACTGGCTCAGCCCAGTGGGGAGAAGGGTGAGCCGTGCTCCAGGCTGAAGGTGTGGAGCAGCAGGTAGGTTTAGGGGTGCCAGAGTTTCGCACGGTGGGGGATGGCTGGTCGGTGACGGAGGGTGGGAGAGTTAGGCTGGAGTGTGTTGGAGGCTGCGACGGAGTGCTAACCTCCTCCTGAGGCGGGGTGTCTAGAAGGCACTGAGGGTGTCTAGAAGGCACTAATTCTGACAGATTGGCAGTTTAGGAAGATCCTCCAGGCTCCTGAGGAAGACCATTGCAGAAGTCTTTAGCCAGATTCAGCACTGGGGAAATCTAGAAAGAGTGGGTTATGGGTAAAGTCGTGACACGGTGATGGGAGTGGGAAAGAGGGTGGCTTTAAGGAGGCAGGCCTGGTGATGGACGGGAAGTGGGGAGAGGCTGAAGGGGTGCCAGAGTGGGTGGACTACAGGGTGCAGGTGGTGCCAGGGGTGCACTGGCTGGCACAGGAGGTGCAGCAGGCGCAGGGCCGTCCCAGCAAGGATGCCCTGAGGACAGCCAGGGACTCCTCTGCCCTGTGCTCCCTGAGCCTCAGTGCCTCATCTGCCAAATGGGGACACTGTGTGAATACGCTGGCACAGCGGGGCCCATTCACTCAGCAGGATTGCCCCAAGGACAGCCAGGAAATCGAGGCTTGCAGAGACACCGCTCCTTAGCAGTGCCACCATCAACACCAGACAGTCCATGGAATGGAGGTGCCCTGCTCTTCTAAAGCCTGGCAGGAAAGCAGGGAGCAGCCCGACCTCATTCCCATTCCCCCAGCCAACAGCAGGAGGCAGGTGCCTGGCCAGGACAGCTCTGAGAGCCCATGCAAACCTCCCCGGGAGAGCAGGAGGGAGGCAGGAAAGAATCAACAATCACTAAGGTTCATAAGGTGCTCTGAAATTCTGCTAGAGCAGCCCCTGTCTGACAGCCCTGAGAAGCATTGCTCTATCCCATCCAGCCATTAGGCTTATTTACACAGGGAAAGAAACAATGAGGCCCAGACAGAGTGAGCTAATCCCTCAGCCATTCAAATAATACTGCCAGTTGGCTCCTCAAGAAAGTAAAAATACAATTAGCATATGATTGAGCAATTCCACTTCTGGGTCTATCCCCAGAAGAATTGAAAGCGGGGTCTCAGATACTTGTGCCCTGTGTTCATAACAGCATTATTCACAGAAGCCATGAGGGGCAAACAACTTGTCTTCATCAAATAATTAATGGTTAAGCAAAATGTGGTACATGCATACAATGGTACATTATTCAGCCTTAAAATGGAAGGCCATTCTGATGCATGCCACAGTGTGGGTGAACCTTGAGGGCGTTATGCAAGGAGAAATCCGCCAGTCACTAGAGGACAGATACTGTGTGATTCCATGTACATGAGGTCGCGAAAGTAGTCAAATCCACAGAGACAGAAAGTAGGAATGTGGGGGCCAGAGGCTGGGGGAAGGGGGTAGAGAGTTCATGCTTAATGGGGACAGAGCTTCGGTGTGGGGACAGTAAGAAAGACCTGGAAACAGAGTGTGGTGATGGCCGCACAACAATGTGAGTGGCTTAATGCTGCTGAATTGTGCATTTCAACATCATTAAGATGATATTTTATTTTATTTTAATTTAATTTAATTTAATTTTATTTTATTATTATTTTTTTTTTTGGTGAAGTTTCCCTCTGTCACCCAGGCTGGAGTGCAATGGCACAATCTCAGCTCACTGCAACCTCCACCTCCCTGGTTCAAGCACTTCTCCTCCCTCAGCCTCCCGAGTAGCTGGGATTACAGACATGCACCATCACGCCTGGCTAATTTTTGTATTTTTAGTAGAGATGGGGTTTCATCATCTTGGCCAGGCTGATCTCAAACTCCCACCCTCAGGTGATCCGCCCATCTCAGCCTCCCAAAGTGCTGGGATTACAGGCGTGAGCCACCACGCCCAGCCTAAGATGATACATTTTATGTTGTATATGCTTTACCACAATTTTTTTTTTAAATATAGCAAATAACACTACCACTGCCCGTGACAGTGCTCCTCTGCAGCCGCGGTGCCCAGGACCTCGCACTGTAGCTGTTCAGGGCCCCTTGGGAACGCAGTCTCCTCTTGAGGCCCAGGGATTGGAGTGGCTTCCCACGTTGCTGCTTCCTGTATGCCTTGCCAGCTCTTAGTAACTCTTTTGATCTTGCCTTGTAAATGGACCCTTCCTTCAATTACTTTCCACTGAAAAATATGATAGTAATACTGCCAGTAGAGCCGTTTTAGCCACAAGTGCAGCAGAAACGCGTGCCACCGTCTGATGGGACATCTCGAGGCTTGTGTGTGACAGCCACGCTGAGCAGTGTCAGCCTCACACCTGGAGAGGACGCTGCCCTGGAAAGGATGCAGTGTCACCCGGATCTCAGTGGTGTCCTCAGACGTTGCAGAGCGCCTCTGTCGTGAAGCCCACCTGATTCCAAGAATACACCTTAGCATGAAGCCATTTGTGACACTGATTAATAATCTTCTAAGTCCAGCAGAAGGCACCCAATCCTCCTGACAACATGATAAGCCCATGTACATGAGGACTCCCATTAACCATGACTCTCCCTAATGCAAGGGAATAAGAACCCCGTTTGGACTTGGAGTGTGAGTGATTGATTGCACAGCCTTAGAGCGGAGGTAAGAGTCTAGTCGCAGTGGAAACAGCAAGGTCGTCGCCCTGAGCGAAGGGATGCCACCCAGAGAGCTGCTGCGGCCGTGCAGTCTGCACAGGATGAGGCTCTGGGTCCTCGTGAGCCAGTCCAAGAGCCATTGCAGACTCCCCTCCATGAACCCACGGGCTAAGCCAACAGGCAGAAGAGGACTGAGGTACCTTATCCCGCTCCATTCAGCAGCAGCTCTGGACACCATTGCCTCCCCTACGTGAGACTGGCTGTGCCAAGCGCCTGCCTTTCCTAAGCAGCACTGCCGTGTGCTCCGGCCTCCGCACATCCTGTTCTCCCAACTCTCCCCGGCCTGCCCCTACCTTGGCTGCCCCTACACAACCTCAAACTCACTCAGTTATAGCTGCTTCCTGAGAAATGCCCAAGCCTGGGCTGGGCACCCTCTTCTGTGTCTCCACAAACCCCTCACACCCCTCAGCCCTGGCCCTGAGTGGCCCTCCAGTAAGCATATGTGTGTTTACTCGGTGGTGTCCCAGCTCAGCCTGAGGGCTCTGTGGGGGCAGGGAGCTCACTGCCCCATCTCTCTGAGCCCAGTGCCTGTGGAACCCTCGGGGACAGCAGACACCCGGAGACTATTAGACCTATCCTTTTTTTTTTTTTTTTTTTTTTTTTTTTTTTTGACGGAGTCTCACTCTTTCGCCCAGGCTGGAGTGCAGTGGCCCGATCTCTGCTCACTGCAAGCTCCACCTCCCGGGTTCACGCCATTCTCCTGCCTCAGCCTCCCGAGTAGCTGGGATTACAGGCGCCCGCCACCACGCCTGGCTAATTTTTTGTATTTTTAGTAGAGACAGGGTTTCACCGTTTTAGCCAGGATGGTCTCAATCTCCTGACCTCGTGATCCGCCCGCCTCAGCCTCCCAAAGTGCTGGGATTACAGGCGTGAGCCACTGCGCCCAGCCTAGACCTATCCCTTATCCATGGGCTCCATGCTGTGCCTCAGACAGGATGCTGAGTTTCACCCGCCAACCCCCGCCCCACCCACGGTGCCTGCGAGGGACTGTGTCCTTCGCCAAGGAAAAGGAGGCCACAAGCTGGAGCCCAGCCCCAGACAGTGAGGCTCCCATGAATCAGAAAGGGACTTCCAGAAACCAAAACTTCCTCAAGGGCGTCTGAGGAGTTAAAGAACCTCAACTTCTGCCCAGGCCACTGGCCAGGACTGAGCCTCCACCCTGAATAGGACTCAGCAATAGCTTTCAGCACAAAGCACAAAAACCCCCGTGGCCCGGGGAAGACACTGGGCATTGACTTAAGAAAAGCAGTGGTCCATTCAGCCTCTGTTGACTCTTTAGGGAGATACAAAAAAGCTCATAAACATTTATTACTCAGTGTGAGCAGTATATTTCATTTCATGTGGCATGTGCTTTGTTACACTGGTGACAACACTCTAAACAAGAAAGTCTCTGGAACGCTGTTCAGGCAGGTGATTCTGAGAAACAGGTTCGGGAACAGGTGCCCAGAAACAGCCCTTGAGAGTGGAAACCATGGTGGGGGAGCTGGGGTCTCAACAACACTGTATATGCTCTGGGGGGGCTGAGAGGCTGAACACAGAGGGCAGACTGTCCTCTTCCAGAACACTCAGGAGAGGGTGTGATTGACCAGACTGGGAATCTGTGACCATGGACTTCTCCTCCAAGGGGAAACCAGCGTGTGCCCGTTTCAGTGTGGACGAGAGGACAGAAGAGAGACATGGGGAGTGGGTGCTCCTGGGAGGGGTGCACTGCCCTGGAGGTGGGTCGGCCTGCTGGACCAGGCGCTTGCCGGAAGGGGATCAAATAAACATGCCGTGCTCTCTCCAAGACCCACAACTCCCCACCCTGCCTCATAGGAGGCTGGGCCAAGGAGATCAAGGGAGACCACCGTGGCCCTGATTTCCCATGGCAGCAGAAAGAACTCTCTGACTTTCCCCCCAAATTCCTGAGGCCGGAGATCCTATGACTAATGGGCTGGACCCTTCTTCCTAGCTCCAGAAAAGATGTTGGGTGGCAGGTTCCCTGGGAAAGATGGCATGGAGATTCCACAGAGCACCAACAGCAGCAAGTTGCCCTCTACTGAGAGCAGCAGCTCAGCAAGGAGCAGGCCTTTGGCCACACGAAATGAGGGGTCATGACAGGCAGTGTGGAGAGGGAGACAGGTGTGACCCAGGACTGCAAAGAGAGTCCTGGTGGGCAGCATGGAAAGGGGACAGGTGTGACCCAGGACTGCAAAGAGAGTCCTGGTGAGCAGTGTGGAGAGGGGGACAGGTGTGACTCAGGTCTCCACCCCTTCTTCTTGTGTGTGCTGGAACTACCCATTTGAACTTGCTGAATCTCCCTTTCCTTGTCTACAAATTGATAGTTTCAGTAGTGACCTCTGAGACTCACAGGGAACACATAGCAGGTGATTCGTGTGACCTGCCTGCTCCTTAAGGAGTGCAGGGAATACACAGCAGAGCCAGGCCCCTGGCCACTGGCGAGGGTTCCTTGGGCAGCCAGAGGCCACACTCCCCACAGGCCCAGCTTTCTCAGGCCTGATCCGCTTCCAACCCTGCCCGTCACCCTCCCACTGCATGTCCTGCTCAGGCCCTGCCACCTGGAACATGCTGAACTTGCCCCCATGACCCAGGGTGCTGTTGCCCTCTCTGTTCTCTCACTGCCAGTGTCCTAAGCACCCCCATGGCTGCCTCCTCCATCTCTTCCTTCTAGATGCTAATAAATTTTACCTTATTGGAGGCTGTATTCCTGGTATAAAATACCAACGTGCACACACACACCTCTGTGTCCCTTCTACCCCGTCTCACTTTTCCTTAGCAGTACTGATCATCCCATCACACTCTTTGGCTCTGGCAAGGGCAGGTCTGGGTACTGGCAGTCAGGCCCAGGCTCTCTGCCCTTGGTGCTTCTCAGAGGCAGGGAGTGTGTACATCTGCAAAGGGACTCACAGCCTCACCAGTGCCAGGCTCCTCTCAGGCTCACAGTCCTCCAAAGCCCCAGCTCCTCTGCCTCAGAGGGTCGCAGCCTGTGCCTTCCCAGGGCAGCTGTGCCTTCCCAGGTGAGCCTAGGGCCGCCCTGTCCTTTCCCCTCCTCTGCTCCTCCAGAGTCCAAGGCCCAGCCCCACCACAGACAGCGATCAGCAGGGCTCTCCCAAAGAAGGCAGATTCTAGCACCACAGCAGAACAGATGCAGTGTGATTGGAAAGTGCCAAAGACGAGCGAGGAAGATGAAAGGGAAAGTGGTGAGAGCTACAAAATTCACATCCAACCTCCTTTAATCACAGCTCGGGTTTTAATCACCCCAGGCGGCTTCAGAAGCGCAGTGTTTAATGTGTTTCCTTAACAGCCTCATCGAGGTCCTGGAGGTCTGGAGCGCTTGACTGGGAATGGAGACGTATGGGTCCCCTCCATGCCTGGTCTCCCCCCAGTGGAGAACCCCAAGGACAGCTTGTCTCTGCCTCAGTGTCTCCGCTCTTCTTCACTCGTGCTGGCTGAACGGAGGAATCGGAAGGCATCCAGGGCTTGTCTCTGCCTCAGTGCCTCTGCTGTTCTTCACTCGTGCTGGTCGAATGGAGGAATCGGAAGGCATCCAGGCATGTCTTCATGTAAAGGAGCACAAACACACCCTTCAGCTGCATTTTCCTCTAAGACAGAGGTCTTCGGGGAGTACAGCAGAAATATCTTGCTTTAGAACCTGTCAGTAAACACTTGGGCCATGGGAACACATTGCTATGGCCTCTGCAGCACCTTGGAAGGGGCCCTTGAAAGTCAGTGGCATGAAGTCACTACCTTCCATGCATCCACCCAGGGCACACGCCCAGGGCACTACCTTCCATGCACCCGCCCAGGGTGCCTAGGAAGCCTTCCCATGCCTGTGTCACAGTGGCCTGCAGGGGATGGAAGACACAACTATTATATCTACATGAATAGAACAGAGACACAGATGTGGACCTGTCTGTGTACATACTCAGAAACAGGCTCACACAGATTAAGGGGATATGTGTGCACCCACCCACTTATCTCCACACACACTCACTCACACCAATGTACCATTGACCCCAATGGTCACTTACCCACCAAAGTCCCAAGAGATGCCACCAAGGGAGGACTCTTTTCTTGAGGTGCTCTTTGGTAGTAAAACAAGTCATCCCAACAATTGAAAGACGTGTTGATGATAGCCAGAGCTGGAAATGGCCTCATCAGTTTTACTGTGTGTTCACAAAGGATTTATCAAGAGCGCCAGGGTCCCCAGACACTGGGTGGTCCCCAAACTTGAGGATGACAGGCACCGATCCACCATGGTTTCATGCTGGCCCATTCACCAGGGCCACGTCCTTCCTCACATACCTGAGACTGATGCTTTCTCAAATGATGCTGCAAGGACCCTGGCCCACATCCATCTCCCAACTAAGGCCCAGACATCCAGACTCATCACCACAGTCAAGCAGGAGCCCTGGAATCAGGTGAGGCTCTATGATGGAGAAGGAGTCAACTGAACCTGCATGGCCCCACAAGGAGCCAGAGGGAATGTGCCTAGAGCAAGGAGATACAACCTTATGTCTGCTGCAAACAACCCTTCCTGACAGCACAGCTGGGACCCACATGCAAAATCCCTTTCTACCCCTCTGACATGGCACCAAAGGGGCCACAGAGCCCTGGCAGCCTGGTCTAAGTGCCCAGGCCTTGGGTCCAGCTATTGTGGGGAGCTCAGGGCAAGGTCCCTACCCCCATCTCCGTGTGCCCAGAGCTAGTGTACCAGGCACAGAGTGGCATTCAATATAGACTTGCTGAACTGAGCAGAGCCGGCCTCCTGGGAACTGCTGCCAGCATTCCCTATCTCCTGTTGTGGTCCCTGTGTAGTGGCACTGAGGACAATGGAAAGGAAGCAGGATATCTATGTCTCATTTGGAAATGGCATGGGAGCACCTGAAATTTTAGAGAGAAGACCAAGGGGTGAACTAAGAGCAGATAGCTTCAAGGGAACAAGCCCGGCCTTCTAGTCAGGCACCTTCTGTTTAAAGCCCTGGTCTGGGGGTATTTCCTGGATGTCAGTGCTTAAGCTTCCCGCGTAGCTTTGATGTTCTTGCTGATGAACTGGAAATTGTTAAATCTGTGTCAGAGGCTCTTCTGAGAGCTAAATGAGATGAGGTACCCACATCAGGCAAGATAAGCTGCAGGAGGCATAGCCAGCCACTCACTCATTCACGCTCTCACGTCCTCTGCAGTCCACTGGGGATCCTGTGGCAGGCGCCCTCCTCCCAGGCCCCAGGCAGGCAGAGTGGCTGTCACCCTAGGAATGTGGCTGCAGAGGCAGATGGGAAAAGAGCGCCCCGGAGCAGGGAGCATGGTCTCCAACTCACACTCTCCTCCTGACCACAGCAAACTCTCAGCTGTGCCCTGGGTCAGCAGGGTGGGGAAGTGTAGTTCTGGAAAAGAGAGAGAAGCCAATCTTTGGGAGTAGCCCTAAGGAAACCAAGAGCCTGGCTCTAGTACAGCCTGGGACACTCCAGATACTCAAAACAGCACCAGCTCCCTTTCCCTGTGTTTAAGGTGTGGCTTTCAAATAGTGAGATTGTTACCCTGGTGAGCTGGTAGGGTCTGTTTTTTCTTAAAGCCAGTCCCTCTCCTGCCCCCAGCCACAGGAGAGCACCAGAGCAAGGGGAACCACCCACAGGAGAAAAGTGGAGCCCCTAGTGGGAATATTTCTCAAAGGCTCTGGAAGAGGCAGGAGGCCAGGACCCAGATTGGCCGCAAGGACAGGAATGGTGTTCCCCATGGGAGTGGTCTGATGGCAACAGCAAGGTGACTGAAGTGGAATTCGGTAACATGCATGCGGAGGCTGGATGGAAAGCTGTGATACTGGAATGGACCCACACCCCTTCCAATTCACCCGTTAATGTAAAACAAATCCAATTAAAAGTGCAAAAAGAATTTGAACTACTAAGATTGAGTCTGGCTGAACATAAGAGAAATCTAACTATAGTAACTTAACAAAAAAGCATTTATTTTTTCTTTTAGTGGAAAGTTTGAAGTTAGACAATAAAGGACTGGTACGAACACCATATGATGCCAAAGGGAACCCTATGTTCCCATATATTTTTGTTGTCTTTCTGTATCCTGTTACATCAGCTGTTCCACATGCACAAGGTAGCTGCTGCTGCTCCAGACATCTCAGCCACATTCCAGGCAGGACAGAAGGGGAAAAGGTGCACACCGGATAAATATGTCCCTTTTTTATCAGAAAACAAAGTTTTTTCTGGTAGCCTAGTGGGAAAAATTTCACTTTATCTCATTGGTAAGAACTGAGTCAACATGTCCATCTATGCCATGAGGGAGTCTAGAAAAAGAGAATGGAAATTAGGCAATTAGCAACGAGGAGTTTCAGAACTCAATAAAATAGTTCTAAATCTCACCCGTGAACAAAGCAGGAGAAAAAAAATAAGAAACAGTACAATATTGAGGGGGAAAAGGTACTGCCTTATCTAAACAATTGACTTAGCAAATAAATTAGATTAGATCTCACCCTTTTAGCATGTATTAAACAAATTACAGAGGCACTAAATAATTAAATGTAAAAACAGAGCCACAGAATGACTTAACAGATACATAGGCAATTCTGCGAGGCTGAGATATATTTTTAAACCTGATACCAAAGACAAAATCATAAAGAATGACAGATTCAACTGCATTGAGAGTAAATACATTTGAGTAGCCAAATGCAAAATTATAAAGTTAAAAGACAAACATCATTTAGGGAAATATTTGCTGTGTTCACATAATTGTTAATATTGCCCAATGTACAGACTTTCTGCAAATCAATAAGAAAAAGACAAGAAGCAAATGCTTAGCTTATAAAAGAAGAAATTTCTATGTGGCATAGAAAACAATGAGACGGCTTCCACTCCCTAATAGTCAAGGGAATCCTGGTTAAAGAAACAATGGATTGCTACTCTTTACCTCCAATTCATGCATATTTTTTAGTCAATGATTTGGAAGTTGTAGGATTATAGTTGGTTTTTATATTCTCTTATTGTCTGACTCCTGCAATGTGAAGTACGACTTGTTTAATATACAAGTTATTTTAAACAGTGTGAAACGTGCCTCATAACTACACAATTCCACCTCGAGAATGTGGACTCAGCCCTCCCGAGCCAGAACGTGACTTCCTGTCCCCCCAGAGGTATTTATGGTACATCCGCAATGTGCACGGTGCTGTGAGAGACGTTTAAGTGTGAGACGCGATGCTCATCAGGGCGTTCAGGGACACCGGGGCCCAGTCCACATGCTCGGGCCCCTGCAGATTCTTCCCTCAGCTTGGCCTTGCCACACCGAGCCAGGTGTGTTTGCATCTCAGAGCATGTGTTGCTCATGGACCCCAATGCCTTGGTGACTCATTGCCCTTTGTTCATGTAAGATATGCAGCTCAGACCTCTGCTCCTCCACACAGCCTTCCTGGCATTCCCGTGCTGTAGGCGTAGGTGGGGACCCCACCTCTGTGTTCCCACAGTTCTTGGTTAGCGGTGGCAGGTGCACATCCTCACTTCTGTACTTCCAGTGTCTAACACAGAGTAGGTGCTCAGCTTGCAGAAGGGACGGAGGGAGGGAGGGAGGAGGGAGGTGGGGAGGAAGAGTAAATGCTCTGCTCCTGCCAAAACCAAGCACAGACTATGGGCTATGGGCACTCACAGGAGGGAGCGACCCCTCTTGTGAAAAGGCCAGGGCATCCAAGAGGACAGAGGCCTGAGCTGGATTTATGAAAAAGACGGAGGGGAGGAGGTGGTGGAGGGAGCCCCGATGCAGGAAGTACATGGAGCACGGAGGAGAGACCCAAGCACAGGAGCCTGGAGCAAGTCTGTGGACCAAGGACCATCCCTGCACCCCCATCCTGTGCCCCCACGCTCTGTCTCCTGGGCCTGAAGAGCAGCTGCTGATGTGACACCAACTCAGCCGGCAACGAGGCCATTCCAAAGGTTCTACAGGACAGCCAAGCCTCATCCATCTCGTGCCCTGAGACTTGGCCATGTTTTCTTCCAGAGCCTATTAGCAGAGTGTCCTCTTGCTTGTCTGCAAAGAATGAAGCTCTTTTTTTGCTCCATAGGAGCTGACTCTGCAGGGGAGAGGCGGTCACAGGCACAGAGGCACAGTCTCCATTAATCTAAACAGGAGAAATGTCGGCATGGAGGCCACAGGAAGGCTATGAGTGTTTACATCAACAGACATGCATTTAGAGTGCCCACAGACCCCGCTCAGCTACTGGTGCACACAGAAAACATTCACTGAGCCCTCCTGGCACAGGCCCCCGACACAGGGCTAGAAACCGGAGGTACGGGACAGGGAACTCGCAGGAGCTGGGAGCTGATCCTGCAAGCCAGGTGAGCCCAGGGAGAGTCTTAACTAGGCATTGAAAAGGTCACATGTCCATTTTCTAGAAGCCACGTGGAGAGTGGATGGGAACAGAAGTGCCTCTAGAAGCCAGTGGTGCCGGCATCACCGACTGTGGTGGGAATGGATGGGAGGTGTTTCAGGAAGAAGGTAAGTGGTTACACAGGTGGCCTGTGGAGAGAGGCTGGTCTGAGTTAATGGCACTGATGCCTGGAGGATGCCAGTGCCCCAAATGGACCTGCAAATGCCAGGTCTGAGGGGACGGAATGTCGTCAGGATGGGCTCTTCAGGTGGGTATAGTGATGCCAAGACCCCTTGGTAGACACTGCACGTTTGCAAACGCCCTGCTGTTCCCAGGAAGCCAGTCCCTGGGGCTTCCCCTGTGAAGCAGTCAGGTCTCACGTGCTCAGCCTGAGCTGGAGAGACATTCTTTTAAGCAAGAGCATGACTACGATGGCACTTCTTGTGAGGAGAAGGAAATGATGTTTAGAAGGCATGTTCCAGGAGCCCAGTTCTGAAAGGGACTTCTGGGGGACTCTGCTGGGGGACCAAGAACACATACAGTGGAGAGCAGACAATGTCACCTGTGCACGCTGCACTATGTCCAGCCATCCTGAGGCCCCACCCCCTGTGCCACAGTACCATGCCCACTCACCTCTATTTTCTCATTTTACTATGACTCATCCCTCCAGGAGCTAGAACCATGGCACGCTCTTTCTGCGCACTCACCAGCACTGAGCATGTTTGTCGCCCCAGGAGTGAGGACAACTCAGACAACATGGACTTAAAGCAGAAACTCCCCCTGGAGAGCCTGGCTGGGGGTGTGCTCTGCACCCCTTGCAACCAGGCCTCCTGCCTCACTGAGAAGCCTCCTGCCCCAACAGTCACCAGGGAAGCTGGCGGTTGGCACAGCCTCACTCCAGCTCATTGATCACAGGTGTCCTGTCAGGAGCACAAACAAAATGAAGTTTTCTGGATGTCTAATAGTCTAGAAGCATGAAGGAGATGTCATTCAGCTGCCACTGTCAGCTAGTGCATGTGAGCCACAGACCTCCGTCTTTCCAGCACACAGGCACTAGAGCACAGGGACAGCGATGGCCCTGGCGTGGACGTGCAGGACGGGGACCAAGCCTCGCTCCCATCTTCTTTATTTCAAAGGGTCTCAGCTCAGGGCACAGAAGCCCTTGCAAAATGTGCTGAAGGGCTGAGAGTGTCCTTGCCCAGAGTCCATGCTGCCGTGGGCACACTTTTTTGGCCTTGTCCCCTGGGTCTTTTTATGAGGTGCACACAGGGACCAGAGCTAAAGCCCACTGCACAACCCTCTCCCCAGGCCTCACCATCGCTCCCCGCTTTCACCTCCCACAGTTGCTCTGCCTGTCACTTCTTTATTGGCTCTCAGATTGGGCCAGCCCCTTCCCTGTGTCTCTTCCATGGTGGAAAATTTGGCAGCCTTTCCATCTCTTCCATCCCCTTTTCTAACAACTATAAATGGCTCTGCCTGAGGGAGCCCCATCAAATGACAGATACCTTTTTTTGCTCCTGCTTCTTTCTGTCTGGAGTGGAAACTTGAGCCCGCACAGTGTCTCCCTCCCCTGACAGAACACAGACCAGCCTTGCAGGACCAGCGAGGCTGCCCCACATTGCACAGGCCACCAGGCCAGAGCTGGGGGACAACACAGGGCGTGGACAGCCTGACGCATCCACATTTCCTTTCACAGTAGACCCTCTAGGGCTGCAGCTGACTGCAAATATAGCCTCCCTTCCAGCCCCCTCACTGACCACTGCATTTCAACCATCCCACGCAACCAGAACACCCGGAGGGGTCTCTCCCACCTCCAGGGTCCCACCACATTCTGCTCATGGGGCCAACTGTTAGCAAGGGGCAAGGTGAGATGTGGATAGCCCTCAGAGAACCATCCAGCAGGAAGGCAGAGGCCCAGGTTGGCCAGGTGCCCACAGCCCAGCCTCCCTCCATCCCAAAGTGAGCTTTGCTTGTTGCAGGGATGGGTGTGTTCCACCTTGGCTGCACTCCAGAAGGGGGTCCTTGCTCTCTATGGCCTCATGCATTTATAGGTAGGGTGGCCAAGTAACTCATATAACTTATTATCCAAACTGGAGCACTAATAATAACTACGAGGTGCTATTAATAACTCTGCTGGGGCAATAGATATGCATTGAGACAGATAAGCCGGGACATGTGTTTTATTCATCAAGGAGTTGGGAGGGGCAGGGATTGCCTAACTGGTTTGAAAGGCTGTGCACTTTGCAATAGGAATTACAGACCCAATAAGTAAGAAATGCACTGTTCCTAGGTGTTGATGGCCTCAAGGGCTAGTGTATCAGCACAGGTGCCTGCAGAGGCCCTGGGAGCCAGCCATGGGATAACTACCAGTTCATCTGGAAGACCACTAGCTCATCTCTCACCAATGCCATTTCTATTCATCACAAAAGCTCTGCAAATTAAGAATTGTGGCCAGCTCTTAAAGATGCAATGCCTGGGTATAGGAGCAGTTCATTAGCTCCCCGAGGCCATTCAACTGGCGAGCCCAACATCCTCCCCAGTCCCTGTGGCCTCCTATTGATGTCATTAAAATCTGATGATGCAGCTTTTCTTTCTGTTTCAAAACCATACCAAGCTCAACGTCCCATCCGAGCTCATCCATCTTCTCCTTAAGTCAGCAGTTTTCTCCCAAAGCCTGTTCTCTGCCAGGGCACTCCTGCTACATCTCTCCCCATCCGCGCAGAAGGGAGCTGCTGGGTTGGATTGGATGACATTTGATGGGGCCAGGCTGTGGTGTGAAGACTTGCTGCATGGTCATAATCAAAAGTTGGCTAGATCCAAAGAAAATCTTGGACAAGGATGGCCAGAGTCCGGAGTCACTGACGCTGTGGCTCAGGGACGCTTGGCCCTATGGTCAGCCTGGACAGATGGGGTCAAGTTCCAGGGCCCAGGGGGAGAGGCCACTGCCCATGATCCAGGCCTCAGGAACTCAGGGGTCAGATGAGCAGCGGGTGCACACAGGGCACACAGAGAATCCGCCAAGAGAGACGAGGAGGATGAGCAGCGGGTGCACACAGGGCACACAGAGAATCCGCCAAGAGAGACGAGGAGGCCCCAGGACCCAGGACAGCAATGCAGGGCCAGAGCAGGTTCAGGGAGAGAGGGGCCCACGAAGTCCACTTCTTTCCCTATGCGAATGACATGAGCCATTCACCCTCGTTGAATGATTTAGAACATCAGAAAATCTAAAAGTAAAAGAAAATTGCTCGCAATCCCAGGCCAAGTCAATATTAATGTTGATCTTTAATAAGTTGTCTTCAATCTATTTCATAAGTTTTCAAGACTGAGTTGTTACATATAATAATGCTACTTAATTTTTCACATACTTATCCCATTCTGCTTTTTCCTGAAAACATTACATAATGTAAGTGCTTTTCCATCTTATAAAACAACCAGTGGTCATCATCCAATGTAAGTTCCAAGATGTTCCATCAAATGAATGTGCCCTAATTTCCTTTGTGGTTCACCTATTAATGCACATCGAGTTTGTCCTCCATTTTCACTATTATCAATAAGAACTGAAAACACACAGATAGTCTTAAAACTTTGTCCTCATTTTAGATTAACTTCTCAGGATGGTGACGACGAGACAGAAGCTCAGTAAGACTTTAAGACCTGCGGTACATACGGCCAGACTGCTTTCCATAATCTCTAGATGACTGATTTACCTGTATTTCAGCAGTGCATATTCTGTTCTTGAGCCTTTAAATCACTGATTTGAAACATCCAACAACATTTCCTGAGCACTTTCTATACACCAGACCCTCAGCCACAGACAGCCATGTCCTACCCAAAAGCAGCAGTGTTGGTCCCTGCCCAGCCTTCCACTGAGCCCCAAGGGGGCAAATCGGCACAGGCCACCTTGCACATGACAGGGATAGAGACCTCCAACAGTCACACACAGTTCCAGCACATGGCTGAGAGGCTGTGGTCAGCCCCATGCCAGTGCAGGCGGAATGATGCAGCCAGCAGCCTCGTCGGCCTCACTCTAAGTAAGCTGAACTGACCCACACACAGAGAGGAGTGTGATCAAAGGGACTGTGTTAAATGGAACCATATGAAATTGCCAATAATCTACCATTTTCATCTTCAAAAATGGAAATTTCATACAGTTACAACTAATGCCATTTATGAAAAATATTCATCACACAGAATTTGAGAGAACAACAAGGACTCTGGAGTTTGAATTTCTAAGTTTGAATCTTGGCTACATGGTTCATTTACTGGGCAACGATGGTCAAGTTACTTATCTTCTCTGAGTCCATAAAAAAAGTTAACTATGTCCTTGTAGGTAAGCCAGAGCCAGCTCTATGGGCCTGCAGCCTGTGCTGCCACAGGGGTTAGTGCTCAGAAGGGCCCAATGTGGTTTAATGCTCTACTATTCCTGTTTTGAAATCCATAGTAATTACTGAAGAGCTCTGTTTGTCACATTGCACTGGGCCCTGCAAATTTTACAGCCAAGCCTGCATTCAGCCCTTAAGACAAGTACCTAAAACGGTGTTTGCAGGGTGGTAGATACTGAGTGTCCCTTCCTGGTCCCTTACCTTGGTATATTTAAGATATAATTTGTACCCATCCTTAAAAAATCCATTTCTGCAACAGACATAAGAGAAAGGAAAAGGTGTGTTTGTTGGACAGCTTACATGTTTCTTGCCTAATGGTGCAGGTGGCAAATATCCAACTCAGATACTCCTCAGTCACCTATTGCTCGTGGGCACCATGCTGTAGGGGCCAAGAACATTCCCTTTACCCTTGGAAGGTTCACTGAAAACCAACTGACAAAGGTAGATTAACAGGAGAAATGGCATGCACACATTTTATTCATGTGCTTGGGAGTCATACAAACATCTCAAAGAAAGACAAGATGGTTAATGCTTTTTTACCATCTTGAGGTTACAGAATGTTAAAAGAAAAACATTAGGCAAATTAAATTTAACAGACTTTAGTTGAGCAAAGACTATTTGCAAATTGGGCAGCCCCTCACCTCCAAATTAGAATAGGTTCAGAGAGACTCCAGCCCTGCCATGTGGTCAGAGATTCATGGATAAAAAAAGGAAAAGGACGTACAGAAAACAGAAGTGAGGTACAGAAACAGCCAGATTGGTCCCAGCTCAGCTTTGCCTTATTTAAATGCAGTTTGAATAGTTGGCCACCTGTGATTTGCTGAAATTCAGTGATTAGTACAAGACTAGGTTATGTCTGTTCACACATCCAGTTAGGGTACAGTTCACACTTACAGAGAAACCTTTAGGCCAAACTTAAAATAGTAAGGAGGCAGCTGTAGGCTAAAACAGGAAGAAAATGGGGGCTTCAAGCATGGCCACAGATGGGTTATGGTGCTAAATCACGTTACTGGAGGGGGAGCGGGGTCTAGCTGACAAAGGTGGTCTCGTGTAGGTGAAAGCTCACAGATAGCAGCCCTCAGACAGCATAGATGGTGAATGTTTCTTTTGGACCTTTGTGGATGTCAGATTCTTGGTTAATCTCTCCTTGATAGGATAATGGAGGCCTCTGAGAATAGCCTGGCTGCATCGATGCAGATTCTCTACAGATGCAAATCTCCCCTCAATAGCCAGCTTTTCAATTCTTCTTGCATTCGCAGCCCTTCTGAATAGCCGTCTTGAAATATATCAAAGAAGCATATTTTGAGGTGAAATATTTTGGTTTCCTCAGCACTCAGCCTGGACACAGGCCCTGCTGGCAAAAAGGTCACAGCCCTGCAAGATGGCCTGGTGTGGACAAACAGCTGTGGCCTGAGAGTAACTTGTGTTCAGAGAGCTGTGGGAACCCCTGAGCAGGAGCCCCTGAATCCAGCTGGGAACTGAGCATCAGGGCAAGCCACCAGGGCTGGGCGTTAGAGGATGCTGGGGGTGCCAAGTTCTCGGGCAGTGGGAAAGGGGTGCAGGGGGATGATGATGGAGGCAGACAGCAGAGCGCAAGCACAGGCCTCACCGCTGCACCTCCTGCCCTCCTGCAGGCTGTGAACGCCTGAGCTGACTCAAGCCTGCACCTGGCACAGCCTCCCTGGGGCACCCTCTTCATGCCACGTTCCCCTCGTCTCACTCCTGCCGTGGCTGCAAGCACCTCCGGATGGATAAATCCCAGATCTGGATCCCCCACTGAGGAGTCTTCTCCAAGTTGTCCTCTGTATCTTCTAAGGCTTGCAGAACATTTCCACCGGAATGCTACAGCTGTGGGGCTCCAGCCATGCCCACACTGCACACACTCAGTACCAAGCCCAACACTCTGGCCTGGCCTGCCCAAGTACCACGCTCTTCCTGCTGGCCCTGCCACAGCTCTGGCCTGGCCCACAGCCCCCCAGGCTATACTCACTCTTCACCCCGACCAAATTGGAGAGTTGAGCAGAGTCTCTTCTCCGAGCCTGGGCACACCACCAGGGCTCTCCTGACCGGGCACCCCTGACACTGTGTGCTTATCTCCCCTGTGCAGGTGCCCATTGGGTCCTGGGGGTGCCACCGCATTTTCAGGGCTCAGCACGAGGCTGCACATGCCAGCCACTGAAATGGCACAGAGTGTATGTATTTCCTGATGTTCCTGCTAACCCTGAGTTTCCCTCTGATTCCTGGTCTTGAAGCTTGGCGCGTCATCCACCCAGCTGTCCATGCTGGAGCTCTAGACATGAGCCTACATTTTTCCCTTTGCTTCCTCCCTACATCCAGCAGCCACTGCCCCATGGTCTCTTCTTCAACACCTGCCCCTCCGCCCACTCTCATTGTCCCACAGCCCTTTGGGCCTGGGCTGTATCTTGCTTTTGTAAGCCACCATGGTGGCACACTCTCAGGGCGCCCTTGCACTCACCATGCCTGCCTTCCACCTCTCCTTCACACTGGCTCCAGGACAGGGTAATCCTTAAGTTTGTGTTGGCCACATCACTCCCTGCTCATATCTCCAGTCACTCACCATAGTCTGAACTCCTCAACATGGTGGCCTATGTCTTTGCAGCTTCCAGGAGCCTTGTCAAACCCTGTGCCCAGTCACCCTGTGAGACCTGCATTCCTCAAAGAGTCCAAGCATGCACTGGCTCCCTATCTCCATGCCTCTCGCTGCCTCTTCCCACCTGCCCAGCTCCACCTCAGTGTCTCCACCTTGGCCTTAATGTCTTAACACAAAGCTCCCCTGTAGCAGGTCTTCGGCCGCAGACCCAGCACCTGCCCCGCACTGCCCCAGGGGCCCCTGCTCTATGCCTAGCCACAGTGGCTTTGATGACCACATCCTCATCAAGACTCCTTTAGGCTGCTTGCTGCCTACTCTGAGTCCTCATCTGACACAGTGTCCGGCTCCTGCTCAGCCAATGAAAGAACAAACAAACAGGAGGCCTTAAGATGCTGCTGGCTTTCTTTCCATTACATGGCTACGTATTCTTTCTCTTGCTTTGATCATTGTACCTGGTTGATTTCTCCTAAAAGCCTCTCTAGGGGAAGAATAACTATTAGATGGCTTGTTCAGGATGGTTGCCTTCTCCAGGGACCCCACACATTCTTAACTCTGGAGCCCTGGACTTCCCATTAAGACTAGGATTAATGTAGTAAGTTGTATTACTTATACAGGACACAATGGTTTCAAGATTTCGTTTTACACTTTATCACATCTAATCCTTCCATAAACAATTTCCAGAATCGAATACAGGTGTGTGGTTTTTTTCTCTTGCTTCTCCTCTATTCCCCCTCCCCCTTCTCTTCTTCCTACTTGTTCTCCTTCTTTGTGAACCCAGCCCTGCTCATTCTGACCTTACTATAGTGCCTTGAACAGTAAATATGAAACTCCAGAGGTCCAACCAAGGCTGCAAAGTGTCCACATTAAACCAATACTCATATTCCACTAATGGATATGGGTGTTCAGCTCCTCGCAGGAACATATGTCAAACAGTAGAGCAAACCTCCTTAAACCCTGAGTCAGGCAGCCAATCAGCTGAAGCTTGGATCAAAAATGAGATGAAAGCCAGATCTTTCTTGAGCAGGAATGCATGCATAACTCCAGAGGCCTGGAAGGTTTTCCTATATTCTAGAACCTATAGTCTAAGATAATCTTCCAGGCCTCTGGAGTTAAGCATGCATTCCTGCTCAAGAATGCAATATACCTTGATATTTAGCAATATTTTTATAAAAGTGATATAAGGAACTTCTGGAATGGTGGTGAAAGGCCTCCAAAATCTACTCCTTCGTAAAATCAATGAGAATCTGACAAAATAAACTTTTTCAGGACTCTTAAAATTAACCAAAAGCTTACAACAATGCAAGAAGTATCGATCCAAGAAAACTGGTTGCATCTCAGTAAGAATAGTTAGCCTTGTGGTTTTAACTTGCTCTATTCCCTGCCTTCTCTCCCCAGCTCCCCAGTAGCCTTGAAAATCAGCAGTCTTGCAATATCAGTAGTTGTAAAAACCATCATCACAGCAGCAACTAAAGGGGTCAGCCAGAGTTTGAAGGGCTTCAGAAAGTCCCATCTGGAGGGCCTATCATTATCTGACCTGACTCCGGAGCTCACTCTGTGCAAAGAGCCCTGACCCCAGGGCATCTGTCAAAAATAATCAGTGGTAGTTGTTTAACATTGTCACTGAAGTAGTGATGACAGTTGGGGCAAACAAGTATCTGGCCAAAAACTTAAAAGGAAGACCTGGGGAAAAGATGTCCATGATGACTTTGACCCATATTCCTAAGGGTCTAGAAGGACATGTACATATACAGGGAAGTGTGCATACTTGGAAGTGATCTGAAAAGACCCTAACTTCTCACCTCTGGCAGAACATAGGCCCCGCACTAGCAGGAAGTGAAGGCCAAGACAGAGTTGCAAATTATCACAATGAAGTTATGCCTCAACACCCACACAAAGCCCCAAATACATTAAAAAAAAAAAAAAAAAAAAAAAACTAAAGAATGAAGGGAAGAATACACAAAAATAGACAGCTCAGAAATATAATTGGAAACTTCAATACCCCACCTTTAACAGTGGATAGAACAACTAGGCAAAAATCAGCACGGAATAGAAGACTTTAACAACACTGTCAGCCAACCAGATCTAATGGACATTTAGAAAACATTACACCCAATAACACCAAATATACATTCTCTTTAGGTGCACATGGAGCATTCTCCAGAATAGGCCACATGTTAAACCATAGAACAAATATCCGTAACTACAAAATAATTGAATTTGTAAAAAGTGTGTCCTCCTGTCATAATGGAATTGAGTTACAAATCAATAATAAAAGGAAATTTTTGAAATTCTTAAGTATGAGCAAACTAAAGAAAAATATTCCCAATAATCACTGGATCAAAGAAAAAAATCAAAAAGGCAACTAGAAAATAATTTGAGATGAATAATAATAGAAACACAATACACCAAAATTTATGGAATGCAACTACAGCAGTGCTCAGAAGGAAATTTATAGCTACATTTTTAATATATAAACTTATTTATTTAAAAAAAGAAAGATAACAGATCAACAATCCATGTTTTCACTTTAAGAAACTAGACAAAGGGCCAGGCGTGGTGGCTCATGCCTGTAATCCCAGCACTTTGGGAGGCCGAGGCAGGCGGATCACTAGGTCAGGAGATCGAGACCATCCTGGTTAACACCATGAAACCCTGTCTCTACTAAAAATACAAAAGAAAAAAAAAAATTAGCCGGGCGTGGTGGTGGGTGCCTGTAGTTCCAGCTACTCAGGAGGCTGAGGCAGGAGAATGGCGTGAACCCGGGAGGTGGAGCTTAAAATGAGCCAAGATCACGCCACTGCACTCCAGCCTGGGAGACAGAGCGAGACTCCATCTCAAAAAAAGAAAAAAAAGAAAGAAAGAAAGAAAGAAAGAAAGAAAGAAAGAAAGAAAGAAAGAAAGAAAGAAGAAAGAAAGAAAGAAAGAAAGAAAGAAAGAGAAAGAAAGAAAGAAAGAAAGAAAGAAAGAAAGAAAGAAAGAAAGAAAGAAAGAAAGAAAGAAACTAGACAAGAGCAAACCACATACATGCCAGGCAAATAGAAGGAAGCACATGAAAATCAGAATGTAGATAAATGAAACAAACAACAGAAATTCAATCAAACCAAAAGTTGGTTCTCAACATTACAGACAAACCATTAGCTGGAGTGATCAAGAAAAAAAGGGAGAAGATTCAAATCACTAGAATTAAGACTTTATAGAAATAAAAAAAAAAAGAGTATAAGGGAACACTATAAACAACCATAAAGCAACACATTATATAACCTGGATGAAATGGACAACCTTCAAGAAACACACAAAAAGGAACAGGTAGTCTACTATAGCAAGTAAGGAGATCAAATTAGTAATTTTAAAACTTAGAGGACAGGTTCAAGATGGCCGACTAAAAGCAGTGGCAGTCAGAGGCTCCCATAGAGAAAAACCATAATAAGCGTGTGAATCCTTCACTGGCAACCAAAGTATCCAGGTTCTCTCATCAAAATTGACTGGGAGGCAGTGAGTGAGCGGGCTACCCAGCAAGGGAAACTGTGCTTTTTCCACGGAACTGTGCAACCCATGGATGGGAAGTTCCCACCCTCAAACCCATGCCACCTGGGCCAAGCGTCCCAACTCTGGAATCCACAGATTCTTACAGTCTCTCAGCTGGAATCTGCTTAAGCCCACCGAACTCCCGAAGGGAGGGGTGACCAGCACCAGCTGCAGCTGCCTGCTGTCTAAAGGTTTGAGCTTCTTGGGGGAGGGGCAGCAGCCAGCACTGGGACTCATAACTGCCTAACACACTAAGCTCCCTGGGTGGGGGAAGGGTGGTGCCCGTTTCTATAGCTCCAGGCTGAACTTTTCTCCTGCTGGAGCCAGGGAGGCTGAACGGCTTGGTCCCAAGACTTGTCCCCACAGCCCAACACACCAGCTGTGGCAGTCGGCAGCCAGAGTGCCTCTTCAGGCCTAACCCTGATCCATCCTTCCTCAGTGGGTGGGGCTTCCCTGCAGGATCTCCAATAACTCCAGCCAGAGGCTCAGGGACAGAATTCAGATCTCCCTGGGCCTGAGCCCCTAGGGGGAGGGGTGGCCACAGTCTCTGCAGACCAGCAGACTTAGCCTCTCCTCCTGGTAGTTTTGAGGAATCCAGGCAATCCAGAGTAGTGGGTTTCCCCCCAGCAAAACACACCCTCTCTACCAAGGGACAAAGTGCTTCGTTAAACAGGTCCTGCTCCCCATGCCACCCAACTGGATGAGACCCTCTGACAGGGGTTGCCAGACACCCTATGCAGGAGCAATCCTACTGGCATCAAGTTGGTGCCCCTCAAGGTCAGAGGTCTCAAAAGAAGGAGCAGGCACCCATCTTTGCTGCTCTCCAGCCTCCTTGAGTGACATCTCCAGGAACGGGAGTGAATCCCCAGCAAACTGCAGCAGCCCTATAGAAGAGGACCTGACTACTGAAAAACAAATAAGGAGAAAGTGACAACAATAGCATCATCATCAACAACAACAAAAGTGCCCCCACAAAAACTCCATCCAAGAGTCAGCAGCCTCAAGACTGAAACTAGACAAACTCACGAAGATGAGAAAGGATCAATGAAAAAATGCTGAAAACACAAAAAGCCAATGTGCCTCTTCTCCTCCATATGATCACAACATCTCTCCATCAAGGGCATAGAACTGGGCAGAGGATCAGATGGACGAACTGACAGAAGTACACTTCAGAAGATGGGTAATAAAAAAACTGTGATGAGCTAAAGGAGCATGTTCTAACCCAATGCAAGGAAGCTAAGAACCTTGATAAAAGGTTAAAGGAATTGCTAACTAGAATAACCAGTTTAGAGAGGAACATAAATGACCTGATGGAGATGAAAATCACAGCATGAGAACTTAGTGAAGCATACACACGTATCAACAGCTGAATTGACCAAGTGGAAGAAAGGATACCAGAATTTGAAGACCACTTTACTGAAATAAGACATGCAGACAAGAATAAAGAAAAAAGAATGAAAAGGAATGAACAAGGCCTCCAAGAAATATGGGACTTCATAAAAAGACTGAACTGAAGATTGATTGTAGTACCAAAAGCAGAAGGAGATGGGGAGAATGGAAACAAGCTGGAAAACACATTTCAGGATATTATCCAAGAAAACTTCCCCAACCTAGCAAGACAGGCTGACATGCAAATTCAGGAAATACAGAGAACACCATTAAGGTACTCCACGAGATCAACCCCAAGACACATAATCATTAGATTCTCCAAGGTCAAAATGAAGGAAAAACTGTTAAGGGCAGCCAAAAAGAAAGGCCACATCACCTACAAAGGGAAGCCCATCAGACTAACAGCAGACCTCTCATCAGAAACTCTACAAGCCAGAAGAGATTGGGGGCCAATATTCAACGTTCCTAAAGAAAAGAATTTCCAACCAGAATTTCATATTCAGCCAAACTAAGCTTTATGGAAAGGAAAACCAGTATCAGCCACTGCCAAAACACACCAAAATATAAAGACCAATGATATTACAAAGAAACTCCATTGACCAGTGTGCAAAATAACCAAATAGCATCAGGATGAAAGGATTAAATTCACACATAACAATACTAATCCTAAATGTAAATGGGCTAAATGTCCCAATTAAAAGACAAAGACTGGCAAATTGGATAAGGAGTCAAGATCCATCAGTGTGCTGTATTCAGGAGACCCATCTTACGTGCAAAGACACACACAGGCTTAAAATAAAAAGATGGGGGAAAATTTACCAAACAAATGGAAAGCAAAAAAACGCAGGGGTTGCTATCCTAGTCTCTGACAAAACAGACTTTAAACCAACAAAGATCAAAAAAGACAAAGAAAGGCATTTATAGTGGTAAAGGGATCAATGGAGCAAGAAGAGCTAACTATCCTAAATATATATGCACCCAATAAAGGAGCACCCAGATTCATAAAACAAGATCTTAGAGACCTACAAAGACACTTAGACTCCCACACAATAATAGTGGGAGACTTTAACACCTCACTGTCAGTATTAGACAGATCAATGAGACAGAAAATTAGTGAGAATATTCAGGACTTGAACTCAGCTCTGGATCAAGGGACCTGGTGGACATCTACAGAACTCTCTACCCTACACCAACAGAATATACACTCTTCTCAGTGCTACATGGCACTTATTCTAAAATCTACCACATAATTGGAAGTAAAACACTCCTCAGCAAATGCAAAAAAAAACTGAAATCATAACAAATAGTCTCACAGACCACAGTACAATCAAATTAAAACTCAAGATTAAGAAACTCACTCAAAACCACACCATTTAATGGAAATGGAACAATCTGCTCTTGAATGACTCCTGGAGTAAATAAAGAAATTAAGGCAGAAATCAAGAAGTTCTTTGTAACCAATGAGAATAAAGAGACAATGTACCAGAATCTCTGGGACACAGCTAAAGCAGTATTAAGAGGGAAATTTATAGCACTAAAATCACCACATCAGAAAGCTAGAAATATCTCACACTGACACCCTAAAATCACAATTAAAAGAGCTAGAGAGGAAAGAGCAAACTAATCCAAAAGTTAGCAGAAGACAACAAATAACTAAGATCAAACCAGAACTGAAGGAGATAGAGACACAAAAAACCCTCCAAAAAATAAACGAATTGAGGAGCTAGTTTTTTTAAAAAAAATTAACAAAATAGATAGACTGCTAACCAGATTAATAAAGAAGAAGAGAGAGAAGAATCAAATAGACACAGTAAAAAATGATAAAGGGGATAGCACCACTGACCCCACAGAAATACAAATGAATGACCATCAGAGAATACTATAAACACCTCTATGCAAATAAACTAGAAAACCTAGAAGAAATGGATAATTTCCTGGACACATACACTCTATCAAGACTAAGCCACAAAGAAGGTGAATCTGTCAATAGACCAATAACAAGCTCTGAAATTGAGGCAGTAATTAATAGCCTATCAAACAAAAAAAGCCCAGACCAGATGGATTCACAACTGAATTCCACCAGAAATATAAAGAGGATCTGGTACCATTCCTTCAGAAATTATTCCAAACAATTGAAAAGGAGGGACTCCTCCCTAACTCATTTTATGAAGCCAGCATCATCCTGATACCAAAACTGGGAAGAGACACAACAAAAAAAGGAAAACTTCAGGCCAATATCCCCTGATGAACATTGATGTGAAAATCCTCAATAAAATACTGGCAAACTGAATCCAGCAGCACATCAAAAAACTTATCCACCACGATCAAGTTGGCTTCAGCTCTGGAATGCAAGGCTGGTTCAACATACATAATCAATAAATGTAGTCCATAAATGTAATCAATAAATGTAATCATCACATAAACAGAACCAAAGGTAAAAACCACATGATTAGCTCGATAGATGCAGAAAAGGCCTTCAATAAAATTCAACATCTAAAAACTCTCAATAAACTAGGTATTGATGCAACATATCTCAAAATAATAAGAGCTATTTATGGAAAACCCACAGCCAATATCATACTGAATGGGCAAAAGCTGGAAGCATTCCCTTTGAAAACCAGTACAAGACAAGGATGCCTTCTCTCACCACTCCTATTCAACATAGTATTGGAAGTTCTGGCCAGGGCAATCAGGCAAGAGAAAGAAATAAAGGGTACTCAAATGGGAAGAGAGGTAGTCAAGTTGTTTCTGTTTGCAGATGACATGATTTCATATTTAGAAAACCCCATCATCTCAGCCCAAAAATGTCTTGAATTGATAAGCAACTTCAGCTAAGTCTCAGGATACAAATTCAACGTGCAAAAATCACAAGTATTCCTTTACACCAACAATAGGCAAACAGAGAGCCAAATCATGAATGAACTCCCATTCACTATCACTGCAAAGAGAATAAAATACCTAGGAATACAGCTAACAAGGGATGTGAAGGACCTCTTCAAGGAGAACTGCAAACCACTGCTCAAGGAAATAAGAGAGGACACAAACAAATGGAAAAATATTCCATCCTCACAGATAGGAAGAATCAATATCATGAAAATGGCCATATTGCCCAAAATAATTTATAGATTCAATGCTACTCCCATCAAACTACCACTGACATTCTTCACAGAATTAGAAAAACTATTTTAAATTTCATATGGAATCAAAGAAGACCCCATACAGCCAAGACAATCCTAAGCAAAAATAACAAAGCTGGAAGCATCATGCTACCTGACTTCAAACTATACTACAAGGCAACAGTAACCAAAGCAGCATGGTACTGGTACCAAAACAGAAATATAGAACAATGGAGCAGAACAGAGACCTCAGAAATAACACCACACATCTACAACCATCTGATCTTCAGCAAACCTGACAGAAAACAAACAATGGTGAAAGGATCTCCTATTCGGTAAATGGTGCTAGAAAAACTGGCTAGCTATATGCATAAAACAGAAACTGGACCCCTTTCTTACACCTTATACAAAAATTAACTCAAGATGGATTAAGGACTTAAATGTAAAACCCAAAACCATAAAAACCCTAGAAGAAAATCTAGGCAATACCATTCAGGACATAGGCACAGCAAAAATTTCATGATGAAAACACCAAAAGCAATTGCAACAAAAGCAAAAATTGACAAATGGGATCTATTAAACTAAAGAGCTTCTGCACAACAAAAGAAACTATCATCAGGGTGAACAACCTAGAGAATGGGAGAAAATTTTTGCAATCTATCCATCTGACAATGTTCTAATATGCAGAGTCTACAAGGAACTTGTATTCTTAAATACAAGAATAAAAAAAAAGACTTCATTAAAAAGTGAGCAAAGGACATGAGCAAACACTTCTCAAAAGAAGACATACATGTGGCCAACAAACATATGAAAAAAGCTCAACATCACTGATCCTTAGAGGAATGCAAATCAAAACCACAGAGAGACACCCTCTTGCACCAGTCAGAATGGCTATTATCAAAAGGTCAAAAAAATAACAGATGCTGACAAGGTTGCAGAAAAAAAAGAATGCCTTTACACTGTTAATGGGAGTGTAAATTAGTTCAACCATTGTGGAAGACAGTGTGGTAATTCCTCAAAGACCTGGAGAGAGCAATACCAATTGACCCAGCAATTCCATTACTGGGTATATACCCAAAGGACTATAAATCATTCTGTTATGAAGATACATGCACACAGATGTTGATTGTAGCCCTACTCAGAAGGGAAAAGATACGGAATCAACCTAAATGCCCATCAATGATAGATTGGATGAAGAAAATGTGGCGCATATACACCATGGAATACTATACAGCCATACAAAGGAATGAGATCATGTCCTTTGCAGGGATATGGATGGAGTGGAAGACATTATCCTCAGAAAAGTCATGCAGGAACAGAAAAGCAAACACCACATGTTCTCACTTATAAGTGGGAGCTGAATGATGAGAGTACATGGACACATTGAGAGGAACAACACACACTGGGGCCTGTCAGATGGCGGGAAAGGGTCAGGGGAGGGAGTGCATCAGGAAAAATAGCTAGATGATAGGATGATCTGTGCAGCAAACCGCCATGGCAGAAATTTACCTGTGTAACAAACCTGCACATCCTGCACATGTACCCCTGAACTTAAAATAAAGGTTGAAGAAAGCAAAAAAATGCCACGATGGTAAAAAAAAAAGAAAGAAAGAAAAACCTACAGCTAATATTACACTTAATGGTAAAACACTGGATACTTTACCCCTAAGATTAGAAACAAGACAAAGATGTCTTTTATTAATTCTATTCAGCATTGTACTGTAGCTTCTAGCCAAGACAAGAGAAAAAAAAAAGTCATACAGATTGGAAAGAAAGTAAAAGGTCTTCTATTTGCAGATGATGTGATCTTTTATATGGGAAGCCTAAGGTAACCACGTGCACACAAAAAAAAATGTATTAAAACTAATAAATGAGTTTAGCCATAGGGCAAGCTACAAAATAAACTTAAAATAATCAGTCGTATTTCTATACACTAGTATTGAACAATATGAAAATAAAATAATCACATTAATAATAATATCAAAAAGAATAAAATACTTAAGAACACAGTTCAATATAAGATGTGTACATCAAAACTACAAAATATTATAATAGAAATTAAAGAAAATCTAAATAAATGGAAAGACTCCCATGTTCATGAATTGGAAGATAATATTATTAAGATAGCAATTTTCTCCAAATTGATTTTCAGATTCAATACAATCTCTGTCAAATTCCCAATTCACTATTTGCAAAAATAAACAAGCTGGTCCTAAAATTTATATGAAAATGCAAGGGACCCATAATAACCAAAACCATTTTGAGCTAGAACAAAGTTGGATGACTCATATTTTTCAACAGAACTACACTACTCAGGACAATGTACTGGCATAAAGATGAACAGGCAGAGTAATGGAATATAATTACAAGTCCAGAAATAAACCCACAACTTTAAAGTCAATTGATTTTTGCCAAGAGTACCAAGATCATTCAGTGGGAAAGAATAGTCTCCTCAGCAAATAGTGTTCGGACAACTGGATATCGTCACACCATATATAAAAATTACCTTAAAATGGATCATAGGCCTAAATGTAAGAGCAGAAACTAACAAACTCTCTAGGAGAAAGCACAGGAGTAAATATTGCTTACCTTGTGTTAAGCATTGGTTCCTAGATAAAACACCAATAGCACAAGCAATAAATAAATAAATAAATAAATAAATTGCATTTTATCAAAATTAAATGTTTTTGAGCTTCAAAGGCCATCATTAAAAAGACAAAAGACAGCCTATAGAATGGGAGAAAATATCTGCAAACCATATATCTGATAAGTAACTTGTATGCAGGCTATATAAAGAATTATTACAACTCTACATTAAAAAGACAAATAATCCCATTAAAAATGGGAACTATATTCCAGTAGATAGTTCTCTAAAGAAGATATGCAAATGAGGCCTGACGCAGTGGCTCATGCCTGTAATCCCAGCACTTTGGGAGGCTGAGGCTGGCAGATTGCCTGAACTCAGGAGTTCGAGACCAGCCTGACCAATATGGTAAAACCCCGTCTCTACTAAAAACACAAAAAATTGGCCATGCATGGTGTCTCATGCCTGTAATCCCAGCACTCTGGGAGAGTGAGGCAGGCAGATCACCTGAGAGGTCGGGAGTTCAAGACCACCCTGACCAACAATGGAGAAACCCCGTCTCTACTAAAACTTCAAAATTAGCCAGGTGTGGCTATAGGCGCATGCCTGTAATCCCAGCACTCTGGGAGAGTGAGGCAGGCAGATCACCTGAGAGGTTGGGAGTTCAAGACCACCCTGACCAACAATGGAGAAATCCCGTCTCTACTAAAAATACAAAATTCGCCAGGCGTAGCTATAGGTACATGCCTATAATCCCAGCTGCTCAGGAGGCTGATGCAGGAGAATCACTTGAACCCAGGAGATGGAGGTTGTGGTGAGCCGAAATCACACCATTGCACCGCAGCCTGGGCAACAGGAGCGAAACTCTGTCTCAAAAAAAAAAAATTAGCCAGGCGTCGTGGTATGTGCCTGTAGTCCCAGCTACTGGGGAGGGTGAGGCATGACAATCACTTGAACCCAGGAGGTGGAGGTTGCAGTGAGCCAAGATCCTGACCACTGTACTCCAGCCTGGGTAACAGAGCAAGACTCTGTCTCAAAAAAAGAAAAAAAAAAAGATATGCAAATTGTCAACAATCACATGAAAAGAGGTCCTGCATCATTACTCATCGTGGAAATACAAATCAAAAGCACAGTGAGATACCACTTTGCACTCACTAGGATGGCTAAAGTCAAAAAGACGAACAAGTGCTGGTGTGGATGTGGATAAATCTGAACCCTCATTCACTGCTGGTGAAAATGCAACATGGTGACACCACTTTTAAAAACAGTTTGTCAATTCTTCAGTTAAACAGAGAGTTGTGATATGACCCAGCAATTCTACTCCTAGGTATATGTCCAAGAGAAATGAAAACATACGTCCACACAAAAAACTTACACACAAATATTCATAGCAGCGTTATTCATCCTAGCCAAAAAGTGGAAGCAACCCAAATGCCCATCAACAAGTGAATGGATTTTACAAAATGTGGTATCTCCATGCAATGGAATATTATCTAGCAATGAGAAGGGAGGTACCGATACATGACATGGGTGAACCATGAAAGCACTATGCTAAATGCAAGAAGCCAGGCACAAAGAGCCGCATATTGCCTGGGTCCATGTTATTGCCTCATATGTTTATTGAGTGACTTCCGTGTGCCAGGTGCTGTTCTTGGTCCTGGGGATTAATCGCTGAACACAGTAGACTTGATGGCTATCCTCCTGAGGCGTTCGTTCTAATGCAAGACAGATTTGAGATGGATGCTTGTGCACATAATTAATTCAGTAGAATTAATTGCAATTGTGATATGCACTAACAGAGAAGAGCAAGGGACTATGTCTTTGCCTGGGAGGTGGGGGAAAGCTTTGCTGAGAAGGTGACTCAATTGCATGTCCTCCTCTTTTTTTCACTTCACAGCATATTATAAGCATTTTCCCAAAATTAAAAATTCCTTATGCACATCATTTTTATGTCTGCATCATCCACTACTTGTGGTTGTGTCTCGCCATCCCTGAACAATGGGCAGGCTGTTTGTTTCCATTCTTTTTCTATTCTTCATACTGCTTCAAGAAACTCCTTTATGTAATATCCATATTCCTCATTACAGCTTAAGGATAAATTCCTACCAAAGTAATTACTCAATCAAAAGGCAGCTGTTTTTTGTTTTTGTTTTTGTTTTAAGATGGAGTCTCACTCTGTTGCCCAGGCTGGAGTGCAGTGGCGCGATCTCGGCTCGCTGCAACTTCTGTCTCCCAGGTTGGAGCAATTCTCCCTGCCTCAGCCTCCTGAGTAGCTGGGATTACAGGCGCGTGCCACCATGCCCGGCTAATTTTTGTATTTTTTTAGTAGGGACGGGGTTTCATGATGTTGGCCAGGGTGGTCTTGAACTCCTGTCCTCAGGTGATCTGCTAGCCTCAGCCTTCCAAGTGCTGGGACTATAAGCATGAGCCACCGCACCTGGCCAAAAGATAGTTTTTTAAAGCTCTTCGTATGTATCACCAAGTGTTTTTCAGAAAGATTGGTCTGCACCTGCCCCATCCACACCACACCCACACACCATAAACTGGAAGTTTCTCCTCGTTTCTCTCTCCATCCAGTGCTAGCAGCTGCCCAGCCCTCCTGACAGCGTCATTCCATCTCTGTGAAGGGACTGGAAAAAGGGCCTCCTGCTAAGTGTCACACATGGGCCCCAGCTGTACACTAGAGAGTGGGAGAGAACACATCTGACAGCCTGGACACCTCCCAGCTGTCAGTTCAGCATAATTGGAGCTCAATGCCAGATCTCAATGTATCCAACCATCTTCTGCATGACTCTTTTGCCCCTTTTTTCATCTCTATTTTTGGTGTTGCTGTGGTTCATTTACTAGTCCTATAATAAATCATGCAGTGATTGCCACAAGTTTTAATATATAAGATTTGCTCAAATTCAAGTAATTTGATTTCAGAGATGACTCACTTTGTTTTCGAGCCTCAAAGAATGACATCAGGCAGGCTGGACTTTGGATCTCAGGTCTTCAGCTCCATAGTTTTAGAACCTCGGGCAGGTGCACCTCCTCACGTCTATGAGTTTCTGAAAATGTAGATAGCCCCTATTTAACCACGGGAGTGAGGCTTGTCTCAGAAAACACGTCCACCGCCACTGCCTGGCAGGTGGTCCCGTGGGACATGCTAGTTCTCCTGTCCCTGCTCTTCTCTCCCCACAGCCCACAGGATGGGGCATCCATGCGTCCTCCGTAGGCAAGGAGCCCCTGCAACTTTTATGCAGAGTTACAGTTGCTGTCACACCATCAGCCAACACTCTTCCAGGGAGCTCCTACCGGGGCACAGAGCTGTTGGATTATCCATGGTCATGCATAATCGACACAAGGCACAGCCCCGGAGATGGTTAAAATCTTCTGGCACTAGCAGGGTATATATGAAACCTAAACAGCCAGTTCCGAAAAAAAGTTTTCAGAGGGGTCCTCGACACTGGGAAAGCTGCCGGGTGAGGACAGACAAGAGGCCAATGTGAAGTCTCTTTTTCCATTTTCCTGCTTGATTTTTCTGCTTGAGACTTAACCATGATAAATCCTGGAATACTCCTTATTTATCTTTGTTGTTTTCCGTCTCTCCCCACTAGAGGGCGTGCTCCATGAGGGCAGGGGTCTTCGCTTTTCTCTCTGCTGCATCCTGAGCGCGGCTGGGACTTTTTGACTCTCGGTTAATATTGACCGAATGAATAAATGACTAAGTCAGCAGTGGAAGCAGGAAAAAAGGCATGCATGTGTATTTTTGGAGAGAAAAAG
The DNA here is from genome assembly GCF_000001405.40 of Homo sapiens. Taxonomy (NCBI): domain Eukaryota; kingdom Metazoa; phylum Chordata; class Mammalia; order Primates; family Hominidae; genus Homo; species Homo sapiens. Next base: position 128,755,420 of record NC_000002.12, on the reverse strand, counting down.
GGAGGTTTGCTGGAAGCAGAGGAGCTCTGTCTCCTTTTTTTTTTTTTTTTTGAGACGGAGTCTCTCTCTGTCGCCCAGGCTGGAGTGCAGTGGAGCAATCTCGGCTCACTGCAAGCTCCGCCTCCCGGGTTCCCGCCATTCTCCTGCCTCAGCCTCCTCAGTAGCTGGGATTACAGGCGCCCGCCACCACGCCCGGCTAATTTTTTTTGTATTTTTTAGTAGACACGGGGTTTCACCGTGTTAGCCAGGATGGTCTCGATCTCTTGACCTCGTGATCCGCCCGCCTCGGCCTCCGGAGCTCTGTCTCTTTGGGGTGCACAGCTCACTGCCCCCCAGAGTCTCCAGGGCCGAGGGTCAGGGATGTGGGTTGAATTGCAGGACCTCAGCTTTAATATGCTTTCCCGTTAATATGCTTTCCCGTCACAGGGAAACGGACTCCACCCAGACTGACTGTGGGATTGATTTCTAGGTCTTTTTATCTTTGGGGGTCAGGTGAAGAGATGGAAAAAGTTAATATATGTTGCATTTCAGAAACAAACTTAGGAAAAAGTTCTCTGGCATTTTCTAGCCATATGATGTGTATACATAGCCTAACATCTTTTTTTCTTCCATTTCTGTATCTGTACTATGAGATCAACTTATAGGAAATAATGTCTGTAAAACAATAACACAGTTCTTGACTCCTAGTAGACAATCAGTAATTGATGTCAGCTATCCTGGTGGTGGTGATGGTGCTATTATTTGCTTCCTGTTCCAGGTGGCTTCTGGTTCCCTTGGGACTTGCCCTGTGTGCAGGTACAGTTCAGACCAGAGGAGAAGCGGAACACACCGCAGCATCCTGTGGGGTCCTGCATAGTGGAGTAAATGAGCCTGGGCATTTGGGAGAGGGCTAGGGGAGTGTTGGTGTAAAGGACAGCAAGCAAGTGGTGACAGCCACCGGCTATTAATACTTTTAGTGAGTTTCTGCTTCACTGCCGGTCATTTTTTCTCACACTTAACAGCTTGCACTGATGACAGGAAGCACATGCTTGTAAGCAGACCATCTCCTGCAGCACTCACTGCACACAGGGCCTGTCTCCACCGGGACTGAGAGCCCAGACTCTCCTGCCCACATCCTGCAGCTGGCCTGGGAGGAGGCGCCTGCAAGCTTCCTCCTTTGGTTATCTCTCTCTTGCTGCGCCTCTGCTGCTTTTCCATGTGATCAAAGCAACCTTGACATCTTTCCCCCGTGCAGAATTTAATTTCCTAACTGAGATTTTATATATAGCACAAAATAAAGTTCTTATGTCTCTGATCTTGCAAGATAACCCCCAGCCCCACCTCACCTGCACAGGAGCAGGGCTCCAATTGATATGATAATGCAGGAGAATGCAGCCCTGGAAGGATGTCAGGCACTTCTAAATATACACGCGTGCGGCCCAGTTCTGACTAGTGAGGGCTTTGATGTTAAATGAAATGGGATAATGATACGAGGAGAGTGACGCTGGATCACAAATCTTCTCTCCAACAGATGAGGACAAAAGTCAGCAAAAACCTTCCCAACTGCCTCCAAGCAAGGGAAAAGGGACTGCATCCTAGAGCTGCAGACAAGGAGGCCAAGTTAAAAAAATCAGAGTATTCTAGCTCAGCATGGCGCTTACTCTTCTCCACCAACCAGAGGTCAAGCTGGCAAAGGAGGTTAAAAAAAAAAAAGTTCTAAGCATTCTCTCAATGCCCCCAAATGTGGTGACTACAAGGTAAATGGGCCACCCTGGAAAATAGAAAGATCAACCTGAGAGACAGGAAGGAAGCCCAGCTGGCTTCCTCTGGCTCTGGGAGAGACAGGAAGAAATCTGGGCTCCAGCAGGTTGAGGGCCTCCCACTGGATATCCCGAGGATGTTCTCCTTCCCACTCCTTCCAAGACGGAAGGAGAACACCGATGCATAAAACACAATAGGCAGGCCTGGAACTGAGCCCCGGAGGAAGGCAATCATGTCAAACGGGGCAGGGAGGCTGTCAAGGAAAATTCACCCAATGATATTTGAGCAAGGGAAGTTAAGGGTGAGAGAGAGATACAGCAACTGCGCAGGGATGAGACACGCATATTCCAGGGAAAATACGCAAAGGAGGGGGGCGCATGGCACACAAAGGCCTGGAGAAGAGTGTGACTCTGTGAGTCCCTCACTCCAGAGGAAGGCTGGATAGAAACGTGAATGAGACTAAAATTGAGAGAACAGCTTTAAAAGAGAACCTTTAGAAACATCGAGTGCTAAAGCAACATTCCTAACAGAACTAGTAGATTAACAAAAACAACAGGGGACAAAATGTCCAGTGAGTTCCTGACACAGAGGCAGACAGGCTTGAGATGGAGATGGCGGCGGTGAATGCCTGAGAAAGGACCCAGAGAGGACAGCAGTCAGAGAAAGGACAACAGAAATGCAGAACAGACCCGGGGAGCCGTGACCTGACACACACATGTCCCTAACATGGAAACCCCACAGAAGGCGACAGGATGTCTTTGCAAATACACGATTATTTTCATTAACAAAGACACAGGAACTGAAAGCAATCCAAAAGGAGCACGCTGTTCAGAAAATGTTAATACAGAACCACGGCCATGGGAAGTTTCCTGGTTAACGTAATGAACAGGAAGGATAAGCAAAGAGTGCTTCAAGCATTCAGCTAGTCAAGCCAGGCCAAGAAATGACTGGGCAGGGGTGGATCACCTGGGCTCAGTGCTTTCGTCTCCCACCGCTCTGGAGCAGTGACGGAGGGCAATAGCAATGACATTGAGGGAAAATTCAGAGGGCCAGAAAGTCTTACTCAAGAACCCAGCCAGCTGGGTTCAGAAATAACAGTCACACATAAGGCCAGGTGCGGTGGCTCACCCTGTAATCCCAGCACTTTGGGAGGCCGAGGTGGATGGATCACGAGGTCAGGAGTTTGAGACCAGCCTGGCCAACATGGTGAAACCCCGTCTTTATTAAAAATACAAAAATTAGCCAGGCGTGGCACCGCACGCCTGTAGTCCCAGCTACCCGGGAGGCTGAGGCAAAAGAATCGCTTGAACCCGGGAGGCAGAGGTTGCAGTGAGCCGAGATCATGCCATTGCACTCCAGCCTGGGTGACAGATTGAGACTCCATCCCAAAAAAAAAAAAAAAAAAAAAAAAAATACCCAGATAAACATACCAAAAAGTAGGCTGCAACCATGAGACATTTAGAAAAAAAAAATGCCAACCCACTAATATGAACAGGGAAAGGGTAGGCCCGGGGCAACATTTAAACTAGGGGACAAATGGTTAAAACCCTACATTTTATGTTATGCATGTCTCACCACAATAAAGAAAAACATTTTTAAAATGCAGGAAAAAAAAAGGACAGTGGAGTGTGGATTTAAAAGTTCTAAGAAAAAGAAAAAAAAACTGTTTACTCAGCCAAGTTTCCCCTTGATTATATAGGTGGCAGACTGTCACGGCTGGCGGGAACTCGGGAATACGTCTACGGGACCTTTAGAGGGGAGAGGGGAGAGGGAGAATGACTTGGGGATGAAATGCAGCCAAGCAAACAAAAAAAGTAAAATAAAAACCCTGCCAGGAGAGTAAAAGCTGTTATAAAAAAAGACTCATGAGTATCAAATCCACTTAAATATAGAAAAAAGATAAAACCAGTGGGAATAATTGTTACAAAATAGAATGCAAATGCTCCTAACCTTGGAAAAGTCAGTATTATATATATCACCAAGAAAAATCAAGAGAAGTAGTAAGAGAAAGTTTAAGAATGCTGATTTCCTCATCTTTTATAATCGAGTATAATTAAGACCTTCTGAAATTGAGACGTGAGTTAAAAACATGAAGGCTCCAACTTCTTCGTGTTTTTCATATCTTGTTAGCCTTGCAGGGGCTCTTTTACAAAATAATATCTTTTGTGGCAAAGCAACATTTATTTGAAGATCAGCAATTCTTTTCATTTAAATACCACTTCATTTTCTTCTCTTAAATTGAAGTAAAATGTAATAAAATACTTTTATATTGAAAATAGGAGGTATCACAAATCCCCTTTTTATTGAAGGGAATTTCTTTGTTCAGCCCTGCTTGCACCCTTTTGTAGTCTATATGGCTGAGGTGAGGGCCCCTGGGGCAGGGGTGGTTATTGGAGAGCAGCTGAATCCAGGTTAGTTCAAAACATGTATATTTTTTCCCTCTCTCTCTTTCTGCATTATTTCCATTTCTTGTCATGAACAGGCTTCATTTTTACCAAATCAATGCAATTTGAGAAAAAAGAATAAAGAAATAAAGACTTAAAAGCCAGATGATGTATTTTAACATTGCGATTTGGGTTCTGGGGGGTGAGGGAACCTTCCCCTCTTGGGTCCACTCTCACGGTTGTGATTCCCTTCTCACAAGCGACAAAGCCTGCTCTTGAGAGCTGCTGATGAACTCCTCTAGGCCCACCCTGGGATGCCTCCCAGAGGACGGAACTCAGAGTCCTGAGGCCGCGATGGCATGACCAGAGGTCAGTAGCCAAAAAAAAGCTGGAGCTCAAGTTCAACTCTTGACCTCCAAGCAAATGCCCTTGAAAGCTGATGAATCAGTGATTTCCAGAATCATACTGCCTAACAATTACCAAGCCCTCAGCAGGCATTTCTTCCTGGGGTGTGTGGAGTAGTCAGGCGGGGCATGGGCCCCGGCCCAGGGCTGGCTCTAGGTGGACTTAGTGGCCTGGCTGGAGTAATCACTGCCCCTAGGCAGCCAGGCACCCTCCCAGGCATGTGCACAGGCAGAGGTGGCAGCAGCAGGACAAGGAAACTAACCAGCTCAGGCTTTCTCAGGCCTCTACTGTGTCCACTGACCAAAGAAGCCAAGAGGGTTCAATTCAGAGCCACGTGGGAGAACCGACTCTGCCTACTCAGTTTGGGGAGCTGCAAAAGTCACGTGGTGAAAACCACACAACCAGGAGGGCTGGGGAGCTGGTTGATTCTGTGTACTTGTGTCATTGAAATCACAAAGTCAGTCAGTTTTAGCTCATAAACCTTCCTTCCAGGAAGCCCCCTTACTATTTTTTTTTTTCTTTTTTGAGATGGAGTCTCACTCTTGTCGCCCAGGCTGGAGTGCAATGGGGATCTCAGCTCACTGCAACCTCTGCCTCCTGAGTTCAAGCGTTTCTCCTGCCTCAGCCTCCCAAGTAGCTGGGATTACAGGCGCCCACCACCACACCTGGCTGATTTTGTATTTTTAGTAGAGACGGGGTTTCACCATGTTGGTCAGGCTGGTCTCCAGAACTCCTGACCTCAGGTGATCAGCCTGCCTCAGGCTGCCAAAGTGCTGAGATTACAGGTGTGAGCTGCTGCGCCCAGCCCAGCTCCCTTAATATTGAGAGGGGACCCCAACAACTCCCTAACCCATTTACTCAAGGAGGGAGAAAGTTTAGCAAGAAGTTACCAATTTCTCTAGTTCAGGAAGATAAATTTGAGATTCATTTCCGCAAGCAGTGACCCCCAGCTCAGGTAAAGGATCAAAAGATTCCAGGAAGATTTTGGCTTCAAATAAAAGAAGCCAGGACAACCGTCATGCAGATGAGGCTCTCTCAAAGGCTGGTTGTGAAGCCAGCATGCATCAGACGGCTTGGAGGGGAGCGGGTGCAGGGCTCCAGCTGGGACTACCATTCCAAGGGACAGCACTGTGCCTTCTGTCCCCACTAGCTTGAAGGCCGCTTTGAACCCATGTGTCAGCAAACCAATGGGAGGCTGGGTGCGGGAGTGAATTCTAATCAACTGGGAGAATTAAGGCAGTAGAGGTAATTCCTTTGGGCTGCAGTAGTCAAGGGTAGCCTCTCTCAAGAGTTCTGACAGCAAACACGCATAAGCTGGAGAGAATTCCAGACACGGGGCATGTTCAGCAACTTCTCCAGCACACACACATACACAGAGAGACACACAGAGAGAGAGAGAGCTTTAGACTGAGTTTCATTCTCAGTTTTTCTAATTATTTGCCACAGAATCTTGGATGTTCACCTAACTCCTGTGACCCTCGGTTTCCTCATCTGTAAAATGGGCATCATGCAGTAGCCACTTCACAGTTACTGCACAGCTCAAAGATGCTGTTCCTAAGCTGTCTGGTATAGGGGTAGCCCTCATTGATGACAGCCCCTGTGAATATTAAGTAGATGTCAGGGGTGCAAGGAAGAACACAGCAAAACTGGGAAGGGCAATGTGTGCTGATACACCCTTATTTGGGATCCACTGTTTGCTCGGAAACTGTATTTCATTTTGTCAGCGTCTACCTGTGCTGGTTCTCAGGGAAGCTACGGAGATCTCTCCCCGCATTCTTCAACCTCCACTGCATTCTGATGCATTTAAAGGACAATTAGGCTGTGACAACTCACTGATGAATAACCGTGCTCTCTGCTAATCTTGTCACATTGGGTACTGGCTGGAGACATAATTACTACAACACGGTTGAACAGATTACACATATTAATGACTTTCCCTACTAAAAGATACAGAGCTGGGAGACCTGCAGCATCTGAATTCCCCACCCTCTGGGGTCTTTCCCAGTGAAAATGAGGGTCCAACATCAGTGAGTTACCATTGTGCTGCCAGAGCTCTGCCTCATTCTGATAGGGGATTTCCCTCCGTGCCCCATCCTCTCCATTCCTAGAGCTGAACTCCCGGCTGCTGGGTTGAGGGCTTTCCAAGATGATGGGTTAGAGACCAAGGCCAATGGACTGAGGATGGTGGCTTAATAATGTGAGCATTTGGAACTCTAACCGCAAGAAGAACTTCTGCAATGACAACGGCTCTGGGACTGAAGCTCTGGAAAGTTCACTTAGGCAAGCTCGCAGCAGCCTGAGCAGATGCATTCTCCCCGAAGGGCTTCAGACAACTCGCGCATCAGCAGCGGCTCCCCCTGCCCGCATCTGGACTCACCACTGTCAGCCGGGAGGATGCCACTCCCAGGCACTTTTCTGTGCATACACACACACACACACACACACACACACCCCTACTTGTATAAACATGCATCATTGTAAATGTCATCTTTACAAGTTAAACATCAGAACCATACTACATATACTTTTCTTTGCTTTACGCACCACCATTTTGGAAATACTCTTTTCTTGTCAGCCGCATGGTCTACCTCATTCTGCGTAATGGCTGCACCGCACTCCAGAGTAGATGTACGTTGATACTGCTTCAAATTTTCTCTTTATAAAAAAGTCTAGAATGAGCCTCCTTAACATCTCATGTAGACATCCTAATGTGCATATAACAAGATTTTTTTTAATTTAAGTCTAAAGCCCTAGAAGTAAAATTTCTTCAAGAGTATGTGCATTTTACAGTTGAACAGATTGGCAACTTGTATTCAAGAAGCTTGATGTTCACCAAGCTGCCCTCTCTCACACCGCAGATGAGAAGGCCTGTTTCTCCACATGCTTGCCAGCAGTGGGTATTATCAGTCTTTTTCATTTTTGCAAACCAGAGAGACAAAACAAAATACAGTATTATGGCTAAAATTTACATTCCCTTTGAAGTTGAGCATCTTTTCACACACAGATTCTGAATCTGTGAATTCTCCACTGGCATCCTTTGCCCATTTTTCTTTTAAATTATTTTCATTTTCTTTACTGACTTTTAGAAGCTCTTTATATAGAAAGATGGATAGTAAGTAGCCCCTAACTTCCTGAATATTGTTTTCCAAAAGTTGGTTATTTGTCATTTAATTTATTAGTGGTATTTTTCTCTTCTAGAAGTTATTTTTAGTTTTTGGTCAAATTATCTATAAATGTTTTATAAAAAGTGTCTGGATTATATACGCTCCCCCCAAAATAGTTTTATATATTGTCTTAAATTTTCTCCTAATGCTTATGTTTTTAAAAATGTGGCTGTTTAATGCAGCTGATTTATTTATTGCAGAGCAAGAGTTAGATATCTCATTTCATTTTTCCAAATGTGTAGTCAATTTTTCCAACACTGCTTATGAGAATGCTATATTTCCCCATGGATTTGAGAAACACAGATACAGGTATAAATTACCACAAATCCTTAAGTTTACTGTAAAATTTACTATTCTGTTGAGTTAATCTGTTGGTTGAGCCCTGTGCATGTACCATAAGTTTTCAATAAGTCATTGGCTTAATGGTATACCTTTTACTATTTGTTGATCTTTTATGTCAAATGTTTGCTTGGTTATTCTTGCGCATTTTCTCTTCCATTTGGATTTCCATTAAAAATCCAATAGAGATTTTGTTGAGATGTTCTGTAAGTTCATAGGAAGAGAGTTTACATCTTTAAATACTGAATTTTCCATTCAGACACATGATATTTATTTATTTAGGTCTCTTTTAATGATATTCATTTGTGTTTTATAATTTTTAATTTTCTTGTTACACATCTTGCATATTTCTTATAAAGTTTGTACTTCAATTTTTTATGTTTTGGGTTGCTGAATGCATGTCATATTTGTCGTTCCCATTTTCTAATTGGGCAATCCTGATTTACAGGAAAGTATTCGATTCTTGTGTGTTCATTTATATTTGTCTGATTACCACATTTTTAGGTTTGTTTCCTTGGATCTTCTCAGTACATACATGTTGCAAATGTGGTTTTCCCTTTCCAACACTGTAATTTGTCTTTTTAAGTCTTGATCTGTTCTTTAGCTACATCTGGTGTAATGTTGATAGTGGGAATTCTTGCCCACCTCCTGTCCTTAATAATACTGTCATAGCACTGAAGGTAGCTGTAGCCTCCCCCAGTTTCCCCACTTTTTCTCTGTCCTGACTGAGAAACACAGAGTGCCTTGACCGCTCTGTGACCCTGGCAGCTGCATGTTTTCCCCGCAGGCTTCACCCAAGCCGGGACCTTGAACATTCCCAGACACTGATAAAACTGTTGAGGTCCGTGCTCAAAAACACTGAGGCTAACCCTGTTGCTATTATACATGTAGAAACTAGCCCTGGCCCTGAGCCAAATGCCTTAAGCCCTCTTATAGACTCCACAACCTCACCCTTGCTATGGACATACCCAGGATGAACTTCTCTTTTCTTTCTATCCATCCCAGGGACGCTGAAGCTGTCTGTAAGTTCCCCTAATAAATGCATATTTCAGCCAAATATGTAGGTGATCATATATCTTGTTTCTCAATTAATAGTTAATATGGTGACTTATCTAAAAATTATCATCAATATAAAACCATCTATTCAGGATTAGAATGCTAATACCTGACTTGATTACTTACTTTGTGCCAGGGACTTTAATAAATACCACACATTACATATCATGGTATTTATTTCCTGGTTGTGACATACACTCTGGATGCACTGCCAGATCTAACTTGTCAATATGTTATTGGAGACTTTTGCCTCTATGTTCTAAAGTGGTGGGTTTTTTTCCTGTCCTCATTGGAGGAGTTTTTCCAGCTTCATGGAATAAATTGAGCAGCTTCTCCATCATTTTCTATGCTGTATGCTCTGGGACTTTTTATTAATATACAGTTTGTCTTTTTATAGATTTGGTTTTTTAAAATACCCTATAAAACTGTCTAGACATGTTGGCTTTTTTAAGGATACATTTTTTTACTGCTTTGAAAATTTCATAGATGGGTTTTCTATTGTTGCTAAATTCAATTTTGGTCATTTCATATTCCTGGAAAACTGTTTATCTATTATATTATTTTCAAGTAAATCTATAAAGATTTACATGTTTGAAAGTTTTTAAATCTCCCCTGTATCTATAGTCTGCCACTTATCTCATTTATAAAGAAGATTATTAGTCCTTAGAATTTCTTTTTGTTTTCATCAGAACCAAGAAGTTGAACTATTATTGTCAAAATATCAGCTTTTGGAAGCATTCCCTTCAAAACCTGCACAAGACAAGGATGCCCTCTCTCACCACTCCTATTCAGCATAGTATTGGAAGTTCTGGCCAGAGCAATCAGGCAACAGAAAGAAATAAACGGCATTCAAAAAGGAAGAGAGGAAGTCAAACTATCCCTGTTTGCAGATGACATGATCCTATATCTAGAAAACTCTATCCTCTCAGCCTAAAGGCTTCTTAAGCTGATAAGCAACTTTAGCAAAGTCTCAGGATACAAAATCAATGCGCAAAATTCACTAGCACTCCTACACATCAACAACAGGGAAGCTGAGAGCCAAATCGTGAAAAAATTCCAATTCACAATTGCCACACAAAGAATAAAATACCTACGAATACAGCTAACAAGGGAAGTGAAAGATCTCTACAAGGAGAACTGCAAAACACTGCTCAAAGAAATCAGAGACAACACAAACAAATGGAAAAGTATTCCATGCTCGTGGATAAGAAGAACCAATATTGTGAAAATGGCTACACTGCCCAAAGCAATTTATAGATTCAATGCTATTCCCAAGAAACTACCATTGACATTCTTCACAGAACTAGAAAAAATTATTTTAAAATTCACATGAACAGAAAAAAGAGCCTGAATAGCCAAGATAATCCTAAGCAAAAAGAACAAAGCTGGAGGCATCACACTTCCTAACTTCAAAATATGCTACAGGGCTAGAGTAAACAAAACAGCATGGTACTGGCACAAGAACAGATACGTGAACCAATGGAACAGAATAGAAAACCTATAAATAAGACCGCACACCTACAACTATCTGATCTTCGACAAACCTGACAAAAACAAGCAATGGGGAAAGGATGCCCTATTCAATAAATGATGCTGGGATGACTGGCTAGCCATATGCAGAAGATTGAAACTTGACCCCTTCCTTACACCATATACAAACATTAACTCAAGATGGATTAAATACTTAAAAATCCTGGAAGACAACCTACGCAATATCATTCAGGACATCAGCACAGGCCAAGATTTCATGACAAAGGTGCCAAAAGCAATTGCAACAAAAACAAAAGTTGACAAATAGGATCTAATTAAACTAAAGAGCTTCTGCACAGCAAAATAAACTATTGACAGAGTAAACAGAAAACCTACAGAATGGGAGAAAATTTTTGCAAACTATACATCTGACAAAGGTCTAATATCCAGCATCTATAAGGAACTTAAACAAATTTACAAGAAAAAAACAACCCCATTAAAAAGCAAGCAAAGGATATGAACAGACAAGCGGCCAACAAGCATATGAAAAAAAGCTCAACATCACTGATAATTAGAGAAATGCAAATCAAAACCACAATGAGATACCATCTCATGCCAGTCAGAATGGCTTATTATTAAAATGTCAAAAACGTATTATTAAAAAGTCAAAAAGTAGCAGATGCTGACAAGGTTGTGGAGAAAAAGGAATGCTTATATGCTGTCAATGGTAGTGGAAATTAGTTCAACCATTGTGGAAGGTAGTATGCTGATTCCTCAAAGACCTAAAGACAGAAATACCATTGAAACCTGCAATCCCATTACTGGGTATATACCCAAAGGAATATAAATCATTCTGTCATAAAGACACATGCATGCGTATGTTCATTGCAGCACTATTCACAAGAGCAAAGACACGAAATCAACCCAAATGTCCATCAATGATAGACTAGATAAAGAAAATGTGGTACATATACACCATGGAATACTATGCAGCCATAAAACCGAATGAGAACATGTCCTTTGCAGGGACATAGATGGACCTGGAGGCCATTATCCTTAGCAAACTAATGCAGGAACAGAAAACCAGATATCATGCGTTCTTACTTATAAGTGGGAGCTAAATGATGAGAACACATGAACACAAAGAGGGGAACAACATACACTGGGGCCTATTGGAGGGTAGAGGTTGGGAGGAGAGAGAGGATCAGGAAAAATAACTAATGGGCACTAGGCTTAATACCTGGGTGACGAAATAATCTATACAAGCAACCCCCATGACACACACTTACCTTTATAACAAACTTGCACATCCTGCACATGTACCCCCAAACTTAAAAGTTAAACAACAAAAAATAACATACCAGCTTTTTGGTTTTTAATTAACATTAGAATTTTTATTTGTTTCCATGTTATTAATTTCTGTTTTATATTACTTTATTTTTTCTACTATAATTGGTTTCATTTCTTATTCACTTTTCAAGTTTTTCTGTTGAGTGTACACTGTATTTTCAGTATTTCTTATTTTCTAATAAATATAGTTAAGGCAACATCTTTTCCTCTAAGTTCTTCTTTAGTTACATCCCAGGAATTGTGATATGGGATGAACTCTAAATTTGATTTGTAATTTTAATTTTCATGTCTTCCTTAACACAAGAGTAGATATAGTTTTAGACATTTTCTGCAGTTAATGTTTAATTTTATTGAATTATGGTAAAGGAAAATAACCTATTGGATTTTGATTTTTGGAAAATATTGAGATTTTCTTAGTGTTCAGTCTTACGACATGTTCGATTTTGTGACTGGCCTGTGGGTTTAGGATATACTATATATTATCTATTGAAAAAATATATATGTATATACATCCCGTTTACACAAATACACAAACACAAGTGTGATAAAACTTACTGTATTATTTTAAATCCTCAACAGTCTTTGATGTTTTTGTCCATTTCTGAGTGAAATATATTAATGTCATGCCTTGTAATTACAGCTTTACAGTTTGTATTTCTACCTCATTCTGCTGAATGTACCTCGAGGCTATGCTTTTAATGCATAAATTGCTGACACCTATTTCTTCTTGTAAAATTACCCCTTTTACCTGGGATGCCCTGGGGTAGCGGGTGATGGGGCTAGGTCTCAGTGGCTTCTGTAAGCTGCTGTCTGTTCACCTCATGGCAGCTGACCTGGCTCCCTGTCCTATCCCTGGCTGCCACCCAGCACAGAGGGAGTAGGGAGATCTTCACGCTTAGGAATTTGAATTATTTTTCCTCTGATATTGTTATGTCACCTTTATTTTTGTTAATATTTCTCTGCTACAGTTTTTCTAATTTATTATTTCCAACTTTTGCCATGTTACTTTGTGTAAGGTATGCTGTTTGCAAACTTCAATCTGATAGTATGTATCCATTAATAGGGAAGTTACCTTATTCACATTAAAAATGATCATCTGTATGCTTGGGCTTATTCTTGTCTTTTTTTTTTTTTTTTTTTTTTTTTGAGACAGTCTCACTTATTCTGCCGCCCAGGCTGGAATGCAATGGCGCGATCCCTGCTCACTGCAAACTCCACCTCCCAGATTCAAGCAACTTTCCTGCCTCAGCCTCCCAAGTAGCTGGGATTACAGGCGCCCACCACTACACCCGGCTAATTTTTGTATTTTTAGTAGAGATGGGGTTTCACCATTTTAGTCAGGCTGCTCTCGAACTCCTGACCTCAGGCGATCCACCCACCTCAGCCTCCCAAAGTGCTGGGATTACAGGCATGAGCCACTGTGCCCAGCCCTTGTCATCTTATTTTATGTTTTCTATTTAACAAGTTTTTCTTGTTTTTCCATTTCTTATTCCTGTCTTTAATCCATTTTCTCTCTTTCTTTTTTTCTTTCTTTCTCTTTCTTTCTTTCTTTCATTTTATTTATTTATTTTTTTTGAGAGTCTTGCTCTGTCTGGAATGCAGAATGCAGTGGCATGATCTCCGCTCACTGCAACCTCTGCCTCCAGGGTTCAAGCCGTTCTCCTGCCTCAGCCTCTCAAGCAGCTGGAATTACAAGTGCTCGCTACCACGTCTGACTAATTTTTGTATTTTTAGTAGAGATGGGGTTTCCCCATGTTGGCCAGTCTAGTCACTCCTGGTTACTCCTGACCTCAGGTAATCTGCCCACCTCTGCCTCCCAAATTGCTGGGATTACAGGCATGAGCCACCGCGCCCAGCCATTAAACCCATTTTCTTTGTCAAATTTTTCCTTTTCTTGGGATTCAGAATTTATTCACCCAATTTCTATTTTCTAGCAGTCACACAAATTTTTAACACTGTACATTTTGTTCTATTAATATCTAGAGAAAATCAACTCCTTTTCATTCTATATGAGAAGTTATTTTGCAATCAACTATTTTTTATACTGAACTCTAAGTTCTAATATCTTCTTTGCTTACCATTCTTTCTTTATTGCCATGTCTTCTCAGGATACATTTCACATTTTACTAGAGAATTTAATCTGGTAAACTTTCCGCATAGTTGCATGTCAAACTGTTTTTGTTTTGTCCTTCCAGCTGAATGAGAGTTTGGCCAAGGATAGTGTTATAAGTGTCCTCAGCTCAAACTCTAGAGATACTGTTCCAACATCTTCTTGAATCCAGTACTGCCAAGGACAAGTTGGATACCTCAATTCATTTCTTATTCCTTTAGAGATTAAGTTTTCTCATGTTTTTTAAAGGTTTTCTTTTCATGCTTGAATTTCCGCACTGATGTCTCCAAGTGTGGGGTTTTTTCTTCCTGCTTACCTTTTTTACACACCCTTTCACACTCAGAGCACAGGTCACAAAACATTTGCTCTTTTTTTGAGCCATGTTTTACAACTGGAAAATTTATATCCATCCTCCTTAGCTCTTAAATTTTTTTAAATTATATTTCATCCTTCTGTCCTTTTGTGCTTTGGTCTCCAAAACTTCTTATGCCGAGTCTCCAGGTCATTCCAATGCTCTTCGGCTGTGTCCATTCAACTGTTCATCCTATCTATTAAATTTTCACTTCCAAAACCATCAGTTTATCATTTATTTTCATATGTATCTGTTCTTGTTTCATGGAAGCAGTATTTTCTCTGATCTCTCCAGTGTTATTAATCATACTTCTCTTGAGGTCTTATTTGTTTGTGGTCTAGTAAGTTTTCCCCTCTTGTCTTTGGAGAGTATCATGGAGGGTGTTGAAGGGTGAGGATGAAGGCAGCAATGGGGTATGCTTCCAAGTAGGATGTGCCAGTGTCCCCAGCCTTCCAGGAAAGCTCCTGCCTCTTAAGATAGAGCCCCCACACTCACGGGCCTGCTGGGGGCCAAATGACTGACTTGTCACCACTTGGCAAGAATTGCTGGGAAAAGAGATTATTCCCCATCCCCCTAAGTGCTTCTTTCACACTTTCCTCGCCTGCTCACCACAATGGCACTCCCAGGCTCTCTCCTCTTTCTTGTATCTGTTGTTTGAATTCCTAGCTAAAGGGCTCCTAGACATTCTCCACATTTGCTCCAGATCTCAGAAGTATACACTAGGGCCTTCTTATGCATAGTTTTCTTCCGTAATCTGGCTCTAACTATCTTCTCTCCCATAGGCATTCATCAAAACATCTGTATCACTGATGACATCCTTTGGTTTCCCATCAATGTCATGTAGTTAGTCTCTTTGCAAAATACATTTTATAATTTCCAGTGATTGGATGTAGGAGGGGAGCTTGGTGCCTATGGTTATTCACCTTGATCTAAATCCTTGGCTTGGAGAAGAAGAAAATAAGCAATGAGGAAGTTGTGCATTTTGTTCAAGATCTCTCCCGCTGGCAATGACAGATGGGATGGTACCTGCACGTCTATGATGTCAGAGCCTATGTCCTTTCCATCACATGCCGTGTGGCTCTGTAACCAGAGAGAATTCTTGGGTACATAAAAATGTAGAGTCTCAGTGATATGGTTTAGATGTGTGTCCCCTCTAAATCTCATGTTGAAATGGAATCCTCAGTGTTGGAGATGGGCCCTAGGGGGAGGTGTTTGGGTCACAAGGAGAGATCCCTCATGAATGGCGTGGTGCTGTCCTCACAATAGCAAGTGAGTTCTCCTGAGATCTGGTTCTTTAAAAGTGTGTGGCATCTCTCCATCTCTTTGTCCTGTTTCCACTCTCCCACGTGAGACACCTGCTTCCCCTTCACCCTCCACCATGATTGTAAGCTTACTGAGGCCCTCACCAGAAGCAGATGCCAGTACCACGCTTCTTGCATCTGCAGATCCATGAGCCAATTAAACCTCTTTTCTTTGTAATTTACCCAGCCAGGTATTTCTTTATAGCAATGCAAGGATGGCCTAACACACTCAACAAGTGTAGTTATTATTCTTGGGAAGTACATTTGGTGATGAATAGTGAGTAGCTATAGAGCTGGCTTTTGAGAAACTTCTCTTGCAAGAATGGAACAGGCACAAGTAGGAGGTGGTGGAGACTATAAACTGGAGGGGTGGAGAGAGGCAATCTGGGAGACCAGGTCTGGGGGTGTCCTGGGTGGGCAATGAGAGGAGGTATATACATGCCCATCTTCAGCAAGCTAATGTGGGACAAGCCAACATTAACCATCACTAAGCTCTTGCAAGTTTGTTTTCTAAAGTGCTGGTCCCTCAGCCTGAGATCTCAGGGATTAGTCTGGCTTACCTGAAGAAAAGCTGCTGCACAGATTCCTTCCTGTGCACTTTTCTTTCCTTTGTCTGGCAAGACCTCACCCCACTCTGGCAGCCCTGCTCCCCCTCTTTTTGAGACTGTATTCCTACTGAGTAGCATGGCCACCCTCTTCAGAGTCTGCCGGTCAGCTGAAAATTAGCCACAAACATTTCCCAGGCTACAGGGAGCAAGTGATGGCGGCAAAGCAGGCTGCTGGCTAAAACGTACTGGGAACTCATACGTAGCAGGAGCAAGTAGAGGGAATAGGGCTGCCACCAAGTCCTCCTGCACTGGTGCAATGGTCGTCTCTCCTTCAGGCAATTCTCCCCTACCTGACGTGCAATGGTGTGTGCCCCAGACTTTTTCCAGAGGCAGGGCATCAACATGCAGTAGACATGCCTGCATGTACACATACATACTTGCAGGCCTGTGCACACACACATACCAGAAAAATTAATCCAAGCATTAAAGTAAATGTTTAGAAATCACAATAAGCTGGGGAGCAGATTCCAGGAAATGCTCCGAGGTCGGTGGAGAGATGCAGGCCTGCTCTGTGGGGGACAAGCTGGGGCTGGGGAGGTGGTGTGTGACTCCCAGCCTTGCTGCACCAAAGTTCTAGGTGCTAAGTTCTACATTCTGGGCTCTTGGCCATAAACTGCACAATGCCCCACTTAAAGTAGAAGAGTCCAGGCAGAAATCAAGGATGCAGGAAGGAAACTAAAATCTACTAAGGAACTAGTATCTGTTGAGCATCTATTTGTGAGGCCCAGAGCCAGGCATTTTTATCTTCATATCCACTACCTCATTTAAAGACTTCCTTCATTTAGCAGATGAGGAAACTGAGGCTCAGTGCTCTGAAGATGACCTTGTCTACACTGGCTCTGAAAGAGGCAGCAGTGGGTCTGGATGCTCTACAGGGTTGTGTGGGAACCCACGGATGCAATATGAACCTAGGGTCACACCCCAAACGGTCACATTCTTCAGGCCAAAGAGGGACAGCAGTGGGACGGGAGGGCTTTGGAAGCTTCCAGTTGCAAATCAAGCTCTGACTTAATGAAAAACTGATTAGAGAAATCTTGCCTTTCAATAACCAAATAAAAGTTTATGAAAGTAGCACAATTGATTTTCCTCTGAATGAATCATAATTGACATTTAATTACAAAGGCAGTGCTCAAGATGGGAGCTGCGCCAGTTAAGCTCTCTGATTCTCCTCTGCTGCATTTCAGGGCTTTGCAGCCCTAAGGGACGAGTTTTGGAAAACTGTGCGCCATCATGGCAGATTCAAACAGCATCTAGCATCTGTTTCGGTCAACAACTAAAGGCCTACTGTATGTGGAAGCCTGGGTTCCCAGAAGCCTAAGAGAGGCACAGGACACATTTGACTCCCTACTTCCAGGAGCCTACCTTATTTCTGCAGAGAAAGTGCAGGGACAAATACAACTGTGACTAGGGTCCTGCGTGCCTGGCACAGACAAATGAGGAGTCAGAAAGGGAGGTGTGGGCATGGACCGGGGTTTCCAGGGACGGCCCGGGAGGATTCAGGGCTTCAGGTTAGCACAGTATTGAAATAGAAGCCCAGGTATCCCCTGCTCCCGGCGGAAACCCTCTGGCCACTCCACGCTACCCTCAGGCTGAGCCTCCCAGCGGTGTCCAAGGCTCTCCTGGGCTGGGTGCTCTGTCCACCGCGGACTCTCCTCCCTTCACCAGGAGACACCGCATCCCAGCAATGCCACGCTAATGTCGGTGTCCTGTCCACACGGCGACAGCAACGTTGCTCCCCAGATCCGTCCTGACGCTGTCGGCTTTGTGTGTCCTCCCTGTGCTCCCTGTCCCTGCCTGGCCAGCCCCGGCCTCAACAGGCGCTCATCCGCACCGTCCCCGCCTGACGCCTCGTCTGAGCCCGGTGGAGTCCTCAGGAACACCCCTGGTGGCCGCGACATGCGGCTCTCAGCACCCTGGCCTGGGTCTCGGCGCGGTTCCAGGAGTGGCCCGGAAGGTCTGCAGGCCCCAGGAGCCGGACGCGGATGGCGCCGCATCGCAGCAGACCCGGCCTGAAGGCGCCCGGGGACCCCCGCCCGGAGGCGGCCGCGCGGACACCTCGGGGGACCACGGCTCTGCACTTCGCAGTCGGCTCCCCGGGCGGGCGGCGCCTCTCGCCCTCAGTCTCTCTGTCTATAACATGGGCCTGCACAACTGTCCGCCCACACCCAGAAAAATGGCAGCTCTCACTCGGTCTGCTCACGTCCCCCATGATGAAGGCTACTGGCCAGCCAGAGGGGGTGGAGCCGCGGCCCCAAACGCGGCCGCACCAGAAGCCGATTCGGCCAGGGGCTGGGGACTCCAGAATCCCGCGTTTCCCCTCTTCCCCGGCTCCACGGCCTTGACGGTCGGCCTGGCGCCATCTTGTGGCTCCAGGGAGAACTGCAGGCGGCTCTCCAGAGCTCGCTGGTTCTCCTGGGTGGGAGGATGAGGGTGGAGCACGTCTGCAGCTACCCTGAGAGAACTCTTGTTCTAGAATTTGGAACCGATTAAATTAGGCTTCAAAGGACACAAACACGAAAGACCCCGGGATAGGCTTTGCCACACCAGGCCATGTTTCTAAGGCAACCCTGGGCTGCTGGTTTCAGAGGAGGCTGAGCCAGCAGCCAAGGCTCAATTCCCCGGGAACCAAGGCGCTGGGCAGGAGGGGCTGCCAGCATCCGGGCTCCATTCGCCCTTGAAATCCAAAAGAGACAAGCAACTACCCTTACAGACTTCCTCCCATATGTCCAAACTAGCCTCTGTATGGATAAATTGCATCCTTCCTTTGGTAGCATTTTGTTCTTCTAGGTCTGCAGAGCCTGCAGAATGAGACTGCCAATCCAGACATGCGGTCTGAGCCTGCAAACCATCCCCAGGGACAGAGAAAAGGCAGGAGGGAGGGCGAGCCAGAGATGGCCAGGGGACAGGCACAGCCTAGGGCTGGGTTTCTGGCCCAGGGCCTCTCTTGCACTGTGGACACCCACATGCGACCATGTAGTGGCATCTCCACCTGTGCGCCCTGAAGACCACACGCCCCACTTAACTTACGGGTGGTCCCGGTCAGGGCCCCTGACTCACTGCACCACACCATCTTGAACACTTAGCCCGAGCCAACGTGGCCTCCCCAGGAGCCGACACGGCCAGTTATACAGAATTCCTTCTTGTGTCTCTTTAATGACAGAATTCCAAGCTGCTTCGGAATCACAATATGGCCGGGTAAAGATTCCCGTTTGCCTAGGGCTTGGCGGAGTGAGGTGGCCGTGAAATAGCCTAGCCAATGATTTTTACGCCAATGCCCCTGAGGAGGGCGCTGCTTCTAGAATAAAAGGAAGAGTCCCCCCAGAAGGAGCCCCTCCTTCTCCTTCCGTTCTGTGTCCTCCTAAACCTAAGACCTCGGAAGGCGGGGGCCATCCTGCACCCTGGGGCAGCTGGCGTGAAGCAAAAGGCTTCTGGGGACCACGGTGTGTGAGGATAGGGAGGGCCGGGTCCCCAGGGCCTTGCTGCCCCTCCGCGCCCACACCTAGGCTCCGACCTGAAAGTCTCACTGCACAGAACCCACTCATGCTGTCTGTGGAAGCCCCGCGCTTGGATATCATGTTCTGGGGTCCGAGGACACCCTCGAGTGCGTCACCCTCATCCTCACTCTCCTTGCGCAATCCCAGTCTGTCAGTTCCAGCCCCTGTTCCCATCCTGGCTTCTCTGTGTCAACCTTCAGGACCATAATTCAGCAGCCACCTCACCGTGTGGGTCTTTACCCGTGCCCCTCCCTGCCATGAAGTCCCAAAATGCAGATCTGATCCCGGGGTTTCTCCTCTTCAGGGCTCCCCGCCCTCAGCCCCACTGGCCTGGTGGCCTGGTCCGTTCACCTGAGGGCTGGGCTGAGTGTCTCCCCCAGGGCAATCTTTCTCCCAGGAGCACGTGCTACTTGGCAGGGCAGCTGCGTCTGCACCCGGCCTGCGTGGTTCCCAAAGCCTGCGCAGTTCCCCGGGGTTCCCTTCAGGCCGCACACTCCTGCAGCCGGGAGGTCGGTTTGGGCGCCCTTCTCAGCCTCATCTTCCTCATCCAAAAAGTGCTAACTGTGGTACCAAACCCTCAGGGAAGTCAGCGTGGCTTAACCAGAGGACACGCGTTTCCTGTCGCGCTCTGTGTGTGGAGGATGTCAAAGGGGACTCGCGAGGGCAAAGGGGACGCATGAATCAGCACAGGAAGCACTTCATTATGAAAGATGCCTTCAGCTTTAGATCATGAGGCATTTTTCCTCCAGAGGAAAGGGAGTGATATGCTGTGGAGGAAGAGATAGCAAATCGGTGATTAACGATGCAGACAGATTCAGTCCCAGGCTTGCTGCTCACAGGTCCGGGGAGGATCCACAGGCCGCATCCTCCTGGCCGCACTTACCACCAGGGAAGCGGGTGACACACTGCCCGCCTGCCAGACAGTTCAGAGACACGGTCAGGACCCATTGCTACGATGGCTTGCAGAACTGAGACACTCAGAAGAAACCAGTCACCGGGACAGACCACAGCTGGCGGTGCCCCGCACCCCGCCGCTCCCGGCACTGTCACAGGAGGGCGCCAGGGCAGAGCCCTGCACCTGGGTGCACTACGCCTTTCGCGCACCAAGAAACTGCCCACAAGGTGTGGGCCCGCAGGTGCGGCCACGACTGCTGCAAACAAAACAAGGCTTCCAGACACACTCCCAACATTCAAAACTCAAGAACCCTTTGTGCTGTCTGCCCCATCACTTAGGAGGGGGAGTTGGCAGGGGAGAGGGGGAGGCAAGAATGAACCGTGTTTGATTGTGCATCCGCTATGTGTAATAGAGACTTTAAATTCCATGTAATGTTAAATTATAATTTTTCCAACTCAATGAGTTGATTCCATCAGAAACTAGTTCTGATGTGTGTGGCTTTTAAATCTAAGACCACTGCAGCGAAGTGAAAAAGACACCGGCAGTGTCGTCTGGTTTTGACTCTGAGATCTAGCCAGCTCAGAGTTGCAGTGCTGCTTCCAGAACCTTCTTCCCATCACAGCCAAGAGCCCAAGAGTCCTGCATCAGACTAACAGGCAAGGTGGAAATAAAGCAAGCCCGGAAAGGCAGCTACTATGTTAAGCTATGGAAGGGGAGACCAGTGCTGGTGATGTAAAGATCCCTGTGGCTGGAGCCGCCTGCAAGATAGTGTTTCTAAGGCGGATCCACGAGGACCTGCTCTGATAAATTAATCAGACCTATTCTCAATTAGCTCAGCATTTGTATAACAACAATTAATTTCTGTAAAGCCCTCAGACTAATGCTGCTTTGTTAATTAGGTTAGTTGCCCCTTCTGCAGTTTTCAGCCGGCTTAATTGTGCCTAGCAAATGCTTTTTGTCACACACCAGCCCACCGTATCATCCAGGCATGCTTCTGGGTCTGTGGCATCTGCAACAGACATCCACTGAGGATGGCAGGGCCAGGTTCTACCATCAGGGCAGATCCGGTACAGGAACCACACCACTGCAGTGGGCAGCGAGCCCCTGGGCACCAGCATCAAGGCAGCACACCAGGTTCTCTAAAATCCTTAGCAAAGCACCCCTTTGGGAGACACTCCCCTGCTGGCTCTGTCTTTGCATTCGTTTGTTCATCATTTTAATTCTCACAAGAACTCTGGGAGGTAGGGGCAAATGTATCTCACTGTATGTGACCAGCAGCCCTCCTGTCAAGCAAGGTAATACAGCAAAGGAAGGGTGAAATCGGGATTCTGACCCAAGTCCATCTGTCAGTAACAGCCGTGTTCTTTACTCAGCACAAAACTGTGAATGATTAGTCATTATTGCATGTGTTACTCCCAGGGGATTTTGCATTTTGCAATAAGAAAAGGCTTACACAGAGAAATGGACATCTAATGGCCCAGTTCCAGACACTGAGACACTTAAATGAGATATTTCCTAATAGGGTGGTGGGCGGAGGATGTGTTTTCAGCAAGCCCCCATTGGCCAACAGTGTGTGAAAGGGGCCCAACAGAAGCTGTTCACAGGCAGAGCCACCCCTAGTGCAGCATATCCCACAGAGAGCCCTGGAGGAAAATAAGGGTCTGTGGCATAATGAGCTTGAGGATACCAGTTATGATCTCCCTCTTGCAGACTTACAGTGCCTGTTAAAGGCCCTGAAACATCCTGCTGTAAGAAACCTGCTCACGGGAAGGCAGTTAGCAGTGGTTACTCTGGCAAGGGTAGCTGTGCTGGAAACTCACAAGGAGGGGAAGGGGCAGAAGGTGAGCCTGCTCAACATTTTCCAACCAAATCTATGCCAAATTACCTTGACTACAAACCTTTTTGTTAGCACAACATCAAGAACAAGCCTAAAGAACTAGTGTTCTAGGGAACTCACCTTGGGAAATGCTACCTTAAGTTCACCAAAACTTAAGAGTTTGTTCATATGTCTGTGAAGAAGAAAAAGAAGGTGAAGGGTCACCAGCCACTATTCCTGGGACATTCATCAGAAAATGACAATATCCAGAAATGAAAATGTCTGGGAGTGGAGAAGATGTGGATAGGGTTTGCTTAGGAGCCCCGAGGTCTGATCTCTGAATGGAACAAGGTCCGCCTGTCTTCCATGGAGGCTCATTTGTGCTCACCACAGGGACAGATTGGGAGAGAGAGAAGGTGTGTGTGATTCAGGTGCAGCTGGGTCTGGTGGATGCCGACGTCAAGTGTGTAGTGGAAGCCTCGGGTAGGCTGATGGAGTCTTAGCATCGCCCTGGGCCTTTTCTGTGTTGAAACTGGAAGCCCTAGAAACATGGCAGATTCCATCTGTCTCAAATGGTTTTTGGGTGGCTGATCCCAAAGGCCCAGTCTTGAGGACTATTCACCATCCCTCTCACCTCCTTTCCAAGCCTAGCCCTTTCTTCTTCAGGTGCTTGTGTCAGAAGAGGGAGGTACCAGGCACCCGCATAGCCTCCTCCATCTGTGGGGTGTGGAGGGTGCTGGGGGGCTGCGTGGCCCTGCGACAGTGAATTGAGAGCTGGCGCCAGCCCCTCTGTGCCCTTCTAGGGGACTTCTAGGGCCCTCTCCCACACAGGATCCACATCAGAGTTGTTACCTCTGTCTTTCTGTGTCTCCAGTGGCCAAACACACATCCATCCCTACATCCACACTCCCAAACCAAGCCTCCTCCCTTCAAAGACCGTAATCACATCAGAATCTGTCAAGACCAATAAGGAAAAGACAAGAAGAAGATCTAAAACCACAGCCCACAATGTGGGGCGTATCCATTAAGAATGCCATCCCAGCACTTTGGGAGGCCTAGGCAGGCAGATCACGAGGTCAGGAGATCGAGACCATCCTGGCTAACATGGTGAAACCCCATCATTACTAAAAATACAAAAAATTAGCCAGGCCTGGTGGCTGGTGCCTATAGTCCCAGCTACTCGGGAGGCTGAGGCAGGGAATGGCATGAACCTGGGAGGCGGAGCTTGCAGTGAGCGGAGATCGCACCACTGCACTCCAGCCTGGGTGACAGAGCAAGACTCTGTCTCAAAAAAAAAAAAAAAGAGTGCCATCCCATTTAGAATGGTGTCTAGTTGGGAATGTGTTTGGATCTGCCCTTGACAACTAAGCTACGAGGCCTGTGTGAGGCCCACAGAGGGCTCTGCTGAAAAGGGGACCACCTGTCAGCCTCACCTTCTTCACTAAATGCATCCTAATATCTTGCCAAGCACACGGTGTTGGGGGATCCCCAGTATCTTCCAGGTCCTCCAGGGACCTGATCCTCTGATTTGTTTGCCGACCCTCAGCACATCCACACTGCAGCATCTCCTCTGATAGACAGCCACAGGTCCTCTGTGGTGAGAATCCTGACCACAACCTAACAGATATCCACCAGGGGCCCCTGCCATCTCATGGGCTCCTGAGGGTACCTCTTTCTCTGGAAGGAGAATAAGTTGCAGGAGACCCCTTGTGTCTGAGTGTCTTCACCTGCAGCTTGTCTCTGCATTTGTCCTTTCTTGTGTGGGAGGAAAAGGGTGCACTGGAGGATTGGACCTTGCTATAGACTGAGAGTTTATGTCACCCTCAACTTCATATGTTGAAGTGCTAATCCCCATATGAGGCTATTTAGAGGTGGGGCTTTTGTAGGGATTAAGTCATGAATGTGGGGCCCTTGTGAATGAGATTTGTTCCCTTACAAAAGAAATCCCCGAGAGACCCCTCGTTCTTTCTGCCATGTGAGGACACAGCGAGAAGGCACCATCTATGAACTGGGAAGTCAGCCCTCAACAGACACGGAATCTGCTAGTGCCTTGATCTTGGAGTTCCCAGCCTCTGGAACTGTGAGCAATAAATGTGTGTTGTTTATAAATCATGCAGTCTGTGGTGTTGTTATTGTAGCAGTTTGAATGGACTAAGACAGTCCTCAAGACTTACGGGCAGGCAGTTACCATCAGTGGCCTCTGCAGGCTTCCTTCCAGTTGCCATGGAGCCTACAGCAGACATTGAGTGAGGTGGAGCCAGTGCTTTCATTTAGGCAATAGCAGATGCCCAGGAGCTCCCACATTCTGTCACTGAAATGCTGGGACGTTCCATTTCAGTGGGACAAACATCACCCCATCAAACCCTGTCCATTGTTTATACAGATAATTCAAAAATGTATTACACTGCTACCTCTTGACCCCTTCTTGCATATCTGCTCTGGCTTCTGGAAATTCAGCCACATCTGCCTCCTTACTGTCCTTGGCACAGCCAGCCAGCTCCCTGTTGGGGCTTGACAAGGGCTTCTCACTCTGCCTGGAAATGTACATTCCCATGATTCACTCCCTTCTTGCCTCTCATCTCTGAACATAGAGAGACCCCTCTATAAAATCCCACCCCACTCTCTGCTACTTCTTGACCCTTACTGTGCTTGCTTCTTTATTGCAGTGAACATCACTTGGCATGTTATGTTTCTTCATATTTACTGTTGTTCCTCTCCCTCTCCTACACACATGCTAGAATCTCAGCACCATGGAGCAGGTATTCTGTTTTGTTGTTTCCTCCAATGCTGAATCCCCAGTGCCTAGCACATCATTTGGCATAAAGAAAACCCTCAAGAAATATTTGTTAAACAATTAATATCCCTGCCTTCCCAAACACAATAGAGGAATACAACTTAGCATGTCTTCTGGCCCCAGTGTTAACATTCAAGGAGGCACTGTGTAGCGGTTAAAAGCATGACCTCGGAATTATACTCCATGGCTTCAAGTCTCACTGCAGGCCCAACTAGCCATATGACTCGGCACACTATTTGACATTTTCAAGGCTCTATTTTCTCATATGTAAAACGGGGCTGTGACCACAGTGCCTGATACAAATTATCAATAACTATTATTTACTCAAAAATATGTGTTGCATCTTATATTTTTAATCAATATTTGATATTTTTCCTTGCACGTCTGTAAAGTAGGACCTTATATAGTTATATATTTCATTAGTTATGTAAAGTTCATGATTGTTTTGGCTCCTTGGAGGATTGGTCCTTTTATCATTGTACCTCTTTATATATTGCACCATAATAGTGTTTCTAAGCTTGCATTTTATTTTTTCTGTTATAAATATTGCTTATTGCTATATCAGCTTTCTTTTAGTTGTATCCTGGTTTAAAGCACAAATACCTTTACTGACAAATTTTTCCATCATTAATTTTAACTTAAAATTTTAACATACATGCCTAATTTATATTTTTCTTACAAATGCTACAGTAATTCTAATTTGCTTTCTCTCTCCTGAAAACGGAATCAGTATGCTTTCACTATCTTTTAAATGTACCCCCTTTCATTCCCCAATTAGTCTTGTTTAGTATTTATGTGTTGTACTTAAAGCCATGAAAAAAAATCATTATTTCCCATCAATCTTATTTGGATTTACATACATACTTCTTTGATCACTGAATACTGCTCCTTGCATTCTCATACTTCTTTCCACATTCAATGATCTTCTTGCTGAAGCACATCCTTAAATACTTCTTTCAGAAAAGATCTATGTGTGGCAAATTATCAGTCTTTGTATGTATGGAAATCTTTCCCTAGATGACAGTTTACTTGGATATAGCATTATTGTTAACAATTATTTCCCTTTGCGTCTTAAACATTTTATTCTGTTGTCTTCTGGAGACTTTTGTGTCTGATAGAGTAGGTGCCACTCTGAAACTTTTCCATTGTGTTTAATGTCTTTCTTTTATCATAGCTTTAAAAATTTTGACTTTTTATTTTATGTTCTAAAGTTGCATGATGATGCTTCTAGATAAGTTTATTTTTAATTTTTCTATTTAATATTTGATGTACTCCTTTAATATCAAGACTTGTGTCTAACTTCTTCAAATACTGTCACATTCTCAATCTCACTAATTATTGCTTCAAGAATTTCTATTAGATATGTATTTGAGATTCTGATTTTAGCCTCTGCACCTCTCAAATTATCTTTCTCTTATTTGTTCCATAAAGAATTTTGATAGATTAACTCTTTCTTCCTATTCACTAATTTTATCTTCAGTTGTCAGTTGTATTTGGACTATTGTATTATTTATCTATTAAAGACATTGTTTTCCTTTAATTTCAATGACTATTTAGTTTCTTGAATTATTTGGTCCTTTTGCATAGTGGCTTTCTCTAGTACCTGTAGATTCTCTCCTTTTTTTTTTTTTTTTGTCTCATTTATCATTTAAATACACTTACTCTATGGCTGCTAGTTCCACAGGAGTAAATATTCCCATTTCTTCCATCTGCTGATTCTCTTTCATAGTGTTAGGTTTCCCCATTTACTCTGAGATTTTGTCTGTGAGCTCATCTTCAACAAGACTTACCTTCTGTAACAATCCAGGATGTGCCGTGAGCTGTGGGTATGTCCTTGTAGGGGACTTAACATTGCATCTGCCAGAGCCCTAAAATGTGTGAAAGTTGTCAGAATCAAAGTGGAGTCACTCTTTCAAACCATAGCAAAATAGAGCCAGGGAAGGCCATGAAGGGAGGACTCTCACTCATAATTTATCTGATGATAGGATCCACCTCAAAAATTGTTTCCAAACCACAGCTTACTACATGAGTCACACAAGAAAAGCTAGCAGCACAAGAACAGCTAGCCACTTCTAGAGGCACGCTGGCCTGTTTTGCAACTCTCACAAGGTCAGTCCAAAAATACAAAGGCCTAACCGTAACTCCAAGATGCTGAGTCCCACCTAGCAGCTACTGATACTTGACAATGAACTTTCAAAACAACTTGCATCACCTCTTCTCTCCCCAGTAAAACCTTAATTTTCCTTTGTTCTCCAGACATGCCAGAGACCATCCCAGTCTATGCATATGTCTGAGATCTCAATCCTATTTCTTTGTTCATTCCCAAATAAATCCCTTTTGCTTGGAGTTCTGTCTCCATATATTCTTATTTCAAATTGGACAAGTGCCATGAGGCCAAATTCTACAATAATTATCATTTTTTGTTTGTTTATTTTGACACTATGGCATAGGCAGTGTGACTTGGAGCCCCACATCTTTTTGTGACAGAGGCTGGGGTTTCAGTTTTACATGGGAAACTCCCCCTGCCACAGTCTGCAGGGGCAAGCTCCTTCCTGTGCCCCAGCCCTGGCCTACACAGTCCTTCTCCACCCAAGCTTTCACATGGAGCCCTCGATGTCCATCTTTACACAGAACAAAATCCCTGCCATAAGGAGTGGATCCAGCCCCTGAGGGCTCTGCAGCTTCAACGCTGGCTCTCTGTCATGGCTTTGCATTCCTTCTTTGTTGATTGCTTCTAGTTATTTCTCTTTCTTACATTGAAACTGGGCTTTTTTCTTAATTGCTTCATTGCATCTATCATGGATAAATGAGCTCAGACTTCTAGTCAAGGTAGTAAGCTGACATGTCCACTAAAACGTCTAACAGACATCTCAGTTTCTCCCCCAGCCACAACCTGGTTCTGTCAGTCTTTCTTGTTATAGCAAATAACACCAATGACCAGCCAGTTGCTTGGAGCAACAGGCAATGATAAGTATTCAGCTCTATTTGGTTTAATACCTTGACCAGAAGTCTG
This sequence comes from Homo sapiens, assembly GCF_000001405.40. Taxonomy (NCBI): domain Eukaryota; kingdom Metazoa; phylum Chordata; class Mammalia; order Primates; family Hominidae; genus Homo; species Homo sapiens. The sequence goes on along the minus strand of NC_000002.12, from coordinate 128,727,129 downwards.
AGCTCCACACATGTCAGTGGTCACAGACTGGTCATTCAGAAAAAGAAACAAGCTGAATCTGGCACCCCTTAACCTCAAGAAACTCCTGTCGGTTCCTACTACGTTATCACAGCCATTTATTTAATTTCACTAGAAACCACCCAACTCTCGGATCTCTAATTTCTAAAATATATTTTACCTTCTTAAAGATTTGTGCAATATGAATCCTCTTGACATTTTCTGGACTCTCCATCACTCCAAGCTTTATCATAGGTTAGCAATGGGCTTCATGATCCTTTTGATGTTTATATGCTGGGCCACGATCTGCCCTGTGCTCAGCCCTGCTAATGCTTTCTTTTGCCTTCTCCCTTAGGCTGGGTCTCCTGCCTCCTAACCATGTTGCATCCACCCTTTCCATTTTGTAGGTTTAGTTTTTTTAGAAAAATCATGGCAGTAAAACAGAAAGTGAGACATTGTACTTTCTCTCTGTCACCTTTTAACATTACACCATATGCCATCAACAGTTGGACTCTGTCAACAAAACTTACAAAATCCTTCAAAAAATATTTTTAACAGTTGTTTTTTCATTTATGAGCTCCTTCTGATCTTTTGCCTTCCTTAGCATCTTATTCCAGACTTGTGCCGTGCTGTGGCATTTATCTTGGATTATATCAGTTCCCTTTCAGCCCACATGAATCAGTCTCAGAATAGCCTCCTCCCACCCAGGCTCCTTCTGAGTCTCTCTTGGCTCCTCTTCACCACCCAGACCTTGAGCTGAGAGTGCCCAGGGCTCAAACCTCAGTACCCAGGGCTCAAACCTCAGACCTGTTTTCTTCTCTCTCTCTCTACAGTGTTTGCATTCAATCTTACAGCCTGTAATATCGCAAAGACTTGGGTAACTTCTGGCTCCACAGCCTATTTATCTGCTCAGATTCCCACTCTTTAACACCGGCCTCACTAATCCACCTGCAGACTTGACCTCTTTATTTGGATTTCTAACAAACACCTCAATCCCCCTGCCTCCAGCACCTGGCCTCTCTGCTTTCCCCAATTTAATAAATGATGTCAACATTCAACTAGTAACTGAAGGCAAAGATTCTAGAGTCAATCTTGTAGCCACGTTTTCTTATTCCACATTCAACTCAACAGCTAATCCTGTCACCTCCACCTTCAAAATATATCTATATCAAAATAGATGTAATCTATCCAATATTCTTTCCAGCTTTTCTTTTCAACTTTGCAAATGTGATCACATTCTCACCAGCCTCCCTGCTTCCACTTTTGCCCTGCAACCTGTTCTCTACCCAAAAATGCTTCCTCTCATGGTCTACGCGAGCTTGGACAGGCCCTCCCAGCCCTCTCTGCCCACCTCCCCATCTCGTCTCACAGAACTCTTCCAGTCCTAGGGCCTGCTTTCTGTTCCTCAGACATATCATTGTCCCAGTCTCAGGACATTTGCACATGCCACACTCTCCACTGGAGTATTCTGTCCAGTACGGCTACAGTAAATCTTCCTCATTTCATCTATATCTCAGCTCAAAAATCACCTTGGAGACAGCTAAAATCACAAGTCCTGTCTATCCCCATAGCCTGCTTTTTCTTCATAGCCCTTGTCACCGCCTCATAAATCATTTGCTTACTGGTTTCTGTCCCCAACTATCAAATGAGCTGCTTGGGGCAGGGACCTTGCCATTTCCAGGGGCTCGCTATATTTCCAGAGCTTGGAGAAGAGCCTGTGTGTAGGAGGCCTTCCTTAAACATGTGCTGACCTGACTTTTTCTATTCGGCAGATGACTTCAATATCCTACCTGCATAGGAGGGGGAAACTCTGGCTGTCATGCGGGGCCTGAGCCTCTGAGAGCTGAATGCATACAGGCATGGGAGGTGATGGGAAATAAAGGTAAAAACACAACTGAGAAGCCAGACGGTGGGTGTGGTGTTTGTGGTGTGGATACCCGAGGCAATGCTGTTCACCCGGGACCTGGTTAGGAAAGGCCTGCACTTACAAATCCCTGAGGCCATTAGGCGTGGCTGCCACAAGGAGAAGCTCCCTGGTCAGCGGTCTCCATTTGAAGGCAGGCTGGGTTTGATCCCTGGATAGGACTTCTTCCAAAGGTCAGTTGGAAACTGACTAGAAAACCAGTCTCATTAACATGCTCAGAGAATCCTGAGTGGGAGTTTTCCTCACAAAACATGTATATTCAAACTGAAACCTCACCAGCAATCAATCCTATGGCAGCAAATTCACACTGCTCCCATAGCTTAGGCCATTTCCACCACGGGAATTACCCTGACAGGTCTCCGAAGCACAGCCCAGCCTCTGCTCCATGCCGGGCCTGCCCAGGGACAGCCTGCATGCATTCTTGCCATGGCAACAAAGAAGCCCTGGCCTTGGAAAATCACTGCCAACGGTACTCAAGACTGGTGCCGAACATGCAGATGATGGATGGAAAACTGAAAAGTCAGCCAGCCATCTAGCGCCTCCAAATACTCAGGAATTCCACATGGTATTATAGAGAAACACAGGATCTACAGCAAATACAGGAGACCCCTTTATAGCACCTGTGTCTGCACGTCATCCAGACTTGATTTTAATACCCTCCAGGAAGGTGGCTTCAAGATTGACTTCCAATGAAGCAAGTATGCAAGTATGCCAGAAGGCTGACTAGACTGCATGTATGTGTGTGCGTATGCACCACACCTTTCCAGCATTGTTGAGAAAATAAGAGTTTGAGAGTAGGACAGGTGGGACTGCCATCAACACTGTGTGTCCTGGAAGTCTACTGCAGTGTAGAAATCCAGTCTCTCAATCTCCCCTTCTGTGTGGGCCTTCACCCTCTCGTCTGGATGACCACAGTGGTTTCTTACTCAATTTTTCTGTCTCTATCCTCTCATCACTAATCCATCCATCCGCCAAGGAGTCTTTTTGGGGATTTTTTAATTTAATTTTTCTTTATCAAAATTATGTATGCATAAGGATGAGTGCAAGTATAAGAAGAATACTTGAACAGAGCATAAGTTTGTCCAAGAGTACAAGTACAACAGCCCTTTCCACTGCCCCATTTTCCTCCTCTGGTGAGAAACTGAGGCAAAACTCCAACAGGTAGGCCCTATAATCATGTGGCTTTGGCTATAACATGGCTAATCATTGGCTTTCAGACCTCCAAATTCCCAGCTAGCTGACACACAGGATCACACGGGATTTTTCACTAACCTCTCAATAATGTGACCTTCCCATTTTACATGACTGACTCTTACATTATCATCAGGTTCTACTTTATTTTACAATTCCTTTGGTACTTAACTCTATATAGCTAATTACCATGCTCACTTAGCTAATTATTGATTTTTCAATATGGCCATTATTAATTGACTGCTCAGACTGGAAGATGATGTTTGTTGCTCCCAATCCCCACCCAATACATGAGGATTTTCCACTCTTGACTTGGTCCAATTTGGTTTCCTTATAGTTTTCATTAGATCAGTATTTGATATTAATATCATTATGACTAGCTAAATGTTCTGTGCTACTAAGCCATGTAGTATACTATGATTACCTTTCATTTCCTGTAAAATACTTTGCTGTCCCTGAAGTTAATAATTACTTTGTCATTTCATTTATGTAGTTTTCTTTGCATTCTTGTCCTGTTTTATAAACCTCTCAATGTATTCAAGTGTATCATCATGAAGCATCTCTACTAAAGCTTTCTGTCTATTCAGTAGTTTCATTGTTATTTTATTTTTGTTTTAACTTTTTATTGTGAAAAATTTTAAATGTACATAAAAGTAGAGAGAATATTATAACAAACCCAGCAAACTTAGATTTTTGATGGAATATTTTAAAGAGCTTCCCAGACATCATATTGTTTCATCTGTAAATGCTTCAATATGTATCTCTAACTTTTAGGTACATGTAAGAAGCGTAACCACCATGCTAATATCAAACCTAGTAAAATTTATAATTTCTCAATATCACCTGATAACTACTATAAATTTGAATGTTATGAGCATTCCCATATGTCTTTTGTTAGTGGTTGTTTGAATTAGGAGCCAAATGAAGCCCAAGCATTGACTTTCCTTGTCTTTTAAGTCTCTTATTCTGTAACAATCCCTTAAGTATTTTTCTCAAAAGCCTTGATTCACTGGAGAACCCAAGTCGGTCAGCTTGAAAAGTATCTTGTGCTCTACATGTGGCTGATTGCTTCCTTCAGCTCTCATCTAGCTTGTTTCTTTCTTCTTCCTATGCCTTGTGCACTGGTAGTTGGATTCAGAGCAGTGAGTCTCAGCCCAGGATGCACATCAGAATCACTTGGAGAGCTTCTTAAAATCCCAGTGCCTAGGCCACACTCCAGGCCAATTAAATCAAAACCCCAGATGAGGCCCAAACATCAGTCTTGTAAAGTGCCCCAGGGGATTCCAAGGGGCACTTACATCGAAAACCATTCCTCTCTGAGCAGCCCTTCTCAGCATGTGGTCCAGGACCAGCAGCACCTGCAGCCCCAGTGAAGATCAGCTGCATCAGAAACCTCAGGGGTGGGGCCCAGCAATCTGTTTTAACAAGCCCTCCAGGAATTCTGATGCATACTAACATCTGAGAGCCACTGCTGTAGAGGTTTGGTTTGATTCAATTCCATTTATTAAGCATAAAGACTTCATAGGTTGTGCTGCATATTTTCTGTTGAGATGGTCTCAATCCTGGCTATATGTTGGAGTCACCTGCAGAGCTCCTGTTCACCAGGATTCAGACCCCATGCCAGGCCAATTGAATCCAAATACCTGAGAGTGGGGCTTCAAGGCCTATGTTTTTAAAAACTCACCAGGAACATCAGGAACACTGTCTTGATGTGTCATTCATGAAGCGCGCAGTGCTAGGGTGCCCACCTTCAGTGGTGCTAAGGTTTCCTGGTGAGCTCAGGTGGCCAGCCTGATCCCTCCTTATAATCTCCATCATCTTTTTGCCAACTGATGATCATTGCCTAGGTTCTTCTATTAGATGTGATAAAATAGCAACTTTAAAACAGCCATAATTCCTTTTCCATGAGGTCTTTCTATAAAGAACTGCTCCTCTTTAATTGTTTTTGTTATCCTAAAATACAGTTCATACAAGAAAGGTGGTATAAATGCCCATTTCTTTCTCATTGTCTGCTCTCAGAGTAATGAGTTGATGCCCTAATAAACTCTCAAAGACACAAGTGAGTTTTTTCCTGTGTATGATTATGAACTCATAGATTGTATCTATTGGATGTGATTTAATATATTGCAGATATTATATATTCAGTATTCTCATTGCTCTAGATTTGGTTAGGGAAAGCCCTTCCAGCTGCCTCCTGTGTCCCTTTGACATGACCCCACTAGCCTGGAATCACTACCCTGCTTTCTAACACAATAAGAAGTCGTGGGCTCATCTTGTAAATTTCCTCCTCCAGACATGGAATCAGACATTTCTCCTATAACTCTGGTTTCTTTCAGTGGAATATAGTGTACAGAGGCCACAATCTGAGCACTAAGTATGTTCATTGCTACTGATTTGTCATTGTTTCTAGACCTTTTCAGTGGACAGATAAGAAAACATTTTTAGAAAAAGAAATCATGAGTCCAAATTGGTATTTCCAATTTTAATTTAATACTACAGAATTTTATTCAATTACTTTGATTTTATATTTCTCTTATACTAAAATCTTGAATCTTAATTACATTGGCATATTTATCTATTTGCTGTTTTATACAGTATACTTATAATAGTGTTATGAATTTAATTGTGTCTTCCCCACCCCACCCCAAATCCATATGCCAAAACCCTAACCTTCAGTGTGACAGCATTTGGAGACAGGGCCTTTAAGGAAGTAATTAAGGTTAAATAAGGTCATCGTGTGGCCCTTCCTTAATAAGACTGGTGATCTTAGGAGAAAAGAGAGAGACTCCAGGAGTGGACATGCACAGATGCAAGGCCAGGTGAGAACACGATGAAAAGGCAGCCATCTGCAAGCCAAGGAGAGAGGCTTCCAGAGAAACTAACTCTACCAGCACCTTGATCTTGGACTTCCAGCCTCCAGAACTATGAGAAAAAAATTCCTATCATTTTAACCCAGTCTGTGGTAGTCTGTTATGGCAGCCTAAGCAGTCTAATACAATAGCTTTCAAATAATAATACACTACGAACAATTGATACTGAATTGCTCCTTAAAATGTCTGTGTTCTTTTTATTTTTAGAACGTAGAGTCAACACACTGTATTTTAAAGTCAGTTGGAGGAAGTCTTTTCTCTGTGTGCTTATGTTATCTGTTTGAGAATCTGGGTAGGTCTAGTAGGTTTCCAGTGTCTGCTGGGACTTGCTCCAACCTGGACTGGTTGTTCTCTATGCCTGTTGCAAAGTTGTAGTGTCAGGTTCTCCCTTAACCATTATTCTGGGGATCCCTGCTTCCTGGATTACTGTGATCTTTTTTGGTGTAGTTCTTTACACAACCTCCAGGAGCTTCCTGAGAGAAGGCACATGGATATAATATTTTGATGTATTTATTCGAGTGTGAACTTTACTGATGGTTTAGCTGGGTACAGAATTCTAGGTTGGAAAGTGATTTTCTCTGGCTCTTGAAATTATTGTTCTATTGTCTTCTGGCTTCTATGTCTGATGCTTTCTATATATTGATTCTTTGCATGAAATCTGTGAGGCTGTTTTTTTCCCCCTTTTCAGAAGCTTCTCTTGGTTTTATAAATTTCCTAGTATTATACATTTTTAGAAGCTTCTTCTGGTTTTGTAAATTTCCAGAGGTGCCTTGTACTTTTCCTTGGCCTCTTGGAGATCCTACTATGTAAACCAAGTTACTTTTTGGCTTTTACTTCTGCAATGAAAAATTCAGCTTTCTCAGCTGAGCAGCATCACTTGCCACTCACCATCTGCTTTCCAGTCCCCCAAATTTTGTTATTTTTGTCCCTGTGGGTTTATGCCTTTTTAGAATGTTTCTTATGGAAGTATGATATGTAGACAGAAAATTACATACATTACAAGGGTAGATCTCAATGTTGAAAACAGAACATAATCGTGTAAACAGGACCCAGATCACAAAACAGAGCATTACCAGGACCCCAGAAGGACCAGGGACCCCGGCCATTCCTATCTCCTCCCCACAATGGTGCCCGCTATCCTGACCTCTAACAGCACAGATGCAGTTTTTCTCCTTTCTTTGAGTTCTATATAAACAGAATTACACAGTTTGGCCTTTCTTGTACCTGCTTCTTTCACTCAACATTTTGCATGTGGCATTCACTCTTTTTTTTTTTTTTTTTTTTTTTGAGACAGAGTCTTGCTCTGTCACCCAGGCTAGAGTGCAGTGGCGCGATCTCGGCTCACTGCAAGCTCCACCTCCTGGGTTCACGCCATTCTCCTTCCTCAGCCTCCCGAGTAGCTGGGACTACAGGCGCACGCCACCATGACTGGCTAATTTTTTTGTATTTTTAGTAGAGATGGAGTTTCACCATGTTCGCCAGGATGGTCTTGATCTCCTGACCTCGTGATCCGCCTGCCTCGGCCTCCCAAAGTGCTGGCATTACAGGCGGGAGCCACCATGCCCGGCCGGCATTCACTCTTAATGTTGTGTGCAGTGGTAGATCATGCTCACTGCTGTGTAATCTTCTCACTGTATGAGTATACCAAAACTTATTTATCTATTTTTGGTGAACACTGGGAGTTTCCAATTTGGAGACTATTGTGAATCGCGTTGGTATAACTGTTCCTGTGCCTGCTCTTTGGTGAACATGTGTGTGCATCTCTGTGGGGTACCTGCTCAAGAGTGCAACTGTCCGGTCACAGGATATGTGTATATTAAGCTCCAGCAGATTCCACCACATTGTTTTCTAAATTGTGTCAATTTATTGTAGGAGTACAAGCTTGTGTGAGAATTCTGGCTGCTCTCTTTGATTAACCACATCTTTTCCATTGTAAACTTTCTGAGGAATGTTGGTCTGTGCTTTTTTTTTTTTTTTTTTTTGAGATGAAGACTTGCTCTGTCACCCAGGCAGGATCACTGCAATCTCTGCCTCCTGGGTTCAAGTGATTCTCCTCTCTCAGTCTCCCGAGTGGCTAGGATGACAGGCACCTGCCACCAAGTCTAGCTAATTCTTTTTGTATTTTTAGTAGAGACGGAGTTTCGCCATGTTGGCCAGGCTGGTCTCGAACTACTGACCTGAGGTGATCTTCCCACCTCGGCCTCCCAAAGTGCTAGGATTATAGGCGTGAGCCACAGTGCACAGCCTAGTTTGTTATTTTTAAAACTCTGTCACTGTTCGTGTAGAGGAGATAGAAAAGGAAGGAGAGTTTTGTTGGGGTGTTGATGCTGCCATATTTAATGGAAAGCCAACAAAGGTTTTGTTTTCCTAAAGCGCTAATTTGATCAAGTCTTTTAGCTTCACTCAAAATCCTCCACTGGTTATCAGGATAAATTTCAAAGTTTCTCCTTAGTCCCTGTCATGAGCTGTCTCTGCAGAGCTCCCCACATCTTGTAATTTGCCAAACCTGCGGTGCTCTCTTAGCCATCCACGCAATTGCACTGACTGCTGCTGCTTCTGAAATTGCTCTCCCCAGCCTTCTCTACCTCACTAAGTCCTCCACCACCATCCAGGGTCACTCCTGAAGAACCTTCCTGGCAGAGTGCCCGGCGGGGGGCTCCTCTGTAATCCACCTCCTGCCTTGGCTTTCTTCTGTCATGGAACTTGCCATGGCATGATTACTTGTCTCTCTTCCTCAATGCCTGGAAGCTCATTGGGAGGAAGAACTGTGTCTTATTTCACTTTGTAACAATAATAACCATCATAGTGCCAGGGACAGGGCACTGAACCAGAGGTTATTGAATTCATTCACTCGTTCAAGTATTCGTTATTTAACAAATATTTAATAAGAGTCTGTCATGTGCCTGAGTCTGTTCCAAGCACAGGGATGGCTATGATGAGGCAATGAGAGAAAATTTCTATTCCCACGGGCTTGTATTCCAGTGAGTGAGGGGGGGCATGCAGATAAACACAGAAAGAGATCATTAACAACCAAATAAACACAGAAAGAGATCATTAACAACCAGAATGATGAAGAGTGTGCAGACAGCCTCCATATCCAGTCCTTCACCCTCCTCCAGCAGCAATCTCCTTTCTGCCAGCCCAGCCACAGGGACCTCCTCTGTCCCTCAGCTCTGTCTCAGAGCCCTGCTCTGGTCCTTCCTTGGCATGAAAGCTTCCCCCACCCCCAGACCTGTGTGTGGCTGTCTCTTTTTCCTCACTCAGATCTCAGCTTAGATGTCGCCTCCTCTGAAGGACCTCCTTGACCACACAGCCAGTCACACTTAAGCACAGTGTGCCCTTTCCATTCTTACACACAACTTAAAACTCTCAGATATCTTTCCTGTGAATGTGTTTGTCTGTTTTTTTTTGTTTGTTTGTTTGTTTTTAGAGATGGAGTCTCACTCTGTGGCCCAGCCTGGAGTGCAGTTGTGCGATCTTGGCTTATTGCAACCTCCGCCTCCCAGGTTCAAGCAATTCTCCTGCCTCAGCCTCCCGAGAAGCTGGGACTACAGGCACACACCACCAAGCCCGGCTAAATTTTTTTGTATTTTAGCAGAGACGGGGGTTTCACCATGTTCCCCAGGCTGGTCTCAAACTCCTGAGCTCGGGCAATCCACCCGCCTTGGCTTCCCAAAGTGCTAGGATTACAGGCATGAGCAACCGTGCCCAGCCTGTGTTTGTCTGTTTTCTGTTTCCCTTAAGTAAGGCTCATGCAGGCTGGAGGGTTGGCTTTGTTTTTTCTGTTTTGTTAATAAGTCGACCCCTTTTTCCTAGACAGCAGTGCCTGACAAATAGTAGCTGCCCTGTGTATTTACTAAACGAGTGAGTGAATGAGTGAATTACAGAAAAATTAGAATTGAAGAAATTCAAAAAGGAAAATGGAGCATTTGCTTACCACACCACACAGCAATTGCATTTCTAGCGATTTTAATCAAGAGGAATGAAAATATATGTCCATGAAAGTAGTTTTATGTGAATCTTCATAGGAAGCTTATTTAAAATAGGCAAAAATTAGAAGAGATCCAAATAGCTATCCATAGGAAAATGATCAACAAGCTGTGGTATAGCCAAACAATGAAACACTACACAGCAATCAAAAAGGAGAAACAGCTGAATGAAGCAGGCAGGTCGTTCATTAGTCTGATGACTAGAAGGGGCGGGAGGGCAAGGGCACTGCTAGGATGCTGGAAATGCTCTGTCTCGATTGTGTTCCTGGCTGTGTGATGTGTACACTTGCCGAAATTACTGAGTATATCTTTAATTTGGGTACATTTTAGGGCCACAATGAATTTCATTCAAAACTAATTTTAAAAGGACGTTTGAGAATTAGAGCACTTCTCATCTCCATCCTCCCACCCCTCATCCAAAACTTTAGCTTTGATCTGTTCACAGCAGGCAGCCTCGCGGGTATCTCCTTGCTGTGCACCTGGAGTCATGGTTTCCTTGTGGGTTTTGCAGTCAGCTGGCGGCTTAACCGTCCCCCAGGGGCCAAGTTGCCAACGGATTAAAGTCCAATATCTCAGCAGCACAGCATGGCCTCCACAGCCAGGCCTGCCCACCTCCCTATGCCAACAGCTGGTCCTTCCCAGCTCTGCCCTGCAAGCAGCAGTGTGGCCCAGGTGGATCTTCCAAGTCCCCCCTAGCGTAAGTGTGTTGGCAAACCAGCAACCCCTGCATTGCCAGGACACTGGGTAGATGCAGAGTCTCAGCCCTGCACAGACACTCTGATGCAGAATCTGCACCGTAGTGTGATCTCCGGGTGCTTTGGATGCACAGCAAGTTTGAGAAGCACTGAGCTAACCTTTCTGAGCTTCAGATATATCTTCTGCAAATGGTAACCATGTCTTCTGCCTTCCTGGCTCCTGTGAGGGTTGAGTGAGGTAATGCTACACACAGCCCACTGTAGGATTCAATGAACATCTACCTCCTCCCTCTTGTCCCAGTGCCTGGTCATTCCTCCTTAGCCTCAGACCTGCCATCATTCCTGGCTAGAAAAGAGGCTTGGTGGCAAACCAGAATGTCTGCCCTGGAGAGCTGGGCATCAAACCTCACAGGGCAGAAAAGCTCATTGGAAGCCCCAGAGCACACAGCCAGCAGGGCTATCTGTCAGCCTCTCGTTGCACACTCCTCAGCCTGCCATATGCTAATAATAGAAAACACATTTCCATATTAATCACAATGTAGCATTTCCAATTGGGTCATTGTCCCCAATGTGTCACCTCTCTCTGAGGATGAAAATTAGATCTTTGTCCCCGAAACTCATCATTATTCATCTGCCTGCTAACATAAGACAGACATACCTTGGATGGGACGTGGCAAGGCATCAGAGAAAGGAGAATATTCACACCTCCTTCCTCTCCCTGTCTTCCCCAATTTCTCTTCCCATTCTCCTCTCTCCCTGTTTATCCTCCTCCTCCTGCTCCAGCTCCTCCTCTCCTCCACCTGCCACGGCATTTCTCTGGGGAAAAGGCTTTCCCTCCGGGTCATCTCCATTAACTCACAGGATGGAGTGGGGATTAGATCCCAGCTGACGGTGAGTGCTCTGGACTGCGTACCCTGTTGTGCCGGGGCAACCCCTTCTCTCTCAGGAACCCAGGCTCCTCTTCGGTCCTGCCCTGACAGCCCAGGGGAAGCCTCACATGCTGACAGAGAACAACCACAGCCATGACAAGGACCACAATGTCTGCCACTGCCTATCCTCCTATTCCCGCTGCTCCTCAGAGCACAATGCACCACTTCCTTTGTGCCAGGTAATTCCCTAGGTCCTTCATACATGGTCCTCAAAGCCACCCCAGGGCAAGGCAAAAACTCTCCACTTTACAGGTGAGAGCCCACCCTTGGCCCAAATTCACGAGTTGGTGAGAGGCCCAATCAGCTTCCAGCCCGAAGCGCTGAGCTGGGAGCCAGGTGACACCAGGTGTACTGGTCGGCTTCACCCTCTGCAACCTGAGGGCACTGATCCTGGAGAGCTGGGGCCTGAGGCAGGAGTGGGGATGGGCATGCAGGACTCCAACATCTGCCTCCCTTCCCAAGTAACCTGGGGTCTGCCAGGCACATCACAGTGCTGACCAGCATAGCCCCGGTTCTCTGAGCCCCCAAAGAACCCTCTCCTGGGCAAGCCCCACTGAGAGAGTGCTGCCCCCTTGTGTGTGAGAGGGCATGAAGGTTAATGCAAGGTGGTGGCAGTTCGCCCCAGGAAACTGGGGCCAGATGGAGAACATGAGAGCAAGTCACTGCTTAGATATCTAGCATCCAGAGACAGCATTGCCGGCACTCGGAGCAGTAATTGGCATTAAGAGAGGCTTGGAACTGCAAACTAGTGATTTTCAATTGGTATTTTTAAAAAGTAATTGACATTAAGTGCTGTTAGGAGCAGCAAACTAGTGATTTGCAAATGACATTCAATAAGAAATCATTTATGCCTACTGATATTAAATAGGCACAAGCTTGTGGCGCACCAGGCGAGGCAGGGAGGAGAAGGAGCCAAGGCCCAGCTGGGTCACATGAGGCTGTGGAGAAGAGATCTCACACTCCGGGTTCATTCCTTCCTTTGCAGCCCCACAGACCACACAGGAGGAAGAAGCCCTCTGAGCTTAGGCTGTGTTCCCCACACCATAGCCCCTGGGCTTCCTCTCCTCCCACCCTCCCTGCCAGCCTCCTCCCAGCTACAGCTGTTGTCTAACTCTGTCCCTCATCAGTTCCTCCTGCCCCGCTCAGGGCCCTCAGGTCTCAGTGGAGTCACCCACCCAGGAGACTTACAGCTCCTGGGCCTCCCATGTGGTTCACCATGTCACTCCATCTGGCTCTCTGGACAGACTCTTCAAGGCCAGGGAACAAGGGAATGAACCAGGATGCATCCTATGGGAAATCTGGACAAGTGAATCAAAGAATGAATGTGAATGGTCTGCAAATGATCTTTGGCTAGAGAGTCTGGGAATGGAGGACACCAGGGGCCAGAGGTGGTAACTTCACCCCCACGTCCTAAGCTGGGATGTGGCTGGTGCACAAGTATCCTGGGACTCCTAACACCCTGCACAGGATGTCCAGCATCCCCCACTGCCAGCACTGCCACAGATATCTCCAGTGACTCTGTGTGTGTGTGTGTGTGTGTGTGTGTGTGTGTGTGTGTGTGTGTGTATGTGTGTATACCAGGAAGAGAGGAGAGTATAAGAGCAAGACAGAGACAGACTGGGAGAGAGAGATTCCTCCAGGTAAGAGCTGGAGCTGGGAACGCAAACCTGTGGCTATGACAGGGCCGGTGAAGAGAGTACCACATACCGTCCTAAAGAGGGTCAACCCTGTGAATAGAGTCCCCAGCCCTCAACAAAAATTCTCTTGTTCTTTGAAGGGCAGGAAAACAGAGAGGCACCACAATTCAGGGGACCCTTAACTCTGAGCAAGTCAGCACTGCTAACCACATGGTGGAGGCTGGAGGGTTTTCCTGATGGCGCAGCATACCCCAGGAGCAGGGCACTCCAGGAAAAACCATTGAATTTTCTGCCCTCCTGGCAGGAAAAGGACTGAGTAGACTTGAATTTGAGTTTAGACAAATAAAGAATTGTGACATCTATAGAGCAGAGATAGAACAGACAATAGAAAAACAAGAGAGGAAAATCAATAAAACCAAAAGTTGGCTTCTAGAAAATATCAACAAAATCGACAAGCTTTTAGCTGACTTGACTAAGAAAGAAGAAAAGAAGAATCAAATTCATGCTGGGAAAACTGGAAACCCACATGCAAAAGAATGAAGCTGGATCCTTACCTAACACCATCTACAAAAATTAATTCAAAATGAATCGAAGACCTAAATGTAAGACCTAAAATTATAAAACTCTTAGGAGAAAACATAGGGCAGAATCTTCATGAAATTGGACTTGGCAAGGAGTTCTTGAATATGTCTCCAAAGGTACTGGCAACAAAAGAAAAAAATAGACAAATTGGACTTTATGAACATTAAAAAGTTTTGTGCATCAAAAGATGCTGTCAACAGAGTAAAGAGGTGACCCACAGAATAAGAGGAAACATTTGCAAGTTGTAGATCTGGTAGTGATTAATATTGAGAATATACACATTTTTAAACTTTTAAAACTCAACAAACACAACAAAAAAACAAAATTATTCAAAAATGGGCTCTCCTCATGCTGGTCTTGAAATTAATTTCAGAAAAAATAAATTAAATTAAAATTATTCAAAAATTGGCAAGACTTACATAGACATTTGTCCCAAAAAGATATACAAATAAGCACACAAAAATATGTTGAACCTCATTAGTCATTAGAGAAATGCAAATCAAACCACAATCAACGAGATTCCATTTTGTATCCATCAGGATGCCTATTATTTACAAAACCAAACAAAACCAAACAAAACCCATAAAATAACAAGTGTTAGTGATGTGGAGAAATTGGAACTCTTGGGAGTTGGAATGTAAAATGGTGCAGCCACTGTGAAAAACAGTTTGGTTGTTCCTCAAAAAGTCAAAATTAGAATTACCACATGATCTAGCAATTCTACATTCATATATCTACTTAAAACAATTGAAAGCAGGGCCTGGAACACATTTGTACAACAATGTTCATAAGAGCATCATTCACAATAGCCAAAAAATAGAAGCTACCCAAATGTCCTTTGATACATGAATGGATAACTAAAAGGTAGTGTATCCATAGAATGAAATATTATTCAGCTTTAAAGAGGAAGGCTGAGTGTGGTGGCTCACACCTGTAATCTCAGCACTTTAGGAGGCCGAAGCAGACAGATCTCCTGAGGTCAGGAGTTCGAGACCAGCCTGACCAACAGTGTTCTGGTCTCTACTAAACCCCATCTCTACTAAAAATACAAAAATTAGTAGGGCATGGTGGCAGGCGCCTGTAATCCCGGCTACTCAGGTGGCTGAAGCAGGAGAATTACTTGAACTCAGAAGGTGGAGGTTGCAGTGAGCCGAGATAGCACCATTGTACCCCAGCTTGGGTGACAAGAGTAAGACTCTCTCAAAAAAAAATGGAAGAAAATTCTGAAACATGCTACAACATGAATGAATCTCAAGCACATTATGCTAAGTGGAATAAGCCAGTCACAAAAATAAAATACTGTATGATTGCACTTACATGAGGTATTTAGAGTAGTTAAAGAACAGAATCAGAAAGTAGAAGGGTGGTTGCCAGGATCTGGGGAATGGGGAGTTATTGTTTAATGCATTCAGTTTTGCAAAATGAAAAGTGTTCTAAAGATGGATGATGGTGATGGTTGCACAATAATATGAATGTATTTCATGCTACTGAACTGTATACTTAAAAACAGTTGGCCTGGTGTGGTGGCTCATGCCTGTAATCCCAGCACTTTGGGAGGCTGAGGCGGGTGGATCATGAGGTCAGGAGATCGAGACCATCCTGGCCAACATGGTGAAAGCCTGTCTGCTAAAAATACAAAAATTAGCTGGGTGTGGTGGCGTGTGCCTGTAATCCTAGCTACTCAGGAGGCTGAGGCAGGAGAATCACTTGAACCAGGGAGTCAGAGGTTGCAGTCAGCCGACATCGCGCCACTGTACTCCAGCCTGGTGACAGAGTGAGACTCTGTCTAAAAAAAAAAAAAAAATAGTTAAGATAGTAAACTTTATGTTATGTATATTTACCACAATAAGACAATGGGAAGGGGGAAGAATTATGACATCTCTTCTGTATCAAAGAGCTTGGGGAGTAAGATTCTTAGCTTCTATAAATGCGTAATAATTTATTTGTCCACTCTACTATTGCTATCTTTAGGTTGTTTTATTTTTCTCTATTAAAAATAATTATAATATTATTCATAAACTTTTGTATTTTAATATCCTTAGTATAAGTTCCTAGATATATAACTACTGGGTCAAAAAACATGGAGACTTCTGATATATATTGTAAAGCTACATCCAAAACACACATACATACACACACGCACACACACACACACACATATATATAATCTTTTTTTAAAAATTGAAGCCACTGGTAATTGTTCTGAGCACATACAGAAAATGAAAAGATATTTATTCAATAAAATTGACTAAATCTTGGTAAGAACAGCAAGAGTCTGTGGCAGTTGAGCCACAGCCTGCCCCCTTCCTCTTTCTCAACCAGCCCAGCATGACAGAAGCTCCACCCTGGGTAAGCATTGTGAAGAACACAGGGTTCCTTTTCCCCTAGCTATTACTTCAGTTATATCGTTAGGCTTTGTGTCTCCACCCAAATCTCATCTTGAATTGTTGAGGGAGATACCTGGTGGGAGATGATTGGCAATTTCCCCCATGATGTTCTCACAATTGTTAGTGAGTTCTCATGAGATCTGATGGTTTTATAAGGGGCTCTTTCCCCTTGGTTTCCTTCATTGGCTCTCTCGCCTGCTGCCGTAGACGTGCCTGCTACACCTTCTGCCATAATTGTAAGTTTCCTGAGGCCTCCCCAGCCATGTGGAACTGTGAGTCAATTAAACCTCTTTTCTTTATAAATTACCCCGTCTCGGGCAGTTCTGCATAGTAGTATGAGAAGCGACTAATACATTCAGGATGACAGTATCTCTCTGAAAGGGGCAGGCCAGCAGCACTTCTCTCCGCACCAGCTCTGTGTTGCAGAACCCAAATCCCAGGCAAATGTAGATCAGGGGTTCACTTCCCCTACCCAGCCCCAACTTGTAGAGGCTCTATCTCAATGAAGTAGGACAACAATAGTAGGGCCCCAATTGTCCTAATGCCAATTCACTTGTATGGTAGAGGTTCCATGCCCTACAGGAGATGCAAACCAAGAAAACCAGAAGCTGCTGCTGCTACCCAACACACTGAATGTAAATGAGAGGTGACATTCTAAGAGAAGTGAGCCGCTATTTCCCCCAGCTCTGAAATAGTGGCATAGAGGTTTTACCCAGGGGAGAAACAGGCCATAAGAACAGGGAGCTCTAAAGATTCCCTTCAAAGGAATTGACTTTATTTACAGTATGAGAAAGCTTAAGACTAAGTGAACGCTCTAAAACAGTGGAGATTTTGATGATAAGCAACTAAGAGAAGTAAGTTAGCTCCATGAAAGCAACAAGCTAACCCATAGATCAGCTAGTTTACCCGAAAGAACCAGAAAAGAGACAGCTAAGAATAGCCCTCCTAGGGTCAGAATAAAATTTCCAGACTGACTCAGAAACTCTCCCTACAGAGGGACCCACAGTTAATTTTAAATTAATGTGAAGCAACTTATGGGAAGGCTATTGTTGAAAACAATAAGGCCGTCAGCAATTAGTAGAGTTTAATAGGTGGGTGTAATATCAACAGAGACAGGCAACTGAAAAGAGAGATAAGAGAAAGAGAGCCTTGTTAAATTCACCATCATCAAGTACAGTAAAAGACATAAAAATTTCATTACAGGGACTCAACACTATAGTTTAATAGAAAGAATAAAAAAATTAGTGAACTTAAAGATAAATCAATTAAAATTATGTAATCCCAAAAACATGAAAAAAATGGTGAAAAATAAATAGAACCTTGAAGAAATGTGGGTGAACATTAAGCACACAAAACATACATACACATTATGGAGGAAACAGAGGAAGAAGAAAGATAGAAATAAACAGAAAAAAATATTTTAAGTAATAACAATTGAAATTGAAAATTTCCTAAACTTGAAGGAAAACATTAATCTACTCATCAAAGAAGTTCAAAGAACTCCAAGTAGAATAAATGCAAAAAAAAAAAAAAGATAGGCCAGGCGCAGTGGCTCACACCTGTAATCCCAGCACTTTGGGAGGCTGAGGCAGGCGGATCACGAGGTCAGGAGATCAAGACCATCCTAGCTAACATGGTGAAACTCTGTCTTTACTAAAAATACAAAAAAAAAATTAGCTGGGCATGGTGGCGGGTGCCTGTAGTCCCAGCTACTTGGGAGGCTGAGGCAGGAGAATGGCATGAACCCAGGAAGCGGAGCTTGCAGTGAGCCAAGATCGTGCCACTGCACTCCAGCCTGGGCAACAGAGCAAGACTCTGTCTCAAAAACAAAAACAAACAAACAAAAAGATACACCCAGTGATATGATTTGAATATTTGTCCTCTTCAAATCTCATGTTAAAATGTAATCCCCAGTGTTGGCGGTGGGGCCTGGTGGGAGGTGTTTGGGTTATAGGAGCAGATTCCTCATGAATGGTTTTGTGCTATCCTTGCAATAGTGAGTGAGTTCTTGTGAGACCTGGTTGTTTAAAAGTGTGTGGCACCTTCCCCCTTGTTCTCTTGCTCCTGCTCTTGCCATGTGATGTACCAGCTCCCTCTTTTCCTTCCACCATGATTGGAAGCTTCTAGAGGACCTCACCAGAAGCTGAGACACCATGCTTACTGTACAGCCTGTAGCAACATGAGCCAGTTAAACTTCTTTTCTTTATAACTTACCCAGCCTCATGTATTTCTTTAGAGCAACACAAAAACAGCCTAATACAGAAAATTGGTACCAGGAGTGGGGTATTCCTAAAAAAGATACCTGAAAATGTGGAAGCAACTTTGGAACTAGCAGAGGTTGGAAGAGTTTAGAGGGGTTGAAAGAAGATAGGAAGATGATGGAAAGATTGGAACTTCTTAGAGATTGGTTAAATGGTTGTGATTAAAATATTGATAGTGATATGAGCAGTAAAGTCCAGGCAGACAAGGTCTCCAGTGAAAATAAGGAACTTATTGGGAACTGAAGCAAAGGTCACTCTTGTTATACTTTAGCAAAGAATTTGGATGCATTGTGTTTATGCCCTAGAGATTTACAGAAGGTTAAGCTTAATTTCCCAAGAAATTTCTACAAAGCAAAGTGATCAAATGTGGCCTGGCTGCTTCTAACAACCTATGCTCAGATTCAGGAATAAAGAAACAACCTAAAGCTGGAACTTATATTTAAAAGGGAACCAGAGTGTAAAAGTTTGGAAAATATGCAGCCTATCCATGTGGTAGGAAAGAAAAGCCCATTTTCAGGGGAAGAATCCAGGAAGACTATGGAGCAACCAGAGATATTAGCACAACTAAAAAAGAACCAAGTGCTAACATTCAAGATAATGAGAGAAATGTCCCAAAGACATTTTGGAGATCTTCTAGGCAGTCTCTCACATCACAGGTCCAGAGGTCTAGGAGGAAATAATAGATGTGTGGACAAGGCCCATGGCCCCACTGCCCTACTCAACCTTGAGACACTGCTCACTGCATACAGGCTGCTCCAGCTCCATCCTTGGCTCAAAGAACTCTAGGTACAGCTTGGGCCACCACTTCAGAGGGTATAAGCCATAAGCCTTGGCAGCTTCCATGTGGTCTTAAGCCTACAGGCACACAGAATGCATGAGTGAAGAAGTCTTGACAGCTTCCTCTTAGATTTCAGAAAATGCATGATAAAGGCAGGGTCTCCAGGCAGAAGACTCATGCAGGGGCAGAACCACCACAGAGAACCTCTACTAGGGAAGTACAGAGGTACAATGTGAGATTGGGGCCTCCACATAGAGTGCTCA
Source organism: Homo sapiens (assembly GCF_000001405.40). Lineage (NCBI taxonomy): Eukaryota > Metazoa > Chordata > Mammalia > Primates > Hominidae > Homo > Homo sapiens. Next base: position 128,707,626 of record NC_000002.12, on the reverse strand, counting down.
CCAGGTCACTGCCTAGTGGAGCTGGGGGAAGGGGGTCATCACCCTCCAGATCCAAAAATGGTAGAGCTACCAGCAGTTTGCAACTTCAGTGTAGAAAAGTCACAGACTTTCAACTCCATCTTGTGATGGGCTGCACCCAGGGAAACCACAGAAGCAGTGCTGCCCAAGGCCTTGGGAGCCTACTCCTTGCATCAGGATGCAGGACATGGAGTCAAAGGAGATTATTTTGGAGCTTCAAGACTTAATGACTTTCCTACTGGGTTTCATACTCACGTGGGTCCTATAGCCCCTTTCTTTTGGCCAATTTCTCCCTTTTGGAACTGAGATGTTTACCCAAAGCCTATACTCCCATTGTATATTGGAAGTAAATAAATTATTTTGGTGTTACAGGCTCTTAGAGAGAAGGAGATGAGTCTCAGATGAGACTTAGGACTTTGGACTTGATGCTTAAATCAGTTAAAACTTTGGGGACTGTTGGGAAGAGATGACTATAGTTTGCAATGTTAGAAGGACATGAGACTTGGGGGGCCAGGGGAAAATTGATATGGTTTGGATATTTGTCCCCTCCAAATCTCTTGTTAAAATGTAACCCCCAGTATTGGAGGTGGGGTCTGGTGGGAGGTAGATAATGGGGGTGGATCACTCATGAATAGCTTGGTGCTATCCTCATGATACTGAGTTATTGTGAGACCTGGTTGTTTAAAAGTGTGTGACACTTCCCTGCTCATTCTCTTACCTCTGCTCTCAGTATGTGGTGACAAAGTGGTGGGCGGGGGCTGCTCCCCCTTTGTCTTCTGCCACGATTATAAGCTTCCTGAGGCCCTTACCAGAAGCTGAGCAGATGTTGGCGCCATGCTTCCTGTACAGCCTGCAGAACTGGGAGCCAATTAAACCTCTAGTCTTTATAAATTGCCCAGCCTCAGGTATTTCTTTACAGCAATGCAAAAATACACCCAGGCACACCGTAGTCAAAATGTTGAAAGACAAAGTAGCAACAGAAAAATTACTCATCAGTTAACAAGGAAACCACAATAAGATTAATAACTGATTTATCATCAGAAACAACAGAGGCCAAAAGAAAGTCAAATAACATCTGATATAATGAAGGAAAACAAGAAAAACTGTCAAGCAAGAATCATATGTCTGATAAAACTCTTCCTCAAAATTGAAGTTGAAATAAAGACATTCCCAGATAAAATTAGAGAGAATTAGTTGCTTGCAGACTCTCTTGACAAAAAATACTAAAGGAAGGTTTTCAGATTGAAAGCAAGTGACCCCAGATGGTAATTCAAATGCACACCCACAAAAAAAAGCACTGTTAAATTTTGTAATTATAAAATGCAGTAGAAATGCATAGTTCTTCTCCTAAATAATTCAAAATACTATTGTATAAATATTGTGTATAATTGGATTGTTGAGCCTATAACATGTAGAACTGTAATTATGTTTGAAAACAACAGCACAAAGGAAGTGAGCAGGGCTGTACTGAAGTAAAGAAATGACACTATATGTCACTCAAATCCACAGAAACAAATGAAAAGAACAAAAAATGGTAGCTAAGTGGGTTAATACAAAAAAACTCTGCAAGTTAATGCTCTCTCTCCTACTTTCCTCAGCTTTTTTCAAAAGATAAGATTATTTAAAATTATAAACAGGTTTTTTGGGTTCCTAACATGTATTAATGTAATATATAATAATAATATAACAAAAGGGAAGAAGAGAGGCTAGATTTATATAGGAGTAACATTTTTATATCATAATTGAGTATGTTAGTATAAATCCGAAGTGGATTCTGATAAGTTAAAATGTGTATGGTTAGCCCTAAAACCAACTACATCATTAAAAAGTCATTAAAGAAATGAAAATACTATACTCAAATATTTTCACTTAATACCAAAGACAGTAGTAAAGGAGAAATAGGGAAACCAAAACACGAGACATATAGAAAAAAAGATAGATATAAATCTATGTTAATAATAATATTAAATGAGAATAAATTAAACAGTTCAATCAAAAGGCAAAGATTTTCAAACTGGGTATATATATCTGGAGTTAGCCAAACTACAAAATATAACAGAGCAGTTCTCCACAAGATTGCCCTCACTTTTGACACCTACTACAAATTTTCAAGTTTCCTAAAACCACCCTCAGTTTCAATAATTCACAATAACAAATCAGAAAACTCACTGAAAACTATTATATTCCAATCATGGTTTATTACATGGAAAAGATACAGATTAAAATCAGCCAAAAGAAGAGACACATAGGGCTGGGTCTGGGAGCGTTCCAAATCCAGACTTTCTGGTATCCTCTCCTTGTGGTGTCATAACACGTTATTTTGTTGACACCATTGTACAAAGTATTGCCAACCAGGGAATCTTACCTGAGCTTTAGTGTTCAGAGTTTTTATAGGGACTTCATTATATAGGTATAATTGATTGATTGTTTGCCCACAAGGTTAAATTCAGTCTCCAGGTCAACTGATAGCCCAAATGACCCAAACGCTCCCTCACTCTAAATAACATGGTTGGTCTTTCTAGCATGGTCAGCCCCTAACCTAAGCCAAATGATTGGTCTTTCTGTTTTGGACAGCCACAACCCTAACACTGATGGGTGTGGCCAGCCCTAGTCTAAGATTTGGAGTAATTAGCTCCCGGCCAGGCGCGGTGGCTCACGCCTGTAATCCCAGCACTTTGGGAGGCCGAGGCGGGCGGATCACGAGGTCAGGAGATCGAGACCATCCCGGCTAAAACGGTGAAACCCCGTCTCTACTAAAAATACAAAAAATTAGCCGGGCGTAGTGGCGGGCGCCTGTAGTCCCAGCTACTTGGGAGGCTGAGGCAGGAGAATGGCGTGAACCCGGGAGGCGGAGCTTGCAGTGAGCCGAGATCCCGCCACTGCACTCCAGCCTGGGCGACAGAGCGAGACTCCGTCTCAAAAAAAAAAAATTAGCTCCCAAGACAGTTCTTTCAAGTTTTATGTAGAGTATCTCCCAGAAGCTTAGGGCAAAGGCTAGACATTTTATCAGACAATGCCAAATTCTTTACCACACTAAATACACACACATACACACACATACATAATAATTACAAACATATGTATACCTACCAACAAAACCCCAAAATACACAAAGCAAAAACTCACAGAATTACATACAATATTGACAAGTTACAATAGCAGTTGGAGAATCCAGTACCAAACTTTTGATAATAAATAGAACAACTAGGCAGATTAAGAAACAGAATAAATGAACAACACTATGAACCAATTAACAGATATCTATATAATACTCCACCCAACAATAAATAAACAAACATTACTTTCAGAATGAAACATTCTTCAGGACAGACCAAGTGCTAGGTTAGAATACAAGCCTCAATCAATTTATAAGAATTGAAATCATATAAATTATTCTCACCCACTACAATGAAATGAAATTTCAAATCAAAAACAGAAAGAAATTTGGGAAATTTACAAATATGTAGAAATTAAACAGCATACTCCTAAATTACCAGTGTGTCAAAAAAGCAATCATAAAGGAAGTTAGAAAATGCTTTGATATAAAGGAAAATGAAGACATAATTTACCAAAAATGTTCAAGATGAAGCTAACGCAGTGCTCAGATGGAAAGTTGCAAGTGTAAATGTCCCAATTAAAAACAAAGATCTTCGAATCAACAACCAAACCTTACCCTTTAAGATATCTGAAAATGAAAGGCAGTCTAAACCTAAACCTAGAAGGAGGAAAGAAACCTAAAGATTATAATAGAAAATATTGAAATAGAGAATAAAAAACAACAGGGAAAATCAGCAAAATCAAAAGTTTATTCTTTGAAAAAATCAACAAAATTGATGAATATTTAGCTAGACTGATCAAAAGAAAAAAGAGAAGGTTCAAATTGCAAAAGTCAATTAAAGTGGCAGCATTACTATTGACCTTACAGAAATAAAAAGGACTGTAAGGGAATATTGTGAACAACGGTATGCCAACAAATCATATAACTTAGATGAAATGAACAAGTCCCTAGAATACACAAACTACTGAAGCTAAAAAGAAAAAATAGAAGTTCTGAATAGATATACAATAAAGATATCAAATTAGTTACTGAAAAAATTTCCACAAAGGAAAACCTGAGCCTACAAGGCTTTATTGGGGAATTCTACCAAACATTTAAAGAAAGATTAATACCAACTATTTACAAAGTATTTCCCAAAAAATAAAAAGAAAGGAATGTTTTCCAACTCACTGTATGAGATAGTATTGCCATAGTACCCCAACTATATAAAGTCATCACAAGGAAAGAAAATAACAGACCAATTTCTTTTTTGAATTTAGATACAAGAATCCTTAACCAAAACTGGGAACCTAAATCCAGACATATTTTAAAAATATACACCACTACTAAGTGGAATTTATCCTAGGAAGGTAAGGTTGTTTTAACATGTGAAAATTAGTTAATGTAATACACAGTATCAATAGACTAAAGGACAAAAAACTCATGATCATCTGATCATCTGCATAGATGAAGAAAAAAAGAATTTGGCAAAAATCCCATATCCTTTCATGATAAAACCACTTACCACCTAGGAATAGAAGAAAACTTCCTCAATCTGATAATGGGTATTAGTTTTAAAACTCCAAAGCTAACATCACGCTTAATGGTAAAAGACTAAATATTTTTCCTGCAAGACAGAAACAAGACAAAGATGTCTGCTGTCACCACTTCTATTCAAGATTGTACTGAAGTCCTAGCAAGGCAATTAGCCAAAAAAAAAGAAACAAGAAAAAAAGAAAAGTCATCCATATTATAAAGGCAGAAGTGAAACTATTTATGGTTTTGGATGACATATCCTTGAATACAGACAATCCTAAGGAACCCTCTCTCCAGATCTACAGAACCATAAAACCATAAAACTATTTTGGCAAATGTTGCAGGGTACAAGATCAGTATACAAAAATCATTTGTAATCCTATGTACTAGCAATGAACAATTCAAAAATGAAATTAAGATTGCATTCCCTTTATAATAGCATCAAAGTGACAAAAATACTAAGGAATAAATTTAATGAGTGAACACAAAACTATGAAACATTGTTGAAAGAGATTAAAGAAGACCTAAATAAATTGAAAGATTTCCCACATTCATGAATCAGAAGACCTAATACTGTTAAGATGTCAATACTTCCCAAATTGATCTAAATTCAACGCAACAAGTTAGGTTTTTTGCAGAATTGACAATCTGATCCCAAAATTCATAAAGAAATTCCAGAAAGCCAGAATTTTCAGAACAATCTTTGGAGAAAAAAGAAAGTTGTAGACTCCCATTTTATTATTTCAAAACTTACTATAAAGCTAATGAAGACAGTATGATATTGGCATAAGGATAGAAATACAGATAAATGGAATAGAATTCAAAGTCCAGAAATAAGCCTTTACATTTACAATCAAGTAATTTTTTACAATGTTGCCAAGAAAACTTAATAAGAAAAAGAATAAACTTTTCAAATAATGGTGCTGGGTCAGCTGGATATCGACATGCAAAAGAATGAATTTAGTGTTATTTTTCACAGCATACAGTAAAACTAAGTCAACTGGATCACAGACTTAAAACTAAGAGCTAAAATTATAAAAACATCTGGGAAAAATATAGTAGTAAACCTTCACAAGCTTTGGTTAGGAAAAGCCTTCTTAGATATGACACCAGAAGCACAAGTAAAGAAAGAAAAAATAGATAAATTGAACTTCATCAAAATTTAAAACTTTGATGCTTCAAAGGACACCATGAATGAAGTGAAAGGACAACTACATAATAGGAAAACATTTTTGCAAATCATGTATCTGATGAGGAGCTTGTATCTAGAATAGATAAAGGACCCTTATTACTCAATAGTATAACACAAATAACCCAATCAAAAATCTAGGAAAAAGATCTGAATAGACATTTCTTCAAAGAAGATATGCAAATGGTGAGTAAGCACATAAAAACATGCTCAGCATTATTAGCCATCAGGGAAATAAAATCAAAATTACACTTCACTCCCACTAGAAAGGCTTTAATTTAAAAAAAAAAAAACAGAGTAACAATTATCAACAGGGATATCAGGAAACTGGAATTTTCACGCATGCTGATGAGAATGTAAAATGGTGAAGCCACTTTGAAAAACAGCTTGGAAGCTTCCAAAAGCGTTAAATATAGAATTACAATATTACCCAGAAATTCCACTCTTGCATATATTTCATTTCCTTTGGATATATGCTGAGAAGTGGGATAGCTGGATTTTATGGTAGTTCAATTTTTAATTTTTTCAGGAACCTGTATAATGTTTTCTATAATGGCAATACCAAATTTACACTTGCACCAACAACGTACAAAGATTCTCTTTCCTCCACACTCACATCAACAGTTGCTACCTCTTATTTTTTGATAATAGCCATCCTAACAGATGTGGGGAAATATCTAATTATGGTTTTGATTTGCATTTCCCTGATGATAGTAATATTGAACACTTTTACATATACCTTTTGGCCATTTGTACGTCTTTGAAAAATGTCTCTTCAAGTCCTTTGCCTGTTTGGAGAGGTTTTTTGTTTGCTACTGATTTGTATGAGTTCCTTAAATATTTTGGATATTAACCCCTCATCAGATATATGATTTACAAATATTTTCCCCCATTCCGTAGGTTGCCTTTACATTTTTTTAATGTTTCCTTTGCTGTGCAGAAGCTGTTTAGTTGATGTAGCACCACTTATTTATTTTTGTTTTTGTTGCCTGTGCTTTGGAGTCATTTTTAAAAATCATAGCCAAGATCAACGTCAAACAGCCCTTTCCTTATGTTTTCTTCTAGCAATTTTATTGTTTCAGGTTTTACTTTTGAGTCTTTAATCCATTCTGAGTTAACTTATCTGTATTGTGTAGGATAAGGGTTTGATTTTATTCTTTTGCATGTGGATATCCAGTTTTCTCAGCACCACTGAAGACAGTGTACTTTCCCCATTGTGTACTTTTGATGCTCTTGTCAAAGATTAGATGACTGTATATGTGTGGCTTTATTTCTGGGCTCTCTATTATATTTCATATGTCTACATATCTGTTTTTATGCCAATATCATACTGTACTGTTTTCATTACTACAGCTTTGTAATGTTGTTCGAAATTGGAAAAAGTGATGCTTTCAACTTTGTTCTTCTTACTCAAGATTGCTTTGGCTTATTTGGGGTCTTCTATAGGCTCCATACAAATTTTAGGATTTTTTTTCTATTTCTGTAAGAAATGACATTGAAATTTTGATAGGGATTGCACTGAATCTGTAGATAACTTTGGAAAGTATGAACACTTTAAGAACACTGTTTCTTCCAATGCATGAACGCAGGATATCTTTCCATTTATTTATGTCTTCTTCAACTTCTTCATCAATGTCTTATAATTTTAATATATAGATTTGTTCACTTCCTTGGTTAAATTTATTTCAAAGTATTTTATTATTTTGATGCAATTGTAAATGGGATTGTTTTCTTAATTTATTTTTCAGATAATTTGCTAATTAGTATATGAAAATGCAACTGATTTTTGTATGTTGATTTTGCATCTCACACCTTCACTGAATGCATTTATTATTTTAGACACTTATTTGGTAGATTCTAATGGTGTTCTGTATATAAGATCACATTTTCCACAAACAGAAAAATTTTACTTCTTCCTTTCCAGTTTGGAGGCATTCTGTTTCATTTTCTTTCCTGATTGCTCTGGCTAAGACTTCCAGTACTGTGTTGAATGGAAGTGGTGAGAGTGGGCATCCTTGTCTTGTTCCTGATCTTAGAGAAATAGTTTTCACCTTTTTATGGTTAAGTGTGATGTTAGCTGTAAGCTTGTTATATATGGCCTTTATTACATTGAGGAGTATTCCTTCTATAGCTAATTTGTTGAGAGTTTTCATTATAAAAGAATGTTAAATTTTCTCAAATGATTTTTCTGCATCTATTGAAATGATCATACCATATGCACAAATTTTTATTCCTCATTCTGTTAATGTGGCATATGGTGTTTATTGATTTGCATAAGTTAAATCACCCTAACAACCTAGAGATAAATCCTGCTTGATCATTGTGTATGATCTTTTTAATGTGCTGTTTAATTTGGGTTACTAATACTTTGTTAAGAATTTTTGTATCTAGGATCACCAGGGATATTGTCTTGCAATTTCTTTTCTTGTAGCATCCTTTTCTGGCTTTGGTATGAAGATAATGCTGACCTCATAAAATGAGTTTGTAAGTGTTCTCTGCTCTTCAATTTTGTGCAAGACTTTGAAAATGATTGGCATGAATTCTTCTTTAAATGTGTGTAGAATTCACACATGAAGCTATCTCATCCTGGGATTTTCTTTGCTGGGAGGTTTTTCTATTTGTTTGGATTTTTATATTTTCATGATTCAGTCTTGGTAGATTGTATGTTTCTGGGAACTTTTTCTAGGCTATCTAATTTGTTGGCACATAATTGTTCATAGTATTCTCATGAGCCTACAATTTCTGTGGTATCAGTTGTAATGTCTCTTCTTTCATTTACAATTTTATTTATTTGAATCTATTCTTTCTTTTTATTTATTAGTCTAGCTACACACTTGTAAATTTTATTTATCCTTTCAAATTATCAACTTTTAGTTTTATTGATCTTTTTCATTGCCTTTTTGGTCTATTTTTAATTTATTTCTGCTCTAATCTTTATTATTTCTTTCTTTCTGCTTTGTCTCAAGGTATTTTTCAATTTACCTTTTGATTTCTTCTTTGACCCTTTAGTTGTTCAGGAGTATATTGTTTAATTTCCATGTATTTATAAATTTTCCAGTTTTCCTCCGGTTATATCAGTATGCAAATTATATCTCAAAAAAGCTGGAAGTTTTTTTTAATGAGACATACATACAAAGGCTATCTGTTCAATTTTTGGCCCATTCACATATAGGACAATTTTTTTACTCTTAAGCAAAATTGCTCTGTTTACAGTATATCAATGAACTAATCTGTCTTAATATGTTTGAAATTTTTCAGATACAATGTGTATAAAGATAACAGTTAAGCTCTGAAAGTGAAAACTTTATGTATTACAGATAATCTAAAGCAAAACAGTGAAGTAGTTTCATATATTTGTAACAGAGTTAAATTGTTTTGTCTGCCAGGTGCTCAAGCTTATAATACCAGCACTTTGGGAGACTGAGGCGGGCAGATTGCCTGAGCTCAGGATTTCGAGACCAGCCTGGCCAACATGGTGAAACCCCATCTCTACTAAAAAAATACAAAAAAATTAGGCGGGCGTGGTGGCATGTGTCTGTAGTCCCAGCTACTTGGGAGGCTGAGGTGGAGAATCGCTTGAACCGGGAGGTGGAGGTTGCAGTGAGCCGAGATCACACCACTGCATTCCAGGCTGGTGAGAGAGCAAGACTCCATCTCAAAAAAAAAAAAAAAAAAAAAAAAGAATTTATGTCCTTTGCAGCAACATGGATGCAGCTAGAGGCCACTATTCTAAGCAAATTAACACATGAACAGAAAACCAAATACCTCATATTCTGACTTACACATGGGAGCTAAACATAGGGTACTTATGGACATAAAGATAGCAACAATAGCCACTGGGAACTACTAGAGTGGAGAGGGAAGGAAGAGAGTAAGGGTTGAAAAACTACCTATTGGATACTGAGAGGTGAAGCCAGCTGGACTTCCTGGGTCGAGTGGGGACCTGGAGAACTTTTCTGTCTAGCTAAAGGATTGTAAATGCACCAATCAGCACTCTGTAAAAACGCACCAATCAGCGCTCTGTGTCTAGCTAAAGGATTGTAAACACACCAATCACCACTCTGTAATACTCGCAGCAAAGGTCCACGAAGGTCTGTGGCTTCACTCCTGAAGTCAGCAAGACCACAAACCCATCGGAAGAAAGAAACTCCAGACACATCTGAACATCAGAAGGAACAAACTCTGGACACACCATCTTTAAGAGCTGTAACACTCACCATGAGGGCCCGTGGCTTCACTCTTGAAGTCAGCAAGACGAAGAACCCACCAGAAGGAGTAAATTCCGGACACAATACTATGCTCAGTACCTGGGTGATAGGATCAATCATTTCAAACTTCAGCATCATGCTGTATACCCATGTAACAAGCCTGCATAAGTACCTCCTGAATCTAAAATAAAAGTTGAAATTATTAAAAAAAGAATAGAATAAAATAAACATCAATGACAATAACCACTTGTCTCACATCTCACCAGTACCATCTATTTTTTTCATTATTGTTTTTTAAACCTATGTCAGCTTAATAGGTGAAAAATACTTTTGAAAAAAACATTCATGCATTTGAGCTAGAACATTTTTTCCAAGTGCCTATTAATAAGTTATTTAAATATCTATTTCCTATAGTCATAGATTCGTTTAAAGTTTCTTTGTAGTAGTGCTCTTATATATTTAATTTTACATCTTGATTTTAAAAACAATAGTTTAACATAACACCACTTTGTATGTGAACTCAAATAAGCTTAATTTTCACTGCTATGTAACTGCCTTTTTGTGGTTATATAACAGATTACTGAATTATTTCTCTGATACTAAGCATTTTATTGTCTTTTCTTACACACACACATACACATATGCCAGCAATGACAATAATGCTCTTGTCATGAAACTATGTCTACGTTTAAGTTATTTATCTAGAAAGATGACTAGAAATGAAAATGCTGATGCTAAAATATGAATTTTTCTCTATGCTTAACGCAACTTACCTTCCAAAAGGCTTGTATTATATTAATTCCCCCATTTCCTCCAAATCCTCCATTTCCCCCAAATCTTGAGTGCTTTGAATATTACCCTTTTAAAATGAAAATACACGTGTATTCTTAATGACAAGTAAATCAACTGGTCTAAAGAAACCTACAAGAGAGACCTGCACCACTGCGTTACACTGTGTGTAACCAACCAGCAGATTGTTTGCGGCTTTACACCCTGTCTCTGCTCAGGGCAGAGTCCACGCTTGTGCTGCTCACACTGACCACACACTACGCTGCACGGCTTCTGAGGAGATGGTCAGTCCTAGGATGTGATGTGCCTTCTATCAGTGGCTGGTTCTGGACACCTGCTTCCAGTGCCATGCTCTAAACAAGGAATGCATTTTCCCAGTGGCATGGGTAGCTTTAGGCAGTGTGCCAAGCATATCCTGGTACTGGCTCCCCCCAGAATACAGCACATACAAACTGAAGGTAAGGGACAAAAGGGCCCTTCTTCCAGATCATTCTAAAACCTGTTCTTGGAGTTTCCTGCCACAGCCTCCACAGTGATCTCCACATGTCCAGCAACAAGAAGAGAAGGAAAAAATCAACCACATGCTTCACCACAGAGCACCCCTGAATGGACCCTGGAGCTGGGGCAGAAAAGTGTTCATCAGAAGAAAACAGCCTTTCATCAGAGACAGTGCCCTGAGAGACACGTGTTCACCCCGTTTTCTGCAACTTAGAGTAACATTTGCTACAAATGTGCTGAAGAGCATCTTCAGAGGAAAGAGCAGTGTGGCTGAGCACCATGCACAGCCTAATTGGAAGAGTATTTCTGGAAGAGTACACCATATGCTTTACATTTGCATCCCGTCTATAAATATCCCAGGAACAACTTGAGTCCATAAATACTGTATTCAGAATGCTTTGCTGGAAACATCTTTCACTGCTCAGTCGTCTGTTTACCAATGTGACTGTTCCTTGCCCCACTCGTCATGCAGAATCATCCCCAAGGTCGGAGTCATGTTGGGAAGCGAGTGGGTGCCACAGAGCCAAGGGTGGCCGGGCAGCCTCTCCTCTGTGCCATTTGCTTTGGTCTTCTTCCCCATCCAGCTCTCAGGCCACCTCCAGGTGGAAAGTGACAGAGGATACCTCCTTAGCAAAAGCCTGGATAAGAACACATGGAATCTTTAATGAAACCCTAAAGAGACTGCAATAAGGGAAGAGCCCTGTGCATTTGCAGAGCTAACCTTTATCCAGGGTATCCATGTGCCATGGACAGTGCAGGAGCTGTCTTCACTGTGAATCTGTTCTGCTGGAATTATGTTTATTCTGCCAATGAGAAACCAGGACTTGACAAGATTAAGAATCTCACCTTATGAACAAGCCAGGATTCTAACCTGGAGTTTATATCAAGCCACACTCATAACAGGTGGCGAGACTGGCAAAACCCGAAGTATGTCTATCCATCTGCCAAAGGATTAGGAATCACCACTATTTGCGGTTCGAAAAAGTGACTTTATAAGCACACTCTTATTCTCTACTTAGAGTTCCTAGGAAAGGGATTTGGGAGAGATGTCAGTGGCTCTATTTTTCAGGCAAGAAATGTGAGGCTCAGAGAGACTTACAGATACACAGTTGGTAGAGAGTAGATTTAGGAGTTGAATTTTGATTTGCCAACTTCTATTTCAATGTCCTTTCCACATGCTTAGGACACAGATGTTATTTGGGAGGAGTAAATAATCAAGCCCTGACCAGCCCGTAGCATCTGAGAACACATCCAGGAGTCAGGTCGGCTTTCAGGCCCCATGCTCTGTGCATGGGGCGCTGGGTTTGGGCCGCTTTGGAGGTCAGCAGGTGTGAAAGCCAAAAGCCTGTGGCATGGAGTTCTACCAAGAGCAGGCAGCCCCACAGAGGGAACGTGCTAGGAACCTTCTAGATGCCTGGGGAGAGGTCCAAGTGGAAGAAAAAAAGGGGACATAAAGAACGATTTGTCGAGTTAACCCTGTAGTATTTTCCACTCTCCACAACTGAAGCTCTGGGATGGCAGGGGCAGTCTGCCTCCTTCACTCCAGCATGCCACCTGTGGTACAGTCACTTCTGAACGCATGAATGAGGCAAACCCTGTGAGACCCACATGCTGCCCGACAGCCACTGGGTGCTGCATGTCACAGCACCGCAGAGTGTCAGGGCTAAAGTGTTTGCCATGGCCACAGGCAGGGGCCAGAGACCAGACGGCAACGCTGCGGGGCAGCATCACCCCAGGGGAGGCCTGAGGCCAGCACACACCGGGTCAGGAGGAGCCTCGACTACCCTTGCAAAAGTAAACAGCGGCTGGGCACGGTGGCTCATGCCTGTAATCCCAGCACTTTGGGAGGCTGAGGCAGGTGGATCACCTAAGGTCAGGAGTTTGAGACCAGCCTGGCCAACATGGCGAAACTCTCTCTCTACTAAAAGTACAAAATTAGCCGGGCATGGTGGCAGCTGCCTGTAATCCCACCTACTCTGGAGGCTGAGGCAGGAGAATCGCTTGAACCCTGGAGGTGGATGTTGCAGTGAGCCGAGATCGTGCCACTGCACTCCAGCCTGGGCGACAGAGCAAAACTCCATCTCAAAAAAAAAGAAAGAAAAAAAGAAGTAAACAGCATGACCCACTGAGCCTGTCCACACTGCCAGTCCATACACAAAGGCCAGCTTTATCTAACGGGGTTTCCAGGGCACAGGCCTCTGCTCACACAGCCTGACATTCTAGGGGGAAGCGGCAATGAACAAGAAACCCACAAGGACATTTCACATGGACTCGGTGCCATGAAGAAAAACAGAGTTAGGTGCTGGAAAACTCCTGGCAGGCAGGTGTGTGAGCCGGGCGGCAGGATGCCTCTTTCAGAAGGGGACACTGGCAGGGAGAGGCACTCCGGGGGTCAGCCTGCCAGGTCAGAAACACAAGGAAGTTTCAGGTGGCCACAGTAGAGCAAGTGAGGTGGAGAAAGAAGCCAGAGCTGTCTGGCCGCATCGTGGTGAGCCTCGGGAGCCAAAGGCCAGGCCTGGCACCTTCCTCCGACTCTGAGGGGACCTGAGGGGTGAGGGTAGATGGCCTGCAGCCTGCTTTTCTAGGGCCATGCTGGGTCTGCTGGGAAATAGGCTCCAGTGAGCATCTGCAGCCCCTTCACTCACTAGGAATTTTTGGACCTGCTGAGGCTTTTCCCACCTGCTCCTGTCTTTCCGGGCTGCTCTTTAACAACCTTGCCAGGGAGTTACTCTGACAGAGAACGTCATTCTTCTCATGCCCCAACCTAACCACTCCTGGAAAAGAGTCCAGAATCTCCTAGATTTCCTTAAAAAGGCAAAACTGGGAAGCCAACCAGCAAAAACATCACAGGCCACTAACTTACAGCCATGGAAACGGAAGGAATATGGACTGGCATGGAGGGGATGCAGGATCACCAAAGGAAAGACCCACATCAGCTGGGCAGACTCTTCCCAGGGGCCTGCACCAGCAGACTGCACCAGCGCCAGTCGGCACCAGGGAGCACCTATACCTGTCAGAGAGGACGGCCACTGGAATTCAGCGCAGTGATGGATGTGAAATGAGGCTGAGAAGCCAGCAGTGTCCTTAGGAGATTTTTGGAGCCAGGAATGTTGGAGCGGGTTGATAATTTGAGCCCCTTGGGAATGCCAGTCTGCCATGGGCCTGACATCCCCGCACAGTCTTGCTGGTGTGCTGGACTGTGTGGACGATCAGTCTCTAGAGGCCGATCAGTCTCCAGAGGCTGAGCAGTCTCCGTGGCATCTAAGTAGGTCAGGGCGAGCACACCATGACCACTGGCTACCATGTGACCACTGCCTGCTGTGAAGTTTGCTACTTAATCAAAAAGTGACAGCCCAGGCCAGGTGCAGTGGCTCACGCCTATAATCCCAGCACCTTGGGAAGCCAAGGTAAGTGGATCACCTGAGGTCAGGAGTTCAAGACCAGCCTGACCAATACGGTGAAACCCCATCTCTACTAAAAATACAAAAATTCTGAGACAAGAGAATTGCTTGAACCTGGGAGGCAGAGGTTGCAGTGAGCTGAGATCATGCCACTGCACTCCAGCCTGGGCGACAGAGCAAGACTCCATCTCAAAAAAAGCCAAAACAAAAGTGATGGCCCTTGGCCTGGATTCCTCGGCTGCAGCACAAACCCACTGCCTGCATGACATACATGTGGGCCCATTGCACCGCCTCCGTGGGACCTGGGGACAAGGAAACCAAAAAACCATGCAGATGCTCCGGCTGCTACTTTTACTATGAGAAATATAATCTTTCATCTCCAGTCCAGGAGGCTGTTTTTTTCTGACAGCATTCATGACACTAACTTGTCAGCATATTTGAGTCGAGTGAAATCTCAGACTCAGACCTCACCAGTCTTGACATTGACCTCTCAATTATATCCTAACTCCATCTTTTTAAAGAGGCCAGAAGACATTCCTAACACCCAAGGCAAATGGGAGGAGTATTGGAATCTGTTAGAAGCACATTAGTGGCTGTTCTCTGGAGGACAGGGTGCAGGTGTGGGGAGCTATAGGGAGAATGAGGTCCCCGATTTAAATGGAGGTACCAAGAGGCAAATGGCAAAAGCCAAGCCCTGGCACTGCTCTGTCGGAAGCAGGGAAGGCACAAAGACCACAATGAGCAACCGGATTTGTGGGGGCATCACGAGGCTCTGCTTCTGGTTAATTAATCGTGGAACGTAAGGACCAGTGCAGATCCATTAGCCCAATAAGGTTGTACCTGCATAACACAAACAAAAGCAATGAAAACACTGCCCACTAGGTTAAAAGAAGCCTCTGCTGAGCCCCAGATTGGAGGGAGATCCACAGCTTCCCACTGGAATTGCAGACCTGAGTGAGGCTCCTCTCAGCTCATACGACAGTGCACTGCTTAGCTACGTGCAATAGCTAAGCAAGTCTGAGTCTGCTCTTTCCTGACACACAAGAATTGAGTGTGCCGCTCACCCACACCCAGACCTGAGTCTGAATCCCAAACTTATCCTAGATCCACATCTCCCCTTCACTGTCACTCAAAGCCTGAGTCTTCTGCTCACTCACGCCCAGACCTAAATCAGCCCTTTAACTACATGCCAGACATCAGCCTGCTGCTCATCTATCCCCCAGAGCTAAGCCACTTTCTAAATGGACGTTTACAAAACAATGTGGTGAGCAGCAGGAGCCAGAAGTCCGTGTGAGTGGCTGCCAATCTCTTCTGCTAGCCCTCTTTTCAGAGTTACCAAGTTGAGACATATGCATTTAGTCATTTAAAAATACGACTACCTTCGGTGTGCTGGACACTGTTCTAGTCACAAGAAACATAGAGGTGAATGAGTCAATCCCCTGCCCTTACTAGACTAATAATTCTAGTGGGAAATTTAAAAATTAAATTTATTTGCAATGGTCTGCATCCCTGTTTCTCAGAATTTTGGCAAGAACTTCATACTGAGGCCAATGGCTGCCGAGTATTTCTACATTGCACAGCTTTAGACGGTCACATCCCACCTTCAACCCACGTGAGACAAGCCCAGAGGCTCCTTACAAGCAATAATTTCTTTAGCGATTACAGAGTTTTGTGGGCTTCTCAGTACCTCAAGCCTGGCCAAATAAGAGGTCCCCAGAGAATCGCTGTGAAGAGTTTGGATTGTCTGCTATCAGGGCCGCTGCATCCCAGCTGGGTGAGGGCTGTTTTGAGACTTCTGGACCCCATGCCGTCTTAGGAGAAGAGCCCCTAACAGTCCTTGAGAGGGTAGGACAACCGTCCCCTGGATGTGGAGGAGGGCAAGACAGGAACCACGTGGGGGAACGAGGGAGGAGCTGGCACTGCTGGAGTCTGGTGGGGCAAGAATACGGGTGTTTTCCTGGCAGGGTGGTTCGTGATAAGGTTTGTGGAGCCCTGAATGGTCTGGGCTCCATCATGTTAATTCCCTGCTTCTCAAGAGGGCTGCGTCCCCAGGTGAGAAGACCCTGAGGTGGGGCTTCTGTTCTAGGGCCCGGGGTGGTGCAGGAGACCCTCCCAGGAGTTTCCATCCCTGAGTGCCATAGAGGAGCTAGGACGCTTTAGTGACCAAGAGCTTTGACAAGAGAGAATTGCCCAGAGAGCCAGCACAGCAAGAAGCCCCTGTCTCCTTCTGATCCCTCTCCCGTGCCCCAGCCATGAAGGAGCAAGAAGGGGGTGGGGCGAGGAGGAGCCAGAGCAAGGGAGAGGCCATAGGCGCATGCGCTGCCCGAGGCCATAGGCGCATGCGCTGCCCGACCGGCACAGGGACAGGTGGGGACGGGGTGGGGTAGGTGGGGAACGGGGTGGAGTGGGTGCGGTGGGGTTCCATTCACTCTGTGATGTCCAGGGCTCTTCCTTGGTCATAACCTGGCACGTGGGGTCCCTTGAGCAAATCAGAGCTGCTGAAAATGTGCTGCAATGTGAGATGACTGATGGGATACAGTGTCAAGTGGTGGTTAGTGCTGTGACTCTACCCAAAGCCCATGAAGGCACGGAGAGTGGCCGCACTGAGGGGGTGGAAGGCCAGGCAGACGCTCACTGGCAGCGGTGAGCCACCGGAAGTAGGAGGGGAGTTCTCCACGCATCCGCCCCTCTCTCCCCTCTCTGCCCCCCAGCTCCGGGTGCAGATAAGTAGTCTTCATCTCGTCACCAGCCTGGACCACATCTGGAGCCTAGCTGGCCTCCCAGGCTCGTACCTTGCACTCCCCACACTGCCGTGCCCCTTCCAAAACACACATCTGAGCACACCACTCCTCCACTCCCCCTCTTCAGAAGCCTCGGTTTCACTTTAGAAGAAAGCCTCTAAGTCACTGGCGAGGCTAACGGGCCCAGGTGCCCAGGGCTGGGCTGACCCCTCTGACCTCCTCACTTCTCTCCCAGTGAAGTAGACATAAGTTTTATTGAGGACTTACATACGGGAGCAATCCAGTGGTGGTGGGCTGGGCAGGAGAACCACTAGCAGTTGTAAGAAGCACGCAGTTTATACAGCATTTCCACTTAGCACCCTCCGCCTAGCAACCACCATTTACAAAGAGCCTCTATTTCTTGCATGTCCTGTGTTTCAAGGAAAGGGACAGAGGTTCAGATATCCTTCATGGGAAAGGAGTGAATCCCTGGGTTGGCCACTCTGGATTCCCTGGCTAGGAACTCTGAATACACATTCTTCTTAGACCATAGAATCATTCTCTGAGTATGTTTCAATTATTGCTGTCAGGTGCATCTGCCATACACTGGGTCTCTTTTGCAATTCCAGAGCCGATTTACACATTAATTTTGAGGATGAGAGGGCCTGGATATCTCCAGTCATGTGATAAATGCATAAGAAATTAAAGCCTGAGGGTTAGGTGTTCAAAGCCAGCTCACAGCCTGGCGTATTGAGGTGAGCAGAGCTGGTCTGCAGGCTCAGAGTTCCAGTCCCCTGACTTCCCACTGCAGCCTCCAACATGGGCCCACCAAGCCCTTCTGCAAGACCCCAAGAGGTTCATTTCAAAACAAAAGGACTAGAGACTTTTGGTTTCAGTTCCAGCATGTGAAGAGCTTTGCAGTCATCACTCTTGTCCTTATAGCAACAGAAAGCTGGAAAACTGAAAATCAGCAACTTTCCTAGGACCCATCATGAAACTGAGGTTGCAAAACAAATAGATACCTCAAAATCCAAAGAGTCAGGTGCCCCCAGAGACAGAACTGAGACCTGCTTATCTGGAACAGAAGCTGCTAGGTCATTAACTGGGAGGAACACTTCAATGGTAGTTTTGACAAATTGCTGGAGGCTGAGTGTGGACTAGCATAAGAGGGAGAAACTACTGGGGCCACTGAGTTAAGAGTCCCTAAAATGTGTGGACTTTATATCTAGGGACGCCACAATGTCCTCATGGTGAAGATTCTAGAAGGATTCCCCTCCTGGCTCTGGCAGGGAGATGGGAAGAGCAATCATTGTGACATCCGCCCAGGGCCTCCCCCATAATAAAGGTCTATTCTTCAGGAGAAAGGACTTTGCCAGGACCTTATCTATGTTGGGGAAGGGAATTCCTCCCCCTCAATCCTCCCCAGGCTTCCTGGATCACCGGAGAGGGAGAAAACATTGGTCCATAAGAGCCACAGCTTCTGGGATGTAGATTGGAAATATCGCAGCCAGTGAAAGGTATAGGGTGCAGAGGAGAAAAAGCCAAACTGTACACCAACTCCTTCAAAGACCAACCCACCCAAGGAGAATGTCATGACCTGAATAACCCTATATCTAGTAAGTAATTTGAGTCAATTATTAATAACCTCATAAAAAAGTACTAGGCCCACATGTCCTTACTGGTAAATTCTACCAACATTTATGCAAAAAAAAAAAATATTGATTGTCATTCATCACAATCTCTTCCAGATAATAGAAGCAGACAGAGTACTTCCCAAGTGATCTATGAGGCCAGCATTACCCTAACAACGAAATGAGATGTGACATTACAAAAAAAGATAACTGCAGGGCTGGGCATGGTGGCTCATGCCTGTAATCCCAGCACTTGGGGAGGCCGAGGTAGGTGGATCACCAGAGATCAAGAGTTTGAGACCAGCCTGACCAACAAGGTGAAACCCCATCTCTACTAAAAATACAAAAATTAGCCGGGTGTGGTGGTGCATGCCTGTAATCCCAGCTAATCGGGAGGCTGAGGCAGGAGAATCGCTTGAACCTGGGAGATGGAGATTGCAGTGAGCTGAGATCGTGCCTTTGCACTCCAGCCTGGGCAACAAGAGTGAAACTCCACCTCAAAAAAAAAAAAAAAAAAAAAAAAAGATAACTGCAAACCAATATATCTGATTTTTTGAGCATAAGCACAAATATATCTGAGAAAATATTAGCAGAACAAATCCAACACCATATAAAAGGAATTATACACCACAACTAAATGAGATTTCTTCCAGGTATCCATGGTTGGCTCAACATTGTTCTGCCAGTCAGGGTTTTGCTGTTTTTGTTGCTAAGGCTGAGCTGGCCCTTGAGGTCCTTGTGCAGTGCCCCCAGTCAGCTGTGCACCTGCTAGAGGGTCCCTTCAGTCATGGAGCTTTCACTGGCTCCCTTGCTGAGCAGGCTACACCGTCCCACCCCACGGAGCACGGCAGCCACCTGCTGCACCCAGCAACATGGTGGCCCAGGCAGCATGGCTCCCGACACTCTTTTCATGAAGAAGAAGCATCAAGAAACTTTCCAGGCTGAGATCCAATTCCCTGCTGAGGGTATAAAGGGAGATCCCTTGGCACCCTTGCTATAGAATCACAATCATGCTATCAGCTCCCACTCATGGAGCCCCTGGAGAGCCATGCCCTGACAGCATCCACCATCCCTGTGACATCAGGACCCACAGCTTCCCTGTACAGATGAGCAGCATGAGTGTGGAGGGTTGAGCTCACACGGCTGGAAAGTAGGGGAGATCAGCTCTAACTCACTTTTCCCTGCCCTGGCCCACTTCATACCACTCACACACTTCACATCTGCTAGCCCTGACTGGCATCTTCCCCAGTGGTCTCTGGTGCCCAACACTGGATGCTTATCCCAACACAGTGCCCTAAACCTCACAGACACTAGACGGGGGTGGGTCAGACTTAATTTATCAATGACAAAGCCTGGCAGTGAAGATGTTACTTTTCTACAACATACCGTCAAGGAGGCCATGGAGGGACTGACCAATTCTCTTGATGAATGACACCCTCAGAGACCCCCCCAAGCCTCCCCTGGCTGGGATCAGCCTCCCTGTCCTGGGCAGGGCTCTAACCCAGCAGCTTAGCTCTGCGCTCCCATGGCAGTGGCAGCAGCCCTGTGGCCAGAGCTCTCCGGGCACAAGGTCATGTTATAACCACTCAGTCCCACCCCAGTCTCCTGGAAGGGGAGGATTGTTGCTGGCTAGCTTTGCCTGTGAGGCCCACAGAGAAAGCCCGGTAGAAACAAATGGATGGGAGACTGGGTGTGGTAGCTCATGGCCATAATCCCAGCATTTTGGGAGGCCAAGGTGGGTGGATCACTGAAGGTCAGAAGTTCAAGACCAGCCTGGCCAACATGGTGAAACCCTGTATCTACTAAAAATACAAAAAAAAAAAAAAAAAGGGAAAGAAAGAAAGAAATGAATGGGTTGGGACATGCAGGCGGGGGACAGAAACGTCTCTGCTTGCCCAGAGCAGCTGCACTCAGCTTCAAGGAAGCTTCCCCACGTCTATGGGAAGTGGTTACAGCTTTCTAGTTACCATTCAACACTGCTTCTAACCACTTGTTTTTCTTCCTTCTTCCCCTCTCCGTTTCCCATAGACATTTTATTTTTGTACAGTCACCAAACTTTTCTAATTATAGCCAATGGGAAAGAAACCACATCCTACAGCTAGAGACACATTTTGTTCATGATTAATTAGAACTAATTGATTGGATACCTTGCCTAATGTGCGGTTTTATGGTCAGGTTGAAATGTAAACCCAATCCACCCAGCAGCACTCTCCGGGAGCAGAGAGGGTGTGGCTCAGAGGGGCTCCATCAATGAGGGTGTCATAGCACCCAGGCTGCGGTGATAAGCCTATGGGTACCCACCTGCCTGTCCCCCATCATGGGCAGGGGAAGGAGCCCCAGGATGGGGATGGCACAACTTAACTCAGTTCTGCCTGTCATTTAGCTGACTTTCTGTCCCAGGCACCCTGCAAGGTCTGGGGTTATAGTGGTGCACACGCCCTCCATGGGTCCAGTCTGATCCAGGGACAGCAAAGCGAGTAAGCAAGTATAAAACTATGTTTGGGGGCTGCAGGTGGTGGGAACATCAGCAGAACCTTGGGCCATCAGGGGCTGGCCCATCTCAGCACTGCCCACACGTGCACGGTCACTCTTCTCTGCGGCTGCTACTTCTGGGGTAGCTCTCTTCTTACAGAGTACTTTGCTAGACACGCCTTTAACGTTCTTCTTAACTCAGTCTTTCAGGACCAAAACTGACCCTGCTGTGAGGGAGGTTTGGCCTTTGGAGATGAAGTCAGAGAAAGCCCAGCTGGGCCTGTCCACGGCACAGAGTCAGGTCCATCGAGGTTGGCTTTCAAACCCTGCTGGGGCTATTTTGCTTTGGTTTTCACCAAACAAAACTTTGTTATATTTCACATTATATCCAGCTCAAATTTTTTTTTCAATCTCTTCACTTTAGAAGTTAGGACACTCAGGCAAATAGAGGGTAAGATCCTTGCTGCAGGCCCCAGAACTAGCCAGTTCATGTTTGACGGCAGTCATGATTCCCTTCTGTCTTGGGTGGGGCTGCCTCTTCCCAAGGACCCCTGGCTGAGAGAGGAAGGCCCTCCTGGAGAGGTCAGCCCTTCCTCCTGCTTCACATCCTCAGTCAAGTCAACAGGCCAGCAGAAGACGCCTTTCTCTCTCTTCACATCTCAGGCCAATCTTGTTCTCAGATTCATTAGAGGTGACTGTAGGCCCAAAATTAATGCACATTTACATCAGTTTCGATTAATAGGAAGTGCAATTCAAGCTGGCTCAAGTAATAAAATATCTCTTGTCTCTCACACTGGAAAGGTCTATGGGGAAGCATGGGTTCAGCATCATTAAATCAGATTTCTGTCTTCCCCACTACAGCCCTCCCAGTGCTGGCTGTTTCCTCAGACTAGCTTCCTTCCCAGTTGCAAGAGGGCCACCAGCACACAGGGCCATAGGGAAGCCCCTCCCTTAGCCACAAAACTCAACTCCTGATCTTGATGCTGCCTGGTCACCCCCTGTGGACAAGGGAGTGCCATGTGGGAACTGGCTCAGGCCTAGGGGAGAGGGACACAGGTGGCCTGAACCAGTCTCTACCCTTCAGCCCAATGGAGACAGGCAAGATACAGGGGCAACCACCATGTCTGCCATGCCACCACCTTCCCTGATCGTGCAAGATTATTAAAGGAAATTTTTCTGATTACATAAAAAATATAAAGTGGAAAATAAAGGTCAATCAACCTCACGTCAAGAGTTTTCTGCTGCAAACACTGAAGTGTGTTTTCTCCCTGTCTTTTGACAGTTTAATTTGATCCATATAATTCACTGTTCCTTTCTTCAACAGCCCAATTTTATTAGGAGTTGTACCCCTCCCTGGTGGGGGTCCCCCAGGCCTGGCCTGAGCCAACATACAGCAGCCTCTGGACTGGGGCTTGGTCCAGGTGGTGAAGTGACTCAGCCTGTCCCATCAGAGGGGGCCCTGGGCCCATTTCTTAGGATGCTGGGGCAGAGGTTCTCACTCTTCGTGAACCCTAGGACTGCTCTCATCCATAAGAAATCTTGCCTAACATCAGAATCAACACATAGAAAGGGGCCCTGAGAAGTGTAAACCTAACAACAGAGCCTGGTAACTTTGTTGGAGCCCCACCTACCCCAGGAGGCACAGGGAGGTGAGTCTTTTTGCCTAAACAAATTGGGTCAGGCTTTTCACCAAATGCATGAATTTTTCTTTTTTTTCATTGAGATGGAGTTTCGCTCTGTCACCCAGGCTGGAGTGCAGTGGCACGATCTTAGCTCACTGCAACCTCTGCCTCCTGGGTTCACGTGATGCTCCTGCCTCAGCCTCCTGAGTAGCTGGGATCACAGGCACACACCACCACGCTCGGCTAATTTTTGTATTTGTAGTAGAGACGGTGTTTCACCATGTTGCCCAGGCTGGTCTCAAACTCCTGACCTCAAGTGATCTGCCCACCTCGGCCTCCCAAAGTGCTGGGATTACAGGCGTGAGCCACTGAGCCTTTCCCAAATGCAAGAATTCTAACTGATACAACCTTTTCCACACATAGGCTGCTGGGTCCTTTATTTTATTTTATTTTTTTTTTTGAGACAGAGTCTCGCTCTGTCGCCCAGGCTGGAGTGTAGTGGTGGGATCTCGGCTCACTGCAAGCTCCGCCTTCTGGGTTCACGCCATTCTCCTGCCTCAGCCTCCCACGTAGCTGGGACTGCAGGTGCCCACCACTGTATTTTTAGTAGAGATGGGGTTTCACCGTGGTCTTGATCTCCTGACCTCGTGATCCACCCGCCTCTGCCTCCCAAAGTGCTGGGATTACAGGTGTGAGCCACAGAGCCCGGCCTTGCTGGGTCCTGTATTTTTAATGTAAATCTGTGTCTTCATCCCTAATCCTTTCCTTAGGCTATATCCCCAGGCAGAGAGCTGCTGAGTCAAGGGCTTAATTTTCAAAGCTTTGGATACAGACTCTCAAGCTGCCCTCCAGAAATGTTGGATCTCACTGCAGCAGGGCCATTTCCTCACCACATAATCAATGATAACTACGACGTTTTAAAAGGCTTTTTAATGCATTAGGTGAACTAATTCTGCATTCAATACATGTAATGAGTATACTTTACAATGCAAGATTAGATGGGTTTTCTCACTGTGCACAAGCTCATTCGGCCACTTTGCTCTGTAGGGCACCAGAAAGAGCCTGTGTCCCGAAGCCATACACACCTGGCTCCTGCCTCCGCCCAGCCACAAATTTACACATTCACGTGGAGTGGAAATGTGTCATTTGGGGATGGAGGCTGCCCTGCAGCATCCGAACGCCTACTTTTGCAGCGGGTTGAGAGGCTGAATATGTCTCTAGTGCAGGATTAAAGATCCAGATGTAGCAAGAAGAGCCGCAGACAAAACCTCTCAGACACCAAGTTAAAGAAAGAAGGGGTTTATTCGGCCGGGAGCATCGGCAAGACTCCTGTCTCAAGAGCCGAGCTCTCCCAGTGAGCAATTCCTGTCCCTTTTAAGGGCTCGCAACTCTACGGGGGTCCACGTGAGAGGGTCTTGATCAATTGAGCAAGCAGGGGGTACGTGACTGGGGGATGCATATACTGGTAATTAGAACGGAACAGAACAGGACAGTTCAGGGATCTTCACAGTGCTTTTTTATGCAAATAACCGATTAGGTCAGCTGTTGATCTTTACCAGGCCCAGGGTGTGGTGCCGGGCTGTCTGCTTGGGGATTTCATTTATGCCTTTTAGTTTTTACTTCTTTTTTCTTTGGAGACACAAATTGGGCGTAAGACAATATGAGGGGTGGTCTCCTCCCTTACAGGGACCTGCTTGCTCTGGGTCTACACAGCCACCATGGCCTATCAGAAACAGAGCACTGACTTGGAGTTGGGAGCCAGTGACCACAGGGCAAGCAGAGGGCCCAGCTCCCAGGACAGGGTCTTTGTGTGGTGCTGCTGGGCCCTGGTGTGTCCTGCCGCCTCCCTCATCCCTGCTCATCTACCAAACCTTGTTCTCCAGCACTCCTGGTGATTTTTCAAGCCTGTCCTATCTTTGAAATAAATCCCTTTCCTGTCTGAAACAGCCAGCCTGTTTCTCTTGCATGCAATCAAGAGCCCTGACTAATAGGGTTCCATCATAATCTCTCTGCGTGTGAGGAGGGCGCGCCACCCCCTCTCTGCACAGCAAGACCCTGGGGCCAGACCCCTCCCTCCAGGTTCCATCTCAGTGTCACTTCCTCATGGAAGTCCTCCCCGACTTCAGCCAGTTTCAAACCTGTCTTTCTTCCCCTAGTAATAGTGTTCAAGATTTGAATTGAACCGCTTGTTTTGTGTCTTTGTTTTGTGTCAGGTCCACACTGGCGTGACACATCTGTGAAGGTGGAATTCAGAGTCATTGGTTCCCTCCTGCATCCCAGGATCGAGTGTGGTGTTTCACAATAACTGTTTGTGGCATGAATGAATGATAATATGGTGCTGCAGATTCCTTTCTTAAAAAGAGTGCAATTACATACTAAACCACATGCAGAAAGACAGAAATGGGAACATTTAACCTTTCATGACTGTGACCTTTTTAAGAGAAACTTTAGACATATCTCTTTACATGATTGCAGTAAATGTATATCTCAGAACCCATCATGCCTTTTTAACAAGTTAAATCTACTTTTTATCCATTCATTACTTCTTCCCTCTTGGGTGACTCTGCAAGCCTCTTTTTTATGTAAATTATGTTCTCCAAAGGGCAAAGCACAGCATTCTTAAATGAATTTATTATCCAGAGACTTCACACATTGAGACCAACCTTGCCCTTGGTTACCTCTGACCAGTGAGGTTTCAGGGGTCCCTTCACACTGCAATCAATGCCAGGGCCTATAGGAGGTGCTGCGTGAGTCCTAGGACAGGGCATGTGTGGCCAGCAGCACCCTGGAAGCTACACTGCTGGAGCTCCCATGTCTCCCTGCTGCCCTCAGCATCCCTGCACCTCCACCTGGAGCTCGCGTATTTTACCTGTGTATGCAGACTCAAGCTACACTGATCTTTGAAATGTGGGCCGTCTCGAGTTTCCCCTTCCTTCCCATTCTCCTTGTTTGTTTTCTCAGCTCATGCCTGAGCTCCCAGAGCCTTTCCTCCACCTGTAGGTGGGAGTCCTTACTGCTGTGCTTACATCATTGTTTGAAATGCTTGTTCTCCGGTGCCATAAATTAATAGCACTTGAACATAAAAAAAAAGGCCATTTTTACTTTCTGCAGAAAGGTACACTCGCCAGCAGTTTTGCCCCGAGAGTACGCCGAACAAAGGAGACAGGGTCATTTATAACCTGACGTGTCCACCCTACTGCTGTGTCCGGTTTCCATTGGCTGGAAGGGGACCTCACTTTCTGTATTTGTCCCAATTGGTAGTAACTTAGAACTTTTTTAAAGAGGCAAAGGTAGAGGAGAACAAAGGAAGGAGAAAGTAACTTGTGGAATGCTAAGAAAGGTAAAAACACCTTCAAATAAGGAAGAGGAACAGGCTATGACCTAATGCTTTCTTGGACCAGTAGAAGCATGCCAGGGCAAACACTTAGGCTAAATTATGGGAGCTAAGAACATAAAGAACATAAAGGGCTAGCAGATATTTAAGAATGTTAGCACAAGTCTTTGAATAAATTTGCATTTAAGAGAAGTTACTATTTATCCCTAATTAGACGGAGAAGAAAGTCTTTGAAGAGGAAGCTCTGTTTTACTTTTTACAATCATCCTTTGTCAATTTTCACAATGCTTCCAATTAAAAGAAAACCCCAGCTGGGCGTGGTGGCTCACGCCTGTAATCCTTGCACTTTGGGAGGCCAAGGCAGGTGGATCACAAGGTCAGAAGTTCGAGACCAGCCTGGCCAACATGGTGAAACCCTGTCTCTACTAAAAATACAAAAATTAGCCAGGTGCAGTGGCAGGTGCCTGTAATCCCAGCTACTCCAGAAGCTGAGGCAGGAAAATCGTTTGAACCCAGGACGTGGAGTTTGCAGTGAGCCGAGATGGCGCCACTGCATTCCAGCCTGGGTGACAGAGCAAGACTCCGTCAGAAAGAAAGAAGGAAAGAAAGAAAGAAACAGAGAAAGAAAAAGAAAGAAAGAGAAAGAAAGAAAGATAGAGAAAGAAAAAAACAGAGAAAGAAAAAAAGAAAGAAAGAAAGAAAGAAAGAAAGTAAGAAAGGAAGGAGGGAGGGAGGGAGGGAGGGAAGAAGGAAGGAAGGGGAAGGGAAGGGAAGGAAGGAAAGAAGGAAAGAGAGAGAGAAAGAAAGGAAGAAAGAGAGGGGGGAGGGAGGGAGGGAGAGAGGAAGAAAGGAGGGAAAAAGGAGGGAAAAAGGAAGGAAAGGAAAGAAAGAGAAAACCCCCGGACTTTGTGAGCTTTCTCTTCCTCTGGCTTTCTCCTGGCTTGGTTAGCACTGTACTGGGGAGAGATCCCAGTTGTTTTACTCAGAGCCTTTGTTTTCTTTTTCCATTGTTAAATTTTTTATGTTTAAAATAATTTCAGATTCACAGGAAGTTTCAGGGGACAAAGAGGTCCCCTGTACCCTTCATTCAGTTTCCTATAAAAGTAACATTTTTCGTAGGATAGTGCAATGTCAAAACCAGGAAACTGACATTACTATAAAGTGTGTGTATAGCTCTGTGCCTTTTATCACACATATGTGCTCAGGCATCAACCACCACACTCGAGACACAGAACCGCTCCGTCCCCACAAAGCTCTCCCTTATGAAACAGTCGCGCCCACACCCGCCCCAATATCCCTCAACCCTGGCAGTGAGAATTTCATTTCAATCTCTATAACTTGGCCAGGCGTGGTGGCTCATGCCTGTAATCCCACCACTTTGGGAGGCCAAGGCGGGCAGATCACCTGAGGTCAGGAGCTTGAGACCAGCCTGGCCAACATGGCAAAACCCCGTCTCTACGAAAAACACAAAAATTAGCCAGGCGTGGTGGTGCATGCCTGTAATCCCAGCTACTCCGGAGGCTGAGGCAGGAGAACCGCTCGAACCCAGGAGGCGGAGATTGAAATGAGCCGAGATCATGCCACTGCACTCCAGCCTGGGCAACAAGAGCGTAACTCCATCTCAAAAAAAGAAAAAAAAAAACTCTATAACTTTATCATTTTGAGAATGTTTAATACATGGAGTCACACAGTGTGTAACCTTTTGAGACTGGCTCGATTCACTGAGCCCAATATCCTTAAGATCCATCAGAGTTGTGGAGTGTCTCAGCAGTCAGTTCCTTAGCATTGCCGAATCATTGCATGGAGTGGATGTACCACAGTTTGTTTAACTCTTCACCTATTAAGGAACCTGTTGGTTATTTCCAGTTTTTGGCCATCACAAGTAAAGCTGGTTTGAACACTGTGTACAGATTTTTGTGTGAGCATAATTTTTTAATTTATCTGGAATAAATGTCCAAAATTATTGCTGGGTAAATTCTATGTAGTTTTTTTAAGAAACCGCCAAACTATTTTCCAGAATGGCTGTGCCATTTTCCATTCCAACCAGCAATTGTAAGAGACCCAGTTTCTTCACTTCCTCATCACCATTTGGTATTGTCATTATGTTTTTAATTTAGCTGTTCCAATAGCAAAATGTAAATAAGAAATTAAACAGATGAAAAATAAGATCATCATCATGATCTTAAATTGCATTTCCTAGTAGCTAATAATGCTGAACATCTTTTCATGTGCTTATTGGCCATCTATGCATCCTCTTTGGTAAAATGTCTTTTCGTATTTTTTGCCTATATTGTAGTTGGATTGTGCTTTTTTAATGTTGGGTTTGAAAATTCTTCAGGTATTCTAGAGACGAATCCTTTGTCAGGTATGTGATGTGTAAATATCTTTTCTCAGACTGTAGCCTGTCTTTTCATCCTCCTTAACAAGACTTGACACAGAGCAAACGTTTTTAATTTTTATGCAGTCCAATGATCAATATTTTTATTTCAAGAAAACACTTTAGGTGTTAACTCTAACAACTCTTCACCAAGTCCAAGGTCCCAGAGATTTTCTCTTCTGTTATCTTCTTCTACAGGTTTTATAGTTTTACATTTTACTTTTAATTCTATGGTCCTTTTTGAGCTAATTTTGATTCTAGGTTGTTTTTTCCCCCATAGATGCCCAATTTCTCCAGCACCTATCCTTGCTCCATTGAATAGTGTAATAGAAACAACATGAGTGGATTTCAAAAGCATTATGCAAACTGAAAAAGAGTAGACATGGCTGGGTGCGGTGGCTCAGCCTGTAATCCCAGCACTTTGGGATGCCAAAGAGGGCAGATCATGAGGTCAGGAGATTGCGACCATCCTGGCTAACACGGTGAAACCCTGTCTCTACTAAAAATACAAAAAATTAGCCGGGCATGGTGGCGGGCACCTGTAGACCCAGCTACTCGGGAAGCTGAGGCAGGAGAATCGCTTGAACCCGGGAAGCGGAGGTTGCAGTGAGCCAAGATCATGCCACTGCACTCCAGCTTGGTGACAGAGCGAGACTCCATCTCAAACAACAACAACAACAAAAAGTAGATGTAAAGATTGTAACACTGTGTGGTTTCATGCTATGAAATTCCACAAACAGCAGAATTATGGCAATAGAAAGCAGACCATTGGTTACCAGAGCCAGGAGTAGCAGAGGGGAATGACTGCAAAGGGGCATGAGGAAATTTTAAGGAGTGATTAAATGTTCAATATTTTTATTTTGGTGATGGTTATACAACTATATACATAATATAAAACTCATCAAATTAAACACTTAAAATGGCATATTTTTGTTGTACATAAATTATACCTAAATAAAGCTGACACCACCTCCCCCAAAAAAATCAATTGGCTCTACTTGTGTGGAGAAATGTTGGGGTTCTCTGTTTTGTTTCATTGATGTGTTTATCCCTCCACCAAAGCCACATTCTCTTGATTACCATAGCATACTAAGTCCTAAAATCAGGTAGACGGAATCCTCCCATTTTATTCTTCTTTTTGCCAAGTGGTTACTTGTTCTAGATCTTTTACTTTCTATATAAATTTTAGAATAATCTTTTCTATATTTACAAAAAACTCCCTGGAATTTCAATATGTGTAGTGTTAAACCTATATATCACTTTGGATGGAATTGACACCTTAACAATGTTGAATTTTTCAATCCATGGAAATGATATATCTCTCTGTTTATTTATATCTTCTTTTATTTGTTTCTTCAGTTTTATAGTTTTCAGCATACAAAACTCATGCATGTTTGGTTATACCCAAGTATTTCATTTTTCTTGAGCAGTTGTAAATAGTATTATATTTTTATTTTAATTTCTACATATACATTTTGAGCAGGTAGAAATATGTTCTGTGTGTGTGTGTGTGTGTGTGTGTGTGTGTGTGGTGTGTGTGTGTGTGTGTGAGATACATTGTCTTACTCTGTCACCCAGGTTGGAGTGCAATGGCATGGTCTCAGCCCATTGCAACCTCCGCCTCCTGGGTTCAAGCGATTCTCCCACTTCAGCCTCCTTAGTAGCTGGGACTACAGGCATGTGCCACCACACCCCGCTGATTTTTGTATTTTTAGTAGAGACGGGGTTTCAGTATGTTGGCCAGGCTGGTCTTGAACTCCTGACCATGTGATCCGCCTGCCTCGGCCTACCGAAGTGCTGGGATTACGGGCTTGAACCACTGTGCCTGGCCAGAAATATATTCATTTTTGTATGTTGGATTCATATCCTGGAACCTTGCCACATGCACTAATTAGGTCTAGGGGACTTTCTACATAGACTGTCATGTCATCTGCATATAGAAATAATTTAATTTCTTCCTTTCTGATCTGCATGCCTTCTATTTCATTTCTTGCCATATTGCACAGGCAAAAAATTTCAGTATTTTGTTGAAGAAGAGGGATGAGAGTGAACATCCTTGCCTTGATCCCAATCTTAGGAGGAAAGCATCCAGTCTTTCACTATTAACCATAACATTAGCTGTAGGTTACTTGTAGATGGTCTTTATCAAATTTAGGAAATCTCTATTCCTAGTTTTGTGGTTTTTTGTTTTGTTTTGTTTTGTTTTGGAAACAGAGTCTCACTCTGTCACACAGGCTGGAATGCAGTGGCATGATCTCAGCTCACTGCAACATCTGCCTCCTGGGTTCAAGCGATTCTCCTGCTTCAGCCTCCCAAGTAGCTGAGATTACTGGTGCATGCCACCACGCCCGGCTAATTTCTGTATTTTTAGTAGAGACGGGTTTCACCATCTTGGCCAGGCTGGTCTCGAACTCCTGACCTCAGGTGATCTGCCCGCCTTGGCCTCCCAAAGTGTTAGGATTACAGACGTGAGTCACCACACCCAGCCTCTATTCCTAGTTTTATGAGAGTTTTTATGATTAATGGGGCTTGAATTTTGTCAACTGTCTTTTGTGCATCAATTGATATGACCCTGTGATTTTTCTGTCATCTGCTAATATGATGGATTACATTCTAACTACTGAACTGGCTTTGCATCCCTAGAATAGAGCAGATTTAGTTACGATCTATAATTCTTTGTATATATTGCCAAATCGTATTTGTTAATATCTTATTAAAATGTTTGCATTTACATGCAGGGGATAGTTGGCTTTAGTTTTCTTTTTTTACTGTCTTTGTCTAGTTTTAGCATCAGAATAAACCAGCCTCAAAAAGTGCTTTGGGAAATGTTTCCTCTTCTTTTAATTTCTGAAAAAGATTATATAGAATTTGTATTAATTATTCTTGAAATGTTTGGTAGAATTCTTCAGTGAAATCATCCAGACCTGAAGGTTTTCAGAGGAGATTTTTTTTTTTTTTAACGTATTTCTTTGGCCGGATGTGGTGGCTCATACCTATAATCCCAACACTTTGAGAGGCCGAGGCAGACAGATCACCTGAGGTCAGGATGTCAAGACCAGCCTGAACAACATGGTGAAACCCCATCTCTACTAAAAATACAAAAATTAGTTGGGCGTGGTGGTGCACACCTGCAGTCCCAGCTATTGGAGAGGCTAGAGCAGGAGAATAGCTTGAACCCAGGAGGCAGAGGTTGCATTGAGCTGAGATCACACCACTGCACTCCAGCCTGGGCAACACAGTGAGGGTCTCTCTCAAAAAAATAATAAATAATAAATGAATTAATTAATAATACATAAAATAAAATAAAATTTACTTATTGAATAGTTATAGAGGTAGGCAAATTATTCACTTTATATGGGATGAGCTGCCAGAGTTTGTGCTTTGAGGATTTAGTTGACGTCTTCTAAGTTGACATACTTAGGTCTGTAGAGTTGCTTGGAGTATTTCCTTATGATTTTGATACATCCATGATTATTAGAGATACCCCATTTCATTTATGATATGGATAATTTGTGTATTCTCTTTTTTTTCTTTGTTAATCTTGCTAGATGTTTGTCAATTTTATGGAATTTCCAAAGAACTAGCTTTTTGTCCCTTTGATTTTCCCTACTTTTTTTGTTTTCAATTTTATTTTTTGCCCTTATCTTTATTATTCTCTTTTTTATGCTTGATTTGGGTTTAGTTTGCTCTTGTTTTTCTATTTTCTTAAGATGGAAATGTAGAATATTAATATATTTTATCTTTTCTAATGTAAATATTTAATGCCATATGTTTCCCTTAGCACTGTTTTAGCTTTGTCCCATGAATTTGTATATGTTGTATTTTTTTCATTTAATTCCATGTTTTTATTTTCCTTTGATCCATGCTTTGCTTAGAAGTGTGATGTTTATTTAGTTTCCAAATGTTTAGAGATTTTTTCCATTATCTTTTTATTATCTATTTCTAGGTTGACTCCCATGTGGTCAGATAATATACTCTGTAAGGTTACAATATTTTGAAACTTATTAAGGTTTGTTTTATGTCCTAGGATATGGTCTATCTTGTAAATGTTCCATGAAAACTTGAAGAGGCTGTGTATTCTGCTACTATTGAATGAAATGTTCTATAAATATCAGTTAGATCCTGTTCATTGCTAAAATCTTCTTACTGATTTTCTATCTGAATATTCTATCATTGAGATATAGTTGCTGAAGTTTTCAATTATAATTGAGAATTTGCCTATTTCTCTCTCAGTTCTAGCATTATTTCTTCACATATTTTAGCTTTGTTGTTTAATGCACACACATTTAGAATTGCTATGTCTTCTTGATGGATTTACCCCTTATCATTACACAATGTTCTTTTCTGTCTCTGGTAATTCTCTTGGCTCTTAGGTTGACTTTGATGTTAATATAGCTATTCATGCTTTCTTTTAATTAATGTTTGCATGTTACATCTTTTTCTGTTCTTTTATTTTCAACCTACCTATAATATTATACTTGAAGTGAGTTTCTTGTAGACAGCATATACTGGATGATTTTAAAATCTACCTGCTGATTTCTGTCTCTTAACCAATATATTTGAACCACTTATATTTAATGTAGTTGTTTTATGTCAGGGCTTAAGTATGACATTTTTAATTTTTGTTCTCTGTTTCTTTCTTTTTTACTTCATTTTTCTGTTTCCTTTATCCTTCTTTCCTGTGGGGATCCTTGTTTTTTTTTTTTTTTTTTAGAATTCCATCTAGTGTTTTGAATATGTATACTTGAATAGATGTTTTAGTGGTTGCTTGAGGTATTAATTATACATGCATAACTGTCACCATCTACTAGTGTTGATATGTTACCAGTTTGAGGGAAGTGTAAAAATTTTACCTCTATTTAAATCCCTTTAACTTCCCCCATTCGCAATATAATTGTCTTAAATATTTTCTCTACACACTTTGAGAGTTCCATCAGATAGTGTTATAATTTTGTTTCAACCATCAAACATCATTTAGAAACTGAAAAATGAAATCTATTGTATTTACCTATATTTTTACTCTTTCTATTGTCCTTTCTTCTTTCCTGATGTTCTAGATTCCTTCTTGTATCATTTTGTTTCTGTTTCAATAGCTCCCTTTAGTCATCCTATTAGGGTAGATTTGCCGGTGACAGATTTTCTTAGTTTTCCTTCATCTGACAACGTCTTGATTTTCCCTCACTTCTGAAGTCATTTTCACTAGATACAGAATTTTTTGTTGAAAGTCCTTAAAAGATGTTGTGCTGATTCCTTCTAGCCTCTATGGTTTCTGATGAGAAATCCACTGTCATTCTAATTGTTTTCCTCCCATAAATAAGGTGTCATTTCTCCCTTGCTGCTTTAAAGATTCTTTTCTCTGTCTCTAGTTTCCAGGAGTTTGATTAGAATATGTCTTGGAATACATTTTTGGGGATTGTCCTCTTTGAGAGATTGGCTTAACATCTTGAATCTCTAGGTTTATGTCTTCTGCCAAATTTGGGAACTTTTCAGCCATTATTTCTTGGAATGCTTTTTCGGGCCTGCTGTTTTTCTTCTTTCCTCTGGAACTCTGAATGATGCAAATGTGATACCAGCTGTTAAAATCCAACATGTCCCTGATTGTCTATTCATTTTCCTTTTCAGTCTATTTTTCTGTGTTTCAGGCTGGGCAATTTCTAATGTTCTATCTCTTTAAGTTCACTGATTCTTTCTTCCATATATTACATTCTGCTGTTCAGCCCATCTACTAAGCTTTTCAAAAATTTTCATGTATTATATTCTTTAGTTCTAAAATTTCCATTTGGGTCTTTAAGTCTACCGTTTTCTTCCCCGAGACTTTCTATTTCTTTCATTTGTTTCAATCACATTTGTAATCACTTGTCAAAGCATTTTACAATGGCTGCTTTAAAAAACGTTGTCAACCAGGCGCGGTGGCTCATGCCTGTAATCCCAGCACTTTGGGAGGCCGAGATGGGAAGTTCATGAGGTCAGGAGATTGAGACCATCCTGGCTAACACAGTGAAACCACGTCTCTACTAAAAATACAAACAATTAGCCGGGAGTGGTGGCGGGTGCCTGTAGTCCCAGCTACTGGGGAGGCTGAGGCAGGAGAATGGTGTGAACGCGGTAAGAGGTGACAGCGTGCTGGCAGTCCCCACAGCCCTCGCTCGCTCTCAGTGCCTCCTCTGCCTGGGCTCCCACTTTGGCAGCACTTGAGGAGCCCTTCAGCCACCACTGCACTGTGGGAGCCCCTTTCTGGGCTGGCCAAGGCCGGAGCGAGCTCCCTCAGCTTGCAGGGAGGTGTGGAGGGAGAGGCGCGAGCAGGAACCGGGGCTGCCCGCGGCGCTTGCGGGCCAGCTAGAGCTCCGGGTGGGCGTGGGCTTGGCAGGCCCGGCACTCAGAGCAGCCGGCCAACCCTGCCGGCCCTGGGCAATGAGGGGCTTAGCACCCTGGCCAGCAGCTGTGGAGGGTGTACTGGGTTCCCCAGCAGTGCCAGCCCACCGGGGCTGCGCTCGATTTCTCGCCGGGCCTTAGCTGCCTCCCCGAGGGGCAGGGCTCGGGACCTGCAGCCTGCCATGCCTGAGCCCACCCGCCCACCCCCGTGGGCTCCTGTGCAGCCCGAGCTTCCCTGACGAGCACTGCCCCCTGCTCCACGGTGCCCAGTCCCATCAACCACCCATGGGCTGAGAAGTGCGGGCACACAGCGCGGTACTGGCAGGCAGCTCCACCTGCAGCCCCGGTGCAGGATCCACTGGGTGAAGCCAACTGGGCTCCTGAGTCTGGTGGGGACCTAGAGAACCTTTATGTCTAGCCCAGGGATTGTAAATACACCAATCAGCACTCTGTATCTAGCTCACGGTTTGTAAACACACCAATCAGCACCCTGTGTCTACCTCAGGGTTTGTGAATGCACCAATGGACACTCTGTATCTAGCTACTCTGGTGGGGCCTTGGAGAACCTTTATGTCTAGTTCAGGGATTGTAAATACACCAATCGGCACTCTGTATCTAGCTCAAGGTTTGTAAACACACCAATCAGCACCCTGTGTCTAGCTCAGGGTTTGTGAGTGCACCAATCAACACTCTGTATCTAGCTACTCTGGTGAGGCCTTGGAGAACCTTTGTGTCCACACCCTCTATCTAGCTAATCTGGTGGGGACATGGAGAACTTTTGTGTCTTGCTCAGGGATTGTAAACACCAATCAGCAGCCTGTCAAAACAGACCACTCAGCTCTACCAATCAACAGGATGTGGGTGGGGCCAGGTAAAAGAATAAAAGTAGGCTGCTAGAGACAGCAGTGGCAACCCGCTTGGGTCCCCTTCCACACTGTGGAAGCTTTGTTCTTTCGCTCTTTGCAATAAATCTTGCTACTGCTTACTCTTTGGGTCCACACTGCTTTTATGAGCTGTAACACTCACGGCCAAGGTCTGCAGCTTCCCTCCTGAGCCAGCGAGACCACGAGCCCACCCGAAGGAAGAAACTCAGAACACATCCGAACATCAGAAGGAACAAACTCCAGACGCGCCACCTTAAGAGCTGTAACGCTCACCGCGAGGGTCCACGGCTTCATTCTTGAAGTCAGTGAGACCAAGAACCCACCAATTCCGGACACACCGGGAGGCGGAGCTTGCAGTGAGCCGAGATAGTGCCACTGCACTCCAGCCTGGGCGACTGGGCGAGACTCCATCTCAAAAAAACAAACAAAAAAATAAAACCTTGTCTAATAATTCCAACATCTTTGTCATTTCAGCATTGGCCATCTGTTGACTGTCTTTTCTCACTCAAATTGAGATGTTTCTGATTCTTAGCGTGAAGAGGGTTTTCTGTTGTATCCTGGACATTTGGTTATTTTCTTTTTTTTTGAAACAGAGTCTTGCTCTGTCGCCAGGCTGGAGTGCAGTGGCGCCATCTCAGCTCTCTGCAACCTCTGCCTCCCGGGTTCAAGAGATTCCCCTGCCTCAGCCTCCCAAGTAGCTGGGATTACAGGCACGTGCCACCACACCCGGCTAATTTTTTGTATTTTAGTAGAGACGGGGTTTCACCATGTTGACCAAGATGGTCTTGATCTCTTGACTTCGTGATCCGTCTGCCTCAGCCTCCCAAAGTGCTGGGATTAGAGGCGTGAGCCACCACGCC
The DNA here is from genome assembly GCF_000001405.40 of Homo sapiens. Classification (NCBI taxonomy): domain Eukaryota; kingdom Metazoa; phylum Chordata; class Mammalia; order Primates; family Hominidae; genus Homo; species Homo sapiens. The sequence goes on along the minus strand of NC_000002.12, from coordinate 128,670,678 downwards.
CGGCCTGGTATTTTCTATGAGACTCTACATTCTGTTTTAACAGGCCCTCCCTGTCACTGTGCCTATGGTGGAATGGGAATGCTACCTCACTACCACCCAGTGCAGGTTGAAGTACAGATCCCCACTGCCTCCGCTGACACCCCAGGGATGGGGGCAGGAGAAGGGGCATCTTGTAACTATTGCTGAGCTCATGGTCTTTGCTGGGAGGTAGAAAGTACACTTTTTTTCTGTAGTATTTTACTAGAGTAAAGGTTTGTTGTCTGAAAGTTTTTTTTTTTTTCATGCTAGTATGTTCCTTTCTGGTCTTTTAGCTGGAAAGAGAAGGCTTTTCTCAGAGCTGTTTTTTCATTGCGCCCATTGGCATTCCTGGCTTGCTGGCTTCTCCAGTACCCAGTCCAAAACATATGAAAACAAAAGAAAACCCAGAGAACTCCCTACCATGTTGTTCTTCAAGATCCCTTGCCAGTTTGCCTTCTTCTCTCAAGCTCTCAGAGTCTGCTTATGTTTACTTTATAATGTTGCATATTTTTAGCTGTTCTTAGCAAGGGAAATAAGGAGAAAAATGCCTCACTGTCCCAGAACCAGAAATGTCACAGCCTTTATTTTGAAAGGTGCCTTCTGTGGATGACATACCCTAAGCCCAGGTGAGCTGCTCCTCTGCCTGACCTGCCTGTTTCAGCTCCCCACTCATCCAGCCTGGCCCCCGGCTGCCTCCCTGCAGCCACTCCCATGGTCTGCGAGTCCCTTCAGAACAAGATCAATATTGTTTTCATTTTCAATTCTACAGGGCCCAGGGATGAATTAACAGAACTAGGTCACAGCATTTTTGTTCACCATCTTTCTTTATAAAAACTCTGCCCTCCATCTCTTTACTGATTAGAGGGTGTCCGAGGCAGGAAATGGTCCTTGGCTCCAGCCTTTTTTTTAGTGGCTGATTCTGAAGAATCTCAATACTCAGAGACTCAGAGAACTCATTTTTGATGGGAACTCCTTAGCTCACCCTGATGGGTTCTTCTTCTCTATCTTTGCTTTTTTTTTTTTTTTTTTTTTTTTTGAGATGGAGTCTAGCTCTGTCACCCAGGCTGGAGTGCAGTGGCGTGATCTTGGCTCACTGCAAGCTCCGCCTCCCAGGTTCACACCATTCTCCTGCCTCAGCCTCCCGAGTAGCTGGGACTACAGGTGCCCGCCACCACGCCCGGCTAAGTTTTTGTACTTTTAGTAGAGACGGGGTTTCACTGTGTTAGCCAGGATGGTCTTGATCTCCTGACCTGGTGATCTGCCTGCCTCAGCCTCCCAGAGTGCTGGGATTACAGGTGTAAGCCACCACGCCCAGCCATATCTTTGCTTTTTAACCAGCATCCCCAGGTGACTGGAGAGACCCAGATCTCAGAGGTCTCCTGAGTGTAAAGGACAAGATGTGTGCTAGTGAGCATCCCAGAGCCCCGTGCAGTGCCACAACATGGCGCAGGTGCCCAGGAAACAGCTGCTGAATGAATTAACAAGCCACATCTTGCCTCCACTGAGTCCAAAAACCTCACACTGCCACAGCATGTTCTGCACACCAAACACAGAGAGAAGAGAAGGTGAGTAATTTGGCCAAAACTATGTGGATTGGAACCTGATAATCCCATCAGTGCTGCTTCCTAATCCCATGTATCAACAGAATTCCCCTCACCCCTTCAGAGGTGATTATTGTAAGGAAGAGATACACACACTCTGAGTGGACAGAAGTAACCAAGAAAATAAGAAACCACTTTGTTAACTTAAAGAGGCTATATAAGGCACATTTACAATGTTGTAATTATTGTCATTATTATTTTAATTATAACTATGAGTACTGCTAGAAGTAATATACTCATGCCTATGTGAAGTTTGTCCCAACAACACTGTGAAATCTCCCAAACTTCTATTCTGGCCCTAACCGATTACATCCATCAACACTTTCCCTTGTTTTCTTCCCTGCATCTCTCTCTCTGAATTCATTATTAAACCCTGAAGTTTTCTTCCTAAAATTTTGCATGATGCTTAATATCTACTCCAAGTCCTAACCATTCTAAATGGAGACTCTCTAAAATGTGCAACTTTATTACTGCAAAACTTTCCATAGCATACAACTTTTTATGACACAGCTTTAAAGGTCACTCATATAAATTCATGCTCTAAACTACATTTAGATTTAAATATTAGGATTAAGAAAAAAATACGGCCGGCTGTGGTGGGTCACGCCTGTAGTCCCAGGACTTTGGGAGGCTGAGGTGGGCGGATAATGAGGCCAAGAGCTCAAGACCAGCCTGGCCAACATGGTGAAACCCCATCTCTACTAAAAATACAAAAATTAGCCTGGCGTGGTGGTGGGCGCCTGTAATCTCAGCTGCTCGGGAGGCTGAGGCAGGAGAATTGCTTGATCCCAGAAGGCGGAGGTTGCAATGAGCCGAGATTGTGCCATTGCACTCCAGCCTGGGTAGCAGAGCAAGACTCTGTCTAAAAAAAGAAAAAAGAAAAAGAAAAGAAAACACACACACACACACACACACACACACACACACACACACATAATATCTATGTGTATTCCTCGAGATACACAAGCAATTTTGAATGCTTAACTTAGAGAAACTATGGATGGACGGATGGATGAATTCATTCATTAATGAACTAACTAAAAGGTTTTATTAAATAACATTCCTTAGGACATAAGGCAGGTCTCTCCCCGAGCTTGCCCACTGTATTCAGTCCAAGCAATCACACCCACATCCTCCCCCACGGCCTCAGTCATTTTCAGAGTGACTCCTAGCCTCCTTTGTCTGCTCCTCCAGCACAGACCACTTTGGCCCTGTCTCGAACCTCCATTTGCCTCCTTGGCTACTCCATCTGGGCATCCTACACCACATGAGCCCTGATCTGTGTGCATGCTGCCAGGAACCCCTCAGCAAGCCTCATCACAAACCCGGAGTCTCCTGTCTTCTCTGCCTCCTGAAAGTACATCTCCAAATCAGCATCTCTCCACTGCCCACCAGCCTCACCCCAGCCGTCTCTCCTGGGATCCCTTTCCTGACCCTGGAATCCATTCCCCACACTGCAGCACAGTGACCCAGCAAGACTAACACCCGTCCTTGCTCATGCCCTGCTTGGAACAGGTCAGCAGTTCCACGGGCTCTCGGAGAAAGTCCAGTCTTGACAAGGCAATGCGGAACCCACTGCAGGCAACACTGAGTGTCCCGGCAACAGAGCCATCTGCCCAGGTTCAAATACTGCATGGCCCTGGGCAAGTTCCATGGCCTCACTGTAAACTGTGGCTACCAACAGAGCCCATCTGGTGGGGATCTTGTGAGGACTAAATGAAATAACAGAGGTACAGATAAGTACAGGAAGCCCAGCATCTGGCACACAGTAAGTGCACACTTTGGCTATTAATAGGGGGCAGCCTCTGGCCCTGCCTCTGATGCACGGTCTACCCACAGCTTCCCAGATGAGATGTGGAGGCAAGGTTTTGAAGAGTGAAGAGGACTTTTCTGGATGGGCCAAGGGTAGGAAGACGCTCCAGGACGTAGGGAAGATCCAGAACAAAGCACAGAGGCATGAAGCCGCACCAGGTGGACATTCACTGACCTCCACCAGGAAGAAGCTCACCAAGGCTCACACTCGCCTCAGACAGGGATCTGGGAGACTGTGTATGCTCGGAAAAGGGTTTCCATGAAAACAATGGTGAGGAGGATGATGACAGCAGAAATGAAGGGGAGGGAAAAGTTGAAGAAGATGAAAGTGCAGGAGAAACCATGGAAAAAGAAGCTGAGTTAGAAGGGAGTAACAATCTCCCATGCTGGTCATGTTCCAGCCTCAGGACTTTCACACACGGTGTTCCTTCGGCATGTGCGAGAGTGCTCCCCAACTCCCCAGCCACGTGGATTCCTCCTGCACTTCCCCAGGCCTCTACTCAGTGCCTCCGGATCAGAGGGCCTTTCTTGCCCAACCAATTCAAAACAGCACCCTCCTCATTGCTGCATAGCCCTCTCTGCCTCACTTTTTTTTTTTTTTTAATTGAGACAGAGTTTTGCTCTTGTTGCCCAGGCTGGAGTGCAATGGCGCAATCTCGGCTCACCGCAACCTCCGCCTCCCAGGTTCAAGCGATTCTCCTGCCTCAGCCTCCCGAGTGTCTGCCTCACTTTTTATGACCTCCATCCCCACCTGACATATTTCACATTTATTTGTGTGTGCCAATCTGACTCCACCAGGATCTTGCTCCCCCAGCAGAATTCTCCGTGGGGTCAGAAACCGCATCTGTTCTATTCCCAGTGCAATCCCCAGGGTCTTCATCAGCATCTGCCACACAGAAAGCTCTTCATAATTCGCACAATAAATAGATGGAAGAGGATGGAGGAGGAGAAAAAGAGGAGTAAGAAGTGCAGGAGAAGAAGGGGGAAGAGAATGAGGAGGAGGAGAAAGAAGAGGAGGAGGAAGAACGACCATCGCCATTGTCATCCAGCAGCCCAGGCTTGAAGCTGCAGCAGCCATCCAAACCAGACGTGGATGCTGCAAAGAGCCGCACTCTGGGTGACAAAAGGACAGGGCTTTAGGAGGTGGCTCTCAAGGCTGGCTGAAGGCTGGACCCTCCTAGAGTGCCTGTAAAAACTACCAAGGAGATAATACACATTTGAGATGATGGATTTGCTAATTATCCTGATTTGCATAATATATACATGATTCAAAATATCACACTGTATCTCATAAGTTGGTACAATTATTAATATTATGTGTCAATAAAAATAAAAATAAGGCCAGGCGCGGTGGCTCACGCCTGTAGTCCCAGCACTTTGGGAGGCTGAGGCGGGCGGATCACAAGGTCAAGAGATCGAGACCATCCTGGCCAACATAGTGAAACCCCGCCTATACTAAAAATACAAAAATTAGCCAGGTGTGGTGGCATGTGCCTGTGGTCTCAGCTACTCAGGAGGCTGAGGCAGGAGAATCACTTGAACCCAGGAGGTGGAGGTTGCAGTGAGCCAAGATCACACCACTGCACTCCAGCCTGGCGACACAGTAAGACTCCATTTCAAAAATTAATTAATTAATTAAAAATACCAATGTCAGACCCCACCCGACCAGCTGCACCTGAAGCTCTGGGGTGAGGCCTGCACATCTGCCCGTGTCTGTGCCAGGTTCCCAGGGATCCTGATTGTCAGCAAGAGATCCAGACCCTGACCCAGGAAGGGCAGGGACAGGCTAGGGGAGAAAGGGCAAGGCTCAGGCTCACAGAGGCCTGCTGGTCTCCCTCCTGTCCAGTGCCGCCTCTGGGCACCCTCCCCCTCTCCAACAGGCTTGCAGCCTCCACTGCCCACACTGTGTCCTTAAGGAGGTAAGTGAGTTGTTGGGGGCCACTTCCCAACTGTCAGCATCCCCAGGACCACCCTCTGTAAATGTCCTATAGGAGAAAGGAAGAGGGTCCTCCCAGGTGGCCTGCCCAAGGCACCTCTTCTGGCATCCCAAGTAGAGGCAGCCTTCGCCCAGTGGGCCAGCGCCCTCCCAGTGGTTCCGCCTGGAGGGAAGTAGGAATGAGGGTGGTTCACTGTTTCTTGTCAGTTCTGTTAAAGTAGAGACATCCTCCTGAGGGAAAAAGCAATAAGAAGGAAGGGCCTGAGAGACCCAGGACATGGCTGGAAAAAAAGAGAACAGTGTGGACCAGAGCAGGCCAAGAGGGCTTCCTGACAGAGGTGGCACTTTAGCTGTGATGAAGAGGCATGGCAGAGCAGTTGAGGATGGGTTGGGGGACAGAGAGGGCAGTCCAGGGCACCGCCTTGCCTGTACTGCATTCTTCAGTTGAAGCCTGGCTGTGTTCCCTGCAAGTTCTCCTGTTACTTCCCTCCTGTGGGTGAATGAGAACAGAGGAGAGGGCCTAGGGGGACAGCAGCCCAGCTTCCTCACTGCCCTCCTGTGTGCACTCCTCTGTCTGGGGAGGGGAAGGTGTTTCTCCCTCCTCCCACTGCTACCCCAGATGCCAGGTCCTGGGCCGGCCCCAGCCAAGAAGAACTGGAACCCTGCAGACTTGCTACCTTGCAGGAAGCTTCCCCCAGCCCTGCCCTTCTAAACAGCAGGTGGCTTCAGCCTAGAGGAGCGGCAGCCATCTCGTGATTGTGAGACAGCATGCCTGAAATCAGAGGCCACATGCAGAGGGCAAAGGGAGGGGACAAGAGGGGAGGAGAGATGAGGGGAGGGGAGGAGAGAAGAGGGGAGGGGAGGGGGATGGGGAAGGGAGAGGAGGGGAGGGGAGGAGAGAGGAGGGGAGGGGAGGAGAGAAGAGGGGAGGGGAGGGGATGGGAAGGGAGAGGAGGGGAGGGGAGGGGACGGGAGGGGAGGGGAGAGGAGAGGGGTGGCCCTCCCCTGATCAGGTGCTCCTTGTTGGAGATGAACGGCCCACCTGCCCACAGCAGTGATCCACTTTTTGCCCAGCATAATCTGGTTGAGTTGGTTTGATGTTTAAAATAAAATTAAATTTAAAAGTTGGTTTTTTAAATAAAAAAGCTTTAACTTGAACCCCTCAAATACATGACTGGCCCCAAAACTCCTGGGCAGCAAAGCGAGGGAGAATAGAAGATGCCATGGGTTTTCCTGCTGGTTGGAATCCTCATGATAGGTGAGGATTTCCTGCTTTCTCAACAGGCCCGGATCGGAGACTGTCATTCTGAGGACTGGCACTAAAACCCCTCTCTCAAAGGCCACCTGGAACTCTAACTGTGGGGCCCACACCTACTCTCAGCTCACATCTTCCGGGGCAGGCACTTCTTTTCTAAAACAAAAACATTTCTTTTTAAAGATATCAGCGTGCCCGACCAAAAATACTAACACAGCCTCTCGGGATGGTGCTGTATCAGTTAGCCAGTAAGAGGCAGGCAGAAGTCCTGGGGGCAGGCAGTCTTCCTCAATTAAACAGCAACAGTGCAACAAGAGCAAAACCTTCCTAGGAGAAGCCCTTTACCCCTTCTGCCTGCCTGCTCTTCCTTCCTGGAACTAAGAGGCACAAGCTGGAGGAGCAGCAGCCATCTCGTGACCATGAGAAAGCATGCCTGAGATCAGAGGCCACGTGCAGAGGGCACCAACAGCAAAAGCGAGGGGAGCACCTGTCTCCCCTGGCATAGTTGAGCATCCCACCCAGCCCAGGATTGCCTGCCATCAGACTTCTTGATGTCTGAGACAGGTGAGGCTGTCGCCAGGCCAGCCACTCTTGGGGGCTTTCCTGAGACATGGAGACTGACACAGGAGTTGCCAGCATGCTCCTCTGGCCTCGCTGCCTCGCCAGAGAGCCTCAGGGCTCCTTTCCTCCATGATGCTCTTTCCTCCCAGCATCCTGACTGCCTCCTCATTCTCCCCCGGTCTCTCCTCTCCCTGATTTGCCCTTTACATCATTGAGTTTTCAAAAGTGTCATGAGCATTCCTCTTTTAAAACCTTCAAATATGCTACCTGGACTTCTCTTCCCCTTTTTTGCCTCGGGTACTTTTGGAGAAGCCATCAAGAGGCTGCCTATTAGGTCAGACCGCCCCCCTGCATACCGCCTGGAATGCACATCTCTCTCTCCTCTGTGGCCTCACTGTGCTCAGAACTGCTGCTTAATGGAGCTTCCTGAGGGCCTGGAGGCTCCTTGGCCTGGGGACAACGTCTCTGTGTTCCCTGATACATCCCAGTGTCAAGTACAATCTCCAGCACATAGTAGGTGCCCAAGAAATCACCACTGAGTAAATCAACAACTATATCATTACACGCACTCTGAAGAAAGACACATCACACAATGAGAGCTCGTTACACAAGCAGATCCACACCTGGTGAGTCTGAACAGGATCCAGTCTGAATGACAGGTGAACGCTGACAAAGTAGGGTGGGAGCAAGAAAGGCTTCCAGGCCAGGAGGATGGAGAAGCATATCCCAAGGCCCTGTGAAGAGGGAAGAGCAGTGCATGAGTAGAGGGTGGTTTGGATGAGGCGAGCAGGGCCAGGCCACGCAAGCCTTGGGGACCTGGCCAGCTGGCTCTTTGTTCTGGAGACTGTGGAGAGAAACCTACAGTTTCCGGTTCCGAAGCCCTTTTGTCTTCAGTGTAGGAGATACTGGAGGAGGGGACATGCATGGTGAACCTCCCAGTGTCCATCACAGGAGTCCAAGAGAGAGTGGGTGGACACTCACCTCTGCAGTCTGCTCTGTCCTGAGGGTTTTATAGGTGGTAGGTCATTCAACTCCCAATAAACTTGAGATAAGGAAACTGAGGCACGGGTGGCTAGGGACCTGTCCAGGCCATAGGGCTGGTACATGCTGGGACCTGGAAGGAACCACACCTCGGTGTAGCCAGGGCCGGCTGGCAGTGTGGGAGAGAGAAGCAGCAGACCGCAGAAGCTCTCAGAGGGAAATGGGTTAGACAGGCTGAGGGAGAAGGTGGGGGATTGCAAAGGAAATCTGAAGCAAGTAAGAAACAATGCTAAGACTTGCTAAAACCGGTGATGCATCCACTCACGTTTTCTATGCTGGAAACAGTGTGAGTGTGCACACATGCACACCACTGCACCACGTTTGTGCTGCCTTGGGATTCGGTGACCTGGAGATCATCAGGGTCTTGGTGACAGCTGTTTCCATGTCTTAAGGGGACCAGACACCAGAGGAGAGCAGGCTGAGGAATGCCTGAGATTTGAGAACATGGAGACAAAATATCTAGACTGTGGTTTGGAGAAATTTAACTATAAAATAGGAGAGAGAGGGTCAGTAGCCAGTGATCTGTCCATAGTGGAGGCAAGGTTTCCTTCTCATTGCAGGGATCAGACATTACAGACATCATCGAAGTCTCCTGCCTGCCTCGCCTCCATCCCACTCCCCTTCCTCTCTCCCCAAAGGTAACTGCTCTCAGGAACTCACTGTCACTGTCACACATGTTTTATATTTTTACTACATATTGATTTGTCTGGAAACATTTTAAGGTCTCATTTTATTGTTTTTTAATATTTCTGTAAATGATGTGATACCGTTCATATTGTCCCAGAACGTGCTCATTTTCTTCACATTACAGTTTAAAGCTCTGTCAAGGCTGATAAATGGGAATCCCCAGAGCACTCCACGGCACTGGTATCCTCTCAGTCCAGTCCTGATCCACTGCTGATGGGCAGGGTTCTGCTCATGCAGTCATGGTGCAGACCACACTCCTGGGCTGGCCACCCCATGCCTGTGCACTGGCTTTCTCCGGGGCAGAGGCTGCAGGTGGGCTGGTTGGGCCGTGAGCACCTTTGCCTTTATGGAGACTCACCAGACATCATGCCAGTGTACACTCCTGCAGCAGTGCAGGCAAGTTCCTCTGCCCTTGCCCCTTCCACACTGGGTGTTGCTAGATTTCCAGTGGGGAGATGTGGGACTGTACAATCGCCCACAGAAAGGTTTCTGTTGAGAGAGAAATTAAATACAGAGCATCTAGAAGTGCATGCTGGGGTAGGGGATGGGGAGATGGCAGCCAGAGAAGGATTCCCCAGCAGACATATGCCCCCCTATATGTAGAACTCTTTACAGGTCAATGCGAGGAGCCAGTTGGGACCTTCCTCTTTGCACTTGGTGAGATGATGGATCCCAGACTTGCCCGTAGTGCATGGCGGCCTCGCTGCCTGCTCCCCAGCTGATCCCTCCTGCTCCCACTGCACAGTGCCCACACGCCCAGCAAGGCACTTACACAGAGAATAATTGCCAGGTGTTTATTGAACTGTTTTCCCCCACAAGACTCAGCTGCTCGAAGCAGGGGCTATGTTACTGTCTCCTCAACCTCCAGAACTTTGCAAGGGCCTGGCACACAGTTGGAGCTCAATGAATACTTTTTGAATTGCTTTAAAGCTAGTATTGCAGTGCCCACTGGCATGTGTCTCCTATATACGGTGCTCTGATTTCAGACACGTGCACAATTTAAGAGAAAGGAGCCAAGTGGGAGCCAGGAAGAAGCAACTTCAATCAGGAGTGTGGACGGCAGACAAAGAGTCCCACCCAGGAGGCTTTCTTCTTCTACCCTCTCTTCCCCTCCCTCTCTGGCCCCCAGCTACCTCAAAACCCCGACTTCCTTCGCTAGTTGTAAAATAAATTAATATGCTTTAGCCTTTCCTATAAAAAACTGATCTTCATCCTCTCACTGTCTCTAGAAAATTCTTATATTAATTTATACTACTTCCAGTTTTGTTCTCTCTTACTCAGAAATGAGGAAAAGTCCTGAGACCAGAAAATGGAAAAAAGAGAATTCCAAGCCAGCAAAGCACTAAACAAGTTCAAATATCTAAACCGCATGGGTGGGTATTGGGGGAGTGACATTCACAGCACACATTTAAGAAGTCAAAGCTGAAATCTGGGGCTAATGTCATAACGCTGATGGGTGAAATGAAGAAAAAGAATTCCCCAATTTCTATTTACTTTTATCATTCAAGGAAAATGGTTTGCAGGTGTTAAAGGGTGGAAAGAAAGCCTAAAACCAGTCTGGAGAGCTTGGAGAGCTGTGATATGCTCTGAGCCTCCAGGCTGAAATGGACGCCTCATGAAGTCGGCCTTGGGGGGTTCAGGTGAGCTCCGCCAGGTGCCATCTTTGACCCTTTACCTCGTCCTATTGGCTTCTGAATCATCGACAAGTTGTACAAAGTCATGGAGAGCCTGCTTTCAAGAAATATGTGGGAATGAAGTTGGACATGAGCTGGGACTAGACTTTGTGTTCCTTAAGGACTAAGGGAAGAGGGTGGCAGCTGTGGATAAGGAAGGGGAAGTTCTAATACTCGAAGGTAGAGGTCTGGGGGATGAGTGAACTCAAAGGACTAAAAGTCAGCTGGAGATCCATGAAGGCAACTCAGAAAAATCTTCGTGGCAGCTCCTCTTTGACAGTCCCTCCACCATTTTGGAAGTGAAAGAAAACCAGGGAAACACCAGGATAAGCTAATATTTATAGGAAAACCTCAGGCGAATAAAATGGCAAGGATGTAAACCAAAAGTGCTGGTTGTGTCCATGAGCCTGGGAGGCCAGCAAGAAGCTGGGGACAGGGCAGCCTCCGTCAGACAGGGAGGCCTCGAGGTAGGCAAGTGAGCAACCCAAAGAACCTGAGCTGCCCCCTCCAGGCTCCTCCAAATCTGACCTTTGCTACAGTATAGATGAGTCAGCAGAGCTCATCAGCTCCACGGATGTAAAGACGGTGTAGGAGGAAGCATATGGTGGAGGGAAGAATCAGCACCCCGAAATGACTGTGTCATGCTGAAGAAATAGGCCAAATCCAGCTAGGATCGCACTCAGTAAAAACGAGCATCATCTGTGGTCCTTGGGGCTAAAACCCAACTGCATTAGGAAGGTACAGTTTAGCAGCAACGTGTCTGACACTTAGGAGTTTTAGTCAAGGAATCAACAGAAATATTGACACCCAAAAAGTTAGCACGAACTTGGGCTGGCTTCTGGAAGGTTAGCATCTGGCACAGTGGAGTTGCGGTCTTGGCAGACACAATGCCGATTGCCCTTACCTGGAGCACTGGACTCAGTTCATGATGGAGTCGCACCTGGAGAGCGGCTTGAGCAGAGGAGACCTAGTGGGCTGTGACTGTGGGCCAGGACATCCTGCCACATGAAGAAAAGTCAACAAATGGATTTCACCTACAGACAAGAAGACCCCCTCTTACTCAGAGGGTAGGTAAGAGCTATCCTCACATAAAGGAAGGAAGCCGTGGCAATGAGCATTCAGATGAGCAAGTCCTGTTATAAGAACTAATATTGGGACCACACAGCGGGAGCCAGAGAAGACAGCCTTCAGCGCAAAGACAGAAATCCCTAGTACCCGCTCAGAGCTGTGCGAAAGGAAAGGGCTTTCTCAGTAGAAAGTACACTCTCCAACTAAGGACAAACTACAGGAGATGCTGCAGAGGTCATCAGATGCAGACTTTCAACTCTAGTGACAGACTTCAGTTTTCTTAAAAATTATCTCTGACTCTATGAGGATGATGTCCATTCTCTGATCATGATAAACAAGTGAGGTCACATTGTTTGTAATGACTGGTTGACACAAATCATTTAAAAGAAATCTCATTGGTAAAACATCCTTAATCCACTTCCTTAGGTGACAGAAAGCAGAGGAGAATTAAAATGTGCTCTTTCATGGCAGGCACTATGGCTGGCTATCTGTATTTTTTAATCCTTAATTTAATCTTAAATAACAACCTTTTGAGATAAGTATTTCTATTTACCTTTAATAGATCAGAAAACTGGCTCATAGAGGCTACATAGTTTGGATGAGATTGGCCAGGCCATAAGTTACCAAAGACTTACAATGGGCTTTATGGAAATTCAATTTTCTGATTCAGATATTAAAAAACCGGAAGGAGCATTGCTCTCATCTTACAACCAAAAAATTTGGATAATTTGCGAAAATCACAACTTTTCTTGAATAAATCAGAGAGCTGAGATTGCAGGATAAACAAGTAACCCAAAATCTAAGGAAAATAGGCACCTCCAAGGAAAGGAGCAGCCACAGACAATGGACACTGTAAAAGAAGAATTTATTTACAAATTTTAATGAATTTCTAAAGATTGAGTGTGCATTAATGTGAGAACCCTACCCTAAAAACAAGATAACAGAGAAGAATTTGAAACTCATATTGCACTGAGCATGAACACAACAATAACAAAACCTAACCACAGCTTAACTTATGACTAGATATACTCAAATGATTACACTAAAGTCTTAGCCAAAAACAAAAAAGAGGAATATCCATTTCCAAGCATTAACACTAGTTATGTAAGTCTCTGTTGTCCTGTTGAAGATATTTGGCTCTCATACAAAAATGTAAGACACACAAAGAAACACAGGGGAAAAAACAGTATCAACAAGACCAGATTTTGATATGACACAAATGTTGAAGCTATTACATGAAATATTTAAAATAAATATAATTAACATGTTAAAATCTCAAGTGGAATAGTTAGATAGTATGCATGATCTGATGGAGATCTTCAAGAGAGATATGAAAATTACAGGAAATAATCAAATGAGGACATGAAAAATGAAAAGCATGATAACAAAGTTGAAAGAGGCTTTATTGGATTCAATAATAGAATCAATGCAGCTGAGGAAAGAATCAGTAACTTGAAGATAAGTCACTATGAATTATACAAACTAAAACATACACACAAAAAAGTAGTGGTAATAAAAACAGAGTATCCATAAGCTGTAGGATAATATCTAACAGTCTAACATATGTATATTTGGAAGGAGAAGAAGAGAGAAAAAACAGGCAGCAAAAATATTTGAAAAGATAATGGGCAAAGTTCATAACAGCCCCCAAGCCACAGACCCAAATTCTTCAAAAACACCAAACAGAATAAATGCATAAACCATCTCCCCAAATCCATGCATATCATCTTTAAAATGTTGAAAATCAATTATAAAAAGAAAATGTTAAAGGCAGCCACAGAGGGAGAAAGCATATTACATACAAAGGAACAAAGATGGGAATTGCATAAGACTTTTAATCAAAAAATGTACAAGTCAGAAGACAATAAAGTGGCAGATTTTGGCTGGGCACGGTGGCTCACGCCTGTAATCCCAGCCCTTTGGGAGCCCCAAAGCAGGCAGATCGCCTGAGGTCAGGGGTTCGGGACCAGCCTAGCCAACATGGCAAAACCCTGTCTCTACTAAAAGTACAAAAATTAGCTGAGCATGGTAGCACATGTCTTTAATCTCAGCTACTTGGGTGATGAGGCAGGAGAATCGCTTGAACCCGGGAGGTAGAGGTTGCAGTGAGTCAAGATCGTGCCACTGCACTCCAGCCTGGGCAACAGAGTGAGACTCTATCTCAAAAAAATAAAAAAATAAAAAATAAAGTGGCAGATTTTAAAAACTGAAGGAAAAACAATGACAACTCAGAATTCTAAATCCAATAAAGTATCTTTCAAAACTGAAGGAGAAATAAAAACACTTTTGTTAAACAAAACAAAGAAAGTTCATGACTAGCACATTTGCCCAAAAATAACTGAAAAAGGAATTTCTTCAATTAGAGGAAATATGATACAGATACCCAGGTCTATACAATATAAAGAAAAGCACTGGAAATGACATAAAGAAAATGTTATAAAATTTATATTTGTTCCATTGTTCTAAAAGTTAACTTATGTCTAAACCAGGGATCAAATAAAAATTTTCTGTAAAGGAGATTTTAGGCTTTTGGAACCACATATGGTCTCTGTCACATTTTTTGTTTTGTTATTGTTGTTGTCATGGTTGTTTGCTATGTTTTGTTTTGCATTATTTTAAAACCCTTTAAAATGTAAAATTCAGAAAAGATACGGAGGTGCATTTCTTAGGTTTTCTTTTTGTGTGGTATATCGTAGACTTGTGACAGGAATAGCTGGCTACCAGATACACAAAAAAGCGTAAATTTTTATGTATTTATTTATTTTTATTTATGTATTCATTTTTGAGACGGAGTAATAAAAGGCCCAATCAGTGGCTGCTTCTCTAGCCAAAGGACCAGAGAGGAGGCTACCCAGCAACACAGAAAACTCACAGATAATAAGTGCCCAACCCCAGCCAAATACTACAGAAAAAACTATGGCCCCACTGACACTAGCAAGGTCCAGTGGAGAGCTTAGGCTTCAGCCCAGGCCATAAAAAGACACCCAATCCCCTATCAGAGTGGTATCAGGGAAGGCCAAGTCTGAAGCTGCAACTCTCATCACCTGAGCAGTAAGGAGGTCCCACTGCTGTGCCCGTTGAGATCACATAGAAGCCTGGAGTTCCATCTTTTACTGACAGGAACGAGGTGCTCTTCACCTCCTCTGGGGTACTGTCAGGCATGGTCAAGTGGAGAGTGCTACCACTGCCTAGGAGAAAAGAGGCCAACCCGCGTGGTTAAGGTGGAGGCCACCTGGGAGGCGGCAACAAGGTACTTCTGCTCTTTCTAGCCATTAACAGGGTGCTATTAACAGAGACCTAGTGAAGAGCAGAAGTGCCATGCCCACTTATCAGTAATGAGGAGCCCCTGCCTCTCTAGGGTGTCTAATGAAGCTAGTGGCAAAACTGGACTTGTCTTCTCTTTGCGTTATAATAAGGTGGCACCACTCTTTCATTTCCTGCTGGAGTCATGTCTTAAGAAGCCAACAAAAGCAAAAGGTTTGACCAAGGTCTAGTCTCACAACATAATACCAAAATTTTCCAGGTTTCAACTGAAAATTACTTGTCATTTAAAAAAACAGTAAAATCACAACTTGAATGAAAAGAGAAAGCAGCAGACACCAACACTGAGATGACACAAATGTTTAAATTATCTGAAAAAGATATTAAGAGTGATAAAAATCCTTCAATAAATGATTGTAAATATGCTTGAAACAAATGAAAAAACAGAAAGTGTCAGCAGAGAGATAAAAGATGTAAAAGATGAAGTAAAAAGAAATTATAGAACTGAAAACTACAATGCCCAACTTAAAAAACTCAGTGGATTGGCTACATAGCATAATTTAAAGGACAGAGAAAAGAATCAGTGAACTTGAAGGTAGAACAATAGAAGAACAACAGAGAGAAAACAGACAGGAAAAAATATATATAAACTGAATCTCAGAGACATATTGTATTAGTTCATTCTTGCATTGCTATAAAAAATATCTGAGACTGGGTCATTTACAAAGAAAAGAGGTTTGGCTGGGTGCGCTGGCTCATGCCTGTAATCCCAGCAGTTTGGGAGGCCAAGGCAGGTGGATCGCCTGAGGTCAGGAGTTCGAGAGCAGCTGGGCCAACATGGTGAAACCCCATCTCTACTAAAAATACAAAACTTAGCTGGGCTTCATGGCGGACACCTGTAATCCCAGATACTCAGGAGGCTGAGGCAGGAGAATTGCTTGAACCTGGGAGGCAGAGGTTGCAGTGAGCCGAGATCTCACCAATGCACTCCAGCCTGGGCAACAAGAGCAAAACTCCGTTTCAAAAAAAAAAAACAAAAAAAACAAAAAAAACAGAAAAACACTTAATTGACTCATGGTTCTGCAGGCTGTACAGGAGGCATAGTAGCTTCTGCTTCTGGTGGCAAGGCCTCAGGAAATTTACAACCGTAGTGAAAGGGGAAGGGGAAGCAGGCACGCCTTAAATGGCCAAAATGGCCCAAGCAGGAAGAAGGGAGGGGGTGGGGAGGTGCCACACACTTTTAAACAACCAGATCTCATGAGAGCTCTATCAGGAGAACAGCTCTAGGAGGACGGTGCTAAACCATTAGAAATTGCCCCCATAATCCAATCACCTCCCACCAAAACCCACCTCCAGCATTGGGGATTACATTTCAACGTGAGTTTTGGGTGGGGACACAGACTGAAACCATATTACATATGATCTAATATTCATGTCCTTGGAGCCCTGAAAGAAGAAAGAGAGTGAGACTGAGAAGTATTTAAAGAAATAATGGCTAAATTTTTCCCATATTGGGCAAAAGACAAGATTCAAGAAGCTTAGAGAGGGTCAGGTGTGGTTGCTCAAGCCTGTAATCCCAGCACTTTGGGAGGCCAAGGCAGGTGGATCACCTGAGGTCATGAGTTCGAGACCAGCCTGACCAACATGAAGAAACCCTATCTCTACTAAAAATACAAAAATTAGCCAGGCATGGTGGCATGCACCTGTAATTGCAACTACTCAGGAGGCTGAGACAGGAGAATTGCTTGAACCCATGAGGTGGAAGTTGCAATGAGCTAAGATCATGCCATTGCACCCCAGCCTGGGCAAAAAGAGCGAAACTCCATTTCAAAAAAACAAAACAAAAAAAAAAGAAGCTTAGAGAAACCCAAAGAGTATAAACCCAAATAATCTACTGTAAAACATATAGTAAAATTTCTGAAAACTGAAGACCAAAAAAAAAAAAAAAAACTCTTGAAAGCAGCAAGAGAGTAATTATACCTTACCTAAAAAGGAAAAATAATTCAAACGACAGTAGATTTTCTCAACAGACACTACAAAGGAAGTAGCTAAAAGGAAAAAAAAAAAAAAAGCAAAAATAAAAAACAGAATTCTACGTCCAGAGAAAATATCCTTCAAGAATGAAGGGGAATTCAAGACACTCTCAGATGAAGCAAAGAGATTTTTGTCATCAATTATCCCACCTTAAGGGAATGGCTAAGGGAAGTCCTCTAAACAGAATGGAAGCAAGACTTTTAGAATATTAGGTAAGAAGAAAGAACAAAGGAAAGAATCAAAACATGGATGAAGAATACATTTTCCTTCTCCTTTTGCACACTTTACATTATGTTTGATAGTTGAAGCAAAAATGTTAACACTGTCTTATATGACTCTAAATGTGTGTTGACTAAATAGGTAAAACAGTTATACTATAAACTTTGGAAGGTAAAAGGAACTAAAAGGAGAAGTTATCTACACTTTACTCAAGCTAGCAAAATTTGGGCAATAGTAGGCAGTGATAAGTTAGGTATATATAATATAATACATAGAGAAACCACCAAAATATCTATCTAGAAGCATACACTCAAAATCACTATAGGTTAATCAAACTGGAGTTCTAAAAAAAGGTTCAAGCAACCCATAAGGAAAAAAGAACATGAAAATAGAGAAATGAAAAACAGAGAGAACAAACAAAAAACAAAAATTAAAATGGCAGATTTAAACCCTAATATGTCAATAATTACACTAAATGTATATATTCTAAATTCAATGATTAAAAGACAGAGACTGACAGAGGGAATAAAAGAATGAATAAGTCAACTATATATGGTCTACAAGTAATTCACTTCAATTATAGTGACATAGAGAGGCTGATATTAAAAGGCTAGAAAAAGATACACCATGCAAATATTAATCAAAAGAAAACATGAGTGACTGTATTAATCAGATTAAGTAAACTTTAGAGCAAGGAAAACTACTAAAGACAGAGAAAGACATTACATAATGATACAAGGGTAAATCCACCAAGAAAACTTAGTAATCCTAAATGTGTCTACATCAAACAACAGAGCTGCAAGATATGTAAGACAAAAATGAATAGAACTAAAAAACAAACAAACAACAAATTCTTAATAATAATTGGAGACTTCAAAACCCATCTCTCAACAACAGATAAAACAACTAGACAGAAAATCAGCAAGGAATAGAATTTAACACAGTCCTACCTCAAAAGCATCTAATCAAAACTTACAGAAATTTCCACTCAACAACAACAGGATACACGTTCTTTTCAAGCATCCATGGAGCACTCACCAAGATAGACCATACCTTGAGGCATAAAACAAATCTCAACAAATGTTCAAGATTGAAATCCCACACTGTTCTCTGGCTACAATGAAATCAAAATAACAATAATAAAAATAGTAAAGATAATAGCAGAATCAATGAAATTGAAAACAAACCCAATACAGAAACAAAAAGCTGTTTATATGAAAAGTTCAATAAAATTGGCAAACCCCTAGTAAGGAAAAAGAGAAGATACAAATTACCCATCAGGAATAAAGCATGAGATATCACTAAAGACCTGGCAAACAACAAAAGATAAGAGAATATTACATACAACTCAATACAATACAATACAATATAATACACATCAATTTGACAACTTAGCTGAAATAGGCCAATTTCTCAGAAAGTACAAACTAACATAACTCATGCAACTTGAAATGGAGAACTTGGGAGATGCTCAACTATTAAAGAAATTGAATTCATAAATTTAAAATACCCCTAAAAATCTCCTGGCCCAGTTAATTTCACCAGTGAATGCCACCCAACATTTAAAGGACACGCATTCTACACAGTATTTTCTTAAAAAAAAAAAAAAACAGGACAAAACACTACCCAATTAATTTATGAAGTTAGTATTACCTTGATACTAAAACCAAAGAAAGGTAATATAAAAAAAGAAAACTACAGGCCGATATCCTTCATAAGTAGAGGCACAAAAATGTTTAACAAAGCATTAGCAACTAAAATTCAGAAATATAAAAAAATATAGCATGATATAAGTAAGGCATATTCCAGGATAAAAGATTGGTTTAATATCAATACTAAAATCAATCAAAATAATCCCTATCAGAAAATTAAAGAGGAGAACTTCTTCAACTTGATAAAGAGCATATAAAAACAAAAACAAAACAAAACAAAAACCTCCAACTACCATTGTTCTTAATGGTGAAAGACTGGTTGCTTTCCCCCTAAGACTGGGAACAAAGTAAATATAGCCACTCTCATCACTGTTATTCAATAAGGATTAGACACTGCAATAAGACACGACAAAAAGCATATACATTTTTAAAAAGAGCTAAAACTGTCACTATATGCAGATGACATTATGATCTATGTAGAAAACCCCAAGGAATCTAAAAAATAATATCCTAGAACTAATAAGTGAATTTAGCCAAATCTTAGGTTGTAAGCTCAATATACAAAACTGAACTACAGTCCTGCATTGCTTAGCAACGGTGATACGTTCTGAGAAATGCATCATTAGGGGATTTTGTCATTGTGCAAACACACAGTGTACTTACACAAACCTAGATGGTATAGCCTAGTACACACCCTGGCCATAAGGTACAGCCTATTACTCCTAGGCTACACACCTGTATAGCATGTTATTGTACTGAATACTGCAGACAATTGTAACACAATAGTAAGTATTTGTGTACCTAAACATATCTAAGCATAGAAAAGGTACAGTAAATATACCACATAAAAGATATTTTAAATGGTACACCTGTAGAGAGCACTGACCATGAATGGAGCTTGCAGGACTGGAAGTTGCTCTGGGTGAGTCAGTGAGTGGTGAGTGAATGTGAAGCCCCAAGATATTACTCTACACTAGTCTAGGCTTTATACACACTGTACACTTAGGCTACACTACATTTATTTAAAAATATTTTCCTTTCCTTAATAATAAGTTAACCTTAGCTCACTATAACGTTTTTACTATATAAACTTTTTTTAACTCTTTGACTCTTTTGTAATAATACTTAGCTTAAAATACAAACACATTATACAGCTGTACAAAAATATTTTATTTCTTTACATTCTTAATCTTATCTATATCTTTTCTATTTTTACGTATTTATTTATTTATTTTGCTTTTTAAACTTTTTGTTAAAGACTAAGTCACAAACACAAGCATTAGCCTAGACCTACACATGGTCAGGATCATCAATATCACTGTCTTCCACCTCCATATCCTGTCCAACTGGGAATCTTCAGGGGTAACGGCATGCACCGAGCTGTCATCTCCTAGGATAACAATGTCTTCTTCTGGATACCTCCTGAAGGACCTGCCTGAGGCTGTTTTACAGTTAACTATTTTCTAATAAATAGAAAAAATAAACTCCAAAGTAAGGATAAAACGCGTAGTATAGTAAATACATAAGCCAGTAACATAGTCCTTTATTATCATTACCAGGTATTATGTATTATACGTAATTCTATGTGCTATACTTTTACAAGACTGGCAGTACAGTAGATTTGTTTACATCAGTGTCACCACAAACACATGAATAATGCACTGACATGATGATGGCTACAGCGTCACTGGACACCAGGAATTTTTCAGCTTCATTATAATCTTACAGGACCACCATTGTATATGCGGTCCACCATTGACCAAAACATCACTGTGCAACTCATGACTGTATATTTCTATATTCTAGCAATGAACACTTGGATAACAAAATTTAAAAATATAATAGTATTTTAAATCATCCAAAAATGAAATATTTAGGTGCAAATCTAACAAAACAAGTACATGTGTTGTATGCGGAAAAATACAAAATGTTGATAAAAGAAATGAAAGAAGATCAAAATAAATGGAGAAACATACCATTTTCATATGCTGGACGTGTCAGTATAGTAAAGCTGTCAATTCTCCTAAAACTGATATAAAGTTAAAATACAATTTCTATCAAAACCCCAGCAATATACCTGCATATTTTTATAGACAAATGTTTGTGAAAATGCAAAGGAGCATGAAGCATTAAACATTTTTGAAAAAGAAGAATGAAGTGAAAGGAATCAATCTATCTGATTTCAAAACTTATTATATAACCCCAGTAATCAAGACTATGTGGTATTGGTGGAGGAACAGACAAAGAACAGTAGAGAACCCAAAAATAGACCCATGCAAATACATCCAACTGATTTTTCACAAAGGTGCAAAAGCAATTCAATCAAGGAAAGCTTTTCAATGAACAATTAGATGTGCATAAGCAGAAAAAAAACAAAAACTCCAAAACCTTGGCCTAAACCTCAAACCCTAAACAAAACTTAACTCAGGGTCTTTTGCATGTAAAATATAAAACTATCAAACTGGCCGGGCGCAGTGGCTCACGTCTGTAATCCCAGCGCTTTGGGAGGCTGAGGCAGGTGCATCATTTGAGGTCAGGAGTTCAACACCAGCCTGGTCAACATGGTGAAACCCCATCTCTATTAAAAATACAAAAATTAGCCAGGCGTGGTGGTACACGCCTGTAATCCCAGCTACTCGGGAGGCTGAGGAAGGAGAATCACTAGAGGTTGCAGTGAGCCAAGATTGTGCCACTGCACTCTAGCCTGGGTGACAGAGCAAGTCTCCATCTCAAAAAAAAAAAAAAAAAAATTAAACTATAAAAAAAAGGAAAGTATTTGGGATCTAGGACTAGACAAAGAGAACTTTATATAGTATAACCTACAAAAAAATGAAAAATTGGACTTTATTAAAGTTAAAAATGTTTGCTTTGAGAAAAAGCCTATTAAGAGGATGAAAATACAAGTTATGTACTTGTAGAAAATATTTGCAACCCACACGTCTAACAAGGACTAGTACCAGACATATATAAAGAATTCTCAAAACTCAGCAGTAAAAAAATCAAACTTACCATTTAGAATATGGGCAAGGATCTGAACAAACATTTCACTGAAAAGGATATAGAGATGGCAAAAAAGTACATGACAGTGTGTTCAGCATCACTAACCACAAGGAAAATGTACACTTAAACCACAGTGAGATATCACTATATGAAAATAAAAAATAGTGATAACAGCAAATGCTAGTGAGTGTGTGGAGAGACTAGCACACATACATTGATGGTAGGAGAGTAAAATGGAACAAGAACTCTAGAAATTTGAGTTAACAATCATTTGACAATTTGACAACTAAACATATAGCCACCATACAAACCAGTCACTGCTTACTTACGCTCGTGTCCCAGAAAAATCAAAACTTGTGTTCACACAAAAACCCATCCACAAATGTTTTATCAGCTTTATTCATAATTAAAAAAAAAAAACTGGAAACAACCCAGATATTCTTCAGTGGGTAAAGGGTTAAACAAATTGGTACTCCTTAGGCTGGGCATGCTGGCTCATACCTGTAATCCCAGCACTGTGGGAGGCCAAGGCGGGAGGATCACGAGGTCAGGAAACCAAGACAATCCTGGCCAACACAGTGAAACCCCATCTCTACTAAAAATACAAAAAAGTAGCCGGGCGTGGTGGCACATGCCTGTAGTCCCAGCTACTCGGGAGGCTGAAGCAGGAGAATCGCTTGAACCCGGGAAACGGAGTTGCAGTGAGCCAAGATCGTGCCACTGCACTCCAGCCCAGGCGACAGAGCAAAACTTCATCTCAAAAAAAAAAAAAAAAAAAAAAAAATCAGTACTTTCATACCATGAAATACCACTCAGCAATAAAAAGGAGCAAACCATGGGTACATGAAACAACTCAAGTCAATCTTCACAGATTTATGCTGAGCAAAAAAACCCAATCCCAAAACATTACATCCCGCATCATTCCACTTATGTAACATCACTGAAATAGCAAGATTAGAGAAATAGAGAATGGAGGAGTGGTGGTCAGGCTTAAGAACAGGGTTGGGGGTCTCAAAAGGGAAGGATTTCTGCCTCGATCTGGCACCCTCCTTTCTCTGAACCACCCCCTTCTGCATCATGATGGGCATGGGACGGACAAGAGCTCCTCTCAACAGAACCAGACCTGTCTCTGGCCAAAGGGAATTTCCAAAGATGTGTCTCCAGAAGCAGAATAAGAGAGGTTTGATTTGAGCACATAAGTATTTCAGCGAATCACTCTCTTTGAAAATGATGAGAGAGACAGGATTTTTGAAATTTCCAGGTCTGTCCTGGGATGTAGATTGGGTTCAATAGGCCATGTCCACCAGGAAATTTCTAAAGTCAGGTTATTAAAAGGCTGGCAGGGTGGGAACTCACAGTACTGCTGGACTGCAGCCCCAGACACTGAGATGAATGCCGAGTCTTTTTTGACAGGAATCGCAGCCTCTCGTGCAGATTCATTTATCGAAAGGAGGTAATGGGAATGGGAAAGAAACTCTGCTCTAATTTCATAACATGTAGCTCTCAACATCTTTAAACTCCAGGACCGCCTTTGCAGTTGAGCTTCTCTGGAAATATGCTACTCCCTGAAAGGACATATGCACAGCCATGCTGAGGCAGGGTGGATGTGCTCACCCAGGATGCAAGTTTGGAACATGGGCCCTAGAACTGCAGGTTGGGGGCTGTAAGGGCCTCAGGGTCAATGAGTGTCACTCAGCCAAGGCATGCATTCTGTGGATCTCTTTGGACACTTACACTCTCCCAATTCTGTCCCCTCTGGGGTGGTGCTGGGCAGCTCCTGTTCCAGGGGATGCCCTCCTCATCCCCACCTGCTGTAGGGCTCAGACGTTGCTAGGCCCTGAAGGAGATAGTAAGGAGGAAGCAGACATGAGCTGTGATCTCACAGAGCTGACATCTGAGGTGACAGAGAAAACCCTACATAACGTTGTATGTCCTGGAGTAGGACCAGGTGCTGGAATGGACTCCAGACTGCAGGTGCTCTGGGACACTAACCTCATGGGAACTTGCAGTGCTGGCTGCACAGGAGTGGGTGGCAGGTCAGCATCACCCCAGCCACTGATGCTTTGAGGTAGGACTGAATCCTGGCACCACTGCTTAATAGCTGGTGATGCTGAGCTAGACATCACCTCTCTGCCTTGGTTTTCTCAGCTGTAAAATGGGGATCGTTATACCCGCCTTTCTGGACTGAGTTAAGATTCAACATGACATTAAGCACATCAGCACAGTACAATGTGTGGAAAAGCAGAAAAGAGTGAGGGAGAAGACCCATCGCACTCACCCACACCAGCTCCCTCCCAAGTCCTGAAATTCCCACAGTAGCCTCATTCCTCAGGGGCCTTCTAGAGCCAGGGCCGTTTTAACTCCCAGAATTGGTATCCCTTGGGAAGAGAATGAAATGAGCCAGACATTCCTAAATTTGATGAATTAGCCCACAACTCCCCAGAAGCACTGTTGAAAGTAGGGGCCCTCAGAATGAGATGTGTGGGCTCGCTGGAGACCAGGGGAGACCGGGGAGCTGCATCCGGGCTGTGCACCGCAGGCCCTGACAGGTGGGCTCAGGAGGCCGCGGGGCTTGGCGATCTTGCTCTGGGCAGTGGAGGGTGCATTCGTCTGCTCACCCCAACTCTCCAGCGGACATTTACTGAGAATGGGAGGCAGGACCATGGAAATTCCATTCCCACGCGGCCCATGGGTTTGAGGGGAAAATCTTACCTGGATTTTTGTTGTTATGCTGCCATTCCCTAGTTGTGTGATTGCTTTTTCTCAGTCTCTGCTAGGCTCAGTTTCTTCATCTTTAAAATGGGAATAACAGCTCTCATCTCCTCTCAGGTGGTGAAGGATTAAATGGTACTGCTCCTGAGAGGCTCTGTTTCCTGTTGGATGAATGAGTAGAGGGAACAAGGACACCCTTTGCCCCTGCTGGCCCCCAACCACCCGTGCCCTCCTTGTCATCCTCTCCATGGAACTTCAGACTGTCCCACCGGCCCCTGTACCCCTAGTCCAATCCTTCAAGTCCCTCTTCTACACGGCCACCCGATCTGACCGCAGCTCTCCTCCTCAGCTCACAACCCTTCAGTGGCTCCCTGGTACCATGAGGCTAGGGCCCAAGTGCCTTACACTGACCCTCTCTGGGAGCTGGAATCTGCCACACTCCTGTGAACCTCAAATACCTGAGACAGGTCTCAGTCAATTTAGAAAATTTATTTTGCCAAGGTTAAGGACACACGCCTGTAACATGGCCTCAGGAGGTCCTGCCGACAGGTGCCCAACGTGGGCAGGGCTCAGCTTGGTTTTATACATTTTAGGGAGACATGAGACATCGATCAACATATGTAAGAGGAACTTTGGTTCCATTGGAAAGGCAGAGAGGGCTTCCAGGTTGTAGGTAGATAAAAGACAAGCAGCATTCTTTTGAGTTTCTGATTAGCCTTTCCAAAGGAGGCAATCAGATATGCGTCTATCTCAGTGAGCAGTGGGATGACTTTGAATAGAATGGGAATCAGGTTTTCCCTAAGCAGTTCCCAGCTTGATTTTTCTCTTTAGCTAGTGATTTGGGGGTTCCAAGATTTATTCTCCTGCCACACTCCCCAGCCTCATCCCATATCCTCCTTGACTGGAACCTCCTATTGCCCCAACCCCATGCCTTAGGCATGCCCTGCTCCCCCTGCAGACAGGCATGCACATGCAGACTTAGCTCAGCTCAGGGCACCTCTGACCCCATCTCAGCTACATGTGGTCCTTCCCACTTTGAGCCCTTGCAGCAGCCAGGGAAACACCATCCTAGCACTTATAGCTTCTTATCATGAGTGTGTCCTGCTGTGTCTGCTCCAACTCCAGGTGGTGATCAAGGCTCAAGTGTTATTTATGTATCTCCATAACCTCGGCCAGAGCAAGGCTGGAAGAGGTGGGGAAGCCAGGGGAGGGGCGAGAAGAGAAAGGGGAGGGAGGGAGAGAAGAATGGAGGGGGAGGGGAGAGAGGAAGAAACAGGGAGGAGGAAGGGAGGAGGGGAGGGTAGGAGAGAGAGGGGCAGGAAGGGAGGAGGGGAGGGTAGGAGAGAGAGAGGCAGGAAGGAAGGAAGGGAGGGTGAACTGAGGGATGGAAATGAGGTAGAGAGGGAGAAAGGGGAAGGCAGAGAGGGAGAAAGGGTGGAGGAGGGAGAGAAGGGGAAGAGGCAGAAAAGGAGGGAGAAAGAAAGTTAGCCAGTTAACTAATTAGTTAGGTAGCTGGTCACTAAAATGAGGCCAATCAAATAGAACGATTCGACCCACAGGAGTAGACTCAAACTTGACATTGTGAGCTTAGTCGTGAGATAACCAATCAGACCCTGAGAAGCAAGTTCATCCTTGGGCCATGGTGCCAAGAACTATGATGGCTTCCATCCATCTTGAGCCGCTTTTGTTATCCAAATTATAGCATGCAAGACAGAAGCAGCATAATGAGGTCCTGTGCATTCTCTGGGGGGATGGGGGAAGAGGGGTGGGAGAGGAACAAAGGCCTCCAACCTCCCAGGACGGAGGCTCCCTCGTTTACTTGGGCAGCCCCAGCTTCCTTTGAAAGCAAGAAAGGAGCACGGTCCACTGCCATGGCAACCACCCTCAGCCATCCTGGGACTGGGACGTGACAACTTACTGTGAGCCGTCCAGAGGCCAGGTTTCCCCAGTTTCCAGCCACACAGGAATAGAAGCCCTTTAAAAGGAATGACAGATGACACTTTTTAGGATCTGGCTCAACCACCAGTGACGGCTGGGGAAAACCTCTGTCCTCACCTACCATCTGCTCCATTACAGGGTGTAATTTCCCTGTCCTGGATGCCAATTTGAAAGCAGCCTGTAACTATAAAGCAAAAAAGATGCTAACCAGGGCTTATGAGTAAGTAGAAAAAAGGAGACATCACCTTCTTGCTCACATTGAGGTTTGAACTTGTGGCTGTCAGCAGGAGGCAGCAGATGCAGGCACCTCTGCGTCCTTCCCCCGGAGCCCAGGTTCACTCACAGTCACTGTGACCCACTGGGGGGTCAGTCCTGGTGTAGACAGTGGGCACTGATCTTAGATAAAGTTCCTTGGTACCACCACTGGGATAAGAATTTTTTATGCTATTCTCATTCAGCCATTGCCATGACCCTACAAGGAAGGTATCCTAAGTGAGTTGTGTGCATTCATAAAGCTCAGGTGGCAGAAGTGGCAGTGGGTTCTGCCAAAATCCATTCTTCCCATCCTCTCTAATAATAGGACTGCAGTTTGGCAATGGCTGGAGAGCTACACCGCATGCCTCAGCTCCCGCTGCACTCAGGTGGGCCCTAATGGGAGCAGAAGAGGTGGGGTCACTTGTTGACCAAAGCGTTTACAACTGGGGCTTGGCTGTTCCTTCATCTGGGTCCTCTTCCTACAAACTTGAGCATGGAAGGAGCTAGGACCCAGCCTTCATCACACAGGTGAGAACAGTGCTGAAGGAGGTGGGGAAGAAACAGTGTGGAAGGAACTCGGATCTCTGAATCAGCATGTGGAGCTGAGCCACCTGCTGACCCTAATCTCGGACCTTAGTGAGAGACAAACCTGGCCTCATGTGAGCCTCTGCCCATGGTTTGTACTGGTCACTTCACTCAGTGTCCTGTCAGATCAACAGAGACTAGGTATTTCAAACAGTAGGAATTTAATATGGAGAACCAGTTACAAACGTGTTGGAAGGTTGGAAAATTAGAAAGGGGAAGCTGAGGTTCTGCAGAGACTATGAACTGTGGGAAGCTGTCGTCACCCCTAGAGCTGGAGAAGCAAAAGAGAAAATGGCATATCCCAGAGCCCAGGATCACTGTGCCTCTGAGGCTATGGAGCACATGCTGCTGCTGCTGTGACTGTTGGAACCATCATCACAAATTAGCAATCAACAAGGGGGCTTCCCTCCCACGGACACCGTCTGTGCCAGAGTTCATGAGTGAGATGCTGCTGGAATCGGTCATCTTAGGGAGGAACCCAAGAGGCTCTTACAGCTGCAAGAGGCAGCAGAAGAGGCAGGAAGAAAATAAAATGGTTTCTCTCTTTCTCCACCTTCCAGTCTCCTGCCGGGGTTTCCCATTGGCAAGATTAAACTGGAAGGCAAGTTAGTTTGCAGGCTTCCTGCTCCCTGTGACCCAGATGGATCTGGGACCAGAGACCAGGAAGCAGCACACTGGGCTAGTGAAAGGTCTGCTACTGGGGTTGGCAGATGTCTCCACTTCTGACTGACTAACAGTGGCTTTCCAGGATGCTGCACTAAGAGGCTAGAGGAGGGGAGGACAATCAAGGGTCCACGTCTCCAGTCCACCAGGGCAGAGACAAGGCCAGAACCGGGAGGGCAGCACGGGGATTGGTGAAAGGGATGTTCTCAGGCAAAGTCAGGCCTGGGCTCTATAGGAAAGGGGCCTGAAGGAGCAGTGTGCTCCTTAGATCACAGGAGCAGTGATCTAAGCCAGCATGCACTCAACAGCTCCTCAATGTCAGGCACCACGCTGCACCCTGCAAATACACTTCCCTCACATGAACTTCATGACGGTCCCATTCAAGAGACATTTTCACTCCATTTTACATTGAGAACATTGACATCTGAGTTATGTAAACTCACTCAAGAGTTAAGTGGCAGAGGTGAACTTGTCACCCAAATCTGACTCTAAGCTTATTGACTTTGTCTCAGAACATCCCTCTCACCAATCCCCCTGCTGCCTTCCCAGTTCTGGCCTCGTCTCTGCCCTGGTAGACTGAAGACAAGGACCTTTGATTGTCCTCCCCTCCTCTCGCCATATGACTCCCTAGGCTAGGCCTTCACTCAGTCTGGATGATTCTTCTGAAACCAGATCTGGCTACATCATTCCCAATGGAACACAGATGCAAATGCCACCATCTGACATTGTCCCCAGCCTCTTCAGGGCTCACCCCAGAGATTCCCTTTCAGCAGATACTGGGGGAACCTGTCAATCTGCCTTGGGAAAGTCCCTGGGGACTCCAACTCTCTGCCCACTCTAGGGAGCCCAAGCCTTGGGTCCAGGCGGCATCGGAAGGCCCCTGGTCCAGCCTCTGCCTGCCCACACAGCCTCGCCACTCAACCCTTCAGCCTAGAATGTCAGCATCTTAGCCTACTTAGGCTGCTGTAAGAGAATGTCACAGACTGACTGGCTCAGACCACAGACACTTGTTTTTCATTTCTCACAGCTCGAGAGGCTGCAAGCTCGCGACCAAGGCATCAGCGGTGTTGGTTCCTGCAGAAGCCTCTCCCCGGCTTGTAGATAGCTACCTTCCAGCTGAGTCCTCACATCGCCCTTCCCTGGTGCCTCTGTCTCTCCTTATAAGGACACAAGTCAGACTGGAGTAGGACCCCATGCCAGGACCTCGTTGGCTTTAATCATCCCCTTAAAGCCCCTGTCGTCTTCAAATACCAGTACCACATTGGAGGTTAGGGCCTTAAGAAAGAAATTTGGGGTGGAAACAATTCCATTCCTAACAGGTGGGTAGAGGCCACGAGCATGAGTCTGGACCTGAGATAAGCCTGTTTTTGAAGTCACAGCTTTGCCATTCCCTTGCCGTGTGTCCTTGGCAAACCTCCATCTGTTTCTGAGTCTCATCTGAGAAGTGGGAACAAGGTGTCTTCAAACACAGGAAGGTAAAAGATTTAAAGGCGGCAGTGTATGGAAAGCCCCAGGCACTCAGTGGGCCTTGTGTAAAGGCAGATTGTCACGAGCCACGTCTCCACCCTCACAAATGCCCTAATTACCCACCAGTCTCTCTCCTCTTCCCCTCTCTGTCCAGCACTTGGCATTTCCCCAAAGTGGCACAAGACCTTCAGCAATTCTATGCATGAGGTAGGCAGGCCCTCCTGGCCCTGTATGCAGATGAAAGAGAGCGATTGCCTGGCCCAGGGCCACCTACAGATGTGGATGCTCAAGCAGGGAGAGGCCTCACGTCTCCTGACTCCATGCCCCATGCTGTTTCATTCACTAGGGGGTTTTCAAGTCCCACAGTGACTCAATGTAAGTCTTTAAAAACCAAAGTGTTCCTTGATAGAACCCGTTAAATACAAAAAGAGGGAGAAAGAGAAAAGAGACATTCTCTCTTTCCAGAAAGTCTTGGACAGCAGGTTTTGGTGTGAAAAGTCAGCAGATCAGAGCCATCTACACTGCTGGACACATGGCAAGGAGTGGAGCAGCATTGAATCTCCATCACCAGGAGGCATCTGGATCCTGGGTCATGGGGAACTCTGTGTGATGACATTGCTGCATTTGTTCACCAGGAAAGTAAAAGAAACATCCTTGATGCTGGAAACATCTGGGACCAGCTCTCAGAGCACAGAAATCTGGCCAACCTGTCCATCATTTGGCAGAGCACTGGTCAGAAGCCCAGGCCTCTGGGCTGGTCCTGACTCTGACATGGAGCCTATGATCTCAGGGAAGTTCTGCTCCATGCACAGCCTGACTTCCTGGTCAGCAGAAGCAGCCTGTAGTACATGGTCAGCTGTGCACGTGACCTGTCCACTCGACTAGGCATGAGAGATACCTTGCCTGCTCATGGCAGGGGAGGACTGGGCCATGGCATCAGGAATCCCTGCACTGGGGTCTCTGGGTCACAGAGAAACTGGCAGGCTCAGAGCCCAAACTCACCACTCACAGCCTTGCATCCTATCAAAGATTTGCAAGGAAATGTGGATGGACATGCAAGGACGGCTCTGAGGGGCCATGGGATGTGTTGACTTTTCACACCAATACCTACTGTCCAAGACTTTCTGGAAAGAGAGAATATCTCTTTTCTGTCTCTCCCTCTTTCTGTATTACGGGTTCTATCAAGGAAGCCTTTCATTTTTAAAGACTTAAACTGAGTCACTCTTGGACTTGAAAACCCCCTAGTGGATAGAACAGCACGGGGCGTGGAGTCAGGAGACACAAGGCCTCTGCCTGCCTGAATATCCAAGGCACAAGCCTGGAGGAAAGGGCGGAGAGCAGAGGATAAGCCACAGCCAAATCTGTTGCCCCCACACTGGCTATCCGTACTTGGCTGTTGGGTGCAATCCTGACGGTTCTCCCACAGGATCTGTTGGAGAGGGCATCCCAGCACACCCCTCGGCAGCCCTTGCTGGGTAAGACCAGCACTGATGAGCACTCCAGACGCCTCGTGCAGTACTCCACACGAGTACTCCACACATGCCACCGGAGGAAGAGCTATCAGCAGCCCCCACTAATTTTCTAGGAGGAAAATGAGGCCCTAGAGTCCCAGTGACATGCCCCAGGTCCCTTGCTAGGACAAGCAGAGCAGATGTTCAGGCCACTGTTCATGTCAATATGAAATAACATATAGAGAGGTGAATCTCCAAGCAGACAGTTTATTTGGGAATAATGTACAAGAATTGCCACTCGGGACTCAAATTTGGGTGGCCCCTAGGTGTGTTCGAAGAACAAAGTGAAAGCCTGGGGTTTCCTTGCAGAAGAGAGGAAGGTTCTGTAAAGCTGTTCTGAAAGTTCTTTCCTCAGTGGGGGTGGTGTCCTGCAGGAGCCAGCGAGTCCTGAGGGAGAATGGCAGCAGTTCCCAGTAAAACTTGAAAGCTTAGGGTCATGGCAGGCCCATGCGGGTTTTGGACTGGCCTTGCGGGACAGTTCCGGGAGTAGGCGTTTGTGACCTGGGTGTTTTTCCCTAAGGCCCCCAACTCTGTTTTAGTTAGATGTGATAAAAATGTCTCCATTTTGTATAATCAATTTTCACATCCCAAAGGCAGTGCAGGGGCTGAAATGTGGGACTAAAGGACAAAGAAACATCCTGCCCTGAGGCCCTATTGTCCTAGTTCCCAGTACTGGAGCCACATTCCAGGGTCCCTGCTGTGAGCTGCCAGGCTGGCTCATGAATTATTCATCATCCCATGCTTCACAACCAATCTGTGGATTGTGTTTGTTATTTACTGAATTGTGTGTAGAGCTTAGCGATAGGGTGCTTTGAATTGGCCCAAACCCACCAGGGCAAGGCTGCTTTGCTCAGCCCACACCAGGGCCCTGGCTTCACTTCCCGTAACACGGTCATTCATCTGTGTTTGCTCAAAACCTGGAAATGCCCATCTCAGCTGTGGGTTTTAAAGGCATGAAAACCAAAATTCTATTCTAACTTTGTGGGAAATGAAGCTGCATTTGTTTTCTATGACAAATGTAACAAATCACCATGAATTCAGTGGCTTTAACCGGCCCACATATATTATCTCACAGTGCAGGAGGTGAGAAGTCCAAAACAGCCCTCACTGGGCTAAAAGGAAGGCATCAGCAAGATCGCATTTCTTTCTGGAGGCTCTGGGGGAGAATCTGTTTCCTGCCCTTCTGGCTTCCAGAGGCCACCCACGTTTCTCAGACCAGGGGCCCTTCCTCTTTCAAGACGGCAATGGCTGGCGGAGCCGCTCTCGCATTGCAGCACCCAGCTCTCACCTCTTGCCTCTCTCTCCACTTGCAAGGATGCTTGTGATTACACGGGGCCCCCCGAGATAATCTAGGGTAAGCTCCTTGCCTTGAGGTCAGCTGATGAGCAGGCTTCATTCCATCTGCAACCTTCACTTTCCCTTGCCAGGCAACCTAGCACATTCTCAGAGACTAGGATGTGGATATCTTTGGGGCCATTATTTAGCCTGGCATAGAAATGGAAAAGAAAGCCTGGTCTGGGAAGACTTCCACGGGCTGTTTCCATCATCCTGCAAAACCCAAAACCCCCTCCCCAGTATTCCCAGTGAATGCTCATCCAGCCACAGCTTGAACACATGTGGGTGGCATCCTCACTACCAGAGGCCACCTCTCCAGCCCTTTGGGTGCTCCTGAGCCACTAGATCCAAGCTCTGCGCTTCGGAAGGATACCAGGTACATCTGCAAAGTGCACCTGATCCCTTATCCCAACGTCAGCACTTGGTGTGTTTGAAGAGACGCTATGCCCCCTACGTCCTCTCTGCAGCTGTGGAGGCCAGCAAGTCCACCCCAACAACCTTCCACCATTCCAGGCATCACTCACCAGCACAACTCCCACTGGCAATGTCTCTTCTTAACCATGGCAACCAGACTATTACAGATGTTACTGAGCTCCTATATGTGCCTAAACGGAGCCCAAGTGTCAAGTAATATCTATGTGAGCCTATGAGGTTTCATGGTCATCCCTTCTGCAGATAGGGAGACTGGGACTCATACAAAGTCACTCACCCACGATCACACAGCCAAGTGACTCAGGAGAGGCTGCATCTAGATCACAGCCTGTGTCTGTCCTCCTGCCTTGGTGCTCCCATCTCTAGTCTAGCCCATGCTTTCTGCTGAGAAGAACACTGAACCAGAGGCAGAGATATAGGGTTTTTTTTGTTTTGTTGTGTTTGTTTGTTTGTTTTTTTGAGATGGAGTCTCACTGTGTCACCCAGGCTGGAGTGCAGTGGCACGATCTCAGCTCACTGCAACCTCCGCCTCCTGGTTCAAGTGATTCTTCTGCCTCAGCCTCTTGAGTAGCTGGGACTACAGGTGCACGCCACCACACCTGGGTAATTTTTGTATTTTTAGTAGAGACGGGGTTTCACCATGTTGGCCAGGCTGGTCTCAATCTCCTGACCTTGTGATCCACCCCTCTCGGCCTCCCAAAGTGCTGGGATTACAGGCATGAGCCACCGCACCTGGCCGGCATGTAGGTTTTATTCCCAGTTAACCCATTTGTAATTGTGTGACTTGAACTTCACATTTCCCTGTTGTGAATGGGACTGCCAGCAACTCCTCAAGGCTATGCGAGGATCAGACAGACCAGCCACGAGAGAGCCTGGGAGCCTGGGAAGAGGACAGGGCCTCCTGGCTTCTGTCGTGTCACATCCTGTGCTCCGTTTACACACATTCCCTGGCAGCACCCTCTTGCTCCTGGCCTCTCCCAAGCTGGCTGTCCCTGAAAACTCTCAAGCTGTCAGAGTGTGCACCTGGAGGCCCAGAGGAACACTCAATTGCAGTGGGGAGGTGTCAGGGTCTGGAGATCCTGTCCAACCAAGTGTCAACACTCCTGGCCCTTTAATGTCCTATTTCCATACAGCAGAGCTGACGTGTGCCCAGCACTGTAGAGGCACTGGCACCCCTGGAGGCCAATCTTTCCTCCAAGAAGGGAGACAGGCATGTGGACAACCTGTTTCAACAGAGTGCTGATGCAGGGGGTCCCGACATGAGGAGAGGCCCAGTGCCACCCAGAGGAGAGTGGTGGAGTAGAGGCTGAGAGGATCGAGGGAGTTGGCCTCACCAAGGAGAGCAGCAGCAGGCCTGCATCCCAGCCAGGAGGAATGGCCTGGACATGAGCTCCGTTCAGGGTGTCTCTGAGACCCAGAGAACAGGCAAAGGAAAAGGTGGAATGTGAGTCTCAGGAAAGAGATCCGCCTTGGATGAGGAGGCTCTTCTGGGCTAGTATTTATTCCCCCAAGTGTGGATTTGCATGCAAATCTCAGGAAATACAGAACACCACAAAACCTTTGTCTCTGTAATAAACCCACTTTAAATCTGTCTCAAAACAGGATTTTCTTTTGTCCCAAACCAAGTAAAATAACTTGACTCAGATCTTAGTCCACATTCCAATCTCCTCCTTCTCTGTAGAAGCTTTAGAAAGCTCTCCACGTGGCCGGGCACGGGGTGGCTCACGCCTGTAATCCCAGCACTTTGGGAAGCCAAGGTGGGTGAATCATGAGGTCAGGAGATCGAGACTATCCTGGCCAACATGGTGAAACCCCGTCTCTACTAAAAATACAAAAATTTGCTGGGCGTGGTGGCATGTGCCTGTAGTCCCAGCTACTTGGGAGGCTGAGGCAGGAGAATCACTTGAACCTGGCAGGAGGAGGTTGCTCGCACCACTGCACTCCAACCTGGTGACAGAGCGAGACTTCATCAAGAAAGAAAGAAAGAAAGGGAGGGAGGGAGGGAGGGAAAAAGGAAGGAAGGAAGAAAGGAAGGAAGGAAGGAAGAAAGGAAGGAAGAAAGGAAGGAAGGAAGGAAGGAAGGAAGGAAGGAAGGAAGGAAGGAAGGGAGGGAGGGAGGAAGGAAGGAAGGAAAGAAGGACTCCACTTTCAGGCCTGAGCCCGGGATTGGCCACTGCTGCCCTTGCTGTTGTTTTGCTTCTCCCCTGGCACTTTCTGCTCTGAATCACTAGGACCCAAAGTGAGAGGCGGGGCTGTGGCCAATCCAGGGTAGGGAGGGGCTAGGCAGGGAGGGGGAATGCCACGGGGCTGGCATGTCCTTCTCAACTCACCATGGCAGGCAGGGCCTCATCAAAGCCTTTCAAGTGAGAATATTGAAAGACTTTTTAAAGTGCTAACACATACTAACACCAGAAGAGTGTTCTAATCACCACTCCCGCCCCCACTCCAAGAAACAAGAACTGGATTCCTGTCCACCACTGCAAAGAACCCCAGAGAGACTGTCTTTGGAGGCCGAGGAGGTGAAGAGGCAACCGCCGTGGAGGGACGATTCACCCAGATGTCTACAAACTACCAACACACAATTGGAAATCAAAATATATATTTTCTAAAATACGGTTTTCATAGCATTAAAAGAAACCAAACACTTAGGAATAGATCTCACAAAATATATGCCTAATTTGTATACTAAAAGTTCTCAAGCATTGATGACAGAAATGTTAAAAGGTCTAAATGTGTGGAGAAGTATTGAACGCATGGGTTAGAAGGCTCGACATTGTTAAGATGGCAGTTCTTCCCACACTGATCTATAAATTCAAGGCAAACCCATTAAGAATTTCTATAGACTTTTGAGAAGTAAATTAACAGGTGGGTTCTAAAACTTAAATTGAAAAGCAAAAAATGTCAGAATAGCCAAAACAATTTGGAAGAAAAAAAGAAGAAATTTGGAGGAATCTCACACCAGACGTAAATACTAAATAAAAAGCTACAGTATTCATAATAGTGTGGTATTAGAATAAGGACAGGCATAGAGATTGATAGAATATAATTGAATTGAGAGTTCAGGGATAAAGTCACACATATATGATCAATTAATTTTCAACAGCATGCCAAGCAATTCAACAGGGAAAGTTCACTCTTTCCAACAAAGAGTCAGAAACATCAGGACATCCTTATTTTAAAATGCACCACAACCCTTCCCTTGTACCTTATCCCGAAAACAAAAAACCAAAAAAACTAACTGAAATACAGTATAAGCCTAAATGTAAAACCAAAGCCTAAACCTCTTAAGAGATAGGAGAAAAACATGTGTGCTTGGATTCGGCAAACATGTTTCAATAGGACAAAAAAAGGCACAAAACTACAAATGAAAAAAATTGATAAACTGGACTTCGTCAAAATCAAAACTTCTGTTTTTTGTAAAACACTGTTTTAAGAAATGGAAAGTCAAGCCACAGACTTGGAAAAACACATTTTCTTTTTTTGAGACAGGATCTCACTCTGTCACCCACACTGGAGTGCAGTGGCACGATCTCGGCTCACTGCAACCTTCGCCTCCAGAGTTCAAGCCATTCTCCTGCCTCAGCCTCCCAAGTAGCTGGGATTACCGGCGCCTGCCACCATGCCCAGCTATTTTTTGTATTTTTAGTAGAAACGGGCTTTCACCATCTTGGCCAGGCTGGTCTCGAACTCCTGACCTCAGGTGATCCACCCATCTCGGCCTCCCAAAAGTTCTGGGATTACAGGGGTGAGCCACTGTGCCCAGCTGGAAAAAAAAAACATTTTAAAAACATGTATCTGATAAAGGACCTTCCTGAAATATTGAAAGAACATTTATAACTTTATAATAAGAAGACAAACAATTCAATATGGAATATAGACAAAAGATTTTGGACACTTCACCAAAAACTATATGTGAGTGGCAAGTGCATACAAATGCACAGTACTATTAGTCATTAAGGAAAGAAAATTAAAATTATAATGAAGTATTGCTAAAATTACACACCCCCAGAATTGCTAAAATTACAGTGACCACACCAAATACTGGCAAGAATGTGGAGCAACTGAAACTCTCATCCATTGCTGGTGGGAGTGCAAAATGGTACAGCCACTTTAGAAAAGAGTTTAGCAGCTACTTATAAAGTATAACACACACTTATCATGCATCCCAGCAATGCCTCTCCTGTGGATTTACTCAAAAGAAAGAAAAACATATGTTCGCATGCATATCAGCTTACTCATAATAGCCAAAAAGTGAGAACAACTAAATGTCCATCAGACAATAAAACCAAAAATATGTGTGGTATAGGCAAACAATGGAATTCTACTGAGCAGTATAAAGGAATGAACTAGGAACACATGCAGTGACGTGGATGAATCTCATAGACGTTATTGTAAATGAAATGAATCAAACACAAAATAATATATAAGTTTACACTTATATTGCACTCTGAAAAAGGCCAAATTCAGGGAAAAAAATCAGATCACTGATTGCCAGGGGTAGGCTGGAAACAGAGCACTGACTGCAAAAGGATGAGGAGGAAACTTTTGGGTGATGTAAGTGTTCTAGATCTTGTGTGAGGTCGTGTTTACCGGGCTGCTGATATTTGTCAAAACTCAGTGAAGTGAGCACTCTGCAGGGATACATTTTACTGTTTGCAAATTGTACATCAATAACTGACTTCTAAAAATAAGCAAGTTGAAGCAGGAGACACTTGGTATGTTACCATTTGTATAAAAGAATAATAAAAATAGCTACAAATTTAATGAGCCGAACATCCAACCAAAGAGGTTAGAAAAATAGCAAAAATATACTCTAAGAGGAAGAAAGGAAATAAGAGCAACAAGTGCAGAAATTAATGTAATAGAAATTAAATATAAAACAGAACACACAATTTTTTAAAAGCCAAAAGTTGTTTCTTAGAAAGAACAAATAAAATAGCCAAATTTCTTGCAAGCATAATCAAGCATTTAAAAAGAGGAGGATTGATAATGGGGCAGAACTACAGATACAGCAGAAATTTTCAAAACAGTAAAGCAAATGAACAATGTACAAATTCCCAGAAAAATAAAACTAATTAAATAGACACCAAAAGAGAGACCCTGCATCACTAAAAAAATGAAAACAGCAGTTTAAGATCTTTTCCTAGAGAAAACCAGCAGTCCCAGATGGCCTGAAAGAGTCCCTAACACAAAACTGCCAGTTTCATCCAAATTGATCTAAGGATTCAACATCATTTCAATCCCAACAATGATGTCTGTGGGACTCCACAGGGTTATTCTTAAGTGGAAATGCAGATGCCCATAGGGAGCCAGAACAACGCCGGGGGTGGGGGGCGCCGCGAGCTGACCTTCCAGAGACCAGATGTCCAAGTCTGAATAATTAAGATAAATGCTATTAGTGCAGGGGGAGGCGACTCACCAATGGACAGGAACTAGAGGGCCAAGAGCCCCCAAGCAGGTAACGAAGTTATTTCAGCGCCCAGAGCCTTCGGGTGCAGCAGGGAGGCCATCACCTCTGGATTGGAGGTGATTGCAATCCCAGCAGGTTTGGGGGAGTGGAGGGGCAGGATTCCTGATAGAACAGGCTCAAGAAGGAATGAGAGAGGGAAGCTGGAGACAGCAACAAGGTCCAGAGCTGCTCCGAAGTGTTGCTGCAAAGGGGAGCAAAGACATGGGTGAGAGAGCAGGCCTGGGAAGGGCACCCAAGAGGGTGGCTTCATCTGTTTGCTTGCGTGCTGGTTGGTTTGCTTTAAAGGAGAGCAGGAGAACGTGATGGTGCAGAAAGAGGGGAGAAATGCTGGAGAAGGTCCTAGCGCTGGTGGGAGATGATGGGGACAGACATGGAAAGGAGCAGAGAAGGCACAGCCCTCCGGGCGCAGGTGCGGGAGGAGCAGGAGTGCAGGCAGATGGCATTGTAGGAAGGTGGAAGGTGCGACACAGGCTGCTCTGGGTGCTCCTCTGATAGGGAGAGTGGTTTGAGGAGCAGAGAGATAGCGAGGAAGTAGCCTGGAACGTGGGCACCCATGCAGGGAAACAGGCACACAGGCTGGGCTATCCTGGGGGCTGCCAGTGCAGCTGTAGGCTTTCTTGGCCCTATTCTTGCAGGGGTGCAGAGCCCAGCCTGTTGAGAGGTGCATATCCTGGGTGGGAGTTTGCCAAGAGACAGGATCAGAGAGCTGGGGGTGCACAAGGAGTGGAGGTGACTGTGAAGCAGCGAAGGGACGGGCTGGCCTGGCTGTGGCTCTGGAGCTGGTAGCAAGTTCAGGAGTATTTCATGATTATGATGCGGAGTCTACACAAACACGGTGAATACCCTTTGGTGGGTGTGAGACCTTACAGAATGCTAAATTTCTAAGAAATGAGTTTGGGTTTTAGTGAAGTGGGGGAGCAGGGGCGCCACATCCATGGGAAGTCCATGTGTGGAGAGGCAGAACCGTGAGAGGCAGCAGGGGCCACCAAGCTCGGTCCCCACAGCCTCACAAGCCTTGCTTACCACTCTGGTTTTGTTCCTGGGAACAATGAGACCACAGATCATTTTACACACGAGAATGAGGTGCTCAGGCTTGTGGTGAGATGCACAGAGAGGCCTGCCCCACTCTCCTTCCTGAGGAGCCCACCTGCAGTGATGCTGCTGGGTGGGGCCAGGCCCGGTGGACAGCATCTGGGTGTTCAGGAGCAGAGCTTTCCTTCTGCCTCCCCAGGAGTAGACCAATCACCAGCCAGCTCCCAAGACAGGTGAAACGTGAGGCAGACGGGCATGGCCAGTGGATAATGAGGGCATTGGATGGCCCAGAAGTGTCTCCCAATAGAGGTGCAAGGCACCGTCCCCTGCACACAGTGAGCATGCAGTATGTGTGTGGGGCTGCCTCTGCTGGGGGTAGAGAGGAAGGCATGGAGGGAGAGGTCTGTGCCCTCCGTAGGGGCAGGTCTAGGTTTCCTTACTCCCTATATTTCTGACACTTACCACGGGCCTTGGAACATAGCAGATACTGGATGATGAGAAGGCCTTCTCCCCTCCTTCATGCCTGCCCTGTGCCAGCTGTGCGTGATGATTAATGCATTCCACTAAAGTTTATCTGAGCAGCAGTCCTTATGATGACCCTGTAAGATAGATCCCCCATTTTCCAGGTGATAAAAATGCTTCAAGAGGCTCAATGACTTGCCTAAGTGTCTCAAGTGCTGAACAGAGGAACTGAAGGTCTCATTTGAGTCCAAAGCTCTTTCCATTATATTACACCATGTTAGGGTTCTCCAGAGAAAAGAACCAATAGGATAGATGACAGATGATGGATAGTAAATGGATAGATAGATGGATAGATAGGAACTTACGAGGAATTGGCTTGCACAATTATGGAGGCAGGCCAAGTCCAAAATGTGCAAAGCTGATGTCTCAGTTTGAATCTGAAGATTGGAAGCTGCTGTGAAACAGAAAGAGCCTTTATCAGTCATGCACGATAGCTCACGCCCGTAATCCCAGCACTCTAGGAGACTGAGGCGGGCGTATCACCTGAGGTCAGGAGTTCAAGACCAGCCTGTCCAACATGGTAAAAGCCCATCTCTACTAAAATACAAAAATTAGCCAGGTGTGATGGCGGATACCTGTAATTCCAACTACTTGGGAGGCTGAGACTGGAGAATGGCATGAACCCAGGAGACGGTGGTTGCAGTGAGCTGAGATTGCGCCACTGCACTCCAGCCAGGGCAGCTGAAATAAAATAAAATAAAATAAAATAAAATAAAATAAAATAAAAGGTTATCAGGCAGGAAAAAAGCTAACATCCATGTTTGAAAGGCAGCAGGCAAGATAATTCCCTCTTTCTCTGGAGACAGTCAGCCTTCTGTTCTGTTCAGGCCTTCACCTGATTGGGGAGGCCATTACATTGTGGAGAACAGTCTGCTTCACCCAGTCTACCTATTTAAACGCTCATCTCATCCAAAACAGCTTCATGGAAGCACGCAGAATAACGTTTCACCAAATATCTGAGCACCCCATGGCCCAGTCAAGTTAACACACAAAACAAACCATCACACATAGCCTCTCATAAGCATTTTTAAATTAACACCAGAAGCATTGCTCATGTGGAAAACTTTCTATAATTTGCAAGAGCTGCATTATTTCTCAAATAATAGTCACATTTTTGGAAGTCTTACACTTATTTCCATTAAAATTTTACCTATTCAAGTTCCTAACCGTTTGAAATCAAAGGCTAGCTCAACTAACCCTGGGCACTGACCTCTCATTGCTCCATCCAGGAAGACAGTTTCTCCTCAGGAGAGAAATAAGAAGATACTGTTTCTAAGCAGCATCAGCCCTTTGGCAGCATCAACGAAGAACTTGCTAATTACATACTCTTTATGGTGTCTTTTTCAGATCTAGGTGGTAGGACTGTGGTTAATTGCTAGCTTTACCTGCCCTGCCAGTGGCCCCCTGGAGACAGGGACAGGCCCTGCTCATCTCCATGGGCTCCTGCCTGCTTGGTGTTCAGAGATGGCACTTGTGCTGAACATGCCGGAAAACACTCATCCCAGCTCCCCAGTAAATGAGCTCAGCTCTTCTTCTAGGTCATCCTGTAAGCTGTTCTGGGGTCCCTATGGTCACCTACAAATGCTACAAAAAACCCAGCATGAATCACGAATCCTGGAAGAAAGGGAGCTGTTTCTGTTCATGGCGGTTGTAAAGACCCCGTAGGGAGGTGGAACACATCAGGAGGCTGAGCAAGGTCTGAATCAGTTCAGATCGTGGCCACTGAGTTGTGAAGAAGGAAGGCAAAGGGGGTGGAAGGAGCCCCAGAAGGTGCTGGCAGCGTGTGGGAGGGAGGAGGGCAGAGCTGGTGGCAAGCAGAAGGCCTGTTATTAGGATAATTAGTATTATTTATTAAACATCTAGGAAGTGCCAGCCACGTGCTAGCTATTGTCACAATCCAAATCAAAGAATTA
Source organism: Homo sapiens (assembly GCF_000001405.40). Taxonomy (NCBI): domain Eukaryota; kingdom Metazoa; phylum Chordata; class Mammalia; order Primates; family Hominidae; genus Homo; species Homo sapiens. The sequence goes on along the minus strand of NC_000002.12, from coordinate 128,629,025 downwards.
GACCCAATGCCTCTGGAAAATCTTCCTATCAAACTGGGCAGGATGAAAAAAAAGCAGGCAAAGAAACTGTGCTAAGGAAGTGTTTTAGATGAAGAAAAGAGACGCCTCTAGAAAGAATCCAGCCAAGGCTGGGTGCGGTGGCTCACGCCTGTAATCCCAGCACTTTGTGAGGCTGAGGTAGGCAGATCACCTGAGGTCAGGAGTTCAAGACCAGCCTGGCCAACATGGTGAAACCCCTTCTCTACTAAAAATACAAAAATTAGCCAGGTGTGGTGGCAGGTGCCTGTAATCCCAGCTACTCAGTAGGCTGCGGCAGGAAAATTGCTTGAATCCGGGAGGTGGAGGCTGCAGTGAACTGAGATTGCGCCATTGCACTCTAGCTTGGGCAACAAGAGGAAAACTCCGAAGAAAGGGAGGGAGGAAGGGAGGGAGGAAGGGAGGGAGGAAGGGAGGGAGGGAGGGAAAAGATCCAGCCTCATAGCACCAGGCAGCCCCGCTCCTCTTCCCAAGCACCCAGCGATGGTGACAGCAGGTTGGGCCACGTGGGGGCTGCTTTCTCCTCGGCTTTGGCCAAGGCTGCCACCTGCCATGGTCATGCAAACCAGTCCTGCTTTGTGATTCTGGCCATCAGACAACTCGCACCTGACACTTCTGCTCCAGGGCTGGCAGTGTCCAGCAAGCAGCAAGGCTTCCCAGGATATCCAGGGTTCAGCACGCCATTCCTACTTGCCAGACACCCGGGGTTTGGAAACAAAGATGAGGAGACCAACCTGCCCCCAAGAACCTCACAGCCTGTGGAGGAGCTTTCAGTCTGCCCTTGGGAGAGGTTATGGTTGATCCGTAAGCAAACTGACACAGGAGTCAAGGGGACGCGTGTCCTCACTGAGTGGGAGTGCAAGGGACGAGCTATGATTCTAGCCATTGTCTCAACGGCCATGTCCTCTTCAAACATTTAAGGACTGACAATGCTCAGTGAGGTCTAATGGGCAGCTCTGCCTAATCCTCCCACACCCAAAAGAGCAGGCTGTTTGATTTCTAACTCGTTAACACAAATAATGCTTGAAGATCTGTGGCTCTGATGTGACGTTAGCTCGTTTTCCAAGTTTAGCTGTAAATCACAGGCTGAGTTAAGGTGTATGAGGTCTCAAGCAAATTCACATGGCCTCTATTAAATTGTATGAGGTTAAGAAATATATTGGATTCTGGGGACATATATGCTGCTAACCAAAATTACACACCAGCCATTTGTCATATTCGCGTGGGTGTCACTAAATCAAGACTCTAAAGGTGAAGGCACGGGTTGGAATTATACCATCACTGTCTCTGCTACAGCACAATCAGTCTGGGGTAAGGAGGGGGCTCTTGATGAGTGTGGACTGCGAGAGGATGGTCTCCCTTCTCACTCATCTATGCAGGTGTCTGTGGCACTCAGGTACCTGTCGCACGGGAGCTGACAGCAAACAGTTCCCTTTATGGTAAATCACGGTGTCAAATGGACCAGGCAGATGTTGGGATACCCCATTAGAGTTACAAACGTATTCCCTGGAAAAGCAGAAGGTGAGCTGGTTCCCAGAGGAAAGGGGAGCTGCTCAGTAGGCCGAAGAGCAGAAGGGAGGCATGCCCCGCCCAGACTTGACTTCCCACTCTCAGAGCTACGTTTGCTTTCTCGGCTTTGCAGCCCGCTTCCCAACACACACAGATCTCCCCACACCCACACAGCCGTCACACCCACCATATGTTCAGAATGTCAGAGCTGGGAGGCAGCCCCGCCCAACCCCCTGATTTTTCAGATCCATCCGCTGGGGCATTACGATAGGGGTGTGGTCATCAGCCTCTCTCGCATGGAAAATGTCACACGATGTGTGATGTATCCCCTCCCTGCATCCCTGTTTATCCACGAAGTCAGCCAGAGGGGCTGGTTGGGTCAGCTTCAGAAGAAGAGACCAGTGATTCTTGGGAAGAAATGATTTTTACCCGGGGAGTACAGGAACTGCCCATGACCCCCTCCTCCTCCTCCTCTCCCTCCCTCCCGTGGGGAGCTCGGAGAGATGCGTCAGGACCAGGCCCCTTGAGTCAGGCCTGTGACACAGCCCACAGAGAGGGCTCAGGAGCCAAGTTACAAGGCTCTCTATGGGTGCCCGCTGTGTGCACAGCTAGGAAACAAACACGTGCACACAGGCTCTCTCCCAGGAGTGTCTCTCAGAACCTGGAGGGAAAATGCAGCCACCGATGTGGCACTGGGATCTTCTATTGCCTGAAATTTTCTTTAACGCACTTGAGAAGAGACAGCACAATTTAGGTGTGTGCCAGAAGCCCCCCTCACTCAAACTCTTGGAGTGGACGGCGCACTGGAAATACCCTAACCAGGAGCCTGTGCCTCAGGGACAGCCGCTGCAAGCTCTCCACACACTACTAAGCCTGCTCCAGAGGGCCCCTGGTTAGCAGAGTGGATGTCCGAAGGAGGTTTTCACTGGAGAGATGAAAGAGTGGAAGATATGGGATTGGCTGCCACACATGCCCAGGTGCCACCACCTCTTCACATGAAGGACATGAAGGGCCAGTGTGCAAGGGGGAGATGTGGGGGTTCCCACTAGGCAAAGGGAACGGACAAGCAGTAGGAGGCCAGCTTCCTGGAACAGTGACAGGGGCAGGGAGGCTCTCAAAGATGTAAGCAGCAGCAGGGCTTTGCTGCTAGAGTGAAGACCAGACCTAACAGGGCAGCTGTCTGTCAGGGGAGGAAGGCAGCATCCTGATCCACCATCCCCACCATCGACACCTCTGCCAGAAGGAGGCCTTAACGTAGTCCCCAGCTGATTCACGTGGTGCTCTGGGAGGCCCCTCTGCTCAGGGAGACCAGCCTGCAGGGGCTTAGCTCGGAGGGTCACTGCTGACCTCTTGGGGAGGGGAAACAGAGCAGAGTGCTGCAGGAAAGAACAGGATTGGAGAGTGAGACTGGCCAGGGGCGTGTGCTTCCTCTGGTGCTTCTAGCTGCTTTGGGAGAGGCACAGAGCAGGTGGAGAGTTGGATTTCATCAGGGCTGTGGATTTTCCGAGCAGTAGAAGGGAATCATTGATGCAATGTGTGACAGTAGGGAGGGCACTGTGAGCAGAGGGTTGGATGGTGCATCTCCCAATGGTGGCCGTGACACTGTCCCCCACCCCCACTTGCTCCTCAACAGTGTCTCCTAGACACCCCTCCATGGAGAGCTGGGGACGATGGCCCTTCTCTTGTATTTTGGAAGGAGTGGGGCTGAGACTCATCTGCAATTGACAGAATGTAGCAGACATGACTTCGGAGCCTCGCTCATTTAGGGGATGGGCTCTGCCTGTTCAGCTGGACACTGGCCGTGGAGACCCCAAGTGCAGCCATGTGAAATACCAGTCATGGGAAGTCTGGGTCTTTTCCAGCTTCTCCTGGTGGCCTCCAGATGGTTCCGGTCCCAGCCCCAGAAGGTGGCATGGCCCTCACCCTTGGCAGGGGCCCAGGGCACTGCTGGTGTCCTCCTGGCATGGATGCTGGGTCCCTTGCTGGCGCCTCCCAACATGGACGCCTTTGAGAACCAAATTGCTGGGGCAGAAGACAGTCATGTGAACAGATCGTGATAAGTGCTTTGCTATCGTCGTCCTAAAATGCTCCCTTTAGAGGCATCTTCACATTTGCCTGGGTGCTTAGGTGTCAGATATCTTGGAAGGACAGGTCTGCAAGGGTGGCTGGTGCCTGACTTGGGTCCAGGTCAGACCCAGGCTGGTGGCCTGCTGCAGAGGCAGTGAAGCACCACTTTTGTCTACCTGCTCCCTCCCTGCCCTTCCTTCTACACAAGTAAGTTCCAGAGCAGCCCCAAACAAACACACACGCCGGGCACACGACGACCTGGCTTTGCCCATTCTGGGCTCCATAACCTGGACTCAAGTCATCAGGCCCAAGTGCCAGCCAATGATAGTTCCAGGGCAGGGCTGTTTGTGATGACAAGACCAAGATCCCCCAAGCGACAGAGCCCCACCTGAAGTTCATTCCTTGTTCTCCTGTACAAAGAAATCAGAGGACGCACCTTGGACCCATGCTGGGCTCCAGCTCTTTGTCACCAAAGAGCAGAGGGACAAAAAGCAGGTCTTGTCTGAAATGCGTTGATCTTCTCTGCCTTGTCTCAGCCAGCCCCAGGATATCCACCTCTGCCATCAGGATCCTGGCTACCAAGGGAATGAAGAGGTGACTTTTGAAAGTCACCAGTACCTTCTTCCTTCAGCAGAGAGACTGGAATGAACCTCCAGAGACCGGGAGCTGCCCCTCTGTACAGGGCAAAACCCCTAGGCAGCTCTTTCGGTTATGCGGGGATGCAGCTGAGACTGTGAACGTCCACCCACTGCCCCGGGAGGCTTAATGCAGAGACTGTTCCGACTGCATGTGGATGTGTGGATGGTATATGTGCATGCGTGTGGTGTGGGTGTGCTGTATGTGTGCGTGTGGTGTGGGTGTGCTGTATGTGTGCGTGTGGTGTGGGTGTGCTGTATGTGTGTGTGTGTGTGTGTGTGTGTGTGGGCGTGTGCACCCCCCCCCACCTCAGGCCACAGTGGGGATACAAATTGACTAAGCCACTGCTGGCTGCACTGAGGAGATTGGAAACAGGGAAAAGGGACAGGGAGGGGCTGGATGTGCCCGGGATGGGGTGGGAAGGAGGGGAGCTGGTGCCTTGGGAGAGCCCGCATAGACACAGAGCAAGGACTTGTCTAACCTTCAGTCAGAGGTAAAGAGCAAAAAAGCCAAAGAGAAAAAGAAACAAAGCAGAGATTTCCCATCTGAGCATGCAGGCGCAGAACCCACAGTGATGAATGATGCAATCAGACCACAGAGGCTGCTCAGGTTTCTGTGCAAATGAAGAGAAAAATTTGAAAATGTGGCTGAAACCCAAACCCCAAATGTCACTGTAATCTGAGGAGTGTCTGCTCAGAGCAGAAGGAAAATCAGCCTCTAGGAAGCAGCTCAGGCCTCCTCTCCTGCCCAGGCTTGGGTGAAGTGAGGGGCTTGCAGAATGAGGATCCCCTACCCAAGGGCCTGGGCGGCTGCAGGGCCTCAACAGTTCCTGCCATGATGGAGATGAGCAGAAGCCACGTTAGGACCAGCAGGACCGACGAAATCACAGGCAGGCTGACTCCCATCATGGGTCTCCAGACGATGCAAAGTCCCCCTCAGACCCATCACCATGGCCCCTGCTAAGGGAGAGACCCATACACTACTCACACCCAAATGTGCCTTGTAAACGTTTTGATGACTGCATTTCTCTATAATTGGCTTCTTCCATACTACTAATGGCTTTATTGGATGCATCGAAAGCCATTATTCTGAGAAGGGTACAAAGGCTTCACTGAACTCCTAAAGGGGTTCCAGGTACACATGTGGCCGGGAAGCCTGGTGGGCAGTGGCGCTGCCTTATCTCATCCCTGTGATTGTGTCTCAGCCAGATGGGATCAAGGAGGCTGCCCACAGCCAAGGGGTGGGATGCAGAGGCTCGTTCTGGCTCTCCAGCCCCAGGGACAGGGGCCCCCCAACTTCCAGGTGCCTCCCCCGACCCCTGGCCCACTCTGCTCCCCCAAAGACACACTGAGCTCGGTGACAGATCAGCACAGAGCTGGGCAGGGCATAAGGGAACGGTGGCTTCAGCGAGCTGAGGACCTGGCTCACAACCCCTAGGCTGCAGTCAGGGCAGGACCTGTTCTCATTCACTCTTTACTTCCATGGCCTACGCTGCAGCTGGCACAGAGCAAGTAAGTGCCTGAGCCTGATGGACGCGTGTAGAAAGAATGCATGAGTGAGAGAGAGAGGGAGACAGAGAGAGAGAGAATGAGAGAGGGAGGGAGAGGGAGAGAGAGAGAGAGGGCACCCATCCTCCATGGTTTCTCACGCCTGCTCTGTGGGAGAGGCCAGTGAGTCTGCACAAGTTGACGCCCGGCCCTATCCTTGGAGGTCCCCTGGTCTAATGACTGGCAAACCAATGGAGAGGGTGGATGCTAAAACCTCTGGCTACGTCTCATTTCAGGAATTCTATAGCCTTCCAACCAAAGCTTTTTAGAATGGGTGGGGTTTGAGAGTGGGGGAAGGGAGGAGAAGAAGCCTGCCCACACCAGGGCTTGCACCACCCTGTTTATGCTCAGCCCAGTAGACTACTGGCCCAGAGTCTGTGTCCCCAGTGGCTAGCAGGAGTCTGGTGTCCACCAGGACCTTGGATGGTATCGTTGTTGAATGAATGGGTTCATGCATGGGCACTGTGGCTGATCATATTTTTGTTAATGGCACCACAATCTCTCCCATCCCAGGTCCCTTCTCCCAGTGTGACTTGGCCCTCCTCCGACAGGAAGGCAGGGTGTGTTCCTTAACCTTGAATCCGGGAAGGTCTGTGACTGCAGGGAAGTGGCATTGTGTGACTTCCAGGCCAGGTCACGAGGACAACGCCACTTCTGCCTGGCTCTCTTGAAATCAGCACTATGCTGTGAGGAACCCAGGCCAACCACATGGAGAAGTCACACACAGAGGTCACCAGCGGAGGTTAAGGAGCTCCCGGCTGACAGCTTGCATCAACCACCAGGCCCACAAGCAACCAGCCTTCTGATGGCTTCGGCCCTAGACTTCACCTCTTCCCAGTGAGACCCAGACACCACAGAGCAGAGACAGGCCCTCCCCACAGTGTCCTGTGTGAGGTCCTGGCCCACACAATCCAGGGCACAACTGATGGAGGCAATAAACAAGAAATTATTCAGTGATGCATGTTAGGGATGGCGAGGAAGACTTCACTCATGACCACTGCGATAGGTACAGGCACCATGGCAATGGGAGCTTGCAGCTGGGGAAAGAGGCTGGGCTCAACTCCAAACACAGCGTGGACAAGAGGGAGTTTATAACCGAGGCGTAGGGTAGGGGCCAGTCAATGGAAAATAACAAAGAGGACCTATGAGGGGTAAGGGGACTTCAGGCTAAACCAACCCCACAGGATTTCTGGTGAAGACAGGCCAGGATGGTCAGACCTCCCCTGGGGGACGGTGAAGGATAAGGAACCCTATCAGATATGGAGGGTGATGAGTTATTGAGGGTAAAGTCTTCTTGCTAACCTGACCTAGCAAGGTTCTTGCTGAAACTGGAATTTACCAAGGACATGCACAGATGGGCCTAGAAGGAAGTTCAGGAGCTCGACCAGACTCACATTTGACCAAGCAGAGAATCTTTCTCAGTCCCCTCTGTCATTTGAGGGGAAAAGAAGACATTCTTCTTTCCTTTGCATAACGTAAGTCCATTTTCTTGTTGGGCCACCTTTTGTTTATTAAGTACAAATGAATCATCTGCTGGGACTTGGTAGTAATGAGTGGAGTTTAGTTTCTACGAAAATAAAAGAAAAACAAAGAGTAATTTTTGGAACAAGCATAAACTCACTTTCTGAGTCCAGAAGGCAGTCAGCCGGTCAAGAAGATTTCTAGATGCTAGGCCTGAAGACCCTTCAGCTGGAGCAGGCAGCGGCAAGTGACAGCTCTTCCTGGTTTGCAGCTTGGAGGTCACAAAGGTTTTCCATGCATGAGCTGTTGAGGTGGCTTCTCTGAAGCTTCTATCAAGTAGTCTGGCTTCAGCTTGCTGGGCTTCAGGAAAACCATGGCAATTCCAAGCCAGAAGGATGAGGAAAATTGGAAATGGTCATCTGGAGAGTAATAGGCAGATATTGGAGGAAACTAGAAGAATGCAGGATCCAGTCCAGACTACAGGTAGATCATACAAACTCAAAGACCATGGACAGGGCCAGGGCCTAATACTGGGTAAGGAATTGCTGTTAGGGGTCATGAGCTTCTCAGTGAGGGGGCAGTGCAGATAATGGACCCAGGTTCAGAGGCAAGGACTGCAGCTAAGAAAGAACAGGGAGGGATGACCAGAGGTGTCCAGGGGCCAGAACTCTGGGGACTCCTGCTTGCAGCCACATGGCCAGGTGCCCAGGGATGGTAGAGGAGTGGACCAAAGGGGCCATTCTGAGGAAGAGAGGATGAGAGGCAGGGAGAGGAGATGGATCCACCTCCATGATCAAAATTCCTCTCATCAGGTCCCAAATCCAAGATTGGGATGTGTAGGGCAGGCCAGCCATGTCCCAGTCCATGTAAGCTGCCAGAACAGAAAGCCACAGATGGGGAGGCCAGTGAACTACAGAGATTCCTTTCTCACGGTTGTAGAGGCTGGAAGTTCGAGACCCAGGTACTGGCGGATTCCAGTCTGTGAGGGCCACTTCCTGGTTCACAGACAGTCATCTTGCCATTTCCTCACATGGCAGAAGGGGTGAAGGGGTCTCTCTGGGACCTCTTTTGTAAGGGCACTGATCTCATTCCAAAGGCACCACCCTCATGACACAATCACTTCCCAAAGGCCCTGCCTCCTAATGCCCTCACAGTGGGATTAGGTTTCTTTTTTATTTATTTATTTTTGAGATGCAGTCTTGCTCTGTTGCCCAGGCTGGAGTGCAGTGGCACAATTTCGACTCACTGCAAACTCCCCCTCCCAGGTTCATTCCTGCCTCAGACCCCCAAGTAGCTGGGATTACAGGCGCCCACCACCACACCCAGCTGATTTTTGTATTTTTAGTAGAGATGTGGTTTCACCATGTTGGCCAGGCTGGTCTCGAACTTCTGACCTCAAGTGATCCACCTGCCTTGGCCTCCTAAAGTGCTGGGATTACAGGCGTGAACCACTGGGCCCAGCTGGGATTAGGTTTCATCACATTAATTTTGGGCAGACACAAACATTCAGGGCCATGTCTGTGCCCTCCAGGACAGGGGAAGGAAGGGGACCTGAGCCCAGAGCCCCCGAGGCCGGTGCCCTGCAGCTCAGAGGTGGGGGAGAAGTCTGTCAGGCCCAGGTGGACATGGCATTGTGGCCCCTGCCCCACAAGGAGGGGCTGCTCAGTATCTAAACAAGTGCACTGAGGGGGAGGGGGCAAGTCTCGGCTCCCCCAGGCAAGCAGCTCTCTCCCTGGGAAAGCACTCAGCCCTGCAGCAGGTCCCACCCCCACTTCCAGGACCCAGAGAGAACAGCAGGGTGTGTGGAGATGGGAATAGCCCTGGGACAGTCAGGGGCAGCAACCCCCACTCAAATCCTGGCTGTGTCATCCTGCCCGCCCCAGGCCTCAGTTCCCCCACTGGAGGGGTGGTCCTGCCTCCTTGCTGAGGGTAGAGAAGGTGTTTCTATGGTGGCGCCACGCAGGCCTGCCAGGCTCAGTGGTCTTTCTCCATTCCCTTACGGAGAACCAGAAGTCAGGGAAGGAGGAAAGCACCGCGCCCAGGACGGGATCTGCCAGGACCTCTGGTCAGCGCAGCCGCCTCCAGGCAGACCACCACGGCTGGAAGGGGTTTCCTCAGCAGAGCTGAGGGGCCCTGAGAACAGAGTGGCACAGGCCATCCCTCCGTCCGAGGACAGCACCAGCCCATGTTCCTAGGAGCAGCTATAGTTTCCACTCCCTCCGACCTTGACCCCTCCTGGCCGGGACATGCTCCCACGCTCCCTGCCACAGCCTTCCCACACAGCCCAGAGCCCACAGAGCCTGCGAGGCTGATGGTGACAAGATGGGGTGTGTCCAGAGCAGGGAGGCGAGGGGTCTGAAATTTAGTCTTATTTGGAGGGGTTGAAACAAAGGCCAAGTGTGGTGGCTCATGCCTGTAATCCCAGCACTTTGGGAGGCTGAGGCAGGCGGATCACCTGAGGTCAGGAGTTCCAGACTAGCCTGGTCAACATGGTGAAACCCCGTCTCTACTAAAAATACAAAAATTAGCCGGGTGTGGTGGCAGGTGCCTGTAATCCTAGCTACTCGGGAGGCTGAGGCAGGAGAATTGCTTGGACCCAGGAGGCAAAGGTTGCAGGGAGCTGAGATCATGCCACTGCACTCCAGGCTGGGTGACAGAGACTCCATCTCAAAAAAAAAAAAAAAAAAAGAAAAGAAAGAGAGAGAGAATGCTGAATGATGAATATTTCCCCTAAGAGAAAAACAAAATTGGTGTGTGCATATGTATATTATCTGTATGTGTGTGTGCTTGTGTACACACATGTGCACTTGTGTGTGTGCACATATGTGTGTGCATATATGTGTGTTCTTGTGTGTATGTGTGTGTGTTGTGTTATATGTATGTGTATCATGTGGGCATTTGTGTGTGTGCATGTGTCCGTGTGTGTGCACATGCATGTGGCCACACATTGGCCCTGCTGACTGCCCTGTGCACCCGGGGTACTGTCAGGTAAGGTGGGTCCTGCAGCTCCCTCCACAAAGTTAGAATCTGGGGGAGAAGTTGAAGGGAGAAGTCTGGCCACACCCAGCAGATTCACTGCCCTCAAGAGCCAGGCCTAGGAATGGGCTCCAGGGAGGACCATGGTACAGGACAATGAGGCCTTGGGCAGCAGATATCAGGCTGGGATCCAGCAAAGACAGAGGTCCCAGCACAGGTAGACAGCAAAATTAAGGATGCTGGGACACAGCCTCCCAGGGAGCAGTGGACCCAAGAAGTTGGGGGGCTCAGCCAGGCTGCTGGGGTTTAAGTGTACAGCTGTCTTCCTGTGGGTCTGGAACATTCTGAGGGTTGGGGGCTGTGGTATTGGGGGTTGCACTTGGTGGGGCACTAAGTCCATTTTGTGTTGCTATAAAGGAATACTTGAGCCAGAGTAATTTATAAAGAACAAATATTTATTTGGCTCACGATTCTGATGGTTGGCAAGTTTGGGATTGAGCATCTGCATTTGGGGAGGGCCTCGGGCTGCTTCCACTCCTGGCAGAAGGTGAAGGGGAACAGGTGTGTGCAGTTATCACATGGTGAGACAGGAAGCAAGAGAGATGGGAGGTGCCAGATTCTTTTCAACAACCAGCTCTCAGTGGAAGGCAATAGAGCAAGAACTCACTTGCCCCCAACCCTGAGAGAGGACATTCATCTATTGATGAGGGATCCACCTCCATGAACCAAACACCTCCCATCAGGTCCCAACTCCAATATTGGGATCAAATGTCAACACGAGGTTTGGAGGGGACAAACATACAAACCAAAGCAGGCACACAGACAGGAGCTTCAGCTCCACACAGACTGCACATGACCCCATGCCCATTAACTGTGGAGGGAGAACCTGGCCACAGGCCCTAGCATCAGGGTAGGTCTGTCAGGAGCAGGCAGCGCTCAGACCTGCAGGAATGTGCTCGCAGATCCCGCCCTTCGTGGGCACTGGGTGTCATTGACTTCTGGGGAAAGCTGTTTCCACGGGCAGCATTACCAGTGCAAATGAAGGCTCTGGAGTCCTGGTTGGAACCCCAACTCCACTTCCTACCATCTGCAGCACAGCAACTGTCTGAGCTCTCTGGTTGTTCAAATAAGCCTGTGGACCTCCCTCAAGTGATCCTCCGGGAATTGAATTGGGCCACTCAAGCAAGGGCCCCAGCACAGTCCCTGGACACTCCCAGAATGTTACTCCCCCCAGCTGGAGGGCTCCCACCCTGGCAACGAGGGCTCTCCAAGAAGCCATGAGCACACTCCCACCACCCAATCCCCACAATATACAAGTTGGCAAAACAAGGCAAGGAGGCTCCAATAGAAAGGGACATTCACCAGCTCCTGCCCCCATCTGAAACTGTCCCCGCCTTTCCTCTCTGAATTTGGGCCGTCACTTCTCACATGCCTGACATTTGACAGGCTTGTCTCCCCACCCCAGTCTCAGAGCACCACCCAGCCCAGCGTCTTTCAGGGAGTCAGTCCAGTGTGGCCACACTGGGAGCAGCATGTAGACGGTGCATGCTGGGCAAGGCAGGGAGGGGTGGCCAGGGCTTGGCCACTCCCCTGTGCTCACAGAGTGACACTCAGTCCCCCAGCCTTCCCTTAATGCTAGGGTGAGTGCTCTCCCTGAGCAGGAAGCACAGAACAGCTCAGGTGTGGGACGTGGCAGGGCTCAGCACACACCCTGTGCAGAGGGAATGCAAATGGTTTCCATCCATTTCCCCAGTATCTGCAACTCCTTTTTTTTTTTTTTTTTTTTTTTTTGAGACGGAGTCTTGCTCTGTCGCCCAGGCTCGAGTGCAGTGGCGTGATCTCAGCTCACTGCAAGCTTCGCCTCCCAGGTTCACGCCATTATCCTGCCTCAGCCTCCCGAGTAGGTGGGACTACAGGCGCCCACCACCACGCCCAGCTAATTTTTTTTTTGTATTTTTAGTAGAGACGGAGTTTCACCATGTTAGCCAGGATGGTCTTGATCTCCTGACCTCGTGATCCACCTTCCTCGGCCTCCCAAAGTGCTGGGATTACAGGCGTGAGCCACCACATCCGGCCTTGTATCTGCAGCTCTTAGCAGGGAGGCTGCTATTGGTGATCTTGTCTGGCTGATAATGAACCCTAGCCAAAATCTACCTCAGAGCCATCGGTGTAGGCTCTGCCTTCACTCAGCACTGAGGCCCTCTGCACTGTCCCCCTTGCCGCCTTTGTGATTAGTGGGATGAAGCAAGCCAGCCCCTCGCATGGTGCACTCCCTCCATGCATGTGTCCCACATGGCTGCAGCTCACAAGGCCAGAATCTTCTTGAGGTCCAGCACCTGCCTGTTGTCTCTTTGCCCACATACAGTATCCGCAAAGTGATTGTATTAGTCCATTCTCACACTGCTATAAAGAACTACCTGAGATTGGGTAATTTGCGAAGAAAAGAGGTTTAATTGATTCACAATTCTGCAGGCTGTACAGGAAATACAGCTGGGGAGCCTCAGGAAACTTATAATCATAATGGAAAGCAAACGGGAAGCCAGATTGTCTTACCACGGTGGAACAGGAGAGCGAAGGGAGAAGTGCCACTCACTTTCAAACAACCAGATCTCGTGAGAACTCACTCACCATCATGAGAACAGTAAGGGGGAAATTTGCCCCCATGATCCAATCACCTCTCACCGGGTCCCTCCCCCAACACTGGGGATTACCATTTGACATGAGATATGGGTGGGGACACAGATCCAAACCATATCAGCATTATCCCATTTCTTCTGCAGTTATCCCTTTGCTTTGTAGGTGTTCACTTTGACTTGTTTTCATATCCCATTTGCGTGATACCTGGAAAGCCCCAGACCCCTGCAATCAGGAATGAGTCAAAGCCACAGTTCCCGGGTGCAGCAGAGCAAAGGGGGCCACACACACCAATTAGGACAAGGAAGGAAAGAAAAGGCCGGGGTAGAAAAGGCCTGGTGCAGGAAGGGCCGGATATTGGGAATGGCACGAGGCCAAGGGGCAGCAGGGCAGCAGCACCAGGTCATCTCCCACATGGCATCTTTTGCTGCACATGAGCTCATCGCAAAGAAGCATCTCCGCTCACACGTGGTTCACCCTGGCCAAGTCTGACCCAGAAATTAGTGAGAGGAGCCACTGCTTCCAGGAACTGCTAAGAGGCAGCAGGCAGCAGGATGGCAATTCCAGAGTCCCTCGATGAGGCAGGACAACCCTGGGCAATAATTATGCCAGCACCCACTGAGCTTTGAGGCTCCACAGGAACAGGGGCACTGGGCCCTCCTCACAGAGTTGGTTTTAAGGCTTTTAAAGAACATATTTTCTTTTATTATCATTATTATTATTATTATTATTATACTTTAAGTTCTAGGGTATATGTGCACAACGTGCAGGTTTGATATGTAGGTATACATGTGCCATGTTGGTTTGCTGCACCCATCAACTCGTCATTTACATTAGGTGTTTCTCCTAATGCTATCCCTCCACCCAGCCCCCCATGCCCTGACACACCCCAGTGTGTGATGTTCCCCGCCCTTTGTCCAAGTGTTCTCATTGTTCAACTCCCACTTATGAGTGAGAACATGTGGTGTTTGGTTTTCTATTCTTGTGTTAGTTTGCTGAGGATGATGGTTTCCAGCTTCATCCACGTCCCTGCAAAGGACATGAACTCATCCTTTTTTATGGCTGCATAGTATTCCATGGTGTGTATGTGCCACATTTTCTTAATCCAGTCTATCACTGATGGCGTTTGGGTTGGTTCCAAGTCTTTGCTGTTGTGAATAGTGCCGCAATAAACATACGTGTGTGTGTGTCTTTATAGTAGCATGATTTTTAATCCTTTGGATATATACTCGCTAATGGGATTGCTGGGTCAAATGGTATTTCTAGTTCTAGATCCTTGAGGAATTACTACACTGTCTTCCACAATGGTTGAACTAATTTGCACTCCCACCAACAGTGTAAAAGCATTCCTGTTTCTCCACATCCTCTCCAGCACCTGTTGTTTCCTGACTTTTTAATGATTGCCATTCTAACTGGTGTGAGATGGTATCTCATAGTGGTTTTGATTTGCATTTCTCTGATGACCAGTGTTGATGAACATTGTTTCATGTGTCTGTTGGCTGCATAAATGTCTTCTTTTGAGAAGTGTCTGTTCATATCCTTTGCCCACTTTTTGATGGGGTTGCTTGTTTTTTTTTTTAAAGAACATATTTCCTTAAAAGAAAAACAGAGCAGGAATTAGCTGGTCCCAGGAGTGTGGCAGAGCACTTCCCACCAGCCAGGAAACCACCACCATCTCTGTCGCGACACCAGATACCTTCTTCAGTGCCGCCTCTGCTCATGCCAGGGAAGGCACAGGCCCACATGCACTGGGAAACATAGCACTTTAATCCATGACCAGTGTTCCCATGGCAGCCCGGGTCCCATAGGTTTGGCTTTCTTTGCTATATGCATTTATTTATCATTGCTGCCTGTATTGGGGGGCCCCATGAACTCTTTCAGTCCATGACTTTCTAGAAGGACTCACAGAACTCAGAAAAGCTGGTAACACCCACAGCTATGGTGTATTACAGTGAAAGGATAGAGATGTAGATCAGCAAAGGAAAAGGGTGCTTAGGGCAGGGTCCAGGAGAGGCCAGCCAGGTCCAGTCTGCGGGTGTCGCCCCCCATGGAATTACGTGGGCAGTGCTGGATTCCCCAGCTGCAATGTGTGACTGCATGTGTGAAGTGTGCCCATCCAGGGCTTCAGTGGGGTCAGTCACATAGGCACTGGGAGCCCCTATGACTGACCTCAGCTACTGTCCCCAAGCCCCAGAGGCCAAACAATTTTCAGCATGGCTCAGGATCCCAGGCAAACAAAAACAGGCATTCGTCATCATTGTGGGCTGAATTGTACCCATCTCCCAAATCCCTATGCTGAAGCCCTAACCCCCAGTGTCTCAGAACGGGACTCTGTGTGGAGACAGGGCCTTAAAAGAGGTGATGAAGGTAAAATGGGCCATGTGGGCAGGCCCTAATCCAGTATGCTGTGTCCTTATAAAACGAAGAGGTGAGGACACAGACACGGAGGGAAGGCCACGTGAGGACACAACAAGAGGGCAGCCATCTCCAGGCCGAGGAGGGAGCCCTCAGGAGAAACTACCCTACCCACACCTCTATCTTAGGCCTCCAGCCTCCAGAACTGTAAGAAAGTGAGTTTCTGCTGCTGAAGCCCCAGCCTGCAGCACTCCGCTGTGGCAGCCCTGGAAAGCCCTGGAAGGCTAAGATCACCACAAATCACACTGTTAGCAGGGATTCTGTGTGGCCCGCAGCCTCACATCTGCAAAGATATACAAAGACCCTCTTCTCAAGCAGACATTCCCAGGCTCAGAAGTTACCCCTCAGGAGCCAGGAAAGGGCCAGCCCTGCAGACTTCCGGAAAGGCCAGGGTTTGGGCAACTCACCCCTGCAGAATTAACCCTTTGCTGTACACTGCTGCAACGAATCACCACCACTTCGGTGGCTTAAAACCACACAAAGGTCAACTGGTCTGGTCCCACTGGACCTAAATCAAGCTGTTGCCAGGGTTGGTTCTGTACCCCTCCAGGGCAGAATCCATTTCTTTGTGGACGTACAGAATGTTTTCCCAGAAGCCCCCAGCCAATTTCCCCTCAGGCCTCATCAATCAGAAATGAGTGACACGCCCACCACTACAGGGGTTCCTGACAGAGAGAAATAGGATTATTGATTGAGGTGAACCAATCATGAAGCCCCCTTCTGCCTGGGGACCCAGCTTCCCTGAGGACATTGCTGATCCTGATACCTGAACAGGATGGGGGTTCTTGCAGCAAGGAAGAGTGGCATGGGGGAGGCAGCCAGCTCTTCTGCCCATCTGGAAGTAAGGGTGCGGCAGCATCTCATGGAGTAAGCATTACCTGTGCCCCTGCCCTGGGTGCATCAACCTAGGAGCTGGGTGCCAGTGAGCAAGAGATGGTCCCTGCCTCACAGAGGCCTGGGGCATGTGGGCAGATATGTGAGCAGAGGTGCCAGAGAGTGTCAGAGACGCATTAGAAGTCCCTGCACAGAGCAGTGAGGAAGCAGCAGCCTCGTTAGGTTCCACTGCAGTCCAAGGGAGTGGTGGTAGTGGCTTAGATCAGATGGTGGAAGTGAAGGCGGAGGGAGGGAGTTCTGGACTCAATTCCAACAAAGAGGCTACTAGGATTTGCTGATGGGTTGGATGCAGATATAAAGTATGAGGGAGAAAAAGACAGAGACAGAGGTGGAGACACAGAGAGAGATACAGAGACAGATGCACACACAGAGAAAGAGAGACGTCCATCCAGAGCAGCTCCCAGAACCCTCCTGGGCCGCTGTAAGGCGGCCTGTGCTCTGCGGGGATAGGGAAGGGTCGGATGAGGGCAGGTGATGTCAGAGATGCCCGGAGACATCCAAGTTAGATGCCAGCTCTGGGGCTCAGGGGACAGCTCCAGGCTAGAGACAGACTCTGGTGGTTTCAGTGTGTCCTTGCCTCTCAAAACCATGGGCTTGGAAGGAGACCCTAGAGATGGGGGAGAGAAGAGGAGCCGGACACAGCCCTGAGCCCCCAATACTCCCAGGCCAGGAGGACACAGAGGCCAGGAGAGGAGACAGCCCGGGGGGTCATGAAGGCCAGCAGAGCACTGAGAGGAGAGTGGCCAGAGAGTGACCACCCTGCCACGAGGGGGCCTTGGCAAGAGAGGCTCCATGGGGACGTGGAGCTGCCTGAGGGAGTGGCTGGGTAGAGGCTGGAAGACCAGACAGTGGCAGGAGAGCTGCTTCTCTGAGTTTTGCAGTAAAAGGAGCAGCAACAGGCAAAGTCTTGTAAAGGGAGGGTTAAAGAGGCATTTTGCTTGTTTGTTTTGTTTTTCTTTCAATGCTAGAAGCAACTCCCGCCTTGATGTAGAAAGCCCGCATCACTGCAGCAGAAGCTGGGAGGCACAGGGAGTTGTGCTCAGCCACCCCACAGGGGACCTGCAGAGGTTTAACCTGGGAGGAGGAGCTCAGGTTTGTGCTCTAAAAGGTCATTCTCTTTATCCCCACTCCCACCCCACCCTGGTGCACAGGAGAGTCCAGACCCAGGCATGGCCTCAAGGCCAAAGCCGGACAGTTTTCCCAAGCACTGTAACAGCCTAGGAAGTAACAGGCTAAGAAGGCCCAGGAGCAGGCTGGCTCCCACAGAAGACAGCCCTCAGAATTCTGAAATAGCCAGCAGCACCTACAGGGATTTCTGACCTGCCTATCCCCAAAACCTGAGCCCCCAGATAGTCTGCGTATCTCAGCCCCAAATCTGGGCAGGTTCCCAGGGTCACCACCATGAAGAGAGGCCAGAAGAGATTTTTTTTTTTTTTTACTGAGTTTCGCTCTTGTTGCCCAGGCTGGAGTGCAATGGTGCGGTCTCCGCTCACCGCAACCTCTGCCTCTCCCAGGTTCAAGCAATTCTCCTGCCTCAGCCTCCCAAGTAGCTGGGATTATAGGCATGCACCACCATGCACAGCTAATTTTGCATTTTTAGTAAAGACGGGGTTTCTCCATGTTGGTCAGGCTGGTCTCCAACTCCCAGCCTCAGGTGATCTGCCCGCCTCACCTTCCCAAAGTGCTGGGATTACAGGCGTGAACCACCGTACCAGGCCTCACTCTTAAAAGAGAGAGAGAAATGTCCAGTTGGTATTCTAGGGAGACTTAAGAAAAGAAGGAAGGCCTCCAAAACAGGCTGTCATAAAAAACAAAATATCAGAGAATAAGAAAATCCTCTTGCAAACTTAATGCCCAATGCCAAAACAACCAGCTTAATAGAGAGATAGGAAGATTAAAAACAAGAAAATATCTCAGAATATAGACGGGACCATTAGTGAAATAATGATAAACCCTACAGGGGAACCATCTAGAAACTCCAACAACTGACCAATAAAAGTTTCAAAAGCAAAGATCGAACAAAACGGAAGCAGGAACATTTATCCAAAAAGCAACACAGGAAAAGTTGCTGGAGTTGAAGGAAAAAATAATTCTTTTGGACAAAGAACCCATCCCTCATAAAGATACAAGCAGCACGGCCAGACATCGGCCACCCGGATCCTGGGAGGTGACACAGGACACCGCGAGGTTCTGGGCAGGAGTGTTTCTGTGGCTCTACATTGCCTCACCAGGGCAGCTGGAAGAAAATGTGAGGGCACAACGAACCCTTTTTTAGAAACGCAGGATGAAAACAGTAACCCTAAGCCTCCCTTCCTTAGAAAGCAGTTGTTAATAGATTCCAGCAAAGTGAGGGGGAAAATCAGGAAACAAGACATGGGATGAGGTAACGGTGGCTCCAATCCCAGAGACAGGTAATGGTGGTTCTAGGAGGGCAGCTATGGTCCAAGGACAGGCCCCAGAAAGGGACAGAGGACAGAGGCAGAGTTTTTAGAGGATGTAGAGAACTTTCAGATAATGCGGGGGCTTTTAGAGAGTCCCTAGAAAAGCTACAGAGATCTTGAAAAATCTTGGGGGATGTAACAAAGACAGAACACAAAAAGTAAGCAGGGATAATGTAACAATAACAATTAAACAGCACCAGAAGCAGCCGGGAGTGGTGGCTGACGCCTGTAATCCCAGCACTTTGGGAGGCTGAGGTGGGCGGGTCACCTGAGGTCAGGCATTAGAGACCAGCCTGGCCAACATAGTGAAACCCCATCTCTACTAAATTAGCCGGGCATGGTGGCAGGCGCCTGTAATCCCAGCTACTTGGGAGGCTGAGGCAGGAGAATCGCTTGAACCCAGGAGGCAGAGGTTGCAGTGAGCTGAGATTGTGCCACTGCACTCCAGCCTGGGCAATAGAGTGAGACTCCATCTCAAAAAAAAAAAAAATAGCACCAGAGGCTATGAAAAAAAAATTAGAAGAAAGGCACGGTCCAAAGGTGCAAGAAGGTCAAGAAGAGTGTGGTGTGATCTGAGCAATTATCAGAGTGAAAGGGGGCTCTGCCTGCCTAGCACCCGAGCTCTCCTGCCACTGACCTGCAGAGGGCCCAGTGGGGGCCACAGAGAAGGGAGAACCATCCCAGCATAGAACTGGAAGTGTCCAGGGGAGGCAAAGGCCACGCATTTGTTCTCAACTTACGAATGGACCTGTGCACCAACATCACAGGAGCTTTAGCCCTGGGTGCAGACAGATCTAGGCCTGGGTGCAGACAGATCTAGGCCTGGGTGCAGACAGATCTAGGCCTGGGTGCAGACAGGTCAAGCCGAGGAGGTGCAGGGGAGA
This sequence comes from Homo sapiens, assembly GCF_000001405.40. Classification (NCBI taxonomy): domain Eukaryota; kingdom Metazoa; phylum Chordata; class Mammalia; order Primates; family Hominidae; genus Homo; species Homo sapiens. Next base: position 128,609,525 of record NC_000002.12, on the reverse strand, counting down.
GCCAGTGTCCTCAGCGCCCCTGAGTCCAGCCTGAGCAACCTGCTTACCGCAAAAGAGTGACCAGGAAGGCTCCGGGACTTGGTCTGAGACTGCAAGGGGCCAGATGGAGGAACTGAGAACAGCAACAAGGAGAGCAGGTCTTAGAGCTCTGAGCTCCTAAATCCTCAACAGGTGAGGCTTCAAGCTCCCAGGTGGCTCTGTCAACCTAGACATGAGAACTGAAAACAGGGCGGCTTGGCATGGTCTCCCAGCAGCAGGCATACCCTCCTGTCTCCCCACTCACTCTTGGCAACTGGGGCAGGCAGGACTTGCATTGCCACTACTACCCCCATGCCCTGGAACAGCCGCCTCGCAGCGCTCTGCCACCTCCTGCCTCCACGGAAGCTCTGTGGTCCACACTCATTCCTCCATCAGCAAAGCTGGGGGCTCTGCCCTTCCAATACCATATACCCAGATCCAACCCCTTCTTCAGCACTGTCCTGCTGCCAGCTGGTCCACACCCGCCCTCATCTTCCGCCTCCGAACGCATTTCCATGCTTCCACCCTCCACACAGAGCATCTCCCGCACCACAATGGCCAGAGTGATCATTCTATAAGGCAGGCCAGACCAGCACCCTGCTGGATCTACACACGGGAGTTGCCATCTCTCTCAGAGTAAGGCCCAAGTCCCCAGGCTGCCTATAAGGCCTGTACTTCTCCTGCTCCCTCCCCGGGACTTCATTCTGGCTTCCTCACCGCTCCTCAGACAAGCCTCAGGGCCTTTGCACTGGCTGATCTCCCGCGAGACAGCCATTTGCCCAAATATAACACTCAGGGCTCATTCCTTGCCTCCTCCATCAGTCGGGAATGTATTGTCAATTCATAAGCAGGCACCAGCTCCAACTGCCCCTTATCATCCTTATTCGTGGAAATAAGATTAACTGGGATTAGCAGGTCTGTTTCCAGTGCAGAATATAGGAGCTGTCAAGAACCAGCAGTTTTCCACACCTGAGGGTGTGCACACTCACCAGGAAAGCCTGGCCACACTCGCCCGAGGGCCCCGCCCCACCGTTCCTTGGGAGGGCCTGTGAGACAGGACGTGCCCCCTGCTGGGCTGGGAAAGGCCTCCCCAGCACGCATTCCCATGCACCCGAGTGCACCCGGGACTCCCGAGACCCAGAGCACTGCTTGTTTTTAGGCAGGGCTCTGAGTGGAAAGGGCTGAGCTGTGCCAAGCTCCTGGACTTGGTGCCCTCGGGGCCAGGGATGACTGCTCTGCACCACCGGGGCGTGCCAGAGTGACCTGAGACTCCATGCCTGGCTGAGAAAAGTCCTCTCCCCAGTGCCGCTGTAAGTGCCCGGGCTTTGCCAGGCCTCCACACAGACTGGCAGGCAAAGGTATTCTCAGCTGAGAAATCGCTGCGGCAACCATGGGAGGAGAAGGAACAGAACACGCAGGCGCAGGCTTCGGGCTGTCTCTCACCTCCCCCGCCCCCACAGCGCATCCCCGCCCCCCAGTCTGTCTGGCTTTGGGGTGTCCTCATTTCCCCCAGTCCCTCTCCCTCCCGCTCATTTTCCACCCTCTGCTCCTCCTGCTTAATTTCTTAAAATAGAAGAATTTTGAGAAACAAATTACAGACTAATGGCAGTGTCAATTCCCATGAGCTCAGGAAAATGTAGAATTTAATTTTAAGTCTGAGAGAGCTTATTTACAGACTGCCTTTTTCCCTTTGGGTCCCAACATCATAAGCAAGCTCAGTATGCCTGAGGAGGGAGTGGTGCAGTAGACGTGCTGATGAGGCCGGGTTTCAAAAGCCCATTCCCTCGCCCTGGGTGGGTGGCCACAGCCCTCACTTCCTGCACACTTCGGTCAATTTCAGAAGGAGCCTCAGCCACGTGCACCGTGCCCAGCAAACTGCGAGCTCGAGAGAGGCAAAGAGGGAGATTGCCCAACAACCTGAACCAGGAATTCCAGCCCAGAACCTCTTATCCAAATTGGCTGATATTGGACCTCACGTTTTAGGAGCTTTTCCAGAAGTCTGTGGCATTCATTCCTTCATTCATTCATTCAGGCATGCATTTGATGTTTACCAAGACTTGCACTGTTTTAGGCCCTGGAGGTATAAAGTTTCTGCCATCAGCAGCATATATTCTCCTGGGATGAGACAGAAGCAAAGCAAATACCCAAATAAATACTTGTCAGTTGCAATGAACTGTCAAGAAGAAAAACAAAGCAGTTAGTAGGCGTTCAAGACTGGGGTGGGAAGGCTTGTTCAGAGAGGCTGGCCAGGGAGGACCTGGACCATGTAAACTTGAGCTGATCCTGGAAAGGAGTATACAGTGTGTCTGGGGAAGGCTGTCCGGGCAGAGGGAGCAATGAGTGCAAAGGCCCCGGGCTCAGCATGTTCAGAAAACAAGGGGCCAATGTGGTCAAAGCAGGTGCAAGCCTGGGCCTGGGGTTCCAAGAGAAGTGGGAGCTGCTGGAGGGTTGGGGCAGAAGAGGGGCAGGTCTGACTTGGCATTTGCTGTCGCGGAGGAAGAGGGTGGGTGCAGCCCCAGCCATCCCACCTGAACTCCTGCCCCAGGTCTGGCAGCCCCTGCCACTCCTGGACTCCCATGCTGTCCCCGCTCGGGAAGAGAGATCTGGCTGTGCCTGCCTGGGAGAAGCAGGATTTTCACAGCAACTTTGGTAGGAGTCTGCAGAATGACCTCAAAGATATCCACATCCTAATCTGAGACTAGGACCACAGAACCTAAGAATGTCACCTTCCATGGCGAAAGGGACTCTGCAGGTGTGATACAGTCAAGGATCTTGGATGGCGGAATTACTGGGCTTATGGAAATAACCCAATATAATCATAAGGGTCCTCATCAGAGGGGCACAGAGGAGCCAGAGGAGATGCAGGACAGAAGCAGAGGTTGAAGGGATCTACATTGAAGATGGAGGGAGCTGTCAAGAACCAGCAGCTTTCCACACCTGAGGGCGTGCACACTCACCAGGAAAGCCTGGCCACACCTGAGGGCATGCACACTCACCAGGAAAGCCTGGCCACACCTGAGGGCATGCACACTCACCAGGAAAGCCTGGCCACACCTGAGGGCGTGCACACTCACCAGGAAAGCCTGGCCACACCTGAGAGCGTGCACACTCACCAGGAAAGCCATTCCACACCTGAGGGCATGCACACTCACCAGGAAAGCCTGGCCACACCTGAGGGCGTGCACACTCACCAGGAAAGCCATTCCACACCTGAAGGCATGCACACTCACCAGGAAAGCCTGGCTACACTCGCCAGAGGGCCCAGCCCCCATTCCTTGGAAGGGCCTATGGGGCCTGACGTGTGTCCCGCAGGGCTGAGAAAGGCCTCCCCAGCACACATTCTCTTCATCCAAGTGTACCCGGGACTCCCGAGACCCAGAGCCTAGGAATGAGGGTGGCCTCTGGAACCGAGAAAGCCAAGGAACGCTCCCCTCAAGCCCTGGAGGAAACCAGCCCTGCCGACTCCTTTGCGTCCGCTGAGCCTTGTTTCAGCCCTCTGGCCCCAGGACGGTGGGAGAGTAAATCTGTGCTGTTTCGTTTCAGGTTGGCAACAATTTGTCACAACAGTGATAGAAAATTAATACAGCCCTCTTAGATGGATTCCCTAGAAGCAGAGCCCGGGGCTAAGATCTGCAGGCCCAAGGTGTATTGACAGTGAGCTTTTCAGGAAGTACCATGAGACAGAGCAGAAGCAGCACAGGTAGGGAAGAGCCCAGCAAGGTGTGAGCTCAGGTGAAGCCAGTCACCACCCGCCAGGCCTTGGGAGACTCTGGGCTGGAGCACAGACTGCTCTGAACGGTTGGTCTCTCCTGGGTGGGAAGCTGTTCTCTGGGATCAGCAGACAGCAGGTGGGTGTGTGCTGCTCCAGAGGCAGGGGCGTAACCTCCCAGGCATGGCAGTGCTTGCTCCAGCATTCCTGGAGAAGGGGCAGCGGTGCACACATCCTCAACAGCAGCCAGGGGACACTGACCCCGATGGACACCTGCACCTGGCACAACCGTACAATCGCCACCATCCACCAAGTAAGTATGCACTATGATCCAGGCCCAAGTCTAGCAAAGAAGGTACAGTACTAACTTCCCTGGCCCTAATCATAGTTCTGGGAGGCAAGAACTGTTAATACCCCCATTCAGGTGAAGAAACTGAGGCATAGAGAGGTTAGATAAGCTGCCCAAGCGCTCATAGCTGGTGCTGGAGTGGGGTCCACACTGGCAGGAACTCCTGGTCCCTACGCTGGCCACCTCCTGCGGGTGGGCAGAGGATGGCACGGCCTATGCTCAGGACGTGCTAGGTTGGGCACCTTCTTTCAGCATGTGGTAATTCCTTTTCTCCTCAGCTGGGGAAATAACACCACAGACATCCCTCAGTATCCACAAGGATAGGACCTGGGACCCCCGAGGATACCAAAATCCAGGGATTTCCAAGTCTCTGATACAAAATGGCATAGTATTTCCATATAATCTACACCTATCCTTCCAAGTACTTTAAATCATGTCTAGATTACTTGTAATACCAGATGCAATGGAACTGCTATGTAAATGGTTGTTCTATTGAATTTTTATTTGTATTATTTTATTGTTGTATAGTTATTTTCATTGCTCTTTCCTAATATTTTTTGTCCGCGTTTGGTTGAATCCATAGATGCGGAACCCAGGCATAAGGAGGTCCAAACTGTACTTGTCTTAAAAGACTGATTCTTGGCAGGGCGCGGTGGCTCTCGCCTGTAATCCCAGCACTTTGGGAGGCCTAGGTGGGCGGATCACAAAGTCAGGAGATCGAGACCATCCTGGCCAACATGGTGAGACCCCGTCTCTACTAAAAAATAAAAAAAAAAATAGCTGGTTGTGGTGGCACGCACCTGAAATCCCAGCTACTCGGGAGCTGAGGCAGGAGAATTGCTTGAACCTGGGAGGCGGAGATTGCAGTGATCTGAGATCACGCCACTGCACTCCAGCCTGGTGACAGAGTGAGACTCTGTCTAAAAAAAAAAGAGAGAGACTGATTGTTTACAAAGAAAGGAAGGAGATTCATCAGGATGTAACAGAGGTTATCTCTGAATGATTTCTACTTTCCCTTTATACTTTTTCAGAGTTTCCAAATGTCCTTCAAACAGAGATTTGGAATGCAGACCAAAACAACGCATGTATTTGGTGTCTCTGAATGGACAGGGCAGAAGAGGCCTCCCTTTGGAGAATCCACCAGCACCCTCCCTGGGACCTCCGTCCCTCACCCCAGCTGGGCCCCAGGTGCCTTCCTTGGGCTCTGGCCTGGGACCTGGGCCAGCCTCCCTGGGTGCCTGGGCTGTGAGGGGTGACTCTCAGGTGCTGCCTGCCATGTCTCTTGTGAGGACCAGAGCAGGAAGGAGCCTGTGCAGGAACAAAAAGAAGGGTGAGGGAAGAGGCCATCATGGTCCTGCTGGGCTGGATCTGAGATGCAGCCATAATCCTGCCTTGAGTGTCCCCCAAACCCTCAAAACCAAGTTCCTTTTGATTTATTTTAGTCTACCTACTTTCCTGTCACATCTGATCCAAGCTATTTCTCATCCAGGGAGAGAGAAGAGGGGTACCTGCTGCCCACCGTGTGTGCAGAGCCCTGGGCTGGGCGGTGGACAAGCGGGAATGTGGCTGTCCAGACATCGGGTGTCTGAACCACCCTGAGAGAGGGGGCTGTGGCCTGGCCCAGGCAAGGACACTGAGGCTCAGCGAGGTTAACATAATAGCCACGTACATCCTAGCGGGCAGTCCTTTCCTGTTCCCTCACCCTCCCCGGCTCCGGGGACTACCCCTGGTCCCCCAGAATCACTGGGGTCAGGAGCCCTCCTGAAAGGCTGTCTCTGAAATCCTCACACCAAGTTTCACCCACAGGTTGAGCTAGACCAGCCACAAGGGCCTGAACATGGGCGGACGGCTGCATGCCAAAGGCAGGCGCTGTAGCCCGGCCCTGGGGTGTGCAGGCCAGCTGCTCTGTGCACCACGTGTCACAAGCAGGAAGACACAGAGGAAATGGGAAGGTCAGGGCTGATGTCACAATGGGAGACCATGCAGTCACCCAGGACCGTGTGCTCAGAAGGGCCCACAGGTGGTTCCAGGCTGTGCTGTCACCATCTTGAAGTTGGAAAGTTCTTGAACAAAGGTCCCCGCTTTTTCATTTTGCCCTGGGTCCCTCAGACTGTACAGCCAGTCTGCGTGAGATGCTCAGGCCTCAGGGCTGTCTGCGTCAGCCCGGTGAGGATCACTGGGAGACAACACAAGCAGATGATGGGTGGTGGTTGTTTTCTTTCTTCCAAAATTGGACACAGTGATTCCAGTTAATAAAAGCTGCCCAACCTCCCATTCCTAAAGCTTGCTGACAGGTTGGCTTCCAACCCTGCTGTGTGGCTGCATCCTCAGCCCAGACAGGCTCCGCAGCAAGGTCCCAGGCAGACCAAACCAGCCCTGGGCCTCCTCCGCTGTGGCAGGCCAGGCACTTGGCTCTTCTGGGCTTTGGCTCCTCACTGTGGGGCCTGGGAAGCTCAGCAACGTGCTAGCCATGACGGCCACAGGGCAGGCATTGGGTACAGTCTACATCTGTGTCTCGGTCTGTGAATGGCAACCTAGCAGTTCCACCTGCATGACGACACATGTAAAACAGTCCCGGGACCTCCTTTCCGCCAACGTCCCTCTCCCTGTTCCGGAAACCGACTGAGGTGAGCGCACCTGGGGAGGCAGTACCTGTGGAGGCTGGGCTTCGAACCCTGACCCCACCCACCCACCTGCCGCCTTGTCTTCTGAGGCCAGAGGCAGGTCCTGGAGTTAGGCGGACACTCACCCACTTCTCCCGGTTCCCAGGCACACTCAGCCCACCCAGGAGGGCAGGGGCCTGTGGTGGCAGTGGACCTGTGGTGTGTACAGAGCCAGGTGTGTGGACAGTGGGGTGTGTGTGCTCACTCTCATACTCACACACTCACACCAATAGAACTTTGGAACCTGCAGCCAGGACTGCCAACGCCCACATGCGGAGCTCACAGCCAGGGGCCATTCCGCCCCCACAGCAATCCCCATGTTCCCAGCAGCCCAGAAGCCCCTGACACAGGCATGCCACCCTCTCCACAGCTCACCTTTTAATCCACGTCTTGATTTTTTAATTTCTTGCATTTTAAATCTTCACTTTCCTCACATTTGATGCCTAAGGTGGAGGGAGAATTACCCTATCCCAACACCAGCTCCAGGATGGGCACAAGACAAGGCCCTCGGCTCCCTGGGCCTCAGCCTCGCTGCTGTGAGAGGATAGTGGTGTTGGAACATCAGAACCCACTGAGTTCAGTGAGACATGTCAGGAGTGAGTCTGGCAGGGCAGGGTGGGCAGAGCCCTGTGGCACCAGGGCGTGGGGCCAATCAGCTCCATCTTACTCCCCCCGCCATGCTCCAAGTCCTCCGTACTGCCCGGCTTTCTGCCCACTGATCTCTCTTGGTCACAGTGGCCCCAGCCAGCCTGGGGCCAAGGGGAGGAACATGGAGGGACTCCTGTCCCCTCCACACTCCCTTGCCCCCTAGCCCATCACACAGTGCTGGCAAGGAGGGGTCTTCAGAAAATACCTATAGAATGAATGAATGAACGCCAGGGATGAGTGTGTCTCCCAGTCACATCCCAGAGGGAGTGCTGGCACTGCCACCCTCTCAGACGGGCCCTGCAGACAGATAAGAACGTGCCTGGCACACTCAGGCCTCAGGTTTTCTCTTTGAGTCTGGAAGCCCAGAGTCCAGGGCCCCTGGGAGCCAGACACTGAGCCTGGAACACACCCTTCTGTGGACCCTCCAAGTGCCAGGATCATTTTATTCCAAGTGTCCCTCCGAACAGTGACACTCAGCCCATCCACATGGATGGTCCCTAGGGTCACACCTGCTGTCTCGGAGCTTTGCAGGGCCTTTGCAGCTGACCATGCTTGCCAAGGTGGACAGCCTCAGACGGGCAGAGAGCTGCTGCCTCAGCCCCCTACTCACCCGGTGGCAGCGAGAGTCCCCTCCTTGGTCTGCAGTACTGCCTCTGGTTTCCCCCAGGGGGACCGACGGTGGTGGAGCTTCCCCTCCTCAAAAGCTCCCACAGGAAAGTAGGCCGAGCGGAGGGTCTGGAGGCCATGGCAAAGAGCTCCCACAGCAGCGAGGGTGTGCACACACTGGACGGGCTCGCTGCCTCGGGGATGCTTCCTGGCCTGGTTTGCAGGGTACTCTGGCCCTCCTTAGCTGCATCTACAGCACCACCCCTTATCCTTGTGTGTGTGTGTGTGTGTGTGCGCGCGCACACACGCGCACTTGCACATCCTCAGGGGCACTTGTGCATGTGTATCCTCAAAGGCATGTGCTCGTGTGTGCATTCTCAAGAGCATGTGGGTGCATCCTCATGGCATGTGCACGTGTGCATTCTCATGAGCGTGTATGTGCATCCTCACAGGCATGTGCATGTGTGCATTCTCATGAGCGTCTGTGCATCCTCACAGACATGTGCCCATGTGCATCTTCATACACCCCATACACACTAAAGTTGCGTGTGGACAACTTTGCAGGTGTGTGTGTGTGCGTCCTCATGAGCATGCATGCACATGTATGGAACATGCACCCATGCTGGGCAATTAATTGATTCTAGGTACCACCATGTGAACAATATGTCTCTCTGTGTGGTCCAGAGCATCCAGGCCTCTTGCAGCTGTGCAGCTGTGGCTCGGCAGAGGCAGAAAGGGGGAGGGAAGGGACTGAGCGAGTACTGCACGCTCACTGGAGCATCTGCAGGGCTTCCACTAGCAGGTCTCCCTTCACCTCACACAAGCCCTAGAGCCAGACACTGGTCTCCACACTAAAGATAAGAGACTGAGACACAGAAACTCTGTAGTTGTCAAAGTTACAGACAAGGCGGGGCTTTCATCCACATTTATAAGACCACAAAACAACCCTGTCTGCATGACAGCTCACACCCTCCCATGCCTCCCTGAGGGCTCCTTCTTCCCCCAAACACTTCTTAATCCTATATTGCTGCCATTTCTCCTCTTTCTTTTTTTAATAAAAATGTTAAGAAGGGAACATATTTATAATGTTTTATAAATGGAAGAATCCATTCATAAAATATTAACAAATGGTTAAACTTTGGGAAGTGAGACTCTGTCTTGGGTTTTTGATAATAAATGTGGGCCCCTTTAATGAGGTGGATAAGACTACTTAACCCAATAAGAAAAAAGTCTCCCTTTTCTGCCTGTTTTCCCCTTGCCAAAAGCACAATAGAAGACTTCCAAATACCAGAGGTGACTCTATAGCATACGAAATAAATTATGCAGTGGGGTGGAATAATTGCAAGGGCCCTCCCTCCTTCCTTCTGCCCTTAAAATGCATTCTGTCAAGGGTGCTTTATTAAAGTAATCAAAATGTACTCAAATCCATTAGCCAGGTGCTCTCAAAATGTCAAAGACCAATTCTCTGATTAAAGCCATTTCTGCTGATCAATGTAGAGCCTGGGCATGGCTGCTGAACACCCAACTGGGCACCTAAGCGGAAGCCGCCAGGCCCTCGGCCTCTGCTGGCACTGCTGTAGTTGCTGACCAAGCTCAAGCTCTTGTCCCATGGAGGTGAGATAGCAGCCACCAGGCCATGGCTCACTGGGTAGCAGGCAGGAGTCTCCACCTGCCCCAGCAGATGAAGCATCTCCTGGACCTCGCTGCAGAGCCATGAGGACATGATTCTTGGTGTTGGGTTCAAGCGCCTCACAGCCCGGTGTCTACCTGCACATTGCCCAGCACGTACGAGGGTCTGAAAAATGTCTTTGGACTTTGTTCATGCTTCACAAACCTGAACATGACTTGCACCACCCCTTGACAAGACCAGAACACAGCTGCTGTTCAACAACAAAAGCATAGGCAGCAAGAATTTCCACGTAATAAGACCTGCTTCCAGCCAGCAATTTACAAGCATCCCTGGGTGCACATGCACTTAATGTTCACAATGACCCTCAATCCCGGAGATGCCTGCACTGACAGGCAGAAGCACTCTGCCATTTACTGGCTCTTGGTCAACTTGGGCCTAATTTGTTATGCGTCAGTTTCCTCAACTGTGAAATGGGCATGATAATAGTCTATAATGACACAGTTGTTTTGAGGAATAGATTGATTCATATGTCAGGCACATAGTAAGTTTTCAACATGATGAAAATGATAATAATGATGATAGTGACAACAATGATCAGGGTGATGATGAGGTGATGAGCATTATGATAATGATGATGATGTAATGAGGTAATGATAGGTGATGGGAACGATGATGGTGATGATAATAATTACGGAGATGGCGATAACGATAGTGATGGTGATAGTGATGGTGATGATGATGTGATGATGTGAACATGGTGACAATAATGATTATGGAGATGATGATAATGACACTGATGGTGATGGTGGTGATAGTGATGGTGATGATGATGTGATGATGGTGATAACAATTATGGAGATGGTGATAATGACAGTGATGGTGATGGTGGTTATAGTGATGATGATGGTGATGTGATAATGGTGATGATAATAGTGATGGTGATGGTGACAATAATAGTGATGGTGATGATGATGGTGATGACCATGCTTATGGAGATGGTGATAATGACAGTGATGGTGATGGTGATGATAGTGATGGTGGTGATGATAATGATTATGGAGATGATAATGACAGTGATGGTGATTGTGATGATAGTGATGGTCGTGATGATAACGATTATGGAGATGGTGATAATGACAGTGATGGTGATGGTGATGATAGTGATGGTGGTGATGATAATGATTATGGAGATGATAATGACAGTGATGGTGATTGTGATGATAGTGATGGTGGTGATGATAATGATTATGGAGATGGTGATAATGACAGTGATGGTGATGGTGATGATAGTGATGGTGGTGATGATAATGATTATGGAGATGGTGATAATGACAGTGATGGTGATGGTGATGATAGTGATGGTGGTGATAACAATTATGGAGATGGTGATAATGACAGTGATGGTGATGGTGGTGATAGTGATGGTCGTGATGATAATGATAATGGAGATGATGATAATGACAGTGATGGTGATGGTGATGATAGCAATGGTGGTGATGATAATGATTATGGAGATGGTAATAATGACAGTGATGGTGATGGTGATGTGATGATGGTGATGATGATGGGATGATGGTAATGATAGTGATTATAAAGGTGGTGATAATGATAGTGGTGGTAGTGTTGATGGTGATGATGGTGTACCTTGTAAAATCCAGAGATATCAAGAAATTTCCTCAAGTTCTCAGAGCTGGTAAATGGATGAGGTCTGGCTTAATTCAAAGTCAGTGCTCTTTCTAAACACCCTGCTGCCTTTTCCTGGTTTTCATTTCAATTCTAAACTCGCTTCTCATTCTTATTATTCCTTCAGCACCTTGACACAAGTCCTCCCCTGTCCATCACAATTTTATTCACTCTTCCTTTTTCGAGCATCCTTTCATCTGACCTTCCTCACACAACCCCAGAATAATGAGCTGCTGCAGGGGCAGAGCACTGGAGTGTGAATAGCAGAACCTCCTCACATCCTGAACATCTGGGCTGCCACACTCTGAGGAGTTAATGAAATATGCAGAGGCCGCATGCTACAAATTGGGATTCAGAGTTCCCACCCTCCCTTTCCTTTCAACTTCCTTTTTGAAAATTTAGTTCTCCAACATCAATTTCTGTTTGCAATAAATATTTAAGCACTTTGCCTTCCAGGCTTATAGCTCAAGGATGCTCTAAGCCGGCAGGCCCCAGAGCCTCTGGCCACCCCACGTGGCTATCCTGGGCTCCACCGAGGGAAGACTCCTTCAGGATGGCTCAGCTAGGTGGCTTCTAATGTCCTCTATTCCCACAGCTGCTGCAAAGGACTACTCCCTTTGGCCTGTCCTCCATGTATAATCAAGGACAACACCCCAGCCCTGAGTGCCTCCCAAGTAGCTCTCCACCCCCCTGGTTACTCCCTCCCCATTGCTGGGCCACTGTTCACTTTGCTAAGCTGGCTGCCCCATCTCCTTCTCAGTTTCCATGCCTCCAGCCAACCTCCCTGCAATCCACACTCCTTCAGTTGTCAAATCCAAATCTGACCATATCACTCCCCAGCTTGAAGTTCCTCTCTGCCCCCCATCTGCAAGAGAAAGTTTAAGCTCTTTAACACACTACCCAGGCCCCTGTGCGACGTGTCTCATCTCCCAACTCCACGCCGCCCTACCTTGTTGCCCAACATTGCTGACACACACACAGGTTGCACTTCTGGGCCTCACCCTGCCTCCTCTCCTGGGCCTGCACCACTGCTGCCGGCGCTCTGGGCTGGCCAGGGTCAGTGTCTCCAGGAGGCCTCCTTGACCTGCTTCCACTGGAGCTCCCTGAGGCTGGGCTGAGACCTGCCACTGCATCTTCCAGCACAGCCTCCCCTGCATAGCACGACCCCGGCTCCATCTCCCTCAATGACTAGGCTCACCTAGGGCCCAGTGGGAGGTCAATAAGTGGTTGTCAAAGGAACTGGAGCAGGAGCACCATAGCAGCAGGTTGCAAGGCTGGAGAAGGCGCCCTGGGAGCCGAGCCCTGACAAGCCTGGTCTGGAGCCCAGTTCCACGCCCTCCCTGCCTCCTGATTCCTTGGGGCTGCTCAGGGCTCCCTGGCCTGGGCCCACCCTACCCCAGACCTGCCCCTTTAGCTCTTCTCCACCCTTTCTAGAATAAATGCGTCTGGGATGCTTTGAATCCTCAGAAGCCTGCTCCTGGGCAGGCTATAGGAGCAGAGTCCATGGGTCGGGGCTGACCATAGAAGGACATTTAACCACTGGCACAGGAAGGGCCTGTCTGCCTGCATCACCCAGTGGCTGCCCCGTCCAGCGGCATTCCAGTCAGGACCCTCTGACTCTGGACCAGGGAGCTAAAAGGTCCCTCTTGTCACAGCTGCATGATCCCAGTGCAGCCTGCACAAAACCCAGGCCATCAAGCTCAGAGAACAGGGCTGCATTTGTCCCAAGAACAGAGCAGGGGGTCTCTTCCAACATGGGTGAAAAGGCGACAGCCCCTCTTAGAGAAGGCCGTCCCAGTCACACTCACTTTGTCGGGGTGTAAGGTGTCCCACCACCCAGTGGTGCCGCACCGTAAGGAGGGTCCCTAGTGGTCCTGCCCATAGGTGACCAAGGAGGTGGAGCCTGCCGGGCCCTTCCCGGGCAAGTACCCATGCTGCAAACCCTCCAGATTCTTCCTGCCAGGCTGTGTCAGCAGAGGCTCAGGCCTCAGAGCTCTCCACCTTCATTTCCTCCTCTCCGAGACAGGGCAGCCTGCAAGTGCTGCTGAGTGATGGGAAGGAAGTCACTGCAGGAAAGGTCAGATGCCTACATGCCCTGAGTGGTCTCCTGAAAAGCAGCTGCAGCTCTGCCTCACCATCAGTAGGGAAAAGAAGGCAGCCCAGCTCCCAGGAGGGCAGTGCGGGCTTGTATCCCAGCCCCTCAGCATGCCAAGGGCTGAGGGAGGAGTCCCCTGACACCAGCTGTTCCCTGGTCCTCTGAAGGTCGAAAGTGGGAAAGACCAAGCGGCCTCACGGGGCACAAGACGGAGATGCCAGCCCTTTGCACTCTTACTTTCCCAACAGCTGTGCTGGGAAGGTCATATGAGGTCAGAGAAGTGCCTGCAGGAAGCTGATTTTGCACATCCCACCCTGCCTCCGCCGAATTCAGGAATGGAGACATCGGGGATACTTGTGAACCAGAGCACTAAGCGGTCCAGGGCTCAGGGAAGTGCACACGCAGGATCCAAAAGAGAAACCCCACAGGGCAGTGACACTTGGGGTCAGAGGTGTGCTGGTCCCGCTGTCCCATCCAATTTGGAGATCTGTCCATCTGCATTACTATTACTGAGGAAGGTGTGTCATCATCCCATTTAATAGATGAGAACATTGAGGCCAAGGAACCTGAGCCCATGCTTGAATCTAAAAGGTGCATGGTGGGTGGTAAGGAGCTAGGGCTGCCATTACTGGCTGTGTGCGGGGCTGGGCCGTGGAGCTCCCACGGTCTGGACTGCATGGCTGCCATCATAGGTGACCTCACAGGTGCCGCCGAGTGCACACCACCACCCATGGGGTCTCTGCCTGGAGCTCTGGCTGTGTCGCTGCATCAACATGCTCAGCAGAGCTCCCTGCTGGGGACACTGTAGGCACTGAGGATATAGCTGTTGACAAAGCAAACAAAATGCTGTTCACATGTTCACCTTGCAGTGGGGTGGACTCAAAATGCAAATGAACCGGGAAATACAAGCCAGGCCAGCTACGAACAAGTGCAATGGGGAAAACAAGCAGGAAAAGGCTAAAAAAGGAGGGCTGGGGGCCGTGGGGAGTTTGAGCACAGGTGGGACTGATGTGACTCAGGTGTAACAGGTATAATCTGACAGGTGGGAGGCCCCAAAGTCATCCAGGCGAGAAGCGGACGGTTGGCCCAGGGGTGAGTGGGGAAGGCCAGAGGGAGCAGAGGCCCAGTCCTGGCTGTGTATGCTGATGGGGAGTGAGGGAAGAGGAAGGCCAAAAGGCTCTGGGTTTGGATCTCAGCCCCTGGAAGAACGAAATGGCTTCACTGAGAGGAGATTCCTGGGACCCACCACCAACACCCAAGATCCTGTTTTCTTCCTTCTGGAAATGTGGAGTTGCTGTCAGGTCCTACGGTCTTCTGTGGGGGTCCCATGGGGCATGCCAAAAGCCCCTGTCAGAACCCAGGGCCAGGTCTGGTTGTCAGCCCGGAGTCCCTGTGGGACTTGGCCATGACAGATCTTCTCCAGTGTGTGGTTTTTGGAGCTCCTCCTGGGCCTTGGAGTCACTGACAGCAGGTTTGTGTGCTGGGAGGACACAACGGGAGAGCTGCTTCATCTTTCTGAGCTGCCGCAGTGGGATAAGCTCTGGAGAACCTTCACCGCCGGCCATTCCAGCACCAGGGGTTCTTGTTTCTGCCAGCCCCAGGTCCCACACCTTGTCTTACCTGAGATGATGCCTGAGGAGGACAGGTACCAGCCACAGCTGACTGAGTGCATGAAGACCAAAGGCCTTCCTGGAAGGGGCCACTGAGGGGCAGGGTCCACCCAGGGACAGGGTCCACCCAGGGACCGGCTCATTGGGCTTCAGGTCACAGTAAGATGGAGAGGGCGCTGAGTTCACATCACATTCAATCTCAGCAAATGCTTATCTCTACTGAAAATTCCACAAGAGCATTCGTGTTCTGCACTTTCCCATAATCAGCTTAGTGTTTTGCAGCCACGGCTGAGGTGGTGAAATGCTCTGGTGATTAGCTGCATGACTGGGGTAAAAGGTTAATGGCCTGTGTCTCACATTCCAATAAAGCCACCCGCAGTTAGGGAAAGTATAAGCCGTAGCCCACAGCTGCTCGGGTGCCCAGGACACCTTAAAGGCAGGAGCATCGCCAGCCCTGGGTGACCACTGGGCTTTCTCCTCAAAGTTTCCATTTACCTCCCACGCAGCTGTTCCTGGGGCCAGCTTGCTGGAGTAGAAATGGAAAGAAGGCAGCCACCGTCACAGCTAGTTGTGCGGTCCTCCAGCCATGCGCTGACTGGCAGGACATGGGCCAGGCCTGACGACAGGAGCCTGGCTCTGCAGCTGGGATTGCTCCTGTTGCTGGGGGCTTCTTCCCCAG
This sequence comes from Homo sapiens, assembly GCF_000001405.40. NCBI lineage: Eukaryota > Metazoa > Chordata > Mammalia > Primates > Hominidae > Homo > Homo sapiens. Next base: position 128,593,835 of record NC_000002.12, on the reverse strand, counting down.
AATCTGCCTTTCCTCCTGAGCCTGCACAGGGCTCAGAAATCCCAGCCTGTCCCTGTGGGTAGGAGAGGCACAAACACAGGCTACGGAGCCAGTCAGGCCAGGTTCATTTTCAGGGCTTGAATCTGAGTGGATTTTCCTTGAAAGCTATTGTCCACTTCTCCAGTTTCCAGGCCCGCCCCAATCCCTCTCCTCTGGGACCTGGCATGTTCAATTCTTGAGTCTTTCTGGATTTTGTATCAATTCATAGATTATTAGCTTTCAGCTTTCTCAGGTTTGCAAAGTCGTTTACTATTTATCTTCCACTTTCAGGTTTTCAACATTTTCTGAACTTTTTTTAACTTATATTGTAGGTTCAGGGGTACATGCGTGGGTTGGTTATATGGGTAAATAGTGTGTCGTGGGGGGTTGCTGTGCAGGTTATTTCATCACCCAAGTAATAAGCATAGTACTCAATAGGTGGTTTTTCAATTCTCACCCTCCTCCCATTCTCCACCCAAGAAGCAGGCCCCATTGTCCACTGGCCTCTTCTTTGTGTCTGTATCTACTCAATGTCAATGTTTAGCTCCGACTTATAAATGTGAACATGCAGTGTTTGGTGTTCTGGTCCTCCATTAGTTCACTCAGAACAATGGCCTCTAAATTCATTGTTTCCACAAAGGACAAGATCTTGCTCTTTCTTACGGCTGTGTAGTATTCCGTGGTGTATATGTACTACATTTTCTTTATCCAGTCTGCAGTTGATGGGCATTTAGGTTGATTTCATGTCTTTGCTATTGTGAATAGTGCTGCAATGAACGTATACATCCGTGTGTCTTTATGGTAGAATGATTTACATTCCTTTGGGTATATTCTCTTGTCTAATATGTGTCCTTCCTGCTCTCTTTGTGCTTCTGAGTTTATACCTTTTTAACTCCTGTACTGTTACTTAAATGACATTTTGACAGGAGACAGGACGTGCCAATGTTCAATTCTCCGTGTTTGAAAAGAATCCTCTTCCTGCCTTTTGTTAAAGGTTTCCCCAAAGATTTTTCAGTCCTGTTGATCCATTCAACCATTCACTGCACAGGTATTATGTGTGCACTGTGGGCCAGGTCTTGAGACAGGTACAAGGGAAAATTGGGGGTAGAGCAGATGCAATGAGACCCAGCCCAGGGGGTAGAGCAGACAGGGACAGGTGGCTTAAAGGAAGGCAGAGGGACAGAGAGCTGCAGAGGGCGCCATGCAGCACGGGGCCCGCCCCTAGCTCTGACAACTACCCAAGCCAGGCAGAAAGGGTCTGCACAACCCACTCTTCCAGGTGGGGAAACAAAGGGTGGCAGTGGCCGAGCCAGGTCCTGGCCCTGCTCTCTGGCTTCTTGGCCCCTCTCTTGTTATCTCTGAGTACCCCTCATTCCCTTGCTCCCCCTGGCCCCCCACCCCCACATCTCCTCCTTTCACCCCACTTTTCTTTCTTCTCCCAGAGTTCACAGCAGCAGATGCCTGTTCCTGCTGAGAATCAGGGGCTTGGGCCAGACCGTCTTGTCAGCCAGGGCCCTACTCTGTGGGACTGCATCCCAGAGACTCCTAGGGGGCCACCAACCCTGCATGTCCCGCTCACCTGCCCGGGGGAGGTCCCAGAGGCAGGGTGCTGTGAGCACAGTGCCCACTGTTATGGAAGTGAGCCCCTAGCCCACCCACCAGCAATATGGGTTCTGCGTTTCTAACGGGGAATTGCACTGGCTTCAGGCCACACTTGGCTTTCACTCCAGCCTCCTCCACTGCACTCTGCCCTGCCTCACCCTTCTAAATCCATGGCTTGCACTTCTCCCTCCTCACTCCCACTTTCTCTAAAACCAGCAGAATGCTACTCCTTCTTCCTTTGGAAGGGAAAAAAGTATCTGTAGGCGAGAAAGCCAGTTCCTCCAGACAGCGCAGGCAAAGTGCCTAGGCTGCCTGTCAAATCTGATTTCAAAAGATAATTCTATTTTGAGCAAAAGAATAATGAAGAGATATCCCCAGCTGTCCTGGAAAGAACTCTCTTCTCTCCTCCCATCAGCCTGCATGGCCTGGCCCACCAGCATCTCTGCAGCCACATCCAGCGTCCGCTGTGGCCACAGGTCTCTGTACCTCTCCCTGTGGTGCCTCCACTCTTCAAGCACTCACGGGGCAGCCCCTGCCTAGAATGGCTTCTGTCCTCCTTTTCCCATCTGAAGCCTATCTGATTTGCAGGGACTCTTGAGCCACCTCCCCTTGGTGCCCTCCCAGAGCCCCTACCCCTCCCACTCATCTCTCCAGTGCAAATGAGGATGGCAGGCCACAGCCCACAGGCTCCAGCATGCCTGGCACATGCAGTGCAGAAGCTTGCCTGCTCAGAGATGGCACATCAGAGATGCTCAGCCCCTACAGAATGAGTGAGCCAGAGAATGGACCACCTCGTGCCAGGCCCCAGCAACAGGGGAGGAAGGCAGGATTTCCTGTTGGTAGATAATTGAGGATGGAGGTGACAAAGTTAGTGGTGGGTGAAACTGGCATCCAGCCTTTGTTGCAACGAGGTTGCAGCTTTCCAGGAAACCCTGAGGAGCAGGGAGGACTCAGCATCACTGCCCCGTGGCAGGGGCGCGATGCAGGACCACCACCAGCCAGCCACAGAGCCCAAGCCCCAGCTTGTGCCTCTGAGCCTGCACCTGCCAGAGAAAGGGATTCCTTCCATCTGATGCATGCAGAGGAGCCCAGGCAGGAGGACCTTTCCTGAAGGCTGAGGAGTCTGTGAGTGACACCCTCCAGGACATTCTCCTGTGAGGAAGCCCAGCACTGACCCCCTGTCCTCCCAACTCTCCGTCTGTGCCCAGCAGCACTGATGAGACAGCCCCAGAAACTCTTCCCTTCCTGTCATTGCCACTGTCTGCTCACCCTTTTCCCAGAACACCATCTTGAACATCCCTGTGCAGGGATTACATGCCAGAAAAGGCTCCCATGCATAAGGGACAGACCATGCGGTAACCAAGGAGGCCCGAGCCAGGGAGAGGTAGGATCCAAGTCAGTGAGGGCCCGGGGCCCCACTACATTCCCAGACTTCTCTGCTGCATTTTTCCCCACTACACTCACCACCTTCTGTTACCAACACAACGAGGACATTGAGTTTTCCTACCGTCCTGTCTTCCTCTAATGGCGCTCATCTCCCTGAGGGCTGGGAGTTTTGTCTGTTTTGGTCACTGCCGCATCCCCAGGGCCTAGAACACTGAGGCTACTGAGATAAACAGTCCCTCTGTAAGGATGAATGGGTGGAAGTGTGGATGCCTGCCTGGCCTGGTGGGAGCCAGGCTGGCCAAGGCAAGGACTCTGCTCATTGCATCGCACCCCAACTTTTTACTAGGTCTTAGTCAGTTCACGAAACACCAGAGCCTGGGAGGCTTAAACAGCAGAGGTTGATTTCGCACAGTTCTGGAGGCTGGAAGCCCACCGTCAAGATGCTGGTAGATCCTGTTCCTAGAGAGGGTCCTCTTTTCAGCTTTTAGACTGCTGACTTCTTGTTGTGGCCCCACATGGTAGTGAGAGGGAGCAAAAGGGAGAGGGAGAGAAAGAGATGATCTCACTCACGCCTCGTCTCATGAGGACGCTAATCTCATTCATGAGGACTCCACCCTCATGACCTAATTACCTCCCAAAGACCCCACCTGCAAAGACCCTTGCATTGGGGATTAAGGCTTACACATTTTGGGGGGACACATATGCAGTCCATAACACCAGGCTTTCCAAAGGGTATGCTTGAGTCACAGTCCAGATGGGCCCCAAACGATTCTGAGAATTCCTCATCAGTTGTGCGTAGCATCTCCGCAAGGGCAGAACTCGTCACAGTGTAAGAGCAAGTACTGAGTCAAGGACTAGGAAAGACAAGCCTGAAATCCAGCCTCACCCCACCAGCCCAGAACCCCAGTCAAGCCACTTTCCCTCCCCAGGCTGTGCCCACTCACCCCTCCCTCCAGCAGGGGGCTAGGGCTGCTCCATCCCCTGATTCCCTCAAGATCTTGAGTAGCTGTGACTCTGTAATGCGCTGAGGAGGCAGATCCACCACTGGGGGAAGTGTGTTCCCTGAAGCAAAACAACTCCACATGGTGAAATGCTGCCCCAAATACTGACTACAAGATGTTGTTCATCTATCTACCCAATGCGCATCCACCAAGGGATTTCAGTGTATTTCAGGGGGAAAAAACAGATTTCCCATTGTTTGTGGCTTACTTATTTCAGTGAAAAGAAATTACATAAAATAAGAGAAAGGAGTAGCTTCCAGTAAGGATGGGGAATGTTTCGAGAAAGGGTCCTCTATGCAAATTCACCCTCAAATGCAGAAGGAGCGCGAAAACCAAAGTACGGACAAACGAATCCAGTTTGCCGGTAGAGGATGATTTATTGGGGAACTTATGGACAGAAGCGTGGTCTTGGGCAGCCGCAAAACAGTTAGATCCCCGTGCTGTCACCCACCCCAGGCCAAGGATTTCTGTACCATAGGAAAAGGGCTTACGGGCTCTATTAGGTTGACCTTCCAGGAAAAGACAAGAATGCTATGTACATCATAGCCAGTAATTTCCATAATAACATCAAGGTTGCTTTGGCCTAAGGGCAGCGTTTACAGTAAGTACACATGCGCTATTACAAGGAATGATAGGCAAACTGGAAATCTTAGAGGCATTCTCAGAATTAGAGTTAATCAGAAGTCAACATGGCAGCTTAGCTCCTGAGACAGAGTCACTTTAGTCTCCACCTAGGCAGAAGGGAGAGGAGGGCTGTCAACACCTGCTAAATGTTCCTACACTTCACATATCTCACTTAATGGTTACAAAGTAGGGACTGAGAGGAAAGAGAAGCTTGATTTACAGGGCTGGATTCAAGAAAGCCACTTCTGTCTTATTCAAAATTCAATGTACTTTTCATTCGCTTCTTCAACAGATATAAATATGATGCATTGTGTGTGTGTGTGTGCCAGAAGTGAGTAGTTAAATGTACTTACGGTTTGTAAGTATAACATTTACCAAAGTGATACTTTTTATTGGTGTGTGGTGAAACCACTAGTTGAAATTTGTAATGACTCATTGACAAATTAATTGCACTAAAGGTAAAAGAAAATTTGAAATCTCAATGGAAGAATGATGCTCTGACTTCCAAGGAACAAATTAAGAGTTTAAAGGGCTTTTGAAGATGAAAGTATATTTCTGCTGAGACAAACTGAAGAGAATGAGAGTTTGAATTTCTCAGGAAGGTCCCATAAGTTGTGTGTATGCTTAAAACCAGGCTTTAAAATGGGCAGAACAGGGACCTCTGTTAATGCCAAGATTAGATAATAAGGACTGTTTTACCCTTTCTCCCAAAACAAAACAACAATTAAAACTGTGCTGGGTGCAGTGGCTCACGCCTGTAATCCCCGCACTTTGGGAGGCTGAGGTGGGTGGATCACAAGGTCAGGAGTTTGAGATTAGTCTGGCCAACATGGTGAAACGCCATCTCTACTAAAAATACAAAAATTAGCCAGGCATGGTGGCAGGCACCTGTAATCCCAGCCATTCGGGAGGCTGAGGCAGGAGAATCTCTCCAACCTGGGAGGCGGGGGTTGCAGTGAGCCGAGATCGCGCCATTGCACTCCAGCCTGGGCGACAAGAGTGAAACTCCATCGCAAATAAATAAATAAATAAATAAATAAATAAATAAAGCTGACCAAATAAATGAAACAAAGACTTGGAAGACACCATAGTTAAGGCAACTAGTATAGTCTGGACATTTGTCCCCTCCAAATCTCACGTTAAAGTGTGATGCCCAGTGTTGGAGGTGGGGCTGAGTGGGAGACGTGTGGGTTGTGGAAGCTGATCCCTCATAAACGGCTTGGTGCTGCCCCAGCAGCAATGAGCAAGTTCTCATTCTATTAGTTTCCAAGAGAGCTGGTTGCTAAAAAGAGCCTGGCACCTCCTTCCCCACCTCTTTCTCTTCCTTCTTTTCTCTCCATGTGACACCTGCTCCACCATGAGTGGAAACAGCTTGAGGTCCTCACCAGAAGCAGATGCTGGCTTCATGCTTCTTATACAGCCTGCAGAACTGTGAGACAAGTAAACCTCTTTTCATTATAAATACCAGCCTCAGGTATCCCTTTAAAGCAACAGAAAGAGACTAAGACAGTAACAAAGGATCATGATCCCTGAAAGATGGGGGAAATGACGTGAGCCCTCAAATTGCCCCCGTTTGTTGTCCTGAGGGTTTCCAGGCCAAAACCCAGGGACAGTAAATTCAGGAGGAGCCTGGCAGACTCCCTGTTGCAGAGATGGAGCTGAGAGCCCAAGACATCTAAGGCCTCCAGAGTCCACAGAACAGAGTGCTGAGAGGGAGAGAGCTGCTTAGGAAGAAAACTCCTCAAAGAGGACCTGCTGCAAGTCTTCAGCTGAGAACTGATCAGTGCACGCTTCAGAGGAAAATACTAGAGGCCAGGGAAAGTACCACTCTGAAGAATCAGAGGTAACAGTTCCCATCAACAAGGTAACAAGGCTGGGAATAGTGCCTGGGCCCACCAACCATACTGAAAACCACAAGACTCGTGGGGCCTTAGCAATGGGAAACACTAGGCTTAAAATAAGCAACGTGCCAGGCGCGGCGGCTCATGCCTGTAATCCCGGCACTTTGGGAAGCCCAGGCGGGCAGATCATGAGGTCAGGAGATCGAGACCACCCTGGCTAACACGGTGAAACCCCGTCTCTACTAAAAAAAAAAAATACAAAAAATTAGCAGGGCACGGTGGCGGGCACCCGTAGTCCCATCTACTCAGGAGGCTGAGGCAGGAGAATGGCGTGAACCCGGGAGGCGGAGCTTGCAGTGAGCCGAGATAGCGCCACTGCAGTCCGGCCTGGGTGAAAGAGGGAGGCTCCGTCAAAAAAAAAAAAAAAAAAAAAAAAAAGAGCAATGCTCCTAACAAATCTCAAAGGCAAGGCCCAAAAGGATCAAACTGTTTCCAAGTACTTAATTGTGTCCCCAAACAAAGCTCAAGACTATGTGTAGGAGTACAAAAATATCCAGCACCTAACAATGTAAAACTCACAATATCTAGCATCAATTAAAAATCAGCAGGTGCACAAGGAAACAAGAAAATAGAAGTGACAATGAATACTTCAACCAGTCACTCAAAACTGACCCAAAGCTGATGCAGATGTTAGAATTAACAGGTAAGGACATATAAACCAGAGCCAGAACTAGGATGAGGCATGAGAAGCACAAGGGCAGAAAATTTTAGGCGGCACAGACTCTCAGGCTTGTGCAAATACAGACCATAAGTCAAAAGTGTACAGTCATGCACAGCATGAGGATGTTCTGGTCAATGAGAGACCATATATATGATGGGGGTCTCACAAGATTATAATGGAGCTGGGAAATTCCTATCACCTAGTGACATCTTAACAATCCCAAAGCCTAGCCTGCGTAGGTCTAGGCCAATGTGTGTGTGTGTGTCTTCGTTTTTAACAAAACAGTTTCAAAAGTAAAAAAAAAAAGAAAAGAAAGAAAGAAAAAGAAAATAGCTTATAGAATAAGGATATAAAGAAAAATATTTTTATACAGCTGTATGATGTGTTTGTGTTTTAAGTAAACACATTATACATTACAAAAGAGTTAAATTAACTTTAAAATTTTTACATTAAAATTTAAAAGTTTATAAAGGAAATAAGTTACAGTAAGCTAAAGTTAGTTTATTATTGAAAAAAGAAAAAACATTTTTATAAATGTAGTGTAGCCTAAGTGTAGAGTGTTTATAAAGCCTACGGTAGTGTACAGTAATGTCCCAGGCCTTCATGTTCACTCAGCACTCACTCACTGACTCATTTAGCACTCACTCACTGACTCACCCAGCACAACTTCTAGTTCTGCAAGCTCCATCCATGGTCAGTGCCCTATACAGATGTATCATTTTTTATCTTTACAGTATTTTAACTGTACCTTATCTATGTTTAAACCTGTTTAGATAAATACTCACCGTTGTATTACAATTGCCTACGGTATTCAGTATAGCAACCTGCTGTACAGGTTTGTGGCCTGTGAGCAATAGGCTATACCATATAGCATAGGGGCAGGTGTGTGGTAGACTATCTCACCTATGTTTGTGTAAGTACACTCTATGATGTTCACACAATGATAAAATCGCCTAATGATGCATTTCTCAGAACATATCTCTGTTGCTAAGTGATGTATGACTGTATACTATAAAACTTAAAGCAACGACAAAAATAACAAAACAAAGCCAAAATAGTAGATAACAAAGTTACTTTTTAGAATATTTAATATATCCCAAAGAAAGCAGAGAAAGAGGTAAAAGAGACCAAGAATGGGTGGCACCAACATAAAACAAATAGCAAGATAATAGATTTAAACTTAACAATGTCAATAATTACATTATATATAAATGGCCTAAATACCTCCAATTAAATGGCAGATATTGTCAGACTGAATAAAAAATCAATACCTCACAATATGCTGCCTATAAGAAATATGCTTTAAGTAAAGACACAAATAAGTTAAAAGGACAGGAAAAAGATATGCCATGCTAAAGACACTAAGAAAAAGAAATCTGGAGTGACGATATTAGTATCAGATAAAGTAGGTCTCAGGGCAAAAATATCTATATTACTATGGGCTAGAAAGTTTATCTTATAATAATACAGTGGTAATCTCATCACAAAAACATAAAAGTCATACCCATTTTTGCCTTCATAGCAGAGTTCCAAAGTTACATGAATAAAAAACTGATAGAACTGCAAGGAGCAATAGATAAACCTACAGTTATAGTTAGACATTACAATACTCATTTCTCAATAACTGATCAATTAAGCAGAAAGAAAATTAGTAAAAATATTGATGATTTGAACCACACTGTCAACCAAGCTGACCCAAAAGCTACTAACAGGATGCTCCATGCAAGAAAAGCAGAATACACAACATTTCGCTCAAGCACACTCCAAACATTTCGTATACATACTCTTCTCAACCACACTCCGAACATTACCTGTACACATTCTTCTCACGCACACTCCCAACATTTCCCGGATACGTTCCTCTCAAGCACACTCTGAACACTCATTGCACACGTTCTTCTCAAACACGCTCAGATCATTTCCTGTACACGTTCTTCCCAAGCACACTCTGAACATTTCCTGTACACATTCTTCTGAAGCATACTCAGAACATTTACTTAGATAAACCATGTTCTGGACCAGAAAACACATACACATCTGTATCAGTTTAAGAAGTTTCAAGGAATACAGTCTGTTCTCTGACCACAAATAAATTATATTAGAAATCAAAAGCAGAAAGACATTTGAAATGGTTTCAAATATCTGAAAACTAAGCAACACACTTCTAAATAACATAAAACAAAGAATAAGTCAAAAGTTAAATTAGAAATTATTTTGAACTGATGAAAATAAAAACATTATATCAAAATTTATGCAATGCCACTTAAGAAGTACTGACAGAAAATCTGCAGCACTTTATAAACACCCATACCAGAAAGTAAGAAAAGTCTTAAATCAATGATATCACCTTGAGAAATTAGAACACAAAAGAAAATTAAACCCAAAGTAAGTAGAAAAAAGGAAATAATAGAAATACAGAAAACTGAAAAAAATATATATATATATAAATCAACAAAACCAAAATTCAGTTCCTTGGAAAGATTAATAATATTATCAAACACATAAGGGAAGAGAGAAAGTCACAAATTACCAAAATCATGAATGGGAGAAGGGACATTACTCACAAAAGGATAATAAAGGAATATTATTGTACTGTGTTAAATAAAATTCCAAAAAAATTGTGTGTATCTGGAACCTGTGAGTATGACATTCCTTGTAAATAGGATATTTGCAGACGTAATCAAGTTAATATGAGGTTATGCTGGATTGGAATGAATCCTAAATCCAATGATTGGTGTCCTTATAAGACAGGAAGATTTGGACACGGAGAGACACACAGGGAAAATGTCACATGAAGGTGGAAGCAGAGACTAAAGTACCTAAGAGCCACAGAAGGCTAAGGATTTCCATAAACCACCAGAAACCAGGAGAGAGGTGTGGAACAAGTTCCACCCAGAGCCTCTGGAAGGAACCAACCCTGCCCATACCTTCATTTTGGACTTCTAACCTCCACAAACGTGAGATTTCTGTTGTTTTAAGCCACTCAGTTTATGGTAATTTGCTACAGAAACCCTAGGAAAGTGATATAATTATAAACAAATTTATGCCAATACATTTGAAAATTTAAATAAGATGGGTAAATTTATTGAAAGTAACAAACTAGCAAAACTCACACAAAAAGAAATAGATAACCTATCTATCTCTGTATCTATTAAGAAAACAAAATTATAGTAAAATGTTTTCCACAGAGAAAACTCCTGGCCCAGAAAAATTAACTAATTCCACCAAACATTTAAGGAAGAAATAATACAAGTTCTACCAAAAAGTTATTCCAGAAAACAAAAGAGGAAGGAATACTTCTTAACTGATTATAAAAGCCATCATTACCTGATTCCAAAGCCAGGAAAAGGCATTACAAAAAATATAAAACTACAGATCAATATCCCTTGTGAACATAGACATAAAAATTCTTAACAAAATGATAGTAAATCAAATCCAGCAATGTATAAAAAGATCAGTACATCATGGCCAAATTTATCTGAGGAATGCAAGATTCATTTAGCATTCCCAAATCAACAAATGTAATCTCCATATTAACAAACTAAAACAGAAAAACTATATTTTCATCTCAATCGATAGAGAAAAAACATTTGAGACAATCCAGCACCCATTCTTCACAAAAGCACTTAACAAAGTGTAAAAAGAAGGGGGCTTCTTCAACCTGATAAAGGATGTCAAAAAAAAAAACAAAAACCTACAGAAACATCATACTGAATAGTGACAGACTGAAGATATTCCCAGATATTCCCCTAAGACCAGGAGCGAGATGTCTGCTCACCACTTCTATTCTATTCAACATTGCACTGAAAGATCTCATCAGCACAATACAATAAGGCAAAAAAAAAGAAAAGAAAAGAAAGAAAGAAAGAAAGAAAGAAAGAAAGAAAGAAAGAAAGAAAGAAAGAAAGAGCGAGCATTCAGGTTGGAAAGGAAGAATTAAAATTCTCTATTCGCAGGTGCCATGATCATCTATGTAGAAAATTCAGTGGAAATTGTCTTAAAATGCCTCAAACTGATAGGTGAGGGTAGCAAGCTTGCAGGTTACAGAGTCCTATACAAAAAAAAAAAAAAAAAAAAAAAAAAAACCTATTGTATTTCTGTATACTAGCAATAAAAATCATACGTTAAAATCCTTTAAATACCATGAAAGTAGCATCAGAAAATATGAAATTATGGAATAAACCTGATGAAAGATTTGGAAACTACAAAACACTGTTGAGAGAAATTAAAGGAGGCTTATATCATGTTCTTGGGTGAGAAGACTCAATAGGATTAGGATGTCAGTTCTCCCCAAATTCATCTACAGATTCAACATAATCCCACTCAAGCAGATTTTTTTGTACATCATAACAAAATGATCATAAAATGTATATGTAAATGCAAAAGACTTAGAATATCTACAACAACTTCGAAAAAAAAGGACAAAGAGAACTAACACTCCTGATTTTAAGACTGGCTACAAAGCTCCAGTAATTATATGACAGAGTGGCACTGTCATAAAGACAGTCAAATAAGTCACGGGAACAGAAGGGAGGTGGTGCCCCTCTGCAGTAACCTTGCACAGCTCATCTGCAAGGCTGCAGGCCAGCCCTGAAGCCCTACCTGGGCTCACAAGGGAATGTGCACCTGTGAGCTCTGCCTGCTCCAGGCAGCCTCTGCACAGCTGCAGCTCAAACACCTCTGCATCCTCCTCCTGGATGGGCCTCTTCCACCCAGGTCATCCCCAGAGGCCAGGGACACCAATTGAACTCCCTCCTTTCCTTATTCTTTCCTTATTTTGTCACCTACCCAAGGTCCTGGAGACTTGACTTTCAGTGTCATTGGCCAGCAGTCTGTCCTAAAGTCCTCTGTATTCAGAGGCCAAGAGACTGGCCTAGGCCCGGTAAGGCTCCGGGGAGCTGGCCCAGCCTGGCCTGCCAGTCAGTGTTCCTGTGACAGGCACAAGGTGAGCACCCAGCCCATTCCCATGGAACCCACTTGCTGTAGTGACACACAGGAAGAGGAAGCAAGGGACTGCTATTGAAGGCCCTGTCCACAGCTCTGTGGCTAGAGGCAGGTCACCGGCCTCACAGAGCCTATGGTGGGAGTGAGACAAATGGGTTGACAGGTGCCCACATGGTTGCCAGGCACATTTCAGAGAGCAGGTGTATGCTGCTCAGGCAGCCAAAGGGCCTCACCTGGCCAAGGTGGGCCACAAGGCAGCCCAGAGGAGGTGGCTTCAAACCAAGTCCTGGAGGACAAGCAGGAGCCAGCTCTAACTCTATGTAAGTCCTCTGTGCGAGTGTTGCTCTCTGGGGTCAATTACAAGGATGAGGATGAAGCAGAGGGGACGGGAGTGTGTGGTGGAGCCAGGTAGTCTGGTTCCAAAGTAAACAGCATTCCCAATCCCATGCCAAGGGAGATGTGGCCGTAAAAGTGGAGACCTGCCCAAAGAAAGCAGCACAGTGGCCTGTAATGCTGTCCAGAGGCCACTGTCATATACCCCATGTCTGCTTGCTGCCCCAGCCTGGCAGCCATGCCCCACTACAGCACTATGCCTGGAGCAGTTGGAATTGGCACCAAGGCTTGCATTATGGCTTGTGTTAGGGGTATGTGGTCTAAGGCAGTGCTCCCCTGGTCCTGTCAGGCCAATGGGGCTTACAGCTGACCTGGTATTCACACCTATAATCCCAGCACTTTGGGAGGCCAAGGTGGGTGGATCACCTGAGGTCAGGAGTTCAAGACCAGCCTGGTCAATATGGCAAAACCATGTCTCTACCAAAAATACAAAAATCAGGCAAGCGTGGTGACGGGCACTTGTAATCCCTGCTGAGGCAGGGGCTGAGGCTGAGGCAGGAGAATCGCTTGAACTCAGGAGGCGGAGGTTGCAGTGAGCTGAGATCGTGCCACTGTACTCTAGCCTGGGTGACAGAGTGAGATCCTGTCTCAAAAAAAAAAAAAAAAAAAGAAGTTGCCTTTGCCAGGTCATGTGATCTACCTTACTTTATTCACAGTATGGGTGTGAAGATGGGCTGTCTCCAATGGCGTTATTCGGCAGGCACTCTGAAGTGCTTCCCCAAACCCTGTTGTCCACTTTCCTGGACTTGAGTAATGGTGCTACTAGTGGCTTTATTTGATCTTCATTAAATTTGGGAATTGTTCTTACCAACTCAGTCAGAGATAAAATATTGTTTTTCATATTTCCAAAGTTTCTTATGATAATGGTCCAGGGCTGGAGTCTGGGATTTCCTCTCTCATCCTCTCCCGATATCGGGTTGAAATTTTGAGAGAGTGAGTTATGTGTTTGTCTGCCTTAGGCATCAGACATTCTTCACTAACAGCATAAAAGATGAGTGAGAAGGCTGCTCTTCCCTAAGACCATGTTATTTGTGGTAATCACTTCTGATATCTTATTATTTGAGTATGGTAGGTTCTTTTGTGTCATATTTTACAGACAGCTTTTGTGATCAATATTTTATATCAATTGGTAGAATTATTGTTTCTCACTTTGCACAAGTGTCTAGCATAGATTATGCTTCCAATATAGATTAAAGAGCAAGCTTGGAAGTTTTTCTTGCCAAATTATTGCTGGCAGTGAGGCAGCCGGGACACCCGGATGGAGGTGGAATCCACTCACCCTCTCCCTATACGGCAGCACAAACAGAGGCTTGGAAGCAGGATGCGCATCTGGTGCCGGCTCTTCCTTGAGGCCCTGTGGCTGAAACAGAGAAACTCCTGCCCTGGTCTTGGCCCCATGGACCAGGCACCTGGGAACCAGCATCCACCAGACTATTCTTTCCTGGACCCCATTGCTGAGTCCTAGGGAAAGGAACTGAGTGGAAATAAATTGGCAGGACATGGAATGTGATTGAAGGGGGGCAATCCTCATTCAATCAAGAGGGAGGCAATTATAATTCCAGATTTGCAGGTTGGGCAGCTGGGCGATGGGGGCCCTGGACTCATACCGATTAAGGAAGAAGACAATGGCATCATTTTTGGACGCATTGGGTCTGGCTTGCTCATGGCACATCCCAGTGATGCCAACTAGCACATAAGCTGTCAACCTCAAATAATGAGGTTCAGAAAATATGATTAACTATAGTTTATTTGAACACAAAGCTTGAGGATGGCCACCCGGGAGACCCCAACTTCGAACGAATGAGGTCAGCATCCCAAAGTGAAGTTAAGGTTTCACTCACCTAGACAGAGACAGGGAAGTCTTAGCAGGAACAACATTTTCCATAAAGACAAGCATATAGGGTGCGGGGATTGACTGGTTACAGATTGCTGCATGCCAAGGAAGAATGTTTTATTACTCCATGAGGAGGGGCAGTGATCTGAGGGCGTTTTATCTCTGGCACCACTTGGTCTTTATTATTTACAGGGGAAAAAAGGCACAAGGTGCAACCACGTGACTCAGGCTGCATAGCCACATTCCTCTCAAGGCTCAGAACAATTTAAAGTCCAACAGCTTTAACTTTGAATTATTAAATTTCACAGAGCCAATGAGAAGAGGTCAGATGTAACAATACAGATTTGAGAGTCATTAGTGCTCATCTGACTCACTCCCCCAGCAAATGTTTATTGAGGGCCATATGGGCATAGGACAAGAATAGGAACTTCTTGAATAAGAAACCATATTCGGCTGGGGTCCAGGTGTTGGGGGCGGCTCAGAAGGCAGAGGTTGGGCGGCCAGCAGGCTGGAAGAACTGTGGAGCTCTAGAGAGTGTGGTGGGGGTGGTGAAGGGACAGCCATGGGCAGCGAGGGATGGATTCCTAGGGCTAAGGAGTCCAGCAGTACCACAGCCAACTTTGGGAGAATTGCGGGTCTACAGCTTGGGAGCTGCTGGCAGTGTTAGGAGGTGATCAGGCAAAGGCTTAGTGGATCAGGAGGAGGGAAGACCACCCGTGGGTGGGGAGCCTCAGAGGAAGGGAACCTGCAGGTGGCATAGGGGCCATGCCCATCCCCACGCAGCCCTGTCCTCTGCTCTGTCTGTGCACTGTTGACAACCAGGAGAAACAGCTCAGGGACAGAGTCCAGCAGGAACAGGGCAGGTGGGAGGACAGCCACTAGGGCGGGGCCAGGGCTCTGCCCAGGGTCTTCCAGCCACCTGGATCTTTGGGTGAGAGTGGAACATGAGGTGATGGAGAGGGGATGGAGGGACTCACTTTACACCTCACTGCCTCCAGCAACTGGAAGCCACACAGCAATTTAAGGAGGGTTGTTCTGCCCTGGAGTCTCCCTAGAGTGGAGAGGAGGGAGGGAGGAAGGAAGCAAACTCACTTTGCCCTTCCCCGCCTCCAGCATGCACAGACAAGAGGTTGATTCTCTAGCTGACTGACTGTCTTGCTTTTTATATGGATGTTGCCACGTCCAGTTAGCACAATCTTCATCCGTTATCCAAGATTCCTAAGTGAGATTTTTTTTTTTTTTTTTTTTTTTTTTTTTTTGATACGGAGTCTCGCTCTGTCGCCCAGGCCGGACTGCGGACTGCAGTGGCGCAATCTCGGCTCACTGCAAGCTCCGCTTCCCGGGTTCACGCTATTCTCCTGCCTCAGCCTCCCGAGTAGCTGGGACTACAGGCGCCCGCCACCGCGCCCGGCTAATTTTTTTGTATTTTTAGTAGAGACGGGGTTTCACCTTGTTAGCCAGGATGGTCTCGATCTCCTGACCTCATGATCCACCCGCCTCGGCCTCCCAAAGTGCTGGGATTACAGGCGTGAGCCACCGCGCCCGGCCGAGATTTATTCCTTTGTTTTTAATAAGTGGTCAAAAAGCCTTCAGGTTATTAGATAATATGAAACTGTTTTCTGGGTGTCTCACTCAGCCTGGCCTGCTACAACAAAATGCCATGCGTGGGGTGGCTCATAAACAATAGACATTTATTTCTCACAGCTGAAGAGGCTGGGTGCCAGCATGGCTGGGTTCTGGGAAGAGCCCTCTTCAGAGCTGCAGACTTTCAGCTTCTCACTGTGTCCTCACATGGTACAGAGACAGAAGCAGCAAGGTCTCTGGGGTCTCTTGTAAAGCCCTTTACCTCAAGACTCACTCAACTTCCAAAGGCCCCACCTCTTAACACCATCACACTGGGGGTTGGGTTTCAACATAGCAATTTGGGGAGGACATAAATATTCAGACCATAATGCTGGGTCCAGAGTAAGGGAAAATATTTATTAGTATCTCAGGGCAAGACAACATACCTTATTAAGCTAGGAGGTCTTTTTCCCACTTATCCTTAATTGCAAAAACAAATTGACTCCCCATACATGTGCTGCCTATGGGAAGAGACAGGGCCCCGGGGAAGATGCTACAAAGCCTTGATACTCAGACCAGCAGTGTCAGGTGAGCCGTGCCTGGAGGTAGAGGATCTCAAAATGCAGGACTTTGGGCCCCACCCAGACCTTCTGATCCCAATCTCTATTTCGATGAGACCCTCCAGGAGATGACAGTGCACTTTGTAGTTTAAACGCTTTGGACTAGACTCTGTGTACATCCCTGAACAAAATGCCTGTAGCTCCAAGGCTTTCAGGTGAAAACTAGTCCGGAAGCGCAAACCTAATTCTCAACAGTTCTCGGTCAGTCATAACCCTAATTACAGTCAACAATGTTGATGGCTGTTGATACGCCTGCATTTAGTAATCCTCCCAACCCTAGGAGCTGACTATATTATTATGGTCCCCTGGTCCAGGTGGGAATTCTGAGGCTCCTAGAAGTTAGGGAACTTGCTAAGTTCACCCAGTTTGTAAGAGGCAAAGCTGGTCAGCCTGAATCCCCCGGATGCCACGGATTCCCTGGAATGTAAAGGTGTTCGTGGGGTCCATGGTATTGGACAGCTCAGTGATGCTCCTGAGCAATGCTGGACCGTGCAGTTAGTGGTTTCCTGCATCCATATAATGGAATGATATTCCATATGCAGCAACGATGTTTTTAAAACCACCAGTGATACAGGGGAATCCTCATTTTGAAATAGTTCTTGAAAAAGTATAATTTAAAAACATATACAATACATACACATATACAGAAAGAGGCAGAGAAAGAGAGAGAGAGACCAGTCCAGTAACTCAAAATATCCATACTAACTGAAGATGTGACTCCCGTATGACTCAATGATTCCACCCCTCTGGGGAGAGGTTCAAGGTTACACTAGAGACATATGCATGAAGAGTCCTCATGTGCACCATTATGACAGCAAAATATTGGAATAAACTCAAATGTCCAGTACTCACGGAATGGATGAGTAAAACATGGAATATTTTCAGTCAATTAAAGACTATCCAGCGTGTTAATAAAAACTAGATCTGGCCAGGTGCGGTGGCTCACGCCTGTAATCCCAGCACTTTGGGAGGCTGAGGCGGGCAGATCACCTGAGATCAGGAGTTCAAGGCCAGCCTGGCCAACATGGTGAAACCCCATCTCTACTAAAATTACCAAAAATTAGCTGGGCGTAGTGGCAGACCCCTGTAATCCCAGCTACTCAGGAGGCTGAGACAGGAGAATCGCTTGAACCCGGGAGGCAGAGGTTGCAGTGAGCCAAGATCTTGCCACTACACTCCAGCCTGGGCAACAAGAGTGAAACTCTGTCTCAAAAAAAAAAAAATAGATATTTATGAATCAACATTAATATTTCTCAAAAAAAGAATGTTTAATCAAAGGTGTGCTGAATAAAACTTTTAGTATAATATCATTTATATGCATTCTTAGAAACATAAAAAACAGTATTCCAAATCACTCATGGTTACACACATATAGACTGAATAGGCTGAAATAGACTGAGAAGATACACATTGAATGACTGGTTGTTGCAACGGGCCTGGGGCAGGGGTGGCGGGCGTCAAGGGGGCCTCAACTCTATACTATGTTTTAATTCCTTAGAAAGCAAAAAAGACTTGCAAGAGATGTAATCTATATTAACAGTTGTTAGTTCTATGTGGTGAATATACAAGTGCTTGTTATATTTGCACTTTTCTGCAATTTTAAGATTTCTATATTTGAATTTATATATCCCATTGAAAAGTTTGGAAGAAAGTACATAAAATATTAATGATGCTGTCCTCTGGGTGATTTTGATTTCTTCTCTTTTTTTGATTTTGAGATGGAGTTTTGCTCTTTTTGCCAAGGCTGGAGTGCAATGGCACAATATCGGCTCACTGCAAACTTCTCCTCCCGGGTTCAAGTGATTCTCCTGCCTCAGACTTCCGAGTAGCTGGGATTACAGGTGCACACCATCGTGTCTGGCTAATTTTGTATTTTTAGTAGGGGCAGGGTTTCACCATGTTGGCCAGACTGGTCTCGAACTCCTGATCTCAGGTGATCTGCCTGCCTCGTCCTCCCAAAGTGCAGGAATTACAGGTGTGAGCCACAGCACTGGCCTCTTCTTTAAATTTTTCTGTATTTTCTAAATTTTCTGTTAGAATCTATAACTTTTATAATCAGTAGATAAATAGATCCACCTCCCAATTTTCCAAGAACAAATGCACTTCACGTCTCTGGGCTTTTGATACAAAGCAGAGCTTATTGTTGAAGCCAAGTATAGTGGAAAATCAACAAATGAGCAATGTTGGTATTTGACAGCAAATTTTCTTAAAGAAAACAACTAGAAATTCAGGAGGTGCAAACTGTTGAGATGAAAGGATTTTAGTGCAGCTTCTCTGTCTCTACTCGGTTCTATCTTATGCCTATTCTGTGGCAAAACAAAGGCAGGGACTACTTCCTAGACATCTGGGTGCTTCTTGCACGCAGTTCATTTTACCTTTGAATGTTAGAACTGGGCCACACATTAGAGATTATCTAGTGACACCCATCATTTTACCATCAGGGAAACTGAGGCCGAGAATGATGAACAGGCTTGCCGGAGGTCAGACTGCGGACAAGAAGTTCAGTCTGACTCTTGCCACACTGCTGCTCTGAGTGCTGCTCAGCATGCTGTGGACAATGGGGGTGAAATCACACTCATGCCCAAATATGAGAAATAAGATAAATGTCAACCAGGCAATGAATTCACATTATCTTAAAAAGAAGTAAACGTAAATTGCATTGTAGAGCAAAGCTAACATAGCTCTCTTCATTAGGCCCAGATTCCTATTTCTGTCCTCAAAGTCTAGTTGCCTGCTTGAGTAGGAGTCTCCTCCTTTATTGAATTCACTTGGTCCCGGATGATGCATTTGGATTTCAGCAGGCACAGGTAAACTACACAGCTGCCCTTCCACCAAGCATTCACTCACTCCATGCAGTACTTCCAGAAAGTGACCTGCATGAAAGCAGAGGGTCTTTCTAAGCGACAGTCAGGGAAAGAGGACCCTTCACCACTTCTGCTCATTCCACGCAGGATTCCCGGGCAGCTGCTCTTCACATTTCCACAGGTGCCTCGGAGAGTTTTAAAGAAATAAAATAATACAGCGACAGTTGAGGTTTGCCCTGTACCCCTCCCTTGTCCCACTCCTTTCCCAGCAAGCAAAGTCCTCTCCTGAAGTTAGCATGCATTCCTCCCGTCCTGAGAAGAATATTTTAATCTGGCCGTGCATCTAAAGAGTGCAGCGTGATGCTTTATTATTACTATTTACACCAAGTCACATTGAATTTATAACACGGAAACATGCTTTCTTCACTCACCATTGTTGCTCTAAGCGGTCTTGGAGTGGAGTCATGTAAATTTAGTTCGTCTATTTTCATTGCTGTTAGAATGTGTGCATAGGAATACACCATAATTTATTTATCCAATTCCCCCCGGTGGGCATGGCGATCTTTCACTACTGTAAACAGTGCTCCTGAAACCTGTTCCTATCTTCCCCTCTCATGGAGGTGCTGCCCTGGGGAGGGTGCCTGGTGCTAAACTCTCCAGTATTACTTATTCAGCCTCATCAGGGCTTACCTTCCTGTCCCCCAAGGCTGGCTGAGCTCCTCTCCTCCCAGCAGCACAGCCTATGCTACCCCAGCCCACGTCCCTCTTGTCACTGCTGCACCCTGTCCAGGGGTGTCCCGTGGCCATATGAATGGGCACTCCCCAGCCCCAGCTGGGGTGGGCGAGCATATTTTTCCATGCCTATTAGCCACTAGGGATTTTTCTTCTGTGAAATGTGTGATCATGTCCTGTGACCATTTTTCTGGAGGATCATTTGTCTTTCTTCTTCCTTGATACTGTCCTTAGGTGACAGGCTCATACCTGAGCCTAGGACCGAGGGTTTTTTAATCTTTTTTAAATCTTTCTTTAACAGGCCCCACTGTGAGATCCACACAGCTCATCACACCAAAGCAATGTCCTGAGTGGGCTGGATGGGAACGCTGTCCCCTCAGGACAGAGGCAGAGGGCAGTGCGATCAAGCGCTTGTGTCTTGCATTTGGAGCTCTGTGGCTGGCTCTGCTGTCCCTAGCTCTTCAGATAAAGGAGGGATGGTGAGCAGCCCAGGCCATCTGAGGAGCCCTGAGGCGCTGGGATAGACGGGATGAGCAGAAGACTTGACCTAGCCTTGCTAACTGCAGCCATTGTGAATAGCTTGTGTCACATCTGATCCGTATTAAGTGAATACAACCTGGCTCAGCTTATTATGAAGTAGAGATATCCTCAACATAAATTTCAGAAAGTAATGATGAAAAAAAGAAAGAGTTGAAGTGAGTTGGAGTCATCATAGTGAGGCTGGGTGCAGTTCTGTGTAGCTCCTTACAGACCCACAGTGGGAAACAGACCCGCAGAGAGGGCAGAGGGGACCCTCCAAAACACCTGGAGTGGAGGGGGGTGGACATTTAAGACAGGATGCCTGCAGAGGAGCCATGGGAGAGGAGGGCTCTGATTTGAACTAAAGTCTTCCAGTGGAAGAGAACCCTAGTGGAAGCAACTTCCCAATGAAATAGCAGGGCAGAGGCATTCTTAGATCCAGAGTGTCCGCTGACCACAGCCCAGCACCCCCACCTTCCTCTGCACAAGCCCCATATCCAGCTACAGGAAACCATGATATGCCTAGCCCTCAAAGTGAAACTCTGAGGGGAAGAAAAAATAACATCCAATAAAATGCAAAGCGAGGCCAGGAGGCATTTCCCACACCATGTTGAAACCAATGGGACGTCTTTTTTTTTTTTTTTGTGAGGAGTCTCACTCTGTTGCCCAAGCTGGAATTCAGTGGCATGATCTCAGTTCCCCGCAACCTCCACCTCCCGGGTTCAAGTGATTTTCCTGCCTCAGCCTCCCAAGTAGTTGGAATTACAGGCATCTGCCACAACGCCCAGCTAATTTTTATATTTTTTAGTAGAGATGAGGTTTCACCCTGTTAGTCAGGCTGGTCTCGAATACCTGACCTCAGGTGATCCACGCGTCTCAGCCTCCCAAAGTGCTGGGATTACAGGTGTGAGCCACTGCGCCCAGCCAACCAATGGGAAGACCTGACGGAGCTACATACATTAAAATGAAAAGAGATGGCATAGCAGCTATGGAGGGGTCCTCAAAAAGTTCATGGTCAATGTCTATTATCAAAAAAACTATGCAGGGATTTCAAATTCTTTTGTGCCAAAATAAACTTGTACTAACTTGTTATAACATGTCTGAACAGAATCTAGTTTGGGGAAACAGGAAAGATAAGACAACAATTTGAAGAGTCCCTATCAGAGCAATATGAATTCTGCTAAAATAGAAGCAAGAACAAAGAGCAAATTTCCGGTGAAACTTGGGTGGAAGAACAGTGACATCATGGATACTTTATGAAAAGCTTATGAGGACAATGCTCCAAAGGAATCAGCAGTTCACAAATCAATAACTCTTTCTAAGAAGGGATGAGTTCATGTTGAAGATGAAGCCCACAGCACCAAACCATCTACATCGACTTGCCAGGAAAAAATTAATCTTGTTTGTGCCCTAATTGAAGAGGGCTGGTGATTAACAGCACAAATAGCCAACACCATAGACCTCTCAATCAGTTCACAATGTAATTGAAAACTGAAGGTTGAGCAAACTTTCCATTTAATGGATGCCAAAACTGTTGCACCAAGATCAGCTGCAGACAAGAGCAGGGTTGCCGATGGAAATCTTAAACAAGTGGGATCGAGATCCTGAAGCGTTTCTTCTAAGAATTGCAATAGATGAAATATGGCTCTGCCAGTATGGTCCTGAAGACAAAAGACAATCAAACCAGTGGCTACCAAGAGGTGGAAAGGGTCCAGTCAAAGCTAAGGTGGACTTGTCAAGAGCAAAGAACTTGGAAACAGTTCTTTAGGATGCTCGAGGCATTTTGCTTGTTGACTTGCAGAAAGCCAAATAACAATAACATCTTATTATGAGAGTGTTTTGATAAAGTTAGCCAAAGCTTTAGCAGAAAAACACCTGGGAAAGCTTCATCAGAGAGTCCTCCTCCACAACAATGCTCTTGTTCATTCTTCTCATCCAACAAGGACAATTCTGTGAGTATTTCAATGGGAAATCACTAGGCAGCCACCTTACAGTACTGATTTGACGTCGTCTGTCTTCTTTTTGCTTCCTAACCTTAAAATTTATTTAAAGGCACCTATTTTTCTTCACTTAACAATGTAAAAAAGTCTGTACTGATATGGTTAAATTCCTAGGATCCTCAGTTCTTTACAGATTAACTAAATGGCTGGTATCACCACTTACAAAAGTGCCTTGAACTTGATGAAACTTACGTTGAGAAATAAATTTTATATATTTTACTTTTATCTTTTAGTTCTATTTTTCTCCCAACTTTTTGAAGTCACCTCATATAAGATCACAAAAATAAATAGATAAAATGTTAAAACATTCTAGGAAAGAAAAAAAAGATGAATAATCAAATCTTGCATGGAGAGGGGAGGAATAAAAAATGGTAGAAAATTCCAAGAGTGCTTCATGTTAAAGAAAATCTTACACAGAACAGAAAGGCAATGAAAGAACTCAAAAATAGAGATTCTGCTAATGTATTTGGAGGAAGTGTACTGATGTCTGCAACTTTGAAATGCAAGGGATTGAGGAATGGAAAGAAAGATTTAGAAAGAAAGAGAGATAGTAAAGCAAATGTAATAAAATCTTGGTTGTAGAATTTAGGTGTTAAGAAGATGGGAGTTCACTGTAAAATTCTGTCATCTTTCCTGTATGTGAAAAGTTTTTATAGTAAGATGCTGAGGCAAGAAGATAATATCTGTTCTTTAAAATTGTCGTAAGGATTACAGGAGATAAATGTGGAAGGGCTCTGCTACACTATGGTGGATTTACAGATTTTAAAGATGATTAAAATGGTAGAATGGCATAACAAGGGGAGATTAAGGAGCTAAGGAAACAAAGAGCTTTTACAGAACTAATAAGTAAATTAGAAACAGAAAAGAAAAGACATGACTGATTACCAAGTTTCTGGCATAGAGGAAATACTGAATATAATCAAAATTAATGCAGAATGAAAAGATAACATGATTAAAGTAATTAAACAGATATCAATGGACATGAAAAGCAAACAAAAAGTATCCAACTTATGGATAAATGGTATCCCTAAATGAGGGAACCTACCAAATGGAAATTAAAATATCCAATGAAAATGAGAAAAAAATTCCTGAAGAAAAAGGAAGAATGTATAACTAAAGTTTGAATGGACACAACATATTTCAGAAGATAATGATACAGGAAAATCAACATCAAATCATTTGCTAGGATAAAGAAGAAATTCTTTAGGTATCCAGCCCCCCCACTCTGCCCCCACAAAAAAAAAAAGTTCCTTACCTAGAAAGAAACCAGGCTGCCTTTAGATTTCTCCTAATACCACCAGATTCCAGAAAACCTCAGAAATAGGTATTTGAAATTCATAGGAGTAAGCTATGACCATAAACTTCCTAGTAAGCCACGTTTAGCAATGGGCAATCTTAAACATGCAAACATTCAAAATATTGGCTACTGTAAAAAAAAGACAGTAAGTGTTGGCAAGGGTTTGGAGAAAAGGACACCCTTATACATTGTTGGTGAGAATGAAAATTGGTACAGCCGTTGTGGAAAACCGTATGGAGATTCCTCAAAAAATTAAAAATAGAACTACCATATCATCTGGCAATCCCACTTCCGGGTATTTACTCAAAGGAAAGGAAATCAGTATCTCAAAGAGATATCTGTACTTCCATGTTCACTGAAGCATTATTTACAATATCAAGATACGGAATCAACTAAATATTGGTCAATGGATGAATGGTCAAAGAAAATGTAACACACACACACACACGCACACACGTGTAACTACATGAAGTGATGAATATACTAATTAGCTTGATTGTGGTGTATATTCCTTTTTTCTTTTTCTTTTTTTTTTTTTTTTTTTTTGAGATAGAGTCTTGCTGTCATCCAGGCTGGAGTGCAGTGGCGCCATCTCGGCTCACTGCAAGCTCCGCCTCCCGGGTTCACACCATTTTCCTGCCTCAGTCTTCCGAGTAGCCGGGACTACAGGCGCCCGCCACCACGCCCAGCTAATTTTTTGTATTTTTAGTAGAGACGGGGTTTCACCGTGTTAGCCAGGATGGTCTCGATCTCCTGACCTTGTGATCCGCCCGCCTCGGCCTCCCAAAGTGCTGGGATTACAGGCTTGAGCCACCGCGCCCGTCCTGTGGTATATATTTCGTAATGTATACATACATCAAATCATCAAGTTGTATGCCTTAAATGCACCCAATTTTTAATTATCAAGTATACCTCAATAATGTTAGAGGAAAGAACCCTCAGTATAACGTAATATTAAAAAGATGATAGAAGTAAGACCAGACTTTCTTGATATATCAACAAGTATAACTGAATAAACTCACATTTTAAAGATTACATTTTAAAAATTTGTTTGTGGAAAACAAAGAGATATATCTGCAGCAAAGTCACTGAGAACCTGAATGTGAATGGCTGGGCAAAGCCAGACAGAGTGAAGCCAGGGCTGTGATGGGGTCATCAGTCAAGGTGATCCGAGGGAAGGCACTGGGGAGAGGAGAAAAGCACTGCGGAATGATAAAGAGTATAATATACAATGAAGTTCTAACTCAGGAAAATGTATATGCCAAATAATGGGGCACCAAATTATAAAAGGAAAAACTACAGTAAATACAAAGAAAATAGAAATTCAACAGTAGCAAACAGATTTGACTAGCCTCCCTCTGCCTATGACCAATCAATCATATAAATCACAACAATGACAAGAGATTAAGGATGGGGGTCCATGTAACAAAATGAATAATTATATCTCACACTATGCCCAGCAAACAGAATGCCACCTGCTTTTCAAAATCTATGGGACATTTACAAATGCTGGGCTTCGACCTTGATGGCCGACCTGCTTACAGAGTGGTGGGCAGGATGAAAGGAACCAGGGAGTGAGCCCGAGGCACCCAGAGAGGAGCAGCAGCTAGAAGCTCTCCCCACCTTAGGAATGAAGAAGCAAGAAGCCTGGCGAGGGCAGGAACTTCCAGCAAAGTGACAGGCAGGGTGAGCTGGAAGGAGCCCCTCCTCCTGCCCTCTGCTGCCTTCCCCCATCCTGCCTGGAACCCACCTGGAAGCCGGCTGGCAGCAAGGTTGCTCAGGTGACACAGCCACAAACATCAGCCTTTTAGGGCCCAGAATAGGGCAAAAAAGGTGAAAAACAGATTGGAGAGGGGCAAATGGAGAATTCAAAGCACATCATTCCAATCAAATCAGAAAAAAAATTGTAAAACATAACAGAAGCATATTTTGCTCAAATCTATGCAATGCACATAAAACCTGGAAGAAATGAATTACTTTTCAGGAAAATATGAGTTATCAAATTTGAATATAAGAAAAAATATGTAGAATGTAAAAAAAAATAGTAGATAAGTTACCATAGGAAAATATCTCAATTCCATTATTTTTGCTGAATTCCCTTGTTTTTCCAGTAAGTTTTCACTAAATTCTACTTCCTTCAGGTACACAATTAAGCCACCTGAAAATAATGATAATTTTGCTCCCTCCATCCCAGTTTTTATATCTTATTCTTTTTATATTTTCTAGCTGTACTAGTTAGTCCTTCTCACACAAGCTCAAATAATAGTGATGAAAATAGTAGTAGAAATACTATTATATATGATAGAAATACTATTATATAGAAATAGTAATGGAAATAGCCTTATATCTGCTTTAATGGCATATTCTTGCATTTCCCTATTCAATAGAAAGCTGGTGTCTTGTTTGAGTTTGTTTCTCCTGATACATTAAGGAAGTACTTAGCTATTCCTGTTTTAGGTATGACTAAACACTTTTATCAAATACCATTTTGGCTTCAATGGAGATCATCATGGGTTTTTTACCCCTCTAATGACCCCTTAATATGGGAAATTATTTCCCAGGTTTTGGGGTTTTTTTGAGACAGGGTCTCACTCTGTCACCCACGCTGGAGTGCAGTGGCATGATCTCAGCTCACTGAAGCCTTGACCTCTGCGGCTCAAGCAATCCTCCCACCTCAGACTCCTGAGTAGCTGGGACTACAGGTATGCGCCACCACACCCAGCTAATTTTTGTATTTTTTGTAGAGACAGAATTTTGCCATGTTGCCCAGGCCAGTCTTGAACTCCTGGGCTCAAATGATCCACTCACCTACGCCTCCCAAAGTGCTGGGTTTACAGGAGTGAGTCACTACGCCTGGCCCCCAGTCTTTTTTTAATACTAATTATTTCCTAATAGTAAAACACCTTTGCATTTTTGAAATGAGCCTCTCCTGATTGCATTGCGTTGTTTCTCAATTTTATTTATAGATTTGATTAGCTAACATTGTATTTCAACTTTTTGCATTAATTGATATGTTTTTATTTCTGTGCTCTTTTTGTCTGGTTTTGGTGTGAATTTTATGCTGACTCCATCAAATAATTTTGAGGTTTTCCTTTTCTCTCTAAATTCTTGGAGAGCTTAAATGTGCATTCAAATTCTATCCTTTGATGATATAGAATTCAATCTGGGTCTGGTGGTTTGATATACAAATTGGGAAGAAGAAAGCAAAATTATTATTATTCATATACCTGGAAGAATCAGAAGAATCAATTGAAAAACTATTTGAAAACTAAGAGAATTCAGTAAAGTGCCTGAACATGGAATTGATATTCAAAAATAATATCCATGTAGCTAACTATTATTTTTAAAATGCAATGGAAAGAAAACAAAAGCCTTTCCCCAAATAACCTCTTCCCACCTCCACCTTACTCACCACTCAAATCAACCAGGACAAGCAAAGGCACACGCAGGTACACGCTCTTATCCATACATGAGAGATTATTGTGGGCTTCTCTATTAATGTACTATAACATCTAACACTATAGCATAGAACACTATGAACACTATGCACAATTATCCAAAGATCTATTTATTTTAAAATCTATTTAAAAATTATATATATATATACTTTTTTTTTTTTTGGAGATGGAGTCTCACTCTGTCACCCAGGCTGGAATGCAATGGCGAGATCTCAGCTCATTGCAACCTCCGCCCCCCAGGTTTGAGCAATTCTCTGGCCTCAGTCTCCCAAGTAGCTGGGATTATAGGTGCCTACCACCGCAATGGCTAATTTTTGTATTTTTAGTAGAGATGGGGTTTCATCACGTTGGCCAGGCTGGTCTTGAACTCCTGACCTCAGGTGATCTGTTCACCTCAGCCTCCCAAATAAAAGTTATATTTGTAAAATTTATTAGTGATGCAAATGCATTAAATCTAAGTAGCTCAGCAGTGTTCCCATACCATCATGTGGATTCAAAGACACCCTTAGGAGTACAATGCCCATTCCAGTACTTCCTATTGCATCTGCTTTCATTATTAGTAGTATCATTAATCTGCAGTTTATGGCCAGAAATATTTTAAGGTACTTGTCGATTTTATGAGGAAAGTTTAAACATAGTTCAAATCATCTGTAAATTCATTTAACTGGGCATACAGACTCTGCCAAACAGATCCAGACCACGGAACCCCACACTGCCTTGAGAACTTTGCCCTGCAGACAGGCCAGGTAAGGGTGCATATGTCAATTTTTCTAGAAATTACCAGTAAATATCTTCCAGCCCGTGTGCACACTCTGGGTTCATGGGCCCAGCACACTGCAGCAGCTGAAATGAGTTGCATGAGGCAGGGTTTGGTGAGGAAAATGGAAACCACTTGAGATCCTCCATTGTGAACGGAAATGGCTTTAACGAGGGGAATGCAAAGCTTTCACCTGTTGGAAGGCTGGGATGCAAGGGTCAAGGAGGCCACCAAAAATTATCTCAGCTGCTCACAGCACCAAAGCAGGGGACCCTGAAAAGCTGCCATCAATTGCCACTGGGTTCCCTTTCTCTTTCACCTTCCAAATCTCATATGAGTGCCCCTCCTTGGCTGACTCTACCCAGACCTTGAGGAAGGGGATTGCAGGAAATGCAGTTGTAGGCTCCTCGCCGGCAACTATGCAGAAAAGAAGGTGGGGCAGTGAAGCCGAGTCACCAACAGGCAATCCAGCACAATTGACACCTTTGCCACCTCAGATCCCTACACCCGTACCAAACTTCCAAACAGCCAGAGCAGCAGTGTGCTGCGTCTTGCACAATGCAGCCATCCCTCACACCATCAGTGTAAATTCAATCATTCCTCTAAAAGGGAAGATGCAAAGGCCAGTCAACCAGGTATCCGCCTCTGGAGAAGATTCCTCCCATTTCCAGCTGAGTCACGACCCCTGTTGGAGATCCCATAACTAGTGCTTCATATTAGCAAGGAGTGGACAGAGAGATAAGAGAGAACTGGGTAAATATATACAAATACACAATAAAGCAAGGACAAATTCACACGGAGCTTTTACAGCCCTGGTGGGCCTTGACAACCTTCCTTTCCCACAATCCAGGCCACGTGTCCTTCACCGCAGCCCACACCTTGGCTGATCATGGTTAATTACCTGGCAAGGTGACCCAAACCTTCATTCCTGAAGGATCTAAGCCATGACCTATATTGGATTGTTGTATCCTTCCATTCGTTTTTACCATGTACTAGCACAAAGAGGTACCCCATGTTCCAGACACGTTCTTCTCCGGGCCCAAGCACCCAGCCAGTGTGGAAGTCCTCTGCTTTGCTCACTGGGCAATGATGTTGTGGATCCAAAGCAGCTGAGTGCCATTCACAAATTAACTTCCATGAAGCAATTGTCACATTTCTTCCTTAGGAACCAAGACTTTCATGAAAACAAGCAGGGACCATGACTGTGGAACCAGTAGCATACATTGCAAGAAGGGCCTTAGCGATCACAGAAAGGAGCCCTCCATGCAGCCACCTCTTGGTTCTCAGACCCAGGTGTCCTGGCCCTGGGAGAAACTGCATCCAGTCATGGTTATGTTCAAGGCATATATGGATCCTGAAGGTAGGACCCCAGCTCTGCAGCATGCAGACCCTTAGCTAGTGCTGTTCCCAAGACTCAACGGGCCTTCTCAAGTTCTCTCGGGCCAGCAGCTCTGGGTGAAGGGCATGGTGAGACCCATGTGTGTCATGACAATGAGCCGGCTTCTGTTTCTTTTCAGTTCACTGCTAAGTGAGAAAGCACTTCAAACACCCATGCATGGTGGCACTAAGAAACAGCAAACAGTGAAGGCAAATTGTATTCACAAAGATGTCCAGCCGGGCATGGTGGCTCAGGCCTATAATCCCAGCACTTTGGGAGGCCAAGGCAGGCAGATCACCTGAGGTCAGGAGTTGGAGACCAGCCTGGCCAACATGGCAAAACCCCATCTCTACTAAAAATACAAAAATTAGCCGGGTGTGGTGACACGCTCCTGTAGTCCCAGCTACTCAGAAGGCTGAGGCAGAAGAATCACTTGAACCTGGAAGGCAGAGGTTGCAGTGAGCCGAGATTGTGCCACTGCACTCCAGCCCTCCAGCTCAGGTGACAGAGCGAGACTCCATCTCAAAAAAAAAAAAAAAAGAAAAATGTCTATTGCAGGGCAGATAGTAACTGTGCTTTCTGCGCTTTCCATGACATAAAGAGGTGGGTGGCTGAGTGGTCTTCCAGGGGCCCAGTGTCTGTCTGCTGGAGCAGGCTGGGCCCCTGCCACAGGACAGTGGGATCAGCCTCAAGAGAGAATTCCTGTTGTCCACCCCTCTGACTCAGCTTCCACAGCTCTTGCTCCAGAAAGTCTTCTGGCCTGGCCTGAGGTCCCACTCCGAGTGAGACTCCACACCCCCGCTTGGTACTCCAAAGCTCCCTGGGCTGGCTAGCTCATTCATTCCTTTGTTGTTAGTTAATTTAGTCAAGGGAGATCCAGCTCCAGCCTTGGAGGAGCTCCAGCTCCAGCCTTGGAGGAGCTCCCAGCCCGGGCCCATCCCACGCTGTAGCATTCTCACTGCCAAACTGTGAGCTCCTTGCTGCAAGGGGCTGAAGCTAATTTCCTCCATCACCCTGTGCAGGGAACAGTGCCCAGCACAAGCTGCCAACTGGAGGAAGAGCCCCTCCCCGGGCCCCTGGTGTAGGCAACAGCCTGCCACAGAGGGGCCAAGGCAGTGTCACCAGTATCTATAGAGGAGTTCCCTGTGTTCTGCACCCCCTCCTCACCACTCAAGATCCCAGCAAACAGCAGAGGCAAAATCCTTCTCTACATTCCTGCCCTGGGCCTAGAATGTTCTAGAATGTTCTTCCCTCCACTTCCTGTCTTCTTCCCCCATGCAGAGCCAAGGGTCTTCCTGGCCTACTGGGTCTCTGACTGCAAACAAGCAGACATTTCAAGACAATGCCCTGGGCTGGTGGCCTGGTGGTGGCATGAAGCGTAGGGACTCACGGGGGAAGACCTGGCTTCTTTACAGCCCCCTTAGTCATGTTGGATTTGAAAATGTCTGCTCCACCCTCAGAGAAGCTTGGTCTCCAAGCTAATATTAGGTCACTCCCACCCCAGGCCCACCGTCCCACAGACCCCACCAGAGGCAACTCTTAACGCACAGACGTTTGGCTCTGTCCAGAGGTTCCCGCACAGTCATGTTCATTGCAAGCATATACATAAGAAACTACTGTCCTGCCAGTTTTTCAAGGAGAGAGCATGTTGTACATAATTTGAGCCCTTTGCCTTCCTTATCAGCCTATCTTGGAGATTGTTCATATCACCATATTTGGAGCTGACTCATATTTTTTCCCATGGCTATGCAACATTCCATTGTATAGGAATACTATGATTTAATTTAATTAACAATTCCTCTCTTGATGGATAACTAGGCTTTTTTGGTCTTGGACTACCATACAAATTCTGCAGGGAACATCCTGATGAATGAGTTTTTTTTTTCCCAATGGCATACCTGTAGAGTAAGCTCCCAGGAAATGAAGCATTGATTGAAATGCTCTGTGCATTTTACATTTTAGATCAGCCAAATTGCTTTACCCAGAATTTGCGCCAAATTTCCTCCAAACGATAGAATATAAGTACTTTTCTCCCACACACTAAAAATGCTACATATCATCAAAGTTTTGCCTTTCCTAACCGGATAGATGAAAACTCTGATACACTTGCTTTAGTTTGCATTTTGTAGATTAGTGAATGAGATAGAATAACTTTTCACACATTTATTGGCTATTTGTGTTGCCTTTTCTGTGACCTGACTATACATCTTTGTCTCTTTTCCTATTAGGATTTTTATCTGTTTCCTATTGTTAAATAAATTATCCCTTTATTCATCATAGTACTGCAGTTATTCCTTCAAATTTTGATCTTTTATTATTTTGTTTTATGTTTAAAATATTTGCTTGAGCGGGGTTTCAAAACTTTATTTTGTAGTGGAGATGGTCAAACCTTTAAAGCTTCTGGATTTTGTGTTTTGCTTTAAAAGTCCTTCCTCAATGTAAAGTTAAATTTTTAGGCATTTTGCGTTTCTTTTCATTTTTTTAGAGTTTATTTTTTTGCACTAAATGTTTGATGCATATGTAATTTGCCTTGGTTTTGAGGTGAGCTAGGGATCCAGGTTTACTTATTTATTTTTTTATTTTATTTTTCTGCATGGCCACTGAGTTGAATAAGTCTCCCCTTCCATGGGTTTGATATGCCACCTGCTTCAAGCCCTATATTTTTATACATACTTGGATTCTTTTCCAGACATTTATTTATGTTCTATTCTTTTTTTCTGTTTATCCTTGTGCCAGACACACTCTTCTAACTACTGTAACTTTTCTATTTGTATAGTAGGGTTATTTCTCCCTTTTTATATTCCTTTTAAGACATTTTCTGGCTGTTTTTACATGTTCCCTCCATCCCAAAGTGAACTTTAGAATTAGCTCAGAACTTTAGAATGACGTTCATTAGAACCTTGGGATTGCATTGGAGTCACAGATTCATAGAGAGAGACCTGATGTATTCATTGTAAGAGTCTTGCGGCCGGGCACAGTGGCTGACGCCTGTAATCCCAGCACTTTGGGAGGCCGAGGCGGGTGAATCACCTGAGGTCGGGAGTTCAAGACCAGCCTGAACAACATGGAGAAACCCTGTCTCTACTAAAAATATAAAATTAGCCGGGCGTGGTGCCACATGCCTGTAATCTCAGCTACTCAGGAGGCTGAGGCAGGAGAATCACTTGAACCCAGGAGGCAGAGGTTATGGTGAGCCGAGATGGCACCATTGCACTCCAGCCTGGACAACAAGAGTGAAACTCCGTCTCAAAAAAAAAAAAAATAGTCTTGCTATCCAGTATGATATGCTTTTTATTATTCAGGTCTTTGACCTTCAGAAGATGTTAAAGTTTTCTTACTTTAAACTCATATGTAGATAACTTTTGTGGCTTTTGTGAAGTGATTCATGTATGAGCAGCATGCTATGGGTTGAAGCCTCCGGACACACAGAGCGGTGCTTGCCCCAACAGAGCCTCTATTCTGTTGTGGAGGAGAGAACATAGATAAATATGTAATATAGTAACAGGCAGTGATAACCACTATGGGGAAAGACACAATGGAGGAAGGAGATAGATAGTCTCAGGACTGTTTCAGAGAGTGGGCCTCTCTGAGGGAGATCTTGCAGGGTCTAGGCTGTTCCAGGCGAAAGGACAATGCATGCAAAGGCTCTGGGTCCTACCAGTGTGGCTGGAGTGCAGTGAGAGAGGACAATCTTGTAGAAAACAGGGTCGGAGGGTAGTGAGGGCTAGGCCCTGCAGGGCCCTTTTGGCTATCCTCTGGCTTTTGAATGTCTTTCTAAGAGAAATGGGAGGATTTGGAGTGATTTTCACAAGAGAATGTCATCATCTGATGTCCATTTTTTAAATATTCCTTTGGCTGCTCCATGGGGAATGGACTGCAAGGAGGCCAACCTAGGCCTCCTTGCACGTTGCCCTACACAGGAGACCAAAGCCCAGCGAAGATGAAGCCCAGCTCCCCCCATGCCCTGCAGCTAAATACACACAGCCAAAGACAGGCAAACCCCAGTGACTGGCCACCCGCTCAGTTCATGACAACGGGCTTCCCCCGAGCCCCTGAAGCTCCGTGGCGCATGCCTTCATCCACACAGACAGATGGTTGAGGTTGAGTCTCACCTGCCCATCTCTCCCAGGACTCTCCCCATCCTCACTCTCAGCAGTGATGGTCCTGCTTCACCAAGGACACAGAGGAGGTAGAAGAGAGTTTCCACAGGCTGCGTGCATCCACCAGCCGCACCCACAGCCTGCCTGCCCACCTGTGACCACTCCTGCAGGTCTGGTGGGCACCTCCAGCCCAGCATGCCCAAGCCTCGCTGCTGGTCCTTCCACCTCTTGTCCAAAACCCACGCCTCCCACGGCCTTGCCATTCCCCTCAGTGACCAGCGCTAGGCTTCCAATTGCTCAGCTCAATATCTTAGAGTCAGCTTTGACTCCTCTGAGATCCCATGACCTGGAAACTCTGCCAGCTCTCCCTTCAAAATACATCCAGGATCTGGCCACTTCCCATCACCCTCACAGCTCACACTCCCATCACCCTCAGCATAGTCCTCCCAACTGTCTCCCCACTCCGTTCCTACAATCTCAGCAAGGCTCCTGCCTGTCTCAGGGGGAAAGCCCAAGTCCTCACAAAGGCTCACGGGGCCCAGGCATCTCTGACCCTGTCCCTCCACGGTGACCTCCATTCGCCACTTCAGTGTCCCACTCTGCCCTAGGGCCCTTGCACTCGCTGCCTCCTCTGCCTGGAACATTCTCTCCATAGACACTTGTATGCCAATGCCCCCAGCTCTTTCAAGGCTGCACTGAAATGTCTCCTGCTTATTGAGGCTTACCTCGGTCACCCTATATAAAATGATGGTCAGCACTCCAATCTGCTTAGGCTGTTTTGCTCTGTCTTCGTCACCTTCCACCACACTGCATAAATTACAAATGCATCATGATGATTGTTTAATTTCTCCCCATCCTCCAAGAATGTACACTCCTCGAGGCAGGAATCCCAAGCACCTAGAACAGTGCCTGCCCTTAGAAGGGGCTCCGTAACTATTTGGTGAATGAGGAAACAAGTGAATCATCATTACAATTTACAAACAGTCAACACCAGGAAAGAAACAGGGTTATCAGGTGTGGCTTCTGCTCTCAAGAAGCTCACAGTCCACATAGGAAGAGGGCCTTGGCAATGAGGACGCTGCACGCCTTTGCAGAGTGACTCCATTGAGCCTCAGGAGACACCATCAGCCAGAGCCCGACTCACCGCTGCCAATGGCAATGGGTCCCTGATGGGACAGAGGTGGACCATGAAGAGTGGGCCGGAGCAGAGAGGAGGCCACCTGTCACCTGCCCACTGCCTCCACGTCCACAAAGCTTCCCGTAGCTCCTACAGCTGCCCAAGTTTTCCCTTGGAAAATGGCTCCTTAGATGAATCCAAGAAAAAAAAAAAAAGCCTTTGTATAGAAGAGAGGAATCATGGGCAATGGGTTCTCGAAGGTATAAAATAGGGACTTTATAAGCATCTCAAGCCCAGGTCAGGCCATCTTGGGCTTAAACGTGAGTAGATGACAATGTAGTCATTGATAAGAGAGGAGCTGAAGGATCCCATATGGACCAATGGAAGACTGCACCCCAAAATATCACCCAGAGCCTCCTCACCTCCCTCAGTAGTCATCCACTCACTCATCTCCTCTCAAGAAGCCCACTCACTAGTGGGCGGGGAGAAACCACTGAGCCACCAGTTACAGCACCCTGTGAGATGTGCTGCAATTTGGGGAGGTTAACAGGAGACAGAAAATGAGTTTAAATTTTCTGTGCCAGCTTATTTTGATTGGCAATGACTTCCTGGGGTAAAGCAGTGCAAAGGCTTCAGAGGGGGTCTCCAGGTCTAGCAGGAAAATCGTGCTGGGTTGATTGAAAAGTCTGTCCTGGACACAGGAAGGGGGTGGGGATATGGAAAACTTGGAACATTTAAAAAGAAAGATTTAAAAAAAAAAAAAACTCCTCAAAGTGACTGAGCAGAAACATATTAAAATCTAAAAGGCAATTCAATGGAAAATTATCTGACATTATGTTGGCAATGGATCTTTTAAAATGAGATCTATTACAAATAACAGGCTTAACAGGCAAATATGACCTGCCTAATCTGCCTGAAGAGGAGTTTTATTCCTCCTATTCCAACAGACCACGTGCTCTCTTAATAGAGCCTGAAGGTCCCCCAGGGGCCTCCTTCACGGAGAGATGGGCTGACTCCACGTTCTGTCTGCCTCAATTTAATTTGGAGGGTCATTTCATAACTGAAGACTTCTAGCATCCCTTTGAGGTCAAATATTAACTCACAAGGGCAGGAAGATGAGTTAGCACAAGTTTTCAGGGAAGCAATTTTGCAATTTGTATCAAGAGCCTTTGTAATAACCCACTGATACTGCTTCTGCAAAATCCCACAGAGGCATGGGTAAAGACGTAGACACTAAAATATTCATCAAGCATTCTCATCATAGCAAGAAATTGAAACAATCCAGATGTGGGAAATGGTGAAATAATAAATTTGCATATTGCTGGAATATTATGAAATGATGAAAAATGTTTACAAAAAGCTGTTTTAAGGGTGTGCAGAAGTGTTTTCAATATAACACTGAACTAAAATCAGAATGCAAATTTTTATTTAAAGTATGAGCTCAATTAAGAAAAGCAAGAAAGCAAGTTTGAAAATACTGGAAAGAAAACCTTGATAGTGTTAACAGTGAATGGAAGAATTGTGGGTGAGTTTTCTGCATTGTTTTATACTTTTGATTTTTCTAATGTATTACAATGAGTACACTATCAGATAAAACAATTAAAAACTTATTTTAAAAAATGAAGAAGCAGAAAGGGTGTTTCCACTTTTCAGAAGTAGAAAGGGAAACCACACTATAAAGGGAAACCAAGGCAGCCCCCAATTCTTTACCTGGACATCATCCTAGTTCCCTGGGTCCACAAAGCCAGGTGTAAAAGAAACGGGGGGCTCCAGCCTGAGGGGCAGCCACTGGGTGCGTGTCCCAGCTCTCACCGGCCCTGCAGCTTGGAATAATGAGCCATGGCCTGGGGAGGGAAGCAATGGTCCAGAGACACTCAGCTGGGCATAGCAGAGCACAGAAAACCACACAGCTCCTGCCCCTCCCAAGCCCCACGGCACCCCTGCTTACAGAGGCAATCCAGAGTGGGGGCAGGAGCTGGGTCTGGATCAGCAGGTCAGCTTTGAACGTTCTTTGCCACCCTCCTGCCCTGGCACCTTGGACCGGTTAATCAAACCTCTCTGTGCCTCAATACCATCATCTGCATTTTGGGGATGATAATAGTTCCTAACTCACGGGGTTGCAGAGACCTTGCACATAGTAAGTGCTCAGTTAACATTAGCTTTACTTTTAGTCTGCAAGGTCACTAGCCCAGGGAGTGGAGGTGACACCGTCAAACACCACTAATGTCACATTTCTCCACAGCCAGTGTGCTGGGGCATTTGTCCATCCTGGCTAGAGACCCCAAGTGTCAGTCTGCAGGCTGTGCTGGGCTGGTGGCCCCACAGTCACCTGGGAACCTTCTAAAAGCTGTAATGTCCCATCCCCTTGCCCAGAGGCCGCAGTTCAGGAGCTCTGAGAGGAACTGGGAATCTGCATTATAATAACACTCCCATGTGATTCTAACTCGCATCCTGCCCTGACTGAGTCCTGCTTTAGTCCATTTTGGCTGCTATAACAAAATGCCATAGACTGGGTGGCTTAGAAACAACAAAAATGTATTTCTCACAGCTCTGGAGGCTGGGGAGTCCAACATCAAGACACCAGCAGATGGTGTCTGGTGAGGGCCCACTGTCTGGTTCATAGAAAGCACCTCCTAGTCGTAATGGCAGAAGAAGCAAGGGGTCTCTCTGTGGCCTCTTTTATAAGGGCACTAATCCCATTCATGAAGCCTCCACTCTTAACGCCTTAATCACTTCCCAAAGGCCCCACCTCCTGATACCCTCACACTGGGTTAGCACTCAACATATGGATTTTTTAGGGACACAAACATCCAGGCCATAGCAACTCATCATTGTCAGCAGGTCCCAGGGTTCATTGTGTTCCATTGTTAAACACAGTGAAGGAAACACACCCACAACATTTAACTTCATCAAGAAGGAGCCAAACCTTCCTGTGTCTCTGCTGTTTGAGTGCATCCATCCGAAGATCACAGCAAAAACTACTAATGGTATCAACAAACAGGGGCAGTCCAGCCCAGGAACCCCCACTCTCATCACACATCACCTCCCCACTTCAGTCGACTTCCCATGATATTTTCACACTGCTCACAGAGCAGGTTCCTCCCGTGGGAGCCGCTGATTCCACTACACAGGACGAGTACCAGGCATGGCATCTTACTAAGCTGCCTGTGTTGTCACTTAGTCAAACCCTGCACTTGCCACTCCATCAAGGTTAGAAGGTTAACATTCCTATTGGAAGGCTTGAAAAGTCATTTGACCCAGGAGATTCCAAGACACTAAAACCGACCGTCCTCAGAAAATCAGGCAGCAGTTACTAAGCCTCATGCACTATACATGTACAGAGTGCCTGATTCCAAGTACAGGTCACAGCAGCTGCCCTCCTTGGGCTGGGCTGGAGGGGAGGTAGACCCCTGAACAAACACTTCTGCCATCTTGCACATCTTGGTGTGTGCAAGAGCCACTGTGAGAGCATCAGGTGTGCAGGGGTGAGAGGACTTCACTTCACCCGCAAGGCCAGGGAGGCCCCTGGAGGAACTGCTCCCTGGACTGAGCCTTGCACACTAAGTAGAAGTTACCTAGGAGCTGCAGGGATGGGAAAGAAAAGACAGACAGTCCAGGAATAGGGGCCACCTTGTGCAAAGGCATGGAGGCAAGAGGGGAAGAAAAAAACAGGTGTTTGAGGGGCCATGAATGCAACACCTTGGTCCTTCTTCATCTTCCACCTTTTGGGAGACTACCTCCCTTTTTCAGATGGTCACATCTGATTCCTGAAGACACAGTGATATAAGGACCTGTCCTCCTGCATAATGCTGGGACACACTGACAGTTCCCCCAGTTTCAGAGCTCTCTGCAGGACCCTCCACCCAACCCTGCAACTCCTTCCCAGGAGTTGATCCCAGCACCTCCTAAGCTAATCCGGATCTCGGAGTTGGCTTCCTGGGAATCCAACTTGCAGTGAGTTGCAAGTCACTCAGCAGCACCTGGCGAACATTTTTAAATGAAAGTGAGCAAAAGAGCATGCTCAGTCTTCAAACTTCTGGAATCAATGAAAGGATTGATGGGCACTGACTGATCTCGGGCTGGGACTTGAAGGTTCAGACCCTGTTTTCTGATGCCCCTTATTTCCCCTCCACCCCTCTCCTTCCCCCAAATGAAGACACTCAGTTGTTTGATTTCAAGTCACAGAGAATGTGTGAAGCCAGCCCCTTTTGAGGGAAGGTGGAAGCTCTGAGATCCGCCCCAGACAGCTAGGACCCAGAGAAGTGAGGTCACCTGTCCCAGGCCACACATACGGGAGGCCATATTTCCAACCAGTCTGTCTCAGTTCCAACTTGCTCTCTTTCTACTTTGCTGTCTCAACATTGGATGCATTTTGAAAATGATAAAGTTCCCATGGACGCCTGAATCACCTGTGAGTGTTGCCACAGAGTTGCATTCTATGGCAAGAGGCTTTGCAGGTGTGATGAGATGGAGGCTCTGGAGATGGGGCTGTTGCCCTGGATTGTCCAGGTGGGCCCTCAGGGTAGTCACTGTAAGGAGACAGGAGAGCCCAGTGAGGGGGAAGTGCTGTGCTGCTGAAAGCAGAGACTGGGACGATGTGGTCAGGAGCCAAGGAATGCTGGCAGCTTCTAGAAAATGCTGGAGGAGGCAGCTCTAACAGGAGGGGGTGTTGGTGCTCCACACCCCCTGAGCCTCCCCAGAGAGACAGTGCACCACCGCAGAGAGCAGGCCTGGCTTACGAAGAGCGTGGAGGGGACACCAGAACCAGACACCCCCAAGACCAGGCACATGTGGACAACACAAATGGGCCAAGCCAGAGTGAGGCTGCCCTTGTGCACAGGAGACAGGACCGTCCTGCTCTGCGTTGCCAGGGTACCAGTCAGAGAGACCCAGGGACTCCTGAGAGCAAGGAGCAAACTGTGTCAGGCCCAGCAGGGAGACAGGATCTGGGCAGGCAGAGCTGCAGCAGGCTGAGGCCACTCTGCAGACCACGCAGAGGGGAGGGACTTCAGGATCAATGGGGTGGGGTGGGAGCACCCCCACGCTTCCTGAGTAGCTGTCCCCGGAGGCTTCAGTCTGTGTGGATTTAAGCCTGAAAAGTGAAAAGATCAGTGCACAAGTTCAGGGTGAGTGGGGGCTGGCCAGGCAGAAGCCCAGGGAAAGGCCTGGGAAGGTTTGGGGTTATCTTGGTTTCTGGTTTGTACCCATTTGTTTTCAACACCAGCAGCATATACGCATTTATTCAAACATTGAGTGACTATTTCTTGTGCACCCGCCACAGGGTCTAAGGTACAGTACCTGGGGATCCTCACATGGGCAGAGCAAGCTCCCAGCCTTGGGGTGCAGTCAGCTTTGTCCTGAGAGGTGTACTCTCTCCACCTCACCACACTGCCCCACTCCAGTTCAAACCAGAGGGCAGGCTAGGGTAAGAAGAGTAGATTTTGTGAGATTTCAGCCCAAATACAAAAGGCCCTGCTACCAATAAGGAGTAAGCTGGGCCCTGACCCAGACCCTGGTATCTGGAGGCACAGGACATCCCATCACTCCTGAGGGAGGTGCTTTTATTATCCCAATGTTTGAGTCAGGAAAGCTGAGGTGACACAGGGAGTAGCTGCTCAAGCCTCAGGCCACCAAGCAGCCCTGACTCCTGGGGGTCTGTCCATCTAAACCATGTATAGACGGCATCTCGACAGCTCACCCACCCCAGGGGGGCTTGCGGGTTCCCCTCTGAGGCCTCCTGGAAGAGATCATATCACAAGCACTGGAGAAGGGTGCTGACTTGTGCCGCTGCCAACAAGGTCTGACCACTGAGGGCCCTGATGCTGGGCCACCCACTTTAACCCACAGCCATGGAATTGAAGCCTCTCCAGCCAAGTAGACCCAGGCTCAGATGGCAGGGACCAGAATCTGAGGAGGGCAGTGGGAGCCGGATAGCCAAACAAGCCGGGCTCCCAGAGAGGACCGAGGCATCCCCATCCCGAGAACACACACAGCCAGACACTTTCCACACCTGGGGAAACTGAGGCCTGGAGGAAGAATGGTCCAAAGCCAGCCAGCATGAGCTGGGCCTGAAACCTAGGTCATTGGCCTGGGAACAAGAGGAAAACCAGGGTGCTGACGGGGAACCACAGTGATGTTGGCAGGTGGCCCAGGGCAGTCTCCTTGGCCAGTCGTGGACTAACAGTCCCCAGACCACTGCTCTTGCAGCTGAGGAAAGAGAAGGAAGGGTTTCCTTGCTGAACCCTAGAAGAAACAACAATAACGTCCAGATGTTAAAGGCAAAATCACTTCCTCTGAAAAGAAATGGTGTTTTTAAGAGACAGGCGGCTGAGCACAATGCCAGCCCCAGCAGAGGGCCCAGCAGGGGCAGCCAGCGCCCTGTGGGAGACATGCTCCAGGAAAGGTGTGTCTCCCCTGATTTCTGTGCACCCCCCAGCAACCAAGGAGGGGCTCCTCGTGTCCACACTGGGCTCAGTTCAAGGTTGAACATTATCAGGCCCAGCGGCCACGCTGCCCAAGCCAGGCCAGCCACACATCCAGGGCTAGGAGAGAGCCTGCCACCATCCTCTCCCAGCCCCCAAGACTAAAGGCCATTGTTGATGTGCAGTTCCTGGGCAGCCCCCCACCAGTATAGAGGTGCTGATTCAGCAGGCCTGGGGTGGGTCTGGATTCCCATGCAGGTGTCTGGGAATCAGAGCTTCCCATCTCCACCCAGGGCATCTGCAGGCACGTGGCTCCCAGCTGAACAAACTCCAGGATAGGGAAGCTCCCAGCCTGCAGCCAGCATCTGCACGTGCACAGCTCCTGTGGGCATGCCTTCTTTTCATCCAGGAGAACTTGGTGGAAGGCGGGGAGCTGCCTGTCCCTCAGAGTGGGAGCCCACACAAAGGAGCCTGGGACTCCTGGTCCAGGCTGTACCCCAGCAATTAGAAGAAAGAGAAAATAACTAACAAATGCTCAGAAAACCTCCCTCCCCATACCCTGGGTACTAGTGATCCAGAATTTTCCCTGCCATCACTTTGAGGAGGAGGTAATAACAAGAGATAAGGTCCTACTGGAGGTCCTGGGGTGGGTCTGATGCCACCTCCACTTCTGTGGCCAGAGGCCCAGACAGTGTGCACTGGGCTTTATTCAAAAGTCCGGAGAGCACCCTATTAATGGATGCAGAGGCAAGAAAGGGCCTTGGGCACCAGAGAAATGTCTCTAACAAGAAAGAGGCTGAAATAGTTTGGGGACATTAATCAGGAAGTCCAGAGCCCTAAATGGCCCTTTCTCCCCTATCCCGGTCCAGCTGTGTTTAATTGACATGTGATATTCTGAACTTCCTTCCGGATTGCCAGTTGTTGAGAACCTGAACCTGGGCTGCTGGCCTGGCTACAGCCTGAGACTCCCCACCCTTGGGCTGGGTGGGGTCTGCAGGGACTGAACTCTCAGGGACTGAGCCCTCACTGGTCAGGCCTGTTCAACTTGGGAGGGAGGGTCCCTTCACCCAGCATTCACCCCTCAGCCTGGTCCTCCTGGTCCCTACTCTGTTCGAGGTCCTCTCGCCCCTGAGTAGCTGGGACCGCACTCTAACCAACTGGCTCTGCCCTCTTCCAGGCCCGATCTCCGCATCTGCTTTCAGAAGGCACCCACATCGGCCAGCAGGTATGAGCCCAGCCACAGCCTTCAGCTCATCCCAGCACCTCCCATCTATGGCAGCTCCTGTGCCAGCATAGATGCCTGGCCCTGCCACTGCACACCTCAGCTGTTTGGATGCTGGCATGGCAGGAGCAGAGCTAAGGAGAATAGCTTCTCTGATTGAGAATCGGACCCATGAGAACACTCAGGGAAATGCTGGCAGGCACAGCAGAGGGGCCCTCATCCCTCATGGAGGCAGCACCTCCAAAGGCCCAGGCAAGTAGCTGCCAAAGAGGCCCCAAAAGACCCCGGCATGCTGGAACCATGCACAGCCTAATTATTCTTCCAAGAGAGAGGCCCAGGCCTGCTTCTAGGGCACTTCGGGTCAGCTCCATGGTGCTCTGCTCACCAGCAAAGTGGGGCAACCCAGACCAAACAGTGCCCACTACAGCCCAGCCAGCATGCTCCCTAATCAGCACCCACAATAGCCCCCACACCCTGCAGGACCCAGAATGTTCTACAGCC
Source organism: Homo sapiens (assembly GCF_000001405.40). NCBI lineage: Eukaryota > Metazoa > Chordata > Mammalia > Primates > Hominidae > Homo > Homo sapiens. The sequence continues at coordinate 128,550,981 of NC_000002.12, read as the reverse complement.
CTCCCCCACCCCCACTGTCCTGTGACCTTGGAGCTCCCAGGCCCGGGTTCCGCAGGAGGGGGCTTTCATGAGCACAGACCTCCCTCCCTGTGAAGAATCGGGGCTGCCTCGTTGCCCTCTACCCATTGCGAGGAACACAAACCCACCCAGGGAAGAAACCAGGCAGCAAAAGCCCTTCCGTTCTTTGCACAGGTCGAAAGGGAGCTCAGCTCTTCCCCCACTGTCGGCAGTTACTGAAGAAATCTGTTCTCATGAATTTAAGTACTGTCCGGCTTTGTTGATCTTTGGCTCCACCTCAGACATCAAATGACCCTGCTATGCCAAAAGGAAGGCATTCGTGAGGAGCTCCAGAGACACTCGTGAGTTAGGGTGACATCACAGTTTCATTGAGCACCATTGGTGGCATTTTTGTGTGCACAGATGTGAACGTGCCCAGGCCCCACATCCACTAAGAGGAAGAACTGCAAATATAAACCATGTCCCTCTGACTCCAAAACCTCCAGGTTTTCAGCCAGAACCAAGTGGCAATGTGTAAGAAAGCCACACATGTTAGGTGTAGCCATGTCAGGAACTGAGACACTTTGCAGGGGCAAAATCCCAGGGTTCACTCTGGTAGAGAATTTCAAGTTTCTTAAACAGTAATCCAGACCCTTACACGAGACAGAGGGAAGGAGGAGGAAGGCAGAGGGAGGAGGAGGGGAAGATGAAGGGGAGTGGGAAGGGAGGGCAAGCCCGGATGTCCAGGTGACTGTCCCCTGCCCTCTTTCTTCCTCAGCCCCTCTTCAGCCTTTCCCAAAAGGAAGCTGTAGGGTGGAGGACCACCCAGAAACTGATTTCCACTCTAACTTCAGGAGGACATGCCTCTCCGAGCAGAGAGCCTCAGTGCTGAGCTTCTGTCTGCAGGGAGTTTCTCTGGGAATTTATGAGACGCTGTAGAAATGCTGACGGTGTGGTTTTGGCCACCCCAGCAGGCAGCCCAGTGCTCTCATTAGACTGGCTTCCTGCAGGCGACAGGGATGGGTAGGGAAGGCTGTGGGGCACAGGGAGGAGGTAGATGGCTGACACAGGATAGGTGCCCGTGCATGGGGGCTGCCCAGCAGCCCAGACTCCTGGCAGGCAGGAGGGACCATGGGCTTCTGCAAACCCACCGCTCGCTGCGGTCCCTGGGTTGCTAAGTGAGGTCACACCAGCCCCAGGGTGGGGTGGGTGCAAGGCCCAAGGACCGCAGGGCCTGGGACAGGCCACAGGGCAGCAGGGACTTCCACAGGGCAGCTGGGCTACTGAGCAGTGCTTGTCCTAAGAACCCCTCCGGTCTCTCTCCTGAAGCTCATTTGCTCCTTTGACCCCAAAACAGGACAAGAGATTTCACATGGAAGAAAAGGCCCTTTTCCCCTCAGGATTCCAGCTTCCCAGAATTCCTTTCTGATTCATCAGGTATTCACATTTTCTCAATCCTGCAACGTCCACATGTTTTCATGTTTTTTAAAAAATGCATAATAATCACTACCAGTTATTGAGGGCTCAGCATGTGGCTGGCCCATAGTGAGGCATGAGCCTGCAGGGTCACAGTGAGCCTTACTGCCTCCCCTCCTGAGAGCAACCCCTTGGAGGAAGTGTTAGAGACAAGGAACCCCAAGTCCACAGAGACTGAGCAACCTGCCCAAGTCACACAGTGAGGAAACTGGGCTGAGGCCGGGAAAGCGCTGAGTGCATGTGTGGTAACATAGCAGAGTGTTTTCACATCCATTCTCTCACATGATTCCAATGCCTGGAGAAGTAATCAGGGCAGGAATCACCCCGGTTAACAGATGTGAAAACTGAGACCAGAGAGGGCCCAGCCAGGAGCAGCGGGGCCTGGGGAGAGAAAGCCAGTTCGAGCCTAAACATCCCATGTTCTGGTCCCCAAGTTGTTCTACCCTGCCAGGTAAACTTTTCTTTGAAAACAATTTTAAAGGATTAAAAATTAATAGGGATAATGTGATGTTGTCACTGGATCAAGCCTGGGGCAGAGGAGAAACCACTGGGAAGGGGTAAGGACAGTGAGGGACTGAGCCTGGTCAGAGGACAGCAGGGAGCAGCCAAGTGGACGAGGAGGTCCCTTGGAGTGAGGAGAGGAGCTGGCCAGGCATGCTGCAGGCTGGGCAGCTGCCCACACAGGTGGCTGGACAGTGACCACCCTTCCAGACACATTGTGGACATCCTTTCAGGCTAGCCCACTCACGCCTCCACCTTGAGAGGATGGTAGCCCTGATCCTCACACAGGCAGAGGCAGGTGCCGTGCCCGGAATCTCTCCTGAGAACACAGAGCCTCTTCCTGTGACTTCCCCAAGCCCAGGAAGCTTTCTGGGGCCAGATCACTGTGTGTGTGCACGCGTGTGTCTGTGCTTCTGCCCCAGTGCTGTGGGGCCTGAGGGGTGGAGGCGGGAGGTCCATCCAGCACAGCCGCCCTGACGCAAGCCTGGCGCCATCCCACTCAACATCTCTCTGCCTTCTACTAGGAGAATGATCCAGCTGCTGGGTTCTGCCCACAGATTTTGATACTAAGTAATATTTCCAGCGAAAGTCTTGTAAATTGATTTGTAGGAAAGGCGGGTGATGGAGAAAAATGGGGAGCTGCAGACGTTGAATTCAATACCAAATAATCTAATATGCCCAATTTCATTTTATTCTCCTACCTTTGATGTTTGCAAGCAAATCATTGGCACTTTGGTTTGCACATATATCTCAATGCAAAATGGTGGAGTGGCAATAAATAAATGCATTATCCAGATAAATGGCTGCTGGTCAGGGTGAAACAGCAGAGAATGGTCGGTGCTTTCCAGTGATTTACAAGCAGGAAATTCACTTATTCTCCCCTGACCCTTGGCTGTTTCTGGCTCTCACAATTCTAGAAAAGGGAGAGTGGGCAGAGAAAAGCATAGATAACAGGAGGAGGAAGACTCAAGGGCCCCCAGGCCTGGGGAATAATCAGGCGATAATGATGTTTTGGCCTCCAGGGCCATAGTGCTTCCCAGAGCCTCAGACTGATCTCTGCTTCCACCTTTGAAATATTCAACCAATCCTACACATCAAAGCATCTTGCCCCGTGGCCCTCCTTGACCTTTCCCCTTCTGCTTCCCAGGCCATGTCATCCCTCCTGGAGGCTATTGAAACACACTGCCAGCCATTGAGTCTCTCATGGCTCTCCTCCAATCCAGCCTGCCCAGAGCTGCTAATGACAGGGTCCTAACACTCAAATCTTGCCATGGCACTTCCTGCTTAACTCCTCAGTGGCTGTCCTTTTCCACAATCCGCTTCACTCCAGAAACCTCCCACTAAAATGCACTCTCTGACTCTTTCTTTTGTTTTTCCCACTCAAATGCATGAATAGGCTATGAGCTCTTTAAAAGCAGGGGTTGTGTCTAATTCATGTGCCAGCTCTCCAGCACCTAGTACAGTGCCTGGGATGCTGGACAGGAGGATGGTGGAACAGGCGAGTGAGTGGGTGAATGGATGGATGGGTGGGTGAGTGGATGGATGAGTGGGTGGGTGGGTAAATGGATGGGTGGATGAATAAATGGATAATGTGTGAATTATGGATGAATGTATGGATGCATGGATGGATGGATGGATAGATAATGGGTGGATGAATGGGTGTATAGATAGGTGGGTGGATGGATGGATAGATGTGTGGATGGATGGATGGATGGATGGGTGGGTGGGTGGCTGGGTGGATAATGGGTGAATGGATGAATGGGTGGATAATAAATGAATGAACGGGTGCATAGAAAGGTGAATGGATGGATGGATAGATGGAGAATGGATGGATGGATAGATGGGTGGATGGGTGGATAATAGGTGAATGGATGAATAGGTACACAGATAGGTGGACGGATGGACGGGTGGCTGGATGGATGGAGAATGGATGGATGGATGGATGGATGGGCGGATAGGTGGATAATAGGTGAATGGATGAATGGGTGGATAATGGGTTGATGGGTGGATGGAAGGATGGATGCATGGATGGATAATGGGTACATGAATGGGTGAATAGATAGGTGGGTGGATGGATGGATAGAGGGGTGGATGGATGGATGGATGGGTGAGTGGGTGGATAATGGGTGAATGAATGAATGGGTGGATAATGGATGAATGAATGGGTGCATAGATAGGTGGATGGATGGATGGATGGAGAATGGACAGATGGATGTATGGGTGGATAATAGGTGAATGGATGAATGGGTGCACAGATAGGTGGATGGATGGACGGGTGGCTGGATGGATGGAGAATGGACAGATGGGTGGATGGGTGGATAATAGGTGAATGGATGAATGGGTGAATAATGGATAGATGGGTGGATGGAAGGATGGATGCATGGATGGATAATGGGTAGATTAATGGGTAGGTAAATGGATGGCTGGGTGAATGGATGGGTGGGTGGATTGGCAGATAGATAGTTGATGGATGGGTGGTGGGTGGATGAGTGGGTGGATTGATGGGGTAGATGGGTAAATGGCAGTGGGGACATGGAAGAGTGGGCTGGTAGGAAAGTGAGTGAGGAATGACTGTGAAAGAAAAAAGATTCATTCTGGGCTTTTTGGATTAACTTCTCTGAGGCCTTGAGAAGTCTGTCTGTAGTCTAAGTACCATAAACCTCTGGGAAAGCTTACATTTCACATCATACCCCCTGTGTCTGAGCTCCATGGCAAACCCAGCTCATCCTCCCTATGGGCACAACAGGCCTACATTGTGCCTTCAAGGCGTCACCTTCCTGGTCTGGTCACCATTCTGGTAGCTGCTCATTCAACAAAGCATCTCTCTCCCCCAGCTTTTTTTTCCATCCGTCTGCCATGATGTAGGTCATTGATTAAAACGAACTGTCACAGTCACAGACAGAGCCCTGCAGCCATGGTATAGAAAATGTGTCTGAATCCAATGTGGCTCCTCGCCCAAGCTGTGGGTGCAGAAGCCTGGCCTACTTTGGGTCGATCTAATTGCAGTCGCCCCGCCATGTGGTGCCCTGTTCCTGTTTTTTCCACAGCAACATAATTAGAAATGTTGTCCAGTGTTTTCCAGAACTCACAGTGTACTTTATTTAAGAGCACTGGGTCTTAAGGCTCAGCGTATCTGCCCAGTGAAACTGAATGTCATGAAGCCATGGCTTGTTTTTAATGAGTCCATGCAGGCCCCCAGGAATCACTGTGTTGTTTACAAACTTGTTTCCCTCTCTGAGTGTTTCTTTTCCCAAAGAATAAATGCTCACCACAGGGATGTGCAAAGGGAAGTTGGGCAGTGTTTCATATCATACAGATAACTCAACAATTGTCTAAAACCCCAATCCCAGACACCCACCCTGGAGCCGTCATGCTTCTGCCTCCAGGTTGTCCCCAAGTGCATCTAGGAGGCCTGCGTGGAGCTGGGCATGCATCCCTCCCCAGCTTCTAGCTCTGTAGACTCTCCTGCCTAGGCCTGCACCACCTCATTTTAAAAGATGAGTAACAGTAGCAACCTCAGGTTGTTGTGAGAAGAGGGAAGTCAGGAGGACAAGCACATGCCAGGTACCAGGCGCCACACAGACACCAGCTGGTGAATGAGGACAGTGGCCCACAAGCACAGGGCGCCATCCCTCTGATCTTCTCCAGTCCCCCTCCCCTGAACTCTCCCAACCATTCCTACTCTTTGGAGCATCCTCTCACCCCTCCCTCCCCTGGGCTGGATGGACCCTTCCACACAGGCCAAACTCAGTCTCATGGCTCCCAGCACAGGATCCGGGTCCACGCACTTTCATGGGTCCCATAGGCCCAGCGGGTGTCCACACCTGCTTGGCTTACAGAGCAGGAGCAGCTGAGTTGAGTTCTGCCACTCCACAGACACAGGACACTGCCCTACTTGCTCCCCCAGGAACTACATGGCCTCTGAAGGACAAGGAGACAACGGGCTCCTGGCTTCAGATGGCTAATTGAGCATGCACCCCTGATTTTACCTCCTCCCAACGCCCCACTCCAAAATAAACAACACAGTAAGGAAATTTTTTTAAAGCCATAAATCCACAAAAACAAAGACAACAGGAGAGATGCGATAGCAAAGGAAAAGGTGGGAAGTAAAATGAAAGAAGGAATTCCTGAGTCAGCAGTGAAGGAGCCAAAGAATCAGCGCGATTCACCCTGCAGACCCCTCAGATCGCCCAGAACCCGCAGCACCAGCAACTGCTGTAACCAAGGCCAGGGGGTGAAGATAAGATCTAGAGGCTGCTGGAGAAGTAGTGAGACCCCCGAGAGCCCCCCCCTTCCATTCTGCACCTAGCAAGGGAAGCGCCCCTGCCCTTACCACCACCCTCCCCTCCCCCCACCTCCTGGAGATGACTGGAGGCTCCCCTCTGAAGATGGGTAAGCAGAGAGTGTGAGGCAGATAGGCACAGAGAGCACCAAGAGCCCTTCCCTGCACGTGGCCATGCGCCGTCTGCATGCACGCTTCCCCTTCCTGGCTCTCAGAACAGGGCAGCCAGACCTTTTACCCCTCAGGTAAGAGAAGAGAAGGGAACTCAAGACCTAAAGGTGAAGACACCGGGGTCCCCGTAAAAGCCTCTCCCCTCCCGATCGCTCCACATGCCCCACCTACCCACTCCCAGCTCCCAGCCAATGGTTTCCCTCCTGCTCTTGGGTCAAGAGGAATCAGATATCCGAGCAAAGCGTCCATCATGACAGAGAGAGAACTAGCAACCTGGGGGGAACCCACACAGAAAGAGAGATGCAAACAAAACCGCTAGCCATAGCCTCTAAGAGACACAGAAAGTATTGCAGCCAGGAAATAAGAAAGGGCGCTCTAAAAAAGAATGTCCGGAAAACAAAAGAGAGCTCCTGGAAATTAAAAACTGTATAACACAAAGTTTAAATTGATAAAGGCAATGGCATAATAAAAAGTTGAGGATATTTCACAGAAAGGAGAGAAAAAAGCAAAGAGCTAGACAGCAGGATAGAAAACAGTGTTTTGAATAGAGGACCCGTCTGTGAAGCGAGGCCGTGTAGCCAGCATCCTCACTGACCCATCCAGATGCCCGCCCTCTTTTTCTGCGACTTTTCCTCCCGTCTCCCAGCGTTGGGGTGCTCTGCTCTCAGCCCTGCAGCTGCACCTTCCTGCAGGACTCCTCTTCAGCCACCAGAGCCACTTGGCCTGTATCCACTGGGACTAGAAGTGCTGGGAGACTAGATCCCCCTGGATGGCCTTAGGCAGTAACAGCCAGCTGCAGGAATGTAAAAACCAGCTCCCTTACCTTAGGGCAGGAAGACGCCGAACTGCAGCTTCAGCTTTCACACTCCAGTTCCCTGCTGGACCAACCGAAGGCCCTTCCATGGGACTTTGCCTGAAATCTCACCTCTTCCCTCCCCTGCTTCCCGACTCCCTCACCCATTGCCCTCAAAGTCACTGCACACAAACCTCATCTAAGGGTATCCTTCTGGGAACCTGACCCAAGACAGTGTACATATTCAAATAATAACTGGAAAAAATTTCTGAAAAAAAAAAACAGAGAAAACAGAATAAAGGAAATCAAATAAACAAGAAAAAACCCTGCACTGAAGATTCCCAGACTGAGGGGTCTGCTGAGTACCCAGAGAAATGGATGAAGACAGAGCCAGCCTAAGTCACCTCACTGAGACAGGTTAGAACACGGAGATAAAATCAGATTCCACAAGTTTTCAGCAAGAAGAAAAACAGATCCCATACATTGGAGTAAGACTTAGCAATGCCTTTGGACTTCTCGGAAGCCCACAGAAGCTAGAAAACCAGGGAGCAATACCTTCTTAGAGAATAATTACTTCCCACCAGAGTTCCATGCCCAGGCACCTATTTATCATCTGTGAGAGCAGAATGAAGATAGCTTCAGATAAGTAAAGCCTAAAACATTTATCTCATGCTTCCTTTCTCAGAAGATACTGGAGAAAATGCGCCAACCAAGAAACAGGCAGGCCCAGGATTCAGGACACAGGAGACCCTTCACGGGAGAAATATAAAGGGAACCTCCAGGACCAAGGACAAGGAAGACCCCACAGGACAACCCTGTAAGCCAAAGGGCAACCGGTCCACAATGGACTAGGGTGGCTCAAAGGACAGACTCAATGAGGGCTGCCATCCATCACCTGCTTCTGATATTCTACCCCCATCAACCTTAGTGGAACTACAGAGGAGATATCCAACCAAGGGAATACATCAAGGAAGAGGGACCCAGGGTCTGGCATACAGGGGCTCCATCCCAGAAGGAGTCCAGGGATGGGAGTAAAGGGACTTGCCATAAGAGAGTCACACAGCAGGCCTGGAGAATAATCAGCCCAGAAAGAAGGAGGCTGGAGACCTCCAGGATATAACTTAGGACTATTAGACCACCCAATGTAATTGACCCTGTGGAAACTGTCATAGAAAGGTAATGGAAAAGTATAAAAAGAATAAGTACAGAGAAAACTAAGCAAATGAAAAATAAAGATAAGCCAGTTACTAATTTCAGTGAAATATACGTATATAACTATAGTATATTATATGGCTCTGCTTTGAATAATATTTGCATCAGCATATTATATAATCTGTAAATAAGAAAATTCATTGAGAAAACATGGCAATAACTATAGTAGTCCCAGCTTATCCACCAGGTATACGTTCCAAGACCCCCCAGTGGATGCCTGAAACTGCAGATGATACTGAACCCTACACATTCTGTTCTTTTGTATACATATATACCTATGATAAACTTTAATTTATAAATTAGGCACAATAAGAGATTGACAATGTCAACCTAGGCCAGGCACAGTGGCTCATGGGCTGGGCGCAGTGGCTCACGCCTGTAATCCTAGCATTTTGGGAGGCTGAGGCAGATGGATCACTTGAGGTCAGGAGTTCGAGACCAGCCTGCCAACATGGTGAAACCCCATCTCTACTAAAATTACCAAAAATTAGCCAGACATGGTGGCACACACCTGTAATCCCAGCTACTCAGTAGGCTGAGGCAGGAGAATCGCTTAAACCCGGGAAGTGGAGGTTGCAGTGAGCAGAGATCATGCCACTGCACTCCAGCCTGGGTGACAGAGCAAGACTCAGTGTCGAAAAAAGACAAAAAAAAAAAATACCAATGCCAATCTAAAGGAAGAAACTGAGGTAAAGTTAATATAAGTAGAGACTTTTTTTGTAATAGGTTTGGGGACTGCAACTCAGGAGACACAGATTCGAGTTGCCCTGAATATATGCTCCAACTGGCAGCAGTTCCAAGTGGGATTTTAAAGAGAAAAAGAAAGGGCAGTTCCTAAGCTGAACAAAGGCTATTGCTACACATTGTTTTTTGTATCACAAATTCCAGGAACATGAAGACAGTGATAGGAGGTCACATTGTGCAAGTTATGGTAATATTACAGATAATTTATCAGCTAGTCTGGAAACTACAGGGAAGAAAAAAAATCAAAATGCATTTTAAAAATTAGCCCTGGGGATGGGTGCAGGGTGCAGGACTAAAATCTCATGCTCATGTCTCCCTGGGCCTGATACGTTTTGCAGACCTCACATTCTTCAGACTGCTCTGAGTCATTTTTCTTCCTCATTTTCCCCTTTTGACTGAGATCTTTCTCTTATAAAAGCATTGATGAAGTCTGGGTGTGGTGGCTCATGCCTGTAATCCCAGCACTTTGAGAGGCCAAGGCGGGCAGATCACAAGGTCAAGAATTCAAGACCATCCTAGCCAACATGGTGAAACCCCATCTCTACTAAAAAATCAAAATGCATTTTAAAAATTAGCCCTGGTGATGGGTGCAAAATTACAAATATTACAATTACAAATAATACAAAAATTAGCTGGGTGTGGTGGCACACACCTGTAGTCCCAGCTACTCGGGAGGCTGAAGCAAGAGAATCGCTTAAACCCAGGAGGCAGAGATTGCAGTGAGCCGAGATAGCACCACTGCACTCCAGCCTGGTGACAGAGCAAGACTCCATCTCAAACAAAAAGCATTGATGACCAACATTTTAAATGTAAGTTTGTCCCATGTCACTGAGGAGGCTCATTCCCAAGTAATTTCATCCCATGTCAGAGGGAAACGGGAGAGGTACTATGGCTTAAGAACTTAGTGAGTTCTCAAGGCCAAGTTGACTGGCAACACAACGGGACAGAGCAGTGAGATCTCAGTCAGGCTATTGCATACAAAGGAACAGTGGTGTGTTGGATCATTTCTAAGCATCCAGCCATAATGATTTTAGTTTTTGTTGTTGCCTTTAGACATCTAGAAATACAAGGCATGATCAATTTAAGGATCAAAAATACGCAACTAAGAACAAATATTAACAAAATCATTTGAAATCCAGACCTGCAAGTGTTCCTTTTCCTGAAGGTACTCAGTCAAATGCTGTAAGGGGTCTGTTTTTCCAATGTATTGCAGCCATCTTGCCCTTTGAGTGATTTTTTCTAACCAAGTTTCCACTTCTCATCCTGCTCTGAAGCACAAGGCACCTGGCTGTGGGCCAGCTTCAGTTGGAGATCTCAGTGATGGAAGATGTCCACTTAGGCAGCGCTGCCCTTTTAAAATGAGGAATGTGAACCTGTGAGTCAATGCCATTAAGCTGCACAAGGATTGATTAACAATATCTGATACGGTCCCTTCCAATATGGTTAGAAGGAGTTCTTTATTTCATGGCGTTTCCAATAAATAAAATTGGAATAAAATTGGAAGCCATGATCTTTGATGACTTCGTCTCTGGGGAGCTCGCTGTTAAAATAATCCTTAATTAATTTAGAAGTTTTAGTGAGAAGCTTTATAAGGCCTTGGCAATCATGAAGAATATCACCTTTAAGGAGAGCTAGTTCCACTCCTTCATCTAGGTGGGTGGGTCTTCCTGCTCTTATCCCAAAGACAGAAAGCTGATGCTTTCCAAATGGGGTAGCACGTAAGTTAAGTGACACCAACAGAAGAGCCTTAGGCCAGGTAACGTTAAAAGTCCCTGTAAGCCTTGCCAACTAATTTTTTTTTTTTGACAGAGTCTCTGTCTGTCTCCCAGGCTGGAGTGCAGTGGCGCGATCTCAGCTCACTGCAAACTCCACCTCCCAGGTTCCAGTGATTCTCCTGCCTCAGCCTCCTGAATAGCTAGGATTACAGGCGTGCATAACCAGGCCCGGCTAAGTTTGTATTTTTAGTAGAGACGGGGTTTCACCATGTTGGCCAGGCTGATCTTGAACTCCTGACCTTAGGTGGTCTGCTCATCTTGGCCTCCCATGCCAACTGATTTTTATCATCTCGTTTGTGCATCCCACCAGTCTGGAAGACTGAGGGTGTCATGCACAACAGAAATGCTGAAAAATAGGCCATAAATGACAAGTAGGATGAAGGATTTGTCACTGAAATGGGTTCCCAGGTTGCTGTGAAGCTCAAAAGAACCTCCCCCAGAAAAAATAGAACTTAACGTGGCCCTGGTTAAAGATGCAATTGGCAAAGAAATTTGGTCTTTTTGTTTTCAGTTTACTCGAAAGGTGAACAAAAATCTTTTACTATCTCTTATTAATACTATAAAAGAATCTTACTCAAAAGAAAAAACAAATTCAACCTTTGTATTAGTGTATTACTAATATTAAACCTAATTTTAATAAACCTCATAAACAGATTTATCTAATCAGCTTTGACCACAAAATAAGATTTCCATAAATCTTCCATTTAAAGCAACCTTTAAATAACTAGGCAAAAATACCTTTTATTTAACAAAGTAACACATTCTCTGTCTATCTTATCATTTTCTGTCTTTCTTATAATTTTCCTTGCCAAAACCATATCCTACTTTTCTGTTTTTTGTTTGTTTGTTTTTTTGAGACAGAGTCTTGCCCTGTCGCCAGGCTGGAGTGCAGTGGCGCGATCTCAGCTCACTGCAACCTCTGCCTCCTGGATTCAAGCCATTCTCCTGTTTCAGCCTCCCAAGTAGCTGGGATTACAGGCACCCACCACCACACCCAGCTAATTTTTGTGCTTTTAGTAGAGACAGGGTTTCACCATGTTGGCCAGGATGGTTTCGGTCTCCTGACCTTGTGATCCGCCCCCCTCGGCCTCCTGAAGTGCTGGGATTACAGGTGTGAGCCACCGCGCCCGGCCTCCTACTTTTCATATACATTCTGCTTATAGAATTGTTTTTCTTACATCTAATAGTTTTAATTATATATATAAACTACAATCTTAACTCTTGGCAACCGTAATTTCTGGTGAAAAACCAAGAAAGTAAGTAATTTTAATTGTTATGTATCAGGTACAGAGCCCAGGACAGAGGACAGAGCTGTGAAGACAATGCCTGCAGGACCTGATCCCTCCCAGCATGACTGGGAGGCAGAAGCCAGCAAGATGTGTTGGGCTTGGCTCTGCCCCACAGCTGGTGGCCTAGACACTGTGAACATCCATGAGACTTCAGTTCTCACCACGGCCACCTCCTAGACCGCAGAATCTAAAGGCTCAACACCAAAGATGTAAGCTCACAGTAAGATGTGCACAAGACTCCAAGGAAGCCCAGCCACCTGCCCTCACAGCTTTAGCTTACAGAAAAATCACACAAGCATCAAAAGTATCACAGAAGCAACAGTTTTATGACCTTAAAACATCTAGCAGAGACAGTATGTATTTGTTCGCCAGTAGACTTGGTCAAAAAAAATGTCTAAAATTCTGAAGACATTTCTATTTTGTTTTACCAACAATTTTTAAGCTAGCTTTATTTACCAAAGATTGCTAAAGTCATGTAAACTTGAAAGCATTTGGGCACGCAATTTGTGAGTACTCATGCACTTATAAGTCAATTTGGTACCACACAGACAACATACGCACAGACATGTACACATGTAAACATAAAAACAGAGATAGGCACAAAAATTTTACAGCTTGGACTTTAAAATTTTAGCCATGAGACAAGTAAAACTCACTAGTTTAAAAGGACACTTGGATTAAACTGTGCCTCTGTAAATGGAACAAATTAAAGTTTATCTGTCCCACATGGCTGAAGCCCTTACTGGTTTTGGAGAAAACAGGGTAGCAAATTAACATCTTGAAACACAGAGAAAGAATTTACATTTTCAAGAAGGGTTTTGGTTTTGTCAGAGAAAGATTAAGAAGAAATCCCACAGTAACACAAAACCATAGGAATTCACCACAGGATTGACAAGGAGCCCAATTTTATTTAGATAGGTAGCTTCTAATTTGGTCTTTGTTTTCCAACTGGGCCACTGAGCTCAGGGCAGAGCTCATTAATGAACAGAGCCCACAAAGCATTTGTAGCTTCCAGGGCCTAATACTTACAGATGTGAAAAGCAGGCCCAGCTGAAAGGCAGAGCATCTAGATCTTCAGAAATCAAGGATCCCACTTTTACATTGAATCCCATTTTCCGCAAATGAGGAAAACGTGATGGGACCAGGCCCTGCAACACTTTCTTAGAGCGCCTCACTACAAGACATTCGCCAGAGACTGCTGGGCAATCCAACAGCAACCAGCCCCCTCTGCCATCAGCCCAGCCCCCATGGGAATCCTATCCCTCGGTGGTGGGTGTTCCCACCACGTGCAAGTATCCAAACCACACTTTTCTTATCTAAACACACAAAGAAACGAGTCATCCCTGAAATAAATACACTCATTGCAACTGCTGCGGCCACCTCCAAAGCTGCAGCTCTCACATCTGACTCACCAGCCGTCACACACACAAAGGTCACCTTCCCTCTCACAGTACAATGGAACCCCTGGTGCCTACAAAGCCAAAGAGATCGGGTAACTCAATGCAAAAGAGAGCAGAGTTTCAGCCCTGAGAGGGGCATACCCGCTACTCTTGGGACTCCACAAGGAAAGTAAAAGGCCTCACAAAGGGGCTGTGGTGCCTTTTCCTGTGTTCCTCAAGAGGGCCCAGGGCTGTTGGAAGTCTCCTCTAGATTTCTTCACGTGGTATCTAACATGGCAAAAGGAAGGAGGAGCAGAAATGGAAGGAAAAACAAGTCCTAGAGGAGCGGAGCCAATTTGGGGAGATTTTAAGGTTTCTAAAAGACCAATGTTGGGAGGCGAAGACGGGCAAATCACCTAAGGTCAGGGGTTCAAGACCAGCCTGGCCAACATGGTGAAACCCTGTCTCTACTAAAAATACAAAAATTAACTGGGCATGGTGGTGGGCACCTGTAATCCCAGCTACTTGGGAGGCTGAGGCAGGAGAATCGCTGGAACCCGGGAGGTGGAGGTTGCAGTGAGCCAAGATCGTGCCACTGCCCTCCAGCCTGGGCGACAAGGGCGAGACTCTGTCTCAAAATAAATAAATAAAATAAAAAGCCAATGAAGTTTTACATTTTCGTCAGCAAAAATCATGCCAACAAGAAAGGAAGCAAACAGAGGGACCAGACATATTTGAAAAGCGGATTCTGTCAACTAAAAAACAATTCCCAGAAACAGTATCCAAAAGAGAAAAGGAAGACAGGAAAAAATTATAGTTTGAAAATCAGCTTTTAATTAAGCCTACTCTGACCATACAGCTCATTAAAAAATCCTTTCAAATCTCTTATTACCAGATTTCACTCAGGGCAATCAGAAAGTAGGCTTTCTATTCATTTGTCTGGTTCTAAAACCTGCATTTTCCCATTGTGTGTGCAAATATATTAATTTAGAAATTTCAAAAGACCCCCAATTTGGCCATTGCTACTTGGGATGATCTTGAGTTGTGTAAGTCCAAGGTGGAGCTCCACGGGTGTTATACACAAATACAGCGGGTATTTCCGAGGGCCGGGGGATGATCCTTAAGGGAAAGCTCAGCTTTGACAATCAGTTTCCCACCATTTTAGAAATTCCCTTTCAAAAGTGACCAAGGCTGGAACGATGTAGTAGGCTGAAGTGTGCTGCTCTGTGAGTGCCATTCCTCAAAGAGTCATCAGTGAGTCATGACTCATTCTTTTGTTTTTTGTTTTTGAGACAGAGTCTTGCTCTCTCTCCAGGCTGGAGTGCAGTGGTGCGATCTCAGCTCACTGCAACTTCTGCCTCCCGCGTTCAAGCAATTCTCCTGCCTCAGCCTCCTGAGCAGCTAGGACTATAGGCACATGCTACCATGCCCAACTAATTTTTTTGTATTTTTAGTAGAGATGGGGTCTCACCGTGTTAGCCAGGATGGATTCACTCTTTTACATGTCTCGGAATCTCTCATCACTTTTCGGCAGCAGAGCACTCAAGGTGCCAGGTGACCAGCCCTTATGTGCACCTTCTGGCTAAGCCAAAAATCCCTGCAGATATTTTTCTTGAAGGGAGGTCCTATAAGGCTGCTACGTATCATGGACGAACATTTCAACACCTCCATAAAGTCTCTAGTCACCTAGAGTCCCCAGTCGGTATGGAGGGAGGGAGTGTCTCTTAACTTTTGGGTGGGAGAACTCACTTACATGTTCTTTTCAGTTTAAAACCAGCAGGAATGGATTAAATTGAAATACAAGTCCAAATTACAAATAATAGGAAGCAGCTGCAATTTTTAAAGGGTGCTATGTAATTTTAGGCCAAAAAATAAAATGAAACAACTTACACTAGACTACCAATGCTGTAACCCAAATATTTTGCCATGAAGTAGAGGCAGAAAAGCCAGAAGTTCTCTGTAGAGCTCTTTAACCAAATCTCCTGTCCAGAGACAGAGATGAAAGCCCTCACTTTTAAAAGAAAGAGAGGATTTGAAAACAAAATCTAGACCTCAACTTAAAGGAAGTGAGGTCTGAATTCAAGAGGACTCACTCTTTGTACCCAGGGAAACCTCTGGAGTCGAAGGAACTCAATAGGTTCATCCTGGCACTGAGTGCCACATCCAAGAGAGCCCAGTGGCAAGGGAGCATCACTCTGAAATGTCAACCCAAAGGAAGAAACTGAGACAAAATTAATATGGGTAGAGGGTTCATTTGGGACAAGTTTGAGGACTGCAACCCAGGGGACATAGACTCAAGTTTCCCTGAATATATGCTCTGAGAGCAGCAGTTACAAGTGGGGTTTTAAAGGAAAAAAGACGGGGCAGGCAGTTCTTTAGTTGACCTAACCTATTGATTGGCTATGTGCTACTTTTTGTATCACAAATTCCAGGAACATGAAGATAATGGGCGAGGGCTACATTGTGCAACTGGTAACATTTTCGGTAATTTACCAGCCAGTCTGGAAACTGCAGGGAAGAAAACAAAGAAACTGTAATGACTTTAAACAATTAACCTTGGGCTTGGGTGCAGGGGTTGTGACTGAAATCTCATGCTCATGCCTCCTTGGGCCTGATCAGTTTTGCAGACCTTACATTCTTTTTTTTTTTTTCTTTTTGAGACTGAGTCTTGCTGTGTCACCCAGGCTGGAGTGTAGTGGCGTGATCTCGGCTCACTGCAACCTCCGCCTCCCGGGTTCAAGCGATTCTCCTTCCTCAGCCTCCTGAGTAGCTGGGATTACAGGCGTGTGCTATTGCACCCAGCTAATTTTTGTATTTTTAGTAGAGATGGGGTTTCACCATGTTGGCCAGGCTGGTCTTGAACTCCTGACCTCAGGTGATCCACCCACCTCAGCCTCCCTAAGTGCTGGGATTACAGGCGTGAGCCACCGCGCCCGGCAGACCTTACATTCTTTAGACTGCTCTGAGTCACTTTTCTTCATCAACAACAATAACTGGTGATAAAATAGAAAAGTCATAACAATCGACTGTGATGAAAGTTATGTGAATGTGCTCTCCTTCTCTCTCCCTCCAAATAGCTTCCTGCAGTATGCTAACCCTTCTTGTGATCATGTGAGATGATAAAACGCCTACATGATGAGATGAAGTGAGGTGAATGACATAGGCATTGTCACATAAATGGAAAATCCCAGAGGTAAACAATGTGTGAGTTTTAAGTTGCACAGCATTCTGAGTAGCGCCCAGGATGTGAATCCTCCCTATGCCCAGCACGTCCATGCTGCAGACACTGCCCACCCATTAAGTCACTTAGTAGCCATCTTGCTTATCAGATGGGCTGTTGTGGTATTTCAGTGCTTGCCTTCAAGTAATCCTTATTTTACTTAATAATAACCTAAAGCACCAGAGTAGCAGCAGAATATGTTCAGACCACGGTTGACCACTAGTAAATGAAACCTCAGACACAAAGCCATTGATAAGGGAAGGACTCCTATGCTAGGGAAACAGGGAGGGTGTGGATGAAAAAGAGTGCAGGTGTAAGAGAGATCAAATCCTCAACGTCCACCAGAGTAAGTCTACAGATAAAGCCTAAACTGATCAAATATGTGTGTGTATAACAGTATAAGAACATTATTGAGGAAGAGAGAGATGTGTAAATATTAGCAAAATAAAAGAAGCTGAAAGGTTATAAACGTAATTGCCTCTGGATTTAGGAAGTCTGGTGACAAGTTTAACATATCCTTTGTAGAAGCCAAGTAGAAACTGCCTCTTCACTCTCTGAAGGTTCACTGAAAAGCCACTGACAAATGGCATATTAATAGGAGAAAAGGCATACAAATATATTAACATGCATGGGAGTCACACAAAATACAAGAACTCAAAGAAACAGCCACATGGTTGATGCTGATGCTTTTATACCATCTTGAGGTTACAGAAAGAATGGGGGCTCCAACCATGGCCAAGAACAGGTAATGGAAGGGGGAGAAGAGGAGGCCTGGCTACCAGAGGTGGTCTTGTTGTGTAGATGAGAACTCACAGGCTGCAGCCCTCAGATAGAACAGATGCTAAATGTTTATTTAACACCTCTAAGGGGTGGCCTTTAAGGGTGTCAGACTCCTGGTTAACCATTCCTAGACAGGACAAAGGAAGACCTCAAATAAAGTCGGCTGCATCAGTGCAGGTTTTCTGCACAGATGCAAATCTCCCCCCAAAAGACAGCTTTGCAGGGCTACTTCTGTCTGCAGGCCCTCTGAATGGCCATCTCAAAATACACCAAAGAAATGTATCTTGGGGTGAAATATCTTGGTATCCTTCACTATACCCCTGTGAAACACCACCATCACAATCAAGATGATGAACACATCCATTGTCCCCAAAATCTTCCACATGCCCCTGGCTCTCACCCCCTCCCAGTCCCAAGGCAACCACTGAGATTTCTATCACTATAAATTCCTTTGCGTTTTCTACAACTGTATATAAATTAAAACATACAGCAATTATTCTTTTTATTCTGGTTTCTGTGGCACAGCAAAATTTTTTTAGTTATCTTTTTTTTGTAGTGAAAACATTTAACATCTACTCTCATAGCAAATTTCAAGTATGAAATGCAGCATTATCAACTTTAGTTACCATGCTATACATGAGACATCCAGAACTTATACATCCTGAATATCTGAAACTTTATACTCTTTGACTAGCATCTTCTGGTTCCCTCCATCCCCCAGTCCCTGAAAACAACCATTCTCCTCTCTGCCTCTATGAGTTTGACTTTCTTAGATTCCGCATTTAAGCGAATCATGCAGTGTTTGTCTTTCTGTGCCTGACTTATTTCACTTAATGTCCTCCTGGTTCATCCATGTTATTGCAAATGACAGAATTTCTTCTTTCTAAGGATAAATATTATTCCATTCTGTGTGTGTGTGTGTGTGTGTGTGTGTGTATGGGGGGGTGTGTAGGTACATAAATAAATAAAAAAATATATATATATCTCTTATATATGTAACATGTGCTTAGGCTGATTTCATATCTTGGCTATTGTGAAAATACCGCAGTGAACACAGGACTGAAGATATCTCTTTGAGAAACTAACTTTATTTTATTTGGCTATATACCCAGAAGTAGAATTGCTAGATCATATATTAGTTTCATTTTTAATTTTTTGAGGTACCTCCATATTATATCTCTTAGTGGCTGTGCCAATTTACATTCCCATCAACAGTGAACAAGGGTTCCCTTTTCTCCACATCCTCACCAATACTTGTTATCTTTGGAGGTTTTGTAGTTGTTGTAGTTAGCCATTCTAACCAGTGTGAGGTGATATTTCATTGAGGTTTTGATTTGCATTTCCCTGATGATTAGTGACATTGAGCCCCTTTTCAAGTACCTGTTGGCCATTTGTATGTATCCTTTGGAAAAAAATGTCAATTTAAGTCATTTGCCCATTTTCTTTGTTTGTTTGGTTTTGGTTTTGGTTTTGAAACAGTCTCACTCTGTTGCCCAGGCTGGAGTGCAGTGACGTGATCTCAGCTCACTGTAACCTCCGCCTTCCAGGTTCAAGCGGTTCTCAAGCCTCAGCCTCCCAAATAGCTGGAGGCTAATTTTTGTATTTTTAGTAGAAATGGGGTTTCCCCATGTTGACCAGGCTGGTCTCGAACTCCTGACCTGAAGTGATCTGCCAACCTCGACCTCCCAAAGTGCTGGGATTAGAGGTGTGAGCCACCACTCCCAGCACTTTGCCCATTTTTAATCAGACTGTCTTCTCATTATTGAGTGTTTGAGTTTGTACATATTTTTCATATTAACCCCTTATCGGATGTATGGTTTGTAAATATATCCTCCCATACTGTAGGTTGTCTCTTTACCCTGTTGATTTTTTTTCCTTTGCTGTACAGAAGCTTTTTAGTTTCTATAAAAAAAAAATAGACAATCCCATTTGTCTATTTTTGCTTCAGTTGCCTGTGCTTTGGGAGGTTGTATTCAAAATAACACTACCCAAACCAATGTCAAGAAGATTTTTTGTTTGCTTCTAGCAGTTTTATGGATTCAGGTCTTAAGTTTAAGTTTTCAATCCATTTTGAGTTGATTTTTGTACATAGGCTGAGACAAAGTTTCACTTTCATTGCTGTGTATGTGAATATCCAGTTTCCCCAACACCGTTTACTGAAGACACAATCCTTACACCACAGTGCATTCTTGGCATCGTTGTTGAAGATCAGTCTGTTATAAATGTATGGATTTACTCCTGCGCTCTCTATTCTGTTCTACTGGTCTCTATATCTGTTTTTACAGCACTACCACACTCCTTTGATTACTATTGCTCTGTAGTATACTTCTAAACCAGGAAGCATCATGCCTCCAGCTTCATTCTTCTTGCTCAAGATTGTCTTGGCGATTTTGGGTCTTTGATGGTTTCCTATGAATTTTAGATTTGGTTTTTCTATTTTTGTGAAAAATGCCACAGCACCCTCCAAAGTCAGCCCCACGGCCAACCTAAACCCCATCCACCCGGCCTCAGGAGGGCTTCCCAGGTATCCTTAGCCTTCCCATGCTCTCTTCTGTTCATGTAAGGACCATGCATGTTGGATAAGGCAGAGCACAGGAGTTATGACAGTGGGCCCTGGGTTCAAATCCTAGCTCTACCACTCCGGATTTGGAGCCTAAGGTAGGTTACTTAATCTCTCCGTGCCTCAATTTCCTCACTTGTAAAGTGGGGAGAAGACTCCTGGTAAGGCTGGATAAAGTTATCGTATGGACACTTGGAATGGTGGCCAACGGGTAGGACCCACTCCTGCAGGTGGGTTACTGTCAGCATTACCTCACACTCTTTTTCAAAGGGGCCCAGGAGAAATCAGAGTCCCTGGGGACCAGGGACCAGGCCTATAACAAATGTGCACACAACAGCTGCTCAATAAAAACAGTGGGTGGTGAGACAGGAAGAGAAGGGAACTAGTGAGTGCCCCATGCCCACCCTGTGCCAGGGTCAGGCACTGGACTTTGAGCTTTCCCCTGTGGATCCTGCATCCTCATCACCATCCAGGGTGGGTGTGACAACCATGGGACAGAAATGCAGCAGAAGCAGACAGGCTCAAGTCACACAGGCCCCGCAGGGTATGGACCCAAATCTGCCCACTCCCCACACTGGGCTGCCCCTCAGACCCCTGGCGGCCTGGGCACAGAGTCCTTGGAACCCGGGACAGCCTTCTGCAATGGGAGAGTCCTTGGGGACAAGGAAGCTTGACCCCTTCTCACCTCAGCACAGAACGCTTGCCTCCCTGTCCAGAACAGCCTAAGCTCAAAATGCTGCAAATGTTCCATTTGATTTTGTTTTTAATTCCTGCTAATTCCAATGGCAAACATTTGATAATTATCCTCAATAAAAGTTTAAATGTTCCAGTTAACCAATCATTGTGTAATTTATTTCACCAGGAAATAGAAGAACAAAGGGAAATTTGCCATGAGGAATTGCATAAATATACTTTCTTTTTCTTTTCTTTTTTTTTTTTTTATGACAGAGTTTTGCTCTTGTTGCCCAGGCTGGAGTGCAATGGCATGATCTTGGCTCACCACAACCTCTGCCTCCTGGGTTCAAGCGATTCTCCTGCCTCAGTCTCCCAAGTAGCTGGGATTATAGGCATGCACCACCACACCCGGCTAATTTTGTATTTAGTAGAGATGGGGTTTCTCCATGTTGGTCAGGCTGATCTTGAACTCCCGACCTCAGGTGATCCACCCGCCTCAGCCTCCCAAAGTACTGGGATTACAGGCATGAGCCGCCGCACCCGGCCACATAAATATACTTTCTAAATATATAGTTTTATTATCTCCAAATGTGCAGGACAAAGATCCAATTTAACCCCCCACCCCACACCCTGCCCCCTTTATTCTGGCAAAGCAATGATCTGCATTTTCCATACAATGATCAGCCCACAGCCTGGCACCCACTTCTAGCCATGGCAGCTCTGTGGTTGACCCATTTCTCATGAGAGGAGCCAGGGGGTTGAGTGCTCAGGACCACAAATGTGATGGGATGTTTTTTGCCTCCAAAGTGACTCATAAGAGCCCTGGACCCCAGAGGACGCAGGACAAGGCAGCGTCGTGGCGACCCCTGGTTGCCTGCAGTGCAGGCCCCCACTTCACTCCTTCATCTGCTCACTCACACTGGCTCACCCGTGCCTGTCAGCCAGCCCGGTCTGCTGACATATGCAATACTCCCATTTTGCAGATGATGAGGCCGAGTCTTAGAGGATATTCTGTGATTGATCTCTTTGGCATCCTCCTCACCGTTCTCATCCTCACCACTCCCTGAGGATCAGCATGTGCTGGGCACTAAGTGGGGGTCTAGGAAGGCTCTTTGGGCAGCATCACTGCCACTACTGTATATAGATGGGCGGGCTGCAGGTATGAAAGTGATGTATCCGGGCTCACCCTAGAAATGATCCAATGAGAATCCTGAACCCTAGCTGCCTTACCCCAAGCTCACTCTTCCCCTCCCACTGTCCTGCCAGGACCCAGGGCTGCAGGGCTCCTCAGCACCTCACTTGCAGAAGGCCTGTCCCCCGGACACGGAGAACAATGCTCTCCCCAGCCTTCTGGCCATATGTGACCCCAGTCTCCATGCAGCTGGGACGGCTTTCAGGCATAAAGCTGTAGAGGAGGCGCAATCAAGGACAAGCCCAGGCCTGGTGGTCAGGGAACGGGAGTTCCAAAGCTGCATCTGTTGCAGCCCAGCTGGGACCCTGGGAAGTTGCTTCCCTTCTCTGGGCGGGGGCTTCCCCATCCACAAAATGAATGATCTCTGCGGCCCCTTCTAGACCTTTCACTGTCTCAGAGCGTGCTCCTTCAGAAGCAGGCCCCAGGCGAGGATTCAAGTGGAGGTAGTTTATTTGAGAGGTGCAAGGATCCCAGCAGGAGGGAGGTAGAGGAAGACAGGAAAGAGAAGGCAGGAAAGATGGAGGACAGCGTGATCCCTGGAGTGCTGGAGCAGGCAGGCACCTGCCAGCAAGAGCTGACGGTGGAGGCATCTCCTCCCAGCTCCACCTTCAGTGACGTCACAAGAGTGGCTGAAATTGGCCTTGGTGGGAGTTTTTAGACCACAGCAGTCAGTGAACACTACAAGTCAGGTTCCTCCCCGCAGAGAGCCAGCTGATAACCATTTACCAGCTCAGGCAGCCTTCATTCCATAGGAAAACTCTGGGGAACATGCAGAACACACACCTCAGAGTCATCCCTGCCCAGAGAGGGAGCTGGCAGATTTGCACACAAACTCCTGAGTGTCCTTGGTTGAGGACAGCTTTGAGGAATGTTAATTTCCGGTATTCTTGTGGGTCCTACACAGAGGACAGAGCAGCCAGTGTGGCTCCAGGGCAAGTCCTCAGGTACTGGTGAACAAAAGCCCAACTGAGCACATGGGGTGGCCAAGGTCTGAGGGCTGCAGTGCAATCTGGGCACTCTGCTGCCCTCTTGGAATTCTTCATGGCCAGCCGGGTGGGGCGAGAGGATGAGGGGTCGGTGGGATTGTCCTGGGCACGGCCTAGAGCAGTGGGGTCGCTTTGCTAATCACCTGCTCTCCCAGGCAGAGCAGCACACGAACAAATTAGCAGAGAAGGCCAGCAAAGTGTTTTTTTTGGTTTTGTGTGTGTGTGCGTGTGTGTGTGTGTGTGTGTGTGTGTGTTTTGTTTTGAGACAGAGTCTCGCTCTTTTGCCCAGGCTGGAGTGCAGTGGCGAGATCTTGGCTCACTGCAAGCTCTGCCTCCCGGGTTCACGCCATTCTCCTGCCTCAGCCTCCCAAGTAGCTGGGACTACAGGCGCCCGTCACCACGCCTGGCTAATTTTTTGTATTTTTAGTACAGACAGGGTTTCACCGCGTTAGCCAGGATGGTCTCCATCTCCTGACCTCGTGATCTGCCTGCCTCGGCCTCCCAAAATGCTGGGATTACAGGAGTGAGCCACCGCGCCCGGCTGCAAAATTTTTAAAATCAGTTAAACCCTTAATCTTAGACAGCTTTCATCTCTATTTGGCCCATGAAAATGATGAAGAATTTAAGGGTTTTGCCGCTTTTCTTGATTTATATCGCATGCATTGTAGAGACAGTTGTTTTTTCATCTCCCACAAATTACATCATGTGTGAGCGTGACCCCTACTCTGCACCCAGGGTCTGAGCCTAACTTCAGGAAAGGGAGAATGGAGTCTGGGCAGAGGAGGAGCCACCAGTGAGGATGCATGGGGCTTGGGGCGGGTGTGAGGGGTGTCAAAACAGGTGGAGTGACTGAGCTATGCCTGTGTTGAGGCATAAGTGGAGAGCAGGCCTGGGAAGAGACACGGGAGATCAGGAGATGAGGCATCCAGCGAGGACATCGGGCAGGCCCAGGAATCATCTCCTCCCAGGATAAGCCTCTGAGCTCAGAGGCAGGGCCTAGCTCAGGGTGACAGGGGCTCTCCTGGTTCAGAGGTTTAGAGCAGACAGGAAAGCTCCTGGCATAGAGTGATTTCCAGAGATCGAATGAGCACAAACTCAGGGAGCTGCTCTCTGCCAAAGGAATGCTGCCCCACTGCCTCCTGTGCACATGTGCGTGGGTTTCCTGGCTGGGAAGCGGTGCAGCCTAGGGGCTTGGTGTGGGTCATGCTCCCAGGGAAGGATTTTCGCAGCAGAAGAGAGAAAGTGGTGGCATGAGTCAAAGCTCTGCTTCAAAGTCACTAATCCAAGCGCCACGCGTCCAAACAAGTCACGGAGTCAGGCTGGAGGCTGCACGTCGGAGCAGTGAGGTCCTGCCCTTGGAAGCCAAGTTTGGGGCTGTGAAACCACTCGTGAAGTAAAGCACAGAGGGTCAAGCACTCTCAGCATCCTGCGTTCTTCCATAAGCACACTTACAAAGGTAAGGGAAGACAGACTCTCGAGACATGAAGAGGAGCGGCCCCTCTGGTGAAGACACAGAGGACCTGAATGACAGGGGCAGCGTCCAGGCAAGGGAAGTGGTGCAAGGGCCCTGAGGCCAGTCAGGTGGCTGAAGGAAGCCAAGGAGCACTGCCTGGAGCAGGAGAACCAGAGGGAGGGTGGCAGGGGCAGGTCAGAGAAGCAGCAGCGCCGGAGAGAAGTCACGGGAAGACAGTGAGCCAGGAGGGCTGAGCCACGAGGGCAGCTCCAGGAGCTGAGGCCATCCAGGAGCAGGCAGGAGGCAGACAGCCCATGCAGCAGCCTCCTGTAGAGTCCCAGAGATGCCTGAGCCCAGGGCACAGATGCCACCCCAGGAGAAGAGGGGTCTGACCAGCAAGAGACAGGGTTCCCACATGAGCCATGGAACAGAAGGTACCACCTTACCTGCTCTTTCCCCAACAGAGAGCAGATGGGATCCCGGGGCTAGGGCGGAGGAGGGCGGGGTTGGGAGCCACAGAGCTGGTGTCACTGAAGACCTCCTGTCCCTCAGCCCTCCGCCCCAGCTCAGCTGCAAAAGTAGGCATGACTCAACCACCAGACAAGCTCAGGGCACCCCCAGAGCTGTGAGAACATTTCCTGTAGAGACCCCAGGAGGCAACAGAGAAGGCCTGAGTCAGCCTCCTCAGTGCCTTGTGCCTAGAGAAGCAACAGCATGGCCAGGTGCACACGTGTGGCCTCAGGGTCCCATGCAGAGAGGACACAGAGTATGTGTCAAGTGCCAGGCGCCACAGACCAAGGCAGGACCTGGATGTCCCATCAGATGCCAGTGGGAGACAGCAATCACCCAGCCTGGGCCAGACACACTTAGCAAGAGAGGCCCCCTGGCTCTCTCCTGCCAGCTCTGAAGCCCTGCCTCGGTTTCCCAGAGACACGGTTCTCCACAGCCTGGACTGAGCCAGGGGAGAAAAGTTTGGTGGTTGGGGTGGGAGGCAGTAAACTTAAACTGAAAATACTTGGGATAGAAGAGATTGACATCATTACATTTCAATTTTTTTTTTTGAGATAGGGTATCACTCTGTCACCCACACTGGAGTGCAGTGGCATGATCATGGCTCCCTGAGGCCTTGAACTCCTGGGCTCAAATAATCCTCCTGCCTCAGCCTCCTGTGTAGCTGGGACTACAAAGGGCTAGACACCATGCCTCGCTTATGTTTTGATTTTTTGTAAAGACAGGGTCTTGCTATGTTGCCTGGACTGATCTCAAACTTCTGGGCTCAAGTGATCCTCCTGCCTCAGCCTCCCTAAGTGCTGGGATTACAGATGTAAGCCACTATGCCCAGCCACATTTCAAACTTCAGAGCACTGAGGACAAACAGAAAATCCTATAAGCTTTCAGGAGAGACATAAAAATAAGTTGACCTGGGTTAGATGTAATAATCCAGGAATCACAATGCCAGAGAGTCTTGTTAGTAATTCTAAAATCTGTTTTAAAAAAACCTATATCTATACATATGGCAATATCTTCAAAATTCTATAGAAAAATCATTTTGATCAGAGAATTCTATACCGCTGTATAAGTTTGCCAGGGCTGCTGTAACAAAGTATTGCAGACTGGCTTAAACAGAGATTTATTTTCTCACAATTCTGGAGGATGGACATCTAAGATTGAGGTGTTGGCAGGTTTGCTTTCTCCTGAAGCCTCTCTCCTTGGCTTGTAGAGGGCCACCTTCTCCCTGTGTCCCCATGAGATCATCCCTCTATATGGCCTGTGTCCTGATCTTCTCTTCATATAAGGACACCAGTTAGACAAGATTAGGTCCCACCATAATAGCCTCATCTTACCTTAATTACCTCTTCAAAGTCCCCATCTCTAAATACAGTCACATTCGGAAGCACTGGGGTTAGGACTTCAACATGCAAGCTTGGGAGGCAGGGGGACACAATTCAGCTTATACCACCAGCCAAACAAGTCTGACGTTTTCAGACATGCAGGCCCTCGGATTGCCCTCCCGTTCACCCTTCCTTCCAGCCCTTCAGGAAATGAGCTTTTCCAAATCAAGGGCATGACATAATCAAGGCTGGCATCATCCTGCCAGGGCTGCAGGAAACAGAGGTCCAATGGGACGGAAAGCTGAGGACAGTCTCCAGTCCAGCAATGAAAGTAGACTCCATGATGGCTGAGCAGCAGGGCCAGAACGGCCAGGACAGCTGGGAGGTCACGGGCTCCCAGGGAGACTTTGCAGGAAAATGAAATGGATGGAACAGCTAATGTACTGGAACACCATGAGAGGAAATGTACACCAACAGGAAGGGGCACCGGCAATAGGAGAGGAGTTTGGGGATCAGTTAAGGACAAGGACAAAAAAGATAAATGTAAAATACAGATGATTATTCACTCTGGACAAAACAAAAACGTTATGCAAGAAAAAGAAAATGAAGTAAGTGAAAAATAGAAAGCAATCATCAACTGCAGGTAAAACAAAAAAGTTATGCAGGAATGGGCTTGGCTGTGAAAGGCCCTAACATAGTCACAAAGTCACAGTATAAACACTGGGTGTTAATCTTGTCAAGGATGATGGGACCACCCTCAACTCCAAAATAAAAAGCAGAGCTCAACTTACTGCCATCTCAAGCAAGGGAAAGCACTGCTGCTCAGGCAGCCTCCCAGAGGAAGCAGAGCTGGGAATGCAGGAATTAGTGGACCACCAGGCCGGGGATGATGCCATGACCCATCCCTTGAAGGTTATTGGGTGAAAGAGACTGTGGTTGATTGGCTGGCACTCCTGGGTTTAGTCAAGTAGTTCATTCCCTGATTGACTGAGTTTCAGTGAGGGGCTGACACTGATTGGTTGGCTACAAAACATGTTTCCTAAGGCTTTTGAAAGAGTTTTAAACCGGTTCTGCTGCTGCTTGTTGCCATGGCTATTGAATAATGGGTCTTTTCCTAGGAGTGTGGGAACGATAGTATTCTCAAGCGGCCCAGAATTAGGATGTAACTGTGTTGTTGACAAAGGGGGATTGGAAGTGTGGGGAATCTGTGTGTGGTATTGCCTACTTTCCCACCTTCCAGGGAGGGGAGTAAAAGGGAAACACCAGAAACTGGAAAGTCAAAGTTAGCCATGCAAGCATTTTACTTAGAGCTATGAACACACCATCAAAAGAACAGCTGAGGCTGGAGTCCTCCAGGGACCCAGAAACTGCAAGGTGGGACAAGGGACAGCCGCCTTGCCTAGCGAGTCCTGTGGGGCTTTTCCACACCTTCAATCTCATAGACATGTAACTTTGATAAAATATTTGTTTAGCTGAGTATGATTTTTTTTGAAGTTTTCACCTGTAAGTTATTAAAATGTTTTTGTAAAAAAAATAAGAGTCCCACCCCTCACACACTGCGGCAGGGAGGTAGATGTCTGCACTGGGTGCTCAGTCTCCGCGCTGGTGAACTCACAGAGGGCGCTCCCTCGCTCACCTCCCTCACTCACTGTAGCATCTGAGGAGGTGGAGAAGTTTCAGGTGCCAGCCCAGACACACCTCCCTGGGCTCACACTACGTACACCCTGTGCGGCTCCTCCAGCTGGAAGCTGGAGGGCAAACTTCTCCCCCAGCTCAATGAGGAGTCCCTAAATCAAGTTGAACAAAAACCAGGCACAAAACTAAAGTACAGAGATGAAAAGGTGATTGAAGAGGGCATCAATAAAAAACTGCTGCAAATCCATATTAAAAAAAAAAAACTCAAGAAAAATGAACAAAACACACAAACAGGCATTTCACAGAAGAAATACACATGAGAAAAGATGTCGTTCCTCATTAGTGATCAGAGAAAGGCAAATCAAGGCCCCAGTGAAATTCCATTTTACACTCATTTGGCAGAAACTGAAGGGTCTAAAGAGAGGTTGTGCTAGAGAGAGAGGATGCAGGTGTGGACCACAGCCGCTCTGCTGGTGGGAGGGCACACGGGTACAGCTACGTTGGAAAATAATTGGCGTATCAATGTGGACCAGTCACATACCCTAAGG
Source organism: Homo sapiens (assembly GCF_000001405.40). Taxonomy (NCBI): domain Eukaryota; kingdom Metazoa; phylum Chordata; class Mammalia; order Primates; family Hominidae; genus Homo; species Homo sapiens. The sequence continues at coordinate 128,522,481 of NC_000002.12, read as the reverse complement.
CCCAGCAGCACCACCCCTAGATATATATCTGAGAGAAACTCTGGCACATGTGTACCAGCATGCGTGGACAACAATGTTCATGGCAGCATTCACAGAACAAAACTGTGGAGACACCCCAGGTACCACACAGAAGAGAATGCGGCTCATTCACAAGGCGGAATTCCACACTTCAGTCAGCACAACTGCACCAAAGGGACAGACGATGGTATGGGTGATCTGGGAAGCATCTTATTAGGGAAAAAGCTGCATTCCACGAGAACACACATAGCATTAAACCCCATTTAGGAGGAGCATCAAGCTGAGCTTTACACACAATGATAGACCTAGGATTCAAAGAAGTGTACTAAATAGTTCCTTAATCCAGGCATCATTCAATGACAACTTTTTCCCCCAGGAATCTAGAATAACTTCCTGTGCAAATGCTCCAAGCCCTTGGCAGAGGACCTCCTCTCCCTGGAGGCTGCACTGCTGCTTTCTGGTCTATTAGAAGCCATTAAATCCTGAGACACACACCCTCCCCTTCTCCCTCTGCAGCACTCCAGGGTCAGGGGGCACCAAGGGCCTGACCGTGGGCCTAATTGACACCACCCCTGGAGTCCTTACCCTGATCTCATCAGGAAGATCAAAAGTGGGAGCAGAGGGGGATGGACCCATAGCCAGGGCAGAAGGGATGTTCATGACTGTAGCTATCGTGTTGGCCAGATGTTGTGGACAATTGTGCAGAGCTGCAGGGGCCAGACCATGCTAGGGTGACGGAACTTCAGAGCTAAACCTGGGACAGGCGGGCTGAGATGCTTGTCACCCACATGGCCCTCCAAGGGCCCAACCCCGGAGGGCTTCACTGCATCACCATGGCCTGGATCTGATGTCTCTCCAGGCTCCTCAGGGACAGGCCATTGTCATCTTCAAGTATCAGCCAAGGGGACCTCAGAACTATTAGAGTTCTCCTTTGAGACCCCCCATTCTTATGAGCACCCCATCACCAGCAAGAGAGAATCTCTTCACTTCTAATGGAATTTGATTCCCAAAGGGAATTGTGGCCTTCTCTGTCCCATCAGTCAGGCTCTGAAGTTAATAAAAGGAGTCCCTAGACCTGCAGCCCTAGACACATTGAACACACATGGCAGCCTTCATGAAAGGCGCTTTGACCACAAGCTCTGTTGGACATAGACAGGCTGCCTGTGAAATGAAGGTCCTTTGCCCCCAGAGGAAGGTGGTTGCTTCCTGGGGAGGGGAGAGCCAGGAGAGAGGAGGGTCCTCTCTCCCTTCATGAGGCTGACTAGGGCTGGGCTGTATTCAGGTCCTTAAGGGGAAATGACCCTGTGGTCAGCGAGCAGCCCTGTCACTTGGGGACCTCAGAGCCCCAGCACTGTCACTGGCCTTGAGGCGTCAGGCACAACAGCTGTCAGGAAGGAGGAGGTGGCTGTGCCAGGTGCCTGTGGTCTTTCCAGTCATCCGGTCTCCGGCAGCCAGGTCCCCAGGCCTGGAGACGCCCACTTGCCTCCTGTTTGTCATCGCTGCTATTGCCGCTGTTTTTGTAGACAGTGCTATCCCCAGATTGACTCAGCACAGACCACAGGACGGGAGTTTCCCGTACACCATCCTTGACCCTCCCCTGTACCTGCCAGGCCAGTGTGCCCCTCCTCAGGTGACAGCTGAGGCTCAGAAGGAAATAACTTGCCTGTCTTCACCTGCAGAAGGACCCCACTCGTCTGACTCCAAAGCCTTTCCCAGGAACCCTGAAATGACACTTTGAAAGTACCTGCCTTTTCAAAGGGCCTATCCAGACCACTGGCAGTTCAGCATGGCCTGGGCTTAAAGGCCAGGCCCCTCCCGGGAGGAGTGTGGTCTCCATAAGGAGGACTCACAGGAAAAGGCCAGGGATGGGGAAGAAACTGAGGCTGCTGATGTAATCCTGTTGGGTGCCTGGCTGGGGCCGGAGTGTTGAAGTGTGCCTGGTGACTCAGCAAAGGCAGCTCTGCCCTGCCCTGTGTGCCCCAAGATGAAGTGGGCAGTGACTTAGGCCTGCCCCTCTCCCACCCAAAGCCCTTCTTCTGTCGAGATTTCAGGTATACCTGGCTGATCCCAGCTAGGTGTCAACTGGGCTGGTTCCTTCCAGCCTCTGCTTGGCGTGAAGATTCCATCTTCTCCTGTGTCCCGATGTCTGCACAGGTGGGGTAACTTCTAGAAACTTTCACTAACCCCACATCCTTGCCACAGCCCCTCAAGTTTCTCCACTTTTGTTTTCCAAAATCCCATTTCATTTCCTATGGGAAGAGCCAGGCCTTGGGGAGCTAGTTCTGCAATCTAGCTGTCTTTGTAAATCTGCTCCAAGGCCCTGGGAATGGAGGCTAATGTGCCCCAGGCTGACACTCTACCCTCAAGAGTGGGGCAGGGCTGGCATCCTCAGTCATCCCGGGAGAGTCACTGCCCCCCACCATGCCCTGCTCTGCTCTGTGCTCAGCCCTGGTCCAGGTGCTGAGATCTGGTGGCACACACAGGATGCTCACAAAGCATGTTAGAACAAGACTCAATGCAGTAAGGAGGAAGGGGACAGCCAGGGCCATGGGACATGCTGGGTAGAGGATGTGAACTCCAAGGCCTCACTGAGGGGTGGCTTGGAGACAAAGAAGTCTGTGAGGGAGCTGGCCATGTGGACACCAAGGAACTGGCATTCCCGCTGAGGAAACAGCAAGGACAGAGGCCCAGCCATGGGAGGACCTGGGTGTTTGAGGAGCATGACAGGCCTGGGGCCCAGGAGCAGGCTAGCGGCCAGAGTGGAGCAGGTGGGGCCTGTGGCTCCTGCCAGGGCTCTGTGGACCCCTGGAGGGGTCTGCACAGAAGCGGGATGTGGTTGGAGCAGAGAAGCATGGTGCTGCTGTGGTGAGGAAGGACTGGTGGGAGGCAAGGGGGGCTGGGGAACCTCCTAGGTGATGCACTGGCCAGCTCGGGACCCCGCAGCAAATGCCACCAGCTGACAGAGACTCCTGTCATTCTGTTCTGGAGCCTAAGAGCCAGAGAGCAAGGTGTCAGCTGGGCTGCTTCCTTCCAGGCCTCTCTGCTTGGTGTGGAGATGCCATCTTGTCCCGTATCCTCACATGGCCTTCCCTCTGGGTATCTGTGTCCTCATCTCTTCTTCTCAGAAGGACACCAGTCACCTTGGATAGGGGCCCCGCCCATGTGGTCTTGTTTACTTTAATCCCCTCTTTAAAGCCCCTATCTCCAATGCGCCCGCCGTGTCCATGGAGAGAGGCTGAGGCGGCCGACCTCCGGCCCGAGGCACCGGGGCATCGGGACGGCGAAGATGTCGGCTTCCTTAGTCCGGGCAACTGTCCAGGCTGTGAGCAAGAGGAAGCTGCAGCCCACCCGGGCAGCCCTCACCCTGACACCTTCAGCAGTAAACAAGATAAAACAACTTCTTAAAGATAAGCCTGAGCATGTAGGTGTAAAAGTTGGTGTCCGAACCAGGGGCTGTAATGGCCTTTCTTATACTCTAGAATATACAAAGACAAAAGGAGATTCTGAAGAAGAAGTTATTCAAGATGGAGTCAGAGTGCTCATCGAAAAGAAAGCACAGCTAACACTTTGAGGAACAGAAATGTGCTATGTTGAAGACAAATTATCCAGTGAGTTTGTGTTCAGTAACCCAAACATCAAAGGGACTTGTGGCTGTGGAGAAAGCTTTAATATTTGAAATCTCAGGACTCTTCTGGCCGTAGGTTCCAGGAAAGCTGGTGGAAGCTTTGGGGTTCAATGCAGAAATCATGTGACTGTCACGTGCTGGAAAATAAAGTGATACATCTTGAAAATGAAGCCAGTGTATTGGATTCTAGAAGAAATGATATTTATATTCTCTATAGGGGACAGAAAATGAGAAGCCATCACTCTCTTTGGATCATTTAGGTCTCTTGCATCCTTTATTTTAGAACCAGTTTCATTAAAGTTGCCTTCCTGGGCACTTGTTTATCCATTTCCTCAACTGTGTGCACTCCTTAGATCGCTATTGAATGGCTTGAACATCCCTCAGCATTTCTCCCAACCAGATCGGCGACGCCTAAAATCCAAGACAGGACATCCTGACTGCTGGTAGTAATGTGGCGGTGCATTGTTTTTCCACCCAAACTTAACACAGCCTTTTTATACATTTTTATGAAAAATTTCATTTTCAGCTGCCTCACTGCATACCCTTTAATAATACCAGGCAAAGATTTTCTTCAACTATAGTACAGATTAGTTCTGAGTGATGGTATCAAAAGGTGAGAAAGACGTCATCCACCTTTTTTTTAATCCATTTCTTTTGCCACCCTATATGTCTGTTCAGAGATGGGATCTCAAGCTGACTTTGATTCTTTTAGTTGAGGAGTCTCTTAAAGCCATCTAGCCCACCTCCCTCAATTCCCTATGTGAGGAAGCAAAACCCCAGGGAAGCCAAAGGGCTCCTCTCTACCCTGACTCCACAGGCCGGGGGAGAGTAGGGACTCTACCCCCCTCTCCCCTTCCTTGTAGGTGACACATGTTCTGCCCTCTGAGGCAGTCAGTGAAGGCAAATGGTCTGACTTCTTTATGTGGTCAACATTTTGATAGAATTTCTTTATAATTTGATAGAGATTATATTATTTTTATTTTATTTTGAGTGGGAAGAATTTTAAAACCTTTATATGTGAATTACCATCTTGTTTCTTTCACCTTTGAAACAATGGTTTGTAGCAGAGACGACATTGTAGCAACCCAGATATGCTTTTGGAATGTGGTCCTCACTGTACAGGAGAATGTGGGGATCTTTTGTTAAAATTCCCAGTGTGCATACACTTTCTGGTTCCTTGGTCCAGTTGCTAAAGTTCTTAGTATTTTAGCCTAACATATTTATCACCAACTTTTCCTTAAAAGTGTTCCTTTTGTCACTTAGTTACTGATTTTCCTGGGTTTGACATAATAAGTATTCTATGAGATGATATATATGCTTTTTCTGAAAGCTAATTCTCATGAATTCAAGTAGCTGAGTTCCTTTATGTTTCGTTTATTCACTAAAGTAGCTGGCACAAAACACACCAAAACCTAGAGTGGTAGTTTTATGTAAATGCTCATGAGTTTGTATCAATAATATAATTGTTGATCCACTTATAATTCGTGCAGTACTGTATGTATGTAGAGATTGAGTTGTCAATTAAAAAAAATGTGGCCTCTTTGTGATCACACACAAAAAAAAGCCCCTATCTCCAAATACAGTCACATTCTGAGGTCCTGGGGTGCAGACTTCACCATATGAATGTTTGGAGGGGAATCACAATTCATCCCACTACAGTGACAATGACAGGAATCCCGGGGAGGCATCGTGGGGGCTGGGGCCATCGCGGCAGCAGGGAAGATGGTGAGAAGGGGTCAGATCCCACAGGCAGGCACCGAGGGAGGGTGCAGAGACGGCCTGCCTAGGTGAAGGCGGTAAGGGGTACACATCCCACAGTGAATTTAACACCACCAATGACACTGATGAAAAGTTGATGGCTTCATAACATCACCATGTGCAGACAATAATATATTCATTGATAAAATACTACTCCTGCAAAAACTGTTCTGTTTATCTTATTTCTACCACTGCTGCAGTCACTGTTGAGTTCTAATAACACGTGTGTGAACCTCAAGCTTGTACCTCTGTCACTTTTCCTCTCGTCAGCATTGTGTTCTACATACACATTAATTCAGAGGGCTCCCAGCTGCTCGGGTGGTCCCACATGGGCACCAGCTCTCATCGAAGTTCACGGGTTTCAGAATCACACCAGCCACCATGGGCCAAATCAGGTGTCCAACCCCTTCAAGTAAACGGGACATTTACAATAAACATTAACAGCACAATTATGAAGACAAGGGAAGGCCGGACACGGTGGTTCATGACTATAATCTCAACGCTTTGGGAGGCTGAGGTGGGAATTCAGCCTGGGCAATACAGTAAGACATCATCTCTGCAAAAATAAAAATAAAAATTATCCAGGTATGGTAGCGGAGGCTGAGGTAGAAGAATCACTTGAGCCTAGGAATTTGAGGCTGCAGTGAGCTATGACTGCACCACTGCACTCCAGCCTGGACAACAGAGGAAGACCCTGTCTCAAAAAAAAAAAAAAAACCGAAAACAAAATAAAGACGAGGAAACAGAACATCAGTTACTTCAACTCTGTCAGTCTATGGGACCACTTGGGATGTTTATTTGTGTTTAAAATATGTAAAGTGATAAAACTGTGAACTTCAAGGTATAACATTTTTTGTTTGACAAATATACATATTAGTTCATACATGAAATATTACTGATTTTAAATACTATCTTTAAAAATGAAAATGCCGGGCGCGGTGGCTCACGCCTGTAATCCCAGCACTTTGGGAGGCGGAGGCAGGCGGATCACGAGGTCAAAAGATTGAGACTATCCTGGCCAACATGGTGAAACCCCGTCTCTACTAAAAATACAAAAATTAGCCAGGTGTGGTGGCAGGCACCTGTAGTCCCAGCTACCTGGGAGGCAGAGGCAGGAGAATTGCTTGAACCCGGGAGGCGGAGGTTGCAGTGAGCCAAGATCGCGCCACTGCACTCCAGCCTGGGCAACAAGAGTGAAACTCCATCTCAAAGAAAAAAAAAAAAAGTATTCACTTTTATCATGCCATGATTATACATACAAAGTTCAATTTAAGACACTTTACACTCTGCATTTTTTTTTCTGGACATGATTATAAGTTTTATCTCTTGACTATGACTGATAATAATTCTGCCATACAGAAGAGGGATGTCTTGGTCAGTTTAGGCTGCTGTAACAAAGTACCATAGACTGGATGGCTTAAACAGCAAACACTCCCTCCTTGTGCTCTGGAAGCCAGAAGTCCGAGATGAAGGTGGCAGCGTGGTCGGGGTCCTCACCTGACCTTTCCTTGCTTCATGCAGAAAGAAGAGAGAGAAATCTGGTATCTCTTCTTGTTTTAAAAGGCAGGAATCCCACAGCGGGGCTCCTCCCTCGTGACCTAATCTCACCCAGAGGCCCCACTCCTAATGCCAACAACTTGGGGCTTAGGGTTATTCAACACATGAATTTCGGGAGGATACAAGCCTTCAGTCCATGGCACAGGGGTTGTTAGAAAAAGTTATAACCGGCCGGGAGCGTCGGCTCACACCTGTAATCCCAACACTTTGGGAGGCGGAAGCGGGCAAATCACGAGGTCAGGAGTTCGAGACCAGCCTGGCCAACACGGTGAAACCCTGTCTCTACTAAAAATACAAAAATTAGCTGGGTGTTGTGGTGGGTGCCTGTAATCCCAGCTACTCGGGATGCTGAGGCAGGCGACTCACTTGAATGAGGGAGACGAGGCTGCAGTGAGCCAAGATCTCACCACTGCACTCCAGCCTGGCAACAGAGCAAGACTCCATCTCACAAAAAAGAAAAAGAAAAAGTTATAACCTCTGGGTGTCAAATGTGCTTAGAAGGCCCCTGGGACTCAGGGTATGTTTGAAAGGTGGAACCAGCAGGTGAAAACTGACTACAAGTGTGAGGACGGGGTATGTTGGGGTGCCTGGGCTGGCACCGGCTGTGGGAGGAGCAGACGTGGCTGGGCATGGGCAGGGAGCAGGAGTCAGGTGTTCAGGAATGTTCCATTTGTGATACCTGCTGGACATCCCTGCTGAGCTCTCAAGTGGACAGTCAGGTAACCAGGCCGAGGGCCCAGGGAGAGGTCGAGGCTGAAGGGCAGAACCTGGGAAGCATCGATAATTACGTGGACTGGAATACAAGGAGACTGACTGCCTGGCGGCACCTCAAACAAATAACAAAATCACAGGCACAGCTCTTCAACGCGGCCACAGGCATCGGAGAAGCAGCTCCCCCGGGACTGGGCAGCAGTGGGTCCCTAGCTGGTCTGAGGGCCCAGCAAGGTGAGACTGACGTGAGCCAGCCAAGCAGGGGTGGAGGTGGGAGACACAGGGGGTGTCTTGAGAGCACAGTAAGCAGTGCCGTGTCTGATGTGGGATTTTACCATCAGGCCTCAGGAGAAGATTGAAGAGTTCTAAGTAGGAAAGTGACGTGATCCGATTTGAGTTTTGAAAAGATCACATAAACCCTGCTTTGTGGAGAGGGGATTAGAGAAGCAAAGTAATCTATTCAGGTGAGAAATGACACATGGGGACCAGGGCAATGTCAGCAGAGATGGAAAAAGCTGGTAGAGCCGAGAAACCAGAGGCAGGTGACCCACACAGGAGATGAGTATGGAAGGAGGGGACTGGGCTGAGAAGAAATCCTGGGTGTGGGGTGCCCTGTGCTGAGACAGGGAAGGCAAGGGAAGGGAAGGGCACCATTTAGTTTAGACATAACTCACCCCAAGAGGAAGTGGGGCCCAGTCCCACTCTGCAGGGCTCCTTGCTAGAGGAAATGAAACTCGGTCATTCATTCAACAACGGGGAACTTAGAACTCACTGGCAGTGGGCACTTGGCCAGGTCCTGGGTCCGATCCATAATAGTGAGCAAAACAAAGTCCCTGCACTTAAGGGAGCTTACATCTCATGGGGGACCCAGGCAATAAGTAGGGAGACGTGGACAGATTGGGGGTACATGTGAAAGCAGAACCAGTGGGACTTGCTGATGAGCTGGATGCAGAGAGTGAGGGAATAAGAGGAAGCAGGACAATTTCTAAGATTCATCATTGAGAAACTGGGTGGACAGAGGTGGCTCACACAGACTTGAGAAAGACTGGGAGAGAACAGATTTCAAGGGAAAAATTAGTGATTAAGTTTGGGGCACGTCAAGTTTGAGAGATTTCTTGGACATCCAAGTCATGGGATCAGGTAGTACCTGAGCTCCTTGGAGGGCCTGGCACACACAGGCCACAGTGCTGGAGGTCACGTGATGGATGGGCTGGCCGGGGAGATAAGACGAGGGCCCACAGAGTTCGGGAACCTTGGGAAGATGGAACAAGTCTCACCGAGTCTGAGAAGGAAGGGGTAAGCCACACAGAATGGGGTCACAAAGGCCTTAGGAAGGCTACGTGTGTCGTCACCCAGGGTGATGCTGCTGAGGGAGTGGGGAGTGTGGATTTGACAATGTGAGGGTTCAAGGCCAGGGTCATCGGTAGAATGGCTTGGGAGGAAGGCCATGGAGCAGGATGCAAGACAAAGAAGTGGTGAGGAATTAGAGACCACGCCAAAAGCAGCTCTCGTAATGTGACTTACACAAGGGATGATCATAAAACCAATAGAGAGGCATTTTCATTTTCACAATTCAACTTTCAGTCCATGCCAGATGTTGCTGCTTAGAAAGAGGATACCCAAGAGAGGAGCCCAGTGCAGGGCAGGGATGTTGAGTGTGGCCTCAGGACCCATCTTTCTTCAGGGCTGGGGCTTCTTTTGGGGTCGCCCTTGGCTAAACACCAGCGTGATTGGAAACTTGGAAACCCAGGGCATCTTCACACCCAGTGAGGGCCTGCCAGCCCTGAGTGTGGCTCCACTGCCCCTCCCTGAGCTGGGCTCTGCTCACAGCTCACTGGCTCTCACCCAGCTATTTGTGCATCCATTTGTTTAAAAATTCTTGCTGAATCCAAGGATTCAGGCCTGAATTAGACCTCATTCTTGCCCAGGAGGACAGATAAGGAGGCAAAGAAGAACATGATAAGCTTTGGGGTGGCGGGGGCATGAGGCTGCAGCGACAGGGGAGAGCCTGTGCCAGTCCTGTCTGGAGCAGATGGGCTGGGAGCTCCTCAGGGGGAGGCGACTCAAGTGCCAGCCCTTAACAGCCAAAGGCAGTCATCCCAGTAAAGAGGGCAGTGGATCCCAGGGCTTAGCAGGTGGCAGAGGAGAAATGCCTTGGTTGGGGGCCAAGCTGGCCCTGGGTCTGGATTACGCATTTTTCACTTTTCCATGTGTTTCTCTCAGTAGTCCTGGGAGGTTAAGAGAACCTGAATTATTCACTGTGATTAGCAAATGATTAAACCGAGGCCCAGGGCCGGCCTCACCACCATCTCAGGCAGAGGCACAGGATTGGGAGCCATGCTTACAAGTGCTTACCAGCACTGGGCTCTTTACACACACGGCCTTCTTTGCTCTTCTGGCTTCTTGCAGGAGGTATCTCTGTGGGACAAGGGAGGGAGGTGAGGCCCAGGAGACCACACTGCAGTGATAGGGAGGTCAGGCAGGGTCTGGGAAAGTGTCCCTGCCGCGTACCACCCCCAGCTCAGAAGGGGGCCTGAGGCCTGGGCTTTCTGAGCCCTATTGACCGGGGGAACAGGAGCGAACCCTGGCTCTCTGGAGACGCCTGGAGCCTTGGTGCTGACAAGGCAGGGACTAACCCGGAGCCGCAGCCAGTCAGCAGAACAGCAGCTGTCCATGGCCTGTGGTAAGGGCCCATCTACCTGCCCCTGGAAGTCAACATCATTGAGTCTCTCTCCTTCCTGCTCTGCCAATCCTAGATTATCTAGGACTTGACGTCCCTCAATGGCTCAGTCTCTCCAAGCCCAAGGAGTGACCCAGAAGGGCCCCCTAGGCTGCATCACCACCTTGATAGAGTTGGATAGTTGTCCCTGCCCACATCTCAAGTTGAATTGCAATCCCCACGGTGGAGGTGGGGCCTGGTGGGAGGTGATTGGATCATGGGGATGGATTCTCACGAGTGGTTTAGCACCGTTCCCTTAGTGCTGCCCTCAAGATAATGAGTGAGTTCTCCCACGATCTGGTTGTGTAAAGTGTGAGGCACCTCACACACACCCTCTCACTTGCTCCCACTCTGCTTTGTAACATGGCTGCCCTCCTTTTGCCTCGCACCATGACTGGAAGCTTCCTGAGGCCTCCCCAGAAGCTGACGCTGCCATGCTTCCTGTATGGCCTAGAGCACCATGAGCCAATCTGACTTCTTTTCTTGATAAATTACCCAGTCTCTGGTATTTCTTTATAGCAATGCAAGAACAGCCTAATACACACCTCCTCTGGGTCCAGGAGGTAACACTGTGCCTGGGAGGTGAGCCCCACTTCCCACAGGCCCCAGAGGTCTTGGCGGCAGCAGGGAAGGCAGGTCCTATCTGGAGACCAGGTGAGAACACGCTCCAGGCTCCCCTGAGTCTTTCATGGGCAATAAATGGCCTGAAGAGCCTGGGCCTTCCCTGCTGTGATCCTTTCCACCCCTGCCCGCAGCTCAGGAACTCCAGCTTCACCTGGAGCAGCCTGCAGATCCCGAAAGAGCAAAGAGGAAACACAAAATGTCCCAATGACAGCCACAACACCATTCTCTATAAGGCAACCAACCCACCTGCCACCCTGCCAGCTCCAGCTCCAAATATGCCCCATGCCTGGCAGTGTCTGGAGGAGGAGGCAGCATCAGAGAAGGCTGTTTCCCAGACAGGAGAAACTGCAGCACATTGGCATGTGGTGGGAATGAGCCGATAGCAAGGGGGAAAATGATGATGCAGGAAAGGAGGAAATTGGGGATCCCTGCCCTAAAATTCCTGGCATGCATGCTGAGGTTCAGTCTCCCTCCTGGCACACAGATGAACCAGGCCCAACATACACCATTGCCAAGAGTCCTCTCAGCCAGAGAATTCTTGAAGAGCCCCAGATGCAAGTAAGTGTTCCTTGAGCTGAAGAAACCAGAACTAGAAGATGCAGTAACCTTGGGACCCAGGGCTGTGAGTCATCAAAGCATAAGGCTTACTCGAGTTTGGGAGAGGATATATTTCCTTTCTTTGAAAATATTTCTTGTTGTGTTCTTAATTTTTTAAAAAGTCAGCTCATGGCAGCCACTCAATAAAAATGTAAAACAGACTGAGTACAGTGGCTCATGCCTGTACTTCCAGCACTTTGGGATGCTGAGATGGAAGCATTGCTTGGAGCCAGGAGATCAAGACCAGCCTGGGCAACATAACAAGAACCCATCTTTACAAAAAATGTTTAAAAATTTTCCAGGCATGATGGTGTATGCATGTAGTCCCAGCTACTCGGGAGGCTGAGGCGAGAGGATTGCTTGAGCTTAAAAAATCTATAGAGAGAGACAGAGACAGAGAGATTGAAATCAAGCCCAGATGCCAGATGGCTTTAGGGTGAGTTCTAAAAAGCAGTCAAGGAATAAATAATTTCATTATACAAACTATTCCAATGCGTAGATAGAACGTTAGCTCACTAGAAGTCTAGAGTAACTGTGAGAGCAAAACTAAACAAGGATAATACTATACAAACAGGGAAAATTATGGGCCAATTATACTCATGAACATAGATACCTATATCATAAATAAATTATTAGCAAACCAAGTCCAGTGATGAATAAATACAAAAATATATCATGATCAAGTTGCTCCCAGGAAAGCAAGATTGATTTACTATTAGAAAATATATTGATGCAATTCACCACTGCAATTGTTAAAATTAAAGAAAGGGAATGAAATAATAATTTCCAGCTGGGCACAATGGCTCACACCTGTAATCCCAGTACTTTGGGAGGTCAAGGCGGTTGGATCACTTGAGGTCAGGAGTCTGAGACCAGCCTGGCCAACATGGTGAAACCCCATCTCTACTAAAAATAAAAATATTAGCTGGGTGTGGTGGCAGGTGCCTGTAATCCCAGCTACTGCTTAATAATAATTATTATTATTATTTCCCTATAAATAGACTTTTGAAATTTAATGAAAAGACCTCTTCACGTACTAGGAATAAGAGCAAACTTCTTTAACTCGATAAAGTCTGTGTCTCGAAATCCAGTGAAAAAATCATACTTAGCACTAGCATAACTTATTTGAAGTCAAAGACAAAAGTATCCTCTATAACTACTTCATTTACTATTGTGCTCGAGGTCTTAGCCAGTGCAATGGGAAAAGAAAGTAAAAGGATTAGAAAGAGAAAAACGTATTTTATTATTTGCAGATAATGTGATTTATGCACAAAAAAAAAATCTAAAAGAAAAGAGTCTAGCAAGTTCACTGGATATAAGATGATGATGATGGTGTGTGTGTGTGTGTGCACTCATGCCAGCAACATTACATTTTAAAATGAAAATTTTTGAAAGTACGACTTCCAATAACAATATAAATTATAAGTACTTAGGAATAAAGTTAAGAAATTTGTACAAGACTTGTACACGTTGTTGCCCTGTGCAGCCATGAACTTTGTACACTGCACAACTCCAGGGGGCATCACTAGACTGAGATACACAATTTGCACAAGTGCAGCCATGCCTTTATAGAAAAAGTTCTAAGAAATCATTGAAAAAATTTAAAATAAATGTAAATACATAGGTAGTTTTACCATCCTCTTGAGATTTAGCATCATAAAGATATTGGTTCTTCCAAAATTATGCTATAAATTAAATGCAATTCAAATAAAAATTCAACAGCCTATTTCATGGCACTTGACAAAGTGATGATTTTGAAAAATATCTGAGAAACAAAGGGCCAAGAATACCAGCAAAATTTTTAATAAAAAGAAGTGGATAGGAATATTTATCCCATTAAATATCAGAAGTTATAATAAAGCTATAATCATTAAAGCAGTGTGGTATTGACCCAGGAACCATCAAATAGGAAGGGGGAACAGAATAAAAAGCCCAGAAACATATCCACACATATGTGGAAACAATGTGTGAGCTGGCATTAAAAATAGTGAGGACTGGGCAGCACGGTGGCTCCAGGCTGCAATCCTGAGGTGAAGCAGGAGGATCTCTTGAGGCAGGAGTTCGAGACCTGCCTGAGCAACGTAGCAAGCCCTAATTTATATCTATATAACAATAAAAAATAATTAACAAAATAAAAATAAAATAGTGGAGACAGATGTTTCCATAAAGGAAAATATAAAAGCAGATCTTCATTTTGTACCACATACAAAAATCAGTTCGCACTAAAATAAAAATCTAAACATGAAAAGTAAAACCTTTAGGAAAAAATATGGGTAAGCATCTTTTATGGTCTGGCTACGAAGAAGGATTTCTTGAGGAACACAAAAAGGACAAGTCATAAAGGAAAAGGTTAATGAACTTGACTACAGTAAAATTTGTAAGTTCTTTTTTTGTTTTTTGTTTGTGTTTTGTTTTGTTTTGTTTTGAGACAGGGTCTCACTCTGTTGCCCAGGCTGGAGTGCAGTGACATGATCTCGGCTCACTGCAATCTCCCAGGTTCAAGGGATTCTCCTGCCTCAGCCTCCCAAGTAGCTAGGACTACAGGTGCGTGCCACCAGGCCCAGCTAATTTTTGTATTTTTATTAGAGATGGGGTTTCACATGTTGGCCAGGCTGATCTCCCAACTCCTAACCTCAAGTGATCTGCCTGCCTTGGCCTCCCAAAGTGCTGGGATTACAGGCATGAGCCACCATGCAGAGCCAAAATTTGTAAATTCTATGAATGAAAGATATCAAAAACAAAATAAAAACACAAGCTCATACTGAGAGAAGATATTTGCTGCTTAATAACACACAGTTAGTAGACAACATATATAAAGAATTCCCACAAATCAAAAAGAAAAAGACAAACAACCCAATTTTTTCAATGGGTAAACACTGTGAATGAGCAATTCATAAAAAGAGGAAAACCAAAAGAAGGAGAGCCATAGGAAAAGATGTCCAAGACTCCCCAGTAAAGGCAGGTGTCCCTGGGAGGCCCTGGTGTACCTCAGCCTCACACTAACTTCTCCAGGTATAGGTCACCCCAAGAGCCCTGATGGGAAGCCCAGAGATGAGTGAGCCAGCCCTCCCTTTAGGACCTCACATTCTGAAGGGAGAGAAAGAGGCATGATCACCCATATCCCTGCACAGAACATGCCAAATGGATATTTGCACGAAGGTTTGTGCACCACCGGGGGGAACTGCCAGCTCCACCAAGGCATTTAAGGAAAAGGCCCCTGGAATTGGGGAAATTCTAGCTTTCAAATCCTAAAGCAAATATGACATTTGTGACATAAATTGCTTTCTACTATCTAGTTTTCAAAACCACTGGAAGAGAGAAAATCACCATGGAGTAGCAGAGAGAGGCTTGGACAGAGAGATCAGAGAAATCCTAATTCCCCTACCAGCTGCTCCTAATATGCTCAGGTAATCCTGGTCTATCACCTACTCAAAAGTCCAGCGTAGATATCAAATGGGCATCTCAAACTCAACCACCCAGGACTTCAGCTCCTCAATCTTCCCCCACCCACTTGGCCTGAACCTTGCCTGACTCCACTCCATCCTTCCCATCACTCAGGTCAAAACCTTTAAGGTCATGGTTGACTCATCTGCTCTAATGGATCAGAAAATCTTGAGAGCTCACTATGCAAAATATATCCAGAATCTGGCCACATCCCTCCACTGCTAAGGCCCTGGCATGAGCTACCACCACCTCTCACCTGGATTATTGTAGTAGCCACCCAAGGATTCTACCTGCCCCACCCTTGCCTCCATACACAGCAGTCATGTGACCTTTTTAAAATAAAGTCCTGATTATAATGCTCCTCTGCTCCAACCCTCCCTGGCTCCCATTTTGGAGGAAAAGCCTAAGTCTTCATGGTGACTTCAAAGCCCCCCACAGCATGGCTTCCCTTGCCCCCGCTACAGCTCTTCCTGCAAGCGCTCTGTTCCAACCACGCTGGGCTCCTGGCTCTTCCTGGAGCACTCAGGCATGGCCCATCTTGGGGCTTTTGCAGGGTTGTTCCCTCTGCCTGGAACATTCTTCCCCCAGATAACCCCATGGCTAACTCCCTCGCCTCCTGCAAACCTTTGCTTAACATCACCTTGGCTTGGAGGCTTGCTCTGACTACTTATACAAAATTGCAAGCTGCCTCCAGCCCTTGCCCAACCCAGAATCCCTAATCTCACCTACTCTGCTGGGATTTCTCAAACATGAACTCCTCCTAACATACTATAGAATGCCCATAGTTGATAATGTGTCTCCTCCCTACTAGACCGAAGCTCTACAAGGGCAGGGATTTGTGTTATTCTGCCCAGTGCCTAGGGCAGTAGCTGGCAGGTGGAATACTTACTGAATTGAAAAGCTCTTAACATTGCTGAGTCCCAGCTTGCCCATCTTCCAAAGCTGAAATCTTTAACCTAGCTCAAAGGTGCTTATTGCTGGAAAGATCAAAGGAAAATGCTTTTAAAATATCTAACACTGTGCAAGAAATGGGTAGGGAGAGCTGCAGTTCTTCCTTTCAAACCACCCTTTAATAAAAGGCAAAGATTGCTGACTAAGCCTTCAGGGGTGGGGATAACACAAGTAGGGCCCTGGACAGCTGTAGGTCAAGCTGGAGGCCCCAGGTCACTTGTGTGGATGGCATCACCTACAGGCATTGGCTACATTTTGTTGAACTCTTGCTCTCATAGAGGTAGAAAGTCCCCTTGCTGGTTAAAGATGTGGAGTGGTGTCCTGGCTATTGGTGCTTCCTCTGCTGATTGCAGGGCCTAAGGACACAGCATCCTTGCCAGTGTCATAGGGGCTGAGAAAGGGTGTTGGCAGGTGTTTGCCGTCACTCTACAGTAGAATCGAATCCCTGTCACAACTGTCTTGGAAATATGATGCAATTGCACTCTCCATGCACAGGTTGCAGCAGGGCCAAGCTCAGAGATGCAGGGTGTAATCTCTCCCATGTTAGTCTGCAACTAATTGATTGTCTTCCCAGCCAGGAGCCAAAGCCATGGCTCACTGTAATTGTGTGAATCGGAAATCCTATCTAGAATCCACTTCCCTTTCCTATTTGTCAAGATCACATTCAGGATAGGCTGTAGTTTCCAGTTGGAATATTGGGCCCCTGCACAGATGGGCTGAAATGTAATCCAGCACTGCCAAGGGCATCCCAAGGGTCAATTAATTTTGCCTTTTCTCAGAGAGGAATTTCCAAGAATCATAAAGTGGGATTGTGCTGGCCCTGGGAGAGGTGCTGAGCCCCTGCCTGGGCTGAGGCGTAAGGTTTTCACCACCATTTCAAACTGAGCTGGATTATTGAGAGACCAAGGAAGCAGCTGCCACCCACATACACAGAAGGAAACTACTACCTTGAAAGAAGTTCCTTAAACCACTGAGCTCCCAGAAAATCTGAGCCTGGCAGTGGTATTGCTGTTGGTCTGAATGGAGGTAATCCCTGCTACAAGCTATGAGCAAGCACCGTGCTCAGAGCACACCATGAGGTCCTTTGCTGAACCTGACAACCATCCTGCCTCCCACCTGTCACCACCTGTCACAGACGAGCACAGATCCCCAGAGAGGTGAAGTGACAGGCTCGGTCACCCAGCTGTTCAGCATCCAAGCTGAGACACAACCGTATTCTGTCTACACAGCCCACCGCCAGAGTGGGGATGCTCCAAATTGCCCACGCCTCCTACCTCCTGAAGGCTCTGGTCCCAGGGGGGTGACTGGAGGGGGAAGGTCTCAGGAGGGGGTGCACACAGGCAAACAGCCTCCTGCACAGTTTGCAGGGCCAGGCCCAGCCAGGATGCCAAGAGGCATAGCAGGCATGAGGAGAGAAGATTCTGGGCTTCCCATTTCTGGCAGTAGAGCAAAGATGCTTTGTAGGCTGTGGCGAAGGCTCAGAGGCCCCCTGACAAGACAGGCTCAGAGGTGGGAGGAGGGGATAAGGGGTCCCCAAGGAAAGCCAAATGCTAAAGAAATCTGAGCCCATAGCCCTTGAGGGTTAGAGAACCTGCAACGTCAGGCTAGAAGAAGGTGGGAGATCATTCAGAGCCACATGGCAAATCTCCAAATACCAAGAACAGCCATCTTCCAACAGAATCAACAGCCTGTCCATTCACACTGGCCAGGAGAGCCAGTCCCGCTGCATTTTCTCCTGTGCCCACTGAGCACCTGCCATCCAGCCCTGCACTGCCCTGGACACCCTAAGATGACCACCATCAGCCAACCTTGGGGCTCCTAGTCTGGGGTGAGGAGCAAGGCACACCGCTAATGATTCCTGTGACAAAGAAGGAGGCAGAAACAGGTGTGGCCTGTCCTAGGGGAGCTTGAGAGGAGGCATCCTGGGGGCAGTGGAAGCAAGGTTGGCTGGGAGAGGAGCAGCACTGCTGAGCCAGCCTGAAGGCCCCGGCTGGGAGCCGCTGACACCTGTCCTCACCCTCCCCGCCCCCCCCACACACACTGAGAGCGTCAGGCTTGCTGAGCACAAGCTGCCCATAGAACTTCCCCTTCCAACCAGGTGGCACCCAAGACACTTTCTGTGGGGAAACGGTGGCCTTGACCACCCCCGCCACCAGGCTAGGGCACCTGGGCAGAGCTCTAATGAGGATTCCCCATGAAGGAGCGGTGGTGCAGACAACTGAGGGACTGCCTGAGGTCACAGAACAGGCACGGCTCCACCAGGCCCCAGGACTCTGGACATGGAGTCACGCTTTGTCTCCCAACCACCCTCGGAGGCAGGCATGCATCCCTTCTCACTGCTGGGAGAGCCTCCGGACTCAGGACACAATGTCACACTCCATCTCCCAACCACCCTCAGAGGCAGGCACGCATTCCCTCTGACTGCTGGGAGGGCCCCAGGCCTGCGGATTCCCACATTTGGGTTGTCTCCAAGGCTGCCCAACTGCTCCCACGGCCCTTGCACATAGCCCCCAGAGGTCAGACAAGGGTCCCCGTGCCTATCCCCTTGGCAGACACTGGCACTGGCCTGGCCTACACTGTTTTTTGGGCCTGGGCTGGCAGTGGCCTGGCCAACATCACCTTAGCTGCTGATTAAGGCCACGCTGTACCCAGCCCCAAAGCCAAAAATAAACGTGCCTTTTTGCACGAACTAGTTAAGAAGTCCCCTCTGAGTGTGCCAGAATTTCCTTATCTTTCCACAACAGACATTTTTACAGGAAAACTTGAAATGTTTTTCATCCATCAGAATGGCAGGGTGTTGCACAGGGAGCACCATTGCCATGGGCCTGGTATCCGCCCCGCTTTCTGGGAGTTTAGTCTTAAACCTAATCTCCAGTACGCCAAGGAGCTGGCGGCTCCAGCTGTGTTTGTGAGCAAGGTCACCTCGGGTCACAGCTTTGCAGGCTGTTGGGGACCACAGGTGTCGTGTGGTGAGCGTGGGTTCCAGGGTGAGACCCCCTCCTGGGTTCAAATTCTGGTTCTGCTACTTGTGAATGTGGGCAAGTCACTTCACCTCGCTGTGCTTCAGGTGCCACTCTTGTAAAGCGGGAAATACCGAAGTGAAATCATGCATGTAAATCACGCAAAGGTAGATAAATCATGTGTGTGGATAAGTTTGGAAAACCCATGTGCTTAATCAGAGAGTGGGCTCTGGAGTTCTGAAGACAGTCACTCAGCGAAGTGGCCAATGTGAGGTCCCTGCTGGGTGTTCAGCCCCAAGGCCGACCCCGAGCAGACTGGACAGGTGAGAGTGGGAGCTCAGTGTCTGTCCTCCACATGCAAGGGAGGCCCCCGTGCAGCACACTCGCTGTGCTCAACTGGAGCCTCCACGCCCAGATGCCCAACATCGTTGCAGCACTTCCAACTTCAGAGCTCACGTTCTTGCACTAAACCAATGAAGTCTATTTGGGGTGGTGCTGGGACCCCTGGGGACACACTTGCCCCATCACTGCACCCCTCAGGCCGCGATGACACTGGAGGTGTCTCTTTCACCCAGGGGTCTTGCAGGGAATTCTCCTTGTACTCCACAGGCCCAACTGCAGAGCAGTGGTGTTGAACAGAGCAAGGAAAGGGAAAGATATCTCAGTAACTCTGCTAGAAGTCCCCATTCTAGCCACAGGGGCTCAAATGCTGGAGGCTGTCGTTGAGGGAATGCCTGCTCTGTGCCTAGAGCCACGTGCTCAGCCCTGGTGTGAGAAATAAACTCACCCATCCAAACCCAAAGAATAGACTCAGAGACCCGGAGAGCAGTGAAAGTGAGACTTTTAATGACTGTCTTGCAAGGTGGGGTGTCTGATGAGCAGACACCCCCAGCACAGTTTCAACAAGCAATTTATCCCCTAATGCTCAGGTCTCTCCGCCAGTTCCTCATAGGCTGAGTACTATGGGGTCACAATCTTCCCGGACATCGCCTATCGGTTGTTGGGTAGAGGCTCTAGGTGTTTTCTTTAGGGTCGTCCTGCTGCATTTTGTTGCAGCCCACAATACATTGCAATCCTAGTTAGCTCTGGGGCTCTTCAAGTATTTGACTTATGACTTCAGTAGCTGGGCCAGCTGATAAGAACAGACAAAACAAGCTATTTTGCAGGCTAGCAAACTTTCATCTTAGACTAAACTTCTTTGGTTCGAGTGAAGGCAACTAAGGGGGGCCGACAAGCAGGCATTGGCTATCCAAGCAGGGGCCTAGTATATCCTATTTCTTCTGTAGTTTGCTGACCTAAGCCGATTTAAGGCACTTTGTCTTGGAAATGGACCACTATATACATTATTTCCTTCACTGGCAATGGAGGTTATGAGCAGGCAGTATTAACACCACATAAGCAGGGAGAAATGAAGTCCCAGAGGCCGTCACTTGTCCAGATTGGCACAGGGCACAGCCAGAAATAAAAGCCGGCCTGTGAGACTCAGAGGCCCACACTTCTTCCACCAGGCAGTACCCAGCATGTGCTTAGAGCAACAGCCAGTCGGGGGAGAAGAGTGAGCCTGTGTAGCACAGACTGCAGCAGTCACTGGGGAGTGGGAGACTGATGGGTCTCAGGGGCCACCAGGACACCTGAGGGTGCAGGTGAACAGGGACCAGAAGCACACATGGGCGAGTTCAGGAAGGCTCACAGTGGGGCCATGACAGTGTTGTGTTGGTAAATGTTTAGCAGCCTGCAGAGTGAAGGGGGCAGCCCTGATGCAGAGCATTAGCCAATAGCCATGGTATAAATACCCCATCATGATCCACTTCAAGCTTCCAAGAGTTGAAGAACCAGCTTGCAACGTTTCAAAAAATGTGGCAATTGGCTCCAACCAGGAGCTGCGTCCTCTCTGACTCTTGTGAGGCTCCCAGAGATGCTACCAAAGGTGCAGAGCTGGTACACTGGGGCACGGGGCCAGCTGGGCAGATAGAGTCACTGGGGAATGCAGAGGGAAGGGGAGCCCTCACAGCTGGGCTTTGCTGGCTCTCCTCTCTCCTGTGCTGCTGAGAAGGAAGGAGAGGCTGCCGAGGGGCAGGGTCAGCTGCCTCATGGCCCAGGAGCAACCTGCACAAGGTGGCGTGTGCCAGCTGTGCGCTTTGCCTCTCCTTCCCCTGGAGAAGCTTCCACCCCTGAACCAGGGGAGGAAGATAAGGGCAGCCCCAGGAGGCCTTCTTCACACAGCCGGGGCCTCCTTGGGCCCCTTTCTCCTTTTCGTTTCTTGGTCTCTAGTCGGGCTGCTGAAGAGGTGGGGTCACAGGGAGGGCTGCTGACTCCAGGAGCAGCCGCTGAGCCTCCTCACCCACTCCAGGGGCTGCAGTCAGCCTCTCTTGGCTTACTCAGAAACCGTTCAGACATACGAAAAGGCATGAAAACTAGTTCCACAACACCTGTGCATGCAGCACCCAGATCAAAGCATGAAACACCACAGGTGGGGATGGGCACAGTGGCTCATGACTGTAATCCCAGCACTTTGGGAGGCCAAGGCGGGAGGATCATTTGAGGTCAGGAGTTCAAGACCAGCCTGACCAACATGGTGGAATCCCGTCTCTACTAAAAATACAAAAAAACAATTAGCTGGATATGGTGGTGCACACCTGTAACCTCAGCTACTCGGGAGTCTGAGGCAAGAGAATCACTCGAACTCGGGAAGCGGAGATTGCAATGAGCCAAGACTGTGCCACTGCACTCCAGCCTGGACAACAGAGCAAGACTCCATCTCAGAAAAAAAGAAAAAAAAAAAAACCACCACATGCAGGATCAGATGAACCCTCCCCATTCCCACCCCCACCCCATTAAGGTAGCCACTCTCCCAAGCTGGAATTCACCGTCCCACTTCGAGCCTGTGCGGTTGCATCCCTAAGCAATGCTAAGCACTGCTTTGCATATTTTAAATTTTTTCTGAATGGCCAGGGACCCTCTGCAACATTCTGCAACTGCAGCTTTTTTTCATCAGGCTTTTGTAAGGAGACGGCCAGCTGGGCTTGGCTTGAACCCTGCATCAAATCACACAATCCCCATGGCCTCAGTTTCCTCATCTATAGACTGCAGATAGCAGCCCTCCCTGGCGAGGCAGTGGGGAGAGGGCTAGCCCAGACACTGGCCTTCCCTCCCACCCTCTTCCCACCCTCTTCCCTGTGTGGACTGAGGTCTCACTCCACCCCGGTCTTCTGGGCTCCTCTTCCAGGCCGGAGGCAGAGCTGGCTCAGAAGAACTGCCCCAACCTCCGCTCCCCACCCACCCACAGACAGAGCACAGCTGCAAGGCCTCCCAGCCCTTCTTCAGTGGAGAAGGAAGTCAGGGACCCTACTCTCACCACGGTTTCTGTCTTAGACGAACAGAGTTCTTCCTGCCACAGAGGGCCGCTGCCTGTTCTCTTAGCACCCAGGACAGCTTCACTAGCAAGACCCCCTAATGGTCTCTCAGCTGCCCAACACCAGCACCAGCTCAAACCTTTGAGGAATCGCATGGCCTTCGGAACCACAGCCTTCGGGACCCGCCCGCAGTGCCCGCCACCCCAGCCATAACACAGACCCCTGCCTGAGGGGTGTGTGCCCGACCTTTCCCCACAACCACACACACCTCCCAACCTTGGTGCAGAGTCCATCTCATCAGGCCTCCTCTGGCCTCCCAGCTGTTCCTGCTCTCCTCTTCTCCTGCTCTTCACGGTCTACTTCCCTCATGCACGGCTCCCGAGAGAGGACTTGGGGAGCAAAACTAAGGAATCAGGTGACAAGAAGGGTCAGTGGATGATCTCAGCTGGGCAAGCTGACTGACTCCCGTGAGCACCTGGCAGGCTCCTCGGTGGCCCCTGCTGGGATGTCCCTGCCTGTGGCACAGGCCATGCCCTCATAGGATGGCCACTTTCAACTCCTAATCTCACCTGGGCTCAGGAGCCCACCCATCTCCTGAGGTCCTAGGGTCCTTCCAGGACACCCCTGCCTGGTCTTGACACACCGCCTTCACCCAAGCACACTGTGGGTGGGAGGGGAGCTCGTTCCCAAGCAGACCCCGCCCCCTTCATAACAGCCCCCTCCATTAGGTGCCTCAGCGGTCACTAGTGCTGGTCCCTGGATATTTCTGAATCCCTGCCTTCCAGACACACAGTAACATTCCACTTCCATGCCTACCCCCTGCCCCTCTTCAAGGGCATGGCCAAGTGATTTGCATTGGATGGTGACATGGGGACATAGGAGCCATGTGCCATGTCGCTTTTAGAGAAAGCTTTAAGGGCCAATGCACTATCTCCTGCATCGTGGGAGCACAGAGAAGCCTATGGCAGGTCCCTAAGTGACTATGTGAGCAGAAGCCTCCATCTGCCCATGAGGGACAAGGAGCATGAATGGAAAAGACATGCCATAGCATCAAGCCACTGAGTGTCAGGGGTGCTTGTTACTGCAGCGTAACCCAGTTATCCCGGCTGATAACTATCCTACACCAAGCACAATCACACCCCATCTCTTTGTCCTCCAAAACCCAGTGCCTCCACCCAAGAGCCTCTCTTGAAGCCTGCTCTCACTTGCTCAGGGGAGGGCAAGGCACCCTCGCCTCCCCTTTCTGGGAGTGGGGTGGGCACAGCACACAATGACCCCCACAGAAGAGCCTTCTGCACTGAGGGCCTCAACCTCCCACACAGCCCAGAAGCAGGATGTGGACTGATGCATTCCTCAGGGCGTCCTCGTGTGTGGCCTAGCTTCTTGCTTTAGGACACTTGCAGAGCTGGGAAAGAATGACTCCAGGACTCCACGGGGACAGCAGCTGCACCTTCATTCTTTTTTCCCACTGCCCCCATGAACCAAGCCTCAGGCTGCTCCTCCCCAGGCCCTGCTCCCTGGATGAAATCTCAAGCGGGTCCTACAGGTCCCCTGGACTTCTTCATAAAATAAAACATTTTCCTGTCACTTTTAGTCCAAAGCAGCATTACTACCATAATCTTTTGTCAACGTCAGAGCCCTACACTTGATTGAGAGGAACCTCTTGTTTCTCCAGCAGGCCAGGCCAGGAGTCACCCCTCAGGAGGGTGGCCACCTCCAGTGATGCTCAGTTGGATGGGGAATTGAGGGCAGGTGATCAAGTTCTCATCGGGACTGTGGAGGGCGAATAGGGGTCCCTCCGCAGCCTGCATGCCCTCACTCCTCCCCCTGCACCCCATGCTTGGGACCCTGGCTGACAGCCTCTTTGGTGTCACTTTGCTCCCCTCTTCTCCTTTCCCCTTTGAATTTGCATCTGTCACCAAAACCCCCACAGCACCTTACGGGGAGCAGCCTCTATAGTGTTGACGTGAATTGGCAGCACAGCCTGAGACTGGCTTCTGCTTGCTTCCCTCGCAGCAGGGTACGTGGGACCTCACCAAGCAGGAGTCACCGGATGCACTGGACAGGACTGCAGCCTCCCAGCATTGCAAGGCAAGACTGGACCAATGTGGGTGCTGGCCCCTGACCTCAGGTAAACAATGAACTTTACTCAACCCCCACTTGGCTATGAGAATTTACCAATGTCTGCTCAGATGAAGGATTCCTCACCAATTAGCAGAAAAAATGTGGGAGGAGGTGGCAGAAATGAATTTTAATAAAATGTGAACATGCCAGATCCCATGTGTGGAGGATGCTTGTTGGTGCCTCCCCAGCATCTAGATACTCCCTTCCTTTCCCTTCTGGACAGCTCTGCTTGCCACCTGGCCATCCATAGAGTCTCAGAGAAGTGGCTCCTCTTCAGGCCCCAGGCATGGAGCCCATGTCCCAGCCTGAGCCAGTCCACACCCTCGCACCCTGTGACAGACCCAGTAACTGGGGTGGAAGTGGCTGTGGCCTCTGCTTCTCAAGACGGTGACTACTGACCGTGAGCACCAAAACCAAGGCTCCTTCTGGCTGGGCATGAGAGAAGATGTGTACCCACGAAACTGCAGTCTGCCATCTTGGTACCCGATAAGAAGCAGGCCTAGGATGAATCTGACATTGTGGGAGGCAGCATGGAGCATGGGCCTTGTGATAGCACCAGACCTTGGGAGCAAGCCTCACCAGAAGCCCACCCCAGTCTGGGCTTTTCACTTGAGTCAGTCAAAGAAGCCTCTCTGTTGATTCAACTAGTGCAATTGATTTTGCTGTTGCTTGTGATCAAAAGCAGCCTAACAGATACACTATTATGCATTTGAAAAGGGTGGCATTTAGGATCTGGATGGATTTGCTTCAAAAAACAAAAAAGGTGGCAGGCCATGGTGTGGTATAGACCCACTGGCATAAGGTGGGGTAGAAGATGGGGAGGGGGAAGGATTTAAGCAAACTCTTATAAGCTAATTGATTTTTATTTAAGAACTGCAAAAGTCAACATTTGCAGGGGCAACTCTCTTGACCCTAGAAAAACATTGTGGCATATGCAAATTTGATTTGAACAACTGGGTAAATATTCATTCAATTCAGGATGCTGCCCCCCTTCTCCTCAAGGAGGATCAAGCGCTTGTTTGCTCAGCCACTGATCCCCCCAACTCCACTGCATCCTCTCAACACCCCTCCAAGCCCAGACAGTGGAGGGGGCATGGCATCAGCCCTTCTCAAGGACCCCCCTATCCAGGCTCTATCCACATCCATCTGGCCATCTTCCCCCACCGAAACATGACCCCTCAGGATGGGGAAGTGGCTGTTACAGCACCATGCAAGCTTCTCAATTTGTCTCTATGTTACAAATCTTATCTGCTGAGTCCTTCTCTTTCAAAAAGGCTGGCTCTCTCCATTAAAAACCTAGGCTTTCAAGACTATATCTCTGCTAGGTATTTTAGGAGCATATTTTGGAATCAAAGTCAAACTGTAATACTTGATATATTAGCTAGGGTTCACCAGAGAAAAAGAACCAATAGGATATATATATGAGGACATATATGTATAAGAGAGAGAGATTATAAGGAATGTGATTATGGAGCTCTGCCAGTGGCAAGCTGAAGATGCAGAAGAGCCAGTCTTGCAGTTCCAGTTCAAATGCCATCAGGCTCAAGACCCAGAAAGAACTGACACCTCAATCTGAGTCCAAAGGCAGGAAAGCAGCAATGTGCCAGCTCAAGGCAGTCAGAGAGGAGGAGCTCCCCTTTACTCAGCCTCTCTCTTCCATTCAGGTCTTCTACTGATTAGATGAGGCCCACCCCCATTTGGAAGGGAAATCTGCTTTACTCAGTGCACTGATGCCAACGCTAATCTCATCGGGAATCACCCTGGCAAGCCCACCCAGAATGATGTCTGATCAGATGTCCAGGCATCCTATGGCCCTGCCAAGCTGACACATAACGTTAACCATCACACTTGGTCCCAGGCCACCTCTGCCTCTATGCACTGGAGGCAGGGCACCTGGAAAGCAGCCACACTTCTGGGGGAATGGTGCAAAAGCTTGCATCATATCCTAAACATTATCCTGTGACACTGATTTTCACCTTCGGGTTCTTACTACAGAGTGAACATTCCTAATACAAAAATTCAGAATCCAAAATCTGAAAGTTTTTAAGCAGCAGCATGATGCCACAAGTGGTAAATTCTACATATAAGTACTTAACACAAACTTTGTTTTATGCACAAAATTATTTAAAATATCATATAAAATTACCTTCCGTCTATGTGTATAAAGTGTACATAAAACATAAATAGGCCGGGCGTGGTGGCTCATGCCTGTAATCCCAGCACTTTGGGAGGCCAAGGCAGGTGGATCACCTGAGGTTGGGAGTTCAAGACCAGCCTGACCAACGTGGAGAAACCCTGTCTCTATTAAAAATACAAAATGAGCTGGGCATGGTGGTGCATGCTTGTAATCCCAGCTACTCAGGAGGCTGAGGCAAGAGAATTGCTTGAACCTGGGAGGTGGAGGTTTCAGTGAGCCGAGATCGTGCCATTGCACTCCAGCCTGGGCAACAAGAGCGAAACTCCGTCTCAAAAAAATAAATAAATAAATTTTGTGCTTAGACTGGGTTCCATCCTCAAGATATCTCATTATGCACATGCAAATATTCCAAAATCTGAAAAAAATCTGAAATCTGAAACACTTCTAGTCCCAAGCATTTTGAACAATGGGTACTCACCCTGTAGAAGTCCTCCCTAAGCCATCAGCCCCTCCCTCTCCCTCGTGGCTTATCCTCATCCTCCAGGCCCCTTCCATCTGAACCCTCTTCCCCAGAAGAGGTGGCAGGCAGGGCTGCTGGGGGAGCTGCTGCCCAAAACTCTGCGTGAACGGAAGCCCAGAAGCCTGCATCCAGATGGAGACTGATGGTGGGAGGAGTGGGCGACACAGACACAAAAAGCTGGAGGGCGAGCAGGAATGGGAGGCCAGGGAGCAGAGCCCATGGAGCAGAGTGGGCACCCACCAGGCCTGGCTCACCCCAGAGCACAGTCATTCAAAGCAACCTTTGCCTCCTTCACCATCTGGTCAGCACCAATGGGCCCAGGGATGGGGACACCATTTCTCACCCGCTATCGGCAGGTGACCCAAACCTGGCCCCTCTGGCGCTGTCAGAGAAAACAAACAGTGCCTATTTATAGGGCTGGGCCGGGGTAATGGTTATCTTGGCCTGCTGATAGTCCTTTTTCCCCATGAAACACATAACGCACCATAAGCACTGCTCAGAGGACGATAAAAATAGCTTTGGATCAAAGAGGTAGTTTCCTTATTTTGTCTCCAAGGACAGATCAGAGAGCTGGACTGCATGTGGGCAAATCAGTTTTGGCTCTTGGCAAGAGTTTCAATGCTTCCCCTCCACATGCACAGAAAAGTCTGCCAATGTCGATATCTGAAGCTGAGATAATAGGCTGTGGGCTGTGCTTTGTCTTTTGTTGACGCACTCCCAGCCTTCAAGGTCTCTGCTATCGTTTTGTAGACAGACAGGCTAAGCCCAGACATCAACAAGCAAAAGCAGCGAAGTCCACTTGTGCCTGCTGAACGGATGCGGGTGTGGAATAATGGTAATGACCTCCATTACAGACATCTGCTGCCTGCACCTCTGCAGACCCATAGCATCATCCCCATTTTACATGTGAGGAAACTGCAGCTCGAAGAGGCCACCAGCCCTCAACCCTAAATCCAGCTGCCCCGGAAGCCTGAGGTCTTTCAGGACTCCGCAGATTTGGAATCAAACAGCCGGGGCTTGACTCCTATCTCACCGCTTAAAAGCCCAGGCTCTTAATCTCTCTGAGCCTGTTTCTCCATCTGTAAAATGGGAGTCATAACAACTTCCAAGCTATTTGTGACTCAAAGGAGATCGTGTAACAGAGCTACATCGTGTGCAGATTGGCTTGTAGACACTAGTTATTATGGCGGTGTTTTTCTAACTGAGCCATTGATGCTTTCAAGGCACTGCTGCTCCCTCGCATGCCTCTAGAGGCAGGTGATATTACACCCACTTCACAGACGAGGAACTGCGGTGTCAGAAGATTAAGGGCCTTGCTCACGCAGCCAGGACGAAGTGAAGCCGTCGTGGGAACCCTGGTGGCAGGCTCCAGGGTGGGCGCAGCGAAGCCTAGTACCCATGGCCACGGTTGTCATGTATTTTTCTATGCTGAAGACTGTCAGGGGCGATGGCGCATTGCAAGAGAATCTTCAAACCTGGCCAAAAGTCTGTTCTCTAGTACAATTCTCAGTCTAGGGGGAAAAGATCTGATAACGTCACGCCAAGGTGTTGCTGCTGATGGTGTTTCAGTCTGTAACGCTACTGGGTGTTTGCCTCCAAACCAAAGTGTGGTGGGGCCATGTTTCATTGGAGAGCTTAATCCCACCTGCTCAGCGCTAGTCCTACCATCCCGCGCCACAGCCCTCCAGCCAGCACCCGAGGCGAGCGGGCCTGGGAAGAAGGCGGACCCCAGCCTCCCAGGCTGCTGGGTCCGGGAGCTCCGCGGCGAGGATCGCTCACCTGGGCGCTCCCCGGGACAGTGAACGGCAACAGAGCCCAGGGAAACCTGAGCGCAGGTCCGCGTGCGTCCGGGCCTCGGGGGTGGTTTCACCCGCGGGCGGGGAGGGGGCGGGGCCTTCTGTCAGCCACGCCCCCAGAGTGGAGCCCCCGCCCCGCCCAACCCCCCACCGCGGGAAGCCCCTGGGCACTGGGACCCGCTCCTTCCTCTGCAGGGCGGCCCGGCCGCGGCCTGCTGGTGGCTGTGAAGGTTACATGGAGTGCGAGTGCGTATACACAGGTAGCGATGGCAGGGCAGACGGTCGCAGCTGCCTGTAGTCCCTCCACGTCCCTGCAAAGCCCCGTCCTCTGGACCCCCATCACCCCCGCTCCCACACGTTTGCAGGCTTTATTGCCCTGCCGCGTGCGGGCCAGACCCTCCGGGAGCTGCCAGCGCAAATTCCTTCGGCAGAGGACCCGCTCTGGGCAGGAGCAGGGTGGACGGTGTGGGCGCGCCCACGCCCCGGCGGGCAGTGCCAGGCATCGGTGCGCCCGCGGAGGGGGCGGCCTAGATAAGCAGACTCACCTCTCAGGATTTAATCCGAGAGACCTAGAAGAAAGTCCCCTGCTAGCTGGGGGCGAAGCAGGTCTTTCCCCAGGGAGTACTGAGGCCGGCTCTCTTGAGCCATTCTCTTGACAGAGTGTGGAGGCAGAGGTGAGTGAGGAGGAGGAGAGAGGAGGAGAAGGGAGCAGGCCGAGCAGCAAAGAGGAGCAGAAACCCCATACAGAGAGGGGAGAGAGAATGAGAATGAATATGGATTAGTCAAGGGCTGACATAACGAAACGCCACAGGCTGGGTGGCTTCAACAACAGAGATTTATTTCTCCTACTCCTGGGGCTGGAGGCCTGATCTCAGGTGCCAGCAGGGTCCAGTTCTGGGAGGCCCTCTCCCTGGCCTGCAGGTAGCCACCTTCTTACATGGTAGAGAATGAGAGCAAGCTCCCTGGTCTCTTCTTGTAGGGGCACTAATTCTATTCTGAAGGCCCCACCCTCATGACCTCATCTAAACCCAGTTACCTCCCAAAGGCCACACCTCCTAATGCAGTTATATTGGGGGCTGGGGCTTCAGCCTAAGCATCTGGGGGGAACAGGCATTCGGTCCAAACAAGTGGGCTCAGTACTGCACTGTTCCTCACCCAGGCCCAGCCTAGGGGCCCTGCTATTCTTTTGCTCCAGGCCCCAGGTTCTCAAAACCGCAGATTCCACAGGCTGAAAGCCCTCCTGAGGCATCTTGAGTGGGCCTCTTCTGGCACCTGAAACAGCCTTAGGAAAAGCAGCATCCTTCTTGCTTCCCTAGCTAGAAGATAAATTCGCCCTCCCACTGACAGCCCCATTTTCTGAGGGCCGAGTGCTCTGGGTCCCTGCAGGATGGTGGGATTACCGAGAGCAAAGAGAGCCAGCCTCACCTTGGGGAACACGCAGACCCAGAGCACCCACTGTCCACAGACAGGCAGAGGGTCCCAGCTAGACTGCCCCAGCCGCAGGGCTCCTGGCAGTAGAATGCTGCTAGCAGGGCCAGTCAGGCTTCCCAGAGCTTAACCTGAGGTTTAGCATCAAAATGCCTGCACTTACAAATGTAAATAACGCTCCAAATACCTTAGACCAACATCAGTGCTGGGTTTGGCTTGCAAATAATTCATGTTTGGTCTAAATGGGTTTATTCTGCCTCGTTTGAGTGATTAGTTGCCTTAGAAAGCATCAAGGAATAGAGGCTCTACTAAGCCAGCAAGAAGGGGATAATGCAGGAATTGAAATGCAGAGAGGACTTCTCAGGGCCAGGCTGTTAGCAATTGCTATTAGATTAAGGGATCATTTGGCGGAATTTAAAATGGAAGTAGGCACAACTCAGGAGAAAGAATGAGAGAGAATATTTCTCCCGCATCTCGCTGGAGGGTGGAGGAGACAGGCTGGTGCTCTCCAGTGTCTGGGCTGCAGCACAGAGTTCTGCTTTTCAGAGGGGAGGGCTGACCAAGGAGTGTCTGCTGTCCAATGCTTCTCAAATGCCACCAAGTCCCCTTGCCGCCCACACTGGCTCCCACAGCTTAGTTCTATTACGCAGTGGAAATGCAGGCCCATGCTGAGGAGGTAAACCAAAAGCAAAGTGTTAGGAAGAAGAGGTCACCAACTGCGGGCAGCTGGGGACAGGGTAGTGCTGCCAGCCCCACGGGCACCATTTGCATGGCCACTGCTGACAACACTGCACATGGGACAGTCCCTTGGAGGCTTCTGACCACAGGCCAGAGAGCGACTAATAAGTGGAGAGTGGGGACTGCCTACACCCAGGCCAAAATACCCCTTGCTAGAGTCCGGCTTCCAGACCACCAACTTCACTGCAGAACTTGATTCTCCTATCAAGCAGGGTCTCTTGGCCCAGCCAACAAGAACAATGATGAAGACATATTGACTGCTGCCTGCACAAACCCCTGGGCTAAGGGCATTACATGATCCGTCCTATTGAATCCTTACAACAGTCTGGAAGCTGGGGCTGGCATTATCCCATTCTCCAGATGAGAAATCCTAAGTGGAGGGAGAGTACGACCTGCCCAGAGTCGCACCCTGAAGACCTGCAGGTGGAGGATGTAGAGAAAGGAGGAATTGCGATTCCCTGATCTGGGGGTTGGACTGTGGGTGGAAGGTAGTGCCTTTCCCCTGAGGCTGGTGAGTGCCAGTGTCTGTTGGACAAGTCAGTGAACATGTCCTAGAGACAACTGGATGTAAGTCTGCAGCCCAGTGGAGAGGTTAAGGCAGAATTAGAAATGTTGGTGAAGGTGTCAGTGGTGTTGATGGTGTGCGGGATAGCCGTGATGGATCCACAGCTGCTCTCTATTCCCAAATGATGCTTTTCTATTCCAGCCAGGGCCAGGTGTGCAGGAAAGGGAGGTAGGGAAGTTTCCCTTCAAGCCCCTTCCCAGGGCCCTGCCCCTCTGTTCCAATGTGTCTGGGATTGTCAGGCAGTAGGCCGTGCCTAAGACTATGTGACAAGGACTGGATGCTTACTGAGGTCATATCCTGTGAGCCTCTCCTCCCATGAATAAATGCTTCACCCCAAGAACTCCCGCCTGCCTCTGCAGAACCCTCCTCTCTTGTTCCAGAGCTGCTCCCCCTTCCCTTCCTCCTTCTCCTTTGCCTGTGTCAAGCACGTCCGTGTGAAGAGACCACCAACAGGATTTGTGTGAGCAATAAAGCTGTTTATTCACTTGGGTGCAAGTGGGCTGAGTCCGAAAAGAGAGTCAGCAAAGGGAAATGGGGAAGGGAGTTGGGTAGGTAATGGAAAATTACAGTAAAATGTGGTTATTGTTAGCAGAGGAGGGGGTTACAACGTACATGGTGGAGAGATCATAAGATTCATTGTCCAGAAGAAGAATGTCACAAAGTCGATTGGCCAGCTAAGGTAGGGCAGCGACAAGTCACAATAGTAAAATGTTGTAATGTTGGTTAATCAGTTAAGCCAGGAACTGGCTGTTTTCCTTCTTTGTGGTTTTTTGACTGCTCCCCATTTCTTGGCTCCTGCAGGCCACCTGGATGTGTATGTATGTGCAGGTCACAGAGGTTATAATGGCTGAGCTTTGGCTCAGAGCCTGACAGCCTGGTCTCCTTTAGTTTGAGGAGAGGAAAATCAGGTCCTACAAGCTTGCACATCTTTGGAGGCCCGCCTTTCTGTCTCCATTTCTGTCTCTTTCCTCTGTCAGTATGAAACAGTGGAGGGAAACAACTTGTGGGGTCCTGCCAGGAGAAAGGGAGGAAGGGCCGGGTAAGGTCCCCTGGGGAGGAATAGAGACAAGGAAGGGAAAGGGCGGGGTCAGAACCAGCGCTCCCACATCCAGATGAGAGGAGAAGGGGGCCGAGAGGGGCAGCCTGGGGCCGAGGGTGGGGCTGGGACTGATAAGAACCTCAGGGTGAGGGCATGCCCAAAAACTGAGAACAGGGCAGAGCAGGGCTTTCAAAACTGCTGAGAAGTAAAGAGGGGCACAGATAAGTGGGATTTACAACTTGGAGGTCATGAGTGACTATGATAAGCTATGATGGGAGGAGGGGCAGTTCCAGTGGGATAAGGAATGAAAGGATGTCCAGAAGAGGCAACCTGTTGGGGAAGTCATGGAAAATGAGGCTGCAAAGAAGTGGAACTGCCTCCCAGGGGTGTGCCTGGGTCATTATCCTGGGACAAGGAACCAGCTAAGGTGGAATGTAGGTTTGCTGATGTTCAGCCATTCCACAGTTGGCTGAGTCCATCCTGATTATCCATCTCTCATCAAAGAATATTTGCAAATCACAAATTTTAATCAGGTCTGACTTTCTAGTTTGTTTTGTGTGTGTGTGGAAATACTTTTATTGTTTTTTCTGATTGCAAAAATAACATATGCTAGGTTTTTTTAGAAAATGAGTAAAATAGAGCATGTATTTCTCCACTTCCATTTTTTCTCAGGCTAACCACTGCTTCTAGATCTTTACAGACATTTTTCTTTACATCTTTACTTTTTTAACAAACATAGACAGAGATAAACATTGTTCTGTATGCTGCTTTGATATCTAACAATCATTGACGTCTTTCCATATCAGTGCAGACTGATCAATTTCATTGTTTTAATAGGGTCAAAGGAGTCTACTGTTTTCATGGGTATTATTTATCTTATCTTCTCCCAGCCATCTACATTTAGAGTACTTCCATTCGGTTGTTGTTGTTGTTGTTTCTCTGGGAATTGATGAAATAAACATCCTTATACATACTTAATGCATCTGTGCAGGTACAACACATTCTTAGAACCTGCATTATTGAGTCAATGGTAAGCACATTTGAAATGTTCATAAAAATTTCCATATTTTCCCTCAAAAACAAGTACAGCAACACCACTGGCATTGTATATGGGTTCCCTTTGAATCTTTACTGAACTGATAGATGAAAAATTCTTTCCTGTGGGGGATGTTGCAGTGGGGGAGGCTGTGGTGTGTGGGCTCAAGGTATGTATGGAATTTCTCAGTACCTTCGGCTCGATTTTGCTATAAGAACCTAAAACTGCTCCAAAAAATAAAGTCTGTTAAAAATGATTTGTCAGTGTTATTTAAATTTTTCATTCCTTCAATTAATTTTAAGGTAGGACAACTTTTGATACATTTCTTAGCCAGGTGTGCTAACTCTCCTGTAAATTTCCTTTCATGTCTTTTGCTTATTTTCCTATTAGATTTCTTATCTTATTGGGTTATCTGAACTTTTCATGTATTATGAAGAGTAAGAAGTTGTTCTTAAACAGAAGAAAAAGCACTGACTCTTAAAGCCCCCAGGCTGCTGGGAGAGGAATGAGTTGAAGGAGGAGGTGGGCAGTGGGAGCCAGTGAAGAAGCTGTTCCCTGTCGGCCCCTATCCCATGCCCCACATGGCGTGGACACAGGTCAGCACTGGCTCTCTTCCTTCTTCCAGCACCCACCCCTGCAGTTTTGACTCTGACCTCCCCTGTCTTCACCTTACATTATCTGCTTTTAATACTCATTCGTTTGATCTCCTGTTTCTGCTCTGAGGTTTTTAAAATGGATTTTGGGGTCATCTGTGTTGGATGACAGGAGGCAGGTAAGGAGTCCCTTGGAAAAGGTGGACAATTAGATTTAATTAAATTAAATCCAGTGCTACCAGTGCTAGACAGAACAGTGTGGGAAAGGGGAGAGGAGGAGAGAAGAGACCCATGGGGTTGGGGAGGGAAGAGTAATCAGGGAAGTCTTCCTGGAGGAGGTACTACTAAATAGAAATTTCAATGCTGAATAAATTCATGTGGCAGAGCTTCTAGTGGTTCCCCAGTATCTGTCTTCCCTTTCTCTCCACTGTCAGCTGGATTTCCAGCCATCTAGACTACAGAAATCATTTCCCAGACTCTATTGCAGCAGATTTGGCCATGTGACTAATCATGGCCAGTGGGGTGTTAAGCAGAAGTAATGATGCCCCATTTCCGCGTTGTCTTTAAAGGGCAGGGCTGTGCCTCGCCTTGTCCTTTTCTCCCTTCTCTCTGGCTGAATGCAGGCATTGTGAGGAGCCATACTGGAACCCCCAGGTCCTTGATGACAGACAGAAGCTGAGAGGAGCCACTCCACCAGCTGTTTTGTTTATGCTCACATTTATGGAGGGCTTGCTCTGCACTAGACACCTTGCTAAGCACCTCCCAGCTATCATCTCATTTAATCTTCTCAACAACCTGGAGGTGGGTACCATTCCTATCTCTGTATTGAGAATGAGGAAACTGAGTCACAGAGAGGTTAAGTAACTCATCCAAAGCCACACAGCTTGTGAGAGATGAATCTGGAATGTGCACCAGTAACCCTGGAATCAGGACCACTCCAGACCCTGAGCTCTTAGCCAATATATTTTGAAGCCTCTCTGTGCCTTCCTGCATCCCTCGCAGATGGACAAAGTTCCCGTCCTCCTGGGGCTGACAGACCAACAAGTGAGCAAGTAAAATAGGTAGTAAGTTACACAATGAGATGTACTACAGAGATTAAAGCAGGAAACAGGAATGGGCTGAACAGAATGATCAGAAGAGGACATCTGAGCAGAGGCTGAGGCAGCCGTGAGAGTGTCTGGGGACATGCTGGCCTGCTTTCCAACCCCAGCCCAGACACACATCGGCCCCTATTCTTGAGTTCTTGACAGCGTCTGAGCCTCAGCTTCCTCATCTGTATAGCCTGCCATGGTAGGTTGGGAAGGCGATTGGAGAGAACATAAGTAGGCCCCGTGGCAGAGTAGGCATGGTGGTGTTGGTGCAGTGCTCTGGGAGGGTCAGGGCACCGTCTCCATGGTGCCCACCAAGCTCCAGGCTCCGTGCTCAGTGCTCCGTGGATCCACGCAGACAGCTCCCCAGAGTCAGGCACAGCACCCCCACGCGGCAGACGTGAGAATCACTCCCACTTTACAGAGGGGGAGACTAAGGCTATGTCACCGGCATGACCCCCCCCCCACCCCGCCCCCGGCCACGCGGCTGACGTGCAAGCAGTGCCCCCGTATCCTTCAGCACAGGAGAAGCACTTTCCTCATTCAGCAGCAGCGGTGAGCCAAGCCTCTTTATGTGCCAGGCGCTGACCGAGGGACTGTAATTAGTGGGCACCGGACAGATTAGAACAAGGACCTGGCCGCACTGAGCTGAGCGCGGCACCCGTCGCACCGGCAATGATGGCCTGACGTCCTGAAGAGTGACAGGACAGAGACAAAGCTCTCCGGTGTAGAAGTCAGGGTCATCCTCCACTCTATGGCAGGCACGTTTGAACCTGAATGAAGTGAGGAGCAGTCCCCCATGCTATGGGGGAGGTCGGGCAGGCGGAGGAAAAAGCAAGCGCCAGCGCCGAGGCCTGCGCTATGGGATTTAGGTCTCCACTGCTGCTGGTCGGATGCCTGGGCTGCGCCGCACCACGGTCAGCGTCTCCTCTTTCCCTCTCACCTCCCAAAGCACATACATCAACACCCACTCCTCCACCTCACAGTCTGTTTCTGGGACTCTTGACTTAAGGCAGGAGACAGTCCTGAAATATCTCCATGGGAACAGAAGAGTCAACCCGCTTGGGGTAGGCTTCCAGCATTCACAGAGCCTCAGGGAGGACAGGCTGCCTCCTTGCCCTCTCACTTTCCCAGGAGGTGGTTCATATAAGTATCCATTCACTGGCCTCAGAGGGAGGCTCAGAGAGGGCAACTAACTTGCCCAAGGTCACTGAAGCTCAGCGGTGCACTGGAGCCACTCAGTCCTGGCTCGATGTTGTTAAACACAGCCATTGCCAAAAATTAAATTATATAAACCTACAATGAAGCACGTTATATGACAACAAGAGGCAATAAATACACAGAATTCACCTCCTCCAAATTGCTTTACTCCTGCCCCTGTGCTGTTGAGGTTACTGGCACCTGGTGTACCTAGGTGGTGGGGATGGTATTCAGTGGTGGCCGCTGCAGGTCTCCTCCCAACAAGCATCAGTGACATCACGGTGGTACCCTTAAATGGACCATGGTGGGGGTATTTCCACTACAGAAATCAGCAAATGCTACAAATTCAGCTTATAACATTACTGATTTCAGTGATAAAGGAATGTTAAAAATGAAGATTACATTGGCTGGGCGCGGTGGCTGATGCCTGTAATCCCAACACTTTGGGATGCCAAGGTGGGTGGATCACAAGGTCAGGAGTTTAAGACCAGCCTGGCCAACATGGTGAAACCCCGTCTCTACTAAAAGACTCCATCTCAAAAAAAAAAAAAATGCAGATTACATTACATTAAAAGTGTGTGTGTCTGGAAGTGTTACACTTTGAAGAGTGCAAAAAAAGAAAGTCTTCTAGTATGCAAAAATTATTATCCTATTGAGCCAAGCAGCCACTCACGTCATGGACAAACAAGTGGAGGTCTAATGTCCACCTGGGCCTAGATCTCTGCCTCTTGAGGAAGTCCATAAATTCCCCAGAGCACATTCAATCCAGCAGTGCCCTTGCTAGGACCTCAGCTTCTGTGGTTCTAGGCTGCCTTGGGGGCCACTCTTGTTCTTTTTGGCATTTGGTGACATTTCATTTAATGTCAGCTTATGTGCTATTCCACACAATTGCCAACATCTTCATGTGTCTCCCCAACTAAGGTTATTTACTGATGTTGACATTTGTTACCTTTTCTTTTTTTGTTTCTCTCTCCATTTTCTCTTTTCCTATCTTTAAAAATTTTACTGGCCGGGTGCAGTGGCTCATGCCTGTAATCCCAACATTTTGGGAGGCTGAGGCGGGCAGATCATCTGACGTCAGGAGTTCAAGACCAGCCTGACCAACATGGTGAAACCCCATCTCTACTAAAAATACAAAAAATTAGCTGGGCATGGTGGCACATTCCTGTAATCCCAGCTACTCAGGAAGCTGAGCCAGGAGAATCTCTTGAGCTCAGGAGGTGGAGGTTGCAGTGAGCCGAAATCGCGCCATTGCACTCCAGCCTGGGCAACAGATCACACCATTGCACTCCAGCCTGGGTGACAGAGCGAAACTCCATCAAAAAAAAAAGTTACTGATATTTGTTTGTTTTTAACAGCATTATTAAGAGATAATTCATATATTTTACAATTCACTTATTTGAATGTTCAGTTCAATGTTTTTTGACATATCCACAGACACATGCACCCATCACCACAATCAACTTTAGAGTATTTTCATCACCTTGTAAGGAAGTGCTGTACCGTTTAGTTCTCACCGCTTAATGCCCCTATCCTACCCTCCCAGCCCTGAGCAACCGCTAACCTACTTTCTGTCTCTATAGGTTTCCCTATTCTGGACTTCTATATTACATAATTGATATGAATGACTGGCTTCTTAGCATAATGTTTTCAAGGCTCACCCATGTATCCATATATAATTTCTTATTATGGCCAAATAATATTCCTTTGTATGACTATACCATATTTTGTTTACCTGTTCACCAGTTGATGGACATTTGGGTTACTCCTACTCTTCATGTCTTATGAATAATGCTGCTATGAACATGTACAAGTTTTTGTGTGGACAAATGTTTTCCTTCCTGTTGGGTGTATGCCTAGGAGTGGAATTGCTGGATCGCATCCTACCATCCTAGTGAGAGTGAGGTGGCTTGTCACTGTGGTTTTGATTTGCATTTTTTGATGACAATTTTTCTGATAATGATGAAATTGAGTATTTTTTCATGTACTTATTAGCCATTTATACATCTTACTTGGAGACATGACTGTTTATACCCTTTGCCTATTTTAAAATTAGAACGTCATTGTCTTATTGAATTGTAAGAGCTCTTTCTACATATATGAATGTCCAACTTATCTATTTTTTCTTTGGTTGTTTATGCTTTTAATATCATATCTGAGAATCCTTTGCCAAGTCCAAGATAATGAAGATTTACCCATGTTTTTTCCTGACAGTTTTATGGTTATAACAGCTTTAATTTATGTTACATTAATGTTTGTATATGGTATGAGGTAAGGATCCAACATTATTCTTTTACATGTGGCAGCACCATTTGCTGAAAAGAATATTTTTCCCCCATTGAATGGTATTGAAATCCTTGTTGAAGATCAGTTGACCATAGATGTATGGATTTGTTTCTGGCCTCTCAATTATATTTTATTGATCTACATGTCTATCCTTGTGCCATTGCCTCCTCTGTCTTCATTATCATTGTTTGTAGTAAGTTTTGAAATTGGGAAATGTGAATCCTTGTATTTTGTTCTTCTCTTTCAAAATTGTGTTAGGTATTTGTAACTCCTTGTAATTCCATATGGATTTTAGAATTAAGTTGTCAATTTCAACAAAGAAAATAACTGGTATTCAGATAGGGATTATATTAAATACGTAGATCAATTGGGGAAGTATTGCCCTCTTAACATGATTAAATCTGTGATTTATAAACACAGTACGATTTTCTGTTTATTTCGATCTTTAATTTTGTTCAACAATGTTTTTAGTTTTCAGAGTATAAGTTTTGCACTTCTTTTGTTAAACTTATTTGTACATATCTTATGTACAAATTTTGATGCTATTTAAATGTAATTTATTTGATGCTACTTAAATGTAATTTATTTGATGCTATTTAAATGTAATTGATTTCTTAATTTCATTTTTGGATTGTTTACTGCAAGTGTATAAAAATACAATTAATTTTTATATGGGTCTTGTGTTCTGCAACCTCAATGAACTCATTTATTAGCTTTAATAGTTTCTTAGTGGATATCCTAATTTTTAAAAGATTTTTCTATACAAGATATGTCATCTGTGAATTAAGATAATGTAATTTCTTCTTTTCTAATTGCCTGGGATGGAACCTCCACACAATGTTAAATGGGAGTGGTAAGAACTGGCATCCTTTTCTTATTCCCGATCTTAGGGAGAAAGCGTCCAGTCTTCTACCATTAAGTATGATGTTAGCTGTGGATTTTTCATAGATGCTCTTTATCAAATTGAAGAAGCTCCCTTCTACTCCTAGTTTGTTGAGTGTTTTTATCATAAAAATATGTTGGATTTTGGGCCAGGCACAGTGGCTCATGCCTGTAATCCCAGCACTTTGGGAGGCCAAGGCAGGCAGATCAACTGATGTCAGGAGTTCCAGACCACCCTGACCAACATGGAGAAACCCCGTCTCTACTAAAAATACAAAATTAGCCGGGTATGGTGGCACATGCCTGTAATCCCAGCTACTCAGGAGGCTGAGGCAGGAGAATCACTTGAACCCGGGAGGCAGAGGTTGCAGTGAGCCGAGATCACGCCATTGCACTCTAGCCTGGGCAACAAGGGTGAAACTCCGTCTCAAAAAAAAAAAAAAAAGTGTTGAATTTTGTCAAATACTTTTTTCTGTTTCTATTGAGATGATTGTGTGGTTTTTATTTTTTATTCTATTGAGATGGTGCATTACAATAATTGATTTTTACATGTTGAACCAACATTGCATTCTGGGATAAATTCCACTTGGTCACAGTGCATAATTTAAAAATATGTTATTGGATTCAGTTTGCTAGCATTTTGTTGACAATATTTGTATCCATATTTATGAAAGATATTATACCGATCTGTAGTTTTCTTGTGATAACTTTGACTGGTTTTGGTACCAGGGTAATGTTGGCCTCAAAGTGAATTTGTAGATGTTACTTTCTCTTCTATTTTTTGAATGAGTTTGTGAGAGATTGGTATGAATTCTCCTTTCAGTGTTTGGTAGAATTCAGCTGTGACACGATCTGGACCTTGGCTTTTCTTCGTAGGTAGTTTTTTTGATTACTAATTCAATCTCTTCATTTGTTACAGGTCTATTCAGTTTGTCTATTTCTTCTTGAGTCAGTTTTAGTAGTTTGTGTCTCTCTAGAAATTTGTACATTTCATCTTCATTATCTAAGTTTTAGGCATACAGTTGTTTATAGTATTTATTTATTTATTTATTTATTTATTTATTTTCTGAGACAGAGTCCCACTCTTTCCCAGGCCATAGTACAGTGGCGCGATCTCGGCTCACTGCAAACTTTGCCTCCTGGATTCAAGCGCTTCTCCTGCCTCAGCCTCCCGAGTAGCTGGTATTACAGGCGTGCACCACCATGCCTGGCTAATTTTTGTATTTTTGGTAGACATAGGGCTTCACCGTGTTGGCCAGGCTGGTCTCAAACTCCTGACCTCAAGTGATCCTCCCGCCCTGGCCTCCCAAAGTGCTGGGATTACAGGTGTGAGCCATCATGCCTGGCCCTGTTTATAGTATTTCTTTATGGTCCTTTTAATTTCTGTAATATTGATACTAATATATCCTCTTTCATTTCCAATTCAGGTTATTGTCCTCTTTCATTCCTCAATAAGTCTAGCTAAATGTCAATTTTGTTGATCTTTCCAAAGAACCAGGTTTTTATTCCATTGAATTTTTCAGATGGTTTTTCTATTCTCTATTTTATTAATTTATACTCTAGTCTTTTTATTTCCTTCTTTCTGCTTGCCTTAGGTTTAGATTGCTCTTTTTTTCTCAAGTGTCTTAAGGTGGAAGTTTAGGTTATTGATTTGAAATCTTTGTTTTTTCTTAATATTGGCATTTACAGCTACAAATTTTCATTCTTAGCACTGCTTTTGCTGTATCCCATGAATTTTGGTATGTTGTGTCTTTGTTTTTACTCATGTGAGAGTATTTTCTGATTCACTTTTGATTTCTTCTTTGATCCATTAGCTATTTTGGAGTATGTTGTTTAATTTCCACATATTTGTGAGTTTTACAAGTTTTTTTTTCCCTGATATTGATTTCTAATTCATATTATAATTGGATATTGTACTTTGTATTATTTCCACTCTTTTAAATTTGTTGTGGCTTGTTTTATGGCTTCTGGTCTATCCTGGAGAATGTTCTATGTGTACTCGAAAACAATATATATTCTGTAGTTGTACAGAATGTTCTGTAGATATGTGTTAAGTCTATTTAGCTTACAGTGTTATTCAAGTCTTCTATTTTCCTGTTAATCTTATGTTTAGTTCAATACATTATTAAAAGTGGGTTATTTAAGTCTCCAACAATTACTGTTGAATTGTACATTTCTCTCTTCATTTCTGTCAGCTTTTGTTTCATCTATCTGGGTGCTCAGTTATTAGTTGCATACATGTTTATAATTGTTGTATCGTCCTGATGAATTGACCCTATTATCATCATAAAATGTCTCTTTGTACTAATATTTTTGGTTTTAAAGTCTATTTTGTCTGATATCAGTATGACCACCCAGCTTTATTGTGATTGCTCTTGGCATAATGTGTCTTTTTCCATTCTTTTACTTTCAGTTTATTTGTATCTTTGACTCTAAACTGTGTATTTTGTATTATAGATAGCATATGGCTGAATCATGTTTTATCCAGTCTGACAATCTCTGCCTTTTGACTGGATTGCTTAATTTATTCATTTAATGTATTATT
This sequence comes from Homo sapiens, assembly GCF_000001405.40. NCBI lineage: Eukaryota > Metazoa > Chordata > Mammalia > Primates > Hominidae > Homo > Homo sapiens. The sequence continues at coordinate 128,480,187 of NC_000002.12, read as the reverse complement.
GATATAGCTGCCTTGACATTCGCCATTTTACTTTTTATTTTCTATGTCCCCTGTCTCTCTTTTCGTTTTGCTATTCTCTTCTACCCTTTCTATTGTATTATTTTCTAATGCAGTATTATAATTTGTTTGATAATTTTTTCACTATATTTTGGGGTTGTGTTTTTAGTCATTGCTCTAGGGCTTACCATGTATATCTTAACTTATCAAAATCAGTTTCATATTTATACTAGCTTAATTTCAGTGACATATAGTAATGTTATCCCTATATAGTTCTATTTTATTCCCCCCTCTTTTTATGGTATCACTGTTATGCATATTACATCTATTAATGTTACAAACCTAACAATACATTGCTATAATTGTTAATTTGCTATCTGTAGTCTTTTCCTTCGCCCAGAGCAGCTTTTTTTCCCACTCACCTCCTTTGTGCCATTATTGGCAAATAGATTACATTTCTATACTTTACACACCCTGCAATATACTATAAACATATTATTTTATACAATTGCTTTTTAAATCAGTTAAGAGAGAAAAAGAAAATAGGCATTTATATTATCTTTTATAATTACACAATTGCCATTTTCTCTTTTTCATGCCCCTCTGTCTCTTTTTTAATCCTTGCCTTTCCTTCACTCTGATTCCCCTTCCTTGGCTGCTTATCAGACATCTGCAGACCTTCTTGTGACACTCGGGACAGGAATATTCAGATGCTTCTCCCCAGCAGCTATGGGACCTGCCACTGGAGCAGGAGAAACAGGGAGGCCACAGTGAACTCTGCCCTTGGAGCCCACACAGAGGTGTTCGCAGAAAAAGCACATCATGGTTGAACCCCTACTGTGTGCCGGGCACCAGACAAGACATGCTATAAGGAGGATCATTATCTTTACAACAGCCTGGCCAGGAAGGTGTCATCATTCCCATTTTGCAGATGAGAACGAGTAAATGATGACTTGCTTAAGGTCAACAGCTGAGTCAAGATTTTAACAGCAGTTTGTTTTATTCCAGTTCCAGAGTTGGATAAGCATCACATGACACTGGAAGGGATGCATATTTTATCCACATTTGGGCACATTCCTTGAGTGCAGACAGAGAATGTCTCCAGGTTCTCCTCCAGGAGGTACCCTGATAAATCCACCTGATTTTACTCTGTTCTCCAATAGAATCTAAAAATCAGGATGGGAAATGTGGTCTTGCGGGGGTTGAGGATTTTGTTTTGTTTTGTTTGTTTTAATTACATCTCCCTTTACCTTCCTGTAAAATAATGAAACACCTGGATAAAGGGGAAAATATTGAATCCCATTCATATTCCATCAAGCTGGGCAGCATCACCTCAGAACACAGATGCTTCTGTTACTTTTCAATAATTTTTAACCTTGTTTTCTCATTATACAAATAATACCAGCTGGGCGCAATGGCTCACATTTATAACCCCAGCACTTTGGGAGGCTGAGGCAGTCGGATCACTTGAGGTCAGGAGTTTGAGGCAGTCTGGCCAACATGGCAAAACCCCACCTCTACTAAAAATACAAAAATTAGCCGGGCATGGTGGTGGGCCCCTGTAATCCCAGCTTCAAAAAGCTGAGGCAGGAGAATCATTTGAACCTGGGAGGCGGAGGTTGCAGTGAGCCAAGATTGCGCCACTGCTCTCCAGCCTGGGCGACACAGCAAGACTCCGTCTCTAAATAAATAAATAAATAAATAAAGCAAGCACTAAAATGGAAGTAATATATAATCCTTGAAAGAAATTTTAAAATGCAGAAAAGTAGAAAGAAGAAAATATAAATCACACAAAATTCCTCTATTTAAAAACAACCACTATTAATATTTTGTAGCATTTTCTTGTGTGCTTTTTCCTCAAGCCTTCTGTGTGATATATTCTGTGTAAGGTCCTGCTTTTTTCATTTGACATTCCATGAGCATTTATCTGTGTCATTAACATTTCTTCATAAGCATGATTTTAACAACTGCCTGATCTTTCATCATATGACTTGATGCGCCCATCATCATACTCTTGAGCGCCCCAATTGCAACAACCTCATTGCACAGAAGGACACATGAGCATGATGGTGGGGCCCTCTCCTAGGCACTGGGGCAGTGAGAGGCCAGTGACAGGGAGGAGAGAGAGAGAAACAGGGAGCAGAGGAAGACATGGTCTCTGCCCTGGAAGAAACTGATGGCCAATTTGATGGACTGAAAGGAGTGGACTTTGAATTCTGGAAAGGATGGAGCTAGCAAAGTTGCTAGATCTAGAATTCAAAACTAAAGAGAAATAACAAGCCCAGAAGAAAAGATAGAATGCCTCAGTCCATCATCAACTCTAACGTAGCAACACTCAGACGCAAGTGCTCAGATGCAAATGGTGGTTTAGATTGATTAGACAGCTGTATGCAAGACAGATGGGAAGAGAATGAGCATGCAAGCAGAGACCAGCTAAGTGGAGGCAACTGCCCACTCCATGTCTGTTCCCTCCTTCAGGTAGCAGGACCTCTGTTTTTCTTGGGGAACCTCCTCCTCACTAGATCCAACCTTGATGGAATGGCCAACCAAGCAGCCCACCCTCCCTCAGCCAGGAGAGGAGCCTCAAATGCTCTCTCGCTGTGGGGCCAATTCTTAGCATAGGACGACACAGTCCTGGGACTCCTGCTTTGACTCCTGTCCTGGCTTAATTCAAATCATTCTTCAGTTCTGACGGCTGCCCTAGAATCTTCCAAAAGCTTCCCTCTCCTTAAGTTGTCCAGCCAGTTTCTGTTACTTTTCCTAAAGAATCCTGCCCACAGAGGAGTGAAAGCTGCAGAGTCCCTGGCACCATCATAATACAGGCCGGACAGACACCCGGTCATCTAATCATCACCACCACCAGAGGAGAATACTGGGCGGCTGCAATTCACCCCTGGCTGGCTGGTGCCGGTGCTCCTCAAACTCTGTGGTGTCGGACCCCAGAGCTTGGTGCTTGTCCTGACCACAGGGCTCAGACCCTTTCCAAGCTTAGCAGCTGACTGACCGATATACGGAAGCCTCAGAGGCACTGAGCCCCCAGGATGGCCCCTCAGTGAGCCCTAACCTCACCAGGGGAGGACAGAGTCCAATCCCAGGAGACCCTGAGATCCCAGCACCTCCCGAAGGGACCCTCCTTCAGTTTACACCAGGGGTCTAAAGAGTCGTTTCATGACAGGCGTGGACACAACACACAGAGTTGCAGCTCACTTTCTTAGCCTGAAAAATCTCCCCTATTAAAATAGATATTAGAATTAACCAGAATTCAGAAGACTGCCTGGCCTGTGGCAGAATGCTGTATGATTTTATTTCAAAAATGGTGATGATAATCACGATGATGATGACATTTTACCACAGTGGTGCCCAAACTTTACCAAAAAAAATGTATTATGGATGTATTCATGTTCAAACTTGTTTAACAGTATGTCATGTATTTTTTAAAAACTCTTACATGGAACACAATATTTAAAGGAGTTTGCAGAGACAAAGTGGCCCTTGTTGGATGGAGGAGGGGACAGAGCACACCCACCAGCCTCCTGTTTGTCCCTGTAGCATTTCTGTGGAAACTTAGGTCATGATTTGAAAAGTCGTTTCAGAAACACTTTGCAAACCAGCCTCTTAACTAGAGCAGGTCATTTTCATAGGAGAATCTGGACTCTGGGACAGCGCACAGGACAGCCTGTTGTAGCCTTTCGCAGGGCTCCATTGAATGGTCAATTGGTCATTTCCCTGATTCCAGCCTCCCTGAGAGGAGAGGGATTGTGGCAGGGATGGTCCTCATGACCCCTCTGACCTTCACCAGCCTGTGCTAAGTCTCTAACACCACTTAGTACTGAGACAACCCTGAAAGCCAAATACCATTAGTATCCCCATCTGACAGATTTTTTAAAAAAGAGTAAACGCATGGGGAGGTTAAATCACTTTCCTGATATCAGTTGCCACTAAGTGAGGTTCCAAGTTGAACCCTGAACAGAGTCCACACCCGTGGCCACTGGGGACCACACTGGGGACACACTGGGGACAACCAGAAAGAGCCGCAGCAGAAATGCCAAGGTGGGGAGGAAGAGCTTACATACTGAGGCCGGGCGACACCAACAGCTCCCAGCTCCCTCCCCATCCCCTGGTCCCCTGGCCAGGCCCTGGTAGGCAGGGAAACCATAAGAAAACTCCCTGCCTTCCACCCACCCAGAAGGGACCCTGGGAAGCTGAGCTGGGACCTTGGCTGGGGAAGGCAGAGAGGCAGGCAGAGTGGGGTGGCGCATGGGAGAGGCAGCAGCCTGGGCTTTAAGGGGCAGAAGTGGGGACAGCCCGAGATCCCATCTGTGCTGTGGTCCAGTCACCAGGCCAGAGCACACAGGAGTCCTAGCAGAGTAGCTGGGCTGGGCTGGGCACCCTGGGAGAGAAGCCCCAGCCACGTGCCTGGGTAGGGTGTGCAGCACGTGTCTGTGGGAGTTGGTCAAGTCTCCACGGCACAATGAGGGCCACTGCTGTGGAGTGGCCTGAAGGCCCAGGAGGCCTCAGGAGGATGCGCAGATGCCAATCCCAGCACCCCCTCACCCCTCCTCCTGCTCCCTGCCAAGCAGCCGAATCTGCCCTCCCAAGTCGCTGGGTGGAGCATTGCTTTTTCACTTCACCCCGGGTATGTCTTAAACGGTGGTGGTACCAACTGTGTACCAGGAGGCCTGCCTGGGGCAGGGCGGGCAGCTGTGGGGCAGCCAATGCCCATGTCACCAGCGGGGATGGTCAAACGGCAAAAGCACTGCAACAGTCTGAGGCTTGGTGCTCACCAGGATGCTGGGTTGCTGCCTGGGGGGAGCCCAGCAGAAAAGTGCTTCCAGGCCACGGCAGCTGGAGGGGAAGCCATTAAGGGGCGGGGGCCCAGCAGAAAGAGTGGCTCCAAGATGCCAGCATGGTCCCTGGCTCAGCCCCCACCTCCAGCCTGGGCCCCACAGTCAGCCTGCTCCATGGCCGGCCCCCACTCCTCATGGGGTTGAGCCCAGGTTGAGTCCCGAATGCTGTCAGCTCACAGAGCTCTCATGTCCAGGGCGCACTCCTGTCCTCAAGGATCCCCTCTGCTGGGAGAAGATGGGGTGCTGGGGCACACAGAGTAAGGGCCCAGCAGAACAGTATGGAGGCTAAAGTAACACCATCTTGGGTTAGTGCACTATGTTGACTTCTGGTTAACTCTGCTTCTGGGAATGCCCCTGAGATTTCCAGTTTATCTATTGTTCCTTGTGTGAGAGCAGGCACTTACCCTAAATCCTGCCCTTAGATCAGATTCCTGCCCATTCCTTCTAAAGCACGTACACCCTTTCCTGTGGTATAGAAGCCCTGGTCCTGGGGTAACAGTGCAGAGATCTTCCTGTCTTGCGGCCACCCAAGACCACGCTTCTGTCTGTACATTCCCCAGTAAAACCAACCTCTAACAACAAGTTGGCCTTGTCTGCCTCCTTCTGTGGTTTCTCCGCTCCTCCTGCCTTTGGGGGTCTCTTTGCATACACAGTTCATTCGGGAAACACACTGCAGAGACACACACATACAAGCTCAGAGCACTCAGAAGAGGTCTCCCCTGCAGCCCTGGCACTCAGCTCTGCCACACGGAGCTGGGAGGGACCAGGGAAGGGACAAACAGGACCCCTCAGCTTCCCAGGGCATGTGGGGGGTGGGGTTGGCACAGACCCAAGGGGAGAGAATCTGAGAGGAACCTGGGGCCAGAGTATTTGGAGTGTTCTTTGGTCTGGGTTCATGTCCAACCCCTCGCTTAGAACTCCCACAGGAACATGTTGTCATCCTTCAGAGTTGCCCACTGGACTCAGAATGAAGCCTGTACCACAAGGCAAGGCCACTGGTCCCCTCACAACCCCACTGCTGCTTTTGTTTTAATTGAATGACCACTGCGCTGACAGTGTGCACCTACTGCTCAGGCCAAGACAAGCACCTACAAAGGGGGGGTGCCCCAGCGCCCCATCCTGTCCTGGCAGAGGGTATCCTTGAGGACAGGAGTGCACCCTGGACATGAGAGCTCTGTGAGCTGACAGCATTTGGGACTCAACCTGGGCTCAAACCCCTGAGGAGCAGGGGCAGGCCACAGAGCAGGCTGAGGGGGCTGGAGGACGGGGCTGAGCCAGGGACCATGTGGGCATCTTGGAGGCCACTTTTTCTGCTGGGCCCTCACTCCTTAATGGCGCCCCCTCCAGCTGGCATGGCCTGGAGAGCTTGGTGAGGGAGGATGTGATAGTCCCTCCCGGAAGACATCCAGATGGTGTGGTAATCACTCATCCAAAGGCCCGCTCTGCACCAAGCAGAGTGCCCAGGTACTGGCTGCCCTGAGCACAGCCAGCCTCTTTGCATGGAACCAAGCCAACTTTTCGTCAGGCTATTTCAGGGTGGTGCAGATGCAGAGGTGATACTCCTGGCTGGACCCCCAAGCCCTGTCTCCCTGAGTACAAACACACAAGAACCCATGTGCGCTCCTGACTGAGCATGGGCGGTGTGACGGGAAGGAATGTTCTCCACGCCCCATGGGCCCCGTCTTTGGTGTAGCCCTTTGCCAAGATGACAGCGACGGGAGCAGTGAGACCGAGCATTCCACACAGACAAATTTAAAGCAATCCGCAAAATCTGGTTTGGATTCGCTCTAACACAAATGTCAGTGGAAGTCAGCAGCTCTGCTTTCAGGAAACCCAATCATCTGTCACAGGGAGTTTGCGTGGTTAAGAAAGACGCCTCTTTCCCCTGTCTTGCACCACATCATTAATCTCCTGGAACGGCTGGGGACCCGAGAGCACCATCAGCGGAAAATGTGAGCATGTGACGGAGTGTGCACTGCTCACTCACAGACCCCTCACAGATAGACATCAGCCTCAGAAGGAGGACTGGGAGGCCCAGGGGCCGCCACAGGAAGGAGGGAGGGCCACGCGCTGCAGAAAGCGATCTGATAGCTCACTGTCGGTTCAACTGAAACTCATCACCAGCGGCAGAGAGGGCAGATCTTCCTGTGAACCACAGGGTGGGGTGCTCACAGCTCCCACCCCCACCCCCACCCCCACCCTGGGTCCTGCGGGGATGGAAGGAGGGAAGCGGGAAGGAGGGGAGGAGGAAGGGAGAGGTAGCCCAGCCTACAGCCAGGGGCCCTCAGACTCTTGCAAACATCGCTGCACTGTGAGGCCAACAGCTCAGAGCTGTAGGGAAGTTCAGAGATAATTTGTGGCAAAAACGTGTTCAATTTTGTCAGAAAGAAACAGAACAGAGGGAAATGACCTTGCAGGCTTCTCACGCACACATTAGCCACAGCCTTGGCAGTGGGATTCAGGACTCTCAGCAACACCTTCTGGCATGGACAGAGTCAAAATGCCAATTCTCCACCCAGAGGCCAGCACAGATATTCATTAAGCATTGCTGGTGTGTAAGAGTCCATGCCTCCGGGTGCAGTGGCTCACACCTGTAATCCCAGCACTTTGGGAGGCCAAGGCAGGCAGATCACGAGGTCAGGAGTTCGAGACCAGCAGGGCCAACATGGTGAAACCCCATCTCTACTAAAAATACAAAAATTAGCTGGGCGTGTTAGTCCGTAGTCCCAGCTACTCAGAAGGCTGAGGCAGAAGAATTGCTTGAACCCAGGAGGCGGAGATTGCAGTGAGCCAAGATCACGCCACTGCACTCCAACCTGGGCAACACAGCGAGACTCTCAAAAACAACAACAAAAGAGTCCATGGTAGGTGCCCTGCCAGATCACAGGTGACAAATCATCGCATAAATAGTGATTTCATCTAAATTGTGGTAAAAAGCATGTAGAGCTGAGAGACCATAAAATCAGGGCACCTAATTTAGCCTGGGGCTGGGCAGCAGGGAGAACTTCCCTAAGGAGGTGACACTTCAGCAGAGCCTTGAAGTGTTTGTCAAACAAAAAAAATGGGCAAAGAGTGTTCCAAGGAAGAGGGTCCCTCCCCTGCCCCTCCCTTACTTCTCTAAGCAAGCTGTTTGCTCCACCAAGCTTACCACTTTCTGACCTTCACACACAATATGGTCATGACTTTCACATGTCCAAGAGCCTTCATTCATCCAGTCCCACCTTCATCTGCTCCTCTCACCCAGCAATTTAGCTCCTGCCCCCAGCCCAGGATCCCAGCCTCCTCCCACCCACCGCAGTGAGTGAATCCCAGCCTCCTCCCACCCGCCACAGTGAGCGGATCCCAGCCTCCTCCCGCCCGCCACAGTGAGCGGATCCCAGCCTCCTCCCGCCCACCACAGTGAGCAGATCCCAGCCTCCTCCTGCCACAGTGAGCGGATCCCAGCCTCCTCCCGCCACAGTGAGCGGATCCCAGCCTCCTCCCGCCACAGTGAGCGGGGATCCCAGCCTCCTCCCACACGCCACAGTGAGTGAATCCCAGCCTCTTCCCACACACCACAGTGAGCGGATCCCAGCCTCCTCCCACCCGCCACAGTGAGCGGATCCCAGCCTCCTCCTGCCACAGTGAGTGGATCCCAGCCTCCTCCCACACACCACAGTGAGTGGATCCCAGCCTCCTCCCACACGCCACAGTGAGCGGATCCCAGCCTCCTCCCACACGCCACAGTGAGCGGATCCCAGCCTCCTCCCGCCACAGTGAGCGGATCCCAGCCTCCTCCCGCCCGCCACAGTGAGCGGATCCCAGCCTCCTCCCGCCCGCCACAGTGAGCGGATCCCAGCCTCCTCCCACCCGCCACAGTGAGCGGATCCCAGCCTCCTCCCGCCACAGTGAGCGGATCCCAGCCTCCTCCCGCCACAGTGAGCGGATCCCAGCCTCCTCCCACACACCACAGTGAGTGAATCCCAGCCTCCTCCCACACACCACAGTGAGCGGATCCCAGCCTCCTCCCACCCGCCACAGTGAGCGGATCCCAGCCTCCTCCTGCCACAGTGAGTGGATCCCAGCCTCCTCCCACACGCCACAGTGAGTGGATCCCAGCCTCCTCCCACACGCCACAGTGAGCGGATCCCAGCCTCCTCCCGCCACAGTGAGCGGATCCCAGCCTCCTCCCGCCACAGTGAGCGGATCCCAGCCTCCTCCCGCCACAGTGAGCGGATCCCAGCCTCCTCCCGCCCACCACAGTGAGCGGATCCCAGCCTCCTCCCGCCCGCCACAGTGAGTGGATCCCAGCCTCCTCCCGCCCGCCACAGTGAGCGGATCCCAGCCTCCTCCAGCCAACAGTGAGTGGATCCCAGCCTCCTCCCGCCCGCCACAGTGAGTGGATCCCAGTCTCCTCCCACCTACCACAGTAAGTAGATGCCAGCCTCCCCTTATCCATCACAGCAAGTGATCCCAGCCTCCTCCAGCCCACTGCAATGAGCAGGGCTCAGCTTCCTCCAGCCCACCACAGTGAGTGGGGCCGAAGTGTGTGGTGGGCTCTTGCAGCTCCAGTACTGCAGACCCCATTGCCACAACATCGGCTGTAGGACTGGATGCACCATGGACTTTTAGCAACAAAAGAATGAATGAATGAATGATGAACCCTATAACATGTGGCAAAATGCAACATAAGGGAAACTCTGGGATTCCCATTCTTCTCTGGCCAACAGCCCACACCAGCCTGGCCAGTGGGTGCACTTGGGGGTCCTGAACATGAGCCCAGACTCTCCTCCCAGGTGAGAACAGTGCCATTTTACAGTCTTCAAAGAGCTTCTCCATTTGGTAGTCTTAAAAAACGGATTTACTGAAACTCCCTCCTGCTGTTTGTTATTTAAAGATTTGGGAAGCCCTTTACTTCTATTCGTCCCTTTCATCAGAGTCTCATGAGAAAGAGAACAACTTCAAGGCCTTGCTTTCTACCCTGTGGCGCTGGAGAAGGGTGGTCAAGGAGGGAAGGGATTTAACTAGAATGGCTTCTAGGGCCATCCCACTCTAACATTCCAGGGGTCCTCAGCCACCAGTCTTAGGGACAGTATTATCTTGAGCAGAGGCAGTGACTTGCAAAGATCCCTTGGCTGATCAGCAGCAAGGTTGGGATTCTATTGTGGCTCTGGCCCAAGGACCCCATCCCACTTCCCAGTAACTGTCCAGGAAAGATGCTAAGGCTCAGCCCCTGCCAACGTGCGTCTCTCCAGCCCAGGTCACAAAGAGGCCTTAGCCTGAGGACTCAAATAACAAGTGCTCCAAGCACAGTATCCATGCAGCCAACCTCACGTGCTCAGCTTCCAGGCCTTTGCATCTCAGCCTAATGGAGCAAGCTGTGAGCACCATGAAATTTTAGCTCTCCTGAGCCCCTTGAATCCAGGGCCCCCAGAAGTAAGGACAGCAGGATGATCAATTGATAAATGTCCTGGACACCAAGACACCTTACCAGGGCCTCTGATGTGACCTGTGACCTGCTGACTGACCCAGTGGAAAGGAAGGAGGCAAGCTCATGTCAGCTGACCAATCACCATGCATCAATCACACAAACTTAGTTTTTATGCATGAGGAGGTGCTGATGAGTTGGAATTTTAAGAATCAAGACAGCTTCCAGGATGTAGGAGTAAAGACAAGTCACCTTGCAGTTCACTTTTGTTTCCTGGGGACTTCACAGGAGTGGTCCCTGACTAGTTATAATCTCAGCAAAGTATCTTTGTCCCCCAGGAAAGGCTATCAGAAGACCTTTTGTTTTCTGCATTGTATAATCCCTCAAAAAGAATCTCAAGGGCTTTCTTGGAGGAAAAGGAACAACATCACAACCCTGCAGTCCATGGGTGGGCACAATGCAGTTTGTGTGGGGACCTGGAACTAGGCCTTCACCAGAGCAGCGAACCAGCATTCACAGAGCTGTGCAGGGCTTGTGTTCAACAGTGACACCTTGTGGCTACAACAGAAACCACAGTGCCTCTGGATTCTCCAGGTTTCTCTCTGGTGTCTGGAAGCAGTACCAGCTCCAGGTTCTTAGGTAGTTTGGGGAGTTTCTGCCCTTCCTACAAATTGAGCTGGTGAAAACTCTAGAAGTTCAGTGCCATGTAAACATCTCTCTCTATCTTCACCAAGCTGGTAAGGAGCCATTCCAATTCTGCATGCACTGTCTTGTTTAATGCTACTACCTGAGTGGCACATACCCATTGTCTGCATTTTGCAGATGAGGGTGTTCAGAGGTTAACGACTTTCCCAAACTCATACACCACAAGTGGCAATGCTGCAATTCAAGCCACAATCCTGCACCCCACAAGGCCTCACTCTGCTTACAGCAGAAGTCAGAAACTAAAAAACATCTCAGGGTCACACTGCCTCCAGGTATTGTCTCCCCTTGGGTCCAGCCCAGTTAAAGCTTCCCTGAAAACCCATCTCTATCTGCAACTTCTCCAGTCAGCATAATGCCTTTGGTATTTGATTCACATGTGAACTGAGCCCCTTGGATCAAAGACTACATGTGCCACATGGCATATTTTTTTCGGGGGGGTGTGTGAGTGTGTATGTTCGTGTTCATTTTGCTTAGCTAGTGCAAGAAACATGCCTAAGCAATCAGCATAACTTTTGAAAATCAATTTGTATTCTGCCAGCCTGAGTGTCATTAACAACCTCTGCTAATACAGCAGTAATGAACATCTGGAAACACAGCAGCTGCAGGGGGAATGGGGTACAAAAAACACTAAGATGACAGCTTGTTTTTCATAAGCTAGATTGGCTCTATGCAAATGGGAAAGGAAACAGAGACAAAATGGAAACCAGAGACAGAGCAGGGGAAAAGGAAGAGAATGAGCTGCTATGCCCCAGGAACATGGTCAATGGGAAGTCACCCACTCCTCAGGCACTACTGGCCTGTCCTCTCCCAGCCAGGCCTCCCTCAGGCAGAGTGCAGATGTGCTCTCAGGCATCGCTTGGCCATCAGCCTATGACTGTCCACAGGGTTAGCACCAGGTACAGGTGAGCTCCAGTAGGCCCTCCTGGCCAGGCAGGCTGTGAAGGTGTCCCAGGGTAGGAGATGTTCAGGCCTGGCCTGAGGCCTGAATGACTTGTGTCAGCTGAGCAACAGAAGAGGACACTCCAGGCCAAAAATGCTGCTAGTGTTGTAATCAGCCAATGGGTTCTTCCTGCCTGCTACACAAACAAAATCAACACACTAAGACCATGATATTGCAGTAAAGAAAGAATTTAGTTGATGTGAGGCCAGCCACGCCATTGAGGAGACAAAGTTATTACTCAAATCAATCTCCCTGAAGGTTAGAGGTTTTCCAAAGATAGTTTAGTGGGCAGGGGACTAAGGTAGGAGGCATGCTGATTGGTTGGGTCGGAGATGAAATCATAGGGAATGGAAGCTGTCCTCTTGTGCTGAGTCGGCTGCTGGGTGGGGCCACAGGACTGGCTTGCAGGTCCAGTCACAGTCATCAGAAATGTGAAAACCTAAAAAGACATCTCAAACGGCCAAACTTAGTGACAGCAGCAGCGGCTCATCTGGAGAGGCCACTGCCATCATGCTGGTTCCAGCAGGGAGGCACAGCTGGGACTGCACACTCCACAGAGCCAGTAGGAGCCAGGGATAAGTGGGAGCCCTGCCCCTTACAAGTTGGTGGGGCGGGAGCTCCCCGGGTGCAGCTACAGCTGCCCAAGTTGTGGCTGCGAAACCAGGCCTCCCTGTGCTCTTGGAGGGACCGGGAGCAGACAGGAGCCCTGCCTTTGCCACAGCTGCAGAGCCAGGCATCTTTGCACTCTCAGGGTCCCGAGAAGGCCCCCTCCTGCCCCTGAAGGCTGAGTTGTCTGCTCCCACTGCCTGGCCTCTCCTGACTCCTGGCTCCCACTCCAATCTTCAAGTGGGGTTGGGGCCAAGCCCAGGCACTGATATAGCCCAGCTGGGTGTGCGCACACTCAGGGCAGTGCTGACACACCAACCCCCTGCTGGCTTGGCCCTCTCTGGACTTTGGGTGCCAAGAAGCATGGGAGGGAAGTTAAGGGTTGGCTGAAGGCAGCTCGGCGATGGCCTACAGGCACCCCTGGCATGAATAGCCTGGGCACTATGAATGGCAGCAGGAGGCAGAGAGGCTCCTGGGTGGATGGGGAAGGGTTCCCAGTGAGGCCCCACCTTCAGGCCAGGGAGGGCCTGAAGACTGGGGGCTGGGCTGCCAGTCCCATGGACCAGAGTGGGAACTTGTGGTGTCTTTCCTGGGCCCGCCCATGGCTACCAACAGCTGACCACAGACCAACTGGCGTGGACTTTCTCCCTTTTGAAGCCCATAAAAGCCCCAGGCTCAGCCAGAGCTGAGCAGACATTGAGACAACCATCTGCAGAGAGGAGCTACTCACTCTAGGAGTCTGCTTGCCTCCTTCTTCCTGGACACAGGACAAGAACTTGGGACCTGCTGAATGGTAGGTCTAAAAGAGTTGTAACATAAACAGGGCTAAAACATGCCTCTTGCTCACCACATTGCAGGTGAGAAGGTGAGAAGAGCTGCAGCCCTTTGGGGAGCCCAGACTAGGAGTTCCTGGAAGTAGGGCTGTGACTCCCTCTTTGGAGCCCTGTAGTTCCTGGATTCTCCAAGCTTCCAGGTGCTACTGTGTTCCCCAGTGGCAGCCGTGGAAGCTGCTTGTGGTGTGCCTGGTCCAGCCACAACCTCACAGAGAGCCAGTGCCCATGCCTGCACCCGGAGCTGCCTACCCTGCTGCAGCAGCCAGTGTGCCTGACTGGGCATGGTGGCTGGACTCCAGGCTCACTCACTTACACACCCCTTATTGCTCCATGCCTGGCTTGCCCTTGGCAGGCATGGGATCCAGGCTGGCAGCATGAGCCAAGCACAGCCTGCTAGGCCAAGTGGGTGGAATGAGCCCAGCAGGCCTGAGCAAAACTTGGGCAAAGGCATCTCCAGCTACAGAGGTTTCCAGCCAGAAAAGTGACATCCCGAAGAGCCCATAACATTTGGTTCTACAATAGTGATGTTATCTGCAAGAATAATTGGGGAAGTTGCAAGTCTTATGACCTCCAGAATAATGAACTGGTAATTATTGAAAATTCAAGCCCCTCTCATCCTCCTAACTTGATGGATTTTCATTAGTTTTACAAGAACAGTTTGGGAGAAGGGTTATTATCATTTAAACTATAAATCAAAAAAAATAAAAATAAAAAAATAAACTATAAATCAAATTCTCACAAAGTTAGCTTGGCCCACACCCACCAAGGAATGAGCAAAGACATAGAAGCAAGATGGAGTCCACCATGTCAGATTTTTCTTACTATCATACATTTGCAAAGGTGGTTTCAGCATGAGGGTGAGGAGCATCCTGAGAAGGCCAGGGCCTCAGAGCAGGAGAAAGGTCAGTCCAGAGGGCCTGAAGGCCCTGCCAGGGATGTGCACTTCATCCTGCAAGTGTAGGGGTGACATGAATCTTCTTAGAGCTACATTACGGATGGGACCAATGTGCCATTCCCCAGGGGACAGATGTGTGAGGTCCTGCTGGTATCCAGGTCATAACCTTCCCCACCCTGCAGGGCAGGGCTCCTAGAAGCCCCCTGGCACTGCACACCCCAGAGATTCATCAGGCAGCAGGACAGATGAGGTCCTGCCCTCTCAGAACCCACAGACAGGGAACAGAAGCAGCAGACTAGCTTGGGGACCATCCTGAGGGGGCAGGTGCTCTTTCTCCTGGAGTGTCCCAGAGTGGTTTCTCAAAGAAGACAGGCAGCACCCAAGCAGCTTCATGGGAAAGTGGGCATCAGGCAGAGGAACCCACAGGGGCAAAGCTGGGTGTGCAGAGTCTCAGTTCTGATGCCAGGGAAAGTGAGAGGGAGGCTGGCGGGTGAAGAAAGCCAGGGGGAGGGTGCCACTCCCATACTGCCCCACAGGGCAAACACTGAGGACAACCTGGCCCAGCCCAGGAAAACAAAGCTCCACCTGCACCCAGGCCTCTGCAGGCAGCTCCTTCCCAGCGCCCAGCACTCACACATCAGGAGGCTGGGACAATTTGGAGGAGTGGGGGCAGGAAGGGGGGCAGCAGGAGGACCCCTTCGGCATTCTGTTCTCTTTTGGTGAGGCCTTTCCTTGCTTAGACCCTAAGCATCCTCCTTTAGTGCTTCACAGATTGAATGTAAAATTCATCAGAGGCTCTCGGTAGATGCCCAGCCCCACACTAAGCCCTATAAGAGGAAAATGCACTCCCCAACCAGTTCATAACATAGTTTTCATCTCACCAGAAGGATAGGTCTCAACTCTGAAAAATTGGAAAATGCAGGAAAATACAAGGAAAATTTGAAAGTGTCTATAATCCTACTTTATTGTTGGTATTTAGGTATTTTCCTACATATACAGATATGCAAAATTATATTCAAATGGTGTTTCTGTGTTTATTTTAATCTATAGAAGCTGGATTTTCTGCCCTTCTAAGTAGCATTGTTTTTTGTTTTGTTTTGTTTATTGCAAGGTAGAGCAGTGAGGAATGGAGGCATAGCTGGCACTTTTGTGACCTTTTAGAACCCTTGGTTTGCAGGCTGATGATAGGTCAGCCTGCACAAAGACCCCTGCCTTGGGGAGGGTGTGGAACCAGACCCCCACCTCTGCTTCCTGAGAAGTGAAGTGAGGGTCACCTGTTAGGACCTATGTACTACATTATCCTAAGGAAAGGCCCTACTGGTGACCTGGAGTCAATGCCAGTGGCAGGGACCAGAGAAGCACTGCTTTGGGTCCAAACGCACCTCATCCTAGAGGGTCTCTGGGAAGTAATGCTGAGCATAGGAGATGACCCCAAAAGAGCTACCCTGTGCAGAGAAGCACCAGCAAAGGGATCTCCCCAGTAGGAGACCAGTGTCTCCATCCAACAACCAGCAGTCGGTATGGGGTGAGGATCCTCAAAACAATGATAAAAGGGATGAGACACTAGGTCTCTCTCACTCCACGTCTAATCTTGGTTTGTTTTGATTACTGTAACTTTGTAATAAGTTTTGCAATCAGAAAGTGTGACTCCTCTCACTTTGTTTTTGTTTTACTTTTTCAACATTTTTTTGGCTACCTGGGGTCCCTTGCAATTCCATATTCAAGGCTTGTTTTTTTCATTTGTGCGAAATAAGTCATTGGAATTTTGATAGAGACTGCACTGAATCAACAAATTGCTCCATGAACATGCGCTGTCTATTTAATTCAGTGTTCTAAAATTTCTTTCAGCAATGTTTTATAGTTTTCACTGTACAAGTCTTTCACATCATTGATTAAATTTAATCCCAGGTATTGTATATTTTGGATAAAATTGTAAATGAAATTGTTTTCTTAATTTCCTTTCGTATTGTTCACTGCTGGTTTATAAAATCACAACTTACTTTCATGTATTGACCTCGTATCCTACAACTTGCCTAAATGTGTTTATTGCCTCTAGTAGTTATTTGTGATTTATTTGTGATTTTCAACCTATAAAATCATGTCATCATCAAATGGAAATCGTTTCACTTCATTCTTTCCAATCTGAGTGCCTTTTCTTTCTTCATCTTGCTAACTGCTCTGTCTAGGACCTCCAGTACAAGGTTGAGTAGAAACAGTGAAAGGGGACAGCCTTGTCCTGCTCCTGATATGGGCTTTCAATCTTTGAGTATAATATTAGCTGTGGTTTTTTTCATAAATGTCTTTTATCATGTTAAGGAAGTTTTCTTCTCTTCCTAGTTTGCTTAGTGTTTTTATCATGAGAAAGTATTTAATTTTGATACTTTTTTCCTGTATCTATTGAGATGCATGTGGGGTTTTTTTCCTTCATTCTATTAATACAATATATCACACTGATTAATTTTCTTATGTTGAGCTATGCTTGCATTCTTGGAATAAACCCCACTTGATCGTGCTGGATAATACTTTTAATGTGCTGTTGGATTTGGTTGCTACTGTCTTGTTTTGTTTTGAAGATTTTCGTATCTATATTCATAAATTATATTGGTCTATAATTTCCTTGTGGTATCTTTCTCCAACTTTGGTATCAGGGCCTCGTAGAATGTGTTAGGAAGTTGTTATGAACTAAATTGTGCCCCTCAAAAATTCATATGTTGAAGCCCTACCCCCCAATCTCTCTCTCTCACTCTCTCTCTCTCACACACACACGCCCTGCATGCATACACAGAGGAAAGGCCATACGAAGGCAACCATCTGCAAGCCAGGAAAGGAGTCCTTCCCAGAAAACAATACTGCTGGCACTTTGATTTTAGACTTCCAGCCTTCAGAATCATGAGAAATAAATGTCTGTCATTGAGGCCACCCCAGTCTGTGGGATCATGTTATAAAAGCCCAAGAAGACTAGTACAAAAGTGGTCTCTCCTTTTCTGTTTTTTGGAAGATTTCGAGTAGCATTGATGTTAATTTTTCTTTAAAAGTTTGGTAGAATTTACCAGTAAGACCATTTGGTGCTGGGCTTTTTTTTAACTTTTATTTTAGGTTCAGGGGTACATGTGAAGGTTTGTTACGTAGGTAAACTCATGTCACGGGGGTTTGTTGTACAGATTATCTCATCACCTAGGTGTTAAGCAAATAGTTATCTTTTCTGTTCCTCTCCCTTCCCCCACCCTCCACCCTCAAGTAGACCCCAGTCTCTATTGTTTCCTTCTTTGTTTTCATAAGTTCTCATCATTTAGCTTCCACTTATAAGTGAGAACATGTGGTATTTGGCTTTCTGCTCAAGATAGGCCTTTATTTCTTTCTTTATTTTAGACAGGGTCTGGCTCTGTTGCTCAGGCTGGAGTGCAGTAGTGTGATCTCAGTTCACTGCAACCTGTGCCTCCTGGGCTCAAGCAATCCTCCTACCTTAGTCTCCTGAGTAGCTGGGACTACAGGTGCATGCCACCATGCCTGGCTAATGTTTGTATTTTTTGTAGAGATGGGGTTGTGCCATGTTGCCCAGGCTGGTCTCAAACTCCTGGGCTCAAGCAATCCACCTGCCTTGGCCTCCCAAAGTGCTGGGATTACAAGTTTGAGCCACTGTGCTAGGCCTGGACTTATTTTTGAAAGTTTTTTGATTACTGATTCAATCTCTTTACTCATTTTAGGTCTGAGATTTTCTATTTCATCTTGAGTCAGTTTTGGCAATTTGTGTATTTCTAGGTAGGAATGTGTTCATTTCATCTACTTTGTCAAATTAAGTGGTGTAAAATTTTCATGATATTATCTTATAATCCATTTAATTTTGATAAGGTTGGTAGAAATTTTTCTACTTTAATTTCTGATTTTAATTGTTTATGTCTTCTCTCTTATTTTCTTAGACTAGATAAAGGTTTGTCAATTTTGTTGATCACTTCAAAGAACTTGTTTTTGGGTTTGTTGATTTCTCTATTGTTCTTCTAGTCTATTTTGTTTATCTCTGCTCTAAGTTTTATTATTTCCTTCCTTCTGCTGGATTTGGATCTAGTTCTTTTATTTCTGTAGGTCCTTAAGATGTAAAGTTAGGTTAATGAGTTAAGTTTTTCTTCTTTTTTAATCTATGCATTTATGGCTATAAAATTCCCTCAGAGCACTGCTTTCACTGCATCCTATAAGTTTTGGTGTGTTGTGTTTTAGTTTTCATTCATCTCAAAGTATTTTTTTCTTAGCAATTTCTTTTTTGACACCATTTTGTTGTGTAAGAATGTGTTATTTAATTTCCACCTGTTTATGTATTTTCCAGGTTTTCTGTTGACTTCTAGCTTTATTTCTCTGGGGTTGGAGAAAATACTTTGTATGGTATCGGTCTTTTTAAATTTACTGGGAATTGTTTTATGGCCTAAATATGGTCCCTCCTAGAGAAAATTTCAAGTGCACTTCAGAAGAATATGTATTCTGCTGTTGTTGGGTACAGTATTCTTTTTTGTTTGTTTGTTTTTTGTTTTTTGAGATGGAGTCTTATCTGTTGCCAGGGCTGGAGTGCAGTGGTGCGATCTCGGCTCACTGCAACCTCTGCCTCCTGGGTTC
Organism: Homo sapiens; assembly: GCF_000001405.40. Lineage (NCBI taxonomy): Eukaryota > Metazoa > Chordata > Mammalia > Primates > Hominidae > Homo > Homo sapiens. The sequence continues at coordinate 128,461,355 of NC_000002.12, read as the reverse complement.
AAGCAATTCTCCTGCCTCAGCCTCCTGAGTAGCTGTGATTACAGGCACCCACCACCACGCACAGCTAATTTTTTTGTATTTTTAGTACAGACGGAGTTTCACTATGTTGGTCAAGCTGGTCTCAAACTCCTGACCTTGTGATCCGCCCACCTCGGCCTCCCAAAGTGCTGGGATTACAGGTGTGAGCCATCATCCTTTTAACCTTCAACCTATTTGCGTCTTGGGGTCTAAAGTGTATCTATTGTAAGTAGCATATAGTTAGATCGTGTTTACTTTTAAATTTTATTTTGCAAATCACTGTCTTTTAATTGATAAGTTTAATCCATTTACATTTAAAGTGATTACTGATAATGAAGGAGTTACCTCTGTCATTTTTCTATTTTTTCCACGTATCTTACATTATTTTTTCTCAATTCCTCCAATACTGACTCATTTTGTATTGAATTGATTTCTAGTTTGCAACCTTGTTTTTCTCTTTATTTCCTTTTCTGTATTTTTTTAGTTATATAGATGAGAGGTTTCTATGTTGCTCAATCAGGCCTCGAATGCCTAGTCTCACCACCTTATGCACCAGGACAACAGGCCTGAGCCACCGCAGCTCCCTCTGTATTTTTTTAAATATATTATCTTAGTGGTTACTATAGGAGTTGCAGTTAACATCCTACATTCATAAAAATCTAGTTTGAATTGCTGCCAACTTATAATAGCTTCAATAGCATTCCTTAGCTTTATTCCTACACCGATCCATCTTTGTATTGTGTTGTCGTAAGTTGTATCTTTATAAAATACATACTTGTGTGTTCATTAACATAGATGCATAATTATTGTTTTGTTTGTCTTTTACATCATATAGGAAACAAAGAGAGATTTTACAAACCAAAAAATACGATAATACTAGTTTCTATATTTACCTACGCAGTTACTTTTGCTGGAGAGCCTTGTTTCTTTTTTTTTTTTTTTTTTTTTTTTTTGAAAATACACTACCCCATTTTGGAGGACAAAGTTTATTGCTCACCCTGGCACCAGCAGGCCACACAAGGAATGCCGGCTATCTTTCCTCCAGCTACCTGCCTCAAGACTGGGGATGGAGGATGGTAGCTGTTACATAAAATACCAAATTTTACCAGCCCTTTTCTTCATCAAGCACTTCCCTGAAGGCTGCAACTATTTGACTAAATTCCAGAGCTCCAAAATCACTAATTCTGACAGTTCTTGCCAGCTCACTAGTTGTTTGCTGGAAGGATGAATTCCTGGAGCTTTCTACCTTGTGCCATTTTCCATGACATGTAACTGGCTGTTATTCTACCATTTTGTGGATAACTGTTCATTTTTTCCATAGTTATTATTGTATCCAGGTTTTCTCTCTCTTTGGGAGTAAGTTTTGATCATTTATATTCATCTGGAAGATCACCTATTGAATTGTATTTGGCAATTTCCTAACCCTTTTTTAGTCTCCTCCACATCTGAGATACTGCCCCCCACCCTTCCAAATCCCTGTGCTTTAGGCTTTTTCCTCCCCACCATGAGGATGCAATGCTTTGGGTCATAAGGTTGGACATACAATGAAAGTTTTGTTTCTGTTTTTTTTGTTTGTTTGTTTGTTTGTTATTTAACAGAGTTTCACTCTTGTTGCCCAGGCTGGAGTGCTATGACGCAATCCTGGCTCGCTGCGACATCTGCCTCCCAGGTTCAAGTGATTCTTCTTCTCAGCCTCCCGAGTAGCTGGGATTACAGGCATGTGCCACCACACCCAGCTAATTTTTGTATTTTTAGTACAGATGGGATTTTACCATGTTGGTTAGACTAGTCTTGAACTCCTGACCTCAAGTGATCCACCTGCCTCAGCCTCCTGAAGTGCTGGGATTACAGGCGTGAACCCACCGTGACCAGCCTGTTTCTAATTATAGTTATATTTCCAACGTTTTTACAGCCTCCTTTTTATTAATTAGAGTGAATCCAAGTTTAGCTCTGAATCAATCATACTCCACTCACTTGCATTCTGGGAGAGTTTCCTGAGTGTTTGAGGAATTGAGCTCCCTGGAGGGAGTGTGGACTTACACATTAACCCGAGTCCTCCCATAGAGAACTGTTTTTCCTGTAGTGCCATCCATCATATGTATACAGGGCAAACACATTGCGGCCAGCAGCACCAGCTAGTGATTTATTTATTTTGTTGAGGGTTTCCAAAGAACCAACTCTGGTATTTATTTGTGATTTGGGGTTTTTAATTCATTAACTTCTATCTATCAATCCCTTTGTCTTGCTTTCCTTGTATTTACTTTATTCTTCTCTTATTAACTTGAATTGAAAACTTGCCTTATCTATTTTTCTTCTGTTCTTCATAACATTGAAAAGCATTTAAGGTCATGAATTTGCTTCATTATAACTTTGACAGTTCTCCTAGCTCTTGATATATAGGGTTTTCACGTTCCTGTTTTCTCACTATTTTGCAATTGCAGTTTTAAATTCCTCTTTGATTCAAAAGTTACTTAGAAAACAGTTGCAATGTTTTTATGTTTATGTTTAATTTTCACATGGATGGAGATTTTTGGTTTCTCTTTTGTTGTTAATCTCCATTTTTGCTGTACTAGGTCAAAGCACTGACCTGTACAATTTCTATTAGGGGAAATTTACTAGAATTTTTTTTCTTACTTTGTTGCCTAATGAATGCAATATTTCTGTAAGTGTCCCATGGGCACTGGAGAAGAACTGGGCTTCTCAGCCTTAAGGGCACAGTTTGATATGTAAACTATTAAGTCATCTTACTGATTACATTACTCAGAATCCCCACGTTCTTATTGACTTCTCAGGCCCTTAGGGAGTTATGTTATGGTTTTCCACTCTTACTGCGTATCTTTCAGGTTTTCCTTATGTTCATGGGTGCAGTTGGAGGGGGATGATATCAACCTAGGGCCCAATATTGCTCTGGAATCCTGTTGTTTAGGGCAGATAAGCACAACTGACAAATGTCCCTGAGCAAAGGAGAAACAGCACATCCAGTGACAGTGGCATGTGAGGGGATTTCCCAGATTCCAGGGCTTTGGACAAGCCCCTATAGAAACTACCTGGGGAGTTGCACAGAAATATGACACCAAGTGAAGGAATGTGAAATTATACCCAGCCCCTACTTAAAATCATACCCACCTTCCCCCAAGTCTGCCCCTTTATAGCTTTAGCTCCTCTGTCCCCTTCTTAGAAGGGCACTAATCCCAGGATATACATACAAGAATGACCATAGTGGAAATACCCATATTAGCCAAATATTGGACACAATGCATACGGCCATCAAAAGTAGAATGGGTAGAGTATATTCACACATCAGAGCCCCATAGAGCAAAATACAGAAGCAGCAGCACATACAACACGAATAGGCAGGCATGTGGCAGACCCACAGCACCCTGAGCCCCGGCCTCCACTGGGACTGTCTTAGTGGGCTGCGATGCCATAACAAAATTCCACAGACCAGGTGGCTTAAACAACAGACACATTTCTCACCATACTGCAGGCTGGAAGTCCGAGATCAGGCTGCCAGCCTGATTGGGCTCTGGTGAGGAGGGCCCTTTTCCTGGCTTGCAGATGGCTGCCTTCTCATTGAATCCTCACATGGCAGAGAGAGAAAGAGACAGACAGAGAGAAAACTCTCTGGAGGCTCTTCTTAGACGGGCACTAATCCCAGCATGAAGGCCTCACCCTCATGGATTTCCTTTAACCTTAAGTACCTACCAAAGGACCCACTGCCAAATAGCATCACATTGGGAATCAGGGTTTCAACTCATGAATTTGGGGGGACACAATTCAGCCCCTAGCAGTAACTCCAGGGACATCCCCTGCACTGGGCCTGGACAAGCACCCATTGTGTCTAGACCCTCAGCTAAAGGACCTGCTGCCCCCTAGCTCCTGGTCAGCACAGGCTCAGTCATCACTTGGGTTGGTCTGCGCGTGGTGATGAGAACTCTGCATGCTCATCCAGCCTGGCCAGCATGCGGGAAAGGTTTCTGGTGGGCATTCCTCAGAGCAGAAGCAGGCAGCAGCAGGCAGGAGGCAGAAGAAGGGACAGCACAAGCAAGCCAGGGGGTGTGCATGATGGGGGGATTGGGCAGGGCCATAGTGTGAAGCACAGGTCAGGAGGGGCAGGAGATGGGACTAGAACTGTAGTCTGAGACCTGGAGGCTGTGAGCACCAACCGGCAGCCTCCATCTCCATCCATGCTCAGCAAGAGGGAGGCACCCTGGAGGGTTTATGTGGGGTGGCCTGGTGGGGCCTGTGTAGGCAGTATCCCCAGCCCTAAGATGAGGCTGACAAGTTCTGGGCCCACAGGGCTCAGGCTGGGGTATGGGACAGCAGCAGTTGGAGTTCATGGTGGAAGCAGAGAGGAAGAATGGATTTGAGAAGGACTGAGAGCTTTTTTTTTTTAGATGGAGTCTTGCTCTGTCACCAGGCTGGAGTGCTGTGGCATGATCTCATCTCACTGCAACCTCCGCCTCCCGGGTTCAAAGGATTCCCCTGCCTCAGCTTCCCGAGTAGCTGGGACTACAGGTGCGTGCCACCATGCCCAGCTAATTTTTTGTATTTTTAGTAGAGACTGGGTTTCATCGTGTTGGCCAGGATGGTCTTGATCTCCTGACCTCGTGATTCACCCACCTCGGCCTCCCAAAGTGCTGGGATTATAGGTGTGAGCCACCACAACCTGCCAGGACTGAGAGATTTATTGTTGGTTGGGCAGAGTGGGAAGGAGTGAGAGGCAACTGGTGGGGAGTCACGCATCAAGCTAGTGAGCAAGAAGTGGGATGCCAGTTGGGAGGGACAGAACACAGGAGAAGGGGAGGCAGGGGGATGAGGGTCAGTGTGTTCTGGGACTTGTTGAGTTTGATGAGCCAGTGGGAATTTGTCATGTGAGACCCCTATTAACCTCGACAGGGCTGGCACCAGGGTCATGAGGCCAAATAAGAGACCCACAGCCAGCAAAGGAGACATGGGGTTTCTTGAGGGGAACTTCCATACAGGGCAGTCCAGCGGCAGCGGGCTGGACAGGAGAACTGCCACTGTTTGTAAAACGCATGCAGTTTATATAGCATTTTCACTTAGCACCCTTCCCCAACAACCCCCGCCTAGTAACCTTCATTTCACCCAAAGCAAAGGGTCTGGATCCCCTGTAAGGTCTGTGTTCCACAGGACGGGACAGGGTCTTAGATGTTTCTCATAGATAAGGAATGAATCTCTGGGTTGGCCAATCCCGAACTCATTAGCTCTGAACTCCCAACACACATTCAGGTGCATCTGCCATACACGGTCATTCTCAGGGTATGCTCAAGTTATTGCTATCGGGCACATCTGCCCTACAGAATTCCAGCAGAAATACCCAGTGGGAGTGGTGGATCTGGAAACAGGAATGTGGGCAGAGCTGAAGCTGCTCTCCTGGGGGAGGGCTGCTATTGCTGTGTGGGTGTGCCTGAGAAGAGTAGTAGGGGAGGACACAGCCCACCAGCAGGTCAAGGTGGGCAGGGAGTTAAGGTCCAGTGGGAAGGAGTGCAGGGATCAGGAAGTGGCCAGCCAGAAGACATGAGATGGGAGAAGCTACATGTGAGGATTCTGATGCAGGGCATGCATGGAGCCCCACAGGATGACATCAGATCTGTCCACGGCTCCACAGCATTTCCTGACTGCCTCCATCTACCCTGCAGACCCACCTGCCCTGGGGTTTCCTTTGGATCTGGCTGACCAGATGCCCTTGTGGGAGCCTGGAGGCTGGAGGAGAGTGGATGGTGAGACCCAGGCCTCCAGCTCTCACCCTGCCAGGCCACAGTGGTCAGGGCTATCAGGTTCTAAGCCCAAACTGAGGTCCAAGGGGAGTTGGTGGGCAGGTGGCGGGTAGCTGGAAAACACACTCGAGGAATCATAGGCAGTTTCGACATGGCTTTATTCTCTCTCTGGGCGTGAGCCATACGTACAGCGCCAGCAGTACATTTTACAGACAATAGCAGCTCCGGGCCAACCACGAGCTCGTGTGAGTGGTCACTTAATGCATCTCACATGGCATGGTTATATAATGTGTGGAGTTGTACACCTTCACTCCAAACCCACTGAGTCATGCTGTGCCAGAGGGCCACCTCGACCTACTCCTGACTGAAGTGCAGCCATTTCCCTTACAAGAGCTGTGCCCTCTAACTGAAGCCCTGACTTCTCTGAGCTGCTCTTCCTACAACCAGAGCTTCCCCTGGGTTCTGGTTCAGCCCCTGGCTGGTTCCACAGCATGCCTGCAGGTCCCTCCACGCTGCCCTGCTGTCCTCAACAGTCCCCTCATCAACCCCTCCCCAGCACCCAGGTTGAGTGTGCCCTCTGTTTCCTGCTGGAACTCTTTCCAGTACATCACTTTCATGCCAAGCTATCTCAGAGAAGGCTCTTTCATTTGCAAGGGAGAAAAGTATGCCTAAGCCACTGTGTCAGGGGCTCTAAGATCACTCTCAGGCTTGACGATTCTCTAGAAGGGCTCACAGGACTCAGAAAAAGGTGTCATAATCACATTTATGGTTTATCTCAGTGAAAGGATATGGATTCAACCAGCAGAAGGAAAGGGCACATGAGTGATATCCAAGAGACTGCAGGTGTGAGCTTCCAGGTGTCCCCTCTCAGTGGAGTGTGACATGTTTTCTTGGTTCAGGGATATACTATTATACTCCCAGCAATGATGTGTGACAACCTTTGTGAAGTGTTCCCAACAGGGAAGCTCACCCAAGCCTTTGTGTCCAGAGGTTTTATTGGAGGACAGTCACATAAGCACACAGCTTCTGCATGACTGACCTCAACTACTCAGACTCCAGCCTGCCCCTAAGCAAAAGCAGGGGTTCACCATACAGCACATTGTCAGGATAAACTTACCTAGTCAAACTGGCACAGCTGACCCAAAGCCTCAGGCATGCAAAAACACTTAGAAGCAGAATATTCTAAGATGTCACAGGTAATCTTCCAGGAGTAGGCAAGGACCAGTCCTGAAAACAGACCTTTATTTGGGAAGTGCAGGATTTCAGCAACTCAAGCCTCCTGAGTTACCTCTTTCCTGCCTAGTATCAAAGCAGACTATTATAAGGACTGCCCAGGGACTAGACAGGGCTAATGGCTGGGGAAGCAGAACACAGCAGAGAAGGCATCAGCCACCAGGTTTCCCTCCCCTCTCTTGCAGGGGCCACCTGGTCTCTCTTTCCTACTTCTTCCTGCTCTCTACTTTCTTGTCTTCCCTCCTCTTCTCCTCCCCTCTTCTCTCCTCCGCACCCTACCCTTTCCTTCTCTCTCTGTCTCTGTCTCTCTCCCTCTTCCTCTCTCTTTCCTTCCCTTCCTCCCGCTAAATACCAGCATCCTCCTCTTCTTACAGGCACAGGAGCCAAAGGGGGCTGCCCCAGCCCACCTGCCCTACATGTTCTCTTGGTTCAGGTACAACTGCAGTTGTCTGAGGCTAAAAGAAAAACAAACTGGTTTTTTCTATACACACAACAATTCCGAGAGCAAGTGTGTGGAGGTTTTTTTCCACACCAACCAATTTTCCAATTCTCTGTGGACACCAACTGGGTGTCCTACAATTTAACTCAATTCTGGCACTAACTGCCCAGAGTTAGCACAGATCCCACAGGCTCAGGGCCATAAGACTTCCCCAGACTTCAGATGCCAGTTGCAAGCCCCAGGTTGTCACCTGTGCTTCTGACCAACCAGAAATAAATCAAAGGTTTCTTAAACCCCCTCCTTATGTTCAATAATTTACTGGAACAGCTCACAGAACTCAGGAAAATGGTTTATTGTTTATTATACTGTTTACCTACCGATTTATTACAAAGGATAGAACTCAGGAACAGCCAATAGAAGCAATGCACAGGACAAGCTATGGGGGCCTCTCATGAACCCAGAAGCTGTCCAAATCCCATCACGTGGGGGTTTCACAGAGGCTCAATGACGTAGTTGCGACTGATTAAATCACTAGCCACGAGACTGAACTTGATCCCCAGCCCCTCTTCCCTGCCAGCAGGTGGGGGATAGGCTGAAATTTCCAACCCTCTAATCACACAGCTGGTCCAGCCCCATCCTCCAAGAGTCATCTCACTGGCATAAATTCAGGTGTGGTTGGAAGGGTCTTGCTGTGAGTAACAGAAGATGCTCCTCTCACCCTCATCACTCAGAGAATGCCAAGGGTATTAGGAGCTCTGTGCCAGGAGCCAGGGACTAAGACCACATATGTATTTCTTATGATGTCACAACATCGCAGATGCCCAATTCCAAATGACCGGGAGGAACCTGAGGGGACCACTGGGGTCAGATGCCCACACCTGGTCCAGCCAGCCACGTCAGAGAAGGGAGTGTAGAGAAAGGTCGTGTGGAATGGGGACGCTCCCCAAAGCACGTCTACTCAACAGGCACAGTGCTTGGCACCAGCAATGAACAGAGAGACCCAGGAGCTCACAGAACTGTACGGGAGGAGCGGAGAGGCCGAGCCGCCCATGCCAGCTAGAGAAGTCATCAGCTAGCACCCTGGCGCTGCAGGAGACTGGAAACCAGCTAAGATGAGCTCAGGCAAAAATGATATGGCCTCACTGCCCTGAGGGGCACTTTGGTCCGATGCTGTTCCCAAGGCTCCTTGGTGGACATAACTGGTCCTGGGGTAAGGGGCAGGTAATCTTGAGCAGGAGCACAGGTGGTGCCGTAAAGAAAGGGACCCAGATGCCAAGCTGCGGGCTTTTTATCCCGCATTATTAGGACCCTTTTAACAGAGAAGTAAGGATCACAGAATGAAAAGGACAACAAAGACCTCCACGAGGGCCATCAGCTTTAAAGAAGAAGTAGGCTGGTGGGTAATGGAGGCTGGTATGTAATGGAGGCTGGTGGGTAATGGAGACTGGCAGGTAATAAAGGCTAGTATGTAATAGAGGCTGGTGGATAATAGAAGCTGGTGGGTAATGGAGACTGGTGGGTAATGGAAGCTGGTAGGTCATGGAGGCTGGCGGGTAATGGAGGCTGGGGGGTAATGGAGGCTGGTAGGTCATGGAGGCTGCTGGGTAATAGAGGCTGATGGGTAATGGAGGCTGATGGGTAACAGAGGTTGGTGAGTAATGGAGGTTGGTGAGTAATGGAGGCTGATGGGTAATGGAGGCTGGTAGGTCATGGAGGCTGCTGGGTAATAGAGGCTGGTGGGTAATGGAGGCTGATGGGTAATGGAGGCTGGTGGGTAACAGAGGTTGGTGAGTAATGGAGGTTGCTGAGTAATGGAGGCTGATGGGTAATGGAGTCTGGTAGGTCATGGAGGCTGGTAGGTTATGGAGGCTGGTGGGTAATGGAGGCTGGTGGGTAACAAAGGCTGGTATGTAATGGACGCTGATGGACTGAGGATCTGTGGGAGGCTGAGTGGGGTGAGGCTGAAGCCACCAAGCAGCTGCTTTGGACTGAGTGCAGCAACAGTGCAGAAGTGACTGCGCTTGGACCGGCCACTGGGCAGGTGAGAGACAGTGTGCGAGAAGTGAGGGGAACAGGCTGGACAAGCCACCATCAGGCTACATAGGACCCATGCTCAGCGGTGACACTATGTGGTGGGGTCAGGCAGCCACAGAGGAAATGGGACTAAGTTCTTAAGTGGAGTAAGACCCAGGACAGCCAAAGGGCGGGGAGGCCTCACCCGGAGGGAGAGGGGCTGGAAATCCTCCTAAATAAGGTGGGGGAGGTTCAAGCCCTTAGCTGGAAAAATAAAAAATAAGAACACATATCTGCATGCAGCTGGGGAAGGGGGCAAGGGGCTCACCCACCTAAACACCAGGCACAGAACGCACCTGCCTCCTTGCCCCTCCTGCCCTCCACTTCTAAAACCCAGACTCAAGACTCATCCTGGTTACTCTCACAACAAGGTGACGCTGGGACTGGATCAAAGGCTATTTCTTCCAAGGAAATGTATTGCTGAACACACCGAAACCAAAGCACAGAACATCTCAGGGTAACATTCTGGACTTAGGAAACAGGAGCCCTGTTAAGGCCGGAGGGCCCTTCCTGCTGCCACTACCAGAAGTTGGGCTGGCCCCAACCCAGACACAGGGTCACAAATGTAAATATGTCCAGAGCACTTTCCAACATCATGGTGCCACCGGCTCCCAGAAGGCTTCTAGGGCACTGACCCAGCCCCTCCAGCAGGGACACTGGGGCCCCCAGAAACCGGTGTGGCCCTCGCACACATCTCCAGCACAGTCCTTCTTACCCATCCCCCAGGCGAGGCACTTAACCCCCCTGAGCTGCTGTTTATCCATCAGTAAAATGGATAGAATAATATCAATCTCACCAGGGTGTTATTTAGATTTATTTATTAATGCTGGCAATATACTCAGAGCCCTCAAGATTAAAGCAATAGATCATCAGGAAATATTATGGCATCCTGTTGCCATAGCGATGGTTCCATTCTTCCGGCTCCTCCTCGAGCCCTGCTGCAGCATCAGGCTCAGAGGGTCTGGGGAGCAGAGCTGCACCAACCAGGGCATTAACACTAACAACAGTGATAATTAAATTACACAGAGAGGAAGCCCATGAAATATGTATGGGAGAGAAATGGATTTGATTCATTTAGGCAAATGGGCATGTTTTCCCATTAGAAATGGCTCCCTGGAGCCTGTGGCTAGCTCTCTGCAGCACTCATTTCTTTAGATAAAGCAGGGGATTAGGGGGTTCTGGAAGACGCCTAAGTCAGGGGCGGAAGTGGGGCAGAGATCCAAATTCTGTGCAACCTTCCTGAAAACACAGCCGCTGCCCCAGGCCCAGGGGGGCAGGGTTCTTATTGCAGAAGGACCCTGAGTCTGGCCCTCACCCAGCACTCATGAGCAGCTTCCGCAACTCCCTAGCTGTCTCTTCTGTAAAACGGGGTGACACTGGGAGTGACCTGGGATTGTTGTGATAACTCAAGGAAAGAGGTAGTGGCTCCTCCAGTGGTGACCCCTGAAGGAGTGGGGCCCTCTGTGCTGAGGAGATGCCTGGTCTCAGAGCCGAGGCGGGAACGCTGTCTGCCTGCCATTGGCCATCCAACGCACCATCCAGCGAGAGCATACAGCAGCCTTATGACGCAGAGGCATCAAAGAGACCCATGAAGCAGAGGCATCAAAGCTAGGTGCATCTCCCAGTCTTCTTCATCCATTCCTTTTCCTCACCCTCCCAGGCTAGCCCAGCCCAGGCCACACTTCTGGGTGGCCATGTCCACCCTGAGTGGCCCTGCCTCTGTAGAGGCCTTAGTGACAGGGACCCAGCCTCGTCTGCCTGCTCTCTTCCTGTTTAGGATGGGGTGAGCCTCAGCCACCACTTTCTGATCCCAGAGACAGATGTCACTGTCCTGTTGGGAGCTGCTGCAGCTTTGGCCAGGAGCCGGAAGTAAGCCTGATGCCAGAGGCCTGGGCCTCTGAAGGGAAGGGCTGGGAGCCAGACACACGCGGGGCTTCGGAGTTGCGGTATATCCCCACCAGCACTGGGAAGACAGCGCCACAGCCCCACTAAGCCTGCCCTCTATAGACGGCCTTCCCTGAGATGGCTCAGTTCAGACCGGGAGGGTCAGGCTAGGAGCACGGGGCCCAGGCCCACTCCCGGAGGCTTCTCTCTCCAGCAAGGCCACCACCCACTGCTCCTCCACTCACGCAACTGGGAAGGGCTGGCTGTGCCTTGGGCCCACCGCCCTCCTTTCTTGGTTACAGTCTACTTGCAGAGGCTCCACCATCCAAAAAGATCTCGGGAAAGGCCCCTCCAGCACATGTGGTTCATGCCGTGGAGTGAATTCGAATCCCCATGGTAACTGCGAGAACAAGCAGTGCTCAGTGTGCACTCTACCCCAAGACAGCCCCTGAGGCCGTACTGTTACCACGCCCGCTTTACAGGTGAAGAAACTGAGGCTCAGTGAGCCAGTCACCACCCACAGTCAGAGGGCATCAGCCAGACAGGACTCAGATCCAGCTCGGGCCCCTCTCCCAGGAAGATTCGTGTTCATCACTGACAGAGGACTCCGTCCTTTGGTAAATCCCAGGCCCATGCTTGTGTGTGCCGGGGTGGGCACCCTGACTTAGTCCCTTGCTGCATCCCTCAACTGTTCAGCCCAGGCAACGTCCCTGACCCCTCAGGGGTTTTACAGGTCCTCTGCCATCTGCGTGTACCTGTAATGACCAGGGGGAAACAGCTCTTGAGGACAGAGACAACATGCCAGCACACAGCTCCTAAGGAGCCTGGGTCTCATTGACCTACACAGCAGCCAGGCCCATGAATACCCACCCACGTGGCCAGGGAAGGTTGGGGGTGCCTCCCTAAGGGGCCAACTGGGCTACTGCCAAGCAGCTGTCTGAGGTTGCCAAGGGGCACCCTGACCCGGGAAGTCACTGTCTGGGTCTGGTTCTCACATCATCCTGGGTGGCTTCCAACTCTTCTCATGGCTGGGGCCCCCTCCAGACCAGGAGCTTCTCACAGGCAGGGACAGAGCCTGATTCACCTGGGGCCTGAGCCTCCCACCTGCACTCCCTGCAGGGGTGGAACCAGCTCTCTGATTCCAAGGCCCAGCCTCTCTCTTCCCACCTCATGAAGGCTCAAAAGGACTGACAGCCCCCTTCCACTAAGGCCCTCGGCCCAGACCCCTCTCCTGTTGCTCAGGGTTAGTGAGCAGAAATGGCCATGGCTTTGCTCTCAGACATTCTAGCCACTCAGCAGCACCCCTCACCCTTGCCACTGGCCAGGCACTGTTCTGGGCATGGAAGAGACTGGGGGAACAAAGCAAATCGAAACCCCAGCCCTGGCGATGCTCACATTCTGGCGAGGGAAAGAAAAGACACCCATCTCCGTGGGACATCACTGAGCACTGTGGCGAGAGGATACGGCAGGGCAGGGGGCAGTGCTGGGGTGACAGGGAGGAGGCAGCACGTGCCAAGGCCCTGTGGCGCAGCCTGCCTGAAGTGTCCAGGTAAACGAAGAGCACCTGGGCTGAGCTCCTGGGGCCCTGGTGGGGGCCTAATACCTGCCAGGTCCTTCATAGCCACCATATCCCTGGAGCCCCACAGCCATCTGACAAGAGTTAGCCCTGTTTTGCTGTTCAGGAAACTGAGGCCCAGAGATCTTCGATGGCTTTCTAAAGGTCACCCACAGTGTATGATTTGATCCTAGTCTGCGTGGCTCCAAAGCCTGTGTGTGTCCACCTGCCCCCACCGAAACGCTGTGGGTCCCGCCCCCCACCTGCCCCCACCATAATGCTGTGGGTCCCGCCCACCACCTGCCCCCACTGTAACGCTGTGGGTCCCGCCCCCCACCTGCCCCCACCATAATGCTGTGGGTCCCGCCCCCCACCTGCCCCCACTGTAACGCTGTGGGTCCCACCACCCACCTGCCCCCACCATAGCTCTGTGGGTCCCACTTCCCCACCTGCCCCCACCATAATGCTGTGGGTCCCGCCCCCCACCTGCCCCCACTGTAACGCAGTGGGTCCTGCCCCCCCACCTACCCCAACCATAATGCTGTGGGTCCCGCCCCCCAACACCTGCCCCCACCATAATACTGTGGGTCCTGCTCCCCACCTGTTCCCGCCATACCACTGTGAGTCCCGCCCCCCTTCCTGCCCCCATTGTAACGCTGTGGGGTCCTGCCCCACACCTGCCCCCACCATAATACTGTGGGTCCTGCTTCCCACCTGCTCCTGCCATAAAGCTATGGGGCTGGCTCCCCAGCACCTTGCCCAGGCCCAGGTGTCGATGTTCCTCCCAAGGAATGATTGGGTGGATGAATGAACACTGAGATGTACCTGGGTGTGGTGGCCTCCTGAGCCCTGCTGACAGGGGAGATGGTCTGCCTGGACAGGGGACTGGCCAGGGCTGTCTTCAGAGCAGGCGGCACCACCCACGGGGGCCATGGCTGGGAATGTGTCCACTGCTGCTGGGCAGCCCCAGCCAAGCCCAAGGGAGGCAGAACAGTGGCCTCCGGTCAGTGTCCCTTTGCCCAGCTCCAGACCCAGGGCAGGCATTGTGGGTGATCAGCAGGGGCCATACCCCACCCAAAGTTGCCTCCCCACACCTGGACTGACGGCCCCTGGAGGGTGGTAGCAGAGAAAGACACTGGGACCCCCGGGTGCTCCTGTCCCTCTCTCCAGCCTCCCCATCTCCTGCCTTCACCCTGAGAGTCCCAGCCACACTGGGCTCCCACTGATTTCCTGCAGGGAGCCACCTGGCCAGGGGCCGGGCATGGTGTCTCTCCACCTAGAAGGTTCTACATGGCCACTCCTGAGACTCATCTCAGACACTGGCTTCCCCAGGCGGCCTCCCCGACCCCAGGGCTCTGTCAGACCCCTCTGGGCTTCCCCTTTCAACATCCGGCCCACGATGGGGTGGCTGCTTGTCGGGGCTGCAAGGCTCACTGCAGATCTTGCCCCGGGAACAATCCCAGACAGCTCATCCTGCCGCCCTCTGTCTCCAGAAAGCATCTGGGGATGGAACCGAGCCGCCTCTGCTCGTCTCCGGCAACATGTTGGTTTTTTCTGAGAGTGCTGCAAATCCATTTCCCTGACAGTGATGGGAATGGGTATTGTCAGTGGTGGGAGAGCACATTATGAATGATTCCACTTGAGTCCATTTTTAAAAGGAGGAAATCAATATGTGCTTCCCGGCAGCGTCCGCTCCCCTCCCTTGACCTCTCTGCTCAGCCACCAGCTGCTCCCTGCCACCACCCTCTCTCCTCCTTCCTTCCCAGAAGGGGACAGCCCTTTCTGGGAACTGCCACCAAAGCCTCAGGGAAATTGAGCTTCTCTTCCGGGGAAACTGCTGGGTGCTGGCTGAGGCACCCATGCCGGCCCGAGGGTGGAAGCAGCAGATCTCCAAGAGGTTCTGTGCTGGAGGAACTCCCAGGACTCTACATGCATGAGCCTTGCCTGCCTTGCGTTGGCCCTAACCAGCATTCACACACGTTGTCTGCAAAACTCATGGGAACACCAAGATGGCAGGCCTAGGATCTGCCCTAGGATCCAACTGAGGGGCAAGGAAACAACCTCAGAGGTGAGGCAACACCCACAGACACACAGCTAAAAGGTGGCAAAATCTGGATGCTGAGCCAGGGCTGCAGCTGACAGCTCCAGGAACCAGTCCTAGGGCCACACCACCCACATTCAAATCCAGTTCCATCACCTACCAGCTGTGTGACCCTGGACAAGTCAATGTTTGCAAACCTCCATGCACTCACCTTTAGAACAAGACAAGGCTGGCCAGGCGTGGTAGCTCACCACTGTAATCCCTGAACACTTTGGGAGGCTGAGGAGGGTGGATCACTTGAGGTCAGGAGTTCGAGACCAGCCTGGCCAACATGGTGAAACCCCATCTCTACTAAAAATACAAAAATTAGCCGGGTGTGCTGGCACATGCCAGTAATCCCAGCTACTCGGGAGGCTGAGGCAGGAGAATCACCTGAACCTCGGAGGTGGAGGTTGCAGTGAGCCGAGATCACACCACTGCACTCCAGCCCAAGCTCAGAATGGGACTCCATCTCAAAAAAAAAAAAAAAAAAGAACGAGACAAGGCTAATATAACCTACATGCAGCAATGTGAGCCCGCCCAGAAAGGACCTAGCCAGCACCAGCCCCTGTTTCTTCCCCTGGCTGGTCTCCCAGGGAACTCAGTGTGCTCTTCAGAGAAGGCTGCAAACTTTGTTCAAAGGCTTCCAGGGGCCGACTCAGCTACGCCCCTGCCAGGAAGCCTGCAGCCTCAATGATAGCAGCAGGATGGTCTTCTTGGCCTCAGGCTAAGGTTGAAAATGAGTGTTTAATAAAAATTCTCTATATTAACTCTCCCTCACCCCAAAGTTGGGCCATTGTTTTTCTGTTCTGCTTTAGAAGCATTTCCACAAATCCAGTCTCTGGAAGCAATGTGACTCAACAAAGAAGATACCAACAAGACAAGCAATCGCCTCCCAGCTGTGGCACCAACCAACTGGCTCTGTGACCTAAGACTCCATCCTTCCCGCTCTGGGCCTCAATTTCCCCTTCTGTAAAGGGTTGCACCACATGAATCACCAGGGCTCCTCTAGCCAGGAGCAGCTCCTTCGTTCTGAACAAGAGGCATTTTCCACAGGGCCTGTGTCAGTCGGTATCAGCTTTCCTGCCCTGAGACAGTCAACAACCTCACTATAGTGACTTAATCAGAGATACAGTCTGTGCCATACCATCCTGAACATGCCTGATCTCGTGTGATCTCAGAAGCTAAACAGGGTTGTGCCTGATTAGTATTTGGATGGGAGACCACCCGGGAATACTGGGTGCTGTAGGCTTTTGTAAAAAATAAAAATAGAAAAGAAATCAGAGATGCAGCATTGATCACACTGAATCCCACGAGAAGGGTAGGGCTCCCCTACATGTTCCCTCATGCCAAGGCTAGAGTTTGGGGTCTCCCCTCTGGAATTTGGCTGATTAGTAGAAGAGGCAGAAAGAATTTTGAGAGGCCTCACATTAGAAATTAAGTGCCCAGCCTGGAGGCCACTCTCGACTCATCACTTCGTTACCATCGAAGCCAGAACCAGTTACTCTGCCCCAGCCAACCACAGGGAAACCAGGATGGGTCCCCTTCCACATCCCCAAAAGTGGAGACCTGGGAATATCATCAGCAAACAGCCCAGTGACCACCACCCACGCCTGGCCATATCAGCCACCCTCAAACTTCCCACAGCGGGGGCTTGGTGGGGGGCTGCCTGGTGGTGAGAGAGGAGGGGAGCAGGTGGGTGCCACCTGGCCCTTGCACCACCTCCCTCTGAGCCCTGGCAGAGAAGAGGGGGAGGCCCAGGCCAGATGGGCTCTCTTTGAGAGCTCTGCAGGCCTGAGGGACTGGGAGCAGATGGTGCCACTGCCAGGCAGAGGGGCCAGACTGCTGCACAAACCCAGCGCTCATCTGAGGACACAGAGTGATTCCTGCATCCGAGTGTCCTCACGAGAGCACCATGCACAGGGCAGCTTCTTGGGAAGACAGAGCAGGAAAGGGATTGTGCTAGGGAGCTTTGGGCCTCCTGGAAATGCAGTCATGTGGTGAGGGAAGGGCCAGAGGAGGGGAGGCAAGGAAGAGAATTGGGGAGTCACTGACGGTCATGCAGCTTCATGCTCACACCAGGGCCTGCCTGCCAGGAAAACTCCCCAGTGCCCCAGGAACAGCCCAGCGAGGTCCTAACTGCAGAAGCAGGGGGCTGCACAGACACAGGAGGGTAGACTCTGGGGAGTTAGGCTGGTCACCCTAGGGCCACACTGACTGCATCATTCAGCAATGCCAGCCTCAGCCAAAAGCAAATGTCTGCCCAAGGCTCCCAGACAGTGTTCAGTTATTCCTCACTCATCTCATGAACTAGGGTCAGGCACCAGCAGCATCGAAACCTGCCCCAAGATGGCCACTGGATGAGGCGTTGGAAGCCCACCCTGCACCCGCTACTTTCTGCCATCCTGTGTTCCCCTGAACTCTCCAGCACCAGACCTCAGATGAAGCCCCATGCAGAGCTGCTGCACGCCAGGCCGGCGGGACCTCACGCCCCCCCCGGCAGCATCCGCAGGAGCGTCAGAGGCATGTGAACCAGAGCAACTCCATCTTGAATAGGGGCTGGGTAAAATAAGGCTGAGATCTACTGGGCTGCATTCCCAGATGGTTAGGCATTCTAAGTCACAGGATGAGATAGGAGGTCAGCACAAAATACAGGTCATAAAGACCTTGCTGATAAAACAGGCTGCAGTACAGAAGCCGGCCAAAACCCTCCAAAAGCAAGATGGTGAAGAGAGTGACCTCTGGTCATCCTCACTGCCACACTCCCATCAGCGCAATGACAGTTTACAAATGCCATGGCAACGCCAGGAAGTTACCCTGAATGGTTTCAAAAGGGGAGGCATGAATAATCCACCCCGTGTTTAGCATATCATCAAGAAATATCCACAAAAATGGGCAACCAGCAGCCCTCAGGGCTGCCCTGCCTATGAAGTAGCCATTCTTTATTCCTTTACTTACTTAATAAACTTGCTTTCACTTCACCCCAAATTCCTTCTTGTGCAAGATTCAAGAACCCTCTCTTGGGGTCTGGATCGGGACCCCTTTCCGGTAACAGGAGGGTGCCAGCTAAGTCAGCAGGTTACTACTCCGACTACACATGAGAGGCCGCAGGGGCCACAAGAATCTTGACTTGCTCTTGCTGGCAAATCACCCAGTAGGCACTAGACCCAGCCAGGCCACCTCAGCAGAGAAGGGAAGGCCCCGGGCCGGCAGCTACTGCACTTTTTCCTGCACTGCTTCTATCAGGGAACCAGAGCAGGGGTGTGGGGAGCGCCGGCCCGACTCCACTCCGGAAATGGAGAAAGTCCTCTGAAAAAAGATCCTCCTCCTGACTTGGGTTTGCCCCCAAGGAGGCTCTAACTCCTGAGCCTCTTCCTCTGCACCCCCAGGGCCCACCTACTCCACTAAGATAACTTCTGCTTTTTACAAAGCAAAATTCCAAGAATAGGGCATGCTTTTGTAGCCTGCTTTTTTGTGTTAATTCATAGGTTTAGTAAACCTTTCCCTGGCTGCCTCACCTTCATTCTAATCAGCTGCCCACATTACACAGTGATTCCCAAGGGCAAAAAGAAAAGAAAAAAGTAAATAATGCAAAAACTCACTGTAAGGAAAGGAAAAATGTAAATAACTCATAAACTCACTGTTCCCACATTGGTCTAGTACTTCCTCCAGCCTTTTTTCTCTGCCTAACTTCTATTTGTTTACAAAGCAAAATTTGCAAGAAGTGGGGGGCGGGGCACGGGCCATTTTGTAGCCTGCTCTTTGTACTTAAGCTTCTAGGACGAGCATTTTATCACGTGGATTCATATGTTTAGTAAACCTTTGAATGGCTGAGGGGCATTCATTCCAATCACTCCATAATTTAGACAGCCACTCCCCTAAAGAGGACCTTAAGTAGTTGCCAATTTGGGGCCACATAACTAAAGCCTCAGGGCCTCTCTGGGAAGGAACCATGGTTTGCAGATTCAAGGGCACCCCAGGGCAGATTCTCACCCGGGGCCTTCCCCTCAAAGCCCCTGCTCACCTTGGCCTGCGCCTTTTCTGGAGGAGACCCAGGAATCCCCCCTCCAGTTCCTTCTTGCTCCCTGGAGCAAACTGCCCTCAGGAGGTGCTTTCCCCCACCCCCAGCCTCAGCCTCAGCTCCCACTCTGCGCCCCTGGGCAGTTGGGGGGCTCTTGCTCTCTGTGTGAGAAGGTCACCTTGTCCATGAAATGGACTGCTAATGAGTTGGTTACTGGGTAGGGGAGAACCGAGATAAGGACTGGGGAGCAGGAAGGGGAACGCCCAAGAGAGGGCTCAAGGCAAAATCTAGCAGCTCCCTGCCCAGGCCTCAGCCAGGCTGCGTTCACACACCCCTCGTCAGTGCCCACCAGCAGCACCCAGCTACAGAAGGCCCCTCCAGACTGTGAACCCCAAGCACAGAGGAGCAGGGAATGTCAGGGAAATTCAAGAGACAGAAAAACAGCAAAGACCACAGACAGCAGGAAGAGCACTAGGAAGATAATGAGAGGGGCTGAGGGCCTGGCTGGAGGGGCCCCCGGTGCCACCCTGTGATGGCTGAACTGACCAAGGGGTCAGTGGCGTCCCCTGGACGGCTCCCTGGGACTCACCAGGCTTCCGACTGGGATGGAGTTGCCACCACTGCAGGCCTGGGTGGCCCTGCCTATGGGGAGAGGCGCAGGTGGCCTTTCCTGAACCACACCCCAGGGCTCAGGGCAGCGAGACAGGAGCTGCTTGGAGAGAGGTCAACGCGTGGCCCAGCACGTGGTCCAGCCCTGGGAGGTGGTGCTCCTCGGTGGCCTCTGCCCGTCTCCGCACCTCTGAAGGCTGCTCCCACTCCTGCCGCCTCTGCCTTTGGCACCACAGCCTCTGTTCCCAGCTCTCCAGGCTCCACTTCCTGGAACCTGCCTGGCCCAGCCAGGGGCAGCCCCAACAGCAGCAGCCTAGGCAGTGGACACACTCAGAAGGGGACAGATGAGCGACGCAGTCATGACGGGTGTACCAGGCTGAGGCCATGGGCCCCGAGGACCAGCACCAAGGGCTGGGAACTCGCACAGCTGCCCGCCAAGGGGCTGCCCAGCCGGACGGGCTGTGCTCAAGGGTAGGCAGGCAGGGCAGGGACAGGCAGGACACAGGGCCCAGCAGGCCCCATGACCGTGCACTAGCTCCACACAGCTGAACAAGCTCCTGAGGCTGTGGCCATGTGGGCATCTCTGGAGCTGGCCAGAGCCCAAGGGGAGGGGAAAGGCAAAGGAAGCAGGTGCCGGATGAGAACTGGTGGGACCCACGTGCCAGCATCTGATGGGCTCCCCTGGGGCCCATGAGTACCGGGCAAGGAAGGCTGGGGTGGAGGGGGGGGCACATCCAAGGGATCCTGAGGAGCAGTAAAGTCCCAGTGGTCACCAGGCTGCTGGGAGGGCTGCCGGCCACTGTGGGGTCTGCTTCAGCTGCAGAGCTGCCAGCCAAGGCCGCCTCCCCAGGCAGCCCACACCCAAGGGCCTTCTTCACCCACCAGGGGAAGCCTCTGTGGGCCACTTTGCCCACTGCTCCCTGGCCATCAGCCAAGGCTAAAATAGTTCTGCTTGGCATCCCAACTTACCCCTCCCCGCCCCTGCTCAATGCCAAGATAATTCCCTAAAGTCGTCCTGCCCAGTACACCCTCTCAGAATCTGCTTCCTGGAGCCGCTGTGTGACCATCACCATCAAGTCCCAGGAATGCAGCAGGGCTGCTGCCCAGCCTCCCCTCTCCCCTTCTGACCTCAGCTGCCCTCTTCCTCCACCAGGACTTCCGCAGCTCCCCAAGGATTCTGTGCCCATGGCCATCTGGGTGGGGCCCGCTCCTTGCTCACTGGGGCCGTCCTCCTATGCCCTGCCTCCCTGAAGCCTCTGCTTGCTGCGCTGCACTGTCTTGAGGCCGACCAGGAGTCTCCTCTGCACAGTGCCTCTGAGTTTGCTCCCTTGATCCAGGGCAGGACCACTGTGGCTTGGAACAAGGCTTGCAGGGAGCCACTGACAGTTGCTAGGGGCTTCGATTTTGAATTCATGGGGCTACTCCAGCTTGGGGATTTCTCACTGGTGAGACTCAGAAGTGGGGCAACCAAGGACCCAGCTGGAGTGTCATTCCTGGTTGTCCCCATGGTGGGACCCCCACCTCATAGGAATGAAGCCACAAAGCACAAAAATGCCACAAAAGAAGGGAAGGGTCACTGGACAGAGTGGAGGTGGCCCCAAACCACCTTCCTGGGGGAGGTGCAGGGTCCAGCCTGGGACAAGCGTGCACAGCCTACCTTGCTGTGACATGGGGAAAGCCGTGGTGGGGGGCAGCAGGTGACCACGCAGGAGCACCCAGGCATTCGGCCAGGCAAGCTCATGGCTGCCCCCACACATGCAGCTGTGATCAGCATGAACGTGCCAAGTGTCCTGGTCACCTCGGGCTGCCAGAACAAAGTGCCACACACCAGGTGGCTTCAACACCCCAGCTTTGCTGTCTCACAGCTGTAGAGGCCAGGAGTCCAAAATCAAGGTGCCCTCTGAGGGCTGTGAGGGAAGGCTCTGTCCCCGGCCTCTCCCTGTGTCTTGCAGATGTCCTGTGTCTTCGCGTCACCTCCCTGTGTGTGTCCTCATCTCCTCTTGTAAAGACTCCAGTGGTTGGATTAGGCCTCATTTTACCTTGACCACCTGTGTAAGGACCCTAGGTCCAAATAAGGTCACTTTCTGAGTTCCTGGGGTGAGGACTTTAGTAAAGGAGTTTCGGGGGACAAGCACAAGTCAGCCCACACCACCAAGTGCTGGCTGACACGTGTGCCTCACCACATCAAGGAAGGCGTGGCCGAGAAGCTGGAAAGCCTGCTGGGGGCTCCTGCTCAACCTCAGGGTTACTGGCCGCCAGCTCCACACAGCTACCCGGGAGGCAGCAGCGGAGGAGAGAGAGGCCTGGAACCCACAGGCCCTGCAGCCCTCCTGTCAGTCATCAGCTCACTCCCTGCCTGCTTTAGGCTCTAAAATAATACATTGATTTTTGAGCCAAGGCTAACTTTAGTTACCAGTGATGCTGCTAACAGGGGAAAAATAAGTCATCGTCATTAGAATTGAATCTGAATGAATGAGCTAGCCTGTGTCTCACTGGGATTCGGGCTGCTGCTTTTTTTTTATTGTCACAGTTTGCTGACATGGTTCTTTCTAATTTGAAGCAGCCTGAAAGAAACCCTTTACCAAACATGACACATTACCATTTGGGAAATATTAAAGGAATTGATCATTCTGCTTATCTGCTGCTATTTTACAAACCATCCCAAGATGTAGTGGCTTAAAACACACCATACGATCAGATCTCACTGTCCAGGGGCTCAGAGTTGGAGCAGGACTCATCTGGGCGATTCTTCTGCTTGGTGTGACGTGACGTTGGGCGATGGAGGTCGTTCTGTGGCGCTCAGCCTGCAGCACAGCTGGCCTGGAGGTCCAGAACGTGCCTACTCTCATACCCGGCACATGGGTGGGGATGGCGGGCCCCCATCCCTCTTCTGTTGATCTTGGGCCTCTCCACAGGGCAGTCGAGCTTCTGACACAGTGGCTCAGGGCCCCAGGAACCAGTGGTCCAGACAGAAGTGCTGGGAGCCCAGGCCCGAGCCTGACCCCAGAGACGGGGAAGGGCTCAGGCCCCTTCGTTGTGGGCAGAGCGTTTTGGAGAGGAACAGAGGGAATCACAGTGGACAGGCAGCTGTCCTGCCCCCTGAGGTTTGGAGCCAAGGTGCTCAGCTTGCAAAGCACCCCAGACTCTGAGGAGATTTGGCACAATGCTCACTCACACACACAGGCACACATGCATGCACTCCATCATACATACACCCACTCATGCTCACACCTCACACTCCAACTTGCCCCGTGCACGGGCTCTCTCTCATATGCAGGTGTCCACACTCACACCTACACCTCATGTCCACATTCACACCTACACCTCATGCCCACACTCATACACACACGATCACATTCACACACTCACACACCCACTTGTGCAACACGAAGTGGCAGACCCCTGTAGGACAGTCACGGAACCGTGTGGAGAGCAGCCGTGTCCTCGGGAGTGGTTAGCGGACGGCCTCTGCGGACCAGGCTGCGCTCCACACTGGGGGGTGGCACGGGGTGGCGGGGGACGGAGATGGGCACCAGGAGGTGGGTGCCAGGAGATGGGTACCAGGAGACGAGCACCAGGAGGCAGTGCCAGTCCAGGTGCCCACAGCCCCTGCTCTTCAGGATTTTGCTTCACAATGTACGGACATGAAGCCACCAGCACCAGATGCACACACTGACACCCGCAGGACATCCATCCAGCAAAGGGTCTTGTTTAACCCTATAGTGGGTTTTTTGTTTGTTAATTACTTATCAACATTTGAAACTCAGTAAATACCATATAAAATGAGGGGGGTTTCTGACTTCTCTTGAAAAACTTGAAGACCAGAAGGCCGGGCGCAGTGGCTCACACCTGTAATCCTAGCACTTTAGGAGGCCAAGGCGGGCAGATCACCTGAGGTCAGGAGTTTGAGACCAGCCTGACCAACATGGAGAAACCCCATCTCTACTAAAAAAAAATTAGCCAGGTATGGTGGCACCTGCCTGTAATCCCAGCTCCTCGGGAGGTTCAGGCTGAGAATCACTTGAACCCGGGAGGCAGAGGTTGCGGTGAGCCAAGATCGCGCCATTGCACTCCAGCCTGGGCAACAAAGCGAAACTCTATCTCAGAAAAAAAAAGAAAAAAGAAAGAAAAACTAAAAGACCTAGGAACTCATGTGATGCCGGCCTGCCCAGCCACCCACAGCAGCCAGCCCCAGCCCCTGGCTGCCTTTCCAGCCCACCAGTGCCTGCAGCAGATGACCTCCATGTCATACAACATCAGCTCTTGGAAGTCATCTGCCTCAACCCTCATTTCCTGCCACACGGACCACTGAGCTCAGAGCTCCTCAGGCGGGGCCGGGGACGCCTGCCCAGCACCACTCCCGTCCTCCACTCTCCCCTCCTCCAGGCCTCGCCTGGCTTCAGGCCCCTGGTAGATGCCCTATAAAGCCCCAGGGACTTGACCGAGGGGACAAAAACCCAGGTTCTCCAGACTCCAAGAACTGGCTCAGCTGGTGGACGCAGGTCTGCCTGGGGCCAGGCTGATGCCAGGCTCTCCATTTCCTATGGGTCCTGGGGGGCTGCGTCTTGCTCTGCCGATAGGGCCCCAACTCCTGGCGCTCTTGCCTCCCACCCTCACCCCTCCACACCCCTCCCTGGTGCAACACACCACTCACACAGCTCTCACCTATGGCCAGTGTTCAGTTCAACCAGGAGGACCCAGGCCCCACCTTCCACATGAATAAAGGAACTTCCAGACTCCTGGTCAGAGCCAACGGGATGGAGCGATGATGCCTACCCTCGGCGTTGTAGTGAGGACAAAAGGCAACAACATGCCACGATCTGACACCTGGTAGGTGCTTAGGAGATGAGAGCTACTGGTATCACCATCATCAAAGAAAACCTCACATCCTCTCCTCACTAAATCTGGCCGACAATGTACGGTGGAAGATATTCGTTAGTTCCACCATATGTCCTAATTGGAACCATAGCCTGAACCAGCACCACTTGCCAGAAGCCAAAAAAAAAATTGTTTTTCCTTGACTCGCTGCAGACTGGCACAGTTACCAGGCACATGTCTTCCCTGTGACTCCAGGATTTCTCCCCAGTTGCTCACACTGGTCTTCATCTCAGCAATCAGCCCACATCCCAGGACTCATGGGGATGCCCTTGAAACCCAGCAGCAATGAGGCACTAGCAGTGATACTGCAGATGCTGCACCCCCAATACTTCACTGAACAAGTATTTGGGGTGCAGCTGCCATGTATGTGAGTGCTGGGCAGGTGAGGAGCCAGCCCCGGGCAGCTCCGTGCAAAGGGGAGGGCCGGCGCCCAAGTGCATGCAGACAGCTCCACCTCAGAGGACCAGCGTGACAGACCGCAGGGGCTCCTGCAGTGGGGAGCTGCCAGGATGGCCCAGAAATGGCACCATCTGCCAGTCATGCGTGAAGGACGCCATGCTGGGGGCAGTGCCCTGCCTCCACCACCTCGGAACTGGGAGCCAGTTGCTCCATATGTCAGTAAAAAGAGGGCCATGTATGCCTGAATGCTGAAGAAGCAGACCAGCAATAATCGAGTCATTTATATACAGCACAATGCTTTGCATGAGTGCCGCTGACACTGAGCAGAGTGCCCAGGACATTGCTTCAGACCTTCCCTGCCTTGCTCGCCTCTTGCTCCACTCTGTGTGTGGTCTCTAACCAACTTCACACAGATGAGAATGAAGTGCCTGGCCCCTGCCCTCACCCCCGCCTCTCCCTGCCACTGAGCCTCTCTGTTAACATCCCTGGGGACCCCCAGGCATCTGCACACGTGTGCAGCCCAGAGAAGCAGTGGGTTAACACCCTACAGGACAGACCTTTACCTAGGGGCACACGGGACCAGTGGGCAAATGCCTCCTCTCTTCTCTCCTTCTCCCTGCCCCGAGGCCTGGATGGAGTTTCTCAGGGGCTGCAGCTTAGTGGGTCACCCTCCTGTGGGCTCTTGCTCCAACCTGGCTCACTCCCTGCCCCGCACTCCTGCTCCCTGGACTTGCACCCACTGAGGACACCATCCTTGGCACAGAGACACCACGCAGCATCACCCATCCAGGACATCCTCACTGGGAAGGTCTTCAAGGTCACCTTGCTCAACCCCAGACCTCTCTTTTCATTTTATGGATGAAGAAATATGGCTGTAGGGGTGAAAAAATATATTTTCTTCACCCACTGATAGGTTCGTGGCTAAGGCCCCTGCAATAAAAGACACATCAGCAAGAGAAAAGCACACATGTGTTTTTAATGTAAGTTTTACCTGACACAGGAGCCTTCATAAGGAAAGGCAGACTCAAGCAGGGAAGCCTGTGTACTTTTTGCTAGGTCTGATGAAGTGGGTGGTCATGGAGAAGTGTAATCTATGGCAATAACCTCAGGGAGGTCAGCAAGGCCGGTCTGTTTAGTTTCTTCTCTGTCAACCTGTGTCTTCAGAGATAGGGACGTTCCTTTCCTCTAGGTATAAAGAGGATACGTCTCCAGTGAGGGGCTTGTGACCTACCTCAGGGGAAGGTCAGAACATCCTAGATTTTATGACCTGCTTTAGGGGAGAAAGGTGTCGAGGGGGTCAGAGAGACCTTCCTGCTTCTGCTGCTTCCTCAAATGCCAAGATTTCACACTTCAGGGTAGCATATCCTGAACCCCATCAAGACCCAGAGTTGAAAAGGGAATTCGTTGTCCTAGCAGAGCTAGGAGCAAAGTCACACCTGGGTCTCCTAAGTCAACTCTCCTTGCCTTTCACCCCACTGTCTCATTTCCTGCCACCTCATACGTTTATCTGTGGCAGGGCCAAGGAAGAGAGTACTGGAACAAAGGCGATGGTGTTCAATGGAGATAGTTCAGGACCCACTTCCCCTGATCCTCTCACCAAGTTCACTTGGGGCCTGGGAAATTGTGCAAGAGACAAGCTACCAAAGGAGGTCACTGAAAAAGGTACAAGAAATTAAACTGGTCTGGGACTCCGGGACTGAAGAACGGCACTGTGGCAGGGGGTCTTGCATCCGCCACCCAACAAGAGACAGCCACCTAGGCTCAGCGTTTCCCAATCCCAACGAGCAACAGAAGGCAGCCCAGGTGGACTATACCTCCCCCAGACTCAGTGGGAGTCCCCCATACACACACACCCGCACGTGTGTGCATCTCTGGCAAGCCCAACACCAACAGCAAGAGTGATGGATTAGAAGACGCATCAGAATAAGTGGCAAAGGAGATGCTCTGCTTCCTCATGAGCCTGAGACTTCCCTTTTTCCCTGAGAGATGCCAGGGCAGGTGACAGGCAGAGCCAGCATGAGAGGCTACCATAGGCAACTTAGTCCACAGAGGCTCTTCCTCCTTCCCTAACCAGCAACAACTGGGCAGGCCTGTGAGGGGCCCAGCTGCAGCAGGTGGCCCAGTCTAGGGGCCTTTTTGTCCAAGACTCTCCACCCCAACCCAGAGACACCTGGACATCCAGAGGGCACCAGTAGAGTGGTGGTGTCACTCCTCCCTCCCCAAAGAAACACTGGGTAACCCAACCTAGAGAAACTTCTTCTACCCCACAGGCAGCATCAGCAGAGACCAGTGGGAGCCTCAGCAGTGCCAGATAAACCAGGCAGACCAAAGTCACAGCACAAAGGCTTTGAAGTGACATTCGAACCACAACTGATAGAAGTAGACTGCATGCCAAACCTAAACAGCGTGACTGAATGCTAAAATAAAAGATTTATATAAGACCCAGAGTCTCCTAATGTGTCACAGAAAAAATGTCCAAGATACAATAAAAAATCATCTATCATACCAAGAAGCAAAAAAAAAAAAAAAAATCACAACTTGAGTGAGAAGAGACAATTAACACCAACACTAAGATGAATCAGATGTTGGAATTATCTGACAAGGATTTTAAAACAGAGATTATAAAATTGCTTCAGGCCAGGCTGCTGTGGCTCACGCCTGTATTTCCCGCACTTTGGGAGGCTGAGGCAGGTGGATCACTTGAGGTCCAGAGTTCAAGACCAGCCTGGGCAACCTGACAATACCCCACGTCTACAAAAAATACAAAAATTAGCTGGGTGTGGTGGCATGCACCTTGGAGGCCCAGCTACTCGGGAGGCTGAAGTGGAAGGATCACTTGGGCCCAGGAGGCAGAGGTTGCAGTGAGCCAGGATCACACCACTGCACTCCAGCCTGGACTACAGAGTAAGCCTGTCTCAAAATAAAAATAAAAATGCTTCTGTCTGCTGGGCGCGGGGGCTCACGCCTGTAATCCCAGGACTTTGGGAGGCCAAGACGGGCAGATCATGAGGTCAGGAGTTCAAGACCAGCCTGGCCAACACAGTGAAGCCCCATCTCTACTAAAAATACAAAAAATAGCCAGGCATGGTGGCACGCACCTATAGTCCCAGCTACTCAGGAGGCTGAGGCAGGAGAATTGCTTGAACCTGGGAGGCAGAGGTTGCAGTGAGCCAAGATCACGCCACTGCACTCCAGCTTGGGGAACAAAGCAAGACTCCGTATCAAAAAAATAAAATGCTTCTGCCTATAATCCCAGCACTTTGGGAGGCTGAGGCTTGCAGATCACCTGAGTCAGGAGTTCAACACCAGCCTGGCCAACATGGTGAAACCCCATCTCTACTAAAAATACAAAAATTAGGCGGGCGCGGTGGTGCATGCCTGTAGTCCCAGCTATTTGGGAAGCTGAGGCAGGAGAATCGCTTGAACCCAGGAGGCAGAGGTTGCAGTGAGCTGAGATTGTGCCACCATACTCCAGCTTGGGGGACAGAGCGAGACTCCATCTCAAAAAAAAAAAAAAAGAACCAAATGGAAATTAGAAATATGTAATAAGAAATACATGTAATAATGTTTAATGTAATAACAAATACAAATCTTGCTGGATAGGTTCAATAGTAGTATGGAGATTATAGAAGATGGAATCAGATAAATGAAACAAAAAAATAGAATTTGCTCAATCTAAACATCAGAGAGAAAAGATAAACAGAATTTCAGAAACCTGTAGGACTATAATGAAAGATTCAACATTTATATCGGTGAAGTACCAGAGGGAGAGGAGAAAGAGTGAGGCTACAAATTACGCAATGGAGACAAATCTCCAGAGCCAAGAAGCTGAACAAAAACCAAACGGGATAAACCCAAAGAATTTCACACCAAGACACACCTTAATCTTTTGAAAACTAAAAACAACTAAAAATTTTGAAAGCAGTGAGGGAAGATACCTATAAGGGAATACCAACTCAAACGACAATAGATTTTTTTATCTGAAATAAGGGAGAGTACAAAGAAGTAGCACAATGTTGTTTCAAGTGTTGAAAGAAAATAAATGTCAACCATGAATTCTATGTTCAATTAAACTATACTTCAGGAATGAAGGAGAAATTAAAACATTCTTAGCAGAAGGATAACCAAAAGAACTTATTGTAATAGACCTATCATTACAGATTGGGTAAAGGAAGTTCTTCAAACAGATAAGTGATAAAAGAAGGAATTTTGGAGCACAAGGAATAAAGAAGGAAACATAGAAAGGGCAAAAATATGGATAGTTATAAAAGACTGTCCTTTTTCTCATGGATTGTATAAATCATATTTAATGATTGAAACAAAAATTATAACACCATTTTACACCCAAGACAATTCTATTTAGTGTGGGGAAGATAAAAGGACCTAAATGTAAGTGAGGTTTCTACACTTGATTCAAAGTGGTAAGATGTTGACACCGATAGACTATTGTTATAAGTCACACATGTATATTATAATATCAAAGCAAGCACTAAAAAACTATACAGATATAGTCCCAAAAAAGCACTATATGTAAGTCAAATTGAATCCTAAAATGTGCTCAAATAACCTGTCCAAAGGCAAGACAAGGGAAAAAGAGGAGCTAAAACTGGAGAATACAAATAGAAAACAGTGCATTAAATGTTAAACTTAAGTATTAATATCACAATATTACCTTAAATGTAAATGGTCTAAATACTCCAACCAAAAGATAGAGATTGAGGCAGTAGTTTTTACGAAAAATAACCAATTATATGCTGCTTATGAAAAACTCTCCTCAAATTCAATGACGTACACAGGTTGAGAGTAAAAGCTTGGAAAAAGACATACCATGCAAACATTAATTTTTTAAAGGGAGTGGCTGTAATAATAACAGACAAAGTATACCTCAGAGAAAAGGAATTTCTAGAGGCAAAAAAAAAAAAAGATATTGCATAATGAGAAAAGGATCAAACCATCAGGAAGATACAATGATCCTAAACAAATATATACGACACAACAGAGCCTTAAAATACATAAAGCAAAAACTGATAGAGCTAAAAGATAAAATAGATAAAGCCACAATTATAGCTGGAGACATAACATCCCCCTTTCAGCAACTGATAGAACTACTAGACAGAAAATCAGCAAAGATATAGTATTGTGAACAATGTAATCAACTAACAAGATCTAATTGACATGTGTAGAATACTGCATCCAAATGTAGCAGAATACACATTTTCTAAGCAGCCAAATGAAACATTCACCAAGTTAGGCCATATCCTGATCCATAAAACAAATCTTAACAAGTTTAAGAGAATTAAAATAATACAGAGTGTGCTCTTTGACCATAATGAAATCAATAACAAAAACATAAGAAAATCTTTGTACACATGGAAATTAAACGACACACTTCTAAACAATATGAGTCAAAGAGGAAGTCTCAAAGGCAATTTTTAAAATGTATTTGTGTGACGTGGCTAAAGCAATGCTGAGAGGAAATTTTATAGCACAATTTGTATTTGTATTTATTCTTTATAACATTAGCACAATTTGTATTTGTATTTATTATTTATAACATGTTAGAAATAACCTAATCGATAAACTCAAATTAATAACCTAAGTTTCTTCCCTCAAGAAACTAGCAAAATAAGAGCAAAATAAACTCAAAGTGAGCACAAGGAAGGAAATAAAGAATAGAAGTCAATGAAATGAAACATAGAAAAACACTAGAAAAATGAATGAAACAAAAAATCAATTCTTAAAAAAATGAAATTAATAAACCTCTAGCAAGACCAACAAAAAGGAGTGAAGACACAAATCATCAATATCACCACAGATCCTACAGTCATGAAAAAGATAATAACGGAGTACTATGAACAACTTGACACTCAGAGATCTGACAACGTAGAAGAAATGGACCAATCGAAAACAATAAAGTACCAAAACTCACTCAGACAAAATAGACAATCTCAATAGCTCTATAATCATCAAAGAAATTGAATTCATCTTTTAAAGTGTCTCAAAAAAGAAATATCCAGAACCAGATTATTTCACTAGGGAATGTGGTCAAACATTTAAAGAATTAACATCAATTGTACGAATCTCTTCCAGAAAACAGAAAAGGAGGGAATACTTCCCAACTCATTTCATGAGACCAGAATTATCCTGATACCAAAATCAAACAGAAAACTGTAATTCAATATCTCTCATGGATGTAGATGCAAAATTTCTCAACAAAACTAAAAACAAATCCAACAATGTATAAAAAGAATTGTACACCATGACCAAATGGAATTTACTTCATGGATGCAAAACTGATTCAACATTTGAAATTTCATCTATGTAACTTACCATATCAACAAACTAAAGAAGAACAATTACATAATAATATCAATAGGTGCAGAAAAAGCATTTGACAAAATCCTAATACCCATTCATAATTTTTTATAATCTCTTAGAAAATTAGGAATTGAGGGGAATTACCTCAACTTGTTAAAGAATATCTACCCCAAAAACTATAGCTAACATTATACTTAACGGTGAAAACCCAGATGTTTTCTCCCTAAAATCAGGAGTAAAGCAAAGATATTCATTCTCACCACTGTTATTCAATATGGTACTAACTAGAAGTTCTAGCCACTACAATAAGGCAAGAAAAAGAAATAAAAAGCAAAAAGTTCAGAAAGAAAGAAATAAAACCACCTATATTTGAAGATGACATAATTGTCTACTTGGAAAATCTCATGGAATCTACACCACACACAGAACCTCCTAGAATTAACAAGTGAGTTCAGCAAAATCACAGGATACAAGATGAACACACAAAAATCAATCACATTTCTATACGCTAACAGTGAAGTCCAGAAAGCAAAATTTAAAACAATACCATTTACAGTTACTCCAAAGAAAATGGAATACTTAGACATGCAATTAATGAAACATTTACAGAATCTACAGGATGAAATACTGATGAAAGGAATCAAAGAAGACTTAAATGAAGAGACATTCCATGTTCATGGATTGGAAGACTTAAAATAGTAAAGATGCCAATTATTTCTCAAATTGTTTGATAGATTTAATGTAATTGATATCAAAATCCCAGCAAGGTTTAATGCAGACAAATTTATTCTAAAATGTATGTGGAAAGACACAGGAACTAGAATAGTAAACAATCTTGAAATAAGAAAAACTAAAGTGAGAGTAACTTGATATTAAAGCTACGGTAAACAAGACACTGTGGCATTGTGCAGGGATAGACGCATAGATCAACAGAACAGAATAGAGAACCCAGAAATAGACCCACACAAATATGCACAAGTGATGTTTGACAAAAGTGTGAAATCTATTCAATGGAAGGATAGTCTTTTCCAAAAGCAAAAACCAACAAACAAACAAAACAACAACAAATGGATCATGGACTTAAACGTAAAACAACTCAATAAAACTTTCAGGAGAAACATGATAGAAAATCTTCAGAATCTAGGGCTAGGCAATGAATTCTTAGACTTGACACCCAAAGCATCATCCATAAAAGAAAAACTGATAAATTAGACCTCACCACAATTTAAAACTTTGTTCTGTGAAAGCACACATAAAGAAGATGAAAAGACAGGCTGCAGACGGCAAGAAAATATCCGCAAACCACATATCTGAGAAAGGGCAAGTATCTAGAACATAGAGAGACTATCAAAACTCAATACTTAAAAAAAAATTCAGTCAGAGAATGAGCAAATAACATAAGACATTTCATTAAACAGAGTATACAAATGACTGATAAGTACATGAAAAGACAGCTGATGTCATTAGCCACTAAGGAAATGCAAATTAAAACCACAAGATTATCACTATATACCTATCAGAGTGGCTAAAGTAAAAAATAGCGACAATAGCAAAAGCTTGGGAGGATGTGGAGAACCGGGTCACTCATGCTCTTGGGAATGTCAAATGGTAAATAAAGCCACTCCAGAAAACAATTAGGCAGTTTCTTTAAAAAGTTAAACATGTAACTACTGTATGACCCTGGGCACTATCCTAGAGAAATGAAAACTTCCATTCACACAAAAACATATACGCAATGTTCATAGCAGCTTTATTTGTAAGACCCAAAATCTGGATTCAGCCCAGATGTCCTTCAACAGGTGAGTGTTAACCAAATGACCATGCATGCATGCTATGGAACACTTCTCAAACAAACTCCATGCACACAGCATGGTTGAATCTCCTAGGGGATCCTACTGAACAAGAAAAGCCAATCCCAGATGGTTGCATAGTTCCATTTACACAACAGTTTTGAAACAGCAGTACTTTAGAAATGGAGAACAGATTCGTGGCTGCTAGGGATTAGGTCCAGGGGTAAAAGGAGCTAGTGATGAGTTATAAAATACCAACAAGTGGGAGCTTGGCGGTGTTGAAACTGTCCAGCAACCTGATTGTGGTGGAAGATCCATGAACCTATACAAAAAAACTCATGGGAAGGAATGGGAATATATTTTAATTTTTTAGCATTAAAAGTTGCTGTTTTACTTTCTGGAAGTTTCTTAGCTTGAAAGCCATGACAGACAAGTGTGCATGCGTGCAGACACACACACACACGAACATGCACACACATGCACACAGAGTTATATAGATGAGCCAAAGACTACCACTGGGTGTTGAACCCTACATTATTTAGTTTCTGCAGGCTGAGACCTGGTAGCTCTAAAGCTCACTGGTGCCAAACTCAAATTTTACACATGCTTTTATTTCAAAAATAGGCCCTACAAATGGCAAATGTTTAGCCATTTAGACATTGCCTGTTTTGCATCTCCCGCAAAACCTCACCCCCGCTGTTCCCTATTGATAAGGTCCCAGCTGCTGCTGCCCCCCAGAGACTCTGCAGGACGTCACTTAAACACAGACAGCCTCTCCGACCCCTCTCTCTTAGGAGGTCCCTTACCCTCCTTCCCTTCTGGGTAGGGATTTCTCCTATTGCCTCTGGACAGACATCTGTCAGGAAGGACTTCCCCTACCTGCAATCCTGTCCCAGCGCTGCCCAATAAAGCTTGATGTGTGTTACCACCTCTTACAGTCATATATTTCCCTTCAGCTGGCCAGAATCCCTCCTACCCTTCACACACACACACACACACACACACACACAAGTAAAACTGGGAGATTGGAATTAACATCAGTGGATTGTAGCAATGTCCAGATGCAGTTTGTGATATCATACTAGAGCTTTGCAAAATGTTACCCCTGGAGGAAACCAGGTAAAGGCCACAAGGGGTCATTATTATTTCTTAAAACTTCATATGGTTTTACAGTTATCTCAAAAAAAATCAATTTAAAAAATGTCTGGCTACTTGTAAGCTCTACACACCCCACTCCCACCATGACAAGTGAAAGCATGAGCGGGCCCTTCCTTAGCTGGTGAGACTGTCACATCCTGCACAGAACATCCCTGCCAGACTGCTGGCGATGGACCACGTGCACACACATGCATGAGCACACACACACGCATGTGCACACACATGTGCACACAGCTGCACACACACACACACACACACACACACACACACACACACACACCCCTTGCCAGGCCCTGCATGGAAGCCCCCCATCCTCTCCTCCTGCTGGGGGCACAGGAAGCTCAGCGCCCCATAGATCTGTATTTGACTTCAGACCCTGTTCCCAGCTCTGGCTTCTCAAGCAAGCGGTGGCCACTCAGCCCGACAGCCTTATCTGTAAAATGGGGAAACAGTCCCCCGCTGTGAGGTTCTTCTTGTCAGGATGAGAGGTAGCATCTATAAAGTGGGTATCCTCATCCCCATTGCACAAATGAGAAACTTGGGGCCAATAAATATTATTGTTGTTACCAATAAAACGCCATGCCACATTCATGTAAGCGATAACCCCAAAAGGAGAGTGGTCAGGGGATGGAGTGTGGGGAGGATGGGAGGAGGGTGTCAGCGTCCCTGGGCTGGCAGTTCTGTTCCCTGGGGAGTGCTCCTTCTGCTCCAGTGGGTCTAGGAGAAGCCAAGTGGGTGCCAGGCGGGATCATCGCCTCCTTTGTGGATGCTTGTGTGCATCAGGGCACACTTACACCCATACACATGCACACCCTCAGCCCAGACTGAGCTCAAATCCAGAATCTGTTAAACAAATACTGCTCTCATCAGTCAAAGGTCCACATCCTGCAGTGGGCAGAACTCCCAGAGCTGTCAGGAAAAGCAGGGTGAGAACTGGACAGGGTGCGGGTGGACCTCCCAGGGAGGCTGGGAAGGGCTGAGGGCTGGGTGGGATGAGTGAGGCTCACAGTGCTCCTGCCTCTGCCAGGCCTGGGGCTCCAACTGTCACCCCACCCCATGCTGTGCCATGCTGAAGTGCCTCTGCCAGGCCCTCAGGGGGAGACCTCCAACCCACCAAAACAAATAGCTAGGCTTTGTATTCCGAGAGCCTGGTCACCAGATGGGAATGCGGACGGGTGATGCCACAAACAAGCTCCAGGAGGGAAGCTTCCGAGATTCCCCAAGCTTTGAACACAGCAACCTGAACAAGGGAGCTGGAGAGGTAACGGAGGCGTCTCCAGAAAAGCCAAAGCAGAGAAAACCACCTTTCTATGCATAGCTGAGTCGGTTCATGTCCGAGGACCCCTCCTCCTGAGCACTCTTGACAGCCAGCTCGGAGCATGGCCCAGGAGGACTGGCTGGTGGAGACCCCAAGGTAGGAGAATCCACCCTGGAGGAACCTGAATGCCAGAACCAGAAAACCAAGTAGCCCCTGGCAATCTTATCCTAAAGCCCTGGTCTAGGGTTTGTGTCAAAATTCACAGACCCTCTTTCTTGGGTCAGCAAGATCCACTCCCGCCCCCATTCCCCTCCTGTTGCCCCCATCTCGGGGAGCTGGCCAGCACTCTGACCTTTAGAGCAAATTCTGTCAGGACTGGTATAAGACTAGAACACGGCTCAGAAGAAACAAATCCTGCATGATTCCACCTCAATGAGGGGCCTACCAGGGTCAAATTCATAGAATCACAGAGTGGCAGCCAGGGGCTGTGGGAGGGGCGTAGGGAGGAACTAATCCTGCTCCAGGCCAGCAAGAGGAGTGCGTTCTGGAGACCTCAGAGCACGGTTGCACCCAAAATCCTGTTAAGAGGAGAAGTCTCATGATACATGCTCTTACCTCAAAAAAATTAAAAATAAATAAGTAAATAAAAAGAAAACAGAAGTGTTGGGCCTGTGCCGCCGCCCAGGGAGCAGCCCGCACCCCTCACAAAGACAGGAGGCCTGCCAGAAACAGGCTGGAGAGGCACCCTCATCTATATGCTAATTAGCCCGTGCAAGAATTACAGGGTTAATTAAGCAGCGCCGCCCTCCCTTCATTTTATCTGCCCTGGACACTGAGGCAAGAGGAGGAAATCACAACCTCTGATCAAATTAGCTGTCCCCCGGTGCTCTGGGCCACTCCTCTCTGCCAGGCTTGGCGAGCCAGCTCCTGGAGTTAATCATGTTTATTTCACAAGGCACCAGGGATTTAAAACGTGATTAGGAATCAAACCCAGAAGCAACCAGCCTGACCCTTCCACTATCAACTTCCTCTGTACAAAGGGGGTGTTTTATCGCTGATAGGTGGCAAATACACACCAGGCCCCATCCTCTCTGCCTCAAGGGGGATTATCGGTCAGTGGGTAAATGACTGTCAAGTCAGGAGGGGGATGGAGGAAGGAGGCAGGGCTCTCTCTTGCTCTCCCTGCCCTTCACCCGGCATCCCAATGCTTAATACTGTTAAAGGGCCAAAGGCTTTTTTTATGGTTCTGCCCA
Source organism: Homo sapiens (assembly GCF_000001405.40). Taxonomy (NCBI): domain Eukaryota; kingdom Metazoa; phylum Chordata; class Mammalia; order Primates; family Hominidae; genus Homo; species Homo sapiens. The sequence goes on along the minus strand of NC_000002.12, from coordinate 128,424,648 downwards.
CTGTGTGGTCTCAGGTAAGCAACTTACATTCAGTGAGCCTCAGGTTTCTTACTCATTAGGTAGGAATATGCCATCCATCCAGCAGGGTAAGATGGATGTGAGCTACGGGTAGCATGGATGCCCTGGGCATCAGCATCAGGAATGTTCATTTTCTGCCTTCCTTTCCTTTCACCCCAGCATCCCGGTCTTGAGCCCCTGTTGCTCCACCCCCCATAGTCCAGTCAAAGCTCTATCCCACCCCACCCCCAAAAGCCTCCCTGATAACTCAGCACAGACATGGTGGCCCCCTGAAACTCCATGGAGAACATGCATCTGAGCACTGGGTCACATACCCTTGCTCCTCTAAAGAATTCTCCCGGCACAGAGGAGGCATCAGTGATTCTGTGCTGAATACATGAACTGAAAAGGCTGAAAAGTCACTGATTCCAGGCTCAGTAAATAGATGACAAGAGAACGATTGGCCTCCCACCCAATGTCCTTGACAGACATAGCTAATCAATCACCACATGCTTCCCTGCCAGGGCCCAGGCTAACCTCATAGGCTCAATAGAGCACCCCAAACAGCCACTACCAAGCAATCACAGTTGGCCAGTTTGTCCATCCCAATTTAGCCATTTACATGCTGAGCCCCAGGGAGAGGGAGAGAGCTCTCCCAGCTAGTTCATGACAGCTCTCCAGACACTCCCTCCATATCCCAGGCTGAGTTCACCTGTGTTGGTCTCATGTCCCTGGACACAGCACATTCTCAAAGGGCCCAGACCAAGTCCCTGCCCCACATGGAATCTAGCTCAAGGCATGTGGTGACCAGAACTCATGTAGCCATTCAGATTTTCAACTCCCAAGAGTGCACATCCTGCATAATCCTGAGACTAAGAATATGATGGACTTTGCTCCTGAGATTAAGTTCTATCATGTGACACACTGACTCTAAGATTGGGAGATGGTTCTGGTGGGCCTGACCTGATTGCATGAGCCATTTATTTATTTATTTATTGAGATGGAGTCTCCCTCTGCTGCCCAGGCTGGAGTGCAGTGGCGCAGTCTCACTGCAACCGCCGCCTCCCGAGTTCAAGCGATTCTTCTGCCTCAGCCTCCCAAGTAGCTGGAACTACAGGCTCGCACCACCTCACCCAGCTAATTTTTGTATTTTTAGTAGAGATGGGGTTTCACCATATTGGCCAAATTGGTCTCAAACTCCTGACCTTGTGATTCACCCTCCTCGGCCTCCCAAGGTGCTGGGATTACAGGCATGAGCCACCACGCCCAGCCCCTGCATGAGCCCTTTAAAGTAGAGAGTGTCCTTCCTCTGCTAGCGACAGAAGAGCAAGTCAGAGCTTGGAAGCATGAGAAGGACTCTCTGTGCCTTTGCTGGCCTGAAGACAGACAGGCCACCTGGCAAACGGTGCAGCAGCCTTCAGAAGCTGAGAGCAGCCCCAGCTGACAGCAGCAAGGGAACAGCACCTTAGTCCTGCAACCACAAAGAACCGAGTCCTGGCAACAAAGAATGAGCTAGGAAGAGTTTTCCCACCCCGCCCCCAGCCTCCAGAAGAGGACTCAGTCCAATCAAAACCTTCATTCTCCCATCGTGATTCCCTGAGCAGGATGCTCAGCCACAGCAAGCTGGACTTTTGACTTACAGAAGGAGGAGCAAAAAAATAGGTGTTTCTTTAAGCTGCTGTGTCCTGGCGATTTGTTACACAGCACAGAAAACTAATCCAGGGCAATGTGCAACGAAGGCTCAAGGAACTCATCTGAAGTGAATGAAATTGGGTCACACTTGATCTGCTGGGGCCAGAGGAGGATCTGCCTTGAACTCAATTCTTTCTCCTTAGACACTAGGAGAAGTGCCAGCGGCTCCACCACCATGTTCTCATCATGCCTTAAGCAAATCTGACTCAACGAAAGAAAATTCTCACTATGCTCCAAGAGCATATTAATAGAAGCAGGAAGGAGAGAAATCCTAGGCAGACAGGGGCAGGTCCCCAGTGAAACCCGACATTCAAGCCAAAAACAGTCTGAAACCCACAGACCAGAGTGAGAACTTCTATTCCTGTTTGCCTGCTCTCTCCCAGTTGGTTCCTTCTGAATAATGCCTTTTAACCAATCGAATGTTGCCTTTTCCAATACTACCTGTGGCCCACCGGCCCCTATGTGGTACCTATAAATACCCTAGACTCAGTCAGTAGAGGGAAGACAGCCTGACTTTGGGGAGGAGACCTCCTGACTTTGGGAGAAGATGACCTGCCCTTCCCATCCCCTCTCTAGCTCCCCTCTCCACTGAGAGCTGTTTTCATCACTCAATAAAATTCTCCACCCTCACCATCCTTCAATCATCAAACGTGACCTCATTCTTCTTGGATGCTGGACAAGAGCTCAGGACCTACCGAGTGCGGGTACCCGGAGAGGCTGTCACACTGGCCCTATGCCCTCACCAGTGGAGGACAGCTGCCCCATGAGATGGGGCAAGGGGCTGACTGAGCTGCTAACGCACCACCATCCATCGGGCTGTGGATGGCAGAACTAAAAGAGCTAATTAGCATGCTAATACCCTCTCTGGGGCTTCAGGGTCATGGCTACCCTTGTCTGGGCGCTGCTGCATTCCCCTCGAAGCCACACACCTGGTCTGGCTGCGGGCCCTGCACAGAGCTTGCTCCTGTGTCAGTGGAGTGGCCGGCTGGATCCTGCACTCACTTGCTCAAGTGCTCCCTCCTGCAAGGGGCTGAGAACAGCGAGCCGAGTAGACCAGGCACCCCTGCCGCGAGTCTGGCGAAGGGGCCAAGAAAAGTCCTGCATTGATATGAACTAGAACCATCCCTGACCAGCTCATCAAAAGCTGCTGTAGATTTTCCTGAGGAGGCAGGAGGTGGCCCCTTTGGCATCTCTGGCCCACTGCAGGGTAAGAAGAAAAGGGAGGAGGCTTTGAGGGACATCAGACTACTTTCTTTTTCACAAAGCTTCAGAATTCCTGTTGCTGAAGCCATCCTTTTAAGCCTTGCACCCCTAACAGTGTCTAGCCCCAGCAGGCTTATCTCAAGCCAGTGTGTTACCTGCCTTGGCACTACCGCCCAAGACCTGCTGTCCTCCACAGAACATAAGCCCCCCATGGGCAGGAGTTACCATCTTGCCCAGTGCCCCATGCCCTTCGCCAGCATACTGCCAGGTGCGTAGGAGGCATCCACAAACACCTCATGGGTTGTAAATGCCTCGGGAGCCAGCAAACCGCACACAACAGCACACAGAAAACACGTGTGAGGTAAACTTCTGAGCGGCCACAGCTGGGGTGAGCGGGAGCACTACAATTCTTACAACTGGTCGTGCATGACCCCAGACTCACACATACACAGGGAAGATCAATCACATGCATTGTCAGCTCTCTCTCACAACACACCACTAAAATGATATCAATAGATTTAAATATATATATATAAGCTCATAAGGACTGAGAGAATGGGAGAGAAGACAGCAGCAAATCCAAGAATGCAATACATTTTGGAATCTAGAAAATGGATGGAGGAGAGTAACTGAGCTGGAGAGCCCAGGCAGCTGCCCTCAGTGAGGCACAGAGGCAATGCCAAGAGGAAGTGATCCCTGGCCCCAAGCCACCCTCTGGGCCCAGGAGAGGGGAGCCCAGAGCACACCTGAGGGGCAGCAGGAAGCGTGGGCCACAAAATGTATTATTCCAGCCAAGACAATCTGGGGAGGGGTGCTATTAATAATTATACCAGGACAACAGATGCAGCCTGGGCTGGCCTGGGGGCGGAAATCCTGGTACTGGCAAAAGTTCGTGTCTTCGTCTGTTTTGTGCTGCTAAAACAGACTACCACAGCCTGGGTAATTTATAAAGAACAGAAATGTATTTCTCACAATTCTGGAGACTGGGAAGTCCGACATCAAGGCGCCAGCATCTAGTTAAAACCTTTGTGCTATGTCATCCCATGACAGAAGACAAGAGGGCAAGAGAGACAGAGACAGAGAGAGAGCAAGAGAGGACCAAACTCTTATTTAAAAAAACACTCTCTCAGTAAGGAACGCACTCCCTTGATAGGGACATTAATCCATTCCTGAGAGCTCTGCGTCTTTTGGGTCTATTAATCACCTCTTAGAGATCTCACCTCTCAGCATTATAGTATTGGGGATTAAGTTTCCAGCACATGAACTGTGGGGAATACTAACATTCAGTGATAATGGCACTAGACACTCAAGGACCCTCACTCCTCACTGAGACCGCAAGTATAGTGGAGGGAAGGCCTGATGTGCAGAGAGACGTGGAGGATGATGACGTCTGCACTCAAAATGGGGAAACCACAACCTCCTGGACCACTCCTGGCTCCTACCCCAAGAAAGTACATACAAGGGCTGTTGTGCAGACGAGACTCCAAGGCTTCATGTTTGGGGTCCCCGAGGATAAGTTCCCATCATCACCTGTTCACTATACGGCAAGGTTCCACTCATACCCAAAAGCTCCCTACTCATTTTTAGTGCTTTGTCCTTAAATACAAATTGGCAGCCAACAGTCACCAAACATTTGAGGAAATCCTCCAACAGGGAAAAAAAGAAACTAAAGCAATCGGGGGGAAAGGGAGGAAAAAATAAAGTCAGAAAGATATTGCAGACACAGAACAAGAATAGAGTTCTGTGAAAAAGTAACAGATGCACAAAGAACTCTTGGGAATTAAAATTATAATGGCTGAAGTAAGTAGAACAAAAAGACAAAAAGTAGAACAAAAAATACACAAAGTAGAACAAAAAAAGATGGAAAATAGAAAAGTAAGAAGCTTAAAGGGCCGATTCAAAAGATCTGCTATCTAAGAGATAATCCAGACATAGAGAATGACAAAGATGAGGAGATTATCAATAAATGCTATTAAACCTTTCCCAACTCATGAGTTTGCAATCATTGCATGGCCAGTGCAACAAAAACAACAAAAAAAAGACAAGAAAAACCAACGTACATCACTGTAACATTTCCAAATGTCAGGGTAACAGAGTAGATCCTCAGAGCTTTGGTGGGGTGAAGTGGGGGCAGTGGAAAGAAAGTCGCTTATAAAGGAATTAGAGTGGAGTTAGATTTTTCTGCAGTTAACCCAGAAGCTAGAACATAGTGGAGCAGCACCTTCAAAATTCCCAAGGAAAAAAAAAATGTTGTTGTTGAATGTGGAATTCCATACCCAGCTGTAGGGTATTTGTATTGCTTGCCCAACCTCCAATTTACCCTCCTATTTAAAAAGGCTGGGCACCGCCCCGTCCGGGAGGTGAGGGGCTCCTGGGCCCGGCCGCCCCTACTGGGAAGTGAGGAGCCCCTCTGCCCGGCCAGTCGCCCCGTCCAGGAGGGAGGTGGGGGGGTCAGCCCCCCGCCCGGCCAGCCGCCCAGTCCGGGAGGTGAGGGGCGCCTCTGCCCGGCCGCCCCTACTGGGAAGTGAGGAGCCCCTCTGCCCGGCCAGCCGCCCCGTCCGGGAGGGAGGTGGGGGGTCAGCCCCCCGCCCGGCCGGCCGCCCCGTCCGGGAGGTGAGGGGCGCCTCTGCCCGGCCGCCCCTACTGGGAAGTGAGGACCCCTCTGCCCGGCCAGCCGCCCCGTCCGGGAGGGAGGTGGGGGGGTCAGCCCCCTGCCCGGCCAGCCGCCCAGTCCGGGAGGGAGGTGGGGGGATCAGCTCCCCACCTGGCCAGCCGCCCCGTCCGGGAGGTGAGGGGCGCCTCTGCCCAGCCGCCCCTACTGGGAAGTGAGGACCCCTCTGCCCGGCCAGCCGCCCCGTCCGGGAGGGAGGTGGGGGGGTCAGCCCCCTGCCCGGCCAGCCGCCCAGTCCGGGAGGGAGGTGGGGGGATCAGCCCCCCGCCTGGCCAGCCGCCCCGTCCGGGAGGGAGGTGGGGGGATCAGCCCCCCGCCTGGCCAGCCAACCCGTCCGGGAGGTGAGGGGCGCCTCTGCCCGGCCGCCCCTACTGGGAAGTGAGGAGCCCCTCTGCCCGGCCAGCCGCCCCGTCCGGGAGGGAGGTGGGGGGGTCAGCCCCCCGCCCGGCCAGCCGCCCCATCCGGGAGGGAGGTGGGGGGGTCAGCCCTCCGCCCGGCCAGCCGCCCCGTCCGGGAGGGAGGTGGGGGGGGTCAGCCCCCCGCACGGCCAGCCGTCCCGTCCGGGAGGGAGGTGGGGGGATCAGCCCCCTGCCTGGCCAGCCGCCCAGTCCGGGAGGTGAGGGGCGCCTCTGCCCGGCCGCCCCTACTGGGAAGTGAGGAGCCCCTCTGCCCGGCCAGCCGCCCCGTCCGGGAGGGAGGCGGGGGGGGCGTCGGCCAGCCGCCCTGTCCGGGAGGGAGGTGGGGGGGTCAGCCCCCCGCCCGGCCGGCCGCCCCGTCCGGGAGGTGAGGGGCGCCTCTGCCCGGCCGCCCCTACTGGGAAGTGAGGACCCCTCTGCCTGGCCAGCCGCCCCGTCCGGGAGGGTGGGGGGGGGGGGTCAGCCCCCCGCCCGGCCAGCCGCCCCATCCAGGAGGTGAGGGGCGCTTCTGCCCGGCCGCCCCTACTGGGAAGTGAGGAGCCCCTCTGCCCGGCCACGACCCCGTCTGGGAGGTGTGCCCAGCGGCTCATTGGGGATGGGCCATGATGACAATGGCGGTTTTGTGGAATAGAAAGGCGGGAAGAGTGGGGAAAAAATTGAGAAATCGGATGGTTGCCGGGTCTGTGTGGATAGAAGTAGACATGGGAGACTTTTCATTTTGTTCTGTACTAAGAAAAATTCTTCTGCCTTGGGATCCTGTTGATCTGTGACCTTATCCCCAACCCTGTGCTCTCTGAAACATGTGCTGTGTCCACTCAGGGTTAAATGGATTAAGGGCGGTGCAAGATGTGCTTTGTTAAACAGATGCTTGAAGGCAGCATGCTCGTTAAAGAGTCATCACCACTCCCTAATCTTAAGTACCCAGGGACACAAACACTGCGGAAGGCCGCAGGGTCCTCTGCCTAGGAAAACCAGAGACCTTTGTTCACTTGTTTATCTACTGACCTTCCCTCCACTATTGTCCTATGACCCTGCCAAATCCCCCTCTGCGAGAAACACCCAAGAATGATCAATAAAAAAAATAAATAAATAAATAAATAAAAATAAAAAATAAAAAGGCTGGGCAGGCCAGGCCCGGTGCCTCACGCCTGTAATCCCAGCACTTTGGGAGGCCAAGGTGGGCGGATCACTTGAGATCAAGAGTTCGAGACCAGTCTGGCCAACATGGCAAAACCCCGCCTCTACTAAATACACAAAAATTAGCGGGCGTGGTGGTGCATGCCTGTAATCCCAGCAACTCAGGAGGCTGAGGTGGGAGAATCGCTCGAACCCAGGAGGCGGAGATTGCAGTGAGTCAGGATCACACCACTGCACTCTAGCCTGGGCAACAGAGCAAGACTCTGTCTCAAAAAGAAAAAAAAAAAAAAAAGGTTGGGCTGGGCAGGTAAGACTACATTTCCAGTTCACAGCTAGGGTCTTGGATGTACATTGGGTTCTGCAGGAGGTGAAAGCAGGTCTTTTTGCTTTTGTTTTGTTTATAGGAGGAGACAGTTTCCACGCAGCTTCTGGACGTCAGTCCTCATTCAGAAGGGGTTGCCTTTTTTTAACGAGTCCCAGGTTCCTTCAGCTGCTTCCTGGCACAACACCAAGCAGTGGCAGTGGTGGAGGTGGCTTCTTTCTCTATGACTCTGAGCCTAGTGGAAGCTTAGAGGGTCCAGCCCCCAGGTTCCAGGGGTGCAGAGGCTGCTGGTGTAAGAGTGGCTCCAGACCCTGGCTGATGGGGCTGCAGAGGCTGCCTGAGGGGAGCTGCTCCCTAGGGGGCAGTTCTATATTGTTCTGAAAAATCATTCCTAGAGGCCCCACCTAGAAATTGCTCCTATATAGTCCTTCTAGCAATTGCAATTTGTGTATCCTGCACTGAGCATTGGACTCTGCTGATATAGCTGCCAAACTGCCAACCAAGGCAAAGAACAGAGCAGCCCCCGGCAGTATTTGGTCCAGGGCCCCCAGCCGGCCTTTTCCAGCCCTGCACCACCAGCTGCTGCCACATGCCTGCTTCCAGAGTCTCAGCCTGCAGGGGACTCCAGGCCAGTACCCTCGGGCCCAGACAGTGCCTGGAGTTAAGGTTTCTCCTTATGTCTGTCCTTGCTTACAGGGGACCTAGAGCTAATGCCTGCCCCGGGCAGCAGTGTGAAATCTCAGTGCCCTTGCAGGACAAACCCTGTCGTGTCCTTTCCCCTCCAGGGCCCCCCCATCAAGCTGAGACCAGCACTGCACCTGAAAGCACACCCGCTGAGCTTCCTCCCTTCCCTTCCCTGCAGTCCCCACTCTCTGGCAGTATTTTCTCAATGAATCACTTTCACACAGACTCATGTTTCACAGTCTGGAAGAAACATTTTCAGATATGCAAGGACTCTAAAATTTTATCCCCCAAGAACCTGTTCTTAGGAAGCTACTAGAGGATATGCTTCAGCAGAATGGCGGCATGAAACAGGAAAGGAAGACACGACACCCGGAATCCATCCCAAGCAAGCCCTGGGATTGGCTGGGATGAGGAGAGGATGTCTAGGGAGCAGCCTAGAGCCAAAAAACCCCCATGGGAGGGTCCAGGAGAAAAGGGGGTTGGTAGAAGGGCAATTTGACTATTTGGAAAGTAACATTGATTCATATATAACTGCTCTGGTGAAGACTGAGAAAAACAGAGGTGGGTACAAAGAAATCTAAATAAAGGGGAAATATGCACATATTCAGTCCAGGAAACATTATCGTCTACTTCACTTAGCAGTAAACACAATTCACTGCCATAGTAATGTACATACTGGCTATTGATTTAACCAAAAATTGTGATAAGAGTGTACTGAAGATGGGGGAAGGGCCAGGGCAGGGAAGTCTGTGGAGGGCTACTTCACTAGCTTCCAATGCAGTCAATAGACAATGTTTAGAATTGATTAACCAAGAAATAGCAGTGTCAGCATATTATTTAGAAATACTGAAGTAAATACTAGCTGTAAGCATTGTCAACAGAAATCCATTTGAAATGAATGTGTCTTTTTCAACCTCATTACTTCCAACAGGATGGAGCATGGCTTCTGATGTAACACACACACTCCAACATGACACAATGAGGCTGGAAGAATGAGAATGCAGCTGTGGAGGAAGCAGGCAGTGGGGAAAGTTGGGGAGAGATGGGCCCCCAGTACACACACAAGCTCTTTACCTCAAGCCCAGCCCCACAGCCAGGGAGGCTCAACAGCCACATGAAGTGAATGCTCCTGATACAATTTAAGAACCCCTCCATCCCCACACTCCCAGCTGCCATCAGCCATTGCTGCCCCAAACTCCACATTATGCGTTCATTTATCTGAGTTGGGCATTACTGTCTTCACTTTATGTATGTATGTATTTATATGTGTATATATGTATATATTTATAAGAGACAAGGTCTCAATACGTTGCCCAGGCTGGAGTACAATGGCTCAATCACAGCTCACTGTGGTCTCGACCTCCTGGGCTCAAGTGATCCTCCTGCCTCAGCCTCCAAAGAAGGTGGGACTACAGGTATGTGCCACGAAGCCCAACTAATTTTTTTTATTTTTTTTTATTTTTATTTTGTAGAGATGGAGGCCTCAGCATGCTGCCCAGACTGGTCAAATTCCTGGGCTTAAGTGACCCTCCTGCCTTGGCCTCCCACAGTTCTGGGATTAGTCTCTTGACTTTAAAAGTGGAGGTTCCCCTGCTGGGGTCACACACCAAATATAGTGTGGAGGAAGCACAGGTTGGGCTCCAACTCCCATTGCATGGCCTTGGCAAGCTGCTGAGAAAGTCTTTGAACCTCATCTTCCTCAAGTGGTAGATCACAAAAATGACCACCATTTTTTGCAGAAAAAAAAAAAAAAAAACACTTGTTCTGGGCTGGCCCAGTGGTTTGCTTTGACCAACAGAACATAGAAGAAGTGATATTGAACCAATATTAAGTCTAGACCAAGAGAAACCTTCAGCTTCCATTCTTGCTGCTCTTAGAGGCCTGACATTGCCACGTGAACAAGCCAAGCTAGCCTGCTGGAGGAAGAGAGACACATGGCCCAACATGGCCCAGCCCCTCAGTGCCCCAACCAAGAGCCAGCACACTCCCAGACTTGTGAATGAGGCCATTCAGGATAAATGGGCTTCCAGCTGACCTACCAACTGACTACAGATCCATGAGCAGGCCCAGCTGAGATTAGCCTAGCCCAGTCCGGACCAAAAGAACCACCCAGCAGAATCATAGGCTAAACAGACGGTGGTGGTTTTTTTATGCCACTGAGTTTTGGGAAGCTTTGCTATGTAGTAAGGGAAAAGTAATACAACTATGGGAAATAATACTGATGCTTAGGTCACAGGGTTGTTAAGATGTAATGATAGATAGGAAGGGACCCAGCTGCTGGAAAATGTCCTTATCTCCCATCCCCATCTCCAACACTTGCAAGCAGAGTTTTTAGCAACTGCTTTTCTACTGAGGGCCATGGAGAGGAGGTCAGGAAGTGGGGGCAGGGCTCCCAAAGAAGAGCTCAAACGGTGCCTCCACCGACCCCCTAACACAGCCCTGGAGTCTGAGCCACAGGCCGGCTGGTGAAGCAAAGAGCAACTCAGCTTTGCAAGCAGCTCTGAAAAGGCAAAGATTTAACCACTGTAATTGGCTTATTGATTTTGCAATCACATTTTAAGATGCACAATCTGCCACTATCTGCATTGGCTATTACAGCAGCCTTCCAGGGAAGTTTTATCTCCACCACCTGCGGACCAGACCTTGAACCAGGAGGTAGAGAAACGACTCTCCCTAATCATCCTGGAAGTCTGGTAAACACAGCTCATGGCAGGCACAGATGGCAGTGGGGAATGAGAGAATGGAATGGAAGCCTCAGGCTTTCTGCACTGATCCCACAAGGCACCCTTTACCTCACCACTGCACTAAGCTCGTCTGCTTCACTCTGACTGCCGCAGAAGCCTCTATTCTTGCTGGAAAGACCTGGGGTTCCAAGGAAGAGCACTGAGTCTGGAGTCAGAAGCTGCAGGCTGTGCCAATGGTTCTACGTCTGACGAAGACATACACCCCGGAGAGCCCTGAACTGCCCTCAGTCATCTATTGTTGTGGGGCAGCTCTTCCAGAAAAGTAGGTCTGGATGCTCTTGTCCACACAGACCCCCACAAGAGCAAACAGGAGGTGCCCTGAGTCTGCTAAGAGCATCCTAAGCACCTGAGCTAGGCCCAAGGGGGCACGTGATCTCCTCTGCACAGGAGGCCACAGTCTAGAATTTGTAAGTCTGGGTTTGCAAAGATGATAGGGCTCACTGAGTCCATCCAAGCCTCCATTTTATGGCTGAGCAAACAGAAACAGCCATTCAGAGAAAGTCAATGACCTGCCCAAGGGACCTCAGTTCCTGAGCAGCAGGGACAGCACCAAAGCAAAAGTTCCATTGCCCACGTGGGGCACTTCCTCACTGCAGGGCTGCCTCTGGTGCACAGATCTCGAGATTACAAGACAGTGAGGGTCTCCGTGCCCGAGAGGGCTTTGTCCACTCTGGGTCCCATAATCTTGAGTGCAGGTGACCAAGTGTCCATCTAAAGGGCTTTGTAACTCAGGACTAACACAGTTAAGCAAGGGGTTCATTGGAATTGCATGGACACACTATAGATGAGACCGATGAATAGTGACCTACATTAATGGTGATACCGTGAAGGTAGGCAGGTGGTTCCAGAACCAGTGCCTGGACCCGTGTGGCCAGTCTGCATTCCTCTCATCTCAGATTCTTTGATTCTCTCTGGAAACCTCACAGTTCTTGGCCTGTGCTCAGTATGTGTGACTTCAGTGGGCCCTTGTAGCAACTTGTGGTTAATTCTCCAGTTCCCTCAGTGCTTTTGCTCAATGTTCACTTCAATAAGCCAGTCTTTATCAGTTGGTTTGTCTAAGGGTTTCCTTCCTTTCCTATCCTCTACAAAATGCCACGGCATGTGATGGTCACCGGCCACCAGGAGCCGCAGCTTCCCTGAGGTCTGGGGTTAACACTGGGACAGCAACAGAGACCCACCTGCCCTGCAGAATCTCAGGGCCCAGCCTTGGTTCCCTGTGGCCCACAGCATCATGGCAGAAGACACGGTCCTTCCATTTAGCTCAGAAGAGTGCACACCTGTTCACAATGCCGTCCCCTCCCGTCCCACCACTTTCTTGAACACTGCAATGATAGAAGGGGAGCCCAGTGTCCGGAAGGAGCAAACTGCCCAGGAGGGAAATTCTGGACCTGAGTAAGCAAGAGCCTTGGAGAAGACAGGCAGCCCTGGAGGGTGTCAGGCCCAGGGGCATCCCATCCAGCCTGATGCAGAAAGGCACCCAATTTGGCCAGAGCCCCTGGGACCTGGTACAGCCTGTGATCACCACCTCCCACCAGTCTCCCTGTTCCCTATTCCACCTCCCCTGACCACCCAGTGCTGTCCCCAGAGTGGCCTTTCTAAAATGCAAGTTTGTGGGCCAGGCATGGTGGCTCACCCTGTAATCCCAGCACTTTGGAAGGCCGAGGCGTGTGGATCACAAGGTCAGGAGTTCAAGACCAGCCTGACCAACATGGTGAAACCCCATCTCAACTAAAAATACAAAAAGAAAAAAAAATTAGCCGGGCGTCGTGGCGGGCACCTGTAATCCCAGCTACTCGGGAGGCTAAGGCAGGAGAATAGCTTCAACCCAGAAGGTGGAGGTTGCAGTGAGCCGAGATCACGCCACTGCACTCTAGCCTGGGTGACGGAGCAAGACTCCATCTTGGAATAAATAAGTAAATTAAATAAAATAAAATGCAAGTTTGCCCCCTGCTTAGAATCCTGCGGAATAAACCTGGGCCTGGCACTCAAAGCCCATCTTATCCAGTCCCAGCAAACACCCCAATTTCATCTCCCACCACTCCTCTCACCCCAGGGACCCTTCACTCCAAATATGGGCACCTTGCCAGGACACACCACCAAACAGCCTCTGCTCTGCCACCCTGATAAATTCCACCCCTACCTGGTGACAGCGCAGGTGGCCCTCCATGCACGGCAGCTTCCCAGGGCCCTCAGCACTTGGTCTGTCCACACATTTGCTCATCCCACTGTGTGCCATCTATCTGTCCCCACGATCCGGGGGCCTGGGGCAGGGTCGGATCTCACTTCTGGAACCTGAGTGCCACGCTGCGCCTGGCTCACAGTGAGCCCTTGATAAATGTCTGATGAGCGGCTGGCTGCATTAATGAGCAAATATGGAATAAAACCTACGTGCACAAGTTTGCTGCGGGTAAAACAAATCCCAATTAACACAATAAGTGGCATGTTGTTTTCTCTATTTCAGGATACATCAAATAATTAGTGCTTAGTACACAGAGAGCTCCGAGTGTGAAGCTGGATGTAATCAAATGTCAAAACACAGAAACCTAAGGAGAAAAATCACTGATGCACTCAATTAGGAAGCAAAACTACTCCAGGTAGGTTTTCTCCTGGACGCGGACAGCTTATTGCAGGATTCCAAGGCTACATTACAATGTTAAAAAGACTCATTACAAGGCAAGCTGGAAAATGTAACGGTCCTGAGTTCAGATTGGGGCTGCTGGCTGCCCAGAGTGGCTGAGTGGCTGGTGCCCCACAGCAGGCCTGCCCACTGCCCCACTAGCCACAAAGGGCTACATTTGCCGAGTGCCAACCATGTGACGGGCACTTTATATCACTAAACCCTCATGAGGCAGACATGCTCATGGTCTCCATTCTATCTGAGAAAAGGGGGCTAGAGCAGCTGCATAATTTGCTCGTGGACTCACGCTCAGGTCTGCTTGGATCTAAGCCACATGCATGTCCATCTTCTCAGGCAAGATGAGCTGGGCTCATCCTCCTCCACCATCACCAGGCGACATAGCCCCCTCCTGGGCATCTTCTCAGGCTCTCTTGCCTTTCCACCTCTCGCTCCCTCTCACTCCCACAGCCACCAGCTCACCCGATTCCACTGCTCTGTGCAATTCCATTGCTCGTAGCCAACCAGCCATGCTCCTGGGGTCCCTGGCTCCTCCTGCCACATGCAGACCCAGAAGTGAAATGCTGCCAAAAAGGGCAGGCAAGGGACTCCTCATGGGGGTGACCTCTTGCAAATGGGTGGTGGAGGGAGAGGAGAGGAGCCCACAGACACCTTCGTCCTCCCTTCTTCTCTCCTATGGACTCATCCAAGGCAGGAACTCTCCACACTGCAGGTCGAGAGGTGTCCCATGTGGCTGACAGTGTGCACCTGTGGCCTGACCGCTGTGTCCTCCCGGTTCCCATTCATCCTTCCCACCTGTCCTCCTAAACAAAGCACTGGTACTCAGTCCTTGTCCCGGCTCTGGTTTCTAGGGAACCCAGGCTAAGACACTGCTGTGGTCTTTACCATTTTTCTTCCCCTTTATCCCCAGCCCCACCCACCACCCTTTCCCTCAGAGGCATCTACTCCCACACGCCAGATAGACTTCCTGCAATGTGGAGGCTTCCTGGAATCTGTCCTTCCAGGCCATGTAGTTTAATCTACCTAAAGAGTATTGCACCATGCATTTCTTTCCCGTGCTGGACCTTGCCACCCAGCCCCAGCCTATGTGAGCTGCTCACAGAAGCCCAGGTGTCACCTCCCTGCTGCGTAGGGGTCCATGGCACTGCCACGGGTCACTCATCCACTCATCCAGAGAATGCTGGATGAACACCCTCACAGTTCTTTGGGGACTGTGTGGAGTGTCTCAGTACAGAGCAGGTGCAGGACCATGGAGGCCTGTGCCACACCCAGTCCAAATGTCTCTAAACACACCGGGCTGCTCTTACACCAAGAGCACCCCCTTGAGAGAGGCCTGCTCCCCACAGTTTGGCCAACACCACTGTCGTTTGACATGCCAAGGCCTCTAGTCCTGCTGGGTGTGAGGCAGCAGTGCCTCATCCTCCCTCTCAGGACTGGTGAGGTTAGCGGCTTTCTTCAGCTCATTGGCTGTTTGAGATGCCCTGTTGCTACCTGATATTTCACCTTTGAGCTCACACTGCCCTAGCCCTGTGGCCACCTGGGCTGCTCATGTGGGTCTCAGAGGAGCAATAAAGCCCAGGGCCGGCCGTGTGCCTGGTCATGGGTTTAGGGAGTTAGGGAGGGGCTATATCAGGGCAGAGCGCCTCTGACTTACCAACTGCACCTACCTCCTCCCCATGAGCCCCCAAGTGACCCTGTCCTACCGCAAGAGTGGATTCAGGTTTTGTGAGGCTAAAATCCCATGGCCCCACAATCCTGATGGGCTCTGAGTCCATCCAATCCATGTTCTATTTCTCCCCCATTACCCACTTTCCCTCTTGCTTGGGTCTCCGAAGGCCTAAAGACCAGGACACCACAATCACAAAGGGCCTGACATATCTGCTCCCTAGCCCTGCTGGTCCTTAGGAGACCTGAGTGCAAGAGCCCAGGAGGCTGGGTCAGCCCTGAGGCCAGCCAATTCCCTGGTGTCTGGCCATCCATACTGTCCAGGACCAGGACCCAGCCCAAGGAACTCACAGGAAATCAGGGACAGCTCGATGGTTTCTTGCAGCTGACTCACTCATGAGCGTATTTCCCAAAGCACATTCCACAAAAACTCACTTCTGTGATGTGTTAACATGAATTCATAAAATAAAAGCAGCTTGGCAGGCCTGTATTTGGAGGAAGTTTTTCATTGACCATGACGAGCATCAGGACCTCCCAGGACCTCTCCCTGTTCATGTGCCATCAGTCCCCTGTGTTTGCAGCACAGTGGGCAGCACCCCACAGCCCACCCTAACCACAGGGTCCCTGCCCGCCGCCCACCCTAACCACAGGGCCCCTGCCCGCCGCCCACGCAACTGCATCCTCCGGAATTATCATCTCAAGACAAAGACACACGCCCAGGGAAAGCCACGCAACAGGGTAGGACAGGGAAGCTTGCCCATCTGCCTCTGCTCCACCCAGAAAGGCTGGGCACTCTCTCAGCCACCACATGGATATCCCGTTCCCAGAGGCCTCAGGAACTGCTGTGCCCTGGAGTCGCCCTTCACATTCTACCCCAAATCCTCCCCAACTTCCTGGCCAGGCATCCTCTTTTGCAGCCTGCAGACAGACTGGCTTTGTTCCCAAGGTGTGTGTTCCCAAGACCTGAATGAAATGCCATGGGATGCTTAAACTAGACACAACATGCCTGCCACGCAGGACCCTGGCTAGATGTGGTATAACAGGGCCTGTGTCTCCCACGTGGGGCCCATGCAGGCCGCCCCCGCCCCCATCCAACTTCCTCACAGCTGGGAGCTCAGGATACTTCCAGACCTTTGTTTGTAGTTGCTGCTGTAAACGTGCTGCAATTTATTTGGGTTTTCTAGAATCCCTATGATTTTCGCTTGCTGCATCAAAACACACTTATAGCTATTATGACACTAGTAGTGGTAATAATCATGCAGGAAAAAATAACTTTATTCTCGCAAGCAAATTCTGTGGTCCCAACCTCCTTCCCCGCAATAAAACAAAACCCTGAAATTTCTAAGGGATTCAGCCACCAGAACATTGTCTTATACTGTCCCCACATCCAGTCTGTGGGATAGAAAAAGCAAAACAGGCCGGGCGCGGTGGCTCACGCCTGTCATCCCAGCACTTTGAGAGGCCAAGGCGGGTGGATCACGAGGTCAAGAGATCGAGACTAGCCTGGCCAACGTGATCAGCCTGGCCACTGCACCCCAGCCTGATGACAGAGCAAGACTCTGTCTCAAAAAAAAAAAAAAAAAAAAGAAAAAGAAAGAGAAAAAAGAAAAGGCAAAACAACACCTATCACATCCCATGAATCCCCCTCCCACACACTCCCTCCCCTGCAGGCCCAGTCCCCCCCGCCACGAAGCCCACAGCCTCAGAGGACAGGCTTTCCAGGACCCCGTCTCTACTGCACTGCCCACCCAGTCTCACTCATGAGCTGACTACACACATGCACATACACGCCCATGCATGCCTGCATACACATACATATAGGCACACGTGCACACAGTAGACGGGGAAGGAACTGCAAACTCCCCGACCATGGAGGCCGGGACCCTCCAGTCACCCCACCACCTCAGCCAGGGCCAGCTCAGTGCTGCCTGAGCCCCAGGACACACAGCTATCCCCCAGGGCCACACTCCTCATGCCCTTCTAGGCCCTGCTTTCAGGGTCCCCAGCCCAGCTCAGCGCAGAGGATATTCCAGAGTCGCTTTGCAGGTGGGATGGTGACAGGCTGATTCCAGGGATGCAGATCCACGGGCTCCTCAGCCTGCGAGCTTGGCCAGCTTAGGAAAGCCCTCTGCTTCCCAGTGCCTCCCAAAAAGTGCTCTCTCCCCATCAGGCCATGCGCCACAGTGAGAGCCACTGCCGTCCCCACACCCCGGAGGCCGAGCTCCTCCATTGAAGCCACTATGGCTCACCACACTGTAATGCATCTGTGACCATCCCCAGGCATCAGTGCCACCCTACGGGACAGGGAGGGGCAGGGTCTTGCACAGCAAACCAGGCAGTGCAGCAGAGCCAGCTACCTTGCTGTCCTGCCGCCAGCACCCATCCGTCCACCTGGCCAGGCCCCAGAGGCTAAAGTCAGGGTGCTCGGCCCAAGAACAGGCAGACTCCTTTATCGTGTGCCAGGGCGGGGGTAAAAAACCCTCACCATTTCCTGATGCATTATTTATCAGGAGCGCATTAACTGTGGGTGACATCACAGGCATTCGAAGGTAATTTGTGGAAAGTATTGTTAAAGCAATTGATTTGCAAATTCCTTGACAGGGAAACGGAGCACTGAGCAGGCAGAGATGTGACATGGAGCCCTTTTTTTAATGTATTTGGGGATAATTGATTGAAAGCTAAGCTGTGTAGCCAGTGAGAAAATGAGATTATTCTGTCTGTTATGCAAAGAAATCGTATATTGTGCAAAACAGCAGGCTGAGGAGCTGTCAGAGCAGCTGAGAGGCACTTGCTCCTGGGAAAGGCAGAGCATGATGTCTTCCTTTCCAAATCCAAACAAGTCCTCACCATTCCCCTAACCCCAGAAAGCTCTCACCACCAGCTCCTCCTGCATCGCCTCTCGCCCCTCCACCCAGCCCCACATCAGCCCTGGGCCTCAGCCTAGACCCCTCCCTTTCTCCACCCTATACTGGGATCGGTCAGTCAAGTCACTGGGTCCTGAAGATTCCAGCACCTTTGTCTGATCATCCATGCTCCTGTCCACAATCTGACTCCAGGGTGTGCCAAGGACACGAGGGCTTCTGGGGAGCCCATGAGAACACAGCACAGCCATGTGGATGGAGGTGTGCTGCAGGGATTGGGACTCCACCCTGCTTGGCTCTCAGCAGCCACTACCCTTCAACAGGATGGTTTCAGTCCCCCAGTAATCCACACTGTGCCTTCTTAGCCCACACAGCCAGCTGTACCTGCCCATCAGGACTCTCAGTGACTACTCAGAGCCTCTAGGACTACACAGAGCACCTTTGTGAGGCCACAGAGCCACGTGGCCTCCTCCCCTCTACTCCCTCCACACCTTCCTGCAGTCCAGCAGCATCAAACTGCCTCTGCATGTGCCAGCCTGGAGGCTGGAATGCCACCCACCCATGGTTTGTCCACCCAGAAGGCACATTTAGTCTCCAGGAGTAGTTCAAATGCCTCGTCCTCCAGGAAGCCTTCTCTGACTGCCCCAGGCAGCACCCCTTAGGTGCTCCTCCCTCCCTCTGAACACCAGTGTGTTCACTAGTGGGGCCCTCCCTTCCCTAGATTATGAGCTCACAGGTGGCTAAAAGGGTAAGTGCATGGCTGCAATGAATTAATGTATGCAAGAATGAATTAGGGAATGAATGAACCACTGCCCAAATCACATTGCTGGGTCCCTCATTTTCTCCCAACTCTAACAAAGCATGGGCACCCATGGGGGCTGTTGGTTTTGTTAGCTGTTCCCACTACTCTGAGCCAGAGGATCACCCGGTCCAGAGCTCCACTGGCGGGACGGTCCCACAGTCATGGGGAGGCCCGGTTCAAGAGAAATTTGGACCAACAGTCTGATCCCAGTCCACATATGAAAGCTGCATAATCTCAGCCACTTGGCTACCACCCTGAGCCTGTGGACAGGCCCAGTCAAACAAAAGTGCGCCTGGGGTTGGAACAATAGCTTAGCTCTGCCTCCCACACATCTGTAACCCTGGGCAGATCACTCGGCCTCACCGAGCCTCAGTCTTCACGTCTGCCAGATGGAGATCACATTAGTGCCAACCCGTAAGGCTGTTGTGAGGGTTACAGCCACGGTGCCTAGGTCTCACCAGGCCCTCACTAGAGGTAGAAATGCTTGCTGGACCACCTCATCCCAGTGCCTTTATTTATGTGATTACACTGAAAGTTCCCATCAACTTGATTTAGGATTTTCCTGCCCATTTTCTGTATTAGGAAATGGAGGCTCCTGGAGTTGCTCAAGAATACCTGCTAATAGTGGTGGGGATCTGGCCACACCTGGCCATGTCAGTACCCAGTACCATTCTCCCCTGGAAAGCAGGAGGCAGGAGCTGACCCTTCAGCAGGGAGGGAGGTTGCCGGACAGCAAGGCCTGCTGGCCTTCTCCCAGAGCCCCAGCACAGCCACCACGGGGGCCCCTGACCAGCCAGGGGTCGAGCCGTAACCCCATCACCTTCAAATACCTGGTTTTTCCAGCAGACTCCACAGCTCCGCACAGCAAGCTTGACCCTAGGGGAGGAAGGAAAGAGGCCTCACACCATAGGGCCACTAAATATCAGAGTTTGTCTAGGACTGAGGGGATTTCCAGACACAGGACCTACCTTGAAAAACCAGGAAAGCCCCAGACGGACCAGTACAAGCTGGTCACTTGTCACCATAGTCCCACCTTTAAAGAGCTAGAAAATGCATAATGGTCTATTCAAAATATTTTGGCAACAGAGACACACAAGGTCAGGCCAATTCATTTTATATAAGTTGACATTTTTTTAAGACGATGTCTGGGGAAGCAGAAAAGAAAGTTTCTGACCACCCCCTCACCCCGACTCCTGTTCCCAATGGGTCAGCTCACCCACTACAGGCAACAGCCAAATCTCATCTTCAGTTCATTTTAACACCAGCTCCTGCTCCCAGCCAGGCCTGGTGCCAGGCAGACAGCATTCAAAGGTGACCAAATCACAGCCCTTCCCATCCCAAGGAGCCTCCAGGACAGAGGGCAAAGATGAATTGCAACAACATACAGTAAAGGCAGGACTGAGAGACACAGCAGATGGAGGGAAGGTCAGGGAGGGCTTCCTGGAGGAGGAGACAGCTCCTTCACATGAGCTGTAAGGAGGAATTAGCAAAGTGGCAAGCAAGCTAGGGTGGGTGTTCTAGTCCTAGAACAGCATGGGCAAGGCCCAGAGGTGTGGCAGAGTATGGCCCAGTCTAGGGATCGCTAATGTGACTGAAGAACCTGGCAAAATGAGGGGGAGAGAAGGGACAAAGACAGAGGAGTAGATGGGCTACACCCAGGAGACCTTTTAAAGTTTGGACTTGATTTGGGTATTCATAGGGAGCTACTGAAGAACTTTAGGGGAGTCAAGTTTAAGGCTCCCAGGACATTGGGTTTGAGCTAAAAGTCCAACTGCATCAGATGACCAGTGAAAACACCAAGGCCCAGAGAGGGCAGGAAATCACCCAAGGTCACACAGCAGAAGGACTCGGTGGGGAAAAGGCAGACCTTGCCCCCACGCCTTCTGCCTTCAGCAGTATGGTCTAATGAAATGAACCATCTCACCTAACCCTCCCTCCTCACACCTATGCCAGCTCCAGCCCCTGATTTATGAACATGCCTGTTTAACAAACCTCATTTTAAGGTATCCTGCAAGTTTGGATAATCTTCATTTCTTCTCCCTGATAATCTTCTGAATTCCTCTGAGAAGGGTTGAATACGCAAATCACCCAGGTAGTTCAAACAAGGGATAATCTTTCATTTATTTACTTTAATCCTGAATTCTGTTCTCTTCATTTAGAATTTGAGATTTGAGATGAGATAAGAAAAAAGCATTAACTGCCTTGACCCCAAAGGAAGTCTCCCACAGATCTTTATCATTTCAGGACTCTAGGGAATCCAGTGACCTTGCACACAGCCTTCCCAACCCTAAGCCTCCAAAGCTCAGTCCCAGCGGCACCGCTCCCTTCTGCACCCCGTCAAATCCCTGGGCCAGTCCATCTCCACCCAGCCCAACTCCAGGCCCATGAGCAACAGACCTTGGGCTGAGCTTGCAGAAGTAAAAGGAAATAAAATGGCCCCTGTGACAAGGACCTCAGAGTGTCTCCCCATATTGTGGGCGCACATACGGGTGAAGAGTGAGGTAGGCGCAATAGCAAAGACAGGGGCAGATGGCACAGAAGAGAGAGAAGGATCATCTCAGCCTGGGCCATCAAAAGAGGGAAGCTCTGTGGGAGCTGAAGATGATGGACCCGGTGTGAAAGAGAAGCCCACAGCCCTGTAAGCAGAGAGAAGCCCTCTCGCGTCCCAGCCCCAGCGGCTGATGAGGGCCTCTGTGCTCTGGGAGAGTACAGGAACCACATCTGCCTCTGGGGCAGGGAACGGGAGGTGCCTTGCCTGATTTGGGCCAGCGTAATAGCCACCTGATTGAGTTCTCTCACCCACCTCAAAGGAATTCTCTCATGCAGTGGTTTCAAAACCAGGCTGCATTCTAGTTCAAAACCAGGCTGCATTCTAGTTCTGTGTGAGATGGGGCAGACACATTTCTCCGTATTCCTCCCACAAAGCACAACTGAAAACCCCGGGCATTATATATAAGCCAAATATAAGAAGACTCTGGAAGGTGGAAAGAAGAAAGTTGACCAGTTACAAACTTTAAGGAATAATGTGGCAGTGAGTTCCCAAGGTTTTGTTTTAGCCACATATATTCCGGATTGGGTGCTGGAGAAGCTGGTGACCTAGGATCATCAACAGGTACAGTTGAACAAAGCCCTAAGAAAAGCCAGCTCTCAGCTGGGAGCAGTGGCTCACGCCTGTAATCCCAGCACTTTGAGAGGTTGAGGTGGGTGGATCACCTGAGGTCAGGAGCTTGAGACCAGCCTGACCAACATGGTGAAACCCCGTCTCTACTAAAAATACAAAAATTAGCTGGGTGTGGTGGCACGCACCTTGGAGGCCCAGCTACTCGGGAGGCTGAAGTGGAAGGATCACTTGGGCCCAGGAGGCAGAGGTTGCAGTGAGCCAAGATGACACCACTGCACTCCAGCCTGAGCAACAGAGCAAGACTTCGTCTAAAAAAAAAAAAAAAGAAAAAGAAAGAGAGCCAGCTCTCTCTAACTAAAGGACTAGGAAAGGGGCAGCCTAGCAAGGCAGGAAACTTCTAGACAATAATTGCCCTACCCTAGCCAAAGAGGAACAACTATGACCCTACCCCCACCCGCAAAGGCCCAAGGGGGACTGGGGACTTCATCTCCACCTGTAGTAAGCCCCTCATCCCCACTCATGGTGTCACTGGAGTCCGTGTAGGAATCCTGGATTTCTACCCCCACCCTGGCAATAATGAGGCACCCCTCCCTTCCATGCTGGAGTGGTGTCAGAGGAGGCCTAGTACCACCCCCAGCAGTGAGGAGGCCACCCCTACTTTGGGAAGCAGTAAAGAGGCACCCATTTCCCTCCCTTTCAGCAGTGACAAGCCATCCTTCCCTACTCAGGTGTCCACAAAGGCCAGACAGAGAACCTGGGTCCAGCCCTGCCTCACAGCAACAAGGCTGCATCCTCCTTCTCTGCAAGTGCAGGTCAAAGGAGACAGCTAAGACAGATTTAAATAAGATCCAGAATCTATAAAACCCAAAACGCCGGCCGGGGGCGGTGGCTCACAAGTGTAATCCCAGCACTTTGAGAGGCCAAGGCGAGCAGATCACCTGAGGTCGGGAGTTCGAGACCAGCCTGACCAACATGGAGAAACCCCATCTCTACTAAAAATACAAAATTAGCCGGGCATGGTGGCGCATGCTTGTAATCCCAGCTATTCGGGAGGCTGAGGCAGGACAATCACTTGAACCTGGGAGGTGGAGGTTGTGGTGAGCCGAGATCGCGCCATTGCACTCCAGCCTGAGCAACAAGAGCAAAACTCCATCTAAAAAAAAAATGCCTAAGGTTCAAGTGAAAATCATTCATTTTACCAAGAACCAAGAAAATTTCAACTTGAATGAGGACAAGTAATCAAAAGATTCCTACACTGACATGACACAGATGTTGGAATGATCTGACAAAGATTTTAAAGCAGCCACAGTGAAAAAGCTACGATGCTACAATGATGATATAAAAATGCAATTATGAACACATTTGAGATGAAAAAAATAGAAAATCTCAACAAAAAAATAGACTGTCTAAAAAAAAAACCAAAAGGAAATTTTAGAACTGAAAAACATAATAATAAAAATAAAAATCTCTATGGGTAAGGAAAAGTAGAATGTAGAGGACAGAGAAAGATTCAGTGAACTTGAAGACAGAATAGAAATTGTCAAATCTTAACAATGGGGAGAAAATAGACTGAAAAATGATCACCCCAGGACCTGGGGGACTCTGACAAAACATGTAACATTTATGTCACCTGAGTCCATGAGGGAGAGAACAAAGGGGGTGACTTAAAAAAGTATTAAGGAAATAATAGCTGAAGTCTTCATAAATTTGGCAAAAGACAAAAACCTACACATTCAATAAGCTAAGCAAACCCCAAATAGGATAAACCCAAAGAAGCTATGCCATGTATATCATAATCAAACTTGTGAAAACTAAAGACAAATTAAAAATCTTGAAAGCATTGAGAGAGATGACATCTTACTTTAAGAAATAACCAACTCTAATGAAAGCAGATTTCTCCTCAGAACACATGGGTGAGATGGAGTAGCTACAGAGGTAGCCCAGCATGTTTCCAGTACTGAAAGAAAAGAACTGCTGCCCAGAATCCTATACCCAGCAAAAACAGGCTTTCAGGACAGTCAAGAGAATTTGTGTCAGCTGACCTACCCTAAAGGACAGACTAAGGAAAGTTCTTACAACAGAAAAAAAAGGATTAAGGAAGGAAATCTTGGAAATCAGGAAGAAAGAACAACAGAAATAGTAAAAAAACAAAAAAAAAAAAAAAAAAAAATGCGGGGCACAGTAGCTCACGCCTCTAATCCTAGCACTTTGGGAAGCCAAGGCGGGTGGATCACTTGAGGTCAGGAGTTTGAGACCAGCCTGACCAACATGGTGAAACTCCGTCTCTACTGAAAATACAAAAAAAAATTAGCTAGGCATGGTGGCGCACACCTGCAATCCCAGCTACCCAGCAGCTGAGGCAGGAGAATCACTGGAACTCAGGAGGTGGAGGCTGCAGTGAGCAGCCTCCTGCAGCCCAGTCTGGGCAACAGAGCGAGACTCAGTCTCAAAAAAATTAACCAAAAAAGTAAAAAATATAAATACAGAAACTCCTCTTGAGTTTCCTAAATTACATCTGATGACTTAAGCAAAAATTGTATCACCGTCTGATGTGGTTATCAGTGCATGTAGAGGAAACGTTCACGACAATGTCATTCTCAATGGGGGAGGATAAAGGGGCATAAAGGGAGGAAGTTTTCTACATTTCGTCCTAACTGAGGCAGTACACTTGGAAACTTATAGCACTAAGTGCTTACATTAGAAAAGAGGAAAAGAGTCAGATCAATAAACCAAGCTCTAACCTTAAGTAAATAGAAAAAAAAAGAGCAAAATAAACCCCAGCAAGCAAAAGGAAGGAAATACTAAAGGCAGAGAAGAAATCAATAAAATTGAAAACAGAAAACAATAGAGAAAATCAATGAAACAGAAGTCAGTTCTTTGAAAAAAATCAATAAAATTGACAAACTTCTACCAAGACTGACAACAAAAAAAAAAAAGAGAGAGAGAAAAGCTGGAAATCACCAAAATCAGGAATGTAACAGGGGCTACCACTGCAGGGGCTAGAACCTGCAGACGTCAACAGGACAGTAAAGGAATACCATGAACTATTCCACTCCTAAATACACAGCTTAGATGGAACGAACCACTTCCCCAAACACTAGACATTCACTCCGTAGGAAATAGATATAAAAACTCAGTCACACAACTCACTCAATATGAAATGGATAATTTGAATAACTCTGTAACACTTAAAGAAATTGAATTTTTAATTTTAAAACTCCCAAAAAAAGAAATCTCCAAGCCCAGATGGCTTCACTGGAGAATTCTACCAAACACTTCAAGAAGAATTAATGCCAATTCTACACACTCTTTTTCAGAAAACAGAAAAGCAGGGAACATTTCCCAACTCATTCTATCAAACTAGTATTACTCAGATACCAAAATAAGACTAAAAGAGTACAAAGAAAAAAACATATAGTCCAATATTCCTTATGAACATAAACGCAAAAATCCTGAACATAATATTAGCTAATAAAATTCAGCAATACATAAAAATAATTATACATCATGAGCAAGTGGGGCTACTTCCAGGTATGCAAGGCTGGTGCAATATTTGAAAATCAATCAATGTAATGCACCATACTGACAGACTAATGAAGAAAAATCACATGATTTTGTATCGATTGATGCAGAAAAAAGCACTTCTCAAAATTCAATATACATTCAAGATTAAAACTCTCAGGAAAAAAAAAACTGAATAGAGAACTTTCTCAACTTGACATCTACAAAAAAAACAAACAAACAAACAAACAAAACACCCTGTAGCTAATTAACGGTGAAAGACAATACTTTTCCCCTAAGATTGGAGCAAGGCAATGATGATCACTCACCACTGCTAGTCAATGTTATATTGGAAGTTCCAGCCAATGCAGCAAGGCAAGAAAAAAAGAAAAGGAAAGGGAAGGGAAGGGGAAGGAAATCAGAAGGGAAGAAATAAAACTATTTGCAGATGGCATAATGGTCGATGTAGAGAAGCTTAAAGAATCTACAAAACAACTCCTAGAACTAGTAAGTGATTCTAGCAAGTTTGCTGGATACAGGATCAACATAAAAAATCAACTGTAGGGCTGGGCACGGTGACTCATGCCTGTAATCCCAGCCCTTTGGGAGGCTGAGGCAGGTGGATCATGAGATCAGGTGTTCGAGACCAGCCTGGCCAACATAGTGAAACCCCATCTGTACTAAAAATACAAAAAAATAGCCGGGCATGGTGGCAGGCACCTGTAATCCCAGCTACTCGGGAGGCTGAGGCAGGAGAATTGCTTGAACCCAGGAGGCAGAGGTTGCAGTGAGCCAAGATTGTGCCACTGCACTCCAGCCTGGGCAACAGAGCGAGACTCCATCTCAAAAAAAAAAGAATCAACTGTATTTTTATATACTAGCAACAAATACGTGGAAATCAAAACTAAAAATACAATATTATCTACAACTCTGCAGAAAGTAATGATGATGATGAAATACATGTAAATCTAATAAAACATATACTTAGCTTCTAGCCAAAAACTACAACATGCTGATGAAAGAAATCAAACTCCAAATAAATGAAGAGACATACAGTGTTCATGGATTGAAAGATTCGATTTAGTAAAGATACAAATTCTCCCTAAAAGGACCTATAAGTTTAACGCAACTATCAAAATTCCGGCAAGAAATGTTGAAGACATAGACAAAATTATTCCAAAATGTATATGGAAAGGCAAAGAAACTAGGATAACTAAAACAATTTTGAAAAGAATAAAATGGGAAGAATCACTCTACCCAATTTTAAGACTTATATAGCTACAGGAATCAAGACCATGTGGTATGGGCAGAGGGACAGACCCATAAATAGTGGAACAGAATCAAGAGATCAGAAATAGACCCACACACGTATGGCCAACAGATTCTGGACAAAGGTGCAAAAGCAACAGAGGAAAGATGGTCTTTTCAAGGAATGGTGCTGGAGTAATTACATACCCACAGGCAAAAAAAAAAAAAAAAAAAAGAGACCTTGACCTAAACCTCGCAGCTTGTACAAAAATGAACTCAAAATGAATTTAAGTGCAAAACATAAAACTTCAAAACTTTCAGGCTGGGCGTGGTGGCTCATGCCTATAATCCCAGCATTTTGGGAGGCCGAGGTGGGTGGATCGCTTGAGGTCAGGAGTTAGAGATCAGCATGGCCAACATGGTGAAACCCTGTCTCTACCAAAAATACAAAAATTAGCCAGGTGTGGTGGCGGGCACCTGTAATCCCAGCTACTCAGGAGACTGAGGCAGGAGAATCGCTTGAACCCAGGAGGCACTGGTTGCAGTGAGCCGAGATAGCGCCACTGTACTCCAGCCAGGGTGACAGAGCAAGACTCAGTCTCAAAAAAAAAAAAAGGCAAAAAACAAAACTATAAAACTTCTAGAAGAAAACATAGAAGATCATCTTCAGCACCTCAGGCTTGGTGAACATTCCTTGGACGTGACACTAAAGGTAAGATCTATAAAAGATAAATATCAATTAATTGTACTACATTGAAATTTAAAACTTTCACTCTGTGAGCAACCCTGCTAAGAGGATGAAAGACAAGTAGGCTGGGAGAAAATATTTGCAAACCACATAGCTGATAAATGACTTGTTTCTCTAATATGTAAAGAATGTTCTTCATATATAATTTACAAAACGTATGAAAGTTTTTAAAATTTATACATTTATAAATAATTTATCAAACTTCATATATATATATACATATATATATATATACTTCTAAAACTCAACAGAAAAATAACAAATAATCCGATTGGAACGTGGGCAAAAAGCACCAAGAGACGTTTCACAGAGGATACCCAGATGCCTAATAAGCACATGAAAAGATGTTCAGCATCGCTAAGCACTGGGGAAGCGCAGATCGGAGCCACAGGGACGCTTCAGCACTGCCTCCCAGGTCCCCTCCCTCCCACAGAGGCCTGTCTGGATCTGCAGCTGCTCACTCCCTGACAGCTACCAGAGGAAGAGAATGAAAAGCCCTTTGTGATTATCGTCATGCTAAGTCCCCTCTCCCTGGGCAGGAACAGACCAAGAGGGGACAGGGAAGCTGTCTGAAGCCCCTGCTCAGGTCGTCAAGGCCTTTAAACACTTTTACTGGGAATGCGGGGTTGAGAGTGTCCACAGCTCCCCAGTCCTGGATGGCAAACAAGGGTGACTTCATGGACACAGGGCCTCCCAAGTTCTCCTCTCTTTTTTGCCACGACTGTTTGTTAAGCAAATTAACAACCTGGCCCCAGTGAAACCCCAGTGAGTTTCAATGTTTAACATGCAGACATAAGACTGCTTGGAAGGGAATGCTGTCAAACAACCTACCCAAGAGAGAAATGGGCCAGAACTTAGCTAGATGAGCAAACCTCTAGAAAGTTAGCAGGCTGTCCCACAGGAAATGGGAGCAGGGGAGGGTATGGGAGGGGACAGCCCCAGAGCCTGCCCTATCGGCAATTTCAATCCTACCTACTGGAGGTGGCAGGGGCACATGGACGGAGACACCTGAGCCCAGATCCTGGCAGACCTTTAATTGCTATGTGACCCAGTGATCCTTCTTCCTTCCTGTAAAACGGCTCATTGCTCACCATGCTTGAGCATTCAGCCCAACCCAGGAAACTAGCTAGAGCCAGTTATTCACAGGCAGTAATAACTTCCTGGAATAATAATTCCGCATTCTTTCATTCAACAGCATGCATGAGGAACGAGGCACCCTCTCTGTCTGGTATTTTAATCCCATGGTTTTAGAGATGAGAATACTGAGGCCAGAAAGCACAGCCCACTTGCTCAAGTCCCAGGGCTGGAGAAAGGCAGGGCTGGGAACCGGATCCTCTGCCGCCCAAGGCCTGTCCAGCAGCCTGGGCCCTGGGAGAAACACGTGGGGATGGATGGACGAGTCAGGAACCACCCCCTCGCAGGGTGCCCGCAGATGCCCCAGCACCTTTGGCTCGACAACTCCAACGTGCACAGGGACCCAGTTTTAGAATATTCAGAAGGCGAAAATGCACACTTTCCAACCAAAACCTTCAACAAGATCATCATTATCAGTTTATATAAAACTTTTATAAAATTCTGCTTTCAAAATTCTTTTTGTAACAAAGATGCTCTTCTACGGCGCTTAAAGTGGAAGCCAATGTCTGACATTTTTATTTACATCCCAGCCTCGCCGACAGTGTATGAACCAAAGCTGGACTCCCTAGAAGGAGGGGACTCTGGCGTGTGGGGCTCACAGGAGGGGTGAGGCTCAGAGGATGCACTGGTGCTCACCCTACAGCTGACGCCTCACTGCAGTCAGACCCCACAGCAGCTTCCTCTGGGGCCTGTCGCCCGGAGGTTGGGCCACTTTAGCCACACCTGACTCCTGGCAAACAGAGGAGAGGATTGTTTGTTTGCTTGACTTTTTTTTTTTTTTTTTTGAGATGGAGTTTTGCTCTTGTCACCCAGGCTAGAGTGCAGTGGTGCGATCTTGGCTCACTGCAGCCTCCGCCTCCTGGGTTCAAGCAATTCTCTTGCCTTAGCCTCCTGAGCAGCTGGGATTACAGGTGCCTGCCACCACACCTGGCTAATTTTTTTTTTTT
Organism: Homo sapiens; assembly: GCF_000001405.40. Classification (NCBI taxonomy): domain Eukaryota; kingdom Metazoa; phylum Chordata; class Mammalia; order Primates; family Hominidae; genus Homo; species Homo sapiens. The sequence continues at coordinate 128,395,120 of NC_000002.12, read as the reverse complement.
TGTATTTTTGTATTTTGTATTTTTAGTACAAAGGAGGCTGGTCTCAAACTCCTGACCTCAGGTGATCCGCCCGCCTCAGCCTCCCAAAGTGCTGGGATTACAGGCATGAGCCACTGCACCCGGCCTGTTTCCTTGACTTAATGAAAACATACCCAATACCCCTTAGGTACACCTGTGACTGAAGTAAAGCAGCTTAGAAACCTCCTTCCCGACAGAAAAGGGTGGAAACCCTCAAGTTGACACCAGGCTCTGGAGAAAAACCTGCCACGGAGCCAGTGTTATCTCACTCCTTTGTTGAAGGCATTGTTCAAATAAACTTCTCAAATTAAGTCAGGTTATTTTACAGTCTTTTACATTTTTTAATACTGTAAGCTGGTCCCAAAAAGACTCTTTCTTGTGCATGATCTTACTTGACTCCAGCAACAAGCCTGCAGGTACAATGAAACCTCTCTGATGGAAGAGAGCCCTGGGGCTCAGAGAGGCAAAAGGATAGGTCCGAGATCTTGCAGCTAAGCAGCAGCCTTAGCGCCCAGTCCCTGCCCTCATGCCTGGTGCTGGCCCGTGTTGCCAGACCTGCTTGCACACAATTCCTTAGCAGCCCAATCTCAGCACCAGCTGATTTCTTGCCAAGTCAGCAAATGGCTAACCACCATTCCAGTTCCATCATCACAGGTAATGAAGCTCTGACTGCCACGGACAGAACAAAAATTAAAACCAAACTAAACGTTGGGTTTCAGGCTCCCAAATACTTCTGGATTGCAAAGGGCAAAAAAAAAAGAATCATTTACTTGGTCTCATCTTCCCTTCCAATGAGCCTCAACAGCACGCTGGCAGCTTCCCTTTTTACTGAAGTGGATTTCTTATTAATCAGCACATCTCCATGGCTCTGAGCTGTCCTCATACCATTGTCCCAACTTACAATGGTTTGATTTATGGTTTTTCAACTTTGCAAGGGTGTGAAAGCGATACACGTTCAGTAGAAAGTGGTAGGACAGTCTCTTGCCATGCTAGGCAGAAGCAGTGAGCCGCAGCTCCCAGTCAGCCCCACTATCCTGAGGGTAAACGGTGTCCATGTTGCCAGGCAATTTTGCTAATGCAAGTGTTCCGAGCATGTTTAAGGTAGGCTCAGCTAAGCTATGATGCTGGGTAGGTTAGTGTATTAAATGTGTTTTCAACTTATGATGGGCTTACCAGGACATATGCCCAATGTAAGCTGAGGAGCGTCTACACCAAGCATGAGACGATGTCACCACAGGCACAGTGGACTCCCACCAGCAAACCTGGAAAGGGGCAAGGCCAAATTTTTTGAGGTCCCTGCCAAATCTAAGAACAAAAAAAGGCAACCAGTGGAAGTCTAGAAGTACAGAGAGGTAGGTGGTCTAACCAAAATCGCTTCTCTCTTACTGCTCCCGTCCAGGGGCGAAAAGAGAATGAACTTGGGATTACTTCCGAGGCAAATGAGAAAAAAGCTGGGATCCCATGCTCCCAAGAGCTGGGGCTCATCCACACATTGGAAGAATACTTGACACACATTTACAGAAAGGAATTGGATTAAGTTAGAAATATGGGAACAAAGTTATGCCCAGGGAAGCCTCGAAGAGGACAGCAGTGAGAGAAGGTGCAGGTGAGGACAGGCCCGTGCTGAGTGGGAGTGTGTCTTAAGTGTATTGGTCCATTTTCATGCTGCTGCTAAAGACACGCCCGAGACTGGGTAATTTATAAGGAAAAGCAGGTTTAATGGACTCAAGGTTCCACATGGCTGGGGAGGCCTCACAATCATGGCAGAAGGTGAAAGGCACCTCTCACATGGTGATAGACAAAAGAAGAAAACCAACCAAAAGAGAAAACTCTTTTTTTTTTTTTCTGAGATGGGGTCTCGCTCTGTTGCCCGGGCTGGACTGTAATGGTGTGATCTCGGCTCACTGTAGCCTCTGCCTCCCAGGTTCAGGCAATTCTCCCACCTTAACCTCCTAGTAGCTGAGATTACAGGGGTGCACCACCACGCCCAGCTAATTTTTATATTTTAGTAGAGATGGGGTTTCACCATGTTGACCAGGCTGGTCTCGAACTCCTGACCTCAGGTGATCCACCTGCTTCAGCCTCCCAAAGTGCTGGGATTACAGGTGTGAGCCACTGCGCCTGGGCTGGGGAAACCTCTTACAAAACTATTAGATCTCGTGAGACTCATGAGACTCATTCACTACCATAAGAAGAGTAAGGGGGAAACCGCCCCCCGGCCATGATCCAATCATCTCCCACCAGGTCCCTCCCACAACATATGAGAATTATGGCAGCTACAATTCAAGATGAGGTTTGGGTGGGGACACAGCCAAACCATATCATTAGGTCAGCCCTGAAAAGGGCTACAGGGGAGCCTGGGGGAAAGTCCATCCACAAGCACAGGACACCCACTAGGACACCTATCTCTTCCTCCTGGCTTCTAGGTACAGATAAAATATTTTTCTCTGAGAATTTGAAACATAAACCTGAGATTCATGTATTTGGAATTTTAAAAGTCACATTACTCTCATGCTCCACAAACCACCAATCTAAGAAATTAACATTAAAAACTAAGTTATAGGCCAGTGAAATCCCTGGAGTACCTGACAAAGACCAAAACTAAACCTAGAGGGACATGATCTCAACTAAGTCTGTAAGAGATTCTCAGTGACACAGCCACTGTGACGATGAGCTCGCAATGAAAAATTACAAACGCACAGCAAAAAATCACAAACATGAGTGAGAGTCAGCAAATACCATAAACAGGAAAGTGTTACCCAAGAGATACAGACTGTAGAATAATCTGAGAGTGACTATGAAATAAATATGTTTAAAAGACATAAAACAATTTACATCCCACCCCAAAAAAGCTATTTTTAAAAAGGATGGATCTGTTTGAAAAAATATGCAAATAGAATTTCTACAAGTAAGAAGCAAAGGCACTGAAACTGGAAACTCAATAAGATGGCTTAAACAATAGATTAAAAACAGTTGAAGGGAGAATTTGTAGAGTTAGATTTGAAGAAATTAAACCAGAAGAAGCAAAAAGAAATAAAGAGAAACTATGACAGAGAGTCTAGAGAGGTTAAGAGACATGTGAATCGAATAAGAAAATTTAATAAGTTGGTAAGAACTCCAGAAAGAGAAAATAAGGAGAATGGAAAAAACTCAATATTTGAAGAAATGATAGCTGAGAATACTCCAGAATGATAATAATCTACATATTCATGAGTCACAGACTCCCAAGCAGGATAAGCAAAAATGAACTCATTATAGACACGTCAAATAGTACTGAAGAAGCAAATACAAAGCTATGATCTTAAAAGCGACCAGGGCACAACCAAGCAGTGTGGCCAAAGTACCAAGAGAAAACATCTGTCACTTTACAATGAATTGTGAGAGTTTACCACTCATAGACCCTCACCAAAGAACACTGAAGAAGGAACTTTAAGAAGAAAACTGAACCCAGGAGAAGTTAATAGGCACCAGAAACAACAGGAAACAAAGAAATCAGGAAAAAATCCCAAAATCTATTCAAGCATTGATTGAATAAATAATACATTGATTATGTAAATCGGTATAATAATACTGAATCGGGAGTATACAAAAACTGAAACTAAAATACTGGCTGTCAATAACACGTAACACGGGCGGGGTGATCAGGGCTCCGTGCTGCTCAGAAGGATTTTAAATTTGGGCAGCTGGCCTCCGGCCCACACTCTCAGCCCCGTGCTGGGATGTGCACTTCCCTCACACGTTCCCTTCCCTGCTGTGAGTTCCAGTTTAAGTTTAAGGTACTAAAAGGCAACATGTCTACCTGGAAAAGGTTTATGAAGAGCTAGCTGCTCAGATCAACAAGCCAGCACCAGTGCATTCTAACTACAGACTATTCCAACTATCTCATGGTACTAGAGTGTATTGCACATGTCACCATGTATACCGGGCCTATTCGACATTATCTCATTTAATTTTACAGTAAACCTGCAAATTGGGTTGCATGATGACTCAGATAAGACCGATAACTTGCCCAAGGTCACGCAGCCAGCAGAGACGGGCCCCGGCTGGTTCCAGGAGGCCATGCTGCCTCCCTCATGGTATCAGTTCTCTCCCCACAGACCTAGCCTTGTAAAACATCCACGCTTGTCAAAAGGGGTTCTTGCCTTTGCCTATTGCTGATTGGGCGTGGAGACTGCACGGGGAGCCTCTGCGGATCTCCTTTCCAAGATAAACTGCATTCAGCACATATTAGGGACCTCGAGGGGTGGCAGGCACAGAGAAGACCAGGTTAGATAAATAGGGGCTGACACATGGACCTTCAAACCCTGAAGGGAGGAGTCTGGGGAGGCCTCAAAGGGAGGGAGCAACCGTACTAAGCTCCCACCCTGAGCAAAGATGGTTGAACCTCATGCACTGCTAGGCACAGAGAGAAAACGTCAGGAATGTCATCAATTCCCAATTCACTGGGAGTGACAGTCGGCCTGGGAAGCTCCTCCCTCACCCATTGTTGGAGTCCAATTTTTAAAGCTTGGGGCCCTTTAAGATGGCGTATCTCCATGGAAAGTGACTGCTCTGTGAGTTCCTTGAGGACTCCAGCATGGCTGACCCCTCTCCACGCCTCCAGGGTGGTGTCTGGCATGGGCCTGGACTGGAAGTGCAGCAAAGGCTGGCTGAATGCACAAGTGACTCAGGGTGGGCTCCCACACAGTCGAGAAGGGGGCTTCAGCAGCCCCTGGGCGAGCACCTGTGAGAGCGCCAGAGAATGCCCGAGGGCCCAGCCAGGGCCCACTCAGAGCCCAGCAGACTTGATTCAGTGGGCAGAGCACCCTCAGGGGTCCTCCGCCACACGGAAAAGGGCAAACTGCCCCCAACAAGTGATTTCCCCATGGACCCTTCTTACTTTTTATTTAATTTCATAGTCTAGGAAAGAAAATACTATGCATTTGTTTCTTATTAATTTACACTCAAATCATTAAAAACATGTTTTTGCAAGAATTTTTAACATCCACAAGGCTCTTTTTTTAACCTCTTATAAGTCATTTTAGTACTCTTTTTCTCAAGGAAGAGGAAAATGTATTTTTGCCAAGAATAAGCTCCTTGCTTCAATTTTGATTCAGCGTTTAGTCCCAGGCTCATAAACTCCAGCAGGGCTTGGGCCAACTGAGAAATGAAATTCTCCCCCAGCCGTGAGTCTCCAAATAATAACCCAAGATTGTAACCAGCATGATTTTCCCACACACGCAAAGCCAAACAAAACTGGGAAATGAAGATGGGATATGCTCCACTAGTTTGGCTTCTGCTCATATCCAGTGGGCCCCCAACAGAGTCCCCTAGGGAGTCCACAAGCATTCCGAGCCCCAGACGAGAGGTTTTCAGCCAGGGTACCTCAGCACCCTGGCTCCACGAGACTGCGCAGCCATAGACGATGCACATGGTCAGGCCGAGCTGGGCCTGGGGACCCCCCGGGCCACTGCATGCTGTGGATGGCAGGCAGCACAGCCAAGCCGGCACTAAAGGAAGGCTGTGCATGTGTGGGGATGCGAGAGAATTCTGCTCTTTGCATATGCACGGGAGCACAGGCAGAGCAGGAGACCAGTCACCCAGATGGGGCCAGCCCCAAAGGACAAGCAGAGGGTGATGGAGAAGTTTGGGTGATTTTGTAGATACGATTAGCATCATAATGCTGCAGTGATGACTGAGCTGACGCCATCCCTGCTGTGTGCACGCTTAGTGCTGTGGACTGAATATTAGCATCCCCCCACCCCTGCCAAATTTACATGTTGAAGCCCCTAATCCCCAATGTGATGGTATTTGGAGATGAGGCCTTTGAAGGAAATGAGGGTTAGATGGGGTCATACGGGTATGGCCCTCATGATGGGAATAGTGTCCTTATGAGAAGAGATGCCATATGAGCACACAGCGAGAAAGCAGTTGTCTGCAAGCCAGGAAGAGAGTCCTCACCAAACCCACCCCTGCTGGCACACTGATTTCAAACTTCCCAGCCTCCAGAAGTGTGAGAAAATAAATGTCTGTTGTTGAAGCCATTCTGACTATGGTATTTTGTGATGGCAGCCCAAGCCGACTAAGACACCTAGTCAGAGTTTTAATCCCTGCAAGGACACCTCAGAGTCCTAGAGTTTGCAAACATGCCGTCAAGACTGGAGAAGGAGAACTACTACTAGCTGGGCTGGCAGGACGCGGCAGCGTGGACAGGTGGGAGTGAGTCCCGTCCACAGCACATTTGGATCTGTTTATCTTCCTGTCTCTGTTCTGGTTCATCCCACTCCACCCCGTGAGGACGCCCTCCTCCTAGGCTCCCCAGCACTCAAGGCTCCTGTCCTTCAGTCACCTAAGTCTCTTTTCAGCATGGTAGAGGGCTTCCCCGGACTGCACCTGGCAGGTTGGCTGAGAACTTCCTCTGAAGCCCGACAGTGCAGAAGCCTGGACCCACCCCTGAAGGCTGATTTTATAGCTCTGGAATCTGAATTTAGGGCAAGGGCCACAGATGTTTCTGGTAAGAAACTGCTGATGCAGCAGAAGCTCTAAAGCCTTTACAAGCACACAAACCTGACTTTGAGGCCCAGCCCTGCCACTTTTGAGCTGTGTGACCACAGGTAGTTTACTCAGCCTTGCTAAGCCTCAGTTTTCTTACACTCACATTACACTGGAAAAAACGGAATCCTGGATTCATTTTTCTTATTGCTGGAATTAACCCTCTATTAATTCTTTCAGAGAGGCATGTGTGATTGATTTCCTGGGTCTTTCTATGTCCTAAATTGCCCTTACAGTGCTATCATACAAAATCGATTTTGAGTATGAAGTTCAATACTCAGAGACGTTATTGTATCCCTGCACTTTGAAGGCCTTGCCCCATTCCCTATAGCAATTTTCTTAATGAGAGACTGATGTCATCTGATTCTCATGTTTTTGTGGTAAAGTTCCTTTTTTTCTGTTTTTAGTTTGGGTTTTGTTTTTTCTGGGAGTCCTTTATCACTCATGTTCTGAAATTTCAATATAGGTGACCAGCTATGTCACTTTTTTGGTTGCTCATCTGTTTTTGTCTTGCTTGACATTTTCTCCTCCTTTTCAACCTGAGGATTTGGGCTTTTTTGTTTGTTATGTAATATTCTTATATATTTTTATTTAAATAGTGTCTACCCTCCTTTGTTCTGTTCTTTCCCTCTGGCACATCCACGTAGAGGAATGCTTGAGTTTCAGAAGGTATCTCCATGTCTCAACTTTGTTTTTTCATTTTCCATCTCATTATCCCTTTAGGAAAAACTCACTCCCAGAGAAATAAAGTAATAAAGAAATTAGACCTTTAAAAGTAGGAATAATTATTATTCCCTGAGAGACAAAGAAAATGTTGCATCCATGAAATAAGAATAAGAGGTTATGAAAAAGAATGAATTAATAGAGCTTGGCAATGAGAAATTCAGCACATCGCTGGATGATAGGATAGGTGGCGCTGAAGAGTGCCCTGTCATTAGAAGGTTGCGCTGAGAAACTGTGCTGGAGCCTGGCTACTCAGAGTGTGGGCCACAGACCCACACTCTGCATCAGCACCACCCACACGCTTGTGAGCAATGCAGTCTCAGGATCACAACCAGCATTGAAGACCCAGGCAACATGCATATATTGCAATTTAAGAAGCACTGGACTAATTTTTGTGTTTCTGTAGAGATGGGGTTTCACCATGTTGGCCAGGCTGGTATCGAACTTCTGACCTCAGGTGATCTGCCCGCCTCAGCCTCCCAAAGTGCTGGGATTACAGGCGTGAGCCACCACGCCCTGCCTCGGTGATTCTTAATTCCAGCAATCTTGGTAGTGGAGGTCCAATCACTCGGTCTGCTTCAGTGTGAGAGGCCTGCCTGGGGGCAGATGTGGGAGCTTTGCAGTGAACAGGGAGGAGCAGGAAGTACCATCGGTGGGGACACTTCTACAGCTCCTTTTCTAAATTTGGGCAGCCCTCTTTCTTATGGGTTCATTGTGTCCCCCTAAAATGCATATGTTGAAGTACTAACCCCCAGGTCTGCAGAATGTGACTTTGTTTAGAAATAGAGTTGTTACAGATAGAATTAGTTAAGTTAAAATGAGGTCATGCTGGCTGGGCACGGTGGCTCACACCTGTAATCCCAGCACTTTGGGAGGCCGAGGTGGGTGGATCATGAGGTCAAGAGATCAAGACCATCCTGGCCAACATGGTGAAACCCCGTCTGTACTAAAAATACAAAAATTAGCCGGGCGTGGTGGCACACGCCTGTAGTCCCAGCTACTCAGGAGGCTGAGGCAGGAGAATCGCTTGAACCCAGGAGGCAGAGGTTGCAGTGAGCCAAGATCGCACCACTGCACTCCAGCCTGGCGACAGAGCAAGACTCCTGTCTCAAAAAAATGAGGTCGTGCTGGGGTATGTAGGGGCCCTGATCCAATCTCACTAGTATCCTTAGACAACAGACAGGAAAATTCCGAACCAGATGCACACACAGAGGGAACACCCTGTGAAGATGAAGGCAGACTGGAGTGAGGCAAGCCAAGGAATGCCGAAGATGGCCAGCAAACCACCAGAAGCCAGCAGAGGAGCACGGTAGATTCTTGCTCACAGCCTCAGAAGGAACCAGCCTCACCTACACCTTCATCGCAGACTCCCAGCCTCCAGAACCCTAAGGAAATGCATTTCTGCGCTTTCAGCCACCCAGCCTGTGGCGCTTTGTTACAGCAGCCCAACCTAAGACACCGTTCCACCTAGCCCCCATCATGCCCTTGGGCACCGTCCTGTCCCTAAGGCGAGATCCCTGTTCCCAGCAGGAGTCAGATGCCCCTATCACTGCTGCCTGGGCGAAGTAGGGGGAAAAGCACCTTATCAGCTCCCACTTGCCACCGCTGGGGCGCCCAGATGGATCCTCGGAGGCAGCTGCTAAGCCTCCCTCTTGGGTGGATCCACGCCCTGCCTGCGGGCCTCTGCCTCTCCAGTACTCTTCCTCAGCCCCTGCAGCGTGCCGCTGTACGTCCAACCCTGCCTGCTCTCTTCTTGGCAGGGATTCCTTGCAATGTCTGGTGCCCTGAGGGTTCTCATGTTTGTTTTTGATCACGTTTGTGTATTTACTTAGTTTCCTTTTAAAATAATTTCTAGAGGGAGGAGCTTAAGTTCAGTCCACCATTTTGAAACAGAAGTTGAAAATTATTTCCATGGCAGACACTTAGTCCAAGAGCAGACAAAATGAGGTAAGACATCTCCAAGCACTTGGGGAAATGCAAAGGTATTACCCCTAGTTGATCCAAATTTTCTAATACATCACATCCTATTAAATGCAAAGTATTTCTCTTATCCAGCAACATGCAGGATGGAGGAAACGAGTCTCCAATCTGAAATGGAAAACACTATGTTTGGGGCTTGCTCTGGGGTCGTGGGGTGGAAGACTGTCCAGGCCATCCCTGGGCTCTGCTATGTACCTGGGGTGGGATGCCATCTCTCACATCCTGGCCCCAGAAAGATGACCACCACCACGAGCTGGGGGCTCCTGGAGCCTGGATTCTTAGCAACACAAATGGAGCTCAGTGGAAGCTACTGCCCAGTCAGGGACAGCAGAAGACAGAGCTTTATCTCCTGCCCCTTAACAGCCTGAGCGCCGTGCCCCGACCTGTGTGTGCACACACACGCATGCACACACACAGGCATTACCAACCCATTTCCCCAAGGCAAATAGTAACTTTGGAAATGTAGGGCATGCGGTAGGTCAGAAATGGATTGAGACAGATTCATTTAGATTAGATTAGACCAGATTCGATTAGAGACAGAGGGGAGGGAAGTTTGTTGTCCCATCTGCCCTCCATTGGCGGCCCGCCGTGGTTTCCAGAGGGTCTCAGGCACTGGTGGGCACTGGGCTTCCCAGCCTGTCGGAGGTCCACGTCCCTAACCCTCAGGACCCCAGCAGGCACTGGGGTCAAGTGTCAGGGGAGCCTGAGCATGACTCCTTCCTGGGTGTGGCCACCTGGCAAGCAGCCTCTGAAGCTCGGGTGGGCCAGAGGGCTATGATCACTCATGCGTCCACAGTACCTCCCGCCCAGGACCCCAGCAGAGGACATGAGCAGACCAGCTCTAGCCACGCAGTGCTGGGTCCATGGTGCAGCCTGGGTGTTTTAATAAGGACACAGCCACACCACAGAGGGATGAGGTCAGGATGTCCCCCTCTTACTCTGCAGCCATGATGTTAGAGCAGAGTCCGGGAGGGATGGTAAGAGAGAAGATGTATTGCTTGCCAAACCATTTCCCTTTCCTCTGGACGCCCAGGCAGATCACCTCGGCCTCCCTGCAGGCAGCGGGCCCAACAGAGTACTGTCCATACATGGGGCAGCCCTGAACCCTTCCCATACTGATCCTATCAGTCCTCACTGCTGCAGGGAAACTGCTGGGTGGAGACCATGGAAGAGCCCCTAGGGAAGGCCGGGTGCTGCCTTGAAGGAGACCTTCATGCCGATGAAAACGCCAGTTGGGAAGCAGAGAGTGGCTGGCGGGGTCCAGAGGCCTGAGCGAGGGAAATAGAGAGATGTTGGTGGAAGGGTATGAGCTTCCAGTTCAAAGATGAGCAAGAGGCTGGGCGCAGTGGCTCACGCCTGTAATCCCAGCACTTTGGGAAGCCAAAGCCAGCAGATCACCTGAGGTCAGGAGTTGGAGACCAGCCTGGCCAACATGGCGAAACCCTGTCTCTATTGAAAATACAAAAATTAGCCGGGCGTGGTGGTGTGCGCCTGTAATCTCAGCTACTCAGGATGCTGAGACAGGAGAATCGCTTGAACCCAGGAGCCAGAGTTTGCAATGAGCCGAGATCGCGCCACTGCACTACAGCCTGGGTGACAGAGCAAGACTGTGTCTCAAAAAAAAAAAAAAAAAAAGGTGAGTAAGGCCTGAGGATTGAATGTTCAGCATGATGACCACAGCTAATAAGCTAATAATGCTAATAATACTGCACTACATACTTGAATCTGCAAGACCTCAAGCTTTCTTTTTCTTTTCCTTTTTTTTTTTTTTTTGAGATGGAGTCTCACTCTGTCACCCAGTCTGGACTGCTGTAGCACAATCTCAGCTCACTGCAACCTCCACCTCCTGGGTTCAAGCAATTCTCCTGCCTCAGCCTCCTGAAGAGCTGGGATTATAGACGGTTTAACCCCATCTCTACTAAGACTACAAAATTAGCCGTGTGCAGTGGCATGTGCCTGTAGTCCCAGCTACTCAGGAGGTTGAGGCAGGAGAATTACTTGAACCCAGAAGGCAGAGGTTGCAGTGAGTTGAGATTGTGCCACTGCACTCCAGCCTGGGTGACAGACTGAGACTCCATCTCAAAAGAAAAAAGAAAGAAATTTAATATAATTTAAAGAAAATATATTAAAACACTGTTGACCCTTGAACAACACGGGAGTTAGGGATGCCAACCCCTCTAACAGTAAAAAATTTGTGTATAACTTTTGACTCCCCCGAAACTTAACTACAAATGCCCTATTGTTGACCAGGAGACTTACTGATAACACACACAGTCGATTCACACACATTTTCTATGTTCTGTGTATTACATACTCTATCCCTACAATAAAGTAAGCTAGAGAAAATCATAAAGAGAAAATATATTTATTATTCTTAAGTGGATGTGGATCATCATAAAGGTCTGCATCCTCACATCTTCACATTGAGTAGACTGAGGAGGAGAGGGGTTGGTCTTTGCTGTCTCAGGGGTGCAGACATGGAAAAAATCCTCATATAAATGAACTCATGTTGTTCAAGGGTCAACTGTATATTTTAAACAAAATCTTTTCGGCAATAAGAAAATGTACAATTTGAGGCCAGGCACAGTGGCTCACGCTTATAATCCCAACACTTTGGGAGGCTGAGGTGGGAGGATCACTTGAACCTAGGAGTTCAAGATCAGCCTGGGCAACACAGTGAGACCCCCATTGCTACAAAACATTTAAAAATTAGCTAAGCGTGGTGGCGCACACCTGTATTCCCAACTATTTGGGAGGTGGAAGTGGGAGGATCACTTGAGTCTGGCAGGTGGAGGCTGCAATGAGTTGTGATCACGCCACTGCACTCCAGCCTGGGTGACAGAGCAAAACCCTGTACCCTGTCTTAAAATAAAAAAGAAATGTACTGGCCAGCCATGGTGGCTCACGCTTGTAATCCCAGCACTTTGGGAGACCAAGGTGGGTGGATCACGAGGTCAGGAGTTCGAGACCAGCCTGACCAACATGGAGAAACCCTGTCTCTACTAAAAATACAAAATTAGCTGGGCGTGGTGGCTGGCACCTATAATCCCAGCTACTCAGGAGGCTGAGGCAGGAGAATCGCTTGAACCTGGGAGGTGGAGTTTGCAGTGAGCCGCGATCACGCCATTGCACTTCAGGGTGGGTGACAGAGCGAGACTCTGTCTCAAAAAAAAAAAGTACCATTTGAACGGAGTGTATAATAAATTGTTTAGCAGAGCAAGTAACACGTTTGTAAGCTACAATCAAGGATCTGGTGAAAGAGCACTTCCCCATGCCTGCCCCTCCAGGTTCTGTCTAGCAGTGCCCTATCCATGTACTCCCAGCCGAGAGTTGAGGCTCAGCTCTGGGCCTGACCCCAATCCCTCAGGATTCCCCCAGAAGCCCTCTCCTCGCCTCCACCAGCCCACAGAGGACCCCACCAAAACCTGTGCACAGGTGGCCCAGCCCTCACCCAGCACATGGTGTTGACCGAGCTTTTCTCACCTGTTTGCTCAGCTCAAACCACAGGGGCTCAGTGAGCTCACTCACCAGGCTTTTTGCTGCAGAAAAAAAAGCAACCTGAGATCCTAGTCCTAAAGAGCAGCAAGGGCTGAATGAGATGAGCGCTTCCTGTGCACCAGGCACTGTTGTAAGCACTTTACCTGCGTTAACTCATGCAGTCCCAAGAATCCCGTGTCCTTGATGAGGAAACTAAGGCACACAAAGGTCACCTGATGTGCTCAAGGGTACATCACAGTTAGTGAGAGGCGGAGTCCTGTCTGAATCCTGGTGCAGCCCAGGGTCTCACTCTGAAGGAAACTGGCCAGCCCCGGTCAGCATCAAGGAACTGTTTAAATCTCAGCTCCACCTGTAAGTAGCTATGCAGCCTATGGAAAGTTCCTTAGCCTCTCTGGACTCTCTGGTCCAGAGTGCAATGAAGCAGGGAAGATAATAGACACCTGGCAGGATTGTTATAGGAACTAAATCAAACAGCATCACGTGCAAACGCAGTTCAGTTCAGCATGGCATCACAGCAGCTTATTTAACCAGCACAGCAGGCATTTAGTGTAATTGCTTATGGTTTCCAAGTGGCAGCTGTTATCTGTGTCTAAGAGGTCTCCCCAGAGGGGCTCATGTGCTCAGAGCCTTTGGAGACCATCAGACACGGCCATCGCCCTCCCTAGGACCGGGCAGCAACAGCATGAGAGTCCTGGGTCCCTGGTTCCAAGGAGAGGGAAAGGGGGTGGGGGACCCTGAGATGTCACCGCAGGGAGGAAGGAGCCAGGTGGGGTGTCTCCAGCTGTCAGGCAGCTTCCAAACTTGTCCTCTTTCTTAATTCTCCTAACACCCCGTGAGTCTCATTCCACATCACAGATGAGGAACTGAGTTGCCTATGGTCACAAAGCTGAGGTAAAGACCTCTGCCCTGTCAGGGGCTCACAAGGCCAGCTGTGCCTGCGACGGGTCCACGCCCACTTCCGCTGGCCATCGCCCTCCCTGCTCACTCTGCATTCCTGCTCACAGGCTCCCAGGGCGCTGCAGTCCTGACCCCTGTGCTGACACTGCCCAGCCCTCCTCAGGCCTGGTCTCCAGACACTAGGGAGGATATGCAGGTCACATGTGCAGGGACACTCTGACAGGACCTCCCTGGACTCAGGGATCCACACAGGCCTGCACGAGTGTCTTCTGCCCCTAAGCTCAGCCATGGGGATGTCCAGCAGCCTGGGCGCCCGGCCTGGGCCAAGCTCATCCTCTCCTCCCCAGCTCACTTTCCGGTTCTGTGTCTGGGACTCCCTCTCTGCGGGGGTGAGCACCATCCCCATGGGAATCACCAATTTGCACTCATCCAGGACACACTCCCAGAACACAGTCAGGCCATGTGTCAGAGTCTAGGGCTCCACCATCCCCTCAGGGCCCTGACCTGTCTGAACTGGGGCTGGGCCTAAAACTGGGTGCTTGGACCCTCACACATATTTGGGACACCCACAGGATGAACTGGAGGGTGAGGGAGAGGAGCAGGGACCCACTGGTTCCCACACTCTGTGCCCAGAAAGGAGACTCATTGCACTGGGACCCAGGGCGGCAGGGTCGGTCAGAGTGAGAGACCAAGCTGGACTCTCAGGGTGACATTCACACACCCCAAGGAGGGGGCGGCTCCCCTTTGCACACGTGCCCTGATGTATGCAGTGGGTCGGGGTCCCTGGCACCAGCCAGACTCCACAGCTCTCAGAACGCTGTTGGGGTAGAAAGGACCCCCAGACTGTTCCAGAGAGAAGGCAGAAGCCTGGGCCGGGCTCCAGAGAGCTGATGGTGGCCTGGCGGGTTCCTCACTGACAGGCAGGGATCCCTGGTGTCTGCAATATCATCTTACCATGCATGACATCTTCACCCCCGGCTACCAAGGCTGTGGGGCTCACAGATCCCCTCCCTCAGGAGCCGCTGCAGCACGGAGTCATGGCCAGGCTCTCCACCATGGCAGACTAGGCTCAGTGGGCCAGACTCCCCAGGCAGGGACTCTCGGATGGCAGCCCTCACGACCTGCAGCTCCACCAGTGTCAGGAGCAAGGGTGTGAGATGAAGGGAGAACAGGAGCTGCCACATCCGGGGAGGTCGGGAGGCACTCCCAGGGGGCGGGAGCCTGGGGACGCTGAGGTGGCACTCAGCCGCCAAGGTGGAGTGTGCAACTCATAGCCATGCGAGGTTCACAGCGACAGCACTCATGCCTCACCCCAGCAGGCTCGCCTCCAGGAACCTCATCTAAGAGGCGATTACATGCTCGGGTCTTGAAGCGGCCGGAGCCCCCAGCAGCAGGAGGCGGGTCGGTGCACAACAGTGGATCCCTAAGGCGCAATATCACAGGGCTTTAAAGTGTGTGTGGATGAGTTTTTAATGACACTGACCAGTGCTCTCTGCAGTGCCCCCTTCTCCTCGCCACATCCCTTTTCCCCTGCGAGCTGCATGGGGCTCCTAGCTGTTTGGGAGCAAGACCTGAGCAAGACAGAGGAAACCAGAGGGTCTGGATTGAGGCCCCAGTGAGTCACACTCACCAGGGGTCCCTGGACACCTCTCTATGATGTCTGCCTTCCTGGAGAAACTGAGCCCCGAGCTGTTGCTCCTGCAAGTTCAGGGAGGCGTTGCCAGCGTGAGGAGGAAGGCTTTCCAGGGCTCCGGCCACCCCTCAGTGTAGCCACTGAAGGCAAACACTTACCCACAATGTGCTATGCGGGCTCCGGCCCAGCCTGGGATGTCCACAGGCCCTGACGACGAGGCTTTGAACTAAGGCAGAGAGAGCAAGGCCTCAACCACCAAGCCCTTCAAAGGCTGGTGGGAAGTGCTCTCTGTTAATTCCAACCACATGGCAAATTAAGTTCTATTTAGCCCCTTTCCAAAATATTTTCCTCTCTTGATGTAAGGAAAGCTGGAGCTGTGCCATCGTTCAGACAGGCTGGGTCCAGCCCAGGGAAGGGAGAGCCAGCGCCCGCACCCATGGAAGCGCAGCCTCTCCCCCACGGAGCTGGCTGCTGGCTGCAGACAGGCCCGTGCAGACAGCTGGAGGAGTGAATGGACAGGAGGGAGGCGAGAGGGGGGAAGGATGATAACGTGGGTAAACGAGAGGGCGGGGAGAGTGCAAGCTTGCTTTGTTTACAGCTTCAAATCCGACAGGATTGTTTCTTTGAACACTTCAATTAAGACCACAATGTTCTTTGGCCCTGGTAGCTTTGTTCTGCCTTTCCTCCTCCCCCATCTTCCTGGAATGTGTGGGCTGGAGAGAGGAACATAAAGGGAAACAAAAGGAAAGAGTTGTCCTGTCCACTGAAGCCCGAGGTTGGGCAAGGCCCCTACATAATGCACAGAGGACACCCACAACCAGCCTTCAGCATCTGGGGTGACCTGCTCCAAACACCTCTCCGCTCGGGTGCCCAGCCCCACCCCTCCCCTGGAGCAAGGGACAGTCCCAGTCCACATCTCACTTGCTCCTCAGCAGCAGTGGACAAGCTGGACCCTTCCTCCTCCTGGAAGTGAGCCACTCTTCAGCATCTAGAGAGCAGCTCCTCTCCTGCGAGCCCGTGCCAGCCAGCTGCTTGGGAAGGTGAGAAGCATGCCTCGCCGGCAGCCCCTCGCCCAAGATTGCAGCCCCTTCCAGAGCTGGTCTGCAGGCCCATGGCTGCCTGGTGAGCGGTCCAAAGGCCTAGCCCCTTGCATTCATGAGGCACAGCTCTGGGGGGCTGTCCCCACTCTCAGTGCCATAGGACCAGCCAAAGCCTCAGTTCAACTGCCCAGAGCCTCCCTCTGCCCAGCCCCACAGCCAGCTTCCCTGCAGAGATACCTTCTGAAATCACCCCACCCAACTCTCCAGCTCTGCATCTGTTTCCAGGAAACCCATCCTAGGACAGTCAGCTCTGGCAGCGGACCTGGGAGGCCGACTCCAAAGGCAGATGTTGGAGCCGGCTCTCTGACCAGCCCGGGGGCAATGGAGACCCGCCACTCCTGGGAGATGGAGACTGGAGAGCTCTGGGTGCTGCCAAGGCATAAAAGGTGAATCATGCCCATGGTGAGCAGGGCCGGGAGACCTGCAGAGGAGGACGCAGGGGCCAGGGCAGCATCGCTGGCCCTGAGAGAAGTAGTCACATAGGACCAGGGAACTGGACAGCACTTGGCTGAGGTCACCAATTCACTGAAAATGAAAACAGGCTTAGGGTGATCAATGACCCATTCAAGGCACAAGGTGAAATCTCAGGGGCCTCCTTGACAGCACTGAGGGAAGCCCTAATCTGAGCCAAGGACAGAGAGCAGAGAGTGAGCTCAGGACCCGACTGCACAAGCACCACGCTTCAGAAAAAATGGAATTCTAGCCCAGGCATACTCCCCACAACACATTCAGGGCTCCAATGTGCAAAGAATGGGACTCGAGGCCAGGGATGTGGAGACTTAGAGGTGCAACTCCTAGATCCTGGAATCCGCCAAGAGGAGAGGGCAGGGCAGCCCCCTCCCCTATGAAGAGACAGTGCCCCACCTGACTGAAGAGCCTGCAGCGGCTCAAATGAGGCAGGTTCCAGGCGGTGCCAGAGGAGACAAGTGCCCCCTCCCTCCTACAACCAGTATCACAGCTGGCACACCCCAGTGGGAAGGTGCTGGTCTGTGAGAGGAAGAACAAGATCACCTCCCTGTGTTCCCAGAGGGCTGCAAGGCTAGGGGAGATGCCGTAGCAGGGGAATACATGCCCATTTGGGGGTGCCGCATCATGGTTCAGAGCCACGGGTAAGGAAGGAAGTGCTGGCATGGAGGGCTTTAGCCTCCTGAAAGGACCCGGGTTACAGAGCTCATGCTTATGGCTCCTGGCTCCTGCAAGCTTGCAAGAAGCGAGGGCCTGTGAGAAGTGGAAATGCCAGCATTACCACAGCAGACAGCAGAGGCACAGCAGAGGCTCTCAGAAGTGGGCCTGCTTGAGCAGATGGGCTGCATAGGAAGGAAACCCACCATATTCCATGTTCCCAGGAAGGGCAGGGGGATGTCCCGCACCCCCATAAGAAGGCCCCAGTGGTGAGTGGCGCACTCTTGGAGGCCCTCGCAGGTTGGGCTGATGGCAGGAGACGCTGCTGCAGACCTCGGCTGTGAGCAGCAGGGGCAAGGACAGGAGCCCAACCTGGCGGAGGCCAGGTGGCAGTGCCACAGCCAGAAGCAGGCATAAGTGCATGATGAGGAACAAGAGCTGAGTGGCCAGCGAGTGCCGAGAGCCAGGCAATCGCTTAAGGTCTGCCATCAGAATAAATCAAGGTTGGAGGACACAATGGTTTGAACATGTCCCCTCCAAAGTGCAGATATTGCCAGTAAGCTTGAACCTGTCAAGAGGTGGAGCCTTTAAGAGGTGACCAGGCTGGGGGGCTCCTCCCCCTCGAGTGGGGTTAACTGTGCTTATGAAAGGGCTTGACTCTCCCACCTTCTGCTGCAGGGGACACAGCGTGCCTCGCCTCCGGATGACTCAGCACCAGGCGCCATCCTGGAAGTGGCGAGCAGCCCTCACCAGGCTCCCAACCTGCCAGCCCCTTGATCCTGGACTTCCAGCCTCCAGAGCTGCCAGAGGAGACCTGTCTGTTCCTCATCAGTTACCCATCCTTGGGTGTTTTGTTGTAGCGACACTAAGCGACTGAGACAGACAGCCAGGACACTGAGGGCAAAGGCGCTCTAGAAAGCCAGTGGGTCCCTCGCCTGGTGTCAGGTGCTAAGGCACCGGCCAGAGGAGAGGGCGGTCCCTGGGAGGAAGGCCCTGCAACCTCATGGCAAGGATGGCCAGTCACGTTCCTGGGTCCTTCCCCAAAGGGGCAGCAGTGTGCCGGAGAAACAGGAAGGCCCAGGCCCCTCCAGGACTGTTGAGGGTGATCCTGAGCACCTGAAGTGCCCCAGGCCCAGAGTAGCAGGGCTCTTCATCTTCCTGGAGGGTGAGTCAGGCCTCCCCGCCCTGGCCCACTTGCCCATGGGTCCTCATCCATGTGGGATGAAGTCTGAAGACATCACTGGGCCCTCCCAGCACCCCAGCCCAGGGCAGGACTGCGTGAGTGATAAATAAAGACGCCCTGGACCACCCTTGATGAAGGCCAGCTCCCTCCCACCTTCTGGACTGCCACCTCCCCACTCTGCACCTTCACCCCCTCTCAAGAACCACAGCCTCTAGGGCCCACCTCTCTGCTTCTGAGGAAAGCATTAGGGTGGGGACGTAGATGGTCCCACCACTTGCATTGTAAAAGACACACAGAGGGCAATGCTGTAGTCTAAGAAAAGATTTTCTAATGGTGGAGTTTCTGGCAAAAAGGCATGGCCATCATGAGGCAGTTAGTGCTGTTGGGCAAAGAATTGCTTCCATATTTGTCTCAAAGCATTAAAATGGGCACCAAATCAATATTTCTTTAATAAAAAACACAAAAATCTTGGCCTATGCTCTCCCAACACACCCTGAGCATGTCTCTAGCATCACTAGAATGCTAGAGGCATTTGACTGCATCTTGCCTGTTACCTGTTAACTTCTTGCTTCCCTCCCTCAATTGTGAGCTCACTGAGGGCAGGGATAGGACTGAAGTATCCTCTGAATCTTTAACCTCAGGCGCTTAGGGACAGGGGGATGGGACGGAGATGTGGCAGGCAGAGTCCAGCCTCCCCAGAGCCACCTCCCAGCCCTGCGCATGTGCTTGGCAAGTCCCTGATGGGAGCCCAGGCAAGGCTGGGGCTTGTGCGTGTCTCCCCTGCCAGGCTGTGAGCACCCGGGCAGGCTTGTCCAGGCCAGCCCAGCTGCTGCCTGACACCAGCCCAGGTCCTGGCCCCCAGAGAGTGCCTGGTGAAGTCTGTCTGGCTGAGGTCCGACACAAGGGGGTAAGGAATTATTTCCTTCCCTGAGGCTTCATTTTGAAAATAAATTTAGTAACTTCTAAACAAATCGTACTGACTCTCCCAGTTGTATTTGTTTAGTTAAATTAATTCTATTTTAATATTTCCATTAGCCATTTAATTTATTCTAAAACCTGGCACTGCAAAGTAATAAAACCTCTCAAATATTGACAGACAGAAAGTAAATGTCGCCCAGCTACAACCATCTGTTTTTCCTCCAAATTCCTCAAGATGGAGAGTGCGCCGCCGTGCTTGATTTACGGCCTTCCTGGGCCCATGCACGGCTCGCTGGCAGCCTCCTGAGCCAGCGCTGCTGGGGGCGACACTCTGGACTCAACAGGGTGAGAGGGGAGGGAGGGGAGGGTATGGGGTGCAGTGAGAAAGTCTACAGGGCAAACAGAAATGGAGTCCCAGCTTTAAAATGGATAAGCTGGATGAAATGCAAAAGCTCGCTGCTTTCCTGCCACCCTCCCCAGCGCCAGCTGCCCTGCGATGTCCCTGGCATGCCAGCCCAGAAGCCACATACACCACCTCCCCTGCACCACCTGTGCCTCCACCCCCTCTCCCCCACCCACCTACCCTGCTCCTTGGATGACAGACAGGCGCCCTCCTTCCTGGCAGTCCAGCCAGGGGCGGGGGCACCCCCTTAGAAGAGGGTCTCCAGGACCGATGGCTCGGAGCCCCTCTACTGTGCATGGTTCCTGAGGGTATGCACTATCACGGGGGGTGACGGAGCCTGGCTCCACGGTCAGCTCCTCTTCAGCCAGGTGTGGTATGATCTGAGGGAAAGTCTCCAGGCTGGACAAGAGACACAGCCAGGTGTGAACCTTGGTCCCACCTCTCCTGACCTGTGGGAGCTTCCACTTCCCCTCTGAGCAGAGCAGCAAGTGGACGGGATTCCCCACAGGGGTGCCGAGTGGGTACATCTGCCCCATGCCCAGCCCTGTGCCTAGCTGGGCCTAGCCCATAACCAGTACCCATCATCTCCTGGAAGAAAAGCTTTCACCTGGGCCTCTGCTGTCAGGTTAGACTTCCCCCAAAAGCAGAGAGCCAGAGAGGGAGGCCACACAGCCCCACCCCAGCACTCCCCACCCATCAGCGCATTTCAGTGTGACATGTGTTTACACGGCACGCATGCTTACAATTCCTCTCCAACCACCACTCAAAGCCTAGGCAGCCACAAATATTCCACAGTGCTTGTCGGGGCCCAGCAGCCCCAGCCTGCCCTGCCTGCACCTCCCTCACTGCCCTTGGTGCTCCTGCTGCCTCTGCCCGCAGCCCTGCCGCAGCGCTGCCCACTGCTAGGGGAGGCCAGGCACCACCCAAGCACTCTGTGGGCCCTGCTGGAGTCTGTGCAGTGGATGGAGGGCCAGACAATGCGTGTGTCCAAGTGTGTGTCAGCCCCACAGCTTGCTCCAGCGACACCGAGACGCCTCAAGGAGCTCAGGGCCCTGTGGGAGACACACCAGCGAATGAGGAAATGTACCAGCATGCCCGGGGGCAGCAGTGGGGTCTGCAAGAACCCAGCAGGGCACAAAAGGTGGGCACCCGGCCTGCCAGGAGGACCAGGAGAGGGTTCCGAGAGAAGTGTAGCACCAGGATGAGCTCTTCAGATTACGAAGTCCTCCAGGAAGAGAGGGTGGTGTGAGTGAAGGGTCAGGGGACAGAGCAGTCTCCCCAGTTCAGTGCACCCCACAGCTTGCTTGGCTGCAGCAGAAGGTGTGAGAAGACAGGGAGAATGGAAAGGCCAAGACCTGCAGCTGGGAAGGGAGCACAGGCTTCACCCTGAGGGCAGTGGGGATCCACAGCAGGCTTTAGCCTCCAGGAGGAACGTGCTCCAACTTGAATCTGAGACACATCCCTGGGACAGCCGTGGAGGACTGGAGGAACCCAGCCTAGGAGGAAATCCTGAAGACAGTGGGAAAGAGCAAGCTCGGGAAGGCCCTGGAAAACTCTTTCCAAATTCCTGCCCGTGGCTTGGGCAGGGTCTCAAGGAGGTGCGTTGAACAGCCGGTAGGTACCGTGCAGATTGGCAGGGGCTGTGTGTGTGTGGGGTGGGGGTGGGGTGGGGTGGGGGGGGTGACGCCTTTGGCACAGGAGCAGCCCCAGGAGGGCCTTGGTGGAAGTTGCTGAAGGGAACTGGACTCAGGTAAGGCCTCTGGCATCGCATCCAATAAAGGAACATTGAGCAACTGCTATGCAGACCACCGCTCTGCACATGCTCACTCAGGGCTCCCCCCGGAACTGGGAAATGGGACAGGAATCTAAGAATTACACACAGTGCAAAGGACAATTCTGGGGGTGCAGCCAAAGGGGACAGCGGCAGGGGGTGAGTGATTCCAGGCCCTTCCTTTCACTAGAACCCTAGAGCCTTCCTGGGCCCCCAGTCCCCACAGCCTTACCCGATACCCACAGAGACCTGAGGAGCAAGTGGCTCCTCCCGCCCTGGCTTCCCCTAACCCCACACCAGCGGACAAAAACTGCCGGATGTCAGACAGGAACAGGACCCCCAACACGGCCGCGGTGCCACCGCAGGGTCCCACCGCAGCCCTCATTTACCTTCTTCAAGCTTCAAGGTAGCCATAGGTGTGAAACCACAGAACAGACTGCACAGATGAGGGGAAGGAAGCAAGAGAAATGACGTTCCCATGCAAGAACGCAGGGCGCAGGGCGGCAGGCAGCTGCAGCCCAGGTGAGCGGGGCGACACACACACTCTACCCACCATGGCTCACTCCCAGCCACATGGACCTTAGTCCTGAAGCCCCAGCCTGCTGCATCCAGGCCCCTGCAGCACGTGCAGCACACAGACACGCGCGTCCCCTCGGCACGCTGTGCCCCATCTCCCCATGAAGACTCCATGGCCCTCTCCCATTTCTTAACTACATATTTGAGTCTTCACTTATCCCAACAGGTTCTGCTGACATTCTGGGAATTAATGAAGCTGGGTGCAGCCTGCCAACCTCACAGCTCCAGAGGAGGAAAAAGGGAGTTGTGTGTTCACAGCCAAAAGAGGAGCTCATAAATTCTCATAAAATTACTAGATGTGTGTAATTTATGGCCAAGGCCGGACACTCCAAGCCCCCAAAGAGCAGAGCAATGGCTGCAAGGAGGCATCATGGGAGAATGGCCACCATGTGCTCTGCCATGCTCTGAAGGACAGCAGGGAGGTGGCAAGTGATGGGAAAGGGGCCCAGGAAGCAGCATCCAGAAAGACCAGGCAAAGGCAGTGCTTATTCCATTCTTGTGCCAAGCTATCCTTGAGCATCAGACAGAGTGAGCACCTGAGCAGACGGCCGGCTGGGAACGCCGCGGGGGCCCTCCTCAGCCGCCAAGTGAGAAACACCCAAGGTTGGCCCCCAGCACACTGGAGCCCCTGGAGACAGCATGGCCCTCCCTGCTGCTGGCAGAAATCAAAGGTGCCTTGAGACAGTGACATCACCAAGGCTGGGCCGGATGACCCTGCTGCAGGGTAGCTACTAATACTCAGGTGACAAACACCACATTAGCCACCCAGCACCTGCATCTTCACGCACCTTGTGTGCCCGCTACTCACAAGCATACACAGACCAAGATGCTCCCCCCACCCAGCCAAAAAACAGAAAAGCTCTGCAGGTGTCTTAGGACCTATTACTCAACGATGCCCTGAACCTTTGGTGTACCCATTTTCAGTTGACACAGGTCTGAGCAGCTGTGACCTTCCCAAGGCCACACAGGTAGTCAGTGCCAGAAGTCAGTTTCAGATTCAGATCTCACATCCCCTCATTGTCCCCCAGCTGTGTCTCCTTACACCCATGACAATCAGAGGCAGCCGTGTCTATGTCATTGTCATGCCTTTAACTAACACACAAGACCCTGTATATAGTTTCTTGCTACATATATTTTTAAAGATAATGAAGAACTATATGTGTCCACTGTATATGAGAAGACAAAGCGCCAGTGGAGAGCAGATGACTCCCCTCCTCCCATGGGCGTACAGCCACAGGTGCCCAGAGGCCTGGGAGGAAGCCTGCCCAGGCATGAGGGGACGTTTCCAGATCCCCGGCCCCGCCAGGCTGTGAATTTATCTGCAGGCCCTGGCCCGCCAGGCTTTTGGGGGAGCTTTTCAGGACCAGCACTCTAGGCCAGTCCTGGAGCCATCCCTGGAGGGGCCACGGCCATCGTGGGAAGGACACCAGGCCAGGGAAATGGGGACTCTGATGTGGGCCCCAAAGAGCTGCCCTCTGCTGAGAGGCTGTTATTTCCTGACAAGTGCACCTCCCAGAACAACTTCACTGTTAGGATGAAAAGCCGTCTTGGAGCAGGGAGAAAGGGATGCCCCACGGAGGTGACTCCAAGTTTCCCTGGTCGAGTGGAGCAGGCAGCCCAACCCTATCCATCTGCCCTCCTGCCAGGCCATCCCAAGAACTCTGAGGACAGTTGAGGTCACAGACAGTTTAGGAACAGAAGAGGCAGGGTGGAGGGACCAGAGAAGGAGGACGGTGAGCTTGGCCGGGGCAGCCGCACAGCGATGTGACCGTGTGGCCTGTGGTGAGCTGGGGTGGTGGGCGGCCCCGGGCCGCTGTGTGCAGCTGAGCAGGCAGAGAGCTTGTCCACCACCCTGCCCCGCCACCTGCGCATCGGGCCTTGAGACCAGCAAGCCCACCACTGCCATGCAAGTCACAGGAGGTGCAGTCACCGGGCTGGGGGCCACCTGGGAGGCCAACCAGGCCACAGGCCGGTGCAGAAAAAGAAGATTCAATCCTGAGGGGGTAAGAGGTGAGGGCTTGAGGTCACCAGACTCAGGTTCAAGCCTGACCTGAGTCTTGACCACAGAACCTCGGGCAAGCAGCTCCAGCTCCCTGAGATTCGTTTTCCTCATCCATCCGCGGGAACTGAGGATTCCTGTCCAGCAGTACAATGGAATGAAATGAGATCACGTGTTTGCCAATGAGACATGTAGATAATATTGCAACTGCTGGGGCCTGACGGCTGCATGGGCGGGGCACTGTGCCATCTCGGATGGGCCTCGAGCCTCCTGTATAAAGGCAGCGTGATGGTCATTCCCGTTTTACAGATGAGATGACTGAAGCTCACAGAGGGAAGGAAGTAGCCCAAGCCCACGGGGCTAGGAAGTGGCCATCAGGCCCAGAATGTGGGTCTACCTGGCTCCAAGGAGCCAGCCCTTCCTCAGACCCCAGCCCCTCCTGGAGGAGGAGCCTATAGATTCCAGTCTCTCCCTGCAGAGATCAGAAATGGAGGCATTTTCAATGTGCAAATTTTCCTTCCCTGAGATTCTGGGAGACTCTTCCAAAACTGCAACAGCACAGACAGGAGGCTGGAAGAGACGTGTCCTGCTCTGGGGTGGGGGCGTCCATCCCCCTGTTTACGGGGAGTCCCTCTGCACCCCTTGGCCTCCTCCACAGGGACGGTCTGAATGGTGGCAGGAAGGTAAATGTTTCGTCATTCAGAGACGCCTCCCGCCAGACAGATTAGCTAGGCTCTGGCCTCTGGCCACCCCTGACCTTACATGTCACCTTGGAGGGTGACCCAAGCTCTCCACTCTCCTCCTTCTCAGGGTCAGGAATGGTATTGTTTTTGCAAAGAACAGCTTCAGAAGCTCCCTCAGTCTGGGCAGGAATTAAATCACAAGTGTCCCAGGGCAGGGACAGCCACAGGCTCAATGTCCCCATCAATCTTCCCACGGGGCATTGCAGGCTCCGGCTGAGAAGGATTTACGGGGTGGGAGGGGTGTGGGACAATGCCTGCCCCTCCCAGGCCCTGCCGGCAGGCTTTTCCCACGGTTGGCTCCGACCAGGCCCTAATGGATGGGTCAGAAAGGTCAGCTCATGGGGAGTTCGCTCCTGTGTGCCAGAGGTTGCCCCCACAGTCAGTTCGGGCTGGGGGCTTACCACTGGCGTCACTTGCTCTTTATTCTCTTCTGTATTTTCCAAAGTCTCTGCAAAGAGCATGTATTACTTTTAAAATCAAAGGAGGAGAGGAAACAATAACATTGTTTTGTTTTGTCTTGTTTTGTTTATAAGCGTGTTTTTCTCCAGTGCTAAGAAATGGGCAGGCATCTCCCACCAGCCTGCAGGGAGTGCGGACACACGGCGGGGAGCCTGGACTTGTCTGATTTCCCAGGGAACCTACATAAAAAGCCCTTCTCGTTGGGAACAATGCTCTTGCTAAGTGCAGGCACGAACCTCCCCTAGAGAAACCCGAGCTGTGTCCGGATCCCAGCCCGGGAACCGCCCCCAAGGCTGGCGGCCACATTCAGCTGCAGTCCTGCACCCCACCCAATCCCCATCCATCTCTCTCCTCCCCACCAAGTCAGACAAGCTGGGGCCTGGCCCAGGGCTCTGACCTGAGCAGCCGGGCCAGCATCAGCACCATTTTGGTCAGAAAGTTCTGGGTGCTTGGACAAGGCCCTGGTGACCTGGGAGGAGGCAAGCGTGGGCCCCTACACATACCTCTCTACCTGCCCTCCTGCCTCCACAGAACCTTAGCGAGTCGCTTCACCTCTCCGCGCCTTGTTTCCCGTCTCTCATGGACATCATCCCATTTAGTGGAGCACACAGGAAAACCACTCAGGCAGGCCCTGGCTTGAAGGAAGCACCCATGTGTTAGCAGTTATGGCCATCCGTGCCACTAGTCTACCTGCAGCAAACAGGTCTAAGCCCCATCTGCACTGCTGTGCTTGAAGCAGCTGTGACAATGGACAATTGCTCCCTCGTGGCCACCTTAAAGGCAACCTGCGATTCAGTTGTAGCAAGGCAAGAATTATCCTCGCTGCATGAAACAAGGAAACTGACCAGCCCTGCCGCGCGGCAGTTCAGCGTCTCCAAAGGGCCTGCCCCTGCCAGGCAGGCTGCTGGGGCCTGAAGGATCCAATGAGTGGCTCCTGCCTGGCCGTGAGCAACCTCATGCTGTAAAACCTCAGTCGTTTTCCCCGAAGCAGCGTGTTGAGAAGGGTCCCCAGGCTGCCTGTCAGTGCAGCCTAAAAGTGCTCTGGGGTGGATGAGCGACGCCTGCCACAGGCACAGGCGGGCCCTAGTGTTATGAGTGCTAAGGCCATGCTTTTGCCAACCCTGCCACAGTGCATCAGATGCAAGGCTGGCTTCGGGTAGAGACACAAGTAGAACCCAGATCTCTTGACATCAGTGTGGTGGTCACAAGCATGGCACCACCAAAGCACCAGGAAGTTACTTGCCAAGTTTTCCTTTTGTATTTTGATGAAGACCTCACCATGTTTACACTGCTGCTGATAATTGGAAGCGGGACATGTGTTCCCCGTGTGCATAGCGCACCGGCCCTCCCGATGATCCTGACCTATCCCCAGATGTGACTGGTCCCTTCTCCCCAGGCACCCGTGGGAAGCCACACCCCTGCCCCATGCCCCTCCTGCCCCGGCCTTCCTCTGTAGGATGGTCACCCTAGACAGCCTTCATTCTCTCAGAATCTGGAGAGAGGGAGAGAAGACGCTTCTGAAGTTTCCCCTTCAGACACTTCTCATTTCCCCTCTGCACCCTCACAGTGCCCCCGTGGGCTTCCCAAACCCAGGGCCATCTCCCAGGGCCCACAGCCAGTCTTTCGGAACAACCAGCGCCCTGAGGACACCCACCCCTTCCTACCTCGAAGGCATGGAGCCCCTAGCCTCCCAGATGGGTGGGCAGATTGGCGGCGCCACCAAGGGCTCAGCCTTGTGCGTGCTGGCAATGGATCGACCACGGGCACGGAACCTGACGAAGACCAGCACTGCAACCAGCACAAGCTTCTTTGCCCAGCGCAGTCACTGAGTGCCCAGGCTGCCACTGTGTGCCGGCAGGCAGAGGCTGTTCCTCTCACAGGCTCTTGTCCTGCCTGTAAAGTGGGACTGCGAAGGTGGGCCAGCCTCCGGGCAGCCCCTGTGCAGGGCAGGCATCTTTGAGGCTGAGTGCTGTTATTCTTATTGTATTCATGCACCCGGCACCCAAGAAACGAGGCAGCTGGGGCTGCAGTAGGCTGAGGACACAACAACAATCTCAGAACCAGGAACCCGGAGTGGACCCCCACTTCCTGCACCCAGCAGGCAGCACACCCAGAAGATGCAGGGGGCAGAAGAGATGGGAGCCCAGGCCCTTCCCCACTGCCTTTGCTCAGCCTTTTCCTGGCGAGAGTCACTCAGGGACCTGGCAAAGGAAACAGGCATCTCAGGGCCTCATGGACACCGAGGGGGGCTGCAGCGAGGAGGGAAGACACAGCTGTCTCATTTGCAGGGCAGGACCCTAGCAGTGTCTGGTTGCCTAGCTGAAGGGTGCTGGGCCCAGGACCAGCCCTCACTGGCCCAAGCTCCCAGGCAGGTGTTCAGGGAGGTAGGGGGATGAGCACACACTCCTCTGGCTTCCCCAGTGCCTTTCCCCACATTGTCCCCCACCAAAGACAACACAGCTGGCGAGCTGATTCAGGCGGTGGGCTTCTCGGCCAGGCTCCTGGCCCTGGGGGCTGTGAGATGCAGCCTTCAGTCCCCAGCAGCCTGCTGCTAGGAGTGTGATCACCAGCCTTCTGGCCCTTTCCTGAGCTGGGAGAGGCTGTGCTCCACGGGACACAGGCCCTGAGGCTGCTATGAGGAAGAGAGTGCCAGGCCTCCCACTGCAGGGACACTCAATACTCCCTTGCAGTCCCCATTCATCCTGCCACTTCAGGCACCCAGGCATGTGCCCTGCCCC
Organism: Homo sapiens; assembly: GCF_000001405.40. Lineage (NCBI taxonomy): Eukaryota > Metazoa > Chordata > Mammalia > Primates > Hominidae > Homo > Homo sapiens. The sequence continues at coordinate 128,366,828 of NC_000002.12, read as the reverse complement.
ACCCTCGGATCTGTCTTTCCTGCCTATGAACCTAATGTGAACTAGAGCACAGAGTGTGAATGCCAGCTGTTACTTCTAAGAGCTCAGCTCATCACTCCTTGGAGGACAGGTGCCCGTTTCAAGGTATTTTCCCATCCATGTCTGCCTCTTCAACAACCCTGGGAGGCCATTTAAGGCCCATGTCTCTCTGTCACACCACAGGGTCCATCCCTCAAGGGGAACCCCCACAACCCAGCATGTCACCTGAGCCAACTCTGTCCCCTGCACTGCCTCGCTCAGGGGTGGTGCCCAGCAGATGTTGGGTGGATTGCATGAATAAACACAAATTGGTGGAGAGCCAGGATCTCAGTGAAAACACCTCCTTGCTGATACGGAATCCTTTTCACCAAAATGCAGTTTTACCCCCTTTTTTCCTTTCTTCTTCATGCAGAGAAATTTTCACCCCTGTCACTATGACCCATGGTGGGCAAAAGCAAGAGGAGGTCAGGTGACGAAATGGCCTTCATCTTCTCTGGGTGGGAAAGACACACGTGTGTGCCATGGGTTCAAGCCTCTTTCTTTCTTTCTTTCTTTTCTTTTTTTTTTTTTTTAGATGGAGTTTCGCTCTTGTTGCCCAGGCTGGAGTGCAATGGCGCGATCTCGGCTCACCACGACCTCCACCTCCCGGTGTCAAGCGATTCTCCTGCCTCAGCCTCCCGAGTAGCTGGGATTACAGACGTGCACGACCACACCCGGCTAATTTTGTATTTTTGGTAGAGATGGGGTTTCTCCATGTTGGTCAGGCTGGTTTCAAACTCCCGACTTCAGGTGATCCACCTACCTCGGCCTCTCAAAGTGCTGGGATTACAGATGTGAGCCACCACACCCAGCCTCAAGCCACTTTCTGCAGTAAAACCACTTGTGTTATCAACTGTGTTGTAACAAACTACCCAGAAATTAGCAGCTGAAAAAAATTCAAGTTCATTACCCCCCGGTTTCCACAAGTCAGGAACCTGAACTTGGCTCTGCTGGGAGCCCCTCACCAGGTCGGTCAGGAGGATGCAGTCAAGTTGTCAGCGGACTGCAGCCTCATCCGGAGGACCAGCTAAGGATCAGCCTCCAAGTGCTCCCCTGTGGCTTTGAGAGGCCTGATCCCTTGCTGTGTGGACTTCTCTGCAAGGTTCCTTTACAGCGTGGCAGCCAGCTTTCCCCCAGGATGAGTGACCTGACAGAGTGAGAGAAAGCACCCAGGACAGAAGCCACAACCTTCTCATAGTTGAATCTTGGAAGTGATGCCCCATTCCTCTGCCAGATTTTGTCCATCAGAAGTGAGTCAATGAGTCCAGCCCACAGTCAAGGGGAGGGGATCACACAAGGTATGAATAGAGCAGGGCAGCCTTGAGCCGGCCAGATCGTTCCCAAAACTGTCAGCCATAGCCTATCCCATTCCACGGGCTCTTCTAGAATCCCTGCCACTCAGCCATCAAGAGGTGGAGCCAGTGTCCCCACTCCTCGCACCTGAGGGAGCCACTGTGACTTTTCCACTCAATATCCCATGTGGAAGTGATGTGCTGCGCCCTCTAAGGCTTCCTGGTTTTCTGGAGATGCCCGCTCTTGGAACCGGCCTCCCTGCCTTAAAGAAGCCTATGAAGAGACCTGCGCTCACATGAGCTCCCAGGTGATGCCTGCAGCAGCCTGCCAAGCGAGTGTGTCCTTTTGGAAGAGACCCTCTGGCCCCGTCAGGGGGCTCGCAGTGACACCATGAGGGGCAGTCTCTGCCTAGCCAAGCCCAAATTGAAGATTCATGAGAAAAACAAATTCTTGTCATTTTAAACTTGTTACCCCATAATAATGTGGTTCCCACATGCTGTTCTCCCACTGTGAACCCCAGTCCACCAACCCACAGGCCAGGGGGGCAGGAAGGAGTGGCCATGTGGCATCCTACAGATGTGGCCCACAGGTGCTGCTGTGTCTCCAGCAAAGGCAAGGGAGCCCACTGGTGCAGGGGTAAGGTGTCTTCAAGGGTCTGGGGCCCTGGGAGTGTGGGCACTGGGCAGGGCAGTCACCAGGCTATAGCCTGGAGCCCAGCCCAGGGCCATGGGTGGGGGCAGTGTGGGGGTCTCATAACAGCTGCCCTGAGAGCATGTGCCCAGCTGGAGAGGGCAGGGCCTGGCACAGAATGCACACTTGATTTTGGCTGCAGACAACCCTCCCGGGCTCACCTGCAGGTGGAGAGGCGCCAGAGCCCCCACGCCGAGGGAGCTGCTCGGGGCCAACCCCATGGAGAGCGGCCATGTTCAAGTGGGGCCTGAGCCACATGGGACTCCAGCTCCCTGGCCGGGCCTGGAAGGAGCAAGAGGAGAAGGGCTCCTAGAGTGGTATTCCAGTTGGCGCCAGCCTGGCCCAGACACAGAGGATGGAGAGCATGGAGGCATAGAGGTACTGCAGGTCCCAGTCCTCTTCCTCCAAGCCTTCACTGCCCATTTCCCCATGGATGGGCGGAAAAACCAAGGTCAAGTTTCAGGAAGCCCCTCTCACAAAAGAACCTCTCACGCACTGCCCCCACGCAGCTGTCCATTGTTTCCATGAGAAAAACAAATTCTTGTCATTTTAAACTTGTTATCTGATAATGAGGCAGCTCCCCTCCAGCAGTGAATGCCAGTCCACCAACCCCCAGGCAAGGACGGGCAGGAAGGAGTGGAGATGCTGCTGTGTCTGCAGTGATGGCAAGACAGCCCGCTGGTGCAGGGGTGAGACGTCATCCCAGCCTCTCTCACTACCCATCTGCACAATGCGCACGCTCTGCAGAGACTTCGTGGAGGGAAACAGCCAATCTTACAAGGAAAATTGCAGCACGTGGTAAAGTCCAGGAAAGCTGCTACTCCCCTCACGCTCCAAGCCCTTGCAAAGGGGGCTCAGCAGGATAGGTGGGTGGCCAGCCGAAGAGGAGGAAATCCCTCACAGTGAGAAGGCAGGCACAGGCCCAGTGGTAGGGGCATCAGGCCACCAACCTGGGTTCAAGGCTCCTGGGGGTCCAAAGAAATTGAGCAACCCTTTCTAAGATCATATCCCAAGAACCAGATGTCCAGTGACATATTCATAGTTCACCACTGTGTCACTAGTATCTTACACACACACCTTATCTTTGTTAATGCGTAGGTATCATCATACCCGAAATTTAAGTTAAAATAGAGCTTTAAAAAAATGTTACTTTTAGTGTTTCAGTATGATATCCCAAATAAATCTCCTTTAAAAGGATGTTCTGGGCTGGGCGCAGTGGTTCACACCTGTAATTTCAGCACTTTGGGAGGCCGAGGCGGGCAGATCACTTGAGGTCAGGAGTCCAAAACCAGCCTGGCCAACATGGTGAAACCTTGTCTCTACTAAAAATACAAAAATTAGCTGGGCGTGGTTCTACACGCCTGTAATCCCAGCTATTCAGGAGGCTGAGGCAGGAGAATCACTTGAACCCAGGAGGTGGAGGCTGCAGTGAGCTGAGATCGTGCCACTGCACTCTAGCCCGGGTGACCCGAGTGAGACTCCATCTAAAAAAAAAACAAAGACTTTTCCATGACACTTTGGTCTCCAAATTAAGTAGCATCATTTTTGGTGCCCTTTCCTTGGTACCACACGCCCTGGGGCCTAAGTCTCCCACCCCCTTCCTGAGTCCCCTGTGGAGCAAGTTTCATCTGACAACATTCTGGAAAGCCCCACCCCAGTCGCTTGGGGTGGAGACTGACTGGAGCCCAAGCCACCAACTCCGCACCGCTCCTGCCTTCCCCGGAGCTGAGTCTGGAAAGGATGCAGACATGCTTGGAATCTCAAAAATGTGCCCCTTCTCAGGCCTCTGCCTGCACCGCAGCTCACTCAGCCTCCTGGGAGTCAGAGAGTGGAGCTGGGGCTCCAGGGTGGTCTGGGAAGGAAAACCCACCCCCCACCCTCCCAAGACAGGGTGGAACTCCTGCCCCACCCCCAACCTAGCACATAGATTTCCTCTGCGCACCCCCAGAGCTGCCTGCAGGCCTCAGTGGGGCAGCTCCAAGGAGGAACACTGGCTCTAATCATCGCTGGTAATGCAGCCCTGGGGGACACCATCCCAACGCCATGATCTTCAGGAAGGCCCAGCCCTCAGGGGCCACAGCAGACAGAATATGGCAGACAGAGGACCGTAGACAGGGAACAGGAGACAGGGAAAGCAGACAGGGGATGGCAGGCAAGAGACAGCAGACGAGGACTGCACGCAGGGAACAGGGGATAGCAGGCAGGGGACAGGGGGCAGTGGACAGGGGACAGCAGACAGAACAGTAGACAGGGGACCGCAGACAGGAGACAGTAGTCAGAGGACGGTAGATGGGACAGCAGACAGGGGACAGTAGATGGAGACGGCAGATGGGGACAGTAGATGGGATGGTAGACAGGACGACAGACAGGGGACAGCAGGCAGGACAAAAGCATCTTTCCAGCAGCTCCTGCCTGGACTGAGCCCTCCCACACTCTGCACAGGGCCTAGAGGAGCTGGGAGGTTAAACACGTGCGGTGAGCCTGCCTAAGAATCTCATCTCAGTGGCTCAAGTGCAAAACAATTTTATTTTTCCTCCAATCACTGCCTTCAGCCATATGTGTTAAATCTCTCTTTAGACACATCCAAGTATAAAAATCCAGTCCAGAAGAAAAGGTGTCCGTGCACTGGAGTCTAGTTAAATGTGCATTTCCCCTCCACGCTCCTGTCTCAGGGCAGAGCAGAGGCTTAGGGCTGCAGTGCCAGGGACTGCACTAGGGGTGGCCTCTTCCCCTGAGGATACACCCGACAAGGTTCCAAGCCTGCCAGATCCCAGCCCTCCTGGGTGCATCCACAGCACAGCACCAGGTCAGCCACGCTCGGTGGTGCACTCTGCACTCACAGGAAGCTCCAGCCTCCTGGACACACCAGATGGACAGAGGTGTCTGGCTCTGCCCTGGCCCCGCTTTAATCCTCTCCCTGCTCAAGGAAGCTGGGGACAGAGCAGCACATCAGTCTGGGCCACCACGCGATGGAAGGCCCGTGCCCCCTACCTGCATGACCCTCCAGTTTCCACCGAGGACCCTCCTCACCTCCCAGGGTACCCTCAATTCTCTTTTCAGCTTGTCTCTCAGGATGAAGGCAACCACTGCTGTCCCCACCACCCTTGCTGAAGTGCTTCCATAAAGCACATGCACCCAGGGAGCTATCTGGTCAGCTCTGCCTGCTCTAAGGTAGTACCACAGCCTGGGAGGCTTAGCAGCAGATGCGTGTTTCTCACAGTTCCGGAGGCTGAAGTCCAAGATCAAGGTGCTGGCAGATGTGGTGCCTGGTGAAGGCCTGCTTCCTGGTTTGCTGGTGGCCACCTTCTCACTGTATCCTCACATGGTGGAGAGAGATCGTCTCCCGTGTCTCTTCTTAGAAGAGCGCTAATCCCATCATCAGGTCAGGACCCAGCCTCATGACCTCCCCTAAGCCTAATCACCTCCCAAAGGCTCCACTTCCTCCTAAGATCTTCACATTGGGAGTTAGGGCTTCAATGTATGAATTTGGGGGGCACAAGCATTCAGTCCATAACAGTACAGATACCCATGATACTGTGAAAATTACGATGGGCATTGTATGAATGACACGGTGTCACACTTGTATCACCTCCTGCAAAACCAGCTGGGCTCTGCCCAGCGGCCTCCAGCCATTGGGGCAGGAGACTGGGAAGGACAGAGCAGACCTGCAATGGCGGAGCAGCCTCTGTAGGGCCGAGCTCTGCCTGGGGCTTTCTGCAGTCTCTCTCCTGTAGACCTCAATAACCCCATCATCTCCATTTCACAATGAAGAAACTGACCCTGAGAGAAGGTGTGTGATTTGCCCAAGGTCACTCAGCCAGCACAGAATGAAGCAGACAGCCTGACCCACATCTGAGTCTACACCAGCGATGTTCCAAAGGCGGCCTGGGGGACCCCCCAGCGTCTCAGGATCTTTCCAGGGATCAGAAAGACCGGACTTACTTTCACAGTAACACGGAGCCCTGATTTGCCTTTCTCATGCATTTTCTCACAGAGGTATCCAGGGGGCTTTCAGAGGCTCTTGATGCATAACGCAGCCTCACCCTGATGGCTGACAAAACGTGTGCTTCTGTCTTCCCGTGTTTTGCAAATTTATCAGTTTTAAACTCTAATGTAGTGAACACAGTTGTAACCACGGAGTGCTGGAAGATGTTAAACCACCAGCTCTCCAAGCCATAGGGCCCCACTATGCAGTATTTGCCACTTTCCGTGGTGTAAATATTTTCACCATGATCGATGTTAAGCCACCAAAATAACATCACTGGGTGCAGAGGTGGAAAGAAAGTGCACAGTCAGTTCTTGCCAGCTGGTGAGACAGCTGAGGCACATCACTGAAAAGACGCACACAAAACAGGAGCTCTTTAGGGTCCTCCCTATTTTTAAGGGTGTAAAGGGGTGCTGGCATCAAAAAGTTTGAGAACACTACTACATCACCCCTGACTGAACAAGGTGCAAAGAACTGCAGGAGGTGCCATCAGGACTTGGGAGGCAGGGGATCTGGTCTCCACCTTCTGGAAGCACCAGCCTAACTGGGGAGCCCCTGATGGGACTCAAGCAAGTGAAGGGAGAAGATGTCTGGCCAGGGTTGGAGAGAGGACGAGCCTGTGGCCTGGAGAGGCCCCGGGGGCACGGGCCATCAGCTGGGCGCTGGTGCCATGGGGAAGCCTGGGCTCTGTTGTCAGGATGCCCTGCTTTCTGGTGAAATCGGCTGTGATCTCCCCATTGGCATCAGTGCCCTGGACACTCAGGGTCCCACGGCCGCCAGGCATGCTGAGCAGGGACACAGGTGGAGCAGCAAGAAGCCTGGTGGTTTGCAGACTGACAGGGCAAGGGCCCCTCCAGAAGGGAGTGGACTGAGTCAAACAGGTTAGACTTGACGTGGTCCACTGACCCCAAAACCGACGGCCAATCCACTTCGTGTTGCTGTAAAGGAATACCTGAAGCTGGACAATTTATACAGAAAGGGGGTTTAATTGGCTCTGGGAGCATCTGCTCCGCTTCTGGGGAGGCCTCAAGGAGCTTTCACACATGACAGAAGGGGAAAGGGGAGCAGGCATGTCCCATGGTGAGAGGGGAGCAAGAGAGAGGAGAGGGAGGTCCAGACGCTTTTTAACAATCAGATCTCATGGTAACTCATTACCACAAGGAGGGCACTAAGCCAGTCATGAGGGCCCCACCCCACTGACCCAAACACCTCCCACCAGGCAACGTGAGGCTTGGAGAGAACACACATCAAGCCATATCCCTGCCCTTTAGCAGCAGTCTAGCTGAGGCCCGAGGTGCAGCGGCTGCCCGACCCAGCTGCGGCCACCAAGCTTTTTCCAAGCATCTACTCCAGTCAGCTGTGGTCCAGGGGCTGGGAGCCCCACGAAGAAGGCTAGCAGAAGCCAGGCTATGAGAGGGCAGCCAGGATGCCCTCATGCCCAGGAGAAGGAAAGGCAAGCCCTGGGTGCAGGAAGAGGCAATGGCAGAGGTGTGAAACAGCCTCAGGGCTGAGAGGCAGGACCTCTGAGACTGCCCAGAGCACAATGAGGCGAGAAAGGCGCGAGAAAACCACGGCTGGCACGCCCTGCCAAGTGTCAATTCACCCAGCCAGAGACTCAATGCTGCTGGAGTGGTCCGTCCCAGAGGGCCCCACAGCCTGGTCCTCATTGGTCTCCCGTGCTCTGGTTGGTGGCGGTGGGGTTTGGGGTCCACTCTGAAAGCCTATCCCGCCCTTACTTCTGGTTACTCTTGGTAGACTTGACCTAGCCTGCTCCATATTCCTCCCCATTCCCCAGGGCTTCTGAGCAGTCTCTCCTTGGAGGAAGCAGGCTGGGAGGAGGTAAGTGTGAGGCTGCTGGCATTACCTTCCCCCGCATAGGCAGGAGCTGTCAGAAGGAAGCTAAATGCCAATAAACCTTTTGCCCAAGAGGATGATGATGGTTTGGCTTCAGTGACTAGTTATTAAAAGTTATTATTTTTTTTTGAGACACAGTTTCTCTCTTGTTGTCCAGGCTGGAGTGCAATGGCGCGATCTCCGCTCACCACAACCTCCGCCTCCCGGGTTCAAGCAATTCTCCTGCCTCAGCCTCCCGAGTAGCTGGGATTACAGGCATGCGCCACCACGCCCGGCTAATTTTGTATTTTTAGTAGAGATGGGGTTTCGCCATGTTGGCCAGTCTGGTCTCAAACTCCAGACCTCAGGTGATCCACCCGCCTTGGCTTCCCAAAGTGCTGGGATTACAGGCATGAGCCACCGCTCCCGGTCAAAAAGTTACATTTTCATTTGCAGAAGCATAGACAGCAATGGGGAAAGGAGAAAGGGATCATTAAACTAGGGGCATGTACAGCTTCCAGGGCTCAGTGTGAACAGACGGACAGCAAAGGATTGGCAGAGCATTGCCTTCACCTCTGTCTACTGAGACTTGAAACGTATTGAGTGCCCTTTACAAAATCATCCCATTTCATTCTCCCAGCCCGGCAAGGTAGGCAGAACCTTCACCCAAAATACATCGTAATTGAGAAAACAGAGGCTTAGAAAGGGTAAGTGACATGCCCAAGGGTGCCCAGCTGGTTGATGGTGGGGCCAGGATTCACAGGCTACCTGACCACCACCCTCTCAGCCACCAAAACCTAAGGTCAAGTGTGAGAGCCCAGGAGTCTGAGGCAGGACACGAATATACCTCTGAAAAAGCTGGAAGATGGAAAAGACAAGCGGAGTTCCCAAATCCTCATTTGACATGCATGTTGTACTCATTGGGTAAAGTAAGTCATGGTCATCACACAACTTGAACTTTGGGGACAGTGGGAAGGACGACCAGACTCCTGCCAGAATGGAGTTGGGGTGAGGGGTCCACTGAGGCAATAGCTCTCAGCTCACTAGGTTGGAAGCCAGGAAAGAGAATAAGAAGGCTTCCAACAAGGCTTCCATGCCCAGGCAGCCCGGGCTCTCTGTCTCAGTGCTGGAGAGTGGCAGAAGTAAGTGGACACAGGGGCCCACACCTTGGTTTGTCCCAGTTCCAGGAGGTGAGACATGTGACAGCAAATTCCATTCACTGGGCCTCGGCGGCTGGTTCAGACGTGAGCATAAGACCTAAGTTGGTCCCATCAGACTGAATCTCAGGACACCATGCCAGGAATTCTAAGACACAGGTGCTTCCTCTAGCTCTAGCTCATGTCATCGTGCAGGAGTGAGGCCTGGAACAGTGGTAGCTGTGTTGCTGCCATGACGGAAGTCGGCCTGAGATGAGACTGGCTGCAGAGTCAAGCACAGGCAGAATCATGGAGCAATGAAGCCAGGGTTCTTGAATTTCATTTACAGCAGACAATGTGGTCGGAACCGCTGGTTGCCTACAAAAATATCCATGCTTTCCTCTATCGTCCTTAGCAACAGAAATTTGATTTTGCACAGCAATATGAATGTAGTAATGTGCCCATAAGAAAAACTACAATAGCAAAAGTCCTTTAAAATATATATATAACATCTATATAATAAATATAATAAGTTTAACAAAAGTATAAAACTTGTACATTAAAAACTACAAAACATTATTGAAAAAGAATAAAGAAGACTAAAGTAAATGAAAAGACAGCTGGTGTTCATGGATCAGAAGACTTACTATTGCTGAAATGTCAGCACTTCCCAAATTGATCAACAGACTCAATGCAATTCCTATCAAAATTCTAAAGGTCTTTTTCACAGAAATGGGCAAGCTGATTCTAAAATTCATATGAGAATCCAAGGAACTCAGAGTAGTCAAAACAATCTTGAAAAGGAAGGAAATATTTGGAGGATTTGCATTTCCCAATCTCAAAACTTACTACAAAGCTACAGTAATCAAAACTGTGTTGTACAGGCACAAGGACAGACAAATAGATTAATGGAATAGAATTGAGAGTCAGAAATAAACTCATACATTTGTGGTCATCTGAGTTTCAACCAGGTGCCAAGACAGTTAAACAAAGGCAGTAGGACAACGAGATAGTGACATGCAAAAGAATTGATTTGAACCCCTACCTCATGCCACATACAAAAATTAATTCAAAATGAATCAAAGTCTAAAAGTAAGAGCTGAAACTATAAAACTCTTAGAAGAAAACACAGGTGAAAATCTTCATGACCTTGAGTTTGGCCATGGTTTCCTAGATATGATGTCTACAATACAAGTAACCAAAGAAAAAAATAGATAAATTGGACTTCATCAAAATTTAAAACTTTGTTTATCAAGGGACACTATCAAGAAAGTGAAAAAAACAACCCACAGAATGGGAAAAAATATTCTTAACTCATATAATTGATAAGGGCCTATAACCAGAATATAAAAAGGCAAGTAATCTAATTTTAAAACAGGCAAAGTATTTGAATAAACATTTCTCCAAAGAAGGTATGCAAATGACCTATGAACACAGTGGATGGTACTCAATGTCACCATTTATTAGGAAAGTGCAAATCAACACCCCAGTGGAACATCACTTCACACACACGCTAAGATGGCTCTAATCAAACAGATAAAAATTCACAAGTGTTGGTGAGGATGTGGAGAAACTGGAACCTTCACGCACTGCTGGTGGGAATGTAAAATGATGCAGCCACTTTGGAAAACAGTCTAGAAGTTTCTCAAAAAAACTAACCATAGAGTTAACAAATTTAGCCAAGCAATTCCATTCTGTGGTATATACCCAAGAAAAATGAAAGTTTGCCTGCACAATAGCAGCATTATTCATAATAGCCAAGAAGTGGAAACAACCCAAATGGTCATCAGCTGATGAATGGATAAAGGAAATGAGGTATATTTATGCAATAGAATCCTATTCAGCAATATAAAGAAATGAAATACTGATACATGCGACAACACAAATAAATCTTGAGACCCTGTAGTGCTGAGTGAAAGAAGCCAAGCACAGAGTTGTCAATTTTACATAAAGCATGAAGTATAGGCACATCAAAAGAAACAGCAAGTACCTTGTGTTAGGCCATTCTTGCATAGCTATAAAGAAATATCTGAGGCTGCACTGGGCGCGGTGGCTCACGCCTGTAATCCCAGCACTTTGGGAGGCCGAGGTGAGTGGATCACTTGAGGTCGGGAGTTCAAGACTACCCTGGCCAACATGGTGAGCTCCCGTCTCTACTTAAAATACAGAAATTACCCAGGCATGGTGGCACACACATGTAATCCTAGCTACTTGGGAAGCTGAGGCAGGACAATTGCTTGAACCCAGGAGAGCCAAGACCACACCACTGCACTCCAGCCTGGGCAACAGAGTGAAATTCCATCTCAAAAAAAAAAAAAGGAGAGTGTATAGCTCAGTGGTAGAGCATTGGACTGCAGATCAAGAAATACCTGAGGCTGGATAATTTATAAAGAAAAGAGGTTTAATTGACTCACGGTTCTGCAGGCTGTACCAGCATAGCTCCAGCATGTGCTTCTAGCGAGGGCCTCAAGAAGCTTACAATCATGGTGGAAGGTGAAGGGGGAGCAGGTCCATCACATGGTGAGAACAGGAGCGAGACAGAGGGTGGGTGCCACACAATTTTAAACAGCAAGATCTCACCAACTCACTCATCACCATGGGGATGGCACTAAGCCATTCATGAGGGATCTGCCCCCATGAGCCAAACACCTCCCACCGGGCCTCCCCCCAACACTGGGGATTACATTTCAACATGAGATTTGGAGGGGACAAACATCCAAACCATATCATAGGTTCATGGTTGCCAGAAGCTGGGGGCAGAAAGGAATGGGAGTAGGGTTCCTATCTGGGGGGGATGAAATGTTCTGGAATTAATGATGATTGTTGCACAACTCTATGAATAAGCTAAAAAAAAAAACACCACGGAATTGTACACTTTTAAGTGGTGATTTTTATGGTATGTGAATATCTCTACTTATAAAAATGATCCTTACTGTTCAAACCAATTTGAGGTAGATGTGCTGTTTCTTGCAAACCAAAGCTCCTGATACTTGGTGGGACACCCTCCCCTGCTGGCTGACTTCTTCTCCTCCCAGGCAGGCTTTCTCTTAGAGCATGGGTGGAGATGAGGCCCAGCTATGACTAATCAAACAGATAAAAATTCACGAGTGTTGGTGCAGATGTGGAGAAACTGGAACCTTCATACACTGCTGGTGGGAACGTAAAATGGTGCAGCCACTTTGGAAAACAGTCTAGCAGTCCCTCAAAAAACTAACCATAAAGTGACAATTTGGCCAAGCAATTCCACTCTGTGGTATATACCCAGGAAATATGGGACAGACTGGGGACAGCTGTGTGCAGAACCAGAGTACCCCCAGCTTCTGAGAGAGAACACAGCCCCAAGCTCTTGCCCAAATTTTCGGGGTCTTGCTGTGGGTGGGGGCTGCTGCCTCTCTGGCCCTGAAGGATCAGGAATGACAGAGGGATCACATCAGAGCAGTTCAGGAACCACCATCACCTGCTCCATGGGTCACTGGGCAGCCGGGAGCCAGGCTGCCTGGGATCAGGTGACCTTGTGGTAAAATCAGTGGTGTCCGCTGGGCCAGAACAGCTGAGGCTGCTTCCATGAGCAGAAGGATGTGGGAAGTGACTGGAGCCATGACCCCATACAGTCACCTCGGTCACTCCACAGCAGTATCCTGAAGAGACCCAATTACACCGTTTGAAATTAAAGACATGATGAGAACTGTATGTTGAGATGTTTCTTGGGCCTTGGGGCAATTGGTAACTCCAGCTTTGGAAATATCCAGCCTAAATCCCCACCACCCACATCGCGTGGTGGCCAGCTTTCGGATCCCCTCATCCACAGTGGGGGAGCACACAATCCAGGCACTCATGGCCCCATTGGCAGACACATCGCAGGCAGCCCCAGTCCAGGGCAGGATGTTGTTACATGTTCAGGTAAGAATCAGGCTGAGACTCCCTGGCCTTCTTTCAAGGGTGTCAGCTCTACCATCACACCATTCCTTCTCTCAAGTGGGCAGATTGGTGTCTTAATTTGTTTTCTGTTGTCTATAACAGAATATCTGAAACTAGGTAACTTATAAAGAAAAGAAATATATTTCCTACAGTTATGGAGGCTGGAAACTCCAAGGCCAAGGGAGCACATGGTGAGAGCCTTCTTGCTGGTGGGGACTCTACAGCATTCTGAGGCAACACAGGGCATTGCATGGTGAGGGGACGGAGGTGCTAACTCAGGCCTCCCTTCCTCTTCTTGTAAAGCCACCAGTCCCACTCTCATGATAACTATTAATCCATTAGCCCATTAATCCACGAATGGGTTAATCCATTCCTGAGGGCAGAACCCTCCTGACCCAATCACCTCTTAAAGACTCCACCTCTCAATACTGCCACATTGGGGATCAAAGTTTCAACATGAGTTTTTTTTTGTTTTTTGTTTGTTTGTTTGTTTTGAGACAGAGTCTCACTCTGTCGTCCAGGTTGGAGTACAGTGACACAATCTCGGCTCACTGTAGATTCCACCTCCCAGGTTCAAGCGATTCTCCTGCCTCAGCCTCCCAAGTAGCTGGGATTACAGGCACCTGCCATCATGCCAAGCAAATTTTTGTATTTTTGTAGAGACAGGGTTTCACCATGTTGGCCAGGCTGGTCTCAAACTCCTGGCCTCAAGTGATCTGCCTGCCTCAGCCTCCCAAGGTGCTGGGATTACAGGCATGAGCCACCACACCCAGCCTCAACATGAGTTTTAGAGGGGACAAACACTCAAACAATAGCAATTGACCTTGAATCAGCCGAGCTGAGGAACAGGACGTCAGGCTATCACCAGAGAACGTTACCTCAAACTCTCTGTTCTCCAGTTTTAATTAAAGCAATATTTTTCATGGAGAATTACCCAAGAAATACACATTCCATGGACTCCTGAAGGTCAAGCCCCCTAGAGAACCACAGGCCAACTGCATGGTTTGGCCCTGATAAAACAGCACTCACTGAACTCACACCAGGATGATCTGCTGAGCCCACTCTGAGGGCTGTTAAGACAGACTCATGGGACTGTGGTTTTTGGTGTTATGCTGTTGGGTTGTGTGGTTTTGTAATTCATTTTAAAAGTGTACATTTGCACAAAAAGGTACAAAACAAAAATGTGCAGACCATGTAGTGAACAGCCATGTAACCACTAGCCAGGTAAAGAATAAGACATGGAGTCTTATTTGGTGAGGTGGGAGGCCAACTCCCTGAGGCCCCTCCACCTCACCAAGGGTAACTTCATTTAAATAGAATTATATAACATGGACTTTTCTGTGTCAGACTGCTTTCACTCAAATTAGGCTTCTGAGACCTATTCCTGGTATTGTGTATAGTCATAATTCCTTAATTTTCATAGCTTACAGTATTCCATTGTATGAATGAACTGTGAATGAAATTTTGGTCCATTTTTTGCTTGGGGCTATTATAAATAATGCTGTTAGGAATGTTCTATATATGTATCCTGATACGCACATTTACACATACACCTTTCCGTTGGGTATATTCCCATAAGTGTAATTGCTGGGTCATCAGGGATGGGTCATTGGAAATGCATACCTTCAATTATTTAGAAAGTAATAGAAATAATACCAAATTGTTTTCCAAAATGGTTGTTTCAATTTACATTTCCAGCAGCAGTCCGTGAGAGTTCCAGTAGCTCCACATTCTCATCAACACTTGTTACTATCAATCTTCTTAATATTAGCCATTCTGGTGAGTAAAGGTAGTGTGTTAGTTATCTAGTGTTGCATAACAAATTATCCTCAAAATGTAGTAGCCTAAAACAATATACACTTATTATTTCAAGGTTTGTGTGGGTCAGAAAGCCAGGAGTGGCTTGTCTGGGTGGTTCTGGTCTCTCACAAGGTTCCATCAAGATGTTATCCAGGGCTGCTGTCATCTGAAGGCTCAACTGGGGCTATAGGATTTGCTTCCAAGAGGGCTCACTCACATGATCTGATGGCAAGAGGCCTCAGTTTCTCGCTGTATGCACCTCTTAGCAGGTCTGCTTGACTGTCCTCATGAGAGTCATGCCTCATGGCATCAGCAAGTGCTGTGAGAGAGAGGGGTGTGGGGAAGAGAGAGAAAGAGAGAGAGAGGCCACATTGTCTCACGACTTAGTGTTGCAAGTGATACACCATTACTTTTGCCATATCCTATTTATTAAGGTGAATCACTCAAGTCCAGCCACACTCAAGGGGAGGGGAATTAAGTTCCACCTCTTGAAATGAAGAGTACTAAAGAATTTGTGGACATATTTTAACACTACCACAGGAAACTCACTATGGTTTTAATTTGTATTTCTCTGACTAAATGAGGTTGAACACTTTTTCATGTGTTTACTGGCCATTAACTCTTTCACACAGTACCTGTTCAAGTCTCTTTCATAATTTTCTGGTTTGTTTTTTTTTTTTTTTTAGTTTTTCTCATTGATTTGTAAGAGTTCTTTCTATATTCTAGATATGAGTCTCTTGTCAGTTATATGTGCTGCAAATACTTTCTCCCACTCCTAGATTGCTTTTTGTACATTCTTAATGGTCTCTTTGATAAACAAACTTTCTTAATTTTAGCATAGCCTAAATTATCAGTCTTTTTCTTTATGGACTGTGCTTTTTATATCTTGCTTAAGAAGCAAAGTCATAAAGCTATTTTCCTATTTGGGTGGCTTTCTGATGTGTGACCTTGCCTAGGCTGAGCTATATTTCCCTGGAATGCCCTTTCTAGTGTGCATTCAGTTAGGGAGGGTACAGGGATGGGATGGGCAACCAGGGGTATTCTCTACTGAGAGCAGGAGGACAACAGGGAAGCAGTGGCCTTTCAAGCATGCACACACTTTCTCCAGTTACTCACTTGAGCCCTGGCCTTCATGCTGCTGCAAAGAGATTTTGCAATGTGATTAAAGTCCCAAGTCAGTTGACATTAAGATAATCAAAAGGGAGATTATTGCTCACAGTCAGTTACAGATCGAACTCCTTGTTCCACTCATCCTCCACTTCTCACTACTGCACTTGATTAATCTAAAAAAAAGTGGGGAGAGATTATCCTGGATGGGCCTGACTCAGTTAATTGAAAGGCTTTGTTAAAAGGGTTTAGGCATTCCCTGAGCCACACTCCAAACAGCCCCTGACAGCCTGCCCATCAAACTTCAGATGTCCTTAGCCTGCGCCCACAATTGTATGAGCCAATTCCATGTAAACACACACACAGAGGATCACTGACTGGCCCTGCTTCTCTGGTTGAGCCCTCACTGATACTCCTATATTATCTTCTAAAGCTACATTGTTTTGCCTTTCTCATTTAAATCTAAATCTACCTGGAGTTGCTTTTTTTGTGGATGGTGTGAGGTAGGGGTCAAGAATTTTGTTTTGCTTTCTTCTATTTAGATACTCAATAATCCCAGCACCATTTATTAAAAAGCCTTTCCTTTCCTACTGCTTGGCCAGCTTTGTCATAAATCAAAAGTGCACATATTCACAGGTCTGAGTGTTTTCAGCTGATCTGCTTTGGCCACCAAGAAATTAGTTTTCAAATTTGCTTTCCATTTTCAACAATTGTGTTGGACTTTATGACGTGATTTCTGAACACCAATTTACCACTGGCCTTGACTGATGGCCCAGCCCACATTTTCCCTCTACTGTGGCATACAAAGTGGCTGTTTATGAAATCTTGGTGTCCTCCCTTTCCTCTGCTTTGGAAAACAGGGAGAGCCCTAGAATTGAGCTACAGGAGGGCTGCTAGGGGAGACAGGAGGTAGTGAAGTGGTCCCCAGAAGTCCTGGTGACTTTGATTTTGTTTTATTTTGTTTTGTTTTTGTTTTTGAGATGGAGTTTTGCTCTTGTTGCTTAGGCTGGAGTGCAATGGTGTCGTCTCAGCTCACTGCAGCCTCCACCTCCCAGGTTCAAGTGATTCTCCTGCCTCAGCCTTTCGAGTAGCTGGGATTACAAGTGCCCACCACCAAACTCAGCTAATTTTTGTATTTTAATTAGAGACAGGGTTTCACCATGTTGGCCAGGCTGGTCTCGAACTCCTGACCTCAGGTGATCCACCCACTTCGGCCTCCCAAAGTGCTGGAATTACAGGTGTGAGCCACCACGCCCAGCCCCTGGCAACTTTGTTGAAGAGGGATGGGTAGAGGGATTGATCATCAGAACATGGTGGGTTGGGAAGCCTATCACCATGTGGATTGCGCAGGCCACGTGATGTTCACCTGAACTCAGCATACCACATAGACACCGGCATGGAGGAGGAGAGCAGAGATAGTCCCAATCCCATAGGGGCAGAGGGGTCAAGAGGAAGAGCTTTACACAGCAGCATGGATGGAACTGGAGATTGGTGTGTTGAGTGAAATAAGCCAGGCACAGAAAGACAAACTTCACATGTTCTCACTCATTTGTGGGAGTTAAAAATTAAAACAATGAACTCATGGAGCTAGAGAGTAGAAGGATGGTTACCAGAGGCTGGGAAGGGTCGTGGAGGAGGAGTGAGAATGGTTAAAGGGTACAAAAATATGGTTAGAAAGAATGAATAATATCTAGTATTTGATGGCATAATAGAGTGACTACAGTCAACAATAATTTGTCGTACATTTCAAAATAACTAAAAGAGTGTAATTGGATTGTTTGCAACACAAAGAAATAATAAATACTTGAGGTGATGGATACCCCATTTACCCTGATATAATTATTATGCAATGCATGCCTGCATCAAAATATCTCATGTAACCCATAAATACTTACTCTGTACCCACAAAAACTTTAAAAATAAAAGGGAAACAATGTGATGTGTTAAAACTATAAACATCCTATAACTCCCCCTCAGCATAACTGCAACAGTCACTCCTGCAAGAGTGATCTAAGCTGCTGTCAGTTCCCATTTTGCCTGTGTCCAGCTGGACCTCACCCACACAAACGTGGGGTCTTTGGCCCAGCGTCATCTGAGCTGCTGTACAGCAGCAAGCCCTGTTCTTTCCATGAAACGTTACAACCAACAGCAGCCCTCAGGACCTGGGCACAGAGCTGGGCACGCAGTGGGTGCTGCCCAAAGGAGTTTTGAACAACTGGATGCATTACAGGTTAGATAAATTATGACTTCTCCACACTGTGAACTATGCGTCTCAAATTCCTAAGGAAACTCCTTATATCCTGGTCTAGAGTGGGCCCCACTGTCACACCATCGAGTGAAAAAGGCAACATGAAACAAGCATGTGACATGTGTCATCTTTTCTACAAAATTGGAGGGAAAGAGAAATGTATGCACATATTTGCTTGAATGTGCAGAAAATAGCTCTAAAAGGACCTGCAAAAGCTGTGTGATATTGGCCCTAGCAGGGAGGAAGGCCTGCTGGAGGTTCAGGGCAGGAGAAACCCTTCCCTGGGAGCTTCTGGCAGCTTTCAGCTTTGGAGCCATGTGAACAGCCTGCCTGCTCACAAAACCAAAACAATTGTTTTAAGAAAAAAAGAAAAGAAAGAACAAGGCGTAGACGGCCTGAGGGAGCACATCTACCCAGCTGGGCCAGGACCGGGAGAACCCAGGAGCATGAAGAGGGGGCTGTGCCCATCCTGGGCAGGAGGCCAGCCCTGCCTCCCAGTCCCTGCCTTCCTAAAGCTGCCCTGGCAGGAGCCCTCACAGGAGGCCTGCGGAAGCCAGGCCCACTGGGCCGTGCAGCTTCCCTGGAATTTCTCCTCCCCCTTGGTGGCTGGCAGAGGAGGCTCTTTTTCTTGGCAAGCCACCGTCTGTGAAAAATGTGGTGGCCGTGAGGCTGCATCTGCAGACAATGGTTTGGACATGGAGCAAATTAGGAAAAACCTCTTTACCTCTGCACTGCAAATCCTCTCTCCCTGTGGCAGCCAAGCCAAGCAACGAGGAGCAGAGAAAGAAGACTGCAGGGAAGAGCACGTCCAGCTTCCTGGCAAACATCTGTGGCTGAGGTGGTAGCTGGGAGTGCAGAGGTGTGCTCAGAAAACACAGCCTTGTGACGCAGGATCAGACAGACGTAGGGGAACTGTGGGTGTGCACGTGAATGGGTGCGTACAGGAGGGTCGGGGTGAGCGGGCGTGTGTGTGCACATGTGTGTGCACATTTGGGTACATGTGCATATGTGGAACAGACCCCCTGGTGCTTGTGGGAGATGCCTGGCTGTGCAGCAGGCCTGCCTCTGGGGCTCCACGCCTCAAGGGGTGTTGGGAACAGGCATGTGATTCTTCTGTGGATTCCAACCCCTGCTTGGCCAACCCTGCTTTGTCATTTGTTAGCTGGGTCTCTAGAAAATTCTGTTAGTCCTTTAACTTTAGTCGCTTTATGTGTAACACAAGGTTATGGCGAGGAGTCACTGAAAATACGAAGCAGAGAGGCAGCAGCTCGGTGACGGCGACGCCAGGGAGTGGGCCGCAGTGGCTGGAGTCTGTGCCTTCTTTTCTGGCTTCCTCTCTGGCCTAGCTGATGGTCCTAAAAGTGCATGATTTTCCCCCATGGGCTGACCATAGGCAGGGCTTGTGGCCCACCGTCCCACACAGCGCCTGGCTTGGGGCAGGTGGAGAGGCCCAGGGTGAGAGGTGACAGCCCAGCTGAGGCACCGTGGTGGCCGCCTGTGTGTGCCCAGTTCACAGGAGCCTCACCCTCCAGGAGGCCTCACTGAGCCGCAGCAACCACGAGGCTTGCCCTCCTCACTCACCACGTCTGCCCTCACCCACCAGGCCCGCTCCTGCCTGGAGGACGAACCACATGGCTGTCCTCCCCACCCCACCTAGTTTCCAGAGGGGAAAAACAAGAGAGTACAGTACAGGAGTTCTCCCTCTGCCTAGCCCCGCGCGGCGGCTTCCTCTCAGGCTTGGGATAAAGCCAAACCACTCGCCATCGCCCAGAAGGCCCTCTTCCCGGATCCGAGCCCTGGCACCCGCCCCCCGCCCGCCGCTGCTTCCCTCTGCTCAGGGGGCTCCACATGGGCAGCCCACACTTATCTGCGCCCCAGGATCTTTGCTCCAGCCGCTCCCCGGCCCGGGGTGAGGCGGGGGTGTTTCCAAGGCTGCTCTCTGCTGCTGGTCCTCATCATTCTAGGCTTGCTTGACAGACAGCTCAGCTCTTCAGAGAGACCTCCCTGACCCACCCCAGGGGCAAGCCTACTTCTACCCTCTGTCTGCCCGCTCTGCCCATGGGGCGATGCGCTCTCCAGGAACGGAGGGACAGGGCTGAGCCGTGAGGACCTCGCACTCCCGGTTGCCGTGGGACACGTGCGCAGGAGAGAAGGCCTGCGGGCTTCATCTAGAAGAAACCCTGGCGGGGCTCAGCGCACAGACCCCACACCGCACCGCTGCCCCGCAGACGCAGGCCTTGGCGCAGCCCTGCAGAGTCAACCCGTTCATTCCTTCTCTCATTAGAACAAATGGATGGATGCCAAGCAGGCGGCGCGGTCCTCCTGGCACCTCAGGGGCCGGCTTCTCACGGAGGAGCCCGCCTTCCGAGCGCCGCGAGCAGGCTGATTCCCACCTGGCCCAGGGTCTGCAGGCCGCGGAGAAGAAGGGACGGGGCGGGAACGGGTCCTCACCTTTCCAGCCCTTTCCTGTCTCCACCACAACGGACGACTTCCTTCCAGCCCACCTGCCCCTGCCCCTGGGGCCTCCCAGGCTGTTCCTGGGCCTGGGCGCCTTCCTCCCCCTAGGCCACCCCAACAACCGGTTCAGCCTCCTCCTTAGGAGCCCCCGCACGCCCGGGCAAGTGCAGATGCCCAAGCCCCATCTCACCCCGCCGGCCCAGCCTCACAACCCCAACCCCCATTTTAAAACCTTCACTGCCACGTGGCACCAACACGTGGTTTGGGCAACGTGGGCACCTGTCTCGAAGGCCCCCAAGCCTTCACTGTCCCCGCCAGAGGGGACCACCAAGCCAGCGTGCAGACCCCCTCCTCTCAGCGCCCCCAGCCCTAGCTCCCATCCCCCTGTGGAGGAAGGCAAGGGGTCTGGGGCAGGGTCCGTCTTATATGCTCGCCCCCGGGAGACGATGATCCCCGCGCGCGTCCCTGGGTAAAGAGAGGCCACCTCGCTGCCTGCAGGACCCCCAGAGCGGCCTCAGGGCCGGGGTTGGGGACTCTCTCCGCCCCACAGGTTCCCTTCCAGGAAGAGAAGAGTAAGGCAGAGCCACCGGCCACACCACCCACCCCTCCCCACTGGCCCTCCGCCTTTCCCTTCCCTCCTGCACTCCGGTGACAGAGCGTCCTGGGCCGGTGGCACCTTCCTGTGCACCCTTCGCGGGGACTCGCCGCTCAGCCGCGGAATCTGGAAGTCGGAGCTGCTGCTGGATAGTGATCCTGAAAGCCAGCGCTGCCCACCGCAGCGTGAACAACGAGCGCCTCCCGGTCAGGTAGAAGAGCCCCTCACCTTCACTGCGTGAGGGATGGCCCCCAGCCTGGATTTTGTACTTGAGGTGAAAATACCAGCCAAATGTGACTCCTGTTTTAAAAACAGTAGTCCATTGATTAAGATACACCTTCTAAAAGTTCAGCGTACTTACATTTATCATGAACACTTTTTAATTCGCATGTTCTTCTTCTTTTTTTTTTTTTTTTTTTTTTTTTGAGATGGAATCTCACTCTGTTACCAGGCTGGAGTGCATGGAGTGCAGTGGTGCAATCTGGGCTCACTGCAACCTCCCCTTCCAGGGTTCAAGTGATTCTCCTGTCTCAGCCTCCCAAGTAGCTGGGACTATAGGCGCATGCCATCCCACCCAATTTTTATATTTTTAGCAGAGATGGGGTTTCACCATGTTTGCCAGGATGGTCTCCATCTCTTGACCTCATGATCCGCTCGCCTCAGCCTCCCAAAGTGCTGGGATTACTGGCCTGAGCTACCATGCCAGGCCTTTAATTTGCATTTTCTAAAGTGCTTTTAGCTTTTAAAAACGTTCACACCTACATCAGTTCATACAACTGCCTGAGAGAAGCGTAGCCACCATTAAGAACTCCATTATAAGGCTGGGCACGGTGGCTCACACCTGTAATCCCAGGACTTTGGGAGCCTGAGGTGGCTGGATCACTTGAGGTCAGGAGTTCGAGACCATCCTGGCCAACATGGCGAAACCCCGTCTTTACTAAAAATACAAAACTTAGCCAGGCAGCGTGGCGCACGCCTGTAATCCGAGCTACTGGGGAGGCTGAGACAGGAGAATCACTTGAACCCAGGAGGTGGAGGTTGCAGTGAGCCAAGATTGCACCAGTGCACTCCAGCCTGGGCAATAAAGGAGACTGGGTCTTAAAAAAAAAAAAAAAAAAACGAAAAACAAAAATAAAAATATCTCCATTACATAAATGACAAAACTGAGGGTTACATTGTCAAATAACTTGGGTTAGTGCACAAAGAAAAGAAACATACTGGTGAGTGACCACTCCCGTCAGTAATCTGCTCTAATTTTATCCTCATAAGAACCCTTAGAAGTGGAGGTGGGTACCTTGGCCCATTTTACAGATAAGGAAAGTGAAGCTCTGAGTGTTGGGTGTTTGCCCAGGTCACACAGCTAGAGAATGGAGCTGAACCATGGTTTGGCTTATCACATCGCTAAGCCCTTTCATCCCCTCTGGGCTGTGAAACATCACTGCTCCTTCACTTGGGGAAGTGTTGCCCCTGTGATAAGACCAATAAGAACCTTTTTCTTGGAATGAATAAAATACAGTGAAAGGAATGAAGGAACAAGATGTTAGGGGCCCGTCTCATGATGACTCCTACATTAGAACAGTGTAGAATTCTACAGCTATTCTAAGGCCTTGGAACCCAGGCACTGGTGCCACACTCCACCCTCTTTTCTGGCTAGATCTCTGGAGAGTCCACTAACCAACCATTCTAATCTAAAATAGGATAAGATTTTATGAGGGTCAATTTAGATATCTATGGTAGTCATTTGTGCTGTTTTCCAAATAGTCTGGGTCTCCTTTGCCGACATGTGGTAGGAGGCCATGCCTTGGGCCTCTTGGAGTAGGCTTGGTCATGTGACTCACTTTTGCCAGTTAGCAGAAGTGACTTATGCCACTTCCTGGAGAAAATCGTAAGAGCCAGTTCACAATAGTCTTGTAGTCTCTTTTGTCTTGTGTTCACAAAGTCAGAGACAAAGAGATAGAGCCTGGGTTTTCCCTTAGTCAGGAGGATCAGCCCCCAGCTGATCTACAATGAGCATGTGGTATAAGGGAGAAATATGTTGCTTCTAGTTGCAGAGATTTGAGGATGCTTGTTACAGCAGCAAATTCTAGCCTATCCTAACTGATACAATAACATATTTGAGAACAGTATACTTTCTATACATATACTATAATATGTATTTGCATCACTCTTCTCATCTATAAAATAGGGTAATATATCATGAGGATTAACTGAATAAATACATATAAATGATTACATATGTGCCTGACACATAGTATACCTTGTATGTGTTAACTGTTATCATTAATGCTGTTCTTCTTCTATGTAACTATTATTATGAATGTTGTTCTTGCTGTTGTTCTTTTTTAAAATGTTTCCTGCATAAGCCCCAATGCCCCAATAAAAGCGGAGGGCAAAGGTGAGGCCAGGTCTTCTGAGGAGCAGTCAGCTCTGGAGGTGACTTGGTTGCAACACTCTCTCTTTGATGGCAATTGCCCTATCTGCCTTCTTTAAAACAAATTCTATTATAAAAGTCATGCATGTTGTCCATGAAAAATCAGAAAACATATAAAAATATAAAGAAAATAACAAAAATGTTCTGTAATCCCACGTCAGAGTTAACCTCTTTTAATATTTTTGTATGTATTCTTCTCATCCATTTTTCTTGCACCATTTTATTTTTCCAAGTAGAACTTGTACTGCACATAGCTGTCAGGCAACCTGCGTTTGCCTTTCTTATTATTTTTTCTTTTAACTAAAAATATGTCAAGAACATTTTCCTACTTTATTAAATGTTTTCCTACAAAATAATTTTAATGCAGCTTAGTAAGGCACATATGAATGTGTAGCAATTAAATTACTAATTCCTGGTTCAAAATCAAACCACAAAATTACTGAGAATTTACTACATGCCATGCACTGAGCTAGTGCTAGTGATAAACTGATGACAAAATCAGGCCTGGCCCAGCCCTCAGGCGCTAACCCTTCACTGTCTCCCAGGGGATATTCAGGTTCTTGCCCTCGGGGGAGGGGTGCAGGGCTGTTATCATTAGTGACTAGTGATGCAAAGAACATCCTTAAAGCTACCTCTTTGTGCCGAATCTGCCTGACTTGTGATTCTGATAGGTGCTAGACAAGATATAATAAATGCCTTCTTAAGTGCAAAACTGAGTTCAAAAAGAAATGAGGGTATCAGGGGCCAAAAACAGAAAGAAACATGGAAACCAGTAGACTAAATAGGTGTAAGCATTTCAGATATCCGGAGGTGGAAAGAAGATGGGAGTCCATTTATGTACCCTGGGGCTTGGGTTTATAGCCGTACAAATATAGGAGAAGAAGTCTCATAAGCCAGATCAGGATGGAGAGCTGTGTCTGAGATCCCTGCAGAAGGTGACATCCACAAGAAGCTCCATATTTGGTAAAAGAGCAGATTGCACCCTAACAAAGAGAGAGAAGAAGGAAGCTTGTCCGTTTTAGCTTGAGTGCTGAAAAAAAGGAAAAATGATTCCTGAGAATTTGTAAACTCTGCAAACAATGTCCACATCGTTTAGAGTTCAGGGTTTGGGGTTCAAACGTATTGTACCTCATGGCCTAGGTACCGCAAAACAAATAAATTAACATGAGAAATATCCCTGGGTTGGTAACACCCCCTGGACACCGGCAGAAGTAACAGTCATCCTCTCAATCCAGGCCACAAGGAAGTCCTACAGATAAAGCCCCAGTGCAGATGAGCTCCCTCGTCAAAATTAGAAAGCTGTTGAGGAAGTGAACCATAAGGAGAGGAGTCAAAAGAAACAACAAATAGAGAATTAGGCCTTCAAATACTTCACATAATGAGATTATCTGATAAGTACTATGAAGTGTCTAAAACTATGGAATACGTAAGTAAAGAAATGCAAAACATTGAAGAACAGATTGTTGTGTAAAAAGAGAGGAGCAGGAGGAGCTCAGCAAACATCCATGGCTATGTGCGATGATATCAGGCATTGCTCACACCCCAAGAGGATGCCTCTATCAGTATCATGTTTGACTGCAAATAACAGAAAACCTACTGACCAACAGTGCCTGAAACAAGCAGAGATTATTTTTTTCAAAAACCTACCAGTTTAGAGGTGGGCTTCTGTTGGCATTGGCTCAACCATTCATCTGTGGCATCTAGGGCCCAGGCTGCCATCACTGCACTTGGCCTCCTTTAGTAAATCATTTTTTATGATTGTCCTTGCTACCTCAAGATTTCAATGACTGCTACCTCTTCAGATATCATGTAACTGCAAAAGTGGGAAGGGAAGAGGTGAAGGACGAAGAGCCAACTACATATGTCCCTGCTTATAGCAAACTACCACCACTACCGCCATCACCACCACCACCACCATCATCACCATCACCACCACTACCAATACCACCATCACCAGCACTATCATCATTATTTCCACCACCACCACCACTACCACCACTACCACTACCACTATCCCCACCACCAGCACCAGCACCACCATCATTTCCACCACCATGGCCACTATCATCACCATCACCACCACCACCACCACCACCACCACCACCACCACCACCACCACCACCACCACCACCACCACCACCACCACCACCACCACCACCACCACCACCACCACCACCACCACCACCACCACCACCACCACCACCACCACCACCACCACCACCACCACCACCACCACCACCACCACCACCACCACCACCACCACCACCACCACCACCACCACCACCACCACCACCACCACCACCACCACCACCACCACCACCACCACCACCACCACCACCACCACCACCACCACCACCACCACCACCACCACCACCACCACCACCACCACCACCACCACCACCACCACCACCACCACCACCACCACCACCACCACCACCACCACCACCACCACCACCACCACCACCACCACCACCACCACCACCACCACCACCACCACCACCACCACCACCACCACCACCACCACCACCACCACCACCACCACCACCACCACCACCACCACCACCACCACCACCACCACCACCACCACCACCACCACCACCACCACCACCACCACCACCACCACCACCACCACCACCACCACCACCACCACCACCACCACCACCACCACCACCACCACCACCACCACCACCACCACCACCACCACCAACACCACCACCACCACCACCATCACCATCATTTCCACCACCACCACCACTACCACCACTACCACTACCACTATCCCCACCACCAGCACCAGCACCATCATCATTTCCACCACCATGACCACTATCATCACCATCATCACCATCACCGCCACTTCCACCACCACCACCACCACCACCATCATCACCATCACCACCACCACCATCATCACCATCACCACCACAACATCATCACCATCACCACTGCTCTGTGACTCCTTGGCTCCCCTCATACTAAGGTCTTCAACCGTCTGCAGCCCAAATCCTCGCACAAAGCCACCACAGACCAGATAGTCCCAGAAAAACACCTTGCAACAACACTCCAGTCACCAGCCGTACATGGGACTGGTGGAAACAGGAAACTGGAAACAGGAAACAGAAGTGCCACTTTAGTGAGCTGCTGTGAGGACAATATCAGCAAATGCGCCTAGGACAGTCCAGCGCAGCCGCCCAGGCTGGGGTAGTCAATGCACATTCCCCTCTCCTCTCCCTTCCCTCCCGTGTCTCCATATGAAGTACTTAGAGGCTTTCCCAGTGTTCCTCCAAGCAGGGTGCTCCCAGGAGTTCTTGCCTAGCAGAGTGGTGTTGCCACCAAACGCCTCCAGCCAATGAAAAGGAAGCAGCCAAGTGTGTGACCACAACATCCATCACCCTAGAAACATTGCCCCCACTTCCCAACAGCCAGTGGTCAGGAGAGGGACAGCACCCTGGGCAGGCACCTCTGTGGATTTCATGAGCTGAACCACACAAAACCTTGGCAGCAGGACCTGGCCCAGAGCAAGAGCTCAAGCATTGTTGGCTGCTGCTAGGAGAGTTTTTATTTTTTTTTATTGTTATTATTTTTTTAAGATGGAGTTTCACTCTTATTGCCCAGGCTGGAGTGCAGTAGCATGATCTCAGCTCACTGCAAACTCCGCCCCCACACCGGGTTCAAGCGATTCTCCTGCCTCAGCCTCCTGAGTAGCTGGAATTACAGGTGCCCACCACCACGCCCATCTAATTTTTTTGTATTTTCAGTATAGACGGTGTTTCACCATGTTGGCCAGGCTGGTCTCAAACTCCTGACCTCAGGAGATCCAACCACCTCAGCCTCCCAGAGCGCTGGGATTACAGGTGTGAGCAACCACCCCCGGCCACTAGGAGAGTTTTTAAAAAGAAAGGTCCAAGGGACCATGTGGCTGTGTAGAGGAGTTTGTGGGAGGACAGGCTGCAGAGGTCACATGTGTCTGGTGGCCCCAATGAGACTGATTGTTGACTTCATTCCTCTACCCCATCAGTGCCTCGTGAGCATCTAGGACGCAATGGCCCTGCTCTGCAGTGCACGGGGAGGTCAGGGGCACAGAGAGGCTCTTCCCTGAGGTGCTGACGTTCCCACGCAGTGTGACGTTCAGCCTCAACGTGTCCGGCGAGCCTGTCACAGCCTTTTCCAAAGCTTTTCTTGCATATTTTCAGATAATCACATGCTTTTCCTCCTGCTATTCCTGGAATAAATCCTGGTTTGTCATGGTGTAGTGTTATCCAATTTAATTTTCTACTATTTTGTGTTTTTACATTTATTTTCAAAAATGAACTTGGTCTACAGTTTTGTGTCTGACTTTATCAAGTTTTGACATCAAGGAAATTTGAAGGGAATTATTTATTAAAAGTTTGACAGACTTTGACTATAAAATTGCTTGGACAAGTGAGAAAAGGTAATAGAAAAAAGTATTATATTTATAACAGCAATAAAAATAAATATCTAGATATAAATTTCCCTCCATAATACTGTTCTTTTTCATTTGTATGTATAAATTGATGTACAATTTACATACAACAAAATACGCAGATCTTTACTGCTCAGTTCAATGAATTGTGACAGTTGCAAACAGCCAAATCAAGATCTAGAATATGTCTATCACCCCGAAATTTCCCTCATGCTCTTTTGCTGTTGATACCCCACAGAATCAACCACTGTTCTGATTTCTATCACCAGAGATTAGTTTTGCTTGTCCTAAAAATGTATATAAATGGAAACATTCTGTTTGAACTCTTTTGTGTCTGGTTTCTTTCACACAGCAAAATAATTTTGTGCTTCAGCCATATAGCTGTATGTATCAATAAGTGATTCTGTTTTATTGCTAAGTAGGCCATTGTTTGACTGTATCAAAAATTGTGTAATTCATTCACCTATGGATGGATCTAAGATGTTTTTAGCATATGATTATTTGAATAAAGCTGCAATGCACATTCATGTACAGATATTTTTAAGGACTCCTGGGTAAATACCTAGAAGTCAAATTGCTGGGTCACGGGTAGGTGTATGTTTTAGCTTTATAAGGAACTGTCAGAGAGTCCTCCAAAGTTACCGTCCCATTTTACATGCCCACCAACAAAGTATGAGTTCCAGTTCCTCCACACTCTCACCGATATATGATATTGTCAGTTATTTTAATTTTAGTCATTCTAATATTTGTATAACGGGAATTCATCATGATTTTCACTTTGCTTTTCAACAATGTTGAATATCTTTTCATGTGCTTATTGGCCATTTACATATCTTGCATTGTAAAGTGTCTATGAGTCTTATTACCATTTTAACTGGGCTGTCTGCCTTTTTATTATTTTTAGTAATTCTTTACATATTATGAATATGGATTCTTTATCACTGTGAATATTTCCTCATCTGTGGCTTGCTTGTTCATTTTCTTAATTGTATCTTTTGATGAGTAGAAATGTTCATCCTGATGATGTCCAATTCTTATTTTTTTTATTTATAGTTAAAGTTTTTTGTGCTAATTTGGTTGGTGTCTTTGCATTCCCCAAATTTGCAAATACCCTGCTATATTTTTTTCTAAAAGATTCAGGGTTCTAAGTTTACATTTTAGGTCAATGATTCATCTTAAATTATTTTCCGTGGGGGTTAAGTTTATTTTTTATATAAATATCCGGTTTGTTTTAGCACCATTTGTTTAAAAGGTTTTCTTTTCTGCTTTGAATTAATTTGATTCCTTGTTCAAAAATCAATTAACCATATTGTGGAGATTTATTGCCTAACTCTCTACTCTGTTCCATGGATCCATTTGTCTATCCTTATGTCAGTACGATACCATCTTGATTACTGTAGCCTTATAGGAAGTCTGAAAAGCAGTTAGTGTAAGTTGTCCACTTTTAAAAATTTAGAATCAGCTTTCTTCAAAAAGACACTGACATTTTTTCTTGAGATTGTGTTGAATCTACAAAGCAATTTGGAGAAAATCAACTTCTTCTCAATATCCAAGAACTCTAATCTATGAACATGGTATATTTCTCCATTAACGCAGGTGTTATTTCATTTCTCTCAATGATGTTTGTGCAGTGGTCAACATGGAGGTCTTGTGCATCTTTCTTCAGACACATTCCTAGGTATTTGGTGGGTTTTAATGCTATTTTTAAAAGTATTTTTAATCTCACTTTTGTAGGTTTTTGGATACCTTCTTTATCAGATCAAAGAAGTTCCTGTTTATTTCTAGTTAGTTGAAAGTGTTTAATCATATATGTGTTTGAATTTTATCAGATGCTTTTTCTGTATTTATTGAGATGATGGTATGGTTTTTCTCCTTTAGTTCTTTAGTCTCCTTTAGCCACCACCTCATAGTGATGAATTACATCGATTTCTATTGGAGTAGTAAATAAACTTTTCACACCTGGGGTAAATCGCACTTGGTCATTATATACTATTCTTTCTATGTATTGCTGGATTCAATTGGCTAATATTTTATTAAGAATTTTTGCAAATATGTTATTAAGGGATATTGGTCTATAATTTTCTTGTTAGGTTTTCATACCAGGATTATGCTGACTTCATAAAACAAATTGAGAAGTATTCCCTCCTCCTCTGTTTCCTCCAGAGTTTTGTAGGATTATTTTGTGGTATTATTTCTTCCTTAGATATTCGATAGAATTTTCTGGAGAAGCCATTTGAGCCTGAAGATTTTTTGTAAGAAGATTTTTTATTATAAGTTTAATGTCTTTGATAAGACATAGGGCTATTTAGACTTTCTATTCTTGTGTAAGTTTTGGTAATCTGCAATTTTCAAGAAATTTGTTGATTTCATCAAAGTTGTTGAACTTACTGTCATGAAGTCATCCTTAATATTCCCTCATTATCACTTTAATGTCTATATAATCTGCAGTGGTGGCCTCTCTTTAATTCCTGATAGTGATAATTTTTTTTATATTTTCTTTATTAGTCTTTCTAGGGCATTTTGTTAATATTTTCAAAGAAGCAGCTATTGGTTTAATAGGTTTTTCTCTACTGTTTTCTAGTTCATTACTTTTCACTCTCTTTTCTACCTTGGGTTTAATGTACTCTTGTTTTTCTAGCTTCTTAATGTAGAAGTTTAAATCAGTGAATTTGAACCTTTTTTTCCTAATATGTGTTTAAAGCTATAAAGTTTCCTCTAAACACTGCTGTAGCTGCATCTCAGAATTTTTTTTTTTTTTTTTTCCGAGATAGTGTGTCATTCTGTTGCCCAGGCTGGAGTGGAGAGGAGCAATTTTGGCTCACTGCAAGCTCGACATCCCAGGCTCAGGTGACCCTACCACCTCCACCTCCCAAGTGGCTGGGACTATAGGCACATGCCACCATGCCTGACTAATTTTTGGTCTTTTGTAGAGACAGGGTCTTGCCATGTTGCCTAGGCTGATGTTGAACTCCTGGGCTCAAGCGATCTGCCCACCTTTGCCTCCCAAAGTGCTGGGGGCAACCATTCCCAGCCACAAATTTTAATATAGTATCTTTTCATTATTACTCAGGTGAAAATATTTGCTAAGTTATTTTATGATTTCCTATTGACCCATAGGTTATTTAGAAGTGTATTATTTAATTTCCAAATATTTATGAATTTTCTCGATAACCTTTTGTCATTGATTTCTATTTTAGTCATATTGTGGTCAGAGAATAGATTCTATATAAAAATCAAAACACTTAAATTTATTGAAACTTATTTTGTGGCATCTTTACATTTTTTAGGGGTCGATCAAGTATTTTTTGTGTGTTTTAGTGTCATCTATTGAACTTTTAGATATAACTCTTCACATTACTTTTTAGTACAGTAAGCGCTCACTTAATGTCTTCAATAGGTTTTTGGAAACTGTGACTTTAAGTGAAACGACGTAAAGCAGGTTCTCCAATAATGTCATTTTGTTCAACATCATTTCCTTTTTTTTTTGAGATGGAGTTTCATTCTTGTCACCCAGGCTCGAGTACAATGGCACAATCTCAGCTCACTGTAACCTCTGCTTCCCATGTTCAAGCTATTCTCCTGCCTCAACCTCTCAAGTAGCTGGGACTACAGGCACCTGCCACCATGCCCAGCTAATTTTTGTATTTTTTAGTAGAGACAGGGTTTCACCATGTTGGCCAGGCTGGTCTCAAACTCCTGACCTCAAGTTATCTGCCCGCCTCAGCCTCCCAAAGTGCTGGGATTACAGGCGTGAGCCACCGCGCCCGGCCCAATATCATTTCATTTCTCAATGAATTTTCCATGTGCACTTAAAAAGAACAAGTATTCTACTATTGTTGGATATAGTGTTCAAAATGTCAAAGTCATTTTGATGATGTCATTCAAATATTCTGTAACCTTACTGGTTTTGTCTGCTCATTCTATCAGTTACTCAGAGAGTGGTGTTGAAGTGACTAAGTATGATAATGGATTTGTCATTTTCCCCTTTAATTCTGTCAGCTTTTGCTTCATGTATTTGGGGCTCTGTTATTAGGTGAATACACATTTAGGATTATTACGGTTTCATGAATTTTCCTTTTATATTTATGAAATGTCCCTTTTGGCATTTATATCTTTATTTTGAAGGCTACCTCTTCTGATATTGATATAGCCACCCCAGCTTTCTTGTGGTTAGGGTTTTCACGGTATATCTTGTTCCACCCTTTTACTTTCAACCTGTCTTTATATTTAAGTTGTTTCTTATTATATAAACAATGTACAGTTGGATCTTTCTTCTTTATCCAGCCTGGCAGTCTCTGCATTTTAATTGGAGAGTTTTTCTATTTACACCCAATGTAGTAACTGTTATGCTTTGGCTTGAGTCTACCATCTTGGTATGTTTTCTATTTGTCACCTTTGTTTTGTTTTGTTTTGTGCTCTGCTCCACTTTTCCTGAGTTTTTTAGGGGTCAATCAAGTATTTTTTTGTGTGTTTTAATGTCATCTATTGAACTTTTAGATATAACTCTTCACACTTTTTTAGTAAAGTAAGCTCTCACTTAATATCATCAATAGGTTCTTGGAAACTGACTTCAAGTGAAACAATGTACAGCAGGTTCTCAAATAATGTCGTCGTGTTCAACATTATTTCATCATAATGATGAAAAAATGGTTTTATTATATGTCATTTTACTCAGTCACATTTTCCAAAAACCTACTGATAACATTAAGTGAGGTTTACTTTAGTTACTCTAGGCAGGGGTGTCCAATCTTCTTTCTTCTCTGGGCCACATTGGAAGAAGAAGAATTGCCTTGGGCTACACATAAAATACACTAATACTAACATTTTAGCTGATGAGCAAAAAAAAAAAAAAAATCGCAAAAAAAATCTCATAATGTGCCGGGCACATGCCTGTAATCCCAGCACTTTGGGAAGCTGACGGGGGCAGATCACTTGAGGCCAGGAGTTTAAGACCAGCCTGGCCGACATGGTGAAACCCCGTCTCTACTAAAAATACAAAGCTGGGCGTGGCGCTGTTTGCCTGTAATCCCAGCTACTCGGGAGGCTGAGGCAGGCGAATCACTTGAGCCTGGGAGGCAGAGATTGCAGTGAGCCAAGATAGCACCACTGCACTCCAGCCTGGGTGACACAGTGCGACTCTGTCTCAAAAAAAAAAAAAACTCTTAAGGTTTTAAGAAAGTTTACAAATTTGTGTTGGGCTGCCTTCAAAGTCATCCTGGGATACATGTGGCCACGGGTGGACAAGCTTGCTCTAGAGATTAAAAGGCACATTTTTATAAAACATTTGACTGATTTTGGCTGCTAATTCTATCTGTCACTCAGAGAGTGGTGTTAAAATGCCTAGCTATGATCAAGGATTTGTCTATTTTCCCCTAAAATATTAGAGCAATATATTTCATTTACTCCCTCCTGTCTTGTGCTTTTGTTTTCATATATTTTACTTTTATTTATTCTATAAATCCCACAATTCCTTGTTATTGTTTTGCTTTGGTCAACATTTATAAGTAGACATAGGTCTAGAGGTATACATACATCTTTCTAATACTCTTCGTACCTTCCTGCAGATCTGGGATTTCATCTGGCATCATTACTCTTCAGCTTGAAGACCTTCTTTTAGCATTTCTTGAAGTGTAGATCTACTTGTGATTAATTCTCTCAGTCTTTGTTTGAAAATTTGTATTTGCCTTTATTTAAAGATACTTTTTTTC
This sequence comes from Homo sapiens, assembly GCF_000001405.40. NCBI lineage: Eukaryota > Metazoa > Chordata > Mammalia > Primates > Hominidae > Homo > Homo sapiens. The sequence continues at coordinate 128,333,126 of NC_000002.12, read as the reverse complement.
TGGATATATGTTTCTTGCTGGAAAGGGTTTTTAATTTTGTCTTTTTATTTTTTCATTTAAAATTTAATATTGTTCCATTGTCATCTGCCCTCCATCGGTTCTAATAAAAATAATCAATGAAAATTGACTCTTATCATCGTTCCTCTGTGTATGTGTTTTTTCTCTCTAGCTGATTTTAAGATTTTATCTTGGCCGGGCACAGTGGCTCTCGCCTGTAATCCCAGCACTTTGGGAGGCCAAGGTGGGCAGATCAGGAGGTCAGAAGATCGAGACCATCCTGCTCAACATGGTGAAACCCAGTCTCTACTAAAAATACAAAAAATTAGCTGGGTGTGGTGGCGCATCCCTGTAATTCCAGCTACTCAAGAGGCTGAAGCACAAGAATCGCTTGAACCCAGGAGGTGGAGGTTGCAGTGAGCCGAGATTGCGCCACTGCACTCCAGCCTGGTGACAGAGTGAGACTACATCTCAAAAAAGAAAAAAAAAAGATTTTATCTTTATCCATGGCTTTTAGCCATTTGAATATGATGTATCTAAGTGTGGTTTTATTTGTGTTTATTCCATTTGAAATTCACTGAGTCTTAGATCTGCGGGTTTCCTTCATTAATCTTGTTCAATTCTCTGCTATTATTTCTGCTAAATATATCTTCTGCTCCATCCTCTCACTTCCCCTTTTAGTGCTCCACTTACACATATATTGGACCATTTGCTATCACCCCAGAGATCCCCTCTGTTTTGTTATATCCTTTTCTCTTTGTGTTTCAGTTTGAATAATTTCTCTTAACCTGTCTTCAAATTCACTGATTGGTTGTTCCCTCTGTTGTTCCCAGTCTGCTGATGAGCTCAGCAGATTTTGCATTTCTAATAAAGTATTTTGCATTTCTAAAATTTGCATTTGGTTCTTTGTTGTAATTTCATATCGCTGTTGAAATAACCCCATATACTTACACATGTTGTCCATCTTTTTGGATGGATTATTTAACATATGTTTTATAGCTATATTAACATCTCTGTCTGATAATTCCAACATCTAGGCCATCTCTGCATCTGATTCTATTGATTATTTCTCCTCTTGACCATGAGCACATTTTGGTTTTTTGTGTGTGTCCCTTGTCATTTTTTTATATCTGGCTTTGTCTGTAAAATAATAGTTGACACTAAAGTTAATGATGTTCATACCCATACAGGACGTTCCCTTTCTTTTATCAAACCACTACTGTGGAGGGTTGACCTAGGTTTTGACTTCAGTGCAGCTTCAGTTGGCAGGTGGGTTCAGACTCATTATGTGATTGGGTGTCTTAAGATACTAATATGAGTACTAATGTGAGAACTCAAGATATACAAGATACACACGTAGTCTGCCAGGCCACAAGTGACCACTAAATGTTCAATAAAATGTTGGCTGTTTCCTCTTTCCCCATAGCATATTCTCCCTTCCCTCCTCAATCTACCAGGGACAAAAGCAGTCATATGCCTAGTCTGCTCTCTGGAATTTAGTACATTTACATTTCTTTATAATCTCAGCTCTCTGATGAGTTTTTTAAACTATGACTTATGTAGCTTATCTACTTGTTCTCACTGTTAGGATGAATTCATAAATGTTATTAAGAAAATAGACTCATAATTTTAAAAAGTTATCTCTATCTCATATGTTATAGCAAAATAAATTCGACAGATTTTAATTTTAAGTGTTAAAAAAGGATACATGAAAGATATTAAAAGAATTTAAAGATGGGCTTCTTATAGTCTTCAGGTATGGAGAGATTGTCTAAACGTGACCCCAAGATGAGAAAACAAAGCAAATTGATGGATTTGACTAAACAGAAACCTAGAACTTATATATGGCAAAAATATATAAAAGAATTAAAACGTAAATGAAAATTTGTGAGAAATTATTTCTAAAATCTATGAGAGATGAGGGGTTAATACCATTAACATTTAAAGAACTATTAAAAATAAAAAGAGGCCAGACACAGTGGCTCACACCTGTAATCCTAGCACGTTGGGAGGCCAATGCTGGAGGATCATGAGGTCAAGAGATTGAGACCATCCTGGCCAACACGGTGAAATCCCATCTCTACTAAAAATACAAAAATTAACTGGGCATGGTGGCTCATGCCTGTAGTCCCAGCTACTCGAGGCAGGAGAATCCCTTGAACCTGGGAAGTTGAGGTGGAAGTGAGCCGAGATTGTGCCACTGCACTCCAGCCTGGCGACAGAGCGAGACTCCATCTCAATAAATAAATAAATAAAATAAAAAATAAAAAGACAAACACCTCAATAGAAAATGAACTAAGGAAATGAATAATTTGCAAAAGGAGAAAAATAAATGGCCAAAAATAATGAAAATAATTCATTTTAATTAGCAATTAAATTGATGTGAATTGAAACCACAGTAAGATACCATTTTTCACTTATTGATCTAGTGAAATTTGAGAATAATAATAATCCTTTATTCCATAAATATTTGTTTGGGGCTGGGGGTGTTGGCTCACACCTGTATTTCCAGCACTTTCGGAGGCCAAGGCAGGTAGATCGCCTGAGGTCAGGAATCTGCGACCAGCCTGGCCAAAATAGTGAAACCCCATCTCTACTGAAAATACAAAAAATTAGCTGGGCGTGGTAGCAGGTGCCTATAATCCCAGCTACTCAGGAGGCTGAGGCAGGAGAATCGCTTGAACCTGGGAGGCAGAGGTTGCAGTGAGCTGAGATCGTGCCTTTGCACTCCAGCCTGGGCAACAAGAGTGAAACTCCATCTCAAAAAAAGAAAAAAAAATTATATATATATATATATATATATATATATATATATATATATATATATGGGGTATAGCTCAGTGGTAGAGCATTTGACTGCAATAAATATTTGTTGGGCACGTTCTACATGGGAGATCCATATGTATCCCTGGGCACTGGACTCCAGAAATGCCCTTGACAGTGTCTGCCCTTAAGACCTTCTCTTCTAGTGTGGAGAGACACAAGGTGATAGGTGTTAGGAAGAAAGATAAGGAATAATAAGGGAGTGGGGAAGCAATGGAGAAAAAGGTGTTATTCTTTCACATAGGATGAACAGGGAGGCAATTCTGATAAAATGGTATCTGAGCAGACACCTGAAGAAAGTGACGGTGTAGCCATTTGGATGTCCTGGGAAACATATTTCAGGCAGAGGGATTAGCACGTGCAAAGGCTGCTGAGGTGAGAACATGCCTGACACATTGAGGAAACAGTAGGAAAGTCATCGTGGCTGAAACTGAGAGAGTTGGCGGCACGTACAATGGAGTCAGAGCTATGTTATTCCTGGAAACGAGGACTATCATAGACTGCTGGTGGAAATATTCACTGGCAACCCCTTTTGAAGGACAACTCAACACTATTTACAAGAAGCTTTAAACCACACACATTCTTTGACTCCAAATTTCAAATTTCCTGAATGTATTCTGATGCAATAACCAGTGCACAAAGATGTACATACAAGAATGTCCATTATAGCAGGAATTTACAATTGGAAACAACCTAAATGTTCAACATCTGTGACTATTTAAATTGTGGTATAAGTCATGAAACAGAATTCTATATAGCCATTAAGATCAATGGGCTGGGCACGGTGGCTCACGCCTGTAATCCCAGCACTTTGGGAGGCCGAGGCGGGCAGATCACGAGGTCAAGAGCTGGAGACCATCCTGGCCAACATGGTGAAACCCCGTCTCTACTAAAAATACAAAACTTAGCCAGACGTGGTGGCATGTGCTTGTAATCCCAGCTACTTGGAAGGCTGAGGCAGAAGAACTGCTTGAACCCAGAAGGTGGAGGTTGCAGTGAGCCGAGATTCCAGCCTGGGTGACAGAGCAAGACTCCATCACAGAAAAAAGAAAGAAAGAAAGAAAGAAAGATTGAGCTGCATGGGCATAATCTCCTAATCTTATGGTCATTAGTGAACATGAGTTAGTTGATAATTTTTTTTTTTTTTTAGTTATAAAAAAGAGTTAGAAGTAGAATCCACCACTTCTTGCTGTTTCTCTTTTTGTAGACCCCATGGTGGGGCAGAGGGAGAAACAGCTTATTATAAGCCTCATGTTCTAGAATCCCTTTATTCTGGCACAAACATTAGTAACTGCAAATGCCATGATTAGGATTCTGAGAAAATTAATTCTACAACAGAAAACTCTTTTAAACATTTTTAAATTTGGCTGGGCACGGTGGCTCATGTCTGTAATCCCAGCACTTTGGGAGGATGAGGCGGGTGGATCACAAGGTTGGGAGTTCAAGACCAGCCTGGCCAAGATGGCGAAACCCCATCTCTACTAAAAATACAAAAAATTAGCAGGGCATGGTGGCGGGTGCCTTATAATCCCAGCTACTTGGGAGGCTGAGGCAGAGAATTGCTTGAACCCAGGAGGCAGAGGTTGCAGCGAGCCAAGATGGCACCACTGCACTCTAGCCAGGGCGACAGAGCAAGACTGCATTTCAAAATAAATAAATAAATAAATTTTTTGCTCTTTTCAAATTCAGAAAGATTTTAAGAAATGACAATAGTCTATGCTGTAAGGGGGTGAGGCGGCACTGCCATTTACTGCTTATGGGAGGCCAAACTTGAACCATCCTGGAAAGGAGCTTGGCACTAAGAATTAAGGCTCTTCAAATGATTCCTCCCCCCAGCCCCCATTTGGTCCAGCAAATGCTCCTTTAATAAAGTATCCAAAAAAGCCTGAAATGCAGACAACAATTTGTGCATAAGAGTGTTCCTTACAGCATTCTTTTAAATGAGAAAAAAATGAACAATCAGAAACAAAAAAGTGAAATACCAAAGAAGTGTAAAGGCCCAACACTAAGGAAACAGTGAAGTAAATTATGGTATGTCCAAAATTGGAAATATTGAGTAGTCAAATATTATGTTTATGAAGTTATTCTTAGCAATTTACGAAAATGCTTGGGATAAAATATTAAGCGAAATAAAGCAAGATTCAACACCATGCATGTGGTGTGCTCTCAACTGCTACATGAACATGCAAAAGAAAAAAGACCAGAAAGAAATAAAAACATCATTAGGAGTTCATTCTAAATAATTAAAGTATAGATGAATGGCATTTTTTCCTTACAACAGTTTTCTACTTCCCTACAGTTTAAATGTTTTCCAGAGTTGATAATTACAAAAAAAAAAAATCCACCTGTTAAAAATTTCAGAAACTGAATACGCTTCAGCTTGCTATTCCACTCTGCCCCAGCCCAGGCCCAGGTGCTACAGTGGGAAATGGGTGCATCTGAAGGGGGCGGGTGACGTGGCTGCAGGGCAGGAATAAAACGGCCACTCTCCTCCCCTGAGCCTAGCTCCTGGAAGGAGGCTTGCCCACTAGCTCCTACAGATTCCAGCCCAGCATAGAGCCAGGCCCAAGCCACCACCCCTGTTCCAGGGACAGGTGGGCAGGTGGAATGGGTGTTCTCAGCCCTAGCTCCATGTCACAATCACTCACAAGCATTTCAAACTTGGTGCCCAGGCCCCCTACAAGAGGCCCCCTACAGACTCTGGCTGGCCCTGGAGCCAGCATTTCAAAGTTATCCATCTGATTCTCTTTGCCCAGGGCCTAGCCCTGCTGGGGAAGTAAAATCCTGGTAAAAGGGGCACAAAAACCAGAGGGCTAGAGATGGCGGAGGATGGTCGGAGGGTGCTTGGACTGGGCCTGTGCCACTTGCCTGAACCTGGGAGCAGGACTGCCCCTCTCATTGGCAGTCCCAGCCAGGGCAGCAAGCCAGACCAGGCCCCACAGGCCAAGGCTGGGAGGCGCAGGCCAGCACTGGGCTGCAGTCACAGGGAGTCTCGGGCGAACAGAGCAGGTGCCTGGACAGGACTGCTCTTCCATCATTCATACCCACCTTTGATGAGTACTGATCAGACGGCAGGTGGGCAGGGCCCACACGGTGCACCCTGTAGGCCTCACAGGGCCAGGAGACTGGCACCGTGATGCCCACTCCCTCCAGACGCAGATGTACTTTTCTTTCTTTCTTTTTTTTTTTTTTGAGACAGAGTTTCACTCTTGTTGCCCAGGCTGGAGTGCAATGGCGCAATCTCGGCTCACCACAACCTCCACCTCCCGGGTTCAAGCGATTCTCCTGCCTCAGCCTCCCAAGTAGCTGAGATTACAGGCATGTGCCACCATGCCCAGCTGATTTTGCATTTTTAGTAGAGACGGGGTTTCTCTATGTTGGTCAGGCTGGTCTCAAACTCCCAACCTCAGGTAATCCGCCCGCCTCGGCCTCCCAAAGTGCTGGGATTACAGGCGGGAGCCACTGCACCTGGTCAGATGTGCTTTTCTTCACGTTAAACTTTTTATTATAACTGTGGGTTTGCACGCAGTTGAGTTCCTTCACCAGTCTCCCCCAGTGGCAAGTGGCTAACATCCTGTGGAAATACAGCACAGTATTTCAAGCAGGCTATAACACGGGGACAGCAGCAACCTTGTTCAGATTTCCCCAGTTCTGCCTGCTCTCATTGGTGTGTGTGTGTTCAGTTCTGTACAACTTGATCACATTGTTTGAAATATGTGAATACACCCATCTCATTTGCATCTCCTGGTCCTGCCACCTCCCTCTTCTGCAGGAGGCATCTTTTTGCCTCAGGCGGCCTGGACTCTCAAGAATGAAAACTCGGCTTTAGAATTCCAAAACCAGGCTTTCTGAGTTTGCACCTGGCCCACGGGCTTGAAAGGCAGACTTTGTTGAGATGAGGATTTTGTAAATCTTTTATCTCTTAATATTTCAAGATAGGAGTAGATGTCCTGGAATACAGAGGTGTCTGTGAGGGGCTCTGTCTGCCCTTAGGAGCCTCTGGGTATAGGCTGCTCTGCAGGGCAGGCCCAGCAGGATAGACACGGTGGAGCAGAGGGGCTGAGTTTGTCCTTCCTGGGTTTCTCTGTGGCAGAAATAGAGCCCAGAGGCTTCTTATGCCTCAAATGGGGATGCAGAGCTTGACTGAGGTATGGGCAGGGGCAGGCTGGCCCCCCCATGGCCCACCGGGGCTGGGCTTTTCCCATGACAGCCAGGTCTGGGGGTTGTGGTAAGGCCCAGAGTCCTGCCAGCTGCAGGCCTGGTGCCTGTGCCCATGGCACGCCAAGCAGGCTCCATCAGCCTCCCTAGCTGGACAGTGGCCAGCTCACACCGGGGCCAGCCGCTGCCTATGAACCTCGCCCTTTGCTCTTGCTTTGGGGCCCTCTGGGACTCCCAAAGAATTCAGATCTCGGAAGACCACACATTCTCTTGGGGTGTGTGAGTAGGGACCAAGCAGCCTTGAGACAGGGCCCGAGGGTGACCTGAAGCTAGAAAGCAGAGGGCAGCACTAGCAGGGAAAGCCTGTGTTGTCCTGGGTTGGCTTTTGGTGCTCCGCTGGAGAGGGCAGGCTGCAGCAGGGACAGGCACGTGCTGCCAGCCGTGGAAGCCGGAGACTCCGGGTAAGGGCAGGAATTGGCTCACTGTGCTACCCTCTCTACTTCTGTGTGAATTTAAACTCTTCGTAAACAAAAGTCAAGAAATCAAATAGAGCCTAACAATTATTGGATCAGACTGGGATTACAGGATGGAAGTAATACAGGTTTTCTCTGCCACACAGTGGGATGGGCTCTCAAGAAGATGGGAGCAGATAAAAAGAAAAAGCTATGATTGAGTTCTGGTCTGGACAAGGAGGTATAGACCCATTTCTCCAGCTCCCCTCTTCTAAGCTCAGCTACAAACCCTGGAAATGGCACCAGAGATAGAGTCAAAGGAGGGCGTGGAAAGATGGAAGAGGAAGGTAAGCGCGTCAAGACCCTAGGACAGGAGGAACAGCCCAGCAGCAGGGCACCTTACAACCCCACCCGGCAGGAGGACGTGGTCCAGGCCGGGCTGGGGGCTGGGGGCTAGGCTCTGCCCAGGAGCCCAGGACTTGGGTTTCTCCAAGGGCTGGGAGTCGGGAAATGGGAAGGTGGAGAGGACCCTCAACCAAGGCTCTCACCAGGGAGGGGACACTGTCCCCTTGGCCAAGTCACTATCCTCTGCTCAGCCTCAGCTCCCTGACCTGAGAAATGAGGGAATTATGCCCATAGGGCAGCCGAGAGCACTGAATACAATCATGCACAGAGGAGGCCAGCGCACAGGAGGGCCTGGCACACAGGAGAAGCCGAGTAGCTGGTTTTGAATATGCGGATGCTGATAGGGTGCTTCCCACAAATCGACAGTAGGAATACCTAGCCCTTGGCGTAGACAGGGCTGTGGAATAAGCGTTTGCTTGCTTATTGCTTACCATGACCCTATGAAGTAGGTCCCATTATTATCCTCACTTTACAGATGAGGAAACCAAGGCTCAGAGAGGTTAAGTAACTTGGTGAAGGCCACACAGCTGGTTAGACAGAGCTGGGGTGTGAACATAGCACCTTTACTCCTAATGATAATGTTTAACTTTGTTTTCCTACAACTGAGGCTGAGACCTTCCTCCTTGGCCCCCAGCCCAGGTGGTCCCTCCAGGGACCAGCCTGAGGGTAGGAGGAGTGTCCCAACCCCAGTCACCCAAAAGCCAAAGTCAAGGGCAAAACACGTACCAGGAGGCCCTCACCCGGCCCAAGGCTGGTCAAGACTGCATGGCAGTCACGACGGTATAGACGTGGGTGGCATTGGTGTGGACTCCCTTCTCCAGCCCCCTTACCTGAGGGGTGCCTCTCCCAGCCTCGCGGCCTCAGCTGAGCACCCACTGGCTCTGTGACCTTGGCAAGTGGCCTCATGTCCCTGGGGCTCAGCCTCCCCATCTGTAAGGAGAGGCCCACAGAGCTGCTGTTGGATTATAAGAGATGTGACTGACAAGGGCTCAGCACGCAGACCTTGCCCATAGGGTGATTATTGTTGTCAAAGACACAGCCTGAGGCCCTGGGTGGAGCACAGCCTCCAGCCCAGCAGGTGTGAGCCATACCCCATCCCGTCTGCTGACAGAAATGTGCCTCCCTCTTTTCTGCTGGCCTGAACAGCACCACAGCACTTGTCACCAGCCCAGGCCTTCAGCCAGGTGGACGACCTGGTGTACCACACACCCATGGTGTGACCCTGTCCCTGGATGCTCTGAGAATAGAGGAGATGCTGTTGCTGCCCCATAGGCCCTGGGCCCAGAGAAGGACGCAGACTCCTCCCACCAGGAGCCAAGGTTACCCTCCCCCAACCCTGAGTGTCTAATTCCCACGAACTCTCCTTCTTAAAGGAGGGCAGGGAGAGAAACGAACAGCAAGAACCATAGCTATTTGGTGCAAAAAGAAACGTGGTCACTGAGAGATTCCAGGAAGTGTCAAGGCCAGCCAGGTTTACCGCTGCCGTGCTGAGCCCTGGCCTAGGGACAGGTGAGCCCCCTCCCCACAGTGCCACAGGGGCGGGCAGGGCCTGCTCCATAAAGCCATCATTGTGTCCCACCTCTGTGCCCCCACCCAGGGCCCGGGTCCCACCAAGGCCCTGGGGCCCTGCCCAAGAAGAAGCTTCCATCAGAACAGTCAACTGACTTGTCAAGCCAACTGTAATCTAGCAAGAGGGCGACTCTTTAATAGCAGTGGCGATGAATGGAGGTAAAAAGAGCAGGACCTGGTGACGAGGAGCATGGGGGCCGGCCATCATCCTCCAGGAAGGGCACTGGCACCAAGTGAATTCCACAGACAGAGGGGTGGCCAGTCCAGCCAGCAGAGAGTGGAGCAGAGTGGGAGCTGGTCCCGAGCCCCAACGATCAGGCAAGGCTGCCTGGAGGGCACTGACCATGCCCTTCTAGGCATCAGGGCCCAGGACTGAGGCCACCTTCTTCCACCTGTGCCCCGGCCCCTGGTGGCTTAGGCAGCTGGGGTGGGAGCAGCAAGCACCCCATGGTTGAGTGACTTTTCTCGGACTAGAACATTTCACCCTCAAAAGAGCCGCCATCCACCCCACCCCACCCCCAGGGAACATCCCCAACAGTGGAGCTTGTCAAGCTGCTCAGTGCCCTCTCTGGTGGCTCCCCCGACCCGGCCGAGTCGGAACCCCTCTGGGCAGTGAATGACAGCCATCTGGGAGGAGACCCACTGGCCACCGGAAGCTGCGAGCAGTCACCCCCCACCCCATCCAGGCTGTGATCCCGCCTCCACCCTAGTCGTCTAAAGACATGTCCCTTGGGAAGTTTCAAGCAGAAGAACCAGGACGATGCCCTTGGGGCAACGTTACCAGGTCCCTGTCCTGCCTCCCAAGCTGGCAGAACCCGCCAGGCCTGCCCACAGTCCCGCTGCCCGGGGAGGAGGGTGGGCTCCACTGGACAGACTCCGAATCCCGGCCAGGCAGCAGTCCAAGCCCCCCACTTGCCAACAACCCCACGTCACACGCGAGGGCAGGGGGCCAGCCAGGGGGAGGTCACCGAGCCAGCAGGGCGGGGGGGGCGGGCAAGGGCCGGGGAAGCCCAGGACCACGCTGCCCCTACGAATTGCTCAGGTTCTCCTCTTCTGTTTATCCTACCCTCTTCCCCTAAGGACTGAAGCGGGCCTGGAGGGCCTAGAGAAAGGGCACAAAGAACAGCGAGGCCCTGGGCGGGCGTGGAGGGAGGGGAATGGCCCTTCCGAAGCCCCGGGCCTCTTCCAGCGCGGTCCTCGAACCGAACCGCAGGACCCCTGCTGTCCCCGGGCAGCGGCCGGAGCGCGTCCCTCGGGTCCTGGGAAGACCTGCCGCGTCTGCGGGCTGCCTGGGAGCCCAGGCGCCCCGCGGTGCTGGGGGAGGAGCCCGGCACGGGGCCGCTGGGCGGCAAAGGGGCCGCGGGCTCCCTGGAGGAGGCGGCTGCGGACGGGGCCTGGCGACCTCGGAGAAGGTGGCGTCCACGGCGCGCAGCCCGGCGCCCCAAGCCTGCCGCCGGGTCGGGGTCGGGGCCGGGGCCGGGCCCCGCGGGTCCGCGCGAGCCGGAGTCCCCTCTAAAAGTTTGTCCCCAAACGAAACCCCTCTCTCTGCCCCGCGTGGGCAGCGGGGCCAGCCCCACGGGAGGCTCTGAGGACAGACACGACTGCCCTCCTCCACCCCTTGGCAAACAACAATGGGCGGCCGCCGGACGAACGACGAGGGAAGCGAGTGTGGAAAATCCCCCAATTTTTTGCAAAGTCAACCGCGGGCGCTCGGGGGCCGGGCCGCGTGCTGCCCCCGCGCGGCCGTCCGCGGGACTGTGCGCCGGGAGGGGGCGCCGCTGTTGATCTCGTGGTTCTCAGACTCTGAGACCGCACGGTGGGCCGGGAATGAGGCTTCATTCCTGAAGCCGAATGTTAATGCCTCTTCTGGGATCATCACAGCCTGCCACTAAGCCGTGTTCTTTTACTTTTCTTTGCCATTAAGTCAGAGATCACGCATTAAAGAATTGGTGAAGTGGATCTTCAGGGGACAAAGCCACTGAGCAGAAGAGCTGCCAGTGCTTTTCCTTGGACCCCACAAGCAGTCAGGGCCAGAAGCTGCCCCTAGCAAACACTTAGCTCATATGCACTCTCGGGGCTGGGGCAAACCTTGGCCACGCAGGAGATCACCCAGGGAAGAAAGGAAACAGCGCGCAGAGCGCGCCTCCTGAGACCCTGGCTGTGTCCGCTGACCTCCTGGAACCCCACGCCAGCCCCAGACTGTGCGTTTCTATCCATTTTCCAAGACATGACACTGAGGACTCATCGCGGGGAGTAGCGGGAAGTGGTGGGGAGTAGCGTGATGCAAGCTGCCCCGCCAACGAGGGCTCGAGCTGCCTTCCACTCGGCTCAAGTGTCCACTGATTGATGGGTGGCTCATCTGACTTGACTTTCAGAGCCCAGAAACTCACCTACAGCCTTAGGGTCTCAGGTGCCTGTGCAGGGCTTCAATCAAAGTGGAAGACTGAGCAAAGTCCTGTAGCCAGCCAGGCAGATTTCCCTCCTCTTAAAAGAATTCTAGAAAGAAAGGGCTTCCTGGCTAATGTGAGTGCTTCCCATCAGCCAGTGTGGCAGGTATGAAGTTGGATTAAATAGCTTGTTCTGGGAGATGTTGCTCCATGGGTCAGGCTGCTCTGGCTCCCATTCAAGGGTGGGACCTTATCACAGGCACTTCGTCCCTGCCTGGGCCTCAGTTTCCCCCTTGGGACAGTGAGATCATCACAGGGTGGAGCCATGGCCCAAGTACCGATGGCTTCGTTGGCCTTCGGAGCTGCTCCAGCTTTCCCTTGAACACTCTGGGCCCACGTTCCCCCTTGGTGGCAGTGACGGTCACCAGGCTCTCAGGAGTGGCCCCTGTAGACGCTCTCATCCCTGGCCTAGGGAGCTGGGGCAAGTGCAGAGGTGGGGAAGGGGAGGGTTCTGGGGCTCACAGCAGGAATCAGGATCCCAGCTCTGCTGACTCTCATGGGGTGAGAGTGGTTGACCTTGGAACCAGGGTCTTAACCCCTTTGAACCTCAGTTTTCTCTTCTGTAAATGGATATCACAGCCTACCCCCGCAGATTTGCTGATGGAATTGGAAATGACACCTCTACAATGCCTGGCACCCAGCAGGTCTCCAAAAGAGCAGCCTTAATTATGATGTAGCACGAGGATCCTTATCTGGGTAAGGACATCTGGGGGGTGGACCCGGGGCAGCTGTGCTCCCCTAGGCCACACAGGAAGGCTCCCCAGGGCTCAGGCACAGACTGCGTCAAGGGGCTGCAGGCAGGTCCAAGCACACTGCAGGGCGGCCCCACCTGTGTCCCATGGGGACTGCACCCCCACTCCTATAGGAATGAGTCACTTCTGGAGAAGCTTGTCCAAGCTGCCCCCAGGACCCTCGGGCCAGGGACAGTTTTAAAGCAGCCTACAAGATGAGCAGGGGCTTTGGGGCCCTAGGTCCCACTGAGGACCCCACACCATGGACTCCAGGGTGCGCTGGGCTGTGTTGAGGGTTCTGCACCCGCCTGTCCACAGCGGATATTCTTGCGGTCCCTTTGGAAAATGCATGCCGCCCGCTCAGCTGGGTTTGGGGTGTTGGTTTTTCCAGCTCTCTGGGTTTGCTTCCAGGAGGGCTTTCTGGTGTGATGTTGTCTACGTTTAACAGCTTTACTGAGGCATAATTGACACCCCATGATCGCTTCCGGTCCCTAACAGAACGGAAGGCAGGGCACCACCCCGCCTCCCCCCCCACCCCGTCCCCGGCAGGGCTTGACGTGGACACTGGGAGCCCACGCCTGGCAGCCAGACTCGCTCCCAGAGCCCTCGCTGGCCTGAACCAACACACTAGGGCCCACCGCGGCCGGCCCTGCAGCTGTGAGATCCTGGCAGGTCCCAGCCCCACTCCTGCGCTTCCGACGGGCTGCAGCCTCCGAGTACTGCCAGAGCCCAAGCAGTGTGAGTGGGCACCTGGCGGGACCCCCCGCCCCACGAATGCCGCGCGTGCTTGCCAGGCTGGGCGGCGGCGAGTGAGGAGCCCGCACCACCCGGCCCACACACGAGCCAACGTGGAGCGAGCCCTCCGCAGCCAGGTTGGGCCCGGGCCGCTGGACTCTCCAACCAACCCACGAAAGACAGAATATTTGGTGGGCACTCACGATTCTTAAGAATTGGCTCAATGTTTTATAACTCTTTCATTGGAGTATAATAAACATGGATGGGGGAAAATGCACCTCGTCTGATATTCTTTTCAAACAAGGAGGAAGCCATAAAGCCGCTCCGCAGGCCTCTGCAGACAGCCCAACATCTCTTCAATGCGGGGCTGCGGGGCACTGTCCCAAAGCCAGCCGCAGGGGTGAGGGGGTCGAGCAGGAAAGGAAAGCCTCGCTTTCCCTCTCGGTCCTGGTGGTGGGCGGCCCCCGCCGCCCTGGTCCCTGGAAGTGCAGCCCAGTAGGCTAGCGTCTAACTTCAGCGCCCCAGCGTGCAAGGTCAAGGCCTTTCCTCCCGCGCGGGCTGCGGGGACGTGGGCGGCTGGGACTTGGGGAGGAGGGGGTACGGACCCAGGCTCCAGAAGCGCCAGCCGCCGCGCCCCCTCACCGCGGCCCCCGCCAGGAGAGCCTCCCACGCCTCGGCTCCGCACTGCCGGTTGGTCCCCCACTCCCCTGAGGGCGGAATCACTTCCCAGTCGCTGGCTGCCCGCCTGCTAGCGGCCTCGCCACCGCAGCAGACCCAGGTCCCGCGCCCAGCACCCGCGGCGAACCCCGGCACTCCGGAGGCGGGGCCGAGGATCGGCGCGGGCGGCGACGGCAAGAGACGCCACGGGGGCGGGCCAGGGGCGGACCGGGGCGGGGCGGCGGCGGCGGACTGCGGAGACGCGGCGGCGCGCGGGGCGGCGCAGAGCGTTCTCGGCGCGGAGTGGAGCGGAGCGGGCTGGTGCTGGGGGCGCGGAGAGCGCTGTGCTGGCCGGGGCCGGGAGCGGGGCCGAGCGGGAGCGGAGTCGGGCGTCGGGCCCGGGGAGCCGGGGCCGGGCGGGGAGCAGCCATGGCACCGCGGAGGGTCGGGGCCCGCGCCGCTGCGGGCGGCCTGGGCGCCGAGTAGCCGGGCCGGGCCGGAGCGCGGGCGGCGGCGGAGGCAGCTGCGCCCGCGCCTCCTGCCCTCCCAGGCCCCGCGCCCCGCGCCCGGGCCCCGGCGATGGTGACACATGCGGCGGCGGCGCGCCGGCGGCAGGACCATGGTTGAGCGCGCCAGCAAGTTCGTGCTGGTGGTGGCGGGCTCGGTGTGCTTCATGCTCATCTTGTACCAGTACGCGGGCCCAGGACTGAGCCTGGGCGCGCCCGGCGGCCGCGCGCCGCCCGACGACCTGGACCTGTTCCCCACACCCGACCCCCACTACGAGAAGAAGTACTACTTCCCGGTCCGCGAGCTGGAGCGCTCGCTGCGCTTCGACATGAAGGGCGACGACGTGATCGTCTTCCTGCACATCCAGAAGACGGGCGGCACCACCTTCGGCCGCCACCTCGTGCAGAACGTACGCCTCGAGGTGCCGTGCGACTGCCGGCCCGGCCAGAAGAAGTGCACCTGCTACCGGCCCAACCGCCGCGAGACTTGGCTCTTCTCCCGCTTCTCCACCGGCTGGAGCTGCGGGCTGCACGCCGACTGGACCGAGCTCACCAACTGCGTGCCCGGCGTGCTGGACCGCCGCGACTCCGCCGCGCTGCGCACGCCCAGGTGAGCGCCCGGGCGGCGGGATCCTCGCGCAGCTGCGCCCCCGAGGCCGGGCCGTATGCCCGCCGTGCTGTACTGGGTCGGCCCTGCCTTCCCTACCCCCTTCTGCCCTCTTGGGGGCCCCCACTCGCCGGCACCCCTCCCGACCTGCCGAGCGCCCGAGGCTCCCAGCTCCTCTGGGTGAGCCGGCTGTCACCGCGCTTTCTGACCTCGCTCTCACTCTCTTCCTTGCCTTGTGCTGCCCTACTGCCGGCTTGACTGCGCAGCGCCCGGGTTTTCTCCAGGGTCCCCGCCCGCTGCCCTCGGGCCACCTTACCTGCTGTGCGCCGTGAGGTCTGGCCCGCCGGACTTGGGGACGCGGGCTTCTGGGTGTGTGCGTGGCCTACCTGGAGTGTTGGCTTCCCCGTGCCGCTTCGGTGCTGTGGTCCCAAAAGTGGAAGTGAGAGTAGTGAGGTGCCGCCCCTGTGCCTGGAGTGCCTGCCTTCAGAGGGTGGGGGAGCTGCCAGGGAAGGGGGCTGGCTCTGCCCGCCTGCCTGCCGGTGTGTGCAGGTAGAACAAAGGCCCTGTTGACCTGGGGCTGGGGGCGGGGAGGAGGCAGTACCGCCTGTCCTCCCAGTGGGGCCTGCCAGCCGAATTCTTCCAGGCACAGGCTTGCCTGGAGAGAGGAACAAAAGCCACCCGATGGGGGACCACCTTCCCCAGGAAGCTACCAGCCAGGTTGGGGGTAGTTGAGCTGGTCCAGGGAACCTGTGCTGCCACACCCCTTCTCTGGGGTCCCCCAGCCCCATGTCAGAGCTGAGCTGCGTGAGGACACAGAGCATGGGAGGGGTGCCGGGGCAGCTCTTCTGGGAAGCCGTTTGTAGGGGAACCTGGGGTGCTGCTGGGTTTCCAGCAGTTAAAGTTGGGGTTATTTTCCTCCTGTTCCTGTTGGTGCCCATTCGTCCTGCAGGGATGCCCTGCGGGGCCTTTCTCCCCAAAGTCTGGGCTGGGAAGGGCCAGGAGCAGGGCTTCTTGTCTGCCTTTTGTTTCTCTTCCAAATTTGCCTTAGGACTGAATTTGCAGACAGGCTGGTGGTAGGAGGCTGGGCGGTTGTAGGCGTGTTGGCTGGCACTCTTGGGTCCAGAGGCTGTAGGCTCTCAGGTGTGCCTGGGGAGCCTGGAAGGTCCAGCCAGCCTGGAGCTGAGCAGAGTCCGAGACACTGCTCCCCTGCACAGACCTCAATCCTTGCTCTGTGGTCTTTCTCAGGCTGTCAGGAAATTGGGGTCCTAGAGTTGGAGGGGCATCTTCCCACTTTTCTTTCTCCCCCCTCCCCCAACTGTACACACACACACCCACACACACACACACACTGCAGCTCCCAGCCTGGGAGGTGATGTTCTGAGCCTCTTACAGCCACATTCTACACTTGGCGGTCACAGAGCTGCCTGTCTAGGGCCCCTGAAGGATTGCTTCCGGCCCAGCACTTAGTCTGCTCTGCACAGATGCACGTTCCTGCTGCAGGGCCCCCCTAACCCTGGTCCAGCTTCTCTGTGCTAGGCTCAGCTGTGCCTGGGACCACAGCCATGCCCCCACCCACCCTTCCACCAGTCAGAGCAGTAGGCTCCCAGAGTTGGTCACTGACCAATACCAACAGACGCCTCCCTACCTGTGGGGGGTGCAAGGATGGGGGTCACCCCCTTTGCCAGAGGGACTTAGCTCGGCAGCCTAAGAGGATTGCGTGGAAGCTTCGGGCCGCCAAGAAGCCGGAGCTTTTGAAACAAGCCTGCTCAGCAGAGGCCACCTCAGCCCTAGATTGCAACCAGGATGCTCTTCCTGCAGCCCCGCACGCCTGTGGGTCCCCAGGGTGAAGAGCCTTGGCCTCCTTTCTCTGGAGTTTGTCCATGAGAGTGGGAGGACCAGGTGGGGCCGATGGGGCCCCAGGTGCTACACCAGGAAGGCCCGGCTCCCCCTGCCCAGGGAGCATGTGTGGAGCAAGAATGGAAAACGCAGATGCCTCTGGCGGAGGTGGGCTGCCAGCCTGGAAATTGCTAGCTCAGCAGCATGCGCCAGGGTTGGGAGGGGCTTCCAGGGCCGTCAGGAGGCCCCCTCTGCCACCCACTCTGGAAGTGGGTTGTGCTACCGGGCAGGTGACAGCACCCCACCCTCCGAGTCCCTCTTCTCCGCCTCCACTCCCTTCAGTTCTGTTGCAGGCACTAGGTAGATTGCTTTTTTAATGAGCTTCATCAGGAGGCCAAGGTAATCTTGCCTTTGTGCTCGCAGGGCCAAGCTGCACTGAGGTCCACCTGCTGAGCGCTGCCCCGCCACCTGAGTCTTCTGGCCCAGGCTGGAGCTGGGCTAAGCTGCTCTGCTGTGGCGGTTGGGATGCACTTCCCCCATCTGCCCAGGGACCCAGCAACTCTCTATCAGGGGCAGTGCCCATCCCTGCTGGGGTGCCTCATGTTAAGTGGGCTTGGTGTCAGGAGACTCAGGTGTCACCCTGGCCCTCCTGCGATGTCTTCACTCTGGCTCTGCACTGCCATCTCCGTGTTCTCTGGGGACTGAGACCCTCTTTTCCTTCTATCTCTGCCTGCCTCCCTGCCCAAGGCTGGCTCCTGGAACCTCTCCACCAAGCCCCTCCCATTCCCTGCTGCGGTTTGGGAGGGTCTCAGTGGGCCTGTGGTGCGCGTAAGAGAGGTGGGGCTCTTCCCGGCTGCCAGCCTCCCCATTGCACAGTATCAGCCTGGGCTGCTCTGAGCTGGGCATCCATGGAGATGGACAGGTTTTTGATGTCTTCCTGGAATATGGTTTGGAACTTCTAGTGGCTGTTAGTGCTTGGCTGCCTTGGTAGAAAGGAACAAGAGTGAGCAGAGCATTGGCGGGTCCCTGTTTAGTCCTGTGTTCACCATGGGGGCTGCCTCATCTGCCGACATCAGCCAGGGTGCTTGTAAGACTCCACTGGAAGGACGTTTGCTGGCTGGCCTTAAAGAGGTGTGGCCATCCCCAGGCAGCAGCCAAATGGCCAGCCATTCCAGGGACCACTCGGTTAGAATGTCTCAGCACCCCACACTCCGCTGTCACTCAGAGGGTCCAGATGGTGCTCCAGAGCCAGAACCTCCCTCCTTCCTCTTCCCGTCTGCCTGAAGGCAACGCAAGAACAGGCATGGTCAAGGTCTTGCCCGGGCCACCCTGGAAATGTCCCTGAAATCATGTGGGCTTCATTTGGGGCCACGGAGGGCATCTGGAGCCCAAGTGTGGCATCTGGGCCACCTTGGCCGGGAACCCGGGACCAGCTCACATCCTCTCTGCACCAGGGCCTCTCTGGAGCCCTTAGTGGGCTCGCAGCCTCTGTGACGTTGCCCTGCAGAGACCAGTGCTTCCTTGCTGGAGGGATGGCGCAGGAGCCCGCAGCCTCGCCTTTGACCTGCCCTCCGTGATCCTGAAGCCTTCTCAGACTCCAGAAATCCGCCTGGTGCTGGACCTGTGTGCCGTCCACCTGGTGTGCCTGCTCTCCTCTCCCACTTTTCTGCCTGCTCCTCCCCTCCCTTCAGTCTGCTCAGATGCCCCTTCCTCCAGGAAATCTTCCCTGGCTTTCTGTTCCTAGGCTCCCCTGTTGCCTTAGGCGCCTCGACTGCTGTCCCATCTGACACCGTGCCACCTTGGCACTGCCCTCATGCTGGCACCATGGGAATTTTTTTTTCCTGGACTCTGCAGGATCTGGGCTCTGTCCCTGCCCTTTCCCTGTGACTCAGGTTCACGGAGTCAGTCTTGAGTGTCATGGTGTTCCCTGAGAACCTGGGGACTCCTTGGTGGGGCAGACCAGGTAGGGGTGGGCTTGGATGAGAGCCTTCGTTTCTGTGGCATGCGACAGTTTCCACCTTACCTTCATAATCGCTTTCTTCTTTGAGATCAAGGGAGAAACCCTCATCTGCTGTGATGGGGACAGATGTTACCCAGAGCATGTGACTGGGGCCAATGAACAGGACCTGGGGACCAGGCTGGGGGTGTCACTGTGCCTACATTGCCTAGAGAGGCCTTTGGTTAAGATGAGAAGGGAATCTGTGGTCAAGATGCTCCTAGATTTTCACTAAAAATAGATAAAAAATCCTTTTTTTTTTTTTTTAAGCAAACACATGATAAGGCAAACTTACGAATGGTTGGGTGACAGGATCGTTTTAGATGGTCCTCTAGCTTGGGGGATCATTTCTGCCATGCTGCTCTGGTGGTCTTCAAGCCACAGCTTCCTGTCCTAGGCACTTCACGCATAAAACTGGGGCCTGGGGACTCCTGCTCCTGGATCAGAGAGCCCAGTCCCAGAGAGTGCAGTGCCCACCTTGGTCCCTAGGGCCAGGGAATCCAGGTTTCTTTCTCAGCAGGAGTTCTGGCTGCCACACGGGGGAGTGGCCACCTTGGGTCTGGCATCCTCCAGGGCCCAGGAGGGAGGAGGAGAAGGGGCCTGGTCTTGTCGTCCTTCGGGGAGTTGGAGGCTTTTGCTCTCACACCCCGCTTTGTTGTGGTTATAATGATTGTTTGGTAGATGAGTGGGAGGAAAGTATGAGGCAGAGGGAGAAAAGGAAAATCATCCATTCCCCATGCATGGTTTTTCCACTGTAATTGAAGCCATCATATAAATTTCACCATAAATGTTGTCTGTTGTCATTAAAAACTTAATATTTGAGTGGCTGCAGCTGCTCCGCTCTGAGTGTGCCACCGCTGGTTGGCAGTGGGTGAGTGCGCAGGTTGCTCATTCTGTACTCTGTGGGGACTGCTGCAGGACTGCTCCTTGTGTGTAAATGTTCTGCATAGCTCTGATTTCCTCTGGAGATTCCTAGGAGTGGAATTTCTGAGTTGAATAGTCTGAATGTCTTTACTGCTCTTGGTACAAATGTTACCTTCCTCTTCAGAACACCCACTCCTGGTATGCTCCCACCTGTGGTCTGTGAGCACCCATGTCAGTGGCACACTCATTGGTACTGAATAGCATGTGAATTTTTTTTTTGAGATGGAGTCTCACTCTGTCCGGTGCAGTCTGGACAATGATGGCACGATCTCAGCTCACTGCAACCTCTGCCTACCAGTTTCAAGCGATTGTCCGACCTCAGCCTCCCACGTAGCTGGGATTACAGGTGCCCGTCACTACACTTGGCTAATTTTTTTTATATTTTTAGTAAAGACGGGGTTTCACCATGTTGGCCAGGCTAGTCTCGAACTCGGGACCTCAGGTGATCTGCCCGACTTCGCCTGCCAAAGTGCTGGGATGACAGGTGTGAGCCACCGCACCAGCCTATTGTGAATTTTTTTTTAAATTTATTCTCTTAAATCACCGAAAAGTGCTAATCTTATGGTTTTTATTGCAAAGCCTTGCCCAATGAGTACACCCTTGGGGTGGCCCATCTATGTAGGGCACTTGGGAGCAGCCATGCCCAGTCACCCACATGTCGCCACCTGCTCACAGGTGGCTGAGTTTCACCCCTGCTGAGAGAGGGGTGCAGCTCCCAGGGGCCTGGGGTGCACCCTCTCTGGGTGCCCATCACCATCCCATGTGGCATTTTGCGGGACTGAATTCCGCCTCTATGAGGAACAGGCGTGACAAGCCATGGGGGCATGTAGAGAGGCTGGCAGGGTGACTCTTGTCCCCTGCACACTTAGCAGGCACTTGGAATGGGTCATCTTGTTTGGACCCAACACTCCCCCAAGACAAGTATATGAAGAGCAGCCCCATTTTCCACACAAGGAAGTCAGGCCCCAGAGAAGGTGGAGAATGTGTCAGTCCCTCAGCCTGGAGGGCCAGGAGCTAGCATGTGGACATCTGTCTGTCTGTCCTGAAGGCTGTATGCCGCACCCAGCCCTCTGCTCCCAGCAACCCCTGCATGCGCATGGAAGGCTGTCTGCAGGTGGGGGCGATTGCCGCTGGCCCAGACCAGCCAGATGTAGAACACTAGGGCTTCTGAGACCTGGGCAGACATGGGCAGTTTCACATGTAGGCCTGTGTCGTTGCGTTTACTGGAAGACACCTGGCAGCCTTCACTCAGAGCAGAAGGACAGGCATCATGCCTGGGCTCTGGGCTCTGCAAAGGTAGTGCTGGCAAGGCTGCCTGAGAGTCGGCCCCTGGCAGCAGAGACTGCCCATGGCGGTGCTTGGCTCCTGGCGCAGTGTGGCCACCCCTTCTGCCACCTCCCCCATAAGATTGGGCTGTTTTCAGGTACTCCTCTGGTCCTGCACCACCGATGCCACCACCGGCCCAGGGAGGATCAGCCCTGCAGGAGGCAGTGCTGTGAGCCTGTGTGGGTGCAGGTGGGTCTAGGCCATCCCTCTGCTCCAGTGTCCTTGCTCTGCCCCAGTGAATGCTGGAGGGTGAGGAGATGGGAAACCCAGGAGTCTCCCCAACCCCTCAGCTTCCCTCTCTGGGTGCCATCACCATCCCATGTGGCATTTTGTGGGGCTGCATACCCCCTCTATGAAAGACTGTGGGGTGTTTCTAGGTCAGACCTCAAGCATCACGGAGGCAGCAGGACTGGGCTCAATCCCCACTTGGTGGTAGCGTGTGGTGGGTCTTTGGGTTTGAGGCGGGAAGAGCATGAGAAGCCGAGCTCTGGGGAGCAGTTACTGAGTGGTAGCATGTGGGGCCCAGTCAGATGGGAGCCCCACTGGAAGGGCTGCATGATTCAGGCGGGAGGCAGACTCGGGCCATCCCCTGCCAGCACTTTTCGGGCACTTCTCTGCAGCCACCTGGACACTCACTGGCACCTGCTCTCCTCTCCTTGAGGCCCACTCCACAGCAGTATTTATAGGTGAGGTGACATTTTGTTTGCAAGAAGGTTTTCATCTCTTAAGACTGTTCTTGCCTTCTCAGAAACTCAGTTGGCTCTGTGAAGATTTGCTGTCTGTTTTGGGTTTGGGTGGGGTATGTTATGCTGAAAAAAATAGTCCTAGACCTAGGGGATGAGGTTGCTCCAGCCAAATGACAGTGAGCTGGTGGTAGCCAGAGGTGTGGGCTGCAGTGCCCTGAGGGAGTGGAAAAGCCTCCCACACACAGGGTTTTGCAGGATGAGCGGGGTGTGGAGTGGAAGCAGCACTCAGAAAGCACAGTTGGGTTTCAGACACATCATGCGAGACCCCGCCACTCACAGCAAGGGGGGGCAGTGGAGATGGGACGGCATGAGTGGAGAGGGGCCCCTGCAAGCAGGCCAGTTGCTTTCTGACTGTGGGACTTGTGGCCTAATCTCTTTGTTCCTTTCCTGAAAGTGCCCCTTTCCTGATAGGGCATTGTCCCAAGTCCCCAGCTTGCAAGGGATGTTGTTTTGGAAAAACATGGCAGGTACACGCCCACACAGGAGTGTTCAAGTGCTGATCCCAGACCACCCAACCCAGGGTGGAGGCTGTTAGAGGACATTTAGGATCCACAGGTGGGCAGAGGGAGGATGTCCAGCCACCAGAGACCACACACATCCTACCCCAGCCGTGGTGAAGATGGGGCTGTTTTCCTTGACCATGGAGCAAAAACCATCCAGGACAGCTCTCCCCCTCCATGCCACCAGTTGCTCCTGAGCCAGCTCTGTGGGTGCTGGGAGCTGCGCTAAGGATTTGCACCTGTCCCCACCAGCTTGTGGCCTTCTGCTGCCGCGGTGCCTCTGCCCTGAACTCCCTCTAGGGCTCAGGACCTTTGGGGCCTCACACCTACCCCACTGTTGGTCCTTGATTCCTTGACTCACACAGCGTGTGGTCTGGGGCTGGGGCTGGGGCCCAGCTCACTGCGGGGGGATGCCTGTGGGGGTGACACGCCGCAAGTTCCACGGGGCCACCTCGGGAGGTCTTGGGTCCTCTCTGTGCAGACCAGGCGCTGAGGCTGCGGTGGAGGGCAGGGAATCCATAGGGATTCAGCTGCCTGCTCAGGCCCTGGGCTGTGTGTTGGGTGGGCTTCTGGAAAGCTCTGCTGGGAGTCCAAGGAAGAGAGGAGTGCCCTGGGCAGCCCCTCCTACCTTGTGGCTGGAGCCGGTGGGTCTCATGGGCCCAGATAGATACCTGTCTGAGCCTCAGTCTTCCCATCTCTAAAAGGGGGGTGGCAGTCTGCCATTTGGTTCTGTAGAGGAACCAGTGACTTATTAACTGTGACCGTGGTGACCGCATGATCCCTCAGCCACGGACTGTGTCCATGTCTTATGGGAGCCATGGCCACTCATAACCCCTTAGCATTCTGCAGCCTAGTGCAGGCCCAGTTCCTCATCTGGAGAGCGAGCCGTCAGCAGCTGTCCGCGTGCCATGGGGAGACTGACCGCGGGGCCAGGGCTTCAGTGAGAGGCAGCTCCCGACAGCCTGCACCTGGCCTGCCTTTGAAGGCCACACGTGACCAGCACAGCTGCCTAGGATTATTTACACAGAGAACGTTAAAAGGCCCAACAGGAGGGCCATCAGAGCAAATCACTAATTGTCTGGAAAGATACAAACTGGAGAGATTGAAACTCTGGAGTTAATTGTTTACGAAGCTTTGAAGGCCACAGAGGTCAGTGGCCGTGGGTGACCGCCCCCGGTGGTCATGGGCAGGGGCAGGGGCCTGTTATCTCCCTGTGACAGGGCCTCCTGCTGGGGCAGGCCTGGTCCTTGTCCAGGATCCCAGCTGTTCCCTAGGAGGGGCTCTCCACTGGTCAGCCCAGGCCGCTGCTCAGAAGCTGTATCAGGTGGACATCTCTGGGGCCAGCCCAGTTTGCATTCTAGCTCTGGCCCCATTCCTGCCTGGAGAAGTTGGGAACATTCAACCTCATTTTCTTTTCCCACCTCACGGAGTGGTAGGAGATGAGAGTTCACTCTGTAAGCTCCACACTATCCTTCACCCTCCACAGCAAACTAGGACAGAAGGTTCTATGGGTAACCCAGCAACAAGGAGGGCAGGTGAGGCTGGCCAAGACCCACCTCGGGGCTGGGAAACCCCGGGACCATACCAGGGGTGTCAGCAGAGCAAAAGAGAGGCCCCAGGCTTGCAGTCAGACCAGCTGGGCCAAATCCTGGCTTTGCATCTCACAGGCTTCTGCAGCTCAGGTTCCCCATCTGTAAAATGGGCATACTCATAGTGCCTGTGCAGGAGGTAGACAGTTGGAATTATACCCACAGTTCCACTGTGGCCTCTGTACTATAAGAGGCTAGAATCTGACCCATCTGTCCTGGAGACAGGGAAGAGACCTCCAGAGCCAGCTAGGAAGTCAGCTCTTGTTCTCACTCCATGAATTAGTTGGTTTG
Source organism: Homo sapiens (assembly GCF_000001405.40). Taxonomy (NCBI): domain Eukaryota; kingdom Metazoa; phylum Chordata; class Mammalia; order Primates; family Hominidae; genus Homo; species Homo sapiens. Next base: position 128,308,831 of record NC_000002.12, on the reverse strand, counting down.
CAGGGAGCTTCCCTCAAAGCAGCTGAAGTCTGTGCAGGTTGGGTCCTGTTATCTGGGACATCACCAAGTGTCATCACTGGCCTTCCAAGGTGATGACCTGGAGCATGCTGTGTTTTGGCTGTGGGGGTCTCCTGCTCACCTTGGGCTATGGCCTTGGGACCACCCAGTGCCTTCCTGACTGTGCCCATTTGACAAAAGGCTGTCTCTACCAGGATCTCCAGAAAGCTCTGGCCCTCTCTGGCCAGCAGCCAGGATGTAGAGACTGTGCACATCTGTCCTGGTGCCCAGGTCGTGAGACCCTGTGGGTGGCAGCCTGACCCCACCCCCAGCCATCTGAGAACCTCGAGACCCAACCAAGAGGAACCCAGGGTCAAGAGGAGGAAGGGGTGGATGCCACGTGATGCTGGCCCTGCACAGAGGCTCGCCTGGCTGAGGGCCCAGGCCTTGTTCCTCGGATGCAGTGGTTCCTCCCTTCCCTAGACCCCACCAGCTGCTATCACCCCCTACATGGTATCTCCAGGGGTGTAACTGGGGAGCCTTGTGGAGTTTCACCTCTGTTCCCACTGCAGGCTTAGCTGGGTGCGGCTCGCAGGTGAAGACCCCATGCACTGTGCTCCACCCCACCCCTGCCTCCCTGCAGCCTCGCTCAGCACCACTGTCCTGCGTTTCACATGTTTCCTGCCCTTGTGTTTATGCTTTCGCTGTAGATGTGTGTATTCCTTAAATGATACACAGTGCTGTTTTGATGTTACTAACTTTCCAGAACCCTTATCAAACTCTGCTTGACCTTCTGCAACTTGCCGTCTTCACTCAGCCTTGTTTTGAGATTTATCCCTGTTGGTCCCTGACATGCGTGTTTAATTCATTGACTGCTGGACTTAACATCAAGGTAGTCCAGACGGATCTCTGCTTGGTTCTAATGCAGCTGCGGGGAGCAATTCACTTTGGCCATCACAGTCCAGGTGCGGCCACGGTGCTCGCTCATGGTCCCTATGTGTCCCTAGGAGTGTGTCAGAGGGAGGTTCTCCTCACCACCATGCTGTGCCCGTGGTTCCCGATTGTTTGGGCGGGCACTCTTGGCTCATTTCTGCCAGGCCAGGAGCCAGGAAATGGGACCTCTGTGCTCTTAGTGCATGTTTCCCCATGGCAGAGAGATAGCATCTTACCATGTGTTTATCGGTCAGTGAGGTCTCTTCCACCGACCTGTTCACGTCTTTGGCCTGTTTTCCCCTACAGGGTTGTTTGTGCTTCGCGTATTGGTTCGTAAGCGTTCTTTATGTGTCCTGGTGCCAGGTTCCATGGGTAGCATGCTCCCCGCTTCTCTCCTCCTGTTCATCATTTCTCCATGTGTGGACTTGGGCCTGTGGCATCCCGGTGCCTGCACCAGGTAGGGCCAGGCTGGCCCAGGTACATCCCATCTTCCAGCTGAGTCACATGCCAAGAAGAGGTATGCCTGCTGACCTCTGAACCCCATGGGACCCTGCTGGTGGTGAGAGCTCAGCTGGGGGCTTGTTAGTGTGAGCAGGTGGACAGATGGCAGCTGACCAGCATCCTCCCTGCAGCGTGCACCCCCCAGGGCCTTCCCTGGAGATCCTCAGCAGTGCCCACGGTGGCACCTGCACAGCCCTGAGCCCAGGAAGGCCAGACAAGCAGACAGTTCCTCACGTGCCAGGGCCCCTCACAGCGATTTTGCCGCATGTGTTGGAGTCCCTTTGAGATTGAGTTGGAAGGAAACCCAACTAAAACCGCCTAAAACCAGAGCCTGGAACCCACGGCTCTGAAGTCACAGGGACCCCCCCACCCCAACTCCCAGTGAAAATCTGGGTGGGCGTTTCCCAGAGGGAAGCCTGCCTGTGTCACCCCCCAAGCCCGGCCAAAGAGCTGAATGTCCACGCCCTGTGCCTCAGCCTCCCCCCATGACAGTGACGACACTGCTGTCTGTGCCTCCAGCCTGGTGCCTGGCCCTGCCCTCACTCCCCAGGCCCCTTGGGCACCGTCTGCTGCGGGCGCACCCAGGGCTGTCCCTGTGGGGCACTGCTGTATGGATAAAGCTTTTCGCACCCCCTCAGAAAGGAGCATGGGGGTGGTAGCCCCCTCATCATCCCAGCCTTGGAATGTGCCCCCACCCCATGTGACCCCAGCCCCATATTTGCAGTACCCCTGCTGCCATGCCCCCACTGGCTTGGGACAGAAGGGCCTACACATCACCATCCACCTGAGAATTAGAAAGCGCCTTCTGCTGCAGGGCTTGCAGGAACAAATGTTTACAGCCCCTAGGCGGCAGGGGGAGCATCTCCCCTCTGAGTTATGAGCTTTAGAGGCTCCTGTGTAAATATTTACCTCTCTAGAGCATTGGTGACCGTGGGAGATCGGGATCTGTAAGCACTGAGGTTTTCTGTTTGCGTCATCGTGGCCAGGGTGGGGTGGGGGTGTCGTCCTGGAGCAGGGAGCCAGGCTGTGGAGCGTGCAGCTGCGTTCTCCCTGGAATCCTGGTCCACATTCCCTGGCAGAGAAATCTTCGCAGCGGCGCGGCCACGTCCTCCAGCCCGACCACAGTTGATGGAGGGAAAGCCAGGGAAGGCACTGTCCTGTGGAGTGACACCAGCGTGCTAGCCCTGCTGAGGAGCGGAGGCACAAAGGAGGGCATTCCTGTCCCGAGGGTGCAGTCTGGGAGCAGGGAGGGGCTGTGACAGTCTCATTCAGGCCTCACTGTCAGGGGCGCTGTTTTGCAGATGAGTAAACTGAGACTCAAAGAGCCTAAATAACTCATCACCTAAGGTCACCGGTGGCAGAGCTGGGATTCACACACAGGCCTGTGCCTGCAGGATTTCCCCCAAACTCCTCCCAGTGACAAGTCGCAGGCAGGTCACTCCCCAGAGTGGGGGAGCCAGGCGTGTGGCTCATGTCCGCCACAGTGCCTGCCTCTGGGAGGGTAACGCAGCTGCTCTGCGAGCAGGTGGGCTCGCCAGGGAGTCCAGGATGGTGCAGGGAACCTGGGCAGGTCCTGAGGGACTGCTGGCCCACCCTCCTCAAGGTCCAGCTGAATGAGTGGCCTGCTGGAAGCAGCTGTCACCAGGTGTGATGCTTCAGCTCCCCTGAGAGGATCAAGGGCAGGCAGAGCAGATGGTCTCCCGGGGGAGTTGAGAGGGTTGTGATGTCACCCGTAAGGAGAGGCTCTGCCCAGGCACTAAGCCGGGGAGAAGGTAGGCCCCAGAGTGAGAGTGGGTTCCAGCTCTGCCTGGAGAACAAGGGCCTCAGCCAGCCGGGCTCCAACCCTTGCCACAGCCTCCTTCCTTCCCGCCCACTGCAGACCCCAGGGCTCCCGGTTGGAGGGGCTCGGCCCCTCCTCTTCTGCCTCTGTTCCCTCCTGGCAGGCAGGAAGGTGAGCAGGTCTGAGCAGTTGGTTTAGCTCACGCAAGTCCAGGCAGGGCCGCTTGTCGGCACACGTCCTGAACCCTGCAAAAGTTCAGGCCTCCCAAGTCATGCTTTAAAACTGTCCAAGCAGGCCCATCGGGAAGCCAGGCCCAGCAAGGAGGGGTTTGTTACTCTGCTTTCCTGGAAGCTGGGCTGGCAACGTTCCCAGCAGAGAACATCATTCTTACAAAGTAGAGGGGTGTCAGGTTTCAGCCAAGTGGGTAAAAGGCAGGTATTGGGATTGGTGTGGCTGTTCCAGGACAGGAGCAAACCCCCATCCTTCAGCAAGTGGGTCAAATGGGGACCCAGGCAGGCAATGGGTCAGGCCAGCAAAGGCTGGAGAATCCAGAATGGAGAGCTTAGGAGGCCCTCATAGCAGGGAGCTGCCTCCTGCATGACACTGACCCTGTGCATTCCACACAGATCACAGGCACTGCCCTGGGCCACCAGGAAGGCCCTGGGGACCATGTTCCATGGGTTGCCACAGAGCCAGGGGATGATGGCCTGCAAGTGTGTGTGGGTGCTCAGTCACCCGCCCTCCCCAGTGCAGCCCAGCCCAGCTGCAGGAGAGGAAGGTAGCCATTCCTGAGTGTCATGAGATGCTGAGTGCTCCAGGGTGGGTCCTCTCACTGACCCAGTGAGGGCTGCCACTGCTGTGCGACACTGCTGTGAGCACTCTGATGGGACACAGTGTCACTGTCCCTGTTCTCTGGTACATGGGTGCCTCCATATCTTCCCAGTGGCAGAGGGTTTTTGGCCAGCATCTGACTACAGCGGCTGTGTGCATTGCTGCAGTGCTGGGCTCTCCCGAGAGGGGACCCACGGGCAGAGGTCACCAGCCAACCCAGGGACCTTTCTGGAGTCCTGTGCAGCTGTCCATTAGCAAGGCAGCCTCCGAGGGATGCCAGGGCCTTACAGTCTGTGACAGGTACTTGTTTCGTCCTCCTGCCCCTTAGCCAAAGACAGCTTAGTGCCCAGGCAGTGGTCCTGGTCCTGAGGGGCTAGAGGCCCTCCTCTCACCAGGCCTGTACCATGCACCATCTCTGTCCCTGGGGAGCACCCACACAGGGAGACCCAGTTTCTAAAGGCTCGGACACACTTCAAGAGGACGAGCATGGCTGGCAGCATCCCCCAGCGTAGGGGTCGGGGAGGGGGAGCTATATTAGGGTTCTCCAGAGGGACAGAACTTATAGGATATATAGAGACAGGTGAAAGAGGATTTATTGGGGGAATAGGCTTATGCAATTAGGGAGACTAAGATGACCCGAGATCTGCCATCTGCAAGCTGGAGAACCAGGGAAGCCAGCGAGCAGGCTTAGTCCAAGGCCAAAGGCCTGAGAACCTGGGGGCTGTGGTGTTAGGTCCCAGAGCCCAAAGGCCCGAGAACCTGGAGTTCTGATGTCCAAGGGCAAGAAGATGAGTGTCCCAGCTCCAGAAGAGAGAGGAGATTCACCCTTCCTCCACCTTCCTGTTCTGTTGAGGCGTGCGGTAGATTGGAAGATCTCTGCTCACGCTGGAGAAGTCAGTCTTCTTTTCTCAATCCACCCATTCAAATGCCAATCACAGACATACCCAGAAACAAAGCTTTACCAGCAATCTTGGTGTCTTTTAACCCAGTGAAGTTGACACCTAAAAGTAGCCACCACAGTGGCCTTTGGGTGAGGACCTGGGCACCCACACTGGGCTGCAGTAGCGTTCTCCCAAGGGAGCCTCAGCCATTTATTTCTAGGCACCTCCCAGATGTCCCCTTTAGCAGGCAGCCTGGATGTCATGAAGCAGAAGGATGTTGGCCAACAGGTGGCAAGTGCCCACTTGACGGGGTTGGCCAGCCAGTGTCCCCCCACCATGTATGGAGGAGCATCTGGGCCCAGACAGGTGCGTGTGCAGGTGGGACTTTAAGCTCAGGGTTTTGCATGATTGGGTGCTAGATCTGGAAACTACGTTTTAGGTACTTCTCTTCGGTTTTGTTCTTACTGTAACAGTAATGCATGCTGATTCTAGAACTTGTTCTCAAGCACAGAGGCACTACATAGAGCTGTCCTCAGCCCTCAGGGTGGCCCCATGGGTGTTGTGCTGTTAGGGTCAGGGTCAGCCTGCTCCCAGCTCCTCTGCATGGCCCCGTGTCCCTGAGCACTTCACATGCCCTCCTGGCCCTGCCTTTACTGTCCTCTGTGATGCTGCAAAGCACCTCTTGGCTGCATGTTTGGTCTGCATCTTGGGGCATCCTTTCAGAGAACGTCGAGAGTGGAGGTGTCCTGGCTGTGTGCCTCGCCCTTGGGCATCAGGGGTGGGGCAGGCCCAGGCCCCAGAAAAGCCTGGCATTTCCTCCTGGGAATGGGCAGCAGGTCGGATGTGTGGGCCTGGCTCCTGGGGTTTAGACTGTGGGGGACCAGAGAAACATGTGGTCAGCACTTTGGAGGAACACACAGGGAGGGGTGAGGACAGGAGGGCGTTGCAGGCAGAAGATGCCGTGAGCAAGGACCTCAAGGGCAGGCCGTCGGGGGAGAAGAGGCTGGAGCAGCTGAGAGGCCAGGCCTTGCCCTGTACAGAGCAGGGAACTGGCCGGCTGTCTTCCCAAAAGAGGCCTTGGGAGGGTGGACTCAGATGGGGGCCGTTGCGGAAGAGGCCCCACCACAGAGCCGTTGGAATGGAAGACCTAGCCACAATGGGAGACCTAGCCTCAAGGGCTGGGCCTGAATCAGGAAATGCCTTGAAGCCCCGTGGTGGCAGGGGCTTGGTGGGGAGCATCCCAAGTGCAGCTTGAGGGAGTGAGGGGAGGGGAGCCAGCCACCAGGCACAGGAGTAGCAGGGGGTTTGGGAGGGAGCCACCATGTCAAGGAGCCACTCAGTCACCAGCACCTGCGTGCAGAGCTATTCCTGGGCCCCAAGAGAGGACTGGGTCCACCCTTGGGGAACCGTTAGCCCTACACCTAGAGGAGCTGCAGATGGTCACAGGGCTGGGGCTGGGAGGGAGTGGATCAGATGGGAGTGTCTTCAGCTGGATGCTTAGTGAGAGAGTCCCACACATGCACTCCCACATGTGAACACACCACGTACACATCAGTAAACATGCAGACACACATGCACGCCAGCCTTGGCTGCACAGCTCCAGCTCAGCCTGACCCATGTGTGCTGCCCATGGCATTCTTTGACCTCAAGGTCCCCAGTTTAGCAGGCGGCCAGTGAGTCATGGGGCCTGAGACCAGGTATCCTCCCCTAGTTACACCTCTCAGACTCCCTGAGGCAGCAGCGCCAGCTTGGAGCACAGCACCTGGCCAGAAGTCCCCATGCACAGCCTCCACTCTGGTCACACTGAGCAGTGACACCTACTGCCTCAGGGTGTCCTGAGGGATGGGACTGGCTTCAGGGCTCTGGCGGGAATGTCTTCTCATTGGGGCATGACTTTATCCAGGGAGAGGAGCTGGCGGCACCATGGAGAGCCCAGTCCTCTGCCTTCCCTCCCCTCAGGCCAAGCTGGAGCCTCTGAGCTGTTCCCACTAGGGAGACACCGGCCAGCATGGTGTCCCTGACTGTCTGGCAGCCGTGATGCCTGCGTGAGCCAGTGGGGCCCAGGAACACATGCTGCCCGATGTCCATGAGTGCCGGGGACCCCATGGAGGCTGGGCCCAGCGGGCAGGATCAGCTGCAGGCTTCAAACCAGCACACATGTACCCCTGAGGGTGAGAGGCTGGAGAACTCCCAGGGTTGACCAGGGGCTGACAAAGCACGCACGCTCTCCCACACACGCACGCTCACGCTCATATACACACATCCCCAGCAGTAGCTCATGCTTTGGCGCCAGTGGTGACTCAGAAACATTCTGGAACAAGAATTCCTTTTTTCCTTACAAGTGGTTGGCACTTGGGGATGTTTCTTCGTATTTGAAATTCCTTCCCACTGGTCCCTTTAAGAGCTGAGCAATTTTCCATTCTGAGCTGGGCTGCTCTTCCATCCTGAGCTCTCAGAAGTCTTTGAAATGGTCCCAGGATATTAGAGGAGATGCTTTTCCAAAGACGATCTGCTGTCATTGCAGACACAGGAAGGGTAGCCTGGAGCCACATGGCCCCTGGGAACCCCTGCCTGACACACAGGGCGCAGGAGCCATGCAGCCCCTGGGGATCTCTGCCCAACACAGAGGGGTACAGGAGCCATGCAGCCCTGCCTCACACAGAGGGGTGGCTAGAGCTACGCAGCCCCCGGGAACCCCTGCCCCTCACAGAGGAGTGGCTAGAGCCATGCAGCCCCCGGCGACCCCAGTCCCACACAGAGGGGCGGCTAGAGCTACGCAGCCCCCAGAAACCCCTGCCCCTCACAGAGGGAGGGAAGGCTGGTTTCTATAGACCATTCAGGAGGCTGTTGCTGCATGTACCCAAGCAGCCAAAAGCCCAGACTCCTCAAACTTTGTGACCCAGGGCTCCCATTCCTTTCTTTTGCCCTCCCCAGCTAATGACAATGACAGAGGCACTCATTTCTTAGGCATGTGCCATTGCACCCACCCCCACCACACACAGCACACGGTGGCGGCTCTCCCTTGAGAAAGATACTGGCGGAGGCTCAGACGGGGTGTGGGGCTAGCTGCTCTGGAGGGTGAGACACGCCCAGAGCAGCTGGGAGGAGGGTCTGCCCTAGGCATCTCATGGATTGACTGTGGGCACAGCTGGCATGGCAGGGGCCCTGGGTGTGGCCAGGTGATGCTGCCGGGCAGAAGTTGGGCCCAGTCCTGGGCATCCTCGTCCTCCACCTGCGTAACTCAAGGTGGTCCGCCCACCCTGCCCTTAGTTACAGCCTCCCCCGAAGAGATTAATTACAACAGGTGCTAGACAGACAGTCCTATGGGGGTCCCAGCTGTCCCTCCCTACTTGCTGGGAGAGGGACTGGAGCTGCTCAGCTTCAGGGCCCAAGAACCCAGAGATACCCCCGTGCACACAGCGCCCCAGGTAGACACCTCCGCGAACACACGGCCCCCTTGACGTGGCCCAGGTGCAGGGCTGGGGGCAGGCGTACTGTGGAAGCCACACCTGGTCACCAGCATGGCCCAAGGCGGCGCTGGTTTGGGAGAGGGTGGGTGGTCCCCCCCTCTTCTCCAGTGTCCCATCCCTGCCAGGGTCCAGGTAGGGATGGTAGCTGTGTCCTGGGGCTGCAGGCCCTCTCCGGAGGGCAGGCTCCGCTGTGTGGGCCTCCTGCACAGCCTCGTCCATGCCAGCTATGCCCTCAGCTTAATGCCGTGGGTTGGGGATGGGCCTGTAGTTCTGGTTGCAGGAGCTTGGAGTGTGCTTGGAACTTTGGAGAAGCCCCCCATTTTACAGAGGAAGCCGCTGGGGTCCTTGGTTTGGTGAATTCAGCAGTATAAGCAGAGTGTCACCCGGGTCCAGGCCTGACTCTCCCATGCTGCCCCAGCCTGGGCTTCACAAGACAATCTGAGTGCTGATGGGAAGCGGCTGGCAAGACCCCGGCCTGGAGGTGGGGTAGCCCTCTGCCCACCAGAGCCACCCTGCCTTGCTGGCGCTGGTGTTTGTGCTGCCACAAGCTGTGTTTCCTCCGTCTGCTCAGAGCCCAGGGGTCTGCTGCCCTCGCCAGCACCCCCAGCCTCCGCCTGGCAGATGGGCTGTGTTAGCAGGGCCGGGATGGGGGAGGGGTTATGAGCCTCTCAGCCACAGCTCCCTACCCTGTGTGCCTCTGTCTCTCCGCCAGCTGGGGTCTTTCCAGGCAGGCCTGGCCCACTGTGATTACCCTCTGTGCCCCAGCTTTCTGCCGGGGGCCTGGCACAGGTCACGCGTGGCCTTCAAAGACAGAGATCCACTGTGCTCCTCACCGGCTTGTGAGCTCTCTGCTTCAGTTTCCTCATCCACCACATGGGGCTGGGCCTCAATGTGCCTTCAGCTGCTGCTGTGGCTCTTCCTCATTGGGCCTGGAGTGTCCAGCGTAGGGGTCTGGAGGATAGGGCATGACCTGCCATCCACTCAGTTTCCCCACATGTCACACTGAGACTGGGGCCAGCAGAGCCTCAGCAGCATAATTTGCAATCTGTGTTGTGTTGACCTCTTATAGTTTGCTAAGAGTGGGCCGGCCAGGGCAGAGGGCTCGCTCCTGCTGATGGGCCTGTGTCCAAGGGTGCAGCTGTGGCCTCAGTTTGCTCCTTTGGAGGACGGGAGAGCAGAACACCACCTCCCATGCTGTTGGGGTGCGTCGGGGAGTTGTGGTGCAGAGCAAGGAGGGAGCTGTGTGCTCTCTGCTGCATGGCAGGAGGCAGGCACTTGCGAAGCCTGCTCTGTCCCTGCAAAGAACAGAAACTGGGTCCTTGGCTAGGTCACACCTCGGCCCTGGGCCACGTCCAGGTGTGTTTCTGCCCCATCTGAGGCCGATTCTGGTGCCCTTGGCCTCTGGTCCTCTCATTCCGAGAGCCGAGGAGTACCCCACACAGTCATGCAGGAGGGAGAGGGAGTGAGGGGTGGGTTAGGCCTGGGCCAGCCCCACTGGTGGGCCCAGGGTGGCCGCGCCCAGGGACGTGCTGCTTTCCCTCCTGAGAAGCTGTTGGGACTTGGCTCTTGAGGACACTCGTTGTGGGAAAGCCTTTTTTTGTTTTTTATTGTGGTGAAGTATGCATAACATAAAATTTACCATTCTAACCATTTTTGAGTGTACAGTTCAGTGGCATGAAGTACATTCACATTGTACAGTCATCACCATCATCCGTCTCCAGAACTTTTTCATCTTCCCAAACTGAGCTCTGACCCCATTAAACACGAACTCCTCATTCCCCTCCCTCCAGCCTCTCACGCCGTCCATCCTACTTCCTGACTATGAATTTGGCTACTCTAGATAGCGGATTTAAGTGGAATTATATGATACTGTCTTTTCACGACTGGCTTAGCATAATGTCTTTAAGGTTCATCCATATTTTATCCTGTGTCAGAATCGCCTTCCTTTTTAGGGCTGAGTAATACTCCATCGTCTATATGTACCATATTTTGCTCATCATCCCTTCATCTGTCAGTGGACTCTTGGCTGCTCCCTTCTTGCTATTGTGAATGATGCTGCTGGGAACATGGGTGTACAAATATCTGTTTAAGTCTCTGCTTTTAGATTGTTTGGGAATATATCTAAAAGAGGAATTGCTAGATCATATGGTAATTCTGTATCTCATTTTTTTTGAGAAACCACCATACTGCTTTCTACAGTAGCTGTACCATTTTACCTTCCCACCAGCACTGCAGAAGGGTTCCAGTTTCTCTACATCCTTGCTAACATTTCTTCCTGTTTTTTGATAATAGCCAGTCTGATGGATGTGAAGTGGAATCTCATTGTGGTATTGATTTGCATTTCCCTAATGGCTAACGATGTTCATCTTATATCTGCTTGTTGGCCATTGGTCTGTCTTCTTTGGGGAAATGTCTACTCAAATGTCGCACATTTTTTAATTGGGTTGTTAAGTTATAGGAGTTCTTTATATATTCTGGATATTAATCTCTTATCAGATATATGATTTACAAATATTTTCTTCCATTCTGTGGGTTGCGTTTCACTCTGTTGATACTATCCTTTGATGCACAAATATTTTCAATTTTTTGTTTTGTTTTGTTTTTGAAACAGAGTTTCACTCTTGTTGCCCAGGCTGTAGTGCAATGGTGTCATCTCGGCTCACCGCAACCTCTGCTTCCCAGGTTCAAGCGATTCTCGTGCCTCAGCCTCCTGAGTCGCTGGGATTACAGGCATGTGCCACCACGCCCAGCTAATTTCTGTATTTTTAGTAGAGACGGGGTTTCTCCATGTTGGTCAGGCTGGTCTCGAACTCCTGACCTCATGATCAGGTGGATCACCCACCTCGGCCTCCCAAAGTGCTAGAATTATAGGCATAAGCCACCATGCCCAGCCTAAATGTTTTTAATTTTGATGAAGCCCAATTAATCTAGCTTTTCTTTTGTTACCTGTGTTTGGATGTCATATTCAAGAGATCATTGCCAAATCTAGTATCATAAAGCTTTTTTCCTGTGTTCTAAGAGTTGACAGTTTTAGGTCTTACCATTGGTCATTAATCCATTTTGAGTTAATTTCTATGTATAATGTTAGATAAGGGTCCAATTTCCTTCTTTTACATGTGGAAATCCAGTTTCCCCAGCACCATTTGTTGAAAAGAGTGTGTTTTCCCCATTGAATGGTCTTGGCACCATTTGACCATATATGCAAGGGTTGATTTCTGGGCTCTTTATCGTATTCCATTGGTCTATATGCCTATCTTTATGACAGTACCACACTGATTTGACTACCATAGCTTTGTAGTTAAGTTTTGAAATCAGGAAATGGGAGTCCAACTTTGTTTTGTATTTGTTTTGGTTTGGGGTTTTTTTTGTTTGTTTTTGAGACAGGGTCTCGCTTTGTCATCCAGGCTAAGGTGCAGTGATGTGAACCTGGCTCACTGCAGCCTTAACCTCCCAGGCTCAAACAATCCTCCCTCATTGGCCTCCCAAAGTGCTGGGATTACAGACATGAGCCATTCTTTTTTGTCAAGTACTTTAGCTATTCAAAATCCCTTGAAATTTCATATGAATTTTAGGTTAAGTTACTCTATTTATGCAGCAAATACTGTTGGGGTTGTGATAGGGATTTCATTAAATCTGTAGATTACATGAGTAGTATTTACATCTTAATGATAGTAGGTCTTTCAGTTCATGGACATGGGATGATTTTCCATTTACTGGGGTTGTCTTTAATTTCTTTCATCAGTGTTTTGTAGTTTTTAGTTTACAAGTATTTCACTTCATTGGTTAAGTCTCCTCCTAAATATTTTACACTTTCTGATGCCAACAAAAACATAATTGTTTTGTTAATTTCCTTCTTGTATTGTTTGTTGCTAGTGAATAGAAATACAACTGATTTCTTTTAATTTTTACTTTAACAACATTGTTAAGTTAGTTTATTAGCTCTAACAGGTTTTTGTGTGTGGAAGTGGATTCTTTAGCATTATCTACATATAAGATTATGTCATCTGAGAAGAGAGATAACTTTCCTTTTTTCTTTCCAATCTGAATACCTTTTACTTATTTTTCTTACCTGATTGCTCAGGCTAGAACTTCCGGTACTCTGATGAATAGCTGTGGCAAAAGTAGACATCTTTGCCTTGTTCCCAAAGTAGAGGAAAGCTTTTGGTGTTTCACCATTGAATATGATGTTAACTGTGAGTTTTTCATATCTGGCTGTCTTAGCTCAGCCTCTATTACAAACACTATAGCCTGGGTGGCTCAAGCAGCAAGTGTTTATTTCTCACAGTTCTTGAGACCCAAGTCCCAGATGAAGGAGCCAGCAGATGTGGAACTGGTGAGGGCTTGTTGCCTGTCTTGTATCCCCTGCATCTCCCATGGCCAAGAGAGAAGAAATCATCTCTCATGTCTTCTCTTATGAAGCCACTGGTCCCATTCATTATGGCTCCACCCTCATGACCTAATTACCTCTCAGAGTCGCCACCTCCAAATGCCATCACGTTGGAGATTAGGACTTCAACATGAGTTTTGGTGGAACACACACATTCAGTCCATAGCAATGGCCTTTATTACACTGAGGTAGTTTCCTTCTGGTTCTAGTTTGTTGAAAGTTTTTATTATGCAGGTGCATTGAATTTTGTCAAATGATGTTTCTGCATCAGTTGAGATGATCATGTGTTTTTTTCCTTCATTCTGTTAATGTGGCATACTACATTGATTTTCATATTTTGAACCATCCTTTCATTCTAGGGATAAATCTCACTTGGTCATGATACATAATCATTTTTATATGCTGTTCAATTCAATTTGCAAGTATTTTGCTGAGGATATTTTCATCAGTATTTATAAAGGACATCAGTGTGTAATTTTCTTGTTATATCTTTGTCTGGCTTTGATATCAGGATAATACTGACCTCATAGAATGAGTTAGGAAGTATTCTTTTCACTTCAGATTTTTGGAAAAGTTTGGGAAAGATTTGTGTTAGTCCCAGGAGAGCCTCTCAGGTCCCAGCATGTGCTGGGAGCCTAGTCACAAGCCCTGGCAGTCAAGGGTGTGGACACCCAGGCAGCTGCCTAGCTGTGTGGCCCTGAGCAAGGGCCTTCACCTCACTGTGCCTGACTCCTCAACTATAAACGGAGAGGAGTGGTACCCCCTGCCCTGAAGTGGAGAGAAGAATGGTACCCATTGCCCTGGAGTGAGGAGAGAACCAAATGAGCCAGTATGGGTGTGCCCAGCACAGGGGAGGCAGCAAGGATGCTGCCTGTGCCATCAGCCGGCAACATCTCACGGTGTTCACAGTAGCCCTTCAGGACAGAGGGACCCAGGGCTCAGAGGGCACTGGATCTGCGCATGGTCACTCAGTTGCTGGTTCCTCACTGGGCACATCCAGACCCCTCTGCCTTCAGACTCCTGCATTTCTGCCTTGCCACACAGGAAAACCAAGAGGGGGAGGTGGTTTGGAGTAGGTCATGGGGCCCACTGAGCCTTGGGTATCCTGGCAACTGCTTCTTATTTTCCTTGTTCCTTGGAGCCTCTCTGGGGGTGCTAGGGCTGTGTCCATGGAGAATCAGCACAAATGTGCCTGAAGGAAGGAGTTTCAGGAAGCAGGAGGCTCCAGGGCCTGCCCACCCAGGCTGACACCCCTGTACCTTGTGGGCCACAGTCAGGAAATCCCAGAGCCTGGGTGTGGGAGGGTGGTCCGAAGACCTCTTTTGTCTCCCCCTCCACACACACACACACACACACACACACACACACACACACACACACGCCTCCCTTCTTTGCGGTGGAGCCTCTTTACTGCCCAGTAGCCCACCTTCTTCTCCCAGCTCTCCAGGCCCCAGAGCACTTGTCCTCAGAGGGGCCGCAGCTCCCAGGTGGGAGTGTGACAGCGTCTCCATCCTACCTGGGCCACCAACCTATTGAAACTGGTGTCATCTTAAGGACAGCCAGCGCCTCTTGACTCTGACAGGCTGCCCCAGGGTGAACAAGTTTCTAAAGGTGGCAAGTCCCACCTACCCAGTAGACAGGCTGAGAACAAAGGAAGACCCAAGCACTAGCAAGGAGAGCCCTCCCCTCCCTCGGGGACTGCGGCACTTCATGGGCAGGGCCCGGGGCCCTCCATCACAGCCCACCCCGCCCTGTGCCCCCTCTGATGCAGTAGAGTCAGTGAATTGTCACTAGCCTGGTGCAGGCCATCCAGAGCACAGTGCCAGGGCCGGGCACAGGGCGTGTATGACAGAAGAGCCATGTGGGGTCTCAGGAGGAGGCTGTCAAGTCCAGGCTCAGAAGCTGTGATGTGAAGGACAGTGCTTCATGGAGTTTGGGGCAGGTTTCCAGCAGAGGGTCTGGGCCAGCAGGGCAGGTGCAGAGAGGAGAGGGCAGGGCCCTGCCCTCAAGGAGGTACAGAGCCAAGCCTACTGGCTTCGGGACCCACATGGTGCCCCTGTGTCCCTGCAGCGTGGTCTCAGCATGGACCCCCAACCTGTGGTGAAACCATTGCCCTGGGATGTTCAGCAGGACTGGGTCAGCTTCTGCCTGGCTCAGCATGGCCATTCCACACTTAGAGGCTGACCACAGGACTAACTGGATCCTATGTGGCCACAGACCCTGCTCACATAGCACTGGCCTTCTGAGCTGGTGGTTAATCCAACCTTCCTCATCCCCCAGAGGACCCCCAAAACAGGTGCTTGGTATAAATGTAACTCGCCTTCCTTCACTGGTGACCTGAGGCCACCTGATGGTCTCTCTTTGCCCTCTGTCCCCGTGGGCCCCAAAGAATCTGGGAGCATGTTCCTCCTCTGACTCCGGGCCCTCCAGGCCATACCAGCCCCTGGTTTTGCTAAACATCCCCCAAAGCTGTGGCCCCGGGAAGCGCCCCTCGGACCATGGTCTGCTGCTGCTCTCCTTCCAACTTCGAAGGTCCCCTCCCGTCCTGGGGTATGAGGAACAGTGGTTTCTGGGAAATCTGGAGCCACCCCAGTGTTTGCAAGGAAAGTGCCCAGCAGGTGGTGGCAGCCGCCACAGTTACTCCTCAGACTAGCTTTACTCATGGCTTTAGGGAGTGACGGTCATGCTTCATTCCAGGCCTCAAAGCCTTAGCCATTCCCAGGCCTTGCTCTGCCCAGGCCCAGGCTGGCCCTTGGGCAGGCTTATGGGGAGCCAGGCCAGAAGAGGAGAAAAGCGCCATATTGTGTGACATGCCCCTGGCTCAGAGCGGGCTGTGCCTGGGAGCGGTGCCCTTCCGCAGGAGACAGGGTGTGCGGGTGGGACGCTGGAGTGCCTGGCTGGTTTGGGCCCCACTGCATGCAGAGCAAGGCCCAGCCTTTGGGGAGGGAGGCCTGGTGTGGCGGAGCAGAGCAGGGACCAGCTCCACCAGGCCCATGGGTGGAACCACACAGGCTGTGGGCAGCGGGGGGCTGCAGCCACGGCAAGGACCCCAGACCCAGGGTGGTCTCCAGGGCTCTTTTGCAGTAGGAGTGGCAACAGAGTTGGGGAGGCTGACAAGTGGGAGGCCTGCCTAGGCTCTCCCCGACCGCTGCCTTCCCCCACACCCCATGTCTCAGGTGCCCTCCTGTGAGTCGAGCCGTCTTTTCCAGCAGGAGCCCGTCAGCTGATAGCACCCCTGCCTGCCCTTCCTGCTGCCCTTGTTCCTCTGCCCGCCCCCATGGCCTTGTGAGTCACCGCCCCTCCCCTCCGCCCCATTCCCCCCGTGCCATTTGCCCTGGCCTGCTGCACACTGAATGCCCTGAATCTGGAGCCACTGCACAGGGCACTGCCCTCCCGGCTTCCCACAGCCCTTGCTGGGCTGTCCCTGCCCACTCACATGCCCACATGCCACAGCCTCCCCGTGAGCCTGGCCGCCCTCCCTGAGGCAGGGGTGGGCCCACCACCACCCTCCACATCCTCGCCGGGATGCCTGGCTGGTTCCTTCCAGCTTCTGGGAAGCAAGGTCCCAGAGCGCCGGGGTGAGGAGCACAGTCTTCTCCAGTACGTGTCTCGCCCCGGGTTGTTCTGTGTCCAGACTGGTGTGGGCGTCCCTGCCCTGAGAAGGTGTTGGGTGGGTAGCTGGGCGTGGAACACAGGGCCCACCTTACCTCCTCAGGAGCCCAGCCACAGTTAAAGCCGCTCCAAGCCAGGGTCCTGCCAGGCGTGGGCCCTATGGAAGGATACACATGGTGTGAGCAGGCCCAGACTGCCTGGCATGGACCCTCTGGGGATCCCTCTCCCCACACCTTCACCAGGTGGTCTCTGTGGCACTGAGAGGGCCTAGAGCTGGGCAGGGCCAGGAATCCCTGGCACTCTTGCTGGGCCCAGCCCCCCCGGCCTCAGTTCACCCTCCTCACTGTTGCCCTGTGCCGCCTCCCCTGCCGGCTCCATCCAGGCCCCTCTCCTGGCATCCAGGGGCCTTCTCCTGAGCCGGACCCTTCCCCACACAGCCACCCTAGGATGGAGGAGCTTGGCAGGGTCTCCCCTGGCGTTGAGAAGAGTGTGCATTCAGAGGAGCCTGTCAGCCCTGAGCAGGGAGGGTGTTGGACGGAAGGAATGGAGGGCAAGAAGCACCTATAGGGAAGCCTGTGTATGCCCTTGGGGAAGAGCCTGTGGACAGATGCCCGCCGGCGCCCCTGCACAGCTGTTAGCCACATCCTTGCTGGGTTGCCTCCGTGAGGTCTGTCCAGGGCCTCCCCGTGGAAAGAGGAGGGGCCAAGTGATGGAAAGCAGCAGGACTGGTATGAGGCAACAAGAGCCCCAGGCTGGAGAGGCCAGGCCAGGTGAGGCACACAGCCTGTGCCCTGGCTCCCTTGAGGTCCACCTTGCCCCAGGCATGGCGTCAGCCTGTGGAGGACCCAGGTCCTGCAGCCAGGGGCTCTCCCTCAGGCCCTGGTGAGCTCATTTAGAAGCCAGCTGCTCCCGCTGACGCACCTTCTGAGCTCACCCAGTGCCTGGGGCCCTCCCTGCCAGAGGTCTAGCCCCCAAGAGACACAGTGAGGATCCAGACTGAGGAGGCTAATGCTTCCTTCTGCTGCTCCAGTGCCATGGCCGCCCCAAACCTCCAGGACTCACACCTCACTGAGCGCAAACCCACAGCCTTAACTATGGGGTGCTCTGGACCCAGGGCAAGGGCAGTGGGCAAGAAAAGTAGCCCTCCCCCATGCCGGGACTCCGGCTGTCTGAGAGGGTGTGTGAAGCCCCCAGCCTAGTAATGCCTGCACGGGGTACTCACTAAAGACAAGAAGGACAGGCAAGGGGACTCTACTGGGACAGTTAGGTCCCTAGTTCCTCCTTGTTTTATTGTGTCAGCTGAGATCCCCAGTACATGCAGAATTGCCTTAGAGAGAGTGGACATCTTTGTCTTATTCATGATCTTAGAGGGAATGCATCTGACTCTTCCCCATGGGGACCATGCTTGCTCTAGGTTTTGGGGATACTTTATCAAATTAAGGAACTTTTTTTTTTAATTTGAGACAGTTTCACTCTTTTGCCCAGGCTGGAGTGCTATGACACGATCTCCGCTCACTGCAACCTCCACTTCCTGGGTTCAAGTGATTCTTACGCCTCAGCCTCTTTATAGGTGCGTGCCATCATGCATGCTAAATTTTTTTTTTTTTTTTTTTTTTTTTTTTGTATTTTTAGTAGAGACGGTGTTTCGCCATGTTGGCAAGGCTGGTCTTGAACTCCTGACCTCAAGTCATCCACCTGCCTCAGCCTCCCAAAGTGCTGGGATTACAAGTGTGAGCTACCACGCCTGGCCAAATTAAGGGACTTCTATTCCTAGTTTCCTGAGAGTTTTTATTATGAATAGTGTTTTTAGCAGATGCTTCTTACACATTTACTGAGCTCTGTAGTCTGTTGCTGTGATGAGTCACATGTATGGATTTTCTCCTGTTAAGCCATCCTTGCATACCTGGGGTTACTAAGTATGGTCGTAGTGTAATATCTTTTATATGCTCAATTGGGTTGGATTTGATAAGATTTTTGTTGAGGAATTTTTGTATCTATATTTGAACTCTGAGCTTAGCAGATGTGTCCACCAGGCTGCAATTTTCCTCTCTTGTGCATTTGTCCAACTTCGGTATTAGGATTATGTTGGCCTCATAGAATGAATTGGGAGTGTCCACTGCTTTACTCTTGTCTAGGAGGGTTTGCTTACAAAAATCTGGTTCTTTTAAAATTTGGTAGAAATAGCCCAGCACTTTCTTTGTAGGAATTTTACCCCTAACTTTTTATCTTGAAAAATGTCAAACTTACAAAGTCGTTGAAATGGTAGTAAAGTGAACCTCATACCTTTCACCGAGACCCACTGCTTGTTAACATTTTGCAATATTTGTGCTTGTGAGTGGGTGCTCTCACTTGCTGTTTACATATATGTATATCTGTAGATACATGTGTACTTACATGTATATTTATATATGTAGTTATATACATGCTTTTGCATTTTAGTAGAATCATTTGAATGTAAGCTGCAGGCATTTCCTCAATATTTTAGGAAGATTTTAAACTACTGCTTTGATTTTTGCTTTTTGAGATTATCGGGCTATTTGTGACTTATATTTGGACATTTTATACAAATAATTTGACTGACAGCTATCCTCTCTCTATCTCTTACATGTTCTCCTGGTGCCTCTGGCCTGTGGTTGGTGAAAGCAGGTAGGTCTGTTCCGGCAGCTTCCTCTCTTTCCCTGCCAGCTGGGGTGGGCCCATCCTCATGCCGAGCGTCATGCTGTGACCTCCAGGAGGCATATTGTCTTGTTTTGTGCAAGGAGGAAACAGATGACAGATGCATTCCTTGGGGAACTCGTCAGGGCCACACAGCTGCTGGATGGCAGATCCCTTAGCAAGCTGGAGACCTGTTTTCTGGTGCTGCCAATGGCGCGCCGGGTTCTCCTGGGAGCTTCGTGCTGCTCATCTCAGGGACCGTGCACGTGGGTGAGCAGCAGACATGCCTTGTGGCCTATGAAGTCAGACACCTCTGGTATCTGGGAGACTTTGGCTGCAGAAGGATCTCTGAGTCTCCATTTGCCCATCTGCAGGGGGATCTAATAGTGGCGACCGTACCGGGGTTGCAGGAATAAAATGAGCAAATGCCTGCTGGGCCCTAACCTTTTTTGGAGGCACCAACCACAGAAGTGCTTGATGGGGGGCCATAAAATGGCTGGTTCTGGAGAGTCAGCATTCCCGAGTCCCCAGGGTCACTGCTCAGGTGACAGCTTTCTCAGTGCATCACCCGGAGCTGTCGCCCTCCTTGTAAGTAGAGCCAGGGCCATGGGAGTATAGAGTTGGATACTGCAGTTAGCTTGGGCACAGAATGGCTTATCTCTGGGGTGGGCTGTTTAGGCTCTGAATTTCCCTGTCTGGGGAAGAATAGTCTACATTCAAGAGCATGCAAGGCCATCTCTCCGCGGCCGCCTCTGTGTTTATATGGACTCGGGGGTTGAGGGAGCAGGTGTCAGCCCCTCTTCGCTGCAGAGAGGCTCTGTGGGGTCGTGGGTGAGAACCAGGACTTTGCCTCGGACCCTGACATGAGTTGCTGTGGGGTCAGCAGGAGGTGGAGCCTGGAGGGGTCCCAGGGACACCCCCAGTGATCCTCAGATGAGCTCTCGCCCTCCTGACCCCGAGAAAGGCTGATTACTGGTGATGATCCTGTGGCTTTGGAGATGTCCTGAGAGGCTGCTGGGGAGGCCCTGAGCCTCCCAGGCCTCCCTGACTCTCCTACCTCCTGTGAGAAAGTCAGATTAGATTGTTTTGTTTGTTTGTTTGTTTTCTAATACATGCATGGTTATATAAAATCGGAAAAATACAGAAAAAGTAAAAGAAAAAATGGCCCAGGGCACTAGGCCCAGGGCACCTGGCGCGGGTTGCATTTCTGCTCCATCTCTCCAGTTGATGTGTTTTCCAGAGTTGGCATCAGGCTGTACCCACAAGCTTTGATGTGGCTCTTTTGCCCATTGTGCACACAGATATGAGCTTCTGTGTTAATGCAGAGTCCCCAGAAGGGCTGTGCTTTTCTACTGCCATGGAGTCACCGGGCGTAGGTATCAAGTCGTGCTGGCTGGCCTCAGGGCCCTGAGCACTTTCTCACCTGGCAGGGACAGTTTCATAGCAGGGTACAAATACTGCACACCCCGGCAGGACCTGACGCTGCCGCCAGCCTCCCTCTCGGGCCTCCACGTCTCTCTTGGTGGGCCCAAGCAGCCATGGTGGATGTGTAGTTACAGGCTGTAAGGAAGAGGAAGGGCCACGTGAGTCCTCGCAATAGCCTCAGCAAAAGGCCTAGAAGCAGAAGGAGTGAGCCCCAGAGCTCTTGGCCAGGACAAGAGGAGGCCATGGCTCTGGAGACAGGTCTCAGGCCGAGCCAGCCCGCCCCTAGTCAGCTGCCCTGCTGCTCGACTGCGTGCCCTGTGAAGAAGCAGGGCACTGTCACCTTCTCCTGACCCCAAGGTATGAGTGTGTGCGTTCAGGCATAAGTGACATCTCGCCTGCCGGTGTCAGAAGCCAGAAAGTGCCAGGCAGGCAGGTGTGAAATATGAATGGGCAGCCTTCATGACCGGCGAGCAGCCCCGCAGGGCCCTCATGGCCTTGCTGGAGCCCTGCCTTGGAGCAGCAGGCAGGAGAGTCTGAAGGGCAGTGGGACACAGGTGAGGAGGTGGTCCTCACCCCTTCTGCTCATGGAAGACCTCGGCAGAGCCCCATTCCAGGTGTCCAGTCAGCAGCATCTGGGCCCGGGCTGCTCACAGCCATGCTGGGCTTTTGGACAGGGTCAAGCTCCCAGAAAGCCATCCGCCTGTTCTCCCCTCATTGAAGAGGGCTGGTGCAGAGCACCCCTGGACCCGGCGTCTCTAGCTGGCCCTGCTGGGAGGACATTGTCAGCACCTCCTCTTGTGGCCCCTACCCTGGGGGTGACTTCTAGGACCTCCAGAAGTCACAGCCTTACCTGACACCTGCTAGGTGGAGGCAGTCCTAAGCCTCACATCCCGGCTCTCTGCCCAGTTCTCTGTGCACCCCCACTTCAGTGCTGTTGGAGAAGCAGCCCGTCAGGGGACCTGCTGGGGGTCTCGTTCACCCTCACTGAGTAGGGGGGGCAGCTGTCCCTGCCCACAGCTGGGCAGTGCATCTCAGGGGAAGGGGCCTCACCTGCACCTTCTCTGGGGGAGTGCCCTGGGCCCTGGATATATCCACTGAGGTGCTCTTGCAGGGGGACTGCCCTGGTCAGGAATGGGAGTGACCATTCCTGGGACCAGGAGGGGTTGGGCGCTTCCTTCCCATCAGTGCCTTTGTGGAGGTGTGGCGGGTGTGGCCTGCATGGCACCCCACAGTGTGTGTCCACCTGATGGCTAAGCCACCCCCTGCCCCAGAGGGTTCCTTGTCAGGGCGCAATGAGATCATGCAGGTCAGGGGGCTTTGAAGGAAAAGCTTTGGGCTTCCCCCAGTGTGGGGCCTCTGCTTCCTGGTCACTTGCTCCCCGACCACCCCAAGGGGAAGGTGGGAGTCTCAGGCTCCTAGGAGGCATTCAGAGGGGCCTCCTGCTTTGGGGGATGCTGTTCCCCAGGCAACCAGGTGGGGCCTTGGTTTCTCTATCTGGGTGGGCACAGCTTTGCAGGAGGCAAGGCGTATCGTGGCCAGCAGCCTGCTCTGTTTTCTGAAACCTTTGCTGACCTTGTTTGTAAAGCCAGCAAAGATTTTCACCCGCTTGCAGACGTTGTTAGGGAAGGGGCTGAGGAGGTATTTCCTAAACCTACGCTAATAAAGCCTCTTGTTTTTTATTTTTTAACAAGTCAGTATTTTGACACAAGGTCAGAAGTTTTCCTTTTTCCCACCATTTAATAGCAGTGTCCTGTCCTTGAAACCATGAACTCATTTCCTCTTCTGACCAACCCGTGCATTTGGATGGCCTGCAAAGCCTGGGCGTGCAGTGCAAGCTCCCAGGGGCCCTGCCCGGCCTCCTGCCTGTCCTCTGCTGCTCTGCAGGTTTGTCTGGAATTCATTCCCCAGCCCCCTTGCCAGGCCTGCTCCTCCTCGTCCTCCAAGCTCCTGACCTGCAGTCTGATGAGGCCCCCTGACCCACCCCTCCCTGGCGCTTGCTTGCCTGGGTCTTTAGTGTCTATGTTCCTGGCCCTGCAGGATGCTGTGAGAGCAGGACCCTGGCTCCAGCCCGCAGACCTCGGCCACGATAGATTCCCCCTGGGAGGGAGGAATAGGAATGGCAGATTGGATGGGACAGGGACTGTGACAAGGTGAGATCACACAGCTCACATCTGCTGCACCTGCTGGGGTCCCCCACGCCAGTCCTGGGCTGGATGAGCCCTCACCCCTGCAGGGTGCTGTAGGCTCTAAGTCTCCCTACATACGCCACACACCAGATCGCCAGTCTGGGAAGTGGCTTTCTGTCTACGAGTTTTATGGAGACAGTCCCTGGGGCTCAGAGGGGCCAGGGTGACTGTCCCCAGGCCACACAGGACAGCTGGCAGAGCAGGAATCCCACCTGTTCATCCATCTGACACTGGGACCTGTGTCCCCTCTGGCTGTCTCATCCAATTCCTCAGCCCCCTTGCCGGACAGAGCTATTTTGGGGCAGACGGCACCTGTCCCACTGCCGGCCTGAGGGTGGGGTGGAGGCCCTCAGCTCCCAGTACCACCCATCAGTGGAGAAAGGCCCTGGCCCATGGGGATGGTTGTCCGAGCCAGCTGGGAGCAGTAACTGGCAGGCAGGGACACCCACCATGGGAAGGGAGACAGTGTATGGACCCCCAGGCAGGAGTCAGCCTGGCAGGGTGGAGGCAGAGACAGGGGTGCCACAGACGGGCCTTTCCTCGAGCCTCACTGGCCCAGGTGCTGGCAGACAGCCCTGCCCATCCCCCAAGGCTTCCCCTGGTCCTAGAACCTTCCCTGCACAGTGCAGCTGAGTCCTCAGGGTAGCAGAGCTGGGCCGTAGCGGCAGGCATCCAGGTGAGCAGCTTGGCTGTGAGGTGGGACAAGGCCTTGGGAGACTGGGTACACAGGCGCCCAGTGCAGGGCAAGGCAGGGCCTCACGTTGTTGGGCCCCAGTGGGGTCTGTGGACCCTGCCACCACGGCAGGCTAGAGAGGGAGCCACCTGCCCTTCCCACGTAGGGAGTGGGGTGCGCCCAGAACCTGGGGGCTGCCTTATTCTCCCCTCCTCCATACCACATCCAAGGGCACAGGACAGAGGAGTCAGACCTCCACCAGACCCCTGGCTGGGAGGCTACAAAGAAGAAGGGTAGAACCCAGAGAGCGTGGAACACTCATTTCCCTTACTGGAAAACAGGCTAGATGGGGACTGCTGCCCCAGGGCTTGGCTGGTGGTCGGCGACCTAGAGCACGCAGTAGGCACTCCATCAGCGTGTGTTCTCTGGCATGCCGCCTGTTTCCTGGAGGCCAGAGGTCGGGTCGCAGCACAGGGTGCTCTGGTGAGGCCCGGGCACCAGGCCTGCCAGTGGGGCCACAGTGATGACATCCTGGAAGCCTCCAAGGAGGAGCACTGGCAGGTCCAGAAAAACTGAGCTCAGCATTTAGGCCCAAACCACCAGGTGGGGGGTGGGGGTCTGCAGCCGTGGGGTCCCTCTCCGTTTCTGGCTCTGGCCCTGGGAAAGTCACAACCTCTCAGGGGCTCAGTCAGCCCCGTTAAGAGGGACGATGGGGCTGGGCACAGTGGCTCACGCCTGTAATCCCAGCACTTTGGGAGGCTGAGGCAGGTGGATCACCTGAAGTCAGGAGTTCAAGACCAGCTTGGCCAACATGGCAAAACCCCATCTCTACTAAAAATACAAAAATTAGCTGGGTATCATGGAGCCTTAGCCTCGGAAGGCTGAAGCAGGAGAATTGCTTGAGCCCAGGAGGCAAAGGTTGCAGTGACCAAGATCACGCCACTGCATTCCAGCCTGGGCGACAAAGCAAGACTCCGTCTCAAAAAAAAAAAAAAAGAGGGACGATGTCACCTCCACAGTATGGTAGGCGTTGCTGTGTGCACAGCACCTGGGACAAAGGGATGAGTAGCTGGGGCACAGGCTGGTGTGTGCCCATGGGTGTAATGTGGGAGGGATGGCAGAGACTTGGGGCCTTGTGTGACTGGGGACAGGTGGCAACAGGTGGGAGGGAGGCAAGAGAAGGCCCCTAGGGTGGGGGGCCGCCTGTGGATGAGGGGACCAGGTGCCTGTGTTGGCAACCTGGGCACGGGCCATCGGAGGGTGGAGCCGAGATGCCTAAGCTGGGTGCCCCTGCCCTGTCTGAGCACCTAGTTGCAGAGTTGGCTGTGGGAGCCTGAGAGCAGGGTCCAGCCAGGAAGCCTACATCCTTGCAGGAAAGCCCCCGGGAACAGGGCCGGCAGGAGGGTGGCTGTGGGGCCCTGGAAGTGGGGTGAGGGTGGGGGGCTGCCCCGTGGGTCTGACTCAGCCCCCCTGCTCCAGCTCCGTCCAGGCCTGTGTCCCTCGGCAGGTGAAAGGGCCACCCAGCCTCCATTTCTTGACCTGGAATGTGGGATTTACAGTTGTGGGGTCCATTTTTGCCATTTTTGTATCCAAATCTCCACAGTCCCAGGAGTCAGTTGCATTTTAACCCAGGCTTGCAGTGGGAGAGATGTTTCGGCAGGAGTGGCGATAGCTCTAGAACTCAGGAAGCCCCCAAGAGCTCCCTGCATCTTCCTCAGGAGGGAGCTGAGGACTTCCTGCCAGCAGGCACCTCACCCACAGGGGTAGACCCACACTCCAGCAGCCTGGCCAAAGCCCACCCCTGCCATCCCTATAATGGGGGAGGGAGGAGCGAGGGGGAGGCCGAGGCTGCAGAAGACATGCTCACGAGGACCAGGACATGGGGCCCAACAACCTCCAGCTGTCACAGAGTTCCAGGTGTAAGTGGCACTGCTGGAGGCCACCACCTCACCTGAGAGACCTGGCCCGGGGTCACCTCCTCCATGGACACCTCCCTGGCTGCTCCAAGTGGAGCAGACCATCTCACAGCATAGCTGCACAGTAACTCCTAAACCACTATGTCCTCTGCCAGGGGGTCACTGGGATTGCTCCCCGTCATTTGGGGTCCCTGCCACCAAGGAAGAACTAGGCCAGTGGGAAGACAGAGATGTGAGCACTGCTGAGCTCTGGGGCTGGAAACCTACCAGGGCCCCTTCTGTCCAGACTGGGAGCTGTTGCAGTGACAGAGGCCTGCAGTGACCCCTGCTGTGAGCGGATTTCTGTGCAGTGCCCCAGAGCCCCTAAGCAGTCACCCTGGGCTCGGGGGACACTGCCCCAGCACTGTGTTGGGGAGCCAGAGAGTCCTGGCCTTTTTCAACTGCAGGAAAGTGGGCTCGCAGGGGTGGCCTGCCCAGGACACACAGCTGTGGGCCTGGAGCCAGGTGCTTGGATCTGATAGGACAGCTGTTTTTATTTGCTGGAGAGGTGACTTTGGAGGAGGAGCTGAGTGAGTCAAAGTGGAGATGACAGCCCCCTGGCAGTGAGGATGGAATCCGTGAGCCCCTCCCCAGGGTGTCTGGTCCCCTGAGGTCCAGAGGCCCCAGATGTGGGGCGGTCAGCACCGCCTGTGTTAGGAGCTGTGGCCTGCAGCACCTGGAGCCCAACATGCCGGGCTGGGCTGTGCGCCCTGGGCACGCTCAGGCTTCCAGGCTGGGCCCTCTGCTCCTCCGCAGTGCCCAGCTCCCCTCCAGGTAGGAGATCCTGGCAGGCACAAGCGTCTTCCCTGGATTCCAGGCCTCCACCGGTTGGTGGGAGCAGGAAGGGGCTGGGGCAGTTGCAGAGGCACAGAGGTGGGGCTCAAGCAGCCTTGTCCCCACCCTGCCACTTCCTGCCTTGCAGGGACACACAGGCCTGCCCCCGACATGCCCTCCTGCCTCGGGGTCTCTGCCCATCTGGCTTCCCAGCAGGGGCTGGCAGTGCCATTAGGACGCTGGCGGAGCTGCCCTCAGCTCCTCAGGCCGCAGCCCAGCTCTGCACCCGCAGCGTTTTCAACCATCTGCCGCGGGCCGGTGGGGGCTGGGTAGGGCTGTGAGGGACCAGACAGACCCTGTCCAGGAGGCCAGAGGAAGGCCCGCCCAGTGACCCACAGTGAGGTACCACCAGGTTGGGCCAGAGTCCAGGGCTTCGGCTCTGTCCCTCTGGTGCTGCTGGACAGCCGCAGTTTCTGTTTACAGTGGTTCAGCCCAGTACTGCCGCGTCTTCACTGCAGGGCTAAAGGTGGTTTTTTCTTTATGCAGACCACTCTGACTCTTCACTGATGCACTGTGCTCTAAGGAAACGGGCTGTGATTTTTGTTCCTAGTCAGAAAACACCACCCTGGCCATGGTTTGGGCAGTAGTCAGCAGGGCGTCCTGAGCAGCATTGCCAGGCCATTGTATCTGCCTAGCCTCTGGGGACTGGCAAGGTCAGCCTGCCCTTCCAGCCTGGAGGCTGTGGCTCAGCAGGTGAATAGTTCTCTTCAGTCAGTCACAGCCTGGGTCCAGGTGGACATGGGCTCCAATCCCAGTGCTGCCCTGACCAGCCATGTGGCCTGGGCTAGTTATTGAACCTCTCTGGGTCTCAGTTTCCTCATCTGCAGAATGAGAATAATTCATGCCTATGGGGTGACTGGGTAAAGCGCCAGGAGTTCAGTAAATTAATAATTCAGTTACTCCTGAGCCCAGGCTGCTGCCAGGCCCTCCTGGCCCCGCCCGGGAGCCCACCCTGTCATCTCATTCAGGTCCCTGGTGTATCTCCCTGAATAGATGGATTAGGTTCAGAGGCCAAAACAGGGCAGCAGTTTATTTTTTATTTCCCTCCCTTTGGAAGGGAGCCCAGCATAAGCAGACCAGGCTGGTGGAACGCCAAGGAAACACCAAGAACCCAGGCTCTTTCTCTTCGCTCTACAAAGTGGGGCTTCTGCCTCATGGTCCAAGGTGACTGCTGGTGCTCCGCGGTCACATCCGCTTTCCGGTCAGCAGCAGGAAAACAGGGCAAAGAAGGCTGTCTCTAAGGACATCCTGATGGCCGGACAGTCACACAGCCACACCTGGCTGCACATCATCTCCTGGGCGTCTTCCTCCTCAGGGACTTTCTGCACTGTTTTCTAAGCCTCTCTCTTGAGGGCCACATGAGCACAGAGCCCTGTACCACCTGGACTGCCTTTCCACCCATCCGTAAGAATTCAGCTCCCCTGGGTGAACCAAGGAGGCACCCCCACCCCCCATGCCACACTTTGCTAGAGGTAGGCAGAGCAGAAGCAGCGTCATGAGGCCAGCAGGCACCAGCTGGCCAGTCCTGTCCAGACCCAGGTGCCTCCGTCTGCCAGAGGGGGCAGGGCAGGGAGATGGGCCTCAGCCCTGCTGCTCCCTTCCTGCCAAGGGGCTGGGCTGAGGCTGGATCTCAGCTGACCCAGCTCCAAGCCCAGCCCATGCTTGAGGGGGTGAGTAGCCTTGGCCTCTCTGGTGTTGCTTCCTCATCTCTCCAGCTGGGACACGCCCAGGCTGTCAGGTCACTGGTGAGGGGCTCCCTGGGGTTGGGTCAGCCTCACCTGTCCATCCGGGTGTCCTGCCAAAGGTCCCATCAGCTGCAGGCTCTGCCTGCCCTGTGTGTGTCCTGAGGCAAGAGGGGGCTCTCTGGAAGGGGTGTGGGCAGCACAGCCTTCCCAGGAAGCACATGGGTGAGGACTGCCCCCTGTGCCCACACAGCACCTGACCACTGATGTCATGGGGCCCCTCTCCAGACCTGGGTATGTTTGGAAGCAGATTGAGTTAATGAAAAAAAAAAAATCTGACTACTCTTCTACAGACGTCACCAAGAAGGGACAGCCTTAGCCCAGCATTTTCTGTGTTGCATTTGTAGAGGGGCTCCCCAGCCTGCTGCCGCCAGCTCAGAACTTGATGATCTGGGTTTTTCTGCAGGCAGAGGGGAGGGGCTGCCTGCCCTTGGGCCAAGCCAGGCCTGGTGCTGCGGCACTGGGTCAGGTGCAGGCACACCAGAGCGGTGGGGAAGCCATTCCCTCTCAGGCAGTGGCTCACATGCCTGTGCCTCCTGGGAGCGGGTCGTCTCCTCTGGGCTGTCTCCCAATCCCCTGCCCTCCTGGACCTGCAGGTGCCCCCTCTCAGAAGGAATGACACCATGGACAGCCAGCCCGGCCTTGTGGCCCTGGAGAGCTGCGCCTGAGGGCTGCTTCCTGCCACAGGAAAGAGGAGGCAGCCACCCGCCCCAAGTGGGGCGCTCAGCGGCTTCCACCCCACAGTGGGACTTGGAGCCAAAATCAGACTTCCACTTTTTCTAACAAACTGGGCAGAAGCCGGACTGCTTGGTGCTGTCAGAGGCATGGGCACCGGGGGCCCCTGGTGGGGTTGGCAGCAGGCAATGCTGATGAGGGTGACGGTGGTGTGTTATGCCGTGAGCTCCCAGCTTTGGCGTCCTCCTGAAGGTTCTCATTTCCTTCCTGTGATGAGGATCCAGGCCTCAGTGAGGCCCGGTCGCTTTCCGGAGAGAGCCATCCTGGTACCCTGTGGTGTCCCATGGGTCTGGGGCAAGGCCAGCAGTCAGGGTAGGCTGGGGAAGCAGGTGCTGTCGCTGAGTGTGGCCGGGTGCTCACGCGGTCCTCAGAGGAATGTTCTCCCAGGTTGCCTCTCTGAATTTCTGGTGCCCTTGGAGTCCAGGTTTTGTTCTGTTGAGAGACAAAGTCTCGCTCTGTTGCCCAGGTTGGAGTGCAGTCGCACAATCACAGCTCACTGCAGCCTTGAACTCCTGATCCTGAGCTCAAGTGATCCTCCCACCTCAGCCTCCAGGTAGCTGGGACTACCTGGAGGTGTGCATCACCGTGCCTGACCTGGAGTAGGGTTTTTAAAACTAATCACTGAGATGCAACCTTCATGGTGTGGCCTCTGTCCTCATGGTGGGACCCCTGGTCCCTGGGAGATCAAAGCACACCATTGGAATAGAGCCCCTCTCAGAGCTTTCCTCACCACGCCATGTCCTTGTCCTTGGGGGCTAGAATGTGACAGGCATGCTTGTTGTTTCGCTGAAGCCGGCCCCCCAAGGACTCTTCCTCTGAGCCACGGAAAACCATTCATTTTCTTTCAGTAACTGAGTCAGAAGTAATGCAACAGTATTTCTTAAAAAAAAAAAAAAAAAAAAAAGGTTCTGTCATTCTGACTCTAAATGACAGCGTCCTCACCCACATTTAGGGAGCTTCCCCTCTGTTGGCACTGGTATAAAAATTGCCATTGTTTCAGGGTCTGAGTTTAGAAACTTGTGGGTTAGACCCTTGTTTCATGGAACCCACCCCCGCACCCCCATCAGCTTCGGGCATGGGAGGGGAGGGGCCTGAGGAACAGGGCTCACCCTGGACAAATGCAGTGCAAGCAGGACTGGTGCGGCCGGCCCCGTCTAATGGCCCCTTTGCAGCCTACACCCTGTCCCATGCAGCGGGGAGGCTTTTGTGATCTTCATTACATTATTTCTTATAAATCATTTCTTCTTGGGTCATATTTCCTATTAGGTTGTTTATGTAATGTTTAATTACAGACAATATAGAAATATATAAAGAAAATGTTATGGTCACATTTGGGCTTATGGGTTTTCACCGAACTCTCAACTCCTGTCAGTTCAAACATTTTTATAGTAAAATGTTGAAAAAAATTCATTATCTCACTGCCGAGACAGCCACTGAGTAGTCCATTTCTGTCCTGGGTGGTGTTTTTTCTGAACATGTATATATCTTACAAAACCATGACCACAGAGTGCTGTTGTCCTGCACATTGGAGGGGGATAGACCCTTGCTCGTGGAACCCCACAGTCAGCTCCAGGGGTTGGTGCAGGCCTTTCTCCACATCTTCAGGACTTGTCAGCTCCCCCTCCGTGAGCCGCAGGACCATCCACTGTGTGCCTGCCGTCGGCCTCCGCCTGCATGGCCATGACTCCCTGTGACAGCTCACACTCCAGTGCACACCCTCTGAGGCAGCCCTGCCATGTCTCAGCCCTTCCCTCCAGGGCCAGCACCTTCCCAGAGGTGGAGTTACTGCACCAGCCCCTCACCAGGCTCCAATCTCCTGTGCCCCTCCTTCGCCCGCCCCAGACTTCCCACATGCCCTGAACCAGGTTTGAAGTCTCATTTCTGGCTGGAGTCCTGAGCTTCCGGAAGGCAGAGTCAGCAATAAGAAGATGCAGGCATGAGTTTGGGTCAGATCAGCACTCGAAGGCAGAGGAGACAAAATGAAGCCGCCTGCAGCCATGGGCATGACCCACTGGAGGAGTGAGAGACAGGCACCATGGGCTGCAGTGCCCGGCCTGGTTGATGCTGGCCTCAGCTCGTGCCTGCCTGCCCCGCCCTCCTGCCTGGAAGGCACTCAGAGCTCATGGGCTGTACCTGCAGGATTTTCCCTGGGGTGCTGTATGTTTGAGTGGGGCTCCCAGGCCAGTTCTAAGTTTGTCCTGTAAGAATCCAGACTCTGGACTTTAGAAGTGGCCACGCCCTGACAGCAGTGCCTAGATCTTACCTGATTGTGGGGCACACTAAACCAGTGCCCAGAAAAATGTCAGAACAGCTTCAGGTCACAGAAGGCATTAAACCAAGCATAATTAAATGCCGAAGTGCATGATCCAGGCGATCATTCTGTGGGCTTTCACAAGAAGCTGCAGTTCGTGCAGACTAGAATTATTTCATAGCGCATTTCGAGTTCTTTGATGTTTCATGCTTCATCTTTGAAATCCATGTGAGTTTCACACTCAAGGCCATTACTCGTTCAACCTCGTTTTCCTATAGAGTGAACCGGACCCTCCTTGGTCTGGCCCTGCCTGTGTGCCTTAGCCTCACTGGCCATGTCCTCACCCTCCTCGGAGAAGCTGCCCTGTTACCCACAGAGGGTCTCAGGGGCTGACCCCTCCCGCTACTTGTGAGAGGGAGGGACGTAGGCCGGCTGCACAGACACAGGTGACCCCCACTACAGATAGGGCGCCTCGGGGATGGCCACACATCACAGCTGCTGCTCACTGACTGGATGGTGGTAGTGAGCAGCCAGTGGTGCAGACAGGGTCTCCCCGTCACCCTCAAGTGACCAGTGTGTGCCCCATTCAGGGGTGAACGCTGGGAGCCCTGAGTCTGTCCCAGTACATGGCACGTATAGGTGTCCACAGAGATCTGCTATGGATGTCAGGGTGCTGTGGGGGCCATGCAGCAGGACCGCAGCTTAGGGCTGTGCTCACAGAAGAGGCCAGAGGTTTGCCACCCTGAAAGAACCTCATTTGCCAGCAAAGTCACTGGGCAGGGTCCCCAGCCCCCCGCATCAGGTTGGCAGCAATGAGGGAGATCCCTTAGGAGAGAAGTGGCCCTGTTTGCATCCCCAAGGCACTCCTACTCCTGGACGGTGAACCAACCACCAGCCGGATGCTTGGGCCGGGCAGGACCTGTGGTTCCTTCCAGTGTGGCCACGGAGCATTCAGACTCATTAATTCATGGTTAGTTACTAAACCTCAGGGCAACCCCCACTGCCCTGGAAACCGGCCACCCTTGAGGTGGTCCTCCTTCACTGATACCCACAGGGGCCCTCCACCCCTTTTGTGGAGCCTGTCTTGCTCACCACAGCAGCGTAGCTCGTAGGAGGGGAGGAGAGGGGAGAGGAAGTGCTGAAGACGCCTGGAATCTGCTGGGCCTGGAGGTAGCAGGGGATTGCAAGCAGAGCAAAGGGTAGAGACTGGCGGGGAGCTCTGGGGACGGAGGCTCTGGCTTTACAAGACTGGTTCACCTGGAAGGCCAGCTGGGCCTCTCAGGCTGCCTTCTAGAGTCTCAATTTGTCTTTCTTCCTTTCTTTAAACTTTTATTCACACGAAGTGTTTGGGACATACAAAAGAACTTGCATAATGTACATAGGATAACAGTGAACACCTGTACCCCCAGCTGCTCACCGGAGGCACGAGGACATGATCAGCACCACGTAAGCCACTGTGAGCACCCAGCGCCATCCCAGCCCCACACCCCAGGGCTAGCCTCTGACTTGAATTTTCCTGTTTCAGCTCATCACTTTTTTAAAAAAACAGGCCGGGCTCAGTGGCTCACGCCTGTCATCCCAACACTTTGGGAGGCCGAGGCAGGCTAATCACCTGAGGTCAGGAGTTCGAGACCAGCCTGGCCAACATGGTGAAATCCCATCTCTACTAAAAATACGAAAAAATTAGCCGGACGTGGTGGTGCATGCCACCACGAGTAATCCCAGCTACTCGGGAGGCTGAGGCGGGAGAATTGATTGAACCCAGGAGGCGGAGGTTGCAGTGAGCCAAGATCACACCACTGCACTCCAGCCTGGGCAACAGAGCGAGACTGTCTCAATAATAATAATAATTTCAACATGTATATGTGTGTCCCTGAATAGTGTTTTCTGGGGATTTGTTTGTTTTTGAGAACTTGATAAAATACACGTTACCATCATAATCCAGTCCTGATGTGCAGTGCCTTCTTCGTCACCTTTCCCATGGTGTTGTGAGTAGCTACTGTTTGTTCATTTTTATTGCTGAGTGGAGTATGCCACCGTGGAGGTGAGCACGCCACCGTGGTGGGCATTTGGCACTGTTACCAGAAGGCTGCTGCAGCCTCCCCAACACCTCCTGGTGTGAACAGCAAGGTTCCTCTGCGACGTGCATCTGGGAGAGGACTGACCACATCTTGGGGAATGTGTACCTTCTGCTTTCCAGTGAAGACACTTGGAGATGACTGTTCTCACCGTCTCGTTCACATCCGTAAGCAGATCGCCCTGCATTCGTGCCTACTCTTGCTGCTGCCCGGCTTTGCCTTCCCACCGCTCTCCTGGTATTGCCTGTGGCTTCCTGTGCCTCTGCCTTGGTAACTGATGCAGTGGAGCCTCTTTCCATACACTTTGTTGGTCAGTTTCCTCGTTTTCTTTTACTTTTAATTTTTTTAAAGTAATTCATACACATACTTAAAAACAGGTAGTTCCAGTTGGCTTATGATGAAAGCCAGCAGATCCGCTTTCTCTTTCCAACCTCTCCAGACAACCATTTGTGGCTTTCTCAGTATACTTCCGGTGTTTACCTTCATATTTCTAAATAACATATAGTGCTATTTCTTAATTTATTGATTTAGATATTCTCTGTTTACTTTGTTTCGATAGATGAAGGTGAAGCGTTCTTACACCCTCACACAGTCTGTCCTCACCCCACCCATCACCCACATACAGTTAAAACTCACGTTTTTATTAAATCAGTAATCACTGTTTACATGATGATGCCTTCAAAACCATCATTTACCGCTGAGGCAAGTAGTGTACTTCATTTTCTTTTCTATGTAACTTTTTGTTTTTCCTGGAATTAATTATTGCTATGTCTTTTTACTTGCTTTATTTTCTATCTTCATGGATTAATTTTTTCCAAATGATTCCAGAATCTGCCACACACCTACCATTCATTTTTTCCCACCAAATGCTCAGTTGTGTCAGGCCATCTGTCCATTCCCCCTCCACCCCAACTCCTTTTTTTTTTTTTTTTTTTTTTTTTTGAGACGGAGTCTCGCTCTGTCACCCAGATGCGATCTCAGCTCACTGCAGCCTCTATCTCCTGCATTCAAGTGATTCTCCTGCCTCAACCTCCCAAGTAGCTGGGAACACAGACATGTGCCACCACTCCCGGCTAATTTTTGTATTTTTAGTAGAGATGGGGTTTTGCCACCATTGGCCAGGCTAGCCTCAAACTCCTGACCTCAAGTGATCCACCCACCTCGGCCTCCCAAAGTGTTGGGATTACAGGTGTGAGTCACCACGCCTGGCCTTTGCCCCTTTTTTCCTAGAGCTTCTGTCCCCCTGCTCCTGACAGGCCCAGTGGGATGTTTTGCTGACATCCTGGAACCGTCCCCTGGGTTGGAGCTCCTGGCTTCCAAGTTTGTTTGTTTGTTTGTTTGTTCTGTTTTTTCTTTTCCTTTTTTGCTAAATGAGATGCCTACTCCAGGATCTTCCTAAAATAAGATTCACAGAAGGTAAATTTCCTAAGTCTTTGTATGTCTGAACACATCTCTACTGTCCATACTTGATTGATAGTTTGGCTGGGTATGAGATTGGTCATTTTCCTTCTGCCTTTTGAAGACCGTGCTCCAATGGTTTCTAACATACGGCGTTGCAATGGAGAAGCATGCCATTTATGTATTGTTTTTTTTGTCCAGATGCTTCAAGGGTCAACTTTTTAGTCCTCTGTTCATTCCCCACATTCATTTGCTCGGCACTTGGTCAGCCATTTCAGTCTCCGTGAATGATGTACTCCAATTCTGGTTATTTCTGTCATCATCTCCTCTATTTTCTCTCTCCCCTCTTTCTGGAAGCCTTGCTGGCAGGCACTTGGAGCACCTGAATGGATAGACCCTGCTGGATAGTGATAGGCACAAAGCCCCTGCTTTGTGGGGTCCCAGGTGTCAGTGCAGGGAAGACTGCTCTGGGGCACAGACCCTTCAGCAGGGGGTGCGAGGCAGGGATTAGATGAGCCTGGGCTCCTGAGGGCAGGGGCTGGGGACCACCGTGAGTGTGCAGACCATTCCTCAAACCTCTGAGCCATGAGCCGCCCCCTTGGCACCTCCAGAGAGCACATGTCAGAGAGCTGCCTAGATCTGGGGTGGGCCATTTGGGGAGTCCTCTGCACCTCGCCACACCCCGCCCTCTTCCTGCTTCTGTTTGACACCTCCACCCCGCCTTTTGGCAGATGACAGACTGGAGAGTAAACAGCAGATGCGTCTGGCAACGCATGCAATGGAGGAAAGAGGACGGAGCACAGGAGGTGGGACAGGGCAAGGCGCAGCTGGGGCACCAGACCAGAGGATGGCCAGGACGTGCCTGTGGCCAGCAGTGCCTGCAGTGTTTGGCAGAGGGAAGGGGACAAGGCAGAGGGGAGGGGAGGGCTCTGCGTGTTGGGCATGGGACTGGACGCCTCTGGCTCCTAAAGAGTCCCACCGGCTATGGAGGGGCGTGCCAGGTAGTGGCTTCCATACCGTTCAGGCAGGTGTAGGTAGGAACTGGACGGTGGCCAAGGGCAGGTCACCCTGCCTGGATCAGCTGTCACATCTGCAGAAAGGGGCAGGAACACCCACATTTGGCTGCTGGCCTCACAGGCAGCTTCTAGAGTCTGGCTGGCCCTTTGTCTATACCACAGGCCGTGTCTAGGGGACAGAACAAGGGGACCCAGGGCATGGCAATGTTCTGAGCAGAGAAGGTGCACAGGGAGCCGTGGGGACAGCGTAAGCCATTGGGCCTTAGGGCAGGGGCCTCGGTCAGCTCCTAAGGCTCCCCCAGGTGCAGTGTCCGTTGCGCCATTTTATTACAAGACGCAGAGCCGCTGGGCCAGCACTGCTAATATCTTTGAACACACCCGCCTCCCTGGTGTGGTTCCCCAGCAGCTGTCCCTGCAGCGGGAGGCCTTGGTCCAGAAGGGTTATGTGGGACATGGGCGCAGGAAGGACAGGTGAGGCTGACAGGCTTGGTCATTCCAGGGACCATGAGGGCTTTCGCTGGCTCAGGTGCCCCTTTCCCCTGCCGTTGCCCCTGTTGGTGCCTGCTAGACCTCCTGTGCACAGAAGGCCTTGGCAGAGGAGAGAGCCAGGCCTGGGGCAGTAAAGGAGAAAGCTTCCCCTCCAGTCCTCTGAGGGCCCCGGACTTAGATGGCTTTCAAATGAGTGTCTGTCTTCAGCAGCTCACCCTCCCAGCTTTTTCAGAAACCAAAGAGTAAATTGCTCACGGCTTCTCTAAGTGGCTCACACACAAAAAACCCGAGTCATTTCAATGGCTGGACCCAGAAAATCGAGCCCTCTTCTCTCCTCCCTGTCTCTGGCCCCCAACTCTGCCTCAGTTGCCCTGGGGTCTCACTGTCCCCTCAAGACACTGCCCCTGCAGGCGCAGGCAGAGAGGCCTTTGTTCCCCTCAGCTGTGTCCCCTCAGCTGTGTAGAGAGGATGCTGCCGTCGGACACGTGGTAACTGAGCCTGCTGCCACCCCCACCCGTGATGGTCAGTAGGTCGCGTGCCATCTGGGGCTACTAGAGCCGGCCCACTGTGCATACTACATGTGCCTGCTGGGTGCTCTGGGCTCTTCTCGCACTCCTGCACTGGCAACCGCTTATCTTTTTGAGCTGGGTCTTAAAGGTGGAGAGGTCTGACCAAGGGGCGGTCACTCACACTGGCATTCCAGTGAAGGGCATGGCCCATGCAGAGACCAGGGGTGATATACCCGTGTCCTCCTACCTGCAGACCGTGACGGTGCTGGGGAGGGGAGGGGGCACCAGGCCACATCGGGAGGGCAGCAGGTAGACGCTCCAGCCCCTCCACGGCAGAGGCCCTGAGCTTTGCAGGGGTGAGGAGGCTGTCATTCAGAAACGTCGCTGCCAGGGAGAAGGGACTTAGAGAAGGGAGCCTTGTGGCTGTGGCCCATGGCTGCCCTCACCACCAGGCTCCTGCCTTCAGGTGGCCAGGGGCCATCTGAACGCCCAGGGGACCTGGGTATGGGGTTGGTGTAGACCATGTCTTGGCCCTTCCCAAGGTGCCGGCTTCACCTCCATCCCTCTGTGCTCTGGTGCTGACCTGGCATTTGCAGTTATGTGCCCTAGTGGCAGCCGCTCGAGCTTGGCTGCCAAGACCCACGGTGTGGTCAGACCACTGTGTGCGGCTGAGGAATGAGTTCCTCCCAGGAGGGGAAAGCCCTCGGGTCAATCGGGGCCCTCGTGCCCACCCGTCACTGCAGGCCAGGATCGTGGCAGGTGGCAACCCCAGCTTTGAGTGCTGCGTCTTCTGGGGCTGCAGCCGCCCACTGTGAGCAGGAGGGTGAGGGCAGGTAGAGTCTGTCCTGCCATGAAGCTGGAGGCTTTGACAGCAGGGGCGGACAGAACTGAGCAGAAACACTTCACAGCCTGGCCACGAGCTCCCCGCTTTGTGCTCCCTCCCTCGCATTTCCCCGTGTTCTGCACCCCCAGAGCTGAGGAGCCAGGGCCCTTGTCCAGGAACAGGCTGGATCGAGGCCTGGTGCCTGCATGCATTCCCAGGTGGGAGCCAGGCAGGTGACCCGGACCCTCCACCAGCCCAGAAGCAGCCCTTCCACCGAGGGGCCTCACACCACTTCTGCCTGCTCCCTCAGTCATTAGGCCCAGCGCTGGCTAGGTGGCTCCAGACATGACCAGCAGGCTCTAAGGCTCATCAGCGTCTTCTGGAGCCTGCACGATACACACACAGGCACAGGCTACACCATGGGAGACCCCATCTGCAGGGTGCCAAGCCCTTGCATGCTTGGGCCTCTGACGGGATCTGTCCCCGCTGCTAACCAGGCACAGGGCAGCTTGCTCTGCAGGTCTTCCAGTCAGCTAGCACAGACCCTGGCCAGTGTCATGACTCTGTGGCCCTGGGCAAGTCACACACCCTCTCTGGGCCATGGGCAGAGGAGCTCATGATGGAGGCATGCCTTGGGCTTCAGGGGATGGTCCCTGAATGGGTGTGGGGCTGGGGCTGAAGGACCCGCCTGTGGGCTGGGGCGCTGAAAATGGGAGAGGAACTGAGCCATTTGTGTTTCCCAGATGGGGCCTGCTGCACTGTGCACAGCGTGTCCTTGCCCTCAGAGTCACCCTTGGGGCCAGAGTCCTTGTGGCTGTAACTCACAGGGTCATTGGCTGGGGCTAGGAGGGCAAGCTTCTCTGTTGGTGGACACATCACACTGTGGTTTTTTGTGTTCAGAAGAAACCTGCCACACTGGCCTGTCTCCATCCATTTGGTCACGGCCCCACAGGAGTGGGGAGCGGAGGTCCATGCGGCCCTATGCCTCCCCTGGACACAGGGTCAGCTAGGAAGGATATGGATAGCCTCTTCTGAGCAGTCAGGGCCTCGTGAGCCTGAGGCAGGAGACAGAAGCCTGCCCCGGCCGCCTCGGGCCCTTACTCCCTGGCCCTTGGTCATTATTGTTTCTAAAACGTTTGTCTCACCTGCTACCTGAAGAAGGTCCCGCCCTCTGGCCCTTGAGGCCCCGAGTGCCCAGGAGCTGCTGCCATCAGCATGGATGGGTGGTACCAGGCAGGCTGTGGGTGCAGGGTGCTTGGGGAGGGCCAGGTGTGCCTTGGGACGTGTGAAGTGGGAGCCTGGAGCAGGGAAACTGAGGCCTGCTCTCGCCCCTGCTGCCCACAGCTTATCTGCCCCCTGGAGACCAGCCGTGCCTGACCCTGGGGTCGTCAGCTCAGTCCTGCTGGGTCCTTCCTCCACCCCATCTGCTGAGAGCTCCTCCAGGGCAGGGTCTGAGCCTGCCAGGCCACAGAAAACACTGGGCGGATGACAGCTGCCTGTCCCTTCCTCGGCAGTCTGCATGCAGTAGTGCTGGCCTTGCTGCCTGCCCCTGGAGCCATCACTGGCTACCCCGCCTGCTTCAGAGCTGCCACCCCTGGGGCTTTCTGACATGTCCTCATAGGCGGGGGTGGCCTGCAGTGGCACCGCACCACTTGCCAGGCACTGTGCCTCCCTCCCTGCAGGGAGGTGTGCGGTCAGATCAGGCAGTTGCCAGCGGACACCAAGAAGCGCTTTGTGCTCCCCGGGGTCCCTCCATGCCCCCCACCCCCACCCCTGCCCAGGGCAGTGTGAGGGGAGGAGGGGAGCAGTGTGGGTACACTTCCATGTTGCCATCTGGGGAATCCTGGCGGGGGGTCAGGGCCCTTCTGGAGCTGCTCCCCCGGGCAGTGAGGGGCCCTGTGGGCTCCTAGGCTGCCTGCCTGGCCCTGGTTCTACTTGGCCTGAAGCCCACCCACCCCAGCGTGGACAGGAGCCAGGAGGAGGAGCCCTCTAAGAATGACTGCAGCCTCTCCCGGGGCTGAGCCCACACACACACACCGGGCATATCCACAGCCGCCACCACGTTTTACCCACCTGTCCAGTGTCCTGACGCCTCCAGCCCAGCGTCATAGCGAGCCTGGCAAGGACATGCTTCATGCTGGGCTCCTGCCGCGCAGGGGAGGGTGGGAGGTGGAGTCTTCCTTGGGTCGTTTCTCCCTTGTGCACGCACCGTTACATACTGTGCAATGCGTTGGTGTCTTGGGGGACAACCCAGCAAGTAGAGTTGGTGTATACGTCATGGCTTCCTCTGGGGTCCTGGGCTGGCTGGTCCGCTGGGCACCCCCCCCCCAACCACCACCAGGCCTTGGCAGGACCCTGGGACTGGGACTGGAGGTGACCCTCGCTGGCCCCTGCCCACCTTCTGTTCCTGCTGAGTGGCTCTTTGGGTGGCACCATGCCCAGGCTGTAAACAGCTGGTGAAGACTGCTGGCCTCAGGCGGCTGTGGCTCTGCGACTTCTCTGGATGCGGTATTGGTGGCTCCACCCACCAGCAGGAAAAAGTCAGGTTGTCCCTCCAGAGGAGCCAGGCCAGGCGCTGCAGGGCACTGTGGTGGTCATCCTGGGTAGCCATGTGACCGTGGCATGCTCCTTGGCATCTCTGATACCGGGTTTTGAAACGACTGAGAGCTAAGTGCAGGAGTTGGTTGGCATTAGAGGCGAAGCCCAAACTCCTGTAGTGGGGACTTTGACTCAGAGCAGCCCTGGTAGCCCCCCTCATGCTGCGTCACAGCCCTCACCTCCTCTCCCCGTCTCCTTGCAGGAAGTTCTACTACATCACCCTGCTACGAGACCCCGTGTCCCGCTACCTGAGCGAGTGGCGGCATGTGCAGAGGGGTGCCACGTGGAAGACGTCGTTGCATATGTGTGATGGGCGCACGCCCACGCCTGAGGAGCTGCCGCCCTGCTACGAGGGCACGGACTGGTCGGGCTGCACGCTACAGGAGTTCATGGACTGCCCGTACAACCTGGCCAACAACCGCCAGGTGCGCATGCTGGCCGACCTGAGCCTGGTGGGCTGCTACAACCTGTCCTTCATCCCCGAGGGCAAGCGGGCCCAGCTGCTGCTCGAGAGCGCCAAGAAGAACCTGCGGGGCATGGCCTTCTTCGGCCTGACCGAGTTCCAGCGCAAGACGCAGTACCTGTTCGAGCGGACGTTCAACCTCAAGTTCATCCGGCCCTTCATGCAGTACAATAGCACGCGGGCGGGCGGCGTGGAGGTGGATGAAGACACCATCCGGCGCATCGAGGAGCTCAACGACCTGGACATGCAGCTGTACGACTACGCCAAGGACCTCTTCCAGCAGCGCTACCAGTACAAGCGGCAGCTGGAGCGCAGGGAGCAGCGCCTGAGGAGCCGCGAGGAGCGTCTGCTGCACCGGGCCAAGGAGGCACTGCCGCGGGAGGATGCCGACGAGCCGGGCCGCGTGCCCACCGAGGACTACATGAGCCACATCATTGAGAAGTGGTAGTGGCGGTGGTGGCCACGGGGAGGCCTCTTGGGGGGTGTGGGGGATAAAACAGGACAGACGACAGGTCCACCCAAGACTGTCAAGGGATGAGCATCCCAAACCTGCTCCACAGAGGTAGCTGCGTCCTGAAAAAAAACAGAGCAGGGATGTAGTGGGGCTGGGCAGGGATGGGGGCTTGAGAAATCAACAGGTGCAGCCCAGTGGGTCAGAGGAAAGCGTGCTCGAAGGATGCCATGGTCAGGGCAGGGCCTCCAGAGCAGGTGTTGTGCCTGGAGCTGCTCTCCTGGCCTCCTTGGATTTATCGCAAAAACTGAAGGTTTGCGCAAGAGACGAGGACAGCGGAAAGTGGACCTGCCAGGCCGGGAGTGTGTCCCTCACCAACTATGCACACAGCACTCGCTCTTAGCTCCTCTGTCCGGGCTACTAGGAGTGAGACCAGCTTCTGGCAACTGCCCCAGCTCCAGGCCATCCCATAGCCCCTCCTCTTCTGGCTGCCCCCAATGCCCCGAGGCCTGGGGAGCCCCCAGCTCACCCATCTGTAGCTCCCTCAAAGTCAGGGCCCACCCCATCTGAGGCAGAGAAGACTCGAGTCCAGCCCCCAGGAAGCCTGCTCCCCTCTCTGGCCCATGGTCCTGCTTCATGCTTTGGGTCAGGAGGCCAAAGCTGATGTTCAGGCCCCACCCACTCCCTACAGTCCTCAGACCAAGGAGGGGTTTGGGTAGTAGGCCCGAGCTGCATTGCCGGCCTTCCTCGGGCCAACTGGCAGCCCAGGAGTGGGGAGGCTTTGGCCAGGGATGCTGCCACTTGTGCGTGAGTCCGCGGCTGGCCCTTGGAGGTGACCATCCAGGCAGGCCTGGCTCAGACTGGAAGGGCTGGGGACCGAGGGCTCCCCTGCCTCTGTTCTCCTTTCTGACCCACTGGGATTTGCTAGCAGGCTGCCCCAGCCCCATCACCGAAACACATACTCAAGAGCTCAAATACCACTGCTCCCACCAGCGTACGGATTAAGTTCATCAGGCTTCCATCGGCTGGAGCATGGGACCATAGCCCCTGCCCAGGAGCCGTACCCTCGGACCACAGTGGCTCTGTATGGCCAGGAACTGGGACTCGAGCTTTCAGATTCTCAACTAGCCTTGGCAAAACAGCTGTAGGTGGCCTCCCTGACAACAGACACTCAGCCCTCCCCACCCTGGCTCTCCTTGCATTTCCCCATGCTCCCCACCCCCTGGCAAAAGGCTGGCCATGCTCTGTTCCCAGCAGCCGCGCAGGTTTCCCCACTGGCTGCAATGGCCCTACCAAAAGCCATGTTGCATATCCGTTGTAAGCACGTGCCCTGTGCCCTGTCCCCATTCCTTATGCCCTAGGAGGCCAAGCTGGTGTCTCTAGGAGGGCCCACACAGGCACCCTGGATCCCCCAGAGAGTAGATTGGTGTGCTCAGGCCGCAGGCTGACTCAGAGGTAGGGCAGTGGGCTCTGCAGGCCACCTGGCTGGGGTTGGTGGGGGTCCTCTCTCCTGCCCCAGCTTCCACTCAGCCACCACAGTTGCCACACCATGGGGTGGAGACGTGGGTCACCACGGGCTTGGGAGCAAGCGCCTTCTGCAGCACAGGAAGCCGAAGCTGGGGTCAGGTGAGGTCGCTACCCCTGGAGGTCTGGCATAAGGGCCCCACCCTCAGGTCTCCTACACTGGCCCCATTTTACTTTGGGGTCCAAGGACAGGATGGTCAACAGGGCAGGGTGGACAGCGTGCCAGCGCCGCGCAGGGCCACCTCCCTGGGTGGATGCATCACACTAAGGAAGTGAGTGCCAAGGGGATTTAGTGGTGTGGTTCTTTCAAAGGGAGGTCAGGGTCAATGGGAATCTGCTCGGACACTCAACATGGGGGTGGGTGCACTCCTTGGAGGAGGAGGAACACGTTCAGGGGATTGTGAGGTCTTGCACAAGCCACGTGGGGCACCTTGGCTTCCCGGCAGGAGGTGGACACCCAGCCAGAGGCCTGGCTCAAGGTGACCTCACCTTCACCATGGGCTTCCTGGGTGCGCGGGCCTGAGCGCAGGTTGTTTTGTACATATTGGAATATGTGTTAACTTATGCCCCGCATCCCAACTCACACGGAAGCACGGGTCTTGTCTCAGTCTCTTCGCTGCATTTGGAAAGCAGTCTCCTCTCGGGCCAGCGCCGGGCTGAGGTGTCCAGAGGCGGCGGCAGCTGGCAGTGCCCTCAGCCCCCAAGTGTCCAGCCTGGCACTTCCCATTCAGGCCACCTGCTTTGGGTCAACAGTTCCTTTGCCAGCAGCATCTCCTAAATTGTAAGGACTCTGTCCACCGGGGCCCTCCCAGGGCTGTGAGGACGGAAACAGGCAGGGAGTGGAGCTAACAGCTTAGTCACCAGGACCCCCAGACCTGCAAACGTCCCCTCCTGGAAGGGGAAGCCAGGAACAGCAGAACTGCCCACAAAACAAGGCTGTGAACTTTTCGGGAACTGGAACTGTTTAACTTGAACCCAGGATTGTTTAAAGCTTTATTTATTTATAGCTTCTTCTTAAAAAAAAGTGTTGAAGAAATTTTTTGGTTATTCATACAAAAAAATGAGTTGATGATGGAAAAGCAAGTCATAATCATCTAATTGTTTTTGTCTAGGTCGAGAATGAATGTTAGCTGATGAAATAAACCCTGACAAGGAGTGGCGGGTGTGCTGTGGTCTCTGCGGGCATAGCTGCCCCTCCCAGTGGGGTCTCACACCACGTCCCAAGGGCGGGGTGCTTTGCACAGGTGCAGGAGGCTCAGTGAGGAAAGTCCCATTAAGTAAGGCATTCTGAAAGAAAAAATGGGACTTTGTCATCACCATAAAGAGTAACCGTTTATTAATCATTAGTGATAGTATTTGGGAAGATGACACCAGTTGAGAGGGAGGCAGGTGCCACTGAGTTACATTCTCATTAACCTCTTCCCTCCCTGTCTTTGGAAATTTTGAAAGATTTCAAATGACAAAGAGAGTGGAGGAATAGTTCATGGACACCCACATGCTCTTGGCCTAAATTTTTCACCTTCTCTTATCCTGTGCCCACACTTTCTCATACACGCACACACGCGCGCTTTTCTGAAACATCTGAAAGTAGGTTGTGATCATCAGAATACTGCACTCCTAAATCCATCAGCTCGTGTCTCCTAAGGACGTTCTGCCACAAAACTCAACCCTGTTATCCCAGCCCCCCCCCCAGATTTTATAACAATACAGTATTTTCCAATATCCAGATCTTCTGGTTGTCCTAGAGATGTCTTCAGAGCATTTTGTAGCCCCAGGACCACACGGTGCCCCATGTGCCTCTCCTGTCTCCTTGAATGGAGGAGAGGGTCCCAGCTACCCCTTCTTTTTTCCGTCTTTCTTAGGATTGACATATTTGACTAGTAGAGACCAGTTGTCTTAAAAGGTCTGCTGATGTTGGCCGGGCGTGGTGGCTCACACCTGTAATCCCAGCACTTGGGGAGGCTGAGGCGGGCGGATCACGAGGTCAGGAGATCGAGACCATCCTGGCTAACGCGGTGAAACCCCGTCTCTACTAAAAATACAAAAAATTAGCCGGGCTTGGTGGCGGGCACCTGTAGCCTCAGCTACTCAGGAGGCTGAGGCAGGAGAATGGCATGAACCCGGGAGGCAGAGCTTGCAGTGAGCTGAGATTGCGCCACTGCACTCCAGCCTGGGCAACAGAGCAAGATTCCTAAAAAAAAAAAAAAGAAAAAAAAGAAAAAAAACTACAGATGTCAGTTTCCTAGTGGTCAGATTCGGTGAAATTGGGTAGGAAGGCCCTCGGGTGAGGCACCTTCCATCAGCCCAGGTGTCCTGTGGCTCTGTTCCCCAGATGAGGGAAGTCCAGCCTCCCCACTCAGCCCCTGGGGAAACCCAGCCATAGTGGTCACCTGCCAGCTCATACCTGCCACCATCCCAGTGACAAAGGTCACCAGGGTGTTTCTGGGAGGGTCACGGCTTCTACCTGCCACCATCCCAGTGACAAAGGTCATCAAGGTGTTTCTGGGAGGGTCACGGCACAAGTAGGGCAGGAGTCAGAACGTAGCT
The DNA here is from genome assembly GCF_000001405.40 of Homo sapiens. Classification (NCBI taxonomy): domain Eukaryota; kingdom Metazoa; phylum Chordata; class Mammalia; order Primates; family Hominidae; genus Homo; species Homo sapiens. The sequence goes on along the minus strand of NC_000002.12, from coordinate 128,264,087 downwards.
GCCTTCTTAAAACCCCAGTCTCAGACTCCACGTCAACACCTGCTCATGCCTAGGTAGAGTGCGGAAGGGAGGAGCAGAGGCCAGACGCCAAGAGGAACTCCCGAGTCCTTCCTGGACACTTCATGCGGAGGTTTATTTGGGGTGTGGACCAGCCCTCAGCCTGGCTTCTCCCTCGGGGGAGCCAAGATGGAAGCTTCCTCCACCTTCTGATAGTACCACTGGACTCTGTAGGGCCAGTGTCATGATCAAAGGTGAAATCAGACCTGAAAATACCTCACCCAGAATGGGGGTTTTCCTCTTCCTGCTTCTCTTTAGAGTTGAAGGCCACCTTTTTTTGTTTTTAAAGACAGAGTCTTGTTCTGTTACCTGGCCGAAGGCCACTTTATTAAAGTCCACCTGAGGCCAGGTGCGGTGGCTCACGCCTGTAATCCCAGCACTTTGGGAGGCCGAGGCAGGCAGATCACTTGAGGTCAGGAGTTCGAGACCAGCCTGGCCAACATGGTAAAACCCTGTCTCTAACCAAAAATATATAGTCGGGCGTGGTGGCATGCGCCTGTAATCCTAGCTACTGGAGAGGCTGAGGCAGGAGAATCGCTTGAACCCAGGTGGCAGAGGTTGCAGTGAGCGGAGATCATGCCATTGTACTCCAGCCTGGGCAACAGAGCAAGTCTCTGTCTCAATAAATAAATAAATGAATGAAGTCCACCTGAGCCAAAGACTCAGGAGGCTCAGGCCTGCCCCCTGCCCAGCTCTCATCCCCACTTCCTGCCCACTGCCACAGAGTCCCCACTGTGAGCGTCAGGCTCACCCGATCCTCCGAGGTCCCCTGCCCCCTTCTATCCTGCCAGGGAAACCCACATCTGCCCTTGCTCCCGGGCCTGTGGGTTTGGACAAAGGCAGCTCCTCTACCACCCAGCCTCGTGGCCAGCGCCATATGCCTCATCCCTCCTGCCCCGGCGTTCTGTCTTCACACCAGTTGCTCCAGCCATGGCCAGCCACGGCCCTGTCCCTGGATGGGCCTGTTAGGCCTGCTCCCCACTGCTCCCCTTGGGCTTCATGCCAAAGCCATCAGGCCAGTATCAGTCCTCACACCCTGTTCAGCTGGGGGCACCTTTGCACACAGCGCTGGGTTCTCTTCCTTGGGGAAGCTGGGCCCCAACTAACCCTACCTAGACGTGGTCTAGGTGCCTGGCTTGGGGCCCCTGGTCCCCTTCATTGTGGCACAGAGAGGAACCCATCCTCAGGCCACCCTCGCAAAGGTGGGAGCCCTAAGTCCTCTCCCGGGAGTGTACACCTGGACTCGGGGAGCTTCCAGCCTAGGAGGACTCGGAGGGCACACAGTGTATTCATGACATGAGGACACCTTCCTAGGAGGGCCTCACCTCAGGGCTCCAAGGACACCCCTGGCGGGGAGAGCCTGGGTCTGGGTCCCCTGACATGTAGCAGCAGCAGCAGAGAAACCTGCAGGAGTCGCTTTGTCAGATGAGGTCTTGGGTTCCAAGTGGACCACTGGCTGCTGTTTGCTCCTGTGCCTCCATTTCCTTCTCTGTGAAATGGGAAGGCTGGGCCAGGTGTGGTGGCTCACGCCTGTAATATCAGCACTTTGGGAGGCCGAGGCAGGCGGGTCATCTGAGGCCAGGAGTTCGAAACCAGCCTGGCCAACATGGCAAAACCCCACCTCTACTAAAAATATTAAAAATTAGCCAGGAGTGGTGGCGGGCACCTGTCATACCAGCTACTCGGGAGGCTGAGGCAGGAGATCACTTGAACCCAGGAGGCGGAGGTTGCAGTGAGCCAAGATCACGTCACTGCACTCCAGCCTGGCAACAGACTTCGTCTCAAAAAAATAAAAAAAAGAAATGGAAAGGCTGCTGTGAGGATCTGGCTGCATCGGGGGAGCCAGGCCTGGCCCCACACCTGCCCACAAAGGCGGACAAAACACTGACCACAAATGAGCCACCTGGGGGCTTGTTGAAAGCACGGAATCCTGGCCCCACCCACTGCCTTGCCGCTGCCCAGCAAAACCATGTGGGCCCAGCCTCTCCTGTGGGCACACCCACACACTGTCCCTCTCTCTCCCCTTTCTTTCCCCCAAAGGGCCATGACCGTTTTCCATGCAGCCCTGCCCGGCCCTGCCATCCTGCTCCCAGCCCCACGCTGAGAGGACACCTGTCTGCCTCCCTCCTGCCGGCCCTGCTCCCTGCTGCCTTTCACTGGCCTCCAGCTCTGTCTGCACCAACACTCCCAGCTCAGCCCCGGGCCTCGGGCTTCAGGGGGGACTTGGGCTCCTGGGGCAGACCCAGAGGAGGGTCTGAATTCATTCAGCACTGCCCAGACTTGCCCAAAACGTGGCCTCTTTAAAGAAACTACTTACATCCTGTTAAGCCACTCGTCCCCTAGCAGGGACAGGGCGCTCACACATGGTCCCCCTCACCCCACCTTGTAGAGGGATCATTGGTCTCGCCAGGACCGCCAGCTTCTGCCTTCAGCAGCTCCACTGCAGGGGTGTCCAGGGCGGCAGGAACTCAGAGTCTAGTCTCTTGGCTCGGGCGAGACACAGAGACCCCTTCTGGGGCCCAGTCTGTCCCCTCTAATGGATGCCCTGCCCTGAGCCCCCACCTCAGCCCCAGGTCCCCCTCGCACCCCAACCGTGTCTGAGCGCCCACTGCCGTGTCTACTGCACTGCACCCAGCCAGGCCTGCCAGACGCCCCTCGCAGGATTCCAGGTGGGCGCCACAGCCCATCTCCCAGCGCCCGGTCCCAGCAGAGGCCACAGCCATGGAGGGCTGAGGTGGGGTGTCTTCCCTTTCACCTGTGCCCCGAGACTTCCCCACCCCTTGCACCTTCTCACTGTCCCCTGCGACAGGGCGTCCTGACTGCCCTGTCCTCCCACCCTGCTCTGTGGCTCCTCGGAGCCCTGTGATTTCTATGCAAGAGGAAGCCTGGGGACTTTGGAAAACACTTTTCTTTCTCAAACAAAAAGCCAGGCATTCAAGACAAGCCTCTCCAAGACTCCAGGGAGTCAGCCTGGAGCCGTGTGGCTCAGGCTCAGGAATGCTTCTTTGTTCCCTGCGGTGCCCGCCCAGCCCCAGAAGCCGAGAAGGCCCGGGTCCCAACCCGGGGAGCACCAGGCAACGTTGCTCGTGAGGGCTGAGCGGGTGGGCCCACTGCTGCACAGCGTCCTCTCCGGGCAGCACCGCCTGATGATGCCTCAGGCACAGCAAGAGCTGGAAGGGGCCCTCGGCTCTGGGAGAAGGACTTCCAGGAGAGCTGGCTGAGCTAACAAAGGCCGCTTGTGTGACTCACGCCCTTGCTTAGGAAGCGGCCCTGCACAGCCTGGCTGCTGCTTCTGGGATCTGCCGAGAAGTGCCGCTCGGGAAGTGGCCTGAAGTCGGTCCCTTTCCAGCGGGCACTCCATGAGGGCAGGGGTTTTTCTACCTGGAAGATCTGAAACTCAGGCATCGTGGCAGAGCCTGCTAGCTGTGCCTTGGTAGTTGTTCTCCTCTCCTTCCTTAGTAGTAGAACCACTACATATCAGCGGTGACACAGCAAGCCAGAATCAAGACTACACTTCCCAGCCCCCTTTACAATGACATGTGCTGTCACTACACCCTGTGGCCAACAGTTTGCAAGAGGAAATGTTCCTTGCAGCTTTGGGAGACAATCCTGAAACAGAAGCAACTTCCTCCCTTTCTCCTACTGAATGGCTACAATGAGGATGTAATGGCTGGAGCTCAAGCAGCCATGTTGGACCATGAAGTAGATGCCATGTGGTGAGGGTGGTCGAGCAACAAGATAGGTCCTTGATGATTGTGGAACCACCCTAATAGCTTTGGGATGCCTACCTTAAGACTTTATCCATGTAAAATAGAAATAAGTGTGTTCTGGCCGGGTGCAGTGGCTCACATCTGTAATCCCAGCACTTTGGGAGGCCAAGGCAGGTGGATCACCTGAGGTCAGGAGTTAAGAACCTGACCAATATGGTAAAACCCCGTCTCTACTAAAACTACAAAAATTAGCTGGGCGTGGTAGTGGGCACCTGTAGTCCCAGCTACTCAGGAGGCTGAGGCAGGAGAATTGCTTGAACTCAGGAGGCAGAGGTTGCAGTAAGCCGAGATTGCACCACTGCACTCCAGGCTGGGTAACAGAGTGAAACTCCGTCTAAAAAAAAAAAAGAAAGAAAGAAAGAAATGTGTACCTTGTTAAGGCCACTGTTGCTTGGGGTTTCTGTCACTCTCAGCTGAACCTAATGCTAACAATGGTCCGGCCACTAAAGATCAAATTCCTGCAAAGAGCATAGCTGGAGGCTGCAGCCCATGTAACAACACCTTCTTTCCACCAACTACTCAAGACACTGCTGCTGTTCCTGGCTTCATTTATGTGGAAGTGTTAAAAGGCCCAGAGAGGGGAAAGGCGCTTTTTCCTTTTGTACCTTTTGATTTTTGAAACATGTGAATGAGGCCGAATGCAGTGGCTCACACCTATAATCCCTGCACTTTGGGAGGCTGAGGCGGGAGGATTGCTTGAAGTCAAGAGTTCCAGACCAATCTGGGCAACATAGCAAGACCTTGTCTCTACAAAAAAATAAAATAAGATTAGACAGCAGTGGTGCTGCATGCCTGTAATCCCAGCTGCTTGGGAGGCTGAGGCGGGAGTATCAATTGAGCTGAGGAGTTGGAGGTTGTCGTGAGCCGAGATCAAGCCACTTCATTCCAGCCTGGGCAACAGAATGAGACCCTGTCTCACAGAAAAGAAAGAAAGGGAAAAGAACGGGAGGGGAGGGGGAGGAGAAGGAAAAGAAAAGAGAGAGAAAGAGAGAAAGAAAGAAAAAAAGAAAGAAAGAAAGAAAGGAAAGGAAAGATGAAGACAATGAAACATGCATGAATTACCCATTCAAAACATAAATAGCTGGAAATAAAAACAAAAGCAAAATGGAAGGGAAGATAAACACAAATTCATGACAGGAATTTTCTCAAAATTGCAAAATGGGGACTTCTCAGGCTGGAGGAATAAGGGAACATCAACTTTATCTGTAACACTTTACATATTTTGATTAGAAAATAAGACAAGAAGAACAATCATCACCTCTGAGTGATAGGTACATTTATATATAAAAATTTATAAATTTATAAATCTATTAATATGTATAAATATTTGAATCTTATATAAATGTGTATATATCTTATATAACAATAGTATATATTAACAATATAAATACATATAATAAAGCATAAATACATACTAAGGATACATGTTGTTCTTTGGACTTTCCTGTGTGGTTATGTGTCTCAAAATAAAGTCATAATTTGAACAAGCCTGCCTGTGAGTTCAGTGCAGAAGCCTGGACTACCTCAGGCTACCAGCTCCCGAAACAGGAAGGGACCTGGCACCCACAGTCAGGTCCAAGCACTCCTAGGACATGGACAGAGGACCAGGCTGGTTGGCACCTCCTGGGTGGCCAGGTGCCATGAAGTCAGGGGAGCCGAGGGACACGGGCTTTAAGCTGTTCCACACCATGTTGCTGGATTAATCATGGAGCAATGGTGACACCAGTCCTGGTTCCCCTGGGGAACACATCTCTGTTCCCCCACACATCTGTTTTGTCCCTTTTCACAAGAGCCCCCAAGACCAGCTGCCACAGCCCCACTGCACACAGCGCTGCCTGGGTGAGGGGACGTCCACTGAGCCAGCAATGCTGAGGGGGACACCTTGGTGGAAAGGGCCCTGCCTCCCGGCCGACCCTGTGGCCTTCTTGTGGCACATGACACAAGCAGAACCAATCAGATCACTGCCCAGGATTTCTTATTTAAGATTTTTATTTTTTTCAGATGGAGTCTTGGTCTGCCCCCAGGCTGGAGTGCTGTGGCATGATCTTGGCTCTCTGCAGCCTCCACCACCTGGGTTCAAGCAATTCTCGTGCCTCAGCCTCCCAAGTAGCTGGGATTACAGGCGCACTACCAAGCCCAGGTAATTTTTTTTTTTTTTTTGGTATTTTTAGTAGAGATAAAGTTTGGCTATGTTGGCCAGGCTGGTCTTGAACCCCTGACCTCAGGTGATCCACCCACCTTGGCCTCCCAAAGTGCTGGGATTACAGGCGTAAGCCACCGCGCCTGGTCCGGGAGTTTAGATTCTTGTTTTGAATCTTTTCCTCTTCTCTAATGGAAACATTTCTTGCCGTACATTTGCCTCTCAACACTGCTTAAGCTGCCTTCTATAAATTTTAATGTTACATTTTTATTCTTAGTTCAGTGTTTAAATTTCACTTTAAGGCTTCCTCTTTAACTCATGGAATACTTAGAATGACATTGTTTAGTTCCCAAATGTTGGGAGATTTTTCTGTTATCTTTCCGTTATTGATTTCTAGTTTTATTCCATTGTGGTCAGAGAACATGCTCTGTATGATTTCAATTATTTTAAACTTGTTGAGATTTATCACCCCGTCTATGGTCTGTCTTGGTATATATTCCATGGACACTTGGAAAGAAGGTATATATACTGCTGTTGTTGTGTGGAGTGTTTTACAAATGCCAATTAAGTCTGTTCATTGTTGAATTCTTCTATATCCTTGCCAATTTCTGTCTAGCTGTTCTATCAATTTTTGAGAGAGGAATATTAAAGATTCTAACTATAATTGTGGATTTATCTATTTCTCTTTTCTCAGTTTTGTTTCACATATTTTGTAAGTGTCTTGTCTGGTGCATACACATTTAAAATTACAATGCCTTCCTGGTGGATTTTGACCAGTTTAGCATTATATACTGTCCCACACTATGTCTGGTAATTGTCTTTGCTCTGAAGTTTGCCTTCTGATATTAATATTGTCACTCCTGCTTTCTTTTGATTAATCTTCACATGATATATCATTTTTCATCCTTTTACTCTCAACTTGCCTATATTGTTTTGTTGTTGTTGGTTTTGGGGTTTTTTTGTTTGGTTGGTTGGTTTTCTTTGGTTGGTTTTTTGCTTTTTGAGACATGGTCTCGTTTTCTCGCCCAGGCTGGAGTGCAGTGGCACAATCATAGCTCACTGCAGCCTCTACCTCCAGGGCTCAAGTGATCCTCCCACCTCAGCCTCCCACCTCAGCCTCCCAAGTACGTGGGACCACAGGCACATGCTGCTACACTTGGCTAATTTTTGCATTTTTTGTAGAGATGGGGTTTCACCATATTGCCAAGGCTGGTCTCAAACCCCTGGCCTCAAGCAATCCTTCTGCCTCAGCCTCCCAAAGTGCTGTGATTACAGGTGTAAGCTACCACACCTGGCCAGCCTATATTGTTTTATTTGAAGTTAGTTGCTTGTAAGCAACATAGAATTGGGGCATGTTTTTTAATCCATTTTTTTTTGTCTTTTAATTCGTGTATTTACACCGCTTACACTTAATATAATTATTGACATGTTAGGTAGGGCTTAAGTCTAACACTTCATATTTTGTTTTCTGTTTGTCCTCTCTTTTTTCATTTTTCTATTTTCTTTTTCTTGCCTTGGTGTGGTTTGGCTGAACAATTCTTTAGAATTCTATTTTCATTTATCTGTAGTGTTTTTGAGTGTATCTCTAGATATAGCTTTTTTAGTGGGTGCTCTAGTATTACATCAGTATACAGAATTTATCACGGTCTACTAGTGTCATCATTTTACCAGTTTGCATAAAGTATAGAAACCTTACCTCCCTTTTTTATATCCCTTTTTTCTCCCCCATTTATAATTGTCTTAATAAATACTTCTTCTCCATACACTTAGAACCACATCAATGTTACAATTTTTGCTTCAACCATCAGATACAATTTGGAAAACTCAAGAAGAGAAAAGCCTATTGTAGTCACCCATATTTCCGCTTACCATGTTCTTTCTTCCTTCCTGGTGTTTCAGGGTTCCTTATTTTATTGTTTCCTTTCATGTTTAGAGACTTTCCTTTAGCCACTCTTTTAGGGTAGGTGTGCTCGTGACCACCTCTCTTGGTTTTCCTTCATCTGAGAATGTCTTGGTTTATTCCTGAAAGATTTGGGGAGCGGGGGTAGTAATGAGATTTTGGGTTGACAATTCCTTTCTTTCAGCACTTGAAAAAAAATTATGCCACTTTCTCCTGGCTTCCATGGTTTCTGATGAGAAATACACTGTCATTTCAGTTGTTTCTTCCTCTAGGGGTAATGTATTGTTTTCTCTGGCTACTTATTAAGATTTTTTTTATCTTTCATTTTCAGGAATTTAATTATGATGTATGTTGGAGTGGATTACTCTGAACTTATCCTGTTGGGCATTCATTCAGCTTCTTGAATACATAAGTTTATGTCTCTTGCCAAATTTGACAAGTTTTCAGCCATTATTTCATCGCATACTTTGCCAGCTCCACCCTCTTTCTTCTCTCCTTCCAGGATTTGGATGGCATTAATGTAAGATCTTGTTATAGGCCCACAAGGTTCTGCTCATTTTTTTAAATCTGCTTTTTATCTCTGTTTTCAGATTGGGTAATTCCTTTTGTTCTGGCTTCCAGTTCATCGGTTCATTAGTTCTTTCCTCTGTCCCCTCCATTTGCTATTGAGACCATCTGCTGAAATTTTTACTTCAGTCATTGTGTTTTCAGTTCTGAAATTTCCATTTGGTTCTAGTTTGTTTGTTTGTTTGTTTGTTTGTTTTTGTTTTTTGAGAAACAGAGTCTTGCTCTGTAGTGCAAGCTGGAGTGCAGTGGGATGATCTTGGCTCATGCAACCCCTGTCTCCCAGCTTCAAGCAATTCTCGTGCCTCCCAAGAAGCTGGGACTACCGGCATGTGCCACCACACCTGGCTAATTTTTGTATTTTTAGTAGAGACAGGGTCTTGCTGTATTTCCCAGGCTGGTCTCGAACTCCTGGCCTCAAGCAATCCACCTGCCCCGGCCTCCCAAAGCACTGGGAGTACAGACGTGAGCCACCGCACCCAGCCTGGTTCTTCTTTATAGCTTCTATTTCTTTGCTGAGACATTCTATTTTATCCTGTGTTTCAAGAGTGCTTGTAATTATTCATTGAAGCATTTTTATCATGGCTGTTTTAAGAATTATTGTCAAACTTCTCAAATAATTCTAACATCCCTGTCATCTTGGTATTGGCATCTACTGATTGTCTTTTTTCATTCAACTTGAGATTTTCCTGGTTCTTGATATGATGAGTGATTTTCTCTTGAAATATGGACATTTTTCCTATATAAGACTCTGGATCTTACTGAATCTTTCTGTTTCAGCTTCCAGTCACTGACATGGCTCTGGCGGGGAAACAGGGGAGGTGCTGTTGCTGTCCCGGCACTTCCAGGTGTAGATGCAGGTTCCTCGCTTGGTTCTCCTGACACCTGAGGTGAGGGGCTCAATGTTACTGAAACCTGGGAGGGGCTCATAACCAGCCACTGGGGATAGAAGTCCCAGCCCCTTACCTGGCCTTCTCTGACACCATCCCAGCAGACGTTGGGGTGCTTTGTTATAGTTTAGGATCTCACCTTGGCCTTTGCTGGTGGGGGTTGGGGGACCACAGATTTTTCTGTGGTGTTCAGCTGGGGTAGAATGATTATTGCCTGAGAGTTTTCTGTTCTGGTAAGCTACACCTTTCCTGGTCTTTGGACTAAGACAGCAGACTTTCTTGGGGCTTTTGTTTTTTCTGTGCCAATGAGCATTTCTGGGTTGCCAGCTGCTTCTCCTCCAAGTCTGGGACACATGAGGCCAAAAAGAAAACTCAGGGACTCACCACTATTTCATTTGATATGATTTGACTCTGTGTCCACATCAAATCTCACCTTGAATTGTAGTTCCCATAATCCCCATGTGTTGTGGAAGGGACCCAGTGGGAGGTAACTTAATTATGGGGGCAGTTACCATCATGCTGTTCTTGTGATAGTGAGTTCTCATGAGATCTGATGGTTTTATTAATATAAGGGGCTTTTCCTTGGCCAGGCATGGTGGCTCACGCCTGTCATCCCAGCACTTTGGGAGGCCGAGGTGGGTGGATCACCTGAGGTTGGGAGTTCGAGACCAGGCTGACCAACATGGAGAAACCCCGTCTCTACTAAAATACAAAATTAGTCGGGCATGGTGGCACATGCCTGTAATCCCAGCTACTAGGGAGGCTGAGGCAGCAGAATCACTTGAACATGGGAGGTGGAGGTTGTGGTGAGCTGAGATCACACCATTGCACTCCAGCCTAGGCAACAAGAGCGAAACTCAGTCTCAAAAAAAAAAAAAAAATATATATATATATATATATGGGGCTTTTCCACTTTTGCTCAGCACTTCTCTTTCCTACCATCATGCGAAGAAGGATGTGTTTGCTACCCCTTCTGCCATGATTGTAAGTTTCCTAAGGCCTCCCCAGCCCTGAAGAACTGAGTCAATTAAACGTCTTTCCTTTGTAAATGACCCCATCTTGGGTATGTCTTTATTCACAGCATGAGAATGGATTAATACATCATTCCTTGGGTCTCAAGGTCCCTAGCTGGCCCGTCTTCTCTCCACCTTTCAGAGTATATATATGATGGACAGAGGTTTTAGTTTTACTTAGCAGGCGGAGGGAAAAACTTGTCTATCCATATTCCCATATTACCAGAGGTGTAAGTTTCCTATCTAGAAGACTTTTATTTTAATTAACCCACCTTTAGGACATGGCTGGTTTTTTTGTTTGTTTGTTTTGTTTGTTTTGTTTTGTTTTGTTTTGTTTTTGAGATGGAGTCTTGCTCTTGTTGCCCAGGCTAGAGTGTGATCTCGGCTCACTGCAGCCTCTGCCTCGCATGTTCAAGCGATTCTCCTGCCTCAGTCTCCTGAGTAGCTGGGATTGCAGGCATGCGCTACCACACCCGGCTAATATTTTTTGTATTTTTAGTAGAGACGGGGTGTTGCCATGTTGTCCAGGCTGGTCTCAAACTCTTGGCCTCAGGTGATCCACCCTCCTCGGCCTCCCAAAGTGCTGGGATTACAGGCATGAGCCACCGCACCCGGCCTGGAACATGCCTATTCTTAACCCAGGACAGGCATCCACATTTCCTTCAGTCAATTCAGGGAGGCTCCATTCAGAAGGCCCTTTCTGACAGTCACTGAGAAAGTGGCTGTGAGGCCATAAACAATGGCTGCAGCATCCCACCATCTGGCCAGGCCCTCCTCACATGCTGACCATGTCCAATTTTCCCCAGCAAGGAGAACTGTGGCATCTGTATGAGATCAGGCAAGAGTCCAGACTGCCACCATCTTCCCTCTGCCACAATCTTTTTGCTTCTTTTCTCAGCTCATTTAGGGGACCTATTCCTTGGAAAGCCACCGTGAGCTTTTAAGCACTGGCTTCTCCTGCATGGGGGCCTGCCCTCTCTTCGGGGCTGGCACACTGCAGGGCCTCGTCATATGGGGTCAGGTTAGGTAGGAGCCAGTTCCAGGAGGTGGCACTGAGCAGGGGCACCACGGCTGATGCCCCAGGCCCACTACCTACATTCTCATGGGTCAGGAAGGAAAGGCCCCCGCGTGGATGTTCCCACTGCCTGAGCCCAGCCCTTATCTGCTGTCCTTCACACTCACCTCAATCACTCCAGCCCTGAACCTATGTGTGGAAATTCTACCTCCAGCTCCTCCACTTTCCAGCTTTGTGGGTAAAACACTTATTCTCCCTGATCATGTATTTTGTAAACCAGAAATAAAATTCTAAGGCCCCCCAACCATCTGAATGAACTTCCTCCTCAGCCAGGGCTCTTCAAATGTAACCTGAGAGACTGGTTCAGGCCATGAAGGGACGAGTGGGGCCGAACACACCTCATTACACCTCTCCAGCATTAACATCAATACAGACCTTAAGTCTGATAAGAAACATTTTACAGGCCGGGTGTGGTGGATCACGCCTGTAATCCCAGGACTTTGGGAGGCCAAGGCGGGAGGATCACCTGAGGTCAGGAGTTCAAGACCAGCCTGGCCAACATAGTGAAACCCCATCCCTACTGAAAATACAAAGATTAGCTGGGCATGGTTGTCCGCACTTTTAATCCCAGCTACTCAGGAGGCTGAGGCAGGAGAATCGCTTGAACTCAGGAGGCGGAGGTTGCAGCGAGCTGAGTTCATGCCACTGCACTCCAGCCTGGACGACAGAGTCAGACTCTGTCTCCAAAAAAAAAAAAAAAGTCTCATTTGCATAGTAAAACTTTGCTCTCCACCACCTCTTATGGCAACCCAGACATTCCTTTCTACTGATCCCAGGTCTTCAGACAAACTCAACCAATCATCATCCAGAAAATGTTTAAATTTACCTATAGCTGGCTGGGCACAGTGGCTCATGCCTGTAATCCCAGCAATTTGGGAGGCTGAGGTAGGTGGATCACTGGAGGCCAGGAATTCGAGACCAGCCTGTCCAACATGGTGAAACCCATCTCTACTAAAAATACAAAAATTAGCCAGACGTGGTGGCAGGCACCTGTAATCCCAGCTACGGTGGCTGAGGCAGGAGAATCGTTTGAACCTGGGAGGCAGAGGTTGCAGTGAGCCAAGATCAAGCCACAGCACTCCAGCCTGGGTGACAGAGTGAGACTCCGTCTCAAAAAAAAAAAAAAAAATTACCTATAGTCTGGAAGCCCCCTCATTTGGAGTTGTCCCACCTTTCTGGACCAAACCAGTGTAATTCTTAAATGTATTCGATTGATGTCTCATGCCTCCCTAAAATGTATAAAACCAAGCTGCGCTCCGACCACCTTGGGCACATGCTCTCAGGACCTCCTGAGGGCTGTGTCATGGGCCATGGTCACTCATATTTGGCTCTGCTTATATAAATATCTTCAAATATTTTACAGAGTTTGACTCTTTTTTTTTTTGAGATGGAGTTTTGCTCTTGTTGCCTGGGCTGGAGTGCAATGGTGCAATCTCGGCTCACTGCAACTTCTGCCTCCTGGGTTCAAGTGATTCTCCTGCCTCAGCCTCCCGAGTAGCTGGGATTACAGGTGCTTGCCACCATGCCCAGCTAATTTTTGTATTTTTAGTAGAGATGGGGTTTCACCATATTGGCCAGGCTGGTCTTGAACTCCTGACCTCAGGTGATCCACCTGCCTTGGCCTCCCAAAGTGCTGGGATTACAGCCATGAGCCGCTGCACCCTGCTGAGTTAGGCTCTTTTCATCAAAACTCTGTACTGTAAAATGAGGGCTGGGAGTAGATCACTCCTTGAGAACTGGTGGCTCCACGACAGACAAGGATAAGTCTCCAGGATCCCCGCAGGGATTAACCCCACTTGCCTGGTGGAGCCTGCGTGATAAGACGCCTGCTTTGTCCTCCCTCACTTCCCCATTTGCATACTGGAGGTTCCTGAGATGACCTCCTGAATAAGCCACCTGCAATTGAAGCCTTGCTGAGTCTGCTCCTGGGGGAACACAAACCAAGACACCCTGATTTCAGGGCAGTCACCAGAAGCCCTCTTGCCAAGTTGCTTCTCCCTTGACAGAAGCATTGCAGGACTGAGAAGGAAGCCAGCCTTCTTCACACCCTCAGCCTGGAGGCCTGGCTGCAAGGCAGCCAGAGGCCTGGTGCAGCCAAGTGACCTCTTCTAGTGACTCCAGGGGCCGGTATAGAAAAGAGCCTCCTGGGCTGTTCTCCACTCACAGCCACATTACAAAAGGCCCCTTCTTTATCCCAGCTTATTCAGGCCATGTCCCAAGAAGGAAATAAAGGGTGGAGGGTGAAGGGTGGGGCAAAATAAGCCTAATTATGCCTGCTGGGAAGAGCTATTCCCACCCTCAGGCCAGTCCAACCAGGGGAGGGGATGTTCCTCATGGAAGAACAGACCACAGGCCAAGGTTCTATGCTATGCATGGTATGTGCCATCCATGTATACGTGCTATATCTGTGACATGCTATACATGGTGTCTGCTGCATGTGGTGCACGCTATATACATGTTATACCTATCAAGCAGTATGTGTATTACTTGCTATACATATTATATGCTTGTGTGTTATACGTTAAACATGCATGTGTCTGTTATGCATTCTATATGTATGCTATGAGTTATGTAGTGTACATGTTGTTTACTATGCATGTTGCATGCCATACATGTACACATGCTATGTCTGTTACATGTCATGCAGCTTGTGTTATATATGCTGTATATATTGTGTACTAGTGTTGCACATGTATGTGTGTTACATGCTATGCATGTATGCATGCTATATATGTTATATGCAGCATATACTACATGCTATATATGTTTCATGCTATTCATGTTGGGCACCATGTGTATTACATGTGACTCCTCACAGACGCTAGCTGGCTAAGTCCAGTCTCCCTAGAAGAGGTGCCATTGGCTGCTACAGGCTGCACCATCTCCAACTCTGAGCTCCCTCTGGGCTCAACTCTGCCTGCCAAGATGCTGCTACAAGATCCTAGGCCAGGCCCAGAGCCTTTCAGGGGTCAGGACAGCTGGTGCTACTAGCTGGGCCTGGCCAGGGCCTGGCTAGCAGCAAGAGATCTTTGCTGTTTTTTTAATCTGTGTCATATATGAATGTACCGTAATTTGTTTACCCATTCTCCTGTTATTGGACATAGGGTTCTTTTGAGTTTTTACCTATTTATAAATAAAGTTGACATTAAATTCTCTCTGTAGACCTATCTTTTTATTCCTTTTGTGTAAATACCAAAGAATACGATTTCTGGGCCATATAAAAGTGAATTTTAACTTTACACCAAATTTGTAGTTTTCCAAAGTGTTGGAACTGATTTACCTGTGTAGACAGTGGATGAGAGTTTCCATTGCTCCACATCCTTGCCAACCTTTGTTGATGCCAATCTTTTCCATTTTAGTCATTCTAATTGCATAGTGGAATTTCATTCTAGTTTTTAATTTTTATTACTCAAATAAGTAATGATGTTGAACACTTTTTCATATGCTGTGGGCCATCTGGATATCTTTGGATATCATAGCAAAATTAAGAGGAAGGTACAGAGATTTCTCATATAACCCCTGCCACCACGCTGGCCATTATCCACATCCCCAAACAGTGTGGTACATTTGTTAGAGTTGATGACCCTACGGCGACATCATTATCCTCCAAAGTTCACGGTTTACCTGAGGGCTCACTCTTGGTGTTGGATATTCTATGGGTTGGACAAATGCATAATGACATGGATCCACCATTAGAGCATCACACAGAGTATTTTCACTGCCTTAAAAATCTCCTCTGCTCTGCCTACTCATCTTTCCCTCCCCACTAATGCCTAACAACCACTGCTCTTTTCACTGTCTCCATGGCTCTGCCTTCTCCAGGGTGTTGGAATCATACACTAGGCAGCCTTTTCAAATTAGCTTCTTTCACTTAGTAAGATGCATTTAAGGATCCTCGGCTGGGCGCGGTAGCTCATGCCTGTAATCCCAGCACTTTGGGAGGCCAAGGTGGGCGGATCACCTGAGGTCAGGAGTTCGAGACTAGCCTGCCCAACATGGTGAAACCCCCGTCTCTACTAATAGTACAAAAATTAGCTGGGCATGGTGGTGGGCGCCTGTAATCCCAGCTACTCAGGAGGCTGAGGCAGGAGAATCGCTTGAACCCGGGAGGCAGAGGTTGCAGTGAGCCGAGATCGCGCCACTACACTCCAGCTTGAATGACAGAGCCAGACTCCATCTCAAAAAAAAAAAAAAAAAAAAAAGGATTCTCTATGTGCTTTTGTGGCTTGATAGCTAAAATCTTTTTAGTGCTAAATAATATTCCATTATTATGCATGTACCACCATGTTATCCAATCACCTACTGAAAGACATCTTGGCTGCTTCCAAGTTTTAGTAATTATGGGTAAAGCTACTATAAACAGCATTTTGTCAAATGTTTTTTCTGTATAGATATGATCATAATTTTTTTCTTAGCCTGTTGATATATGCATTACATTAATTAATTTTCAAATGTCAAACCAGCCTTGTATACCTAGGATAAACCTCAGTGGGTTTAGTAAATAATTCTTTGTATACATTGTTGGATTTAATTTATTAATATTTTGTTGAGAGTTTTTGCCTCTTTGTTAATGAGGGATATTAGTTTTCTTTTCTGGTATTATCTTTGTCTGGTTTTGATATTCTGGTAATGCTGTCCTCATAAAGAGTTAGGAAGTATTCTCTCTGTTTCTATTCTCTGAAAGACATTGTAGACAATTTGTATAATTTCTTCCTTAAATGTGTGTTACGGGCTGAGTGAGGTGGCTCACACCTGTCATCCCAGTACTTTGGGTGGTTGAGGTGGGCAGATCAGTTGAGGCCAGGAGTTTGAGACCAACCTGGCCAACATGGCAGAACCCCATCTCTACTAAAAATACAAATATTAAGGCCAGGCGCGGTGGCTCACACCTGTAATCCTAGTACTTTGGGAGGCCGTGGCGGGTGGATTACCTGAGGTCAGGAGTTAGAGACTAGCCTGATCAACATGGAGAAACCCGGTCTGTACTAAAAATACAAAATTTGCCAGATGTGGTGGCACATGCCTGTAATCCCAGCTACTCAGATGGCTAAGGCAGGAGAATCACTTGAACCCGGGAGGTGGAGGTTGTGGTGAGCCGACATCGCACCATTGCACTCCAGCCTGGGCAACAAGAGCAAAACTCCATCTCAAAAACAAACAAACAAACAAATATTAGCCAGGTATGGTGGCACATGCCTGTAGTTTAGCTACTCAGGAGGCTGAGGCACGAGGATCATTTGAATCTGGGAGGTGGAGGTTGCAGTGAACCGAGATCATGCCACTACACTCCAGCCTGGGTGACAGAGCAAGACTCTATCTCAAAAAAAAAAAAAGTTTGGTAGAAGTTGCACTTATCTGGGCCTAGTGCTTTATTTTTTAGAAGATTATTAATTATTGATTCAATCACTTGAATAGCTATAGGCCTATTCAGAATGTCTATTTTTTTCTTGGTGAGTTTTGACAGATTGTGTCTTTCAATGAATTGGTTCATTTCATCTGTGTTATCAAATTTGTGGACAGAGTTCTTCATAGTATTCCTTTATTAATCTTATAATGTCCATAGTATCTTTCATTTCTGATGTTAGTAATTTACATTCTCTCTTTTTTTCTTAGCCTGGCAAGAGACTTATTGATATTATTAATCTCTTCAAAGAACTGCTTTTGCTTTTGTGGATTTCCTCTACTGATTTCCTGTGTTCAATTTCATTGCTTCCTGCTCGAATTATTTTATTTCTTTTCTTCTGATTACTTTGGAATTAATTTGCTCTTCTTTCTCTAGTTTTCTAATGTGGAAATTTAGATTATTGATTTTAGATTTTTCTTCTTTCCTGATGTATGCATCCAATGCTATAAATTCCCTTTATGTACTACTTTTGCTGCATCCCGCGATCTTGGATAAATTGTGCTATGGTTTGAATATACCCCTCAAAGGTCATGTGTTGGAAACAATCCCCAATGTGACAGTTTTGGGAGCTGGGGCCTAATAAGAGATGATTCAGTCCTGAAGGCTCTGCTCTCATTAATGGATTAATGTCGTGATCACGGGGATGGGCTAGCAGTTATCTCAAAAGTAGGTTTGTCATAAAAGTGAGTTTGGCCCCCTTCTTGCTCTCTTGCTCTCACCCTCTCTTGCCCTTCTACCTTCTGCCACAGGATGACATAGCACAAAGGCCTTTGCCAGACGCCATCACCATACTCTTGGACTTCTTAGCCTCCAGAATTGTGAGTCAAATAAATTTCCGTTCATTACAAATTACCCAGTCTGTGGTATTCTATAATAGCAACATAAAATGGGCTAAGACAAGTTGTATTTTCATTTTCATTTGGCTCAAAATATTTTAAAATTTATCTTGAGATTTCTCCTTTAATCCATGTGTTTGTTGGTTTTTTTCCTAAGGAAGCATGTTGTTTTTAATTTCCATGTATTTTGGCATTTTCCAGTTATCTTTCTGTTACAGATTTGTAGTTTGATTCCATTGTGATCTGAAAGCAAACACTGCATGATTACTATTCTTTTAAAGTTGTTAAGGAATGCTTTATGGCCTGAAATGTGGTCTATCTTGGTGAATGTTCTATGTGAGCTTGACAATATTTTGCTGTTGCTGAAGGAAGTAGTCTAGAGATGTTAATTATATCTAATGATTGATGGTGTTTTGAGTTCAACTACACCTTCACTGATTTGCTGCTTGCTGGATCTGGCCATTTCTGATAAAATGTGGTTAAAGTGTTCAACTGTGTTCATGGATTTATCAATTTTCCTTTCAGTTTTATTAGTTTCTGCCTCATGTTTTTGCTCTGTTGTCAGTTGTATACATGTTAAGGATTGGAGAACCTCAGTGGATAAAAGAGGGCATTACATAATGACCATGGGACAAATGACCCCCTTTGTCATTATGTATTGCCCTTCTTTATCCTTGATAAATTTCCTTGCTTTGAGTCTGCTCTGTCTCAAATTAATAGAGCTACTACTGATCTCTTTTGATCAGTGTTAGCATGGTGTATTTCTCTTCATCCATTTACTTTTTTTTTTTTTTGAGATGGAGTCTCGCTCTGTCACCCAGGCTGGAGTATGTGTGTATATATATGTGTATATATGTGTGTGTGTGTGTGTGTGTGTGTGTGTATATATGTGTGTGTGTGTGTGTGTGTATGTATATATATATAGATAGATAGATATAGATATATTTTTTTTTTTTTGAGACAGAGTTTCGCTGTTGTTGCCCAGGCTGGAGTGTAATAGCACGATCTCAGCTCACCGCAACCTCCACCTCCCAGGTTCAAGTAATTCTCCTGCCTCAGCCTCCCTAGCAGCTAGGATTACAGGCATGTGCCACCACGCCCGGCTAATTTTGTATGTTTAGTAGAGACGGGGTTTCTCCATGTTGGTCAGGCTGGTCTCCAGCTCCTGACCTCAGGTGATCCACCCACCTTGGCCTCCCAAAGTGCTGGGATTACAGGCATGAGCCTCCGCGCCCGGCCAACAATCTCTATATTTTAATTGGTGTATTTAAACCACTGATGTTCAAAGTGAATATTGATATAGTTAGATTAATATTTACCATATATTTTTTACTATTTTCTATTAGTTGCCCTCGTTCTTCATGCCTATTTTTGCCTTCCACTCTTTTTCTGCCTTTTGAGGTTTTAATTGAGATTGTATGCTGGGCGCAGTGACCCACGCTTGTAATCCCAGCACTTTGGGAGGCCGAGGTGGGAAGATCACATGAGGTCAGGAGTTCAAGACCAGCCTGGCCAACATGGTGAAACCCTACCTCTACAAAAATACAAAAATTAGCCAGGCATGATGGTGGGTGCCTGTAATCCCAGCTACTCAGGAGGTTGAGGCAGGAGAATCTCTTGAACTCAGGAGGCAGAGGCTGCAGTGAGCAGAGATTGCGCCATTGCACTCCAGCCTGGGCAACAGAGCGAGACTCCATCTCAAAAAAAAAGAAAAAAAAAAGAGATCATATATGATTCTGTTTTCTCTAGACTGTTAGCATATCAGTTATCTCCTTTTTAAACTTTTTTTAGTGGTTGCCCTACAGTTTGCAATATACATTTATAACTAATCCAAGTCTACCTTCAAATAACACTGTACCACCTCACAGTCAGCGTGAGTCCCTTGTAACAAAATAATACTAACTCTTCTCTCCTGAGCTTTGTGTCATTGCTGTCATTCATTTTACTTATGGATGTAAACTTACAGTATGTAGCTGTATTGCTCTGTTAGATCAATTAAGAATAAGAAAAATTAAAGGTTTTTGTTTTTTTTTTTTTTAGATGGAATCTCGCTGTGTCACCCAGGCTGGGTTTTGCCATGTTGGCCAGGCTGGTCTCAAACTCCTGACCTCAGGTGATCTGCCTGCCTTGGCCTCCCAAAGTGCTGGGATTACAGGCTTGAGCCACTGCGCCCAGCCCTCTTCCTTTCTTTATGTAGAGCTTGAGTTTCTGACCTATATTATTTTTCTTCTTAAGACTTCTTTTAACATTTCTGCAAGTCAGTTCTACCAGCAACATAATCCTTCGCTTTTTGTTTGTCTGAGAAAGTTTTCGTTTTTCCTTTACTTTTGAAGCACAATTTCACAGCATGAAGAATTCTAGGTTGGTGCTTTTTTTCTCCCAACATTTTAAATATTTCACTCCACTCTCTTCTTGCTTGCATTGTTTTTAAAGAGAAGTCAGATGTAATTATTATCTTTGTTCCTTGTAGGTATGGCACTTTTTTCCTCTGGCTTCTTTCAAGAATTTTCCTCTATATTTGATTTTCTGTATGTTCTAAATGATATGCCTAGGTGTGGGGGTTTCGGGGGCATTTATCCTGGCTAGTGTTCTCTGAGCTTCCTGGATCTGTGGTTTGATGTCTGACATTAACCTGGGGAAATCCTGTCATTATTGTTTCAGATATTTCTTCTTTCTTCTCTTTCTGGTATTCTCATTACACATATGTTACACTTTTCTATAGTTGGCCCCGTAGTCCTTGGATATTCTGTTCTGATTTGGTTTGGGGCGTGTTTTTTTCTTTTCTTTTCTTTTTTCTTTTTTTCAGTCTTTGTTCTCTTTGCTTCACAGTTTTGGAAGTTTCTATTGACATATCCTTAAGCTGAGAGATTCTTTCCTCAGCTGTGTCCGGTCTACTAATGAGCTTATCAAGGCATTCTTCATTCCTGTTACAGTGGTGTGGTTTTTTGTTGTTGTTGTTGTTTTTAATCTATAGCATTTCTTTTTGGTTCTTTCTTAGGATTTTCATCTCTCTACTTATATTACTCATCTGTTCTTGCACGCTGTCTGCTTTATCCATTAGAGCCCTTAGCATATTAATCATAGTTGTTTTAAATTCCTGGTCTGATAATTCTAACATTCCGGCCACGTCTCATTCGAATGCTCTGTCTCTTCAAATTGTGTTTTTTGCCTTGTCGTATGCCTTGTATATTTTTCTTCATGGTGTACACAGTGTGCTGAGTAAAAGGAACTGCTCAGCCTTCAGTGATGTGGTAATGTTGCGGGGAGAGGACGTGTCCTACTGTGATTAGGACTTTTTGTGAGTCTATCGCTCTGTACCATGAACTTCACAGGTTCTTGTCTTCCCCCTTAAGTGGGGCAGAATAGCTACCGTGGGCTGGAGTTGCTACTTCCCTTCCTCCAAGTCAGTTAAGCTCTAATAATACCCCAGCAGGTGAAGCTGTGTGTGTGTGTGGCAGGTGGGTGAGGGGATGAAGAAAAGTTGATTAATGCATGGAAACATACAATTACATAGAAGGAATAAGTTTCAATGTTCAATAGCAGAGTACAGTGACTAGTCAACAACGGTGTGTTGCGTATTTCAAAACAGCTAGAAGAGAGAACTTGAAATGTTCCCAACACAAAGAAGTGATCAATATTCCAGGTGATGGGCACCCCAAATACCCTGACTTGATCATTACACATTCTGTGCATGTAACAAAATATCACATATACCCCTTAAATATGTACAAATATAAGGTATCATTAAAAAAAATTAGGGCCGGGCGTGGTGCCTCATGCCTGTAATCTCAGCACTTTGGGAAGTCAAGGCAGGAGGATCACTTGAGCACAGGAGTTCGAGACAAGCCTGGGCAACATAGTGAAACCATATCTCTACAATAATTTGTTTTTTAATTAGTCCATGTGACCTGTAGTCACAGCTATGAGGGAGGCTGAGATGGGAGGACTGCTTGAGTCTGGGAGGCCAAGGCTACAATGAGCCATGATCATGCCACTGCACTTCAGCCTGGACAATAGAGCAAGACCTTGTCTCAAAAAAAAATTGAAAATAAAATAACCCGGCAGGCAGACTCTGGCTAAATAGTTCTCCTGATGGCAGGTCTGTTAAGAAGAACAGAGTGCTATGTCTTATTTCAAAATTTTTCCTTTTCCCCTCCTCCTGCTAGAAACACAAGCTTTTTCTCTGATATCCACTGTGGGAATCTGTTCAAGGTCCTGGAGGTAAATCTCACAGTATTCTTCCCCTCATCCCATGAATGGGTCCCCTGGAGTTCTGAACTCTCAGACTCATCCCCATTAGCCTCCAGCAATTGGCCACTGGCAGTTCAGGTTTCCTCCCGGCACTGGTTCCCGTGGTTGTTTCTGCCCATGGTCTCCGCTCCAGTCAGCTACACTCCCTGTGTCTGCCTGTCAGTCCCTCCAGTGCTGGGGATGATGGTCTACCCTGTGTCCTCACCTCTCTTAAGGATCCAAGAAGAGTTCTTTTATTCTTCAGTCTGTTCAACTGTGTACTTGTTGCTAGGATGGAGTGGTGGCTTCTAACCTCCTTACATGTGGAACTGGAAATAAAAAGTCCCCATTTCCTCTTCTGTTCTTTTTAAAAAATTGGATCATTTGGCTTTTTCTTATTCATTTGTAGGAATTCTTTAAACATTTTTATTAAGAATACTTTGTCAGATATATGTTTTCTGAATGTCTTCTCCTAGTCTTTGACTTGATTGTCTACTCTTTTCATGAACTCCTGATAAAGCGAAGTTTTCCGTTTTAATAGTCTATTAATTTTTTGTTTGTTTTATGGTTAGTGCTTTTTGTGTCTTTTTGGCTGAAGAAATGTAAACATAAATGTTATATAATACTTCTAGGAAGCCTCCTTTAAAAAAAAAAAGGCATGCCCTTCATCCTTCTTTCCCCTGTCCTGCTGCCTGGAACATACATATGATGGCTGGAGCACTAGCACCCATGTTAGACCTTGAGAAGGAGGTGATCTTGGGAATAGAAGTCACAAGATCAAAGAAGCCTAAGACATCATGAAGATGCTATACTAGCCCTGAAACTGTCTACTTCCAGACTTCATTTAGATGGGACAGAATAACGTCTTTCTTTCTTTTTTTTTTTTTTTTGAGACAAGGTCTCCCTCTGTCACCCAAGCTGGAGTGCAGTGGCTCGATCTCGGCTCAATGCAACCTCAGCTTTCCAGGTTCAAGCCATTCTCCTGCCTCTGCCTCCTGAGTAGCTGGAATTACAGGCATGCACCACCATGCCCGGCTAATTTTTGTATTTTTAGTAGAGACGGGGTTTCACCATATTGGTCAGGCTGGTCTAGAACTCCCGACCTCAGGTGATCTGCCTGCCTCAGTCTCCCAAAGTGCTGGGATTACAGGCGCGAGCCACCGTGCCCCGCCAGAATAAACTTCTATCTTGTGTAACCCTCTATTATTTAAGACTTTGTTCCTCACAGCTGAACTTAATCATAACTGATGTATAAAGAAAGATCAGTTAGCAAACTCACTAGTTACTCTTCTGTTTCCACTTCAGTTTCAAAACTTTCTCTAAATCAGTGGGTTTTAATCCTCCATGTCCATCACAGTTACCTAGTGAGCCTATAAAAAGTGGAAAAGCAGCCGGGCACAGTGGCTCACGCCTGTGAGCGAAACTCCATCTCAAAAAAAAAAAAAAATGGTTGGGGGAAAGCCCTGAGTCAGGTTGGCCCTGAGTGAGGAGGCCCAGGCTTCCTAGTTTTCAGTCTCCCCAAGGGACCCTACATGGATTACCAAGGTTGAGAATTGGTGCTTCGAGTCGATGTTCTGCTCTTGGCATGGAAGTGTGAGCACAGTGGTCTACGTGTCTGTGCTTTGGCCTCTGGTGGGAAAAGAACCAACATACAGAGATTTATGAAGTACAAATAGAATTGAACTCATGGGTCCTAACTCATGCCTTGAAATATAGGCGTGAGCCAGCCACACAAGCACATCAGCTTACTTAGAGTGCACAGGCAGTGTGAGGCCGTGGAGCCCTGGGATCGGCAGCCAGCAGCTCTAGGCTCCTGGTGGGATGACCCTGGGCCAATTATAACCTCTGTGAGCCTACTTCCTCCTTTGAAACAGGGGTCTCAGGGGGTCTATCAGTAACAGCTGCCTGCCTCACCCTGGATTGTTGTGAGGATCATATAAAGTAATGGATTTTTTTTTCTTTTTGAGACAGAATTTTGTCTTGTCACCCAGGCTGGAGTGCAATGGCACCATCTCGCCTCGTTGCAACCTCCACCTCCCAGGTTCAAGCAATTCTCCAGCCTCAGCCTCCCAAGCATCTGGGACTACAGGCTTGAGCCAACCCCACCCGGCTAATCTTTGTATTCTTAGTAGAGATGGGGTTTCACCATGTTGGCCAGGCTGGTCTTAAACTCCTGACCTCAAATGATCCACCCACCTTGGCCTACCAAAGTACTGGGATTACAGGTGTGAGCCACTGTGCCCAGCCTAAAATAATGGCTTTTAAAGTGCCTTGTGTATAACGCCCAAGTGTGTTTCTGACATCTCTGTACCACAGGCATGTCAGAGATTCTGTCCTCCACCACGCAGCGTTCTAAAGGACCCCATGCACAGCCTTACTCCTTCCGGGGCTTCATGTCGACTCACCAGCCCCAGCCACCTGGAGCAATGGTCCCTATCGATTTTCCCTTGGAGAATAAAGTGAACGTCGTTCATCTTCTCCCTGAAAAGTGCAAAAGGCATAGACTCACTTGTCCACAAAATATGCCACAGCCTGGGGTTCACTATAGTCAGGAAGCCCACTAGGGACGTAAAGTAAGGACACTGGTTCTATAGAATACCACTCCACTAGGACCAGAGAGAGAGCAGCCACTCCAGGCAGTGGGACAATCTGCTATCTAGAAGGTGGCAGAGCATAAACCCATGAGTGCCAAGTCCTCAGAACTGGGACTGCTAGTTAGGCATGGTAGCTCACGTTTGTAATCCTGACACTTTGGGAGGCCAAGGTGGGAGGATCACTTGAGGCCAGGAGTTCAAGGCCAGCCTGAGGAACATAAAGAGGCCTCATCTCTACAAAAAAATTTGAAAATTAGCCAGGTGTGGTGGCGCGCGCCTGTAGTCCCAGCTACTCAGGAGACTGAGGCTGGAGGATCGCTTGAGCCCAGGAGTTCAAGGCTGCTGTGAGCCCTGATTGCACCACAGCACTCCACCTGAGTGACAGAGTGAGACCCTGTCTCAGAATAAGAAATAAAAAAGGAACCAGGATTGCTCATGGACACCTTGGGAAGATGTCTCTGACCACCTGTTATGGACTGAATTCTGTTCCCCCAAAATTCCTGTGGTGAAGCTCTATTCCCCAGTATTTTAGAATGTAATGGTATTCAAAGACAGGGCCTTTAAAGAAGTAATTAAAATTAGCCAGATGTGGTGGTGGATGCCTGTAATCCCAGCTACTCGGGAGGCTGAGGCAGGGGAATCGCTTGAACCCGGGAGGCGGAGCTTGCAGTGAGCCGAGATCACACCACTGTACTCCAGCCTGGGCGAGAGAGCGAGACTCCATCTTTAAAAAAAAAAAAAAAAAAAGAGGTAATTAAGGTTAAATGAAGTCATAAGATGGGGCCCTAATTCAACAGGACTGATGTCCTTATAAGAAGAGAAAGAGACAGCAGGGAGGGGTGTGCACAGGGAATAGACCACGTGCGGACACAGCGGGAAGATGGCTGTCTACCAGCCAAGGAAGGAAGGCGCCGGAGAAACCAAACCTGCTCACACCTTGATCTTGGACTTCCAGTCTCCAGAGCTTTGGGGAAATAAACTCCTGTTGTTGAATTCACCCAGTCTATGGTCTTAGTTCTGGCAGCCTGAGCAGACTAACTTTAGTGCCCACGCAGCCTGAGGTTTGCTCTGAACTGCTAGGATCGGGGGTGGGAGGCTGGAATGCAGGAGAGTGTTGCATCCACAGGGCCCGGCCTCCCCCACCTGGCTCTATGTTCCATGTTCCTCTCAACCAGGTCGTCCCTCTGCCCCTTGCCTGGGAGAGTGAGGTCCCTTCTGAACCCCCACCTCCAAATCCAGTTCCTTCCCACCGCACGCTGCCCACAACATCTGCTCATCTTCCAGGCCTCTAGATCCAATTTGGAAACCACCATTTTTTCCCTGGCTTTAAAAGGTAGATTTACTCAGAAAATTTCATGCAGAAGAAAATTATAATCCCATTGTGGAAATATACAAAGACCAGCCAAATGAGAACAGCAAGGCTATTGATTCAGAGCTTGCTCTAGCAAGGGAGTCGGCCATTGTCACTTTTGTTTGGCAGAGACTCAAAGGCAGGCTGAGGAGGGGAAGCCTCATGGTGGAAAAAGGGAGGCTTCAGGGGTGCCCTGATGGATGCTGCCGGCATGGAGAAACTGGAGGCAGCTAACTAGAAGAGGGCATTTTATGGGATTTTGGTTAGGGGCAAATACTTGGTTTTCTTTGGCTGGTCCTAAGTTAAAAGGGGGGACAAAAGTTACAGAGGCTGAGGCTGAGGCAGGTGGATCACTTGAAGTCAGGAGTTCAAGACTAGCCTGGCCAACATGGCAAAACCCTGTCTCTACTAAAAATACAAAAATTAGCCGGGTGTGGTGGCACGCTGTAATCCCAGCACTTTGGGAGGCCGAGGTGGGTGGATCACTTGAGGTCAGGAGTTGAAGACCAGCCTGGCCAGCATGGCAAAACCCCATCTCTATTAAAAATACAAAATTCCCTGGGTATGGTGGCATGTGCCTGTAATCCCAGCTACTTGGGAGACTGAGACAGAAAAATTGCTTGAACCCAGGAGGTGGAGGTTACAGTGAGCCAAGATCATGCCACCGCACTATAGCTGGGGTGATGGAATGAGACTATATCTCAAAAAAAAAATTAAATTACAGAGGCAGGCAGTCATTAATCCTGGCCATTTGGGGCTGATTGTCACAGGTGTCATTGTGTAGCTTCCTGGACTGTTTGCTAGAGATGGTGGGCCAACTTTCTATCAGACTGACATATAGGCAGCAGGCTGGCTTCCTGGGCTGGCTCCTGCAGATAATGGGTCAGTTTCCTGGCCTGGTTGCTGCAGATTGCGGGTCTGAGTTCTATTTTTATACATGCTCTGGCCATTGTCTGTTTGTATATTCATTCAATCGCTCACCAGGAAGGTTCAAATCAAGGCCTCAGACTGTTATATAAATACCAAGAGCAAAATCCTAAAGTAACTATGTCACATCTTATTTTCACCAATAACTTTTTTTATTAGATAACTGGGGAAAGCTGACATTTGTTGAGCAATAGTTCTTGTTCAACCTCCTCATTATATCTGGGATTGGGTTAAAAAAATATATAGATGAATCAACTATGGCAAAAGTTAGGTGCTGAATCTAGGTTGTGGGTGTATGGATGTTCAACTATTTTCTCAACTTTTCTCCATGTCAGAAAATTGTCAGGATAAGAAGTTGGGAAAAAATGCTGGACCTGCATTTTTACTTAAACACAGCACTGACCAGCAGTGGCAGAACATGAATCACCAGCTTGAATCACAAAACCCACAGCTTCATTTTAATTTATGTATCTACATATTTCTTTGTACAGAGCAGTGCGTAAGAGTCGAGGATCGGCCAACTGTGGCTTGTCCAAGCTGGACAGCCCTGCCACTGTGCTCCATGGCCACAGATGGCCAGCCCTTGACAGAATGGCTGCCTGCTCCTTGGACCCCACACAGCTGGCAAACCAGCCCTCAGCACTAGGGCAGCCTGGCCCCAGGCCCTCTCCCCAGACACCGGCCTCCCTGTTAGGTAGAATTGCTCCACCTCACTCCATCTCCCTGGCTGCGGCTGCCCCGCCCCACTCGCGAGCAGCCACCTCACACTCACCCCCTGAGCTTCTTGGCCATCTGAGCTGAGTTCAGGATGACCACATGGGGCCAACTGTAACAGAGCATTTTGATTTGTGTTTCTTCCTGAGTAAATGAATTAATCAACCAACCCGAGTCTACCCTCAAAGTACATCCAGGAGCCCCTTCTCACCCCATCTTCACCACCCTTGTCCCCCAAGATCACAGCAAGATCACACCCACCCCGGTCTTCTGGCTTCCCTCTTGGCCCCTCTGTGTGACCCCCACACAGCAGCCAGAGTGCCCCTCTTAAAACTGAGCCAGGCCTAGGTGCAGTGGCTCACGCCTGTAATCCCAGCACTTTGGGAGGCTGAGGCGAGTGAATCACCTGAGGTCGGGAGTTCGAGACCAACCTGACCGACATGAAGAAACCCTGTATCTACTAAAAATACAAAATTAGCTGGGCGTGGTGGTGCACGGCTACTCAGGAGGCTAGGGCAGGAGAATCACTTGAACCCAGGAGGCGCAGATTGCACCGAGCCGAGATCGTGCCATTGTACTCCAGCCTAGGAAACAAGAGTGAAACTCTGTCTCAAAAAAAAAAAAAAAAAACTGAGCCAAGCCAGGTTATTTCTTTGCTCAAGCTCCCCAGCGCCTCTCCATGTCTCTCAAAGAAAAAGTCAAAGTCTTAACCATGGCTCCAAGGCTACGTCAGGGGTCAGCAAACTAAAGCCCACAGCCACACGCATTCAATTGCCCTATCTATGGCTACTATCTGTCTACCACGGTTCACCTGCGGCTGCCCAGCACTGCCACGAAGACATCAAGTAGCCCCATGAAGAAGCCAGCAGTTAACACCACACTGCCAGCTGTGTGAGGCTCCACCTTGGAACGGGGGTCCCCAGCACAGGTAAGCCTTTGGATGGCATCTGACTCCAAGTGGAAACTCCAGCTGAACTTTTCCCCAGCGCCTGACCCACAGACTCCATGGCCATCATACATTTATTTTGAAAGAAAAATAATGGTTTTTTTCTCATGCCACTATGTCTTGCCACAGAACTGTGTGTAATCTCCCTCTGTCATAAACATATCTGTATACACATTGAAGTGTGTATATGTGCGCATATATATGTGTGTATGTGTGTAACACCTTATAGAAATAGATAAGCAAGAACTTTGCTTTAATTTACTTTAATTAGTCTTCATTTCTTTCTTTTCTTGGCTGTATACTCCCCTTTCCTCTCCCATCTCTGTCTTACCACCCAGATACCCTGTCAATAACCTAATTTGTATTCCATCTATTCTCCGTATTTTCCTTTATCCTTACATATAATAATCAAGCACACGTGTGCATATTGATGCGTATATACCTCTACACATATGCATACATAGAGGTATTCAGTTAATTCATTGCACAGTGGCATCTTGTTTCACACATTTTTCTGTATCATGATTTTCTCAGTCAATGATGCCTTGTAGAAATCCCTGTGAAATCTACTGCTCACAGCCTCACTGGATCCTTTTTGTGGCTGCACAATATTCCATGCTGTAAGGGACTGCAATTTACTCACCCAGCCCTGGGTGACAAACAGTCACTTTGTTACCAATTTGGGGCCCCATGGTAAAGTCCCTGTACACAGCCTCACTCACTTGTGCTTTATTTCTACGTCTGGTTGCCCAGAGTGGGGCTGCTGGCCCGAAGACAGAGGCATGTTAAATTTCAACAGATGCTGCCCTGCTGCTTTCCACATGGCCTGATGTCTGGCCCTGGGAAGACCTGAGCTTTTTCGTGCTGTGGACACAGGGCCTTCCAGCTGTGCCAGGCTATCACCGGCCTCATGGAGTCCCCACACAATCAACACAGCTCAGTGTGAAGCCTTCAGCAAATCCATGTCCTGTTGTTTCTCCAATTTTTCTCAGGCCCAAGTACACTTCACAGGCTGGTCAACACCACGTGGGTATAGACAAAATGCACACCTGAATTCCTCTTTTTTTTTTTTTTTTTTTTTTTTTAGAGACGGAGTCTCACTCTATTTGCCCAGGCTGGAGGGCAATGGCGCGATCTCAGCTCACTGCCACTTATGCCTCCTGGGTTCCAGCAATTCTCCCACCACAGCCTACCAAGTAGCTGGGATTACAGGCACCTGCCATCATGCCTGGCTAATTTTTGTATTTTTGTAGAGACAGGGTTTCACCATGTTGGCCAGGCTGGTCTTGAACTCCTGACCTCAGGTGATCTGCCCGCATTGGCCTCCCAAAGTGCTGAGATTACAGGGGTGAGTTCACATCCCGCCTGAATTCTTCTTTTGAGTTTTGCTTTCAGAAAAGAAATGCTGCCCATCAGGGTTCAGCAGGGCAAAGGTAGCTTAGACATCCACCCCTTCCAGTTCCTGCCTGACATCAGGCCCCTCTGGTGTCCCGCCTGACCAAAGGGAACTGCCAAAATGCACCTGTGGCCACCCTCCTGAGGAAGATGTTAATGTTTAAATTTGGGAACCTCCAGTTCCCAACTTCAGTTCATGGAGCCCTCCGTGTCTTCGAAAATTTGCAGGGCCTCCTAGGCGCAGGCAACACCTGGCAGGTGCATTTATTAAGTAGTTAGGTCCAAGCCACCCAACAAGCACGTATATGCTAATTACTCAGCTGGCGTTTGAGAAAGTGATACACGTAAGTAGAAAAGAGAATAGTTTTTCTTTAATTCTTAAATACCTGCAATTCCTTTGTAACAGGATGTTGGACACTGCACAGCTTCTCAAACCCACCCACCTGGTGCCTGTGCCACGGTGATTTCCACGTGGTACTGAGCCCACCTTTGCACAGGGAGGAAGGAGGACGAGGAAGGACTGGCTGCAGCGTCGCCGGCCTGGTGACTTCAGGGGAGCCAGCGGTCCCCACCGCGGCCAGCAGAGGGCTCCGCGCTGCCCTCCAAACAGAACCCCTCGCGCAGCCGCGCCACCCCGCCCGACCGGAGGAAACCTGTCCTCTCTCCTCGCCACCCAGTCCCCGGGCCCTGTCACCCGAACCCCGAGGCCGGCAGGAATTTAGAAAGGGGGCTGGAGGCCGGTAGCCGAGGCGGGTTCTGTGCCGAAGAAGGAGCCTGGCTGTGGGGTCGCCCCCGGCGGAGACGCGGGCGCCGAGATCCGAGCCCCAGGGACCCCATGGCACTCCCGAGACCGTCCCCGGAAAGGTCGCGCGGCCGTCGCCGCCGGGAGAGCGAAGGGCAGGGCGGGCAGGGAACCTGGCCCTGTGTGCGAGTGGGGACATCGTCTATTGGTCTTCTTTTTCTGCACCTTTCCCATCTTCTAAACGGGGCGGCCCTCCCGAGAACGGCCTCCTAAGGCAGTGGGGCTTCCAGCGTCCCGCTGTGCTCCCCGGGAGGGTTGGAGGCTGCAGAGGCTGACGCGGGGCAGGGCGGCCCCTCAGGGAACCCAATGCTGGCGAGGAAGCGGGCGCTCGGGCCGCGCCGCCGGGCTCGGCCTTCCTCGTCCCCAAGCTCGCCTGGAAGGGAAGAGCAGGGAGGTAGAGCGCAAGGTGACTCCGCCACAGCCGCCGCCGCGCTCCCGCCTCGGCCCGCGGTGGTCGCGCGGGTGACCGGGCGCAGCCCCTTGGGCCTCCTCTCCCCTGCACAACCAAGCCGGCCCCCCAGCCTCACGCGGGAGGAGAGAGGCGCACTTGTGGGGTGCAAGACTCCCCAGGCAGCAACATGAGAGTGCGCCCCAGAAACTTCCACCAGCACCAGGGAGAGTCCGGACGGCCGCAGCTAGGAGTTCTTAAACGAGGCGAAGAGACCAGAAGCCAAAGGAAAAGACTGATTTTTAGCCGGGCGCGGTGGCCCACGCCTGTAATCCCAGCACTTTGGGAGGCGCTGTGGCAGGAGGATCACTTGTGCCCAGGAGGTCGAGGCTGCAGTGAGCTGTGAGAGCGCCCAGGCTGGTCTCCAACTCCTGGGCTCGAGCACTCCTCCTGCCCCGGTCTCCCAAAGTGCTGAGATTACAACCGTGAGCCACCACACCTAGCCCCAAGTTCTGTTGTTTAAAAAGACACCACAGGGCTGGGTGCGGTGGCACACACCTGTAATCCCAGCACTTTGGGAGGCGGAGGCCGGTGGATCATGAGGTCAGGAGTTCGAGACCAGCCTGGCCAATATGGTGAAAGCCGGTCTCTACTAAAAATACAAGAATTAGCCGGGCATGGTGGTGC
This sequence comes from Homo sapiens, assembly GCF_000001405.40. Lineage (NCBI taxonomy): Eukaryota > Metazoa > Chordata > Mammalia > Primates > Hominidae > Homo > Homo sapiens. The sequence continues at coordinate 128,232,404 of NC_000002.12, read as the reverse complement.
GCGCCTGTAGTCCCAGCTACTCGGGAGGCTAAGGCAGAATAGCTTGAACCCGGGAGGCGGAGGTTGCAGTGAGCCGAGATCGCGCCACTGCACTCCAGGCTGGGTGACAAAGTGAGACTCCATCTCAAAAAAAAAGATACCACAGGGCCGGGCGCCGTGGCGAACATCTGTAATCCCAGCACTTTGGGAGGCCGAGGCGGACGGATCACGAGGTCAGGAGGTTCAAGACCAGCCTGGCCAATATGGTGAAATCTGGTCTCTGCTAAAAATACAAGAATTAGCCGGGTTTGGTGGCGCGAGCCTGTAGTCCCAGCTACTCGGGAGGCTGAGGCAGAAGAATAGTTTGAACCTGGGAGGCGGAGGTGGCAGTGAGCCGAGATTGTGCCACTGCACTCCAGCCTGGCAACAGAACAAGACTCTGTTTCAAAAAAAAAAGACACCACAGGCCGATTGTGGTGGCTCACGCCTGTAATCTCAGCATTTTGGGAGGCCGAGGCGGGCAGATTACGAGGTCAGGAGATCGAGATCATCCTGGCCAACAGGGTGAAACCCCGTCTCTACTAAAAATACAAAAATTAGCTGGGTACGGTGGCTGGCGCCTGTAAACCCAGCTATTCGGGAGGCTGAGGCAGGAGAATCACTTGAACCCGGGAGGTGGAGGTTGCAGTGAGCCAAGATCGCGCCACTGCACTCCAGCCTGGGTGACAGAGAGAGGCTCATCTCAAAAAAAAAAAAAAGACAACACAAAGAGAATAAAAAAAAAGCAACAAACTGGAAAAAAGATATTATTGGCAATACATATACCTGAAAAGGAGTCATATCGAGACTATATATTTTTTATGTATTTGTTTTTCGTTTATTAACTAAGAGGAAAAAGGCAAAACTCAAAGAATTAAAACCCAGAACAGATCTTCCTAGAGAGCAACCAGGAGGCCCATTAAATGTGTGAAAAGATGTCCAACTTCATTTATTATCAACGAAATGTAAACTAAAACAAGGACATGCCATTCCACACCCACTAAATCAGCAAAATTTAAAATCTCTTGTCAACATAAAGTGTTGGGGAAGACTTAGAGAAAAAGGAACTTGCATACACAACTGGCGGGAATGTAAACTGTGCACTGACTTTGAAACACAGATTGGCAGGACCCAGTAAATGTGGGCAACCAGTAAAGCTGCTTTCCTAGGGCCCTGCAAGCCCACTCCTCTGAGTGTATACACCCGGGAGACCCTGGCACATGTGGGCCAGGACCCACATAGAAGAATGTGTGCAGGAGCCTTGTCTGTAAAGCAGAAACCTGAAAACAATCCAAGTGGCTATTCACTGGAGGGAGCAGGTAAGAAACTGGTAAGTAGACAGCAAGGAAAAGGAATGAATGCACAGGCATGCGTGACCCTCAAAACTGCCTGCTGCAGAGGACTCCAGTTATATACGATTCAAAAAACAGGTAACAGTAAATAATATTTAGGTTAAACCAATGTTTCTCAACCTTTTTAAAAATCACCTCCCCTGGGCCAAGCGCGGTGGCTCACGCCTGTAATCCCAGCACTTTGGGAGGCCGAGGCGGGTAGATCGCCAAGTCACGAGATCGAGATCATTCTGGCTAACATGGTGAAACCCCGTCTCTACTAAAAATACAAAAAATTACGCTGGGCATGGTGGCTCACTCCTGTAGTCCCAGCACTTTGGGAGGCTGAGGCGGGCAGATTACCTGAGGTCAGGAGTTCGAGACCAGCCTGACCAACATAGAGAAACCCCATCTCTACAAAAAATAAAAAATTAGCCAGGCATGGTGGCGCCTGCCTGTAATCCCAGCTACTCAGGAGTCTGAGGCAGGAGAATTAATTGAACCCAGGAGGCAGAGGTACCACTGCACTCCAGCATGGGCAACAGAGCAAGACTCCGTCTTAAAAAAAAAACAAAATCGGCCAGGTACAGTGGCTCATGCCTGTAATCCCAGCATTTTGGGAGGCCAAGGCAGGGGTGTGGGGGGGATCACGAGGTCAGGAGTTTAAGACCAGCCTGACCAACAGGGTGAAACCCCGTCTCTACTAAAAATACAAAAATTAGCCGGCCACGGTGATGGCACCCACCTGTAATCCCAGCTACTCAGTTGGCTGAGGCAGGAGAATTGCTTGAACCTGGGAGACAGAGGTTGCAGTGAGCCGAGATTGTGCCATTGTACTCCAGCCTGGGCGACAGAGCGAGACTCCATCTCAAAAAAATTTTTAAAAAAGTCAAACAACAGCAGATTTCTTATCTGAAACCATGGAGGCAAGGAGGAAGTGGCAAAACCATTTTCCAGTGCTGAATGAAAAAAACTATCAATGTCAACTCCATGGCGAATAAAAATTTCCATTAGGAATGAGGAGAAATTAAGTCTGTCAGGCAGAGGAGCACAAGCAAATTTGTCACCAGCTGACCTACTCCTAAAGAACGCTTAAAAGCCATTCTCTGGGAATTGGACAGTGGCTCATGCCTGTAATCCCAGCATTTTGGGAGGCTGAGGTGGGCAGATCACGAGGTCAGGAGATCGAGACCATCCTGGCTAACATGGTGAAACCCTGTCTCTACTAAAAATACAAAAACTTAGCCACGCGTGGTGGCATGCACCTGTGATCCTAGCTACTCAGGAGGCCGAGGCAGGAGAATCGCTTGAACCTGGGAGGCAGAGGTTGCAGTGAGCCGAGACCGTGCCACTGCATTCCAGCCTGGGCGACAGAGCGAGGCTCCATTTCAAAACAACAACAACAAAAGTTATTTTCTGAACAAAAAGTAAGTGCAACAAAAGGAATCCTGGAATATCAAAAAGAAAAGAAAGGTGGGGCGCAGTGGCTTACACCTGTAATCCCAGCAATTTCGGAAGTCAAGGCGGGCAGATCGCTTGAGGTCAGGAATTTGAGACCAGACTGGGGAACTTGGCAAAACTCTACCTCTACAAAAAATACAAAAGTTAGCCAGATGTGGTGGCACATGCCTGTAGTCCCAGCTACTCGGGAGGCTGAAGTGGGAGAATTGCTTGAGCCCAACAGGCAGAGGTTACAGTGAACCGAGATTGCACCACTATACTCCAACCTAGGTGACCGAGTGAGACCCTGTCTCAAAAAAAAAAAAAGAAAAAGAAAAGAAAGAACAAAGAAATTGGTTTAAAAAATAGGGTTAAATATAATAACTGTCCTTATAGTTTTTAAAATCATGTTTGATTTTAAAAATGGTCTAATGTGATGCTCAATATATGTACAGGAAACATAGTCATGTGTCACTTAATGACAGGGATACATTCTCAGAAATGAGTCATTAGGCAATTCTGTCATTGTGCAAACATCATAGAGTATAATGGCATGTGATTATACTGAATATTATAGGCAATTATAACACAATGGTAAGCATTTGTTTATTTAAACATATCTAAACATAGAAGAGGTACTATAATCTTATGGGACAGCTGTTATATATGTGGTCAGTTGACCTAAATGTGTTTATGTGACACTAATACAATTATATTTTTAAAGTGAGGAGGAAAAAAGAACATAAATGGGAATAAGCTTTCTACATTTTACTTGCAATGGTAAAATATCAGTACCAGTCAACTGTGATAAGTTGCATATGTATATTGTCATACCTAGAGCAACCACATACACAAAAAGTATACATAGAAAGCTAATTTAAAAAAAAAACTATATGGCCCTTTCCTCTTGGAAGTCCCCTCTCTCTTTTTTTTTTTTTTTTTTTGGTTTGAGATGGAGTCTCACTCTATCGCCCAGGCTGGAGCGCAGTGGCACAATCTCAGCTCACTGCAAGCTCTGCCTCCTGGGTTCATGCCATTCTCCTGCCTCAACCTCCCAAGTAGCTGGGACTACAAGTGCCAGCCACCACGCCCAGCTAATTTTTTTTTTTTGTATTTCTAGTAGAGACGGGGTTTCACCGTGTTTGCCAGGATGGTCTCGATCTCCTGACCTCGTGATCCACCAACCTCAGCCTCCCAAAGTGCTGGGATTACAGGTTTGAGCCATTGCACCCGGCCCCCTCTCTCTTTTTCCTTTCTCTGTCTTTCTCTCTCTCTCTTGCCTATTGAACCTCCCCTCCCAAACTCCTAAAAAAAAAAAACTATAGAGAAATTGTAATGTAGACCACTCCCCTAAGTAGCCCAGAGGAGAGCAAGAAAAGGAAACAGGAAAAGACACAGAAAAAAAAAAAAACTACAAAAATATTGGAAATATTGAAATATTAGAAATACAGATGATCCTTAACTCTCTTATTCAAATATGCACATAATAATAACCTCTTTTGGACCAAGATTCCTAACCACTAAACTTTATTTATTTATTTATTTATATTATTTATTTATTTATTTATTTATTTATTTATTTATTTATTTTGAGACTGAGTCTGGCCCTGTTGCTTAGGCTGGAGTGCAGTGGCATGATCTCAGCTCATTGCAACCTCCATATCCTGGGTTCAAACAATTCTCATGCCTCAGCCTCCAAAGTAGATGGAATTTCAGCACTTTGGGAGGCCGAGGCAGGTGGATCACCTGAAGTCAAGAGTTCGAGACCACCCTGGCCAACATGGTGAAACCCCATCTGTACTAAAAATACAAAAATTAACTGGGCGTAGTGGTGCACGCCTGTAGTTCCAGCTACTCGGGAGGCTGAGGCAGGAGAATTGCTTGAACCTGAGAGGCAGAGGTTGCAGTGAGCCAAGATTGCGCCACTGCCCTCCAGCCTGGGTGACAGAGCGAGACTCTGTCTCAAAAAAAAAAAAAAAAAACCAACAAAAACTCACATTAGTAATTATTTTTAAGTGTAAATAGTTCAAATACACCAATTAAGACAAAGATTGCAAAGGGGATTTTTAAAACGCAACCCAACTATGTGCTACCTACTGACTTCAAACATAACAATATAGGTAGGCTGAAAAAGGAGGAAAAAAGATATATGCATTTTGGTCCATTTTCTGTTGCTTATAATGGGATATCTGAAACTGACTAATTTATAATAAATAAAACTTATTTCTTATAGCTCTGGAGGCTGGGAAGCCCAAGGTCAAGAGGACACATCTGGTGAGAGCATTCTGGCTGGTGGGGACTCTCTACGGAGCCCCAAGGCAATGCAGTGTATCACACGGTGAGGGACTGAGGTGCTAATGTGCTCGCCCAGGTTTCCCTTCCTCTTCCTGTAAAGCCACCAGTTTCCCTCCCATGATAAACCATTAATCCATTAACCCATTAATCCATTCATTAAGGCAGAGGCCTCATGATCCAGTCACCTCTTAAAGGTCCCACCACTCAATACTGCCACATTGGGAATTACATTTCAACATCAGTTTTGAAGGAGACATTCAAATCATAGCAGCATAAAAACATTATTTTTTAAAAAATCAGGAGTCACTATATTAATATCACATAAAGTAGACTTCAGAGAAAAAATTACTGGAAACAAAGAGCGATATTGTATAATGATAAAAGAATCAATCCACCAGGAAGAAAACAATCCCAAATACATATGCACCAAACAACAGAGCCCCAAAATACATGAAGCAAAAACTGAGCTGAAAGGAGTAGACAAATCCACAGTTACAGTTGGAAATACATAGAAATTAGATAGAAAATCAGTAAGGACATTGTATTAGGCCATTTTTGTATTACTATAAAGAAATAGCTGAGACTATGTAATTTATTTTTAAAAATGTCTAATTGGCTCACAGTTCTGTAGGCTGCACAGGAAACATGGTGCCAGCATCTGCTTGTGGTAAGGGCCTCAGGAGGCTTCCAATCATGGCAGAAGGCAAAGGAGGAGCCAGTGTATCACACAGCAAGAGCAGGAGCAAGAAAGAGAGGAGGGAGATGCCACACACATTTTTTTTTTTTTTTTTTTTGCTTGAGACAGGGTCTCACTCTGTTGCCCAGGCTGGAGTGCAGTGGCACTATCACAGCTCACTGCAGCCTCTACCTCCTGGGCTCAAGTAATTCTCCCACCTCAGCCTCCCGAGTGGCTGGGACTCCAAGCACACACCACCACGCCCAGCTAGTGTTTTTGATTTCTAGTAGAGATGAGGTCTGGGTATGTTGCCTAGGCCAGTCTCAAACTCCTGAGCTCAAGTGATCCTTCTGCCTTAGCCTCCCAAAGTGCTGGGATTACAGGCATGAGCCACTATGTCCAGCCAATGCCACAAACTTTTAAATAACTAGATTTCATGTGAACTAATTGAGAACTCACTCATCACCAAGGGGATGGTGCTAAGCCATTCATGAGGGATCTGCTCCCATGATCCAATTCGCCCATTCATGAGGGATCTGCTCCCATGATCCAATTCGCCCATTCATGAGGGATCTGCTCCCATGATCCAATTCGCCCATTCATGAGGGATCTGCTCCCATGATCCAATTCGCCCATTCATGAGGGATCTGCTCCCATGATCCAATTCGCCCATTCATGAGGGATCTGCTCCCATGATCCAATTCGCCCATTCATGAGGGATCTGCTCCCATGATCCAATTCGCCCATTCATGAGGGATCTGCTCCCATGATCCAATTTGCCCATTCATGAGGGATCTGCTCCCATGATCCAATTTGCCCATTCATGAGGGATCTGCTCCCATGATCCAATTTGCCCATTCATGAGGGATCTGCTCCCATGATCCAATTCGCCCATTCATGAGGGATCTGCTCCCATGATCCAATTCGCCTCCCACCAGATCCCACTTCCAACATTGGAAATTACATTTCAGCATGAGATTTGGAGAGGACAAACATCCAAACAGTATCAGACATGTAAAAACTGAGCAACACTATCAAACAGGATTTAACTGACGTTTATAAGACAGCCTAGCCAACAACAGCAGAATACAGTCTTTTTAAGTGCCTATATAATATTAATCAAGATAGAGCATATCTTGGGTCATAAAGCAAACTTAACAAACTTAAAATAATTAAAATCATGTAGAGTATATTCCCTGACCATAATGGACTTAAACTAGAAATCAATAACAGAAAGAAAACAGGAAAAATCGCCAAATGCTTGGTAATTAACCAACACACTTCTGAATAATTCGTAAGTAAAAAAGAAAGCCTCAAATAAAATAAAACATACATAGCCAGGCACAGTGGCTCATGCCTGTAATCCCAGCACTTTGGGAGGCCAAGGCAGGTGGATCACCGGAGGTCAGGAGTTCGAGACCAGCCTGGCCAACATGGTGAAACCCTGTCTCTACGAAAAATACAAAAATTAGCTGGGCATGGTGGCAGCCCCTGTAATCCCAGCTACTCAGGAGGCTGAGGCAGGAAAATCACTTCAACGTGGGAGGCGGAGGTTGCAGTGAGCCAAGATCGTGCCATTGCACTCCAGCCTGGGCGACAGAGGGAGACTCTGTCTCAGAAAACAAAACAAAAAAAATAGAACTAAATGCAAATGAAAATACAACATATCAAAATTGGTGGGATACTTCTAAAGCACTGCTGAGAAGAAATTTTTATTTTGTTTTTTTAGACGGAGTCTCACTCTGTCGCCCAGGCTGGAGTGCAGTGGCGTGATCTCGGCTCACTGCGACCTCCACCTGCTGGGTTCAAGTGATTCTCCTGCCTCAGCCTCCTGAGTAGCTGGGACTACAGGCGCCCATCACCACGCCCAGCTAATTTTTTGTATTTTTAGTAGAGATGGGGTTTCACCATGTTGCCCATTCTGGTTTCGATCTCCTGAGCTCAGGCAATCTGCCTGCCTCGGCCTCCCAAAGTGCTGGGATTACAGGCGTGAACCACTGCACCCGGCTGAGAAGAAAACTTATAGCATTCAATGCTTACATTAGAAAGCATGATAGGATTTATATCAATAATCTAAGCTCTGACCTCAAGAAACCAGGAGGAGAAGAGTAAAATAATCTCAAAGCAAGAAGAAAGAAGGAAATAAAAATAAGAGCAGAGGCTGGGCATGGTGGCTCATGCCTGTAATCCCAGCACTTTGGAAGGCCAAGGCAGAGCCAAGATCACACCCATTGCACTCCAGCCTCAGTGACAGAGAAAGACTCTGTCTCAAAAAAAAAAAAAAAAAAAAAAAAAAGCAGAATTCAATGAAATTGAAAAAGGGGCCAGGCACAATAGTTCATGCTCGTAATCCCAGCACTTTGGCAGGCCAAGGCAGGTGGATCACTTGAGCCCAAGAGTCCAAGACCAGCCTAGGCAACATGGCAAAACCCCATCTCTACAAAAAATACAAAAATTAGCTGGACATGATGGCATGTGCCTGTAGTCCCAACTACTCAGGAGGCTGAGGAGGGAGGATCACTTGAACCGAGGAGGTCAAGGCTGCAGTGAGCCAAGATCATTCCACAGCACTCAAGCCTGGGTGACAGAGCAAAATCTTGTCTCATTAAAAAAAAAAAAAAAAAGTCTCCATGCCCAGATAGTTTCACCAGAGCGTTCTCCAAAACATTTAAAGAATTAACACCAATTTTATACAATTTCTTCCAGAAAACAGAAGAGTTGGGAACACTTCCAATCTCATTTTATGAGACCCTGAAATCACAAACGGACAAAGACAGTACTAAAACATAAATAAATAAAAATAAAACTATAGGCCAATATCTTATAAACTTAGACACAAAATTACCCCACCAGCCAGAAGGCTCCCACCAAACGCAACCTCTCGAACTTGGACTTCTCAGTCTCTATAAATGTAAGATACAAGTTTCTTTTCTTCATAAATTACCCAGTTTCAGGGATTCTGTAGAAGGAAATCAAAATATTTTACCCCAGATATATTTGTTTGCCGTATTTTGAAATGGCTGCCTCAGGGCCAGCAGACTAAGTTGGCCTTGCAAAGCTGTCTTTTGGGGGCGACTCTTGCATCTGTAGAAAATCTCCCTAAGGCCGGGTGCTGTGGCTCACTCCTGTAATCCCAGCACTTTGGGAGGCCGAGGTGGGTGGATCACCTGAGGTCAGGAGTTCGAGACCAGCCTGACCAATATGATAAAACCCCATCTGTACTAAAAATACAAAAATTAGCCAGGCGCAGTGGCATGGACCTGTAATCCCAGCTACTCAGGAGGCTGAGATAGAAGAACCGCATAAACCCGGGAGGCAGAGGTTGCAGTGAGCCAAGTTTGCGCCATTGCACTCCAGCCTGGGCAACAAGAGCGAAACTCCATCTCAAAAAAAAAAAGAAAAGAAAAGAAAATCTTCCTAAATGCCAGGCCTTCCCTTTCTAGCCCTTTCCTGGATCAAAGAGAGATTAACTCACTCTGACGCCTTTAAAGGTCTGAACACAGCCATTTACCATCTATTCTCTCTGAGTTCTGCTACCTGTAAGGCTTCGTCGGCATAACAAGGCCACCTCTGCCAGCCAGGCCTCTTCCTTTCTCCCTCCCAGGACCTGTTTTTGCCAAGATCCAAGCTCCCAATCTTATTGTAACTGCAAGATGGTATGGAAGCTTCTATACCTTATTGGGAGATTGAGTCTTCGTTCTGAAGGCTCCCATAGGTACACGTTGATTAAATGTGTGTGCCTTTTCTCCTATTAATCTGCCTCATATCAGTGATTGTTCAGCAAACCTTCTGAGGGCAAAGGGGATGTTTCCCCTTGGCTCCCCTACGCATTAAAGCAACAGAAAATAGACTAGTCTGGGAGATAGAGATGGAAAATAGGCAAATGAAAAGATGTTCAACACCATCAGCCATTAGAAAAATGCAAACAGGCTGAGCACGGTGGCTCACGCCTGTAATCCCAGCACTTTGGGAGGCAGAGGCGGGCAGATCACCTGAGGTCAGGAGTTTGAGACCAGCCTGGCCAACATAATAAAACCCCCATCTCTACTAAAAATACAAAAATTAGCCAGGCGTGGTGGTGCACACCTGTAATCCCAGCTACCTGGAAGGCTGAGGTAGGAGAATCGCTTGAACCCAGGAGGCAGAGGTTGCAGTGAGCCGAGATCGCACCACTGCACTCCAGCCTCGGTGATAGAGTGAAATTCTTCTCAAAAAAACAAAGAAAGAAAGAAAAATGCAAATGGAGGCCAGAATAAAATGTCACTACACATTTATTAGAATAGTTCAAATAAAAAATAGGGATAATACCAAATGCTGGCACAGAAGCAAATAAACTGGAATGGAAAATGGTACAGCCAGTCTGCAAAATAATTCGATGGTTTCTTATTGTCAACAAAGAGTCAAACTCTGTAAAATGTTTGAAGAGATTTATTCTGAGCCAAATATGAGTGACCATGGCCCATGACACGACCCTCAGGAGGTCCTGAACATGGTGCCTAAGGGAGTCGGGATGTAGGTTGGTTTTATACATTTTAGGAAGACATGAAACTTCAATCAAATACATTTAGGAAATAACATTGGTTCGGTCCAGAAAGGCAGGACAACTTGAAGTGTGGGAGTGGAATTCCAGGTTATAGGTAAATTTAAAATTTTTCTAATTAGCAATTGGTTGAAAGAGTTATCAATAGAAAGGAATGTCTGGGTTAAGATCAGGAGTTGTGGAGACCAAGGTTTTATCACACAGATGAAGTCTCCAGGTAACAGGCTTCAGAGATAATAGATTGTAAATGTTTCTTATCAGACTTAAGGTCTGTGTTGATGTGAATGCCAGAGAGGTATAATGAAGCATGTCTGACTCCCACTTCCTATCATGACCAGTCTCTCAGATTAAATTTTAGAGTGCTCTGGCTGAGGAGGAAGTCCCTTTGATGGTTGGGGGCCTTAGAACTTTATTTTTGGTTTACATTATAAACTAAACATGTACCTATAAAACAACCAGCACTCACACTCTTGGACATTTATCCCAAAGAAATGAAAACTCATGCTCACACAAAAACCTGTGCACAGAGCCAGGTGTGCTGGCTCACACCTGTAATCTCAACACTTTGGGAGGCCGAGGCAGGCAGATCGCTTTGAGCTCAGGAGTTTGAGACCAGCCTGGTCAACATGGTGAAACCCCGTCTCTACTAAAAATACAAAAGAAAAAAAAAATAGCCAGGCATGGTGGCACACACCTGCAGTCCCAGCTACTTAGGAGGCTGAGGTGGGAGGATTGCTTGAGCCTGGGAGGCGGAGGTTGCAGTGAGCTGTGATCATGCCGTTGCACTCCAGCCTGGGCCACAGAGCCAGAACCTGTCTCAAACAAACAAAAAACCTGTGCACGAATGTTCTTCCAACCTTATTCATAACGTAAACCAAAAATAAAATTATAAGCCCCTCAACCAACTGAATGGACCCCTCCTATCGGCCAAGGGCTTTCTAAAATAAACCTGAAACACTAGTCCAGGCCATCACGGGAGTGCGGTGGTCACTCCCTTTTACTGATTCCAAGGCTTTAGATAAACTCTCAACCAATTGCCAATCAGAAAATCCTTCAATCGGCCTATGACCCAGAACCCCACCCCATCCCACCCACCTCTACTTCCAGTTGTCCCGTCTTTCCCAACCAACGTACATCTTACATGTATTAATTGATGTCTTAAGTCTCCCTAAAACGTATAAAACCAACCTGTAGACTGACCACGTTCTCAGGATCTCCTGCGGCTGTGTTGCAGACCATGGTCACTCACATTTGGCTCAGAATAAAAGTCTTCAAATACTTTATGGAGTTCGATTTTCTTTGTCAACAATAATATTCAGAAACCGAAAAAACAACCAAAAAGTCCTTCAATAGGTGAATGGTTTAAAAATCTCTGGATAAGGCTGGGCACAGTAGCTCATGCCTGTAATCCAGCACTTTGGGAGGCCGAGGCGAGAGGATCGCTTGAGCTCAGGTATTCTAGACAAGCCTGGGCAACATGGCAAAACCCCATCTCTACAAAAAATACCAAAAATTAGCCAGCTGTGGTGGTGTTACCGGCGGCCGGTATCTGAGTTACCAACGGCGAATCCTGACAGGTCTGCAGCACCCTCGATTCTTGCCTCCTCAGAAGAAAGAATTCAAATGAGGGGCATAAGGCAGAAAAAGAGACCGAGGCAAGTTTCAGAACAGGAGTGGAAGTTTATTGAAAAGGCTTTAGAACAGGAAAGAAAGGAAGGTATGCTTGGAAGAGACCCAGACAGGCAGCATGAAGAACAAGTGCAGTGCTGAACCTTGCAGCTGGGACTTTATAGGCTGGCCCACCTCCAGCATCCTGCGCCCCTTTCCCATGATTCTTCCCTCAGGGTGGGCTGCCCGCATGCACTGCCCTCCTCACCCGTGGGAGGCGAGCACCCACAGTGGGTTTAGTAGCAAGTTGTATCTGAGGCTTTCTTCCCTTTTCTGGCAGACGGCTCCTGGAAAACCCTACTTTGCCATCTTGTCTCTTAATGCGCATGCCCAGGCTCACTGGCCCAATCCCTGAGATTTTATTGGAAGCCCTTTTTGCTTCTCCCTAGCGCCTGCATTCAATTAACACTTTAAGGTTAACAGCTGTGGATCAGCAGGAGCTTGTCTCTTTTTGGTGCTGGCTGCCGAATTGTTTTTAGAGAGGTATTGTGAATATTGTCAAACCATCACCTGACATTTCTAGTGGGTGGGGGAAAAGAGTCCTCTCCTGCCCCACCCATGCCTGTCTAACTACTTGTAACAGTGGCATGCCCCTGTGGTCCCAGCTACTCAGGAGACTGAAGTGAGAGGATCGTTTGAGCCTGAAGGTAGAGGCTGCAGTGAGCCAACCTAAAGATCATACCACTGAATGTACTTAAGGCTCTCTTTGCCGGGAGCAGTGGCTTACGCCTGTAATCCCAGCACTTTGGGAGGCCGAGGCGGGCGGATCACGAGGTCAGGAGATCGAGACCATCCTGGTTAACACGACGAAACCCCGTATCTACTAAAAATACAAAAAAAAAATAGCCTGGCTTGATGGTGGGCGCCTGTAGTCCCAGCTACTCGGGAGGCTGAGGCAGGAGAATAGCGTGAACCCGGGAGGCGGAGCTTGCAGTGAGCCGAGATCGCACCACGGCACTGCAGCGTGGGTGACAGAGGGAGACTCCGTCTCAAAAAACAAAAAAAAGGGGCCCTCTTTATTTATAGTGTCAAGTTATTTTTGAATTTTGCTTAAAATCTATTTTTCATATGAAAATAAAAGATAACAATAAAAAAAAAAAGATCGTACCACTGCACTTCAGCCTGAGCAGCAGAGTGAGACCTATCTCAAAAGAAAAAAAAAATCTCTGGATATACACTCTGGATGCAGTATACATCCATACAGCGGAATACTACTCAGCAGTACAAAGTAGCAACTCTTGATCCATTCAACCACTTAGACTGATCTCAAGGCAACCATGTTTGCTAGAAGAAAGTCAGTAACAAAAGGTTACATACTGTAGTACGAGTCCGTATTCTGTATAACATCTTGAAAATGATCAAACTATAGAAATAAAGTACAGATTAATAGTTGCTGAGAGACAGGGGCGGGGTGCAGGAGGTGAGTGCAACTATAAAGGGTAGCCCAGGGAATGTCTTCATGGTGATGAACTACTTCCATATTGATTGTGGCGGTGGTCCCGTCATTCTATACACGAGATTAAATCACAAAGAACCACACACACAAATGAGTACATATCAAAACTCATGAAAGCTGAATGAGGTCTGTAGTCTAATTACCGGGATGGTACCATGTCAGTTTCCTGAGTTAGCTATTGTACTGCAGTTACATAAGCAGCAACACTTGAGGGAAGATGAGGAAGGGTAATGGCACTCTATGTACTGATTTTGCAACTTCATGTGAGTCTATAGTTATTTTATTTTTAAAAATTATTTTATTTCTTCCATGATGGAACCCATGAGGGAATATCTTCAAACCAGTAAAAATATTTCATAAATAATATCTGGCCTTTTTCTTTTCTTTTCTTTTCTTTTGAGATGGAGTCTTGCTCTGTCTTCCAGGCTGGAGTGCAATGGAGTGATCTTAGCTCACTGCAACCTCTGTCTCCCGGGCTCAAGCGATTCTCCTGCCTTAGCCTCCCAAGCAGCTGGGATTACAGGCGCCCGCCACCACACCCGGCTAATTTTTGTATTTTTAGTAGCGATGTGGTTTCACCATGTTGGCAAGGCTGGTCTCTAACTCCTGACCTCGTGATCCACCCACCTCAGGCTCCCAAAGTGCTGGCACTACAGGCATGAGCCACCACACCCGGTATCTGGCCATTTTCTAACCAATCGAGTAATATGTTGCACAATAAAGCTACCTCACATTTTTCAGCAATAAATACATTAAATTTGAAAAGTAAAGACATTACAGAATGAATTAGGACCCAGTTAAAATTTGCTTTAAATATTTCTTTGGGGGAGAGGACACCACACTCTTACTCAATGAAGAGAAATATTTTCACAGTCCAGAAGTCTTTTATTTTGTTAACACCTATGATGCCATGAATCCACAGGGAATAGGTTCCAGCAGCTCAGGCTCCTTCCCATTGGTTGGTTCTCACACAGTGTGCTTCTCCGGGTGGAACAGGCTGGCGCTTCAGTTGAACCCAGGCACCTTTCTCTTTGGCTTCTTTGTTTTTCTGATCATTTCAGGAAGTTCATGCATTTCAGGAAGTTATCTCGGCTCTTAGAGTGCTTACTGTGCTCAATATGCACACTAATTCTCTTGGCAAGAATCTTGCCCTGAACTTGTTTGTTTACAACAATGCCAACAGCATGCTGAGTAACATTGTAAACTCTTCCAGTTTTGCCATGGTAACACTTGTGGGCACTCCTTTTTGAAGAGTACCCATTCCCTTGATGTCTACAATATCACCTTTCTTATAGATTCACATATACGTGACCAAAGGAAAAACGGCATGTTTTCCAAAAGGCCTAGAGAACATACATCAGGTGCCTCTCCTCTTTCCCTCTGTGTTTGTCATTTTGGCGAATTACTGGAAGATGGTGCCAGCCGAAAAAGTTATAGTTACTTTATTTTTTTGAGACAGAGTTTCGCTCTTGTTGCCCAGGCTGGAGTGCAATGGCACGATCTCAGCTCACTGCAACCTCCATCTCCCAGATTCAAGCGATTCTCTTGCCTCAGCATCCCTAGTAGCTGGGATTACAGGCATGCACCACCACGCACAGCTAATTTTTGTATGTTTAGTAGAGACAGGGTTTCACCACGTTGGTCAGGCTGGTCTCGAACTCCCGACCTCAGGTGATTCATTCTCCTCAGCCTCCCAAAGTGCTGGGATTACAGGCATGAGCCACCATGCCTGGCCTACAGTTATTTTAAAATAAAAAGTTTTTAAAAGAAAAAAAAATTACAAAAATGGAAAAGCAAGCCACAAATGGAAATTATTTCCAAAACATATACTCGTACCTAGAATACATATTTACAGCTATTATAACATAGTAAGACAAACAGTTCATTTTTTATTTTTTTTAGATGGAGTTTCCCTGTTACCCAGGCTGGAGTGTAGTGGTGCCATCTTGGCTCACTGCAACCTCTTCGCCTCCCGGGTTCAAGCGATTCTCCTGTCTCAGCCTCCCAAGTAGCTGGGATTACAGGTACATGTCACCACACCTGGCAGATTTTTGTATGTTTAGTAGAGACGGGGTTTCATCATGTTGGCCAGGGTGGTCTTGAACTCCTGACCTCAGGTGATCCACCCTCCTCGGCCTCCCAAAGTGCTGGGATTACAAATGTGAGCCACTGAGCCCGGCCAGTTTAATTTTTTTTAAAGGGCAAAATTTTGAACAGAGATTTCACCAGAGATGATCTACAGGTGGCAAATAAGGACATGAAAAAATAATCTCACTATCATTAGGGAAATGCAGATTAAAACTTCAGCGAAAACAAAAACGTCTATAAGATACCACTATATCTCCACTAGAAAGGCTAATTTTCATTTTGAGAAACAGGGTCTCACTGTGTGGCCCAGGCTAGAGTGCAGTGACAGAAGCTTGCTGTAACCTGCAACTTCTGGTCTCAAGTGATCCTCCTGCCTCAGCTTCCAGAGTAGCTAGTGTATCTGGAGTTTGGTTCCTGCCGGTGGGGGTTCATGGTCTTGCTGACTTCAAGAATGAAGCCACAGATCTTCGCGGTATTTGTGGTGAGTGTTACAGCACAGCTCTTAAAAGTGGCATGGACCCAAAGAGTGAGCAGCAGCAAGATTTATTGTGAAGAACAAAAGAACAAATCCTCAACAGCAAGGAAAGGGACCCGAGCAAGTTGCCACTGCTGGCTCCAGGGGTGGCCAGCTTTTATTCCCTTATTTGTCCCCACCCATGTTCCATTTCTGTCCTATCAGAATGCCCTTTTTTCAATCCTCCCTGCCGATGGGCTACTTTTAGGATCCTGCTGATCAGGATGTTTTACAGAGTGCGGATTGGTGCGTTTTACAGAGTGCTGATTGGTGCATTTTACAGAGTGCTGATTGGTGCATTTTACAATCCTCTTGCTAGCTACAGAACACTAATGGGTGCGTTTTACAATCTCAGCTACGGAGTGCTGATTGGTGCGTTTTACAATCCTCTTTTAAGACAGAAAATTTCTCCAAGTCCCCACTTGACCCAGGAAGTCCAGCTGGCTTCACCTTTTACTAGGACTACAGTTGTGTGGGCTAATTTTTCATTTTATTTTATTTATTTATTTTTGTTTTCTAGAGACAGGGTGTTGCTATGTTGCCCAGGTTGTTCTCCAACTCCTGGCCTCAAGGATTCTCCCGCCTTGGCCTCCCAGGCACTGAGATTACAGGCATGAGCCATCATGCCCAGCCCCAGAATGGCTAAAATTGTAAAACACTGGCCATACCAAGTGTGGGCAAAAGTGCAGCAGAACAGCAAGTCTTATACCCTGCTGGTGGAAATGAAAAATGGTAAAATTATTTTTGGAAATCAGCTAGGCAGTCTCTTAAAAAGTTAAACATTTACCTTTCATATAATCCCAGCTTCCCATTCCTAAATATGTACCTGGGAGGAATGAAAACCCACGTCCATGCAAAGGGTCGCACATGAATGTCCGTGACAGCTTTATTTGTAATAGCCGGCTGCCACCATGACTTATCCAGGGTTCCATGGCCAGGGCGGGGTGGGGTACATTTTCGCCCTGGAATTCCCTCTCAGGTCATGTGTAGAGCTTAGGTTTACTCCCATCTTCATGTTCGTATTTATGCTTGCACAGAGGGATAACAGGAAGCAGAGCGTGCCGGGGACACCTGGGAGAGGCTGCCTCCAGCGCTTGTCCTGCCCCGTCCTCCCGCCAGCCCTGAGAGCGCAGCAGAGATGGCAAGGAAGGTGGGAGCAGGCCCAGGTCCTGCCTCACACCTCCCGGCACCTCCCACCCTTCTAGAGCCAGCTGTCTAAACATCATTTTTCTCATCAAACTGGCAAACAACTTTTTAAAGTGTTGATATCCAGGTCTGATGAAAATACAAAAGCAGCACAGAACAAAGGCACTGAAATAGGGTGGTGCCGGATGGCATTGTGCAACATGTATTGTTTTAAACCTTTAAAAATGTGTCGACCTTTGACCCATTTAGGACTTTATCCTAGAGAACTGGTTTAGCTGTATATATATAAAAAAAACCAAAAACACTAGGCTGGGCATCGTGGTGTCCTGTGCTTTGGGAGGCCGAGGCAGGAGGATCACTTGAGCCCAGGAGTTAGGGATCACATTGAGCTATGATGGCCCCACTGTGCTCCAGCCTGGGCTACAGAGCCAGACCTTGTTTCTTACAATAAAAAAATAAAATAAAATAATAAAATAGGCAGCACCTAACACAGTCTTTATAATATGAAAAAATAGAAATAACCGAAAATAACAATAATGTAGGAAAATAACTCCCAGCCTCAAATTTCATTTTCAGCCAAGGGTCAGGGAGACTTAAAACGTCTTCAGACGTGCAAGGACTCCAAGATACCTGCCATGCATTCTTGTTCACAAAGGATGTCCTTTGGGAAAACAAGGTGGGAAGCCGAAAGACAGGAAGCCGTGGAACCCAGAACACAGGTTCCACCAGGGGAGAGGCAAACGGAAGGGTGGGTTGGGGAGGGGCGGTAGAACCCTGGCCTCGAGCCCACCGGCCAGGACAGAGCCCACCTGAGGATGGAGGGTGGAAGGCGCAAACCGCCGATTTGAGGTGTGGAGTCGGGAAGAAGATAGAAAGGCATTTTTTGCTGGACCACTTAGGGGGAAACTGATGTATAGGAAACTGGACACGAGGCCCAGTGTGGTGGCTCACGCCTGCAATCCCAGCACTTTGGGAGGCCAAGGCGGGTGGATCACTTGAGGTCAGGAGTTCGAGACCAGCCTAACCAACATGGGGAAACCACATCTCTCCTAAAAATATATAAATTAGCTGGGCATGATGGCAGGCACCTGTAATCCCAGCTCCTCAGGAGGCTGAGGCAGGAGAGTCGCTTGAACTCGGGAGGCAGAGGTTGCAGTGAGCTGAGATTATGCCACTGCACTCCAGTCTGGGCAACAGAGTGAGACTCCATCTCAAACAAAAAAAAAAAAAGAAAACTAGACACAAAAGAGACAGAGACAAAGACAGAGAGATTTTACCCTCCAGTTAAAACAAAATAAGTTATTCCAGAAAGGAAAAAAGTTATAGTACACAGCTTGTTTCAGCAGCAAACAACATTTGCATAATTACAATTATAAAATCACTATTGATTTAGCCAAATTGTTACTGTATTTGTCTACTAATTACTAATGATTAACACTGTATTAGTCTCCTAGGACTGCCATAACAAAATACCACAGACGGGGAGGCTTAAACAGTAGATGTTGATTTGCTCACAGTTCTGGAGGCTGGAGGCCGACGTTCGATGTGCTGGCAGGGTTGTTTTTCCCTGGGGCTGCTCTCCTTGACTTGCAGCCAGCCGTCTTCTGTCTTCTCCCTGTATCCTAACGTGGCCCTTCTCTGTGTACACCCAAGCCCAGTGTCTCTTCCTCTCATATGGTCCCTTATGACCTTATTTAAGCGTAATTACCTCTTTAAAAGCCCTACCCCGGAATACAGTCACATGGGGGCTTGGGGCTTCAACATATATAGGGGAACACAATTCCAGTCATAATAGCTCCTAAGCTTGATGCCGTAGGAGGGGAAGTGGGGAGGCGGGAGATGCAGCTGTAGGGGAGCAGAGGGAGTCCTCAGTCTCCACACTAGGTATCAAGCAATGGTAATGCAGGAAGATAGAAGGATATGCTTGAGAAACTTGGAGGGGAATCCTGGGAAAAATAGCATAAAGAATTGAAAAATATTTGCCTCTAAATGAAACAGAGTGGGTCAGCAACTTGCTGGTGCGTGTGTGTGTGTGTGTGTGTGTGTGAGTGAGTGTGTGTGTGTGTGTGTGACTTTTAAAAAATAGAGACAGGGTCTCGCTATGTTGCCCAGGTTGGTCTCAAACTTCCAGGCTTTAGTGATCTGCTCTCCCTGGCCTCCCAAAATGCTGGGACTGCAGGTGTGAGCCACAGCGCCCAGACTCATGGATATATATATTTTTTTCTTTTCTTTTTTTGAGATGGAGTTTCGCTCTTGTTGCCCAGGCTGGAGTGCAAAGGCGTGCTCTCTGCTCACTGCAACCTCCGCCTCCTGGGTTCAAGTAATTCTCCTGCCTCAGCCTACCAAGTAGCTGAGACTATGGGCGCACGCCAGCAAGCCAGGCTAAGTTTTGTATTTTTAGTAGAGATGAGATTTCACCATGTTGGACACGCTGGTCTGGAACTCCTGACCTCAGGTGATCCACCCACCTCAGCCTCCCAAAGTGCTGGGATTACAGGCGTGAGCCACCACGCCTGGCCGACTCATTGATATTTTTAAGCACTATTTGACTTTTTTAACTTTCGTGGTGCACACTGCGATGGACATGCTAAAGCCACACCCCTCTCCCAGCCCACCCAAAATAGCAGTAATGAGGCTGAGTAATTAGCCTCGGCTCAAGGGACAGGCTTGGCTGGTGCCCAGTGGCTGGCTCTGGAACAGGAGAGGCTTGCCCAGTCTTTGGGAAAGGTCTCTCCTGACACTAAATCCAGGGTGATCACTGCAGGAAGCCAGGTCCTCCCACCGTGCGGACAAGGGAGCATGTAGCGCCCCACACTGCGGGCAGCCGTCCTAACACAGAGCTGATGCTATGGATGATGGGGCAGGGAGGCAGGAAGAACCTGAGACCTAAGGACATCTTGGAACACCTGAACCTTTCAGACAGAAGACCGTCCTTGCTCTGGCTTCTGATATGTAAGCATTAGAATATTTTCTGAGTGGGTGTGCCAGCCTGAGGAGGGCTTCCTCTTACACACAGCTTAAAGCGCCCGAAGAGACACACAACTGCATTCATATACAAAATTGCTAAGTAAAACTGTATGTTAAAAAGTAGTAGATACAAGGCTAGCCGCAGTGGCTCACGTCTGTAATCCCAGCCCTTTGGGAGGCTGAGGCAGGGGGATCATTTGAGGTCAGGAGTTCGAGACCAGCCTGGCCAACATGGTGAAACCCTGTATCTACCAAAAATACAAAAATTAGCCAGGCGTGGTGGCATGCACCTGTAGTCCCAGCTACTCGGGAGGCTGAAGCAGGAGAATCGCTTGAGCCCGGGAGTCAGAGGGTACAGTGAGCTGAGATTGTGCCACTGCATTCCAGCCTGGGCAACAAGGCAAGACTCTGTCTCAAAAATAAATAAATAAATATAAATGAAAAGTAGCAGATACAATATGTCCTACTTTTTAATATATATGTATATGTGGATATAGATGCAAATATGTGAAAATGTTAATAGTAGTAATCACTGATAGCAGTTTTTTCTTTTTACTTTTCTCTGTTCATTAAGTTTTCAACATAACAAGTATTACTTGTGTGATCAGATAACTTTGTCACATTCTGCCCCTTGCTTTGCTGATTGTTAACCTTTTTAAGTTTTATAAAAATATATTTTATATTATTTGGTAAAGGCATTATAAATGTGGATTTATTTTCCCAAAATAAATACTGCTAACTCCCATTCAATGTGGGATTCAAACAGAAACATTACAACACAAAACTACAGAGAAATATTTCTTATGTGTAGAGACAAAAGAAATCCTCAACAAATTCAAAAATGTGTTCAAAAAAATACAAAAATTAGCCAGGCGTGCTGGCACACGTGTGGTCCCAACTACTGGCGAGGCTAACACGAGATGATCACTCAGGCCCAGGATGTTGAGGCTGCAGTGAACCATGACTGAGCCACAGCACTCCAGCCTCAGCGACACATCAAGATATATGTATATAGATATGTACATGTTTGATAAGAGCCTTGTATCTAGACTATATATAGAACCCTCTCCATTCAATAATGAAAAATAGCCCATTTTTTGAAATAGGCAAAAGATCTGAGTAATTTTTCCAATGAAGATATACAAATGGTAAAAAAGCAAATGAAAAGATGCTTGGCCAGGTGTGGTGGCTCACACCTGTAATCCTAGCACTTTGGGAGGCCAAGGTGGGCAGATCACTTGAGCCCAGGAGTTTCAGACCAGCCTGGGCAACATGGTGAAACCCTGTCTCAACACAAATACAAAGATTAGTGGGTGTGGTGGTGTGCGCCTGTGGTCCCAGCTACTCTAGAGGCTGCAGTGGGAGGATCACTTGAGCCAGAAAAGGTCGAGGCTGAGGTGAGCTGTGATCGCATCACTGCACTCCAACCTGGGTGACACAGTAAGACTCTGTCTCAAAAAAAAAAAAAAAAAAAAGCACAGTAAAATACCACTTCACACCCAGTAGCACAGTTGTAGGAAGGCGAGAAGGAAAAAGAAAAAAAATTACCACTGTTAATGAAAATGTGGAGAAATTAGAACTCTTGAGCATTGTTGGTTGGAATGTAAAATGGTGCAGCTGCTGTGGAAAATAGCATGGTGGTTTCTTAAAAAGTTGAACATAGAGGGCCGGGAGTGGTGGCTCACACCAGTAATCTCAGCACTGTGAGAGGCCGAGGCAGGTGGATCACAGCCTGTAATCCCAGCTACTCAAGAGGCTGAGGCAGGAGAATCGCTTGAACCCAGGAGACAGAGGTTGCAGTGAGCCAAGATTGTGCCACTGCACTCAAGCCTGGCAACAGAGCAAGACTCTGTCTCAAAAAAAAAAAAAAAGTTGAACATATAATTATTATATGATCCAGAAATTCCACTCCTAGGTATTTACCCAAAATAATGGGAAGCTGAGACTCAGATACTGTACATCAGTGTTCATAGCAGTATTATTCACAATAGCCAAAAGGTGGCAACCATCCAAAAGTCCATCAGCATATGAATGGATAAGCAAAATGCGGTATGTCACATGCAACAGAATATTACTCAGCTTTAAAAAGGAATGAAATTCTGATACATGCTATGGACTTAACTGTGCCCCCTCAAAATGTGTATGGAAGGCCTAGCCCCCAATATGATGGCATTGGAGATGGGGCCTTTGGAAGAAAATTAGGTTTAGATGAGGTGATGGGGGCAGGACCCCATGATGGAATGAGTGCCCCATAAGAAGAGGAAGAGCCATGAGTACTCTCCCCTGTGCCAGATGGGGACACAGCAAGAAGGCAACCTCTGCAAGCCTAAAAGAAAGCCCTCAGCAAACCCAGTCATGCTGGCATTCTGATCTCAGCCTTCCAGCCTTTAGAACTGAGAGAAATACATTTTTTTAATTTTAATTTTTATTTTATATTCTCCAATTTAAAACTTTTAACTAAAAAGTAAACTTTAATGTCGAAAATGCAAACTTGGGGAAGACAGAAAAGATCACACACAAGGCTGTCACTTCACACTTGGAAGGTCGCACAGCAGCTGGGCAGAGGCACTCCTCATTTCCCAGACAGGGCGGCAGCCAGACAGAGACGCTCCTCACTTCCTAGACAGGGCAGCAGCTGGGCAAAGGCACTCCTCACTTGCCAGACAGGGTGGCTGGGCAGAGGCAGTCCTCACTTGCCAGACGGTGGGCAGCCAGGCAAAGGCACTTCTCACTGCCCAGACAGTTGGCAGCCAGGCAGAGGCCCTCATCACTTCCCAGATGGTGGGCAGCCGGGCATAGGCGCTCTTCACTTCCCAGATGGGGCGGCAGCCGGGCAGAGGCGCTCCTCGCTTGCCAGAGGGTGGGCGGCTGGGTCGAGGCACTTCTCACTTCCCAGACAGTTGGGCGTCAGGGCAGAGGCGCTTCTCACTTTCCAGACGGGGTGGCGGCAGGGCAGAGGGGCTCCTCACTTCCCAGATGGTTGGCAGCTGGGCAGAGGCATTCCTCACTTTGCAGACTGTGGGCAGCTGGGCAGAGACGCTCCTCACTTCCCAGATGGTTGGCAGCTGGGTAGAGGCACTCCCCAAATCCCAGACCAGGCAGCGGCAGGGCAGAGGCACTCCTGACTTCCCAAACGGGGCGGCAGCTGGGCAGAGATGCTCCTGACTTCCAGACGGTGGGCAGCCAGGAAAAGACTCTCCTCACTTCCCAGATAGGGCGGAAGCCTGGCAGAGGTGCTCCTCACTTCCCAGACAGTGGGCAGCTGGGCAGAGGCGCTCCTCATTTCCCAGATGGTGGGCAGTCAGGCAGAGGCTCTCCTCACTTCCCAGACAGTGGACAGCCGGGCAGAGGCGCTCCTCACTTCCCAGATGGTGGGCAGCCAGGCAGAGGCGCTCTTCACCTCCCAGATGGGGCGGCAGCCGGGCAGAGGCGCTCCTCGCTTGCCAGAGGGTGGGCGGCTGGGTCGAGGCACTTCTCACTTCCCAGACAGTTGGGCGTCAGGGCAGAGGCGCTTCTCACTTTCCAGACGGGGTGGTGGCAGGGCAGAGGAGCTCCTCACTTCCCAGACGGTTGGCAGCTGGGCAGAGGCATTCCTCACTTTGCAGACTGTGGGCAGCTGGGCAGAGACGCTCCTCACTTCCCAGATGGTTGGCAGCTGGGCAGAGGCACTCCCCAAATACCAGACCGGGCGGCGGCAGGACAGAGGCACTCCTGACTTCCCAAATGGGGCGGCAGCTGGGCAGAGATGCTCCTGACTTCCAGACGGTGGGCAGCCAGGAAGAGACTCTCCTCACTTCCCAGACAGGGCGGAAGCCTGGCAGAGGCGCTCCTCACTTCCCAGACAGTGGGCAGCTGGGCAGAGGCGCTCCTCACTTCCCAGATGGTGGGCAGCCAGGCAGAGGCGCTCTTCACTTGCCAGATGGTGGGCAGCCGGGCAGAGGCTCTCCTCACTTCCCAGTTGGGCAGCTGGGCAGAGGCACTCCTCACATCCCACGCGGTGTGGCGGCCGGGCAGAGGCGCTCCTCACATCCCCTCAGTTGGGCAGCTGGGCAGAGGCGCTCCTCACTTCCCGGATGGTGGAGAAATACATTTACGTCGTTTAAGCCAGGGTCTCCGAGCCCGGGGCTGTGGCCGGGTACGGGTCTCTGGCCTGTTAGGAAGCAGGCCGCACAGCAGGAGCGGGGAGGCGGGTGAGCGAGCATCACCGCACGAGCTCCACCCCCTCTCAGTTCAGCCACCCCGCTAGATTCTCACAGGAGCGCAAACCTCATCGTGAACTGCCCATGCGAGGGATCCAGGTTGCGCACTACTTATCAGAATCTAACGAATGCCTGATGATCTGAGGTGGAACAGTTTCATCCTGAAACCATACCCTCACCAACACCCCGTGGAAATATTGTCTTCCACCAAACCAGTCCCTGCTGCCAAAAAGGTTGGGGACCGCTGGTTGAAGCCACCCAGTCTGTGGCATTTTGTTATGGCAGCAGAGCTGACTAAGGGCAGAGCTGACTAAGGCATGCTACAAAGTGGATGAACTTTGAGGACACTATGCTAAGTGAAATTAAGCCAGACATAAAAGGGCAAATATTGCGATCCCACCTACATGAGGTACCCAGAATAGGCAAATTCATATAGACAGGAATTACTAGGGGCTGGGCCCGGCGCGGTGGTTCACCCCTGCAATCCCAGCACTTTGGGGGGCCAAGGCGGGTGGATCACCTGAGGTCAGGAGTTCAAGACCAGGCTGGCCAACATGGTGAAAACCCATCTCTACTAAAAATACAAAAATTAGACGGGTGTAGTGGCACGCACCTGTAATCTCAGCTACTTGGGAGGCTGAGGCACGAGGGGACATGCCTCCTTGAACCCGGGAGATGGAGGTTGCAATGAGCAGAGATGGCGCCACTGCACTCCAGCCTGGGCGATCGAGTAAGACTCTATCTCAAAAACAAAAAGAAGAAGAAGTTTCTAGGGACTTGGAGAGAGAAGAGAAGGGGGAATGATGATTTAAAGGGCACAGAGTTTCTGTATAGGATGATGAAAAAGTGCTGGGAATGAATAGTGGTGATGGTTGCACAACACTGTGAATGTACTTAAGATCACTAAACTGTACATGTAAAAATGGTTAAAATGGTAAATTTTATGTTATATGAATTGCACCACAATAAAATTGCAACCAAAAAAATACATGGAGCAAGCCAGGCATGCTGGTGGGCACCTGTACTACCAGCTACTCAGGAGGCTAAGGTGGGGGGATCATTTGAGCCCAGGAGTTCAAGTCCATCCTCAGCAACATAACAAGACCTCATCTCTAAAAATAATAAAAACATGGAGCAATAATTGACAGCTAAAAAGGGAAATATACATGTTACTGCATAATTATAGTTGGAGTTTTTAAATTGAGATTTTGATTTGCAATTTTTTAATGACTAATGATATTGAAGATCTTTTCATGGGCTTATTGTTCATTTGTATCTCTTCTTTGGGAAATATCTATTCAAATCCTTCACCCAGTTTTTCACTGGGCAGGTCTTTTGTTTGCTTTTTTTGTTTTTTCTTTTCTGCTCAGTTGTAGGAGTTTCCTATATGATCTGGTATTAATCTGTCATCAGATGTATGAGGCACAAATATTATTCTTATTCCCTAAGTTGTCTTTTCACTCTCATGATGTCCCTTGGTGCACACAAGTTTTTTATTTTAATGAATCCCAATTTATCTGTTTTTTTCTTCTGTTACCTGTGCTTTTGGTGGTATACTGAAGAAACCATTGCCAACTTAGTAGAGTTAAACTTCATCCTCTTGCATGTGGCTATTCAGCTGTCTCAGCACTATTTTTGAAAAGACTGTTCTTACTTTTTGTTTTTTTATCCAAGATGGAGTCTCGCTGTTGCCCAGGCTGGAGTACAGTGGCATGATCTCAGCTCACTGCAGATTCTGCCTCCCAGGTTCAAGCAATTCTCTGCCTCAGCCTCCCGAGTAGCTGGGATTACAGGTGCCTGCCACCATGCCCGGCTAATTTTTTTGTATTTTTAGTAGAGACAGGGTTTCATCATCTTGGCCAGGCTGGTCTTGAACTCCTGACCTCGTGATCCACCCATCTTGGCCTCCCAAAGTGCTGGAATTATAGGCATGAGCCACCGTGCCCAGCCTGTTCTTACTTTATTTAATTGTTTTGGCACCCACATCAAAAGTGAATTGACCACATATATAAGGGTTTTTCTTTCAGTTCCATCTGTCTACATGTTTATTCTTATGCTCGTACCATACTGTTTTGAATACTGTAGCTTTGTAGTAAGTTTTCAAATTGGGAAGTATGTGTTCTCCAATATTGTTCTGTTTTTATCAACATTGTTCTGTTTTATCAAGAATGCCTAGTCAGGGTCTGCTGAAATTCTATATGTATTTTAGGATGAATTTTTATATTTTTGCAGAAAACAACAGTGGGATTTTGACAAAAATACATTGAATCTTTAGATCAATTTGCAGAGTATTGTCATTTTAACAACATTACATCTTCCAATTCATGAACACAGTATGTCTTTATATTTATTTAGAACTTTAATTTCTTTCACTAATGTTGTGTAGTTTAGTGTATAGCCTTTCTCACCTTTTGTTTTACTCCTAAGCATTTTATTCTTTTTTGATGATATGTAAGTGGAATTCCTTTTTGGATTGTTCATTGCTAGTGTTTAGAAATACTACTATTTGTGTGTTGATTTTTGTATCCTACAACATGGCTGAATTCATTATTTAGTGCTAACAATTTTTGTGGATTCCTTAGGGTATTCTATATATAAGGTCATATGATCTGTGAACAGAGATAACTTCTTTTCCAATCTGGGTATATTCAGGCACAGTGGTTCATGCCTGTAGCCCCAGCACTTTGGGAGGCTGAGGTGGGAGGATTGTTTGAGCCCAGGAGTTCGAGACCAGCCTGGACAACATGGCAAAACACTATCTCAATAAAAAATAGAAAAATTAGCCAGGCGTGGTGGCACGTGCTTGTAGTCTCAGCTACTAGGGAGGCTGAGGTGGGATAATCACCTGAGCCCAGGAGGCTGAGGCCACGGTGGGCTGTGATCATGTCACTGCACCCCAGCCTGGGTGACAGAATGAGACCCTGTCTCATACACAAAAAGAGTTGGGTGTCTTTTATTTCTTTTTCTTGCCTAATTTCTCCAGCCACAACTTTCAGTACTATGTTGAATAGAGGTGGCAAAAGTGGGTATCATTGTCTTTTTCCTGATCTTAGGGGGAAAGCTTTTAGTCTTACACCACTGAGTATGATGTGGATTTTTCACATACGGTCTTTATCATGCAGGGAATATTCCCTTCTATTCCTAGTTTATTGAGTGTTTTTATCATGAAAGGGTATCAAATTTAATCAATTTTTAAAAACAACTGAGATCATCTTTTTTTTTTTTTTAGATGAAGTCTCACTCTGTCACTCAGGCTGGAGTGCAGTGGCACAATCCTGGCTCACTGCAACCTCCACCTCCCGAGTTCAAGTGATTCTCCTGCCTCAGCTCCCAAGTAGCTGGGATTACAGGCGCCTGCCACCACACCTGGCTAATTTTTGTATTTTTACTAGAGATGGGGTTTCACCATGTTGGCCAAGCTGGTCTTGAACTCTGGGCCTCAAGTGATCCACCAACCTCAGCCTCCCAACGTGCTGGGATTACAGGCATGAAACACCACGCCTGGCTGAATCTAGTATTTTTCCTTCATTCTATTAATATGGCATGGTACAGTGAAAGATTTTTCTATGTTCAACTACCTTTGCTCTGGGGATAAATTCCACTTGCCCATGGCATATAATCAATTTAATATACTGCTGAATTTGGTTCGGTAGTATTTTGTTGAGAATTTTTGCTTCTTCATAAGGAAGGTTAGCCTCCACTTTTCTTATAGGATCTTTGTACCCTACAAGATACAAAGCTTTGGTATCAGGGTAATGCTGGCCTCATAGAATGAGTTCAGAAGTGTTCTTCTCTCTTTGATTTTCTGGATGAGTTTGAGAAACAGTGGTACATTAATCTCTAAATATTCAGTAGAGATCACCAGTAAAGCTATCTGGTCCTGGGAATTTCTTTTTTGGGAGGTTTTTGCTTATTGGTTCACTCTCCTTACTTGTTATAGGTTTAGTCTGATTTTCTAGTTCTTTTTTCCCAGTTTTGTTAGTTTGTATGTTTATAGAAATTTGTCCTTGGCTGGGTCCAGTGGCTCATGCCTATAATTCCAGCACTTTGGGAGGCAGAGACCAGTAGATCACTTGAGGTCAGGAGTTTGAGACCAGCCTGGCCAACATAGCTAAATCCCGTCTCTACCAAAAATACAAAAAAATCTAGCCAGGCCTGGTGGCAAGTGCCTGTAGTCCCAGCTACTCAGGAGGCTGAGGTGGGAGGACTGCTTGAACCTGGGATGCAGAGGTTGCAGTGAACCAAGATCATGCCACTGGCACGCCAGCCTGGGCAACAGGTGCTATATGGGGAGAAGCTTTCAGGACAGCAGCCTTTTGAAGCTTCTTAATTTAATTCTTGATCATTCTGTTCCTCATTTTCTTTGCCTTCATGACTAAAATGATCAAAATCTATCATTTTGGCTTCCCCTTCTTTGGCTTCACTCTTCTTGGCCCATTGTGTGCCTGTCCATTTTGTATTGATGGTTGCCTTCTGCCAGGCTTCTTGGCCATGCCTCTGGGGTGGGCACTGGGTGGGAACTTGAGGATAAAGTCAGTGAGCTGCATGCATTTAAATGGCATGGCCTGTCTCCTTACCTGAGTGCAAGCTCCACCAACCAAAGCCCTGTTCTCATCAACAACATCTATAATCGCAACCAGCTTTCCAGCATGAGGTCCAGAGATGTAAGCCACTTGGCCAACCTCCACAAAGTGCCTGAACACCATGTTGGTGGCGCCCATCAAGAAGCTAAATCGTCTGATAGAAGGGTAAGCAGAAGCAGCTGCCACCACTGCCAAGAGGGCAAACTAAAGCAGGTGCCTGTGCTGCTTCCTCAGGGTACACCAGACCAGCCAAAATTTACAGATCCAATTTTTTTGGAGGAGGAGATCAGTACTGCCTACACTGGCACCAGTGAGATGTTCCAAGAGTGCAGGCAGCCAACCCTACAGCTGAGGTGGCACTGAGGAGGGAGGATGGTGGTGGGTCACATATGCCACTCACTCACAAATCAGCAGTCTCTTCCTTCAGGAAGTGCTTCCCTGGTGGTTGTAAGTGTTTGAACATGGTCCAGAGCTCCAGAATAGTTGCTTCCAGTTGATCTTGCCAGATCAATGACTCAGTGCAGTGACCACCCCCTAGATCTCTTTCACCCTATCTACTTTCATTTAACGTGCAATTCTGGTAAATTCCTTTTTAAAGTCCAATGTGAAAATCTCAGCCTTTTATTTAGAGTGTTTAAGAAAATTAACTTGTAATTACTGATATTTTTTAGTTTTGAGTTTGATGGCTACTAGTTAGTCATTTGTCTCCTCTGTACTGATTCTTTTGTCCTTCCATTCCTGTCTTCTATTGGGTTGATCAAGTTTTATGTTTCAGGGGAATTTTTTAATTAAAAAAACTTTTTTTCATTTTTAACTTGTTTTGTAGAGATGGAGTCTCGCTATGTTGCCCAGGCTGGTCTCGAACTCCTGGGCTCAAGTGATCCTCCCACCTTGGCCTCTCAAAGTGCTGGAATTACAGGCAAGAGCCAGTGTGCCCAGCCTTAATTTTTTTTGAGACAGAGTCTCACTGGAGTGCAGTGGTATGATCTCAGCTCGGTGCAACCTCTGCCTCCCGGGTTCAAGTGATTCTCCTGCCTCAGCCTCCCAAGTAGCTGGGACTACAGGTGCCCGTCACCACACCCGGCTAGCTTTTGTATTTTCAGTAGAGATGGGGTTTCACCATGTTGGCCAGGCTGGTCTCAAACTCCTGACTTCAGGTGATCTGCCCGCCTTGGCTCCCAAAGTGCTGGGATTACAGGCATGAGCCACCGCACCCACCGGCCCTAATTTTTAAAAAGTTTTAAGCAGTTCCATTGTACCTCTTCTTTTGCTTTTTGGCTATAACACTTTGCATTTTTCAGATGGCTGCGCTACAGAAAGCAATATGCTGCCTTAGCTTATCAGTTTCTCCTGCCCTGTCCTCAAAACAAATCACAGTAGATTTAAGAAACTTACAACTCCCATCCTTTGTGTGGTTGTCATATATTTTACTCTACATGCTATACACCCCGCAATATACCAATGTTATTTCTGTTTTAAGCAATCAATGGTCTTGTAAATAACTCAAGTAAAGAAAAAAATAGTGTATTTACCCACATATTTACTATTTCCAGTGCTCCCTTCCTCCCTGGAGGTTTGAATTTATATTTGGCATCATTTCCCTTTTTTTCTTTTTTGAGACGAAGTCTCACTCTTGTCGCCCAGGCTGGAGTGCAGTGGCGCGATCTCGGCTCACTGCAAGCTCCGCTTCCCGGGTTCATGCCATTCTCCTGCCTCAGCCTCCAGCTGGGACTACAGGCGCCCGTCACCACGCCCACGCCCAGCTAATTTTTTTTTTTTTTTTTTTTTTTTTTGTATTTTTAGTAGAGACGGTATTTCACCGTGTTAGCCAGGATGGTCTCGATCTCCTGACCTTGTGATCCGCCCGCCTCGGCCTCCCAAAGTGCTGGGATTACAGGTGTGAGCCACCGTGCCCAGCAATTTTTGTACTTTTTTTTTTAGTAGAGATGGAGTTTCACCATGTTGGCCAGGGTGGTTTCTAACTCCTGACCTCAGGGGACCTGACTGCCTCGGCCTCCAAAAGTGCTGGCATTACAGGCGCGAGCCACTGTGCCTGGCCCTTTTTTTTTCAGCACAGGAAGATAATATTTATTATATTTTAATTAGAAACACAGAAGATAGCAAGTTCACGAGGTATGAATTTTTTTTTCTTAAACCAGGCTTCAACAACAATAAAAAATAAGTCTGCATATATATTTTGGTCACTATTATAATCTTCAAGGGCACAAAAGCCAGCAGCATAAAGAAACATGAGTAATGACTGAGAATTTCTGATGTGCCAAAAACAAAGATCACTGCATTAAACTCATTTATTTTGTTAATATTATTCTTTTATTTATTTATTTATTTTGAGACTGAGTCTTGCTCTGTTGCCAAGGCTGGAGTACAGCGGTGCGATCTCAGTTCATTGCAACCTCCACCTCCTGGGTTCAAGCAATTCTCCTGCCTCAGCCTCCTGAGTGGCTGGGACTACAGGCACGTACCACCACGCCTGAATAATTTTTTGTATTTTTAGTAGAGATGGGGTTTCACTGTGTTAGCCAGGATGGTCTCAATCTCCTGACCTTGTGATACACCCACCTCAGCCTCCCAAAGTGCTGGGATTACAGGTGTGAGCCACCGCACCCAGCCAATTGTATACTTTTAATCTATACTTTATTCCACTCAATTTGAACCCCACGTAATAAGTCTTTAAAATTATTTACAGATGGTTGTAACTAAAGCAATGACAAAATTTACTACTTGTATAGATAAGACTGATACTAAACCCTTTAACTAAGAGTTGCATATTTTATATGCACTTTTAACTTGCTAGGAGCAACTCTTAAAATTACATCTATAATTCTGTCAGAAAGCACTAAGTGCTTTTCATTTTGCTTACTTTTTTTTTTTTTTTTTTTTTTTGAGACGGAGTCTTGCTCTGTGGCCCAGGCTGGAGTGCAGTGGCGCGATCTCGGCTCACTGCAAGCTCCACCTCCTGGGTTCACGCCATTCTCCTGCCTCAGCCTCCCAAGTAGCTGGGACTACAGGCGCCCGCCACCAGGCCAAGTTAATTTTTTTGTATTTTTTAGTACAGACGGGGTTTCACCATGTTAGCCAGGATGGTCTCGATCTCCTGACCTTGTGATCCGCCCGTCTCGGCCTCCCAGAGTGCTGGGATTACAGCATTTTGCTTATATAATGCACGCTTGTCATCTAGCACACTAATAAATATTACTCATTTTTTGAAAAGATACACTGACA
This sequence comes from Homo sapiens, assembly GCF_000001405.40. Classification (NCBI taxonomy): domain Eukaryota; kingdom Metazoa; phylum Chordata; class Mammalia; order Primates; family Hominidae; genus Homo; species Homo sapiens. Next base: position 128,200,240 of record NC_000002.12, on the reverse strand, counting down.
AATTCTTTAAGTTAATGGCTTTAGCCCAACATTTTTAGTAAGTTAAAGAACACTAGCAATGGCAAAAACGTTGACAATACGGTTCATGGTCCAGTTCTCCCATCTTATGGTACAGGTTCCATCAGATGTGGTATCCCAAAAACAGGAGCTGGCTGTATGAAAGCCATATGCGCTCTTCTGGACCACTGCACAGGTCACAATATATGTATAAGCTTTTCCCAACTTAACCAGATGTGTTAAGGATTGTTCCACTATGCTTGGTTGATGATGTGATTATAATCTTCACCAGCACACACTCTTTGACAATATTGTGGGCTTCCTTAGCATTGAAGCCAACCTCAGGGTCGGGAGAACGGGTCAGGTGGGGCAGATCCCAGGCCTATTGGAGAGGACCAGGGCTTGGAGGACACTGAACCCCAACTCTTGGGGCCACCCCCCTGGGAGCCTTTTTTTTTAAAGCAATTTTGTAGTACTTGTCTCCTACAATGAATGCTGTCAGCATTCAGTTACCCCAAAATGTTTTTATTCCAACTTCTTTTTTTTTTTTGAGACAGTCTTCCTCGGTCACCCAGGCGCAGTGCAATGGCATGATCTCGGCTCATTGCAACCTCTGCCTGCCGGGTTCAAGCGATTGTCCTGCCTCAGCCTCCCGAGTAGCTGAGATTACAGGTTCCTGCCACCACACCCGGCTAATTTTTGTATTTTTAGTAGAGACAGGGTTTCACAATGTTGGCCAGGCTGGTCTCAAAACTCCTGACCTCAGGTGATCCACCCGCCTCGGCCTCGCAAAGTGCTGGGATTACAGGTGTGAGGCACCGCGCCTGGCCCCAGGTTCATTTTTGAGGAATATTTTCCCTGCATGTAGGATGTTAGCTCCTTTCAGCATTCTATGACGTCACTCCCCTGTTCCTGATGGGAAGTCAGCTGTCATTTTCATTGTTGTTCCCCTCCACATCAGGTGTTTTTGTTTTCCTGGCTACTACTTTTTCATGATTTTATCTTTAATTTTCAGCATTTGACTATGATGCACCTAGGTGTGGCCTTCTTTATATTCATCCTGCTTTTAAGGGGAGGGAGTGGTGATTCCGGTGAGGCCAGATGCAGATCAAGAGAGAAACGGTAAATTTGACATGTCGCACTCAGTTCCCTGGGGAGAAACAGCACTCCACGCAGGGCCACTCAGTGGAAGCAACCACTGGTTATGGGGCACAGGGAGCAGGGGAATGTGGGCAAGACCCCTTATTGTGGTTTCCCAGGAAGGAACAGGTGAGGCAGGGGCAGCAGACTGAGACTGACTGGAATAATCTCAGCTGGCGCTGGGCCACAGGGGCTGTTGCAGGATGTCTGGTACTGCCCTGGGGTGTCAGAGTGCTGGCCTGGAGCTTGAGCTGAAGAAGGGAGGTAGTTGAGGGTGTAAACTTGATTGGCTGCTCTAGAGGACTGACTGGCCTCTAGCCAGGACCTCAAAGCTAGGGCCTCAAAACTGGGCCAAGACCGCATTTTCAAAAAACAAACAATTTTGGCCAATATTTCTCCGTATTTTTTTTTCTGCCACATTTTCTCTCCTCTCCTGGGATTCTAGTTACGCATTTGTTATACTGTCTCACAGTTTACTGAGTCTCTGCTCATTTATTCTTTTTCAATCTCTTCTTCCACTTTGTTTTTCAATTTAGATAATTTCTATTAACGTGTCTTCAAGTTCACTGACTTTTCTTCTGCAAATGGGGAAATGGGGAGATGCAGATCAAAAGAGTACAAACTCTCAGTTTAAAGATAAGTTCTGTGGGGCTGGGCGTGGTGGTTCATGCCTGTAATCCCAGCACTTTGGGAGGCCAAGGTGGGCAGATTGCCTAAGGTCAGGAGTTTGAGACCAGCCTGACCAACATGGTGAAACTCCATCTCTAATAAAAATACAAAAATTAGCCAGGTGCAGTGGCAGTTGCCTGTAATCCCAGCTACTCAGGAGGCTGAGGCAGGAGAATTGCTTGAACCCAGGAAGTGGAGGTTGCAGTGAGGCCAGATCGCAACATTGCACTTAAGCCTGCGCGATAGGCCAGGTGTGGGGGCTCACGCCTCTAACCCTAGCACTTTGGGAGGCCAAGGCGGGCGGATCATGAGGTCAGGAATTTGAGACCAGCCTGAACAACATGGTGAAACCCCGTCTCTACTAAAAATACAAAAATTAGCCGGGCATGGTGGCGCACGCCTATAATCCCTGCTACTCAGGAGGCTGAGGCAGGAGAATTGCTTGAATCTGGGAGGCGGCGGTTGCAGTGAGCTAAGATCACACCACTGCACTTCAGCCTGGGCGACAGACCGAGGCTCCGTCTCAAAAAAAGAAAAAAAGATAAGTTCTGGGGATCTAATGTGCAGCACAGGTGGGGATGGGTGTCCTAATTCAGTGGTGATAATCACACAATGCACATGTGTAGCAAATCATCACACGGGACACCTGGAATATACACAATCTTTGTCAATTAAATTAATAAATATATATATACACATATACCTACACACACACACAAACTCAGGACGTATCAAAAGGCAATAAAAAAGCATCCACTTATGTCTGAGAAAAACGTTTATAATTATTTTAACATTTTTATTGAATGATTTCAACACCTTGGTTTATGGGTTGTTTTGATTTTGTTTTTTTGAGACAGGGTCTCACTCTGTCACCCAGGCTGGAGTGCAATGGCACTATCACAGCTCACCACAGCCTCAACCTCCCAGGCTCAAATGATCTTCCCACCGCAGCCTTCTGAGTAGCTGGGACTACAGGCACATACCACCATGCCTGGCTAATTTTTTGTATTTTTTGTAGAGATGGGGTTTCACCATGTTGCCGAGGCTGGTCTCAAACTCCTGGGCTCCAACAATCCAACCGCCTCGGCTTCCCAAAGTCCTGGGGTTACAGGTGTGCACCACCGCACCCAGCCTGATTTTTTTTCTTGATCACGTCATATGTTCCCACTTCCTGTCGTGCCTACTGATGTGGTTATATACAGGACATTCTGAATAATATACTATAGACACTCTGGATTCAGTTTTTTCCCACAAAAACTTTTGTTTTAGCAGAGTTTGGTTACTAGCGATCACCCTGATTCTGCTAAGCCTTCATTTTAGGCTTTACGAGGGTAGGTCTATCTTAGTGTTGCCCTCAGTCCTAGACCCTAGATTTGAGTTCTGTGATGTGGTCCTAATCCTAAGGCCTACACCCTGGGTTTTCGATGCAAAGTCTGAAATAGTTACCAAATCCCTCTAATTTGATGGAAAATGAATTCTAAACTTCTTCTCCCCAGCACATCTTCTGAAATCTCTACTCAGCTTTTCCAGCCTTCCAAGTGTTGCTTTCCATTTGGAATTCTGCCCTGTTTATGTATAATACAGGAACCCGCCAAGAACTTGATGAGACTATACAAGGCAAAGTTGGGGGCTTCTATGGCTTCCTCCTTTCTGGGATGTGCCCCCACACAAGTGTGCAGCGGCCAAGAACGTCCTGAAGTGACTTGGCTCCTGGGCCTAGTAAGCCTGCCACCTTCTGTTTTATTCCCTGTGAGCCACATGAGGTTTCACTTCTTCTGATGGTTCGTGCTCTCCCTCTCTTGCCGGTATCTCAGCAGGCTCTAGTGCTTTTCAAATAGTGTGTGTAATGATCAGGCGTAGGCTGGTCTGACACATGCTGCTCTGCCCTTCCTGGATGCCAGACTGTAATCAGATGTTTAAGTGTTAAAATAAACTCCAACTTCCTTTTCTTTATCTGGATGATGGATATGCTAGTGCTTTCACTTTGTGAAAAACTATCAAGGTGTGTGTTTATGTACTTTTCAGTATGTGCTACAGACCTCAACACAAAGTTTATTACAAGAAAAAACCCATTTAGTGCCAGCACCCAGTTTAAACCCCTGAAGGGCCTTCTTGTGCCCCCAGGATCAAACCCATTCCCCCTCTCCTGGCCACGTGCAGGCTTCCATGCAGCTCCCTCAAAAACACTAGCTCAAGCTCCTCCCCTCTGCCCACCCCTCGCCCCTACTTAGTCCTCAGGCTTCAACCTAAGCACCACCTCCTTGTAGCAGCTTAGTCCTGGTCCTGCACCTTAGGGCCCTCTCTTGCGCCTTCACAGGCACCAGGTGCCCCTCCCCGCCCTCCCCATCATCACACAGAGACTACATCCTCAATGCATATCCACCCCGGAGTAGGAGCTCAGAGAACTGGCAAAATGCAAAGTCCATGCCACCCTCCTAAGGAACTCTGCCGGCCCAGGGGTCTCATGACACCTTCTTGCCTTGAGGTTCCCCCTCCCACCCCACCTGTTATGCCTGCCTGCCAAGTTCTGCCTGGGGCAGCTCCCAGAGGTTGAGGACCTGGAGGAGACCTGGGTGCTTTGGATCCTCAGAATCCAAAGAACTGGATGCAACCCGAAGCCAGCCCCAGCAGCAGACAAGACTCAGGTAAAGCCCTCGTTCCTCTGTCTGGGTTTGCAGCTTCTGCTAGATGAAGGGGTTGGACTTTGTGCTCTATCAATCTGCCCTTCCTAAACACAAAGGCCAAATGACTGCGCAGTTTTAAAGAAGAGAGGAAACGTTTACTGTGTTGAGCAGACCTTATTTTCATTACAGTACCAGGAAGTTCATTCTCAATTCCCTTCGAACGCAGAGATTCTGCAGACATTTAAAAGCCCAATGCTGTTCCCAAGCAAGAGGCAGCACCTGACAACAATGCTGCATTTAATGGAGCAGGATTACAGTAACATTGGATATTCATAAAGAAGATTTTTAAAGTACACAGTTTCCTTAAAAATTATAACATTTTCCCACCTTTATTTTATTATTACCACGAATAACTGGTTGGTTGGAAAACATGGTACTTGATAATCTTTTGTTGTCAACCTTAAGTTAATGTATTTTGCTTTCTGCTGTTGTTGTTAAGAGACGTTATGCCCATTTCTCTGGAAATCTCAATGGTGACAAGTAAGGCAAGGCATACAATACATTCCTGTCCCACTGCAACCTTCCACAGCTAGCCTCTGCACTGCTGGGTATCTGGGAAAGACTCAGGAGAGGACCTTTTGCTTGCAAATCCTCAAACTCCTGACCTCGGGTGATCCGCCTGCCTTGGCCTCCCAAGGTGCTAGGATTACAGGCGTGAGCCACCACGCCCGGCGCTTGCAAATACCGACCACAGAGTTTAACCTTCATGGGCTCCTTCTAGGAAGCAGGCAGCCACTTGCCACAGACTTTGCAGTTTGTTTTTATAAATTGTCACTGATCAATGACAGCCTGAGGGAATGGGACCCTCTACTCAATTCATTGACTTCCTGCTTCTACTGCCTCCCAGAAGTGTCATTTCATTTCTGTATATAGAGAAATGAAAGACCAAAGAATGAAATGAGAAATCTGTATCCTCTAGGCATTTCAGGTATATACCCTGAAATATCAATAACCACTGAAGTTCATGATGTCTCATTTGCTTGAATTCAATCAGTTAATTACCAAAATACTGATTAAGATCTTTCCCTCACTACCTCAAGGCAGAGAAAACATGAATTTAAAGAAGTTATCTTACCAAACTACACACATGACAAGCTTTATTTGATTAACTCCAATCATCCCACAAAAATGTGCCCATAAAATCAAGTACTTAAAAAACTAATTATTAAAATTACACAACAATGGGACAGGCGCGGTGGTTCACGCCTATAATCCCAGCACTTTGGGGGGCCGATGCGGGTGGATCACTTGAGGTCAGGAGTTCGAGACCACCCTGGCCAACATGGCAAAACCCCGTCTCTACTAAAAATACAAAAATTAGCTAGGCATAGTGGCAGGCACCTGTAATCCCAGCTACTCAGGAGGTTGAGTCAGGAGAATCTCTTGAACCCGGGAGGCAGAGGCTGCAGTGAGCTGAGATTGTGCCACTGCACTCCACTCCAGCCTGAGCAACAGAGCGAGATTCTGTCTCAAAAAAAAAAAAAGCAAAAATTAGCCGGGTGTGGTGGCGCACACCTGTAATCCCAGCTACTCGGAAGGCTGAGGCAGGAGAATCACCTGAACCCAGGAGGCAGAGGTTGCAGTGAGCCAAGGTCACACCATTGTACTCCACCCTGGGCAACAAGAGCAAATCTCTGTCTTGAGGGGGGAAAAAAACCACGCAACAATGGAATACATATATTTAAATAACTGCACATAATACACCCTCCATTTTTGTTACCAAGAGAAAGCTTCCATCAGGTAGCTTTACCAATACATTTCCATTCCCATGAAATGCAATACCACAGTACTAATATTCTATTCAGAAAAAGACTACAATTCCCTTGTAACTCTTTTTCTTTTTCCCTTGTAACTCTGAGTTCTTTCTTTTAATCGTTCAGGCCACATAGGTAAGGCCATTTTAGAAAAGGACTGCTTTCAAGTATCTAAATATACTTCCGGAGGGCGGGGGAGGAAGGGAGTCATTTTACACTTGTCACTCTCAGGGTGATGTCTGACTGTCCAAGTCACGGGGTCAGTAGAGCAGGTTTCCTGGCTAAAGGAAACTCTGGGAGTTCTTTCCTCCCTACCACCTGGGCCAGTCTCTTCCCCCTGTCCCTAGCTCTTGGCCCTCTACTCAGGGACTTGGTCCCCACAATCAGATGAAAACTCATTCAGGCAGAGCCTTGACAAGGTTCAGAACACGAGGGCTTGACCGGACATAGTGGCTCACGCCTGTAATCCCAGCACTTTGGGAGGCCGAGGTGGGCAGATCACCACCTGAGGTCAGGAGTTTGAGATCAGCCTGGCCAACCAACATGGTAAAACCCCATCTCTACTAAAAATACAAAAATTAACCAGGCATGGTGGCAGGCGCCTGTAATCCCAGCTACTCAGGAGGCTGAGGCAGGAGAATTGTTTGAACTTGGGAGGCAGAGGTTGAAGTGAGCCAAGATCGCACCACTGCACTCCAGCCTGGGTGACAGAATGAGACTCTCTTAAAAAAAAACCCACGAGGGCTTAAGGACAGCAGAGCAAATTAAGCTCCATTTATGGAAACTGTTTTAATTTTTTTTTTTTTTTTTTTTTTTTTTTTGAGACGGAGTCTCGCTCTATTGCCAGGCTGGAGTGCAGTGGCATGATCTCGGCTCACTGCAACCTCCACCTCCCGGGTTCAAGTGATTCTCCTGCCTCAGCCTCCCGAGTAGCTGGGACTACAGGTGTGTGCCACCATGCCCAGCTAATTTTTGTATTTTTAGTAGAGACGGGGTTTCACCGTGTTGGCCAGGATGGTCTCTATCTCTTGACCTCATAATCCGCCCGCCTCGGCTTCCCAAAGTGCTGGGATTACAGGTGTAAGCCACTGTGCCTGACCGGAAACTGTTTCTTAACATACATCATGCACGTAATCTTCGCTCTCCCAAGAGGCATTCACCCAAGCAGACAGGCAAGCATCTATGTGTTCAATTCGAAATGCAACAATGACAGATGTACAACTTTACCACTCTTAAAGAAACTAACATGCCATCCATTATTCTCCATGTGGGAAACATTCAGTAAACTTCTAAAACCAAACACAGGACTCTGGCATATCCCCACACCCCCAGCAGCAGGCTGTGACAGGCTTTGATCTCAATCAAATGCCACTGTACACAGAACATAAAAACAGGCTCAGGATGCTGCATGTCACTCTGACATATCACATTATTTCATATTACTCTGTCACTTACTCACAAACAAAAGTCTCCACTATGGCATGATTGAGAGAGAAAATAATTCACTTTATATAAATAACAGCTAAGAACAACATACTGTGAACAGTTTCCAGAGTTTGAACATTCAGCACAATCAATTCTTACTTCTTGGGAAAAAAATATCTTACCTATCTTTTCTGTTACAGTATGCCTTCTTGGAGAAAATATTTTAGTGGTAACATCATTTTCTGGGGCATTTGGTTAATTTTGAAAGATGATTATGCCACATGAACCAAAAAAAAAAAAAAAAACTGGCAGGAGGAGGAGGGTCCTAGGCCATTCTGGAAGCAAGCTGGGTTTTGCATTATTCAGAGTCAACTATTAAGCTGACTTATATTAGAATGGCGACAGATAAGAGGCAATGAGTGACACCAGGACATGCACAGCACACAGAGAATATGGTCTACTCTTGTCTTCCCTGCACAGATTAAACATAAGAGGCTTGGTAGAAAGACATGGGGAAAGGTGCTATGGGGGCCAGCATTTGGAAAGCATATATCCCAGTGACTTGAGTATTTGCTATGCAACCTCCTGGACGAGAAACTGGGAAAAGGCACACTTCCGCCCACAGTTGTGGACAGCAGCAGTCACCCGTCTGAATGCTTTCATTCAATGTGAAGATGCAGCTTGAACAAAAGTTTCTTTTTGTTTGTTTGTTTTCTGAGATGGAGTCTCGCTCTGTCACCCAGGCTGGAGTGCAGTGGCACGATCTCAGCTCACTGCAACCTCTGCCTCCTGGGTTCAGGCGATTCTCCTGTCTCTGCCTCCCGAGTAGCTGGGAATAGAGGGTGAGCCACAACACCCGGCTAATTTTTGTATTTTTAGTAGAGACGGGGTTTCACCATATTGGCCAGGCTGGTCTTGAACTCCTGACCTCATGATCCGTCCGCCTCAGCCTCCCAAAGTGCTGGGATTACAGGTGTGAGCCACCACGCCTGGCCGAACAAAAGTTTTTTAATCTTACTGATCCCATCTTTCCAGCTGCTCTGAACAGAGGGGCAGGGCGGGGAAAGTCATGTCACAGACTCTGCCCACAGCAGCCATTCTGAGGTGCCTTTTCAGTCTCTTATCCTCTTTTGAGCTTTCCTCTTCTTAATTTTTTGTTTTGTTTTGTTTTCATTGTACTCATTAATCCCCTCCTCAATTTTTAACAGAATTATAAAAGCAAAGTCAAAAGGTCCTTCAGGATGACTGGGAGGCTTCCTAGGCTAACTTTTGCATTTGAAAATGGAAAAAATAAATTACTTGATATTTGTGATAAGACTAAGATTTCTTAAAAGTCTGCACATCAATATATTACCTGGCTTAGGAGGGTGAGGGCACAGTATCCATCTGCACCCTCTCCTCGTATTTTTTAAAAACAGGCAAAATATGTAAGAAAAGGCTGGTGCACGTTGGAAGACAGAGCGTGCCTGTCTATGCCAGTGCTGCTGTGCCCTGCAGCCTGGCAGATGGAGTCGGATGCTGGGGCCTCATGCCCACTTAGGCCAATAACATACTCAAGACTCTACAGCCCGTTCACCAGCAAAGTATGCCCTGAGGGGCAACACTGGCTGTGGAAGTGAAGACACACAAAGCAGGGACTAAAGGCAAATGGGGCTTCACGATGCAGCGACATGAAGACAGAACTGGTGTGGGCGCCAAAGGCAACCTGCAGGGCTCACATAAAAGGAAAATAGGACAGAAAGCCACGAGTTCCACAAGCAGAATCATTTCTGGTCTTACATCTGAGGGCATTTGTAGAGAAAAGTCCAAGGCAATGTCCCCTGGGTCTGAGAGAAAAATCCTACGCAAAAGAGGGCAGACAATGCGGTGCTCGTCTTGAGGGAGCCTGACCCTGACCCTGACCCTGACGGGCTGGATGCGAGAGGGGCTGAGTATGGCTGTATTCAGTAAGGAAACTGGTAGCAGACTTTTCTAGAAGGTGGAAAGAAAAAGCAAAGACTTTCACAGATACAAAAATTGTTTTCAAAACAATTACCTAGAAAGTTCACTGCGGTTGGGTGGGGAATAAGTGTAATATTTTCATTTCAAATGAGCCATGGTGCTACTAATGGATTATAAAAGAGGATGGCCAGTTCTGGTCTTCCTTCCCTTCCCTTAACCCCCGAACCTTCCTACTCCTGACATTTTCCCTACCCTCACTGCAACCCACCCCCATCCTGGCCCAAAATTAATTTGCCCAGCCACTGCACCAAACCAGCCTTGACACACAATTGTTGGTTGGATTTCAATTAAACAATGCACCTAATGCGTTGGAAGAGAAGGTGGGGAGGGCACAAGGATGTTGGCGTAAACCTGGAGGTGTGTGGACCTTGGACAGAGCTTCCGCCGGCCAGACCCAGGGCAGGGTGGGCATCTGCAGTGCAGCGCAGGCCGCAGGTAAACTGAGGTAAGGAAGAACATGGTGGCTCTAGCTGGCCCTGCTTTCCGAGACAGTGCAGCATGTGTGTGCTCTTGGGTGTGGGCACCAAAAAACTCATTTTCTTCCAGTTGCTGCTGCCATTCCACCCTCTGACTAGAAGAATGCTCTTTACAGAGTCCAAAGGATCAGCCACTTGGTCTTCCTCTGAGGTACAAATCCAACAGAGCTTTAATCCCAAAGATCCAGTGGCCACCAGAGTACAGAAGTCAGAATCAAATGCTCAGAATCAAAAGGTGTGGCACTCCTGCCCAGCCGGCTTATCAGCAGTTGTATAGACAGATCAGAAAAAACTAGCATTTATTATAAAAACTGTTTTTCAAATGGGGTGATTTCCTGTCCTTCTCCAGAGATCATAATTCTTCACGTTTCTGAGGACCTAAGGAAAAGGAGAACCACAGAAAAGAAAACAGATGATCTTCAAATTACAAACACCACTGAGTGGGCATTTTTCATCACTGGAACCTATTCTTTGTACCTCCACCTTCATCTTATCTCACTTACTAAATCTTTGGGATTTGTGCTTTTGTACTGTATTTTGAAAGCAAAAACTAAATTAAAGATTTTTTAAAAATGGAAACTATCTGTAAACCCCACTCCAACTGAATTGTTTTCACAAATACAATATTTACTTTCAGTAAACGTTGCATGCATTTTTTTAGTCGGGATTTTTCTTTTATCATTTAATAGCATCTAAACATTTTCTATGTATCAGTGTAGCTCATTCTTGGATGTTTAAACTGTTTTTGATGCTTCTGGCTTATAAGTAATAGTAAAATAAATTTTTTCATGTATACAACTTTGTTTTTTCTGTTGAATTATTTCTTTCAGATATATTCTCAAGAGAGTAATTCTTGAGGGTATATAAACGCCTTACGGGCTTCTAATGGCAGATGTACTGCTTTGTAACAAGGGCTATTCCAATACACAAAGCTTCATCAAGCTACATCCACAACGGTTTCATCACCGCCTCCCAAACAAATGGCATTATCACTATGTCTGTTTTCTTCCATGTAGCAGATACTAGTGATAGACTGCTTTAATTTGATTACTGTTTCCTCAAATTCATTTATTATTTGTGTTTCCTCTTACTTGAACAGTGTGTCCACATTCTTTGCCCATTTATCTATGGAAATCCTCAGGGTTTTACTGATGAATCGGAATTAATTACTTTTATGGTTACTATATAACCTTCCAGCTGTGATATTTAATATCATAGTACAGTCTGAGGGATGTATAGGCAAATCACCCAAGATCCATGTTCTGGATTTTTTTATTTTGAGACAGGGTCTTGCTTGGTCACAGGTTCTCTCTCTGTTACCTAGGCTGGAGTGCAGTCGCTCACTGCAACCTTGACCTCCAGGCTCAAGCAATCCTCCGACTTCAGCCTCCTGAGAGGCTAGGATTATAGGCATGAGCCACTGTGCCCAGCCACTTTTTTAGAATTAGTCTAAAGCAGAATAAATCTTAAAAATCCAGAGCCCATGTACATACCAAAACATCACTATGGACTCCACAAATATGTACAATTATTACGTGACAATTTAAAAATAAATACATTTAAAATTTTTCTTAAATCTAGAGCCCAACTTATTAATATTTTAAAAAGTCAATTTCGTATTCTAATGATTTTTTCAAGTAGCTATCATTCAAGACACACACAACAGGGAAGACATTAAAGACTTAACACTAAATTAAATACAAGCATTCCATCTCCATCCCAACATGCTTGTTTTAAAGAATACTTTTTTCGGCCAGGCGCAGTGCCTCACGTCTGTAATCCTAGCACTTTGGGAGGCTGAGGCGGGCGGATCACTTGGGTCAGGAGTTTGAGACCAGCCTGGGCAACATGGTGAAACCCTGTCTCTACTAAAACTACAAAAAATAAAAAATAAATAAAATTTAAAAATAGCTGGGTGTGGTGGTGCATGCCTGTAATTCCAGCTACTTGGGAGGCTGAGGCATGAGAAACACATGAACCTGGGAGGTGGAGGCTGCAGTGAGCCAAGATCATGCCACTGCACTCCAGCCTGGGCAACAGAGTGAGACTCTGTCTCAAAAAAAAAAAAAAAAAGTTTCTTCAACTACATATTTGTGTTGATCTAAATTTTTTCATTCACTAGTACACTGACAGATTTAATGAAAAAAAAAACAAGGAATCTAAGAAGAACTCTGCAAAAGGTTTGGTTTATGTATCACAAAACTCATGAACCTAAATAACTATAATCACAATTAAAATACCCTTTCTCCCCCTCACCAGAAAAACGAGAAAAAAAAAAAAACATAGCAATTGCACTAATAAATACTGTTTAGAAGACCAACATAAAAGGAAAATGAAAAATATATACTGGTTGATGTTAGAATGGAAGGATTAATAGGAGATTTTTCTCTTCCTTTTATCCATTATTCTATTGTCTTTACAACAAGCAGAAATCAGAAATGGAAAGAAGTACTGTCCTAAAACCAACGGTTTGTGCTTACCTTCTCGGCTTGGTTCTTTTGTCTTCTCTTTGTACAGTGCTCCCGTTTCTTTCTCCTTCTGAAAGCGGATCTGTAGCTGTTTGATCTCTTGGTCGTAGTCCTGCCACTCCGGGACAATCCGCACAGCTGCTTCCAGTTTCGGCTCTTTGGTCATCGGATTATTACACTGTGAAACCAAAAGAACACACTTCAGCTGAGTTGAAGAAAGGCCACATGATAGAGAATTCAAAGGTTCTTGGGTTACAAGTCCTAACTGGACAAGAAAACAATAGTAAGGAACCAAATGATATACTACCAGAAGCAATATGGTAGTGGGCTATGTAAAGCTGTATTTACATCTACAAAGAATGTGTGAGTGGCTAATGGAAGGCAGGAAAAGTGAAAGTCCATTTGGAAAAATTACAAGGCACAGAGATAAACTGGAAGCCAAGGAGTGACTCAGCAGATTGTAAGTTGTGAAAACAGTCCCATTAAGTGCTAAGGGATTTGGTTTCCTAATGTAAGCAGGGAAATAAAACCAGTGAAATATTCTATAAGATAAGAATATTTATAAGAATATTCTATAAGAATAGCCCCAACAAACTATATACTTATGCTTACTATACAACAAACGATACTAATTCTATAAGATAAGAATATTTATAAGAATATTCTGTAAGATAAGAATAGCCCCGACAAACTACACAATTACAGAGAAAGTCTAAATAAGAATCTAGGAAATTCTTAAATTTAAGAATCTAAATAAAAATCATTAATCGTGATTCACTCACACATCCAGTGGATGAACATGCAGAAGCACACCACATACGGCTTACCAAATCAATGGTTTTTGCCCTTTTCTTAGAGGCGTCATCACACCACGTTTCACACCAAAGCCATTCTTGAGGGAGGGATTTAATTGGCACCTGATGAATCATGTTATTGGGCAGATCCTGTTTGGTTAAAAAAAAATAAAAATAAAATACATGTATCTAAAGTTCTGGCGATATTTATTTATTTATTTATTGAGAGATGGGGTCCCACTCTGTCACCCAGGTTGGAGTGCAGTAGTACGATCTCGGCTCACTGCAGCCTCCACCTCCCAGGTTCAAGAGATTCTCCTGCCTCAGCCTCCTGAGTAGCTGGGACTACAGGGGCCCGCCACCATGCCTGGCCAATTTTTGTATTTTTACTAGAGATGCGTTTTGCCATGTTGCCCCAGGTTGGTCTCAAACTGCTGAGCTTAGGCGATCCACCCACCTTAGCCTCACAAAGTGCTGAGATTATAGGCATGAGCCACTGCACCCAGCCAGTTCGTGTGGAGACAAACGTATAGAACATCAGTGATGTACAGCTGCTCGTTACAGATCACATGCCAATCACAAATGTTTAAAATGGAAAAGGTCCTTACCAATGCCTTAGAGAAGTTATTCAAAACTACAAATTTTAGAGGATCCATAAAACATCTGCCCATAATAAGCAACTGAAAAGCTTTGGCTTAAAACTTACAAACAGCCTGCACCTAACCCTCCCTTCATTAGGGCAATCCTGAGAAAAATACTCCTACTGACTTCTGAAAGTCAACTAAATAGAGTGGTGGTTCGTAAATTTTGCAGGCTTCTGTCAAGGAAGTTCTGAATCTACCTTGTCTATTGAGACTTGCTCCCAAATAGACGACATTTTTTCTAGCCAATGCTACCCTATGCTTTAAACCTTTTTCCTGTGGAGTCCTTCTGACTTTGCCACAATAAAATGTTCCATTGTCCTAAGACTTACATGGAACAAGGAAATGTACAGAAATGATTGACTGCGATACTTGTAAAGAATGTTCCATGATGGTACAAAAATAAATAGATGATACTTCTCTACAAAACCCTGCCAACAGACTAAAATTTAAAAATAGCTGCTGAAGTGGGTAGATCGCTTGAGCCCGGGAGTTCCAAGACTGGCCAGGGCAACATGGCAAAACCCCATCTCTATAAAAAATACAAAAAATTAGCTGGGCCTGGTGGTGTGAGCCTGTCGTCCCAGCTGCTCAGGAGGCTGAGGTGGGAGGATCGCCTGAGCCTGGGAGTTCGAGGCTGCAGTGAGCCATGATCGCATCACTGCACTCCAGCCTGGGTGACAGAGTGAGACCTTGTCTAAAAAAAAAAAAAAAAAAAAAAAGGCCGGGCACGGTGGCTCACACCTGCAATCCCAGCACTTTGGGAGGCCAAGGTGGGTGGATCACCTGAGGTCAGGAGTTCAAGACCAGCCTGGCCAACATGGTGAAACCCTGTCTCAACTAAAAATACAGAAAAATTAGCTGGGTGTGGTGGCACGCCTCTGTAATCCCACCTGCTCGGGAGGCTGAGGTTGCAGTGAGCTGAGATTACGCCACTGCACTCCAGCCTGGGCTACAAGAACAAAGCTCCATCTCCAAAAAAAAAAAAAAAAGAGAGAAACAAATACTGTTGGGTGATACCATTTTTGAACTCAAATTATTCCCCAAAATAATTCTGCAAAAACAACGCCTGACACACTACAGAAGATAAACAAATATGTGATAGACAGTATGAACAAAAGAATAACAGAAATAATACAACAGAATCAGATCCATAGTAGCTCCATAAATTAGAAGATACCAGGTATCACACAAATTTTAAAGTAAGTAGAGCCGGGCACTGTGGCTCGTGATTGTAATCCCGGCACTTTGGGAGGCCAAAGCGGGTGGATCACTTGAGGTCAGGAGTTTGAGACCAGCCTGGCCAACATGGTGAAACCCTGTCTCTACTGAAAATACAAAAATTAGCCAGGAGTGGTGGTGCGTGCCTGTAATCCTAGTTACTCAGGAGGCTGAGGCAGGAGGATCACTTGAACCCGGGAGGTGGAGGTTGCAGTGAGTGCAACCCAGAGCATGCCACTGCACTCCAGCCTGGGAAACAGAGTGAGATTCTGTCTCAAAACAAACAAACAAACAAAAAAGTTTACCTTTTATTATTCCATTGAGATAGAGGAGAAGAAAATGAGCAAATTAAACTAGTGTTTATGGATACATGCTTAAACAGTAAATCTATAAAGAAACAAAAATGATTACCATAAAAGTCGTGATGCTAGACACTTTTGTTAGGGAGGAAGGATGGCTTCTGGGATGCTGATAATGTTCTAGTTCTTGAACTAGGTTGTGGTATCTGGGTATTTGCTTCATAATAATTCCTGGATGTATGTGAATATGTATGTATGTTTTTTGTATACTTTTCTTTATGGATGCTACATATCACAATAAAGGTTTAAAAACATTTAAGTAGACTTAAGCAAAATAAAATGCTTAAAATATGTGAAATATGTATCCAAAACCCTTAAACTACAATCTCACCTCTGAAAAATGCTTAACATTAACAAACAGTAATTTAGCTAGCCTTGAAACACATCATGGTTTCTGACATAGAAAAAGGGGAAGCTGTGATACTATACTGTGATTCTATACTACGAATCCTGAGCTATTTAGTTCCTACAGCAGAAAAACAAACTGACCCTAGTAGGTAGAGAAACAAACCTATGAGATTAGTTTGAGTACAAAATACAAAGATATGCTAATGGTTCAGAGAGGCAGCATTCTCCTTCCATCTCTCTCCCCAGCCAGCATCAAATCTATGACATTTTTCACGCTGATATGTCTTGAGGGCAGATAAAAATCTCTCTCTCTCTCTCTCTCTCTCACACACACACACACACACACACACACACCATGAAAAAACAAGACGCCATCCTGTGAGGAGAGGACTGAAGACACAAGTAATACTTCATTTTCTGATGCAACACTGTATACCCGTCACTCACAGTTAACCATAAAAAATGGACACTTACTTGATCAAGATTTGAAAGGCTGTTAGGGTCCTGACTCAGACCTTGGTACTGTCCCCTGAGTCTGTCACCAGCAGCTATTTTCCTAAACTTCTTCAGATCCACAACATATAGTGCACTGAATAAAGAAGACCCGCTTGTTACAACCAACCATGGATTACGACAGGAAAACTAAACCCAATGAATAATGGAACAGGCCACTAGCCAAATATTCTGGCTTTTCTTTGAAAAGGTATGCTACAGCCCTACAGTGGAGTTAAAGTGTGCTACTTTAAAGATCTCTAAGAAAGTCACTGCAAAATCTATACTGTGCTATGCTTTTGTTACTGTTCTGTATTTGCCATCCGAAAGAAATAATCTCAGACCAAAGATTTCTAGCATATGCGGCAGTAACAAAAGCCATAGTAACTGATAAACAACCATTATTCAATGATATCCTGATGATGTCTTCAATGTTACAGGGGGGGGAAAACCCCAGAGTGTTACAGTCCTTACAGTTCTTTTGGACCAGGAATGTAAAGAATGAAGCCACCATCACTAAACCCCAGCAGTGATCTCTGCATGTGCCGCTTCCTACACGTTCCTCTTCCCTGCACATCTTCAAATCACACTTCTCGCAGAGAAGAGAATGGGGTGCTCATTAGAAATGTAACAACACACACACTGTTCGACCTAAAAGGTCTACGTCTAGGAATTTATCTCACAAATATATGAGATATGAAAAATTATTTAGTAGATTATTCATTGCAACATTGTAGGTCACAGGGAAAACTATAAATAACACTCACACACTGGAATAATATGCAGCTATGAAAAGGAATCAGGTCTCTCTCTATTCACTGAGAAGATGTATATGACATTAAGTAAAAAAAAAAAAAAAAAAGCCAAGTTACAAAATGTATAAATAGGTAGCATATTTTGTGTAAAAAAAAAAAGAATACACATTCACAGCTGTTTCTGTAAGAATTAAGAAAATCTGGAAGGATAGACAGTCAATAAGTTGGGAGGTTATCTGCTGTGAGAACAGGAACTGAGTAGGAAAGAGAGAGACAGGATTAGGAAGTTTTTTTTACACTGTATTTTTTTTTTTTTTTGAGATGGAATCTCACTCTGTCATCCAGGCTGGAGTGCAGCGGCGTGATCTCAGCTCACTGCAACCTCCGCCTCCTGGGTTCAAGCAATTCTCCTGCCTTAGCCTCCCGAGTAGCTGGGATTACAGGCGCCCACCACCATGCCCAGCTAATTTTTGTATTTTTAGTAGAGACGGGGTTTCGCCATGTTGGCCAGGCTGGTCTTGAAATCCTGACCTCAGGTGATCCACCTGCCTTGGCATCCCAAAGTGCTGGGATTAAGGCATGAGCCACTGCACCCAGCCACTGTGTATTTTTTATCATTTTTATTTTTCAACCATACCAATGTATTACCTATTCACAATTTTAACCACACAAAATCAATTTTAAGGAAAACCCCGTAACAGTGTTAGGAGTGCTTCTTTTCAGTACCTGATATGATACTTTCGCCCGGCTAAATGACTGGCCCAGTACCCTGACTTCCAGAACCTGTAGCCGTCCATTTCTCTTCGGCTGTCACAGAAAGGAGTGTAACCATAAGGAGCACCATCCAAATTGAAATCTCTTAACTCTTTCAGATCTGTTCGTACAATCTGGAGAATATAAAAAGTCATTTGTTAAGCAACCATGCAGACAGCTCTAATGCGGTTTCCTTCAGATACAGAGTGGCTCGCTTAAGGCAGCATGGAAGGCTGCTCCGTGGTTAGTGGCACAGGCACTAGGGGCAGATGCACTTTGATTGCTCCACTTATTACCTGGTTGACTCACTAACATGTAAGACACTTCTTAGCAAGGTGTGTGGGAGTAGGAATAAAACAAATTTCAACTGCTTAGCCTTTCTGTGCCTCAGTTTCTTCATCTGTAAAATGGAGATAATGATAATGACAGTACCTATCTCACAGGGTTGCTGGGAGGATTATGTAAGTTAACATATGGATGGACAGATGTAGAATAATGCCTTGCCCATCGTAAGTACTCAACAAGGATTAAATGTGGCTATGTTACAATCAGGAAGGCACACTTCAGGCTAAGCCAGTGGAAGAGAATTCCAAAGAGGTGAGTGAAGTCTCTGTCCCAGTGACTTTCACACACATTACATCCTTCCACTCAGGTGGCTGACTTGGGTTTCCGCCCGCTCGGGCTGAAGTGGAAGGCTGTGGGCAGACGTACACTTATGCTGTTTGAGTTTGTATGCTCTAAAATCACATGTTCCCTTTCACTAAGTCAAACCCTGACGGCCGGAAGAATATCCGGAGGTTCCCTACTGCCAAAGCCATGTATCCACTTAAGCTTCGTCTATTACCCATGACAATAACTCCTATCTTTTGGGCAGATAATTAGAGATGATGGCAAGCACTGCTAAATGTTAATTTTCTAATTTTTAGTTTTCATGTTAAATGAATTAAGTCAGATACAAAACTGCACACATTATGTCATCACAATGATGTTAAAAAGACAGAGAAAAAGATGTAAAGGAGATAAGCTAAATGCAAATTTAAAAAGTGATGACATCTATGTGATACATATTTTCATATTTTCTAAATGTAAAATAAGCATGTCCTTTTCCATAAGTGGAAAAAATAGCATTTAAAAAGAAGCAATTTGTTGCTTTTAATACAAACTGTCAAAACTTGGCCTTTAAGGGCCTACCTGATCAGCATCCACAAACAGGAACTTGTCAACAACTAGTGGGAAAAGTACATCCAGGAAGAGGATCTTGTAACCCCAGATGATACGCTGTTTTTCAGTTTGTTGATGAAGCCACCGGGGCCATTTGTACTGAACAAGCTCATACTGGAAATTGTATTCATTTGCCATGTAAGGTATAAACTCCTATTTTTAGACATGGGAACAACAAATAATCATTTCTTCTGATTAAGAAAACTGCTTTCATAATGTAAGCCAACCACCATGATACGGGACAAATAAAACACATTTACCAAAACAGTGGTCTTACAAAGACCGGCCGTGACCCACTCATGACTACATAGAAGAACAGATATAAACCTTTGTCAAATCCCCATTTCTTTATGACTTCTGGTCACCACATGAAATGACAGAATGTTCAAGAGAAGGATTTTAGATGTATATCCCTCTGTGTGTGTTTTTACAGCACATGAACTTTAAGTCCATTTGTCTAAACTTGATTTCAGTAAGGCATTTACTGAGCTTGATGACAAGCCTTCCTCGAGGCCAGATCTAACCCAGGGAATAACACTGCAAAGCCAGAACTCTGGACAAATGTGTTGTCCTTTTTGAATAAGTCTTTCAGATTCTAAGTATAAGCACCTTTAGGCGCCAGCAGTAAAGTGCTTATCAAGGAGAATGGTTATTGAATATATTAAAAGTCACTTAGTAAATTCTACAAGAAAAAAAAAGGATGCAAATAAATCAACTTAGATGACAAATACTGACTGATATAAGTAATGCAGAAAACATTCCAAGTACGTGTTTTGTTTTGCACAGAGGAAGCACTACTTCCATACATCATCTAGGAGTGGTTCATGCTAACACCAATCATTCTCTTCAATGTAAACCATCGCTGTGCTTTCTAAATTAAAGCAAGCATGCAGGCTTCAGAGGAAGGAAACGTTATCTCAGTAAGACACTGCTAATAATAACAACAACAAAAGACTCTCCTACCATATCATCCAAGTTTTTAAACACAATTTAACTGTTTCCTTCAAATAGACCAATCTGGAAGAATAATCAAAATAAAAATATGCAACCAAATTAGGGTATCTTAGTAAATGGAAAATTTGCTAAAGTATACAGATAAAACAAAAGTCATGAAAAATATACAGTAAATATCTCCTTAATAAGAATGTTTTCCCTTTCTCTGTGAAACAAACCTTAAATGTGGGGGACAAGTAATTCTTCAAGAACCAGAATTTCACAGGAGTCTTGGTATTCTTCAGCACGGATAGCATCATTATGCTGCCAAACAAAAGCAGGTAATTAATAACAGCTTTCCAATGTTATTTAACCTCAACATTATGTAGAGTCAATCACGAGACACCTAAATGCTCTTTACGGCAGAGCTAACTAATGGCTCAATTAGGCCGAGGGAGACGCTCAGTGATGGAAAATGAAAAATTGTACTTACTCCAACTTATGAAGTTATCACTAAAGAGAAGGGGCATTCCTCACCTATAAAACTACACTTAACTGACAGAGGCAAATGTTTTAATTCTGTTACACCTCTAAATAAACTGCTTCATGAACTGATATATTAGTTATGGTCCAGATGAACCCTGGAAATCGGGGTAACTGACATCACTCCCCAAAACTCCTGTCACATGACATCAGCATCTGGTGCTAAGGGAAGAATGTGTAACCACAGCGCCTCCTGCAGCCTACACAGAGGCCCTGCTTTAGAGAGGAAGGCTACCAGCTCCGGCCTCCTTACTCAGAAAACAAAACCACATTTTTGAATGGAGGAATTTAACCAAATTCGGTTGTTATTATTGTCACTATTTTAGGTAGGATATTATTTCTTGGAAATAAGAGGGCTAAAAATGAGACAAATGACATTTTGATTTTCTATACTAGATCTGTAGTGAAAAATTAAGAGTGAACAGAGCCCTGGCAATGAGAAAAGTGACTCTCAGGCCTTCCTGACAGTGCCTCTGGTGACCACTACATCAGGCAGCCCTAGCCCGTGGCCTCTTCTGGCTGTAGCTGTGTGACCTTAGACAAGTCCCTTCACACTCGGGGCCTCAGCCTGTTTATAAAACAGAAGTGTTCACATGTAAGAACTAAGCTCTCTCCTGGCTCTAAAATCCTGTGAATCTTTACAAGGCAGTGAAGTATTCCATGGTTCTGTTCTGATTCTATTCTCTATGTCAACCTCCTAATCTCTGGGTTAAGCAATGTTTGGCAGGCAGTAAACAGTACAGTCTATGAATGTGTACAGTGACGTTAAAGGGCTGCAGCCTTGTAATATCCAGAAGCACTCACTACATAGTTCAACTTCACAGAGACGGCGGGATCAAAACAAATCCAATGATAAATGGCAAGCCAGTCACAATGCTCAGAGTGCTTCAAAGACACAGGAGTATAATGAGCAGAATCCCACAAAACCTTTCCTCTCTAAATAAGAACACTGACCAATTCATTCATCATATATAATGAAATAATCAACAAGACTGACCGAAGAAATCTTTCGTAGAGATGACCAGATGCAACGGAGAAAATATTAATTATGTCATCTTTATCTTGCTTCACTTCCTCAGTCTTCTGTCCTGTAAAGCCCCTATAACAATAAGGGTAAAAAAAAGACCACTTGAAACACTCATACAGACACACGGCCTTTGAAAGTAAGAGGAAAGAGACTGCGCTTCCCATCCTTCCCTAGCGGGTGAGCTGCAGCAGGAGTGGTTATGAAGCTTCCCTCACACCCTGGAGAGACCACAAGACTGACAAAACCAACCTACAAAAAGAATGTTCACTCTCCGACAGTGTTGTTTTAGGAAGAGACTGAACACAGGCTGCACCAGAATGCAACTTACACAACGGGAAGTAAACTGAGCAGGGAGCAGTCAAATTTCCAAAGAGCAGGTACAGGCAATGAGAGTCACAAAGTATGGAGCAGAAGTAACTTCCCCACTAGGAGACATGAACCTCTTTTGGATCAATCGAGTGGAAAATACTCATCTATGCCAAATATAAGTGTGAGATGTAGCTGCACAAAGTAGAATGTGAAAGGCCCAGACAGAATCACAAGATGCAAAAAGGAGGGATGGATGGTGCTTATATCTCAGTTTTTCCTTAAAAACATAACTCTTACAATGTCAACTTACCATTTGAAGGAATCCCAAAATCCAGATTCATTCTCACTCGTTCCATCACTCAGCAAGTCTTCGTTCACCATATCTGCCTTCTTCTGAACCTGCAATCAAATGTGATAAACCTTACTCCCAGTATGTCTCACAGGCATAAAACTGCCTCTCACTGGATATACACTGTGAGCCTGTCATCAATAGGGAATTATCAATCAATTCTCTCACAAACAGGCACAACCCCACCCAGAGTCTAGAAGGATTCAATAGAAGTATCTTCGCCAGGACATTCACATCATAACCTTATGTGAGGAGACAGCAACCTCTTTTAATTAGATGAACCCCATTTTCAGCTTGCAACATAGGCAAAGAGCCGCAAACTCAACTGTGCAGTGAAACCAGAAGCACGATTCAATGAGTCAACAGCTAGTTCCAGGGAAGAGTGTGGCTGCTGGGGGCTCTAGCTGTTGGGAGGGAGGTATTTCATGTTATGACCAGTTTTCAGGATTCACTAGCACAAACAGGGGTTTCTTCTTGGCAGTACAGTGACCATTTTTCTTCTCAACAATGGATGGCCTATTTTAGGTTTCACTGTGTGTAATGATTCTTTCTTCAAGAATATACTGTACTTGAATTTAAGGCACTAAGAGCTTCAACATTCAGAGAACGGAAAGTACAAGTCAAAAGAAATTAAATAGGACTATCATTTTATTATTGTTGAAAATTTCCATTGCCAGTTCCCCCAATATTGAGAAAAGAATCATCAACAACACTATGAATTGTGGCTATATAAACAACATAGCATCTATGAGAATATTTTATATAAGATGGGACATGTTCTGCACACCGAGATTACCCAAAAGGTACAATCTTTCAGTTGAGGGAAGCCACAAACTCACAGTTACAAAGACATTTTGCCTTAAAGCAGTATCCCTATAATTGCCATAGCAAATTCCAAAGAGACTCTTGGGCTGGTTCCAAGATACATATTTTTAAATGACAGCTGTCCAATAACAGAATGCCACTACTTTTACCAAACTCACCTTCACTTTAATAATTTTGCTTTTGAAGTTGTTGAGGACGATAACCACCTCATCAGCATCAGGGGGAGAATCAGTGCCATCGTGGCTTTGCGAGAAAAGAAAGATCAATATTACAAGGCACAATTCTCAAAAGGCAGCAAATGCTCTCAGAGCATCTGAGTCCATCATCCTTCTCATAAAGGAGTTTTCCAGATCCAGCTATCTTCTTGCTCCTTAAGCTCCTTCGAGCTGCACAGAAGCACGTGTTGAAACCTCTCTTTATATAAGGTGCATGCCCAAACCTCCTTTGTGAGTCCTCTTGCAAATTACCCATCACGTAGTGAGAGGCACCCATGTGTGGTAACCACATGGTGAGTACTAAACAACCGCCTGTGTTCACAAGCTCTGAGCCAAGCACAGAGCCTTCGATAAAGGAATGCAGGGAACAGGCCCCCTGAACCATTATTGGAACCACACTGCCTCCGCTCTTTTTTTTTTTTTTTTTTTTTTTTGAGACAGAGTTTTGCTCTGTTGCCCTGGAGTGCAGTAGAGCAATCTCGGCTCAATGCAACCTCCACCTCCGGGGTTCAAGTGATTCTCCTGCTTCAGCCTTCAGGTAGCTGAGTTTACAGGCACCCACCACCACGCCTGGCTAATTTTTGTATTTTAGTAGAGACAGGGTTTCACCATAGTGGCTAGGCTGGTCTCAAACTCCTGACCTTAAGTGATCCACCCTCCTCGGCCTCCCAAAGTGTTGGGATTACAGGCGTGAGCCATCACCCATCACTCCCGGCCACTACTCTTTAACTGGAATAGTGTTGTAAAGGAAATCTGCTCGCTCTTTCTGCCGGAGGCAACAATCAGTCAACAATAGGCCCTGTACTCAACCTGGTGTCTATACGCTACCAGAAAAACTGTAACAAATTCTATTTGCAGGCAGACAGGAGCAGAGGAAGAAAAATTAAATGTATGTTTCCCTACTAATCAACAGCAATGCCTAAAATTTCCAGTCACCAAATTTCAAGGTGCAGAAAGTCATAATTACAACATGAATTCACTGCATTTGCTGTCATCTAGCAGAGAGTAGGGTTCTCAGGCAAAGGAAGATTCTAATGGGGGTGGGGCCCTGAACAGCTAGGAAGAGGGGGCACCATGCTCCTGGGAAGGGGAGGGCTGGCAAGGGCCAGGGCATCCAAAAGGGAAGGAGTTCGGAAGTGCATCCCAAATTTTGTAAAACCTTATCTGAGGAAAATGTTATGTGGGAAAAAACCTTCTACTGTTTACAATGGTGTTATTATAATACAGAATTCTTCTATTTCCTGGGTAAGAACCAGGCACTAATCCACTGTTTCATGTGTGTCGCTACGGAGCTAATTAAGGCAAGGACATACTACAGAGTGCTTCAAATGTGCCCTAATGGAAATCATCCCCTACACAACCTGACGGGAAGCCTCTTCACACAGTTTAAAACTAATTTAAATTGTGTTAAGCAGAATTTATATCAAACTTTTTTAAAGGCAACATAATTATTTTTAAACTAATAAATATGTGCAGTAAACCTTAAGGTAAAAGCTGGCTATAGAGGGAATGTTCTTACTATGCCACCACAGACCAAGGAATACCAGCACTAACAGCACAGCTTCAAGACCAAAGCTTCCATGTACTGTGCATTTGCAAATCACTCAGGGTCAACACATACACTCTCTGGGCAGAAAAGTGTGGCTGTTCTTTCTTTCTTTTCTCCTTTCTTCAAGTTTCTCATCTGCCTATCTATGAGCCGCATCACACTGATAGAATGATTTGATTCTGGGATATTGTTAGCACAAAGGAATAATTAAAGAATAAAGCCTGACTATACTCATTAGCATCTATACCTCTTATTATCTAATTCTATTCTAACAATTCTTCCATATTTAATTTCCTGGAAAAACCACTGTTTCATCACATACAACTGCAAATTAAATTCATGTTGCCTGGCTAACTGCCAGGGTAGTATTCAATTAGAGCTAATGCTCATTTCTAAAAGTTCTGGGATAATGTAACTGCATCACTTACTCCTACCTGTAAATTCTATAAATATCTTCAGAGCGTCCCTTCCTAAGTCTGAGGATCCAAGCTCCTGGGTTGGCTTTCAGCTGAAAGTAGCCCTAGGACAAGAAGAAAAGTCCAGTTAGCTCTCTTCAAAACACCAAAATGTTATTTCTGAGGAACAGTTACTTCTATTTCTGAAATATCAATCAACTATAATGTGAATAACACAGTAAACAAATCAATGCAACTCTTAAAAAACCAAAACTACACATTAAAAACTCTAGCACAGACCAGGTGCGGTGGCTCACGCCTGTAATCCCAGCACTTCGGGAGACCACGGCAGGTGGATCAACTGAGGTGAGGAGTTCGAGACCAGCCTGGCTAACATGGTGAAACCCCATCTCTACTAAAAAAGGACAAAAATTAGCCGGGCATGGTGGTGGGTGCCCGTAATCCCAGCTACTCAGGAGGCTGGGGCAGGAGAATTGCTTGAACCTGGGAGGCGGAGGTTGCAGTGAGCTGAGATCACACCACTGCACTCCAGCCTGGGCAGGAGTCTCAAAAAAAAAAAAAAAAAAACTAGTACAATAAAGGCCAGTCACACCAATAAATCATCTGCTCTTTAGCTGTGCTTCAGGGAAGAATCAACGTGTGATGCATGAATAAGTGTTGCACTTCCAAAGAAAAGAAAAAGGCTGTCAGCTCATGAGCAATCTATTTTCAGGGGGCCAATTCAGTTATAGCTGAGTATTCCAGCATGTTTTTTCTTTTGACATGTAATTCTAACCTACAAATTTAGCTGAACTAATGATTTCTATATTGACCAAATTCAGCCCATAATGAATTTTAATCTCACTCTATGGTTAAGAATGCTAATTGCTCCATCATAAATTATAGTGCCCAAATTAACGTAACTACAATATCACTATCTGATGAACAGATTATTTACCAGATTGGCCATAACAATGGTGTCCACAATGACCGGGTTGGCTGAAGTTCCTAAGGTAAACTGTAGTCCCCGTGGAGGCTGGCCTGTGGTGATGTCGTAGCAATGACCTTCCAGTAACAGGTATTCCAGCTCATACTCAGCAGCCACTACACTGTCCACCTGCAAGCCAAAATCCAATCACTTGAATGCACTCAGAGACAACATGAATAAATCTGAAATGCATTATGCAAAGTAAAGGAAGCAGACAAAAAGGACTTACATAATATATGATCATATTTTAAGAAATTCAAGAAAAGACAAAAGTATAATGACAGAAAGCAGATCAGTTGTTGCCTGAAACCAGGCGAGAGGAGGCTACTGTCTGCAAAGGGGTATAAAAGAACTTTTTGGGGTAATGGAAATGTTCTGCATCGTGGCTATAGTGGTGGTTAATGACTGTATACAATTATAAAAACTAGGTTGGAAAGAGAAAGGAGAAAAAAACAATAAGGACGTTATTCTAAAAATACGAACGAGGATAAGATACTAAATGTTGAAAAAAATTAAAGACCTAAATGCAAAGACATCCTGTACTCACGTATCAGTAGAAAAACTTGCACACAACATTCATAGCAGCATTATTCATAACAACCAAAAAGTGAAAACAACTCAAATGTCCATTCGTGAAAGGATAAATGAAACGTGATATGTCCATAAATAAAATATTATCTGGCAAGTTAAAAAGAGTGAAGCGTCGATACATACTACAGCATGGATGGATCTTGAAAACAATTTGTTATGTGAAAGAAGCCAGTTACAGAAGACCACATTTGATTCTATTTAGACAAAATGTCAGAATAGGCAAATCCATAGAGATACAAAGTAGACCAGCAGTTGCCAGGGGCTGGGGAAATGAAGAGTGACTGCTAATGAGTATGGGGCTTTCACTGGGGATGCTGAAAACATCCTACAATTACATAGTGGTGATGGCTGCACAACTCCGTGAAGATACTAAAACCTCTCAACTGTACACGTTAATGGGGAGAATTTTATGGTATATGAGTTCCATGTGAATAAAGCTGTTGTTTAAAAAAATATCATACCTGAACACTGATGTCTCAGAGGCCCACCTAGACTATGATTCAATCTGCTGTATTATACATGATTAGGTATTTGGAAGCAATAGATATGGTCTTACCTCTTCTAAATAAATATTATCAAGATCATATGGTGTTCTGACAGATTCTACCATCCAGCTCTCAGGTGTGTTCAAATTCAGAGTGAACAGTGGAGACTGAGGCATATCCAAAAATTTTGCGATTGGACCCTTAGCAAAACTATTGTCTGAAGTGAAAGAAATCTCTGGTTCTAAGACATAACGGTAAAAGCTGAAATTGAAAAGGAAAGTGTTAGATAATTTTCGATGTGACAACAGGACTTGAGTGCACAGCCCTTACACAGGTAACAACTGGTTAAAACAAATTAGATTTGGAGGAGTACCCTTCCAGATTGGGAAAAGTGTTTCCAAAACCATCTTTGACCTTATGATGCCTCCTTGTGGTTGCTGCAGATGCAAGAAAAGGCAAACAAGGACAGCACTGAGGAGGAGTGCTCAGTGGTGGCCTGTGGTGATGTCGTAGCAATGACCTTCTAGTAACAGGTACTCTAGCTCATACTCAGCAGCCACTATACTGTCCACCTGCAAGCCAAAATCCAATCACTTGAACGGAGGCCACTCGTTCACATGGATGGCTGTCAGGGTCACAGTTAGGTCCTGGGCATTTTCCTCCCTTCAAGGAGGACTCATTTTTCTCTTTAAAACCAATTCCTAAATACTGATTGGGCTCTCAGGCTAGTCCTGAAAACACTAATAATGTAAACATTTCCCCTATACGAGAATAATGGTGGAAGCTGGGAACCCTTTGGTTACTTTCAAATGCTGTTTCAATCCACTTAGAAGCTAACCTATAAAACACAGCACACTGGCAAGTTAGAAATTTCCCATAGCCACAACGCTAACTGCTTTCTGTATCACTTTTTTCATAAATGACCATTCCAAAGCTCATGACAATATATAGCTAAGCAAGCTTCCTCTAACATGTATATTCCAACTTGAAATGAATATTCTTCTTTTAAGATGAAAAGCACAAATGGGGCCAGGCGTGGTAGCTCACACCTGTAAACCCAGCACTTTGGGAAGTGAGGCAGACGGATCACTTGAGGTCAGGAGTTCGAGACCAGGCTGGTCAACATGGTGAAACCCCGTCTCTACTAAAAATACAAAAATTAGCTGGGCATGGTAGTGTGCACCTGTAATCCCAGCTACTAAGGAGGCTGAAGCAGGAGAATCCCTTGAACCCGGGAGGCAGAGGCTGCAGTGAGCCAAGATCATGCCACTGCACTCCAATCTGGGCGACAGAGCGAGACTCCATCTCGAAAAAAAGAAAGAAAAGGCACAAATGCAAGCAGCCTGGGTTAATGCCACCTAAATGCTACAAACACACTATGTTCTTAGAACTTCTGATTAGAATGAAATTTGGCAAAACTGAACATTTAGTAAATGACCATTTCAAACATGATGTCCACCTATAAATCCATCTGATCCTCTAACATGCAATATCAGAACTTGGATTCAGTACAATTTCTTCAACTGTTTTCTTACATAGCATGTTTTACCTTTTTAAAGGCATGTCAGAAAGTTTGGATTGGCAGTTCATAAATACTCTCAGATTCATGTTTATCAGCTGAGCCAAAACCTAGAAGGAAAACCAGATGACAAAATATTTAGGATTTTTTTCTTCAGAAATTTATTATTTGACACTGAGCTATTAATATCTCAAGAAAAGATATAAAGATAACAGCCACAGAGTCTGCACTGGCGAAACTTCTGGAAATCACAACTCTACTGCACAATCTACATCACACATACATAGGACGTGGCCAAAAGCAATGGGAAGTAGGCTGCTGCAGCTCACTGCTCCTCACACGAAGGCAGTTCCTGTGGGGAAGCAGCAGGCAGATCATGGAAAAACTACAGGCCTCAGAGTCACCGCTCACATGCCAAAGGATGAAAAAACAGAGATACCAATACTCACAAAAAAGGTTAGAGATTTATTCGGCAATGAATGTTGGAGCGACTGTCTTTGTCAAAGGTCTTTTAAATGTCCTAAAATTGTAACACACTGTACATGTCTAAAAGACATGCCAAGACAAAAAATCCATGGTAGTTATAAAAAAGGAAAAATGAAAAAACATATTTATTTTATCTCTGATATTATAAATTAAAATATAGCATACCTTAATTCCAGGATGTTTTACTCTAAATGAGGATGTTAATCACTTTTTTAAATTACATGAGGCAGCCAACCACACTTGCACCAACTTTCTAGGGCTGTGAGGCTGTTTCACAGCCACTGTCAATCTTTGTAAAGATTGCTCTGCCCTAGAACCCCATAGCATTGTCCAGTGCCTGTTGAAGGCAACTCAAGGAAAACGAAGCTCTCAGTGAATTTCAGAGCATGTGACAACTTCAAACAAAGGTGATGTACACTTCCTGCACAGCGTTCCTACCAAGAGCAAAGGAGCAAGTCTCTGTGCTTCTCTGGTGACAGGGTCAACGACAGCCACAACATCAAAGTATGTCTCCCCTTCCTTCGGCCTCAGTTTGATTGCACTGAAAGATCACAAGGATAAAACATTAACCTGGAGGACACAGGAAACAAAAGTTTTTTTTGTACAATATAACCTTCAACCTTCTTAGCATTTCAAAGAACTTTAGATCTAGAAAGACTAGACTATGACAGTGGCCAACTATATGATTCTGTCTATCCCAAAGATTGCAAAACCTTAATAATGGATCTGAAATGGACTGAAAGGTCCATGTAAAGAGAGGAAAAGCAGCTTGAAACTGTATTTAACCAAAAACTGAGAAAAGCTACTGAAGTTAGCTTCTGATAACATTATGCCAGTTTTTACTTCTTGGCAAGAAGAGTACAAAAAGAAAAGGAATAAATCAATTTTTAAAAAATAATGAAAGAACATTCCAGAAAACCTGCAAAACAAAGAAAAAGGAAAAATATAATCACAAAATATTCACTATCCCAGCCCACTTAGCTGCATCTCTACGTAATCCTTTCTAGATGCCTGTATAAACATTAGTTGTAGATACAGATTAGCAATTTCAAAACAATTTCCTTCCGTCTCTCACTACTGTAGCATAAAGATTTCCACATGCTGTTACACAACAAGCATCCTCTATAAGAAATAATATGCTATTCACCAAATGAAGCTGTCAGAGTTTACTCCAGCTTTTCTTTACTGCTGGACATAGAGATGGCTTTCAACCTGTAAACAATTTGTACAACCAACTTTCTCCACATTTGGAAATTTCTTTAGAGTCAAGGAAGTGCTAGACATGAGATTATGGAGACAAAGGATACAAATACTTTGCGGCTAATAAGTATTGTCAACCACATTTCCTGAAGAACTAAACAAATTTACAAGGCCAAAAAATAAATTTCACCACATCCTTCGTCAGCATTAAGTTATAGATAGATATTTTGCCTGTTCTTTTCCTTATTTACTTTTTTAGAGACAAGGTCTCACTCTGTGGCCCAGGCTGGAGTGCAGTGGCGTGATCATGGTTCACTGAAGCCTCTAACTTCTGGGTTGAAATGATCCTCTCAACTTAGCCTCCTAAGTAGCTAGGACTACAGACACATGCCACCATGCCGGGCTAATTTATATTTTTTTGTAGAGATACGGGTCTCACCATATTGACCAGACTAGTCTCAAACTCCTGGCCTCAAGTGATCCTCCTGCCTTGGCTTCTCAAAGCAATGGCATAAGCCACCACACCTGGTCCTTGTCTTTTTTTTTTTTTTTTTTTTTTTTTTTTTTTTTTTTTTTTTTTAAAGACAGAGTCTCGCTCATTCACCCAGGCTGGGAGTATAGTGGCGTGATCTCGGTTCACTGCAACCTCCACCTCCCCGGCTCAAGCAATCCTCGCGCCCCAGCCACCAAAGTAGCTGGGATTACAGGCACATGCCACCATGCCCAGCTAATTTGTGTATTGTTAGTAGAGACGGTGTTTTGCCATGTTGGCCAGGCTGGTCTTGAACTCCTGGCCTCAAGTGATCTGCCTGCCTTGGCCTCCCAAAGCACTGGGATTACAGGCATGAGCCATCATGCCCAGCCCCCTTGTCTGTTCTTAACTGAATGGTAACTTCCTGTTGCATGGACTCCCTGTGAAGTCACACAGACTGGTGACTTAAAAGGAGCAGGAACCTCTAATGAACTTTTAAAAGGACTCAACTTGAAAGGATTTAAAATTATACCCAATTTTTGAAAACCATTAACTGTTTAAACCATTATACTTTGTTTGCTCTGAACAATACTATAATGTGGTTACAATACTAACCACTACTTTTACTTTTTTTTTACCAAACAACATTTACCTAAGTGGGATGAATACAAAAGAATACCACAAAACAGCATAACGAAGAAAACTGGAAACAATTTACATGCTCATGGAGGTTACTTCACATCTTCACTGCTTTGGAAATAACCATGAGAATAGCTTTGTATCTGTGTTGAGGTAGGTGCTTTCGATCTCTGGCATTATTAACAATTTCAGATTAAGTCCACTGCCAATCATTATTCTTCTAACACAACAAAACTTCTGTTACTCTAATACAACTGTTCTCAAAGTGTGACTCCAGAGCAGTGGCATCAGCTTCCCCTGGGCATTTGTGAGAAGCAAGTCAGGATCCAACCCAGACTTACTGAATCAGAAACTCTGGGGACGGGTCCAGCAATCTGCATTTTAACAAACTCTAAGTAAAAGCCAAATTTTGAGAGCCACTGCCCTAATATAATTTGCACCTCTCTGCTATTCTAGAATTCTAGAAGGAAAAACTCATTAGAAAATAGCATTATACAAAGGCTCACAAGGGAACCAGAGAGAGAGTCTCAAAAAGGACTCTACACAAGAGTGTAACATCTGGTCATGCCTGCCCACACCAGGTTTGGGGTAGAGATTCACACAACATGTTCACATTCTGAGCCAGCAGTGTTCTAGGTGATCAGCAACAGGCACACCACAAATTGACCTTGTGAGGTCCTTTACTTACCCCACATCTCTAGAACAAGAAAAAGGGACTCGAAAAAAAACAAGGAAAGAGGAGTATTTGTGTGGAAATGGGAACAATATGAACAACATCATGTTTAAATGTATTCACTATATTGTGCAGAGAAAAGACCAGAATAAAACTAAAAGTGACAGAGACAGGAACAAGATTTGGAGATTATACACATTTGCCTATGGTTCGTAGAGTAAATGTCAACGAATACTGTGCTTAGTAGCATGAATGCACACGGGAATCCCCCAGGAGCAACTTGTTAAAATGCAGGTGCTGATTCCTCAGGACTGGGGTGGGTCCAAAGCCTGCATTTCCAACAGGCTCCCAGACAATGTCTTGCTGCTGGTCCATGGACCACACTTTGAGGGCAAGAATATACATAACTGATGGTTCAGATCTTTCTATTTCTAGCATAAATGAGAAACTTCTGAGTTAAATGTAATAAACATTCATTTAACTGACACAACTCCCAATAAGAGGAACTTCTCTAATAGGAATTATAATTTGTCTCATAATAGAATTTATAATTAAGGTATTTTAATTATACAAAACATGGAGACCCATGGAGAAGAAGATTTCTGAAAAGGGAAGAGGTCTTTGCTCAGGACTCGCTACCTTGGGCAAGAAGGGTAAACAAGATGGCAGGTTGATTAGGAAAGGTTTCCTCCCGCTGGTGACTAATGAGTTACTTCCTGAAAGTTCACAAAATGTTGAGAAAATGGGTGCAATCTGGGTGCTAATGGCCAAATTCAACAAGGATTATCCAGGAGCCATAAGAATCTTCACCCACTGCTGACATAAAAAATTAGGACACACAACCAGTGCAAACAGAGAGGGCCTCCATTCCAGCCTACAATCATCAAATGATCTCACCACGCACACCTGATCCCCACAAGGATGGGTCATAAAAAACACAGGCCCACTAAACCAAAGTCCAATCCATGCCAGACTGATCAGCTCAGAAACACAGAGGAATAGGACACAGGCATCTATATTTAAAGCCTCCCTGGGGATTCCGAGGCACAATCAGTGTATATGTATATACTTGCCAGCTACAGCAAAGGCTATATACATTACTGCGCAGGGCTCTTTCCTAGAAACAATTAAATCTAATCATGAGGAAGCAACTCAGACTGTGAGACATTCCATAAGACAACTGTCCTGGACTCTTAAAAAATGTCATCATAAAAGACAAAAGACTAGGAAAAAAAATGGCAAAGAACTCTTCCAGATTAAAGGAGACCAAAGAGACACAACTCTGTAATATGTAATCTGGACCAAAACAAATACAAAAAACAGTTGTAGAAGGTCATTACAAAGATACTGGAGTCATGTGAACAGAAATTGTGTTTTAATATTACTGTATCAAGGTTACATTTCTGAGGTCAGCTAACAGTACTGCGGAGAAGTCCTAGCACTCAGGATACACATGCGGAAAACGTCAGACATGTTACATCAGGATGTCTGCAACGTATTTCCAAATGGTGCAGGAAAAAATATGACCGTGTGTATGCAAACATATAAATAAACTACTAAAGCAGTTACTAGAAGTACTACACAAACACACACATGCAGACACACGCACACAACATGCACGTGTGCAGATGACAGAGATAAAGCAAATGTGACACACCAACAACTGGTGAATCTAAGTGAAGGATATTTGGGTGCTCATTATATTAGTCTTTCAACTATTTCTAGGTTTTAAACTTTTCAAAACAAAAAAGTGAAGAACAAAAAGGCAAACTCCCTCACTATGCTAAGCTTATTTAAAACAAAAGTTTTCGGCCAAGCACCTTGGGAGGCTGAGGCAGATGAATAACTTGAGCCTAGGAGTTTGAGACCAGCCTGGGCAACACAGTGAGACCCCATCTCTATAAAAAATACAAAAACTAGCCAGGCATGGTGGCAAGCGCCTGTGGTCTCTTCCACACAGGAGGTTGAGGTAGGAAGATCACTTGAGCCCAGAAGGCGGAAGGTGCAGTGAGCTGAGATCACGCTACTGCATTCTAGCCCAGATGACAGAATGAAACCCTGTTTTTTTTTTTTAAAAAAAGTTTTCAATAAAAGATGAATGAGACAAGTACTTTAATAATCTGTTTATCTTACTATTATTATGATTTTGAGATGGAGTCTTGCTCTGTCTCCAAGGCTGGAGTGCAATGGCACGATCTCTGCTCACTGCAACCTCTACCTCCTGGGTTCAAGCGATTCTCCTGTCTCAGGCTCCTGAGTAGCTGGTATTACAGGCATCTGCCACCATGACTGGCTAATTTTTGTATTTTTGTAGAGATGGGGTTTCACCATGTTGGCCAGGCTGGTCTCAAACTCCTGACCTCAGGTGATCCGCTGGCCTCAGCCTCGCAAAGTGCTGGGATTACAGGCATGAGCCACCACGCCCAGCCAATCTCTGTTTAATTTTTTTGTGAGACAGGGTCTCAGTCTGTTGCTCAGGCTGGAAGTGCAGTGATGAGATCATGGCTCACTGCAGCCTCTACCTCCAGAGTAGCTGGGACAACATGCACATGCCACCACACCCAGCTAATGTTTTAAAATTTTTTTGTAGAGACAGGGTCTCCCTTTGTTTGCTGGTCTCGAGCTTCTGGGCTCAAGCGATCCTCCCACACTGGCCTCCCAAAGTGCTGGAATTACAAGCATGAGCTATCTTGACCTGCCTGTGTTTATTCTCGAATTTAAGAAAAGTACAACTTCTCTGTTTAAT
Source organism: Homo sapiens (assembly GCF_000001405.40). Taxonomy (NCBI): domain Eukaryota; kingdom Metazoa; phylum Chordata; class Mammalia; order Primates; family Hominidae; genus Homo; species Homo sapiens. The sequence goes on along the minus strand of NC_000002.12, from coordinate 128,165,098 downwards.
TAAATGCAGTCTATTTTCTACTACAAGGGTGCACTCAGAGTTATTTCAGATTCATTTAGAAATAAATGTCAGTTTTCATACAACTGAGATTTGCATATGAATTTTATATATGAACACAAATATATACATGTGAAAACTGCACACCAAACAAATGTTCAATTCCTGTAAGAACTTATATATAAATCTTATATGGAAAAATGAAGGAGCTGAGGTAAAGCAAACATAAGAGTTTAATATTCAAGAATATGCACAAATTCAACATTAATTCTATACCTGTGTCTGTCTTCAAAAAACTGGTACTCGATTCTTGGATCTCCTTTTGGTTGCGCTGACAGAAGAGCATCCACCTTCATTACCAAGTCGCTTGCCCTGAAAGAAGGGGTTAGAGAAATCTTAACATCTTTTTAACTGAAAGTTTTCCAATTATTGCCAAACATATCATCAGCCCAAATACTGAATTCTAACAAGATGGTTTGAACAAGGTATAAAGTCCGTACTGATAGGCATGAGAAAGAGTGATTAGTGGTATAACCTTGGAGAAGTTACTCACTTTCCCACATGTGAAATGGAGACAGCACCCACGCTGCATGACTCTAGTAAAACTGCACAACTCTGCAATGCACCTAGCTGAGGCCCTGGCCCATTACAGGCTGTCAGTATTATTTACATTCTCCCTTGTCCTTTTAAAACTATTACTTTTTATGACTATTAGAGTAATAATTCACTGGAAAATAAACATAAAAGCCAAAAATTGAAATTACACATAATATCAAGTAACAAGGTCTGATATTTTGGCTCATAATTCTATACTTTTAAATACATATAAACAAATTATACTGGCAGCCTGCTTTTTCACTTAAAAACATATTATAAAAATCCTTTCCTTGGTTAATAAATACAGTGATATTTCAATATTTTTGTTTGTTTGTTTGTTTGTTTGAGTCAGGGTCTCACTCTAGTTGCCCAGGGCTTGATCTCAGCATCCTCGACCTTCCAGGCTCAGGTGATTCTCCCACCTCAGCCTCCCGACTGGCTGGGACTACAGGCATGCAGCACCAGGCCCAGCTAATTTTTATGTATTTTTAGTACAGACAGGGTTTTAGTACAGGCCAGGCTGGTCTTGAACTCCTGGGCTCACACAATCTGCCCATCTCAACCTCCCAAAGTGCTGGGATTACAGGTGTGAGCCACCGTGCCCAGCCTATTTCAATATATTTATGACTGCATAATGTTACATTTATGGATACAAAATAATCTAAATATTAAGCCAACTACTGAACATCTGTGTTGTTTCTAATTTCACTATTACAATTAACACTGAAGTAAACCACTTTAAAAAGAATTTTATTGTCCCTGCCTCTTCTAAAATTAATTTTTTTTTTTTTGAGACGGAGTCTCACTCTATCGCCCAGGCTGGAGTGCAGTGGCGCGATCTCGCTCACTGCAAGCTCTGCCTCCCGGGTTCACGCCATTCTCCTGCCTCAGCCTCCTGAGTAGCTGGGATCACAGGCGCCCGCCACCATGCCCGGCTAATTTTTTGTATTTTTAGTAGAGACGGGGTTTCACCGTGTTAGCCAAGATGGTCTCGATCTCCTGACCTCATGATCCGCCCGCCTCGGCCTTCCCAAGTGCTGGGATTACAGGTGTGAGCCACCACGCCCAGCCTAAAATTGATTTCTAACTGAAAAAGATCTTGAACTAAACCTGAAAAAAAAAAAAAAAAAACACTCCAATTTGCTGAACCAAAGACTAAATCCTGAATAAGAATTTTAAAAGAGCACTGTGAATGTATTTGAACTGTAATTAAGCCTACATACATTTCCTATGAACCCAGCAAATATATAAAATTAACTATTTTGGTTCAACTTCTCAATATAAATGCCAAATATATATAATACAGGCCATTCTCTTCCTGTGATGTGTCAACACGGTTACAAAACATGTCAAGGGGCACTTGGTTACGTGGACTGGAGTGAGCAGGCCAACAAGAAACTCCCTGAAGGCTGATGAAGAACAATGATCAAAGTATACACAGCCAAGCTTCAGGGCAGCCTTGGGGATGCAGACTGGGTCATGAATGATAGCTGTGGCTGTCACGGGGAAGGGGGCCACTCCAAGGTGGAGCAGCTCTGGCGCTAATGAAAACCTGATGCAGACAAGGTAATTTTGGGAAGCCTAAGAGTTTTAGCATTAGTCTTTTGGCCCCATGACTACCTGATTTCCCTAAATTCACCCAGGAAAGATCGAGAGCCATCTCTCATTGGCAAAAGGCAAGTCTTCTAGGCACAGTCTGGCAGTTATATAGCCCAAGAAGACCCCAAGGAGCTCCCTGCAGTGGTCCAACAGCATGCCACACCAAGCCTATGCCTGTGACATGGCTGCTTCGAGTCACGAGTACCTCCTGACCTACATCAGGGAAGCATTTCACAGGTCGGGACAAGGGGCATCACTCAGGAGCCACTGAGGTAAGAGGGATGGATCCTCCTTATTTGTAGCCCCAGTATTGGCCAAAATGAGAAAAGATTTCTTCCCAGGTCATACAAGACATGGCAACAGCTGACTTTGACAGCTATCCAAGTCAACACTTCTCTAAAACATGCTCTTGAACTCTGCAGCATGATGATGTAAGAAAAAAACCCAGCAGAACTTTTTTTTTTTGGAGACACAGTCTCACTTTGTCACCCAAGCTGGAGTGCAGTGGCGCAATCTCAGCTCATTGCAACCTCGCAAGCAGAACTTTAAAATTTTATATCCTCCAACTATGCATCAAAGAACACATCTCCACAGAATAGGAGAAAATGTTTACAAATCATGTATCTAGTAAGAAAGTGACATCCAAAATGTATAAAGAACTGCTACATCTCAACGACAAAAAAAAAAAACGCAATTAAAAATGGGCAAAAGACTTGAATAGACATTTTCCCAAAGATATATAAATGGCCAATCTGCACATGACAAGATGCTCAACATCACCAATCATTAGGGAAATGTGAATCAAACCACAAGGAGACAGCACTTCATACCCACGAGGATGGCTATTATAAAAAGCAAACAAACAAACAAAAAACCCCCCAGAAAATTACAAGTGTTGTGAGGATGTGGAGAAACCGGCACCCTTGAGCATTGCCAGTGGGAATGTAAAATGGTACAGCCACTGTGGGAAAGGTATTGTGGTTCCTCAAACAATTAAACATAGAAATAGATCCTCCAACTACATAGTCATTTGATATTTAATGCAGAAACTACATATATGTAACAATGGACTCCAGGGTCCATCCAAACAATTTATTTTCTTCCATTAAGAAAATAACACACTAAAACACATCAGCTTATAATAACACTGAAAATTAAAATTAAAAACCGACAACAACCAATTCATCATCACCTTTGAAGATACAAGGGAAACAACTCAGTATTCTGCACTGGTAAATAAAAGAAACATTTAAACTGCCTTTCCTTTCCTGAACAAAATAAAACTGAAGGGTAACCAAATAGATAATGATGAAAAGTATCACTTTACATAAGTATTCCAGGTAATAAATAAACTAGCCTCTTTACTTCTGCATATATTTGAAATTTTCCACAACCAAAAATTATAAAAATAAAAAGAGAGAACTAGTTCAGTTCCTTAAATAGTACCCTACAAAATAAATTATCTTGTTTCAACAGAAGCATACATTAAAACTGGAATTGAAGAGTATTATTAGATTTTAAACTGGAAATAAAACTCCTTGGGATATGTAGTATGAGTAACAACATATAATTCTAACTGATCAATGAGGAAAGTCCAATTATATAACCCCTGTAATTCCTCCTATGGCAAAACTTACACATCTTCTTCTACCCGAAGCTGTTGAATATGAGATTTTATTTTCTGTCCTGAGGTTTTTAAGATGATATTTTCGAGGAGGTGGAAATCGTCTTGATTAAAGAGCTCACTATCCTCCAGTGGCCCAATGATCTGTGAAGGAGAGAAGAGCAGGCGCTTAGCTCTGGAAGGCTGCCTGCACTCAGCAAGCTGGTAAGGAACCCTCTGGCGTCCTCAGGCTACCTCATACGCCAGAACATCTTAAAGACCTGAGACAGGTACATGTTTAGATAAAATCAGTGAAATAATACAAAGTGAAGCCCAAAGCAAATACTTGTAGTTATTTACTTATCAATTCCTCAAGGACAAAGTAAAATAAAATCGTAAAGTAGTTTTCATTAATTCTACCTGAATAAAAACAACAAAGGCTACTTTATGTGTCAAAGTCCATACTGACTGACTTTCTGAGAGCCACCACACTCTCACCGACAGCAGGAAGGCTCCATATGGGGATATTTGTCTATGTCAAAAAGCACAGCTCCTTGGAAATAGGAGGCAGAAACATCAATGGCACTTCATAAGCCCCAATCACCTTTGAAAAAAGAGTGGCTCTGTCTGAAGAGTTTACTAGCTTCAGAGGAGAATGCTGCAAAGACTGTTCACGGATCTAATGTGAAGTCAAGCTTGACAAATCCTCACCCTTCCATTGCTGATCACTGCCCTCTGTCCCTTCTTCAGCTTCAGAACATCCCTGCAGTACACGGCATGAGACAAAATGAAATCCATTTTGGAAGACTCAAAGACCTCTTTAAAAAGACTGAAATCCATTCCCTAGGAAAGTAATCATTATTAAGGAAAAATAGTCGTTACTAAGCAAACCATATAAACAAATAAACACAGTGAATAAACCATAAAAATTTCTTTCCCTGGAAAGTAATAACTAATTTTCATAATTAACATTAAGATGTGTCAATTCTCCAGTCTCCCCGCCATCTCCCTACTACTTAGAGTAACTGCTATTTCCTTATCTTTTCCTGTGATTTGTTCGACTAGCAGACTATTCATCATTCCTTTACTCTGCATTTTTAAATCCTGCTAATTTCCAGTGACAGCCTGTTTTCCTAACTCAAACGTCAAATAGTATATACTCATCATTCTGTAAAAAATTTAAAAACTACAAAACTGTGTCAAAAAAATAAGTAACATAAAATATAAATGAATAAACACAGGCTTATTCTGGAAACACATCAAGAACATATAAGCCTTGAACCTATAAGTGGTTCAAATCTCCGTTTTTTGCTCTATAAATAAGCCATATTGTCTCTCTTAAAAACTGTGCATAACAAATGGCTCCATACTTAAAACACACAAAAACTCAAATCATGCACCACATGAAAGCTAGGCAAGGTTAAAAGTAATAAAGGGAAACTTCCAAATTAAAAAAAAAAATTCCCTGAGACTCAGGACTAAAATGACAAATCGTGATCATGAACCGGACACGTAAGCTGCAGTGGGTGAGCTTCCGTGGCAGACAAAATGGGGCAGCCTCATGAGAGGCTCAGAGCCTTACCCCAACAGAGAACTCCGCAATGTCAGCTCCTGCAGCCAGGGCCTCTGCAGCCCCCTCCTTGGCCATTTTGGTGATGAAGTTCTTAGCAGCGTTGGAAGTCTGAGTTTGGAGAGCTGCCCAGATTGCTCTGGAGATCTGAGTGTTCTCATAGCTTATCTCTTTGGCAGGATTATTGATCATGCTTATTCTAACATTGTTACTGGATTTCTGTTCACAAAATGGGAAACGGGAGTCATATTGTAGATATTTTTGAACTTAAAAAGCAGCATTAACATCAGTCATGTTCAATAAGTAGCAAATAATATCTCTCTTAAAAGTCTCAGGCCGGGCGCAGTGGCTCATGCCTGTAATCCCAGCACTTTGGAAAGCCAAAGCGGGCGGACCACGAGATCAGGAGTTCGAGACCAGCCTGGCCAACAGAGTGAAACTCTGTCTCTACTAAAAATACAAAAGATTAGCCAGGCATGGTGGTGGGCGCCTGTAATTCCAGCTACTCGCAAGGCTGTGGCAGGAGAATCGCTTGAACTCGGGAGGTGGAGGTTGCACTGAGCCAAGATCACACCACTGCACTCCAGCCTGGATGACAGAGTAAGACTCCGTCTCATTAAAAAAAAAAAAAAAAAAAAAGTCTCAGATAGTTCTCCTCCTCATTCAAAATAAAATTAAAAATGCCATCATCAAGCATTCAAAACCCTACATGAAGTGGCCCCCAGCCCACCTTTCCAACTTCATTTCTTACCTTCCCGGTAAATATAGCATAAATTACAGACCCTCAGAGTCCTATCTTTACCCAACACAGTTTATATTCTTATGCCACACATTTTGTATTCTTCTAACGCACTTGTTTTAGAAGTGTTTTCAGTGCTCTCCTCAAACCCTTCTTCATTCATACAGCCTTCCCACATTCCTAGTACAATTCAATCTCTCCCTGGGTGAAAAGACAAGAATCCAAGTGGAAGAATACACCCAGGACACACAAAGCCAAAAAAGGGCTTGTACCAATAACATAAGCAACAGACATTTATATTTGGGTGTACCAAAAGACATACGAGAATATTCATTGCAGCAGTCTTATAATAGCACCAAGCTAAAAACCCAACTGTCCTTCAAATAGCTTAAACAAATAAAACTTTGTGGTACAGCCATATGATATAATACTACAGAATGAAAAAGGACTCTATACCCCTACTTGTAACATCATGAATAAATCTTACAAAAGATTGGGTAAAGAAACCAAACACAAATGAAATTGCATAACATTCCATTTTAATAAACTAAAAGATAGGCAAACCTATTCCCTAATATGAGAAGAGGGAAGAGGCGTAGTGTCTGGGCACAAGTGTGGGTGGGCACAAGTGTGGGAGGGCTTTCAGGAACTTGAGAATTCTCTATTTTTTGACCTGAGTGGTGGTCACAAGAGTGTGTTCTCTTTGTGACACTGTGTGTCCTATGATTTGAGCACTTCTTGTGAACCTACATTTTACTTCAATTAAAATAGTTATTAAAAAATGCAACTCTCCTTCCCCATTCTCCTACCCTACTACCATTTGAAGATTTACGCATTTGTGTTAGAGTGCCTTTCACATATAACTATCGCCCTTAGCTAGAACTGCCCTGTTCTAACTTCAAATTGACCACAGCATTTGGTCCACTCCTTGAACAATAAAGGAACTCGGCATATGAGTAAAACTGAAACCACCTGGATATTTCTTTATTTCAGTAAACCTTCCCAGGTACAGGGTGGAAAGGGGACCATGAGGAGGGTTGTGAGGTATGGATGAAGATGCAAACTGAAACAGCCCAGGAAAAAGAATTTTGACATCTCATCCTCTAACGATGACACTCTCCAGAAGAATCAGCTGCTTCCCAACCACCTGCCATTGCCACTCACTCAAGCCCAACTATTAATGGCAGCATATCTTTTCAGAACACCTATGTGTGTATCCCTCAGTGCATCTGGATCTACTTCTACTAAACACACACACTACCATTCCTGTGTGCTACTGCCCCCATGTCCAGACCTCTGTCGTGGTAAGGACCCCATCTCCCCGATACAGTACACAACACAATTGTTGGAGCAACTCTGCTCCAAGAACATGAACAGGTATGCAATAAAACTTGTCTATGATGAGGATCTCGCTATTTATTTTTTTCTCTATAAGAATCTATCCCGTTCAACAAAGCCTGGATACTGTAGTCTTAGATCTCTTTTCTTGAGAGCTGGCAGATCTCTAGAGATACAATTCTCCGTTCCCTCGAGCATTAAGAAAGCAGGACTCCCAACTCCCACTGAACAATCCTAGCCGCACAGCGAAGCCCATGAAGACAACTACAGCCACAAACAAAAATATAAAATGAAGTCATAGATACTTGCCTGATGTTTGATGGCATCATACAGTAACTGCCGTCCAGAAGGGCTATCAAAATCCCCAACAATCCAAAAAGTTACTGGCCTAATAAAAGAATCATCTGTAGAAAAACAAAAACAGCTAATTGAGTCAGAGGAGAGAAGCACATTCTGTGTTTCAACATTCTGAAAATGAAATTGACCAAATAATTTGTAAGAACCATGCAAAAAGAAGAAAATGACAAGCTTAATAAAGATAGAAGAAAAAGTCGTAAACCTTTACTATAGGAAAGCAGGGGAATCTTCCACAGAGTTTAGTTACAGACTAGGAACATGCACTGATTAATTCTACTGATTAATGCACTGGTCTGGGCATCTGTTAGCATGTAAAATGAAAAACAGCCTTTGAACATGTGGGTAACATATTGTCATTTTTAATCATACTAATTTGTAATTTTCTGAAACTAATTCTTTACAAATGTTTATACAAAATTTATCTACATTGGCCGGGTGCAGTGGCTCACGCCTGTAATCCTAGCACTTTGGGAGGTTCAGGAGGGTGGATCACTTGAGGTCAGGAGTTCAAAACCAGCCTGGCCAAAATGGTAAAACCCCATCCCTACTAAAAATACAAAAAAGTTAGCTGGACGTGGTGGCGGGTGCCTGTAATCCCAGCTACTTGGAAGGCTGAGGCAGGAGAATCACTTGAAATCACTTGAACCCAGAAGGCGGAGCTTGCAGTGAGCCGAGATCATGGTACTGCACTCCAGCCTGGGTGACAGAATGAGACTCTGTCTCAAAAAAAAAAAAAAAAAAAATTATCTACATTGATATAGCTTCCTGTTACCCACAGATTCCGGAAACAGTACAATTAAGTGTTGATAAATTCTAAATTACAATGGTCACTGAAACCAAAGAAGAAAATTAAGAAATAGAACATTCTGAAGTTTTAAGTTACCATAGATTTCCTTGGAGGACATTCCTGAACAAAGGTAAAGAGAAAAGAGTAGAAAAAAAGTATCATTTCTGGAATGAATGCCTACTGTAAAAATTGAAAGTCTAAACAATGGCTAACACGGTCTATGGTTCTTCCTGCTGCTTAGTCCTGTCGGTGTCATGGCGCTGTCCCAGTACCCTAAGAAACAGTTTCTTTAAAGAACCAAATGGAGTAATTGCTTGTACTTTACATACAGCTGAGAAACCAGAACTTCTCTTGGGGAGAGACCACAGCGGGGATTTAAAAAGGCGGTAAAAATAGCTGACTTAAAATAACAGCCAGTGCTTTTCTGAAGCACTGACCCGAGGGCGACAGAATCTGTCCGCCACTACAGGGCGTCATTTTACACAATCTTAGCCTAAATAAATACCTCTGCATAAAATCAGCTTCAAAGATTATACAAGGCTTTCTAAAACCAACTTTATCTTATAAACCCCAAAATAATATTAACCCTGTACAGTCATTTTTAATTCATTAACCCATTTTTACATCACAAATGTTTTTCCATTTGAACTATGAAATATTTTTCCTTTTGACTTTAGTCAAAAGGTAAAACAGGTAATACAAAATTTATGAAGACATCTGAATTTTTAAACAAATATATACTTTCAACAAATATACAAAGAATTAAACTTTAAATAGATATGTTCTAGACTCAAAGCTTTATAAGAAATAAGAAAAATTATGAAGTCTCTTTCCCTTTTCTCTCTTAATTTGCACATTAAGATGAATATGCAAATACTTTCAAAAAAATGTTGAATGCAAGATAATAAGCCTCAAATGGATTACCTTTCTTTGTCAGATAGTTCATACTATTGGCTACAGCAGCAGTCTTGCCTTGGGAATCCAAGATAGTAAATCTAGCATAATCATCCACAAAGAAGTTATCTGGGAGAAAAAATGAAATACGTATATATTAGTTCCAGTTCAATCTATTCTTAATATTCAACTGATAACCTGACTTGATCATAATATAAGATTTATAGAAATGCGTGAGTGAAGTATATTAAGTTCCATGTTTACTGAACAACTTCACAACATGGCCCCTATCCCTACTGAAGTCACACATCAAAGACACAAGGTTGATGGAAACATACATATCTCACACAGCTATCATATAAGTATGTGTCAGTTTAATGGCTGAATTCATCCTATTCCCATTCCTGTCACTTGTCAACTGGAGGACAATCTCAAAGAGATCCCCTTAACTCATTTCTCCCTTCCCTAGTCCAACCAGTGGAGTAAGCTCTTCCTGTTCCTACAGAGGAAGCAGGGGTAAAAGAGAAAATACGTAAGAAAACTGATTTTTATTTTTCAGGTCTAACAAAATATCACCTTTTAAACCCTTAACAGAAATAAAAGGTCATTTTCACTCTTTTTGCATATGTCCCTTCTCCAATTAGTGTCAAAGGGCAATCCTCATTACTCATTTTCCCTCAAATTATTATTCCTAGAATTCCAGTTTCATCAAGTCATTCTCTTGCTCTAAACTACCCAGTAATTTCTTACAGCCTAGTACTGTAAACTCTCTGTCTCTAACAATCTCCCCAATCTTAAACATTATTGCACCCTATACAAATGTCAGTCTTCTCATCACAGTCTGTCAGACACAGCTTGCCTGCCTACCCACTCATTTATTCATCTGTGCACATGCTCATCCATCTACACTGTCACTTGACAATGCACACTGAACACCTACTATCCATAGAATACTATCCAGGAAAACCGTAGAAAATAAGTCACACACGGTCCATGATATCACGTGGGGGAAGGGAGAGCACACCATGCCGATAAAAATTAGTATAAAATTAAAAATTTTACCATGCTGGTAAAAATTAGTATCCTACTAAAAAGGTTCCAGGACAGCCAAAGCCAAAGAAACCTGAGTGACAATGCCACCACCACCAGGTCAAGAGGATGCCAGAGCCTCCTAATTGATGTCTGCACTATGTTCAGCTGACAGGTGGCACTTTGCCACTGTGGACTAGCACTGTTTCATAGCTCATTGCTGCAACACTCAATGGAAAAGGAAATTCAAAAACAAAACCGCTATTATGTTCCTTATTCATGTGTATTCCAGAGACAACCCTTCAAATTTAAATAAAAATGATGAAAACAATAAACACTTAGGATGAAGAGCCACAACACGCTCACCTTGCTCTACTGAAACTTCAGGGAAGAAAGGAAAACCCGGCTGTGAAGAAAAAGCTCACTTTCTGGGTAGTTTCTTTCTCAAATATAAGCCTATATTTACACTTTTTCCTCAGTGTGTGTGTGCTTATGTATAGGAGTGTGTGTGTGTGTGTGTGTGTGTGTATATATACATGTATTTTTCCTCTACCTAAAACAAACTTTCAGTTTCAAGTCTATTAGAGATAGTGCATTACGTTAACAACCATAAATAGATTGATATGTTCATTATACTCAACTATAACAATAAATAGCTGGTTATGACTTCATTACACACATCTTTCCTTCCCCAGTGAGATTTCATGGGCTAGTGATGACAGTTCCATCTTATTTCCAGGTGTTTGCTGAAGAGGCCTCAGAATCTCGAGGAAGGCACAAGGAACAAATTGCACCTGGGCTTAACATATTTGGCTCTTATAAGGTATTCTAGCAGAAAACTGCCAACTGTCCACCAACTGAGGAACAGATATATGTGGACTATCCATAAAGTGGACTATAAAAAGGAATGAAATGCTGACATACACAACAACATGCATAAGCCTTAACAATATGCTAAATTAAACAAGCCAGGCACAAAAGGCTTCCAATTATATGAAATGTCTAGAATAGGCAAATCCATAGACACAGAAAGTAGATTAGTTGTTGCCAGAGGATAGGGGAAGGGAGGAACAGAGAGTGACTACTAATAGGTACATGGAATTCTGGGGAATTTTTGGGGGGTGATGATAATGATGTATCATTAGACAGTGGTGATGACTGCACAAACTTTGTGGGGTTTTTTTCATTAAAAAAACCATTGAATTGTATACTTTAAAAGGTTGAGTTTTATGGCATATACATCATATCTTGATGAAGCTGCTAAAGGCCTTCCTAAGTTCTCAGAGTAAAATTCACTGAGATATTTGTTGACATTATGGCTGACTGACTCTAGAATGAGGATGAAGAAAGAGAACTGCTTTATGACTAGAGAAGCGAACAATCCAGGTCCATTCTCATCATCTATTGTCTGTTTAGTTGGCATTTAAATGGCACTAAATATTTTTCAAAGTTCACAGGGTTTTGCCCAGAAGATGTTTTCTTCTTTAGGAGGAAACTCTTGTGAATTTAGAATCTCATATTATGAACTAAAGGTGCAAAGAGTTTACACATAAAATTTTGTCACAATCTTGGGCTATCTTCTGAACACTGCAGAAGATAATCAGAATATTAAAATCTGAAAAATGTAAAGATTCTGAAGCACAAGTCAAAAAAAGCATAAGGTTGTTCCTGAAATGCTCCTTACTACTCGCTGTTAAATCCAGGTAGTCTCGTTCAGCTGTCAAAATCCTAGAATTGATTCGTGGAACAACATTTGGCTGATTCATGATATACTCTACCACATCTTGATCATGGGGCAGTTCACCCTGCAAGAAAAAAAAAGGAGGTTGAGGGGGGAGGGTAAAGCAAATTTTAGCAATAATAATTCATTAGGAACCAAAAAATTATTAACTTTATAAATGGCTTCCTCTGTGCTAATAATAGTTAAGACAGAAGTTACTATGTTATTGGTCCCTGTCACTGCCGAGTATACCTGGGCACATCACCTACAGCATCTCTACCTCTATCAACAACGTGAGGCAGATATTGTTGACATTCATTGTAAAGATGAGGAAGCTAAGGCACAGAAAGGTTAAATAACTTACTCAAACTCACAAAGCTAATGCAAAGTGATTATGAAATGCAAACCCAGGCCAGGAATGGTGGCTCATGCCTGTAATCCCAGCACTTTGGGAGGCTGAGGAAGGCAGATCACTTGAGGTTATGAGTTCAAGACCAGCCTGGCCAACATGCCATCTTTACTAAAAATACAAAAGTAGCCGGGCATGGTGGCAGGTGCCGGTAATCCCAGCTTCTCAGGAAGCTGAGGCAGGAGAATCACTTGAACCTGGGAGGCAGAGGTTGCAGTGAGCCAAGATCATGCCACTGCACTGGGCTACAGAGTGAGACTCTGTCCCAAGGAAAAAAAAAAAATAGGAAAAGGTCTTCTCTCAAGCAGTTAATATACTTTGTAATAAAAACCACTCCCATCTTTGTTCAATCTCAGCCATCCAAATAAACTTACATCTCCAGAGTCAGAATTACAATGAGAGGATAGGAAATCATTGTCATTTATTCTTCCCTTTTGCACAGCTAATATTACAGAAATAGTTATACTTCTTGAAGGTGATCTCAGAGCCATGTGTCAACAACTGTGCAAATGTGCAGATTTATCAAACTTAAAATATTTAACACACAGGTATACTTTAAAGTCATTTTCTTTTTTTTTCCTTTGAGACAAGGTCTTGCTCTTTCATCCAGGCTGGAGTGTAGTAGTATAATCAAAACCACAGCTCACTGCAGCCTTGACCTCCAGGGCTCAAGGGATCTTCCTACCTTAACCTCCCAAATAGCTGGGACTACAGGCATGTGCCACCACACCCAGCTAATTTTTGTATTTTTGTAGAGATGGGGTTTCACCACATTGCCCAGGCTAGTCTCAAACTCCTGGGCTCAAGAGATCCTCTCTCACCGTGCCCGACCTGAAGTCATTTTCAAGATAAAAGATGTGAATCAAATATACACATTCAAGTCTAAATAATTCCAATTAGACATTATTTGTAGCTATTTAATAAGGAGCATATGAACCAATCATACAAATCAAAAGACAAAGATATTAGATGGCTCACTGTACATGTTGGCCCATGTATACAACTTTGGTCAATATTATAAATCTACTTGACTCCAATTAGAAGCCCATCGAGTTCAAGGAGGGGAATTTGGCAAAGTCTATAAAAATTTTAAAAGTAGGGTTGCAGGGCCTGGGGAAGGCGTGGCAGGCGCCATGTCTGCCTGTGAAGGTGCTGCTGAAACAGCCCAAGAAGCAGGCCAAGGAGATGGACGAGGAAGGTAAGACTTTCAAGCAGAAACAAAAAGAGGAGCAGAAGAAACAAAAATAGGAGCTAAAATAGAAGGCTATGGGGAAGGGACCCCTGGCTGCAGGTGAAATTAAGAAATCTGGGCCGGGTGCAATGGCTCATGCCTATAATCCCAGCACTTTGGGAGGCTGAGGCGGGTGGATAACCTGAGGTCAGGAGTTCAAGACCAGCCTAGCCAAAATGGCAAAACCCTGTCTCTACTAAAAATACAAAAATTAGCCGGGCATGGTGGCGGGCGCCTGTAATCTCAGCTACTCAGGAGCCTGAGGCAGGTGAATCACCTGAATCTGGGATGCAGAAGTTGCAGTAAACCGAGATCACACCACTGAACTCTAGCCTGGGTGACAAAGCGAGGCTCCATCTCAAAAACAGAAAAGAAAAAAAAATCTGGCAACAAGTAAGCTGTGCCTTGTGCCTGAGGAGATGGTGACCCTTGATTTCATTCATATTTAAACATCTGTATTCCCTGCCATAGCATCTTTTGCCACCTATAGCTGGAATGAAGTGTTGTCCTGAAGCCTGTTGTACATATAAGAATAAACATTTGTAAAAAAAAAAAAAAAAGTTATTAATTAAAAAAAATAAATAATTGTAAATGTAACACCTTCTGACCAGCCCTTGTATACACACACATGCACACATGCGTGCACACACAGACACACACACACACACATGGTAGTTGTCTTGAGGAAGAAATCATGAGTAGTACAGCACAGGGGTGTATGGCTAAAAGTTTCTCTTCATTTACATTTCTGTTTTGAATTTCATACCACTGGCATAGCATATCTCTTAATTCTTTTTAAAGAAACAAGGTCATGCCCTGTTGCTCAGACTAGAGTGCAGTGGCATGATTATAGCCCACTACAGCCTCAATCCTCAAGCAACCCTCCTGCCTTAGTCTCCCGAAGTAGCTCAGACTACAGGTGCATGCCACAATGCCTGGCTAATTTTTTTTATTTTGTAGAGATGAGGTCTCGTTATGTTAGCCAGGCTGGTCTCAATCTCCTGGGCTCAACTAATCCTCCAGCCTCAGCCTCTCGAAGTGTTGTATTACAGGCGTCAGCCACCACAACTGGCTGATAACACATCTTTTTGTAGTGCATTTAGTTCAAATTTTCCAGTACTTGGTATTTTTCAAGACAATGTACAAAGGTATATACATATTAGAATATTCACTGTAGCACTGTCTGTAACTAGTGAAAATGTAGAAGTAATGTCCAATACTAGGGAATGAAGTAAATGTTTATTTTATTTTACTTATATATTTTTTGAGACAGAGTTTCACTCTTGTCGCCCAGGCTGGAGTGCAATGTCACGATCTTGGCTCACTGCAACCTCGGCCTCCTGCGTTCAAGCGATTCTCCTGCCTCAGCCTCCCGAGTAGCTGGGATTACAGGCATGAGCCACCACGCCCAGCTAATTATTATTATTATTTTTTTTTTTTCTTGAGACGGAGTCTTGCTCTGTCACCCTGGCTGGAGTGCAGTGGCGCAATCTCGGCTGCACTTGGTTCCCAGAGGGAACCTCTGCCTCCCAGGTTCAAGCGATTCTCCTGCCTCAGCCTCCTGAGTAGCTGGGACTACAGGCGCCCGCCACCATGTCCAGCTAATTTTTTTTTTTTTTGGATTTTTAGTAGAGATGGGGTTTCACCATGTTAGCCAGAATGATCTTGATCTCCTGACCTCATGATCCGCCCACCTCGGTTTCCCAAGTGAGCCACCGCGCCCGGCCTAATTTTTTTTGTGTGTTTTTAGTAGAGACAGGGTTTCACCGTGTTAGCCAGGATGGTCTCAATCTCCTGACCTCATTATCCGCCCGCCTCGGCCTCCCAAAGTGCTGGGATTACAGGCATGAGCCATCGCGCCCGGCCTATTTTTTATAATGGAATACTGGCCAGGCACGATGGCTCATGCCTATAATCCCAGCACTTTGGGAGGCCAAGGTAGACAAATTGCTTGAGCCCAAGAGTTGGAGAACAGCCTGGGCAACCTGGCAAAATCCCAACTCTTCAAAACATACAAAAATTAGCTGCATGTGGTGGCATACACCTATGGTCCCAGCTACTTGGAAGGCTGTGGCAGGAGGACTGCTTGAGCCCAGAAGTTCAAGGCTGCAGTGAGCTATGATCACAATCCCTACACTCCAGCCTGGGTGACAGAGAGACCCTGTCTCAAAAAAAGTTTTGGTAAGGAAAGTGACCTTTGTAACAATTAATTTGCCCCACTACTATTTACATCTCCCCAGCTGCACAAAGCCTTGAAAATCAATGGCCCCAAAATAAAACAACTAGGACACTAGAGAATTCTCAGGGGTTCTCTTTATTTGGGCTGAACCAGACCTCACTCAGTGCCAACAGCCTTTTCCCTGGGGGTATCTGTCAAACACAACTGGGCAATTGTTTAACATCTTAGCTGCCTGAGGTGGCAGATAACACATGGGCTAACACAAAGCTGGTCAAAAAACAAAGAAAAAAAAAGGCTGGGGAATGGGATGTCCATAAGGGACTTTGAAAAGCTCTGACAAACTTCTTGGAATTTGAGAGACCATAAGCACCATGCCCAGGGGTACGTGAATGCCCAGGGAAAATCTTAGAAGGTCTTAAACCCTTGCCTCTAACCTTGGGGCTCTGTGCAAGCAAAAATGGAAGACTAAGGCAGAGTTGCCAACTGCCTGGTTGAGTGTGGAAAGTGTGCCCCAACACAACACAGAGACCCTTGGGGAAAACTGGGAGACTTTTTGAATTCATGCATCAAAGGAAATCTCTGTTCGTTCATCAGCTGACCAGTAAGTTAAACAAGCTGAAACTTCAGAAGCCACACATGAAAAAGAATACAGATGTTAAGGAATTGGTTCAGGGCCGAGCATGGTGGCACATGCCTGTAGTCACAGCACTTTGGAAGGCCGAGGTGAGTGGATCACTTGAGGACAGGAGTTCGAGACCAATGTTCTGAAATTAGAGCCTGGCCGATGTGGTAAAACCCCATCTCTACTAAAAATATAAAAATTAGTTGGGTGTGGTGGTGTGCTCCTGTAATCCCAGCTACTCGGGAGGCTGAGGCAGGAGAATCACTTGAACCCAGGAGGCGGAGGTTGCAGTGAGCTGAGATGGCACCACTGCACTCCAGCCTGGGCAATAGAGCGAAACTCTGTCTCAAAAAAAGGAAAGAAAATAAAAGAAAGAATTGGTTCAGGAAAGTCACTAAACAAATAACAGTTACAACAACAACAAAGAACAACATAAACCCTGGTACGGTGAAGAAGTGTCACATTATATTATTTCAAATTCCTAGTTGTCAAAAACAAAATTATTAAATATGCAGAAATGGTGGCTCATGCCTGTAATCCCAGCACTGTGGGAGGCCAAGGCGGAAAGATCACTTGGGCCCAGGAGTTCGCGACCTGAGACCTGCCTGGGCAACATAGAAAGATCTCATCTCCACAAAAAGATACAAAAATTAGCCATGTATGGTGGCATGCACCTATAGTCCCAGCTACTCGAGAGGCTGAGTTGGGAAGATCATTTAAGTCCAGGAGTTGGAGGCCACAGTGAGCTAAGATCATGTCACTGTACTCCAACCCGGGTGACAGAGCGAGACCCTGTATCAGAAACAAAAAAAAAAAGACATGCAGAAAGAAAAAAGTATGGTGTATACTCAGGAAGAGAAGAGGCCAAGACATACTATTCTTACTATTATATAAGTAAAATGTGTAATGTATATTCTTACATTATGTTCATATTATTCTGAGTAAGTCCAAACATTGGACTTAATTAGAAAAAGAATTTAAATAAATGATTTCAAATATATTCAAGAACTAAAAGAAACCATGTCTACCAAAGTAAAGTTTAAGACCAACATCTCACCAAATAATATCTATAAACCAAAGGAAATTATCAAAAAGAACCAAATAGAAATCTGGATTTATAATAACTGAAATGAAGCATTCACTAGAGAGGCTCAATAGCAGATTTTAGTTGACAGAAGAAAGAATAAGTGAATTTGAAGATAGATAAACTGAGATTATCCAGTCTGAGGAACATAAAGAGATCTGTGGGACATGAGAGAGTACCACCATGTGCATATTTCCAGAATGAGAGGAGGGAAGAGAAAAGGACTGTGTGTGGTAAATAATTTGGCTGGCCCTAGTTTCTGGGATGTAAACTCTAAATCCAGTGATAGGAGTGTCTTTGTCATTCATGGTGAGCCCCTTAGGACACACATGGTGGTTTATACTACGGGTTGATGCACAGTGGGGCCCGAGAGTCTGTGCTAATGCAATGACTCAGGTTGGGGGCTGGTAACACTAGAAAGACCAACCACATGATTAGAGAGTTGGGGTTCTGAGCAACAAGCTATCTGTCCAATATCATCCTGTTCTCTGCAAATTTGATTTGTATACAACGTCCAGAACAAGCAAATCTATTAAGCAGAAAGTAGGTTTGTGTTTGCCAATGGCAGGGTGGCTGGGAGTAGGACAAAATGGGCAAAATGGAGAGGAGTAATTGCTACTGGATGTGGGGTTTCTTTTGGGGGTGATGATAATGTTCTGAAAATTAGAGGTGGTAGTTACATAACTGTGTGTAGAGAATAAAAACTACTGAATTGTACCGTTCAAAAGACTGACTTTTATACTGTCTGAATTATATCTCAAGAACTATATATATTAATATTTATATATAAATGAAAAATAATATTGAGTCTCTCCAAAGCCAAAATTCCCTACAAATAGAATAAATGTTTCTTAGAACTGCCTGCAATTTTTAAAATAAACATTTAATCCTGAAATCAATAATACTAGTTATTTAAATTACCATATATAGAAGATTTATGAATATTTTCATCATAGGACTTGCCAAGAGTTTGCAAACCAATTACAAGTGACTTACAGAAAATAGTTTTTTGTTTTGTTTTGTTTTTTTTAACGGGACAGGGTCTCACTCCATCACCCAGGCTGGGGTACAGTGGGGTAATCACAGCTCACTGCAACCTTAAACTCCTGGGCTCAAGCGATCCTTCCACCTAAGCTTCCTGAGTAGCTAGGACTACAGGCGTGCACCACCAAGCCTAGCTAATTTTTTAATTTCTTTTTTAGAAATGGGGTCTTGCCATATTGCCCAGGTTGGTCTCAGACTTCCTACCCTCAAACCATCCTCTCGCCTCAGCCTCCCAAATAGTGATACTAAGAATTTTACTGCCTACTATAGAGGCAACAAAAAATATAAGCCAACTGTTCTCTTTAAAAAATCAGCCTTGAAACGTGACTCACCAAGTACACCGCTCTTTGGAAGAAGGTGGTGGTCTCCAGGATTTTATGCATTGTGATGGTTTCTAACTCATCAGGGTCTAGCTGTTCCCTTTCAAAGGGCATTCCATTGAACAGCACAACGGGCAGAGGTCCAACTCCAGTCTGCTCATAGTAGCCTCTTGCTTCCTGAAACACAAGTAACCACAAAAACAGTATATTTTTGCCTTTTGTGAGACAAATGGAACACAGCATATTTTTCTTACATGCCTGTTCTAACAACAATCAATAGAAATATTGTAAAGAAAAAATAACTCAAGATATTTCTTTTTAAAAAAATGAAAAATGACATCAAAGTTAATATCCTACTATGTAAATCTGAGATTGAATTACTGAGTTCAAGTTTTTACAAGACCACAAAAGCTTGCAAATTATGAAGTGCGTGTGTGTGTACGTGTGTTTGTGTATGTGTGTGTGTGTGTGTGTGTGTTTGTGTGTGTGTGTAGCACAGGCTGTCAAAACTGAACTACATATTCTACGGTCAGCACTATACAACAGAACTTTCTGCAATGATGGAAATATTCTATCTGTGCTTGTCTGTGCTGTCCAATGCAGTAGTCACTAACCTCATGTAACTACTGAGCACCTGAAACCTGCCAACTATGACCAAGTAACTAAATCTTTAATTAATTTCCATTTTAAAATCTACATGTGACCATGGGCTGCCAAAATGAGGTGCACAGGTTTTGCTACCATAAATTATAAGCGCTCTATGCAAAAAGCCTGAGGTAAATATTTGCACCCAATTCTAAATAAGGGTCCATATCACTAACAAAGAAATTACACCTGCAGAAAACAAAACAAGGTTTGTGGGGAAACAGTGCTCAACAATTGCTCTAAGACACAATACATCCAATCTTTTCCCTTCTCCAGGACAAAAGAGGTTCACTGGCCAGAAAATACTGGGGCAACAAAACGGCAAATGTACCTAAGACAGACATTTTTCCTGACTGTCAACATAGGTGCTTGTCCCTCAGATTAACTTTTCAGAGTAAAAACTGTATTACCACCCAAGATGTAAAGTGGGCAACTTTACAAATGTCTATCGCACACCTTGTAATTGCCATTTTCTGAAAATAGCAGAATTTAATTATTTATAACCATTTTAGATAGCACCAGTAGAAAAGAACTCCCATTGGGTAACTAATCCGAGTCATCGGTAACAGACTGCTTACTTTCTAATCAGACAAGCTCAATAACAGGTAACAGCACAGAAACTGACAGCCTAAAACATGGCACAGCCTAAAAAGCCTTCTAGGTTGGTTCAAGCCACTTCTCTACATCATAGTTTAAATGTTTTAAATATACACTCCTAAAACTCTTACCATGTTAATTCTGTTCTTTGACATCTCGACTATTTCATAGATATCCATTAAAACTCAATTTTCATCTAACTTTAGTTTTGAAAATCATCCCTGTCAACCAATTAAAACAAGACCAGAAAACTTACATTATAATTCCAAGATACAATAAGATAAATAACATTGGTTTTGTCTGCAAACAGTAACTGAGTGGAAGTCAGGAGTGACAGGGAGGTGTTTGGACTATGTAGCTTCCTTTTTCACCACTCAGAAATAGTTTACAAGACCAAATAACAGAATGCAGCACAATTATCAAACAGCCAAACTGAAAATTCATATGGACAAATTTTCTATCAACAGCTAACTAAAAATATTAAATAATGATAAATAATTAACAAACATTAATTTTTGGTAGTTTTATACTGAGCCACTCACAAACAACTGAGATTAGTAAGGACTCGAAGATAATATGCTAAAGGTAAAGTGTTTGCCCACGTAGGTTAGAACTTTTCCTAATATCATTATCTTACTGGCTTTGAAAGATATAAATATATACCTATCAGACTATATATTCTCATCAGTTTAAAATTTCTACTTTAATTGCATTGCCTACTTTTTAAAATAATTACTTCTTTCAGACACAGAAGATATCATAGCTTCACTATAACAAAAGGAACAGATTTACAAGTGCAATGACATTTATTAGAAGCAGCCATTTTTCCTAAAAT
The DNA here is from genome assembly GCF_000001405.40 of Homo sapiens. Taxonomy (NCBI): domain Eukaryota; kingdom Metazoa; phylum Chordata; class Mammalia; order Primates; family Hominidae; genus Homo; species Homo sapiens. The sequence goes on along the minus strand of NC_000002.12, from coordinate 128,143,902 downwards.
TAACCATTTCAAAAGAATCCATTCCATTGGACTTTTTGTATAGGGGTAAAGCTGCTGTAGTTAAAAAAAAAAAAAATCTCATTAGTCATTAGATTGTTAGGACTTCTGGGATACTCTCCACATCCCTGCCTTAAGAGTACTTCTATTCAAAAAGCTAGACAATTAAATGGATGAAATATAAATAATATGACCTGTTTGTATACAGAAGAGCCTCTAATCAGTACAGATGGCCAAGTCTAGGAAACTAAGGAGCATGGTGTGTGATACTCTCATTCAATTTTTCAGCACAATCAAGATTTCGACACATGTAAAGATATAAAAATACTCCTTTCCCCAGTTTGTCCACTCTACTCATCATTTTTCAAGTAAATACTTTTGATATCATAATCATCCACAATAAAAAGCTACTGGTACTTTCTCTTCAACAGGATAAGAGAAAATGAGACTTAAACAGTTCCATTAAAAGTTAATAAGCAAGTTAAAAATCAGTCATATCTTCACAAGACTGAAATAAAAACTTTTTCAAACACTGAAAAGTGATCTGGTTTCTAAACTTTTAAATGCTAAGTACTGAAACACTTTAACCACCATCGCCATTATTAACCAAAGCCCCCAAACACGGGGTTAAGGACAGTACAATGTTGCAATCAAATAAGAAACACAAAGAAATTTTTTACCTTCCGATTCCGATCATAAGCAGAATCAATCCCCAAAATGCTATTCACTTCTACATACGGATATTTCTTCTCCAGGACACTGACCACATGTTCAACTTTCACTTTTTCTCCAGTCCTCACCTTGTTATAGATCTGAAGAAAGAAAAAACAGTTGGTTAACTACACTTTTAAGTTCAAATTTCAAAGTGTTTATTCCACATTTTTCTGAATTTAGAGGAAAATATACTTATTTTTCTTTTTTTTTTTTTGAGACGGAGTTTTGCTGTCACCCAGGTTGGAGTGCAATGGCACAATCTCGGCTCACTGAACCTCCGCCTTCCGGATTCGTGTGAATCTCCTGTCTCAGCCTCCAGAATAGCTGGGATTAGACACCTGCCACCACGCCCAGCTAATTTTTTGTATTTTTAGTAGAGACAGGTTTCACCATGTTGGCCAGGCTGGTCTTGAAACCCTGACCTCAGGTGATCCACCCGCCTCAGTCTCCCAAAGTGCTGGGATTACAGGCATGAGCCACTGCGCCTGGCCAATTACTTTTCTTGAAAGGTCAAATTGGGACATGTTAGCAATTCTTCCTTTTCCATATACCTTACTAAGATGGCTTCCTAGGTTGGAAATTAAATATTCTTTTTTTTTTTTTTTTTGAGATGGAGTCTCACTCTGTCACCCAGGTTGGAGTGCAGTGGCACAATCTTGGCTCACTACAACCTCTACCTCCCAGGTTCAAGCGCTTCTCCTGCCTCAGCCTCCTGAGTAGCTGGGACTACAGGCACACGCCTCCACGCCCAGCTAATTTTTGTATTTTTTAGTAGAGACGGGGTTTCACCATACTGGCTAGGCTGGTCTTGAACTCCTGACCTCGTGATTCGCCCGCCTCGGCCTCCCAAAGTGCTGGGATTACAGGCATGAGCCACCACACCTGGCCGGAATCAGCTCAGTCTTGTTAAGTGTCAAATGAAAAAATATATTAGTTAAGAAAAATCTAAATAGGCCAGGCAGGCATGGTGGCTCACACCTGTAATCCCAGCACTTTGGGAGGGTGAGGCGGGTGGATCACTTGAGGTCAGGAGTTCGAGAACAGCCTGGCCAACATGCTGAAACCCTACTAAAAACACAAAAATTAGCCTGCCGTGGTAGTGCACACCTGTAATTCCAGCTACTCAGGAGGCTGCAGCAGGCGAATCCCTTAAACCCAGGAGGCAGAGGTTGCTGTGGGCCAAGATCACACAACTGCACTCTAGCTTGGATGATGGAGTGAGACTGTCTCAAAAAAAAGAGAAAAATCTCAACACTTATAAGTAGTCCTTGAAATAAAAACTACATCCACGATGTTTAGGAGGGATGAGGAAAGGGAGAGGGGAGAGATAGAGAAATCTAAATTGACTCCAGTATTATTTATTTGATTTTTTTTTTTTTTTGAGATGGAGTTTCCACTCATCACCCAGGCTGGAGTGCAATGGCACCATCTTGGCTCACTGCTACCTCCGCCTCCTGGGTTCAAGAGACTCTCCAGCCTCAGCCTCCCAATTAGCTGGGCGTGGTGGCAGGCGTCTAATCCCAGCTATTCTGGAGGCTGAGACATGGTGCCTGCCACTATGTCTGGTTAATTTTTGTTTTGTTTTTTGAGATGGAGTCTCGCTTCGTCACCCAGGCTGGAGTGCAGTGGCTCGATCTTGGCTCATTGCAAGCTCTGCCTGCCAGGTTCATGCCATTCTCCTGCCTCAGCCTCCCGAGTAGCTGGGACCACAGGCGCCTGCCACCACGCCCATTTAATTTTTTTTAATTTTTAATAGAGACAGGTTTCACTGTGTTAAAGCCAGGATGGTCTTGATCTCTTGATCTCCTGATCTCGTGATCCACCTGCCTCGGCCTCCCCAAAGTACTAGGATTGCAGGCATGAGCCACCGTGCCCGGCCCAATTTTTGTATTTTTAGTAGAGATGAGGTTTCCCCATGTTGGCCAGGCTGGTCTCGAATTCCTGACCTCAAATGATCCACCCACCTCGGCCACCCAAAGTGCTGGAATTACAGGCATGAGCCACCACACATGGCCAATTTTTGTATTTTTAGTAGAAACGGGGTTTCACCATGTTGGCCAGGCTGGTCTCAAACTCCTGACCTCAGGTGATCTCCCTCCCTTGGCCTCCCAAAGTGCTGGAATTATAGGTGTGAGCCACTGCGCCTGGCCTCAAGTGTTTTTACAGTGAGCAGTATTACTTCACTTCTGAAATAAAAAACAGCAGCCAAGCCCCAGTGGCTCACACGTAAAATCCCAGCACTTTGGGAGGCCAAGGCAGTAAGATTGTTTAAGCTCAGTAGTTCGAGACCAGCCTGGGAAACATAGTGAGACATCATCTCTACCAAAAATTAAAAACAACAACAAAATTAGCTGGGTATGGTGATGCATGCCTGTAGTCTCAGCTATTCCAGGAAGCTGAGGCAGGAGGATCACTTAGGGCCAGGAGTTCAAGGCTGTAGTAAACCCTGACTGCGCTGCTGCAATCCAGCCTGGGCAACAGTGAGATCCTGTCTCTAAAAAAAATTTTTTAATAAAATAAAATAAACAGTGGGTGGTGGGTGTAGCTGGTCCTGTTGTGCTGTGGCTCTGCACAGCCTGCAGTCTCAGGCCGCAGAGCCCAAGAGACATGGAGCCTGGCTTCAATGGTCACGCTGCCATTTAGGAGGGCTGGTTCCATGAGATCTGCAGCCTGAGCCCAGGGAAGCCTTGTTGCTACAGATGGAGCAGCTGCTCCACTGCCAGCGCTCACGCTCCCAGGATATCCTTGTTTTCCACAGTAAGACCCACAGCAGTGTGCTGGTGTTGGATGGCATCATCCCCTGCATGGACAGGGACAAGTTCTCCTACTAGATGAGAATCAACCTGCCATTCAGCAACCACCCCATCCCACAAAAGGTGCTGATCGTCGGGGACAAAGACGGCATCCTGCACAAGGTGGTGAAGCACCCCTCTGTGGAGTCTGTGGTCCGATGATAGACTGAAAAGGATGGCACTCAGGTCTCTAAGAAATTCCTGCCGGGTATGGCCATTGGCTTCTCTAGCTCTAAGCTGACCCTGCATATGGGTGACGATTTTGATTTCGTGAAGCAGAACCAGGATGCCTTCAATATTATGATCACTGACTCCTGGGATCCGCTGAGAGCCTCTTCAAGGAATCCTATTACCACTCATGAAGATGGCCCTCAACGAGGACAGCATTCTCTGCTGCCAGGGCGAGTACCAGTGGCTGCACCTGGACCTCATCAAGCAGACACGGTAGTTCTGCCAGTCACTCTTCTCCATGGTGGCACACGCCTACTGCACTGTCCCCACCTATCCCAGTGGCCAGATTGCCTTCATGCTCTGCAGCAAAAACCCGAGCACCAACTTCCAGAAGCCCATGCAACAAGTGACACGGCAGCAGGTGGAGCAGGTGCAGCTGCTCAGATGTGTACAGTGCTGCCTTCGTACTGCCCAAGTTTGCCTGCAAGTCCCTGAATGATGTGAGCTGAACCCAGGCGCCACAGCAGGTGCCACCCGGGATCTCAGATCTGGGAGCCTCCAGGATGCCTGCGCCCCTTCAGCCCTAGGCCAGATCCCCTGCTGACTGTCACCTGCCAACCAAGTGTTACAAGCCTCAGAATACTGCCCAGCTTTCCCTGCTGAGTGCTGGACTGTTTCTGTGTCTGTCTCTGTGTGACATTCGGCCTCCAAGCCTATACCAGCTGTGTACAGTACCATCTCTCTATCTTCTTTGGCCCCCTCGATCAAACATGTGTACTTATAACAATAAAAAATAAATGAATAAATAAATAAATAAAAACTTTAAAAAGCAGAGTTAAAATATTCTCTGGGCATGGTGGTGCACGGCCGTAATCCCAGCTATTTGGGACTGACATGGGAGGATCCCTTAAGCCTAGGAGTTTGAGACCAGCTTGAGCAACACAACAAGATCTGGTCTCAAAAAGTACATAAATAAATAAAATTTTAAGGTAGCCGTTGTGGAAGATATATTCAAACAAACAAACAAAAGCAAACCTTTAGCAGAGATAAAGTGAATAAAATAACAAAGTATAAAATACTTACTATTCTGAGTGACTTCTTTTGAACCTATTTCATTCTCCGCAGCCCTGCTTAACTACCTTCCCCATTACTTCTCATGGAGATCACTGCAACAGCTCATCAACTGGCATCCCTGCCACTTTGCTTTGCCCTTCCTCAGATCCATCTCTATACACTGCAGCAGACATGACTTTTAAATTCAGGACCCACCCCTGAGCTCTATACACCCCAGCTGCCTAGCATACAATGACCACACATTGTTATTAAGAGTAAGTTAGATCTGAAAAAATTATTTGCCATTCTGAACAAAAACGTACATGTGTCAGAGTCTGGAAGGCATGATAATCATCCACTTCTTGGGCAACATAATTATATGCTCTAAGAACAGCCACTCCAGCATCTTGCATCCCATCAACATCTTCAGAGTCATTAACCACAAAGATAAAACCAATTCTGGAGGGAAAGGGAAAAGAAAAAAAGAAACATGTCAAAGAATGCAAATGGTTAAAAAGAATGACATCCTTGTACCCTTCTCATACATTATAGCTAACAGAGGAAAACTCTTTGAGTGAAAAGCACAGTTCACAGCCTACTCTACTCTAACATGATTGGCAAAGGTATACATACACCACTTACAAAGGTTTTTTTTTTTTTTAGACAGAGTTTCACTCTTGTTGCCCAGGGTGGAGTGCAATGGTGCAATCTCGGCTCACTGCAACCTCCGTCTCCCAGGTTCAAGCGATTCTCCTGCCTCAGCCTCCCAAGTAGCTGCGATTATACGCCACTACCCCTGGCTAATTTTTTGTATTTTTAGTAGAGATGGGGTTTCACCATGTTGGCCAGGCTGGTGTCGAACTCCTGACCTCAGGTGATCCATCAGCCTCGGCCTCCCAAAGTGCTGGGATTACAGGCATGAGCCACCATGCCCGGCCACTTACAAAGTATTAATAAAAAAGCAGGCTCTCAAACGTGGCTTAGGCCTTTCTACTGTTAAAGCAAGCCATTTCCACGTCATGAAAAGATTCCTTTACTGACATGAAGAGCGTTGCTATAGTTTTAAGAGATTTTTTTTTTCTGATTTTAAACAAAAACTAGAATAAAAATTTTCACACTTTCAAAGTAAACAGAAAGGGGGGGATTGTGACATTTAGCACATGCAGTATGAGAATTATTGGTAAAAGAAAAGCCAAAAAAGGTTTACAACTGTCCCACGACAAAAAGCAATAACCAAGGTTAAAGTTTATCAGATTTTAAATTTTAAAATAAAGGAATTAACCACAGAGATACTATTATGTATCTATAGATGGGCTGGCAAAAAAGACTTTGCACTGAACATACTGGGGCAAAGGCATTTCAATGGACAAAGAATCATCTTTTCAATAAATGGTGCTGAACAACTGGACATGCACATGCATATTAATCAGTCTAGACCAGACTTTATATCTTTCACAAAAATTCATTCAAAGTGGATCACAGGTCTAAATGTAAAACACAAAAACAAAAATTCCCAGACGATAGCAGAGAAGAAAATTTAGGTGGTCTCGAGCTTGGCAATGATGTTAGATCCAAAAGCACAATCCATGAAAGACAACACTTGGTTAATTTGGACTTCACTAAAATTAAAAATGTCTGCCCTGTGAAAGATACTATTAACAGAATGAAAGGACAAGCCATAGAGTGGCAGAAAATCTTTGCAAAACAACCATCTGATAAAGGACAGGTAAACAAAATATGCAACTCTTCTTGTTTGTTTTTCAACAGGGCCTTGCTCTGTTGCCGAGGCCAGAGTGCAGTGGCACAATCAGCTCATTGCAGCCTCAAACCTCTGGGCTCAAACAATCCTCCACTTCAGCCTCCCAAGTAGCTGGGACTACAGGTGTGTGCCACCACGCCTGGCTACTCTTTTTTAGTTCTCTGTAGAGATGGAGGTCTTCTCATGTTGCCCATGGTGATCTCAAATCCTGGCCTCAAGCGATCCTCCCACCTTGGCCTCCCAAAGTCCTGGGATTATAGGCATGAGCCATTGCACCTGGCTTACAAAGAACTCTTAAAACTCAACAATAAGAAAACAACCAAAGTTTTAAAAATGGAGACAAAAGGGCAGGGGGAAAAAAAGAAGAAAAAAGAAAAGGACAAAAAATCTGAACAGACACTTCACCAAACAAGATATACAGATAGGTGATAAATATAAGTAGATCCTGAACATCATATGTCATTAGGGAACGGCAAATTAAACAACAATGACATACCACCACACACCTATCAGAATGACCAAAATCCTAAATACTGGTAAAACCAAATGCTGGCAAGGCTGTGGAGCAACAGGATCTCTCATTCATTGCTGGTGGAAATGCAAAATGGTACCGCTACTTTAGAACAAAACTAAGCATACTCTTACAAAACTAAGCATACTATTAACACACGATGCAGCAATCACGCTCCTCGGTATTTACCCGAAGAAGCTGTAGACATGTCCACACAAATACCTGCACCCAGATGTTTATAGCAGGTTTATTCATAACTGCCAAAACTTGTAGGCAACCAAGGTATCTTTCAATTAAGTGAATGGATAAATAAATGGGGGGACATCCACATAATGACTATTATCCAGTGATAAGAAGAAATGAGCTATCAAGCCACTAGAAGACACAGAGGAAGCTTAAATGCACATTGCTCAGTGAAAGACACCAATCTGAATAGGCACACGCCGTATGACTGCAACCTAGTTCTGGAAAATGCAAAACTATGAAGACAGTAAAAAGATCAGTAGTTGCCAAAGATTTAGGGGAAGGGAGGAAGAGATAAACAAGTGAAGCACAGGAGATTTTTAGGGCAGTGAAACTAATCTGTATTAAACTGTATTGTAATGTGAATACTTTACATCATACATTTGTGTCATCAACACAAATAACAAATCTTAATGTAAACTATGGAGTTTAGTTAATAATAATGTATCAATATTTAGCAGCCAACATGCAGGACCACATGAGCTCCTACAAAGAAGGAAAGAGCAGCCTGTATGCCTGGCTCTCTCCAACTATTCACAATCTCTCAGTTGCCTAGGAGTTCAAGTGCCTTCTTCTCACCTGCCTTTGCAATCAGAAGACCACATGCCCTCTTCTCGTCCCTCAATTCAAGAAATATTGTATTAGTGCCAACTGTGTACCACGACCCAACTTCTTCTGTGTCCTTATATTTCTCTTTTGATCAAAACATAGCTCTGGTTGTGATCCAGTAATAGGTTCTTCCATCTAACCAGATGTATTCATGCTTTATATGAAAAATGTCATGAAACTCAAAATCTCTGCATTTCCAACTATCAGAACCCTCTGTTTTCCTCAAAGCCTATTTGAAATCCAACTTCTCCAAAAACCTTTGGCTTCCCAAATATCTCAATGATTTTTTTTGTTTCCCTGAAATCCTAACGCACTTATAACTAACCAGTAGGACATAACCTAGCAGTTGATCATATATCTCCCTAAAGGGTTTGAAAGTATACAGAGGATCTTTTCCAAGAAGGTAGAATAAGGCATACATGTTTACAGCATTTAGCCCAGTAGTAATCATGGAACACACAGTAATATTTATTGAATAAAGAGTTATTTTCTTCTTTATTTTCACATTTTCTAAGAATTAAAATTTCACCAACATGTAAAATTACCAGAATTATTTAGAATGTAGGTGAAAATATCTTAGCATTTATATGTAAAACCTTTAAAAAATAAAAAAAACTGTTCTTAAAAAGACAGTGGAAATCCAGCCACTCAGTACCCTGTAGGCAGGTTTGGCAACACAAGTGAAGTAACTGTTACTGTTTGCATCTACAAAAGGCTGTGTATATGTTTAGTCCTTGACAGGCTAACAAGTTATTGGCAATGCTCTATATCTCTGCTGAAAGTGGAAATAGGTTTTGTGATGTGGACACTCACCTAGGAAAATTCCCTTCCATTGGGAAGCAAGCTGCAGCCAGAAACTATTTTTACATGGGCTATTTATTGATAATTCATTGGTGGTAAGCTTCTATTCATTGAGAAGCAAATTCTCAGTCCCAAAAGACACTGGCTTCATACTGACCAGAAGATAAAATTGCCATTAGTGATGTGCACTATTAATTATCCTACAACTCAGTAGCACCAGACTTGCATTTAAAAATGACAAATAAAACCTCAGCTAAATTAGATACATCATCAAATCAATACCAGTGTTACCTTAGTGGTATATGATTACTAAGGAACATCTCAGCTGTGTTCATCAACTCTGCTGTGGTCTCATGTGCAGGATCAACTATGAAAACCTGTTGAAGAAAGGGAAAAGAACACATGAAATGACATTTATTCAAGTATCTGTGGGCCGAGAAAAATGTTATGAGTCACTGTACATGAAGCCAACCTTTTTCGAGCTACGCTTGAACCACATAAAAGATGAATTACACACATAGCAGCTACCTCCCTCTATGTTCAAAAAACCTGGTACTGAAGGGCTAGGTGATTTTCTCATGGACTTACGCTGATAACAAGGGAACTGTACTCCAAAGTGATGATGCCGCTTTTTCTACTACACCAAATGAAAACCAAGTTTAGCAACTCTCTCACCTTAAAAAATGGAGCCTGCCTTTTTGTATATTCATTTCTGAGGATCTCTGAATTAAGAATTCACTTAGAACCTAATTCTTAGACCACAGCCACAGCTGTCAGGCAAGCATATAAACACGTATTACGTGTTAAGCAACTTAGACGTATTCTCTCGCTTAATAAAGTTCAGACATGTGGTAAAACAGAATGAGATTTAAATTCTGACTAGAAAGGAAAGAAGTGGTTTCAAGAGACAGAAAAGTGGCCAGGCATGGTGGCTCACACCTGTAATCCCAGCACTTTGGGAGGCCAAGGCAGGTGGATCACCTGAGTTCAGGAGTTTGAAACCAGCCCAGCCAATGTAGTGAAACCCCGTCTCTACTAAAAATACAAAAATCAGCCAGGTGTGGTGGCATGCACCTGTAATTCCCACTACTGGGAGGTGAGGCAGGAGAATCACTTGAACCCCAGGGGGCAGAGGTTGCAGTGAGCCGAGATCCTGCCACTGCACTCCAGCCTGGGCAACAGAGCAAGACTCTTTCTGCGGGAGTGGGGGGAAGAAAAGAGACAGACAAGAAGAAAAGTAGAGAGGGTAATCTTCCCTGCAAGTTCTGAGGAGGCCAACCTTGGCACTAACCCTACCACTATCTCTTTCCCGGCTGTGTGAGGGAAGGGAAAGAAATGAGAGGGAAAAAGTGGGCCAATGAAGAACCCTCTCTCTCTCTCTCTCTAAAGCAGTGCAAGAAGGAATAACAAGTAGGAGTTGGCAAACAACCATATTTAAGGGAATAAATTAAACTGCTGAATTTTAGGGATTAAGATATTAAAGAAAAACAGTAGCAATATGCTGTAATATACTGTAAAAAAAGAGCTATCTTAAAACTAGTAAAACAATATTGCTATGAAACTAAAACTGCCCTAAAAAATATAAAGTCTTAAAATAAAAACAAACACATCACTGAATGGTGTGAAGAGTATGAAAAGGAAACTTATTCAATCTGGAAAAGCTGATTAGAAAAAATAAAAATTAAAAAATTAAAAATGTTTTAAAATTAAAAACAAATTAAAAGACTAAAACAATAGTCTAAACCTTCGTGTTAAAAATGAGCATTTCCCCACACTCTGAGGGGGGCTGTAATGCTCCTGTTACATCCCACAGCCCCACAAGTGGTCAGTACACTACAAAGCCTTTCCAGTGTGAACAGGGAAGAGTATTTGGTGAAGGGTGGGGGAGGAAGCAGCTAGTAAAGGTGAGAAGTGACCATTCTACATGACAAAAAAAGAGGGACTAGGCAAGGGAGAAACAGAGTTCACAGCCAGACAATAAGTTTTACTTACCATATTATGTAAGTTTTTCCTGATCTGCCGAATAACACCAGGAAAGGTGGGTCGAAGCAACTCTTGTAAACTAGAAGGCCACGAATTATATCTGCTATCAACCTCCAGGTTGTTGACCCACTACAAAAAATAACACAACAGGATACATGCACATTAGGAACCAGTTAGTAAAACCTGCAATAATATCAATAAGACTTTAAAATATTTTAAGAAGAATCATGTGAGACAAGACCATTTTCAAAGATAAAAAGATTGGCTGCAGTGAGTGGCTCACATCTGTAATCCTAGCACTTTGGAAGGACAAGGCAGGAGGATCACTTGAGCCCAGGAGTTCAAGACCAGCCTGGGCAATATTATGAGACCCCCATCTCTGCAAAAAAATATAAAAATTAGCCAGGCATGGTGGCTGCTGTCCCAGCCACTCAGGAGGCTGAGGCGGGATGATCACCTGAGCCCAAGGGGTTCGAGGCTGCAATGAGCCATGATTGTGCCACTGCACTCCAGCCTGAACAACAGAGCAAGACCCTATCTCAAAAAAACAAACAAAAAAGATACAAAGATCGAGTGGAAAAATGAGTGACTAAAAGATAAGCCACAGAATAGATGAAGACATTTGTAACCTACAAACCCAATAAAGGACTAGCGTCAAGAATGAAGAAGACATAAAAATAAAAGAAAGAAGCGAAATTTTTTTTGTTTGTTTGTTTTTGTTTTTGAGATGAAGTCTCTCTATTGACGAGGCTGAAGTGCAGTGGAGCAATCTCGGCTCACTGAAACCTCTGCCTCCTGGGTTCAAACGATTCTCGTGCCTCAGCCCCCCGAGTAGCTGGAATTACAGGCACCCACCAACACGCCCAGTGAATTTTTGTACTTTTAGTAGAGGTGGGGTTTCGCCATGTTGGCCAGGCTGGTCTTGAACTCCTGACCTCAAGTGATCCGCCCACCTCGGCCTCCCAAAGTGCTGGGATTACAGGTGTGAGCCACAGCACCCAGCCCTAAACTTTTTAAGAACAAAGGAAAAAAGAAAATGTAAAAAAAAATCGGAAAAAAAAAAAGAATATGAAAAATAAACAGCGGAAACCCAAATGGGCAATAAACATAAGAAATGTGTACACCCTCAATTGTAATCTAGGAACTATGAGCTAAGACCTCAATGAAATTTCATACTCGCTAGACAGAAAAAGTGAAAGTTTGTCAAGACCAAGAATAGGAAAAGATATAGAGCAAAGAGAACTCTCATGCAATGCTGGTATGTGGACAAACACTTTAGAGAACTGGATCTAATAAAGTTGAAGACTATATTAGTACTAATTTTTCTAAAATAAATGCAGTACTGCCGGGTGTGGTGGCTCACGCCTGTAATCCCAGCACTTTGGGAGGCCAAAGTGGGCAGATCATGAGATCAAGAGATTGAGACCATCCTGGCCAACATGGTGAAAGCCCCATCTCTATTAAAAATACAAAAATTAGCTGGGCATGGTGGTGTGCGCCTGTAGTCCCAGCTACTCGGGAGGCTGAGGCAGGAGAATCGTTTGAACCTGGGAGGCGGAAGTTGCAGTGAGCTGAGATCACACCACTGCACTTCAGCCTGGCAAGAGAGCGAGACTGCAATGCAACACAACGCAATGCAACACAATGCAACACAACACAACACAATACAATACTCTAGTTCCAGATATCTACCCCAAATAAATTCACATGTATACACAAAAAGAGAGGAAAAAAGAGCCTAATTAAAGTAGTGTTTACAACAGCAAAACATCAGAAACAACTTCATGTCCACAAAGAGCAATTGTTCAGGAGGCTGAGGCAGGAGGACCTCTCAAACACAGGAGTTTAAGGCTGTGGTGAGCTATGATTGCATTCCTGCATTCCAGCAGGGTTTCACCATGTTGGCCAGGCAGGTCTCCAACTCCTGAGCTAAAGTGATCCGCCCACCACGGCCTCCCAAAGTGCTGGGATTACTGGCGTGAGCCACCGCGCCTGACTGGATTATCCCAATTTTTTTTTTTTTTTTTTTTTTTTTTGAGACAAGAGTCTCACTCTGTCGCCCAGGCTGGAGTACAGTGGCTTGATCTCGGCTCACTGCAACCTCTGCCTCCCGAATTCAAGCAATTCTCCTGCCTCAGCCTCCCAAGGAGCTGGGATTACAGGTGTGTACCACCACGCCCAGCTAATTTTTGTATTTTTAGTAGAGATGGGGTTTCACCATGTTGCCCAGGCTGGTCGCGAACTCCTCACCTCAAATGATCCACCCACCTCGGCCTCCCAAAGTGCTGGGATTACAGGCGTGAGCCACTGTGCCTGGCCTCAAATTTTTAGAATATTAAATAGGAGTCAGGTAAGGTGGTGCATGCCTATGGTTCCAGCTATTCAGGAAGCTGAAGCAAGAGGATTGCTTGACCGCAGGAATTTGAGTCCAGCCTGGGCAACATAGTGAGACTCATCTCTAAAAAAACAAAAGAAAGAAAGAAAAATATATTTGATAGAAAATAAAAGGATAAAATAAGGGACAAGGGAATGCACACCAACTTGAGAAAAGATATGAACTTCAGGAAGGAGAGGGGTGGTTGGTAAGGGACAAAGAAGGGCTTCAACTAAAACTGTTTCTTCCCCCAAGAAAACAGTTAAATCTGACACAAAATGATTAAATGTTAACATTTAGTAAGCATGATGATGGGTCCTATGGTTGTTAGTCCCTTTATGTTTGCATAAACATGTCATGTTGATGTTATTATCTTTTACTCTTTATAAGTACTTTTAACAGAAAAGCAAATGACATTAACAATGTCTTCATCAAAATAAGTTATATCACCAAGTATGAATTCAAGTAATGATTATCTACATTCTACATTATTTCTCTTAAATAAAATTTTTCTAAAATGAATGCAGTACAGAAACCAAGAAAAAATAAGATCAGCTCTCCACTCACCTTATTTTTTACCACAACTGCCCAAGATGGCACTATTCCCCACATTCTCTATTTTTTTTTTTTTTTTTGTGACGGAGTCTTGCTCTGTCACCCAGACTGGAGCGCAGTGGCGTGATCTCAGCTACCTGTAACCTCCACCCCCAGGTTGAAGCAATTCTCCTGCCTCAGCCTCCCGAATAGCTAAGATTAGGAGGTGTGTGCCACCACACCCGGCTAATTTTTGTATTTTGAGTACAGACGGGGTTTCACCATGTTGGCCAGGCTGGTCTCAATCTCCTGACCTTAGGTGATCCACCCGCCTTGGCCTCCCAAAGTGCTGGGATTACAGGCACGAGCCACCAAGCCCAGCCCTATTCCCCACATTCTCTGACAGATGACAAGACAAAGGCTCAGAAAGATCATATGGCAGGCAAAAGTCTATATAAATCCTTCAAATCTCAAATATCAAAATCCTACTAAAGAAGGTTCTTAGCTAAAAAGTGACATTTTCAATAGTAGTTTTAATTTACAGATGTCACGACATCACACAAGATCTGTATGCAATTGAGAAAATACAAACTAAACGCTTTTTCCCAAGAGATGCTCAGCTGAATACCAGGGGCATGCTCAAGTGAAAAAAATCACTGTCTTGGCCAGGCGCACTGGTTCACGCCTATAATCGCAGCACTTTGGGAGGCAGAGGTGGGTGTATCACCTGAGGTCAGGAGTTTGAGACCAGCCTGACCAATATTGTGAAACCCCGTCTATACTAAAAATACAAAAATTAGTCAGGCGTGGTGGCAGGCTCCTGTAATGCCAGCTACTCGGGAGGCTGAGGCAGGAGAATTGCTTGAACCTGGGAGGCAGAGGTTGCAGTAAGCCAAGATCGCGCCACTGCACTCCAGCCTGGACAACAGAGCAAGACTCTGTCTTGAAAAAAAAAAAAAAAAAATCACTGTCTTAACCACATTAGCAACAATAACTCAACTTTTTGAAGCATTTAAGGGCCTACTTTATTACATACACAAAGTCCCATATAAGCAATTATAAATCTTTCACACCAACAAAAGAGATGGTGGGAGTAACTTCACCCTCATAAGAGACAAATCAGAAACCATAAAAAAGATTCCTGGTCAGAAAGTCCTTTGATCACCCTAACAAAATACTCACTGAAATAGCAGGACTCCGGATGTCTACGGCATAGTCTGCCTCAGAGGGCTGGATGTTCAGCTTCAAAACATTATGCAGAGAAAGGCCTTCTATTCCCAATCTATGCAGACCCTCCATTACCCGAGCTTCATTCCTCAACACATCAAACAGACTGGGGGGAAAAACAAAAAGAGATATTTACTAGGAAAAAAAGCTTTTAAAAAAAATTCTCACCATGAAAAAAAATGTATCAGTTCAACCTCAATGCCAAATCAAATTAATTGAGAAATTTAAAAAAGCAATAAACACACAAATTGAGGATAAAATAACCCTAAATCTATACTTTTACACCACATGATTTTAAAAACAGTACATTAATCTCTCTGTATTCTTTCTTATAACTGCATATGTATTTACAATTATCTCAAAATAAAGATTAAAAAGAGATACTACATTATATATGCTTAATATATGTTTCAATGTCAGTACCAATTCACAGAGGCAAACATATGACCACAGAAAAAAGCCTGAAAGAATCCACACCCAACTTAGAGGTTTGCTGGGAGAGACAGAAGAGATAGAGATGAAGGGCTGGGCGCGGTGGCTCATGCCTGTAATCCCAGCACTTTGGGAGGCCAAGGCGGGCGGATCACAAGGTCAGTAGTTCGAGACCAGCCTGGCCAACATGGTGAAACCCCATCTCCACTAAAAATACAAAAAAAATAGCTGGGCATGGTGGCAGGTGCCTGTAATCCCAGCTACTCAGAAGGGTGAGGCAGGAGAATCTCTTGAACCCGGGAGGCAGAGGTTGCAGTGAGCCAAGACCATGCCACTGGACTCCAGCCTGGGCAACAGAGTGAGACTCCGTCTCCAAAAAAAAAAAAAGATAGAAAGGAAGGAGAAATAAGATGTGATTAAAAAAATTTCTTTTGAGACTCCATCTCAAAACAACAAATGAATAAAGTCTGAATTGTGCCTGTCTGCTACCCACCCCAAAATCATGAAGACAATCGAATGCAATTTAATACTGAACCACATTTTACCAAAAAGTGGATATTCAAATAATATATGTAGACAGAACACCTTCTGAGACACAAGAGACAGTTTTTTTTTGTTTTTTGTTTTTTGAGATGGATTCTCACTCTGTTGCCCAGGCTGGAGTGCAGGGGTGCAATCTCAGCTCACTGCAACCTCCGCCTCCCAGGTTCAAGTGATCCTCCTGCCTCAGCCTTCCAAGTAGTTGGTACTACAGATACACACTACTAGGCATGGCTAATTTTTGTATTTTTAGCAGAGATGGGGTTTCACCATGTTGGCCAGGCTGGTCTTGAACTCCTGACCTCAAGTGATCCGCCGGCCTCAGCCTCCCAAAGTGCTGGGATTTCAGGCATGAGCCACCGTGCCAGGCCCAGAGGCAGTTATTTTTAATAAATCTACTTCACACTGTTCCAAAAGCCAAAGAACCTGTTCTTTTCTATGTTCCCATGGTTAAGTGGAAAAGTATAGCTTCTAAAAGGACAGCCTCAGAAAACACTCAGGCCTTGAACACACACTGTAACACAAGATGGAGATATGTCATCCTGCCTACCCATCATGGCATGTGCCTACTACCTACGTCCACCCAGTGGGGGCTGGTAAGCCATCAGACTTTGCATCATGCCATATCAAGAAGGAACGGCAATATGAACATGTTACAAGGTGCTACGCATTACAAAAACTTTTCAGAGAATGAAAAATATTATCCATACCTGAATATATCCTGTGTATCTAAATCCATGTGAAGTCCATTGATGAAGAGGGCTGAATCTCCAGGTTGTAATCCTAAAGTTCCCTTGAAATACTGAAAAATTTTAATAATTATTAGGGAGCTGTGAGAGAATGTTTTAAAAAAAATTTTATTGTTTCTGGGCTTCACTACCTGTACAAATCTTGGCATCCTAAGGCAGGGCTAAGATTTGCTTCAAGATGCTGTTGGGATTCAATGGCAAGTAAGACAGGGGATAATACCACAGTGTATACACATTTCGAAACATGTTGTACACCACAAAAATATGCAATTTTTACTTCTCGATTTTAAAAAGAAGAGAAAAAAATAAGGAGATCATGGAAAGGTGTATCAATTGTGAACTGGAATTTCTTCCGAGAGAGAGGAATTCACATCTACTCACTCGCTGGCTGAGTGCACAGCACCATCAGACGATAAAAAAAGGCTGATCCAGGCCAGGCACAGAGGCTCACACCTGTAATCTCAGCACTTGGGGAGGCCAAGGCAGGTGGATCACTTGAGGCCAGGAGTTGGAGACCAGCCTGGACAACGTGGCAAAACCCCGTCTCTATTAAAAATACAAAAATTAACCAGCTATGGTGGTGTACTCCTATAGTCCCAGCTGCCTAGGAGGCTGAGGCACAAGAACCGCTCGAACCCAGGAGGTAGAGGCTGCAGTGAGCCGAGATAGCACCACTGCACTCCAGCTTGAACGACAGAGCAAGACTGTCTCAAAAAAAAAAAAAAAAAAGACTGACCCTGAGCTGGTGAATAGCATATCTATTTCTAGGTCTGGACACTGGTAATATAGATGGGTTCATTTTGGGAAAGTTCATCAAACGAATGACTGAGAATTTGTGTGCTTCCCTCTTTGTGTTTCATATATACATTTTGGGCAGGGCACAGTGGCTCATGCCTGTAATCCCAGCACTTTGAGAGGCCGAGGCGGGTGGATTACCTGAGGTCAGGAGTTTGAGACCAGCCTGACCAACATGGTGAAACCCCATCTCTACTAAAATTACAAAAAATTAGCTGGGCGTGGTGGCAGGTACCTGTAATTCTAGCTACTTAGGAGGCTGAGGCAGGATAACTGCTTGTACCTGGGAGGCAGAGGTTGCCATGAGCCTAGATCATGCCACTGCATTCAGCCTGGGCAACAGAGCAAGACTCTGTCTCAAAAAAAAAATACATTTTGGTCAAGCATGATGGTTCATGCCTGTAATCCCACCACTTTGGGAGGCCAAGGCAGGCAGATCATGAGGTCAGGAGATCGAGATCATCCTGGCCAACATGGTGAAACCCCGTCTCTACTAAAAATATAAAAAAATTAGCTGGGCGTGGTGGCACGCGCCTGTAGTCCCAGCTACTCGGGAGGCTGAGGCAGGAGAATCACTTGAACCGGGAGGCGAAGGTTACAGTGAGCTGAGATCATGCCACTGCACTCCAGCCTGGGCGACACAGCAAGACTCTATCTCAAAAAAAAAAAAAAAAAAGTATATATTTATGCTTTAATAAAATGTTTTACTCAAAAAAAATTAAGACTCCATGAAACAGCAATATAGTATAATTTTGTCTTCCTTAGTGGGGAAAAAGGCCCTAAATTTAAGATAATATTTGATATTTTTACTTTGGAAACTAAAAAGTAAATAAAAACTCCCAATAAGGTTTTTCAATTTAGTAAACATTTGAGAAACATTTATTTATCCCTCAGATGTACTTAATTCACTAATATCTCAGATATAAAGATTAAGGAAATTTGGGGTAAAGATAGTGAATTGAACATAAGAACATTTTTCCCTCCTGAATTCTACTGAAATGTCACTAGAGCTACTTTTTCAGTTATAAATCCACAAAGACAAAGAGAACAGGAAAGAAAAAGGCCACCAAATTTTGGAAGCTGGAAGAGAGGTGGGTGAGGAGTCACTGTCCCAACAGCCCTGAGAAAGCTGAATGTTAGACCAACAACAGGAAAGGTCAACAAGAAACCTGTGTCACCCTGTGGAACTCACCAAAGGCTCAGGAACTGGCAGCACACAGGACATGTACAAGGGGTGATTATTAGCTAAGTTCTGATATAAAGCCCTTTAAGACAAAACCCCCCAGCCCCCCAACTGATTTCCCACAGCCAGGTGCCTGAGGTCGGTGCTACCCCCTACTCCAGCAAAATGAAGGCTCATTCCCTGGAAAAGAACAAAACAGAACATCTGTGGACAATGGCAAATCAAGCACAAGGAGGACAGGGACCCCACACACATAATGGGGAATCGAAGGCAAGTCACCAAACGCTCTTCCCTACTGTGCTTCTACAGCTCTAGCAAACAGATTTCACCCACCAGCCAGAAGACTGACGGATCCTTTTCTGGAGACTGACAAGGACTGACCAACCCAAAAGAAAAGGAACAAAGATACTGTAACTGGGGTTCCCTAGGAAATGGTCACAACAGAACACCTTACAGTCACAAAGCCACATCATTAGGACTTCCAACCAGGTCCTTAGTGCCTCACTCTGAGTGTGATCACCAGACACCTAAGGAAGGCCTCCACCACTGAAAAGACCAAAACCCAAAAACGCAGCTTAAGAGGAAACAGACTTTGCAGACAGAAAACACAAGCACCATTATCTTCAGAGATACACGGGAACACCATAAAAAGAACAAAAAAAACCCCTGAAAATTAAATATTTGACAACTAAAGGAAAAAAGATACACACAGGTTAAAAACTCTTACCAGAAAGTGTTTTTTTTTTTTGAAAAAGAGAAAAGAATAGGAAAGAAGAGACTTTTAAAAGGCCAAACTAGTCAGAGGTGCAACATTTAAAAAATAAATAAATACATATTTCTAGGAAAAGAGGAAAGAGAAACCAGAGAGAAGAAACACAAACAAAGAATTTAAGAAAATTTCCCAAAGCTAAAGGAAATGATTTTCAAGATTTTAAGGGCCCACGAACCACCTAACAGTACAGAGATTTTTTTAAAAACACACATAATTATGAAATTTCAGATAGCTAGAGTCAAAGAAAAGATCCTTAAGAGATCTCATACAAAGGCTTCAGATTTCTCAACAGCCACAATGGAAACTAAAATTCCAAGAGGCGATGCCTTGTTTCAAATTTTGAAATGACTTCCAACCTAAAATTGTATAACCTGCCAATATTGTATAACGAGCTATCAATAAAAACAAGTAGAAAGTTGGCTGGGCGCGGTGGCTCATGCCTGTAATCCCAGCACTTTGGGAGGCCGAGGCGGGTGGATCATGAGGTCAGGAGATCGAGACTATCCTGGCTAACACGGTGAAACCCCGTCTCTACTAAAAATACAAAAAAATTAGCCGGGAGTGGTAGCAGGCGCCTGTGGTCCCAGCTACTTGGGAGGCTGAGGAAGAAGAATGGCGTGAACCTGGAAGGCGGAGCTTGCAGTGAGCTGAGATCACGCCACTGCACTCCAGCCTGGGTGACAGAGCAAAACTCCATCTCCAAAACAAAAACAAAAACAAGTAGAAAGTTGATTTCTCAGAATTTCAAATTTGCCTCCCAGGCAACTTTTCTCACAAAGAATGATGAGCTGTACCAAAACAAGGAAATAAACCAAAAACACAAAAGACATGGAATCAAGCAACAGAGGATCCAACAAAGGAGGTTAAAGGAAGGTCTCAGGATGACCGGCATGCCCTGGGCATAAAGAGCAACCAGTCCATCTCAGACCACATCAAAACCAGGTAAAACCACAACATCCAATATTGAGAAGATGGATAGACAGGAACAGTGCCAATATAGAATAGTGGTGGGACACTGAGGGGGAGGCAGTGAAAGAAAGTTAAACCACACTGTTTAAATAGGAGGCCAATATATAATGTCTGAACGTGAAAAATAAAGTACCAATGTAAGCTAGAATTCTGGAGAGAAATATCAGAAGAATCAGCTAAATGTCGAAAGTGAATGTCTTCAGGAACGGGGTGAGACATGTTAGGGGTGCTGCTTTCCTAAACAACACGGTAGCACCACTTCATGCTTTCAGTTATGTGCATACTGAACTTTCATTAAAAACTAAAAATGCAAAGATCACAGAAATGAAAAAATCACCATCTTAGATAAAAGAAGAGTGACACTGTTAAATGCTGCTGATTAAACTCAGATTTCCTTATCTTTAAAGATAGAATACAAAACAGGTCAGTATTTTCTATCGGTGAATACCTTCTGATTCTCTTCCACTTCGGTTCTAAGTTCTGAGCTCACAGCTGTTTTTGTTATTGCTCTAAGGAAATAAAAACATTATGAGTGCTTGGCTTAATATTTGATATAAAGTCTTCAATTTCCATATTTTAAAATATGAAACACATTATTCAATAAATTAGAAAAAACTGAATGGGAAAAACCTTAAATTTTTATAATTGATAAATATATTTCTCCTTTCTCAGATGTGTATATTTTTTGTAAGATACAAAATCAAAGAAATGTAGCAGCTATAGCATTATAAAACAGGTGCAGTTGTTTCCAAGTTCTTAAAACATATGCACCCCATTTCTATATATGATCTCTACTACTCTCAGGCTAAAAGGATAATGTTGAATACACCAAGGCAGCAGATTGCTCTTCCCACTTAAGCACTTATGGTGGAGGTGGAATCATTCATGTATACCTTCAAGTAGCAGCTGGACTAAATGAGAATTCACTACATGATGTCTAAGTCCCAAATAAACAAACTTAGTTATAAAATATCTCACATCAGAAGTCAAAACACTTCATTCAGTGACTCAAGAAAATGACTGGGAACCATTCAAGTCAATAGTTTCTAAAAATGTGGCTTTTAAAACAATTTTGCCTTGCATTTATGAGATGTGCAGCAATATTACAGAATTGAAGGCAATGTCAGAAAACGTACAAACAAAATCTTTTTTTTTTTTTTTAGACGGAGTTTCGTTCTTGTTGCTCAGGCTGGAGTGCAATGGCATGATCTTGGCTCACTGTAACCTTCACCTCCCGGGTTCAAGCGATTCTCCTGCATCAGACTCCCGAGTAACTGGGATTACAGACCCCTGCCACCACGCCCAGCTAATTTTTTGTATATTCAGTAGAAAAGCGGTTTCACCATGTTGGCCAGGCTGGTCTGGAACTCCTGACCTCAAGTGATCCACCCACCTTGTCGTCCCAAAGTGCTGGTATTACAGGTGTGAGCCACCATGCCTGGCCCACTTCCCCCTTTTGAGCACCAGACAAGGCGGGTGGATCACCTGAGGTCAGGAGTTCCAGACCAGTCTGATCAACATGGCAAAACCCTGTCTCTACTAAAAATACAAAAATTAGCCAGGCCTTGGCCTCCCAAAGTGCTGGGATTACAGGCATGAGCCACCAAGCCCGGTCCAAACAAAATCTTATTCTGTCACTATGAACTAGTCACTTAGCCTCTATGACTCAGTTTCTTCAAGATTCAATAAGATGACATATGTAAAACCTTTCATGAAGAAAACCACTATGGTCTGGGACAGACTCTAGATTAGTTAGTTATATGAGCAAGACTCATCCAATCCTGAAAGGCAGGTATTTTAATTCTCGTTCCACTGCTGAGGAAACTGAGGTTGTTTATTTGCAAAGGTCACACAACTAATAAGTGGAAGTGCTAAGAACATAACCTAAATCTGTCACTTCAACCACACAATGCATGGTCTTGCCATCTTCAAGACACAGAGCACCATCTGCAATAGTAGTGGTGGTGGTCATAAAGAATCTTAATTTTCGCCAGGCGTGGTGGCTCACGCCTGTAATCTCAGCACTTTGGGAGGCCAAGGCGGGCAGATCACTTGAGGTCAGGCATTCAAGACTAGCCTGGCCAACACAGTGAAACCCTGTCTCTACTAAAAATACAAAAACTTAGCTGGGCATGGTGACGCACGTCTGTAGTACCAGCTACTTGGGAGGCTGAGGCAGGAGAATCGCTTGAACCTGGGAGGCGGAGGTTGTGGTAAGCCGAGATTGCACCACTGCACTCTAGCCTCGGCAACAAGAGTGAGACTCCATCTCAAAAAAAAAAAAAAAAAGAATCTTAATTTTCTAGGAATTTTCATATTGTTATTACCTCATTTGGCAAGTGAACATGACGATGACTGGGTATGATGTTAAGGAGAAGAGCATTATTCTACATTACCTGGCTTTGGTAGGAAAATTCTGACTAAGATCCTTCATGACAACCAAAGCCAACTCAACAGGAGAAGCCAAGATTCGAGCAGCAGTCTGGAAACTGAGATCTGCAACAATGTCAAATATAATTAAAAGTGGATTAATCTAATGCAATGAGAAGCAGAAAACAAAATCCAAATTTACTTCCCACTCTTTTCATGGTAATTAAGAATATCTTCGAATGCAACCATTCCAGAGAGTGCCCATGATTTAATTTCAGGTTTTATTCACTTCAAAGATCTCTGGAGTATTCAGTTGAGCCGTTTCTGATATATCTGCAGAAAACACTAGGGCACACACTAACGCTACACTAACGCATGTAGCACAGGCTAAATCAGGCCCAAGTCCTTTTCCCTTTTCTAAATTTACAATACATCACAAAATACAGCATGAAGACTTTTAGTAAATGACGTTGGGGAAAAAAACTTGAAAAATAGTTCTTTGGAACAGAGAAAAACACATACATCCTGCCACAATGACATGTCTTAAACACTCTATAGATAAACAGTTGAAGAAATGTATATATATAGGAACTTAGGACTATGACCTGCTTCTCGTATTACAAGTTTATGTATGGTCACACAGAAAGACTTGCCATTTGTTTATATATATTACTTCTACCTAGTGTTATCTGTTTACAAAAGGACTTCCTTTCTTCCCTGATTAATCGTAATTAATCACTCTTATCTTTAAAATCTGAGGCACCTTCAGAATCACGTACTACATACAATTAAATTCAAATTTTGCATTTTTTAAAGCCATAAAACTTAGCCAAAAAGTAGGCCAATGACCTCTCCCTGTTTTCATTACCTTGCAACTGCCAAACCTTTAAAGGTGCCATTTCATTGGTGCTCTCTACAAGATGCTTTCTGAGTTCTTTCAACTGTCCCTCCAGGTCGGGGTGCAGATCTCTAAAAGAAACATAAAAATCAGTCCTTTTCATTATTTTTTCTTTCCCGGAGCATAAGAAGAAGTAAACCAACTTTATCTTCATGGTTTTCCTCTCCCAACCCTAGGAAATTTTCTACGACATAGGGGGAAAAAATGAAGTATAATTATTCCTCTTTAAAAAAAATAGAAAATTAGAAGCTAGTTTAAAACTCATAAAATTTATAGAAAAATTGCTAGAATAGTGATTCCCTATGAGGTAGATAAGGAGACTGAGAGTGGTTAACAAAGGAGACTTTTCAGGCCAGGTGTGGTGGCTCACGCCTGTAATCCCAGCCACTGAGGAGGCCAAGGCAGGAGGATCACTTGAGCCCAGGAGTTCCAGGTCAGCCTGTGCAACACAGCAAGACCTTGTCTCTTAAAAAAAAAAAGAAAAAAAGAAAGAAAGAAAGGAACAAAGGAGACTTCGGCTATACCTGCAGTGTTTACTGACCTGTTTTATTTTTTGTTTGTTTTCCTTTGTTCTTAAAGTAAAAAAAGGCTTATACTGGGAAAAAAAGAAAGC
This sequence comes from Homo sapiens, assembly GCF_000001405.40. Lineage (NCBI taxonomy): Eukaryota > Metazoa > Chordata > Mammalia > Primates > Hominidae > Homo > Homo sapiens. Next base: position 128,119,813 of record NC_000002.12, on the reverse strand, counting down.
TTAATAAATAGTTCTATAGAAGAGAAAAGCAAGTATGACAACAGCAATCTATTCTGGGTTGTAAGTATGTGGGAATAAATTTTTCTCTATGCTTTTGTGAATCACTGTAATTTCTCAAAGTAAAACTGAAGGGAAAAAAACTGCTGCCAGTCCCAAAATGAGTTTCCTTTAGCCTACATGCTCATAAATCTCTTAGTAACATGAATACAATTTAGGCTAACCATAGTTACTGGGTTTTATCTTTAAATATAGCATATTCCACTATAGTAAAGCAGAGGTGATCTGGGGCAGAGATATAACATTTACATCAGACAGACGGCTAGTACATTACTTTTTTCTTTTAAATGCCATAAACTCAAAATTTCTTTTTTTTTTTCTTTGAGACAGAGTTTCACTCTTGTTGCCCAGGCTGGAGTGCAATGGCGTGAACTCCTGACCTCGTGATCCGCCCGCCTCAGCCTCCCAAAGTGCTGGGATTACAGGCGTGAGCTACCGCGCCCGGCTAACTCAAAATTTCTTAATACAACATACAGAAATTAAAATTCCCTCAGACTGTTCACTGTCCAACCAACCCACTTCCTGTCAGTTACTACAGCCTGAGCATCCCAAATCCGAAATTCTGAAATCCAAAATGCTCCAAAATCCAAAACTCATTAAATGTCAACATGACATCAAAGTAAATGTTCATTGAAGCATTTCAGGTTTCAGATTTTCAGACTTGGGGTGCCCAACTGGTAAGTATCATGCAAATATTCCAAAATTGAAATCTGACACTCTAGTTCTAGTTTAAGCATTTCAGAAAAAAGACACTCAACCTATACAAACTCTTAAATACCAAAAATGAGGCCAGGCGCGGTGGCTCACACCTGTAATCCTAGCACTTTGGGAGGCCAAGGTGGGCAGATCCCTTGAGCCCAGGAGTTCAAGACCAGCCTGGGCAACATGGCAAAACCCCATCTCTACCACAAATACAAAAACTGAAGTGAGAGGATCACCTGAGCCTCGGGAGGTGGAGGCTGCAGCAGGCCATGATGGCGCCACTGCACTCCAGCCTTGGTGACAGACTGAGCCTGTCTCAAACAAAAAAAAAAGGTCTAATTACTTTGGATAGCTAAATAACTATTCTGAATGTCCAAAAGGTAAAACAGCCTCAATATTCTTGATAATACCTTTGTGCTGTGAATGCATAAAATCATCATGCTACCCAAAAAATAAACATAAACACCACAAATGTGAAAAAAGATTCTGAAGCTGGGAGTGGTAGCTCACACCTGTAATTCTAACACTTTGGGAAGCCAAGGCAGGACAATCACTTGAACCCAAAGTTCAAGACCAGCCTAGGCAATATAGCAAGACTCTATCTCTACAAAACATTTGAAAATTAGCCAGGCATGGTGGCACACAACTGTAGTCCCAGCTATTCGAGAGGGTGAGGTAGGAGGATCCCTTGAGCCCAGGAAGTCAAGGCTGCAGTGAGCCGTGATTGTGCCACTGCTCTCCAGTCTGAGTGACAGAGCAAAGCCCTGTCTCGAAAAAATTTTTTTAGAAAAGGATTCTGAAAGCCTGAGTCAAATAAAAATAGAATATGATTACATTCTAACAAGGTCAAAACTGATGTTAAACGAGAAGAAATGTATATACATGTAGGATGAACTCAACATGTAATTCAATGTAAACTAAGATATCTCTTCTAAATTGTTAATCTGGTTATTTCACTTGGCCAAATCTCAAAGCTGAAGTATATAAAACTGAGTCTAGCATATACTATTTCTATTTGATCACTTTCTCTCTCTTTCCCTCTCTCTCTCTCTCTCTCTCTCACACACACACACACAGACACACACACACACACAAAATGTCCTAATAAAAACTGCCAGATAAAGCAGAATTCAGGGCTCTAAACAATTATCAAGCCATGAGGGAAATAACTTCAACTTTTAGAATAACAGCTAAGAAGACGTTCCAGGCCAGGCACGGTGGCTCACACCTGTAATCCCAGCACTTTGGGAGGCCAAGGCGGGCGGACCAGGAGGTCAGGAGATCAAGATCATCCTGGCTAACACAGTGAAACCCCATCTCTACTAAAAAAAAAAATACAAAAAATTAGCCGGGTGTGGTGGCGGATGCCTGTAGTTCCAACTACTTGGGAGGCTAAGGCAGGAGAATAGCGTGAACCCAGGAGGCGGAGCTTGCAGTGAGCCAAGATCGTGGCACTGCACTCCAGCCTAGGCAACAGAGCAAGACTCCGTCTCAAAAAAAAAAAAAAAGAATAACAGTTAAGAAGACTTTCCAGCTATAAAATACTATGATGCTTACATTAACAGGTTATGATGATGCTTTCATTAAATGATTACATAATTATGGAATTTTTTAAAATACCATTTCCTTTCACATAAAGCAAATTCTAATAAAATGTTTTTTCTGAGCTGGGGGCCATGGCTCACGCCTGTATTCCCAGCACTCTGGGAGAGCGAAGCAGGCAGACCACTTGAGGCCAGGAGTTCAAGACCAGCCTGGCCAACATGGTGAAACCCCGTCTCTACTAAAAATACAAAAGTTAGCCAGGCATGGTGATGGGTGCCTGTAATCCTAGCTACTCAGGGGGCTGAGGCAGGAGAATCACTTGAACCCAGGAGACGGAGGTTGCAGTGAACTGAGATTGCACCACTGCACTCCAGCCTGGGCAAAAGAGCAAGACTCTGTCTCAAAAAAAATAAATAAATAAATAAAAAATAATAATAAAATGTTTTTCCCATTGAGCATGTATAAAATTTACTATATCTATTTCGCATTTTTGCTCAGACTATGTTTGAAAAAAACTTTTAAATACATTTTTTCCTGGGAAAATATTAAGTGAAACAATTCAATTTCTCCTCTTATGGCAATCAAAAAATGGTATGTAACTTAATGCCATCAACTGAGAGGCAAGAAAAACGCACTTAAACTGTGGGCAGGTAGCCATACTATCAATTAAGAATAATGTGCTTCAGGCTGGACGCAGTGGCTCATGCCTGTAATCCCAGCACTTTGGGAGGCTGAGGCGAGTGGATCACTTGAGGCCAGGAGTTTGAGACCAGCCTAGCCAACGTGGCGAAACACCATCTCTGCTAAAGATACAAAAATTAGCCGGGTGTGGTGGTGCATGCCTGTAATCCCAGCTACTTGGGAGGCTGAGACAGAATAATCACTTGAACGTGGAAAGTGGAGGTTGCAGTGAGTCGAGATCACGCCACTGCACCAACCTGGGCGACACAGCGAGACCCTGTCTCCAAAAAAAAAAGAATAATGTGAAATCATAAACTGTACTATAAACTAAGTGGTTGACTCTCCACGTAGGATTGCATACATAAAGTACTGTTAGGAGATGAGAAACTCAGACAGTAATGAGTAAGATGATGCTTAAAATGCAAGAAAGCCTGGAGGCTTAAAGAAAATGAGGGCGTTTCCCAAAATACACAGAACATACATACCTTAATTTTCCAAAGAGGAACCCCTGAACCTCATCAATAGGATCATTTTCACCAATCACTGTGGTGTTTACCTCAGTTCCTATGAAAGAATAGAAAATACATATTATTAATAATTGCTCAGATTTGAAACAAAAACGTTACTAGTCTCATAAACTTCATAAAATTGAATAATGTGAAAAAAATCAGAAACCCCTGAAATTATACCATTTAAAATGCTGACTATCACAATTACCCTTTGGCAATGGTTCTTTAAACAAACAGGATAAATGCATTTTAATATCTCCTGTGTTCCTGGATAAAGAATGCATTTTTCCTTAAACTTTGGAAAATTTTACATGCTAAAAACTTCAAAATTAATACATTTAAACATTATGGACAATTATGAAATTAATAGTCAAACACTATGAACAAAGAATTTTTCAATATTAAAATTCTGAAGAATTTATAATTAGTCAACTTAATCCTAATACAATTATTGAAGAAAATAGAATGAGGTAGTAGTTTATTTTCCATCTGCTTTACTACTCAAATTGATTTTTTATCTTTAAAATAAGCATAAAAGAAATGAAAAAATAGCATTTAAAACTTGTAGATAAAATAATAAATTCAAAACCCTAGAGTATTACAACAGAAAGTATCCACAGTAAACTGTTCCATGTACAGAAATAATAAACAACATAAAATTGTTTGTTAAATATAGGATACTTTAAGATTTCACGTTGGAGTCACAAATAAATGGCTATTTGTAAATCCCCTATAACATCAACAACAATAGCTACTACTTGCTGAACGTTTTTGGGCAAACCACTGTGCCAGGTTCTTTTTTTGAGGGTTTTTGTTTTTTTTTTTTTTTTTTTTTTAGTACATGAAAAAATTCTTTCCTTACACACCTTATTTATTCCTCCCCAATACTGGAAGAGACATGTATCATTACCTGTACTTTACACAAGAGAAAACTGGGATCTAGAGAATCTGCTTAAGGGTCACCCACTCAGGTGTAACAGAACCAGGATGCAAACACAGGTTCAGCATACACCTAAATCTATTATTTTTCATATGGAAACAAACTCCCCTTTAACTCATATTTGAAGAAAGCACACTGGTCCCATTTTTACAAATTCACCTTTCACCTGAGTATCATCCTTGGCCTTGTACTCAGTGCTCTTAATGGCCAATTCCACGCCATAGCCAGAGAGGTAAACAGGCTCCTTCCTGGGATTCTGCAAGTAAAGCAAGAATTCCATCATTACCACCTAGCTCTTTCTATGTCACAGTGTACATGGCATGACCATGTTAATGTTGCATCTACTAGCCATTACCTCGGATTATGCCCTCAAAATATCTTTAAATTGTTTTTTAACGATATTAACTATATGGCTAAGAAAGTTCACTAAACAAATTTTTTTAGTCCAAAACCTACCAAAAACTCAAGAGTAATAAAAGCACGTATCTACCATTAAAATATTGATTATATGTTTTAAAAATCAATCCAGAGTCTATATTCTCTCCTTATAAAATCCTAGGCTCCTTTACATGTTGTAGGCTGCCACAACTGTGGGAATGGAATTCCAAGGTAGAAGCAAAACCAGATGAATGGACAGCTGAAAGTGCTATGGTCCCAACCATAAGAAATGGAGAAAGAGAAAAAGAAGTTCCAGAACCTACAGAGCAGGGTTGAAAGCTGGTGAGGTCTCAGTCCCAGAGGTGTTTTTTGAGGCCCATGGGAGTATGCTTTTTATTAAATTTAAATGCCTTCGAGCGGAGCTTGGAGTGACCAGATGTCACAGGCTCACCAGCATCCTGACTGAAGATGGCCCTTCAGACATTAACATCCATCCTAACAGCAATGAAGGGGGCAGAGGGAGAATCAAAAACTGGACTTCAATAAAACTTTCTGCTTGTACAAATTTTCATTTAAAATTTTATGGCCAAGCACAGTGACTCACGCCTGTAATCCCAGCACTTTGGGAGGCTGAGGCGGTCAGATCACCTGAGGTCAGGAATTTGAGACCAGCCTGGCCAACATGGTGAAACCCCCTCTCTACTAAAAATACAAAAAATTAGCCGGCATGATGGTGAGTGCCTGTAATCCCAGCTACTCGGGAGGCTGAGGCAGGAGAGTCACTTGAACTCAGGAGGCGGAGGTTGCAGTGAGCTGAAATCGCGCCACTGTGCTCCAGCCTGGGCGACAGAGCGAGACTCTGTCTCAAAAATAAATAAATCAATAAATAAAATTTTATTTTTTTTGCATGAACTTAGTACTGAGCTTATTATGACATAGAAACTTTAAAGGGCTAACAACCTTTACATATAAATATTTTAAATGACTAAATATTACACAGAGTCTTTTTTTTTTTTTTTTTGAGACGGAGTCTCGCTCTGTCGCCCAGGCTGGAGTGCAGTGGCGCGATCTCGGCTCACTGCAAGCTCCGCCTCCCGGGTTCACGCCATTCTCCTGCCTCAGCCTCCCGCGTAGCTGGGACTACAGGCGCCCGCCACCACGCCCGGCTAATTTTTTGTATTTTTTAGTAGAGACGGGGTTTCACTGTGTTAGCCAGGATGGTCTCGATCTCCTGACCTCGTGATCCGCCCGCCTCGGCCTCCCAAAGTGCTGGGATTACAGGCGTGAGCCACCGCGCCCGGCCTACACAGAGTCTTAAAAGCTTAATATTACATCAAGTCTACCTATGAATCGCCTGTTTAGAAAATCCTCCCCCTTCCACCAAATAAAAAGGTGGCAAAGAGAAAACAGAAGAAAAAAGGTTGGAAAGGAAACTGAATTCAACAATCAGTTCCATAGTATGATGACCATATTAAAATCAGAAAAGATTATTTACATGGTTCATTTTGAAATAAAATGTAAACTTTATCGAGCTACTTTTTTAGCATGTTTTATATTTCTTCAGAAAGCCAAGCAAAGCACATCATATGTGCAAATAATAGACTCAATGAAACTACTGGATTTGTCAAAAAAGGGATTCAAATAACTAGATTTTTTTATAAAGAGGGAGATTATTAGCTTATGTTCTAAAGTCATGCTAGGCAAATTACATTCAAAACAGGTGTAAAATAAGTCAATACTTACAAATATATAATGTCTGAATACATAATTGATTTTGCCTGCATTGCTTTTTGATATAAGCTGGCGGTGAAAATTGGAAAATTCCTCAGAGCCAATCTCAGAGTAGAAAATCACCACAGGGCTTTCAGGATTAGACGAGGGATATCTGTGATCTCCTTTGAACAATAAAGGTTTGGGTCTGAAAATAAATAATAAAAGCTCAAAACTTTAAAAATAATTGTGAAACACTAAAAATGTCACAAAATATAAAGTACAGTTATGAAAATTCAAATAAAGATTATAAGCATCTTAATATGAAGGGTAGCATGATCTTAAATATTTTTCACTTACTAAGATTACTATCAGGTATGAGTCTTATTTATTCATGATTAAAAATAACAAAAGTACATTATAAAAAATACTAACTATAAAATGTAAACACTGGCAGGTCCAGTGCATGATGCCTGTAATCATAACTAAGACAAAGCCTGGGCAACATAGCAAAACCTCGACTCTACAATAAATAACGAAAATTAGCTGGGTATGGTGGCATGCACCTGTAGTCCTAGCTACTTGGGAGGCTAAGGTGAGAGGATCACCTGAGCCCCAGAGGTCGAGGGTGCAGTGATCCATGATCATTCCACTGGACTCCACCCTGGGTGACAGAACGGGACCCTGTCTCAAAAAAAAAAAAACGAATAAAATAAATCTCAATTAATAACAGCTACCAATTCCTAAAAGGGGAGGAAAAGGGCCAAAACAGGATACATATTCAAATGACTACTAAAACTTGAGTATGTATGTATGTAATATATATATATATATATAACATAGTATTTTTTGGGGGGTTTTTTTTTTTTTGGAGATGGAGTTTCATTCCTGTTGCTCAGGCTGGAGTGCAATGACATGGTCTCAGCTCACTGCAACTCTCCCTCCTGGGTTCAAGTGATTCTCCTGCCTCAGCCTCCTCAGTAGCTGGGATTACAGGCATCCACCACCACACCCGGCTAATTTTTGTATTTTTAGTAGAGACAGTGTTTCATCATGTTGGCCAGGCTGGTCTCAAACTCCTGACCTCAGGTGATCCACCCACCTCAGCTTCCCAAAGTGCTGGCATTACAGGCAAAAGCCACCAGGCCTGGCCAATATAATATGTTATATTATGTTATATTTTGAGAAGTCCTCAGTCTGTCACTTAGGCTAGAGCACAGTCGCGTGATCGCTCAGCTCACTGCAGCCTCGACCTCCAGAGCTCAAGGAGGGACTACAGGTGCACGACATCATGCCCAACTAAATTTTGTATATTTTGTAGACATGGGTTTTGTCATGTTGCCCAGGCTGGTCTCAAACTCCTGACTCAAGCGATCCACCCACCTCAGCCTCCCAAAGTTCTGGGATTACAGGCGTAAGCCACCACGGCTGGCCAAGTATATTTTTCTACCATATAAATAGAATATGATTAGCTTTTTATTTAAAAATATAAGTATAGGCCGGTCGTGGTGGCTCACGCCTGTAATCCCAGCACTTTGGGAGGCCGAGGCGGGCGGATCACGAGGTCAGGAGATCAAGACTATCCTGGCTAACACAGTGAAACCCCGTCTCTACTAAAAATACAAAAAACTAGCCGGGCATGGTGGTGGGTGCCTGTACTTGGGAGGCTGAGGCAGGAGAATGGCATGAACCTGGGAGGCGGAGCTTGCAGTGAGCCAAGATGGCACCACTGCACTCCAGCCTGGGCGACAGAGCGAGACTCCGTCTCAAAAATAAATAAATAATAAATAAATAAATAAAAATATAAGTATAAATAATGCAAAAAGCACAGGATGACATTCAGCATATTACTTGCCAATTCTACTAAGTCTATCTCCTCTACTATTTTTACTACTATGATCTTCCTAATGGACGTTTTTGTTTCTGTTTTTGTTTTGGAGTCAGGGTCTCACTCTGTTGCCCAAGGTAGAGTGCAGTGGCATGAACAGGGCTCACTGCAGTCTCTACCTCCTGGGCTAAAGTGATCCTCCCACCACAGCCTCCCGAGTAGCTGGGACCAAAGGCGTGTGCGTGGTTACTGCCACCACACCCAGCTACTTTTTGGAGAAACTGGGTCTCACTTTGTTGCACCGGTTGGTCTGGAATTCCTGGGATCAAGTGATCCTCCTGCCTCAGCCTGCCAAAGTGCTGGGACTACAGGCTTGTGCCCCCAATGGACTTAACATTTCAGTTTTCCTCATAAACTTTAAAACTTCTCCCAAAAAAACTTATCTAAGGATGGCATCAAGATATTAACAGATCTTAATGCACAGACTTTATGACCTACCAGTCTCTATTATAATAAACTATACAACTCAGCAGAAAGTAAAGACATGAATACAGATGCTCCATATAGCCTTATTGTAACAGGAGGAAATGACTTAAAAATCCATCGGTAAGAGGTAAATTACCAATTACGGGACAGTCTTACCTAGGTTATGCATGTGTTAAAAATAACGAGGTATACCCACTTGTACTAAATTGAAAGATACCTTTTATAAAAATAAAACTACCTACATGTATAAATTTAAAACCATAGAAAAAAGTCTGAAGGTATATATGCCAAACCATTAAAAGCAGTTACCGCCTCTCAGAGAGAGGAGACACCGTTGTTCTTTTCTTCATAAAGGTGTGCATTATTGTTGTAGCAAATTAAAGTTTTTTAAAAGAATTACAAAGCCATCAATTTTGTTTCCCCCAAGAGACAGCACTACTGTATCACCATGCAGCCATTTCTGAATGTCCATGCCTTGACCCGGAGATGGCTGGAACGCACGCTGTTTTTTGGTCGGCACTCTGAGTAAGAAGCACTAATGCCATTTGGTGGGCAGAGGATGGGTGCTGGGGAGCCAATCTCACTAAAGAAGACCTACACCACCTAACTGCCATTAGCAGTACTGAGAGGGCCGGCCAACCCCACGGAGAGATCACGGTTCTGTTTATGAACAGCATTAGAGGAGGTACAGAGGGCTTGCTGCCCTAGCCAGTCAGCAAAATGATACATAGCAGAGTTGTCTACCACAGGAAACCCACCTTTGGGCAAAAAGCTGGTACATTAGTTACCAAATTAATATTCAAATCAAGCCTGCAATTATCTTTCAAATATCCTCCTTTGTCTGAAACTAATAATATCCTGAGAGATATTATCATTAATATCATTATTTCAGGCATTGGCTTTAATACACACAGTATTCCTTACTAAGCCAATGACAAAATCTATGTCATTGCTCAGATGCAGTCATTACTAAACAGTAACAGTTAATACTAAATACTTGTATCATCTCCATTTTGAAATGAGATTAGGAAAGAAAGTAATTTGCCACATTTCACAAAACTATTTTAAGTGACGGAGCTGAGATTCAAATATAGTCAGTCTGGTTCCAGAAGCCATACTCTAAACCATTACACCTAATGATACAAAACAGATGAGAAAATCAGAAGGTAGACCAAATGCAGAAGCAGCACTGGAAATGCATGACATGAAAATAAAGAAACACATAATCTACCTTTCAGAGGCTGTCAGTAGAAGAGCCTCAAGGGTATCAGATTCACAAGTCTTCTTTCCATGCACTGAAAAAAACGAATTACATCCTTCTGGTGGAGGTTCATCAGCTGCTATCTGTCACATAAGACACAACACATACTTTTTAAATTTCTAACCAAAGACGAGATAAAGACATGTATAATCAAAATAGGTGATTAAATTATGACAAAACAACATTGTTGAAACTGGCTGAGTGTGGTAGCTCGTGCCTGTAATCCCAGCACTTTGGGAGACCAGAGTGGGAGCATCACTTAAGCCCAAGCCTGGGCAGTTAAGCCTGCCACTTAAGCCTGGGCAGCATAGTGAGACCCCATCTCTACAAAAAATAAAAAAAATAAAAAATTAGGCACAGTGGCATACGCCTGTAGTCCCAGCTACTAAGGAGGCTGAGGTAGGAGGATTGCTTGAGCCTGAAAAGTTGAGGCTGCAGTGATCCGTAATCACAGAACTACACTCCAGCCTGGGCAACAGAACAAGACCCTGTCTCAAAAAAACAAAATCAATAAATGCAAAAACAGGCCAGCCACAGTGGCTCATGCCTGTAATCCCAGCAATTTGCGGGGCAGAGGCAGGCAGATCTCCTGTGGTCAGGAGATCGAGACCAGCCTAGCCAACACGGCGAAATCCTGTCTCTACTAAAAATACAAAAATTAGCTGGGTGTGGTAGCAGGCTACCCCAGCTCAGGTAGGAGAATCACTTAAACCCAGGAGGTGGAGGTTGCAGTGAGCTGTGATTGCGCCACTGCACTCCAGCCTGGGTGACAGGGCGAGACTGTGTCACAAAATAAAGAAAAATGAAAAAAAAAATCACTTTATTGTGTGAAGATGTACCTTTGGGCAATACAATACAGTAACAAGCAAGTGATTCCAACAGAAATTAACAGGGTGGTTGGTTTCAGGGGTGAAAGGTGGCCACAATCAGGACAAAGTACACGGAGGGCTTTCCATGGTGCCAGACTAAGTCCTGCTTCTTGACTTGGGTGAAAATTACAAGGATGTTCACATTATAATAGTCCATTACTATATATTTTTTGTGAGGAGTTTTTCCATGTTTTATTTTATAATAAAAAATAATTTTAAAATTAGCATTGCTTTTATATCAAATATCAAGTTGGTGAAGACATCTTTGACTGTCTCTTCTTAAGTCTCTCTTAACTTGAGGTTCCTCTGTCCCTCTTTTTCTTTTCAATTACAATAGAAATTTCCATAATTTATGTACTGAAGAAACTAGATTACTTTACTACAACGATTCCTGAATTCTAGATTTTCCTGACTGCATCCCTGTGGTGATGCTAAACATTTCTTGCCTCCTGTATTTCCTGTGAACTGCTTTTAGAACTACAGGCTGTAATTAGATGCTGGCTCATTGGTTTAACAAGATTACATCTCCCAGGCTGCAATGCATAAATAAAATATTGCTGTCTTTTTTCTATATAGATATTCTTTTATTTTTTTAAATCTGTGGGTTGAAGACTTAACATCAATTTTGCTTATTATTTTTTTTAAAAATCATAAATCCTAGAAAATTTCAGGCAAAAAAGTGATAATAGCTCTGTAATTCAATTCCAGGACAACTGGGGTCCATCCATTCATCATGATATACACTCTAAAATGCTGTTCTTTAAGAGCACTGGACCCACCTGCTGGAAGGCTTGGATTGTAGCTGAGTAAGAACGAAGGGACAGACAAAATTTAAACAAATTCTGCTGGAGGGGTGACAGAAACTGAAATGCAGCCTCCAATATTGCATGATAGTAGGAATAATCGGTACCTGTCAAGGAAGAACATTAACCAAAGTAATTGCGTATGACTAGAGATATCTAAAGAAGATAGTTCATGAAGCACAAAGCTGTGTTTACAAAGGTATGTGAAGGCAAGTTTTACCAGTATATTGTCTTGAACTCTCAACAAATGCTTAAAACTCCCTGGAGTACAAAATGCAGTTGGGCTCTTCCTCTCTTCTCACCTTTCGAACTATTCCCTCCCCTGGACCGCTATTTTCCCACTTACCTGGATGACTTACAGCTACATACTTCCTCAGAAATAATTCAGCTGTGAAATTACCTACTCCAGAAAGTCTCCACAATCCCTACCCCATGCTTCAATGGACCAGTTAAACCTCTTCCTCAATCCCAGAACACGTCTTTGTTTACCTCTTTCACTTATCATATCATTTACTAAATTATTTATTCACTGTCTATCTATACCCCACTTAGACTTCTGGTCCCCAGAGGAAGAGGCTATGACCTATTTATCCTTATATCCATGATGCCTAGCATATGGTAACTACTCCAAAAACTAAACAAAACTGAGCAGTGTCATGAGGAAGTTACACAGTATTAAAGAATACTAATGAAATTGTAAAGTTTGAAAAGAAGCATTTAAACAAAAAGTTGGACCAAATTATTTTAAAGAAAAAAAAATCCAAATACGAATGTGAAAAAATCCCCAGGATAAATGAAAAGCAAAGGCACAAAACAATGTACATAGTAACTTTTTTTTTAAACCAGTAGAAAGAATGAGAAATAAGAATACATATGTATATATTTGCTGTAAAAAACACTTAAGGCTAAACAAATTAATTTAAAATGTTATAAAAAGCAGGAAAGAAACAGAAGGAACAGGGTCAAGGAAGAAACAAGATTTCTCTGTGTATAACCTTTTATACAGCTTTGACTTCGGAATCACATATATCCATGCAAAAAACTTAAATTTTCCATTTTAAAGGACAAGCACAGTGGCTCTTGCTTGTAATCCCAAAACTTTAGGAGGCCGAGGCAGGAGGATTGCTTGAGCCCAGGAGCTCAAGAGATCAGCCTTGGTAACATAGTGCGTCTCTTTTTAAAAAAAATAGAAATAGGCAGGGCACGGTGGCTCATGCCTGTAATCCCAGCACTTTGGAAGGGGCAGGTGGGTGGATCACCCGAGGTCAGGAGTTCAAGACCAGCCTGGCCAACATGGTGAAACCCCATCTCTATTAAAAATATAAAAATTAGCCACGGGAGGTGGCATGCACCTGTAATCCCAGCTGAGGCAGGAAAATCACTTGAATCCGGGAGGCAGAGGTTGCAGCGAGATTACGCCACTGCACTCCAGCCTGAGCAAGAGGAGACTGTCTCAAAAAATAAATAAGTAAATAATGAAAATAAAATGTTCCATGTAAAAAACAAAATATAAATATTAACATTTTATGAGCCAGAATATAAAAGGTTTTATACTGCAACAGCATCCTCTACGTAAAACTAGATAAGAAATATCTCAAAATGATGCCAGAATGTTAATGGTGTCAATCTTTGGGTGGCAGGAATATAAATAATATTTCAAACAAATAAAATGTTTAACATGCTTTTATGTTGTTCATAGAATTCATACTCCTATAGCTTTAATTAATATTATCATTTTTACTGAAAAAATGTTATTTTAAATGTCAAAGTTCAAATTTGATTATAAACCCACTTTGATAAATTTGTTCTATAAAATCTTAAAAATAAAGTATTTTTTGATAACTTAATTCTAGTTGCCTCTAAATTAGTAAAACCTACAGATGCTTGTTTAAAATATTTACATATCTATATCTCCAAAAAAAAAAAAAAAAAAAGATTCAGGCTGGGCATGGTGGCCCACGCCTGTAATCCCATCACTTTAGGAGGCCAAGGCGAGAGGCAGGGCAGGGATGTCTTGAGGCCAGGAGTTTGAGACCAGCATGTGCAACACAGCTAGACCCATCTTTACAAAATTTAAAAATTAGCCAGGCCTGGTTGTACACACCTATAATACCAGCTACTGAGGAAGATGAAGCAGGAACACTGCTTGAGCAGGAGTTCAAGATTATAGTGAACTACACCACTGCACTCCAGCCTCCAGAGCCAGACTCTGTTTCTAAAATCAAAACTAGGCCGGGCTTGGTGACTCACACCCATAATCCTAGCACTTTGGGAGGCTGAGGTGGGTGGATTGCCTGAGGTCAGGAGTTTGAGACCAGCGTGGCCAGCATGGCGAAACCCCGTCTCTGCTAAAACTACAAAAATTAGCTGGGCGCGATGGTGGGCACCTGTAATCCCAGCTACTCGGGAGGCTGAGGCAGGAGAACAGCTTGAGCTCAAGTGGCAGAGATTGCAGTGAGTCGAGATCGCGCCACTGCACTCCAGCCTGGGCAACAGAGTAAGACTCTGTCTCGAAAAAATAAATAAAATAAAATAAAATAAAATAAAATAAAATAAAGTAAAATCTAGCTGGGTGCAGTCACTCACGCCTGTAATCCCAGCACTTTGGAATGCCAAGGCAGGAGGATCGCTTGAGCCCTAGGAGTCTGAGACCAGCCTGGGCAACACAGCGAGACCCTGTCTCCACAAAAAAAAATTTTTTTAATTAGCCCAAATAAAAAATAATAATAAATAAAATAAATCTTTGGCTAGATCACAGAGTGAAAAAAGTGAAATAAAATAAAAATAAAACAAAAAGATTCAGACAATTTTTAAAATATGAATTATTTTAATAAAAATTAAAAAGTTAAAAAAATCAATACAGGCCAGGTGCAGTGGTTCATGCCTGTAATCCCAGAACTTTAGGAGGCCGAGGTGGGAGGATCACTTGAGCCCAGAAGTTTGAGACCAGCCTGGGCAACACAGTGAGACCTCATCTCCGTTGTATTAAAAAAATAATAATTAAATAATTTTAAAAGAAGAAAAAAAAAACAACCCATTAACATCAGCAGCAGTCACACAATTTTGAAACATTTCCTCTTCTGTAAGAACTTATATCTGGCCAGGCACAGTGGCTCATGCCTGTAATCCCAGCACTTTGGGAGGCTGAGGCGGGTGGATCACTTGAGGTCAAAAGTTCGAGACCAGCCTGGCCAACATGGGGAAACCCCATCTCTACTAAAAATACAAAAATTAGCCAGGCGTAGTGGCGAATGCCTGTAATCCCAGCTACTTGCAAGGCTGAGTCAGGAGAAATGATTGAACCTGGGAGATGGAGGTTGCAGTGAGCCCAGATCGTACCACTGCACTCCAGCCTGGAAACAAAGCAAGACTTCATCTCAAAAAATAAAAATTAAAAAAAAATAATAATAACCTATATCTGTCAATGTAAATTAATATTCAAGGTTTTAACTACTCACATATCAGCATCTCCAACTATTAATGTTTACACCCTATATAGCTTATACGAAGTTTAAAAAATGTGAAAGCACATCATAAAAACTGCAAATGAGGTTTTACAGGATAATCATTCATTTGATACCTTAACACTCAAGTTGTGGGTGGCTGGCAGGCATAATGGAAAACACTCTGGATGATACTAACTTAATGATAATGAACTTAACAGATAATAGCTCAGTTGTGTAGTTCATAACAAAAATAGTGAATCAGATTAGATGGTTATTAATACTGAATGATTTAAAATGAAATGTACTTCCACAAAATATTCACATAGCACTTTAATAAAGGATCACGATAGAACAAAAACAAGAGGGGAAAAAAACAAAGGTACCACTTATAGCCAAAGGTATACATTGCTTCAAAAATAATAATTTGTGTTGTGTTGGCTCTTCCTGACCACCATCATAACTCCAGTCATTAAAGACAACAATGTTTTCCATTAACTGCCATGCCACACATACTATAAAGAGACAATTTTTTCCTAATATTTTCCCAGACACCAAAGTCAAAGAAGCATTTGCTTCAATTTTACCGTCATGATCTGATGATCCAATATTTTGACTGGCTTCTACAAAATTCCAAAATTTCTCTTGACTGTCTTCTGCTAAAAACTCACTGGGAGAAAAGATCAGAAATAAAACAACTTAATAAAATTTTCTAATATAAACTATATTACTAAAGAGAGTAAAAATAAGTTTTGAAGTTTCCAAATGTCCATAGTTTGACTTTTAATCTATAATATATAATACTCTTTTATGTATAATATATATATTTTTAATGATAATCAAGTCCTATCTTATTAGTTATTAATAACTTAGCCTATGAATTTTTTCACTTAATAGCTATTTCTTAAGAAACCTGGAATAATAAAAACATAAAAGGGAAGTCTCAATATAAAGAAAGCTTATGAAACCCCATTGACAAAAATACTATGAGTAGTGGAAGAAGAATTAGGAACTGATGATTCTAGTACTAGTTCTGCTTACTTATTTTCTGAAAGGCCTTACAAAGAACAAAAAATATGTTTTGCCTAAAGTTCTCCCACAGTAAAATATGAACCGTAGAAAAATTTCTGAGAATAAAGGCAGCATGTTGTAATCTTTTAACACTCTTAAATCCAAATTTTCAAGATCACCAAACTTAGTTTAAAATTAGCACTGATCTAACAAAATCAGATCCAAGAACTTAATGCCATCTTAATTTTTTTCGACTTTATCCTACTAAAATAATGGCCAGTCTAAATTTCCCTTCATTCAAGAGTCTAAAACCCCTACGAGGAAATGCACGTAGTAATTGAATGATTCATGTCAATTGCTTATCTTCTCCTCTGAGCCATAATACTAATGCAGTGGTGATCTTTCACTGTCTTAAAGCAAACTACAGATCTGGATCTCAGCTTACCTAGCCAAAGGAAGACTTTCCCATTACTTGTGAACACTGGGGTGTACAATCTCACTCTACTCCACAGCTAGACACAGAAATATGGGAAAAATAAGAAACATTTCCTGGTAATGCACAGCTTCTCTAAAAATAGGTTTCTGAAAATACCCATTATCATAATATATTAAATTTCTCAATGCCTCCTTGAAAGTAGTATTTTTCTAGGCTTTCTAGTAACTGACATAGACACCACACCAAGCTTGGCATAGCTTATAGTCTAAGAAAACAAGTCCTAAGACAGATACATCAGGATGTGCAAATAAACACTAAATTAATTAATTAAAGGCACATTCACAAGATAAGCAGAGAGGGGCAAGGTGACACACTCACCAGTGTGGTGAGAACTAAGATTCAATCAGACTAAGACTCTCCCAGTAAAGGCCACACACGAATAAATACATGCTTTTCATACAATTACAGGGAAACTTCTTGAAACATACATTCTTTTCACCCCACTGCATACATAAGGTCTTACAAGGTCTAAACTTGGAACAGTCCTAATATTACTTACTAGATCCACTGAAACAACCCAGAGGAGAGAATAACAATACAAGATATTATTAAAGAAATGCTGCCTTTTTTTACAGCATATTTTTGTTGCTTTTTGTTTTTTTAGCTTCTTATATAATACTTATTCCACTGAGCATAAATTATGATTTTACAGGCCAGGCGCCGTGGCTCACGCCTGTAATCCCAGCACTTTGGGAGGCTGAGGTGGGTGGACCACCTGAGGTCAGGAGTTCCAGACCAGCCTGGCCAACATGGTGAAACCCCATCTCTACTAAAAATACAAAAAATTAGTCGAGGGTGGTGGCGGGCGCCTGTAGTCTCAGCTACTCAGGAGGCTGAGGCAGGAGAATCGCTTGAACCCAGGAGGTGGAGGTTGCAGTGAGCCAAGATCGTGCCATTGCACTCCAGCCTGGGCAACAAGAGTGAAACTCCATCCCAAAAAAAAAAAAAATTATGATTTTACAAACTATATGATGTCTGGGATTTGCTTTAAAATATTCTAGTGCGGGAGGAGAGAAGGGGGTGGTGATGGTGGTTATTGTACTTAAATTGATAATTGTTAAAACAGGATGATGGGTACAGAGAGAGTACATTATACCATTCTCTCCATATATAAATGTTTTGAAATGCCATAATCCAGGACAAGTTTTTAATCTACAACACAAAAAAAACTACAAACAACCAGAATGAATGCCCACAAGATAGTACAAATCAGGTGACAACTTGTTTTCTTAGATTTCCAAAGCTATTGCGGGAGATCAGCATTGGTCTTCCTTCTATGTGGAACTAGGAGGGAAGAAACTAATATTTAAGGAGGCTCTACGATGTTACAGTCACTAAGCTTGGCATATTTACTCGTGTCCGCAAACCCACACAGCCACCCTCAGATATAACCGTTTTTCAAATAAAGAAGCTGCCATTCAGAGATGCTACTGACTTTCTTAGGGACATAGAGTTAGTCAATGGAAAAGCTGGAATATAAATTCATGTCTATTTAATTTATACCTCTAACATGCTACATTCTTGGGTCATTACAAAATTTAGCACTCAGTAAATGATTATTGGTTTTGATTTTAATAATACCTCCTTATATAATATTTCTGTAGCTACAGCTGCAGAAAACATATTTAGTGTTTTACTTCAATTAAAGATAAATATCACTTCATAGACAATCACAAAGCTACAACTCCTTCACAAACATCAGGTCCAATCTAAAAATACACAACAGGAATATTTTTAGTCCCTAAGGGATAGATGCAAGGAAGGCAAAAGATCTGTGGTGGTGGCATGCCATAAAGTGTAGTAAAATATTTTGACCCTTCATCCTTAACCAGATGGACATAGTACCTTGATCCAACATCAGGGTCTCCCACAGACATAAGAAGGAAGAATGGTGGGCTCTGCTAGCTCTGGAGGTGAATACTAAGTGGATTCTAATAAGCATAGCTCATTTCTATGAGTTGCCTACATGTCGTATTACCTTGGGAAACTGTATACAAATAGCCACAGGAGAAGGGGCCTAAAAATAGTAAACCAAAAGGGCAAATGTAGCTCTTACTTCACATGCCAAGGAAAAAAATTAATAAAAATAAAACAAAATGGCAAATGACCAGGGATATCATGAAAGGGGGAGATGTCTGTGATAAGGAAGTTGGTGAAGAAAACAGTATACCCTGTCCACTTCACAGTGATCAAAGAAACTGAAAATATTGAGCAATTAGGGCTGGCAATTTTAGCATTCTTTCTCAAAAGTCCATAGTTTTATGCTGTAAGAATCTTCTAGGACAATGATCAAGAATGTACAACTATCAAGAAATTAGTGTAAATAAAAGTGAAAGTAACAAAATGTAATTCAGGGTAAGAATGTTAAACAGAGGCCTGGCGCGGTGGCTCACACCTGTAATCCCAGCACTTTGGGAGGCCGAGATGGGTGGATCACCTGAGGTGGGGAGTTCCAGACCAGCCTGACCAACATAGAGAAACTCCATCGCTACTAAAAAAAAAAAAAAAAAAAAATACAAAATTAGCCGGACTTGGTGGTGCATGCCTGTAATCCCAGCTACTCAGGAGGCTGAGGCAAGAGAATCGCTTGAACCTGGGAGGCAGAGGTTGCGGTGAGCCGAGATCACGCCATTGCACTCCAGCCTGGGCAACAAGAGCGAAACTCCATCTCAAAAAAAGAATGTTAAACAGAATATCACAAAAACACCTGTTACAGTTAATTGTACAAAATGATTCAGAAAGTGATAGTAAATCTTGGCCAGGCCCGGTGGCTCACGCCTGTAATCCCAGCACTTTGGGAGGCCAAGGAGGGCAGATCACCTGAGGTCAGGAGTTCAGACCAGCCTGGCGGCCAACATGGTAAAACCCCATCTCTACTGAAAATATAAAAATTAGCCAGGCATGCTGGCACACGCCGGTAATCCCAGCTACTTGGGAGGCTAAGGCAGGAGAATGAGAATGGGCTTGAACCTGGGAGGCAGAGGTTGCAGTGAGCCAAGATGGCGCCACTGAACTCCAGTCTGGGTGACAAAATGAAACTCTGTCTCAAAAAAAATAAGTAGGGTGGGGGGGGGGGTTGTAAATCTCAATGACAGATTTTATACCAAACAAATCATCCAAAATAAGATTAGCAAAAAGGAAAAGAAAAACTTTAGTTTTTAGAGTCCAGCTCAGGCAGTCCAGCTCAGGCAGTCTCAAAATATCTTCAGTCACTGCTTTTTTGTTTGTTATTTGCTTTGTTGGGCTTTTTTCCCCCATAATAAGAACTCTTAAAAAAGAGCCACTTCACTTTTACAACTATGCTGTATCAAATAAAGTTCTGACATTTGACAAGCTTGACCCATTTATCAAGTTAGTTATCACCATGAAATACATACAATGGTTTTGTCTTTGTTTTGCCACTTCTATGCTGAGAAAGAAAGGCAGAGAGAGGCGATGGAAGGAAGTCTATTTAGCAGAAAGTCTGCTAGGCTCCTGAGCTAGCCAAGACCGGCTGCCACATGCCCCCTCCCACTGGTCCTTTTAGCAGTATCAAATGAGGCTTTTTCCTTAAGAGGTGCAACCATTCGTTCACACAATCAACATGGCAAAATTCTTCATCCACATTTTTCTAGGAATTAAGGGGAAAATGTTAGAATACAAAATTCTAGAGGCCAGGCATGGTGGCTCACACCTGTAATTCCACCACTTTGGGAGGCCAAGGCAGGTAGATCACTTGAGCTCAGGAGTTCCAGACCAGCCTGGCCAAGATGGTGAAAGCCCATCTCTATAAAACATACAAAAATAAGCCAGGGGTAGTGGCTCACACCTGTAGTCCCAGCTACTAGGGAGGCCTAGGTGGGAGGATGGCTTGAGTCCAGGAGGCAGAGGTTACAGGGAGCTGAGATCACACCACTACACTCTAGCCTGAACAACAGAGACAGGCCTTGTCTCAAAAACTCTCAAAAAAATATATATATATAAATTGAAGATGAAGAAGACAGACCACAAGGCTGATTGGAGTGATGTGACAGTCCAAATTTCTAGCACGTTCAAACACTAAGACTTACCAAGTGCTTGCTGCTCAATCTACCCACATTTATCCTTTGGAAAGTCTCTGCTAGTTCCACCTCTACATCACTTGAGATACAATCAAATAACCTTCCATCCATAAGCATTTAAGCCCTACCTATACAGACAGGTATCTCATTATATTTATTTACAAACACTAGCTAAAAAGCACACTTGGAATACAAAATTTCTCATGAAATTACTATGTTTCACTAATTTTAAGACAACTATTGTTTTATGAAAAATTCTACCCATTTTAATCGTAAGATAACTTCTTTCCCTTTTTTTTTTTTTTTGAGACGGAGTCTTGCTCTGCTGCCCAGGCTGGACTGCAATGGCGTGATCTGGGCTCACTGCAACCTCCGCCTCCTGGGCTCAAGTGATCCTCCCGGTCAGCCTCCCAAGTAGCTGGGACTATAGGCACGAACCACCACACTCAGCTATTTTTTTCTGGAGAGACGGGGTTTCCCCATGTTGCCCAGGCTGGTCTCAAATTCCTGGACTCAAGCAATCCACCCACCTCAGCCTCCCAAAGAGCTGGGATTTACAGGCATGAGCCACCGTACCTAGCCACCGTTTTATCATTTAAAAAGAAAGATTGAGCTGCATGGGCATAATCTCCTAATCTGATGCTCAGGCACATGCCAGCACGCTCAGCTAATTGTTGCCAGGCTGGTCTCGAACTCCTGACCTCAGGTGATCCACCCACCTTGTCCACCCAAAGTGTTGGGATTATAGGCGTGAGCCACCGTGCCCAGCCTTCTTCCACGTTCTTAAGGGAAAAATGTCCTCTTTCCCCCACGTTGCTAAGCCCTCTTCTCTTCCTTTTATCAATCACCTCTTAAAACTTCCTTCAAATAAGGAGAAAATTTGAATACAACTGGCCAGGCACAGTGGCTCACATCTGTAATCCCAGCACTTTGGGAGGCCAAGGTAGGCAGATCACATGAGGCTAAGGAGTTTGAGACCAGCCTGGCCAACATGGCGAAACCCCTTCTCTACTAAAAATACAAAGATTAGCAGGGTGTGGTGGGGCACTTCCGTGATCCCAGCTACTCAGGAGGCAGAGGCATGAGAATCCCTTGAACCCAGGAGGCGGAGGTCACAGTGAGCCAAGATCTCACCACTGCACTCCAGCCTGGGCAACAGAGCGAGACCCTGTCTCCAAAAATAAATAAATAAATAAACATAACCCTCTCTTTCCTTGTTATGCTTTTTGGAAAGTAACATACTAACTTATCCAACACAGTTATTTGTCCAAAGTTCCTACATAGCTCTATAAACCCACATAGCCCTTGTCCTACTGAATGATGCTATGTCCTAACAGCCTTTGTACAATACATCCTACAGTATACACTGAAAGAGGCTCTTCATAAATGCATTTGATGATAATCTCACTCCTTAAAAAGCTCCTGAATGTTCACTGTCAGAGCCTATATTTATACTCAAATACACGAAGGGAAAAAAAATGTTCTCTTACCTGGCTTCTAACAACAATGGAGTGGAAAACCATTTTGTTGTAAGAGAGGTTGTAATGGCTTTTGAGTCGGCCTTTACTGAGGAGAACAGCCACAGAACAGTGAGTACAACCAGAACTCCCATTTTATAGCAAACTCCTAAAAGGAAAAAAAGAAAAGAAGTTTTGCTACAAGGAAATTTTTTTTTTTTTTGAGACGCAGTCTCGCCCTGTCGCCCAGGCTGGAGTGCAGTGGTGCAATCTCGGCTCATGCAACCTCTGCCTCCCAGGTTCAAGCGATTCTCCTGCCTCAGCCTCCCCAGTAGCTGGGATTACAGGCACGCACCACCACACCCTGCTAATTTTGTGTATCTTTAGTAGAGACAGGGTTTCACAATGTTGGCCAGGCTGGTCTCAAACTCCTGACCTCGTGATCTGCCCGCCTCAGCCTCCCAAAGTGTTGGGATTACAGGCATGAGCCACCATGCCTGGCCTGCTACAAGGTAATTTTAACCTCATACTTGGAGACACAAAATAACAATCCTAATAATACTTGGAGACACAAAATAACATAAGTTAGCGAAACAGAAATGCTTCTGACATATAATAGCACTTAATATCTAGCTAGTCCAACAGATATTTGCTGAGTGACTGATATGTAACTGAAGGCACTTAGGTTATTACATTCTTTCCTACAAAGGCTCTGCTTCATTTCCCAAGCAATCTACACCATACAGGGGTATAAAAATCAGTTGGTGGCACACCAGGTTGCACACAACCATATTTTATAAAGGATGAAAGCAAATAAAGCTGAGATAGATGAAAATATAAATGATAGGTATTAAGGGTTGAACTGTGTCCCCCAAAAAAGATATGGAAATCCTATCCCCCGGTACCTCGTAATGTCAACTTATTTGTAAATACAGTCTTTACAGAGGTCATCAGTTAAAACAAGGTTATTAGGTGGGCACTAACCCAATGACTGATGTTATAAAGAGGAGAAATCTGGACAGAGAAAGACAGCACAGAGGGAAAACTATGTAGAGACACAGGAGACCACCAGGTGAAGACAGAGGCACACACTAAAATTATACTGTAAGCTAAGGAATGCCTGAAACTACCAGAAGCTGAAGAGTCAAAGAAAGATTCTTCCTCCAAAGATTTCAGCGGGAACGTGGTCCTGTGAAACCCTGAGTAAGGATTTCTAGCACTGTGAGACAGTAAATATCTATTGTTCTAAGCCACCCAGTTTGTGATACTTTGTTGTGGTAGCCCTAGGAAACTAACATAATGGGTCCCAAATGTAAACTCAGACAGGTTCTGAAATAAAGAAATGTAAAATTTTAGTGGCTTCCCAAGCCAACTGTCCCATCTACAAAATGAGGGATCTAGGGTCACTGGCAAAGTGGATGGCCACAGAATGCAGGCCTCTTGACACCCTCCGCAGCCGCTCCAAGCCTGTCAAGATCCTCTCAGACAGCATCCAGACAGTTTCAGAAAAAGGTCTCCAGCTGCAGATTTCTCTGATTTTCATCTCCAAAGTCCACCTAACAGAACCCTAATCGGACCTCCCCTGAGCTCTACCCATTTGAATGAGAACTAAAAGGGGGTGTGAATATGTGGGAAGCACTAAGCTATCCTTGGGCTTCAGAATGTTAGCTCTGGTAAGGCTCACTTCGGTCTCATCCCAGTTCTTTAATATTGGTTACAAAATCTATCACTGAGGGAGGCTGTCCACATTGGGGACTAGTCAATAGCTGCTTTTTATAAAAAGCATCATTTGTGTTAACATCCTGCTTCATAGAACATACAGTATCTCTGAAGAACGATGGTCAAAAGCAAAATAAATTATAACAAATAGAAAAGTGGCTTTCAGAAGCATTTTAAGTTCAGGCACTGCCAGCTTCTTTGGAAACCAAAAAAAATTAATAAATCAGCCAGGCATGGTGGCATGCACCTATGGTCCCAGCTACTTGGGAGGCTAAGGTGGGAAGATAGCTTGGGCCTAGGAGGTCCATGCTGCATCTGGGCAACAGAGCGGGACAGGAGGAGTTACGGGACAGGAGGAGAGCAGGACAGGAGGAGAGTGGGGGAGGAGGAGGAGGAAGAGGAGGAGGAGGAAGAGGAAAGAAAGAAGAAAGAAGGAGGAAGAGAAGGAGGAGGGGAAGGGGAAGGTAAAGGGGAAGGGGAAGGAGAAGGGGAAGGGGAAGGGGAAGAGGAAGAAGAAGAGGAAGGAGAAGAAGAAGAACATCCCACTTATAAATAAAAACACTCAGAAGTGTTTTTCAAAATCAACGTTTGTAAAAACTGCTATAGAGGCTGCAGAAATGAAAGAATACACACACAAAAATGAAACCTACTGAAATTAGAGATAACCAAACTAGATTTTACACAATGAAACCTGATAGCAGTGATTCCTGGCTGGTTGAGTGAAGAGGATATAGGCCTTTTCTGGAATCTAGTAAAGTTACTGACATTTCCCACAGAGGAGCAAACAAGGACCCAAATTTTATGTACAACTTAAGAATTCTCTTGGGACTGGCCCAGCGCAGTGGCTCACGCCTGTAATCCCAGCACTTTAGGAGGCTGAGGTGGGTGGATCACCTGAGGTCAGGAGTTCAAGACCAGTCTGTCCAATGTGGTGAAACCCCGTCTCTACTAAAAATACAAAAATTAGCCAGGCATAGTGGCAGGTGCCTGTAATCCCAGCTACTCAGGAGGCTGAGGCAGGAGAATCGCTTGAACCCGGGAGGTGGAGGTTTCAGTAAGTCGAGATCGCACCACTGCACTCCAGCCTGGGCGACAGAGAGAGACTCCGTCTCAAAAAAAAAAAAAAAAAAAAAAAAAAAAAAGCATTCTCTTAGGACTAACCATAGACACCCTTTCCCACAGGCCCACAGACTGCAGCCTCAGAAACCTGCTCTACAGGACACAATAGACACGGTTTGTAAAAAAAGGGAACCTTTTAGCATCAGGGCAGCTGTGATCAATTCCTGAGTTTGCTACGTACTAGCAGTTTAACCACATATATGTTACCTAACTTCCCAGGCCCTTAGTCTCGAAGACTATCAAAGTAGGAATAATAGTATCTGCCTCACAGGGTCAATGTGAAAATGAAGAGGCAATAAAAAAATCACTTTGTAAAGTGCCAAGTACTATACCAGAATTGATTGTTGTAGTAAAACATTTTATCGTAAGAAAAAACTATCTTCTAAATTACAGAATAGTACATCATCGTTATTAAATAGCCTCAAAAATACACATTGGAAATATATCCTCTGTGGCTGAGAGAAAAAATTCTCCCCAAAAGTTACAGAGTTTTTCTTTTTTTTTTAATCTGGCCTGAGTCAATGAGTTTATAAACTGGAGACAGCGCATCATATGAACTGTCTAGCAGTATTACGCTATTAGCTATGTTTACAATTTGTCCTGAAGGGGTCTAGATGTGTACACCCCAGAAAGTGGTGATTCCTGATGACGAATTGGACGCCACTGCACTGTAACCCCAGGTGGATGGCATGTAGAGTGGGGAGGAAATTGGGGGTATGACAAAGTCCCCTGAGGAAACC
Source organism: Homo sapiens (assembly GCF_000001405.40). Classification (NCBI taxonomy): domain Eukaryota; kingdom Metazoa; phylum Chordata; class Mammalia; order Primates; family Hominidae; genus Homo; species Homo sapiens. Next base: position 128,094,019 of record NC_000002.12, on the reverse strand, counting down.
CCAGCATTTAACAAGCAATGACTCTGAGCTAAACATTGTATTAGGTGCTTTACATACACAGTGTTATCTAATCCTTACATACAACAACCCAGGGCACTAACGTTCTCTGAGGGGAGCAACCATGTCTACTTCGTTTACCAAAGTGCACAGCATGATGCCTGGCACTCAGAAGACAGTCCATGAATATGCTGCATGCATCTCCACTTTAAAAATAAGTGAAAGCTCGAAGATGCTGAGTACCTTGCCTAACTAATAAATAGCAGTGCTTAGAACCCACACCTTCCTGCTTTTAAAGTTCTACAATACCGTGCTCTCTTCTCTGGTTCTCTGGCTTTACAAAAGGGTAAAAAGCCATACTCTGTGCAGACTCAGACTGAGAAAAGTGCTTGTGAGAACCAAGGCAAGTCCAAGGATTTTCAGTGGCCACAGTTCTTGGGAGACAGGTGGCTGAGAAAGGAATAGTTTTAACCTGAAACCAAGGGAGGAGGCCTGAAGCTGGGACCGAAGCAATCCAACCAACCAATCTGACAGATCCACACTTACGCTGGCTTTGGGGACCGATGGGAGCTCCTCAAGAGCAGGGTGTTTTGTCTATCATGGTCTCCACGCCTAGCATTATGCCTGAAACATAGAAGGCTCTCAAAATGAAATAAACACAGGCCTCATTCATTAAGGCATGAATGGAAACAACAGGAAAGGAGTGTGGCACCAAGAGTGAAGATGCTATAAAATGCCTAGGACTGCAAGATAGGTAAAATGAAAATCCTATGAACCTGTGGCCTGCCTCGAGATCCCCCTACACTGTTTTCAAAAAGGAGAGAGAGTACGTGTTCTTGGGGAGAGATGCAGCACCATTTGAGATGAAAAAAGGAGGAAAGCTATACATTAAAAAAGAGCTTTGCCACTCTGACCCCACATTCTTAACTCTACAGGTAAAACCAGAGGAAAAGACTGTCCAGAGAAGCAGACGTAAGAATCTCACTGAAGTGGTCTCTGCTTTGAGTATGTCTTCATTTTATAGGATCCCTTATCATTCTGACCCTAGGGGTTCTTAAATGTTGCTTATAAAGACAAACAGTCTGAGATAATGGCCAACAGAATGTGCCATGTGGCTTTGCATGATAAGCATTATACTTGCGGCATGATGAATAAACAGAAAACACTCTTTAACAAGTTCTAGGCCCAACTATCAACAACCATCCGTAGGAGGCTGAGGTAGGAGGACCACCTGAGCCCAGGAGGTGGAGGCTGCAGCTAGCAAGATCATGTCACTATTCTCTAACCTGGGCAACAGAGCAAGACTCTGCCTCACCAACAAAAAATAAAAAAATAAATTAAAACACTATCTCTTGCACCATTGCACTCCAGCCTGGGTAACAAGAGTGAAACTCCATCTCAAAAAAAAAAAAAAAAAGAAAGAAAGAAAGAAAATTATCACATCATCTTGTATTGTTACAGGGAAACTTAGATAAAAAAAGAAAATGCTCACAGACAGCTGCAGGAAAGTTCTAAGCAAATTTTCTTCTTACTTTCATATATTCCCCTGAAGTTCAATGTGCATTATAAATGTGCTATGCTACTGTACAAAGTATTATGGTCACTTCCTTTAATAAGTTTCATGTGGCCAGGAGTTCAAGATCAGACTGGTAGGTAACAAGACCTCATCTCTACAAAATAAATAAATAAATAAATAAATAAGAATTTTTTTAAAATAAGCTTCAGCTAAGTTTATCAAAAGCAAGTCAAGTGTTGCTAAATTCGACTGGCTTAAAAAAAAAAAAAGCAAAGTGAAAAGGCTACAATTATTCCAAGTTTTGTGGTGCTGTTAAATAGCTATTTAAAATGTCTTCAAACGCCTGCAAGTGTAAGATTCTTGAAGGAAAGAGGGCACTTTACACTAAAATTGGCTGGCAAGTACATCAATGAATGTTTCCAAAACAGTTAGTGTAGCACAATAAGGCAAAAGACCCCAGGACTTCAAACGAACAAAATTGCTCCTTCTCAAATCTGGCAAGAAATGCAAAACAACTGCAGATTCTGGCCAAGGAACAAAAACAGTTCACATCTATAAGTTATTGGCGACGGACGCAGATCTCATTCTGGCAGGTCCCACGCTAAAAGTGAAACCATATCATCCAATTTCCAGCCAACAGATCACAGTGTTAAAAGAAAACAGTAACCAATACGCATCAACCCGAATTCATTTTAGGAAAAATTGAAATCTATTTTAAAAAGCACGTCGTTCTGCAATCAGGGTCCTGCAAAGTGCTGCTTCTCAACTCACTGAGGATCAAGCTTGGTCTAAATCCATGGTAGGATACCTCCCCCATTTCCTTCTGCACTTGGCACAAGGATCTAAAGCTCTTCAAAGAAGGTTCAAGACCGCTGAACAGAGCCCGCCGCCACCCCCGCGGAAGCGATACCTTGCCAAGAAGACCACTGAGGGCAACTCGGGGCGCTCGCGAATAGGGGAAGGGATAGGACACCAGAGGGTAAACTGAGTCACGGTAGAGGCGGAAGCTCAATGTGACAGGGGCACAGGGTCGCCTTGTGCCCCAAACCCTCTCTTTGTCCACGAGGCCTCCTCACGCCACCCCTGGGTACCTGTCACCGGCAGCGCACCCGCGGCACACGCACCGCTCGCGTCTCCCTTGCAGCCCATGCCCGGGCCGTGGTCAGTCCGCCACAGTGCCAGAGACAACGCCAGGGCAGGGCGGGGCGAGGCGGCAGCGGCAGTGCAGGCTGCGCCAGTGAGAGGCCGACACGCGCCTTTCCCGCGGCTCGACTCAACACCCAGCCTCGCAAAGCAATTGCCCAGCTGCCGGCCGCCCTTTTACTTCCGCTTCCTGCAGGCGAACGCTGGAGGACTTCCGGATACCGAGTCGAGACCTAGCAGCCCAGAGCGTCGCGCGGTCGCCCTCTCATCTCCGAGGGTTGGGGAGGGGGGAGTCCTGCCTCTCTCCTCACTTCCGCCTTTCAGGGTGGCGGGTAGGCTGCCGGTCTTCAAGGTCTTGGGAAGGTTCGTTGGGCCAACAGCTGAGACCCGAAAGCTTCAACAGTCAGTCGGTGAAATCCAGTTTGGACTCTGGGACTTACTCCCTTAAACCTTTGTTAAAAGCTTACTCCCTTTAGCCTTTCGGTGGCACAGTAAGGACAATTGTCTTAATGTTTCTGAGCATCTTAGACTTTATACTAAACCCTAAAATTTTGATAGCTACCTTCCAGGAGGCATGATGAAAGGAAGACTTTTTAAATTTTATGAGCCGCTTGAGCTTTCTTATTCGGACAGCGGCAGCTTAGTCTACAGGGACTACTTTGTCCTTTTAGTATTTTTTTTTTAACTAATATAAACCAGTTTAAAATTGTTTTGGAATAGGTAGCATTTAACCCACCCAAAAATGAATACCTCTTTGGAGGGTATATTTTTAAGTATATTAAGTCAAAGTGAATGAAAAGCCAAAAATATTTTTTTGGAGTTGGAGTCTCGCTCTGTCTCCCAGGCTGGAATGCAGTGGCGCGATCTCGGCTCACTGCAACCTCCGCGCCCCCGCCCGCGCCCCCCACCCCCCAACCCCCCGACCCGCATTCAAGCGATTCTCCCACCTCAGCCTCCCCAGTAGCTGGGATTACAGGCGTGCGCCACCGCGCCTGGCTAATTTTTGTATTTTTAGTAGAGACAGGGTTTCACCCTGTTGGCCAGGCTGGTCTCGAACTGCTGACCTCAGATGATCCACCCGCCTCGGCCTCCCAAGTGCTGGGATTACAGGCGTGACCCACTGCGCCCGGCCCAAAATAATTTTAATAAATAAACATGAGCCAACATGATGAAGGGGAGGAAGGAGAGGAGGATGAAGGAGATGACTAATGGAACACTGATGGAGGCCGGGCGCGGTGGCTCACGCTGAGGATGGAGGCTGAGGCAGGAGAATGGCGTGAACCCGGGAGGCGGAGGTTGCTTGCAGTGAGCAGAGATCGCATCACTGCACTCCAGCCTGGGCGAGAGAGGGAGACTCCATCTCAAAAAAAAAAAAAACAGCAACAACAACAGCAAAAAAACACTGATGGATTCCAACCTTCCTTTTTTTACATTTTCTCCAGTCCCTGGGAGCAAGTTGCAGTTTTTTTGTTTTTTTGTTTTTTGTTTTTTCTCTCTTGTGCTCAGTCGCCCTGTTCTTGAGGTTTCTTTTCTCTACACTATAGTTCTCAACTTATTTTGGGGGAAATAACTTCAGCAGAATACAATGGGAAAAGAGTCTCTACCCCTTTCTGTTCGAAATTCATTTTTATCCCTTCCTGTCTGAGCAAAAACTGTATAGAATCAACATCACCCCAGCTCTGTGGGAAAAAAGAAAAACCTGCTCCCTTCGCCCTGCTGGAAGCTGGAGGGCTCTAGGCCCATGTGTAGCAGAGCATTCAATTCTAGCTTTCTTCCTGCTTTCTCTGTATATTGGGCTCGGAGAGTACACTGGGTCTCTATGTGAATATGGACAGTTAGCATTTACCAACATCTTTCTGTCTACTTTCTCTTGTTTAAAAAAAGAAAAAAACTTTAAAAAATGGGATTCTAGAAGTCAGCAAAGGGTGGGTCTGAGATGTTTGGGTGGGTTAAGCGGACATTTTGACAACATGGCTTCTCCTTTGGCATGTTTAATTGCGATGTTTGACACACATCCTTGCAGTTTAAGATGACGCTTTTAAAATAAATTCTCTCCTAATGATGACTTGAGCCCTGCCACTCAGTGGGAGAATCAGCAGAACCTCTAGGATCTTATTTGGAATTGACATTCTCTATTGTAATTTTGTTCCTGTTTATTTTTAAATTTTGTTTCACTGGAAAGGAAAGATCATGCTCAGTTTTAAATGTTAAAAGTGTACAAGTTGCTTTGTTACAATAAAACTAAATGTGTACACACACCTACGAAAAGAAAAAAACATGAGCATTTTAAAATTTATTTCACAAGGGAGCTGTTGTGTTAGCTTTCCATAGTGTATTTTCTAGCCCTCTTTAAATCACATCAGCTAATGCTTCAATAAAAAGGAAATTGTTAATTCACCTCATTACAAAGTTGATTATATACTTTTTCTTGGCCTTATCTTGATCTTCTGCTATGTGATCCATGAACAAAACCAAAGTTTGCTTAGTTTTAAAATACAGCTAAGTGGTAGCACAGAGCTTCTAGGAAAGTTGGATTTCACCTTTTCTAAACCTTTCTCTGAAAAGTGCTACCTTATTTGAATAAAAACAGATTTTAAAAAATTTTTTAAACTTTTTATTTAGAAATAATTATAAATTCACAAGAAGTTGCAAAGATAGTACACAGAGGTACTTTGTACCCTTAAGCCCATTCCCCCAATGATTACATTTCAAATATCTATATTAAAGTATGAAAACCAGAAATTGACTTGGTACATTGTGTGGGGGAGACAGGTATATTTCCATCATTTTGTGTATGTCTGTACATTTGTGTAACCACTGCCAAAATGAAGACCCACAACTATTGCAGCACCACAAAGATCTCCCTTGTGCTACCCCTTTATGAAGTCAGAACTACTTTCCTACCCCCAAAACCCCTAGCCTGTGGCAACCATCATTTTGATCATTAAATATAAAATTTTTCAATTCTAGAATGTTATATGAATAGTATCACATAGTATGTAGCTTTTTTATTTATTTATTCACTCAGCATAACCACCTGTGGAGCCATACAAGTTGTAGATATCAGTAGTTTGTTCCTTTTTATTACTGAGTAATATTCCATGGTACAAACATACAGATTCATTTTAGCATCACCTATTGAAGGATATTTGGGTTTTTTCCAGTTCTGGACTATTACAAATAAAGCTCCTATTAACATTCATGTACAGGTTTGTATTTATATTTATTTATTTATTTATTTAAAATTACAAAAATCAGCCAGGCATGGTGGTGGGCGCCTGTAATCCCAGCTACTTGGGAGGCTGAGGCAGGAGAATTGCTTGCACCCAGGAAGCAGAGGTTGCAGTGAGTAGAGATTGCGCCACTCCACTCCAGCCTGGGTGAGGAGCAAGACTCTGTCTCAAATAAAAAAAAATTATTTATTTATTTATTTATTTATTTAATAGATCAGGTCTCACCATGTTACCCAGGCTGGTCTCAAAATCTTGGGCTCAAGCAATCCTCCCCACTTGGTCTCCCAAAGTCCTGGGATTACAGTCATGAGCCACCACGCCCAGCCCTATGTAAAGGTTTTTTACATAGACACAAGTTTTTTGTTTGTTTTTGTTGGGAAGGAGTGTCGCTCACTCTGTCACCCAGGCTGGAGTGCAGTAGTGTGATCTGGCTCACTGCAACCTCTGCTTCTGGATTCAAGCAATTCTCCTGCCTCAGCCTCCTGAGTACCTGGAATTACAAGTGTGTGCCACCACACCCGGGTAATTTTTTTATTTTTAGTAGAGATGGGGTTTTGCCATGTTGGCTAGGCTGTTTTCAAACCCCTGACCTCAAGTGATCCACCTGCTTCAGCCTCCCAAAGTGTTGGGATTACAGGCATGAGCCACCATGTCTGGCCTAGACCTAAGTTTTTTTTTATCTGGGATGAATGCCCAAGAGTGCAATTACTTGATCATATGGTAAATGTACATTTTGCTTGTAAGGAAAGGCCAAACTATTTTCTAGAATGGCTGTACCATTTTACATTCCCACCACCAGTGTATGAGAGATCCATTTTCTCTGCATTCTTACCCACAATTGGTACTGCCATTATTTTTTTATTTTTGTTATTTTGATAGGCACATAGTAATTCCTCATCATGGTTTCAATTTGCATTTCCCTAGTGGCTGGTGATGATGAGCATATTTTCACATGGTCATTTGCAATCTGTGTATCCTTTTGTGGAATGCCTTGTCATGCCCTAGCTTATTCTCTAATTATTTGGTTTTCCACCATTGAGTTTTGAGGGTACTTTATATATTTTAGATACAAGTTATTTGTCAGATATGCCATTTGGAAACATTTTCTCCCTGTGTATAGCTTGTATTCTCATGCCCTTAACAGGATCTTTCTCAGAGCAAAAGTTTTTAATTTTGGTGAAGTGCAGTCTATCCATTTTTCTCTTATGGATCTTGCTTTTAGTGACATGTCTAAGAACTATTCACTAGAGCCGGGCGCGGTGGCTCATGCCTGTAATCTCAACACTGGGAGGCCAAGGCGGGCAGGTTGCCTGAGCTCAAAGGAGTTCGAGACCAGTCTGGCCAATGTAGTGAAACCCTGTCTCCACTAAAAATGCAAAAATGAGCTGGGCATGGTGGCACATGCCTGTAATCCCAGCTACTCTGGAGGCTAAGGTAGGAGAATCACTTGAACCCGGGAGGCAGAGGTTGCAGTGAGCTGAGATCACGCCACTGCACTCTATCCTGGGTGACAGAGCGAGACTCTGTCTCAAAAAAACAAACAAAAACAAAGGGCCTTTCCTGACTTTTTGAAGTTCAGTCCTCAAACTATTACTATCGCTCCTCCACCTTTTCTATTTTTTTCTGTTTTATGTATGTTGATAGTTTGCACCCCCCACTAGGTGTCACTCCATGAGGACAGGGACATCATTTAGTTCAGTGCTACATCCTTAGCCCCTAGGACATTGCTCAACCAATATTGGATGAACATTTCTCTCTGCACCTCCCTCCTCTATCCATGAGGTACACTCAGCTGAGATGGCCAGCTGTTGCTGTTCACGTCCAGGTGGCTGCTGGGCAAAGGACATGCCTTGAAATCAGTAAATGCCCCTTGAGGTGCTGGAGACACAGCATAGAATCCTCTAGGTTTCTAAGTTCCCACCCAAATCTCATGTTGAACTATAATCCCCAGTACTGGAGGTGGGGCCTTGTGGGAGGTGTATGGGTCTGGGGTGGGGGCAGATCCTTCAAGGCTTGGTGCTATCTTCATGATATTGAGTGCGTTCTCTCAAGATCTGGTCATTTACAAGTGTGTGGCACCTTACCCCTCCCCACTCTCTCTCTTACTTGCTCCTGCTTTCACCGTGTGACATGCCTGTTCCCCCTTCACCTTCTGTCATAATTGTAAGCTTCCTGAGGCCTCCCTAGAAGCCATGCAGATGCCTGCATCATGTTCCCTGTAAAGCCAGCCGAACTGTGAGCCAATTAAACCTGTTTTCTTTTTAAATTACCCAGTCCCAGTTATTTCTTTATAGCAATGCAAGAGTGGCCTAATGCAATAGCCAAATAAATTGATTGTGGAAAGCAAAGTTGGCATTTAATGTTTGATTTCCAGATGGAAAAGGAGTGCAACTCAAAGAGATTTATAGTGATGAGGCCGAGTGCAGTGGCTCACGCCTGTAATCCTAGCACTTTGGGAGGCAGAGGTGGGCAGATCACAAGGTCAGGAGTTCGAGACCAGCCTGGCCAATATGGTGAAACCCTGTCTCTACCAAAAATACAAAAATTATCCAGGTGTGGTGGCGCATGCCTGTAATCTCACCTACTTGAGAGGCTGAGGCAGGAGAATTGCTTGAACCTGGGAGTTGGAGGTTGCGGTGAGCCAAGATCACACCACTGCACTCCAGCCTGGGTGACAGAGCAAGACTCCTATCTCAAAAAAAAAAAAAAAATGTATAGTGCTGGATTGCACATGTGCAAAAGGTGACACATGAGAAGGCCATCACTTGCACTGCAAGTTGGTGAGACAGAATAACGAAAAAGTGTTACGGTCACCAAAATATTACTCTCCATAGACTGCCCATTCCAGGGGAAACTTGTTCAGCCATGAAAAGCAGAGGGTAACCCAGAGGGGGAAGATGAGTTCATCAGAGGTACAGGAGGGGAATCACTGAGATCAAGATTTGGGGGCTGGGCAAGGTGGCTCATACCTGCAATCCCAACACTTTGGGAGGACGAGGCAGGAGGGTCACTTGAGCCCAGGAGTTTATGACCAGCCAGGGTAACATGGTGAACCACCCCCCCGCCACAAAAAAATACAAAAAAATTAGCCAAGCATGGTGGCTTGTGTCTGTAGTCCCAGCTACTTGGGATGCTCAGATGGGAGGATCACCTGAGCCTGAAGAGGTCGAGGCTGCAGTGAGCCGTGATTGCACCACGCCCTCCAGCCTGGACAACAGAGCAAGACCCTATCTCAAAAAAAAAAAAGAAAAAAGATTTGGGGATTGTTTCCTTCTAATTCCAAGACTTTGGGGCAGGAAGGAGAAAAGTATGGCCAAACAGTCTGTCTACTGAAGTGGAGTCCCTTAGAAGAGCTAAATGCTTTCTAGCAAGTAGGACAACCTCCCAGAAAATCTCACTTACTGTCCCAAAGCCCTCTCACTCCCATTGTCAGGTACTCTGTATGTTTTGTCTTGGACTAGAAATTAGCAACATCCATTTTGTGTGTTGTGGCCTCCATGAATCACGTCTTTCTGTTGTGTGATGTTACTATTCCTGCCATCCAGAAGTGGAGTCTGTCTTCTTACCCCTTGAATCTGGACTAACCTTGTGACTTGCTTTCACCCAGAGAATGCAGTGGATGTGTCATTCTAGGACTTCTAAGCTCAAGCCTTTGGAGATCTGGCAGCTTCCACTTTTGCTCTCAGGGCTCAACCTCCAGGTAGAGAAGCCCAAGGCTACCCTGCTGGAGAAAGAGGTCACTTTTTGTTTAAGAACAAGTTGTTAGGCCGGGCACAGTGGCTCATGCCTGCAATCCCAGCACTTTGGGAGGCTGAGGCGGGTGGATCACCTGAGGTCAGGAATTTGAGACCAGCCTGGCCAACATGGTGAAACCCCGTCTCTACCAAAAATGCAAAAATTAACCAGGCATAGTGGCGCACTTCTGTAATCCCAGCTACTCGGGAGGCTGAGGTGGGAGAATTGCTTGAAACCTGGAGGCGGAGGCTGCAGTGAGCCCAGATCGCGCCACTGCACTCTAGCCTGGGTGACAGAGTGAGACCCTGTCTCAAAAAAAAAAAAAAAATTGTTAAATACTTACCAATCTTGGAAGGGAATGAAATATTTCACTCTATCTTTCCTAGCTTTTGCATTTTAAAACATGCAAATATCACCTGCATAAAAAATGGGAATGGGCAGGGCACGGTGGGTCACTCCTGTAATCCCCAGCATTTTGGGAGGCCGAGGGGGGTGGATCACCTGAGGTCAGGGGTTCAAGACCAGCCTGGCCAACATGGTGAAACCCTGTCTCTACTGAAAATACAAAAATTAGCTGGGCATGGTGGCAGGCACCTATAATCCCAGCTACTGGGGAGGCTGAGGCAGGAGAATGTCTTGAACCTGGGAGGCAGAGGTTGCAGTGAGTGGAGATAGTGCCATCTCACTCCAGCCTGAGCAAGAGTGAAACTCCATCTCAAAAAAAAAGGGGGGGAGGGGGGAATTGGCCAGGCATAGTGGCTCATGCCTGTAATTCCAGCACTTTGGAAAGCCAAGGCAGGAGGATCACTTGAGGTCAGGAGTTCAAGACCAGCCTGGGCAACATAGTGAGATCCTGTCTCTACCTTAAAAAAATTGAACTTATTTTTAAAATATATTTCAAACATGGTCCAAACAATAAAGTAGAAAGGAGAAGAGGCAGAAAGAATATGCAGATGGAGGCTGCAAGGGAAAGAGAACACCTACAATCCACCCCACCAGTGAGACTGGAGCACTGGCTTGACTGGTCTGCATGAGCAAGGAGTTCCACATGTACCTGACTTCTCCCCTGCACAAGAAGCCCTGATTCTATAGTCTAACTAGCTATGGCCCCTCAGAGCTTATGACAAAGCCTGACCTTTAGGGCAATGATGGTGCTGGGGTGGGCCGGCTGTACCATCTGGCAGGACTCCAGGATCGGTCCTGCTGATCACCAGCTTATTTCATGTGTGTATTCCTGAGTGAGCAAGCTCTCCAGGCACAGCTCTGACTCTCCTCATTACCATTCCTTTCCCAGCCCTCTTGGGGGAGACCCAGTTGAGCCCTACCCAAATTGAGAGGATACTAATGCATAGTTTCCCAGGAATCATCACCTGCCTTCAGTCCATCTTGGTCAGATCACCCCTATCATCTGCATACATTGTAATCACCTGACTACAGGGTTCTTCCTGCCTACTGTGCAGACAAAATTAATTTACTGAGACTGGGGCATTGCAGTAGAGAAAGAGTTTGACTCAAGGCCAGCCCACACAGGGAAACTGGAGTTCTCACTCAAATCAGTCTCCCTAAAGGCTCAGAAACCTGGGGAATTTTATGGACAATTTGGTGACTGGGGGGTCTATGGAATGGGTGCTGCTGATTGGTTGGGGATGAAATTATAGGAGTATGGAAATGGTCCTTGTGCACTGAGTCCACCTTTAGGTGGGGGCCACAGAATCAGCTGAGTCAGACCCCCACAGGTGGGGTCAGTCTGAAAAAAATCTCAAAAAGACTCAATCTTAGTTTCTACAATAGTGATGTTATCTATAGGACCAATTGGGAAGGTCACAGATCTTGTGAGCTCTGGCCACATGACTCCTGAGCTGTGAGGGATTATAAAAACTACACCTATCTTGGCTGGGCACGTGGCTCACACCTGTAATCCCAGCACTTTGGGAGGCCGAGGCGGGCAGATCACAAGGTCAGGAGATCAAGACTATCCTGGCTAACATGGTGAAACCCTGTCTCTACTAAAAACACAAAAAACTAGCCAGGCGTGGTGGCATGTGCCTGTAATCCCAGCTACTTGGGAGGCTGAGACAGGAGAATTGCTTGAATTCAGGAGGTGGAGCCTGCCATGAGCAGAGATTGTGCCACTGCACTTCAGCCTCTCCAGCCTGGGCAACAGAGAGAGACTTCATCTCAAAAAAAAAAAGAAAGAAAGCCAATCACTGAGACAACAATTATTGCCAGGAAAGAAGGCCTTTTATTTGGGAATTTATTTTTTTTGTAATTTATTGTAGACACAGAGTCTCCCTTTTTTGCCCAGGCTGGTCTCAAACTCCTGGCCTCAAGCAGTCCTCCTGCCTTAGCTTCTTAAAGTGCTGGGATTACAGGTGCGAGGCAGCCAGAAGTTTGGGTTTTTGTTGGTGGTGGTGGTGGGTTTTTGTTTGTTTGTTTGTTTGTTTGAGACAGAGTCTCGCTCTATTGCCCAGGCTGGAGTGTAGTGGCATGATCTCAGCTCACTGCCACCTCTGCCTCCCAGGTTCAAGCGATTCTCCTGCCTCAGCCTTCCCATGTTTTAGTTAGTTTTTCCTACCAGACAACACAAGAAAGGATAATGCTGCATTTATTTTCATTCTCCGAAGCAACTACCACAGGGTTATTTATACACTTAGGAGGTAATTAGTAACTATCTACTCAGCTAAATGTTTTGCAGTTTTGTAAAGTTTGAAAAAATGGCGGCCAGGCACAGTGGCTCATGCCTGTAATCCTAGCAGTTTGGGAGGCCGAGGCAGGTGCATCATGAGGTCGGGAGTTCAAGACCAGCCTAGCCAAGATGGCGAAACCCTGTCTCTACTAAAAATACAAAAATTAGCCGGGCGCGGTGGCAGGCACCTGTAATCCCAGCTACTTGGAAAGCTGAGGCAGGAGAATCACTTGAACCCGGGGGGCGGAGGTTGCAGTGAACTGAGATCCGGTCACTGCACTCCAGCCTGGGGGACACAGCGAGGCTCCAACTCAAAAAAAAAAAAAAAAAAAAAGACAAAATGGCTGAGTACTTTCTGAATTCACACTTAGGATGTCAACACAGACTATATGTCTACAATATACTTATTATAGCTTGTGATTCAAATGCAGTCATGCATGGTTCTCACTACTGTAAAAGGTCTGCCTCAATGGATGGTATTATGACTTGGTATATTTGATCCTATTCCCTGGAAAAAAGACTCTGGAGATGAAAAGTTTGGGAGAAGTGCTCCTGGGATCAGCTCCTGGGGAAATGTAGAAACTGGAATTGGGAAGAGGGAAAAGCTGAACTACAGTACAGGTGCAACAGAGGGCTCAGTTTATCTCACATGGAGCTATGGAGCTGGAATAGCCACCTTGAGATAGGGTTCCATGCTTTTCTAGTGCTGCATCTACAGTAGACGGATGCAGACTGTCTCTGAAGAGGAGGGATGACATTGAATGAGATGGTTGAGTTGCCCTCTAGTTGAGGGCAACTTTCAGAGAGCAACTCAATAGAGAGCTTTCAGCCTCCAATATTCCCAAGAAACTAGAGAAACGAGTGCCTCCACCCTAAAGGGGAGCTGTGGTTGGCATACTACAACATCCACCAATGTATCCCTTTTTTCACTTAGATGCATTTTTTCACATAAGTTTTGGAATCAGCTCTTCCAGGATTCTGATGGGTCTCTCTTCTAGAACAAACTTTCAAGAGGAAGACTAGTAGAAAAAGATACAGCTCCTACCATTGTAACTAGTCTCAAGGTCACAAGTGACGCTCATGTTTTCCTGCTTTCCTTCTGGATTTCCTCAACCTGAGCTAGCACCTCTGCTGGTCTAAGTGATTTACCTTGTGGGTGACCCAGAACCCCATCTCTAAGGGGTCTGAACCCCTATCATCATCATGCTCTTCTCAGAGATGGCTGTTCAATTCGTCCATTTACCATCAAAATTGGGCAAAGCGTACAAAAGAAACACAGTAGGTGACCTAACTGCAAACATAGTCTTCCTTGCCCCATGATGTGACAACAGCCCTGATAAACAGCCCTCGTGATTACCAGAGTCAAGCACTTCTGCCAGGACAGTGACTTCAATCCTAGCCTGCTGGTCTCTTGACAAGAAGGGCTTGAAGTGAGTGGGTGGCAGTCACTGCTTAAACGTTAATCTCACAGAGAATTCTGGAGTTAGGATGTCCTTCAGAATGATCGCACCTTGGGGCACAGGCCACTACAGTCAACATAAATCAGTCATTAGATGCAGGCTGCACTGAGGGAGAGGATATGACCTTGAGGAAGACCCTCTCATTGGATGAGGCCGACTAATGGAGAGAGACTCAGTGAAAGTTGTTAACCACTGACACTCCCAGCAGTGAGAAAATGAGTGCCTCCATTCTGAAGGGTGATCTGAATGGCACATCACAGAATCCACTACACTTGATCACAAGTCCTTTAATTTGTTCTGTGACAGCTATTGCTATGAATGCTTTACAAATTATTTTATGGCCGGGCATGGTGGCTCATGCCTGTAATCCCAGCACTTTGGGAGGCTGAGGTAGGTGGACCACCTGAGGTCAGGGTATTTGAGATCAGCTTGGCCAACATGGCAAAACCCGGTCTCTGCTAAAAACACAAAAAATAACCAGGTGTGGTGGCACGCACATGTAATCCCAGCTACTTGGGAGGCTGAGGCAGGAGAATCACTTGAACCCGGAAGGTGGAGGTTGCAGTGAGCCAAGATTGTGCCACTGCGCTCCAGTCTAGGCAACAGAGTGAGACTCAAAAAAAAAAAAAAAAAAAAAAAAAAAAAAAAAAAAAACTTACCACCTGCCCTCTATTTGCCTGAAATTGCCACCATAGAGTCTCTTCTGCCTTCAAACCCTAATGCAGGCCAGATGAGGTGGCTCACACCTGTAATCCCAGCACTTTGGGAGGCCTTGGAGGGCAGATCACTTGAGTCCAGGAGTTCGAGACCACCCTGGGCAACGTGGCAAAACCCTGCCTCTACTAAAAATACAAAAATTAGCCAGGCATAGTGGTTTGTGCCTACAGGCCCAGCTACTCGGGAGGCTAAGTTGGGATGATCACTTCAGCCTGGGAGGTTGAGGCTTCAGTGAGCCATTATCCCACCACAGCACTCCAGCCCAGGTGGCAAAGCAACAAAACCACCTAATACAAGGGAAAATAAAAGATGAATCACGGCCGGGCACAGTAGCTCATGCCTGTAATTCCAGCACTTTGAGAGGCCAAGGCAGGCAGATCACGATGTGAGGAGTTCAAGACCAGCCTGGCCAACATGGCGAAACCCCGTCTCTACTAAAAATACAAAAATTAGCTGGGCATGGTGGCACATGCCTGTAATCCCAGCTACTCTGGAGGCTGAGGCAGGAAAATTGCTTGAACTAGGACCCAGGAGGCAGAGGTTGCAGTGAGCCAAGATCGCGCCACTGTACTCCAGTCTGGGCTACAGAGCGAGATTGTCTCAAAAAAAAAAAAAAAAAAAAAGAGGAGTCATGAATGTTTTGTGATGCCATGAAATAAAGTAGTGCATGAATAAATATGGGGGAATCTCAAAAGGACACAGAGCCAACCAAAGTAGTACTCAATGCCCAAATCCAGACCAATCTGAGAAATGAACTAAACAATGAGCGTAATGGATAACAACACAGAATTTTTTTAAAGTCCATGATTACATGCTGATATGAATAAATAATTGAATAAATAAATTAATAGGAGGGATAGGAGGGAAGAAACAGCCCTGCCTTGTGGAAGAATACCAATTATACATGTAGAAGGGGCTGGGCGCAGTGGCTCGCGCCTGTAATCCGTGTTCTTTGGGAGGCCAAGGTAGGTGGATCACCTGAGGTCAGGAGTTTGAGGCCAGCCTGGCCAACATGGCGAAACCCCGTCTCTACTAAAAACACAAAAATTAGCCAGGCGTGGTAGCACATGCCTGTAATCCCAGCTACTCAGGAGGCTGAGACAGGAGAATTGGTTGAACCCAGGAGGTGGAGGTTGCAGTGAGCTGAAACCACACCACTGCACTCCATCCAGCCTGGGCGACAGGGCAAGACTCCGTCTCAAAAAAATTGTAGAAGTAATAAGAGAAATGTAAAATAACCATCAGGCAAACAGTAGGGTAACAATCGTTCCAGGCAAGATTCACAATGGAATGCTAAAATCCGTGGGCAAAACGGGATATTCACATAATCCCAAGTATCTCTCCCAAGACAGTTCCCCTAAGATAGTTCCTCAATTATAATGTAGAAAAATAGTGATTTTTTTTTTTTTTGAAACAAGGTCTCACTCTGTCACCCAGGCTAAAGTGCAGTGGTGCCTTGAACTCCTGGGTCCAAAAGATCCTCCCACCTCCACCTCCAGAGTAGCTGGGATTACAGGTATGCACCCCCATCCCCAACTTTTTTTCTTTTAGAGACAGGGGTCTTGCTATGTTGTACAGGCTGGTCTCTGACTGTTGGGCTCCCACCCAAGCCTCCCAAAGGGTTGGGATTATAGATGTGAGCCGCTGTGCCTGGCCAAAAAATAGTGATTTTACATTGGAAACACCCAGCAGATACCACCTGAAACAAGAGATGAAGATTGGCCTCCCACAGCTCCCCTTGCGTGTGCTCCTGCATAACTCACACTAAAGAACCACGAGCAAAAAAGATCTTTAAAGGATTTTTAGAAGCTGAACTTTGGGCAGTTTGGGAGCATATTTTTTGTTTAATTAGATGAACAGAAGCCACAATTTCAAGCAAATAATGAGCAAGAAATTTCCCATCATTTTGGAAGTTTATTACAAATCCACTGAACAGTCTGAAATGTGTGGAATTGAAACTGCCTTTGCAAAAATTATAACAGTGACAAAAGTGTGACAGTGACAGAGACCTGACCTAACCAACACTATCTTGCTTCTAACCTCCAAGCTGCCCTTGTTCATTCGTGGGCATAGGACAAACTAACTTTGGGAGGAACTTAGTTTGCAGTTTAACTTTCAAACAAAGATGGTAACAGCCCTTTCCCCAAACAAACCTCCTTCTTGCCTGGAGACCAGATGGCCTTCGCAGAACTAACAAATTAGCCACAAGATTTGCAACTTCCTGCCGGGTGGGGTGGCTCACGCCTGTAATCCCAGCACTTTGGGAGGCCGAGGCGGATGGATCACAAGGTCAGGCGTTCAAGACCAGCCTGACCAACATGGGGAAACCCCATCTCTACTAAAAGAAAAAAAATACAAAAATTAGCCAGGCGTGGTGGCACGTGCCTGTAATCCCAGCTACTCTGGAGGCTGAGGCAGGAGAATTGCTTGAACGCGGGAGGCGGAGGTTGCAGTGAGCCAAGATCTCACCCCTGCACTACTCCAGCCTGAGCAACACAGCAAGACTCTGTCTAAAAAAAAAAAAAAAAAAAAAAAGATTTGCAACTTCCTCAGGAGGCTGAGGTGAGAGGATCACTTGAGCCCAGGCAGTCAAGGCTGCAGTGAGCTGTGACTGTGCCACTGCTCTCCCGCCTGGGCAACAGAGTGAGATCCTGTCTCAAAAAAAAAAAAAAAAAAAAGATTTGCAACTTTCTCAATTACTCCTGCAGAAAACATCACTATTTAGAACCTAAGATTGACCTTTTGAGATGTCTTTTCAGGTTTTTTCATTTCTAAAGGCCAATGGCTCTACCCAGACCCACCAACTACTTGTCCTGTGGCCACACCCAGAAGCGGACTCAGTGAGCAAGAGGCCCATTTTCCACACCCCTATGATTTCACTCCCAGCCAATCAGCAGTACCTATTCCCTAGTCACCCTCTCCTCCCCCAAATTATAAAAAAATTCCAGTCTCCCGTGGAGCCAGCTTTGTGTGAATTAAACTCTTTCTCTACTACAGTTCGCCTGTCTTGATAAATTAGCTCTATCTGGGCAGCAGGCAAGGAGGACCCACTGGGTTGTTACAGGATCAGAGAGTAAGAGCAAGAAAAATGGTTGAACAGCAACAATTAGGAATATGCCACTAATCAAGGTTTACCCTGCAGAGAAATACCATAGTATCAGGCAAGGTTAAAATTCCAAAATTGACATGGATGGGTTTTGGAATATTTAAGGCACAAGGTAAATTTTTTGTTTTTTTGGTGTTTTTTTTTTTTTGAAACAGTATCTAACTGTGCCACCCAGGCTGGAGTGCAGTGGCATGGTTATGGCGCACTGTAGCCTCAACCTCCTGAACTCAAACAATCCTCCTGCCTCAGCCTCCTGAGTAGCTGAGATCACCGGCATGCACCACCATGCCTGGTTAATTTTTTTTTTGTAGAGATGAAGTCTCGCCGTATTGCCCAGTCTTAAAATGTAAATTTTAGGCCGGGCGCAGTGGCTCACACCTGTGATTTCAGCACTTTGGGAGGCCAAGGCAGGTGGATCACCTGAGGTCAGGAGTTCAAGATCAGCCCGGCCAACATGGTGAAACCCCATCTCTACTAAAAATACAAAAATTAGCCAGGCATGGTGGCGGGCACCTGTAATCCCAGCTACTGGGAAGGCTGAGACAGGAGAATCACTTGAACCCGGGAGGCGAAGATAGCAGTAAGCCGAAATCGCTCCACTGCACTCCAGCCTGCACAACAGAGTGAGACTCCGTCTCAAAAAAAAAAAAAAAGAAAAAAAAGTAGATGTTAGAGATCTTATTCTTTGGACTGTAAAAAAATTGGTGGAAGATATGTTTATTATGTTACAAATGAAGCTTTGCTTGTACTATTGAAAATAAAGAGATTTTTCCTTTAAAAAGAAAAAACAGGCCAGGCACATTGGCTCACGCCTGTAATCCCAACACTTTGGGAGGCTGAGGCAGGCGGATCACCTGACTTCATGAGTTTGAGACCAGCCTGACCAACATGGGGAAACCCTGTCTCTACTAAAAATACAAAATTAGCCGAGCGTGGTGGCACATGCCTGTAATCCCAGCTACTCGGGAAGCCGAGGCAGGAGAATCCTTGAATCCGGGAGGCGGAGGTTGCAGTGAGCCAAGATCGCACCATTGTACTCCATCCTGGGCAACGAGAGCGAAACTCCATCTCAAAAAAAAAAAAAAGAAAAAAGAAAAAGAAAAAAGCGAAGAAAAAGAAAAAACAAAGATTTATCTCCTTATAGGATGCACTAAGGGCACAATATCACATGCATAACTTAAATCTAGCCACGAGAAAACTTCAGACTCACACAGGGAAACACTCTACACAATGTCTGACCAATACTCGTCAAAGTGTCAAAGTCATGAAACACAAGGAAATAAATTCAAGAATAAGGATACACAAATTGGAGGAGACTAGTGATATACAAAAACTAAATGCAATGTGGGATTCTAGATTAGATCCTGAAACATTAAAAGGCCATTAGGGGAAAGCTGGGAAAATGTTAAGGCCTACGGTTTAGTGAATAGTATTGTACCATTGTTAGTTTCCTGATTTTAATAATTCTACTGTGATTAAGTTGTTAATATTAGGGGAAGTTGAGGCCGGGGGCAGTGACTCATGCCTGTAATCCTAGTAGTTTGGGAGGCTGAGGCGGGCAGATCACTTGAGGCCAGGAGTTCAAGACCAGCCTGGCCAACATGGTGAAACCCCATCTTTACTAAAAATACAAAAATTAGCCGGGCGTGCTGGCATGCACCTGTAATCCCAGCTACTTGGGAGGCTGAGGCAGGAGAATTGCTTGAACCTGGGAGGCAGATGTTGCAGTGAGCAGAGATTGCACCACTACACTCCAGCCTGGGCAACAGAATGAGACTCTGTCTCAAAAAATAAATAAATAAATAAATAAATAAAATTAGGGGAAGTTGGGTGAAGAGTATATGTGAACTCTGTATACTATTTCCACAAATTCCTGTAAGTCCAAACTTTTTCAAAATAAAAATTGTTAAAAATATTTATGCAAGTTCTTCACATTGGCAGACTCTAACTTGGAATAGTATGGGGAAAGGGGTTGTGAGTGTTATAATTCCGGGCTCCCTCTCTGTGATATAGAGGGTCCTGGCAGTGATGAGAACTTCACAACAGACCATGTGGCATCTTCTACCCCTTTGGGAGCTCAGCATACACACCCACCCTCTATGCACAATTTTTTTTTTTTGAGGCAGAATCTCACTCTGTTGCCCAGGCTGGAGTGCAGTGGTGTGATCTCAGCTCACTGCAACCTCTGCCTCCCAGGTTCATGCCATTCTCCTGCCTCAGCCTCTCGAGTAGCTGGGACTATAGGTGCCCGCCACCATGCCCGGCTAATTTTTTTATATTTTTAGTAGAGCTGGGGTTTCACTGTGTTAGTCAGGATGGTCTCCATCTCCTGACCTCGTGATCCACCCACCTTGGCCTCCCAAAGTGCTGGGATTACAGGCGTGAGCCACCACGCCCAGCCCTCTATGCACATTTTTTTGGGGAAGAGGTGTATTCGTTGACTTTTTTTTAGATTCAGGAGGTACATGTGCAAGATTGTTGCATGGCTATATTGTGTAATGGTGACATTTGGGTTCTAGTGCATCCATTACCAAATAGTGAACATTTTACCCAATAAATAATTTTTTTTTTGAGACAGGGTCTAACTCTGTCACCCAGGCTGGAGTGCAGTGGTGCAATCTCTGCTCACTGCAACCTCAGCCTCCTGGGCTCAAGGGATTCTCATGCCTTAGCCTCCTGAGTCAGAGATGGTGTTTCACTGTGTTGCCCCGGCTCGAACCCCTGGCCTCAAGTGATCCTCCCACCTTGGCCTCCCAAAGTGCTGAGAACCCAGGTGTTAGCCACTATGTCCGGCCTCCATAGATAATTTTTAATCTACTCATATTTAATATGCCCACAAACAACTGTAACCCCATCATCTAGGTCCTGCCTAACATCCTGTTACTAGACCTTGTGCCATTAGAGATGCTGCCGTATTCTCCCTAAGAAGCAGACACCTCAAGGCCTATCAATCACTGTTAATCTCTCTCTAGGTGATGTTCATTACTTTTCTAGCTCAATTACAGTCCACTTCTGATATACAGTCATCTAAAGACTAAATTATCAAGTCCAATAGAGCTTAAAAAAAATGCTGGCTGGGCTCGGTGGCTTATGCCTGTAATCCCAGCACTTTGGGAGGCTGAAATGGGAGGATTGCTTGAGCCCAGGTGTTTGAGGCCAGCCTGAGCAACATGGTGAAACCCCATCTCTACCAAAAATACAAAGCTGGGCTCAGTGGCTTGGACCTGTAATCCCAGTTTACTTGGAAGGCTGAGGCTGGAGGATCACTTGAGGCCAGGAGTTCAAGACCAGCCTGGGTAACATAGTGAGATGCCATCTCTAAAAAAAAAAATTTTTGAGGACAGCCACGGTGGCTCACGCCTGTAATCCCGGCACTTTGGGAGGCCAAGGTGGGCAGATTGCCTGAGCTCAGAAGTTCAAGACCAGCTTGGGCAACATGGTAAAACCCCATCTCTACTAAAAATACAAAAATAAATTAGCTGGGCGTGGTGGCGCATACCTGTAATCTCAGCTACATGAGAGGTTGAGGCAGGAGAATTGCTTGAACCTGGGAGGCAGACGTTTCAGTGAGCCACGATCGTGCCACTGCACTCCAGCCTGGGTGACAGAGTGAAACTTTGTCCACCAACACCCTGCAAAAAAAAAAAAAAGAAAGAAAGAAAAAATACAAAAAATTAGCCAGTTGTGGTGGCACACACTTGTAGTCCCAGCTACTTGGGAGGCTGAGGCAGAAGAATTGCTTGAGCCTGGGAGGTGGAGGTTGCAGTGGGCCAAGATCACACCATTGCATTCCAGCCTGGGCTACACAGTAAGACTGTCTCAAAAAAAAAAAAAAGCTCAAATTATAATGTTAGCATTAACAAATATGCCTTAAGATCAGTACTAACATATTAATATAGCATGCAGAAGTATCTGGGATGGGTGGGAATAAAAAGAAGTATCTATACGCCAGGTCTGAGAAAGAAACCAATCCTTCTCCACCAATTGGTAATAGGCAATTGCCCATGAACACATAACGTGGGTTGAGAGGGAGATGTCAATAAAGCAGTAGTAGCTACCATGGAAATCTAAGCTATTGCTCATACAACTGCCTTGTGCCTTCAGAACATGTACAGGCATAATCTCAAATATACAGTTTCCACTGGATGCTGAATTTTTCGTATGCATGATCAACTTATGGCTTCATGGATTCAATAACACACCATGATAAGCAGCTGAGGTCAGAGGATAAGTTTCTCTATGATCTCTACCAGGGCTCAGGAATAAATCAAGAGCTCTTTCTCAAAAAAAGAATAGTTGCCTTCCCAAGATGGCATGATTTTGCTCCCAAATTCTACAAGTCTGAGTCGACATTCTTGATTGGGTTTTCTCAGAGGCTCCATCATATCTGCCGGATATACCATGGTAACTGTTGAATCTGCTGGATCATAAGGCTCAAGTGGCAGAGCAGCTAGCAATAAAGCTTGAGTCAGCTGCAGTGGTGCCTTGTCGTGCTCTAGTTTTTATTCAAAACTGAAACATTATGGGTTAGTCAGTAAATGGGTCAGAAAACACACTCAACTGAATACGCTGCCTCCAGAATCCACACTGGCCCACCAAATGCTGTGCCTCATTATTAGTGGCAGGAGTAGAAGATGCGCTAACTCGCCTTTCATTTGAGAGGGGCTATCTCAACACACTCCGCATCACAGAATTTCTAGAAACTTCAACACTGTGGCAAACTTTTGGATTTTTATGAGGTTTATCACCCATCCTCAGTCTTGAAGGTATCTTACTTAGAAAGACATCCAGGGTATTTGAAGTATTTTCATTATTAGGTCCAACAGTATCATGTGCTCAATTTATTTATTTTTATTTGTTTATTTTTAATTTATTTATTTTGAGACAGAGTCTTGCTCTGTCACCCAGGCTGGAGTGGAGTTGTGCCATCATAGTTCACTGCAGCCTCAACCTCCTGGGCTCCAGTGATCTTCCCACCTCAGCCTTCCGAGTAGCTGGGACTACAGGCACATGCCACCACATCTGACTAATTTTGTTTTTATTTTTTTATAGAGATGAGGTCTCACTATGTTGCTCAGGCTGGTCTTGAACTTCTGGGCTCAAGCGATCCTGCCTCGATCTCTCAAAGTACTGGGATTACAGGCATGAGCCACCACGCCCAGCCTGTATGCTGAATTCAGTATTACATTGGTGCAAAAGTTATCGCAGTTTTTGACATTATTTTCAATGGCAGATCAGAATGATGACTTGATTAAAAAAGATCAAGTTTCTTGCAGACTAGATTATAACATAGAGCCGAAGATTTAACATAGGCCTAAGAAAGTGAAGATACGCCACTATTCTTTCTAGGTGAAAACAACACCTTACAGTTTTTCTTAATTGGTTGTTAGAAAAAAGCATTTGCATGGTGGCTCACACCTGTAATCCCAGCACTTTGGGAGGCCAAGGCAGGCGGATCACCTGAGGTCAGGAGTTCGAGACCAGCCTGGCCAACATGGCGAAACCTCATCTCTACTAAAAATACAAAAAAAAAGAGCCTGGCCTGGTGGTGGGCACCTGTGATCCCAGTTACTTGGGAGACTGAGGCAGGAGAATCACTTGAACCCGGAAGGCAGAGGTTGCAGTGAGCCGAGATCACACCAGTGTACTCCAGCCTGGGTAACAGAGCAAGACTCCATCTCAAAATAAATAAATAAATAAAAGATGCAATAGGAATTTTTTTTTGGAGATGGGGGTCTCGCTCTGTCGCCCAGGCTGGAGTGCAGTGGCGCGATCTCAGCTCACTGCAAGCTCCGCCTCCCGGGTTCACGCCATTCTCCTGTCTCACCCTCCCAAGTAGCTGGGACTACAGGCACCCGCCACCACGCCTGGCTAATTTTTTGTATTTTTAGTAGAGACGGGCTTTCACCGTGTTAGCCAGGATGGTCTCGATCTCCTGACCTCATGATGTGCCTGCCTCGGCCTCCCAAAGTGCTGGGATTACAGGCATGAGCCACCGTGCCCGGCTGCAATTGGAATTTAAATTTACAATAATCCATTATCTCCTCAAAATCATTTTTTTGCACAGAACTAATAGGTAAATTAAGTGGGGAATCACTAATTCCACATCTTTGTGTTCTTTAATAGTGATATGAATCTCTGAAATTTCCCAAGGGATGCTATATTGCTTTTGAAGGCGTGTGGGGGCAATTTCAGGGCTTCCACTTGGCACTTCCTACCATAACAGCAGCCTTCCTTCCATGGGTTAGAAAGCCAATGTGAGGATTTTACCAGTTATTGAGTATAGAAAAAAAAATACAGAGTGGGTTCACAGACCACTAGACTTACTGCGGGATGAACTTAGACGATAACTCCATTTATCATGACTCCAAAAGTTGCCACTTTGACTAGTGTGGAGACACTAGTGACTCCATCTTGGACGCTAATCTTCCATGTTGACTTCTGATTAACCCACGTCCTGGGAATGCCTCCAGGATTTCCACTTTATTTACTGTCTTTAGTGTAAGAGCATGCCAACCTTGGTGTTATCAAATTATAGGCTATGACTCATATACTCTCCTTGGAGGGTTGCCTTCAATTGTCCTGCACTTTTCTTTTTTTTTTTTTTTTGAGATGGAGTCTCGCCCTGTCACCCAGGCTGAAGTGCAGTGGTACAATCTCGGCTCACTGCAACCTCTGCCTCCCAAGTTCAAATGATTCTCCTGCCTCAGCTTCCCGAGTAGCTGGGATTACAGGCATGTGCCACCACGCCCGGCTAATTTTGTATTTTTAGTAGAGATGGGGTTTCTCCATGTTGGTCAGGCTGGTCTCGAACACCCGACCTCAGGTGATCTGCCCGCCTCAGCCTCCCAAAGTGCTGGGATTACAGGCGTGAGCCACTGCGCCCAGCCACCCAGTTGATTTTTTTTAAGAGATGGGATCTCATTATGTTGCCCAGTCTGGTCTTGAACTCCTGGGCTCAAGCAGTCATCCCACCTTGGCCTCTCAAAATACTAGAATTACCGGCGTGAGTCAACATGCACAGTGCCTACGGCCCTTTCAGGAAACAATTAGAATTTGAAGTCTTACGGTTTTGGAGGTCAGGAGTTTAAAATGGGTTGATCAGCTGCATTATTTTTGGAGGCTCTAGGGGAGAGTCTGTTTTCTTGCCTTTTCCACCTTCTAGAGGTTGTCTGCATCGCTTGGATCGTGGCCCCACATGCTCCAATCTCTTCTTTGTTGTCACATGTCCTGTCTCTCTGACCTTCCCGACTCCCTCTCATGAGGACCTTTGCGATCACGTTGGCTCCACATGGATAATCCAGGATAATCCCCCCGTCTAAGATCCTCAGCTTAATGACATCTGCCAAGCCACGTATTCCCAGTTTCTACTCCAGGGATTAGGAAGTGGACTACATTTTGGGGGGATATTATTCAGCCCACCACACAAAGATTCCTCAGGACATTGCATCAATTAAGAGACAGCATCCAGCAATCCCTGACAGTTCTGGGTATTTTCCTTTCTACAGTACACAACCACTATGGTAAAAGGCTACAGATCTCCTGTGGCGTGGCAAGGCAAGGAAGAAGAGGCCGTTTGTCTGTGTGGCCACACTGCAGGGTCATTCTCCCCGGGGCTTTTCCTCCCCTTTATTCAAGCAGCGCTAAGTCTATAAACCGGCTCAAGTGTGAGAATTGGATGAGAGATAATGACCCTACAATCAGGTCTGGGGACTCCATAATTATAACATTTGTACATATTCAGCCAGGTGCGTTGGCTCATCCTTGTAGTTTAAGCCCTCTGGGAGGTCAAGTCGAGTGAATCACTTGAGCTCAAGAGTTAGAGACCAGGCCTGAGCAACATGGCAAAACCCTGTCTCTGCTGAAAAAATAAAAAAATTAGCTGAGAGTGGTGGCACATGCCTGTAGTCCCAGCTGCTCTGGAGGCCGAGGCAGGAGGATGGCTTGAGGCCCAGGAGGCAGAGGTTCCAAGATCATGCTACTGCACTCTAGCCTGGGTGACAGAGCGAGACCCTGTATTGGGGGGGAAAAAAAGAACATTTGTACTTCTTAATATCAAGTAAGGCCAGGTGCAGTGGCTCACACCTGTGATCCCAGCACTTTGGGAGGCTGAGGCAGTAGGGTCACCTGAGGGTCAGGAGTTCGAGACCAGCCTGGCCAATATGGTGAAACCCCATCTCTACTAAAAATACAAAAGTTAGCTAGGCATGGTGGCACACACATGTAATCCCAGCTACTCAGGAGGCTGAGACCAGAGAATTGCTTGAACTCAGGAGGCAGGGTTGCAGTGAGCCGAGATCACGCCACTGCACTCCAGAGAGTGCGAGACTCCGTCTCAAAAAACAAAACAAAACAAAAAAAATCAAGTAAGACTTTAGTGCAGTTCCCATATGTTTTATGCCTAGGGACATCACAATCAATGAGACATCAGGGAGAATATCTTGAGTAAAGCCATTCTGATTATTGTCCATCCATGCTTACTGTCCACTACGATAACGATGACCCTATTTCTTTTTTTTTTCTTTTTTTGGCTAGTCAAGAGATGCAGTGGAAGTGGAGAAGGAACAAATAAATCTGTAACTGGCTGTGATCAATTGGTTGTAAACACCACTGCACTTGGACCAGCAAGATGACCCTGTTTCTAATGATGCTTGGCCTGTACTTGGCCTCTGACACTCTGGAAACTAACTAGCAGCAGTCAAAACCACAGTTGCCTTTTTTGTTTTACATGTGTGTTTTTTTGAGACAGGGTCTTGCCCTATCACCCAGGCTGAGTGCAGTGATCATAGCTCACTGCAGCCTCAAACTCTTGGGCTCAAGTGATCCTGCTATCTCAGCCTCCCAAGTAGATGGGACTGTAGGCTTGTGCCACCATGTCAAGCTAATTTTTTTTTTTTTCATAGAGACAAGGTTTTGCCATGCTGCTCAGGCTGGTCTTGATCTGCTGGGCTCAAGCCATCCACGTAACTCGGCCTCCCAAAGTGCGGACGTTACAGGCATGAGCCACTGCGCCTGGCCAGGAGCTCCTTCTTTACACTGTCAGGTACCAGGGCTCTGCCTTTTGGAGTAATTTCAACCACCAAGTCATCAACAGTAATGTGCTCCAGTCCTTTCTTTCTGATTACTTTTACAATTCCAGCCACATTCAGCTAATTTAGCTCTCAGCAACTCTTTGAGGTGTTTTCTTTCAGCAGTTTCTATTGACTTTTGGTTAATTGCTGCTCTCATCTGCACTTTTTTTTTTTTTAGATGGAGTCTTGCTCTGTTGCCCAGGCTGGACTGGAGTGCAATGGCACAATCTCGGCTCACTGCAAACTCCACCTCCCAGGTTCAAGCGATTCTCCTGTCTCAGCCCCCAAGTAGCTGGGATTACAGGCGTCCACCACCACACCAGGCTAATTTTTTGTATTTTTAGTAGAGATGAGGGTTCCCCATGTTGGCCAGGCTGGTTTCGAACTCTTGACCTCAAGTGAACCGCCCGCCTTGTCCTCCCAAAGTGTTAGGAGTACAGGCATCAGCCACTTCCCCGGCTCATCTGCACATCTTTATCTTGTTAACCATATACTCTTTGGTGGCCTGGACTTAGACCCTCACTCTAGTAACATGCTTTTATTTTTATTTATTTATTTATTTATTTTGAGATGGAGCTTCACTCTGTCACCCAGGCTGGAGTGCAATGGTATGATCTTGGCTCACTGCAACCTCCGCCTCCTGGGTTCAAGCGATTCTCCTGCCTCAGCCTCCAGAGTAGCTGGGACTACAGACGTGTGCCACCATGCCCGGCTAATTTTTTATATTTTTAGTAGAGATGGGATTTCACCGTGTTAGCCAGGATGGTCTCGATCTCCTGCCCTTGTGATCTGCCCGCCTCAGCCTCCCAAAGTGCTGGGATTACAGGCATGAGCCACTGTGCCCAGCCTTATTTTTATTTTTATTTTTGAAAAGGAGTCTCGCTCTGTCTCCCAGGCTGGAGTGCAGTGGCTTGATCTTGACTCACTGCAAATTCCACCTCCCGGCTTCAAGCGATTCTCCCACCTCAGTCTCCCGAGTAGCTGGGATTACAGGCGCCTGCCACCATGCCCGGCTAATTTTTGTATTTTTAGTAGCCGGTTTCACCATATTGGTTGGCCAGGCTGGTCTTGAACTCTTGATCTCAGGTAATCCGCCCGCCTCAGCCTCCCAAAGTGCTGGGATTAGAAGCGTGAGCCACCACGCCCAGCTCATCTGCACACCTTTATCTTGCTAACCATGGTCTTTGGCTGCGTGGACTTAGACCCTCATTCTAGTTACATGCTTTTAAAGTATTGTTGGAAACATGTGCAGAACAGTATATATAATGTGCTACTGTTTCTGTAACGAAAGGGAACCATATATACACACAGATTTTCTTGTAAGCATGTAGGCAACCTTGGGAATGACACACTAGAGCTGGTAACGTTGTTTTCCTCCAGAGAGAAGTAAGGAAGCAAGAGACAGAAGTGGGAGGACTTTGCCGTGTACACACATTTATAATGTGTGAATGCAAGGCCTATTTTTCGTTTGTTTGTTTTGTTTTGAGACAGAGTCTCACTCTGTCACCCAGGCTGGAGTGCAATGGTGCAATCTCGGCTCACCACAACCTCTGCCTCCCTGGTTCAAGCGACTCTCCAGCCTCAGCCCCTCGAGTAGCTGGGACTATAGGCACAAGCCACTGCGTCTGGCTAAGTTTTTAATTTTTTTTTTTTTTTTTAAGTAGAGATCGGGTTTCACCGTGTTGGCCAGGCTGGTCTTGAACTCCCTACCTCAGGCGGTCTGCCCGCCTTGGCCTCCCAAAGTGTGCTGGGATTACAGGTGTAAGCCATCATACCTGGCCTTTTTTTTCCTTTTCTTTTTGAGGTGGAGTCTCACTCTGTCACCTAGGCGGAAGTGCAGTGGCACGATCTCAGATCTCGGCTCACTGCAACCTCTGCCTCCTGGGTTGGAGCGATTCTCCTTCCTTAGCCTCCTGAAGTAGCTGGAATTACAGGCGTGCGCCACCATGCCTGACTAATTTTTGTATTTTTAGTAGAGGCGAGGTTTCACCATGTTGGCCAGGCTGGTCTCGAACTCCTGACCTCACGTGATCCACCCGCCTCGGCCTCCCAAAGTGCGGGGATTACAGGCATGAGCCACTGAGCCCAGCCGCAAGGCCTGTTGAAAAAGAATAAAATGTGAAACATAAAATAAAGGGATTACTGGGTTTTTTGTTCCTAGAAAGCCTGGACTCTGGCCTCTTAACAGAATCAGGACTAGGCCCCACCGAACTATTAAAAGACAGGCTCAATGGCTGGCCCTTGGGAATAGCTGGAGGCAACAGTCTGGCACTGGGTGCCTGCCTGTCCCTACTGATCCACCTGCTGAGAAGCCACCTGGGGGAATAACTGAATAATAAAGGACTCAGCTTCTCTGGGGACTCTGGAGCTCATTGTAGCAAGTTAGTGTTGGAGAAAATTATCCTTCTTAGGGGATGCTTACTGAAGTATTTTATAGTGAAGCAACTATGCCTGAATGTGTATTCAGTTCAGGGGGAAAAAGTGGGCGTATAAAAATGTACACAATTATATACATGTATGGGGGATGACTGAGGGCACAAGAAATGCAGATGTCCAAAATGTTAAAAATTGTTGAATCGGCCAGGCGTGATGACTCACACCTGTAATCTCAGTACTCTGGGAGGCCAAGGCAGGAGGATCACTTGAACCCAGGAGTTTGAGACCAGCCTGGACAAAAAAAAACAAAAAACAAAAGGTGAGACCCCATCTCTAAAAAAAAACAAACAAATAATCATGTGTGGTGGCATGCACCCTGTAATCCCAGCTGCTTGGGAGGCTGAGACAGGAGGATCTTTTGAGCCCAGGAGTTTGAGGCTGCAATGAGCCATGATTGCGCCACTGCACTCCAGCCTAGCCTGGGTAACAGAAACAGTCTCAAAAAAAAAAAAAGTTGACTCTAGGTGGGTGGAATATAGCTGCTCATTATACTTTTTTTCCATGTCTTCTGTGATGTTTGAAAATTTCAAAATCAGATGGAAAAAGAAACATATTTTTAAGTACTTCTGACAGTAAGCTTTAAGGACAAAGTCAAAACTAAACATAATGCAGAACACTGTTTCATCCTAGGAAGAAGCCTAGATGAGATTGGATGTGTACATTTGCCCATTTGCCCAGACTGGTTGCTTTCTAGATATATCCACTGTACCTGTTTGTCAAACTCTGGAATTTTTTTTTTTTTTTTTTGAGACGGAGTCTCACTCTGTCGCCCAGAATGGAGTGCAGTGGCATGATCTCAGCTCACTGCAACCACCTCCCAGGTTCAAGTGATTCTCCTGCCTCAGCCTCCTGAGTAGCTGGGATTACAGGCATGCGCCACTACACCTGGCTAATTTTTGTACTTTTAGTAGAGACAAGGTTTCACCATGTTGGCCAGACTGGTCTCGAACTCCTGACCTCAGGTGATCCA
Source organism: Homo sapiens (assembly GCF_000001405.40). NCBI lineage: Eukaryota > Metazoa > Chordata > Mammalia > Primates > Hominidae > Homo > Homo sapiens. Next base: position 128,063,949 of record NC_000002.12, on the reverse strand, counting down.
CCCGCATCAGCCTTCCAAAGTGCTGGGATTACAGGCGTGAGTCACTGCGCCTGGCCAAACTCTGGAGTCTCCATTAAGGGAGTGCTTGGGTACTGATGGTGAGGCCAGGCTCAGCCTAAGCAGTCATAGATGAATGTTGCCAGTAACCAGAGAGAAAAAACAGACCAGGCAGGGTAAATCAAGTAGGACGTGCTTGCCCAAAGGATACGAAAGGACATCAGTGCATTTGGAGATACGGTCAAGACATGAGCCCCCTTTTCCAGGACAGCTGATGATTTAAGCTCCTGGACCCCCATTCTGTGACCGTGTGGAGCCTCCTTCTCTTCCTCGTTCTTGGAGATCCCTCTAGAGGCCAGAGTGTGCCACTGACACACAGGGAGTGCAGGAGCTGAGCTGCACAGAGTTCTCTCTGGGATGACCTCTCCTACAAATGAGGTTGGTTGGTTGGAGATTTAAGAGTGGTTCTTTCCTGCCACCTGAAGGTATCATTCTGGTCTTATGGGAGCATGGAATTCCTCCAAATGTTGAGCAGGTGCCAGAGTGGGAATGCTAAGGAAAACCAAGGGAGTGGCAAACCTAATTACTGTGAACTGGCAGACGGGCTCTGCAAGGATGCACTGCGGGAGGTGGATATGTTCCATATGGCCACTGACGGGGTTAAGTGAGCAATGGAAATGCGGACGTCTTCAATCTAGAAGGCCATGTGTGGCACTACAAATGCAGGTCATGAGCCAGCCATCAAAATATGAAATGATATGGTCAGGGAAGCCACAGAAGTAGGGCCAAAACCCTCAGGAGGCAGGAATAGGTCCACGGGACGTGGGACTGCAGGAATTCCCATTCTGTACTGCTGATGCTGTTAGCTGTTTTTCTTTTTCTTTTTTTTTTTTTTTTTGAGACAGAGTCACGCTGTGTCCCCCAAGCTGCAGTACAGTGGCACAATCTTGGCTCACTGCAACCTCCGCCTCCCGGGTTCAAGCGATTCTTCTGCCTCAGCCTCCCTCTTGCAACCATGCCTAGCTAATTTTTTTGTGTATTTTTTTTTAGTAAAGACAGGGTTTCACCATGTTGGCCAGGCTGGTTTGAAACTCCTGACCTCAGGTGATCCACCCGCCTCAGCCTCTCAAATTGCTAGGATTACAGGCATGAGCCACCGCTCCCGGCCTGATGCTATTAGCTGTTTTTCTAACGGCGATCGGCTTCTTGGGTGGCCTTGTGGCCTTGGGTGGCTAACATACCTTCTGGCTGGTGCATGGCAGTCCTGAGGTCATGGCACTGTGGATCATCGCCTGGGCCAGGTGCCAGAGCAGGACCACTACCCTTGAGCTGCACTGCCAAAGCAGAGATGGAAAATGAAGAGGCAGCCTCAGGAAGATGTCAAGTCAATGTTAGGACCAAGGAAGTCCTCAGTTAAAAGAGACTGGTCAGAAGGAGATCTTGGTAGTCGCCAAAAGGATGGAAGCTGGAAGAAACAGATAAGACAAGAATCAAGGTGAAGCACAGAAGAGGCAGGGCCTGAGTCTCTAAGAATAGAGCTGTAGAGATGTCCTTAACCTTTCATTTGCCACAGACCACCTTTGACAGTCTTAAGAAGCCCAGTCATCCTTCTCAGAAAAATGTCCTCGGCCCGGTGCAGTGGCTTACGCCTATAATCTCAGCACTTTGGGAGGTCGAGGCGGGCGGATCACAAGGTCAGGAGTTCAAGACCAGCCTGGCCAACATGGTGAAACCCCATCTCTACTAAAAATACAAAATAGCCGGGCATGGTAGCAGGCGCCTGTAGTCCCAGCTACTCGCAAGGCTGAGGCAGGAGAATCGCTTGAATCCTGGAGGTGGAGGTTGCAGTGAGCCAAGATTGAGCCACTGCACTCCAGCCAGGGCGACAGAGCGAGACTCTGTCTCAAGAAAAAAAAAAAAAGAAAAGAAAGAAAAATGTCCTTAAGTGTGTAAGATAAAATACATAGGGCCCCAAAGGGAACAAATTATATACACACATGTTTATTATCAAAATGTATGAAAAACAAAGCTGGGCCAGGCACAGTGGCTCATGCCTGTAATCCCAGCACTTTGGGAGGCTGAGGCGGGTGGATCACTTGAGCCCAGCAGTTCAAGATCAGTTTGGGCAACATGATGAGACCCTATCTCTACAAAAAAATTTAAAAATTAGCTGGGCACAGTGGCTCACGCCTGTAATCCCAGCACTTTGAGAGGCCAAGGCAGGCAGATCACCTGAGGTCAGGAGTTCGAGACCAGCCTGGCCAACATGGTGAAACCCCATCTATACTAAAATACAAAAATTAGCCGGATGTGGTGGCGCACACCTGTAGACCCAGCTACTTGGGAGGCTGAGGCAGAAGGATTGCTTGAGCCAGGGAGGTGGAGGTTGCAGTGAGCCAATATCGCCTCATTGCACTCCAGCCTGGGTGGCAGAGGGAGCCCTTGTCTCAAAGAAAGAGAAGAGAAGAGAAGGGAAGAGAAGGAAAAAGAAAAGAAAAAAAGAAAGGAAAGAAAGGGAAACGAAAGGCAAGGCAAGGCAAATCTGTGCATATTAATACCTATGCCTCTTTATCAATGTTTTAAGGAGCAAACTCTATCAGTAAATCTAATAACCAATATACCTTCAATATGGTGATGATTCCAATTTCTATTTTGACATAGAGTTTGTGCAATGTGATTTGAAAATACATGTAATTTCTATTGGTGACAAAGTTACAGGTACTGCTAATATTACCAAAATCTGTTCTTGTATGTATAATGGAAGGAAATGGCAATTTTCAGAGACATTGATGAAAATTAATATGCACTTTTTTCCCATCCAAGTTCACAGACCCAGTAGATTCTATCTTGACTCCTCCACTTTAGATCAGTGCTCTAGAGTCTTTTACCTACAGAACCCAAAGCCATAGAGGCCATTTCTTTTTCTTAGTCCTTCCCTGGGAAATGTGGGACCAGGGTTTCTCTAAGTTTGCCTTGTGGAAGGTTCTACTTCAACTGTCTTGCTTCAGAGGGAGAGGCAGAAGCTTTCCTTTCTTCTAGCTCAGTATTTTCCATGCATTTTGACCTACACCCCATAATAAGAAATGCATCTTGGCTGGGCGTGGTGGCTCACGTCTGTAATCCCAGCATTTTGGGAGGCCGAGGCAGGCAGATTATTTGGGTCAGGAGTTTGAGACCAGCCTGGCTAACACAGTGAAACCCCGTTTCTACTAAAAGTACAAAAATTAGCCAGGCGTAGTGGCACATGCCTGTAGTCCCAGCTACTTGGGAGGCTGAGGCAGGAGAATGGCTTGAACCCAGAGGCGGAGGTTGCAGTGAGCCAAGATCGTGCCACTGCACTCCAGTCTGGGCGACACAGTGAGACTCCATCTCAAAAAAAAAAAGAAAAGAAAAAAAGAAATGCATCTTGTACTGACACCCAGCACACATACTCACAACTGAAACTGCAATTTCAGAAAAGAATATTCTACTCCATATAGTACATTAATTTGCTAGCGTTGTCATAACAAAATGCCACAGACTAGGGGGCTTAAACGACAGAAATTTGTTTTCTCATAGTTCTGCAGACTGGAAGTTCTAGATCAAGGTCTCAGCAGAGTTGGTTTCTTCTCCGGCCTCTCTCCTTGTGGTAGCCACTTCCTCGCATGATCTTTCCTCCATGTAGTTGGATGCTCCTGAAGTTGCTCTGTGTCCAAACTTCCTCTTCCTATAAAGACACTGGTCAAACCGGGGAGGCAGAGGTTGCGGTGAGCCGAGATCGCACCTTTGCACTCCAGCCTGGGCAACAAGAAAAAAACTCCGTCTCAAAAAAAAAAAAAAAAAAAAAAAAAAGACACCAGTTAGATTCTATTAGGGCCTGTGCTAATGACCTCATTTTAACTTAATCACCTAAAATCTGTGCCTCCAAATATGGTCATATTCTCATGTCCTGGGGCTAGGACTTCAACATACGAATTTAGGGGGAACATCATCCTCCCCATAATATATAGTAAGGAAAAACAACTATATTTACATAAAAATATTCTTTGTTTTTTTTTTTTTTTTGAGACCGGGTCTCGCCCTGTCACCCAGGCTGCCATGCAGTGGCATGATCTCGGCTCACTACAACCTCCGCCTCCTGGGTTCAAGCAATTCTCCTGCCTCAGCTTCCCAAGTAGCTGGGATTACAGGTACCCACCACCACACCTGGCTAATTTTTTTGTATTTTTAGTAGAGATGGGGTTTCACCATGTTGGCCACGCTGGTCTCGAACTACTGACCTCAAGTGATCTGCCCGCCTCGGCCTCCCAAAGTGCTAGGATTGCAGGCATGAGACTCCATACCCGGCCACATTCTTCTTCTTCTTCTTCTTTTTTTTTTTTTTTTGACAGAGTCTCACTCTGTTGCCCAGGCTGGAGTGCAGTGGTGTGATCTTGGCTCCCAGGTTTGCTTAACCACCTCCCAGGTTTAAGCAATTCCCCTGCCTCAGCCTCCCAAGTAGCTGGGACTACAGGCATACGCTGCCACGTCCATCTAATTTTTTGTATTTTAGTAGAGACAAAGTTTCACCTTTTTGCCCAGGCTGGTCTCGAACTCTTGAGCTCAGGCAATCTGCCTACCTCAGCCTCCCAAAGTGCTAGGATTACAGACGTCGTCCAGGCTGGAGTGCAGTGACGCTATCTCGGCTCACTGCAAGCTCCGCCTCCCGGGTTCACGCCATTCTCCTGCCTCTGCCTCCCGAGTGGCTGGGATTACAGGCGCCTGCCACCACGCCCAGCTAATTTTTTTTTGTATTTTTAGTAGAGACGGAGTTTCACCTTGTTAGCCAGGATAGTCTTGATCTTCTGACCTCGTGATCCGCCCGCCTCGGCCTCCCAAAGTGCTGGGATTACAGGCGTGAGCCACCGCGCCCGGCCCAAAATATTCTTTAAATACAGCAGCGTCTTAGTCCATTTGGGCCACTATAACAGAATGCCATAGACTGGGTGGCTTAAAAAACAGACTTTAAAAAAAAAAAAAGACAGGGTCTTGGCTGGGCCCTTGGCTCTCACCTATAATCCCAGCACTTTGGGAGGCCAAGGTGAGTGGATTGCTTGAGGTCAGGAGTTTGGAGTTTGAGACTAGCCTTGCCAACAAGGCAAAAACCCTGTCTCCACAAAAAATACAGAAAAATTAGCCGGGCTGTTGGCATGTGCCTGTAGTCCCAGCTACTCGTTAGGTTGAGTTGGGAGGATCACTTGAACCCGGGAAGTTGAGGCTGCGGTGAGCCGTGATGCTGCCACTGCACTCCAGCCTGGGCAATATTGTGAGACCCTGTCTCAAAAAAACAAAGAGACAGGCTCTCTCTACATTGCCTAGGCTGGAGTACAGTGGCTATTCACAGGCATGACCATAACACACTGCAGCCTGGAACTCCTGGACTCCTGTCCCAGTAGTAGCTTGAGACTACAGTTGCACGCCACCACACGTGGCTAACAACAGACATTTATTTCTCACAGTTCTGGAGGCTGGAAGTCCAGGATCAAGGCATTAGCAAATGCAGTGTCTCCTAAGGGTGCTCTTCCTGGTTTGCAAATGCCATCTGCTCCTTGTATCCTCAAATGGTAGAGAGAGAGATGGATCATCTGTCTTATGACTCTTTTAGAAGGGAACTAATCCCATAATAAGGGCTCTGCACTTATGACCTCATTATCTCCCAAAGGCCCCCCTCTGAATCCCATCACAATGGGGACATAGGAATGTGAGGAGACACACAACCATTCAGTACATAACAAACAGATAAACAAATCCACACTCTTACACTCGGAAAAAAAAGTTTCTTATATCATATATTTTATAGTTATATATTAATGTATATATTACTTCATATTTTCTATATATATTGTAATGAGTGTCCTTGCTTCTTGATACATTCAGTACAGCCTGAAACACATGGACAATACACCATGCACAAGAGCCAGGACTCGCTTTTGACTTTAATCAGGTCAGGGTTGCCTTTGTATTTGACATTGGAAGGTCACTGGAAACAGTGATAATAATAACATTACAATCTTTCTACTTGATAGTTACATTTTTTCATCTTAATGTTTCATAATCATTCTTCAATGTAAATAAGAAATCAGCTTGTTCTTCAGGCTCCACATTTAATTCAATTATCAACACGTGGATACTTTATCTCAATATTTTTCTTTAATGTTTCACATTTTTCTTGTGGAATGGCAAGAGCAAAAGTTAAAGTAAGACAGATAATGTGAGATGTAACAATACCTCCCATTTTGTTTATTCAACCTATCTTCATTGTAATATTTTCTTCATATTGTAGCTAAGGCAATCATCTTTTTTTTTTTTGTAACTTACTGTAACAATACTGTCCTTTGAGCCCTTAAATATCCTGAATGTGCTAAAATCATGCTTCCCGGCCCTGCGTGGTATGTTGCAATGGTGCCTGCCTGTAGTCCCAGCTACTCTGGAAGCTGAGGCAAGAGAATCCTTTGAACCCAGGAGGCCAAGGCTGCAGTGAGCCCAGATGGAGCTACTGCATTCCAGCCTGGGCAACATCTCAAAAAAAAAAAAAAAAAAAAAAAAAAGGCGATTGTTTAGAACAAGAGATCTTGCTAAAATCTTTTTTTTTTTTAATTTAAGGGTCTTTCTAATTGATAGGATTCATCTTTTGGCCACTGGTTATTAGAATTTCCCATGGTGTTCTCATTCCAATAGTGACTCAATTCAATAAGCTTCTTCATGGAAAACATAGAGGTAGTTTTCCTGGTTTAGCATAAGTTTTTACCATGTAAACTAGGTGTTTCCCGGAGAGGGCATCAAGGAGGCAGTCCTGATGATCCAACCCCCCCACTTCAAGAAATTCATTCCCAGGAACAGGCTAAGATGGGAAAAGACTTGTTGCCACAAAAGGTTAAGGATGGTGCTTGTGCACACAATACCTCTAGTATCCCACAAATTTGTGGAGGGCCACCAGTCATGGACCCATTAATCTATGACACCCAGTAGGTCCTGCTGGGCTTGGACTTCCCCAGGACTAACCAGGAAATAAGAGTTGAGATGACAGACTCTTATGAATTAGAACAAAGAGTGTGCTGGTTAAAATCTTACATGTCTCGGCCGGGCACAGTGGCTCAAACCTGTAATCCCAGCACTTTGGGAGACTGAGGTGAGCGGATCACGAGGTCAGGAGATCGAGACCATCCTGGCTAACATGGTGAAACCCCGTCTCTACTAAAAATACAAAAAATTAGCCAGGCATGGCAGCAGGCGCCTGTAGTCCCAGCTACTCAGGATGCTGAGGCAGGAGAATGGCGTGAACCCGGGAGGTGGACCTTGCAGTGAGCCAAGATCTTGCCACTGCACTCCAGCCTGGGAGACAGAGCGAGACTCCGTCTCAAAAAAAAAAAAAAAATCTTACATGTCTCCAGGTTCTCAGCCATTTTTAGATTGGCCACCTGACATCACCCAAAAATTACACCTTTCAGATGGTGGAGAGCAAGAGAGTGTTCCAACTTGGTCACAAATCAAATTCTCAAGGACCTAAAACAAGATGAGACTTTTTATTTTGAGGACCAACAACAAAGTTTATCTAAATAGATGCCAGTATGGTCAGAACCACAAAACTGACCAGTGTGCAAAGCCAACTGGAACAATGGGCTTACGGGGTTTTAGGCCATGTTCTACCCCCATCATATCCCTCTTTATGACGGAACAACATAGAAAGACTATGGCAAATGACAAGACTATTTCTGGGAGGAAAAAGGTCAGACAATACGAATATTCATACCAAAAATATCCAGAGTCTGTATACCCAACTAGTCACACAAACCTTTTTCTCCCATTTGTAAATCAAAGAAAATGACTGAGGTAAGTCTGAATATTTTAGGAGGCTTACTTGCCAAAGTTAAGGACACTCCCAGGAAAGACCTTAGGCCCTCAGGAAAAACTGTGGTCTACGCTTTTTCCAAAAAGAGTCTAAGGGGTCTCAATATTTAAAGGGAAAAGGGAGAGTATTGGAGAGAGAAGTAATTTTTAAAAGGGTATGCGTAGGTAAGAGGCAAGTGCCTGCATCCTTTTGAGTCTTTGATCAGCCTTTCTTTTTTTTTTTTTTGAGACAGACTCGCTCTGGCACCCCGGATGCAGTAGAAGTGGAGTGGCACGATCTCGGCTCATTGCAACCTCTGCCTCCTGGCTTCAAGCGATTCTCCTGCCTCAGCCTCCCAACTAACTGGGATTACAGGCATGTGCCATCACACCCAGCTAATTTTGTATTTTTAGTAGAGATGGGGTTTCTCCATGTTGGTCAGGCTGGTCTCGAACTTTCAACCTCAGGTGATCTGCCCGCCACGACCTCCCAAAGTGCTGGGATGACAGGCAGGAGCCACCGTGCCCGGCTGTACCTACCCTTTTTCATAGGGGAGGGAGGACACGGGAATGTACACAATTCTTTTGAAGGGCAGTAAATGATGATTAGGGAGAATGAATGGACAAGGGAGATAAAAATTCACTTACAAATGATTCTGTTTGGAACTTGAATGAGCCTCAGAGGCATGCGTTAATCTTGTGAAAAAGTGCATCCAGGTATAGGTTGGTGCAAAAGTAATTGTGGTTTTGGACCATGAATTTTAAATTATTATAACTATGCTCAAACACATCTTTATTAATCAAAATAGGAAGCATTACAATCAACACATATTTGTCAATGAGAAATAAGTTTGTTTATTCCTGTAGCATAAAAATCCATGCTTCAGGGCCAGGCGCGGTGGCTCATGCCTGTAATCTCAGCACTTTTGGAGGCCAAAGCGAGTGGATCACCTGAGGCTGGGAGATCGAGACCAGCCTGACCAACATGGAGAAACCTCGTCTTTACTAAAAATACAAAATTAGCCTGGCGTGGTGGTACATGCCTGTAATAACAGCTACTTGGGAGGCTGAGGCAGGAGAATGGCTTGAACCGAGGAGGCAGAGGTTGCGGTGAGCCAAGATGGCGCCATTGCACTCCAGCCTGGGTAACAAGAGTGAAACTCCATCTCAAAAAAAAAAAAAAAAGTTCATGATTCTTAGAAGGCATTTTCTGCATCCTGCTGGTTATGGAAGCATTTTCCTGCAAAAAGTTGTCAAGATGCTTGAAGAAGTGGTAGTCAGTTGGCAAGAAGTCAGGGTAATGTGGCAGATGAAACAAAACTTTATAGCCCAACTTGTTTAACTTTTGAAGCGTTGGCTGTGCGACATGAGGTCGGGCATTGTCATGGAGAATTGGACCCTTTCTGTTGATCAATGCTGGCTGCAGGCGTGGCAGTTTTCGGTGCATCTCATTGACTTGCTGAGCATTCTTCTCAGACCTAATGGTTTCGCTGGGATTCAGAAAGCTGTAATGAATAAAAAAATAATAGATGTTGAGCTGGGGCTGGATCATGGCGGATGGGAGGGAGGACCAGATTGCAGCCCTGGACACAGCAGTGTGTGGAGGCTTGCACTGTGAATTGTAGCTCCAGATCCACTACAAGAACAGACCGCAATCCTGAGAGGACCCACAGACCCTCTGAAGGAAGTGGACTGCTCCCGCAGGACCTGGGAGACACCCCAAATACTGTGAGCGCCCCAATCCCAACCACAGAAGAGGGAAAGGGAGACCCCCCCCACTCTCCTGAACATACACCCCCTACTGGAGAAGCTGAAGGTCTGTTTGCAGGAGAAGTTCCCGACTTTACCTGGAGCTGAGTCAAGTTAGAGCCAAGCTGAGTGAAACACAGGGGTAGAGGAAGCAGCACAAAGGCCCTGGTAGCTCACTGGGTCCCCAAGCACCCCTTTCCTGCCTGGCACCATAGGGATCCATTAGGAGGGTGGCCACAGGAGCAAGTGAGAGGTGAAGCCAGCTGGACTTCTGGGTTGAGTGGGGACGTAGAGAACTTTTTTGTCTTACAAGAGGATTGTAAAATGTACCAATCAGCGTTCTGCAGCTAGTTAGAGGTTTGTAAAATGCACCTATCAGTGCTCTGTAAAAGTGCACCAATCAGCGCTCTGTGGCTAGCTAGAGGTTTTTAAAATGGACCAATCAACACTCTGTAAAATGGACCAATCAACACTCTGTAAAATGGACCAATCAGCAGGACGTGGGTGGGGACAAATAAGGGAATAAAAGCTGGCCACCCCCAGCCCCTCAGCCAGCAGCAGTAACCCACTCAGAAGCTTTGTTCTTTTGCTCCTCACAATAAATCTTGCTGCTGCTCACTCTTTGGGTCCATGTCACCTTTAAGAGCTGTAACACCGCGAAGGTCCGTGACTTCATTCTTGAAGTCAGCAAGACCAAGAACCCACCAGAAGGAACCAACTCCGGACACAAAGGGGGTAAAACTCCGCAGGGAGAAGGGATTCTTTAGCTGAACTTAGTAACAGTTTGAACCGGGCAAGAAGCCTCCTGGCCAGAATTGGGGCGGCGGCGGCGGGGGCGGGTAGGGTGTGAATCTGGCAGAATTCACATGCAGAGGAAGAACTAAAGCCCAATTCTTTCACAACTGGGAGGTGGGAAGCCATGGGCAAATTTTCAAGCCCATTTTACCCTCCACATGGAAACAGGCTTGGGGCTATTGCAGGGGGCACAGTGAGAGTAAGACTGGCCCTTCAGTTTGCGTGGGAGTAGGGTGAGGCCTGTGACTGCCAGCTTTCCCCAACTTCCCTGACAACCTGCATGGCTCAGCAGAGACAGCCATAATCCTCCTGGGTACACAACTCCAGTGACCTGGGAACCTCACCTCCGTCCCCTACAGCAGCTGAAGCAAGAACCACCCAAGGAGAGTCTGAGCTCAGACATGCCTAGCCCTGTCCCCACCTGATGGTCCTTCCCTACCCACCCTGGTAGCGGAAGACAAAGGGCATATAATCTTGGGAGTTCTAGGATGCTGCCTATCACTGGTCCCTCTCCACACTGCTACAGCTGATGCTTTCTAGAAAACACCACCTCCTAACAGGAGGCCAACCAGCACAAAAATAGAGCACTAAACCACCAAAGCTAAGGACCTTCCTGGAGTCCACTGCACTCCCCTGCCACCTACACCGGAACAGGCGCTAGTATCTATGGCTGAGAGACCCATAGACAGTTCACATTACAGAACTCTGTGCAGACAATCACCAGTACCAGTCCCGGACCCTGGTAGACTTGCTGGGAGGCTAGACCCAGAAGAGAGACAACAATCACTGCAGTTTGGCTCACAGGAAGCCACATCTGTAGGAAAAGGGGGAGAGTGCTACCTAAAGGGAACACCCTGTGGGTCAAAAAAATCTGAACAACAGCCTTCAGCCCTAGACCTTCCCTCTGACAGAGCCTACCCAAATGAGAAGGAACCAGAAAACCAACCCTGGTAATATGATAAAACAAGGCTCGTCAACACCCCCCAAAAATCGCACTAGTTCACCAGCAGTGGCTCCAAACCAAGAAGAAATCCCTGATTTACCTGAAAAATAATTCAGGAGGTTAGTTATTAAGCTAATCAGGGAGGGACCAGAAAAAGGCAAAGCCTTATGCAAGGAAATCGAAAAAATGACACAAGAAGTGAAGGGAGAAATATTCAATGAAATTGATAGCTTAAAGAAAAAACAAAAAATTCAGGAAACTTTGGACACACTTTTAGAAATGCAAAATGCTCTGGAAAGTCTCAACAATAGAACTGAATGAATAGAAGAAAGAAATTCAGAGCTCAAGCACAAGGTCTTCCAATTAACCCAATCCAACACAGACAAAGAAGAATAAGAACATATAAACAAAGCCTCCAAGAAGTCTGGGATTATGTTAAATGACCAAACTAAGAAAAATCGGTGTTCCTGAGGAAGGAGACAATTCTAAAAGCTTAGAAAACATATTTGCGGAATAATCGAGGAAAACGTCCCCAGTCTTGCTATAGACCTAGACATCCAAATACAAGAAGCACAAAGAACACCCGGTAAATTCATTGAAAACAGATCTTCACCTAGGCACATTGTCATCAGGTTATCCAAAGTTAAGATGAAGGAAAGAATCTTAAGAGCTGTGAGACAGAAGGAAGCACTGGGTACCCCATAAAGGAAAATCTATCAGATTCACTGCAGATTTCTCAGCAGAAACCCCACAAGCTAGAAGGGATTGGGGCCCTATCTTCAGCCTCCTCAAACAAAATAATCATCAGCCAAGAATTTTGCATCCAGTGAAACTAAGCATCATATATGAAGGAAAGATACAGTTGTTTTCAGACAAACAAATGCTGAGAGAATTTGCCATTACCAAGCCACCACTACAAGAACTGCTAAAAGGAGCTCTAAATCTTGAAACAAGTCCTGAAAACACATCAAAATGAATCTCTTTAAAGCATACATTACATAGGACCTATAAAACAAAAATACAAGTTAAAAAACAAAAACAAAAAACAAAACTAAGTACACAGGCCAACAAAAAGCATGATGAATGCAACAGTACCTCACATTTCTATACTAACACTGAATGCAAATGGCCTAAATGCTCCACTTCAATGATACAGATGGCTGGGCATGGTGGCTCACACCTGTAATCCCAGCACTTTGGGAGGTCAAGGCGGGTAGAGAGAATGTTGAACACCTGAGGTCAGGAGTTCAAGACCAGACTGACCAACATGGTGAAACTCCGTCTCTACTAAAAATACAAAAATTAGCTGGGCTTGGTGGCACACACCTGCAATCTCAGCTACGAGGGAGGCTGAGGCAGGAGAATTTCTTGAACCCAGGAGGCAGAAGTTACACTGAGCTGAGATCATGCCATTGCACTCTAGCCTGGACAACAAGAGCAAAACTCCATCTCAAAAATAAAAGATACAGAACAGCAGAATGGATAAGAACTCACTAACCAACTATCTGCTTTCTTCAGAAGACTCACCTAACACATAAGGACTCATATAAACTTAAAGTAAAGGGGAGGGAAAAGGCACTTCATGCAAATGGACACCAAAAGAGAGCAGGGGTAGTTATTCTTATATCAGGCAAAACAAACTTTAAAGCAACAGCAGTTAAAAGAAACAAAGAGGGCCAGACTCGGTGGCTCACACCTGTAATTCTGGCACTTTGGGAGGCTGAGGTGGGCAGATCACCTGAGGTCAGGAGTTTGAGACCAGCCTGGCCAACATGGTGACACCCCGTCTCTACTAAAAGTGCAAAAATTAGCCAAGTGTGGTGTTGCATGCCTGTAATCCCAGCTACTTGGGAGGCTGAGACAGGAGAAACTCTTGAACCCAGGAGGTGGAGGTTGCAGTGAGGCAAGATTGCACCACTGTACTCCAGCCTGGGTGACAGAGTGAGACTCTGTCTCAAATAAAAAAAAATTATATATATATAAATATATATATATTATACATATATAATTATATATTATACATATGTAATTATATATTATACATATATAGTTATATATATAATACAAAAGATAAATGAAACAACAAACTGTTTCTTTGAAAAGATAAATAAAATCGATAGACCATTAGCAAGATTAACCAAGAAAAGAAGAGAGAAAATCCAGATAACCTCACTGAGAAATGAAACAGGAGTTATTACAACTGACACCACTGAAATACAAGAGATCATTCAAGGCTACTGTGAACACCTTTACGTGAATAAACTAGAAAACCTAGAAAAGATGGAGAAATTTCTGGAAAAACACAACCCTCTTAGCTTAAATCAGGGAGAATTAGATACCCTGAACAGACAAATAACAAGAAGCGAAATTGAAACAGTAATTTAAAAATTACCAACAACAAAATGCCCAGGACCAGATGGATTCACAGCAGAATTCTACAGATGTTCAAAGAAGAATTGGTACCAATCCTTTTGACACAATCCCACAAGATAGAGAAAGAAGGAACCCTCCCTAATTCATTCTATGAGGCCAAAACCAGGAAAGGACACAACCAAAAAAGAAAACTAAAGACCAATATCCTTGATGAACATAGATGCTAAAATCCTTAACAAAATACTAGCTAACTGAATCCAACAACATATCACAAAGATAATCCACCATGATCAAGTGGGTTTCATAACAAGAATGCAGGGATGGTTTAACATATGCAAGTCAATAAATGTGATGCACCACATAAACAGAATTAAAAACAAAAATCACATGATTATTTCAATAGATGCAGAAAAAGCATTCAACAAAATCAGTATCCCTTTATGATTAAAATCGCATAAAATCAGCAAAATCGGCATACAAGGGACATACTTTCATGTGATAAAAGCCATCTATGACAAACTCAGCCAACATAATACTGAATGGGGAAAAGTTGGAAGCATTCTCTCTGAGAATGGGAACAAGACAAGGATGCCCACTCCAACCACTCCTCTTCAACATAGTACTGGAAGTCCTAGACAGAGCAATCAGACAAGATAAATAAAGGGCATCCAAATCGGTAAAAAGGAAGTCAAAATATCTGTGTTTGCTGACAATATGATCATTTACCTTGAAAATCCTAAGGACTCCTCTAGAAAGTTCCTAGAGCTGATAAAAGAATTCAGCAAAGTTTCTGGATACAAGATTAATGTACACAAATCAGTAGCTCTTCCATACACCAACAGTGACCAGGCTGAAAATCAAATCAAGAACTCAATCCCATTTACAATAGCTGCAAAAAAAGAAAAAAAATACTGGCCAGGCATGGTGGTTCATGCCTGTAATCCCAGCACTTTGGGAGGCCAAGGTGGGCAGATCATCTGTGGTCAGGAGTTCGAGACCAGCCTGACCAACATGGTGAAACCCCATCTCTACTAAAAATACAAAAATTAGCCAGGCATGGTGGCAGTCACCTGTAATCTCAGCTACTTGGGAGGCTGAGGCAGGAGAATCGCTTGAACCTGGGAGGCAGAGGTTGCAGTGAGCTGAGATCATGCCACTGCACTCTAGCCTGGGCAGCAGAGTGAGACTCCATCTCAAAAAATAAATAAATAAATAAATAAATAAATAAAATAAACTAAGATAAAATACTTAGGAATATACCTAACAAAGGAGTCAAAAGACCTCTACAAGGAAAACTACAAAACACTGCTGAAAGAAATCATAGACGACACAAAGGGAAACACATCCCATATTCATGGATGGGTAGAATCAATATTGTGAAAATGATCATACTGCCAAAAGCAATCTACAAATTCAACACAGTCCCCATCCAAATACCACCATCATTCTTCACAGAGTTAGAAAAAACAATTCTAAAATTCATATGGAACCAAAAAAAAGCCCACATAGCCAAGGCAAGACTAAGAAGCAGAAAGAACAAATCTGCAGGCATCACACTACCTGATTTCAAACTATACTATAAGGCCATAGTCACCAAAACAGCATGGTACTGGTATAAAAATAGGCACATAGACCAATGGAACAGAATAAACAATCCAGAAATAAACCCAAATACTTACAGCCAACTGATCTTTGACAAAGCAAACAAAAACATAAAGGGGGGAAGGACACCCTTTTCAACAAATAGTGCTGGGATAATTGGCTAGCCACATGTAGGAGAATGAAACAGGATCCTCACCTTTCACCTTATACAAAAAGCAACTGAAAATGGATTAAGGGCTTAAACATAAGACCTGAAACTATAAAAATTCCAGAAGTTAACATTGGAAAAACCCTTCTAGACATTGGCTTAGGCAAGGATTTCATGACTAAAAACCCAAAAGCAAGTGCAATAAAAAGAAAGATAAATAGCTGGGACCTAATTAAACTAAAGAGCTTTTGCATGGCAAAAGGAACAGTCAGCAGAGTAAACTGACAACCCACAGAGTGGGAGAAAAATCTTCACAATCTGTACATCTGACAAAGGACTAATAACCTGAATCTACAATGAACTCAAACAAATCAGTAAGAAAAAAACCATCCCATCAAAAAGTGTGCTAAGGACGTGAATAGAAAATTCTCAAAAGAAGATATACAAATGGCCAACAAACATATGAAAAAACGGCCACCATCATAATAATCAGGGAAATGCAAATCAAAACTACAATGCAATACCACCTTACTCCTGCAAGAATGGCCATAATCAAAAAATCAAAAAACAGTAGATGTTGGCGTGGATGTGGTGAACAGGGAACACTTCTGCACTGCTGGTGGGAATGTAAACTAGTACAGTCACTGTGGAAAACAGTGTGGAGATTCCTTAAAGAACTAAAAGTAGAACTACCATTTGATCCAGCAATCCCACTACTGGGTATCCACCCAGAGGAAAAGAAGTCATTATAGCAAAAAGATAATTGCACACGCGTGTTTATAGCAGCACAATTCACAACTGCAAAATTCTGGAACCAACCCAAATGCCCATCAATCAATGAGTGGATAAAGAACTGTGATATATATATATGATGGAATACTACTCACCTGTAAAAAGGAATGAATTAATAGCATTTGCAATGACCTAGATGGACTGGAGACTATTATTCTAAGTGAAGTAACTCGGGAATAAAAAACCAAACATTGTATGTTCTCACTGATACGTGGGAGCTAAGCTATGAGGAGGCAAAGGCATAAGAATGATACAATGGACTTTGGGGACTTGGGGGGAATAGTGGGAGGGGGACAAGGGATAACAGACAACATATATGGTGCAGTGTATACTGCTCGGGTAATGGGTGTGCACCAGGATCTCACAAATCACTACTAAAGAACTTACTCGGGCCGGGTGCAGTGGCTCATGCCTGTAATCCCAGCACTTTGGGAGACTCAGGTGGGTGGATCACGAGGTCAGGAGATCGAGACCATCCCGGCTAACATAGTGAAACCCTGTCTCTACTAAAAATACAAAAAATTAGCTGGGCGTGGTGGCGGGCACCTGTAGTCCCAGCTACTCGAGAGGCTGAGGCAGGATAATGGCGTGAACCCAGGAGGCGGAGCTTGCAGTGAGCCAAGATCGCACCACTGCACTCTAGCCTGGGCGACAGAGAGAGACTCTGTCTCAGAAAAAAAAAAAAAAAAAAGAACTTACTCATGTAACCAAATACCACCTGTACCCCAATAACTTATGGAAAAAAATAATAATGAAAAGATAACTGAAAAAAAAATAATAGATATTGGCATGGGTGTGGTGAACAGGGAACACTTCTACACTGCTGGTGGGAATGTAAACTAGTACAACCACTATGGAAAACAGTTTGGAGATTCCTTAAAGAACTAAAAGTAGAACTACCATTTGATCCAGCAATCCCACTACTGCGTATCTACCCAAAGGAAAAGAAGTCATTATATGAAAAAGATACTTGCACATGCATGTTTATAGCAGCAAAATTTGCAATTGCAAAAACGTGGAACCAAACAAAATGCCCATCAATCAATGAGTGGATAAAGAAACTGTGGTATATATGGCTGGGCGCAGTGACTCACAGCTGTAATCCCAGCACTTTGGGAGGCTGAGGCAGGCAGATCGCATGAGGTGGGGAATTCGAGACCAGCCTGGCCAGGATGGTGAAACCCCATCTCTACTGA
The DNA here is from genome assembly GCF_000001405.40 of Homo sapiens. Classification (NCBI taxonomy): domain Eukaryota; kingdom Metazoa; phylum Chordata; class Mammalia; order Primates; family Hominidae; genus Homo; species Homo sapiens. Next base: position 128,046,509 of record NC_000002.12, on the reverse strand, counting down.
AAACACAAAAATTAGCTGGGTGTGGTGGCAGGTGCCTATAATCCCAGCTACTTGGGAAGCTGAGGCAGGAGAATTGCTTGAACCTGGGAGGCAGAGGTTGGGTGAGCCAAGATCGTGCCATTGCACTCCAGCCTCGGCAACAGAGCGAGACTCCATCAAAAAAAAAAAAAAGAAGAAAGAAACTGTGGTGTAAACATATACGATGGAATACTACTCAGTCATAAAATGGAATGAACTGGCTGGGTGTGGTGGCTCAGGCCTGTAATCCCAGCACTTTGGGAGGCTGAGGTGGGCAGATCACAAGGTCAGGAGATCGAGACCATCCTGGCCAACATGGTGAAACCCTGTCTCTACTAAAAATACAAAAATTAGGCTGGGCACAGTGGCTCACGCGAGTAATCCCAGCACTTTGGGAGGCCGAGGCGGGAGGATCACGAGGTCAGGAGATCAAGACCATCCTGGCTAATATGGTGAAACCCCGTCTCTACTAAAAAAAACAAAAAATTAGCCAGGCATGGTGGCAGATGCATCTAGTTCCATAGTTCCAGCTACTTGGGAGGCTGAGGCAGGAGAATCACTTGAACTTGGGAGGCAGAGGTTGCAGTGAGCCAAGATTGCGCCACTGTACTCCAGTCTAGGCAACAGAGTAAGACTCTGTCTCAAAAAAAAAAAAAAAAAAAGGAATGAATTAATGGCATTTGCAGTCATCTGAATGAGATTGGAGACTATTCCTCTTTTTGTTTTTCTTTTTTTTTTGAGACGGGGTTTTGCTCTTGTTGCCCAGGCTAGAGTGCAGTGGTGCAATCTCGGCTCACTGCAACCTCCACCTCCTGGGTTCAAGCAATTCTCCTGCCTCAGCCTCCCGAATAGCTGGGATTACAGGCACGTGCCACCACTCCCAGCTAATTTTGTATTTTTAGTAGAGATGAGGTTTCTCCATGTTGGTCAGGCTAGTCTCAAACTCCCGACCTCAGGTGATCCACTCACCTCAGCCTCCCAAAGTGCTGGGATTAAAGGCATGAGCCACCACTCCTGGCCTCTGGAGACTATTATTCTAAGTGAATTAACTCAGGAATGGAAAACCAAACATTGTATGTTCTCACTCATATGTGGGAGCTAAGCTATGAGGATGCAAAGGCATAAGAAAGACACAATGGACTTTGCAGGCTCAGGGGGAAAGGGTGAGAAGAGAGTGAGGGATAAAAGACCACAAATTGGGTGCAGTGTATGCTGCTCGGGTGATGGGTGCACCAAAACCTCACAAATCACCACCAAAGAACCTACTCATGTAACCAAACACCACCTGTTCCCCAATAACCTATGGAAATAAAAAATAATAATTAAAAAGAAAGAAAGAAAGCTGTAGTGGATCAGACTGGCAGAAGACCACCAAAGAGTGACCATGACCTTTTTTTGGTGCAAGTTTGGCTTGAGAAGTGCTTTGGAGCTTCTTCTTGGTCTAACCACTGAGCTGGTTATCACTGGTCATTGTATAAAATCCACTTTTCTTTCTTTTCTTTTTTTTTTTTTTTTGAGATGGAGTCTCACTCTTGTTGCCCAGGCTGGAGTGCAATGGCTCGATCTGGGCTCACAACAACCTCCGCCTCCTGGGTTCAATTGATCCTCCTGCCTCAGCCTCCCGAGTAGCTGGGATTACAGGCATGCGCCACCATGCCCAGCTAATTTTGTATTTTTAGTAGAGACAAGCTTTCTCCATGTTGGTCAGGCTGGTCTCAAACTCCTGACCTCAAGTGATCTAAAATCCAATTTTTACTGTCATAATTAAATTGAGAAATGGTTCACCACTGTTGCATAGAATAAGAAAATATGACATTTCAAAATGACAATTTTTTAAATTTTCCCTCAGCTCGAGAGGCACCCACTTTTGAGCTTTTTCACCTTTCCAATTTGCTTCAAATGCCTAACAACCATAGAATGTTCGATGTTGAGTTCTTCAGCAACTTTTCGAGTAGTTATGAGAGAATCAGCTTCAATGAGTGGTCTTAACTGGTCATTGTCAACTTCCGATGACCGGCCACTATGCTCCTCATCTTCAACGTTCTCATCTCCTTTGCAAAACTTCTTGAACCAACACTGCACTGTTCATTAGTAGTTCCTGGGCCAAATGCGTTGCTGACATTGTGAGTTGTCTCCATTACTTTATGATCCATTTTGAAATCAAATAAGAAAATCACTCAAATTTGCTTTTTGTCTAACATTATTTCCACAGTCTAAAATAAACATAAAATAAGCATCAAGTAATAAGTCATTAGCAAAAAAATGAAGCGAGAAATGTGTGCTAAAATGATGCATAACATAACCACATTTATTTATTCATTTATTTATTTATCGAGACAGAGTCTCCCTCTGTTGCCCAGGCTGGAGTGCAATGGCACAATCTCAGCTCACTGCAATCTCTGCCTCCCGGGCTCAAGCAATTCTCCAGCCTCAGCCTCCTGAGCAGCTGGGCTTACAGGCACCCACCACCACACCTTTTTGTATTTTTAGTAGAGGCAAGGTTTCACCATGTTGGTCAGGCTGGTCTCAAACTCCTGACCTCAAGTGATCCACCCAACTCGGCCTCCCAAAGTGCTGGGATTACAGGCGTGAGCCACCGTGCCCAGCCCATAACCACATTTATTTAAGAATGAATTCCAATATCAAATGGCAAATTCCAAAAATGCAAAAACTGCAATTACTTTTGCACCTAGGAATTCAAACATCCCTAGGTCTGAAATGAGATTTCAGTAAGGGGTTTAGAAGGCAATTGTGTTTCTTTTGATAAGAAGCTTTCTTAGTTTAGATAAGAAAATTTCAGAGAGAGTCCGTCTGTGCACTTTGGGGGAGGGGAGGGGAGAAAGAACAATACAAGATTAGAGGGTCCTTGATTCTGGGGCTTATTTCCGAGGCATTTCAATTTTCAGAAATACTCAGCATGCCCAAGTGCCATGTTTTAGAGAATAATTTCTGCATTTCTCCATGCCAACATCTGGCTTTTCACATATTCTGATGCCTCCTCTTCCCCAGAGGATTCCTCTGCTATGTTCCTGCTTAGCCTTAGTCTTTGTTTGTTTATGGGGCCAGAGACAGGGCTGGGAAGTTGTCAGAGTTGAAGAATAAAGAGAGACTAGAAGAGCATCAAGGATATTTAGCAAGTGGCAGGGGGACTGAAGACTGAGCTAGCGTTAGAAACAAGTTTTTGTGTCACAAAAGAAATAGCACTGGAACAGAAATTTTCTCAGCAAGGCAAATTTACTTCTGCAGAAGGATGCAACTTGCATCAGTCACGATTGCTAGAGCACACCGAGCAGGGTAGGGCAGGGGTTTTTATCCCTAATGAAATTGGTTCCTACTGCTGTGTTCTTTCTTCATTGGCTGGGGTGGGACTGCACAGTCTAAACTAACCCAATTGGCTAATGTTTGAAATTGAACACAGCTATCTAGGTGGGAAGGGGAAGGCTATCCATTATGCATGTCTAGGCATATCCGAAGGCATATCTAGGCTTCTCAGGGCATGTCAGGGCACGGCAGGGGTGGGAAGAGTTGTTTACAGCAGGGGTAACTAGAGAAACTAGAGAAACAAAGAAATGGAAGAACAGGGAATTAAAACCTTTTGAAGAGGAATTTATCATCTCTGCCAATTTCCCCCTCTAGATTTTATAGTTTTTCCTCTTCAAAATGTATTAGCATATCTCAGCTCTGTTGTTCTTCTTGGGCATCTGGAAGGAAGAGTTTATCTGAATAAGGTGGGGGTGAACTAAGGGAGGTTTTGGTGAGAGCTGTTTCTATAATCTTTGCACTAAACCATGAATGCAGTATATGATACAGCATCCTACAAGAATGAGCACGCCTATAATGATTACAAGGGAGGTGAGTATTGAGGTCATAATTCCTTTCCATTTTCCAAACCATTTTTCCATGAGGCTTTGTAAAGAGGTCATTTATTCTAGAATTTTTAGCTAACTAATTTGATAAGGAGGTAAGACCTTGTAAGGCTTTTTTTATTGTCCCATTGGGGATGGTGTTATTAGGAATAAAAGTACAACAATGGACTCCAAACATGACACAACCCCCACATTTTTCAGCTAATATCATGTCAAGGGCTATTCTATTTTCCCAGGCCATTTAGCTGGTATGGCCTAATTGTTCAACTATTCCTTTAACAGCATCTCTAGTATAATTAACAAAGTGTTGTTGATTATAATAGATATAATTTATCTAAGCTACATTCTTGTTTACAGTTGACCACCAGAACAATATAGACTCGAATCCTGCAGCTATTTGATTTCAGGATTTGAATTCATCTGGTATCCCTCACGGTACTCTGGTAGCGTCTATATAAATATGAGGATCAAATGATCCGTGAGAGACATCTCTCTTTTTAAAATATTCTGTTTTCAACTTTCTTGGTTGATGAAATGTCAAGGTGAAAGGGATAGCCAATTGAATTAGAGTGTAAGTGCCGCTCCAGTTACTTGGCAGAGTACCCAGCAATAGTCCCCCGCAATACCACCACGTACCTGCTCGGGGATGAACAAGGGCAGACTGCTTGGTAAGCTCTTGAAAAGGCTTGGTTTCACTGCACCCTGTTAAGTCTCCAAGGAATTCTAACATTTCCCCCTGCCATGAAAGGCATGAGGTGAAGTTAACATCAGGGACTGGAGGCCAGATGGCCCTCAGGGCTGACCCACAGGGCTCTTGACCTCAGGGAACAGCAGTGAAAGAGTCTTGCATGACTCATCACCCCAGGCTGTGGGGTTCTGAAAGAGAGCTACCATACAGCTCATGCCTGGTCATGAGAGTCCATGAGTGGACCACCCAAGTGGAAAGGGGACAATTCGGGTCTCTGGCCTGCCTGTCGCACAAGCATAACAGTCACTTTTGTTTAGCTTGTGAACAGAATATTTAATCCATTCCAGACAAGCATTTGCATCCTGATACCGTGTTTCAATTGCTATAATTTGTTTTAAATCTTTAACCACTACAACAGCTACTTTGGTTTTATCATTGGATATATAACGAGAAAAGGTTTGGTTAGCAGAGAACTTAGGAGAGGGAGAAGGGGGTGCAGGAGGTGGGGAAGCAATGAAGCACATTTCAAAGGATCCTATGGGGTCCTTCCCTGAGACTTCTGCTCCTATATCATAAAAATGGCTTAATGAAGGGGAAGAACTCTGGGGAGCAGAGATGGTAATCTGTGCTGGATTACATTGGTTCAGCTGACAATGGGGAGGGGTAATTCCTTTAGTAAAATGAATATATGGTTTTAAGAAACTGCAAGTACTCGTTGGGGTGGTTCATACTTGCTCTTTAGTATTTCATAGAACATTGGACCAACTTCAGCAGAGAAGCTCTGCTCTAAGAGGACAAGATTCCTGGTTCACACTGGAATCTTTGTCAAACTTTTCCCTAACTAACTTATCCCAGTTAACAAATGCCCAATCTGAAGAGAGCCAGGAAGGACAGAGATACTTTTCTGAGGTGGAGAGTTGCTTTTGACTTGACAAATCTCTGTGGGGTATAACAAGGCAAGCATCAAAGGTAATAGTTTGGGGTGAGCTTGACTTGGTTACATTAATGATAAGGGGACTAGCGATGGTGGGGGGCAGGGAAGGAAAGAAATACAGAATAAGAGGGTTAAACCTGCTTTAGACTTAGTTTGGAAACAGTTGGTCCTGGAACAATGGTGCATGATTCTGGGAACGGTGGTGCCTGCTTAACTTGAGTGTCATGAGTCCAGCTCTTCTCGGTGGTCCGAACTGCTGTCTCAGTTGTTAAGAGCACTAAATAAGGTCCTTCCCAAGTGGGCTCAAGCTTCCCTTCTTTCCAACTCCTGATGAGGACGTGATCTCTAGGCTGGTGTTGGTGAACTGGAAATTCAAGAGGTGGAGTCTGGGCTAGAATGCCTTGAGTCTTAAGGGAGGAAAGGGCAGAAGGCAGACCTAATATATAGTTTTTGAGAAACTGAGTGAGGGTTTTCTCACTCAAAGGCAAATAGGTCTCGGCTGTCCTCTGCTATTGGACAAGCCCAGAAGGCATCTTTTAAATCTATTACTGTAAGCCACTGGTGACTGTATGGGATCCTACTGATAACAGTATAAGGATTGGGAACAACAGTGTGTGTAGTTTGGACTATCTGATTAATAGCTCTAAGGTCTTGCACTAACCGGTATGACCTGTCTGGCTTCTTTACAGGCAGTATCGGAGTGTTATAGGGAGACATACAGGGTTCAAGAAGCCCATCACGGAGGAGACCTTTAATTATAGGTTTTAAATTTACCCTGGCTTCTAAAGGAATAGGGTATTGCTTTCGCTTTACTACTTCCCCAGGGGTTTTTAATTTAACAAGAATTGGAGGAATCTGTAACTTTCCTCTATTCCCGTCTTTTGACCATACCTCGGGATGAATGTGTTCTTCATCTGCGGTGGTGAGCAAGTTTAGAGAGGGGAGGAATTTTCCATGATTGATTTGGAGTCCTAAGCCTAATTTTAGCATGAAATCCCTTCCTAATAGATTTGTCCCTGCTTCTGGAATTAATAGAAATTTGATACTAGCTGATCGGTTTTTATATTTCACTTGTGTCTCCTACTTACTGGTTCCTTCTTTAAATCCATATTTTCATTCCTGGGTGTTATGTCTCCCCCCATCTCTCTCAGCCCCTATGTCCTACCCAGGACAAAGCACTATTAGTTGGCCTAGCAGAGAGGAGCTGAGCCGCTGACGGGAGTGTGCTGACGGTCCTAGTAGGCCCTGACTGCAGCCAGCCACACCTTTGCAGGGACTCTGGTTGCCGTAAACACACAGCTGGGCTGAAGTGGGCAATGCCGGGCGCAAGAGCCCTCCAGAGTGGTCCCTCAGCCAACCTGTCCCAGCCGCCCAGCTTGCAGCCGAACTTGCCTTTCTTCCTCTTTCCTTGCCAGCTTCACAGTCATGCCGGGATGGGGTAAAAGGACAAGCTTTTATCTACTTTAAACAGTCATGCCACACTGCCAACACAGTTTTCAAAGCATTATAGCCTTCAAAGAGATCCTTTCTTCCTTTTCTAATTTTAAGTTCGAAGGCTTCGCTTTTTGGTGCTCTTTATATGGCTTGGAAAGTGGGGGCCTAGGCTCTTTATAGGTTCTCGCCCCCTGAGTACTGTGTGGTACGGTTGACAGCAGAAGTTTTGCCTTCTGCTTTGTCTGTTGTTTCTTTTCGTCCCTTCTTACGTACACTTTTGAGTCTCCCTAAGAAGTTTACTCATGGGACGGTTTTTCCAATTTTCTATCTTTTGTAATTTCTTTGAAATATCTGTCCAACTGTTAGTAAGAAAATGAAGTTTTAACATTCCCTGCCCAAGAGGATCCTCGAGATCTAGACCTGCATACTTTCTCATTTGTTCTTTTAATCTGTCTAAAAATTCTATAGGCCCTTTATCTTTCCCTTGCTGAATATGAAATGCCTGGGTAAGATTCTAGGTTCAGGGTACTGATTTTTAATTCCTTTTATTATCATTTCCCTAAGGTCTTGCATATTTTCTTGGTGGGCTGCATTGTTATTGTCCAACCAGGGGTCTTGGGAGGGGAATTTTTGATCTGCTGCAGGAACGTTTTGGCCAGGAGGGTGTTCACGTTCCCAGACTACCATAGCAGCTCTACGAATGATGCTTCTTTCTTCTCCTGAGAAGAAGTTGCCTAGGATGGACATTAGCTCAGCCTAAGTATGTAACTGTGGTCCTAGAAAGTGGTCAATTTGGTTTGCTACCCCGTAAGGGTTGTCTAATAGTGGCTTAAGCTCTCTTTTTAGGTTTTGTACTTCTGAGCTGGTTAAAGGAGCATTTACAAAGCCAATGCCTCCTCCTCCTAGGGGCACCTCCCTCAAGGGGAAGAGAGCTGGAGCTGATTCCCCTAAGGCAGAGGGGAAGGGAAAGTTTGGGGAAGTTTTGAATATCTTTTTTACATTTCTCTATTTCACGTTGAAGTCCCTTTAGGGAAGGGTACTTAGGCTGGTAGTGATTGGGCTCTTGGGATGATTCCCAAGAGGCAGGGTTATAAGGAGGGGGAACAACGGGGGTAGGAGAAGGGTCTGGGACAGCAGCTGCTTGAGGGGGAGGAAAGTTAGGAGTGTTTGGTGGGGGAAGGTGATTTAGCAGGTCCGAGGTGTAGATTGCTTGGGGTTAAGAGTTTCAGTTTCCTTAGGGGAAACATTCTCTGGCTTACGCTTATCTTTTAGAGTTTTGGGGGGTAGAGAAGAACAGGTCCTTGTCACCAAAACAAGGCATAATCTATCTCTTCTTGGGAAACAAGACTCTTGATATTAACATGTTCTATTAGAAGCTGACAAATCCAGTACTCATTTGACCCAAATTTTGTCCACAAAACTGAGGGTTTGAGGATTGGTTCCTGGGTCCAAATAAAACTATTTTATCATTCGTTGCTTTATCTTATGCTTAGTCCTTTATTATCTTTCAAATACTTTAACATGAGACCTAAGGGACTATCAAGGGGAATATCATTGCTGTTAGGTTTATCCTTTTTACTTCCTGTCTTACTTGGGGTATTTCCAATCTTGATGGTTTTGGGGTGAACCTTAACTTCCCCTACTGGAAATTTTTTTGCCTTCCCTAATACTAGAGGTTTGTGTGAGGCTCAGTGCCCCCTACTGGAGATTTCTCACCTTTCCTTTCTTCTAGAGGCTCAATGCCTCGTATTAGGGATTTCTTGCCTTCCTTTTCTCTAGAGGCTCAACCCTCCCTGGTGGGGGCTTCTTGCACTCTTTTCCTTTCATTTCATCCTCTCTGGCCACTTCCCCAAAGGGAACATCGGGTCCCTCTTAACGTTGGCGAATCAGTATAAACCCCTGATGGGACCCTCGAAAGGCCGCCATATGAGGTGACCATGGAACCACAGATTGAACTCAACTCACTCTGCACGCTAGTAGTGCTTATTCACACACTTACAGCTTTCAACCTCCAAGATCTCCCAACAATCAAGGAAATACGTTGTCAACCCAGTAATGTTTCTTACCTTGGTCTGTGCACAGAGTTACCTGGTTGCCATGGTATATGATGATCTTTTTCTTTTTTTTTCCCAAGTTGTTGGTCTGTTTTTTCCTGCATTGCTGAGAGTCCAGGTTTATTCGTCACACCAGGTGGGTCTTGATTCCTTACCCCTGAGTCCACTGCAATGAGGCAGCAGGGCACACCTCCTCACAGGAGAGGACTGGACCCTTCCCCAGAGGAGAATGGGAATCCTGGACGAACCCCCAAATTTGTTAGAAACAAGCTTCAGTGCTGCAAAAGAAATAGCACTCAAACAGAAATTTTCTCAGCAAGGCAAATTTACTTCCGCAGAAGTGTGCAGCTTGCGCCAGTCACGATTGCAAGAGCACACTGAGCAGGGTGGGGCAGGGGTTTTTATCCCTAATGCAATTGGTTCCTACTGCTGTGTTCTGTCTTCATTGGCTGGGGTGGGACCGCACAGTCTAAACTGACCTGATTGGCTAATCTTTGAAATTGAACACAGCTATCTAGGTGGGAAGGGGAAGGCTATCCTTTATGACATAATGCATGTCTAGGCCTGTCAGGCATGTCAGGGTGCAGCAAGGGTGGGATGAGTTGTTTACAGCATGGGCAACTATAGAAACCAGAGAAACAAAGAACTGGAAGAACAGGGAATTAAAAACTTTTGAAGAGGAATTTATCATCTCTGACGCTAGGAAGGTCAAAAGGCAGTTGACCAATGTCTGAATTAGAGGTGTTACAACAAAAATGCGGATGTAAATCAAAAACAAAATTCTAAGTCCTCCAACTGACTGAACGGAGCCCCCTCTCCACCAAGGGGACCCAAAGACACCTGAAAAACTAGTTCAGGCTGTGACAGGAATGGGACGTTTGGACATGCCTCATTGTACTCTCCTTCCCTTCCAATTTGGGCACAACTGACCAGCATTAACATTGAAACAGAGATCATAAGACTGACAAAACAGATTATTTGTAGCAAGAAAATAGCAAATTCCAACCTGACTCTACTATATCATGACATGACAAAGAAGGAAATGAAAATATTTTACCTCAAAATATATTTCTTTGCCATACTTTGAGATGACCCTGCAAAGCCATATTTTGCAGGGAGAAATTTGCATCTGTGAAAAATCTCTATCAATATAACTAGATTTTTTTTCCCCTTGCAGGTCCTCCCAATCCTGAAGAGAGTAACTAAGAGTTCAGCATCCTTTAAAGGTCTAAATAAGAAGCATTTGGCCAGGCACAGTGGCTCACACCTGTAATCCCAGCACTATGGGAGGCCAAGGCAAGTGGATCACTTGAGGTCAGGAGTTTGAGACCAGCCTGGCCAACATGGTGAAACCCTGAAACCCTGTCTACTAAAAATACAAAAAAAAAAAAAAAAAAAAAAAAAAAACCCAAAACATTTGCCATCTCTCTCTAAGGGTGACCACCTATGTAGACTTCATCTACATAGTAAGAACCTTGATCTCCACAATCCCTGATCTTAATCCAAAGACTCCTTTCTCTTGATTCCAGGTTTTTAGATAATCACTTTTTTGGGGGGGGTGGTTGGAGGGACCAGGTTCTTGCCATGTTGCCCAGGCTGGAGTACAGTGGCATGATCATAGCTCACTGAAACCTAGATCTCCTGGGCTCCAGTGATGCCCCCACCACCCTCAGCCTCCTGAGTAGCTAGGACTATAGACATGCACCACCGTGCCTGGCTTTTTTTTTGTTTTTTTGTTTGTTTGTTTGTTTTTGGTAGAGACAGGGTTTCACCATGTTGCCCAGCCAGGTCTCAATCTCTTAGGCTTTAGGGATCCTCCCACCTTGGCATACCAAAGTGCTGGAATTACAGGCATATCCCAACATGCCTGGCTAGATAATAACTTATCTCTTTCAACTAATTGCCAATCAGAAAACCTTTTAATCTGGCTGGACACAGTGGTTCATTCCTGTAATCCCAGCATGTTGGGAAGCTGAAGCAGGTGGATTGCTTGAGCCCAGGAGTTCAAGACCAGCCTGGGCAACATGGCGAAACCTTGTCTCTACTGAAAATACAATAACAGCAAAAAATTAGCCAGGCATGGTTACACGTGTCTGTAGTCTCAGCTACTGCAGAGGATGATGTGGGAGGATCACCTGAGCCAAGGAGATTGAGGTTGCAGCAAGCCATCATTACACCACTGCAGTCCAACCTGGGCAACAGAGTAAGACCCTGTCTCAACAACAACAAAAAGAAAATCTTTGAATCCACCTATAACCTGTAAGCACCCCTTCCCCTGCTTCGAGTTTTTCTGCCTTTCCAGATTGAACTAATGTATACATCACATGTATAGGTTGATGTCATCCGTCTCCCTAAAACATATACAACCAAGCTGTAACTCAACCACCTTGGGCACATGTTCTCAGGACCACTTGAGACTGTGCCTCAGGCCATTGTTATATCATACTTTGCTCAGAATAAACCTGTTTAAATATTTTACAGAGTTTGGGCCGGGCGCAGTGGCTCACACCTGTAATCCCAGCACTTTGGGAGGCCAAGGCAGGCAGATCACCTGAGGTGAGGAGTTTGAGACCAGTCTGGCCAACATAGTGAAACCCCATCTCTATTAAAAATACAAAACTAGGCCAGATGAGGTGGCTCACGCCTGCAATCCCAGCACTTTGGGAGGCCGAGGCAGGTGGATCATGAGGTCAGGAGATCGAGACCATCCTGGCTAACATGGTGAAACCCTGTCTCTACTAAAAATACCAAAAAAAAAAAAAAATTAGCTGGCCGTGGTGGCAGGCACCTGTAGTCCCAGCTACTCCGGAGGCTGAGGCAGGAGAATGGCATGAACCCGTGAGGCAGAGCTTGCAGTGAGCCAAGATCACACCACTGCACTCCAGCCTGGGCAGCAGAGCAAGACTCCATCTCAAAAAAATAAAAAAATAAAAAATAAAAATAAAAATACAAAAATTAGCCAGGCTTGGTGGCAGGCACCTATAATCCCAGCTACTTGGGAGGCTAAGGCAGGAGAATCACTTGAACCCAGGAGGCAGAGGTTGCAATGAGCTGAGATGGCGCCACTGCACTCCAGCCTGGGTGACAGAGTGAGACTCTGTCTCAAAAAAATAAAAAAATAAAAAATTTACAGAGTTTGGCTTTTTTTTTTTTTTGAGATTGAGTCTCACTCTGTTACCCAGGCTGGAATGCAATGGCGCCATCTCGGGTCACTGCAACCTCTGCCATTCAGGTTCAAGGGATTCTTATGCCTCACCCTCCCCAGTAGCTGGGACTATAGGTCCACGCTGCCACATCTGGCTAATTTTTGTATTTTTTAGTAGAGACGGGGTTTCACCATGTTGGCCAGACTGGTCTCGAACTCCTGACCTCAAGTGATGTGCCAGCCTTAGCCTCCTAAAGTGCTGAGATTACAGGCGTGAGCCACCATGCCTGGCCAAGATTGGCTTTTTTTGTCAACATAGGTACTGTGGTATATAAAAATATTATGGTAAGAAAACAAGCCAGGCATGGTGGCTCACGCCTGTAATCCCAGCATTTCAGGAGGCCGAGGTGGGAAGATTGATTGAGCATAGGAGTTCAAGACCGGATTGGGCAACATATCAAGACCCCATCTCTACAAAAAAATTGTATGCTATATACTTTTATACAACTGGCAGAGCAGTAGTTTTATTTGTTGTTTTGTCTCTTAAAATAGATATGGCAGCCGGGTACACTGGCTCAAGCCTGTAATCCCAGCACTTTGGGAAGCTAAGGCAGGAGGATCACCTGAGGTCAGGAGTTCAAGACCAGCCTGGCCAACATGGTGAAACCCCATCTCTATTAAAAATACAAAAATTAGCCAGGCGTGGTGGTGCACACCTTTAATCCCAGCTACTCGGGAGGCTGAGACAGGAGAATCGCTTGAACCCAGGAGGCGGAGGTTGCAGTGAGCCGAGATCACGCCACTGCACTCTAGCCTGGGTGACAGAGCAAGACTGTGTCTTGAAAAAAAAAAAATTAAAATAGATATGGCGTCTCATGATGCTGCCCAGGCTGGTCTCGAACTCCTTGGCTCAAGGGATCCTCTTGCCTCAGCCTCTCAAAGTGCTGGGATTACAGGCATGAGCCACCACACCTGGCTCAGTTTTTTTTACACCAACATTTTGTTTTGTTTACACCAACATTACCGCAAATATATGAGTAATGCTTTGCACTAGATATTATGACAGCTAGAAGGTCACTAGATGACAGGAATTTTTCAGCTCCATTATAATCTCATGGAACTAGTCATATATGCAGTCTGTCCTTGACCAAAATATTGCCATGGACTACATGGCTGTATAAGTTAACATCGTACAGGAAGTGCCATCCCACCACCTCTGCCATTTGCCATTGGTTAGTAGAAAGTCGCAGGTCCTACCCACACTCAAGGCAAAGGAATGATCCCTTTGCCTTGGTTCCTACATAAGGGTAGGACCACTGGGAAGAGATCACGCGGGACCATCCTAGAGTCTCCTGCCACACCTGGCATAGGTGCTGCTGGGGTGGGGACAGTGGTATAGAATGTGATACCAGGAAGAGAGAGATTCTTGAGTTTGCCCAGGGTAATAAACAGATGGAAGTTGTAAAAACGATGGATACAGGCAAGCTCAAAAGCAACACATCCTTTATGTGTATGGCTCATTTAATCTACACAACAAGCTGGAGATAAATAAGGTTATGCTCATGTTACACAAGTGACCTGGAAGAAACTAGGCTTTCCTTGACTGGGAGGTTGAGTCAAGGGGAGTATTTGGACAGAGGGCAACTGCAGAGAGTCAGTATCGTTAGACTGCTCACGCAGTGACTAAGTGAGAACCGTCTGGGTCCGATGGTAAAGAGGCCCACCAAAGTGTAATTACCTGGCTGACTGGGCATACTGCCTATGAGTTAGCCCTGCTCCACAAGGAGCAGTACTATTCAATAAAAAGTTGCAGGCTACTACCACCAGTTTGCCCTGGAATTCTTAAAAAAAAATTTCTTTAAGAGAAAAAAATGCAACAAAGTGTTGGATCACCCAGTGGGTTCTTCCTGTCCACTGTACAGACAAAATCAATCCACTGAGACCGTGGCATTGCAGCAGAGAAAGTGTTTAATTGACAGGAGGTGGGCAACAGGGAAGAATTAGAGTTATCACTCAAACCAGTCTCCCTGAAGGCTCAGAGCTTAGGGTTTTTATGAACAATTTGGTAAGCAGGGGGATAGGGAATGAGTGCTACTGATTGGTTGGGGATGAAACCATAGGGGTGTGGAAGACATTCCTCGTGTGCTGAGTCTGCCTCTAGGTAGGGCCACAGGACCAGTAGAGCCATGAGTCACGAGTTCAGATCGGATCAGTATGAAAGATATCTCAAAAAAAAATCTTTACAACAGTGATGTTATCTATAGGAGCAACTGGGGAAGTCATAAATCTGAGACCTCTGGCCACATGACTCCTGAGCAGTAAAGGATTATAGAAACTGACTACTTTTTAGCAGAGTTCAGGCCCCTCTCATAATCCTATTCTTGTGGTCTTTCGTTGGTTTACAAAGGTGGTTTTGGTCCCCAAGCAAGGAGGGGGTTAGTTTTAGAAAGGGACTATTATCATCCTTGCTTTCAAGTTAAACTATAAATTGTGAAACATAGCTGAGTCTATACCCAGGAATAACCAAAGACAGCGTGGAGGTCAGAAGTAGGATGGAGTCAACTATGTTAGATATCTCTCACTGTCACGATTTTGCAAAAGTGGTTTCAATCACATCACCAAGTCTCAGGGACCATTCGCTGACATCTGACTGACTTCCACAGAACACTCACGTGGAGAATCTGCTTTTCTCTAGAAAATCACCGAGCAGATATGATGCCTATTGTATATCTGCTTAATCTATTCAAAAGATCATGGGTGGACAACACTTTTTTTTAATTTTTTTATTTTTTGAGACTTGCTTTGTCGCCCAGGCTGCAGTGTAGTGGTGCAACCTTGGTTCACTGCAACCTCCACCTCCCAAGTTCAAATGATTCTCCTGCCTCAACCTCCCATGTAGCTGGGATTAATTTTTGTACTTTTTGTACTTTTAGTAGAGATGGAGTTTCACCATGTTGGCTAGGCTGGTCTCGAACTCCTGACCTCAAGTGATCTGTCCGCCTTAGCCTCCCAAAGTGCTGGGATTACAGGTGTGAGCCACCGCGCCTGGCCAATTTTCAAGAACCTCAAATACTAGTAAGCTCCTGAAACTGGCATAGGGCTTGAATACTTGAGGAGTGTAGAAGGTTCAGTCTGGCTGGGGCACAAGGTGTGTTTTCTGCACACCAAGTTCAGTTGATGGGAATTCTAAACCCTAGTGATAAAAGATGGGTGAAGCACCTGTTTTCCTTTAAGTGTCCACTATGTGCAGGACCAGAGACATGGATGAATAAAGCCATAGCTACTGTCCCAAGTAACTCAGGAAAACTCCAATTTCAATCATATAGTAACGCCGATGTGTTTGTGATTATATTTAGCAAACATTTATTGAATGCTTCCTGGATCTAAAACCCTGTTGACAGGAGATATAAAGACAAATAATTTCTCTGTTTGCCTACTCCAGGAGGAATATGGGCAGACACAGATCAGTGCTGTAAGAGAGGTACTGAGGAAGTTCTATGGAAATATTCTAGAGGGTGGGGAAAAGAGAGGAATTGGAGGAAGGCTTCTTGCCGAAGAGAAACAGTTTTATTTCCGGTTAGGCATTATAGAATTGGCAGAACTCTTCTAGATGATTGCTGAGCATCCTAGCCTATTAGAAGGCACTTCAGGCCAGAGCAAAATGCTGGAAGCCAAACTGCGCAGATAACTAGTAGAAACTGTTGTTGGCAGAGTATCCAGTGTCTGGAGAGGCAGGAGAGACTAAATTATTAAGGCCTTTGGATAATGGGCATAGGGATTTGGAATATATTCCGAAGATATGGAAACATCGTGGATGGGAAGGATAGATCCAGATTAGTGATTTAGAAAAAGAATTCTGGAGGACATAGTGGGTGTAGGAAGAGATTTCAGTGGGGGCAGCAGCATTGCTGCAATTCAGATAAGAAATAATGGCAGCTTGAGCCACAGCTATGGAAACAATAGAAAAGGAGGCAGAGGTGCATATCAATGTAATATGGCGGCTGTGGGAGATGGAAGAGTGTGGAACATATATGAAGCTGAAGACAGAAAGGATGGTGATGCCAGTAAGTAAACCCAGGTATCAAGGGGAGTACACAGGGGAGGCAAACCAATAAAGGTGTTCAATACATTAACTTTGAGGGGCTTGTTAAGACTTCTGTGTGGATTGGCCCATCAGGCGGAAATATAGGTATACAACTCGGAGAGGTCACCTATGCATAGGTAACATTTTCAAAGATATTTGAGGCTGGGTGTAGTGGCTCATGCCTATAATGCCAGCACATTGGGAGGCTGAGGTGGGCAGATCGCTTAAGCCCAGGAGTTCAAGACCAGCCTGGGCATATGGTGGAACCCTGTCTCTATTCAAAAAAAAAAAAATATATATATACACACACACACACACACACACACACACACGTATATATACATATATATACATATATACATATATATACATACAACTCCATCTCAAAAATATATATTATATATATAAAATATATGTATTCATATATAAATATATATTTTTGAGACAGAGTTTCGCTCTTGTTGCCCAGGCTGGAGTGCAATGGCTTGATCTGGGCTCACAGCAACTTCTGCCTCCCGGGTTCAAGCAATTTTCCTGCCTTAGCCTCCTGAGTAGCTGGGATTACAGGAATTTGCCACCATTCCCGGCTAATTTTGTATCTTTAGTAGAGATGGGGTCTTTCCCATGTTGGTCAGGCTGGTCTCGAACTCCTGACCTCAGGTGATTCGCCTGCCTCGGCCTCCCAAAGTGCTGGGATTACAGGCATGAGCCACGTGCCTGGCATATATATATGTTTAGTGGGGTGTGGTGGCATGCGCCTGCAGTCCTGGCTACTCAGGAGGCTGAGGCAATAAGTTAGTTGAGACAAGGAAGTCGAGGCTGCAATGAGCTGTGATCACGCCACTGGACTTCAGCTTGGGCTGAACTGAGAACCTGTCTCAAAAAAACAAAAAACAAAAAGGATGACATTTGAAACTGTGGAAATACATTAAACCATTTAGGAAGGCAGTATAGCATTAGCGTGTTGGAGCCCTGAAGAATGCTGTATTTATGAGAAAGAGGAGGTATAATGGAGCTTGACATAGGAGTAGAAGCAGGAGACAGCCTGGTTCTAGAGGCCAAGGGAAGACATGAGGAGGAATTACTACTGGTCAGTAAGCTAAACAAGATGAGATCTAAGTGAGGACCGATGGGTTTGAAGTTGAGTAGGTGTTGGCAACTTTTGGGGAGCAGTCTGAGAAGAGTGGCAACTCCAAAAGGGATAAGGACTGCCTAGGCAGAGAGGAGGCTGAAGTCTATCACAGGAGTCACTCTTTAGAAGTTTGAGAATGAAGGCATGAAGGTGGAAAAGGAAAGTGGCTTGAAGAGGAGGAGTATCTGAGACTCATCCCTGGGCTATAGCCAGGAGCTACTCTCTTCTAACCAAGCAGTTGTCTTACACAGCTGTGCATGATAGGAAGAGGGGGGTTTGAGCCCCATTTATTTCCTAACTAATCACAAAACTCCAGGCCTAAATTACCATCTGGTAAGGGAAGAGGGAGACTTAATCTCTTATCAGACACAAATGTGGCCTCAAAAGATATGGCTAAGTCTTCTACAGGTGCATAAACTCCAACCCTGAACCCCAAGCAAAATGACAAAATAAAACTGCCCCCTTCAGCTCCTTTATAATCCGGAAAGCGCGCGCAGGTGCGCCCCGGCCGCCCAGAGCCCTGCGCCCTGCCGGCCTGCTTTCACAGAGCCGCGCCCGCGCTGCGCCTGGCGGCTCCCGCCGCGCGTAGGCTGTGCCGACCGCGGTTCCCGGTGGGGACACCGAGTCCCACTCGCGGCATAGGGAGGCGGGCACCGTCACGACACTGGCCCGGCCCGCGGATCCCTTGGCCGCCGCAGTTGGCCTCCATTACCCTTTCCCGCGCCGCGCCTCCCCGCGGGGAAAATGAAACCCAGTGCCCTCAGGTTAAGGCATAGGGTGGGATCCACTGTCTTCTCACTTAGCCAAGAGAAAAGGCAGAACCGACTTCAGACAGCAAAGGGGTGTGTTGCCCTGGCCGGGTCGCCTGCGGCCCCGCCCCGGCGCTCTCCACCTCCTTCGCGGCCCGCCCTCCTGACTCCGGCGACTACATTTCCCACAGGACGCCGCGGCTCAGAGGGGCGGGCCCGTCCGCTCTCCCGCTCACGACCACCGGCGACTGGCTGACTCGGCAGGGGGCGGGGCCTGCGCCAGCCAATAGACGGGAGGCTCGTTACGGCGGCGGAAGCAGCGGCGCTGGAGTGAGGGGTGGGGGGCAGAGTGCTAGCTCCCCGGCGGTGGCTGCGGGTCCGGAGCCTGGGGACGTCGGCCCCACAGACGGAGAGCGCGCGGGAGCGAGCTCAAGGCGGCGCGGCGGCCACTGGGCGCAGCACCCAGGTAATGGCGGGACGGGCGCCCGGGAGGGAAGGGGAGGAGACGAGGGGGCGGGGCGGCTGAGCCGGGCTGCAGCGTCCGTCCCGTTGCGCGTCCCCGGGGAAGGGCAGAGGATCCTCGTCTCCTGCGGCTCGGACCGCGGCTCTTTCGCGAGCTGGTCACGGCGGTTGGGCCGGCGACAGGGGCTGGGTGTCCTGTGGCGAGGAAGGGAGAGGCACCGGGAGGGGTGGGCTGACCCGGGCGTGGGGGCGTGGCGGACGTGGGCCTTGGCGGGGAAGCAGAGCGGCCGGGGGAGCGCGGGCGGGCGGGCGGGCGGGCGGCCGGCCCAGGGAGTTTGGCTCCTGGAGCAGTTTAAAGTGACTCTCCACATCCGGGCCCTGCGCCCGCCGCTTTCAGACCCTGGCTGAGGCGGGGCCTCCCCGCTCCCCGCCCCCTTCGCCGGGGGCGCCTGTCTTCCTCTGCCATTGGCTCAGCCTCGAGGGGTTTGGGCTGCCCCGGCCAGGCTCGCGCCTGATTGGCTGGCAGTCGGCGGGAGGGTGGGGCGGGCTCTGAACGTGCAGGTCGCTGTGGATTGGTCCTGGGCCTCCACTGACGCGTCGGGCGTGGGGCCAATGGGCGGGCGGGGGAGGCAGGGGCAGGTTCGGGGGAAGAGGACTGCGAGCACAGCGGCGGCCGGGTGGCGGGGGTGAGTGGGGCCAGCGGGGCTGGACAGCAGCGGGCCCCGGGCGCCGCCGCCGCGATCCCTCCCCGCGCCCGCCGAGCACATCGCCGCCGCCGAGATGGGCCCTCCGCGGCACCCCCAGGCCGGCGAGATAGAAGCGGGCGGTGCGGGCGGCGGGCGGCGGCTACAGGTAAAGAGGCACAGTGCTCGTCTTGTGGTCGGGTCCCCAGATCGCCCGTCCGCACCCCCACCCCGGAGACGGGGGTCTCACACTCCGAGGTGTCTGGAAACCGGCGTCCTCCGGTCTCAGCGGGGGCTTCGCGGTGGGGTGGGGTTGCGGGCGAATCGGGAGATCGCTTGGCTCCTGAGGGAAAAGTGGGGGGCGATTTTAGGGAAGATGGAGAAGGTGTAGGGTCCTCTGGCTCTGTGAGGGGATCTGTGGAAGAGAAGGAAAAGGAAATCCGTAAATGGAGGCCTTTGCCGAAAAGCATTGGAGAATTCCTTTTGCATCGGGTCTGGATGTAAGATATCGGATCTTTTCTTAGGGCTGGATATCTTCCTCCGAATGTTCCTATGACATACTAATCACAGTTCTGTTCACCTTGGTGTGAGATTTGAGTGTTTCAAAGAGACATGCCATTTTCCATAAAACTTTACACAGAGAAATACACATGCATTGTGGTAATACCTGTCATGTGACTCTTGTACAGGATTCAATGGTGATTTTTTTAGCATAGCAATCCACAAGTATTTATGGAGGGTCATAGTACCCGCCAGCTCCGTATAAACAATATTTGTAGAAAACTTAGGTAGTTTAGATAATGTCTGCATTTATATTGATCCCAAGTTATTGTTTTTAAATAAATGATGCAGCATTTGCTTTTCCAAGGGACTATCTCATAGGTACTAAAGATGCTTTAATTTCTCAGTATTGATTCAGATCTCAGAATCTAGTAATAACCATATAACTGTATGTACTACAGGTGGAAATGAGTTCTCAACAGTTTCCTCGGTTAGGAGCCCCTTCTACCGGGCTGAGCCAGGCCCCTTCTCAGATTGCAAACAGTGGTTCTGCTGGATTGATAAACCCAGCTGCTACAGGTGAGATATGTAATATTCTAATATATTTTTTCCTACTTTAAGAATATTACCAGTTTTCTAACTTAAAAATTAGCAGATTCTTCTAGGATTTTAGTAAATTCTTGTTTCTTGAATTTGAAGAAAGGGTATATTACTATTCTAATTTAAACAAGGCTTTTTTTCCTTCCTGTTTTAACCACTTCATTCACATAGAGTACACATGCAACTTATAGCAAAGCGTGCCTGTAAGAACTGTTTTTGAAATGCATTAATATATTCTTGTTTAATTAATGTCCAGGAGTATAGCATTAGTGCTGTGAGGGAGCCCAGAGGTGTTTAAGGAACAGATCTTGTCTTTTAGGGGTTTATTATCTAGGAAAAGAAGTGGAAAACAAAGGATATGCGGTTTCCCTATGGTGTCTGTGGGGGATTGTTTCCAGGACCCACCTTAGATACCAAAATCCATGATGCTCCACTTTCTGATGTAAAATGGTATAGTGTTTGCATATTACCTATACCTATCCTCCAGTATATTTTAAATCATCTCTAGATTACTTGTAATACCTCCTACAATGTAAATGGTATGTAAATAGTTGTTATACTGTATTGCTAAGGGAATAATGACAAGAGAAAAAAGTCTGTATGTGCTTAGTACAGATGCAAGCAGGGTTTTTTTCCCCCCCTGAATATTTAACATCCAAAGTTGGTTGAATTCACATCAGGGAACCCATGGATACAGAGGGCTGATTGTATACACATAGATAAAACTTGGTTTTTAGTCTTATACCCTTTGAGTGGTAGAAATTAGTGGTTCTCAGTGACAGGTGTTTGGGGAGGTGATTTTTCCTCCAGGGGAGTACTTGGCAATATCTAAAGACAGTTTGGTTGTCACAACTAAAGAGTACTATTGGCATCTGATAGGTAGAGGCCAGGGATACTGCTTAACATCCTGCAAGGTAATGGGAAGCCCCCCACAACAGAGAAGTATCCAGTCCAGTCAGCAGTGCTGAAGTTGAGGAATTCCTTCAAATACTCTTTTTCTCTATGTATTAAGTAAATATATGACATTGCAAAGTGAAATAAATGCTTTTCTATTCCTTTTTCTTCACCACTGGATTCTGGTGTTCCTTATGGTAAATGATACCACTGTCTACTCATTGCTCAAACCAGTAGCTGAGGCTTTTTTTTTTTTTTTTTTGCGCAATAGGGTCTCACTCTGTCACTCAAGCGGCAGTACAGTGGCATAATCACAGCTCACTGCAGCCTCGATCTTTTGGGCTCCCCAGCTAATTTTATTTTATTTTTTATTTTTTTAATTTTTTTGAGACAGAGTGTCACTCTGTGGCCCAGGCTGGAGTGCAGTGGTGCGATCTCAGCTCACTGCAGTCTCTGCCTCCTGGGTTTAAGTGATTCTTGTGCCTCAGCCTCTGAGTAGCTGGGATTACAGGCATGCGCTACCATGCCTGGGTAATTTTTTTTTTTTTTTTCGCATTTTTAGTAGAGACAGGGTTTCACCATGTTGGCCAGGCTGATCTCGGACTCCGGACTCCAGACTTCAAGTGATCCACCCTCCTTGGCCTCCCAAAGTGCTGGGATTACAGGCATGAGCCACCACACCCAGCCACATGTTCAGCTAATTTTAAATTTTTTTGTAAAGAGGGGATCTCACAATGTTGCCGAAGCTGGTCTCAAACTCCTGGACTCAAGTAATCCTCCGTTCTCAGCCTCCCAAAGTGTTAGGATCACAGGTGTGAGTCACTGTGCTGAGCTGGAAGCATCTTTAATTGCTCTGCGTTTTCTTATGAGCTATGGCCCTTGTCTAATGTTCCAGCCTCATTTCTTACTATTTAGCCTTCCTCCTGCCAACCTAATTTTTTTTTTTTCCAATGGAGATGGAGTCTTGCTATGTTGACCAGGCTTGTCTCAAACTCCTGGCCTCAAGGAATCCTCCCGCCTAGGCCTCCCAAAATTCTGGGATTACAGGTGTGAGCCACTTGGGTGGCCGCCAACTTAGTTTTTGTTATAAATTTATTTTAGTTCTCTTTAGACTTGAAGTGACTTTAAGCTACTTATGACTCCTGCTCGATGGTATCTACTCATATTTCTAAATAAATGATTAAAAAATTCCCAATTTCACGACTTTGGGACTTTGCACATTCTTTTCCTTTTGCCATAGTCTTCCTTGTTTCTTTCCATATACTTACTTATTTGGCTAATTCCTTCTTTTTTCAAGTTTCAACTTAGATGTTATTTTCTCTAGAATATTCTAGAGAATATTATTATTCTCTAGAATAACAGAAGACTCTATCTTCCATAACAACTCAGGTAGAGAATCTAGAAATAGAACCAGATATATATAGCCAATTGATTTTTGATAAAAGTTCCTAAGTAATTCAATAGGGAAATGATAGTCTTCTTTTTTTCTGAGACGGAGTCTCACTCTGTCTCCCAGGCTGGAGTGCAGTAGCATGATCTCGGCTCACTGCAAGCTCTGCCTCCCAGGTTCACACCATTCTGCCTCAGCCTCCTGAGTAGCTGGGACTACAGGCGCCCACCACCGTGCCCGGCTAATTTTTTGTATTTTTTAGTAGAGACGGTGTTTCACTGTGTTAGCCAGGATAGTCTCGATCTCCTGACCTCTTGATCTGCCCGCCTCAGCCTCCCAAAGTGCTGAGATTACAGGCATGAGCCACTGCGCCTGATGGTCTTTTCAGTAAAATAGTGCTGGAAGATCATAACATCATTATGGGGGAATAAAGGCTGTGTGCAGTAGGCTCATGCCTGTTATCCCAGCACCATGGGAGGCCAAGGCAGGTGGATCGCTTTGAGCTCAGGAGTTTGAGATAAGCCTGGGCAACATGGCAAATCCCCGTTTCTACAGCAAATACAAAAATTAGCCGAGGCCAGGCTAATTGTACAGTGGCTCATGCCTGTAATCCTAGCATTTTGGAAGGCTGAGGTGGGCAGATCACCTGAGGCCAGGAGTTCGAGACCAGCTTGGCCAACATGGTGAAACCTGTCTCTACTAAAAATACAAAAATTAGCTGGGCGTGGTGGTGGGTGCCGGTAATCCCGGCTAATCGGGAGGCTGAGGCAGGACAGTCACTTGAACTTTGGGAGGCAGAGCTTGCAGTGAGCCAAGATAGCGCCACTGCACTTCAGCCTGGGCAACAAAGCAAGATTCCGTCTCAAAAAAAAAAAAAAATTAGCCAGGTGTGATGGCTCATGCCTATAGTCCCAGCTACTTGAGAGGCTGAGGTGGGAGGATCGCTTGAGCCTGGGAAGCGGAGGTTGCAGTGACCTGAGATCTTACCAATGCACCCCAGCCTGGGTGACGGAGTGAGATCTTGTCTCCAGGAAAAAAAAAAACAAGAACTTATAACTCAGTAGTAAAAAGACAAACAACCTGATTTTTTTTAAGACGGGAAAATATTTGAGTACAGAAGAGCTAGATAAGTGCCAAAGAAGCACATGAGAAGATGCTCACCATTATTAATCCTCAGGGCAGTGCACATTAAAACCACTGTGAGAAACTACTGCACATCCAGTAGAAAGACTGAAATTACAAAGACTGACAATACCAAGTGTTGGAATGGTTGTAGCGCAAATAGAACTCATACTTTATTGTTGGGAATGCAAAATGGCTAGCCACTTCAAGAAACAATTTGGCAATATCTTATAAAATTAAATATACACTTACCACACCACTGAGCAATCTCATTCCATAGGTATTTATCAAAGGTAAATGAAAATATATGTTTATACAAGGACTTATATTCACATGTTCGTAGAAACTGTATTCATAATAGCCAAAACAGGGTTCTCACCAAATGTCTATCAGATGGTGACAGGATAAGCAAATTGTTGTGTGTCCATCCGTGCAGTGGAATGCTACTTGGCAATAAAAAGGACCAGACTACCAGTATACACAACATTATGGATAACCCTCAGTAACATTACACTAAGGAGAGAATCCAGATACATAGGACTACAGATGGTATGATTGTGTTATGTGAAATTCCAGAAAAGACTATGCCATAGTGACAGAAAGCAGATCAGTGGTTTCTGGAGAATAGAGGTTGTGGGGAGGGAATTGACTGCAAAGGGGTGTGAATGAACTCACTGGAGTAACAGGAAATGATCTGTATCATGATTGTGTTATACCGCTGTATACTTTTGCGAACACTTATCTAATGTTACACAAAGAATTAGTGAATTTTATATGTAAATTGTACCTCAGTAAAGCTAATTGATTAAAATGGACAAAAGATAAACATGCACTTCACTAAAGAAGATATATATGAATGGGCTGGGATCACATAAAAAGATGTTCAACATTACTAGTCATCATGGAAATGCTAATTAAAACTACAGTGAGACACACACTACAACCCACTAGAATGGCTGTATATCAAGCAATGAGTAAGGAAGAGGAGCAGCTTGTATACTGCTAATGGGAACAGGCAATGCTACAATCACTTTGGAAATGACTTCGGCAAAGTTAAACATATACTTACCATTTGACCCAACCATTCTGCTCCTTGGTGTTGCTGAGGATATTTGTAAAAAAATTATTGAACTTTTCTTGTAAACCAGTGGTGGTATTCTATGTAATCTATTCCCCAATAAAGAGGTTTTATAGATCAAAATTTTAAAAATTCTGAATGACCTGGGAGAAAAGTCAATATATAGTGAAAAAGAAAACGTATATCAGTCTTTTCTTTCCTCTCTGTTTTTTTGTTTTTTTTTTTTTTTGAGATGGAGTCTTGTTCTGTCGCCCAGGCTGTAGTGCAGTGGCGCGATCTCGACTCACTGCAACCTCCACCTCCCGGGTTCAAGCAATTCTGCTGCCTCGGCCTCCCAAGTAGCTGGGACTATAGGCGCCCGCCACCATGCCCAGCTAATTTTTGTATTTTTAGTAGAGACAGGGTTTCACCATATTGTCCAGGCTGGTCTCAAACTCCTGACTTTGTGATCCGCCCGCCTTGGCCTCCCAAAGTGCTGGGATTACAGGCTTGAGCCACCACGCCCGGCCACATCACTCTTTTCATCCAGCACTTGTACTTTTAGGAATTTTTTCCTGAAGAGATCATTGGACAAGATTGTTGATAAAAGCAAAAATTTGGAAATAACCTAAAAGCCCATCAATGATACAGTGATTTTAAAAGCTATAGTACATCTATACAATAGAATCCCATTTCACTTTTTTTTTGAGACAGAGTCTTGCTTCGTTGCCCAGGCTGGAGTGCACAGTCTTGGCTCGCTGCAACCTCTGCCTCCTGGGTTCAAGTGATTCTTCCGCCTCAGCCTCCCGAGTAGGTGGGATTACAGGCAACCGCCATCATGCCCAGCTAATTTTTGTATTTTTGTGGAGACGGGGTTTCACCATGTTGGATGATGGTCTTGAACTCCTGACCTCAGGTGATCCACCTGCCTCAGCCTCCCAAAGTGCTGGGATTATAGACATGAGCCACTGTGCCCGGCCCCATTTCACCTTTAAAAAATGATGCAGTATTCTCTACCCAGTAGTTCTAATCCTAGGTATATATTGAGTAGAAGTGGTACATATGTTCACCAAAAGACACGTACAAGAACATTACTAGCACTATTCAAAATAGGAACAAACTGAAAACTAAAGTGCCTCTTAAGAGTAAAATGGATAATTTGTACGTTACTCGTGTGTCGTACTATATACAGCATTGAGAATGAAAGATCTACAGCTGTGTACACTAATGTGAATGAATCTCATACCTGTAAGTGAAAGAGGCAAAGCACAATAGGGTGTATTTGTTATAAGTCTGTTTACGTAAAGTTAAAAAACAGACAATACTAATCTATAGTGTTACAAGGTAGAAGATTGATTTCCTTCGGAGGATAGTGGCTAGAATAGGGCCAAACTAAGGGTCTCTGGGGGACCAATAATGTTTTCTATCTTGAGCTGGGTGCTATTTACTCAGGTTTATTCAGTTTGTGAAAGTCCATTGAGCTGCACAGCTAACATTTGTGCACTTATCTTTATGAAAATCATACTTCAAGAAAAAAAAGTCAAATGAATAAAAACCCAAAATTTAAAAGAAGCGAGAACTGTCACCAAAACTTTAAGTGTTGGTGCCTTTGTGGGGTAAGTTTGGGGGCAACATTACTTTGTTTATGGTACTCCAAATAATTTAAATTCTCTACATAAGTAAATATTATCTTTATGCTCAGAAAAAAAATTATTTTGGAAAAATTATAGACAAATATGAGTTAATATTTTCACAAGCTCTTCCTTTATTACATCAGTATTGTTCTCTGATTTTTTTCCACTTAATTTTTTTTTTTTGACACAGAGTTTTGCTCTTGTCCCCCAGGCTGGAGTGCAGTGGCAGGATCTCCCAACCTCCACCTCCCGGGCTCAAGCAATTCTCTGGCCTCAGCCTCCTGAGTATCTGGGATTACAGGTGTGCACCATCACACCTGGCTATTTTTTTGTATTTTTAGTAGAGACAGGGTTTCACCATGTTGGACAGGCTGATCTCGAACTCCTGACCTCAAGTGATCTCCCCACCTTGGCCTCCCAAAGTGCTGGGATTACAGGCGTGAACCACCACGCCCGGCCTCCACTGAATTTTTAAATACTTAATTTTTAAATAGGCCAGGTGCAGTGGCTCACACCTGTAATCTCAGCACTTTGGGAGGCCAGAGGTGGGAGGAACACTCGATCCCAGGTATTCAAGACCAGACCAGGCAACATAGTGGAACTCTTTCTTCATAAAAAAATAAAAGAATTAGCCAGGTGTGGTGGCATGTGCCTGTAGTCTTAGCTGCTTGGGCAGCGGAGGCAGAGGCTCACTTGAGTCCAAGAGTTTGAAGCTGCAGTGAGCTGATATCCTGTGACTTCGTTACAGCCTGGGAGACAGAGTGAGACCTTGTCTCAAAAAAAAAATTTTTTTTAATTAAAAAAAATTTTTAAATAGATTGTCTTCTGGTAGACCAAAACACCAAAAGAAAAAGAGCATACATTGGAAAATATCTCTCCTATCTCTGTCCCTCAGTTTTGAAAAATTATATGTTCTTAAAGTTAGGAACCGTACTTAAAATATCTTTTTTTTTTCTTTTTTTTGAGATGGAGCCTCACTCTTGTTACCCAGGTAGGAGTGCAGTGGCGCAATCTCAGCTCACTGCAGCCTCCCATCTCCTGGGTTCAAGTGATTCTCCTGCCTCATCTTCCCTAGTAGCTGAGATTATAGGTGTGTACCACCACGCCCGGCTAATTTTTTTGTATTTTTAGTAGAGACGGGGTTTCACCACGTTGGTCAGGCTGGCCTGGAACTCCTGACTTCAAATGATCCACCTGCCTTGGTTTCCCAAAGTGCTAGGATTACAGGCTGTGCTCAGCCCCCAACCACCTTTTTTTTTTTTTTTTGAGACAAAGTCTCACTGTGTCATCCAAGCTGGAGTGCAGTGGCACAATCATGGCTTGGCTCACTGCAGCCTTGACCTCCCAGGGTTAAGTGATCCTCCTCCCTCTGCCTCCAATATAGCTGGGATTACGGGTGCATGCCACCATGCCCATTTAATTTTAAAATTTTTTGCAGAGATGGAGTCTTACTGTGTTGCCAAGGCTGGTCTTGAACTCCTGGGTTCAAGGGATCTGTTTGCCTTGGCCTCTCAAAATGCTAGGATTGCAGGTGCAAGCCACTGCACCAGCCATCCTTTTTTTTTTTTTTTTTTTTTTTGGAGACAATCTTCCTCTCTCGCCCAGGCTAGAGTGCAGTGACGGAATCTTGGCTCACTGCAACCTCTGCCTTTTGGGCTCAGGTGATCCTCCCACCTTAGCCTCCCAAGTAGCTGGGATTACAAAAAAACGTGGTTTTTGGTTTTTGGTTTGTTTTTTTTTTTTTTTTTTGTATTTTTAGTAGAGATAGGGTTTTGCCATGTTGGCCAGCATAAAATATCTTTTTAATGTCAGGCTTTTATAACTTTCTAAGAGGATGTTTTAAATGAAATTGTCTTACATCCTGTATTGTACTTTTAACTATTTCAGCTCATTTTAGATGATTTTCAGGTAGTTTGTTCATAAGGCTACAATATCCAGAATAAATTCTATATTCCACAGTTGTGGCTCTTTTGTCTGATGTCCATCAGGAGAATCCAGTGCCCATATTGACCTTGTTAAGAAAACATCACAAGGAAATGGCCACTTTGTCAATCCTGAGATTTAACTTCAGGTACCACTCTTGTCTGTGCTGCTATCTTACACTGGGAGACTGTGACATACTGTCTCACTCTTAATGTCTTTACTAGTCAATGATGAATCTGGTCGAGATTCTGAAGTCAGTGCCAGGGAGCACATGAGTTCCAGCAGCTCCCTCCAGTCCCGGGAGGAGAAGCAAGAGCCTGTTGTGGTAAGGCCCTATCCACAGGTGCAGATGTTGTCGACACACCATGCTGTCGCATCAGCCACACCTGTTGCAGTGACAGCCCCGCCAGCACACCTGACGCCAGCAGTGCCACTTTCATTTTCGGAGGGACTTATGAAGGTAATGGAGAGGGTTAAAACTTCACACTGAACCAGAGCTCGAGACTGGCTAATGTTTGTAACAATTTGTATAAAATCTTAGGCTGTATCTTAGGATCACATTTCATTTTTTCTTTATGACATATGAGTTCAGCTCCTTTCTGTAACTCAGCCCTGATTTTCTGCAGTGCCTTGTCTTGTGCTGCTGGGCAGTTGGCATCATAGGATCTTTGCTGTTATCCATTTTGATACTGATATTATTCAACTTATGGGCATGTTAAGTTAGATACAATCTTGAAGGGACCCTCTTTTTTTTTTAAGCCAGTCAGATTTAGCAGTGGGGGCTTAATGACATTAATGTTTTGTTTCTGTTTTTATTTGAGACGGAGTCTTTCTCTGTCATCCAGGCTGGAGTGCAGTGGTGCGATCTTGGCTCACTGCAACTTCCACCTCCAAGGTTCAAGCGGTTCTGCAGCCTCAGCCTCCCAAGTAGCTGGTATTACAGGCGCACGTCACTACGCCTGGCTAATTTTTGTATTTTTAGTAGAGATGGCGTTTCACCATGTCGGCCAGGCTGGTCTCAAACTCCTGGCCTCAAGTGGTCTGCCCGCCTTAGCTTCCCAGATTGCTGGGATTACAGGCGTGAGCCACTGTGCCCAGCTGACAGTAATGTTATAAGTTCAGATAACCCAGTACCATGGGACCAAGTGGAGTGGCACTCTTCTTTAAGGTTTGTTTTAATAACTGGTTAATTTGGGGGTTTCTGAGAATATTGCCTGTGTATTACCTTGGGGTTGTGTTTCAGTTACTGGGAGTTTTGTTCAATCCACCCAAACTTGGGAGGCAGCATCATGTAGAAGAAAGGGTGTGGGCTGTGAGCCATACAGCTCTGGGCTTTATTCCCAGTTCTACTTCTTACTGTGTGTGTGGCTTTGAGCAAGTCAGTTAGCCTTGCTTTGTATGTTTCTTTATCTGTGAAATAGAAATGCTAGTACTTCAGTGGAAACACTGTGATGATAATAGATAAAATGTATAAAGCTTACGGCATCTTTCCTGGCACTTTCCAGGTTCGATTTGTGCACTCTTAATTGTGGATTGAAATGCATCACCAGTATGAGGCCATTGATATGTTTTGTGTGGTTTTCTGTTTGCAGCCGCCCCCGAAGCCCACCATGCCTAGCCGTCCCATTGCTCCTGCTCCACCTTCTACCCTGTCACTTCCCCCCAAGGTTCCAGGGCAGGTTACCGTTACCATGGAGAGTAGCATCCCTCAAGCTTCAGCCATTCCTGTGGCAACAATCAGTGGACAACAGGTTTTTCTTCCTTTTAATTTGCTGATTTTCAAACTGAAATGCCAAACTGTTGATCATGATTTATTGAATGCTAGCAGTACATTAGTCACGGTAATAAAAAAAGATCAAACAGTCACTGATACCTGCAAGTGAAGATAGTAGGTTTGAGAGAGAAGGATAACTGTAAAGGGAGTAGAAGCCAGTGTCCATAGTGGTCATTTAGCTAGAATTTATTGAGCAGCTACTAGATGCTCGATTCGACCCTAGTGTGATATATAAATCTAGATAAAACAGTCCGTGTCCTTGAGGAGTCCGGAGTCCGGTTCGTGTTTGGTTTTAGCGTCAAGAACTGCCTTCCGGGGGTAGGCAGTGCTGCTCTGTGGTTTCTCTGAGGAGAGCAGATGTGCATCTCTTGGGATAGGTTACCTCAAGCAGCTCTCTAGTTCCAAACTTTTTTTTTTTTTTTTTTGAGACAGAATCTCACGGTGTCACCCAAGCTGGAGTGTAGTGGTGCAGTCTTGGCTCACAGCAACGTCCACGTCCCGTGTTCGAGCCATTCTCTTGCCTCAGCCTCCCGAGTAGCTAGGATTACAAGCGGGCACCACCACCCCCAGCTAATTTTTTTATTTTAATAGAGACGGGGTTTCACCATGTTGGCCAGGCTGGTCTCCAACTCCTGACCTCAAATGATCTGCCCGCCTCGGCCTCCCAAAGTGCTGGGATTACAGGCATGAGCCACCGCACCCAGCCTTAGTTGCGAACATTTATTCTGAAGTCTTCTGTTTTAAGGTTTTTTTGTGAAATTTTGCAATCCTACTCTGCTGTGTACCTGATTAATTAAATATTTTACATTTTTTACCTGGGGAAAAAAACTAAATCTAAAAACTTTCCCTTCACATTTTCAAGAAAAATTTATATCCCAAAGAGGTGTACTGTGTTTTTTCCTTTTGTCATACTGCTGAGTACTCTCAGAAGTACCAGAACCCTTAGCTGAGAAGCCCTGAACTCTGTGGTTTGGGAGAATGTAAGGGACATTTCAGGGTTGAGCTGAAGAACTGGTAGGGAGCACCTGTTGGATACCAACTGACATTTACTTAGAAACAAAAAAGCTTAAAGAATGGATGGATGCAGTGGTATGTAAAGGAAATAGTGAGAATGGGAAAAAAAATAAGCATTTGGCCAGAACAGGGAAAACAAGTGTGAAAGGTAATATCGCAGATGAGAGTTTCTAAACGTAGATATCGAAGTATATTATCTGTAATTATGTGGGCCTGCAGCAGTTGTGGGGTCCTCATACTTCTCACATGCCTGTTAGCACAGTTCATTGTACGGTATGGCATGTAAAAGTAGCTCAAGCTGAATGTCCTTAGCCCTTTCTCTTGGGATACTCACTATCTAAAAAACAACCTGACCCACATTTGGAGGCAGGTGACTTCCTAGAGGCAATGGCTAAGAGCAAACATGTAAAAATAACGTTCTATCCTCTTTCTTTCAGGGCCATCCCAGTAACCTGCATCACATCATGACTACAAATGTGCAAATGTCTATCATCCGCAGCAATGCTCCTGGGCCCCCTCTTCACATTGGAGCTTCTCATTTACCTCGAGGTAACGACTTGCAAGTTTTGTTCAAACTCTCAAAATGTAGTAGTAGATATACATTTGGTAAAATACGTAACACAGAATGTATCTAGAATCAGCTTGTTAAAGTTGCAGAACAACAGTCTGCAGAACCGTGAACCAAATAAACCTCTTTTATTTAAAAAGAAAAAAAGGCCAGGTGCTGCGGTTCATGTCTATAAACCCAACACTTTGGGAGGCTGAGGTGGTAGGTTCACTTGAGTCCAGGAATTTGAGACCAGCCTGGGCAACATGGCGAAACCCTGTCTCTACAAAAATACAAAAAATTAGCCAGGTGTGGTGGCATGCGTCTGTAGTCCCATCTACTCAGGAGGCTGAGATGGGAGGATGGCACTCAGGAGGCTGAGATGGGAGGATGGCACTCAGGAGGCTGAGATAGGAGGATGGCACTCAGGAGGCTGAGATGGGAGGATGGCACTCAGGAGGCTGAGATGGGAGGATGGCTTGAGCTCGGGAGGCAGAGGTTGAAATGAGTTGAGATTGCGCCGCTGCACTCCAGCCTGGGTGACAGAGCGAGAACCTGTCTCAAGAAAAAGAAAAAAAATCGCAAGACAGTAGAAATAAACTTAGAGCAATCCATGTTTTTAGCATGGTTTAATATGTGCTTATTATAGTTGTATTACAAGTGTGTATATTTATGCAATTAAAGTGTTTAATATGGTCTAAAATTGTCCTATATATTGAGGAACTGCCCAAGCTTTGATAATCTCAACATGGTCTTTATTATTAGACTGCTTATCTGCAACATGGTCTTTATTTTTAATACATAAGTCACAAATATTAATACTGAATATTTTTAAAGTTCAGTGATGATCTTTACTCAGTTTTTTAACTTATGTAACAATAAAATGATGATGATAATTATTTTTTGAGATGGGGCCTCACTGGGTTACCCAGGCTGGTTTCAGATTTCTGGGGCACAAGCGATCTTCCCACTTTAGCCTCCTGAGTGGCTGGGACTACAGGTGTGAGCCACCACATGGCTAAGATTAATTTATTTTTACCCTTAAGTTCTAATAGGTTGTGAGGTAATAAATGAATTTTGACTAGAAATTTTTACCTTTTATTGGAGACTTTACAACAATTGGAGATTGTTGGCAAAATCAAGTTAGCAAACGCAAGACCAGGTTTGCTTGGTTATAGCATAACTCAGCAGTTCTCCAAATGTGGTTCACAGGCCCTTATGGGGGTCTGCAGGGTGAAAAGTGCAGGGTTAGGTTTAAGGTTAAGGTTCATAATGTGTCCCTTTGGCAATGTCGACGTCTGCTCTAATGGAACAAAGACTGGAAGGCAAAGTGTCCGAGCCTCGTCAGAGCTGAGGCAGTGGCATCACACTGCTGTTCCCTGTGTGCTTTACCACTGTGCACACTTGCAGTTAACAGAAACAAAAAACAGCAGCTAGTTTCACTTAAGGTTGTCTGTGAAGAGGCAATATAAATTATTATTAAATCTCTTGAATACACATTTTCTTTGTTTTCTCTGTGATGAAATGGGAAGTATACATACCATACTTCAGCTCGATATTGACATGCTATCTGAGTTTTGGGAAACATACTGATTATTTTCCCAGGGAATATAACTAGAATAAATATAATAAACACTTTTTTTTTTTCAGGTGCAGCTGCTGCTGCTGTGATGTCCAGTTCTAAAGTAACCACAGTCCTGAGGCCGACCTCA
The DNA here is from genome assembly GCF_000001405.40 of Homo sapiens. Classification (NCBI taxonomy): domain Eukaryota; kingdom Metazoa; phylum Chordata; class Mammalia; order Primates; family Hominidae; genus Homo; species Homo sapiens. The sequence continues at coordinate 128,013,092 of NC_000002.12, read as the reverse complement.
CAGCTGCCAAATGCTGCTACTGCTCAGCCAGCAGTACAGCACATCATTCACCAACCAATCCAGGCACGTCGGAGCCTGGGGTGCATTAAGGGCCTCATTGGAGTTATTCATTCTGCCAGGCACTAGGCACATCCTTGACCTCAGGGACTTTCCATCTAGTTGCCAAGACATAGGGAAGTTTGAAAGATGCACAGTGTCATGTGGCAAGCTGTAAGAATGCAGAGGAGAGATGGTGGGAAGCCTTCCTGTTGGAAAGGCTGTGCTAACGAGGAATCAGAGAAGTGAAGAGGAAGTGAAGGGGGAAATGAACAGTGGCAAGGAAGGGAGTGATGGTTGTAGACAGCAGTTAGTAAAGGCTAGCTAGGATTGAGGGATTTTAATTTGGATTGGGGGGATCTGTGGACTCCTAAAAGTTAGGTGTATATCTATGTATATTCCAAGAACATGGTCCATGCCATTCAGCTTTTTCTTAAGGAAATCTATGACCTCATTATTACTGAAGTATAATATATTTGCAGGAAATATAGTATCTATAAATTGGGTTCTCTAGGATATGGAGTATAAACTAGACTTTATATACAGTAGAGAGCCACTGCGTTTTTTTGTTTATTTGTTTTTGTTTTTTGAGACAGTCTCACTCTGTTGCCCAGGCTGAAGTGCAGTGGTGCGATCCCAGCTCACTGCAACCTCTGCTTCCTGGGTTCAAGCGATTCTCCTGCCTCAGCCTTCCAAGTACTTGGGACTACAGGTGTGCACCACCATGCCCGGCTAATTTTTATACTTTTAGTAGAGACAGGATTTCACCCTGTTGGCCAGGCTGGTCTCGAACTCCTGACCTCAAGTGATCTGCCTGCCTCGGCCTCCTGAAGTGCTAGGATTACAGGCGTGAGCTACTGTGCCCGGCCAAAAATCATTTTTGTCTTTTTAACACAATGGCTCTGTGTATCATTAAAGTAATACTGTTGAAAGATGAGATTAGGCCAGGCGCAGTGGCTCACACCTGTAATTCCCAGCATTTTGGGAGGCCAAGGCGGGCGGATTGTCTGAGATCAGGAGTTTGAAACCGCCTTGGGCAACATGGTGAAACCCTGTCTCTACTAAAATGCCAAAAAATTAGCTGGGCATGGTGGTGCGTGCCTGTAATCCCAGCTACCTGGGAGGCTGAGGTGGGAGAATCACTTGAGTCCGAGAGGCAGAGGTTGCAGTGAGCCAAGATCGTGCCACTGCACTCTAGCTGGGACGAGAGAGTGAGACTCCATCTCACAAAAAATAAGAAAGATAAGATTAATCTAGCTGAATCACATACAGGAGGTCTGTCCCCTTAAGCACTTTCAGGGGACAGACAGATGTATGAAACAACTGGGTTTAAGATAATAAGGAAGTCTTGATTATGATACTGGGTAGTATCTGTCTAGCCTACAGCTTTCAAGATAAATACTTTTCTGGCCAAGAAAACAGAGTCGGAGGAGTATTAGGCCTCTAGTAGTATATGTGATACATATGAAGGGTTGGAGGAAGACGAGAACCAAGACAAGGAGCTCCCGAGTGAGGAAGCTGGTGCTGTAGCCCTAGTGTGAGACACGCACCTGCACATGGTAGAAGCGGCAGGTAAAAGGGCTGTAGATGAAAAGCAAGGATGAGGAATGGGCAGAGCTCGGCCATTTAGATGCATGTTTCAGGGTTAAGAGCAAGGGAAGAATCAGAACTCAGGTGATTCGAAGAATAATGGTGGGTATGTGGATGAAGCCCAGTGTGGAGCTTATTTTTTAGAGGAAGATTTCACACGTAAGTGTGATAAGGGCACTCTGTCCATGTGAAAACATCCAGAAAGGATATGGGCACCCTGAACGATTACCTAGAAAAGAATACTGTTACCTTGAGTTGCCCTTGTACTCACTAACGTAGATGGCCTGAGAGCCAACAGCTCTATTCAGCAGCTGAGTAGGCCCTCTGTGGAGGTGCTGGGTTGGATGGCAGCGTAAAATGTCTACACCAGGACCAACAACAGACCTGTGGCAACTCTAGATTGAAGGGTGAGATCCCATTGGTACCAATAGTAGGGCAGAATTTTGACTCCAATCACATTTGTACAGGAGGGACTCATGTACTGTTCAATCAAAATGGGATTTTTTTTTTTTTTTCAAAACACTTGTCAGTGGTATCTTAAGGGATTTTTTTTTTTTAATAATTCTGACTCTTAGTCTTTTTTTTTTTTCTTTTCTATTTTTTCAAGACAGTTTCTCTCTTGTTGCTCAAGCTGGAGCGCAATGGTGCGGTCTTGGCTCACTGCAACCTCTGCCTCCCAGGTTCAAGCGATTCTCCTGCCTCAACCTCCTGAGTAGCTGGGATTACAGGCGCGTGCCACCACACCCGGCTAATTTTTTTTGTATTTTTAGTCAAGACAGGGTTTTACTGTGTTAGCCAGGCTGGTCTTTTAACTCCTGATCTCAGTTGATCTGCCCACCTCAGCCTCCCAAAGTGCTGGGAATTACAGGCGTGAGCCACCGTGCCCGGCCTGGCTCTTGGTCTTATAACAACCTATCTGAAAAGAGAATTCCTTAATTGGAATGGTGAGAATTTATTTTTACTTGGGCAGAAACATGCTTATCTGTAGGCTCAAGTTTCAAATTACACATTTAGTATTTGACTTCCTCTATTTTATTTTTGTTTTAAATGAACTGTTTTTTCTCTTTTGGTAGTCTCGGCCACCTGTGACCACCTCCAATGCCATCCCTCCTGCTGTGGTAGCAACTGTCTCAGCCACCAGAGCTCAGTCTCCAGTCATCACTACGACAGCGGCGCATGCTACTGATTCAGCACTTAGGTATACATGGGGAGTATGAAGTTTGAACCTTCCTGCCATCCTCCTCCTTCACTCTTTTTTCTTTCGTTCCTTCATTTAAGTAAATATTTATTGAGTGGCTTTTTTTTTTTATAATGAGCTATGTAGTGTTCTAAATCCTGGGGCTAAAGCTGTGAACAAAGAAATTGCTGCCCACACAGAGCTTCTGTTTTTACAGGCTGGAGACGCGATAAATATGTAGCTTTTTAGATGGTGAAAAGTGCTTTGGAAAAAAATAAGGGTAAAAGGGATTGGGAGTGACAGGGTGGGTGGTGCAGGGGACTTACAGTTTCATGTAATGTGGTCGGAGAGGGCTTTGTTGATAAGAATACATTTCAGTAGAAAATGAAAAGATATAATGAAGTGAGTGAGCTATATGGTTATCGGAGAGAAGAGTATTCTAGGCAGTGGGAACAGTGAGCGCAAAGGCTCTGAGACAGGATTGTGTTTGCCACTTATAAGGACCACCAGTGAGGCCAAGGTGGCAAGAGTTAGATTTGGGGAGGTAGCAGGGTCTCCAGATCACATAGGCCCTTAGGAGCCACACTAAGGACATGGACTCGGCTGGGGCATGATGGAAAGCCTTAGTGGAGTTTTTAGCAGACCGATGCAATGATCTGAAGTTTCAGTTGGTTCAGCCTGGTTGCTGGATAGAATAGGCTCTGGAGAGGCCAAGTTAGAAGCAGAGTTGGGTAGAAGGGTATAGCCAGCATGTAGGAGAGATGAAAATGGATGTAGAAAGACATGATTAGATTCTGGGTAGATTATTATTATTTTTTGGAGACAGGGTCTCACTCTGTCACCCAGGCTGGAGTATAGTGGCACGATCATGGCTCACTGCAGCCTCAAACTCTCAGGCTCAAGTGATCCTCTTGCCTCAGCCTCCCAAGTAGCTGGAACTCCAGATGTGCACCACCATGCCTAACTAATTTTTTTATTTTCTTGTAGAGACAGGTTCTCACTTTGTTGCCCAGGTTGGTCGTGAACTCCTGGGCTCAAGTGATCCTCGCATCGCCCTAAGTGCTGGGATTATAGGCATGAGCCAGCCACCACACCTGGCCCTGGGTAGATTTTGAAGGATAGAGTCAAGAAGATTTCTGAGGAATCACTGGGGCAGGCGGTGGGGGTGTGGGAGTGTGAAAGAAGGAGAGGAGTCACGATTATTTGCCAGTGCTAGTTGGCCTGTATACCTAACAGGGTGGAGGACAGTGGGAGGTTTAGGAAAGGAGTTTTATACTTTGATTTTAGGCATTTTAAGATTGTGATGGCAAGATATAATGGCTCATGCATGTAATCTCAGCACTTTGGGAGGCTGAGGCAGGAGGATCACCGGAGTCCAGGAGTTTGAGACCAGCCTGGGCAACATAGGGAGACCCCATCTCTTTAAAAAATAAAAAAGTAGCCAGGCATGGTGGTGTGTACCTATGGTCCCAGCTACATGGGAAGCTGAGGTGGGAGGATGACTTGAGCCCTGGAGATTGAGTCTATAGTGAGCTGTGATCATGTCACTGCATTCCAGCTGGGGCAACAGAGCGAGACCCCATCTCCACCAAAAAAAAAACAAACAGGAAAAGGATTTAGGCTAGGTGCAGTGGCTCGTGCCCGTAACCCCAGTGCTTTTGGAGGCCAAGGTGGGAGAATCACTTGAGGCCAGGAATTCAAGACCAGCCCCAGCAACATACCAAGATCCCATTTCAACAAATTAAAAAAAAAAAAAAAAAAGGTAAGCGTGGTGGCATGTACCTATAGCCCTAGGTACTTGGAGACGGAAGTGGGAGGATCATGTGACCACAGGAGTTTGAGATTACTAGGAGCTATGATTGTGCCACTACTCTCTAGTCTGGGCAACAGAGCGAGATCCTGACTCTGAAAAAAAAGAAGCAAGAAAGATTTGTAGAGCCATACAGGGATAAAGTGTGGTTGATGAGGGATGATCTTAAAGGCTTTTTGTGAGTGACACAATCAGGGATGACATCATGCTGTTTTTCCTCATGATCTCCAAGTCACATTACAGGGAGGTTAGGGAGGGCAGTTGATTCTTGCCATTGGTTATGTTGAGGGAAGGGAGCCTTTGGCAATAGTGCAGACAAGAAGAGATTCACTGAATCAAAGCAAGGATAGTAGGTGTGGAGAGAGGAATTGTTAGAAGCTGGCGGGGCACCACTAGGACCTGTCAGCTAAAAGCAGGGCAGAGTGGTGAGGAAGAAAGAGGAATCGGAGATGCCTCTTTGATTTCCTCCTTACTTGTCCGAGTAAATGAAAATCAAAACAAGGGAAGGAAAGCAGGTTTTAGAAAAGCTTGAGCTTTGGGATACTGAGTTTATCTGTGTAACAACCAAGTGGCTGTTGTCAGTATGTGGTTGAAGAGATGTCTGTGCTAGAGATAATGGGTTTAGGAGTGATCAATGTGTGGGCCACAATGAAAGCCTTCAGGTGTCTATCCAGGGGTACTAGAGAGTGAGAAGAGGGCCTAGAACAGAACTCTGAAGAAAATTATGTTTAAATGAACAGCAATACCTGGAACTTATCTTAAGCCATTAGCTCTGTTATCTACTTGTGTGACATTAAGCAGGTTTTCAACTCCCCTGATCCTTTGTTCTCTCTTCAATAAAAGGGATACTTTACTTTGTGGCAGTTATTAATAAATATGTTGCCTGAGGTACAAAGAGACAGAACTACCCAACATAAAATAGACTACTTGTTGTTGCTCATTTTAACTTTATAAAAGTTAATGTATTCAGATGGTATGAGGAAATTCACAAGGTATAAATGGATATACAGTCATCTCTATCTATGGGGTCTTGGCTCCAGGAGCCCCTGCAGATGCTGAAATCCAAGGACGCTCAAGTTCCTTCATATAAAGTAGCATAGTATTTGCGTATAACCTACGCACCTCCTCCCATGTACTCTAAATCATCTCCAGGTTACTTGGAGTGCCTATTATGATGCCTGCACATCACTTCATTCATGTGGATTCCGTATAGTACTTGGTGCTCAGCTAATGCAAGTTTTGCTTTTTGGAATTTGGGGAAATTGTTTTCCCCTTTGAATATTTTCAATCCATGCTTGGTTGAATCCATAGATGTGGCACCTATGAAACTGAGGGCCAACTGTATGATGAAAACTAGGGGTAGGCTTTTTATTTTTAATCGTTTTGTCAAAGTATCTTTTCCATTGTGTTGATTGTTTTAATAAAACCTGGATATTGAATTTTGTTGAATGCATTTTTAGCATTCACTCATATAACACTAGCAATATACTACAAGTAGTGAATGAAACAGACAAAAACCCTAATCAGATGATTTTTCTCTTTATATCTACAACTACAATAAATTCCTAATGTCTAACTTTTTTGGAATTAAGATAGAACTTCTTCAACAGACCAATTTCCTTAGAAGAAATAGAAAAAAATTTTAAGCACTATCTCTCACAAAAGCACCAGATCCAGCTGGTTTCATAGAATTCTTTTTTGAGACAACGTCTTGCTCCGCCAGCCAGGTTGGAGAACAGTGGCTTGATCACGGCTCACTGCAGCCTTGACCTCCTAGGCCCAAGTGATCCTTCTACCTCAGCCTCCCAAAGCTGGGACTACGGGCACGTGCCACCATGCACCATGCCTGGCTAATTTTAAAATGTTTTGTAGAGACAGGGTCTCCCTATGTTGCCCAGGCTGGTGTCAAACTCCTGGGCTCAAGCGATCCATCTGCCTCAGCCTCCCAAAGTGCTGGGATTACAATTGTGAGCCACCACACCCAGCCTTGGTTTCATAGAATTCTACCAAACCTTCAAAGGGGCCAGATAAATCAGTGATAATGAAATTGGTTCAAGGTATAGAAAAAAAGTAAAATTCCAGAAAAATGTAAGTCATATCTTAATTTTTCTACTAAATACATTCAGTCTGTCAGTTCTTTGACCCTTGTCTTTTCAGTCATTACTTGGTTGAATGAAATTTATTTTCTATCACTTTCTTCAAAAAGGGCAAAATTTAAAGCACCAATATTTTGAAAGTTTACGTGCTGAGAATCATTTCCCATTTATACTTAGGCAATAGTTTGGCTGATTGAGTGTTTTATTGTTTCTATATTCTTTCCATGATTACTTGATGGGTAATTTTTCCCGTCTTCTAGATCTGGATGTTACTGGAGTCTGTTTTTTTTTTTTTTAACCGCTTACAAAGGCCTTAGTCTTTTTGCCTTATTGCCTGATTCTTTTTCGTTGAATATCAGCAAATTTCATAGCATTTATTTTGTAATGACCATTATTTATGGTTTTGTTCTAAACATGGTGTGCCTTTTCAATCTGTAGCATAAAACTATTCATTGGCCAGGCATGGTGGCTCATGCCTCTAATCCCAGCACTCTGGGAGGCTGAGGCAGGCAGATCACTTGAGGTCAGGAGTTTGAGACCAGCCTGGCCAACATGGTGAAACCCTGTCTGTCAGCTGGGCATGGGGCCGGATGCCTGTAATCCCAGCTACTTGGGAAGCTGAGGCGGGAGAATCGCTTGAACCTGGGAGGCGGAGGTTGCAGTGAGCCAAGATCGCGCCACTGCGCTCCAGCCTGGGCAACAGAGCGAGACACTGTCTCAAAAAAAAAAAAAAGAAAGAAAAACTATATGAACAGTTTGTTTGTTTTTTTTTCTTTTGAGACCTAGTCTTGCTCAGGCTGGAGTTCAGTGGCGCGGTCTCAGCTCACTGCAGTCTCCACCCCCCGGGTTCAAGCCATTCTCTTGCCTCAGTCTTCCGAGTAGCTGGGATTACAGACACCCACCACCACCCCTGGCTAATTTTTGTATTTTTAGTAGATGGGGGTTTGCCATGTTGGCCAGGCTGGTCTCGAACTCCTGACCTCAGGTGATTTACCCACCTCAGCCTTCCAGAGTGTTGGGATTACAGGTGATTCCCAAGTGTTGAATCTTTTTGCACTCCTATGTAATTTTTTTAACTGTTCCCTTTAATGTTGCTTTCATACTCTTCTCCGCCCTTGACTGCATTTTCAGCATTGTCTCTCATGTTCCACTTCTAATTTTGCCTTCATTCTTGAAACTGCTGAGCAGTTGCCTTCTGTTTCTCTCTGGAGCTCTGCCCATATATTTTGTCTTCTTCTGTTGTTCTCTCATCATTTCCACTGAGTTCTTATGTCTTTGCTTTGTGTTTCCATTTCATAGAAGCAGTTACTTCATTAAGTTTTTAAATTCATGGTACAGTGTTCATCTGCGTAGTGAAAGCACTTCTGGTGTGTTTTGTTCCACCTTTTGTCTTTTAGCATCTTTAAATAGATCCTGTTTTGGATCCTTTCTGAGTATTCATCTTTGATTGGATTGGCTTTATTCTGGATCCCCATTTGTAATTGGTTCTTATTGTAGCCTGGACTATATACTGGGTTTGGATAAATTTTCCAAATGACTCAGTGTCCTGTGTTTGAATTTTGTTGGCCATTACTTCACTCCTGTCAGTGCAGATAGACCACTTAAAATGGCAAAGCCTCTCTTCCCTAGGTCCCCCGCACACTATTCCCCACAGACGGGGCTTATCTGTGTCTGTGTCTGATTCCTGGTTTAACCCTAGATCCTTTGCTTTTTAACCCTTGGAACTGGTCCAAATGCTCCTTCACTGCCAGCTTCATTTCCACTGTTACACAAAAGATTTTGGTTTTCTCTGTCAGTTTATGCTCCTCATTTTGGAGTATTATACTTCCTTACTGGATTTTATCCCCAGAATTATAGCCCCAGAAATTCTCTCTTCAGGCTGGGCAGGGTGGCTCATGTCTGTAATCGTACACTTTGGGAGGCTGAGGCAGGAGGATTGTCTGAGCCTAGGAATTCAAGACCAGCCTGAGCAACATAGTGAGAATCTATCGCTTTAAAAAAAAAAAAAAAAAAAAAAAAAAAGGAAAGAAAGCAATCCTCCTTTCACTGGCTCCTGAGTCCCTGTTTGGTTGTCCCTACCTTTGGCAGTTCTTCTGTCCTGTGGTTTGAGATTTCAGATGTCTCCTAATTTTGCGAAAGGAGGATACTGTATTTCTCTTTTTTGTTTTCCTTACTATTTCCTTACTATCCTCTGAGAGGAGAAGGAGAAAATACCACACTGGCAGTCTCTGCCTACAATCCCCTTGTCCTCCAAATAAGCTAGTCATACAAGGACCCATCTGAACACTGGAGGATAATCACAAGTCCATTTATCATTTAACCCCTGTATTTTCTGTAGATGTCAGATCACTGAATTGGGGCTCTATCCTTGGAGTTGCCTTTCAGGCTGTCAACAAAAAAAAAAAAAAAAAAAAAAAAAAAAAAAAGCTGATCTGTGGGAGAACTACACAGTTGGGTATCCCTAAACCAAAATCCGTAATATGCCAAAATCTGAAACTGAGCACTGCCATGACACTCAAAGGAAATGTTCCTTGAAGCATTTCTGCTTTTTGGATTGGGGATGCTGAGTCTGTAAGTATATAATTCCAAAATCTCAAACACTTCTCATCTCAAACGTTTTAGATAAGGTATACTCAACCTGTAATATGGTGATTAGACAACAGATTAGGGAGCACTTTCTGAATGACCTTACTTACTCCCTCTGACTGTTTTTGGTACGTGTGGGTGAGTCACTATGGACCTGTCGATGTTAAATATTCAGACTGGATTTTTTTTGTTGTCATTTGTTTTTGTTTTTGAGACAACGTCTCACTCTGTCACCCAGGCTGAATCACATCTTGACGCCCACCTGTAGTCCCAGGTACTCAGGAGGCTGAGGTGGGAGGAGACCTTGAACCCCAGAAGTCAAGGTTGCAGTGGCGCAGTCACAGCTCACTGCAACCTTAACCTCTGGGCTTCAAGCTGTCCTCCCACCTCAGCCTCCTGAGTACCTGGGACCATAGGTGTATGCCAAGATGCCTGGTTAGTTGTTTTATTTTTCATAGAGACTGGGCCTTGCCATGTTGCTCAGGCTGGTCTCAAATTCCTGGGCTCAAGCAGTCCTCCTGCCTCAGCTCCCAAAGTGCTAGGGCTTACAGATGTGAGCCACTGCGCCCAGCCTCAAAATATTTTAATCAAAGTCTCTTTCTTTTGCTCCCAGTGCCCCAAATTGGGCTAGTGAGAACCCCTTTTTGCTGGCTCAAGTGTCTTTTTTTTTTTGAGACCCTCTCATGTGTCGCCCAGGCTGGAGTGCAGTGGCACAGTCTCAGCTCACTGTAACCTCTGCCTCCTGGGCTCTCAAGCGATCCTCCCACTTCGGCCTCCCAAGTAGCTGAGACTACAGGTGTGTGGTGCCATGCCCAGCTAATTTTTATATTTTTAGTAGAGGTGGAATTTCGCCATGTTGCCTACGCCAGTCTTGAACTCCTGGACTCAAGCAATCTGCCTGCCTTGGCCTCCCAAAGTGCTGCTGGGATTACAAGCGTGAGCCACTGTACCAGGCCTGGCCCAAGTTTCCTTTTGATGACTCCCGTTAGCCTTTGAGTACTTTATTGTTTTTGATACACGATGTCTCATGCTTTCTCCTGTTTTTTTTGTTTGTTTTTTGTTTTTTGTTTTAGTTTTCAAATAAGCCAATTCTCCTTGGTTCTTTTTAGTGGAGAGTAGAACACCCAAGTTCTGGGTGTTAGAAGTGTTCATTGTTTCTGGTGTGTCATTGCTTTTGGGCTCTTTCTGGGGACAGAGGTACTCAGTATAGTAAAGATAGTCATGTCTTCCTGCTGATATTTTCCTCTTTATTTTTTTATTTATTTTTTTGAGACAGACTCTTGCGCTGTCACCCAGGCTAGAGTGCAGTGGTACAATCTTGGCTCACTGCAACCTCTGCCTCCCAGGTTCAAGTGATTCTCCTCCCTCAGCCTCTGGAGTAGTTGGGACTACAGGCACGTACCACCGCACCCGGTTAATTTTGTATTTTTAGTAGAGATGGGGTTTTACCATGTTGGCCAGGCTGGTCTTGAACTTGATCCACTTGCCTCAGCCTCCCAAAATGCTAGGATTACAGACGTGAGCCACCACCTGTTTTAAAATCTTATGTTATTTTAAATCTTATGTTAATTAAAAAGTTTTGGCCGGGCACATTGGCTCATGCCTATAATCCCAGCACTTTGGGAGGCCAGGGCGGGCGGATCAAGAGATCAAGACCATCTTGGCCAACATTGTGAAACCACGTCTCTACTAAAAATACAAAAATTAGCCAGGCATTGTGGCACGCGCCTGTAGTCCCAGCTACTCAGGAGGCTAAGGCAGGAGAATTGCCTCTGCCTGGGAGGTGGAGGTTGCAGTCAGCTGAGATCATGCCATTGCACTCCAGCCTAGTGACAGAGTGAGACTCCATCTCAAAAAAAAAAAAAGTTTTTTTCACTCCTTCTCTGGTAATGGACGCATATTGGTATTTACAGATGAAATTTAACATTACAGTTTTGTTTTGGTTTTTTTTTGCTTTCTGAGGTTTTACACTCATTCATTACTTAATGATGGGGATACAGTCTGAGAAATGAATAGTTAGGCAGTCTTGACATGCAAACATCATAAGAGTATACTTACACAAACCTAGATGGTGTTACCTACTACACACCGAGGCTATGATGCTATAACTATTGCTCCTAGTTTGTAGACCTATACAGCCTGTTACTGTACTGAATACTGTAGGCAGTTGTAACACTATGGTATTTGTATATCTAAATACAGAAAAGGTACAGTAAAAATACAGTGTAAAAGATTAAAAAAGAGGCACCTGTATCATTTGTCCATCTGACACAAATTAACCTCTTGCTATTTGTAGATTACTACTAACAATAAGAATACCGAGTAACTAACTTCACAGTTCTTTTTGTCCTCCAGCTAGATCCCACTAACCAGAGTGGCAATGTGTTTGAATGTCACCTGAAGTGATTCTTTGCATTTTATTTTATTGGAGACAGGGTCTCACTCTGTCGCCCAGGCTGGAGAGCTCACTTTAGCCTTGGCCTCCCAGGCTTAAGCGGTCCTCCTGCTGGGATTACTGGTGTGAGCTGCCGCCTGTGGCCTCCCCTCTGATTTGAATAGCCAACTTTGTTATACTGTCAAATTTTCTTGCCAGTGTTGCCATTTCAGTAGCTTGCTACCAATTAATTTGGCATCCTCTGTTGATTTCCCTTCCAATCCTGAGGCAGCCATAACTAACTTTTTATCATTTTAGGAGTGTTCTTACATTTGCTAAGGAATGATGTAAAATTGGGAGGAAGGTCCATGCTTCAAGGGTCATAGTTTAAGCTGCTGTTAATCCAAATTGTCTCTGATCTTTCTTCAGGAAATTTGTCAAAAACTTACAGCATGTAAATTTATAGTATATTTTCAGATTTATCCACAGAGTTCAGTGCAATTATTTTATTTTTATTTTTTATGTAGACAAGGTCTTACTCTGTCCCCCAGGCTGGAGTGCAGTGGCAGTCATCGCTCACTGTAACCCTGACTTCCTGGGCACAAGCTATCCTTCAGCCTTTGCGCCCCCCAAAAGCACTGTGTCTACAGGTGTGAGCCACCGCACCTGACCTGAAGTGCAATTATTATAATGATATTAACTCAAGTTTGTTACGGAGTGTTGATTAACTACATCAAGGATTCTGAGAACAAGTAAGGGTTAATTTCTTCAGTTTGTGGTACAAATTGATGCCTTTTAAAACAAGACAAACTCAGTGCACCTTTTGCCACATTGGTGTGATTAAAGACCAAGTATTGGTTTAACTCCGAACTTCATAGACCTATGAAAAAGTATAACTTGCATGACTAACCTAGGAGAAGATTGTAAATGACCTTGCCCATCTGCATTGTGTCTTTGTTATCTTTTCAGTAGGCCAACCTTGTCTATCCAGCATCCTCCATCTGCAGCAATCAGTATTCAGCGTCCTGCCCAGTCACGAGATGTCACAACAAGAATCACACTACCATCTCACCCTGCATTAGGGACGCCAAAACAGCAGCTTCATACAATGGCTCAGGTAAAACCAAAAGTGGAGAACCACCTGTGTACTTTGTTGGGTAAAACCAAAAGTGGGCAAAATGTGCTGAGGGCCTGGTGATACCGAAGGCATTGATTGTGTTTACCCTGGACGCAGTGGATAATGTTCTTATAACTGTGTTGTGGGGTTTCCCTCACAGAAAACAATCTTCAGTACTGGCACGCCAGTGGCTGCAGCCACAGTAGCACCTATTTTGGCAACCAACACCATTCCTTCAGCGACCACAGCTGGTAAGTCCACGACCCTCCTCTTCCTTCTACTGGGGAAAAAGGAGGCAAGAGTGATGGGTTAATTTTTCATTTCTCACCTTCAGTCAGAGAAAAACAACGGGCTAGAAAAATTCTCTTAACTTTTTCCAGGAGATTTCCCAGGTTTTTGAGAATCTGTAACGTGTGCAGAGAAGTTCTTGTTAAAGAATTTCCTTTTTTCCCCTATTTCAGGATCTGTGTCACACACGCAAGCTCCCACAAGTACCATTGTTACCATGACAGTACCCTCCCATTCCTCCCATGCTACTGCTGTGACCACCTCAAACATCCCAGTCGGTAAGTGGCCTGCTGCCTTCGGACAGAAGCTTACCAGGAGTGCTGTAACCCCTCAGACTAGGCCTTCATGGTGATGGCTAGTATTGATTTTTACCATTGTTGATTTCCTCTTTTTTTTTTTTTTCTTTTCTTTTTCTTTCCTTAAGTCTCACTCTGTTGCCCAAACTGGAGTGCAGTGACGTGATCTCGACTCACTGCAACCTCCACCTCCTGGGTTCAAGCAGTTCTCCTGCCTCAGCCTCCCAAGTAGCTGAGACTACAGGCACATGCCACCATGCCTGGCTAATTTTTTTGTATTTTTAGTAGAGATGGGGTTTCGCTACGTTGGCCAGGCTGGTCTTGACCTCATGATCTGCCCGCCTCGGCCTCCCAAAGTGCTGGGATTACAGGCATGAGCCACCGCACTCAGCTGAGATAAGGCAGTTTTTGTGAAGAGGACACCCTGACATACTGGTGACTGGACGTAAAGTGTGGGTTCCAGCCCCTCTGAGCAAACTTTGAAGCCCATTTTCTGGAATAATGGTAGTACCCAGGAAGTCCCTACTCCTGTTCTAGGGTGACCAGCCTACACCAGCCCTTAAGTAGGTGCTCAGCCTCACAGAAGTCTTTTAGCACAGAGGGTGCTACTATTGGGTCTTTTCTGCATCACTGCTCACCATGACTTGCCATTGGAGAGACCAAATTTTTCCCGTAACCTTCTGAATTTAATTCATATTTGTCAAAAGAAGTTTGTTTTGTTTGTATCTGTTTAGCATAACACACCTGTTGAAAAGGTAGTAAATTGTCCATATTGCCATCTCAGCCCATTTCCTTCCTCTGCCTGCGTCATCAGCTCTCCTGAGTGCTATCACGGCAGAGCCAAGCCCAGACGCTTAACGTTTATCAAGTCAGGAGCCTCACTCGGGTATTTGTATCTATGATCGAAAGTCAGACCAATAAAGAGGGGCCCTTGTGGCCCAGAGGGACTGTCTAGTTTCCTCCTGACCCTCCACCATGAAGAATTTTTTAGAGATTGGTTCTTGTGAATGTCCTTCTATCTTCCTAAGAGATCCCACTGTGGAAGTAGACTCACTAAAAAGTACCAGGAAACGTACATACATGTATTCCTATGTTCCATGGGGTTTATGCTGTCATTTTGTTTTTCTCTTTTATGCTAACCCCAATATTTCTGTATTATAATAGGATCTCTCTAAGAAAGGTAGCTCAGTTGAGAAGGGAAACCTGATATAACCCTAGACCACTGATTTTCAAGTTGGGAAGTAAAACATACATATTAAAATCACCTAAGTGACTTTTTCCAAGTGAGCTTGCCCTCTCCAGGTGATATTAAATCGAATTCAGCTATTCTTATTAGGAATATGTTGGCTCAGAAAAAAAGCCTAATAAATCACAAGTATAAGGTTTTTGCCTCTATTCCAATGGAATACCATTCTTATTTTCTTCATGTTCTGGTCAACATATGATCATGTTCTCAGAATTATGGAAAGCAAAATCTGGTGATCACATCATTCAGAAAATAGGGATAAGTTTTGGAGATAACATTATGGCAGACTTAATGTTTTCTGTGCTATATAGTTCCTTGGTTTTTATTTAACTATTGAGAATGTATGGTTTTTTTTCTTTTTTTTTTTTTGAGATGGAGTCTCACTCTATTATGCAGGCTGGAGTGCAGTGGCATGCTCTCAGCTCACTGCAATCTCCCAGGTTCAAGTAATTCTCCTGCCTCAGCCTTCCGAGTAGCTGGGATCACAGGCACATACCACCACGCCTGGCTGATTTTTGTCTTTTTAGTAGAAACAGGGTTTCACCATGTTGGCCAGGCTGGTCTCGAACTCCTGACCTCAGTTGATCTGCTCGCCTCGGCCTCCCAAAGTGTTGGGATTATAGGCATGAGCCACTGCATCCAGCCTTTATGGCTTTTTAAATTAGAAAACAAAGATTTAAATTAATGGCTGAGTGGTGGGGTATGTCTGGTTACCAACCGCTGGTTAGCTACTCTGTCACATGGCAGCTTCATTCCTACTGGAAGCATCATTTTCTTCTACCTTTCATGGGGCTCAGTGAAAAAAACAAGGCTTAGTTGCCCCCTGCTCACCATCCCCACTGCTTACCTCCCTGATGGAAAACCCTATCATGCCAACTTCTCTTTGCATTGGCCAATAGATGCGATCTTCAGTGGTCAGATGGGCATTCCTGTTATCACCCTGCGAAAACTTCTCCAGCTGCCTCCCACAGGAGCTGGCTGGGCATCACAGTGGGTCTGTGCAGCTTACCTTTGGTGTTAAATGTTCTGCATTTAGGGTAATATGTTGGCATCCTCCTAGTCTAGTCTCTTTGTTAATGTGCCTCTCACTGGTGTAACGGGTTTTTACAAAGATGGAAGCTGTCTGTCTATATTTCTGATATAGATCATGGCTTTTCTTTCTGAATTCCCAGGCATACTGTTAATAGATAGATCTATAAAAAATAGTGTCAAGTGTATTCTAGTTCAGCTATACCTTCCAAACAAAATTGGATTGCAAGTTTTAAAGGAGTACACATTTGGAGCCTCAGATTGAATTTGAAAACTCTATGGTCATTGATTTTAATTTTGCTCTAAAGTATTATATAAAATCGTAGGACATTCAAAGGACCTTAGAAATTATTAAGTGATCTAGAGAAGGTGTCCTTATAGGTAAAGAAACAGACTTGGGAATTAAAGTCGTTTTCTCATTGCTAATTAGCTACATTTTATAATTATGGACCTGGAGTAGAATCCAAGGTTTTTTGTTTGTTTGTTTTTTCCGTTTTTTAATCCAAAATTGTGTGTTTATTTATTTATTTTGAGACAGGGTCCCAGTCTGTGAGTGAGGCTGGAGTATAGTGGTGCAGTCATGGCTCACTGTAGCCTTGAACTCCTGAACTCAAGTGATCCTCCCGCCTCAGCCTCCCACAGTGCTGAGATGACAGATGTGAGCCACCGCATCTGTCATTAAAAAGCCAGGTTGGGAGAAAAGAGCCTGGTCACTTCTATCTTTGTTTCAGTATTAATGTTGAACCCTGCTTTAATAACAGTAGGAGTATATCAGTGAATGATAGGATTGAAATAATTCTGTTGAACTTTGTACTTATTTTTCATTTTTTATTTTGATTAAAAATCCAGGCTTATTTTAATTGTTTGCTTTCCTAAGATTGCTGCTAGCCAAGAATGTTTTGGCATGCCAAAAAAAAGTGTAGAATGGTCATGGAATTGGCATTTACTGTTTGCAGCCAAGGTGGTGCCCCAGCAGATCACGCACACTTCTCCTCGGATCCAGCCAGACTACCCTGCCGAGAGGAGTAGCCTGATTCCCATCTCCGGACATCGGGCCTCTCCCAATCCTGTGGCCATGGAAACCCGAAGTGACAACAGGTAGGAGGCTGTGTGTCAGTTATTCTGCCTCACTGTGTCATTAATCGTTCTGCTTTATCAGCATAAAACAAAGTGTCCCACAAATATGGCCTATATTTATTACTCATGTTTTCAGATTTTCCCCTGAAAGTAACACTTCGTATAATTCCTTTTTTTATGTGCGATTTTTTTCAAGCCAGTCTCCTTTTGATGGATGTTTTCCTAGTATCCATTTTTTGGGTTTTGTGTGTTTAACATTTTTTGGCCATTTTGAGAGTAAGGGTTGCAGCATTATGACCATTTATCCGTAAGTACCTCCATTTGTAGCACGGAAGAGTAAAGACATTCTTTGATGTCACCGCGGTACAGCTATCTGAAAGGATTCCGAGCTCTCCCTTCTCTTTCACTCATGGATATTTTTAAAGAGTGTGGAGAGGCCAGTTGTTTTAGGGAATTTGGTACTGTCACGTTGTTTCTTCATGGTTACATTCAGGTTATACCAGGTAAGCAGTGTGTTCTTCCCATTGCATCAGAGAGCTCATGCTGTCTGTTTTTCCCGTATTGGTTATGTTAACATTCATTACTTAGTGAAGGTGATGTTTGCTGGTTTTTTCTACTGGAAAAGCATGTTTTTCTCCTTTGTAAACAAGTAATCTGTATGGAAATATCTGAGTATAAATATCCTGTTCTCCAGTAAACATTCATTCAATAGTTGTAGATCTATTATTAATTCCTGGCTGAATCAATTATTAATATGATAGTTGCAAAATAGTGAGTTTTTCTAACGTGTTGTCTATATATATTAGCTGGCATTCTGACGTAAAGAAACTTTCTCTTATCCACCCCCATTTATTTATTATGTTGAGCATTTTACTGTTTTTTAATCGGCTCGGCCTTGTAGATTTGCTTTTATTCATTATTAGAATCCATTGCTGTCATCTATTTTGGTGCTCACATGATCTCATTTGGTCTTTGGGGGTTCTTTCTGTCTGCTTCTGTGGATTTCGCCCCATCCCCTCTATTCTAGCCTTTCCTTATTTTCCAATGACGAGATATTCTAGATTCCTATTGAACTTTATCTGTCTGGCTGTGAAATCTGCTGTTTCTCCAAGGAGCCCCTTGTCATTTACAAACCAAGATCTGGGCATTAGCCCTGCTTGTTGCTATGGGTTGTCATTCTTCTAGGCCCTTTGAGCAGGCAGAGGTAGAAAGTATATAATATTTTAAGAACATTTGAGTTCATGCTGATATCTCTAGTTCAACCCCATCGCTTCCCCCATTCCATGTTTGTATCTGCCTCTCCCATAAAGAACCCTATACAGTATACACAAAGTAGTTTCAAAAACAGGTTATTGTTAAGTGTTCTAATTTGATCATTTGTGTCTAGGAATGCTTACAGATTTTGATACATTGATATGTCCATCCCCCTTGTTGAATACTCCTGTTAGCTCTAAATGTTTATAGATTCTCTAAATAATTCTGTAAATTAGCTCTAAATGTTTATAGATTTATGAATTTCCTATGTACATGTTTATTTTGCCTACAAATAAGGACAGTTTGAGGGGAAAGCAAGAGGGTCTTATCATTTTCATTTGTTTTTATGTTTTGTTTTTGAGACAGGATCTTGCTCTGTTGCCCAGGCTGGAGTGCAGTGGCACCATCATAACTCACTGCAGCCTCGACTTCCGGGCTCAAATGATCCTCCCACCTCAGCCTCCCGAGTAGCTGGGACTGCAGGCACATGCAATCATGCCTGGCGAAGTTTTTTTATTTTTTGTAGAGATGAGGTCTCACACTGTTGCCCAGGCTGTAGTGCAGTGGTGCAGTCTCGGCTCACTGCAATCCCTGCCTCCCAGGTTCAAGTGATTCTCATACCTCAGCCTCCTGAGTAACTGGGATTATAGGCGTGTGCCACCACACCTGGCTAATTTTTGTATTTTTAGTAGAAGACGGAGTTTCGCCATGTTGGCCAGGCTGGTCTTGAACTTCTGGCCTCAAATAGCCTGCCTGCCTCAGCCTCCCAGAGTGCTCAGGCTGGTCTCGAACTCCTGAGCTCAAATGATTCACCTGCCTCAGTCTCCCAAAGTGCTAGGATAGCAGGCATGAGCCACTGTGCCTGGCCTACTTCTATTTTCTTAGGCATTTATATCATGAATAACTATTGACTGCTGTCGAATATTTTTATCTTTTAGGTTTTAAATTATTGTTCTCTTTTAATTTTTAAAATTTATCTAAAACATGAATAGACATTTTGATGTTGAAGTATTTCTCTCCCTATGATAAACTTTATTTGATCATGATGTATTTAACTTTATATGGTACTTAATTCAATTTTATGTAGGTTTTTTTGTTGTTGTAGTGAGTTAGATTTGTTTATAATCTTTCTTTTGTCATATTCTCCTGTTCCAATATTAGTAACAAGGCTATATTAAGCTCAAAAACTAAACTAGGAGCCAGGTACGGTGGCACATGTCTGTAGTCCCAGAATTCAGGCAGCTGAGGCAGGAGGCTTGATTGAACCTAGGAGTTCAAGGTTATAGTGTACCATGATTGTGCTGGTGAATAACCACTACGCTCCAGCCTGGGCAACATAGCAAGACCCTGTCTCTAAAAAAATAAAAATAAATTGGATCCCATTTTTTCTTTCCATTGTTTCTGAAGCAGTTTGAATGAAATTGGGATTATTTGTTTTATGTATTTTTAATGAAATTGGCCAGTAAAACCAATTTGAGTTGAGTGTAGTTCATGAGGAATTGAGCAGGGAAGATTTGATTACTGAGATTTTGTGAACTGGTTTTCAGACTTACTCTCAAAAATCACCCATAGAATATTATCTATGTTTTTACATTTATTGATATAGGTATTTATAGTATCCACTTTTTTTTTTTTTAATTTTGCATTCTTGGTGTGTGTCCTGTGATGTAAGAGTTTGTTTGGGACACAATTTGAGCAAAGCTTGTTTGACAGTTCTGAAGGACACAAAGAGGAACTGGGGTATAGGATCATTTGAAAGTAAAGAAGAAAATGACTATTTTGTTTGCTATCATCTGTTCTGTCTCTAGACCGTCTGTTCCCGTTCAGTTCCAATATTTTTTGCCAACTTACCCCCCTTCTGCATACCCACTGGCGGCACATACCTACACCCCAATCACCAGTTCCGTGTCCACTATCCGACAGTATCCAGGTATGAGCCCTGCTTTTTAGATGACTTTTCACAGTTTAACTTTTGCCAACAATAATGTAGAAATTGATGAGGGGTTATTTTTTGTATGAGATTAATTATTTCAGCTTCTGTTTTCAGATTCAGATAAAATGTGAAGCTTGAAGGTCTTAAATAATCATCTTTGTGATCTATAAAAGTTGTTACTCATTAGTGATATTTGCATAGTATTATGCCACCCTGAGGATACTCATGTTAACAATTTTTGTTACTCCTTAAAATGACAGTAGTTACAATGAATAGAGCTGCACTTTTATAGGGTTTCCATTGTTTTATGCAAATCTTGGCTATATTTTTAAAAAATTTATAAAGGTTTGTTTATAATAACTTTTACTTTAGGTTCCATGGTACTTGTGCAGGTTTGTTATATTGATAAATTGCATGCACAGGGATTTGGTGTACCAGTTATATGTTTTTTAGTTGTTATGCTCTCCTCTCATCATGATGACGTGTGAATAGTGTTCTTTTTGCTAATCCAGGAAAAACAATCCTTAAATGTCAGAGTCTGTGTAGTCTTTTACTGTGGAACCCTCAGGTCACTCTGGGCATCAGAAAGCCTTATTTCCAGCCAGGTGCAGTGGCTCATGCCTGTAATCCCAGCACTTTGGGAGGCTGAGGCAGGGCAGGCAGATCACTTGAGGTCAGGAGTTCGAGACCAGCCTGGCCAACATGGAGAAACCCTGTCTCTACTAAAAATACAAAATTAGCCAGGCACGGTGGCACATGCCTATAATCCCAGCTACTTGGGAGGATAAAGCAGGAAAATCACTTGAACTTGGGAGGCGGAGGCTGCAGTGAGCCACTATTGTGCCACTGCACTCCAGTCTGGGTGACAGAGTGAAACTATCTCAAAAAAAAAAAAAAAGCCTTATTGCCTGGGGCCGGGCGCTGTGGCTGATGCCTGTAATCCCAGCACTTTGGGAGGCCATGGTGGGCAGATCACTTGGGCCCAAAAGTTTGAGACCAGCCTGGGCAATATAAGGAGACCCCATCTCTACAAAAAATTAAAAAATTAGGTGGGCATGGTGGTGCGTGCCTCTAGTCCCAACTACTAAGGAAGCTAAGGTGGGAGGATTGCCTGAGCCTAGGAGGTTGAAGCTGCAGTGAGCCATGATGGCGCCACTGCACTCCAGCCTAGGTAACAAAGTGAGAGCCTGTCTCAAAAAAACAAAAAAGACAAAAGAAAGTGTTATTGCTGCCTGGATTGTGGACATTGCCCTCCTGCCACACGGTGCTATATGGCAGCCAGCGGCATGTGTGGCCACAGAGCACTTGAAGTAGATTAGTACATGAAAAACTCGATTGTTAATTTTGTTTAATTTCAAGAAATTTCAAGTATGTTTGGAACAACTTAGCAATGCAAAACTACTTTTTCAGTTGTAGGCTTTATGAAATCAAAATACAGATTAAGCATTTCTGATAAAAATTCATGAGATGTACTCGAAGAGTAAAATATACCCTAGATTTTGAAGACATAATATAGAAAAGAGAATGTAAAATATCTTGTTAAGAATTTTTAGGCCAGGTGCGGTGGCTCATGCCTATAACCCTAGCACTTTGGGAGGCTGAGGAGGAAGGTCGCTTGAGACCAGGAGTTTGAGATCAAGCTAGATGAGACCTAGTCTCTACCAAAAATACAAAAATTAGCCAGGCATGGTGTGGTGCGTGCTGTAGTCCCAGCTGCTTGGGAGGCTGAGGCAGGAGGATTGCTTGGCCCCAGGAGGTTGAGGCTGCAGTGAGCCATGTTGTTTGCACCACCGCACTCAAGTCTAGTCAAGAAAGCGAGACCCTTGTCCCAAAAAAAATGTTTATTAATGACATATTGAAATGGTAATATTTTGAATATATTGGGTTAAATAAAATATATGATCAAAATTAATTTGGTCTGTCTCTTTTTTTTTGAGACGGAGTTTCACTCTGTTGCCCAGGCTGGAGTGTAGTAGTGTGATCTTGGCTCACTGCAACCTCCACCTCCCAGCTTCAAGTGATTCTCCTGCTTCACTGTCCCCAGTGGATAGTATTATAGGTATGCGCCAGCACACCCAGCTAATTTTTGTATTTTTAGTAGAGATGGGGTTTCACCCTGTTGACCAGGCTGGTTTTGAACTCCTGCTCTCAAATGATCGCCTGCCTCGGCCTCCCAAAGTGCTGGGATCACAGGCGTGAGCCACCGTGCCTGGCCTGTTTCTTTTACTTTTTTTTTTTTTTTTTTGAGACAGTCTTTCTCTGTCACTCAGGCTGGGTGCAGTGGTGCAATCATACCTCACTGCCTCCTCAAATTCCTGAGTTCAAGGGAATCCTCCCATCTCAGCCTCCTGAGTAGCTGGAACCACAGGCATGTGTTATGATGCCAAGCTAATTCTTTAATTTTTTATAGAGATAGGGTCTTGCCATGTTGCCCAGGCTGGTCTCCAACTCCTGGGTTCAAGCATTCCTCATACCTCAGTCTCCCAAAGCGTTGGGATCATCGGTACAAATCATCACACCGGGCTGTTTTTACTTTTTTATTGTAGCCACTGGCAAATTTAAAGTTGTGTGAGTGACCCACTATGCCATTGAACAGTGCCGGTCTAAAATTTCAAACATTGTAAGATACTTGTTTATTTAGGGAAAAGGTAGCTTATAAGTGTAAGATATTTAAATAGCTTTGAAAACAAGTTCCAACATCTCTGGATTGTTTTGATGACTGAGGAAAAAGTCCTCTGTGTTTATTTTCTTTCCACAGATAGTAAGAAATTCCTCCTTTTTTGTTGCTTTCTGTGAATGCTCTTGTTTTCTTTTTTTTTTTTCAATATACACAGTAGATGGGGTGTTTGCCTTGTAAGACACAGGACACTTGCTTGTTCTCTGTTTCTGGTGGATACATGCCATTTGAAATTCATAACTACTGTATTTCAAAACCACCTGTGATAGTGGCCCTATCAATTAAAGCAGAGGTTCTTGACCTGGGACCTCTGGGTGTATTTCTGACGTTTTATATTAATTATTTAGCATGGTTTCCTGGCTAATATTTGCAATTTAATAGCTGATTGCCTTTTTTCTTGTTTTAATCATATTTCTAGTAGTCTGTAGAAAAACAACATCATATTGGTAGGAAGTGAAAGGAAATAACAATCCCAAGTATAGTAAGTTTCAAGTAACAATGTTTATTTATTTATTTTTTTTCAAACCATGGATTTAGATCTTATACAGTGGAGGAAATCCGTTTTTAGTGTTTCTCTCTTTATGTGGACTGTGTGAAATGAAGCTAACCTTCTTATAGTTACCTTTCGCATCATTTTTAGTTTCAGCTCAGGCTCCAAACTCTGCCATCACAGCTCAGACTGGTGTTGGGGTAGCGTCTACCGTCCACCTAAACCCCATGCAGTTGATGACAGTGGATGCATCGCATGCTCGACATATTCAAGGGATCCAGCCAGCACCCATCAGTACCCAGGGTATCCAGCCGGCCCCCATTGGGACCCCAGGGATACAGCCTGCACCACTTGGCACACAGGGAATTCACTCAGCAACCCCAATCAACACACAAGGGCTTCAGCCTGCACCTATGGGTACTCAGCAGCCTCAGCCTGAAGGAAAGACTTCAGGTAATTTTAAATTTTTGCATAGAAGGTGGTTTGGAGAAAAGAAATACATTTGGGTTTAAATCCTTTCTCTGCCACTGGCTTTGTCGTCTTATAATTTCTCTAGGCCTTTTCTTCTTTGTATTAATAATATGAGTTGCTTAGAACTTAGAGTTTCAGGGTCACTGTAAACGTTAGAAATAATATACCTCACTGTAATCCCAGCACTTTGGGAGGCTGAGGCGGGTGGATCACGAGGTCAGGAGATCAAGACTATCCAGGCTAACGTGGTAAAACCCTGTCTACTAAAAATACAAAAAAATTAGCCAGGCGTGGTGGCGGGGGCCTGTAGTCCTAGCTACTCGGGAGGCTGAGGCGAGAGAATGGCGTGAACTGGGGATGTGGAGCTTGCAGTGAGCCGAGATCACGCCACTGCACTCCAGCCTGGGCCACAGAGTGAGACTCTGTCTCCAAAAAAAAAAAAAGATACAGTATACATCAACAGCCCTAGTATTCATTTGAACATAATGAGAAGTGTTATCTTTTTTAAAAGCTCCTAGTTGTGGGAAAAAATTCACCTTATAAGTAGTATTCTCATTGAAGATTTTCTTCAGAGTTGTACATAAAGCTGTAAAACCTTATGCTGATGTTAGCTAATATTATGAATTCTTAAAAAGAAATACTAGTGGAATAACATTTTGAAAAATGGAATAAGTCACTGTATTTAGATCTTTTTGAGACAGATTCTCACTCTGTCACCCAGGCTAGAGTGCAGTGGTGTGTGATCTTGGCTCACCACAGCCTCATCCTCCTGGGCTCAAGTGATCCTCCCACCTCAGCCGCCTGAGTAACTGGGACTATAGGTGCAAGCTACCATGCCTGGCTAATTTTTGTATTTTTAATAGAGACAGAGTTTTGCCATGTTGCCCAGGCTGGTCTCAAACTCCTGGGCTCAAGTAGTCTACTCACTTTGGCCTCACAAAGTGCTGGGATTACAAGCATGAGTCATTACACCAGCTAGGTTATTTTTTTTTTGGCTGAATTTAAGATTCCATGTACTTGGATTATTATTGATTAGCCATTTCTCTAATGTAGTTTAAAAAAACAAAATGGCTGTTTCTCAGCCAAGGCACTGATTTTTTTTTTTTTTTTTTTTTTAAAAAGACAAGGTCTCACTCACTCTGTTGCCCAGCTGGAACACAGTGGTACAATCATGGCTCACTGTAGCCTTGACCTTCTGGGCTCAAGCAGTCCTTATGCCTCAGACACCCGTGTAGCAAGGACTACAAGTGCATGCCACCACACCTGGGTAATTATTTTTGATTTTTTGTAGAAACAGGATATTGCTTGTTGCCCAGGCTGGTCTCGAACTCCAGAGTTCAAGCTATCCTTCAGCCTTGTCCTCCCAAAGTGCTGCGATTGCAGGCATCAGCCACTGTGCCTGGCTGGAGCTATGAATTTTAATTGTTCTGTAGACCTTGAATTCAACTATTTAATCAAAGTCTCTCTGATTTTTTATTACTAAACTAAATGTCTATGATAGAGATGCAATTTACCCATGATGACCCACCCGGTAGGATGGTGTACTACATATTTAAGGGCACCTGCCAGAAAACTCATGATATTAAGTTGACTCCTATGAAATTGCCATTTTTATAGGTCAAAAACTGTCAAACACAGGTATTTTCTGATTATGATCTCATGCTCACCAGTATTTTGATGCTAACTTTAAGTGTATAGTTAAAATATCTGTTAGTTGAATGTGTTTCTAAAGATAGACTGGGGAGGGTACCATTATTGAGGGTTGAGAGAGATTGGTATTTTACAAAAACTGAATGAGTACATTTCTTGAAGTGTACATTGGAGCATGCTATCAGGCTGGTAGATAGTGTTTTCTATTTGTGGCTCTTGTATTAAGCCTTTCTTGTCTGTCAGTTTTCTTATCTCTAAAATGGAAATTACAATGATGGTAAGAATTATATCAGTAAAAAATGTAAAGTAACTAGTAGAGTGAGAGACTATACTAGATACTATGTACTTTGTTCACCTTATCTCATTTATTAGTAACTGTGATTATAGAGCAAAGAAAAAATAATGGTATGGGCCAAGTGTGGTGGCTCACGCCTGTAATCCCAGCACTTTGGGAGGCCAAGGCAGGTGGATCACTTAAGGTCAGGAATTCGAGACTAGCCTGGCCAACACGGTGAAACCCCGTCTCTACTAAAAAATACAAAAATTATCCAGGTGTGGTGGTGCACGCCTGTAATCCCAGCTACTCTTGTGGTTAAGGCAGGAGAATCACTTGAACCTGGGAGGTGGAGGTTGCAGTGAGCTGAGATTGCACCACTGTATTCCAGCCTGGGCAAGAGAGCAAGACTCTCTTTCAAACAAAGAAAAAGAAAAAATAATGGTATGGATCATGCATCAGTAGACTTAGTAACTGCTCCCATTTAGCTATCTGCTCTTTGTCGGATGAACATTGTGCTCCTGTCCCTTATCAGTTTGAAATTGGACAGTTAGAACATGGATACCTAATTCTAGTGGTCTCATCATTTTTATTTATGTCTTCTATGGCATTTTGTTTCCCTCTCTTCAATGTTCTTTCCTGTTGCCTCTCTCCTGTAGCAGTGGTGTTGGCAGATGGAGCCACAATTGTGGCCAACCCTATTAGCAATCCATTCAGTGCTGCTCCAGCAGCAACAACCGTGGTGCAGACCCACAGCCAGAGTGCTAGCACCAACGCTCCCGCCCAGGGCTCATCGCCACGGCCAAGCATACTCCGGAAGAAACCTGCCACAGATGGGTGAGTAGACCTGGTAGTGCCGAATGACACCTCTGGTTCTGGATATAACTGGTATACATAATAGGCACTCTTATCTAATGCTGGTATCAAACTCATCTCTCATTTTCTGTGGTGTGTTAAAATTTCCTCCAAAACAACTTGACCACAGGATTATTCAGTAGAGCCTTACCCAGCTGAGACTGTAAGATCTTAACAAATCCTGGAGTCAGTGAGGTGTTAGTTTGTAAGCATCTGTTGCATACTGCTTTAATTCTCTCTAGTTCTGGAACTTCAATCATAGAACTTTTAAAGTAGTTTATAAGTAACTCTTGGGCTTGTGTAGGTAGTTACCTTAACTCATACTATAAACTTCATTCAGCATGAATCGTTGCTGTTGAAACGGGAAAAGTTCCCTTGTCCCCCTCGCAGGGCGTGCAACAGTGGGAGTGGCTCGCTTCTTCATTGCCCTGCTACTCAAACCTCTAGGGGAGCATACAGACAGGCAGGCTGTGTCGCTCCAACCCTACAGCAGTGTCTAGAGGTGAATGTTTACAGCTGAAACCCCAGTGGGCATGTGTTACAGAGTGCTCTTTTAGTTTAGCCATCCATAGATGGCTTGCATTAACCAGCTCAATTAGACCCCTGCCTTATGGCAAGGACAGAGAGCTTTCTGTATCCCAGGGTTCTTGCCTTGGTGTACTGGAAGAATGGGATCACACGTGGGCTTGGAGAATGAGTGTAGGGTTTTACTGAGTAGAAGTAGCTCTCAGCAGATGGGGGAAGCCAGAAGGGAGATGGAGCGGCCCCAGCTCTCTTGACTGCCCTGGCCAAACTGCGTCGTTCTGCTGGTCGGGGGCCTGCTGGCATGCCAGCGTCTGTCATGTGCTCTTCCACCGGCATGCTCCCCTTGCTGTCCTCTCGCCGTCCAGCTGCTTGTGTCTTTTGCCAATGCGTTCCTCTTGACGTCCAGCCACTTGTGTGCCTGTCTGCTAGGGTCTCGGAGGTTTTTACAGGCACAGGATCAGGGCGTAGCAGGCCAGGGTGGTCTGGGGGAAATGCAACATTTGGGCAGGAAAACAAAAATGCCTGTCCTCACCTAGATCCGTGGGCACAGGCTGGGGGTGGAGCCCTCACCAGGGACCCGCCCCTTCCCAGCACTTCCCTACTCCCCTTCTATGTCACTGTGGGCAAACAAATTCTGAAGTGTAGTAAGGGTCATATTTGGTAGCAGATAGTGTTTTGTGTTGCCATGTAAGCTTCTCAGTTGGTGGATCATAGGCAGGAAGGTATGTGCTGTGCTGTTTGAGTTAAACATTCTGGAGGTGGGAGATGAGCAGACATGTTTCAGAGAGCAGAGTTTCTGTGGCTCAGCTGAGCTAATAGCATCAACATCAAAAGATTAAAGCAAGTGCAAACTTAAATTGCTGGGACTAGGGTCCATGCAGGGTTTTTATTTGCACAGAGCTGTGCATATACCAGAGTCCCTATCTTTGCTGTTTATGAATACTTTGTACTTTTTTAAAGGATAAGTCAGTCCATGACAAAGTTACCTTATTAGTAAAAACACAAGGCAAAGCTTGTGGTTAAGATGACAGATTGATTACACACATCTAAAATCTTTCTGTCTCATAACCCTATATAACTTTTTTTCAAAAAAGTTGTAAACACACAAGGATGGGGAGAACAGGAGAGGACACAGTAGCAACTGAAGCTGGGAAGCAGACCATCACGCGATGGCGTCCTGGCTCTGAGAAAGCTAAATGTGAAGCTTGCGTAGGGGAAAGTTGAGAACCATCCTCTTTTAAAATTGGAAAATCTTCAAAAGGACCAACAACAGGCAAATCCTGGGGGCGAAGGAAGGGGCTCTGTCCTTTAAGGAGGATAAGTTAAAACCTTTGAGTTTGAAAAGTGTTAAAGTTAGAGCCCAGAATCCCATTTTCTACCTATGCCATGTGGTGTACTGCCCCTTCCCGACTTTAGCAGGAGCCTGAAAGTTCAAACTCTGCAGATGGTCCGCTAGGGTCACCCAGCACTATAGAGGTCATGAGTATTTTACCAGAAAGAGATTGTGACTCACCGTGTGTGTGTGGAGTGCTGAACACTTCCCAGTCCACTCCCTGCTTTCAGCTGATAGAACTCTGGCAGGTGAACTTGATTCTAGATAGAAAATGAGAAGAGGACTCTACTTTCCTTCTGGGGAGTCTATCCAGCCCAAGGGGAAGCTCTAAAGATACTGACACTAGGGCTTCCTTAAGGACAGGGTTAGATTACCCTACAGTGGACCTCATAGTAGACATGCCCTTCCAAAGCTCAGAGCTCCCAGCCAGCATTTCAGTCCCTCTCCCCGACTCTTAATCATGAACATACAACCAAAGATAGGCACATATCTGAGGGGACCTCTAACGGTGGAAGACAGAAACCACAATAAATACATGCCCAAAGCACCTTGGAAGATGTAGAGGCCTGGCAGGGAGAATAAAACACAAAACAAATGAGCAAGGATAAGCAAACAGTATCCGTGATGCCTTCAGAAAGACAAAAGAAAAGGTTGCATCCACAAAACAGTAACACAGTGCTATGCAAAAAGAACATTCAGAGGAGAAAAGAACCGGTCCTGAAATAAGATAGCAGAAATTGAAAGATCAGTAGAAGAGTTGGAAGATAAAATTGAAGAAATCTCAAACGTGGAACAAAAAGACAAGAAAATTGGAGAAAACGATAGGAGAAAATTTAAAACAACAATAAAAAGAACCAGGTCAGGAAATCCAGCCTCCAGGTAATGGGTTTCAACAAGAGAGATCAGAGAAAAGGAACAGGGATTACAAAGTAAGGAGTTTGTTATAATATTGTAATCTCAGTTCAAAAGTTAACTGCAAATATAAAACCCAATGATTTCTATATAGTAAATTGAACTGTAAAGGTAACTTGTGTGTGATTCTGAATACATAGATAAATGTTTAAAAAAAAAAAAAAAAAAAAAAACAACAAAGTAATAGAAAATTACCAAAACTGAAAGAAATGAGTTTCCTGGTTACAGAAATGCCCTGCACAGTATTCAATGGATGCAATAAACTCAGGCCAGTATTTTGAAATTTGGCAGCACTGGAGACAAAGAGATGTGCCTGCTTCTCCCGTACTTCCTCCCAAAGACCCTTGTACTGTGCCCTCTAATTCACAGCCTGTCATCACATGACACTCCAACCTCCACCCCAGTGCCCTTGTCTCTTCTTTCTCCACGCCTTCTTGCTTTAAACCTGGGACTCAACTTGCCCTGCAGCTGTCTAAAGTGGTCCCTGCCTCTCTTCCACATCCCTACTGTCACTCAGCCTGGAGGTAGGCAGGGTGTCCTTGTCATGCCTCACTGCCATTTTCAGACCATTTCTCCTCAAAAGCACTTGATCTGTATTTAGATTTCATAAAATGTACAGTTGAAAAAGTAGTTTCACATAGCCAAGTTATTCCAGACAATAAAAAGTTTCTCAGTAACTGGATCGAGTATCCATTATAAAATTCAAATTAATTAAAATGAAATAACATTAAAAATTTTGTTCCTGAGTTGCGCTTGCCACATTTCAGTTGCTCAGTAGTACCATATGGCCTTCTTGTTGGGCAGGGCAGATCTAGAGGCGCAGAGTCAAGTTAGATTTTGCAGGTGTATCTGTATGCCTTTTGGAAGGACATGATGTCTGGCACTTTTTAGTGATAGTGGAACCCTCTCTTCACCTTTAATGATCAGAAATGATTTTCCAGCTCCCTGGCCCCTCAGGTGCTTGAATGCTTCTCCTGCCTCCACCCTCCCCACCAGTTTGGGCACTTAGCACATAAGCTCAGTGAGCCTTCCTGACCTTGTCTCTGTGCTCCCATGCCCCTAGCCCATCTTCTTTCTTCCCACCTCCCTCCCAATGGAACTCCAGCTCCAGAGGGACCCCAGCAGCCTCCAGTCCATTGATCCACCTTTTCATGTTCTTCACTGCCTCTCATGGCCTCTTTCTCTGCTCTTCCTGATTCAGAGTCTGTGGTCACTTGCAGTCATTTCCTTAACCCCCATCCCACTTCGCTTTGTCAAAACCAGACTTAAATCCAACTTTCTGCTTCATTTACGCTGGCACATGTACAGCAAATTGCAGCAGGGAAAGCCACTTTGCCAACTGGTCTTGCTTAGCCTCGCAGACGCACTAAGGTCTTAAAGCAGCCCATCAAAGTATACTCTCTTGCACCACTCCAGATAACTATTTTACGTTTCCTTCTCTCAAAACTCCCAGGCTTCTTCCGTCTTCACTGTTAGTCGACAAATTGCTCCTTTTTTGAGAAAAAGAAAATCAAAAGACAACTTCCACAGTCTGCAGCTATCACATCTATAATACTTACGGTGGCAGTACCCCATGTCCTGCCTCTGTCTGTTCCTCTAGACAAGCTCTATGGGCTCCTCTCCAACATGCCCTGTCTCCTCCTCTCTTGTCTATTCAAGAATGATGCTCTAGTTCTTCTCCCCCTCTCTCCTACGGCCTCAGCTTTTTCTTGTTAGTAGATCATTCACATAAACAGTATAAACATGCCGTCATTTCTTCTGTATGAAATATCCTTCTGTTGAGCTCACTTTGCTCTACTATCTACCACCCTAAATTTTTTTTTTTTGCTCTTCTTTGTAAAAAGAAATTGTCTGTGTTTGCTGTGTCCAGTTCTTCTGTCCGTCTTTTTTTCATCATTTTCATGGAAGTATATAGAAAATGTCACAGACGCATGTATAGTCTCAAAATAAACAGTGTCCAACCACTGTATAGGTCAAGAAACAATGTTACTGTAAGGTCAGCCAAGAGAAAGGATGAGGAGACCCAAAGTCAGGCAAGCAAGCTTTATTGAGCTGCTTGGCTGCTCCACCACAGTTAGAGGAGGCAGCCCCCCTTACAGACTATAGCAGGGTTTTGTAGGGCCAGAACTGGGTCGGGGTCGGGGAGCTGAGTCGGGTGCAAGAGGACTGGGTCGGGGTGGGAGAGCTGAGTCGAGGGTGCAGGAGGACTGGGTCGGGGTAGGGGAGCTGAGTCGGGGTGCAGGAGGACTGCGTCGGGGTGAGGGAGCTGTCGGGGGTGCAGGAGGACTGGGTCGGGGTGGGGGAGCTGAGTCGGGGGTGCAGGAGGACTGGGTCGGGGTGGGGGAGCTGAGTCGGGGGTGCAGGAGGACTGGGTCAGGGTGAGGGAGCTGAGTCGGGGGTGCAGGAGGACTGGGTCGGGGTGGGGGAGCTGAGTCAGGGGTGCAGGAGGACTGAGTCGGGGTGGGGGAACTGAGTCAGGGGTGCAAGAGGACTGGGTCGGGGTGAGGGAGCTGAGTCGGGGGTGCAGGAGGACTAGGTTGGGGTGAGGGAGCTGAGTCGGGTGCAGGAGGACTAGGTCGGAGTGCGGGAGCTGAGTCGGGGGTGCAGGAGGACTGGGTCGGGGTGAGGGAGCTGAGTCGAGGGTACAGGAGGACTGGGTTGGGGTGGGGGAGCTGAATTGGGGGTGCAGGAGGACTGGGTCAGGGTGGGAGTGCTGAGTCGGGTACAGGTGTCTTTACCCGCATCCTGGAGATGTTTTTTGCCAGCTTTGTTGTGCGAGGTGAACAGACATGTTAACCGCATCCTGTAACTGGACAGTTACTGGAGGGGTCAGTGAAGGGTGGGGTGGGGGTTTGTCTTTTGCCCTCGGGTAGCTGTGAGGAGAGTGCAAGGGACTGTATTGTAAGGCCTGTGGGAGGGGAAGGAAATGGTCTGGTCGTGGTGACCTTAACAGTTACCAACATCTTTTCCCAAAGGTAACTAACCAATGGATAGATAGAATCATATGATGTGCATTTTTTTGTGTGAGTCTGACTTTCATCACTCGGTTTTATGTAATTCATCTGCATTATTGCCTATGAATTTGTTGTTGTTGTTGTTGAGATGGGGGTCTCACTCTGTCTCCCAGGTTGGACTGTGGTGGCGCGATCACAGCTTACTGCAGCATTTACCTCCCCAGGCTCAGGTGATCCTCCCACCTCAGTTTTTGTATTTTTAGTAGAGATGGGATTTCACCATGTTGCCCCGGCTGGTCTCGAACTCCCGGGCTGAAGCATTCCACCTGGTTCAGCCTCCCAAAGTGCTAGGATTACATGCGTGAGCACCTGGCCTTGATTGTAATTTTTTAATTGTATAAAATACCATGTATAACAGTACCGTGTTTTATCCATGGTTATTTGGGTTGCTTCCATGTTTTCCTGTAATGATACCCTGAACATTTTTGTGCATGACTTTTGATTCATGCATGAGTACGTTTCTGTTAAATACTGAGGGATTTGCTATGTCATAGGGTGTGCTTGTTTTAAACTTTCATGGAGCATGGTTTTCTGCGTGGTTTTACCCATTTACACTCTCACCAGGAGTAATCATTGTTTCATCCTCACCAACACTTGTTCTGGGCAGTCTTTGTGAGTTTGGTCATTCTGTCGGTTTATAGTGATGTTTCGCATTAGGTTCTTTTTTTTAAATTTGTTTTTGGTTTGGTTAGTTTTTGGCCAGTGTTGGGGGTGGGAGGGTTGGCAGCAATGCAGTTGGTCTTGCTTTTTTAACTTTTATCCTTATTTTTGTTATGGAAAAGTTTAAACATAAGAAAATCCTGTGGCCAGGCACGGTGGGTCAAGCCTGTAATCCCAGCACTTTGGGAGGCCAAGGCGGGCAGATCATCTGAGGTCAGGAGATCGAGACCAGCCTGGCCAACATGGTGAAACCCCGTCTCTAGTAAAAATACAAAAATTAGCTAGGGCATGGTGGCAGGCACCTATAATCCCAGCTACTCGGGAGGCTGAGGCGGGAGAATCACTTGAACCCAGGAGGCGGAGATTGCAGTGAGCTGAGATCGTGCCACCACACTCCAGCCTGGACAACAGAGCGAGACTCTGTCTCAAAAAAAAAAAAAAAGAAAAAAATTTTGAACATAGGAATATATGCCTGTCACCCAACTTTAGTTCTCAGCTTATCAGCTCTTGGCTAATTTTGCTTCACCTATATGCTTACCTACCTGCTCGTATCATATTATTTTGAAGCAAATCCTAGATACCATGTCATTTCATTTGTATGTATTTCAGCATGTTCCTATGGAGAGATACATAACATTAAAAAACCAATAACCCCTTAATATCAAATAGCCAGTCATTGTTCAGGTTTCCAATGGTCTGAAATGTCACACAATTTGTTATATTTTATATTATCTATTTGAATGAGTATTCTGATAAGATGCATACATTGTGATTAGTTAATATGACTTTAAAAGCCATTTTATTATCGAGGTTTCCTCTATCTTTTTTTTTTCCTGCAGTTTATTTGTTGAAGAAACTTGGTCTTCTGGGCCATACCCCCTCTGGATTTTGTTGATGGCATCCCCAATGTATTCATTTCCTAGGGCTGCTGTAACAAACTACCATAAATCTTCTGGCTTAAGGCAACAGACATGTATTATCTTATAGTTCCAGTAGCTAGAAATCTGAAATGAAGGTGTCATCAGGGTCAGTTCCCCCGGAGGTTCTCAGGGAGAATCCACTTGTGCTGGCTGCCAGTGGCTGCTGTTGATCTTTGTGTTCTTTGGCTTGCAGGCACAGCACCCCAATCTCTGCCTCCGTCGTCACATGGCCTTGCCCTCGTACCTGTGTCTCAAATCTCCCTTCCCTTTCTGTTACTAGGATACTTGTCACTGGATTTTAAACTAAACTCTACATCCAAAACTCTACATCTAAATGTAATTAAGAATCTCTTATCTTGAGATCCTTAATTACATTTGCAAAGGCCCTTTTTTCAAGTAAGGTCACATTCACAGTTACTAAAGATTGGGACTTACATGTATCTTCTTAAAGAACTCAGTTCAACTGACTGCACCCGTAGAGTAATTTCACTTGTTCTATCTTCCACATTTTCTGTAAGTTGTTACTTGACTCTGAAGGTTTGATCTGATTTTTCTTTTTTTTAATTTCTTCTTATGGCAAGACTACTTCATAGTTTGGTGATTAGTCTCTTACCAGAAGACACATGATGTCTGGTGCTCACCCTTTTTGAGATGTTAGTGGCTCTGAAGATCAGTACCTGGATCCATTAGTGATTATGTGTTGTAAACTGGTATATTCCTGTCTAGTTATTTTCTCTCAGATCCACTCTCAACTGGTATTTGTTCCCACCACTCTGTCAAAACTAAACATGTCAAGATTGCTCATGTTTTCAAAGTGCTAACCTGATGGATAATTCTCTGTCAGAGCCTTACGTGGCCTCTCTGCTGCACAGCACAATTGATCTCCAACTCTTCCTGGATCAGGTTTTTTCACTTGGCTTCGGGGTCTTTATAAACACCATAGGCATAATAATAATTGTAAACACTTAATATGGATGTCAGTGTTAATAACATTAAGTAGAAAGGAGATGTGGCATGCTAGAAGCAGCGGCTAAAAGAGTCACAATGGTTGCTTCCTGGAGGGAGCCTGGCAGGAAGTGAGCAGGAATGGGGAAGGGACCTGCTCTTTTTTTTTTTAAGATTTTGTGTACTATTTGAGTTTTTTGGTAATGTGTCTGTGGTATCCGAGAAAATGAAAATCCATTTTAAAAATACTTAGTCAATGTAGGGCTTTATTTTGTCCTAGGTATGCCTGGCAAATGTGCATCCTGTATTTCTTAGCCTTGAATGCCCTTGGACTGCTGTTCTCCGGGTTTGTCTCTTGTCTCTTTCAGAATGGCAGTTCGGAAAACCCTCATTCCTCCTCAGCCTCCTGATGTTGCTAGTCCTCGAGTGGAAAGCTCTATGCGGAGTACGTCTGGGTCACCTAGGCCTGCAGGGTGAGCACCTAAGTGTTCTTCGCACTCTTGCTTTTACCCACACATCGTTGCAGTTGGGGAGAGTCTAATATTCCTGCATGACATAGTCTTGTTAGGTTATATAGCCCAGGCTGGAGTGCAGTGGCTATTCTCAGCCGCCATCATAGAAAATTGTAACACACGACAGCCTTGAACTCCTGGGCTCAAGTGATCAGCCTCAGCCTCTTGAGTAGCTGGGACTATAGACGTGTGCCACCACTCCCAACTTATATGCACTTTCTAGCTGCATGACCTGAACGCATTTTTCAACCTCTCTGATTCCCATTTGCCTCATTTATAAAGTGGGCATTGCGCATTCCTATAACATCTACCTCATAGAATTTTTGTGTATTTAAACAAAATGATACTTTTAAAACACTTTGTATGTGCCTTATAGCAAACACCCAGTTGCTATGGCATTCAAAAATGACATCGTGACAGTATTTATTTTTGTTTTTTCTGTTTTTGAGACAGAGTTTTGCTCTGTTGCCCAGGCTGGAGTGCAGTGGCACTATCTCGGCTCACTGCAACTTCGGCCTCCCATGTTCAAGCAATTCTCCTGCCTCGGCCACCGGAGTAGCTGGGATTACAGGCATGTGCCACCACACCTGGCTTTTTTTTTTTTTTTTTTGTATTTTAAGTAGAGTCAGGATTTCGCCATGTCGGCCAGGCTGGTCTCAAACTCCTGACCTCAATTGATCCACGTGCCTCAGCCTCCCAAAGTGCTGGGATTATATGCATGAACCACCATGCCGGGCCTTATGACAGTATTTGTTCTTTCTCTTCTTAATTCCACAAGTAATATTATACTGGAAAAAGTAATTAGATTATATAAAAATACTTAAAGTATAAAGTGAAAATTATTGTCTCATTCTCTACCCACATTGCCAATCCCACTTCCTAGAATAATGTTGACTGGTAACAGTTTTGGGGTTTTGTTTGTTTGTTTTTTCCTGTAGACTTCCTCTATGATCAAGATAATAGTTCTGATAAGTATCTTTCCACGTCTTTTTCTGCATACACATGTAGATAGATTGATAGATTCTTTTTGTTTGTTCGTTTGTTTTGAGACAGAGTCTTGCTCTGTCACCAGGCTGGAGTGCAGTGGCCCTCACTGCAACCTCCGCCTCCCAGGTTCAAGTAATTCTCCTGCCTCAGCCTCCTGAGTATCTGGGACTACAGGAGCGTGCTACCACACCCAGCTAATTTTTGTATTTTTAGTAGAGACGGAGTTTCACCATGTTGGCCAGGATGGTCTCTATCACTTGACCTCGTGAACCGCCCGCCTTGGCCTCCCAAAGTGTTGGGATTACAGGCGTGAGCCACCGTGCCCGGCCCCAGTTGATAGATTCTTAAAAGAGATCTTACTGATTATATTGTTTTATGTCTCGCACTTTTACTTATATCAGTAATAGTTTGCCATGTTAGTATATTTAGATTTACTTCTTCATAAAACCGCATTTGAGAAAAAAAAATTGTGAATGCCTTGTTTGTGCCTGGTATTATTTTAGGATGTGGGGCTATAGAGCAGTCACAAAAATAGATGTAATGTGTCCATTCCCTTTCAGTTTACTTTCTAGTGGATGTGAAGAAATAATAAATATAAGAAGAAAGGGAGACAGAGTAAAGGGAATAAAAAGTAATGGGAGGAAGAGGTGATGATTTACAGAAAAAGGCTTCTCTGAGAAGAGTATGAAGGAATAAGCCATGTGCTCCTTGATGCTGGAATGTGTCAGGCAGAGGAAAGAGGAACCAAGGCTTTGATATAAGGATACTTGCAGTTGTCAGTTTGCACATTAGTGCAGTAACATAAAAATGACCAGCCGGGCGCAGTGGCTCACACCTGTAATCCCAGAACTTTGGGAGGCCGAGGCGGGCAGATCACAAGGTCAGGAGATAGAGACCATCCTGGCTAACATGGTGAAACCCTGTCTCTACTAAAAACACACAAAAAATTAGCCGGGCATGGTGGCGGGTGCCTGTAGTCCCAGCTACTCAGGAGGCTGAGGCAGGAGAATGGCGTGAACCCAGGAGGCGGAGCTTGCAGTGAGCCAAGATCGCACCACTGCACTCCAGCCTGGGTGACAGTGTCGTGGAACATCTCCAAGACTTCATTAAATGTGAAGGTTTTTGCCGGCGTAACTTCTGAGACCCCTTCATCTTTTTCCTCAAAACCACTTTGCCTTCACTTCTCCTCGGACTCTGGGTACACACTTTATAGTACCATCTTTCTGTGTGATGGCAGTTAGCTGATTCACTCAACACCACTCATAGTCATACTGACTTCTGAAATGCTAAAACCAGCCTTCACTAGCAGTAATTCATTTTCCTAATTACCATTTTCTTTCAGTGTGACAGCTAACTTCAACGCTTCAGCCTTGAATAATTGTAATTTTTTTTGGTTATTACTATTGTCAATCCAAAATAGAAATAAACTATTTCTGCCATAGGTGGCTTTCCTGATGCAGTTTAAACTGAAAGATTATATTAAAGCTACTTTACCTTCCTTTTTATATTCACTAGACTTTTTCAATATGGTCCATACAGCTTTTTACAAGTCTAGGTCTTATCCTTTTTTCTTTTTGCTGGGCCATTTTGAAATCTTCAAATCACATACAATTTCACTTCTGGCCTTATCCCTTTTTGGTCTTTTGTTGCATTTTCATCTTGGTTGACCCATTCTCACATTCAGTCTTCCATTTTCTTAAAATTTCACATTGGTTTATCACTAGGATGCCAGAGCAACACAACTACATGCTTTGTTTTCTTTATGAACTGTTTATGCAGAACTGTTTATGGTCAGTGATTGATCATTACCAGACTTAAGAAGTGATGTGACTGGTTACTGATCATGATGGGCATCTGTTAGTTACATGGTGATTTGGGGACCATAGAGCTAGCCACATAACAATGGGGATACGTTCTGAGAGATACATCCCTAGGCAATTTCATTGTTGTATGAACATCATGAGTGTCCTTGTACAAACCTATATGGGATGGCCTACTGCATACCTAGACTATGTGGTACAACCTATTGCTCCTAGGCTAAAAATCTGTACAGGACTTTACTGTACTGAATACTATAGGCAGTGGTAACACAGTGGTACATATTTGTGTATCTAAACATAGAAATTATAATCTTTATTTATTTTTGAGACAGAGTTTCACTCTTGCTGCCCAGGCTAGAGTGCAGTAGCTCAATCTCGGCTCCCCACAACCTCTGCCTCCCATGTTCAACCGATTCTCCTGCCTCAGCCTCCCGAGTAGCTGGGATTACAGGCATGCACCACCATGCCTGGCTGATTTTGTATTTTTAGTAGAGACAGGGTTTCTCCATGTTGGTCAGGCTGATCTTGAACTCC
Source organism: Homo sapiens (assembly GCF_000001405.40). Lineage (NCBI taxonomy): Eukaryota > Metazoa > Chordata > Mammalia > Primates > Hominidae > Homo > Homo sapiens. The sequence continues at coordinate 127,974,604 of NC_000002.12, read as the reverse complement.
CGACCTCAGGTGATCCACCCACCTCGGCCTCCCCAAGTGCTGGGATTACAGGCGTGCACCACCGCGCCCGGCCAGAAATTATAATCTTATGGGACCACTGTCATGTGTATGGTCCTTTGTTCATTGAAAATCCTTATGTGCTGCATGACTATATCTGATATTTACATGTGTGAGCTTCGTGCTCAGTGAGGACTCCCTGTATATTAGGAATAATATCACAGGACCAGCAAGGAAGACTAGCCTGGAACCAGAGGTGAGAGTTGTACAAGATGGCTTAGAGATGACATTGAGAGCTAGATTATTTAGGGCCTTGTGGGCTATTCAGAAGCCTTTGGATTTTATTCTAAGACGGAGAGCCATTGGAGGGTTAAGGCATAGGAGTGACATGATCTGACTTATTTTAAAAGAATCACTCTGGCTACTGTGCTGAGAATAAACTGCAGCAGAGCAAGGGTGGAAGCAGGAAGACCAGGTGAGAGCTGATAAAATCGTTAACTATCTTCATGGCTTGAACCTGCATGGAGGTAGTGTTTTTTGTTTGTCTGTTTGTTTGTTTGTTTTAATGAAATAGGGTCTCACTCTGTCACCCAGGCTGGAGTGTAGTGGTGCAATCTCAGCTCACTGCAACCTTAACCTCCTGAGTAGTTAGGACTACTTAAGAGCCACCATACCCAGCTCATTTTTGTATTTTTTTGTCGAAACGGGGTTTCACCATGTTGCCCAGGCTGGTCTGGAACTCCTGGGCTCAAGCAGTATTCCCACCTCAGCCTCACAAAGTGCTGGGATTACAGACATGAGCACCGCACCCTGCCCATATGTCTTAAAAGTGTTTGGATTCTTGATATGATTTGAAGGTACAGCTGACAAAATTTTCTGATGGAATGGAGAGAAAGAGAGGAGTCAAGGATAGCTCCCAAATTTTACCTGAGCATTCTAAAATGAGGAAAGCTATGAGAATAGCAGGAAAAAAATCAGGTTAGTTTCAGTCGTTTTACTTTTGCAATATCTAGATGATTGGATACCCAAGTGGAGATGTCAAATAGACAGATAGAAAATTCTGAAGGAAGCCGGGCACAGGGGCTCACGCCTGGAATCCCAGCACTCCCTCGGACTTTGGGAGTCAGGCGGGCGGATCACCCGAGGTCAGGAGTTTGAGATCGGCCTGACCAACATGGAGAAACCCCCTCTCTACTAAAAATACAAAATTAGCCGAGCGTGGTGGCGCATGCCTGTAATCCCAGCTACTTGGGAGGCTGAAGCAGGAGAATCTCTTGAACCCAGGAGGCAGAGGTTGCAGTGAGCAGAGATCACGCCATTGCACTCCAGCCTGGGCAACAAGAGCGAAAGTTCATCTCACAACAACAAAAAAATTCTGAAGTAATACAGCTCTAGAATTGAAGTAGAAGTCCGTGCTGGTGATAGAGATTTGGGAATTGTAAGCAGGTAGATGTTCTTTAGAGCCATGAGAGTGGAAGGTAGTATAAATAGAACAGAAGTGGTGCAAGGACCAGGCTTGAGGACATAGCATCTTTAGAGGTCAGGAAAATGAAAAACCAGAAAAAGTGACTGTTTCCCTATACTGTGTGATGTTCTGAGGTGTGTTGGTGCCACAGTTAGTCTTCAGCTAATGAACACTTCGGGTTTTTGTTTGCTTATTTTTGTTTTATTTTTAGAGACAGGGTCTTGCCCAGTCACCCCGGCTGGAGTGCAGTGGCGTGATCATAGCTCACTGCAGCCTTGAACTCCTGGGTGCAAGGATCCTCCCACCTTAGCCTCCTGAGTAGCTGGGACTGCAGGTAGTCATCATTATGCCCAGCTATTTTTATTTTTTTAATTTACTTTTTTTTTAGACAGAATCTCACTCTGTTGCCCAGGCTGGAGTGCACTGGCACCATATTGGCTCACAACAGCCTCTGCCTCCCAGGCTCAGGTGATTCTCCTGCCTCAGCCTCCCAAGTAACTGGGATTAAAGGCACCCACCATCACACCTGGCTAATTTTTGTGTTTTTAGTAGAGACGGAGTTTCACCATGTTGGCCAGGCTGGTCTCGAACTCCTGACCTCAAATGATCTGCCCACCTTTGCCTCCCAAAGTGCTGGGATTACAGGGGTGAGCCACCACGCCCAGCCTGCTAAGCTGATTTTCATATTGTTTTTGTAGAGATGGCAGTCTCACTGTGTAGCCCAGGCTGGTCTTGAACTCCTGGCCTCAACTGATCTTCCCACTTTGGCCTCCCAAAATATTGGGATTACAGGCATGAGCCACTGCACCTGGTCTGTTTCTGTTTTTGTCTTTTTCAAAACAAAGTCTCATATGGACTTAGTTTTCAAGTGTTGGTCCTGAAGGTGAAGAACCTGCCATGAGGTACCAAAGTCTCCCTGTGAGCAACAGCAGGTGCAGAAATAGGGTGAGCAGGGTCTCTTTTTTAGACTCTTTCTTGGATTTGCTGTGCTTCAGAGAAGTTGTGGAGGTAGGGCCCACACAGGCACTCAGACTGGCTTTATTTGCAGTAGTCAATCTGTGGCACCTGAAAGAAGAGAGCATTTGGATTGTGAAGAAATAACTAGCTGGAAGAATAAACCCCCCACACTCCCACACCCAAGTAAAAGTAATCTCATATAAATGGCTGTTTTAGAAATAGCCAACTCCATTCACTGATGAGTAACAAAAAAGGATTAATATGAAGATAATTAAAATTAAAACATAGGAAAAGAACAACAAAGTATATTAATCTGTTCCTTAAGACACTGACCAAAAGATGTTGACAGGGGACAGATGAAATTTATAATGAAACATGCCACCATGAATTTAAATAACATAACAAAATAACCACCTCTATGAAGAAAAACACAAAGTTCAAATACAAAAGACTCCTGGAGTAAATGGCAAAACATGAAGTGATGACACAGGACTTGACAGGACTCAGTAGAGAACTAATGAAGATACCACAGAAGGAAGGCAAAATTAAAACTGCACAAGAGAGTATTGGCCGTGGAAGATAGAAATGAGAAAGTGGGTGGCGGGGCACGGTGGCTCATGCCTGTAATCCCAGCACTTTGGGAGGCCAAGGCGGGTAGATCACGAGGTCAGGAGATCGAGACCATCCTGGCTAACACGGTGAAACCCCGTCTCTACTAAAAACATACAAAAAATTAGCCAGGCGTGGTGGCGGGTGCCGGTAGTCCCAGCTACTCGGGAGGCTGAGGCAGGAGAATGGTGTGAACCCTGGAGGTGGAGCTTGCAGTGAGCCGAGATTGCACCACTGCACTCCAGCCTGGGTGACAGAGCGAGACTCCGTCTCAAAAAAAAAAAAAAAAAGAAATGAAAAAGTGGATAAAATACAAAGAAAGATAGTCGTGTGTTGTGGTTCATGCCTATAATTCTAGCACCTTAGGAGGCCGAGGTCAACAGATGGGGGGAGCCCGGGGGTTCGATATCAGCCTGGGCAATATGGCGAAACCCCAGCTCTAAAAACAAAATAAAAAAATTGGCCAGGTGTGGTGGTATGGGCCTGTAGTCCCAGCTACACAGGAGGCTGAGGTGGGAGGATTGCTTGAGCCTGGCAGGTTGAGTTTATAGTGAGTTGTGTTCATGTCATTCCACTGCAGCCTGAGTGACAGAATAAGAACCTGTCTAAAAAAAAAAAAGAGAGAAAGATAAAAGAAAAACCATACAGAGCATATCGTGATAGAAGTAAGACCAAGCATGCGTCATATCATGTCATGTCAGTGACTTTGTTGTGGGTTGAGTTGTGTCCCCCAAAAGTCAACTCCCAGTACCTCGGAATGCAGCCTTATTTGGAAATAGGGTCATTGCAGATGTGGTTAGTCAAGATGAAGCCCTACTGGAGTAGGGTGAATCCTCAATTGAATATGACTGGTCTTTTTTTTGTTTTGTTTTGTTTTGTTTGGAGACAGTGTCTTGCTCTGTTACCCAAGCTGGAGTACAGTGAGCGGTGTGATCTAGGCTCAAGTGGTCCTTCCACATTAGCCTTCCGAGTACCTGGGACTCCAGGCATGCATCACCATGCCCGGCTAATTTTTTTTTTTTTTTTTTTTTTTTTAAGACAGAGTCTTGCTCTCTGTCGCCAGGCTGGAGTGCAGTGGTACGATCTCGGCTCACTGCAACCTCCAACACCCTGGTTCAAGTTATTCTCCTGCCTCAGCCTCCTGAGCAGCTGGGATTACAGGCACGCATCACCATGCCCAGCTAATTTTTGTATTTTTAGTAGAGACAGGGTTTCACCATGTTGGCCAGGATGGTCTTGATCTCCTGATCTCATGATCCCTCCGCCTCGGCCTCCCAAAGTGCTGGGATTACAGGCATGAGCCACTGTACCTGGCCCATGCCCAGCTAATTTAAAATTTTTTTTTTTTTTTTTTTGAGACGGAGTCTCCCACCCAGGCTGGAGTGCAGTGAGGTAATCTCGGCTTACTGCAACCTCTGCCTCCCAGGTTCAAGAGATTCTCCTGCCTCAGCCTCCCAAGTAGCTGCAACTACAGGTGCGAGCTACCATGCCCAGCTAATTTTTGTATTTTTAGTAGAGACAGGGTTTCACCATGTTGGCCAGGATGGTCTCGATCTCTTGACCTCGTGATCCGCCCACCTCGGCCTCCCAGAGTGCTGGTATTACAGGCGTGAGCCACTGCGTCTGGCCTAAATAAATTTTTTTAGTAGAGACAAGGTCTTGCTATATGGCACAGGCTGGTCTCAACCTCCTGGCTTCAAGTGATCCTCTTGCCTTGGCCTCCCAAAATGCTGGGATTACAGGCATGAGCCACCATACCTGACCCATGACTAGTATTCTTAGAAAAAGGGGAAATTAGGACACAGACAAATACATTATGTGAACATGAAGGCAGAGATCGGGAAGGCGCCGAGGAATAACAAAGATTTCCAGCAAAGCCACCAGAAGCTGGGAGAGGAGGCATGGAATAGTCTGTCCTTCAAGCCCGCAGAAAGAACCAGCCCTGCCAACTCTTTGATCTCAGACTTCTGGCCTCCAGAACTGTGAGACAAGCTACTTCTGTTTAAGCCACACAGTTTGTGATGATTTGTTGTGGTAGCTCTAGCAATCTAATACAGGTCTTAACTCACCTGTTTCCAGATTGCATTGCAAAGCAGAACCCACTTCTGCTCTGCCTTGTATTCAGAGGCAGGCCAAACACAAAGTGATTCAGGAAGGTCAGAATGAAACATTAAGTAAAGGGATGCTGAACTTGACTTGTGCTAACTCACAAGAGTAGATTGATACATTATCAGGAATTTTATGAGGTGAGTGTTAGACACAGCCATTGAAAAAACTATAATCCTGGGTAAAAACTCGTAATTAAATTAAAATACCCAGTACTTGCTAATTATTCAACTACATTTTATCCTTCTTCCCATGGAATAATTATGTAGAATGGTGTGCTGTTTCATGTCTCCCTCTCCCCCCGCCAACCTCCACCCCACTCCACACTGAGTCATTTAGCATTGGCAGCTTGAAATTGGCCCCAGTTGGAGCACTTGTTCCACAGAAATTATCAATAGCACTTTGTTTACTGTTTTGTTGATCATCTAAGCAGAGATTGGTAAGCGTTTTCAATAAGGGGAAAGATAAATAGTAAGTTATTTTAGGTTTTGTGAGTCGCGTAGTCTCTGTCATGAGTCCTCATGTCTGGTGTAGCTGTACTGAAAGATTTCATCTGCAAAACTGATGTTGGGCTGGGATATAGTTTGTCAACGCCTGGTCTAGACGTAAGAAAGTAATGGAGAAAACGTTAGTCATACAGAACTTGAAAGTGCTTGTCAGGCTGGGCACAGTGCCCTCACTAATCCCAGCGCTTTGGGAGGCTGAGGTGGGTGGATTACTTGAGGTCAGGAGTTTGAGACTAGCCTGGCCAACATGGTGAAACCCTGTCTGTACTAAAAATACAAAAATTAGCCAGGCGTAGTGGTGCACCTGTTGTCCCAGCTACTCGGGAGGTGGGAGATTTGCTTGAGCCTGGGAGGCAGATCTCTGCAGTGAGCCAAGATCGTACCACTGCACTCCAGCCTGGGCAACAGAGTGAGACCCTGTCTTTTTTTTGTTTTTGAGACGGAGTTTTGCTCTTGTCACCCAGGCTGGAGTGCGGTGGTGCGATCTCTGCTCACTGCAACCTCCTCCTCCCAAGACCCTGTCTTTAAAAAAAAAAAAAAAAAAAAAAAACCAACTCCGGGCATGGTGGCTCACGTCTGTAATCTCAACACTTTGGGAGGCCGATGCGGACAGATCACCTAAGGCCAGGAGTTCAAGACCAGCCTGGCCAACGTGATGAAACCCTGTCTCTACTAAAAATACAAAAAATTAGCTGGACATGGTGGGGGCCGCCTGTAATCCCCAGCTACTCCGGAGGCTGTGGCAGGAGAATCTCTTGAACCTAGGAGGCAGAGGCTGCAGTGAGCCAAGATGGTGCCATTGCACTCCAGTTTGGGCAATAAGAGTGAAACTCTGCCTAAAAAAAAAAAAAAAAATGCTTTACTATAGCTGTTACATTATGAAGACGCCAAAAGTTTAAGGAAGTGTTCTGCATATGTTCAAAACCGTTACCTGACTCAGGGAAGAAGTCTCACCTGTCATTGTGAATTTTTCCATTTTCCCTCATTGATTTTTTAGGTCCTTTCCATTGTACTTGGAAAAGATCTTTAGTTTGGATTCAGACTTTATGAATTTTTTGAAGTTTGAATTTTGACCTAACATATGGTCTATCCTGGAGAATGTCCCATGTGCCCTCGAGAAGAATGTACAATCACTGTTGTTGGGTGGAGTATTCTATATATCTGTTAGGTCTAGTTTGTTTAGTGTTCCAGTCCTCTGTGTCCTTGCCAAGATTCTGTCTGGATGTTTCATCCATTATTGAAAGTGGGGTTATTGAAATCTCCAGCTATGGCCGGGCACAGTGGCTCACGCCTGTAATCCCAGTGCTTTGGGAGGCCAAGGCAGGTGGATCACAAGGTCAGGAGTTCAAGACCAGCTTGGCCAAGATGGTGAAACCCGTCTCTACTAAAAATACAAAAATTAGCTGCGCATGGTGGTGGATGCTTGTAATCCCAGCTACTCGGGAGGCTAAGGCAGAGAATTACTTGAAAACCGGAGGCAGAGTTTGCCATGAGCTGAGACTGCGCCACTGCACTCCAGCCTGGGCAACAGAGCGAGACTCCGTCTCAAAAAAAGAAAAGAAATCTCCAGCTATTCTTGTCATCCTCTCTGTCTCTCCCTTTAATTCTGTCAGTATCTCCTTTATTCTGTCACATGGGGCACTATTCTTTGATGTGCGAAGGTTTATAATTGCTGTTTCTTTTTCTCTTTATTGTGGTATGAACACTTAACATGAGTTCTGCCCTGGTAGGGAGAAGTTAAAATGTACATTGTTGTTCATTGTAGGCACGGTGTCACACAACAGAGCTCTAGAACTTCTTCATTTTGCTTAACTGAAACTTTATGCCCTTTAATTAGTAACTGCTCATTTCTCCAAGTTCTTTGATCTTCTTGATGAATCTTTTATTAATATAGTATGTCCTTTGTCTTGTTTTGGATTTAACATCCATTTTCTCTGATATTGATATAGGCCCGTAGCTTTCTTTTACTTACTGTTTTCATGAAATATCTTTTTCCATCGTTTCACATTTTGTATGTTATTGAAGTTAAGTTGGTATCAATGCAAACTAGATTGATATGAATTTAGAATGTTGATTGTAATCCCATGGTAACCAGTTTTAAAATACCAGTGAAAAAAGATAATGTCATCTGAGGACTCAAATTACACAAATATTTTTTCAAAAGATTTATCAAGCAAAGGTAAACAAATTGAAATCTTATCAGAAAAGGTGGAATTCAGCTTAAAAGCAAAACACAGAGGGTCCTTTTTCTTTCTTTTCATGAGACGGAATTTCACTCCTATTGCCCAGGTTGGAGTGCAGTGGCGCAGTCTCAGCTCACTGCCGCCTCCGCCTCCTGGGTTCAAGCGATTCTCCTGCCTCAGCCTCCTGAGTAGCTGGGATTACAAGCATGCGCCACCACATCCGGCTAATTTTTGTATTTTTAGTAGAGACAGGGTTTCACCATGTTGGCCAGGCTTGTCTCGAACTCCTGACCTCAGATGATCTGCCCGCCTCGGCCTCCCAGAGTGCTAGGATTACAGGTGTGAGCCATCACACCCGGCCCACAGAGGGTCCTTTATAATGCTGAAGAATCTAATTTACAATGAAGTTTGTTTGTTTTATTTATTTTTATTTTTTTGAGACGGAGTCTCGCTCTGTCCCCCAGGCTGGAGTACAATGGCACGATCTCGGCTCACTGCAACCTCCACCTCGCAGGTTCAAGTGAGAATCTCCTGCCTCAGCCTCCTGAGTAGCTGGGATTACAGGCGCACGCCACCATGCCTGGCTTATTTTTTTGTATTTTTAGTAGAGACTGGGTTTCACCATGTTGGTCAGGCTGGTCTTGAACTCCTGACCTTGTGATCCGCCCGCCTCAGCCTCCCAAAGTGCTGTGGTTACAGACGTGAGCCACCACACCTAGCCTACAAGGAAGTTTTAACAGTTAAGAATATCTGTGTACCAAATAATGTAGCATTAAGACTCATAAAGCAGAATTTACAAGAAGTATGAGGAGAGTTTCAAAGAGCAGCTTAGGAGCAAAAGGGCTTTAATTCACGTTTTTTAGGCCTCATCAGTTCTAGCAGACAACAAATAAATAGGATATAATAATAAATCGAAATAATAATAAGGGGAAATAGATAATATTAAATTCCCTGTGTTAATTACACTTTTTCTTTTTCTCTCTCTCTCTTTTTTGAGACAGTCTCGCTCTGTCGCCCAGTCTGGAGTGCAGTGGCATGATCTCGGCTCACTGTAATCTTCACCTCCCTGGTTCAAGCAATTCTCATGCCTTAGCCTCCCGAGTGGCTGAGATTACAGGCGTGTGCCACTATGCCCAGCTAATTTTTGTATTTTTAGTAGAGACAGGGTTTTCCCATATTGGTTAGGCTGGTCTCAAACTCCTAATCTCAAATGATCCACTCGCTTCAGCCTCCCAAAGTGCTGGGATTACAGGCGTGAGCCACCATGCCCACTCCCTGCCCCGCCCTCCACCCCTCACTTTTTTTGTTTTTGAGACAGAATCTCACTGTGTCACTCAAGCTGGAGTGCAGTGGCACAATCCTGGCTTGGCTCACTGCAGCCTTGACCTCCCAGGCTTGAGTGATCCTCCCTGTTCTGCCTCCAAAGTAGCTGGGACTACTTGGGTTAGTGTTAGTCTGGGTTTTTCTGTTCGTTTTGTTTTGTTTAGAGACGGAGTCTCGCTCTGTTGCCAGGCTGGAGTGCAGTGGCGCAATCTCGGCTCACCACAACCTCTGCCTCCCAGGTTCAAGCGATTCTCCTGCCTCAGCCTCCCAAGTAGCTGGGACTACAGGTGCACACCACCATGCCCAGCTAATTTATTTGTATTTTTAGTAGAGACAGGGTTTTACCATGTTGGCCAGGATGGTCTTGATCTCCTGACCTCGCGATCTGCCCACCTTGGCCTCCCAAAGGGCTGGGATTACAGGCATGAGCCACCACACCCAGCCTGTTTTTTTTTTTTTTGAGACAGAGTCTCATTCTGTCACCCAGGCTGGAGCGCAGTGGCGCGTTCTCGGCTCACTGCAACTTCCGCCTCCCGGGTTCAAGTGATTCTTGTGTCTCAGTCTCCTGAGTAGCTGGGATCACAGGCGTGTGTGCCACCAAACCTGGCTAATTTTTGAATTTTTAGTAGAGACGGGGTTTCACCATGTTGGCCAGGCTGGTCTCGAACTTCTGGCCTCAGGTGATCCACCCGCCTCAGCCTTCAAAGTGTTGGCATTACAGGCGTGAGCCACCACGCCCAGCCAGTGTTAGTCTCTTTTCTAAGTTATTAGTTTCTGTTTTTATATTTATTGTTTCCTTTATTTTTTTTTGTTTGTTTTCTAGTTTTTCAGCCTAACAGTTTTCAGTATTTAAGGCCATGAACTTTCTTCTAAATAATGCTTTCATTGCAGCCCACTGATTCTGCTGTATAATGCTTTCATTGTGGCTTTTTTAATTTACTTTTTTTTTTTTTTTTTTTTTTTTGAGATGGAGTTTCGCTCTTGTCGCCCAGGCTGGAGTGCAGTGACACAATCTCAGCTTACTGCAAACTCCACCTCCTGGATTCAAGTGATTCTCCTGCCTCAGCCTCCCGAGTAGCTGGGATTACAGGCATCCACCAACACGCCCAGCTAATTTTTGTACTTTTAGTAGAGGTGGGGTTTTACCATGTTGGCCAGGCTGGTCTCGAACTCCTGACCTCAAGTGATCTGCCTTCCTTGGCCTCCCAAAGTGCTGGGATTACAGGCGTGAGCCACTGCGCCCAGCCTAAATTTCCTTATTTTTTAGATAGGGTCTCACCGTGTCATCCAGGCTGGAGTGCAATGGGTGTGAAACAGTTCACTGAAGCCTTGAACTCCTCGGCTCAGGTCATCGTCCTGCCTCAGGCTCCTGAGTAGGGGACTACAGGCACATACCACTATGCTCAGCTCTCAGAGAACATTTTAAAATGGGTAAAAAGGGCTTTCTGTTTTCTCCTTTCATTCCTATTTCTAGTTTGCCTGCCTAACACTATCCCAATCAAGATAACCCATAAAAAAATTAAAAAGGAGTTTTTTACATTGAACTTACGTAGTTCTATGCAAATAATGATAGAAAAAACCATGCATAAATTTATGTGGCTGGGGAGGCCCCACATTCATGGCAGAAGGCAAGGAGGAGCAAGTCACATCTTACGTGGATGGTGGCAGGCAAAGAGAGAGCTTGTGCAGGGAAACTCTCCCTTTTTAAAACCGTCAGATCTCATGAGACTTAGTTACTATCACGAGAACAGCACAAGAAAGACCCGCCCCCGTGATTCAGTCATCTCCCACAGGGTCCCTCTCGTAACACATAGGAATCATGGGAGCTACAAGATGAGATTTGTGTGGGGACACAGAGCCAAACCATAACACATTATGACTCAAAATTCAGAATCTATAAAAAGAAAGTTTTGGGAAATTTGACTCAGGGCTGGTTATGGTGGCTGACACCTGTAATCCCAGTAATTTGGGAGGCCAAGGTGGGCAGATTGCTTCTAACCCAGGAGTTCGAGACCGGCTTGGGCAACATGGCCAAACTCCATCTCTACAAAAGATACAAAAATGAGCCGGGCATGGTGGCACGCACCTGTGGTCCTGGCTACTCAGGAGGCTTAGGTGGAAGGATTGCTTGAGTCTGGGAGGTCGAGGCTACAGTGAGCCAGCATCATGCCGCTGTACTCCAGTCTGGGTGATAGAGTGAGACCCTGTCTTTAATAAGAGAGAGAGAAATTTGACTCAGTAAAAATTATTTAAAAAACAAACTACTTTTGTCAAGAAAAAACTTGATAAGCAAAGTGGAAGACAAATGATGAATTGGGAAGATATATTTCCAACTCATATCACAGTCTAACGGCTAATCTTCATAGTATATAAATAACTGCCAGAAATGAAGAATAAAGAAGTAAGTCCAGTAGAAAAATGAACAACCTTTTTGTTTTTTCTTTTTTTTTTCAGACATTTATATACAATTTATTTTTATTCAGTTTCTTTGAAGCAGCAACACTTAAGGTTTATGTGATTATTTCTAGTTTATTCTATGACATCAAGCCAGTCATCTTTTTTTTTTTTAATTTTATTATTATTATACTTTAAGTTTTAGGGTACATGTGCACAACGTGCAGGTTTGTTACATATGTATACATGTGCCGTGTTGGTATGCTGCACCCATTAACTTGTCATTTAGCATTAGGTATATCTCCTAATGCTATCCCTGCCCCCTCCCCCCACCCCACAACAGTCCCCGGTGTGTGATGTTCCCCTTCCTGTGTCCATGTGTTCTCATTGTTCAATTCCCACCTATGAGTGAGAACATGCGGTATTTGGTTTTTTGTCCTTGTGACAGTTTGCTGAGAATGATGGTTTCCAGTTTCATCCATGTCCCTACAAAGGACATGAACTCATCATTTTTTATGGCTGCATAGTATTCCATGGTGTATATGTGCCACATTTGCTTAATCCAGTCTATCGTTTTTGGACATTTAGGTTGGTTCTGAGTCTTTGCTATTGTGAATAGTGCCGCTATAAACATACGTGTGCATGTGTCTTTATAGCAGCATGATTTATAATCCTTTGGGTATATACCCAGTAATGGGATGGCTGGGTCAAATGGTATTTCTAGTTCTAGATCCCTGAGGAACAAGTAGTTCACAGGTCAAGAAGTATCAGTGGTCCATAACATGTGGAATGATGCTTTATATCAAGAGATGAGCAACTGAGAGCACACTGAGACATCAACGTTTACCTTTCATACTGGCAAAATCCCAGGAGTTTGAAATATGCTGTTGGAAGAGCTGTGGATAATTGGGTGCTTTTATTCTTGGTGAGAGTGCAAACTGTTATAACCCTTATGGAAAGGCAACTTCGCAATACTTACCAAAATTACAGAGGCATTTTTCTTTCCCAGGTATGTGTGGTAATTTATTATTCAGATACACTAGCACATATATCAGATGACAGAGGTGTCAACGTGCTGAGAGCTAACACGCCAGAGTTGGAAGGGCTCTGTTGAAAGATAGCTGGCTTGCTGCTCCCTGGACAGCTCCACTCTGAAATGCAGCTCTCCTGAACAGTCAGCACCAGAGCTCAGAAATACCTCCTCCCACCCCCATAGTTTTCATGCCACCCTCACGTTCCCCAAATTCCTTAGTGTAGAGAACCAAGGAAGCAACATACTTTGGGAAGTCTGGCTCTGACAGCAAGTGGTTCGTCCACTGTGGCTGGGCATTGCATTTCTTGGTAGGATGGGGAGCCTGGGGAAGTGCGTGCATTCCGCTCACCTTCCGCCTCCAAATATTCCCAGTTAAATTTATAGTTTTTTAGTCTGTTGAATGTTGTTACCTGTATTGGTCTTTATACTCTACTCCACAAATAGGGGACTGGGTAAATAAAATATGGTTACAAGTCAAAAAAGCAACCCAATTGAGTCAAAAAAAAAAAAAAAAGCAAGGTATGAGGTATATGCTATGACAGTTTTGAAATAAGCAGGGAAGTTGGGTAAGAAAATAACATTTGGGCCAGGTGCAGTGGCTCACACTTGTAATCTCAGCATTTTGGGAGGCCAAGATGGGAGGATCAGTTGAGCTCAGGAGTTTGAGACCAGCCTGGGCAACATAGCAAGACCTTGTCTCTACTAAAATTAAAAAAAAAAAAAAAATTAGCTGGGCATGGTGGTACACCCCTGTAGTCTCAGCTGCTAGAGGGGTTGGGGAGGGGAGGCTGAGATGGGTGGATCGCTTGAGCCCAGGAGTTTGAGACTAGCCTGGACAACATGGCGAAACTCTATCTCTACAAAAAATACAAAAATTAGTTGGGTGTGGTGGTGCACACCTGTGGTCCCAAGCTACTGGGAGGCTGAGGTGGGAGGATTGCTTGAGTCTGGGAGGTCGAGGCTGCAGTGAGTCCTGATCGTGCCACTGTACTCCAGTCTGGGCGACAGCCAGACCCTGTCTCAAAAAAAAAAAAAAAAGAAAGAAAGAAAGAAAAAACATTTGTATTTGCTTATGTCTCATTCATAAGTATTATAAGGTCATACAAGAAATTATTATATTTCATTGATTGTGAGAAACAAGGTTTTAAAACCATAGCATCTCTAAAATCAGTATCTTAAAACTGATGACATCTTAATATTCTAGAATTCAGTTATTGCATTTTTAAGTATGCACAAAATAATGGTTCATTTTATAACTGTTGCCATCTTAGAGTCAGTAGAATGCTGAGATATAGTGGTATTGTGTGGAAGATAATAGTAGATGGGTTAGAAAAAGGGAGCTTTCTTGATATATCGTTTGAAACATGTGAATGCATTACTAATTCCAAACAAAAAAACTTAAGGAAAATTAATATATTGGAAAATATAAAATAGATTTGAAAAGGAAATCCAATAGCTGTCAATATAAGTAAATGTAATTTTTTTAAGTTATGTAGTACTACAAGGCTTATAATGTTTGTGTAGGCTTTTCTAGATATCACTAGTTCATCTTCAAACTTTCCACCAAACCTACAGAACTGCTCTCAATGAGTTAAACCTGTCAGATCTCTGTCATTTTTGGTTTTTCTTGATCATATCCCTCCTTGAAGCCCTGCTTCTGCCTGCCGCAGTCTGTATCGGTGCCTGTCTGGACTCGGTGCCCAGCTGTTGTTCCTGGTGCCTCCTTTCTCCGCCAGGCTCTGAATTCCCTTCACCTTGTCACCTGGAGCCTGTATGCTTCCTTTTTCTTGATTTACCCCCTTGATTTGTAAGAGCACCTCTTCAGTAGTAGGGACAGAATGCCCAAGATGTCAGTTTTTGATACTTGGCATATCAGAAAACATCTTTATTCTATCCACACTCTTCAGTCTGTTTTCTCTATATTGTTCAGATTAGGCTAATAATACTGATCCATCTTCGGCCTCATTGATTCTAAGGCAGATGCGATGGCTCTTACCTGTACAGTCCCAGCTACTCAGGAGGCTGAGGAGGGAGGATCATTTGAGGCCAAGAGTTGGAGGCTGTAGTGCTCAATGATCATGCCTGTGAAGAGCCACTGCACTCCAGCCTCACCAACACAGCAAGACCGTCTTATTTCAGTTATTACATTTTTTATTTCTTTAATTTCTATTTGGTTCCAAAATTTTTATAACTTTGGGGTTTTTTTTTACTAAGTTTTTTCTATCTTTTTGATTCATTTCAAGTGAATTAGTAATTGCATATTAACACATATTTATGATATCTACTTTAAAGTCCTTGTCAGGTAATTTGCTTCATCATTTATCTCTTGTCTTACTCAAGTTGTGATTTTTCCTGTTTCTTGATGAGTGATTTTCTGTTTGGAACTGGACATTTTAAGTGTTAAGTTATAAGACTGGATTTATATATAGGTTATACTTTAGCAGGCCTCCTCTCAAACTACACCAGCAGGGAAGAGGGGGCATTGCCTTGTTACTGCCAGGTGATCAGTGAAGGCCAGGTTCCCGGTTGGCCTCTGATGATACCACATGAGTAGTGGGATGGGGAGGAGATTGAGGTCTCTCATTACAACCTGGCCGGGTAAGTCTAGACTCTTCTCAGCCTTTGCCAAGGCCGCAGTTGTTTCTGTGACGTTTCACTGGAGTATAGCAATTATTGTCTACAGGATTTTCGTCATGCCAAGCCACCCCTTTTTCTTGGTTCTTGGGCTAGACAGAGTAGGCTTTTCTTGGGACTTTTTTTTGTCTCTGCTCTTTTGCATTTCCATGTTATCAGCTTCTCCAGCGCCCTGTCCGGGACACACAAGGAAAAAAGCAAATCCAGGGAACTGACTGCCGTGCCATTCCTGGGGTCCCGAGGTCCTAGACAATGTGCCTTTTTCTCCTCACTTTTCAGCAGCTCGTTGTGCTTGGTTTATATATAACACAATTTTCAGCTATACTTTGTGGGAGGAATAGGAAAAAGTATGTCTACTCCATCATGCCTGAAACACAACTCCTCACTCTTAAATGATAGAATGGCAGGCAGAATTTTAGATGGGAAATCATTTCTCTTTAAAAATATTAGCCGGGTGTGGCGGCTCACCCCACAGCTTCAGGAGACCAAGGCAGGCAGATTGCTTCAGTCCTGGAGTACAAGACCAGCCTGGTCAATATGGTGAAACCCCGCCTTTACAAAAAATACAAAACTTAGTCAAGGATGGTGGCACATACCTTTAGTCCCAGCTACTGAGGTTCAGGCAGGAGGATCACCTGAATCTGGGAGTTTAAGGCTGCAGTGAGCCATGATCATGCCACTGCACACCAGCCTAGGCAACACAGTGAGAGATTCTCTCTCTCTCTCTCTCTCTCTCTCTCTCTCTCTCTCTCTCTCTCTCTCATCTGTCTCACTCTCATATATATGAGAGAGAGAGTGTGTGGCATACATATAAAGGTATTACTCTGTTGTCTTCTACATTTTGTTTTTATTTTTGAAAACCCAGATATGATTTTTGAGTGCTGATCTTTATATCTTATGTGTTCATTTCTTTCTGAACGCTTTAATGATCTTTGTTCTCAATGTTCAAAAACTTGACAGTAGAATTTGGGTTGGTTGTTTTTTGAGACGGAGTCTCGCCCTGTCACCCAGGCTGGAGTGCAGTGGCATGATCTCAGCTCACTGTAACCTCTGCCTCCTGGGTTCAAGCGATTCTTCTGCCTCAGCCTCCTGAGTAGCTGGGATTACAGGCGCTCGCCACTGCGCCCCACTAATTTTTTGTATCTTTAGTAGAGACAGGGTTTCCCCATGTTGGCCAGGCTGGTCTCGAACTCCTGACCTCGTGATCCTCCTGCTTTGGCCTCCCAAAGTGGTGGGATTACAGGCGTGAGCCACTGTGCCCAGCCTTTTTTTATACTTTAAGTTCTGGGATACATGTGCAGAACATGCAGGTTTGTTACATAGGTATACATGTGCCATGGTGGTTTGTTGTACCAGTTGGTTGGTTTTATATGTGCTGTATACTCAGTGGTCTCTTCAGTCTGAAAACTTGTATTGGTCGGTACAGGGAAATCTTAATGTATTATTTCTTTCATGATTTGTTTTCTGCTACTCAATTTCCATCTCCTCCTTTTTTTGGGGAAACTCTTATTTGTCAGGTGAACTTCTAGAATTGATTTTTTTTATTTTTTCTCTCTTATTTACTGTCTCTCTTCTCTCTTTTTCTTTCTAGATATCTTCAACTTTATCTTAAAGCCTTCTCAATATGAAAATCTGTAAATGTCTGAGAAAATAGAGAAAATAATAGTAATCAAACATATGTAACTTTTAATATTTTGCCATAACTTATCTTTTTTTTTTTTTTAAGAGGCAGGGTCTCGCTCTGTTGTGGCTGGAGTTCAGTGGTGCCATCATAACTCATTGCGGCCTCAACCTCCCAGGCTCAAGCAGTCCTCCTGCTCTTCAGCCTCCAGAGTCGCTAGGACCACAGGCATACACCACCACGCCCAGCTAGTGTTTCTGTTTTTGTAGTTTTGGGGTTTCCCTATGTTAACTAGGCTGGTGTCAAATTCCTGGGCTCAAGCGATCTTCCTGCCATGGCCTCCCAAAGCACTGGGATTATAGGCGTGAGTCACCACGCCTAGCCAGTTCTTTCTTATGCCTATTCAAATATACAGTTCAGACTCTAGTGTTTTTTCTTTTTTTTCCCCTTTCAGCCTTTACACTTTTGTATTCCAGAACTTCTAGTCCCTCTGTTGCCCAGGCTGGAGTGCCAGTGTTACAATTATAGCTCATTGCAACTTCAGACTCCTGGGCACTAGTAATTCTCCTGCCTCAGCCTCCTTAGTAGCTGGAACTACAGGTGTATGCCAGTGCACCTGGCTAATTAAAAAAAATTTTTTAAGAAATGGGGTCTTACTATTTTGCCCAGGCTGGTCTCGATCTCCTGGCCTCAGATGATTCTTCCGCCTCAGCTTCCCAAACTGCTGGGAATTTATAGGCATGAGCCACTGTGCCCAACTCAATATTTTCATTTCTATAGGTTGAAAATCCCAAGTATACAATTTCTCATCTGAGAATATAAGAGTAAAAACCAAAATGTTTTTGTTTTTGTCTTCTCTCACTCAACAACAACACAGAAACTTCTGTGACCTTTGGTTAGTAAGAAGTGGGGAAGGATTTCTCCCCAGCAACCAACCAATCAGTTTTGCAGAAGACACCAGGTGGGTGCCCTCCAATTCAATTATGACACTTGGAGATAGTGTCAGATCTCACAGGTTGAGGGCTCAGTCCCACAAGACTGCACCCAACTTTCTTTTTTTTTTTTTTTTTTTTTATTATACTTTAAGTTCTAGGGTACATGTGCACAATGTGCAGGTTTGTTACATATGTCTACATGCGCCATGTCGGTGTGCTGCACCCATTAACTCATCATTTACATTAGGTAGATCTCCTAATGCTGTCCCTCCCCCTCCCCCCACCCCATGACAGGCCCTGGTGTGTGATGTTCCCCTTCCTGTGTCCAAGTGTTCTCATTATTCAATTCCCACCTATGAGTGAGAACATGCGGAAGACTGCACCCAACTTTCAACGCCAAATGCAAGCCCCAGGTGGTTTTACTTGTTCTTCTGACCAGCTAGTTCCCATGCATAAGTTTGATTAATTTGCTAGAACAGCACACAGAACTCAGGAAAACACTTTACGTACACTAACCTATTTTCATAAAGGCTATTACAGAGGATGCAGATGACCAACCAAATGGAACAGAAGCATAAGGCCTGGGAGAAGGGACATGAAGCTTCCATGGCCTCTCCAGGCACGCCTGCCCTCCAGGAATTTCCACGTGCTAGCTATCCCAGAAGCTCCTGAACCCAGTCTTTTAGAGTTTTTATGGAAATTCCATTTATACAGGAATGGTTGATTAGGCATTGGCCATTAGTAATCAGCTCAACCTCAGTCCCTCTCAATTACAACTGTAGCTAAAGAGAAAGAAAAGAAAAAAAAACAGAAAAATAACAACTCCAAAGACAACATATATATTAAGGAATTCTGGGAGAAAAGATACATTAATATTATGAAAATTGGTTGTGCTATGACGATATGACTTTGAGTTCTTTAAAGTGTTATTTTCTTAGTTAATTTTATTACTGCTTATAAAAACTTGGGAGCAGGACATACAGTATATCTTTAAAACCTGATTTCCATTTAAAATTGCTTTGTTAAACTTTAAAGTCAAGGAATAGAGTATTAGAGCTGGGTGTGGTGGCTCACACCTGTAATCCCATCACTTTGGGAGGCCGAGGCAGGCGGATCACTTGAGTTCAGGAGTTGGAGATCAGCCTGGGCAACATGGTGAAACCCCATCTCCACAAAAAAATACAAAAATTAGCCTGGCATGGTGGCACACACCTGTAGTCTCAGCTACTCGGGAGGATGAGGTGGGAGAATCCCTCGAGCCCAGAAGACAGAGGTTGCGGTGAGCCAAGATCACGCCACTTCACTCCAGCATGGGTAACAGAGTGAGACCCTGTCTCAAAATTTTTTTAAAATTAAAAATTTAAAAAAAGGAAATAGAGTATAAATTGTGCAGTGTGCTGGACAGAAATAATTGGACAAATACTCATCCTCTGAGATGTTGTAGATGAAGGCAGTTTTTTTCTTATTTGCTACATGTGCTTTTCTTTTGTGTTTTAGTGCCAAACCCAAGTCTGAAATCCACGTGTCTATGGCCACTCCGGTCACTGTGTCCATGGAGACTGTATCCAATCAAAATAATGATCAGCCTACCATTGCCGTCCCTCCAACTGCCCAGCAGCCCCCACCGACCATTCCAACTATGATTGCAGCAGCCAGTCCCCCGTCACAACCAGCCGTTGCCCTTTCAACCATTCCTGGAGCGGTCCCCATCACTCCACCCATCACCACCATTGCAGCTGCACCACCTCCATCAGTCACTGTGGGTGGCAGTCTTTCCTCCGTCTTGGGCCCTCCCGTTCCTGAAATTAAAGTGAAAGAAGAAGTAGAACCAATGGATATCATGAGGCCAGTTTCTGGTAAGTCCGTCCATAGAATACTCTCCATTGGCAATTGCCTCTTCCCCTTCCCTAATTCTCCTCCAGCATCCAGATTCTTCTGTAACCCTCAGCCAAGACTCCCTGATAACCCATTTTAGATGTTGCATGTCATTAGTTTTTGATAAGTAGAAGAAAGCAGTAAACTCATTGTGAAAAGTAAAACTACTTTGCTTCCCTTTTGTAATAAAGTTTAATTTCTGGCCAAAATCATGAAAGAGATTAATATTTCCCCATGGATATCCTTCAACATAGTTTCCTTCCATGCCTAGTAGTATTAAGAAAGTAGTATTAAGAAAATACTACTATGTAAAAGGAGGCACAATATGGCTTTAGTACTATTTATTCCAAGTTTCATTGCCTTGTTATACAATCAAGTAAGATTTGTGTTGCTGAAAAACCTATATGTGATTAGTAAAATCTTAAAACAATTCATTTCTCCCTTTACCACTTCATCTTAACTCCAAACTTCCGGTTTGAGAAAGTCAAGTCACTTGAGAGGTTTTCTTTCTTTTTTTTTTTTAATAATTTATGTGGAATTTTGTTTTTCCTACAAAAGTAACATATTCAGTATACAAACTGTGTGAAGTATAAACAAATCCAAAGAAGAAAGCAAGTTATTTGTGCTCTGGTACCCAGTATTACCTGCTATTTCAGTGAGAAGTCCTCCATTTCTTTCTCATGCTGTTTGCCCGATAGAGGTGTGATTGTGCTGTGTCTGTAGTTTTTTTAATCTACTGTTTATTTATTCATCTGTTTATTCTGCCATGAAATCTCTTTCTGTGGGTATATTTACCCTTGGCACTTTCTTCAAAAGATACCATGAGTAATCCAGAAGGGAAAAATGAAGCACCCTCAGTTATGCTACTCACCTGCTCTTTTTCGCTGGTTCCCTTTACCTCTCTGTGCTAGGAAACTGCCTGTAATCCTACCTCAACCTATAGGAGTCTATTCCAGGAATTGTTCTGGGCACTGACGATGCAACTTTGTGTAAGACAAATGCAGCTTTATCCTCTTAGGTCTTACATTCTAGCAAGGGAGACAAAAGCAAAAAGATGACTAAATTATATATGTATGTATGTATGTATATATATGTTTGGGTGATAAGTTCTATGGAGAAACAAAGCAGGGACAAAATATAAGGAAAGCTGTAGCCAGGGCTGGAATGTGTGTAAAGAGTTTTAGGAGAAAGCCTCACTGAGGAAGTGACCATTGAGTAGAGACATTAAAGAAATGAAGTTCCTGGCCATGAGGATATCCGGGGAAAGGGTATTCCAGGCCAGAGAGCAGTAAGTACAAAAATCTTGAGATAGGAGCATGCGTGATGTGCTCAAAATATAGCAAAGAACCAAAGGTCGCTGGAGCTAAGTAATAAGGGGAGTGGCAGGCAGCAGGATCAGATCATGGTAGAACAGGGCCCACAGGCTGTTGTAAAGGTTTTGGCTTTGCTGGGGTTGGCAGGGAGCTGTTGGAGCAGAGCAGGGAGTGTGAGCAGAGCAGTGCCAAGCACTCACTTAGGACTGAAGATAAACACTCTGGCTGCTGGGGAAAGAACAGACTCTGGGAACAGGGATGGAATCGGGGAGACCTGTCAAGCGGCTGTTGCATTAATTGCCAGGAGCAATGAAGGCTCAACCAGGGTAGTAGTAGCGGAAGTGGTGTGAGGTGGTAGGATTCTGTTTATGTTTTTAAGGTAGAGCTAAGAGTGTGTAATGATTGGATGTTGAGTGTGAGAGAACAGTATCTGGGACAATTTCCAAGATTTTTGGCCTTAGCAACTGGAAGCCATAGAGTTGCCATTGGCTGAATTAGGAAAGCCTGCAGGAGGACCATGTTTTGTAGGGAAAGATTAGGAGTTTAGTTTTTGATAGGGTAAGTTTCAGATGTCTGTTAGACATTTCAAATGTAGACATCAAATAAATAGTTGGATCTATGAGGCTGGCTTTTGGAATAGAAAATGAAGTTGCAGATACAAATTTGGGAGTTGTCATTATATATATAAATTGTATTTAAAGTCATGAGCCTGGATGAGTCGTTCACATCACCTAGGGAATGAATGTTGATAAAGACAGAAGCAGTCCATGATCTAGTCTTAGGATGGTGTTGTGCTATCATGAGATGGGGGAGGAAGTAAAGTCCAGCAAAGGAGGCTGAATGGAGGGAACACAGGGTAGGAATATCACTTATAGTATGTGGTGTCCTGGAAGTTGCAAGAACAAAAATATTTCAGAGAGGAGACAATGATCAGGTGGATCACATGCTCTTGAGAGATCAAGGAAGATGAGGTCTGAGCAGTGACCTTTGGATTTGGCAAACAGAAGTCACAGAGGTCTTGAGAAAAGCAGTTTTTCTGTAATGATGGGGTAAAAGCATGACTGGGGGCAAGTTCAGGAGAAAGCCAGGAGAGATAGAGACATTATATATAAACAGCACGTTTGAGGCATTTGTTCTAAAGGAAGAGAAAAAAGGTGTTTGAAGTGACATGATGTCAAGAAGATTTTTTTTTTTTTTTTTTTTAAGATGGAGTTGTGCTCTTTTGCCCAGGCTAGAGTGCAGTGGCGTGATCTTGGCTCACTGCAACCTCTGCCTTCTGGTTTCAAGCAATTCTCCTGCCTCAGCCTCCTGAGTAGCGGGGATTACAAGCACCTGCCACCACACCCAGCCAATTTTTATATTTTTAGTAGAGATGGGGTTTCACCATGTTGGCCAGGCTGGTCTCGAACTCCTGATCTTATGATCTGCCCGCCTCAGCCTCCCAAAGTGCTAGGGTTATGTGAGCCACCACACCTGGCCAAGAAGAAGATTTTTTTAAGATGGGACAAATAAGAGTTTTGTATGTTAATAGGAATGATCCAGTAGAGTGAGAAGAATTGATGATGCAGGAGAAAGTTGTGAATTCCTGGAGCACTGTTTGAGGAGGCGAGAGTGGGTGGGATTTGTGTGTAGCTGAAGAGTTTGGCCTTTGCTGAAAGCATGGAGAGAAGGAGAATATAGGGACACAGTGGAGATGGGGAGATAAGGTGGTGGGACTTGATGAACATGTTCTTGTGATTGCATCTATCTTTTTCAGTAAAATAGAAAGCAAGGCCATCCACTGAGAGTACAGATGGTGGAGGAGGCATCGAGTGTTTGAGGGAGAAGAAGGTGTGAAGTAGTCATCCCAAGAGAGACTGGACTTAACAGATAGGGTTGTCCAAGTGAGGCCAGTCAGCATGGTAGTGTGTCTCCCTCTGGCGACATTCAGTTGCGTAGGTGCAGACTGGTTGGAGAACAGGATTTAACCTCTTGGCCTTTTGCTAAATGAGCACAGTAAAGCAAGAAAAGGAAGGGACAATGAAGGAAGAAAAGGAATACAGTGATTATAGGGTTCAGACCTAGCGATGGGGGAGGATAGACATGAGAGGGATGAGTGACTGCAGGAACATGGTCGGATGAACAGGTTCCTTGTAGGCCTAAGAAGTGCTGGAGGCTGAGTACCGAGGGGAGGAACCTAGAAAGGGAGTTGGATTTACCTAGGGAGTTGGATGCTAGAAATTCAGATTGGGTGTGAGGCAGTTTCTATTTAATGGTGACAGGAAAGTTTAGGGTATGACTGTTGGGAGTGGGCAGCAGAGTGGGTAGAGGAAAATAGGGCAAGTATGTGGTAGAGTGAAAATAAGAGTTAAGGTGAGCCCTTAACATGATTTTTAAATTCCTAGATGTATGATTCATACAAGCTCAAGCAAATGTTTACGTCCTCACAACACATGCTTTTTATCTGGAGGTAGCACACTGCGGTCGGTGAGAGTGCAAGCTCTGAAGCCAGACTGCCTCTGTCAATCCCAGCTTGCCCACTTCATACTTGTGTGACTTGTGCCATATTTTCTCATCTGTGAATTGGAGGATAATAATAATGCCTACTTATTCAGATGATTTTTACGATAATGAGTTAATAGGTTACCTGCTAGGCATTTATGTTTAAAAAGTGTGAAAAATAGTAGCTTAACTCATAAGGTCCTGTTATCTCCTTTGGAGCAAGTCCTGAGGCAAACAGTTCAGGGATGGTGTGTGGACTTCATCAAATTATTAGAAAGCCAGGCTCCTTCCACCTCTTTGCTCCACCACCCCTAGGATTTGACCTTCATGCTCTTAATTCAGGACAGCTGCTGATGCTGCAGCCATCTCGTCTGAGTTCCAGGATCACAGAAAGAAGACAAGGAGATCACACCTGCTCTCTCTCTCCCTCCTGGAAATTTGCTAAAAGTGCTACAAAACACTTCTACTTCCATCTTAGATGACCACACCTGTAATGGAGGCTAGGAAGTACATTCTTTAGCTGAATATCATTGTGTCCTTGTCAAAGGACGTCCTGGACCTAAGGAAGATGAAGATATGGGCTATAAGGGAGGAGTTTGCAGCTTCTGCCACAGAGTGCTTAGCACAGTGCCAGACACATAGGAAGACAATAAATGTTGGTGCTCTGTGCTGTCTTCTTAATCATCTTTGTTGGAAGGAAGGAAGTGAAACTTTCTGTTATCTTTGAGTTCTTACAGATATGTGTGCTCCTTTTCCTATGACAGCAGTTCCTCCACTGGCTACCAACACTGTGTCTCCATCTCTTGCATTGCTGGCAAACAACTTGTCCATGCCTACAAGTGACCTACCACCTGGTGCCTCCCCAAGGAAAAAGCCTCGAAAGCAACAGCATGTGATCTCAACAGAAGAAGGTGACATGATGGAGACAAACAGCACTGATGATGAGAAGTCCACTGCCAAGAGTCTTCTGGTGAAGGCTGAGAAGCGCAAGTCTCCTCCCAAGGAGTATATTGGTAATGGTCACAGGCTGACTTGTGTTATGATGCTTCCCAATAAAGTCAGAGTCCAACCCAGAGGCTCGTTACATAGTCAGCCTCACTCGTACCTCACTTACTGGAAATGAACTTTGAGGATTGTTGACAGTGTTACTAAGTTGTTTAATGTCTTCTCTTTAACAGATGAGGAAGGTGTGAGATATGTCCCAGTGCGTCCAAGACCCCCCATTACTTTGCTTCGTCACTATCGGAACCCCTGGAAAGCTGCTTACCACCACTTTCAGAGGTACAGTGACGTCCGGGTCAAAGGTTAGTTTCCCCAGAAACACTTGATATTAATGCATGAAATTGGTGTAAACTTAATTAAAATAGAAGAGAAAAACAGAACCACAATTTTCCGGTTTCAAAAAAACCATAAGTTTTTGTTACAAAATCTTGAGGCTTTAGTGTTTAAGTATATCCTGTAGAATATAAAACCTAGAAAATTACCCTTTGCCCTAGCAAGCTGTGTGTATTTATTGGAATTGCAGTTTAATGGTTAAGTGACAGCCTTGGTTTTTGTAAAACCCACATGTTAACAGCTCCCAAAGTACTGATAGAGGATACCTGTGGCTTCCAGAGTCATTGTGGAAGAGCTGTACTGGGTTACTGTGTAACACAGTTCTCAGTCCACAGTAGTTCCTAAGATGCTAAAAATACGCATGCATTGTAAGCATTTCTGCCAAAAGATCTTTTGTTTAACAAATATGCAACGCTCTTGGAGTGGTCTAAGGTAAGCCCTCAATGAATGTTCTGTTGTTCTGGTGGAACCTGAGAATAACATTTTAATAAACCCACATATGATTGAAAATGCTGATAGTACTTTGCAAATACCTGCAAATATTTCTACGGATGGACTTTAAGTGCCATTAATCTCAAATATAATATATGTACAAAGAAATGTGAGCCTCTAGATAATTGGTCACATTTCCCATTCTCTTACATAAATCCCATTTGGAAACTGCTCTAAGGGTTTTCTTGAAGGCTCAAGATGAGTCTAACTTGGATGGAGTACTGACTAAGTAAGCAGAGGTGGACATGCTAACAGTTCAGTTTCTGAATGGAATTACAGAGGCGGCTACATTTCCCAGCTTTTCTTCCTCACAAGTGTACTCTGAGGTTTGGAAAGAGGGTGAGATTTCCAGAGGTCAAGGAGTGTTGCCTTTTAGTGGAAGTAGGATATGAACCACTAAACATCTCTTCATGCCACAAGAATTCCATAGAAAAAATATTTAGGAATTTGCCTGGTAGCATTTCAAGCCACACTACAAGAGTCTAAATGCTTATTGGGACTCGCTCTTCAAAAACTATCTCAAGAAAGATAACTTGACAGCTGAAAGGTTTATGATCCCTAAATCTTCTGTTTCAATATATTCATACTAACCTCCTTTACACAGTGCCTCTTGACTATGAAACTTTAGTGCAGCTATTTTGCCTCACCTATAAAATAACATAAATTATATATAAATACATCAAGATAGACTAAAACTCACAGGAGGCCAGGCGCGGTGATTCACGCCTGTAATCCCAGCACTTTGTGAGGCCGAGGCGGGCGGATCACTGGAGGTCAGGAGTTCAAAATCAGCCTGGCCAACATGGTAAAACCCTGTCTCTACTAAAAACACAAAAAAATTAGCCAGGCATGATGGCGGGTGCCTGTAATCCCAGCTACTCAGGAGGCTGAGGCAGGAGAATCTCTTGAACCCGGGAGGCAAAGGTTGCAGTGAGCCAAGATCGCACCACCGCTACCACACTCCATCCTGGGTGACCGAGCAAGACTCTGTCTCAAAAAAAAAAAAAAAAAAAAAAACTCACAGGAAAGAAAAGAGAAACAAAAAAGAAGTACAGAAAACACATAGTAATGTGGCAGACCTAAGCCTTACATACTAGTTATTGTCATAAATGTAAATAGTCTAAACATACCAATTAAACACAGATTGGCAGAATCAGTGAAAAAACACAGTCCAACTATGTGCTGTGTACAAGAAACTCACTTTGAATGCAGTGGCATAGGTAGATTGACAGTAAAAGACTGGAAAAATACATACAAGCCAGGTGTGGTGACTCACGCCTGTAATCCCAGCACTTTGGGAGGCCAAGATGGCTGGATCACCTGAGGTCAGGAGTTCAAGACCAGCTTGGCCAACATGGTGAAACCTCGTCCCTACTGAAAATATAAAAATTAGCCAGGCATGGTGGTACACACCTGTAATTTCAACTATTCAGGAGGCTGAGGCAGGAGAATTGCATGAATCCCCGGGAAGTGGAGGTTTGCAGTAAGCCGAGATCATGCTACTGCTCTTCAGCCTAGGTGACAGAGTGAGACTCCGTCTCAAAACACACACACACACACACACACACACACACACACACAGACACACACAATACAAAATTAATTCACACAATATGAAATTAATTTACAGAAAAGCAGGAGTGGCTATATTAATGTCACATAGAGTAAAATTCTGAGGAAAGAAAATTGCTAGAGACACAGAGGGATATTACATACTGATAAGATAATCGGCTGACCAGGTAATGATCCATTTCTCTGCAGTGTCTTTTAAAATATAGGCAAGGACATTCCAAATTTATTTTATGAAGCCAATATTTTCATGCTATCAACACCAGACAGAGTGTACAAATATAGAAAATGACAGATCAATATTCCTCATGAATATAGATGTAAAAATGCATTAATAAAATATTAGCAAATCAGATCCAGCAGTATATACCTTGACCAAGTAGAATTTTTTCTTGCTGTGCAAAGCTGGTTCAACATTTGAAAACCAAAGTAATCCACCATATTAACTGGCCTTATTAATTTCCTAGGGTTGCCATAACAAAGTACTGTGAACTGGGTGGCATAAAACAGTACAAATTATTCTCATGGTTCTGGGGGCTAGAAGTCCAGAATAAAGGTCTGATAGGATCATGTTCTCTGTGAAAGCAGTAGAGGAGAATCCTTCCTTGTCTCTTTGGTTTCTTGTGATTGCCAGCGATCTTTGGTGTTCCTGGCTTGCACCTGCACCACTCCAGTCCCTGCCTCCATCTTCAAATGGCATTCTTCTCTGTGTCTCTCTGCCTCTCCCATCCTCCTTTCTCTCTCTCTCTCCTTCTCTCCCCTTCCTTTTCTCTCTCTCTCTCTACTTCTCTGTCTCCCTCCCTCCTTGTATGGACACCAGTCATTGGATTTACAGCTCACCTTAATCTAGTATGACTTCTTAACCAAATTACCTTTTTTGTTTGTTTTTTCTTGTGACGGAGTCTCGCTCTGTCCCCCAGGCTGCAGTACAATGGTGCGATCTTAGCTCACTGCAACCTCCGCCTCCTGGGTTCAAGCAATTCTCCTGCCTCAGCCTCCTGAGTAGCTGGGATTATAGGCGCCCACCACCACACCCCGCTAATTTTTTGTATTTTTAGTAGAGACAGGGTTTCACCATGTTGGCCAGGCTGGTCTCGAACTCCTGACCTCAAGTGATCCACCTGCCTCGGCCTCCCAAAGTGCTGGGATTACAGGTGTGAGCCACTGCGGTCAGACTACATTACATTCTAATATAGTTATAGTCACAGGTACCAAGGATCTTCAACATGTCTTTGGGGGGAAAACCATTCAACCCACAACAAAAGCTAAAGAAGAAAAATCACATGATTGTATCAATCAATATAGAAAATTTGACAAAATTAAACACCTTTTCATGATAAACAGTGTTCAAAAACAGAAAAAGAAGGGTTCTTCCTTGATTTGATAAAGTTGTTCTGCCCTTGGAAAGGCTCCCCCAGCTGTCTTATGCTTTGTTCTTTCCTTC
This sequence comes from Homo sapiens, assembly GCF_000001405.40. NCBI lineage: Eukaryota > Metazoa > Chordata > Mammalia > Primates > Hominidae > Homo > Homo sapiens. Next base: position 127,946,332 of record NC_000002.12, on the reverse strand, counting down.
AAACCAGCCTGCACATAGTCTAGGCTATATCTTCATTAGTTCACAAATCTCCCCCAATTCCCTTTGCCACAGCCTCCACTGTTATGGGGAGCACCTTTAGGTTTGAACTTCTTCACACTCTTGCAAATGGACTCACTTCCTTCAGGAAGAAATTAGAAGGTATCTGTTTTACAGCCCACTTCTTCCGGCAAAATGTTTGAACCAGGGCCTTAGAGATGGGGGAGGCCCTGGCTTGACACGTGGCAAGCTTCTCTCTGAGTGACAGCCCTGCTTTAGGAGGTAGCACTTAGTGGAGGTAAAGGAGGGGAGTAAGCAGCCTGGTGTCCTCTTGGCTTGCCTCTCCTAGATGAAACCATTACCTCAAATAAAAAAGTTCTTATGGCCAGGTACGGCAGCTCATGCCTATAATCCCAACACTTTGGGAGGCCATGGCAGGCAAATTGCTTGAGCCCAGGAGTTCAAGACCAACCTGGGCAACATAGCAAGACCTCATCTCTACAAAAAATACAAAAGTGAGCCCAGCATGATGGCGCACACCTGTAGTCCCAGCTACTTGGGAGGCCGAAGTGGGAGAATCATTTGAGCCTAGGAGGCAGGGGTTGCAGTGACCTGAGATTGTACCACTGCACTTCAGCCTGGGTGACAGAGCCAGACACTGTCTCAAAAAAAAAATAAAATTCTTGTTAAAATAATGGCATTTACACTGCTCGAACACAAATCATTTACCTTTTTAAACACTGAAATACATGTATTTTTATTTTTTATGGTTCCAGAGGAGAAGAAAGCTATGCTGCAGGAAATAGCTAATCAGAAAGGAGTATCCTGTCGTGCTCAAGGCTGGAAAGTCCACCTCTGTGCTGCCCAGTTACTACAGCTGGTAGGTGGAGTTCTAGCAGTTGTTCATCATGCTGAAGAGAGGAGAAGACACTGCAGATAGCTGAGTTCATAGAACTTTTTAAAAGTAACTCTGAAGCATTCCCAGCTAACATGGGTTATGATAGAATTTTTATGTGTGCTATGTAATATCACACTGTGTCAGTTACATGTGATTAAAATTGAAATATATCTAAGTTCTGGTATCCAGATCCAAAATATATGGAACAACTGTGGTGTAAGACCTAAATTTAAGATTCAGTGTTATGTGATATTGTGACATCTGAAATAGGGGGAGCCTCAAACGGCCTAACCGAGAGTCCCTCCTCCCAACTCTGCTCCCTCAGATGAAGTCTCCTAGGCAAACAACCCTTCATACCACAGGGACCAGGCACACAATTCCTGCTCCTTGCTGAGTAGTAGGCTCCAGTTCCCTGCCAGCTTCCAGTATTCCAATTTCCAATGTTACTCAGATAAGCCAGTCACACACATCATCATTCAGAGACCGGGGCATACCTCTCCCTCTCTCCTGTTCTTTTTTTTTTTTTTTTTTTTTTTGAGACAAGGTCTTGCTCTGTTACCCAGGTTGGAGTGCAGTGGCACGACCATGGCTTACTACAGCCATGATCAACCTGCTGGGCTTAAGTTAATCCTCTCACCTCAGCACCCCCAAACAGCTGGGACTGCAGGTGTGAGCCACTGCACACAGCTGATTTTTTAAAATTTTTTGTAGAGGCCAGGCACGGTGGCTCACATCTGTAATCCCAGCACTTTGGGAGGCCGAGGTGGACAGATCACGAGGTCAGGAGTTCGAGACCATGGCCAACATGGTGAAACCCCTGTCTCTACTAAAAATACAAAAATAAGCTGGGCGTGGTGGCAGGCGCCTGTAATGCCAGCTACTCGGGAGGCTGAGGTAGGAGAATTGCTTGAAACCAGAAGGTGGAGGTTGCAGTGAGCAGAGATCATGCCACTGCACTCAAGCCTGGGCGAAAGAGCAAAACTCCCTCTCGGGGAAAAAAAAAATTGTAGAGACAGGGTCTCACTATGTTGCCCAGGCTGTACTGTGTCTTAATTTTTAACAAGTATAAAAAGTTAAAATTTTTTTTTAATAGAACATAAGGGGCCAGGTTCAGTGGCTCAGGCCTGTGATCCCAGTACTTTGGAAGGCTGGGGCAAGAGGATTGCTTGGGCCCAGGAGTTTGAGGCCCACCTGGACAACATAGTGGGACCCTGTCTCTACAAAAAAAAGTGTTTTAATTAGCCGGGTGTAGTGGTGCACACCCCCTAGTCCCAGCTACCTGGGAAGCTGAGGTGGGAGGAACTCTTGAGCCCGGAAGACCAAGGCTGCCCTTAGCCATGATCGCACCACTGCACTCCATCCTGGATAACAGAGTAAGACACTCTCAAAAAAAAGGAAGAAAACAAAGTTTATAGAATAAAGATACAAAGAAAGAAAATATTTTTTGTAACCGCCCAACAGTATCCACATTTGTCCAACAATATGTGTTTTAAGCTAAGTTTTATTGCAAAGGAGTCAAAAAGTTTAAAACAATTTAAAAGTTTATAAAGTAAAAAGAGTATGCTACGGTTAATTTGTTATTGAAGAAAGAAGAATATTTTTAATAGATTTAGTGTAGCCTAAGGGCACAGTGCTTATAAAGCCTACAGTAGTGTACAGTGATGTCTTAGACCTTCACATTCACTCCCTGCTCACCCACTGACTCACACAGAGCAACTTAACAGTCCTGGTAGACTGCATTCATGTAAGTGCTCTTTACCATTTTTAATCTGTCATGCCGTATTTTTGCTGTACCTTTTCTATGTATAGATACGTTTAGATACACAAATACTTAACACTGTGTTTCAGTTTCCCGCACTATTCCTTGCAGTAACATGGTGTACATGTTTGTAGCCTAGGAGCAGTAGGCTCTATCATATAGTCTAAATATGTGGTAGTTCATAACATCTAGGTTTGTGTAAGTACATTCTGTGATGGTCACACAACAATAAAATTTCCTAAAGACATTTCTCAGAACGTATCCCTGTCATTAAGCAGAGCATGACTGTATTTGTGACTCATAAACTGCTGTTAATCTTATCCATCCAGTGTTGGATCTTATATGTTTGGCCATTTCTATAACCCTAGGGCAAGAATCCCTCCTTCACCAGCAGGTGAAGAGGAGGCAACAACCTCATAAAGTTTTTCCTCTTCAGTAGCAGTGACCTGAAGAACATTGTCTGTTGTCAGTATCTAAAAAAATGTAGTGCCTTGGCTACTTCTGACTTAGCAGAAATCACTTCTATGAAACTTGGAGACTTGTGTTTCAGAAGAATTGTGGATTCAAGGCAGTATTCAAAAGTTATCCTTGAAGATAGGCTCTGAACTATGGCAAATTATAATGTAAATCTTTGTTGATCAGTTTCCTTTACTGTTTTTATTTTATTTATTTATTTATTTATTTATTTTTTAGATGGAATTTCGCTCTTGTTGCCCAGGCTGGAGTGCAATGGCGGGATCTCAGCTCACTGCAACCTCTGCCTCCCGGGTTCAAGCGATTCTCCTGCCTCAGCCTCCCGAGTAACTGGGATTGCAGGCATGCGCCACCACGCCCAGCTAATTTTGTATTTTTAATAGAGATGGCGTTTCACCTTGTTGGTCAGGCTGGTCTCAAACTCTGGACCTCAGGTGATCCACCCGCCTCGACCTCCCAAAGTGCTGGGATTATAGGCGTGAGCCACCGCGCCCAGCCCCTTTACTGTTTTTAAACCTTAGTATCTTAGTCCTTAGGAGAAAGGACGTTGTCACCCAAACAACTCTTAGACAGTTTACAAAGGTGATTGAAGGTGGGTTCATTTGCCTGGGGTTGACATAGAAAAATATTTCCGAGCTTATGATACCCTCCCTTTTGTGTGTTGCAGACGAATCTAGAACATGATGTCTATGAAAGACTTACTAACCTGCAGGAAGGGATTATCCCAAAGAAAAAAGCAGCAACAGATGATGATCTCCACCGAATAAACGAACTGATACAGGTTTGAGTGCGCCCCTTCCCTTCTGATCATCTACTTTATGAAGTTGCTTTCTGTAAAGCCCTACTTCTCCCGTTTCCCCCCGTCTCCCTCATATCTTCAGTAAAAACATACGTGCTTCAGCCTGCACTCCTGAGAAACAAAAAGACATTTTCTCTGTTGTGGAAGCCTCAACATGGCCTCTGCCCAAAGGCAAGCAGTTTTTTAAAAGCTGTACTATCCTCATGGTCACTGATTGATGATGCAATGTCTTCTGTTTCAGGGAAATATGCAGAGGTGTAAACTTGTGATGGATCAAATCAGTGAAGCCAGAGACTCCATGCTTAAGGTTTTAGATCATAAAGACCGTGTCCTGAAGCTGCTTAACAAGAACGGGACTGTCAAAAAAGTGTCCAAATTGAAGCGAAAGGAAAAAGTCTAGACCCAGAACAATCAGGAGATTGGAAGCAAATTTATGAAGAATGATGGTGGGGGTGGGGGGAGGGTTTTGGTTTTTTCCAAAGTGGAACATTGAAATAAAGGAAGTGTTCCTTAGTTCCCGTGTGAAAGCAGAGGAACCCATGACATCCAAGGGCGTGAAAGGATCAGAGCTGACTGGACATAGTGAGCTGCCTTCTTGCGTTCGGGTGCACCCCTGTTAAACCTGATCTGTGTCATAAGTGACTCCGGATGCATCAGTGTCCACCAGTTGGAAGCAATGACAAGGATGGCTGGCTGGTGTTTTTCAGCCTTCCGGTTTATAGACTGTATTTATCTAGTGGATTCCTGCAGGCCCCATACTGAGCCTGGACTGAAAGTATCCACTCGGACCATCTGTTATCTCTCTACACTGAAAATAAAACCTCTTCCACCCACCCCATTCGGTTCTTCTGCCTGACCTTCAAATGCCCATGTTGGCCTTTTACAGCAGTGCCACGGCACCAAGCGAGCTGCCACATCTCACACTCTAAAGGGTTTGAACTATTAGTTCTTGTCATTTTTTAAAAAAAACCATTCCCAAGTGAAATTGTTATATCGTCTGTCTTGCGTGTGTCAGAACTGGGTTTTTGTGGAGGTTCAGAGCAGGCAACACCATAAGTTGCTCTCAGATCCTTGTTCTGAAGTACATTCTTGGTTATCTGTACTTCTGTAGCTGGTGTGATGCTGTTAATTGTATGTACCACACATCTCCAGACGTTAATAAAGGACTCAAAGAGGTTTTTGTACTTGCGCAGTTTGCATCTTTTTGTAAAGTGAATCAGTGCCATACTGACCCTCACTGAAATGTTTACCCTGCTTCAGTTTTTCACACATTGTTGGGAGCCTACTTTGTTTGTTGAAGTTATGCTGTTCGCATAGAGTTCCTCTTAGAGGGTAGTCTAAATATGCTACAGTGGTGAAACCTGTTGGATCTTGGCTCCCTTAAATACGAGCCTGTATTGTGGCCCAGTGCGGATAAAAATTGGTCCGATTACAGGACTATTAAGGCTGCAGTACTGGGGGCGGAGCTTTCGGGCGGGTGGATCCTCTCCACACATTGCTCTTCGTCTGAACTAACCTGAGTGGAAAGGCAGCTCAGATCGGCTTCCTTTGGGCACAAGACCAACCGTCTCCATCTGGCCTCCATGTAACAGACCAGGAAAGATTTTTCTCAGAGGCTTCTGCCTCTGCAGACACGACGTGACCACCCTCCTTCCTTAGGACACCTGCTTTCAGCTACCAGGTTGGGGCTAGAGTGCTTCCCTTTGCTCTGAGTTGAACAGATTTGAGATGGGCCGTGTTCCATTTCTACCCATGCCTTTGGGACCAATGCCCTGGCTCACCTGAGACAGCCTTCCTCATAGTAGAATGGTAAGCTGTCATCTGTGGGATTGGGAAGACCACCCAGGCCTGCAGAGCCTAGGCTAAAGACAGCCTGGGCGCAATCGAGGCTGCTTGACTAGAGTATTCGATGAGGATATGGAGAAAACTTGAGAAGGTTTTACTAGGTGCCAATCTAGCATAACTCCTAGAATAGTGTTCCTTTGCTGCAGTTTCTCATCAGTACACACATTGCCTTAGTGGTCACATGTGGTCTTTGGTTAGAGCAGGAAAGGATTCAGGTATGTGGGATCCTATATTATAGACATAATTCTCTATGGCTTTTTTTTTGTTTGTTTTGTTTTGTTTTGAGACTGGATCTCACTCTATCACCCAGGCTGGAGTGCAGTGGCTCAATCGTGGTTCACTGCAGCCTCCAACTCCTGGGCTCAAGCGATTTTTCTGCCTCAGTCTCTTGAGTATCTGGGACTACCAGTGCTTGCCACCATACCCAGCTATTTTTTTTTTTATTTTTCTTTTTAAGAGATGGGATCTCACTGTGTTGCTCAGGCTAGAGATTACTTTTTTGAAGAAAGCTTGTCAGTACAAGCCTCGAAGTCAGTGCAGGTAAGAAAATAGTGTTTTCAGGATTTCTTCCCCTTATGAGGACAATGCAGTCAGAAGTTAGAGGCAAAGGGGATGATTCTTGCCTACAAACAATGGTTTTTGAATATAGTTTTATTGGCTGGGCGCAGTGGCTCACACCTGTAATCCCAGCACTTTGGGATGCCAAGGCAGGCAGATCACTTGAGCTCAGGAGTTCAAGACCAGCCTGGCCAACATGGTGAAACCCCGTCTCTACTAAAAAAAATAAAAATTAGCCAGGTGTGGTGGCGCATGCCTGTAGTCCCAGCTACTTGGGAGGCTGAGGCAGGAGAATCACTTGTACCTGGTAGGCAGAGGCTGCAGTGAGCCAAGATCACACCACTGCACTCCAGCGTGGGTGACAGAGTGAGACCCTGTCTAAAAACAAACAAAAATACAGTTTTATTAAAGAGGAATAGTGGCCCACGCCTGTAATCTGAACACTTTGGAAGGCCGAAGCAGGAAGATCTCTTGAGCCCAGGGGTTCGAGGCCAGCCTAGGTAACATAGTGAGACCCCACTTCTACAAGAAAACATTTAAAAAGAAAATGGCTTGTAATATTTTTATGTCTTCATAACGAGTGATTTTTTTTTTTTTTTGAGATGGTCTTGGTGTCACTCAGGCTGGAATACAGTGAGGCGAACACAGCTCACTACAACCTCAACCTCCCAAGTGCAAGCAATCTTCCTGCCTTAGTTTCCTGAGCAGCTGGGACTACAGGTGCACGCCACCGTGCCTAGCTAGTTTTTTAATTTTTTGTAGAGGCGGGATCTCACTATGTTGCCCAGGCCAGTCTCAAACTCCTGACCTCAAGCAGTCCTCCTGCCTCAGCCTCCCAAAGTGCTGGGATTACAGGCGTGAGCCACTGCACCTGACCTACTGATTTTGTCATAGTAATAATAGAGAGTCATACAATTACAGGATTGAATATTTATTTACAGATTATGTAGTCCAACCCAACCAATGATGAAATGGACTCCTTAAAAACAATTTTTTTTCTTTTTACATTATAAAATACCACACATCCAAAAGCCTAGTACATGAAGCAAATGTATAGATTCATCAATTCTTAAGAACAACTTTCAAATCACCCCCATGGTAAGAAATAGAAACTTGTCAGTCATCTCCAGAAGCTTCGCCACTGCCACATGTAATCACAGCCCTCCAGTGCCCCACTAACTTTTCCAAATAATCATTTTTATTGTAGTACAGAGTCGAATGCTCAAATCCTAATAAGATTTGTCAAAATCTTGTGTTTTGACAAATATATACACCCATCGCCAACACCCAAATAAAGACACATGACATTTCTATAATCCCAAAGGAGCACCTCTTTGTAGTCAGTACCCCTCTGCCTCAGCCCGCCCCCCACAAAAAAAGGTAAATACTCATCTACCACCTGTTAACACAGATTAGTTTTGTCTGTTCGTTAACTTCATTTAATAGATTCATGCAGTACACACTTGTGTTTGGCTTATTTTGCTCAACATAATTTGAGCTTCATCCATTTGTCATGAGTATCAGTATGTTGTTTCTCTTGCTGAGTGGTATTCTGTGTGAGGATGCAACAGTTTGTCCACTTCCCTATTGAAGGACCCATTGGTTTGCTTTCCATTTTTGGCTATTATGAATAAAGCTGCTATAAACATTTGTGTGCAGGTTTTTATGTGTAAATCACTTTTCAGATCGTTTGGGTAAAAACCTAGGAGTGTGATTGCTGGGTTGTAAGGTGAAAAACTGTTTAGTTTTGTAAGGAACTGCAAAACTGTCCTCTAATAGGGGTGTATCATTTTACATTGCAACCAGCAATGAATGAGAGTTCCTGTATTCGGTGTTGTCAGTGCTTTTTGGATTTTAGTCTTTCTAATAGGTGTGTAGTGGTATTTCATTTTCATTTGCAGTTCCCTGGTGATATATGATGTTGAGCATTTTCATGTGTTCATTTGCCTTCTTTAGTATCCTCTCAGGTGAAATATCTATTCACATCTTTGCCTTTTTTATTATTATTATTATTTTGAATTGAGACAGGGTCTTGTTCTGTTTCCCAGGCTGGAGTGCAGTGGCATGATCACAGATCACTGTAACCTCAACCTCCCGGGCTCAAGCAAACCTCCCACCTCAGTCTCCCGAGTAGCTGAGACTTCAGGCATGTGCCACCACACCCAGCTCATTTTTGTATTTTTTGTAGAGATGGGGTCTCACTATGTTGCCCAAGCTGGTCTCAAACTCATGGGCTCAAGGAATCTCCTATCTCAGCCTCTCAGCCTCCCAAAGTGCTGGGATTACAGCACTGTGCCTGGCCAGTAGTACCTTTTGAAGAACAGAAGTTTTTAATTTTAGTAAAATACAACTTTTTAATTTTTTCTTTCATGAATTGTGCCTTGGACATTATATCTAAAGATATTGCTAAACCTAAGGCACCTAGGTTTTCTCCTGTTTTCTATGAATTTTATATTTTTATGTTTTATATTTAGGTTTATGACCCATTTTGAGTTGATTTTTATGAAAGATGTAAGGTCTGTCAAGGACTTTTTGTTTTTGTTTTTGTTTTTGTTTGAGACAAGGTCTTGCTTTCTCACCCAGGCTGGAGTGCAGTGGCATGATCATGGCTCACTGCAGCCTCAATCTTCTGGACCTAAGCGATCCTCCCACCTCAGCCTCCAAAGTGTCTGGGACTACAGGCGCATGCCACCATGTCCAGCTAATTTTTGTATTTTTTTAGAGATAGCATTTCACCATGTCGTCCAGGCTGGTCCTAAACTCCTGAGCTCAAACAATCCACCCTCCTCTGCCTCCCAAAGTGTTGGGATTACAGGCGTGAGCCACTGCGCCCAGCCAGGGTTTTTGTGTTTTGTTTTGTCATATGAATATCCAGTTGTGTTCCAGCACCATTTGTTGAAAAGCCTCTCCTTGCTCCATTGAAATCCTAGTAAGATTTCTCTTTGAAGCCTTTGCTAATAAGCCTTGGCTCCCTTGTCAGAGATCAATTGACTGTATTTGTGCGGCTTTCTCTTCTGTTCCATGGATCCACTTCCTTGATGAATAGCACATTAGTGTAGTTTTATAGGGAGTCCTAAAGTTGGGCAATGTCGGTTCTTCATCTTTGTTCTTCATTCTTGTGTTGGCTATTCAGGTCTTTTGTCTTTTCCTATAAATTATAGACTGTTGACATCTACAGAATAGTTTGCTGAGACTTTGATTAGCTTTATGTAGACTTTGTAGATCAAGTTGGAAATAATTGATAACAGTGTTGTGTGTTCTAATCCACAAATATGAACTATCCCTTCATTTATCTATATATTTGATTTCTTTCACTAGAGTTTTCGCAGTTTTCCTCGTATACATCCTATATGTATTTCACTAAGATTTGTAAGTGTTTGATTTTTTTGGTACTATTGTAAATGGCACTATGTTTTCAGTTTCAAATTCCAGTTGCTCACTGGTGGTATATAGAAAAAGCAATTGACTTTTTTTTTTTTTTTTTTTTTTTTTTGAGACAGAGCCTCACTCTGTCACCCAGGCTCCTGACCTCAGGTGATCCGTCCGCTTTGGCCTCCCAAAGTGCTTGGATTATAGGCATGAGCCACTGTGCCCGGCCGGAATTGTTTTCTTAATTGTTTTCTTAATTTCATATTTGGTGTACTCATTGGTACTACAAAACCAATGAGTATACAATAGAAATACAATTGATTTTTTTTTTTTTTACATTTTTGGCCAGGCACAGTGGCTCATGCAGACTCCATCTCAAAAAAAAAAATTTAAACAGCTTTATTGAGATACAATTCATATATCATGCAACTTACCCATTGTAAGTATACAGTTCAAAGATTTTTGATACATTAAATTACTAATTTTTAAAACTATTAATATATGTAACATAAAATTTGCCATTTTAACGGTACAATTCAGTGGCAATCATTATACTCACCATGTTGTGCAACATTACCATTATCTAATTCTAAGAGTTTTTCATTACTCCTTTGTAACCAATAAGCCCCTGGTAATCTCTAATCGACTTTATTTTTACAAATTTGCCTGTTCTAGATACCTTGTATAACTAGAATTGTACAATATATGTTCTTCTGTGTTGGGCTTATTTCATGTAGCAGATGGTTTTCAGGGTCCATCCATGTTGTAGCACACATCAGGACTTCATTCCTTTTAAAATCTGAATAATATTCCATTGTAAGTATATATCACTGTATATATCACTTTTTTAATTAATTTATGTGTTGATGGATACTTGGTTGTTTCTACCTTTTGGCTGTTTTAAGTAATACTGCAGTGAACACTGGCATACAAGCGTCTGTTTAAGTGGCTAATTCCTTTGGATCTATATCTGTGAATGGAATTGCTGTATCATATGATAATTCTGTGGATAGCCACCAAACTATTTTTTATAGTAGCTGCAACATTTTAAATTCTTTTATTTATTTATTTATTTATTTATTTATTTATTTATTTAAGACAGAGTCTCACTCTATCGCCCAGGCTAGAGTGCAGCGTTACAATCTTGGCTCACTGCAGTCTCAACCTCCTGGGATCAAGTGATCCCCCCAACTCAGCTTCCCAAGTAGCTGGGACCACAGGCACGTGCCACCACGCCCGGCTAACTTTTGTACTTTTTGTAAAGACAGGGTTTTGCCATGTTACCCAGGCTGGTCTCGAACTCCTGGGCTCAGGCGATCACCTGCCTCAGCCTCCTGAAGTGCTGGGATTACAGGCATGAGCCACTGCGCCCAGCCCCATTTTACATTCTTAAGTATTCTTTTGAAGCTATTATAAATGGAATTGTTTCTAAAAATTTGCTTTCAGGCCAGGCATGGTGGCTTACACCTGTAGTCTCAGCACTTTGGGAAGCCAAGGCGGGTGGATCACCTGAGGTCAGGAGTTCGAGACCAGCCTAGCCAACATGGCAAAACCCCTTCTCTACTAAAAATACAAAAATTAGGTGGGGGAGTGTGGTGGTACACACCTGTAATCCCAGCTATTTGGGAGGCTGAGGCAGGAGAATCACTTGAACCTGGGAGGTGGAGGTTGCAGTGAGCTGAGATCGCACCACTCCACTCCAGCCTGAGCAACAGAACAAGACTCTGTCTCCAAAAATAAAATAAATAAAATTTACTTTCAGACTATTTATTGCAAAAGTATAAAAATACAACTGCTTTTTGGGAGTTAATTTGTATCCTGCAGGTTTGCTGAATTTTCAAATTATCTCTAATAGTTTTTGTGGAGTTGTTAGGTTTTTCTACAAATAAGATCATCAAAAAAAGATTCTGTCATCTGCAAACAGTGATAACTTTATTTTGTTTTCTAATTTAGATGCATTTTCTTGTTCTTACCTAATTGTTCTTCTTAGAACATCCACTACTACATTGAATAGAAGAGGTGAAAGTGGGCTGGGTGTGGTGGCTTACACCTGTAATCCCAGCACTTTGGGAGGCTGAGGCGGGTGGATCACTGAAGTCAGGAGTTCAAGACCAGCCTTGCCAATGTGGCAAAACCTTGTCTCTACAAAAGTACAAAAATTAGCTGGGCGTGGTGGCACTTGCCTGTAATCCCAGCTACTCAGGAGGCTGAGGCAGGAGAATCACTTGAAACCAGGAGGCAGAGGTTGCAGTGAGCAGAGATCATGCCACTGCACTCCAGCCTGAGCGACAGAGTGAGACTCTAAGAGAAGAGGTGAAAGTGGGCACCATTGCTTTGATCCTGACCTTAGAGGGAAAGCATTCAGTCTTTCACCATTGATTATTATGTTAGTTGTAAATTTTTCTCATATTGGCTTTATCATGTTTAGGAAGTTTCTTGCTATTCCTGGTTCATTGAGTATTTTTATAATAAAAGGAGGTTAAATTTTTTCAAATCTGCATCATTTGAGATGATCATATAGTTTTTTTTTTTGTTTTTTTTTTTACTTGTTTGTTTTAATCATCTAGCTTAAAATGTCATTATATGGTTTTATTCCTTCCTTCTATTAATATGATATATTACATTAACTTTAGTATGTTGAACCATCCTTGCTTTCTAAGGATAAATCCCACTCAGTCATGGTGTATAATCTGTTTTACATGCCACTGAATTTAGTTTACTAGTATTTACTGAGTATTTTTATGTATATTCATAAAGGATATTAGTCTATATCTCTCTTGTACTTTTGTCTAATCTGAGCATCAGGGTAATACTGGACTTGTAGGGTGATATAGAAAGTGTTCCCTTTTCCCTAGTATGTTGGAAGTGTTTGTGAGTAATTGTTGTAGAATTATTATAATTTATCAGAGAAGCCATTTGGTTGCGTTTATTTGTTGAGAGGTTTTTTGTTATTGATTCAATTTCCTTAATAGTTCTAGGTCTATAGTTATGTATCCCTCAATGACAGGGATACATTCTGAGAAATGTGTTATTGGTCAATTTCATTGTTGTGCAAACATCACAGGTTGTACTTACACCAACTTAGGCTATATGGCATAGACTATTGCTCCTAGGCTACAAACCAGTACAGCATGTTACTGTACTGAATACTGTAGGCAGTGGTAACATAATGGTAAGTATTTGTGTATCTAAGCATATCTAAACATAAGAAAGGTACAGTAAAAATATGGTGTAAAAGATTTTTAAATGGTACTTGTATATAGGGCACTCTCCACGAATGGAGCTTGCAGAACTAGAAACTGCTTTGGTGAGTGAGGGATGAGTGAATGTGAAGGCCTAGGACATTACTCTACACTACTGTGGGCTTTATAAACACTGTACACTTAGGCTACACTAAATTAATTTACAAATTTTTTCTGACCAGACACAAGTGGCTCACGCCTGTAATCCCAGCACTTTGGGAGGCAAGGCAGGTGGATCCCTTGAGCTCAGGAGTTCAAGACCAGCCTGGTCAACATGGCGAAACCTCGTCTCTACTAAAAATACAAAAAATTAACCGGGCATGATGGTGCGTGCCTGTAGTCCCAGCTGCTTGGGAGGCTAAGGTGGGAAGATTGCTTGAGCCTGGGAGGTCGAGGCTGCAGTGAGCTGTGATCACACCACTGCACTCCAGCCTGGGTGACAGAGTGAGACCCTGTTTCAAAAAACATAACAAATATACTCTAAAACAATGATTAAAAGTATAGTGTAGTAAATACATAAACCAATAACATAGTTGTTTATTATCATCAAGTATTATGTACTGTACTTAATTGTATGTGCTATGCTTTTATGATTGACAGTGCAGTAGATTTGTTTACACAAGCATCACCACAGACACGTGAGTAATGCGTTGCTCAACAATGGCTACGATATTACCAGGCAATAGGAATTTTGCAGCTCCATTAAAGCTTATGGGACCACAGTCATTTATGAGGTCTGACTCGCCCAAAACGTCATTATGTGGCAGATGACTGTTTGCAGATTTTCTATTTCTTTTTTCTTTTGTGTGCAACTATTTCATTTTAATTACTCCTATTAAAAGATTGTTTATTTTGGAGGGCTGCAAGGCATTTTATTATCCACTCTTTTCTTAAAAGTTTCCATGGGTCTGGTAAATTCACATTATTCCCATGATGATGTTTCAGAGTGACTCCAGGAATGTCAGGAGATTTCATCATCAAGCACTTGGTTACCTTTCTAGTGTTGAAACCGTAGCACATTGCAACTTGCAGAAATAGATGGGCAAATAGATGGGCTGCAATGAGCTGCGATTGTGCCACTGAGCCTCCTGAGTAGCTGCTCTACAAGCACATGCCACCATGCCCAGCTAATTTTTTAATTTTCTATAGAAATGGGGTCTTGCTTTCTTGCTCAGGCTGGTTTTGAACTCCTGTCCTGGACTCCCAAAGTACTACGATTTCAGGTGTGAGCCAGTGCACCTGGCCTTTTTTTTTTTTTTTTTTTTTTGGAAATTTCAGAATTTTATGATATGTAGAGAGGGTGAGTTGTTACACTTTTACGCCTTGCGGGTTTAAATTCCTTTTTTTTTTTTTGAAATGGAGTCTTGCTCTTGTTGCCCAGGCTGGAGTGCAGTGGTGTGATCTCAGCTCACTGCAACCTCCGCCTCCCAGGTTCAAGTGATTATCCTGCCTCAGCCTCCCAAGTAGCTGGGATCACCATCACGCCCGGCTGATTTTTGTATTTTTAGTAGAAACAGGGTTTCTCTATGTTGGCCAGGCTGGTCTCGAACTCCTCACCTCAGGCGATCCACCCACCTCAGCCTCCCAAAGTGCTGGGATTATAGGCCTGAGCCACCATGCCCAGCCTAAATTATTCTTATAGAAAAACTTTCTTTTCTTTCTTTCTTTCTTTGTATATATTCAAGGAATAAAAACGCAGTTCTGCTACACTGTAATATATTGTGTTGTGGTGAAGACAGGGCCCTCAGTGCATCCATCCTTGGAGCAACACACACTGTACCTACTAAGCAAGTCATCCATCTCCCGCTCAAGTCTTGCAGCATTGAAGTGGCAAAATACTCGCCATTCCAGGACTGTAATTGTCACTTGAAGATGTTCTCTGGGACCTCTTCACATTGCTTTTATATCATGAACAATAAAAATCACTGCCATACCTGGCAAAGCTGAATTCCCCACACCATCTGTCAAAGAAGCCTGTCCAAACACAAAATTCCAGGTGTCTCTTGGGTTAAGATCAATCATTGTTATCCCTGCAACATAGAATGCATCTTTAGGTTTCCTTTTTGTTTTTTTCACTTCAGAATGTGCCCTACATGAATTTCCAGGTTTGGTACATTATCACCGACTCTGAAAGAACACCTCATTGCAGAAATAGGAGCTGGTTCCGGGAGTTGTACTGTCAAGCTATAGAATAACGCTTCGTAGTGGCCCATGAACCATTGAACATATTCTACACTGATAATTCTGGTATTTCCTAGAGATCCAATACATACCAATGGACTATACATAAATACTGCATTTCTCTGGGGCATTTCTCCTGTAAGGATCATAGAAAACTGTTCAATCTTCAGAAGCCTTCCTCTCAAGCTGACTGAAAATGTAGGCTAGTGAGTCCAAAGTGATCACTGTCTGGTTGGAAGCCTGCTTTCATAGAACAGTCTTCCCCAGTATCTGAGCTCTGATACTGGGATATACATGCTGTGTTCTTTGGCATGAGAACAGTCTTTAGCATGTTTACAGAAGGAGATTATCACTGAATGTTTCACTTTACAAAGACATGCATGTCTGCGCCTGGCCCTGTTGTATGAGATGCCTTCACCCCCAACAGCCCTCGACACTGCCAGCTTGCCTTCCATGGGACCCCCGCCTGCATTCATTTCTTGAGTCAGTTTGGGTAGATTGTGTGTTTCTAGAATTTATTTATTTCATCTAATTAGGCGTCTTAAGTTGTGCCTAGGTTGGGTTATCTAATTTGTGGGTTTGTAACTATTCATAACATTCTCTTATGGTCTTTTCCATTTCTATAAAATTGGTAGTAGTATCTCTACTTTCATTTTCTAATTTCAGTAATAATTTTTCTTTTTTTATTTCCCCTTTCGAGAATGAAAGATTTTAGTAATTTGTCTCCTCCCTTTTTTCCTAGTCAAGATTTGTCAGTTTTGTTGATCTTTTTAAGAATCAACTTTTAGTTTCATTGATTTTCTCTATTGAGTTTTGATTCTGTACTTAATCTATGCCCTACCACTATGATTCCTTCTTTCTCCATTAGTTTGCTTCTACTAGTTCCATAGGTGTAGAATTAGTTTATTGATTGGAGATATTTCTTCTTTTTCAACATATACATTTACAGCTATAAGTTCCTCTTAGCACTGCTATGTTGTGTTTTGTTTTTATTCGTCTCAAAATACTTTTTAATTTCCCTTGTGATTTCTTCTTTTACCCACTGGTTGTTTAAGACTTTAATTTCCACATATTTGTGAATTTTCTGGTTTTCCTGGTGTTATTCATTTCTAGTTTTATTCCATTGTAATTGGAAAAGATGTTGTGTATACTGTTAGTCTTTTTCCCCTTCTGTCTCTCTCTTTTTCTTTTGAGACATTCTCATTCTGTCGCCAAGGCTAGAGTGCAGTGGCACAATCGCAGCTCACTGCAACCTCTGCCTCCAGGGTTAAAGCAAAATCATGCCTCAGCCTCCCAAGTAGCTGGGATTACAGGTATGTGTCACCATGCCTGGCTGATTTTTGTATTTTTAGTAGAGACACGGTTTCACCATGTTGGCCAGGCTGGTCTTGAACTCCTGGCCTCAAGTGATCCACCCACCTTGGCCTTCCAAAGTGCTGGAATTACAGGCATGAGCCACCACGCCTGGCCTGATGTTAGTCTTTTTAAATTTATTGAGATTTGTTTTATGGCCTAACACATGGTTTATGCTGGAGAATGTTCCATATACACTGGAGAAGAATGTGTATTTTGCTGTTGCTTGGTACTCTATATATGTCTGTTAGCTCAGACTGGTTTATAGTATTGTTCAGTTTCCTGATTTCCTTATTGATCTGTCTGTTGTATCTATTACTGAGAGGGGGATATTGAAGTGTCTAACTATTATTGAAGAATAGTTTCTCTCTTCAATTCTATCCATTTTTGCTCTGTACATTTGAGGACTGTATTATTAGTTATAAATATGTTTATAAGTGTTATATCTTTTTGCTATAGTTAACATTATAACAATATGAAATGTCCCTTCTCTCTTGAAACCATTTTTCATTTAGAGTCAATTTTGTTTAACAATGATACAGTCACTTTGGCTCCCTTTTGGTTATTATTTGCATGGAATATCTTTTTCCATCCTTGCATTTTCAGCTTCCTTGTTTTTTTATATACGAGTATCTTGTGGACAGCATATAGATTTTTTTTTTTTTTTTTGAGACAGAGCCTCGCTCTGTTGCCAGGCTGGAGTGCAGTGGCACGATCTCGACTCACTGCAACCTCCACCTCCCAGGTTCAAGTGATTCTCCTGCCTCAGCTTCCTGAGTAGCTGGGATTACAGGCACCCACCACCAGGCCTGGCTAGTTTTGTATTTTTAGTAGAGACAGGGTTTTGCTATGTTTGCCAGGCTGGTCTCGAACTCCTGACCTCAGGTGATTCACCTGCCTCAGCCTCCCAAAGTGCTGGCATTACAGGCATGAGCCACCATGCCCTGCCAGATTTTTTTTTTTAATTCATTCTGCTAGTCTCTGGTTTTTTTTTTTTAGACGGAGTTTCACTCTTGTTGCCCAGGCTGGAGTGCAATGGTGCGAATCGCTTGAATCTCTGCCTCCCGGGTTCAAGCTTTTTTCCTGCCTCAGCCTCCTGAGTAGCTGGGATTACAGGCACGCGCCACTATGCCCAGCTAATTTTGTATTTTTAGTAAAGACGGGGTTTCACCGTGTTGACCAGGCTAGTCTCGAACTCCTGACCTCAGGTGATCCGCCCACCTCGGCCTCCCAAAGTGCTGGGATTATAGGCATGAGCCACCAGAGCCAACCTGTTTTTTTATGTTTCTTTATTTTTTTATTGATACATAATAATTGCATATTTATGGGGTACACGTAGTGTTATGATACATGTATGTAATATGTGATGATTGAATCAGGATATTTAGGATATTCATCGTCTCAAACATTTGTGTTGGGAACATTTCAAATCTTCTAGTTATCTTTGAAATGTACAGTATATTATTAACTATAGTCACTGTACTGTTCTGTTGAACACAAGACCTTGTTCCTTCTAACTCTATGTTTATACCCATTAACCAGCCTCTCTTCATCCCCTTATTCTCTGCCTTCCTTTTCTTTTTTTGAGTCAGGGTCTCTGTCAGCCAGGCTAGAGTGCAGTGGCACAATCACAGCTCACTGAAGCCTCAACCTCCCGGGCTCAAGCTATCCTCCCACCTCAGCCTCCTGAGAAGCTAGAACTACAGGCACCTGCCACCACAACTGGCTAATTTTTTAAATTATTTGTACAGACAGGGTCCCACTATGTTGCTCAGGCTGGTCTCAAATTCCCGGGCTCAAGCAATCCTCCCCCCTCAGCCTCCCAAAGTGCTGGGAATACAAAAATGCAAACCACCACACCTGCCCACCCCATTCTGTCTTTTAAAAGGAGAGTTTACTCAGCTTGCATTGAAGGTGATTGCTGATAAAGAAGGATTTACCTCTGTTATTTAGCTATTTTTTTTTCTGTGCATCTTCTAGTTTTGTTTCTTAATTCCTCCATTACTACCTTTTCTTGTAGTTAGCTGATTTTTTATAATATACCATTTTGATTCCCTTCTTCTTTACTTTTCTGTATGTTTTTAAAGTTCTTAGGTGTTACCTTGGGTATTTCAGTTAAGATCCTAAACTTATGACGATACTCTGAATAATACCAACTTAGTTTCAATAATATACGTTAAATAAAATGTATGGGAAGCCATTGGTTTGTATTGAGCTTCTGAACCAGACCCCAGTAGACCAAACCAAAATGGAGTCACTCATGCTAAAGTTTCATGTCACCAAAGTGAAACTAAGTTATTTATCTGACCTTCTGGGAAATCAGGAGAGAGAAAGATAATAACCACATCTCCAAACAAGCCAGTTTTAGCCAGCTTGCTGAGGAAGTCCCCCCGCTTTAACTCTTACAAAGAAAATACCTTGAAGTAACCTGATGCTGACCAATCTGCCTTTGGTTTTTTTTTTTTTTTTTGAGACTGAGTCTCGTACTGTCACCCAGGCTGGAGTGCAGTGGCGCGATCTCGGCTCACTGCAACTTCTGCCTCCCGGGTTCAAGCAATTCTCCTGCCTCAGCCTCCGGAGTAGCTGGGATTACAGGCGCCCGCCACCACGCCCAGCTAATTTTTTGTATTTTTATTAGAGACGGGGTTTCAGCATGTTGGCCAGGATGGTCTTGATCTCCTGACCTCGTGATCCGCCCGCCTCGACCTCCCAAAGTGCTGGGATTACAGGCGGGGGCCACCGCTCCGGGCCTGCCTCTGGCTTTCTATTTCTGCCTTCTTCAGCCCTTTTTCTACCTATAAAGCCAATCTCTTCTGCTCAGCTTATCAAAGCACCTTTTCTAAATTTTTAGAGTAAATGCTGCCCTTATTCATGAATTGCTAATAAAAGCCAATTGGCTCATTTAACCAAATTATTTGCGATTTTGGCTTTTGACAGTTCTGATGATCTGTGAAGCAACCCGAAGGAGATTTCTGATGGCCCTTGAGGTCCCTAAGGAACACAGGCAAGACGCCACTGACTCCTGCTGGGTCCTCTCTTTCTCACAGAGCCCTGGGGTCATGAGTAGGTTCCTCTCAGGTCTGGGCTGCGTTGAGCCTAATCCTTTTGGCTTTTGTATCCAAGGTCCATTCGTGCTGTGAGAGAACACATGACCTTTAGATACTGATAGGGTTTGAATCTGTGTCCCCGCCCAAATCGCATGCAGAATTGTAATCTTCAGCGTTGGAGGTGGGGCCTAGTGGGAGGTGATTGGATCATGGGGGTGGATTTCTCATGAAGGGTTTAGCACCATCGCCTCTTGGTGCTGTTCTCATGATAGTGAGTGAGTTCTCATGAGATCTGGTTGTTTAAAAGAGGGTGGCACCTCCCCCTTCTCACTCTCTCTTGCTCCTGCTCCTGCCATGTAAGACATGCCTGCTCTCTGTTCACCTTCCGCCATGATTGTAAGCTTCCTGAGGCCCCCAGAAGCCAAGCAGATGCCAGCATCATGCTTCCTGTACAGCCTGCAGACCTGCAAGCCAATTAAACTTCTTTTCTTTATAAATTACCCAGTCTCATATATTTCTTTTTTAATATTACTTTTTTGGAGACAGTCTCTCTCTGTCACCCAGCTTGGAGTGCAGTGGCGCAATCTTGGTTCACCACAAACTCCACCTCCTGGGTTCAAGCGATTCTTGTCCCTCAGCCTCCCAAGTAGCTGCGATTATGGGCACGCGCCATCACGCCCAGCTAATTTTTGAATTTTTTTGTAGAGATGGGGTTTCACCATGTTGGCCAGGCTGGTCTCAAACTCCTGACCTCAAGTGATCCACCCACCTCAGCCTCCCAAAGTGCTGGGATTACAGGCAGGAACCACCATCCCTGGCCAGATACTTCTTTATAGCAATGTAAGAATGGACAATACAAGTACCAAGAATTCATTAGTGCTGTGAGGGGGCAAATGTCCTTTTGGGGTTTATGGTGACCAAGGGATCACTGACAAGTGCCAATGTTTAAAGGTAACTGGTGGCAGCTGCAGTAAGTGATAATTACTACTAGCTGGTGATTCCAGTTTTCAGACGTTTGCAGGGATTTGGGTTGTCTCCTCTGAATTAGGGAAAAAACTGGCTAAATTGTTCAAGGGACTCTCGGACTTGAACTGATGAGCACAGGAAGGGATCCTAAAAGCTCATAGAGTGCACGCCACCTACAAAGAGGCCTCCAGTGAAAGGTTCATAGAGTGGGTCAGTTTGACACTAGGTCACCCACAGCTTCAAGACAACTTCTTTTTTTTCTTTTTTGAAGCAAGATCTCGCCCTGCCGCCGAGGCTGGAGTGCAGTGGTGTGATCTGGGCTCACTGCAGGCTTGACCTCCCAGGCTCAAGCGATCCTCCCACCTCAGCCTCCCACGTAGCTGGGACTACAGGCACATGCCACCATGTCTGGCTAATTTTTCTTTTTTTTTTTTTTGTTAGAGATGGTGTCTCACCCTGTTCCCCAGGCTGGTCTCAAACACCTGGGCTCAAGCAATCCTCTCCCCTCGGCTTTTGAAAGGACTGGGATTATAAGTGTGAGCCACCACGCCTGGCAAGAAAATTTCTATGCAATAAGAAACACTGAAAACTTCAGATGACCCCACCCCCATATAATTCCCTGTTAGGCTTTTATTTTGGCTCTCAGAGACCCAAGATTGGATGTAAAAAATGGGATCCTTAATTTCCTTTTTTTTATTTTTTATTTTTTTGAGACAGCGTCTCACTCTATGACCCTAGCTGGAGTGCAGTGGGACTATCATGGCTACTGCAGCATGACCTCCCCAGGCTCAGGTGATCCTCCCACCGCAGCCTCCCGAGTAGCTGGCACTACAAGCATTCGCCACCATGCTTGGCTAATTTTTGTATTTTGTAGAGATGTGGACTCACCATGTTGTGCAGACTGGTCCCGAACTCTTGAGGCTCAAATGATCTGTCCTCCTCGGCCTCCCAAAGTGCTGGGATTACAAGCACGAGCCACCAGACCCGGTCCTTCCGTTTTTTCTTTTCTTTCTTTTATTTTTTAGAAACAGTCTTGCTCCGTCACCTAGGCTGAAATGTAGTGGTGCGTTCACAGCTCACTGTAACCTCAAACTCCTGGGGTCAAGTGATCCTCCCACTCAGCCTCCCAGAGTGCTGGGATTAGAGGCAGGAGGCACAAGACCGGGCCACATATCCTTGATATTTAAAGAACTGAGCACTCCACAGTCCTGCTATGTCTACCTTTTACATGGATAAGAATTATTGCCCTGGAAGCCCTTTTTTGTAGTTGTTGTTGGTTTTTTTTTCTTTTTTCTTTTTTTTTTTTTTTTGAGATGGAGTCTTGCTTTGTTGCCCAGGCTAGATTGCAGTGGTGCCATCTCTGCCCACTGCAACCTCCACCTCCTGGGTTCAAGTGATTCTCCTGCCTCAGCCTCCCAAGTAGCTGGGATTAGAGGTGCCTGCCACTGCACCCAGCTAATTTTTGTATTTTTAGTAGAAACGGGGTTTCACCATCTTGGTCAGGCTGGTCTCAAACTCCTGACCTCAAGTGATCCACCCGCCTTGGCCTCCCAAAGTGCTGGGATTAAAGTGTGAGTCACCACATCCGGCTGGAAGCCCATTTTTCATAAAGACTTAGAAAAATGATAAAATCTTACCCATTGATAATTGAGAATTACAGTGGTCATTATAAAGAACATTACAGTTGGACAAGATCATCCATCTAAGAAGTACATTTGAAAATGAGGAGTCCGGACACGTTGGGTGGTTCAAGTCCAGGCGCGGTGGCTCATGCCTGTAATCCCAGCACTTTGGGAGGCTGAGGAAGGCAGATCACCTGAGGTCAGGCGTTCAAGACCAGCCTGCCAACATGGTGAAACCCCATCTCTACTAAAAATAAAAAGATTAGCCAGGCACAGCGGTGGGCACCTGTAATCCCAGCTATTTGGGAGGCCGAAGCAGGAGAATCACTTGAACCCAGGAGGCAGAGGTTTCAGTGAGCCGAGATTGTGCCATTGCACTCCAGCCTGGGCGACAGAGCAAGACTCCATCTCAAAAAAAAAAAAAAAAGAAAGAAAGAAAAGAAAATGAGGGGCAGAGCATGGTGACTCATGCCTGTAGTCCCAGCTACTCAGAAGGCTGAGGTGGAAGGATCACTTGAGCCCAGGAGGTCGAGGCTGCAGTGAGCCATGATCAGGCCACCGCACTAGCCTGGACAACTGAGTGAGACCCTGCCTCAAAAAAAAAAAAAAAAAAAAAAGGAAAGAAAGAAAAGAAACGAAGTGCTCCCAAATTAGATTCACCCAGGGACAGCTATTTTATTTGTCATGCAGATCAAATAGCCAGGCATGGTGGTAGGCACCTGTAATCCCAGCTACTCAGGTGGCTGAGGCAGGAGAATCGCTTGAACCGGCGAGGCAGAGGTTACAGGGAGCCAAGATGGCGCCACTGCACTCCAGCCTGGGTGACAGAGCGAGACTTCATGTCAAAAAAAAAGTAAATAAGTAAAACAGCAGGACCCCCCCCCAAAATTTTTTTGCTTATTTAAAATACTCTTTTAAAAAGGCAAATAAGAATCTTAAGCAGGCTGGGTGTAATGGCTCATGCCTGTAATCCTAGCACTTCAGGAGGGAGGATTGCTTGAACCCAGGAGTTTGAGACCAGCCTGGGCAACATAGCAAGACCCTGCCTCTATAAAATATTAAAAAATTAGCCAGGTATGGTGGCATGTGCCTGTAGCCATAGGTACTCAGGAGGCTGAGGTGGGAGGATCACTTGAGCCCGGCAGTTCAAGGCTGCAGTGAGCTCTGATCATGCCACTGCACTCCAGCCTGGGCAACAAAGTGAGACCCTGTTTCTAAAACTAAAAATAAAAAAGAATCTTAAGCAACTAACTGATGAGAAAAAAAATGAGTTTATTTACTAACCTTTTGGCTTAGTGACCTTCCCCCCGCCCCAAGACTAATAGAACGCTAGATAAAGTGTTTATACAGGTTAGGCCACTAGGTCAAGAAAGCTTGCTTCTTTACTTTTCTGCTCTGGCCAAATTCCTGAGCTCAGAACCATCCATGCTGAGTCTAGGCAGAGGAAAAGCTTTGTCTGCCCTGTTTGTTAATGAGCTCTGCCCTGAACCCAACAATCTGGTTACAAAAAACAAAACTAGAGGCTAAACTGAAAAGCTTCCTATCTAACTAAATTATTATCCAAAATATGCCTTTCTTGGCCCTCAGCCAGTTATTTTGAAAATCGACATAACTCCTGGCTAACATGGTGAAACCCCGTCTCTACTAAAAATACAAAAAAAATTAGCCGGGCGTGGTGGCAGGTGCCTGTAATCCCAGCTACTCGGGAGAATGGCGGGAACCCGGGAGGTGGAACTTGCAGTGAGTCGAGATCGCGCCACTGCACTCCAGCCTGGGCAACAGAGCGAGACTCCATCTCAAAAAAAAATAAAAAAGAAAATCGACGTAGCAAGCCTTACCTTTGCTGACCATCTTGTCTTAACTGGGCTTTTTACCCATACCCTTCTTTGTTTTGGCAAATGATGGTGTTTAGACCTAAAGTGTAAACTGTACTCCTTTAAGATATAAATTTTCTGCCCTTGTTTTACCTAAGAGCTATCCCGTTGGAAATGCAAATGTAGGGAGGAAAAGTTTTAGATGCTGATTGAAAATGTGCCAGGCCATGCGCAATGGCTGCCTGTAATCCCAACACTTTGGGCAGCCAAGGCGGGAGGATTGTTTGAGCCCAGGAGTTTGAGACCAGCCTGGGCAACATGGTAAGACCCCATCTCTACAAAAAATTTTAAAATGAGCTGAGCGTAGTGGTGCATGCCTGTAGTCCCAGCTACTCTGGGGACTGAGGTCAAAGGATCACCTGAACCCAAGAGGTCAAGCCTGCACTAAACCCAGATTGTGCCACTGCACTCCAACCTAAGTGACAGAGTGAGACCCTGTCTCAAAAAAAAAAAAAGGGGCTAAATAAAACAGACGTTAATGAGGTTGAAACCAAGGTCTAATCTACCAAATGTTGGGCATGCCAGAGGGACCTCCTGCCAGGTCCCCAACATTACAGAGCCCCAAACCAGTCTGCTCTATTGATCCCAGTTTGGAGAAATTTTAAAAAACAGAAGAAAAAGATTACAATGAAAAGTCTAATCTGAAATTACTTAGGGCAATCATCAGGCAGGTCACTAGAGATAAGGATTGAAAATGGGGCAGGGATCTTTGATTCGGCCCCTGCTAGAGTGAGTAAGGCAGTCAGGTGGTGAAGACAAGACATCTGTAGACCAATTGTTTGATAGAAAAGTAAGTCAATTGAAAGATTGGTAGTCTGCAGGCAGAGGGTACTGTTTAGGAATAGGCAAATGAAAAACCTTAATGTTTCCACAGAAACACCCTCATAAAAAGAAAAAGAGAGGCTGGGTGCGGTGGCTCACGCCTGTAATCCCAGCACTTCAGGAGGCTGAGGTGGGAGGGTTACCTGAGGTCAGGAGTTCGAGACCAGCCTGGCCAACATGCTGAAACCCCGTCTCTACTAAAAATACAAAAAAAATTAGCTGAATGTGGTGATCCATGCCTGTAATCTCCTGCTGAGGCAGGAGAATCGCTTGAACCCATGAGGCAGAGGTTGCAGCAAGCCGAGATCGCACCACTGCACTCCAGCCTAGATGGCAGAGTGAGACCCCATCTAAAAAGAAAAAAAAAAAAGAGAAAAACCTTAATGAAAACTATAGATCCTTGCATCTGTCTGCATGTAAGCTCTTGAAAGTGCAGAAATGGACACAAATGCTTTTGAATTCACATAACTTGGAATCTTTGGTAAATAAGACGAGTTTAATATTGTTGGTTTAATAATAAACAGAGGGCCCAGCATGGTGGCTCATGCCTGTAATCCCAGCACTTTGGGAGGCCAAGGCTGGCAGATTGCTTGAGTCCATGAGTTTGAGACCAGCCTGGGCAACATAGTGAGACCTTCATCTCTACAAAAAATAGAAAAAATGAGCCAGGCATGGTGGCACATACTTATAGTCCCAGCTACTCGGGAGGCTGAGGTGGGAGGATGACCTGAACCCGGGCGGTCGAGGCTGCAGTGAGCCATGATTGTGCCCCTTTACTCCATCCAGCCTGGGTGACAAAGTGAGACTCTGTCTCTAATAATAATAATAAAAATAATAATAAAGAGCTCAGTCTTCTGAGTTATCAGCAAAATCCATGTATTTAACTTTTTGGTTCTTGCTTTGGGGACGACTGCTTAACGTGCATGTGCTGTAGAAATAGTTAACAGGGAAGGCCGGGCACAGTGGCTCACACCTGTAATCCCAGCACTTTGGGAGACTGAGGCGGGCAGATCACCTGAGGTCAGGAGTTCGAGACCAGCCTGGCCAATATGGTGAAACCCCGCCTCTATTAAAAATACAAAAAAATGGGGCCAGGCACGGTGGCTCATGCCTGTAATCCCAGCACTTCGGGAGGCTGAGGCAGGTGGATCATGAGGTCAAGAGCTCGAGACCATCCTGGCCAACATGGTGAAACCCCGTCTCTACTAAAAAAAAATACAAAAATTAGCTGGGCGCAGTGGCTCACACCTGTAATCCCAGCACTTTGGGAGGCCGAGGCAGGCGGATCACGAGGTCAAGAGATCAAGACCATCCTGGCCAACATGGTGAAACCCTGTCTCTACTAAAAATATTAAAATTAGCTAGGCGTGGTGGCACATGCCTGTAGTCTCAGATTCTCGTGAGGCTGAGATGGGAGGGTCACCTGAGCCCGGGAGGTGGAGGTTGCAGTGAGCTATGATGGCACCACTGCCATCCTGGAAGACAGGGTGAAACCCTATCTCAAAAAAGAAAAAAAAATTTTACTTTGGGAATAACAGGTTAGTTTGGGCCTAAGTCATATTAAATGTCATACATATTAAATGTATATTGTGCTTAACTCTCCACCTCTGCATCAGCCTCTCTCGTCAAAGAAGCATATTCCAAAGACTGAAATGAGCACTTGCCTGACCTCATGGCCAGGGTGGAGGAATGACCTCAAAAACCCTTTCCACTGGTATCCTGGGACCTGAAGCTTTACAGATCATTTAGAAAGAAATATCTGCATTCCAGATTTCTGTACGGAACACCTGAGATTTCCTTTCTAGTCCTACCACCAATGCATTCGAAATTAGTGGCTGGCCTGAAGACCTAATCTTGAAATGCAGCAATGCCCCTTTAATTTAACAAATCTCGGCCGGGTGCAGTGGTTCATGCCTGTAATCCCAGCACTTTGGGAGGCCGAGGCGGGCAGATCGCCTGAGGTCAGGAGTTAGAGACCAGCCTGGCCAACGTGGTTGGCCCGTCTCTACTAATAATGCAAAAATTAGCTGGGCGTGGTGGCACACGCCTGTAATCCTAGCTACTCGGGAGGCTGAGGCAGGAGAATTGCTTGGACCCAGGAGGCAGAGGTTGCAGTTAGCTGAGATCACACCATTGCACTCCAGCCTGGGCAACAAGAGCAAAACTCCATCTCAAAAAAAAAAAAAATTTTAACAAATCTCCTGTGATCACCAAAGTTCACCAAGGGCAGGATGGTTAATATTTGGATGGAACATGCTGCATTTTAGGAAAAACAGCTTTAAAACATTGGAATAAGTGTTCGCCTGGGTTCTGAGACCTGGCCAGTGCTCCTGGCATTGCTGACCAAGATTTTGTGAGTTGGGGTCGCTGTACCTTCTGGGGCTCAATTCCTGATCGGCACAACAAACATTTTGGACCAGGTAATTTCTAACTCTGGGATTACACTTCTCTCTATAATAGATACAGTTATGTATGATTATGGCAACTAAGACCAATATTCAAATTTTGGATTTCCTTCTGTTCTTTTATAAATATATCTATTTTCTTTTTTTTGAGATGGAGTCTCACTCTGTCACCCAGGCTGGAGTACAGTGGTGCAATCTTGGCTCAGTGCAACCTCCGCCTCCAGGGTTCAAGAGATTCTCCTGCCTCAGCCTCCTGAGTAGCTGGGATTATAGGTGCCCACCACTACACCCAGCTAATTTTTTGCATTTTTAGTAGAGACGGGGTTTCACCATGTTGGCCAGACTAGTCTGGATCTCCTGACCTCGTGATTCACCCACCTCGGCCTCCCAAAGTGCTGGGATTACAGGCGTGAGTCACTGTGCCTGGCCCTATTTTCTTGTTTTAATAAAAATTAATATCAATTCTGGATACTTACTTTGTGTTTATTAATTTATACCAGTAATATTTAGTTTTATTCTTATTAAAGGAGTAAAAACACTCAAAGATACATTGGCTAATTTGCATGATGAGAGTCTGCTCCCCCCTGCAATGAGGGACCGAGGTGAGTCACAGGAAGGGGACAAAACAAGAGCCCTATTGCAGGCAACATAGTGAGACTCCATCTCTACAAAAAGTTTAAAAAATCAGCTGGACATGGTGGCTCACACCTGTAATCCCAGCACTTTGGGAGGCTGAGGCAGGAGGATCACTTGAGGCCAGGCGTGGGAGGCTGCAGTGAGCTATGATCGCACCACTGCACTGCAGCCTGGAGAACAGGGTGAGACCCTGTGTGCGTAGCCCTCTGATCTGTAGAGGAAACTCCTGTAAGCAGTTGTATGTGCCCTTCCCATCTTTTTCCAGTAGATCAGTATACAAGAGCAGGCCTCGTTTCATTGTTTCACTTTATTGCGATTCGCAGCTACTGCATTTTTGTGATTTGAAGGTTTGTGGCAACATTGCATCAAGCAAGTCTATTGGTGCCATGGCATTCCAACAGCATGTGCTCACTTTGTGTCACATGTTGGTAATTCTTACAATATTTCAAACTTTTTTATTATTATTATATCTGTTGTGGTGATCTGTGATCAGTGATCTTTGATGTTACTATTGTAATTGTTTTGGGGTGCCACCAACTGTGCCCATATAAGATGGCAAATAATCCATGTTGTGGGTGTCCTGGGTGCTCCACTAACCGGCCATTAGCCCCCTGCCCAATGTCTCTCTCCCTCTCCTCCGGTCTCCGTACTCTCTGAGACACAACAATATGGAAATTAGGCCAATTAATAACCCTACCATGGCCTCTAAGTGTTCAAGTGAAAGGAAGATTCCCACAACTCTCACTTTAAATCAAAAGCTAGAAATGATGAAGCTGGGCCGGGCACGGTGGCTCAAGCCTGTAATCCCAGCACTTTGGGAGGTCGAGGCAGGTGGATCACAAGGTCAGGAGATAGAGACCATCCTGGATAACATGGTGAAACCCCATCTCTACTAAAAATACAAAAAATTAGCCGGGCGTGGTGGCGGGCGCCTGTAGTCCCAGCTGCTCGGGAGGCTGAGGCAGGAGAATGGCGTGAACCTGGGAGGTGGAGCTTGCAGTGAGCCGAGATCGCGCCACTGCACTCCAGCCTGGGAGACAAAGCAAGACTCCATCTCAAAAAAAAAAAAAAAAAAAAAGAAAGAAAAAAGAAGTGATGAAGGTTAGTGAGGAAGGCCTGATGAAAGCCAGGATCGACTGGAAGTGAGGCCTCCTGGCACCAGCCAAGCTGTAATGCAAAGGGAAAGTCATTGAAGGGAATTAAGTGCTGCTCCAGTGAACACACAAATAATAAGAAAGCAAAACAGCCTTATTGCTGATATGGAAAAAGTTTGAGTGGTCTAGATAGATCAAACCTGCCACAACATTCCCTTAAGCCAAAGCCTAATCCACAGCAAGATCCTACAACACTTCAATTCTGTGAAGGCTGAGAGAGGTGAGGAAGCTGCAGAAGAAAACTCTGAAACTAGCACAAGCTGGTTCATGAGGTTTAAGGAAAGAAGCCATTTCCATGGCGTAAAAGCTAATGGCGAAGCAGCAAGTGCTGATGTAGGAGCTACAGCAAGTTATCCAGAGCATCTAGCTAAGATCATTGATTAAGGTGGCAACACTAAACAGCAGATTTTCCATGTAGACAAAGCAGCCTCATAGACGGAAAAGATGCCATCTAGCATAGCTAAAGAGGAGAAGTCAATGCCTGGCTTCAAAGCTTCAAAGGACAACCTGAGATTTTTTTTTTTTTTTTTTTTGAGACAGAGTTTCGCTCTTTTTGCCCAGGCTGGATTGCAATAGCACGATCTCAGCTCACTGCAACCTCTGCCTCCTGGACTCAAGCGATTCTCCTGCCTCAGCCTCCCAAGTAACTGGGATTACAGGTGCATGCCACCACACCGGCTAATTTTTTATTTTTAAATTAGTAGAGACGGGGGCGGTTCACCATGTTGGTCAGGCTGGTCTCAAACTCCTGACCTCAGGTGATCCACTCACCTCGGCCTCCCAAAGTGCTGGAATTACAGACATGAGCCACTGCACCTGGCCTTTTATTTTATTTTATTTTTTGAGAGAGGGTCTCACTGTGTCACCCAGCCTGGAATGCAGTGGTGTGACCATGGCTTCCTGCAGCCTTGACCTCCTGGGTTCAAGTGATCCTCCTCCCTTATCTTCCCAAGTAGCTGGGACTACAGGCACACCACCACCACACCCGGCTAATTTTTTGTATTTTTTGCAGAGACAGAGTTTCACCATGTTGCCCAGGCTGGTCTCAAACTCAGTGAGCTGAAGCAATCTGCCCATCTCGGCCTCCCAAAGTGCTTAGGATTACAGGCTTGAGCCACGGTGCCCAGCCATGAAAGACTAATGTTGATTTTCAAGTCTTATTTGAGAAATGCATTTTGTAGGCTATAGCTGCCACGGATAGTGATTCCTCTGATGGATCTGGGCAAAGTAAATTGAAAACCTTCTGGAAAGGATTCACCATTCTAGATGCCATTAAGGACATTTGTATTCATGGGAGAAGGTCAAAATAGCAACACTGACAGGATTTTGGAAGTAGTTGATTTTGGAAGTAGTAGAACCCTCATGGGTGACTTCGAGAGGTTCAAGACTTCAGTGGAGAAAGTAATTGCTGATGTGGTGGAAATAGCAAGAGAACTAGAATTAGAAGTGGAGCCGGAAAATGTGACTGAATTGCTGCAGTCTCATTATAAAACTGTATGGAGGGCCGGGCGCAGTGGCTCACACCTGTAATCCCAGCACTTTGGGAGGCCGAGACAGGCGGATCACTTGAGGTCAGGAGTTTGAGACCAGCCTGGCCAACATGGTAAAACCCCATCTCTACCAAAAATATAAAAAGTTAGCCAGGTGTGGCGACAGGCGCCTGTAATCCCAGCTACTCAAGAGGCTGAGGCAGGAGAATCTCTCGAGCCTGGGAGGCGGAGGTTGCAGTGAGCCGAGATCGCGCTACTGGACTCCAGCCTGGGCAACACAGTGAGACTCTGTCTCAAAAAACAACAACAACCAAAAAAAAAAAAAAAAACAAACAACCTGTGTGGATGCCGAGCGCAGTGGCTTATGCCTGTAAAGCCAGCACATTGGGAGGCCAAGGTGGGTGGATCACTTGAGCTCAGGAGTTCGAAACTAGCCTAGGTAGCATGGTGAAACCCCATCTCTACAAAAAAAATACAAAAATTAACTGGGCATGGTGGTGCACGCCTGTAGTCCCAGCTACGTGGAAGGCTGAGGTGGGAGGATCTCTTGAGCCTGGGAGGCAGAGATTGTGGTGAGCCGAGATGGCGCCACTGCACTCCAGCCTGGGTGACAGAGGGAGACCCCAGTCTCAAAAAAACAAAAAACAAACAAACAAAAACTGTATGGATGAGGAGTTGCTTCTTATGGAATAAGCAAAGAAAGAGGCTTTTTTTTTGAAGCAGGATCTTGCAGTGGTGTGACTACAGCTCCCTGCAGCCTTGACCTCTTGGGTTCAAGTGATTCTCCTGCCTTAACCTCCCAAGTAGCTGGGACTACAGGCGCACCACCATCATTCCTGGCTAATTTTTTTATTTTTCATACAGACAGGGTCTCACTATGTTGCCCAGGCTACTCTCAAACTCCTGGGCCCAAGCAATCCTCCCGTCTCAGCCTCCCAAAGTGCTGGGATAACAGGCATGAGCCACTCTGCCTGGCCAAAAGTGGCTTCTTGAGATGAAATCTACTCCCAGGGAAGATGCTGTGAACACTGTTGAAACGACAACAAAGGATTTAGAGTATGACATAAATTTAGTTGATAAAGCTGTGACGGGGTTTGAGAGGATTGACTTCAATTTTGAAACAAAGTTGTACTGTGGATAAAATGCTATCAGACAGCATTGCATGTTAGAGAGAAATCTTTCACAAAAGGAAGAGTTCATCAATGTGGCAAACATTATTGTTGTCTAATTTTAAGAAATGGCCACAGCCACCCCAGACTTCAGCAGCCACCACCCTGATCAGTCAGCAGCCGTCAACAAGGCAAGACCCCCCCCAGCAGCAAAAAGATTGGGACTCACTGAAGATTCAAATGATCATTAGCATTTTTTAGCAATAAAGTATTTTTCATTAAGGTATGTACATTGTGGTTATTAGACATAATGTTACTTCACACTTAACAGATTACAGTATAGTGAAAACAATTTTTTTTCTGAGACAAGGTGTCTCTTTGTCATCCAGGATGGAGTGCATTGGTGCAGTCACAGCTGACTGTAGCCTCAAACTCCTGGGCTCAAGCGATCTTCCTGCCTCGGCCTCCTGAGTAGCTAGGACTGTAGGTGTGGACCACCACAACTGGCTAAGTTTTTCATTTTTTGTAGAGATGGGGTCCCACTACGTTGCCTAGGCTGGTCTTGAACAACTGGCCTCAAGTGATCCTTCCACCTTGGCCTCCCAAATTGTTGGGATTACAACCGTGAGCCACCACACCCAGCCAGTATAACTTTTATACGCTCTGGGAAACCAAAAAAAAAAAAATTGCGTGACTCACTTTATTACAATATTTGCTTTCTTGTGGTCATCTGGAACAGAACCTGCAATGTCTCTGAAGTATGCCTGTACGGAGACATATAGCAGTTATTTCATACTAATAAATGAGGCTGAGTTATTGTCGTACAGCTTTTTCACTGTACAGAAATTTTTCACTGTAAAATTTCTTTATCAGGGTGTAGAGATCTACCTGGCTCTTTTTCCCAAATGTATAGTTTTCCTTTCTTTTCTTTTCTTTTCTTTTTTCTTCTTTTTTTTTTTTTTATTTTTTTTTTGAGACGGAGTCCCGCTCTGTCGCCAGGCTAGAGTGTAGTGGTGCAGTCTCGGCTCACTGCAACCTCCACCTCCCGGGTTCAAGTGATTCTCCTGCCTCAGCCTCCTCAGTAGCTGGGACTACAGGCGCCCGCTACTGTAGTAGTCTGGCTACTTTTTTGCATTTTTAGTAGAGACGGGGTTTCACCATGTTGCCCAGGATGTTCTCGATCTCTTGACCTCAGGTGATCCACCCACCTCGGCCTCTCAAAGTGCTGGGATTACAGGCGTGAGCCACAGCTCCCAGCCCAGTTTTCTTATATAAACACGTCATAGGCTGGGTGCAGTGGCTCATGCCTGTAATCCCAGCACTTTGGGAGGCCAAGGCAGGCAGATCACCTGAGGTCAGGAGTTTGAGACCAGCCTGGCCAACATGGCGAAACCCCGTCTCTACTATAAATACAAAAATTAGCTGGACATGGTGGCGCATGCCTGTAATCCCAGCTACTAGTGGGGCTAAGGCAGGAGGATCACTTGAACCTGGGAGGCAGAGGTTGCTGTGAGCCAAGATTGTGCCATTGCACTCTACCCTAGGCAACAAGAGGGAAACTCTGTCTCAAAAAACAAAACAAAACAAAACAGGTCATAGTGAAATCAGGACTCATTTTCCCTAGTGATGAAGCTCTCCCTTAAAGATAAAATCAAGTGGCAAAAATTCTTTTTTGCATCATGCACCTAGTATTGGTGATTGTGCACATGTGCATGACACTTAGAAATGATGTTGTGGGGTCCAGGCGCGGTGGCTCACGCTTGTAATCCCAGCACTTTGGGAGGCCGAGGCAGGTGGATCACAAGGTCAGGGGTTTGAGACCAGCCTGGCCAATATGGTGAAACCCCTTCTCTACTAAAAATACAAAAATTAGCCAGGCGTGGTGGCATGTAGTCCCAGCTGCTCGGGAGGCTGAGGCAGAGGAGTTGCTTGAACCCAGGAGGCAGAGGTTACAGTGAGCCGATTGTGCCACTGCACTCCAGCCTGGGCAACAGAGCAAGACTCCGTCTCAAAAAAAAAAAAAATGATGTTGTGGGCCGGGTGTGGTGGCTCACGCCTGTAATCCCAGCACTTTGGAAGGCCGAGGCGGGTGGATCACCTGAGGTCAGGAGTTCGAGACCAGCCTGACCAACATGGTGAAACCCCGTCTCTACTAAAAATACAAAAATTAGCTGGGCGTGGTGGCAGGCGCCTATAATCCCAGCTACTTGGGAGGCTGAGGCAGGAGAATCGCTTGAACCCGGGAGGCGGAGGTCGCAGTAAGCCGAGATCGCGCCATTGCACTCCAGCCTGGGGGGACAAGAGCAAGACTTCATCTCAAAAAAAAAAAAAAGAAAGAAAGAAATGATGCCGTGACAGCTCTCCAGAGGAAACTGCTGTTAACAGCTGCTATGTGTCCTTCCAGTCTTTTTTTCTTTTTCCAGGCTGTGGCGTGCAAATAGAAAAGTATACAAATACATACATACATACAGAGAAATACATCATAGTGTCTGTGTAGTCACGAAAGCAGAATCGTGGTTGGATTTTGATAGGTGTTGCCAAGTTGCCTTCCAAAAAGGCCACACCTCCAATTCCCCACTTCTCCACCCTCCCTTACATTGGCAAGTGTCAATGGTTTTAAATTTTAAAAGCCTAAGTTGGAAAAATGTTCTAATTTACACCTTCCTGGTTGCCAAGAGGATCAGTCATTTTAGTGTAGTTTATTAGCCATTAACATTACTTGTGCTATGCATTGCCTATTCATGTGATGGCCAGTTTCTCTTTTTTTTTTGTCTTATTGATTTGCAATCAATAATCTATAATCACTCTGGAAATTAACCTTTTGACTGTTAAACATGTTGCAAATATATTTCCCAGGGTAGAACTTTCTCTTCGGCTTAGTTTTCCTAACAGTTTTGCTACTTCCTTTTCATTCACCATCACGTTAGCAAACATTAACTATAATGTCATCATCTCACTTCAAGAAAAAACAAAAGAAAAACTAAGTTCCTAATTTGCTCTCATTTTTAAATACTAAGTAGGTTCTCTTATGTCTGAATATGAAACATTCATGTAAGTTAGCACTTCCTAAAAGCATTTCTTTTTTTTCTTTTTATCTTTTTTTTTTTTTTTTGAGATGGAGTCTCGCTCTGTCGCCCAGGCTGGAGTACAGTGGCGTGATCTCGGCTCACTGCAAGCTCCACCTCCCAGGTTCACGCCATTCTCCTGCCTCAGCCTCCCGAGTAACTGGGACTACAGGCGCCCGCCACCATGCCCGGCTAATGTTTTTGTATTTTTTAGTAGAGACGGGGTTTCTACATGTTAGCCAGGCTGGTCTCAATCTCCTGACCTCATGATCTGCCCGCCTCGGCCGCCCAAAGTGCTGGGATTACAAGGGTGAGCCACCGCGCCCGGCCCATTTTCTTTTCTTTTCTTTTCTTTTTTTTCTTTCCTATGAAAGGATTTCACTCTGTTGCCTAGGCTGGAGACCCGCAGTGCAATCACAGCTCACTGCAACCTCAACCTCCTGGGCTAAGTGATCCTCACACCTCAGCCTCTAGAATAGCTGGGACCACAGGTGTGCACCACCACACCTGGCTATTTTTATTTTTTGTAGAGGCAGGATCTTGGTGTGTTGCTCAGGCTGGTTTCAAACTCCCAAGCTCAAGTGATCCTCCCACCTTGGTCTCCCAAAGGCATGAGGCACTGTGCCCGGTCCTAAGACCGTTCATTCTTGGTCTCTAATGTATGTATTCTACGAGTGTATTATATTGACCTGATATACCTCGCAAACTATGATGTGTGGCCTCTTAATCTTGCAGAACCACAGTGACATGAGAGGGACAGGGGCTCCTCGGCACCTCTGGTGGCTAAACATTGGAAATTGTTGAAGAAACATATGGAAACTGCCTGCCATTATGTCTGCCTTCTAGCAGGACCTGAGCAAGTGACGGCTGTTATGCATGTTAATGTACATTTGATGTTGTATTTCCATGGGAACTTAGTTGTATGACTTTACCTCCTAAAATTCACAGGACAACTCAGTGGCATCTGAATCTGCACATACATCATTTCCTGCTGACATGCATATACACAATGGAGTACTATTCAGCCATAAAAAAGAATGAGATCCCGTGATTTGCAACAACATGGATGGAACTGGAGGTCATTGTGTTAATTAGAATAATCCAGGCATAGAAAGACAAACTGCATGTTCTCACTTATTTGTGTAAGCTAAAAATTAAAATGATTGAACTCATGGAGATAGAGAATAGAATGCCGGTTACCAGGCTGGGTGCAGTGGCTTATGCCTGTAATCCCCACACTTTGGGAAGCCAAGGTGGGCAGATTGCTTGAGCAACATGGGGGCAACATAGCAAAACCCCATCTCTACCAAAAAACAACAACAACAACAATAAGAAGTACCCAGGTGTGGTGGTGCACACCTATAGTCCCAGCTACTCAGGAGGCTGAGGTGGGAGGATAACTTGAGCCCAGGAAGTTGAGGGTGTAGTGAGCTGAGATGGTGCACTGTACTTCACCCTGGGCAACAGAGCAAGACTGTGTCTCAAAAAAAAACAAAAAAAAAAAAGAGAAAGAAATAGAAATAAAAATAAACAAATAACAAAAATAGTATAATTGGATTGTCTGTAACACAAAGAAAAGATAAATGCTTGAGGTGATGGATACCCCATTTACCCTGATGTGATCATTATGCATTATATATGTGTATCAAAATATCTTGGCTGGGCCCAGTGGCTCACGCCTGTAATCCCAGCACTTCGGGAGGCCAAGGCGGGAGGATCACCTGAGGTAAGGAGTTTGAGACCAGCCTGGCCAACACGGTGAAACCCTGTCTCTACTAAAACTACGAAAATTAGCTGGGTGTGGTGGCAGGTGCCTGTAGTCTCAGCTACTCGGGAGGCTGAGGCAGGAGAATTGCTTGAACCCAGGACGCAGAGGTTGCAGTGAGCCAAGATCGTGCCATTGCACTCCAACCTGGGCAATAAGAGTGAAACTCTGTCTCAAAAAAAAAAAAAAAAAATCTCATGTACCCCATACTATGTACCCACAAAAATTAAAAACAAAATTTCCTGCTGAGTTTCCTGAAATGTCCAGGCTGAGATGTTGGCAGTTAATAGATAAGAACAGCTTCCATAAGACATAAAATTGCCATTAGCTTAATTTTTTAAGGCCACTCAGGAAGACTGTATTTGGCACCACTGTCTTGGCACCATCGTTACCAGCAATAAGCTTAATGTGAGGACATGGCAGCTATAACTGCAAATGATTTCCTTGAAGGCAAATTGTGAACAGCATTTCTTGGAAAGTTGGCTTTCTAGAGCAACGTGGAAAGCTTCAGCTGACAAATGCAGAAGGGTCAGGAGCTGTGGAGAGCCTCTTTTTGCAGCTGCCTGCTGACCATGCCAGTCCGAGCCTGCCTGTCACCTTGGCCATCACAGTTGGAGCCACGAATGGGTCCAGTGGATGAGGCTGCCAACTGCAAGGCCATGGCACTCCCGCATCCTCACCACCGTGCTTACAGCTTGCTGAGCTGTCCTGTGTGTGCAGCTCCTCAGGTGCCCAGATGGTGGCTTCACATAGGTCATTTAATCTAACAACTCACCTGTTGGACAGTTGTGAGTCAGATGAGAAGGCTGAAGCTCAGAGCGGTTAAGTGACCTGCTTGGTCAGTGGTGGAGTGTAAATGCAAACCCCCAGTCTGTGCCCTTCTCTCCTGGCATCATTCTACTCTTCCCTATACACTGATGATTCTTTCCCTGCCCAGTGTGCTCCTTGGCACATTCATCTGGCCTTTCTTCTTCTTCTTTTTTTTTTTTTCCGAGACAGAGTCTCGCTCTGTTGCCCACGCTGCAGTGCAGTGGCGCGATCTCGGCTCACCACAACCTCCCCTCCCGGGTTCAAGCGATTCTCCTGCCTTAGCCTCTTGAGTAGCTGGGATTACAGGCATGCGCCACCATGCCTGGCTAATTTTTATATTTTTAATAGAGACAGGGTTTCACCATGTTGGTCAGGCTGGTCTTGAAACCCTGACCTCGTGATCTGCCTGCCTCAGCCTCTCAAAGTGCTGGGATTAGAAGACTTGACCCACCGCGCCTGGCCTATGTATGTATTTTTTAAGAGACAGGGTCTTGCTCTGTCATTCAGGGTGGAGTGCAGTGACACAGTCATGGCTCACTGCAGCCTCGAACTCCTAGGTTCAAATGATCCTCCCACTTCAGCCTCCTGATTAGCTGAGACTACAGGTGCACACCTCCACACCTGGCTTTTAAACAGCTTTTGTGAGGCCAGGCACGGTGGTTCACACCTGTAATCCCAGCACTTTGGGAGGCCAAGGCAGGTGGATCACCTGAGGTCAGGAGTTCGAGACCAGTCTGGCCAACATGGCGAAACCCTGTCTCCACTAAAAATACAAAAAAAAAAAAAAAATAGCCGGGCGTGGTGGTGGACGCCTGTAGTCCTAGCTACTTGGGAGGCTGAGGCATGAGAATCACTTGAACCTGGGCAGCGGAGGTTGCAGTGAGCCGAGATCGCGCCGCTGCACTCCAGCCTGGGCGATAGAGCAAGACTCTGTCTAAAAAACATAAATAAATACATTTTTAAAAAGTTTTTGTTTCTCACCATATTACCCAGGCTGGTCTGGAGCTCCTGGCTCCAGTGATTCTCCTGCTTCAGCCTCCCAAAGGGCTGGGATTACAGGTGGAGGACACCATGCCCAGCCTGGATATTGTTGACTTTGTGAGTAGTAACTACATACATAAAAGAGCACAAATCCTAAGTATACCGCCCACTGGATTTTCACCAAGTGAACACACCTGTGTAATCACACCCAGATCAAGAAACAGAACATTACCAACATTCCTGAAGCTCCCAGCCATTAGTCCCAGCTGCCAGCCCAGGGATAGCCACATACCTGGCCCTTAACACCATAGATTTGATGCACCTGGTTTTTGAACTTTATGTAAAGGTACAGTGTGTCTACCTCTTTTGTTCAACATTACGTAAAATTCATCCATATTGTGCATGTTGTTTTACACTTTTGTCTGACCGCCCTCCAGAGACAGGGTCTCCCTCTGTTGCCCAGGCTGGTCTTGAACTCCTAGGCTCAAGTGATCCTCCTGCCTCGGCTTCCCGAAGTGCTGTGATTACAGATGTGAGCCACCACACCCAGCCCATTCTCATTGCTTTTGTCCCACGTGTGAATATGCCACAAACGATCTATCCATTCCACTGTCGATGGGCATTTGGGTTATGAGAGACAGGCATTTATCCTGATGTTAAGACTGAAGAAAACTGACACCCAAAAAGATTGAGCAGTTTGGCCAAGGACCCAGAGTAACGATTTGAATCCAGCTCTTCACATCATACCACAGCATCTGCCATTACCTCCTAGATAAATTCAGAAAGTGCATGGAGCTAAATCTCTTGGCCGGGCATGGTGGCTCATGCCTGTAAGCAATCTCAGCACTTTGAGAGGCTGGGGTGGGTGGATCACTTGAGATCAGGAGTTTGAGACCAGCCTGGCCAACATGGTGAAACCCCGTCTCCACTAAAATTACCAAAAAAAAAAAAAAAAAAAAAAAAAAAAAAAAATTCGCTGAGCATGGCGGTGTGCGCCTCTAGTCCCAGCTACTCGGGAGGCTGAGGCACGAGAATCGCTTGAACCTGGGTGGCGGAGGTTGCAGTGAGCTGAGATCACACCACTGTACTCCAGCCTGGGTGACAGAGGGAGACCCTGTCTCAAACAAAACACAACACAACCAAACAAAAAACTCTCTTTACCTCTCAGATACTCAGATTAGGTGGAAAGCAGAGTAGGAGTTTCTGTTAAATTAACTCTACATGTTATATGTAGACTTCAACAATGATTTCAAGCCTCTGGATGCCATCAGGTAAATTTGTGCCCTGCTGGACTTTTGTGGAGTTGACAGCCTTCCAACATCACCACCTATTCTGGCAGCTTAGAGACAACTCAGGGCTTGGCGTACTGCAACTCTCTTCTGACACTAACCACCCACGTGATGAGCATCAGACTCCACAGCGTTAAGGACGTGGGCCCTAATAAGACTTCCGTACTGCAGACACCACCCACAAGCGGGGTCCCCAGGACATCTGCACTTCTGACGGACTGGGTACAAATCTGGGAGATGCCCAGGATCCCCATCAGGCTTGATAGTTCACTAAAATGACTCACAGAACTCAGGAAAGCACTACACATACAATGACAGTTTAATTACAAACGATACAACAAGAACAGCCACGTGGGGAGCCACGGAGGGAGAGGCGGGGACTCCTGGATGCGGAGCTTCCCAGCCCTCTCCCTGTGGAATTGGGATGCAGCGCCCTCCTGGCACACTGATGTGCTAACCAACCTGGAAGCTCCACCGAGCTTGGGGTTGCACCGTGTAGGCGTGATTGAACGATGGCCACCTGATTGCACATGCTCTACAGCCCCTCGCCTCTGCGGAGTTCCGGCTGGCTCAAACCCCAGCCCTCCAATCACACCGTTGGTCTTTCTAGGACCAGCCCCATCCTGAATCATCTGCCTTCAGCATACACTCAGGTCGTTTCAAAGGGGCCCACGAATAACAAAGACATCCTATTACTGAGAAAATTCTGAAGATTTAGAGACTCCCTCCCACAAACAAGGGATAGCAAATTGTTTTTTGTTTTTGAGACGGAGTTTCGCTCTGTTGCCAGGCTGGGGTGCAGTGGTGTGATCTCAGCTCACTGCATCCTCCGACTCCCTGGTTTGAGCAATTCTCCTGCCTCAGCATCCCGAGTAGCTGGGATTACAGGCACCCGCCACCACACCCAACCAATTTTTTTGTATTTTTAGTAGAGACGGGGTTTCACCACGTTGGCCAGGATGGTCTTGATTTCCTGACCATGTGATCCACCCGCCTCAGCCTCCCAAAGTGCTGGGATTACAGGTTTGAGTCACCGCGCCTGGCCGGCAAATTGTGTTTTATACAATGTTATGTCTCATAGGGTTTGTCCTATCATGGGACCACCCTGGTGTCATTTTTTCTAGCGGAAGTGCCTGAGCCTCACTCAGTGGGTCTGGTTATGCTTGTTGTTCTTGACGGACCTGCCTCCCCACCCAAATTCACATGTGGCATTCCCAGCCCTAGTACCCCACTGTGTGATTGTATTTGGAGACGGGGCTTTAAAGAGATAAGTAAGGTAAAATGAGATCATGTGAGCGGGTAGTCCAGTGTAGCTGGTGGCCTTGTAAGCAGGGGCGATTAGGACACAGACACCACACAGATCCAAGGGTGACTGTGTGAGGAACAGCAAGAAGGTGCCAGCTGCAAACCGAGGGCAGAGGCCTCGGGAAAAACCGACCTGCCGAGACCTTTCTCTTTTACTTCCA
The DNA here is from genome assembly GCF_000001405.40 of Homo sapiens. Lineage (NCBI taxonomy): Eukaryota > Metazoa > Chordata > Mammalia > Primates > Hominidae > Homo > Homo sapiens. The sequence continues at coordinate 127,905,356 of NC_000002.12, read as the reverse complement.
GTTTCAGCACAGTGAAAAAAATAAATTTCTGCTGGTTAAACCACAGTAGCAAATGAATACACCTGTCAGATCCAACATCAGTGTTTTCCTGTCAGCTTGCCTAATATTTGCCAGATGCTGTGAGCCCAGCACTGGGTGCCTATGAACACCAGCTCAGCTTGGGTTCGGGAGCGCTGCCCTCCCACGGGGCCATGAGTTGGATCACATCTCTCACGTTCCCCTGTTTTACCTCCGCTTTCACTGGGCTTTTTTGGTTTTACTTTTTTTCACTGTCCGTAGACAGCTACTCCCTCCAATTAGTTGGACTACTCCACAATTTGCTTCTTTTTTTCTTTTTTTTGAGACAGAGTCTCACTCTGTCACCCAGGCTAGAGTGCAGCAGTGCAATCTTGGCTCACTGCAACCTCCGCCTCCCGGGTTCAAGCGATTCTCCTGCCTCAGCCTCCCGAGTAGCTGGGATTACAGGCACACACTACCAGCCCGGCTAATTTTTGTATTTTTTTTAGAGATGGGGTTTCACCATGTTGTCCAGGCTGGTCTTGAACTCCTGACCTCAGGTGATCCGCCTGCCTCAGCCTCCCAAAGTGCTGGGATTACAGGCGCGGGCCACCGAGCCCGGCCCCCACAATTTATTTCTAAGTGAAAGGAGCAAGTGGGGATTGTTGCCATCACCTGCCCTTGGCTTGTGCATGCACTGTCACATCCCCTGCCTCCAACTTAACTCCAGAGTCCGGAGCCCAGAGCACCCTGCTTCTCCTTCCAGAGTGCTGCAGGCTCTGGGCTCTTCTCATTCTGGCAGGAAGACAGGTTCTCATACAGGCACAGCATTTCTTCCTAGAGCACTTCCTTTTGTTTTTAGAGACAGGGTCTCACTCTCTTACCCAGTCTGGAGTGCAGTGGCACAATCATAGCTCACTGTAGCCTCGGACTCCTGGGCTCAAGCAATCCTCCCGAGTAGCTGGGACTATAGGCGCACACCACCACGCCTGGCTAATTTTTAAATTTTTTTGGAGAGATGAGGTCTTATTATTTTTCCCAGGCTGGTCTTGAACTTCTGGTCTCAAGTGATCCTCCTGCCTTGGCCTCCCAAAGTGCTGGGATTGCGGATGTGAGCCGTCATGCCTGGCAGAGCACTTCTTTTAACTTCTTTCTTTTTAAACTATTATAAATGTATGCCCATTATAGGAATTGAGAGGACAAATAAGTCTCTTAAAACCTTATGCAGGGATAAACACTAGTAATATCTTATCATCACTCATAGCAATAGAGCTGCTATTACTTGTTATGTGTGCAGCCAACACTGTTGTGATGTTCTGTCTCCATTACCATCTGTACCCATTTTTCAGGTGCGAATACTGAGACTTATTGTGGGGAACTGACTTGCCCCAAGTCATACAACTAATAAAATTGCAGAGATGGGACTTTGATCTTGGGTCTCCACAAAGCCCTTGTTTGTGGCCATTATTCTGTTTCCTTCTGTCTCTTTAAAATATGTAAATGGCCGGGCATGGTGGCTCACACCTGTAATCCCAGCACTTTGGGAGGCCAAGGCAGCCCGAGTGCTTGAGCCCAGGAGTTCAAGACCAGCCTGGGCAACATAGTGAAACCCCATCTTTACAAAAAATTTAAAAAATAGCCAGGTGTGGTGGCGCATGCCTGTGGTCCCAGCTACTCGAGAGGCTGAGATGGGAGGATCACTTGAACCTGGGAGGCAGAGGTTGCAGTGAGCCAAGATTGGCCACTTCAGCCTGGGAGACACAGCCAGATCCTGTCTTTAAAAAAATAAATAAATAAAAATAAAGTGTATATATGCCTTTTTTCTTTTCTTTTCTTTTCTTTTTTTTTTTTTGAGAAAGTCTTGCTCTGTCACCCAGGCTGGAATGCAGTGGCGTGATCTTGGCTCACTGCAACCTCCACCTCCCAGGTTCAAGCGATTCTCCTACCTCAGCCTCTCAAGTAGCTGGGATTACAGGCGCCGGCCACCACACACAGCTAATTTTTGTATTATTAGTAGAGACGGGGTTTCACCACGTTGGCCAGGCTGCTCTTGAACTCCTGACCTCAGGTGATCCGTCCGCCTCGGCCTCCCAAAGTACTGGGATTACAGGTGTGGGCCACCGTGCCCAGCCATATATGCCTTTTTTTATAGTTGTGATAAAACTGTACATAAATTTTTTTATTCTTTCTTGACTGAAACTTACATCAAAGACACAGTTTTCCATATCATGGAATGAGTCTTTCCAGCATAATTTTTGATGGCTGAATAAAGTGATGGAGGGAACACTTGTAATATCCTTGAGGGTTTTTTATTATGTTTTTTTCTTTGGGGCTTTATTCCTCTCTCTTTTGTTAGCTGACTCCTTTTCGGTTAAGGGGAAGCTCAGCCACATAGTTTTTCTTGAACTTGAGAGATTGTTTTGGGTGTATTCTGGGGTTCCCTTCTCATCCGGTAATAGCCAAGCCAACTTGAGAAATGGCTGGCAGGCAGAGTGGGGTGCACGCCGGGTGGCATCCTGTGCTGATGTGCCAGTGTCCACCCCAGGGGCTTTCAGAGTGACACGTGTGTCATTCCTCACTATGCCAGGACATCGGGCACCAGGCAAGTCTGCCCCAGCCACAAGCCATAGGAACCATTTCTCAGGAGCCCCCAGGTGCCAGAGAGCCAGAAGCCGCACCCTTCTCCTTCCTCCACTCAGGAGGCCTGACTGTTTTTTTTTTTGAGACATAGTCTCAGTATGTCGCCCAGGCTGGAGTGCAGTGGCGCGATCTCGGCTCAGTGCAACCTCCGACTCCTGGGTTCAAGCGATTCTCCTGCCTCAGCCTCCCAAATAGCTGGGATTACAGGCACCCACCACCACACCTAGCTAATTTTTGTATTTTTAGTAGAGACGGGGTTTCACTATGTTGGCCAGGCTGGTCTTGAACTCCTAACCTTGTGATCCACCCGCCTTGGCCTCCCAAAGTGCTGGGATTGCAGGTGTGAGCCACTGCGCCCGGCCTACTGTTGGGTATTCATATTTGGAGTCCACAGAAGATTTTTTTTGAAAAGAGGATTTTGCTGCTCAGGAGTTAAAAACCCTAAATTTTTTTTATTATTATACTTTAAGTTCTAGGGTACATGTGCACAACGTGCAGGTTTGTTACATATGTATACATGTGCCATGTTGGTGTGCTGCACCCATTAACTCATCGTTTACATTAGGTATATCTCCTAATGCTATCCCTCCCCCCTACCCCCACCCCACGACAGGCCCTGGTGTGTGATGTTCCCCACCCTGTGTCCAAGTGTTCTCATGTTCAATTCCCACCTATGAGTGAGAACATGCGGTGTTTGGTTAAATACCCTAAATTTAATCCAATTCCTTTATTCTACAAATGAGGAGACTGAGACCAGAGCTGGAAAGAGTCTTATTTGAAGGCAAAGCAGCAAAGCTCGGGCACAAATCCAGGCCTCCTGACGTGAAGGCCAGAGCTGTCTGTGCCAGAGCTGAAATTTCCCAGGAGTTCTAGAAGCAAGGCTTCCAGAGAGTGACTAGCATCGGCAGGCCCTGAGGATATGTTCTAAATAGAGCACTGGGGAAATTAAATGGGAGTGCAGAATTGGAGAGTCACAAGTCTAGAATGAGGGTCTCTTCTCCGTAGCGAACAGTGGCCATTTTCATTTCCAAAGCTGTCTTGGCCATCCTGGGCTGCTTTAACAAAATCCTGCAGACTGAATGGTCAAGCAACAGGCATTCGTTTCTTGCAGTTCTGGGGGCCAGCAATCCAAGATCAGGGCACTGGCCAACTTGGCTCTGCTGAGGACCCTCTTCCTGGCTTGCTGGCAGCAGCCTTCTCCCTGTGTCGTCACAGGGCAGGACTGGGGTGGGGATATCTCCCTTCCTCTTCTTTTTTTTTTTTTTTTTTTAGGTGGAATCTCACTTTGTTGCCTAGGCTAGGCTGGAGTGCAGTGGTTCAACCTCGGCTCACTGTAACCTCCGCCTCCCCGGTTCAAGCGATTCTCCTGCCTCAGCCTCCCAAGTAGCTGGGATTACAGATGCAAGCCACCATGCCTGGCTAATTTTGTATTTTTAGTAGAGACAGGGTTTTGCCATATTGGCCAGGCTGGTCTTGAACTCCTGACCTCGTGATCCACCCACCTTGACCTCCCAAAGTGCTGGTATTACAGGCATGAGCCACTGCACCCGGCCACTCCTTCCTCTTCTTATAAGGCTACAATCCTGTCAGATTAGAGCTCCACCCTGATGGCCTCATTTAACCTTAATTACCTCCTGAAGATCCTACCTCCAGATACAGTTGCACTAGGGTCTAGGGCTTTAACCGACAGATTGTGTGGTGCTGGGAGACACAATTCAGTCCATAACAGCAGCTCATGCTTCTCAAACCTTGGTGGCTTTAGAATCCCCTGGACAGGCCGGGCGCGGTGGCTCACACCTGTAATTCCAGCACTTTGGAAGGCCAAGGCAGGTGGATCGCTTGAGCCCAGGAGCTCAAGACCAGCCTGGGTGACATAGTGAGACCCTGTGTCTATATAAAATTATGTGTGTGTGTATATATATATATATATATATATATATATATACATAATATGTTTTTGCCATGCGCGGTGGCTCAAGTCTGTAATCCCAGCACTTTGGGAGGCCAAGGCGAGCAGATCACCTGAGGTTGGGAGTTCAAGACCAGCCTGGCCAACAAGTTGAAATCCCGTCTCTACTAAAAATACAAAAAAATTAGCCAGGCATGGTGGCATGTGCCTGTAATCCCAGCTATTCAGGAGGCTGAGGCAGGAGAATTGCTCGAACCCGGGAGGCGGAGGTTGCAGTGAGCCAAGATCATGCCACTGCACTCCAGCCTGGGCAACAGAGCAAAGCTCCATCTCAAAAAAAAAAAAAAAAAGGAAAGAATAATGATTACACATTGTTTTGAGCTCATGATCCTTGGCCGCAAGGATTAATAGTAGGGTGGCACCAGCCCAAGGTTACACAGGCAGTTGCTGCCTAGATGTCCCTGCAGAAGTATCTTTTGTGCAAGATCGCAACAGTCTTTGTGCAATGCTGTGGTTTTTGCAGTCTTTTTTCTTAAAAAAAAAAAAAAAATACAGATGAGGTCTCACCATGTTGGCCAGGCTGGTCTCATACTCTAGGCTTCAAGTGGTCCTCCCACCTTGGCTTCCCAAAGTGCTGGGATTACAGGCGTGAGCCACCACGCCCAGGCTTGCAGAGTCTTTCGTGATAGTTTTTGTTATCAGGCAGACAAGCTTGAACCCTCTCTTCATAGCCTTCTCTGATTCTATGTGTCAGGGTTTTCCAAAACACAGGTGACTTCATTTTTATCCTGACAACTTTCACAAAACTAAAATCGGTATTAATAAAAGAAAACATAATGTATCAATTTTTATAACCTTCTTTAAAAAAGCCTTTTGATTGATGACCAGGTGTGGTGGCTCACGCCTATAATCCCAGCACTTTGGGAGGCCGAGGCAGGCAGATCATCTGAGGTCAAGAGTTTGACACCAGCCTGGCCAACATGGTGAAATCTCATCTCTACTAAAAATACAAAAATTAGCCAGGCGTGGTGGCAGACGCCTATAGTCCCAGTTACTCTGGAGGCTGAGGCAGGAGAATCACTTGAACCCAGGAGGCAGAGGTTGCAGTGAGCCAAGATCATGCCACTGTGCTCCAGCCTGGGCAACAGAGCAAGACTCCATCTCAAAAAGCCTTTTGAATCAATGCATGAATGAACAAGCAGATGCTCAAACACATCTTCAATCTTGCCTCTTTTCCTGTAATAAAAGAATTCAAGGGGGGTATTTATTTATCTATTTATTTTGAAGCAGGGTCTCGCTTTGCCTCCCAAGCTGGAGTGCAGTGGTGCAATCATGGTTCACTGCAGCCTGGAAGTCCCAGACTCAAGCAAATCTCCCACCTCAGCATCCCCTGGTAGCTGAGACTACAGGTGCACACCACCACACCTAAATTTTCTGTAGAGATAAGGTCTCCCTATATGGCCTATGCTGGTCTCAAACTCCTGGGCTCAAGCTATCCTCCTGCCTAGGCCTCCGAAAGTGCTGGAATTACTGGGCTGTGCCGCACGCAGCACTAGCCAGGGTATTTATTTTTTTAGAATCGCTTCTTTTACAATTATGTGATAAGGTATTTAATTAGGATATCTCGGGACAGTTCCCTCCTCCTGCTAAGGTTCCTGAAATAGCTCAAGAAAAGTGTCCCTTTGTAACAAGAATTTGAGGAGTAACTGTCTGCTAAAGTAGTTGAAGTCTATGGGACTGAAGTATAAAATCCAGTGATATAGCTTGTTATAATACAGTAGTTTTAGGGGTGTCAAGGAGGAAAAACTTTTCCTTTCGTCTTAGGTTCAGTGTCTGTGGGCCTGTGGATTAAAATAACAAAAGGCAGATTAACAGGAGAAAAGGCACATAGTTTTGGTTTTGGGTTTTTGTTTTCTTGTTTGCTTGTTTTTTTGAGACGGAGTCTTACTCTGTTGCCAGGCTGGAGTGCAGTGGTGCGATCTCAGGTCACTGCAAACTCCACCTCCCGGGTTCATGCGATTCCCCTGCCTCAGCCTCCCAAGTAGCTGGGACTACAGGCGTGCGCCACCACACCCAGCTAATTTTTTGTATTTTAGTAGAGATGGGGTTTCACCATCTTGGCCAGGCTGGTCTCGAACTCCTGACCTTAGGTGATCCGCCTGCCTCGGCCTCCCAAAGTGCTGGGATTACAGGCGTGAGCCACTCCGCCCGGCAGCACATAGTTTTTATTATTACGTGTAGGGGAATTAACAGAAGTGAAACTCAAAGACGTGGTTATACTGGAGGCTTTATACCCTTTTAACAGAGGAGAGAGGATTTGGGCTTCAAAGATGATAAACTGTGGGAAAGTGACCAGGAAATAGATTGGGGAAGTTAAGGGCTATTTTAATAAGGTCTGTTTATTTAAACTCATCTTGGTGTTGACTTCCTGCCGTCAATGATAAGAGTTGCTCTGCTCTCCCTGGTACAAAGACGAGGCTGGGTGGCCCCACAATTTATATAGCTGCTCCTACCTGATACCGATGCAAGCTACATTTCTTTTGTTTTTCGCTAAGGTTTTTTGTTTTGTTTTGTTTTTGTTTTTTCACTTTTTATTTTGAAATAATTATGGATTCACTGAAAGTTGCAAAGAAACAGCATTTTCAGTTGGTCCCATGGACCAATCCACTTTCTCCCATTGGTTGTATTTTCCATAACTATATCAAAAGCAGGAAATTGACACTGGCAGAGATAGTGTGTATAGTTCAATGTCATTTCATCACGTAGGTAGATCAGGGTGACCACAACTGTGGTCAAAGATCTCCCTTGAGCAATGCCTTTATAGTCACACCTACACCCTCTTCTCCCTACCATCCCTAATTCCTGGCAACCACTAATCTGGTCTCCAAAAATTTTGTCCTTTCAAGAATGTTATATAAAGGCAATTACACCCTTTAGGTCAAAATGGGCTTTTTCACTCAGCATAATGCCCTTGAGATCCATCCAAGTTGTTGGGTTTATCAAGAGTTTATTCCTTCTTGTTGCTGAGTAGTATTCCATGGTGTGGATGTACTGGCTTGTTTAACAACTCACCTGTTGAAGGACATCTGGGCTCTTTCCAGTTTTCCACTATTGCAAATAAAGCTGCTATGAACAATTATGTAAGGGTTTCTGTGCAGACCTAAGTTTTCATTGCTTTGGGATAAGTGTCCAGAGGTGCAACTACCAGGTCATATTGTAGTATATGTTTAGGTTTTAAGAAAATGTTGGCTGGGCAAGGTGGCTCATGTCTGTAATCCCAGCATTTTGGGAGGCCAGTAGTTTGAGACCAGCCTGGGAAACATAGAGAGGCCTCATCTCTACTAAAAGTTAAAAAAAAAAGCCAGGTGTAGTGGTACACACCTGTAGTCCCACGTACTCGGGAGGCTGAGGCAGGAGGATTGCTTAAGCTCAGGAGTTCAAGGCTGCAGTGAGCTGTGATCAAGTCACTGTACTCCAGCCTAGGGGACAGATTGGGACCCTGTCTCAAAAAAAAAAAAAAGAAAAAAAAGACTGGGTGCAGTGGTTCACGCCTGTAATCCCAGCACTTTAGGAAGCTGAGGCATGCGGATTACCTGAGGTCAGGAGTTCCAGACCAGCCTGGCCAACATGGCGAAACCTCGTCTCTACTAAAAATACAAAAATTAGTCGGGCAAGGTGGCACACGCCTGTAATCCCAGTTACTCGTGAGGTTGAGGTAGAAGAATTGCTTGAACCCAGGAGACTGAGGTTGCAGTGAGCCCACATTGCACCACTGCACTCCTGGGCAACACAGTGAGACTCTGCTTCAAAAAAAAAAAAAACAAAGAAAGAAAGAAAAAGCCAAACAATTTTCCAAAAAGGTCGTACCGTCTTCCATTCCCATCAGCTGTCTATGAAGGATCGTTTCTGCACATCCTTGCCAACATTCAGTATTACCAAGGTTTATTTCAGCTGTTCTGAAAGATGTGTAGTAACATCTTAGTGTGATCTTAATTCGCATTTTGCTAATTACTAGTGATGCAACTTTTCACATGCTTAATTTCCTTCCATATGTCCTCTTCAGTGAAATGTCTCTGCAAGCCTTTTGTCCATTCTCTAATTGGATCACTTGTTTTTTTTACTGTCTTCAGAGTTCTTTATATATTGTAGATATGTGTCCTTTATCAGTATTTTCTCTGTAGCCTGTATTTTTGTCCTCTTTGAGGGACTTTCACAGAGCAAAAGTTTTGATGAGGTCCCACTCATAGTTTCATAGTTTTATTTTTTACATTTAAAGCTACAATCCATTTTGAATTTTTTTTTTTTTTTTTTGAGATGGATTCTCGCTGTGTCACCAGGCTATCTCGGCTCACTGCAACCTCTGCCTCCTGGGTTCAAGCAATTCTCCTGCCTCAGCCTCCCGAGTAGCTGGGACTAAAGGCACGCACCACCACACCCGGCTAATTTTCGGATTTTTAGTAGAAAAGGGGTTTCACCATGTTGGCCAGGCTGGTCTTAATCTCTTGACCTCGTGGTCTGCCCACCTCAGCCTCCCAAAGTGCTGGGATTACAGGCGTGAGCCACCACACCCAGCCCATTTTGAATTATTATAGAAAGTGTGAGGTTTAGGCCACAGTTTTTTTTTCCCTGTGGATTTCTAACTACTGCAGCATTATTTGTTGAAAAGACTCTCTTTTTGGTGGGGCGCAGTGGCTCACGCTTGTAATCCCAGCACTTTGGGAGGCTGAGGTGGGCGGATCACCTGAGGTTGGGAGTTTGAGACCAGCGTGGCCAACATGGTGAAACCCCATCTGTACTAAAAATACAAAAATTAGCCAGGCGTGGTGGCAGTGCCTGTAATCCCAGCTACTCGGGAGGCTGGGGCAGGAGAATCACTTGAACCTGGGAGGCGGAGTTTGCAGTGAGCTGAGATGGCGCCACTGCCCTCCAGCCTGGGCAACAAGAACGAAACTCCGTCTCAAAAAAAAGAAAAGAAAAGAAATCTCTTTTAGGCTGGGCACGGTGGCTCACGCCTGTAATCCCAGCACTTTGGGAGGCTAAGGTGGGCAGATCACAAGGTCAGGAGATTGAGACCATCGTGGCTAACATGGTGAAACCCTGTCTCTACTAAAAATACAAAAAATTAGGCGGGCATGGTGGCGGGCGCCTGTAGTCCCAGCTACGTGGAAGGCTGAGGCAGGAGAATCGCTTGAACCCGGGAGGCGGAGGTTGCAGTGAGCTGAGATCGTGCCACTGCACTCTAGCCTGGGCAACAGAGTGAGACTCCATCTCAAAAAAAAAAAAAGAATCTCTTTTCAACATTGAACAGTTTTTGCACCTTTATCAAAAAACAATTGGTGGCTGGGCGCAGTAGCTCATGCCTGTAATCCCAGCACTTTGGGAGGCCAAGGCAGGCGGATCACCTGAGGTCAGGAGTTCGAGACCAACCTAGCCAACATGGGAAAACCTTGTCTCAAAAAATAGAAAAAATAGCTGGGTGTGGTAGCGTACGACTATAGTCCCAGCTACTTGGGTGGTTGAGGCAGGACAATCACTTGAGCCCGGGAGGTATAGGTTGCAGCGAGCCGAGATCACGCCACTGCACTCTAGCCTGGGTGACAGAAGGAGAGTCCATCTCAAAACAAACAAACTACCTACCCTCCCACCACACTCCCCCCCAAAAAAAACCAATTGGCTGCACTAACATGGGCTCTCTCTGAGCCCTCTATTCTGTGATCTCTGTGTCTGTCCCTCAGCCAGTACCACATGGTCTTGCCTGCTATAGTTACAGAGTGAGCCTTAATATCAGGTAGAGTTAGTCCTCCCACTGTCTTTTTTTTTTCCAAAAATTTTTTTAGCTATTATAGTTTCCATGTCTTTCCACAGGAATTTTAGAATAGCTTTTCTTTTTTTTTTGAGATGGAGTTTCGCTCTTGTTGCCCAGGCTGAAGTGCAATGGCGCGATCTCGGCTCACTGCAACCTCCGCCTCCCAGGTTCAAGTGATTCTCCTGCCTCAGCCTTCTGAGTAGCTGGGATTACAGGTGCCCACCGCCATACCCGGCTAATTTTGTGTATTTTTAGTAGAGAGGGGTTTCACCATGTTGGCCAGGCTGGTCTCAAACTCCTGACCTCAGGTGATCTGCCTGCCTTGGCTTCCCGAAGTGCTGGGATTACAGGCATGAGCCACCATCCCCAGCCTAACAGATGCATTTTTAAAATGCTGAAGATGGTTTAGGAGAAAAAGTGTTTTGCAACTTGTAAAAGAAAGAAAAGATTTTTAAAATTCTATTTTAAAAGTAAAGTATGTATTCAACATGGAGCTGGAAATAGTTAGTGCAATATGACACAAAAAGAAAAAGAGAAGAAAGAAAAGAAAAGGAATACAGATTGGAAAGCAATAAAAAAATTGTCCCTGTTTGCAGATGATATGACCGTTCACATGAATATCCCAAGGAGTCTACAAAAAAACCTCCTAGAACTAATAAGTGAGTTCAGCAAGACTACAAGATACAGGCCGGGTACGGTGGCTCACGCCTGTAATCCCAGCATTTTGGGAGGCCAAGGCAGACAGATCACCTGGGCAGTACTCCAGCCTGGGCAACAAGAGCAAAACTCCGTCTCAAAAATAAATAAATAAATAGACCAGGTGCAGTGGCTCATGCCTGTAATCCCAGCACTTTGGGAGGCCGAGATGGGAAGATTACTTGAGGTCTGGAGTTCGAGGCCAGCCTGGCCAACGTGGTGAAACCCCATCTCTACTAAAAATACAAAAATTAGCCAAGCGCGGTAGTGCATGCCTGTAATCTCAGCTGCTTGGGAGGCTGAGGCAGGAAAATCACTTGAACCCGGGAGGTGAAGGTTGCAGTGAGCCAAGATCAGGCCACTGCACTCCAGCCTGGGTGATGGAGCAAGACTCTTGTCTCAAAAAAAAAAAAAAAAAGAAAAAGAAAAAAAAAGTAAAATAAAATAAGTTAAAAATATATCTGTTAAACATTTACTGAGCATGTACTCTGTGCACACCTCTATGCTGAGAGCTGAGGGGTGGAGGTGAATGATCTTCAGTTCATTTTGAAACAGCTCGCATTCCAGAAAGAGAAACAGACAAGGAAACACACAATAGCCCTCCTGGGAAATACCGGCCCCCAAGACAGTGAGTACAGGCTCCAGGTAGAGGCACGATGACTGCTCAAAGCAGCCTGTGCTCCCTCCTCCTTCCCGGTGGGTGGGGCAAGGGGTGGTGGGAAGATGGGCAGGGGACCTGCTGAGTGACCAGGCCATTCCTGTTGCCTCTACTGGGGGCAGCTCTTCCACACGAGCACAATGGATTACATGGTCTTGGAGGCCCAGAGCCTTATTTGTTTGGGGTTCTTCAAGTAGTGTAATTTAAAAAAATGAACAGAGGAAAACTCAGTTCCGTCTTGGGGGATTTTTAAGTCCTTCTTCTGAGTAGGGCAAGAGACAGAAATATGTAGTGAAGGTCTCGTGTCTAAATCGGGCAGCTGGCAGAAGCTGAGCTATTGTCGTCTCTTCACGGTGCTGAGTCAAAAATACCTCTGTGCTTAGAGGCTAGAAAAACCCGATTCATTCCCGGCGCAAACGGGACGACAGACCCAGGGCTGCATCACATGCCTGTGCTCTCCTGCCCTGCTCCGGGCGGACATGCCCTGTCCCCAGTGCTCTCCCGGGCCTTGCTTCCTATGGCTGGTGTTGGTCAGAAGAAAGACGTGTGTGGACTGGGATGTCTGGGCTTTCTGTTTCTCCACAGAAATGTATGCCAGGGTTCTAAGGCTCTACAGCTTAGGAACTCAATTTCTCCAGAAGTTAAGATCGCTGCCCTAAGAAGAAAATATTCCTGACATGTTCAGCCCATGGAATTCACCCATTTATTCACTCTTAGTCGAACAGCCTTGCTGTAGATCCATGGAGCTTCCCACTCTGACGTGTCCCACATGCATGGTGTGGTAGGAAAGCCTTCACGTATTTTTTTTTTTTTTTTTTTTGGAGATGGAGTCTCACTCTGTCGCCAGGCTGGAGTGCAGTGGCATGATCCCAGCTCACTGCAACCTCAGCCTCCTGGGTTCAAGTGATTCTCCTGCCTCAGCCTCCCGAGTAGCTGGGATTACAGGCATGTGCCACCACACTCAGCTAATTTTGTATTTTTAGTAGAGCCGAGGTTTCACCATGTTGGCCAGGCTGGTCTCGAACTCAGGTGATCTGCCCGCCTTGGCCTCCCAAAGTGTTGGGATTACAGACATGGGCCACCGTGCCCCACCAGCCTTCATGTATTCTGATGGGCGGGGGGAGACAGTGGGACCAGTGAGCCAGGAGTCCTGAGGCCACCAGGCAAACTTGGTGTCACCCTCAAGTCATTGGATGGTTTCTCTTTCTCTGTGTCTGTTCAGTGATTTCCATTCAAATGGTTACTCTGTGTTGCCTCCAGAAGCCTCAAAGCTTAGTGTGGCTGTCCTCTATATGCATCATGTCCATGCCTGCAGTTTGTACCTCTCACAGCCTCTTCCTTCTGGGTCCCAGGTCCTTGCTCTTCTTCTGGGGTTAGATGTCAATTGTTTATTCGGTCTCATCGTTGCCCCATCGCGTCTGCACATCAAGGCCTCCTACCAAAAAAGTGAGGGAGAATAAAACAGTCTTTTGTTCTCATTTGTTTCCTTCTCTGAACTTAAAACTCACTATATTGAGAGTCCTTGCAACATGTGTTGCAGGAGTCTACAACTACATTTCCCAGATACTCTCACCACTTGAGTTCCTTTTAGATTCCGCCAGTGGGAGGTGCTGGGGAAAGACCAGACGGTAGAAGGAGAAAAAAAAAAGACATCTCCTCCTGATTTCAGCAACGATGGCACCCCTCCAGCAAGTGCAGGAAGTTCCAGCTCCCCACTTCTCAGGCTCTTTGACACCGGCCCAAGGGCACCCCTTAAGAGTTCTCAGCAGCAGCCCCATGGTGACCTGTCCTCCCAAGCTCCCGGGTGCTAGTAATGCTAATTCTTCCTTTTTGTTCTCTCAGCCCTAAGGGTGCTAGCTCCTTCCTACAGTTGCTCATTTTTGGGTTACCTCAACATCTGCTTCATTCTTTTAGCCTTCTAACCATGTGACCAAAAATCTCCTTTTGTTTGCAATGCCTGGTGTGGTTTTTCTTTCCTGAACCCTAACTGATACAGTACTTGGAATCAGAATTAGAGTTTATTTAAAACCTTCTGGAACACATACGATTTTCAGATGAATCTAAGGTACTTACCACTTCCTGCTCATTGGGTCCATTCAACAACATGGCACCAATGTAATGAATCAATGTGATATTCTGTGGGATGTCAGGAGGCTTAAAGTCTCTGCAGGTAAGATTATGGTGGACAGAAGGGTATGTAGCATAGCCCTGAGGCTAGACAAAGTGCATTGCTATCTCTGAAATAACTCCTTGTAGACTGGACCCTGGTAGATACAAGTATCTTTATTTATTTACTTATTTTTATAGAGACAGTGTCTCACTATGTTGTCCAGGCTAGTCTCAAGCTCCTGGCCTCAAGCAATCCTCCCGCCTCAACCTCCCAAAGTGCTGGGATTACAGGCATGAGCCACCATGCTAGGCTCAACATCTTTTTTTTTTTTTTTTTGAGACGGAATTTCGCTCTCTCGCCCAGGCTGGAGTGAAGGGGCGCAATCTTGGCTCACCGCAACCTTGGCCCCCTGGGTTCAAGCGATTCTCTTGCCTCAGCCTCCCAAGCAGCTGGGATTACAGGCATGGGCCACCATGCCTGGCTAATTTTTGTATTTTTAGTAGAGATGGCATTTTGCCATGTTGGCCAGGCTGGTCTTGACTCCTGACCTCAGGTGATATACCCGTCTCGACCTCCCAAAGTGCTAGGATTACAGGCGTGAGCCACCGCGCCCAGCCTTGGCCCAACATCTTTAATCATGAAAATCTGAGAGTGAGCTACATTTAGTGTGCATGAAGGAACCATATTTTTCCTACCTTCCATCTCAATCCCCTCACTGAGGTTGTAAAACAACAGGAGATCTTGTAAAAAGCTTAAATCTCTAGATTCAGGGAAGAGAACAAGATTGCTTTAAAAATAATGCCGGACAAACAAATTGTGGCATATTGTTCAATGTGTATTGAATGGCATAGTATTCTGTGCATCAAAGAAAAAGAATGAACTATAGTTGCACATAAGCAAAGGGATGAATTTCCTGGACATAATGTTGAACGAAACAGACCAGACCCAAAGGAGTATGTACTGGATGAGTCGATTTGAATGTCCGTGAATTCAAGAGCAGGCAAAACTATCCCACAGTGATAGAAGTCAAAATAATGGGTATCTTTTGGAGGGGATTAGGAACGGGGAGAAGGCACAAGAGAACCTTCTGAGCTGCTAGAAATATTCCACATCTTAAATTGGATGATGGTTACATGGATGGACACTAATGTAAGAATTGGTCAAGCTGTATACTTGAGCTGTGTGAATTCTAAACATGTATGTCCTCTCTCAATAAAAAAGCAATATAAAATGCTTGGTTACAGAGTAGCCATTTAGAGAGTATTTGTAGAATAAATGAATACGTGACTTGAGCTCTCCAACTCTGTTGCATTTATTTCATTGGTAGTACTAGTTTTTTTTTTTTTTTTTTTTTTTGAGACAGAGTCTGGCTCTGTTGCCCAGGCTGGGGTGCAGTGGCGTGATCTTGGCTCACTGCAAGCTCCACCTCCTGGGTTCACGCCATTCTCCTGCCTCGGCCTCCCGAGTAGCTGGGACTACAGGCAACCGCCACCATGCCTGGCTAATTTTTTGTATTTTTGGTAGAGACGGGGTTTCACTGTGTTAGCCAGGATGGTCTCAATCTCCTGACCTTGTGATCCGCCCGCTTCGGCCTCCCAAAGTGCTGGGATTACAGGCATGAGCCACTGCGCCCGGCTGCTAGTACCAAAAGTTTAGAACTTTTTAAATGTTAAATTCTACACCCAAGTGACATACAAAGTTTAAAACACATCTTCTCAGGCTGGGCGCAGTGGCTAATGCCTGCAATCCCAACACTTTGGGAAGCCAAGGTGGGAGGACTGCTTGAGCCCAGGAGTTTGGAGACCAGTCTGGGCAACATAAGGAGACTCCATTTTCTACAAAAATTAGCTGGGTGTGGTCGTGCGTACCTGTGATCTCAGCTATTTGGGAGGCTGAGACAGGAGGACTGCTTGAGCCAAGGAGGTAAAGGGTGCAGTGAGCTATGGTCGTGCTGCCACTGCACTGCAGCCACACTCCAGCCTGGGCAACAAAGCAAAACCCTGTCTCAGAAAAAAAAAAAAAAGAAAGAAAACCTTCTGAGTAATGTGGCTTAACAAACAAAACACTAGAGGGCTTATTTATTTAAACTACTTTATACCTCTGAAATATTCAACCCAGGTAGACAACTGTATATACAAAGATTTGTTTTCATCAGATAAGTACCGATCATACCTTTGACGTGCCCAAGTGGACACAGCGGCGGAGGACACACAGGAGACAGGGGCCATCTCTGGAGTCTCTCTGGGCCTGCCTTTTGTGAAGGGGAGAGCACAGATGCAGACCAAGGCCAGACTCACTTCCAGTTGAGAAATGGGACAAATGGGACAGATAAAATCTACATCACCCACCAAGATCCTGTCTGAAACCTTATTTCATTCCTACTAGTTAGCAAATGCCTTTAGCTCATCATTGATTGCTCACAAAAGGAGCAAATCCAGAAGAATGTGTATGCCCAGTATACAGGCTAACTTCATGCTGATCTCAACATTCTAATGCTCACGAGGCTCAGTTACTGAGCATTTTCACCACACCAATCTGATAAGGTTTATAATGTACAGACTTATTGGTATTTAAATCTCATAACATCCCTATGAGGCAGGAATGCTATAATCCCCATTTTACAGATAATAAGCCTGAGTCACTGATATAACTTGTTCACAGGTATTCAGTCAGGGCTGGGATTTGGACCTATGCAGGCTGATTCCACAGTGGACTCTTAACCATTACTACATATTCTTTTTTTTTTTTTTTTTTTTTTGAGATGGAGTTTCGCTCTTGTTGCCCAGGCTGGATGGAGTGCAATGGCGCGATCTCAGCTCACCGCAAACTCTGCCTCCCAGGTTCAAGCAATTCTCCTGCCTCAGCCTCCCGAGTAGCTGGAATTACAGGTATGCACCACCACGCCCGGCTAATTTTGTATTTTTAGTAGAGACGGGGTTTCTCCATGTTGAGGCTGGTCTCGAACTCCTGACCTCAGGTGATCCTCCTGCCTCGGCCTCCCAAAGTGCTGGGATTACAGGCGTGAGCCACCGCGCCCGGCCATTACTACATATTCTTAACCAACCGAGATAAGAAATAATAAAAGTTGTACATAAGGGAGGCAGACAATTTGTTTTGGGGTATTCTGATGAGTGGTATAGCTATGTCACAGCAGATTGGGGTGACATTTGAGGATCATGCAGAAGCCTTGAACCACCCAGCGTCTCTGCAGTTCTCCTTTCCCAAGTATATTATCTGCCCGCTGCTTGCTGGTTTCCATCTTCGTTTATTCAGTTGAGCCACAAATAATTGTATGCCTATTACATACCAGGTTTCTGTATTATGTACAGGAAATGAGAAGATAAATAAGAGACAGCCTCTTCCATATTTATGGCATATACTGCCCTCATTTTAGTTTCTTCCTCCTGTTCATAATTTCATTGTTTGTTTTTGCATCAGTTCAAACTGTTGCTTGCTTATGTGAGGTGACCTCAAAGTGACTTTTTGAAAGTCCTGACCCTTTGCCTTTCAACATCATTTAAGAACAGCAATAGCATCTGGATCTTCTCAGTAAAATGCCTTTTCAACAGCTCAAAGCAAGGCTTGTTTTTGTTTTAATTTGGGAATGTTTCAAGTGAAACTTAGTTCCATCATTTAATTCCTGGCAGCCCAATAACGAGGGGGCAATAACTCCCTTATCTGTGGGCTATTTAATGACTATATAGTACCATCCTGGGAGCAATAGACTAAGGCCTTCTTCCAGATGCCATGTTTTAAGGTTTTCAGCTGGAAAGACCGTCACTCCGTAAAATTTATTTTGATTATTTTAAGTCAGGATTTGGCCTTCTTATTCAGAAACAAAAAGAAAAAAACTGGCCCCTGGCTTTCTGCCTCCTGCACTTCTGGCTCTAGGCCATATGATCATCTAATTTCTAGTTTTTCAGGCAGACAGAGAAGGTTAGAAACTGGCAACCGTGTCCTCAACAGCAGATAAGCGTATCAAGTCTGTAACAGGAATTAAGAAGACTGCTATAGAATTTTTTTTTTAAGTCACCTCCTGTTTCACAAAGCATAGCTGTCTCTTCCTTTTCGTCCTCCTTGCCCATTCTCTTGGAGAAGTCCAGGTCCAAGAGGCACCAGACACTCAATTGACTAGGGTTTTGCTGCCTATAGGTAATTATGCTAAAAGTCTAGAGTAGTAGATCTTATGCTCGCATAATTATGCATTCTAGAGCAGAAGGTTTTTGCTGGAAAGCTTCACTGTTAGATATGATTTGCATTTTTTACTAGATACTTGTCTTTGGTCTTTGAGGACAAACATATCAAGGATTCCTTTGTGCATCAACAGAAAAGCAAAACACAAAACAGCCTATATGTGAGCATGGGGCCGTATTTTAATACAAGAAAGACATTGCTCTAGAACATGGCTCGCCTTTGCTTCAGGGCCTAGCAGTTTATTTTAGCCATAAGGGTAAGGGAGCAGGTCAGAAATGACTTTTAGTGTAATCCTATCTGTAATTAAAAATACAAATGCTGTCATAAGATCAAATGTTATCAAAAATCAGTATTTAAAATTAAATTTACCCCCAAATTTCTTTCAAAAAAAATTTGTAATGTTCTTTTTCAGTGAAGCCTTTGCACTGCTAGAGCTGAAGAATGTGATCAATCGGCTTGTTGAATAATCCTGCACAGTAGGTATTCCGCTGAAGCCAACTCTAGCTGGGGGCTCGAGAGCGAAAGACACAGATGGGGCCCTGCCGCCCCTCGAAGAGTCGGATGGGCGCGCCCGTCCCCGGTGCATCAAGAGGCTGGCCCGGCCAGGGGCGAGCGGCTGGCACCGAACCCCGCGCACTTCGCCGCGGGCGGGGCTGGGCCGTAGTCGGCTCGATTTAAGGCTGGTATCCAAGGCTGCGGCCGGTCAGGCGAGGCGAGGCGAGGCGACGTGAGCGAGGGTGCTTAGGGAGAACAGCCGCTGGCAGCTCAATGCTGGGTGGCTAACGCTCGACGGTGCCTGGCAGCAACCCGGCCGACAACCCGACGCGGATCCCGAGCTGCGTCGCGGACAATGCTGCGGGCCCGTCCCGGACTACGACTCCCGACGGGCTCTGCGACCGCTCCGGGGCGGCCCAGCGTGCACTGCGCCGGCCAGTTTTGACAGCCGGGCGCCCTACTCGGCTAGCTCTGCTCCCAGCCAGGGACGCTGGCCTTCTCGCGGCTTTCCCCCGATGTCTCTCTTTATTCCAGCTGCCTGAAACTCGGTCCCACGAATGGCAGGCAGCGTCCAAAATTCAACCCCGTAAAGCCAGCACCAGCCAATAAAGCGCACGGATGGAGGCCACGTGACAGCAGTGGGCCGGCCCTCCGGCTGAGCCCTGATCTCTATGGTTTCCGCGGCTCGCTAGAAGGAGTGTGGTCCACTGGAGGACTCCCTACATTCTTCCTCCATTACCTCACTGCCTCCGGTGGCTGCTGGGATACCGGAGGACTCGGGTCCCGGCTCGACTCAGTCCTCCAGCCGCCCGGGGAATACCTCTAGTTCTTCCCGGCCGCCGCCGCCGCCGCCGCCCCGCCGCTTCCTCCTCCGCCCGCCGGCCTCCTTCGCCCCGCCCCGTCCGCGCAGCGCGTCCGGCCCGCCCGCAGGCCAGCTTCTCTCGGGAGCCCCCACCCAGGCGCATGGCTCCATGAAGCAAGAGGAGGAGGCAGAGCGCGAGAGGTCCCGTCCGCCCCAGCCGCGTCTGGGCCAGGAGAAAAGGTGGGAAACTCGGGCTGCGCCGCACCCTTCTCCCCGCTGCCGGGCCAGGCCTCCCTCGGTCCGCCGCCGCCTTGCCCGCCGGGCCTGTTCTCGCCGGGGCGGGCGGCGGGGCCGGGAAGAGACCCCGCGGTCCTGGGGCGAGGGTCCGGGGGCAGCGGGGGGGAGGAGTCCCGGGCGGCGGGCGGGGCCTCAGGCCATGTCCCAGCGGAGGGCAGGGGGTCGGGAGGCACTGCCGGGGAGGGGCGGGCGGCGCCGTGCCCCGGGCCGCGAGGCTCGGCTCCCGCTCCTGGTCCTTGTCTGCACTCCCTCCAGGAAGCAGGCTCGCTCGCTGTAAAGTTTGGTGGTCTCCGGCGCCGCCTGGTGGCCCCCACCCACCGTCCCGCCGCCCCGCCGCCCCCTCCCCCGCCCGGCGTCTGGATTCCACCCCCGCGGCTCGGCCCAAGCTGCTCTACCCGTCGCTCCATCGTCTCCCCAACTCCCCAGCGCCCCGGACCCTCTTTCCTCATACCCTCGTTTCTCACCTTTCACCCTGTCCCTCGGCCCGCTTTTCCCCTCCCCGCTCTGTCCTGTCGTTTTCTTAACACTCTTCACACGCGCACTTTCTCCTCCTCCTCTTCTCTTTTTCGCACCCCTACTCTTGGGCCCTCCTTCCTTAACCTCCGCTGGCCCCCCATTCCATGATCCGTCCACCTGACACGCTGGGTTTCATGCCTCTCTTTCCCAGGCTGTGGGTTGTGCCCTTCACTCCTTGCCCTCCTACATTCCCTGTCCTGATCTGAACTCCTCTCCTTGCCATGCTCCCTCACCCTTATCCCTCTGGGCCTTATCCTCTTTCACTGCCCTCTCCTAGGATAGAGTGGGTGGGGCCTCTCCCACCCACAGGAGATGTAAACAGTCTCCTGTTTACTTACATCTTTGGGAGTAGCTCAATTCTCTAGTAGTGGGGAGAGTTGGTGAAGAGATCAGGAAGAGATTTCTTCGAGACTAAGGATGGATGACCCTTAGCAACAGTGACCGTCTCCTCCCGGCATAGCAAGATGGCCTGCCCTCAGGTCCCTGCCTCTGGCGTGCTGTCCAGTAATTCTTCAGTTCTGTCTTTGCAGAGGATTGGGAAATTTATTTGTGTTCTGAAACCGGCGGAGAGCTTTTAAATGGTCTCTTCTGGCCTGAGAGCAACTTTTGCTCTGCATCTGTGGTGGGGAAGTTTTAATGTGCGTCTCATGCTCGAGTTCAATAAATAAAACCTTTGATTCTCAGTGTCCTCCCTTCTTGCTGATGACGCTAAGGATGAGATGATTCAGGGCATGGGACTTCACGGCTGCCTCAGATTTAGAGTTTGCAAGGTTTTGAAATAAGGAGAGCCTGTTCTCTAGCTATTTGCTGTGCCCCCCACCCCCCCGAAATTGCTCTGTCGAGTTGTGATTTTTCAGAAACCGTATCTATCTTACCTCTGCACTACCTGGGTGTTTGTTCACTGCACCTGCATTTCCGTCTTAGGTACAGGAAGAAGGAATGGAATCGGAAGGAAGAAAATTCATTCCAGAGACAAAATAGCTCCCCTCCTCTGTTGTAGCTGTTCCTCTGGCAATACAAACTTTCTGCTTTCAGTGAGTATTATCTTGGGCATATTTAGAGTAGAGCATCGTTGTAGTTTTTGATTTTAGGCATGTGCTAGGATTTTGGGATGTAGGTGTGTTTTCATTTGTATTTTTCTACTTCCATGAGGGGGTCCTAATGTTGATGAAGTTTTTCCGCTTGTTCCCTTTTAAAATAATTTAAATATGCAAAGGCAAGTTTGTTTTTCATACTCCCATTAGAGTGAGCTAGGTGGTGGCGTGGCATGATCTTTCCTTTATATTTCTAGTTTGTAAGGTCTGGCTCCTCACCCTTCCCAAATGAGTTTCTCAATACAACCAAAGAGGTTGTCTTAAGTTTTAGGGTAATTAACTCAGAGGTTAATGCAGTTCCTGATCAAAGTCAATTATTGGTTCTCTTTTCTATAGTTTCAGTCCTGAGAGACTTTTGGAACATTTTGTCCTAAATTTGCAATAGTGAAGATATTTTCTTGAAAATCCCATCACAGATTTGAAGATAATTAAAATTTTTCACTGTAAACTTGAAACAAAGTTCTGGGGAAAAATTATGACTGCTGTGCCCTCTTGAGTTGATTAATGATAGTATGCTAACACTTAGGAGAGAGTTTTCAGAGTGTTTCACTTCTTGGTGAAGCCTCCCAGCCCCTCTGAGGGACACAGGGGATAAATGTTTTTATTTTACAAATGAAAGAACTGAGGCCCAGAAAAATGTGGCACCTTGCTACAGGTCACATAGAAAACAGAGGGGAGGTGAAAAGAGTTTTGACTCCTAGGTACATGTTTTTCTTTAAGCTAAGTTGAAATGAAAATGTATAGTTCTGGCCAGGCGCAGTGGCTCAAGCCTGTAATCCCAGCACTTTGGGAGGCCGAGGCAGGTGGATAACGAGGTCAAGAGATCAAGACATCCTGGCCAACATGGTGAAACCCCGTCTCTACTGAAAATACAAAAATTAGCCAGGTGTGGTGGCATGTGCCTGTAGTCCTCAGCTACTTGGGAGGCTGAGGCAGGAGAATCGCTTGAACCCGGGAGGTGGAGGTTGCAGTGAGCTGAGATCATGCCACTGTACTCCAGCCTGACGACAGAGCGAGACTCTGTCTAAAAAAAAAAAAAGAAAAGAAATTTGCAGTTCTTTATGTTTTTAAAAATCTATAAAGCTTAAAAACAATTGTTGCCAGGCATGGTGGCGTGCATCTGTAGCCCCAGCAACTTGAGAAGCTGAGGCAGGAGGATCGCTTGAGCCCTGTAAATAGCCACTTCAGCCTGGGCAGCATAGCAAGACTTCATCTCTTTAAAAAAAAAAAAAAAAAAAAAATTCTGGGCACAGTCACTCATGCCTGTGTAAATCCCAAAACTGGGAAGCCAAGGCAGGAGGATTGCTTGAAGCCAGAAGTTCAAAACCAGCTTAGTAACATAAGGAGACCCTGTCTCTACAAAAGGAAAAAATTTTTAAAAATTGGCCGAGTGTGGTGGTGCATGGCGGTGGTCCCAGCTACTTGGGAGGCTGAGGCAGGAGGATCTCTTGAGCACAGAAGTTCAAAGCCGCATTGAGCTGTGATTGTACCACTGCACTCCAGCCTGGACCGCAGACGGAGACCCTGTCTCCAAAACAAAAAGGAACAATTGTATAGGTATATCTGTGATTTGTGGGGGAAAATTTTCACACACCAAATGTTTTGGATGTGTGTATGATGGGGGTTTCAAAAATAAATGATTATTTGGTATGGTTACCAGAATGTATGTGGGTTTTTCTGACTGTTTCCTGGAATAGTTCCATAAGTAGGACAGAATTATAGCTCAGGTGCCATTTCAGTACCCATAATGTAATTATTAAATTGAATTTCAAGTCAACTCTGTGTCACAAAGGAAACAACAGCTTGTTCCCTTCTGTGAAAAGCTTGATTTGAGCAAACATCTAAATGCTAAATGATAACAGAAGAAAATGCAGAGACCCCCTTTTTCTTGGCCTTTTTCCCACCTCCCAAATCTTTATGAGATCGTGCCCTCGAATAAGCTGTTTTGAGGCTTGTCTTCAAAAGGTGAATCTAGATTTTTCCCCCCACCTTTAGGCTTTTCTAGATATTTTAATCTGGTGGTTGTGTGAAACCTAACTACTTTGACAACAGTTTTTAAAATTGGTATTCAGTATCTATCAAGATGTCTACAATAATAGCATTTTAAGCAAATTTAGTCTCTATTTTAGTGTATGTCTGTAAGCTTAAATGAGGACTCTAGTGGAATAAAACTGTACAACTCTCAAGGCAGCCAAGTATTTTTCTCTGTGTTTTCTGGCATCTCAGAATGAAAAGAAACAGTGGATGATTTATTAGAAGCCATTGCTCTCCAAAGAAGGAAACCATCAAGGTCATGAGAGTAATAATCCCATGTTAATAATATGATCTTTTAGATTACAAGGTCATTCTTAATGGAATTGTATTAGGAGGGCATTATTCCTCTAGAAATTGTAAGCACTCAGAGCTGTGTTATTTTTATAACCAACGCTACTTTTATCAGTGGGGTAGGGAAGTATTGGTAACAGCAGACACTTAATAGATAGTAGTTATGTGCCACAGAACTGCCAGGTGCTTTTCGTGTCTTTCACAGCTCACAAATAAACCTCTGTGGTAGCAGGAGCCCAAGTCCACAGAGATGTGAAAACTTGCCTGAGTTGCGTAGCTGGTACGTGGCAAGTCAGACTTGGGATCTGAGCTGAGATTGTAACCTCAAAATCTAGGTTCTGTCCCCTGAAGAGGGGAGCTGCTCTGGGAAAATGGGAGTTATTTTTTTCAGTGGACTTAGTAGCCTTGGAAGGGACCTGCAGTGAGAGAGGAAGGTCCTTTTGCCCAGCCAGACACATGAGTGGGGGCATCATCACATCTTTGTGTCAATAGCAGTCTCAATACCTGGTTTGTAAATACTAGCAGTGTATGAGAAATAGTTTGTATTAATCCCTGAAACCACAAATGGCCACCCAGGCAAATAAATTCTCCAGTGGGTAGTTCTGAAAGTGCTCTATCATTGAAAAAGGAAAAAATGATTCTTCCCAACTGCAGTTTAGATTGTCTGACCTATCAAAAGAAAGCCTTGAGCCACCTCGAAGTGGCACCTGAAGCCAGTTCAGAACTGACAGCTACTGGTATGTTTTAGCAAGGATGACAGCTACCAGCATACATTGGACCAAGAAGTGAATTTAGGTGATAGTTGACCTAATTTTTAAAATGAATTATCCACAGTGGCTATCCATTTTGCTATGAATAATTATTAAACTATCCCTTGGTTTGGGCTGAATAGAATGGAGATTGTTGATAAGAATAGGTGCTTGTAATTCAGTCATCCTCAGGTTCTGCGATACTCCACTGTCAGCAGGCAAACTTAAATTATTAGATGTGTAGATAAGATTGTTGGTGACAATCAGGAGTGTGTGTGTGTGTGTGTGTGTGTGTATACTGTATGTAGGGCACCATGTTAGGTGCAGTGAAAGATGAAACAGATGCCCTGCGGCCTCTCAGGCTCAGGGTGATGCCGAGTTCAGTGCTGGCTGAAATTTTTAAGTTGTAAGCTGCTCCAAATAGCAGGGCAGTGCTCAGCGTCCCCACAGAGAGGGAGGAAGAGTCACTGAGTGGCCCTTGTTGCAGGCCCTAATGAAGTTCAGGGCCCCCTTGAGTGTGTACATCAGGTGGAGAAGAGAGAACGTCCTGCAAGCACAGGGCAGATGAGGACGCCGCAGCATCACTGAGGAAGGCTGGTGACTTTAAGCACTAAGGGCACACTTTATTTGACACCTGCAAGGTTAGGAGGTCTTAAGAGGTAAAACAGTGGTTGCTGTGATTTCTGCCAGCTTTTTGTTGAGGTATGAGTATTGTTTCCATCTGGTGGAAACCTAGTTTTAACTAGCTTATTCTTATTGGTGGTCCTAATGGATGAACAGGAAGAAAAGGGACTCTCACCATGGCCCTTGAGCTGAGCTTTGTGCAAGTAACCAGCTGAAGGCCTGGAAGGGTCTTGGTTATATATACTTTCATAAAGCAAGGGTTTTTACACCTGATTTCAAACTTTGTCTTTTTCCTTCCGTTTTTGTGGAGAATGGGATCTTACTGTGTTGCCCAGGCAGGTCTCAAACTCCAGGGCTCAAGCTATCCGCCTGCCTCTGCCTCTCTAAGTGTAGGGATTACAGGCGTGAGCTCCTGCGCCTGGCTTCTCTTATTTCAAATGAACCAGCTTCACAGTAATTTGTACTATGCTCACAGTACCATCCTTGGTAGTTTTTATAAAGTTTGGCAGGGAAGTTTGGCGGGCACAGATTTAGAAGAGGTAAGTATGTCATTAAGTGGAGCATTTGTTTTTGGCTGATCAGAAGGATAGTCTGATCTATTAGAATGCTATTATTCTGAAGTACCTTACCTAGTACTCACAAAGCCGGGCTGCTGGAGGACCAGGTGTCTCTTGATCACTGTAGGGCAGTGCTGAGAGCTGAGTCGGGAACTACTTAGTTGTGGATGAGATACCTACATTGTTGGAATAGGACTAGAGAATCTCGAACCTAAAGAGAAAATTTCGATGAAATTTGTTGATAGTGGTTGATGTTTAAGAAGTCTTTGTTTATTACCAGCACCTTGGTTTACATTCTTTGCCTGTAGTTGTTATATATTAGTCCATTTTTGCATTGCTATAAATACCTGGGACTGGTAACTTATTTAAAAAAAAGGCTTAATTGGCTCAGGGTTCTGCAGGCTGTACAGACAGCATAGCAGCATCTGCTTCTGGGGAGGCCTTGGAGGTTTTACTCATGGCGGAAGGCAAAGCAGGAGCGGGCACATAACATAACAAATGCAGGAGCAGGAGAGAGTTGGGAGGAGGTGCCACACACTTTTAAATGCCCAGATCTTGAGAGAAGGCGCTCACTGTCATCACTATCAGGAGTGCAGCACCAAAGGTTGGTCCTAAATCATTCATGAGAAATCCACCCCCGTGATCCAGTCAGCTCCCACCAGGCCCCACAGCTAACACTGGGGATTACAATTCAGCATGAGACTTGGGTGGCGACAAACACGCAAACTGTATCAAGTTAATATTTGCTTTTTGTTGGCAGATAAGTAAAATATTGGACCCCTCAAAAAACTGCCTTAAATAATTCCATAGAGGGATGGGAGGTGGAGAGAGTAGGTAATGCACAGAGGTATAGATGAAGTAAGATTGGCCATAGGTTGGAAATTTTTAAATATTGGGCTCATTATACTATTTGTGGAGTATACTATTTTCTCCACTTTGGTCATGTTTGAAATTTCCCATAGATTTGAATTTATGGAATAAGCTTTTAAAGAAATGCCTTCTAATATATTTTTGATGCAGAAAATATCTAACTCTGCTTTTGGTCACTAAAACTCAACTGAGACTATCAGTTGAATTGGTTATTTAGTGGCCTCCAGAGAAATGCTTGGATCTAAAGGGCCAAAGATTGTGGTTGGTTCTGTTCATTGCAAATCATAGTTGGAAGATGTTGGGGAACTGTAAACACAACTGTGTAAAATCAACTGTGATTATGACCCACTGCGGATCAGTGATTGTATGTGGCATGTAGGCAGAATCTTCTGGACTTGAGTTCATCTGCATTGGTGTGGTTTGAAAATCCCTTCTGTTGCTCTGTGATGGAGTGTTTCACCAGTCAGGTGGCTGATACCACCTGGAAGAGAATGTCTGAGTTGTTGCCTCTATCTCACGACATTTAGCTTTTCCTTCAGGTGTGGTTTGGTGTAATGAGAATGATGAAAGGTTTTTTTAGCTTTTGCATTTTATTCTTTCCCTTCGATTCTTTGAATTCTGAGGCTCTAGAGGTGCAGAGCCTCAGAGCCCTATTAAAACACCAGCTCTCTGGGAATGCGGTCCTGCTGCTTCATCTGACCTGTATCTCTAGCTCGCTGCCCACAGTTGCACACAAAGTAGAGTCAAGTGAGAACTCAGGCTGGTGACACCCATCGTGGATTCAAATGACCCTGGATGAGGGGATAATTTTCCAGGTGATGGCTGAGATGTTGACTTTGGGCTTGGTTTTTCATATTGTTTTCCTGGCTCCATTTTTGTTGGCAAGATTCTATAAGCTGTTAGATTAGTTCTTAACATACCCTAGAAATTAAATTTTTATTTATTTATTTATTTATTTTGAGACAGGGTCTTACTCTGTCACCCAGGCTGGAGTGCAGTGGTACAAACATGGCTCACTGCAGCCTCAACCTCCTGGGCTCAAGGGGATCCTCTTGCTTCAGCCTCCTGTGTAGCTGGGACCATAGGTGCGTGCCACCATGCCCAGCTAATTTATTTTATGTAGAGACAGATGTCTCACTTTGTTGCCCAGGCTGGTCTCCAACTCCTGGGCTCAAGCCATCCTCCCACCTCGATCGACCTCCCAAAGTGTTGGGATTATAGGTGTGAGTCACCACTCCCAGCCCAGAATTTATTTATTTATTTTTTAATCCTGCCCTAAAGAAAGACTGAATCCAGTGGATATTATTGGCAGAACTCATTCTTTCTTGTAGTTCCAGGCCATACAGCCTGATACATAGATTGTGATCTAAATCCTAGTTCTGGCCCAGGTGCGGTGGCTCATGCCTGTAATCCCAGCATTTTGGGAGGCTGAGGTGGGCAGATCACCTGAAGTCAGGAGTTCAAGACCAGCCTGGCCAACATGGTGAAACACCATCTCTACTAAAAATACAAAAATTAGCCAGACATGATGGCACGTGCTGGTAGTCCCAGCCACTCAGGAGGCCAAGTAAGGAGAATTGCTTGAACCTGGGAGGCAGAGGTTGCAGTGAGCCAAGAGCATGCCACTGCACTGCAGCCTGGGTGACAGAGTGAGACTTTGTCTCAAAAAAAAAAAAAAAAATTCTAGCGCTGCCACTTAGTGGCAGTGTGGATGCTGTAAAATGTAAAATGATGGTAGCATCATCTGCCTTGTTGAGTGCTTTAGAGGATTCAGTGAAGCCCTTTTTGAAGAGTGTGTGCTCTGTGCAAGCTCTGCTGTAAGCCCAGAGTGCACAGCCAAGTACTGGCCCCCCAGGAGTTGCCCTCCTAGAGAACAGTGGAACAAGAACCCAGATGATAAGAGCAGCTAAAAGTATTGATGCTTAACACATACTAGTCACTGTTTTAAGCCCTTTATGTACATATATATATATATATATATGTATATATATATATATTTGGAGACAGAGTTTCGCTCTTATTGCCCAGGCTGGAGTGCAGTGGTGCGATCTCAGCTTACTGCAACTTCCACCTCCAGAGTTCAAGTGATTCTCCTGTCTCAGCCTCCCGGGTAGCTAGGATTACAGGCATGCACCACCATGCCCAGCTAATTTTGTATTTTTAGTAGAGATGAGGTTTCTCCATGTTGGTCAGGCTGGTCTCAAGCTCCTGACCTCAGGTGATCCGCCCACCTCGGCCTCCCAAAGTACTGGGTTCATAGGCGTGAGCCAGGGCGCCTGGCCTCTTTACATATGTTAAACTCATTTAATTCACCTAACCCTAGGAAGCAAATACTATTATTATTCCTGTTTTGAGTAAACTGAGGCAGAAAGAGGTTAATCGTGGAGGAACCAGGATTTGAGCCCAGGCCACCTGGCTTTGGAGGCAGCATTTTAAAAAACCAAGGCACTCTGCTTCCCCTCTCAACAGTCCAAATAAGACAGTGACATCCATGGTCAGAAACAGTGTAGTCATTGGAGGTTTTATTATATTGAGTATGTAAGACTTTCTCAAAAAGAAGCCAGGTGTGGCTCACACCTATAATGACAGCTACTGGGGAGGCTGTAGTGAGAGGATCCCCACCGCACACCGCACCGCCCCCCTACCACCTTTTTTTTTTTTTTTTTTTGAGACAGGGCCTTGCTCTGTTGCCCAGGCTGGAGTGCAGTGGCATGGTCATAGCTCACTGCAGCCTCAACCCCCTGGGCTCAGGCAATCCTCGCTCCTTAGCCTCCCAAGTAGCTGGGACCACAGACATGTGCCACCATGCTCAGCTAATTTTTTTTATTTTTTGTAGAGACTGGGTCTCCCTGTGTTGCCTATACTGGTCTCAAACTCCTCGGCTCAAGGAATCCTCCTGCCTCGGCCTCCCAACATGCTGGGATTACAGATATGAGCCACTGTGTCCAGCCAGCGGGTGGGGGGGCGGGGCGGGGAGCGGATCCCTCCCTTGTGGCCAGGAATTTGAGACCAGCCTGGACAACATAGTGAGACCCCCATATCTCCAAAAAAAAAAAGATAGCTGGGCATAGTGGTGTGTACCTGCAGTCCTAGCACTTTGGGAAGCTGAGGCGGGAGGATCACTTGAGTCCAGGAGTTGGAGGCTGTGGTAAGCTATGATTGTGCCACTGCACTCCAGGGTGGGTGACAGAATGAGACCTGTCTCTTAAAGAAAAAGAGAGAGAGAGAGAGAAGAGGAGAGGGGAGGAGAGGGAAAGAGAGAAGCCCCTATTTCAAGCAAGGCATGAGAATGTACAAGCTATTATTCTTCGGCCACAGAGAGCTTTGATCTCAATCGGAAATGCCCTTGATGTGTATTTTGTTATGGATCAGCATATATGAAGAACATAAATAATCCTTGTAAAATGTTTATATCATTCAACGTAAAGTGACAAGTTGTTTAGAAATAATGGCATTGCAGATGGGTGTGTAAATATTTAATTTGAAATTTAAAAGGTTGAAGAATTTACACCTGAAATACTATTTGTAGATCAATGCCTAAAAAGATAATTATATGACATGTCCAAATCACAGGGGAAAATTTAGGTAGGACAGCGCAAATCTCTCTTCTCTCTCTCCCTCCCCCCACTTGCCCTTCTTTCTCTCTCTTTCCAGCCAAAACAATAACATACAATGACTTGAGAGAAAACTTAGTTTTCTGTACTTAGAAACTTCAGTATTGTCAACATTGAAATAACTAGGCTCTATTTTCCTGATTCTGTTGAGGAGTGACACTTTTCAGACAACAGAGAGGACCTTAGTTGTGTTATGGCTATACATTTTTACCGCGGGCTTTTAAAGAAAAAAACAATTAAAAAAAAAATCCCTTCCTTCCCTTCGCATCATCAGCTGGGAGGAGGCTGTGGCTCCCCAGCCCATGTGACACCACATTTTGTTAAGCTGGGTGGCTTTGTATCTGTCTGGCTGGCTATGACAGGGCAGAAACTGCCACCTCACAAAAGGGCTGTGAAGCTTGGGTCATTCATGTGAATAAAGGTTTCTGCTAGGTTGCAGGTTTTCTGAATGGGGTCTTGAAAGGATAGGGAGATGTATAGAAATTGGAGTGAGTTCAGAGGGGAACCAAAGAGAATGAGGGGGCTGGAGGAGGAGAGCTGCAGAGACAGAAAGGTGGGAGCCTTGTGTTAGAAGATGTGCCCTCTTCAGAGTGACAGCCAACTGCTTTTCATCCTTGCTGTGGTTTGGGGCTGAAAGTACGAAGATAGATTGTAGTTAGTGATGAGGAAAATACAGAAGGATGTGGTTAACAAGGAAAATCATGAAAGTTCCTCTGGAGTTCTTTAAAAATAGGATGGTTCAATTTGGAGCCTCTAAAAAAGGTAGAGACATCATGATGATGAGTCTGACAGGTCGTGCGCAGCCCTCCAGGCAGTCTGGAAATGTCCTCAGCCAGCTTCACGCTGGCTGGTGCCCCACCCTGTCTTCTGCCCTGGGGACTCTTGGGGAACAGGGAGCTGCTTGGTGCCTGCCTCCATCCATGGTAGTCATCTGGAAATTTTATGGAAAATAAAAATTCTCTTTTAGGAAAAGGTTAGGGGTTTCTTCTCCTGGTCTGTGACCTGGAGGTTGAGTGGGAGAAAGAATTTGACAGCTCTTAGCTGGTCAATGCAGACTCTCTATCTTTGATGTTTTTTCCTCTCCTTTTAACTAACCAGTCAAATTAATGCTTAACTTCTCATTTTGGTTAGGGTTCTGCAGCATTCCAGACCTTGAGCACTGAATCAGGATGGGAAAAAGACGTTGTGTTCCTCCACTCGAGCCCAAGTTGGCAGCAGGCTGTTGTGGGGTCAAGAAGCCCAAATTATCTGGAAGTGGAACGCACAGTCACGGGAATCAGTCCACAACTGTCCCCGGCTCTAGTTCAGGACCTCTTCAAAACCACCAGCATGTGGACAGCAGCAGTGGACGGGAGAATGTGTCAGACTTAACTCTGGGACCTGGAAACTCTCCCATCACACGAATGAATCCCGCATCGGGAGCGCTGAGCCCTCTTCCCCGGCCTAATGGAACTGCCAACACCACTAAGAATCTGGTGGTGACTGCAGAGATGTGCTGCTACTGCTTCGACGTACTCTACTGTCACCTCTATGGCTTCCCACAGCCACGACTTCCTAGATTCACCAATGACCCCTAGTGAGTAAATCATGTGCTGGGGGCACTGAGGAAGGCATGGTGACATCTTTCTGGGGTGATTCTCTTGAGAGGGTCTGCTACTTGGAAGTCTTTATTATCATTTGAGGAAAGGGTAATGGGAAGAGAATGATAAGAAATGTCCAGAGAATATTTAAAACATTCAGTGGATTCAGTAATGGAAGGGAGCAGTTCACATTTGGAGGAGGCTGTAGGCTTGTTGTTAAAGTAATGTTCTGGAAATCAAGTGAGTTCATTCTTGGCTCTTCTGTTGGTTCACATGGCAGTGGGTATGGCATTTAACCTCTCAAGTGGGGAAGTCACGCCATACCATTGGGGACACCCATAGTGTTGAAGTCCAGGTGAGTTGGAAGTCTGAGGGCCAGGCTGGAGACTAGGAGCTCTCATTCACTGGGATCTGCGATTTGGTTAACAGGGGTCCCCTCACTTTGTTCATGAGAAATCCCTTGGTAAACCTGTAGGGCCACTCACATCCCATCAAGAAGTCAGAATCTGCTTCAGTATTTTTAGTTCAAGATTCTTTGTTGCTTGTCCCAAGCCCTCTACTGGTCTCAGTGACTTAAATAAGCAATATGTATAAAGTAAACTGAAGAATTCCATGCTAGCATTTTCTTCTTCCTCAGAATTGGAAGCCGCTCTGAGCTGGCTTTGAAGAGCATTGCTGTTTTTTTATTTTTGTTTTGGGGGTATGCTTTTGGAGTGTTCATTGATATGAGATTATTCATTCCTCAGTTGTTGATTGCCATACGGAGACTACAAAACCTTGGCTGGGGCATGGAGAGGGTGTGAAGAAAAGGAGCCTCTTCCCTTGGGAGGCCTGTCAGGTTGGCAAATCACACACGCACAGAGCTAAGGGGAAGTTGTTCTCTGTGAGTGTGTCAGAGGAGAGGAAACCTGGAGGGAAGTGTGCTCGGTTTTTTGGGAACCGTCACCCTGGGGTAACATGGTTAGAAAACACCTGACTGAGCAGGTGGAGATCCCAAGCCTGAGTGAGATCCAGGGTGCCCCACGTAAGAGAGAGATGCAGTTTGGAAGAACAGGTGATGATGTGGGTGTTTAGGGAAGGTTTAGACTGTTGTATTCAAGGCTTTGCATTTCCATCCTGCAGGCAATGGAGGCCTTGTCTTGAAGGATTTTTCAGTAGGCTTTGGGGCTGCAGCTTTGGCTGGTGCTGTGCAGGTGCTTTATTGGGAGGAAAAGATGGCTAGATGGGACAGCTGCTGTGGGGACCTTTGTGACAGTGATCAAAGCAGATAACTTTGAAAACTTAAGTTGCCTCTAGAAATGATTAACTCAATCTAAGAGGTAAGGACATTAGAGTGTGGAGGGATTTCAGGAAGAGGGAACAGGCCTTGAAACCTCTTGCTAAAAAATCTGTCACTGTCAATCTGATATAGCCTTAATGAAGTGTGACTTTGGCCTAGAAACAGAAAATGGCAACTCAGCTAATAAAAAGGTTCCTTGGCTGGGCGCGGTGGCTCATGCCTGTAATCTGTAATCTCTCAGCACTTCGGGAGGCTGAGGTGGGAGGATCGCTTGAGCCCAGGAGTTCAAGATTAGCCTGGGCAACATAGTGAGGCCCCCCTCTATTTTTTTTTAATCTTTTTTTTTTTTTTTCTTTTTGAGACAGAGTCTCAGTCTTGTCGAGGCTGGAGTGCAGTGGCACAATCTCGGTTCACTGCAACCTCTGCCTTTCAGGATCAAGTGATTCTCCCACCTCAGCCTCCCGAGTAGCTGAGATTACAGGAGCCTGCCACCACGCCCAGCCAATTTTTATATTTCTAGTAGAGGCGGGGTTTCGCCATGATGACCAGGCTGGTCTAGAACTCCTTACCTCAAGTGATCCGCCCACCTTGGCCTCCCAAAGTGCTGGGATTACAGGCATGAGCCACTGCACCCGGCCTTTTTAAATCTTTTTTTAAAAATTAAAAAATGTTTTTTGAGGGAACTTTTTTTTCTGAAAATTTGTGAGTGGAAATATTTGTAGTTGTCAGGGGCAGACATGATCATGGAAGCAACATGGGTTTGCAGATGAACGGGGCTGTGCAGGTGAGGCGTGTCATCATGAAAGACGGAGCGGGGGAGCATGGCTACCTGGATAAATAGACTTAGGGAAGAGGAAACTGGAGAATTCGAAGGAAAAGTTGAGTCTTGGGCAGAGAAAGAGGAAAGTAGCATGTAAATTTGGCGGCAAAGTGAATTAAAGCTGTCAGCATGGAACATGGGAACCACTACACGGAGCCTTTCCTTATGCTGCCTTGTAGGTTTCCCGTTTCCAGCCAGGGGCTGTGCCGTTTTCAGAAAGGCAGAGAGTCCTTCGGGTAGCTGGCAAGTCCAAAAACAGGGATTTTTGGCAATAACAGAAATGAATAGGGACAAAGCCAAAAGGTTTTGTTCTTATCCATGATTAATTTGGGGCTGGAGAATGTTTTGTGTTTTGCTTTTTTTAGTCCGCTCTTTGTGACGTGGAAGACAGGGCGGGACAAGCGGCTTCGTGGCTGCATTGGGACCTTCTCAGCCATGAATCTTCATTCAGGACTCAGGGAATACACGTTAACCAGGTAATGACACCAGACATTAAGAACTGTAGATAAATTGGCTAGAATCAGAAATAGCTGCCTGACTTTATTTCTTCTAAGTGATGTACGTTGAGCTTTCTCTTTTTGGTAATCAGGAAATGTAAGGGGCTTAATCTGGTGAGTCAGTTATCAGTTCAAGTACAGACAGTTAATAGCATCGAGTTGTTTTTAACATGTTAGTGTTGATGAACAATAGATACTCTCTGCATAGCTCAAGATTCATAAATATGTGGGCTCTATGGCACCTGATATTGGCTCCTGACTCCAGAGCAGCCTTACCTATGTTTTCTGTCCCCCTCCAGTGCACTTAAGGACAGCCGATTTCCCCCCCTGACCCGAGAGGAGCTGCCTAAACTTTTCTGCTCTGTCTCCCTCCTTACTAACTTTGAGGATGCCAGTGATTACCTGGACTGGGAGGTGAGAACAGCCGCATTTGGAACTCTGCATCTCTCGTTGCATTTGGGTTCGGGTTAGTACATGGCAATGTATCTCCTTCATTGAGAGAAAGGGTATAAGAATGTGAAGGCTGAGTTTGGAACCAATTGTGGGCAACATAGGTGACAGAAGAGGTGCTGCTATACCAGGAGTAGGCAGAAGTGTCAGTGGAAAGGCTCGCTTCTCCTGATTCTCCCTAGTCTGCTTGGTTTACATCCTTCTCCCATGTCTAATAAGAGATAATGGGGTAAAAGAAAATATTCCAGATCCTTCTTGGCAAGCCCTGGAGTAAAAGTTTTTGTTTGCTTGTTTTTTTTTTTGAGATGGAATTTCGTTCTTGTTCCCCAGGCTGGAGTGCAGTGACGTGATCTCGGCTTACTGCAACCTCTGCCTCCCGAGTTCAAGGGATTCTCCTGCCTCAGTGTCCCAAGTAGCTGGGATTACAGGTGCCCACCACCATGCCCAGCTATTTTTTTTTTTTTTGAGACAGAGTCTCGCTCTGTCGCCAGGCTGGAGTGCAGTGGTGCAATCTCAGCTCACTGCAACCTCCACCCCTGGGTTCAAGTGATTCTTCTGCCTCAGCTTCCTGAGTAGCTGGGACTACAGTCGCGTGCCACCACACCCAGCTAATTTTTGTATTTTTAGTAGAGATGGGGTTTCACCGTGTTAGCCAGGATGGTCTCAATCTCTTGACCTCGTGATCCACCTGCCTTGGACTCCCAAAGTGCTGGGATTATAGGCGTGAGCCACCATGCCCAGCCATTTGTATTTTTTTAGTAGAGACAGGGTTTCACCATGTTGGCCAGCCTGGTCTCAAACTCCTGACGGCCTTGGCCTCCCAAATTGTTGGGATTACAGGCATGAGCCACCGCGCCTGGCCAAATAAAAGTTTTTATTAGGAATCAGATGTGAAGGATCATGACCCCAGATAAAAACCTTGTGGCATGTTTATTTAATGGAATAGGGTCAAGGAACATATTCACAATTCCTGGATGAATTACTTAAAGAATGCATTTCTCCTACCTTCATATTCTCAGAGTTGGCTGCACATACTCTCGACCCTTCCCTAAAAGCAGAACTTTCTTTGGCCTCTATACCTCCTGAGATAGAATTAGTCATGAAATGCGAGAAGGTCTCCCTTTTCCAGGCCTGTGTTAAGCTGGTCAGGGAACAATGTTGATTTATATGTGGGGACTGAAGTTCCATTAGAGTAAGTAAATGCCATTTACTTGGTTGTACTTTTTTCTATAGGTAGGGGTCCATGGGATTCGAATTGAATTCATTAATGAAAAAGGTGTCAAACGCACAGCCACATATTTACCTGAGGTTGCTAAGGAACAAGGTGAGTTGGATGAATGGGATTTTAATGACAAGTATCATTCACAG
Organism: Homo sapiens; assembly: GCF_000001405.40. Taxonomy (NCBI): domain Eukaryota; kingdom Metazoa; phylum Chordata; class Mammalia; order Primates; family Hominidae; genus Homo; species Homo sapiens. The sequence goes on along the minus strand of NC_000002.12, from coordinate 127,869,409 downwards.
TGGTGCCAGTTAAAGGGCAAGAAAGTGAAGTGTGTCATCTTGCAGCCCAACTGCAGCTGAGAATGAGGGCCTTTCTGCCTCTTAATACCTGTCAAATTCCTATAGAACCAAGGGTAAACTTCCAAAAAGGTTTAGGAGCTGGGAAAAGCAAAAGGGTAAATCGTTCACTTACTCGCCTGATATTTCAAACACTTCTTTTCAATGAATAGTTTTATTTCTTAGCCCCTTAAACTACAGTGGCAATTGTAGCAAAATACCACCAATCAACCTGACCATATTGTAGAATTCAGTAGGTACCGAACTTTGGATCACAAATCATTAAACAATATTATACATGGCAAAGGGTGTAAACATAGTCCCTACTGTTTTTTAAAGAACTCAGTAGTCGGCCAGGCGTGGTGGCTTACTCCTATAATCCCAGCATTTTGGGAGGCCAAGGTGGGCGGATCACAAGGTCAAGAGATTGAGACCATCCTGGCCAGCATGGTGAAACCCCGTCTCTACTAAAAATATAAAAATTAGCTGGGCATGGTGGTGCATGCCTGTAGACCCAGCTACTCAGGAGGCTGAGGCAGGAGAATCACTTGAACCCAGGAGGCAGAGGTTGCAGTGAGCCAAGATCGTGCCATTACACTCCAGCCTGGTGACAGAGCGAGCCTCCATCTCCAAAAAAAAAAAAACTCAGTAGCCTATAAGTTCTTCTGATGGGGACGTTAAAGGTAGGGTGGATCGAGCAGATTTTGTCTTTAAAAGAATATCTAGAAGGGTACCTTTACATGTTGCTTGTGCATTCTGTGATACGTAGTGCAGTTTTCCTTCTTTCTTGGAATTAGTCTGATTTTGAAAATAATATGTGAAACACAGTATTTGTTGGGTATGAGCCTAGAATAGAGAAAAAATACCCGGTGAAGTGTATATCATGAGCAAACATGGAAAACGATTGCCTGGTTGGTTTTTATTTTGCTTGTGCTTAAACTTTTTCAAGAGCAGTGTATATGTGGCATAATAGCAAACCTTTTAGCCACCTCTTTTAGGTCATAAACCTAACACACTCTGTACAAGGAGGCATACCATGTTTTGTAATGGGGAGGTGTAAATAATAACTTAAGTAAATAATTAAATTACTTTTGCCATTTGAAAGTTGGTTGGAAAAATAAAAACTTCGGAGCACCTAGCATAGTAATTTAGGGGATTTTCTTTGGTTTTTCAATTTGATGAAGTTGGTTTTATCTGTTAAGAATGAGGCTGGGCACGTTTGCTCACATCTGTGATCCCAGCACTTTGGGAGGGCAAGGTAGGTGGATACTGGAGCCCAGGAGTTCAAGACTAGTCTGGTGGCGAAACCTCGTCTCTACAAAAAATACAAATTCAGCTGGGTGTGGTGGCACACACCTGACAGTCAACAGCTAGTTGGGTGGCTGAGGTGGGAGGATCACATGAGCCTGGGAGGTGGAGGTTGCAGTGAGCCAATATTGCGCCACTGCGCTTCAGCCTGGGTGACAGGAGTGAGAACCTGTCTCAAAAAAAAGAATGTGCAAGAATAACAATAGTATATGCATGAGCAACTTGTCTGCCCTTCCTGAAGGAACAGCTCCTTCCTTCCTTCCTTCCTTTCCTTCCTCTTCCTCTTCCTCTTCCTGTCTTTCCCTTTTTATTTCTTCCTTAAGACAGGGTCTCCTCCTGTCACCCAGGCTGGAGTGCGGTGGTGTGATCCTGGCTCACTGCAGTCTTGACCTCCTGGGCTCAGATGATTCTCCCACCTCAGCCTCCTGAGTAGCTGGGACTACAGGCGCATCCCACACGCTCACTTAATTTTTGCGTTCTTAGTAGGGATGAGGTTTAACCATATTGCCTAGGCTGTCCTTGAACTCATGGGCTCAAGTGATCCTCCTGCCTCAGCCTCCCAAAGTGCTGGGATTACAGGTGTGAGCCACCACACCCAGCCAGCTTCTTTCTCACTGTCAATTTTTTACCATAGAAAACAGGACTCCAAAAATCATCAGATTGAAGGAAGATCACACAAAGGAATATAAGTTGCAGAATTTAAATTCCTCTCTTCCCACAGAGCAGCCTTGGGTACCAGCACTAGGCCAATAGGCTGGTCTAAGTTGGAACCATGTTTGTTCCTAGATAATTATACTGGGGTAACATCTGACAGGAAGGACGCAGGAGCAGGGAGCCTGGGGACAGCCATTATGGCATGTGTCGGGCTATCATCTCATGTCTCAGAGTCTCCACGGGACTGGCAGACAGACTGGGCGCCAGGTACGTGGGGGTCAGTGCCCAGGGCTTCCTCTGCCTTAGCAGACTCGGCTGCTTCTCGAGTCCCATTTCTCTTCTTGCACGGGCCATGTGAGAGCATGCCTTACTCTTGCATGTGCATTGACCTCAGTGTGGCCTTTCTCCTCCCCAGACTGGGATCAGATCCAGACAATAGACTCCTTGCTCAGGAAAGGTGGCTTTAAAGCTCCAATTACCAGTGAATTCAGAAAAACGATCAAACTCACCAGGTAAGCCATTGTCTTGTTTTCCTTATCATTTCAATTTAGTTGGGGTTGAATGGAGGATAATTTTGATGGGATGGAGAAGAAGTGTTCTCTGTGAATGTCCCTAAATCAAAGAAGTGTGGGTGAAGTTCACATTTTGAGGAAGCAGTGGCAGCAAAGGCAGAGACTCTCCCAGCATCCTGTGTGTCTCCATAGCTGAGCTGGGGGCACAGTTGGAGCAGGGCAGGTCTGCCCTGCAGGCTGTGGATGGCTTTGCCAGACCCACGTGGTTGGGAGGCTGAGGGGGAGACTGAGATTAGGAGACAAGGCTCTCTGGAAGTCCAGAGTCAGTTGAGGTGCTGCTTTCTGACTGCACATGTAGTCAGACGGCAGGAGATACAGGAGAGTAAGAAAATGCTTTTACAAAAAGTTAAAAGGAAATGCCTCTCATTTGTGGGGAATACTTCTAGGAGGAGGCTGCCTAGTGTAGTAGAATGCAGATGGACTTGGAGTTGGAATCCCAGCTCAACATGTACTAGCTGTGTGACCTGAGCCAGTTATTCTGCCTCTCTGAGCCTGTTCCCTGTCTGTAAGATGTGAATGATAATACCTTAGAGTTGTTTGAGGCTGTGCTAAGGTAATGTATGGAAAATTTCTAGCCTGTGGCCAGTCAACATTGTAGGTGATCAGGAGATGTTAGTTCTCTTCTCATCCCTATTGAAATCAGAAACACTGAGAGGTTTAGCTTCTATGGGCTTTTGTGGGCCTCTTTTGGGCCCCTCATCTGTAAAATGCTGAATAATCATATACTAATCTCACAGGTCTGTTTGGAAGATGACCCAGTGTTTTTTAAATGCTTTGGATTCCAAAAATTTTTAAAAAACAACAAAAAACTCTTCAAATACAAAGCATTATTATTATTATTATAATTTATTTGAACAGCCATTTCCCTGTCAAAATTCAGGAATAATCACCTTGCAGTGGAGGAGTGATTACAGTGGGAAAGAGATGGCTCTGGGTAAGGATTGTCACACCCAGCTCCTGTGGTCTGTAGTAGGCTCCATAGGTTTGTAACACCCCATGCTTCGCATCCTGACTCATGGCTCTTTCCAGAGCACAGCCAAAGTGCTATGAATTCTGTTCTGACGACCCTGTGATATGGCATATTCATCTGGGGAGTGAGACCTATATAGCCCCAAGGATCCTTTAACCTGCTTCAGCAGACTTTGACCCAGAATTAGGTATCTGTGTCCCTTTTAGTTATAATAACTTGTTTGTTGCTCTTACGCGAATTGAGGTTGCATTTCTGTCAAATGTATCACATTTACTCTGGAAGTAGATGTGCAGTTTGCACTGGGTTTTGGTGCAGCCATCTTCCAATCTGCCACCCGAGTAATTTGACCTTGAAATTCTTCATCCAGACCCCAGTAGCGGATTGCTTACGAGCAGCCTGATGATAAGCACGTGTAGTGTTTCAAGGTGGGATGTGCTGAAACACATTCTCGGGGGAATTGTGATTGTGCTTTTTCATCTTGTTCATTTGTAATAACAACATTGTTTTCTTGTGCTGTCTTTCATTTTCTGTAAGTAAGATTGCTCTTGGTCTTCCATTTTATTCTTTCAAAATGTGGAATAAGCTTTTGGTTTTTCTCTGCTGAGTGACTTTACAAAATGAAGCGTTTGGGGTTCCTAATACCCTTTCCTGTTTCCTCATACAGGTACCGAAGTGAGAAGGTGACAATCAGTTACGCAGAGTATATTGCTTCCCGACAGCACTGTTTCCAGAACGGCACTCTTCATGCCCCGCCCCTCTACAATCATTACTCCTGACACACGGCTGCATGACCAGTCCCACCCCCCCGTGGCCACCAATGGCTATGACATCATTGGAGCAGATGCCTCCTCTTCCTGGTCCAGTTACTTCTATTACTGCACCATTTTATGATGCTAGCTTCCGTTGCCAAGTCTGCCTCCCGCTGACTGAGGGAGGGTAGGGTTACCTTGAACGAAACAGAACTTGAGGGGCCCAAGCCTTATCTCAGCCTTTCCTCAATATGGGGTTCCGTTGGATTGGGGCTCCTCCATGACTAGTGGGAATTACTGTGGGTTCAGAAGACCCTTGTCTGGTATTTGCCACATGGGGTATTGGCCACACGCTGGAAGCTGAAATTGATGATCCCTGAAGGTTGAACCCACACACACCCCTGCAGCCTCCCCAGATGAAGTAGGTGTATTCCCCTGGCAGTCTGGGCAACGGAGACCAAGAAACATTTTTAGGTTGTTTTAAATTCCTTTTTTTAAACTTCCAGTTTATTGCGTACCAAGAGTTGATTACAACCTCCATGCTTCATAAGCGGACGCCACGTTAGGGTTGGACGTGGGCACCACGAGTCCTTTGAGGCTCCTGGACAGAGACCCACATCAAGATCGGAAGCCCTTTGGGTGGCGTTGCAGATCTCATTGCTCAGTAGGCCGTGAAGATTTTCATCCTCATCCCACTCTCAGTTGGATTTTCTGGCACTCTTCCTGCATTGAGTCTCCTGATTACTGAACAGAGCTCCGTCATGTAGCCTGCTGAGGAATGGAATGGAATGGAGATGCCCACAGGAGGTCCTGATGTCATCACTGCACGCAGGTGTGAGAGGAGAGACCTCTTCTGCACCGCCTGGCTACCTCACTCCTCTGCTGGTAGCAGTGCCTATAGCTGGACCTAAGTTCTCAGAAGCGTAGATGTGCAAACAAGCGATTGAGTTGGGCTTTAGGAGGACACATCATAGGAGAGAATCCAGGGTCTGTAAGCTGGTTTTCTTTTCAGGTGACATCCTGAGGGGCCTGTAAGCAGGGGAGCTCCTTTTTCTAGTTTGCCTGTAGAGGTGGGAAGACTGTTGGTGTTTCTGTCCTTTACAGGACATTAGGAAACAGTTGTGTAATTACACAAGGTGGACCTTTATCTTGCCTGACATGCTGGGAATCTTCACCCCACCAGGGCAAATTTCCAAATAGCTCATTTTATTCTAGGTCTTTCAAACTTTCATGTGACATATTTCCCTTTCCCATTGTTGCTGATTTCCAAATCGCTGTCAGCAATTTTTTCCTCTCTCCTTGCCTATTCTTCACTCATTTGGTGGCAAAGTTCATAGAACTAGGGGACTTGGAAGATGCTTTGAAAATATTGTTACAAAGGCACTGCTAAAATGATTCACAGGGAGAGTGGCCAGTTGGAAGAAGGATCCTAAGGATGTGACACTGGTTTTCAACAACATGCTTAGAGAACTCATGAAGTGGATTGGGTGTCAACCCAGTGAACATGTTTTTATTTAATTTATTTTTTGAAGTTTATGTGGTGATGGTGTGGCTTTCCGAAATGGGCAAATATTCAGAAGATCTTTTGCATTTTCTTCTGTCAGGAATGGGGAAGGGGAGTGGGGGCACAATCTGAGAAAGGACACCTGTGCTGTTCTAGGCATCGCTGGCAAGTTTGTGGGAAGGGATGGGCAAGGGTGAGTGGGTTTGCTCCACACCGTCCTGTGCTGCTCGAGAGGACCTGGGACGTGCGAGGGAAACGTGGGTGACGGTGCCTAGGCTGCGGCCCTTCACTGCTGTGCTGGGTTCCTGCAGCCTGCTACGTTTCCCTTGGCAATGTAAATGAAGATGGAGGGGTCGTTTCGTGATTTCCTGCTGCTGAGAATAAATGTCTTGTTAAAAACGTGGCAACGGTTACTCTTAGGTGCCATGGATCGATGTCAGGGTGGTCAGCTCTGGACTAAGCCACCCACCTCCAATTTGTACAACAGTATTGATACATAGGGCTACACTCATTACTGTTCAAGTGTTCTATGTTAAGAGTTGTGTTTAATTTCTAAAGATTAAAAAAAGCAAAAAAATTGGTGCTAAACCTTCACCCCTGAGCACGCTCAGTGAGACTGGTCATGCAAGCATTTACAGTGCCATGCTCCTCAAGCCGATTTTTTCTTGTAGAAATGTTGCCCTATTTGTCTTCTCCAATGTATGGTATGTTATTTTATTTTATTATTTTATTTTATTTTATTTTATTTTATCGAGGGGGGGTACGATACCTGCCATTTAAGAAAATGAATAGAAAATTTTAAAACCCGAGAAATGGGGAAAAAAAAATCAGTGCACAAGAATTGGGCTGGTTAGGCCCAGCACCACACTGAAGTGGGCTCAGTGGTTTTTGGAGTGAAGAAGCCTTACTCCCTGCACATTCCCTCATGCTCCCACACAAGTCCAGCAATGGAAATGCTTGGGTTCCTCTTGCTTTGTCAGGGGACTCAGGAGTCGACCAAGGGAAACCATTTGGCCCCGTGAGGAATGGGCATTGTCAGTATCCGTCCTGAACGGGGCCTAGTCAGGAAGCGGTCTAGAAGTGTACGGTCACGGTCGCCTCATGAAAGTGTGTAGCAGGTGGCTCTCAGGAAAAATACCAAGTCTGGATCATCCATGTGGCAGCTTTGCATAGGGAGAGGATAGCTCCGAACTGGAACTGAACTGCCTTCTCTGCACGCTTGACCAAAGCAGTGATGAGGGCGGCCAGTACCTGCGGTGTGCGTGGTAGGTTTAAAGAAAAGGGAATGTTTTCTGCTGAGTGTTTCCTTTGTCCTTGGGCTGCTCGAGCTGGACAGTAGGTAACCACTGTTTTCAAGGACCAGCCCAATTTCTCTGGCTTGGTTCGGAGTTCGTTTCATCCCTAGCTGTGAGTGCCTTTTGGTCTGGAAAGTTGGCTTGTCTCATAATACCCACAGCTAGGACATTCTCTCTGTAATTATGAATTGTCCTTGTTTTACATTAAAAGAGAATGTCTTTGATCACTAGAGTCTGTCGGTGTTGGATTATTTCCACTGTGAGATTCTTAAAACTTTTTTGCTTCATAATAATAAAACAACTCATGTTAGAGACCCTTTCAACATGAAAGGTTTGTAGTTGAGACATTACATATATTTTATTGTTTATAATAAAAATCATCTATACAAAAGAAGTCCTGGGTGTTAATATTTTGCACAAGATCTGTTTTCCATGATGTGTTGACATCTACAATTTCACTAACTGTTGACGTTATTTTCTATTGAGATTCTGGAGCCTAGGGAGCTATGTGTTCTTTTTGTTCATTTCGTTCTTACTTCCCTGAAGCAAGAGACTATATGGCCTTCAGTGCAAAGACTTCAGACCAATTCTTTGTATTACACTTGGTTGCCTCTTGGCTATATAACTTCTGAGTGCAAATCATTGAACACTTTAACGAAGTATTGTAGAGAATAAATCATAATGGATAAAAATCGTTTTGTTCTGCTTTTTCTTTTTTAACCATGTGACTTGATTTATATGGAATGGTGATAACAGTTGTTTTATTTTTGAAGACAGGCAACAAGATAGTATTCGGTCAGCTTGGATATTTTGTGTGGTGCTCGTGACCCCACCCTTGTGTATATTTTTATGGTTGGTGGCAATGTCACTGGTGTTTTAGAGCCAAGTTCCATGAGCAATCATTCATTAGCCCTTTAAGATTTGGGTTTTTCCAGACAGGTTCGTTGTTTTTGTTAGATTTTCAAATGAGACTGACCTTACCAAAAAAAGCCAAAATCTCTTGGAGAGGAAAAAAACACTAAAATTTAATATAATTTGGTGATGTTAATTAATTCAAGCAAAGACCCTGGGACATACTGGTGCAGTCTGACCTAACCAGTGAAGTTTTGTTTTTGGATGGCCCAGAAAAGATGAGATGTGTTTGGAGGAAAGGACATCTTCAGTTTACGCTTTTTTTTTTTTTTAACTTGGCAAAAATAATTCAGTATTCCATCTGGGCAGCACCCTGGGGTCTGCTTGTCCCTCCCTGGCTCCAGCCCACTAACCCAACCCACCCAAAGATCAGCAGTTGACACACTATTTGCAGGGAGGTAGAATTTTTTTTTAAGGTACTCAATTCTGAGGCCCTTAGCGCTTAGCAAAGCTCAAAAACACATGGCTACAGATAAAAACGTGCTATCAGGGTTAGGTAATTTTGAAAACTGACTACCAGCAGCTGGTTAGACGTTTACAGGCTTTGTTAATAACTGATGTGTGTGAAGAGGAATTCGTTTCTTCAAGAGAAATTAATGTTCTAGAGATTACATTCCATAGTACCTGTAATTAAACAGCGTAGAGTTGCCTATGACTGATTTTGGGGGAGAGTGTGATTGGTGATAAAACAACATTTGTAATTTTAGCCATCACTGTTGACTTCTGGAGTGTGAAATAAACCATCTGATCAGAGGTCAGTGGTGCTAATTGTGGGAGTGGGGGTGGGGGAGGTGCTCTACAGCTGCTTTTAGATCAATCTAGGTCTGTAACCTTGGCTTGAATAATCTGACTGAAATACTAAGTGGGCTGGTTGAATGGCTTGACTGAACCAATGCTGTACAAGAATCAGAGTAGCAGCCTGAGGAATGTAATGCAAGTCCTGTCCCTTCTGTGTCTGTTTTCCTCATTAAAATCAAGCTCAGACAAGGATTCAAGGGCCTCTTCCTGCCGCTTATGCATTATTTCTACTCACACAGATTCTGTATGCCCTGGAAAATTGGTGGGGGGAGGACTGCAATTTCGAAACTATTGGAAAACAGAAAAGAGAGGTCTCCAGTTCACCATCAGTCCCTCAAGTTCCTGCTGCCAATCAGACCCCCTCCCCCAGTATGGCTATTCTGTGATCACATCGTGGCTCCCAACCAAAGAAATAACCCAGGGCGGGTGACAGCTAGAATCTTTTCTGGCTGGCAGTCCCACAGGCCTAAGCGCAAATCTTGGTCCTGCCATTTATAAGGCATTTCCTACTTTGTGACAGGACTGTGAATCTCCAAAGTAACCTGACCTTAGAGAAGTCATAGGTAAAAAGTAAAAATAGTAAATGTTTTGCCCAGACCCCAGCACATGGTGCAGTGGCTGGGCAGCTGTGGTTATCTGGCCTGTCACTCAGTGCTGGGTGTACAAGGGAACACCGGCAAGCATCAAACCCTCCGGAACCTTCAGCTTCTCTGAGCACGTGAAAGGGGGCGTGGCCAGCCCTTCAGGTCTGGGCAGGTTCCTTAGAGAAGCAGTGCTGAAGCAAAGAGCATGCCCTGGAGGAGGGAACTTCTCAGGTGGTGGGAGACCACATTGCCGGCACTGCAAGACAGCAAGACGCTGTGGACGAGCCCTCGCAGGAGATCAGGCTGCACAGGCCAGACAGGATTCCCAGGACTGCCTTCTAAAGGTTTTCTTTTTCTTTAGTTTTAAAATTTTTACTTTTTAATTTTTTAAGTCTTTTTAAAAATTATTATTTGAGACAGAGTCTCACTCTGTCGCTGTCGCCCAGGCTGGAATGCAGTGGCGCGATCTCGGCTCACTGCAACCTCCGCCTCAGCCTCCCGAGTAGCTGGGATTAAAGGCGCCCGCCACCACGCCCCGGCTTTTTTTTTTTTTTTTTTTTTCTGTAGAGACGTGATTTCACCATGTTGGCCAGGCTGCTTTCGAACTCCTGACCTCAGGTGATCTGCCCCCCCCACCCCCACCGGCCTCCCAAAGTACTGGGATTACAGGCGTGAGCCCCCGCGCCTGGACTTTGCCTTTTTTTTTTTTTTGGCAGGGTCTCTGTTGCCCAGGCTGGAGTGCAGTGAGGCAATCATAGTTCACTGCATCCCTCAAGCGATCCACCCGCCTCGGCCTCCCCGATCCCTGTGACTACAGGCACGCGCCACAACGCCCGGCTAATTTTTGTATTTTTTAGAGACGAGGTCTCACTATGTTGTCTAGGCTGGTCTTCAACTCCGGAGCTAAAGCGATCCTCCAGCCTCGGCCTCCCAAAGTGCTGGGATTACAGGCGTGAGCCACCGTGCCCGGCACAATTCATTTTTTATTAAATCAACAGAGTTTACAATATGACCATCTAAACATTGTTGACTAATGAGCTAAGATATTGTTGACTAATAAGCTATGATTATTTACCTTATTGTACAACCTTTTGTTTTCTCCAGTGTCGAAAACAGCATCATTTTTTATTTGCTTTTTTTTTTTTTTTAATATATTTTTTGAGACGGAGTCTTACTCTGTCGTCCAGGCTGGTGTGCAGTGGCGCGATCTCAGCTCCCTGCAACTTCCGCCTCCCGGGTTCAAGCGATTCTCCTGCCTCAGCCTCCCCAGTAGCTGGGATCACAAGCGCCCACCACCATGCCCGGCTAATTTTTGTATTTTTAGTAGAGATAGGGTTTCACTATGTTGCCCAGGCTGGTTTCAAACTCCTGACCTCAGGTGATCCCCTCGCCTCGGCCTCCCAAAGTGCTGGGATTACAGGCGTGAGCCACTGCGCCCGGCCGTCATTTGCTTAATTTTCTACGCATCACCCAAATGTTCCAACAGACGTGTGGTAAAAGCCTCTGAATATCATTGTCCGCGTACTCAGAAGTATCAGATAATCCACCACAAATCAATAAAATTTTAGAAGTTTAAGTCGGTGAAGGAAATTGGACCCGGTACTTTCGGAGCCGGCTGCCCTGCTCTCCATCAGCAGGCGTTCCTGCATCTCATCTGACCTCCTCCGTCCAGAAAGGCGTAGGGACCTGCCCCAGGACGTCTGCGCGGCGAGGAGCATGGGAGAAGAGAGGGAGTGCAGGGCGCCCCTCGGTGGCGGGGAGCCTCCAGGACCTCACCAACCGGTCCCCTCGCTGCGCCCCGTCCGGCTCGCACTCCCGGCCCCGCCCACCCCTCGGGGCCCCTCCCGAGACCACGCCCCTTCCGCGGCCGTTGCTCCGCGCTTCTGCTTCCGGCGGCGCTGGTGGTGGCGCGCGGCGCGGCGCGGCGATGGCGGCGGGTGGCAGCGATCCGCGGGCTGGCGACGTAGAGGAGGACGCCTCACAGCTCATCTTTCCTAAAGGTTGGGCTCGGGGCTGCCAGACTCCCCCGCGCCACTTCGCGTGGTCGCCGCAGGCCTGGCGTTATGCGCGCTTCGCCCAAGGCCCTGCCTCAGCGGCGGCTTGGGCAAGCCCCAGCGCGGCGTGGGGCTGGGGAGGGAACATGGCCTTGGGAGGGACCATGGCCTTGGGAGGGACCGCCTGGGCAACTGGGTTATTTTATGTGATAAACTGCGAAGTTCCGGGGACCTGTGTCAAAGATAAACAAAGCCGGACACTCAGGTGGTAAGGACAGATTTTTAAACAGTAATATACTGTTGCACTAGGGAAAAGAGCCCAGCGTGAACCGAACTCAACTTCGATTAGTACAGAACCTCTGGGCGTTTTAACGGAGAATTAGGGAATAAGGATGTGGTGAGCGGGAGCTCGGGGGAGTCGGGGAAGTGAGAAATGTAAAAAAGCGGGAAGAGGAGGATTGGTCCGTGTGAACGCAGCTTGGTTTGTTGACTGGCGCACCTGTCGAAGTTAGGCCCCTACCCTCCCACAGAGGCAGAGAGACAGAGTCCTATCTTCAGCTGTTGGCTGGAACAAATTATTTTGGCAGCCTTGAGTTTTCTCACGCACGCACTTTAAGTGGTTGGGGAGGGTATTCCTAGGGATGAGGTCTTCAGCTCAAAAACTTGAAAATGTATACAGCTGTCTTACACTTTATTGATTTATTGATTTATTGATTGAGATAGGGTCTCGCCCTCTTGTTGAGGCTGGAGTATAGTGGCATGATCAGAGCCCACTGCAACCTCAACCTCTCAACCGCTCAAGCTATCCTCCCACCTCAGCCTCCCAAGTAGCTGAGACCACAGATGCACGCCCCCATACCTGGCCCATTAAAAAAATTTTTTTCGTAAAGACAGGGTCTCACTATGTCGCCCAGGCTGGTCTCAAACTCCTGGGCTTAAGTTAATCACGGCACCTGACCTATCTTATTCTTTTATTCATTCATTCATTTACTTATTTAGAGACAGAGTCTCACTCTGTTGCCCAGGCTGGGGTGCAGTGGTACGAACTCGGCTCACTGCAACCTCCGTCTCCTGGGCTCAAGTGATTATCCTGCCTCAGCCTCCCGAGTAGCTGGGATTACAGGTGCCCACCACCACACCCGGCTAATTTTTGTATTTTCAGTAGAGCTGGGGTTTCACCATGTTGGCCAGCCTGTTCTCGAACTCGTGACCTCAGGTGATCCACCCAGCTCGGCCTCCCAGAGTGCTGGGATTACTGATGTGAGCCATTGCCTGGCAAAATAATAAATTTAAAATTAAAACGGAAATACTACCCTCTAAGAAATAAAAAATATAAAAATGAAAAAATGTTTATTATGTGTTTTTTGTATTTTATGGTTTAATACGTTAGAACTTACTATTTTAGTTGTTAATTTATTTTTTTTAATTTTTTTTTTAATTTTATTTTGAGATAGGGTTTCACTCTGTCACCCAGGCTGGAGTGCAGTGATGTGATCTCGGCTCACTGCAACCTACCCCTCCTAGTTTCAAGCCATCCTGCCTCAGCCTCCCAAGTAGCTGGGACTACAGGCGCCTGCCACCATGCCCAGCTAATTTTTGTGTTTTTAGTAGGGACGGTGTTTCACCATGTTGGCCAGGCTGGTCTCGAACTCCTGACCTCAAGTGATCCACCCACCTTGGCCTCCCAGTGCTGAGATTACAGGTGTGAGCCACCTCACCCTGCCTTTTTTTTTTTTTTTTTTTGAGACGGGATCTCATTCTGCTACCTAGGTTGGAGTGCAGTGGTGTGATCACAGCTCACTGCAGCCTCAACCTTCCCTAGGCTCAGGTTATCCTCTCACCTCACTTCAGCCTCTGGAATACTTGGGACTACAAGTGCAGGCCACCACTCCTGGCTAATTTTTGTATTTTTTTGTGGAGACAAGGTTTCACCATGTGGCCCAGGCTGGTCTTGAACTCCTGGGCTCAGGTAATCTGCCCGCCTCGACCACCCAAAGTGTTAGAAAGTATAGGTGTGAGCCACTGCACCTGGCCTATTAATGGTCGTAATGACGTATCCTCGGTAAAATTTCCAGATGACATACAGCCAAGGAGTTGTTTTTCCTTTTTTAGCAACAGAGATTAATTATGGCCATTGTTCTTAAAATATTTGCACAAGAGAAAATAACAGGCAGATCCCCTGATCTATTTCCTTTTGTTTCTAAATAAATTGTGTGTGTGTGTGTGTGTGTATGTGCGCGCGTGTGCGCGCCTTCACTTGAAAATGTTCCTTGGGATTAGCCATGGGGAGAAGTCTTGGATCCCTCCTCTCCATAGTTACACAAAAGTGTCTGAACTGCCTCCCCCATCCCCATTTTGTTGATGCTGAATCCTGGGAATGCCTCCCAAAAGCTCTGTGGTAGGTCTCAGACACCACTTTCCTAGGCACTCTGAGTTACAGTTTGGCTGCCTCGACCTTCCTTGGTTGAAGGGAGTGAGGGTAATGTATTAGTAGTACTTGGGTATTGTTCTTAATGAGAAATAGGGACAGTTGACCAGTTTCCTGGTGTCCTAAAAGTTCCATTCCTTTCCATTTAACAAGTAATTTGGTTTAGTGCAGAAAGGGACCATCTCTCTTTTTTTTTTTTTTTTTTTTTTTTGAGACGGAGTTTCACTGTTGTTGCCTTAGGCTGGAGTGCAGTGGCACAATCTCGGCTCACTGCAACCTCCACCTCCCGGGTTCAAGCAATTCTCCTGCCTCGGCCTCCTGAGTAGGTGGGAGTACAGTCATGTGCCACCACTCCCGACTAATTTTTGTATTTTTAGTAGAGATGGGGTTTCACCATGTTAGGCTGGTCTCGAACTCCTGACCTCAGGTGATTCACCTGCCTTGGCCTCCCAAAGTGTTGGGATTACAGGCGTGAGCCACTGCGCTTAGCCTGGGAGGCATCTCTTAACATTGATTTTTCCAGGACCTGTAAAAGCATCAAAGTTCCAACAAACAGATTTGTAACTGATTAGCTGCTGCTTCCCTTTTTTTTTTTTTTTTTTTTGGCCTGATGTCATTTGTTACTGTCACTTCAGAGTTTGGAGGTTCTGCAGTCCTGATACATAATGCCTTTTCCTCTACTCATTGCTGTGAGGCAGTAGTTTCTTCTGTACCTACACTGCCTCAGTGTTAAGGATTAAAAGAGGTAACTTTCCTGGTATACAAATAGGCTCTCACTGTAGTAAATCCCCTGTTATAGGCTAGAAGACTGAAAAAGAAGGTGTTCTGAGGTTTTCGTTTAAACTCTCCTGCCCTCAGGTAGAAAACAGTTTTTGGTTACCTATTTTTTAATTTATATTTTAATTTTATTTCAATAGTGCTCCAACTGTATTGGCAGCCTATTCTATTTAGTAGCAATGAGTACCTTTCAAATAAAAATACAGTTTCCTCCTGACCCACCACTTAAAACTATCTGTGTTGTAAAAGGAAAATGAAGCTCTTGTCAGTTACCTGGCTTGAGAAATGGGAAGGCATTACTCTGAGGGAGGTGTTAGTGATTTCCCTGATAGTAAACAGACCCATAGCACATCTAAATGTGAAATTGCAAGTCGTTTTGGCTTTTCCTCACTGTTGCTTCCTCTTCAGTGTGGGGTTATAAACATGAATTCATGTTTATGAATGGTTCCTACTCTAAGGGAACTCACTGTTAAGAGAAAGGCAGATAAAAACTATCTCTAATACTTTGAGATAAACATTAGGAACATAAGATCCTGCAGGAACGTAAGGGAGAGAATGATTTTCCCAAGGGTAACAGCATTTTTTAACAGAACTATTGTAGAAATGTAGAAGGTCGCCGTATATTATGAAAAGGGGCCATGGGTTTCTTTTTCTCTCAAACCTAATTCTTAAAAATTGCTTATAACATTTGTGTGTGCACAAAAATAGATTTTGGGGTACATTATATTTATTTCCAGACACTTGGCCCTATTTAACATGTAACAATTCTTAAAATTGAGAGTATAATACTAGCATTATGGAAGTAGGAAGATGATGAGCTGATGCCGGCTAGAGGGAAGGAATTGTCAGTGTACTCTTGAAATCAGTAACTAGTCTATGTGTCATTACTTAGTAGCATGTCTAGGTCAGGTTTTTGGTGTCAGAATCTAGCTCAGACAAGCTAAATGTTAGTGTCTCGTGAACTCCACTGTGCCTTGTGGTATGTAACTGTGCCTTGTGGTATGTAACTGTGGGTGAACTTAAAGATGTGGAGTAGCTGCAGGCATAAAAAGGAAGGAGATCCCAGCCTGGGCAGTGTGGTGAAACCCCCATCTCTACCAACAACACACAGGGTGTGGTGGCGTGTGCCTGCAGTCCAGCTACCTGGGAGGCCGAGATGGGGATGGGGCATCACCTGAGCTCAGGGAGGTCAAGGCTGCAGTGAATTGTATTCATGCCACTACACTCCAGCCTGGGTGACAGATTGAGACTCTGTCTCAAAAAAAAAAATAAAAGAACGAAATCATATCTTTTGCAGCAACATGGATGGAGCTGGAGGCCATTCACTTAAGCAATTAACACAGGAACAAAAGACCAAGCACCTCACATTCTTATAAGTGGGAGTTAAACCTTGAGTACATATGGACAGAAGGGAACAACAGACACTGAGGCCTAGTTGAGGGGGTGGGTGGTGCAGATTGAAAAACTATGTATCAGTACTATGCTTATCACTTGGATGACAAAATAGTCTGTTCGCCAAACCTTCACAACACCCATTTTCCCTGTAGTACAGACCTGCACATGCACTCTGAACCTAAAATAAAAGTTCAAAAAAAAGCAGATGTGGAGTAGGAAACCCCTCGATTTCTGCAGGGGCAGAGAAATGTTCAAATGCACAGTGAACATTTAGAAGCAAACTTTTGAAGGAGTATTTTCAGCTGCCATTTATGCTTCTTACAAATAGAGTTTGAAACAGCTGAGACACTTCTAAATTCAGAAGTTCATATGCTTCTGGAACATCGAAAGCAGCAGAATGAGAGTGCAGAGGACGAACAGGAGCTCTCAGAAGTCTTCATGAAAACATTAAACTACACAGCCCGTTTCAGTCGTTTCAAAAACAGAGAGACCATTGCCAGTGTTCGTAGGTGAGTGCTAAAAGAAAGTTTTTATTAATCCAAACCATTGGACAACTGCATGTAGAATGCTGTCCCCTCCCCCTTTCCCAGGTGTCACTTGTGAATTTAAGTAAAATAATGTTAGGCTGGGCATGGTGGCTCACACCCAGCACTTTGGAAGGTTGAGGCAGCAGATCACTTGAGGCCAGGTGTTCAAGACCAGCCTGGTCGATATAGCAAAAACCCGTCTCTGCTAAAAATGCAAAAAATTAGCTGGTGGTACACACCATTAATCCTAGCTGCTCAGGAGGCCGAGGCGGGAGAATCGCTTGAATCTGTAGGCCAAGGTTGCAGTGAGCCGAGATTGCGCAACTGCACTCCAACCTGGGCAACTTAGAAGACCAGAATTTCAGCCAGGTGTGGTGGCTTACACCTGTAATCCACACTTTGTGGAGCTGAGGTGGACCAGTCTCTTGAGGCCAGGAGTTCAAGACCAGCATGTGCAACATGGTGAAACTCGTGTCCCTACAAAAAAAATACAGAAATTAGCCAGGTGTGGTGGCAGGTACCTGTGGTCCTAGTTACTTGGGAGGCTGAAGTGGGAGGATCATGTGAGCCTGGGAGGTTGAGGCTTTAGTGAGCTGTGATTGTGCCACTGTACTCCAGTCTGGGAACAGATTCAAATATGAATCTGTCATATTTTGTGTAAGTCCAGTATGTGTGATCTAAATGGTACTGTTAGTGGGGAAGTAACTTTTTTTGTTATTTTTTTTAGAGATGGGGAGACTTACTATGTTGTCCAGGCTGGTCTCAAACTCCTGGCCTCAATTGATCCTCCAACCTTAGCCCCCCAAAGTGCTGGGATTGGCCGGGTGCAGTGGCTCATGCCTGTAATTCCAGCACTTTGGGAGACCAAGATGGGCACATCTCTTGCGGTCAGGAGTTCAAGACCAGCCTGACCAAAATGGTGAAATCTCGTCTACTAAAAATACAAAAATTAGCTGGGCGTGGTAGCGCATGCCTGTAGTCCCAGCTACTTGGGAGCCTGAGAAAGGAGAATTGCTTGAACCCGGGAGAGGGAGGTAGCAGTCAGCCAAGATCGTGCCACTGCACTGCAGCCCGGGTGACATAGAGTGAGACTCCATCTCAAAAAAAACAAAGTCCTCGAATTAGAGGTAAGCCACCATGTCCAGCCTATAGATAGATAGATAGATAGATAATAGTATTTGTACCTATGTATGAGGTACATATGATATTTTGTTACTTAGAATGTGTAATGAGTATGTTAGGGTATTGAGGGTATTGATCATTTCTATGTATTAGGAACATGTCAAGTCTCCCTTAGCTATTTTTATTTTATGTATTTATTCATTGATTTTAGAGACAAGGTCTCACTGTGTTGCCCAGGCTGAAGACGTCTTGAACTCCTGGACTCAAGTGATCCTCCTGCCTTGGCCTCCCAAAGTGCTAGGATTACAGGCATGAGCTGCTAAGCCTGGCCTCTTCTACCTTTTTTTTGTTTTGTTTCGTTTTGTTTTGAGACAGTCTCACTTCATCACCCAGATTGGAGTGTAGTGGTGCGGTCTTGGCTCACTGCAACCTCCACCTCCCAGGTTAAAGCAGTTCTCATGCCTCAGCCTTCCAAATAGCTGGGACTACAGACACACACCACCACACCCGGCTAATTTTTTTAGTTTTTTGTTTTTTTGGTTTTGTTTGTTTGTTTGTTTGTCTGTTTTGAGACGGAGTCTAGTTCTGTCACCCAGGCTGGAGTGCAGTGGCGTGATCTTGGCTCACTGCAGCCTCCGCCTCCCGGGTTCAAGCAATTCTCCTGCCTCAGCCTCCCGAGTAGCTGGGAGTAGCCCGCCACTGCACCCAGCTAATTTTTGTGTTTTTAGTAGAGACGGGGTTTCACCACGTTGGCCAGGCTGGTCTTGAACTCCTGACCTCCGTTGATCCACCCGCCTCGGCCTCCCAAAGTGCTGGGATTACAGGCGTGAGCCACTGCGCCTTGGCAATTTTTGTATTTTTAGTAGAGACGGGGTTTCGCCATGGTGCTCAGGCTGGTCTCGAACTCCTCACGTCAAGTGATTACCCACCTTGGCCTCTCAGAGTGCTGGAATTACAGGTGTGAGCCACTACACCTGGCCGTCTAGCTATTTTTAAATACTAGCTACGTTTGATCCCTTTTTTCCTGTTGATTACTCTTTGATTTTTGTTGTTTATTTGTTTTTGATTATTTTGATTTTTTTTTTTTCCTTTTGATTAGCTTGCTACTCCAGAAAAAGCTTCATAAGTTTGAGTTGGCCTGTTTGGCCAACCTTTGCCCAGAGACTGCTGAGGAGTCCAAGGCTCTAATCCCAAGGTTAGTACCAGTTGTGATAAGTTCTCTGTATACTGGATAAATTCCTACAAATAGAATTGGTGTGTCTAAAATGTGTATGCGTTATATATTTGGGTACATAATTGCCAATATTGAATGAAAGTGCCTTTTTTTTTTTTTTTTTTTTTTTTGAGACGGAGTTTCGCTCTTGTTGCCCAGGCTGGAGTGCAGTGGTGTGATCTCGGCTCACCACAACCTCTGTCTCCTGGGTTCAAGCGATTCTCCTGCCTCAGCCTCCCGAGTAGCTGGGATTACAGGCACGCACCACCACACTTGGCTAATTTTGTGTTTTTAGTAGAGATGGGGTATCTCCATGTTGGTCAGGCTAGTCGCGAACTCCCAGCCTCAGTTGATCCACCCGCCTCGGCCTCCCAGAGTGCTGGGATTACAGGCGTGAGCCACCGTGCCCAGCCAAAAGTGCCCTTTTAACAGTGTGTGAGAATGATGGTTTTATACCACACCAAGTGATAGCAAAAATATGAAACAGCTGGAACTTCTGTACGCTGATGGTAGGATTGTGAGTGTTAATTAGAACAATCATTTTGGAGAGTGATTTGGCTATGTCTGGTAAAGATGAATATACTCCAAGTTCCAAAAATCCATTCCTGGTACATATCCTAAAGGTAACTCACACAAATTTAGAAGGAGACGTATATTTTAGTGTTCATTGCTGCATTGTTTTGTTTTTAGTAGACATGGGGTTTCACCGTGTTGGCCAGGCTGGTCTCAAACTTCTGGCCTCAAGTGATCTGCCTGCCTCAGCCTCACAAGTGCTGGGATTACAGGCATGAGCCGCGGTGCCCAGCCTCATGCTCCACTGCTAATGATAGCAGAAATTTGATAATCTCTTGGCCAGTAAGAAAATGGATAAATGAATCATTGTATAATCATACAATGTTTATTATACAGCAGTAAAAAAAAAATCAATGAACTAGAACCACATGGAATATCAACATATGCCAGAATGAATTTTGAGGAAAAAAATTGCAGAAGGATAAATACAGTATGATGCCATTTCTTATAAAGTTTGAAACTATGCTGCATATTATTTACGTATCCATAAATGTGTAGTGAGTATAAAAATATGTATGGCAAAACAAATTTTTTTTAAATGTATGGCAATGATAAATACTAAATTGAGGATGGTGGTTATTTCTGGGGAAGGAGGGAAGGTACTGGTCTAGGAGAGTATACACAGCCATCCACTTTTCCTGCTTATTAAAGAACTCTGGGCTGGGCGCAGTGGTTTAAGCCTGTAATCCCAGCACTTTGGGAGGCCGAGGCAGGTGGATCACAAGGTCAGGAGGTTGAGACCATCCTGGCCAACATGGTGGAACTCCATCTCTACTAAAATACAAAATTAGCTGGGTGTGGTGGTGTGCGACTGTAGTCCCGGCTACTCGGGAGGCTGAAGTAGGGGAATCACTGGAACCCGAGAGGTGATGGTTGCAGTGAGCCGAGATTGCGCCACTGCACTCCAGTTTGGCAATAGAGCGACACTCTGTCCCAAAAAAAAACTCTGGCCAGGTGTGGTGGCTCACACCTGTCATCCCAGCACTTTGGGAGGTTGATACCATTAGAAAACATGAAGACAGTAAATGAAAAAATGCAGGGCCGGGCGTGGTGGCTCATGCCTGTAATCCCAGCACTTTGGGAGGTTGAGACAGGAGGATCACCTGAGGTCAGGAGTTCGAGACCAGCCTCGCCAGTGGTGAAACCCCGTCTCTACTAAAAATATAAAAATTAGCTGGGTGAGGGCTGGGTGTGGTGGCTTACGCCTGTAATCCCAGCACTTTGGGAGGCTGAGGCGGGCGGATCACGAGGTCAGGAGATCGAGACCGTCCTGGATAACACAGTGAAACCCTGTCTCTACTAAAAATACAAAAAATTAGCTGGGCGTGGTGGCGGGCACCTGCAGTCCCAGCTACTTGGGAGGCTGAGGCAGGAGAATGGTGGGAATCCGGAAGGCGGAGCTTGCAGTGAGCCGAGATTGCGCCACTGCACTCCAGCCTGGGCGACAGAGCAAGACTCCGTTTGGTAGGCTGAGACAGGAGAATCACTTGAACCCTGGAGGTGGAGGTTTTGGTGAGCCGAGATCATGCCACTTCACTCTAGCCTAAGAGGCAAGAGCGAAACTCCATCTCAAAAAAAAGAAAAAAAAAAACCTCTAAGTCAAGTGGGGCTAACTGTAAAGGTATATTTTTTATACCTTTTATCTTTTATATGTTTGAAATATTTTGTAATGTTTTATCAGGAAAAGTGGAAAAGAAATCCAGATGAAAGGTAAAGGTGTTAGAGATGTGGGCAGTAGATTAGCACGCCTCAAAGAAGAGTGCGGGGAAATTGCCAGTCGCCAAATCACTCATTTCTTTTCATTTTCTTGTAGCTTGGAGGGACGGTTTGAAGATGAGGAGCTGCAGCAGATTCTTGATGATATCCAGACAAAGCGCAGCTTTCAGTATTAATCTCCAAACATCACTGCTGCTCGGAGAAACCACATCCCCAGGCATAACACCACCTTCCCACTGTCTGGGGCTGACTTGCACAGAAATTCTGTTGAAGACAGTTGAGAATTCCTTTGGAGAAAACAGCCCAGCTTGGCGTGGGGTTAGGTTGCTGTTTCAAATAACTCACAGGCCCAGGTGACATGGAATCTTGGAGCAGCCTTGTGCAGTGGCAGCCAGTGGCTTCCTGAACGTGCCTCTGCGAAGTGTGAGATGAGGGGTCACATAACCACACTGTTGACTACCTCATTCCTGGTTTTTGGCCTCCACATCATCTTTTTTCTTAATATTTCATGTTTTAATTTCAGGGTGTTTATACTTTTTGAAACTAGACCAGAAGATAGTAGACTTTATAGAGAAAGACCAGTTTTACCTAGATACTAAAGGAAGAATTAAACCGCTGTTAGTTTGAAATGCTTTTTTTTTTTTTTTTTAAATGGAGATAGGGTCTTAACTCTTGTCCAGGCTGGAGGAGTGCAGTCGTACAGTCATGGCTCACTGAAGTCTTGACCCCGCTGCCTCAGCCTCCCAAATAACTGGGGCCACAGGTGTGCACCACAACTCTCAGCTAATTTTTAAAATTTTTTATAGAGGTGGGGTTTTACTATGCTGTCCAGACTGGTCTTAAACTCCTGGGCTCAAGTGATCCCCCTGCCTTGGCCTCCCAAACTGGTGAGATTACAGGCATGAGCCACCACAACTGGCCTGAAATTCTTAAAGGATGGGAGTGTCGATGACAGCACCTTGGCATCGTTGTGCCTAACCTGGGAGACGGAAGAAGCACGCCATGGGAAGTGTTTACACTTGGGGACAAGTGCTAAGTATTGTGGAGCCCATAGCCCCTTGAGATAGATGGCTACTTTGCCTTTCTTCTTGAACTGTCTTGCAGAATGTGGATTTGGGGTAAGTGGTCTTGAAGGATTCATTTAGTCACCCTCAAATTAAGATTTTTACTTCATCTTTCTTGGGCCTGCACCTCCAAGATAACAAAGAAGAAGCAATGGTCGTGCCAAAGAGGTCCACAACCAGGTGTGCACTGTTCACTGCAGCCCATTTGCTGTATGAACTGTGGTTGTTGTGTGCCCAATGACAAGGCTACTAAGAAATTCATCATTTGAAACGTAGAGGCCGCAGCAGTCAGCGATGTTTCTGAAATGAGCATCCTTGACGCCTGTGTACTTCCCAGGCTGGATGTGAAGCTACATTACCATGTGAGTTGTGCCATTCACAGCACAGTGGTGAGGAATTGAGCTCATGAAGCAGGCAAGGACCGAACACCTCCACCCCAACGTAGACCTGCAGGTGCTGCCCCATGACCTCCACCAAAGCCCATATAAGGAGCGGAGTTGTTAAGGACTGAAGAAAAACTTCTCTGGAGAAAAATAAAATTGCAATTCTACTTAAAAAAATTTTTTTTTTTTTTTACTTCATAGGCCAGGCTTGAAGTTCTGAACACTTTGAAGTCTCCAATTATGAGAGATCCAGTCTAAGCCTCTGGCCTGCTAATTAGCAATAAGTGCTTTATTTGGAAGGAGGGAGTCATCCACTCTTGAGCCACTGCAGTGAAGTCACTTGATCTCAGTCTGGGGGAAAACACTTCAATAGCTAAACATTCTAGCTTTGATTTTTCTGAAGGGAATACACTTGTTTTCAATTTTGGGGTTTTTCTTTGGGGCACTTGCTTGACTCTGTATGAACTTGTGATCCAAGGAAAAAGGAGAAAGAACAGTGTTGGCTTTTAAAATCAGGATGGTTTTATGTTTGCTACGAAATAAGGCAAGAATAAAAAATTCTTATTTTTATTTATTTATTTATTTTTTGAGATAGAGTCTGGCTGTGTTGCCCAGGATGCAATGGCGCAATCTTGGCTCACTGCAACCTCTGCCTTCTGGGTTCAAGTGATTCTCCTGCCTCAGCCTCCCAAGTAGCTGGGATTACAGGTACCTGCCACCACGCCTGGCTAATTTTTTGTGTTTTTAGTAGAGACAGGGTTTCACCACGTTCGCCAGGCTAGTCTTGAACTGACCTCAAGTGATCCTCCCACCTCGGCTTCCCAAAGTGCTGGGATTACAGGCGTGAGCCACCGGCCAATCTTTTTATCCTTGAGCAACTTCGCTTCTTTGAGCCTCATTGGTGTTCTCAATTGTGAAATATGGATAATAGTATCTGCCCCATGGGTATTTTGAGAAGGTTGAATGAACAGGAAATTATTACAAAGAGCCTAGAGGTGTCTGATATATAGTATGTTCCAGTAAATGTTCACTATTCTTAGCATCTCAGGCAGATGAGCTAGTATAGATAGATGATTAAGTCAGCTTGCTTCATAGAAATTAGTGCAAGAATTTGTTAGCCTACCAACTGATAGTATCAGACTTGGAAAATAAATGAAATTGGGCCAGGCGTGGTGGCTCACCCTTGTAATCCCAGCGCTTTCAGAGGCCGAGGCAGGCGGATCACCTGAGGTTGGGAGTTTGAGACCATCCTGACCAACATGGAGAAACCCCGTCTCTACTTAAAATACAAAATTAGCGGGGCGTGGTGGCGCATGCCTGTAATCTCAGCTACTCTGGAGGCTGAGGCAGGAGAATTGCTTGAACCTGGGAGGCAGAGGGGGTGGCGAGCCAAGATTGCACCATTGTACTCCAGCCTAGGCAACAAGAGCGAAACTGTCTCAAAAAAAAAAAAAAAAAAAAAGTGAAATTGCTTACCCAAATCTACAGTTAACTTTCGTTTTTTAATGCTTGATGAATTTGCATGTCATTCTTGGGCAGTGGCCATGCTGTCTTCTCTGTATTGTTCCAATTTGGGTATATGTGCTGCCAAAGTGAGTACTGCAGAATTATTTCTTGAGAGAGGCACTTACATGTGCTGATTGGCACTAAAGCAGTGGAATGGGAAGAAGAGACTTGGAAGGCAGCCCAGACGATCCAGGCGTGTGCTAGATGGCAACTGAGGAGCACGGTGCTACCATCTTTACTGGTGTTTCCACCTATGTGCCAGGGGTTCTGTGAGCTACCTGAGAATACTGAAGTATATAATGCTCTGGCACATAGTTAGGCACTAATCAGTGGTATTTATCAAGGTGATTAAAAGCAGATTTAAAAAGCAGCTCACAGTTGGGCGCGGTGGCTCACACCTGTAATCCCAGCACTTTGGGAGGCCGAGGCGGGTGGATCACCAGAGGTCAGAAGTTCGAGACCAGCCTGGCCAACGTTGTGAAACCCTGTCTCTACTAAAAATACAAAAATTGGCCACGTGTGGTGGCGGGCACCTGTAATCCTAGCTACTTGGGAAGCTGAGACAGGAGAATTGCTTGAACCCGGGAGGTGGAGGTTGCAGTGAGCCAAGATCATGCCATTGCACTCCAGCCTGGGCAACAAGAGCGAGACTCCATCTTGAAAAAAAATAAAATAATAAAAAGCAGCTCATACTAGGGAACTTGGTAAAGCAACCTCATGCTGTTGTAGGTTGAAAGCCTGGTCAGCTATTCTGCAAGACAGTCAAAAATTGTTTACAGGGCTGGACAGCATATTGCTATTGAAAAATAGCTATTAGGAGACCTTGCACAATTTGTGAAACATTGTTAGGCTCATTGTACTGTGTAAAATCAGGAAAGAATTTGGGAACATACTGATACAACAAAAAGATAGGTTGTCAAACCCTCACTTCACCAGAAAGCTAAATTAACCAGATAAGTCTTTCTGAAAGTTTTAGTGTCTTAGTTTGTTCCTGCGCTGTAACAGAATACCTTAGACTGGGTAACCTATAAATAATAGGAATTTATTTCTCACAGTTTTGGAGGCTGGCAAATGCAAGATCCAGGTGCTGGTACGTTCAGTGTCTGGCAAGGGCGGCTTTCTGGTCCAAGATGGTGCCTTTTTTTCTGCATCTTCCATAGGGAATGAACACTCCTTATGGTAGAAGGGATGGAAGGACCAGGCTTTTTTTTTTTTTTTTTTTGGATACAGCAGGATCTTGCTCTGTCGCCCAGGCTGGAGTGCAGTGGCATGATTAAGGTTCACTGCAGCCTCAATCTCCCACTCTCCAGCGATCATCCCACCTCAGCCTCTTGGATAGCTGGGACCACAGGCACGAGCTACCATGCCTGGCTAATTTATTTTTTGTAGAGACGGGGTTTCGCCATGTTGCCCAGGCTGGTCTGGAATTTCTGACCTCTAGCAGTCCACCTGTTTCCGCCTCCCAAATGCTGAGATTAGAGGCATGAGTCACTGCACCCAGCCCGCAGCCTCTTTTATAAGGGCATTAATCCCCTTCATGAGGGATATTCTCTCATGACTTAATCACCTGCCAAAGACCCCACCTCTTAATACTACATCAGTGATGGGTTCAATGTATCAATTGGGTGGGAGGGGGCACATTCAGACCATAGCATCTAGTCATTCTGGTTTTATTAAGATTTATTAGACCTGAGGCATGAAAAATAGCATACTGGATGGGACTTCAGCATCGATGAGTTGCCTTAGTAATACTGTTAATAAAAAGCACTAAATATGCCACTGGTGTCAGATAATTTTTTTACAAAAAATTTTATACTTAACAGAAAACCTGGAAAGACTAGTACATTGATACCTGTGTGTTCACCATCTTGATGTAACGGATAACATGCTATTTGCTTTATCTGTATTTCATTGCTAGGAATGGGGCATTATAGCACTTAGGAACATTGACAAGTATTGCATGTTATTGAATATCCAGCTCATATTGAAGTTTTCCTTGGGGAGAGTTCTGGGTCAAGGGTCAGTCCCAGTAGTGGTGTGGCTCAGTTGTCAGGGTCTAACCTAACAATTGCGGTGAGAAATATTGAGGAAATATATGTGGTTACAGCTCTCAAGTTTCTGTAAAGATCTTTGACTAGATAAAAGTACCTGTTTGCAACTCCTGAATGGGAGATGGGACTAGGGAGACTGCAGGTCCTGGGTAGATTCTGATCAGTATTTGTGCCTACACCCGGCTCTCCTCTCTTCATCAGCGGAAGAGCAGTTTGGAACTAAACAAGGAGAATGCACATTCAATGACAGCAGAGTAGGGGCAGATCTGCTAGAGTCCATCAAACATGGAGCAGGTTCAAAGCAGCGGTGTATGCCTCCCTTCCGTTGTGTGGCACTGTGTATTTTTTTTTTTTTTTTTTGAGATGGAGTTTCACTCTTGTTGCCCAGGCTGGAGTGCAATGGCACGATCTCGGCTCACTGCAACCTCCGCCTCCCAGGTTCAAGCGATTCTCCTGCTTCAGCCTCCCGAGAGCTGGGATTACAGGCGTATGCCACCACACCCAGCTAATTTTTTTGTATTTTTAGTAGAGACGGGGTTTCACCATGTTAGCCAGGATGGTCTGTATCTCCTGACCCCATGATCCGCCTGCCTCGGCCTCCCAAAGTGCTGGGATTACAGGCATGAGCCACCGTGCCCGGCCTGCACTGCGTACTTACTAGCAAATGTTTATTGAGCCCCCATTTTGAATAGCGTCGGTGTGGAGCTACAAGGAGAAACAAGAATACCTGAAATTACAGAATTTGAGGAGAGAGCTCCGTGAGATAGGGGTGAGGGGAACAGCCTAGGAGACAACTGGGAATTTTGAAAGATTCGCAAGGCAAAGCTGTCAGACAGCTTCCTTTGAGATGGGCACATCCCATATCTGAACTGTCCAGTGTACTAGCCACTGGCTGCATGGAGCTTCTGCATATGGTAGGCTAATGACTTAGGAACTGGATTTTAAGCTTAAATTTTATTTATTTTTGAGACAGTCTCCCTTTGTCAACCAGGCTGGAGTGCAGTGGCACGATCCCAGCTCACTGCAACCTCCGCCTCCGAGGTTCAAACGATTCTCCTGCCTTAGCCTCCTGAGTAGCTGGGATTACAGGCACCCGCTACCACGCCCAGCTGATTTTTGTATTTTTTTAGTAGAGACAGGGTTTCACCATGTTAGCCAGGCTGGTCTTGAACTCCTCACCTCAGGTGATCTGCCTGCCTTGGCCTCCCAAAGTGCTGGTATTATAGGTGTGAGCCACCACACCCGACCATAAGTTTAAAATTCTCATAGTCACATATGGTGAGTGACTAATGTATTGGACAGTGCAGCTCTTAGCTACCAACAATGACCTGCAGGGCACTGAGATCAAAGAGAATTTCAGCAAGATGAACAATGCCCACAAGAGCAGCAGTGATAACAGGAACATTAATCAAACGTCGATCCCCCAAATTCTGAGATCAAAAGATGCATGTCACTTTCACTGAGTCCTATATTTCGATGTACCCTAAATTCTGTTTTTAGAAGTCTGCCTCTTCGGCCAAGGCAGCTCCTGACAAGCCCCCCAACAAAGGCCGCCTGAGGCGGCGGTGGCGCCTGCAGGGACCACTAGCAGCCGCGGGCTGAGGGGAGGTCGGGACCGAGGCAGGGCTGCTGTATCCCACCAGAGGAAGGCCGAGTATCCCAGCGCGGGAGGAGCAGCCCCCCGTGCCAGGCCTCCCGATGTCCCCAGGCAGCAGCCCCAGGCTGCAAAATCCCTACCTCCAGTTCAGGGCAAGAAGAGTCCACGACTCCTATGCCAACAACTGATAAAGATTGCAAAGAAGAAAAAGAGGAAGATGATTCTGCCCTCCCTCGGGAAGTTTACATTGCTGCATCCAGACCTAGCTGGGGATGGTGCAGTAGGAGCAGGACATGTGTTTCTCCTCATGGTGATACAGAGAACACCTGAAGCTCTCGGTGCAAGACTGGTTCATTGCAGCTCATCTGCAAATCAGAACCAAGTACAGACCAACTCGATTATGATGTTGGAGAAGAGCATCAGTCTCCAGGTGGCATTAGCAAGGAGGAAGAAGAAGAGATTAATCAGTGAAGAGGAGATGCTATTCAAAGTTGACCCAAGAGATGAGACCTACAAACCCCTCTTAGAAAGGGAAACCCCAAAGCCACGCGAAAATCAGGGAAGGTGAAAGGAGAGAAGGAGAGGAGGGAAATTAAAGTGGAAGTAGAGGTAGAGGTGAAAGAAGAGGAGAATGAAATTAGGGAGGATAAGGAACCTCTGAGGAAGAGAGGAAGAAGATGGAAAGATGGCAGAAGTCCACATTTACCCAGAAGGAGAAAAAAGCCTGCAACCCAGTATGTCCGTTGTGAGATGGAAGGATGTGGAACTGTCCTTGCCCATCCTGGCTATTGACAGCACCACGTTAAATAGCATTTGTTGAAGAAAAAATACGTATGTCTGCATCCCTCCTGTGGACTACTCTGTAGGCTCCAGAAGCAACTTCTATGACATGCCAAACATCATACAGATCAAAGGGATTCTGTCTGTGAATACTGTGCTCAGGCCTTCAAGAGTTCCCACAATCTGGTAGTGCACCAGATTGTTCACATTGGCGAGAAGCCGTTATTACAATGTGAGATCTGTAAATTTACTTATCGGCAAAAGGCGTCTCTTAATTGGCACATAAAGAAGCATGAGGCCGGGCGCGGTGGCCCATACCTGTAATCCCAGCACTTTGGGAGGTCAAGGCGGGTGGATCGCCTGAGGTCAGAAGTTCGAGACCACCCTGGCCAACATGGTGAAACCCCATCTCTACTAAAAATACAAAAATTAGCTGGGCGTGGTGGTCCATACCTGTAGTCCCAGCTACCCGGGAGACTGAGGTGGGAGAATTGCTTGAACCCATGAGGCAGAGGTTGCAGTGAGCCGGGATCATGCCACTGCACTCCAGCCTGGGCGACAAGAGTGAGACTCTGTCTCAAAAAGATAAATAATTAAGGCCGGGCACACGCGGTGGCTCACGCCTGTAATCCCAGCACTCTGGGAGGCCGAGGTGGATGGATCACGAGGTCAGGAGATGAAGACCATCCTGGCTAACATGGTGAAACCCCATCTCTACTAAAAATACAAAAAATTAGCTGAGTGTGGTGGCGGGCGCCTGTAGTCCCAGCTACTCGGGAGGCTGAGGCAGGAGAATGGCATGAACCCAGGAGGTGGAGCTTGCAGTGAGCCGAGATGGCGCCACTGCACTCCAGCCTGGGCCACAGAGCGAGACTCCGTCTCAAATAAATAAATAAATAAATAAATAAAGCAAAAATTAAAGTCTGCCTCTTAGTCCAGGCGCGGTGGCTCACACCTGTAATCCCAACACTTTGGGAGGCTGAGGTGGGCGGATAACAAGGTCAGGAGTTCAAGACCAGACTGGCCAAGATGGTGAAACCTCGTCTCTACTAAAAATACAAAAATTAGTTGGGTGTGATGGCGGGTGCCTGTAATCTCAGCTACTCGGGAGGCTGAGGCAGAGAATTGCTTGAACCCGGGAGGCGGAGGTTGCAGTGAACTGAGATGGCACTGCTGCACTCCAGCCTGGGTGACAGAGCAAGACTCTGTCTCAAAATAAATAAATAAATAAAGTCTGCCTCTTTATCACTAATGCTGTCAAACAAAATTATGAAAACTGTTTTAAGGAAACATTGGGGAATAGTGAAAAGATTAATCTTTTGATGATAACCTTTTGTTTGTTTGTTTGTTTTGAGATGGAGTCTCACCTCCCGGGTTCAAGCCATTCTCCTGCCTCAGCACCCGGAGTAACAAGGATTACAGCCACGCACCACCACGCCTAGCCAATTTTTATATTTTTGGTAGAGACGGGGTTTCACCATGTTGGCCAGGTTGGGCTTGAACTCCTGGTCTCAAGTGATACGGCCACCTCAGCCTCCCAAAGTGCTGGTATGAGCCACTGCACCCAGCCAATAACCTCTTTTCTAATTAATTTTGCCTTTTCAGTGGGCATATAACCTGTCTGTTGAATTTCAGTCTGGGCACCATGGCTCATGCCTGTAATTCCAGCACTTTCAGAGGCGAAAGCAGGAGTATTGCTTGAGCCCAGGAGTTAGAGACCAGCCTGGGAAGCATAGCAAGACCCCGTCTGATTAAAAAGCAAAAAGAAGGAAAGGAAGACAGAAGAAGGAAACAAACCCAACATGTTCACCTTTTAGGTTTCCAATATCTATATTTTGTAATGCTACTAATATGGGCCCTGCACAGGAATACTTCCAGATTCACAGACTGATGTCTTTGTAAATTCAGACCAACTTCTGTTTCCCAAGTCATATAAACACCCTGAGACCATGCATGTCCCAAATGTATTCTCCTTATTAATACAGAGTTTAACACATCCTCATATTCAAAGGGAACTGGAAGTTATGAGATATTTGAAAACCAATACTTTTTAAACTCAGCAATGACAGAAGAAATAAACGATGGAAAGACTTGATCATGTAAAAATTTAAAACTTAAAAGTCACTTTTTTTTGGAGATGGTCTCACTCTGTTGTCCAGGCTGGTCTTGAACTCCTGGGAAACCACCCATTTCAGTCTCCCAAAGTACTGGGATTACAGGCATGAGCCATTGCACACAACCAAAATCATTAACTTTTTAGGAAGTCAATAGACTGTCTAAAGATTTGATAAGATGTATAGCAGAGAACACAGACAAGGGTGAGGATATTTATTTGTGGCTGGGCGCGGTGGGGTGGCTCACACCTGTAATCCCAGCACTTTGGGAGTCCGAGGCGGGCGGATCACCTGAGGTCAGGAGTTCAAGACCAGCCTGGCCAACATGGCAAAACCTGGTCTCTACTAAAAATACAAAACTTAGCCAAGCGTGGTGGTGGGCAACTGTAATCCCAGCTACTTGGAAGGCTGAGGCAGGAGAATTGCTTGAACCTGGGAGGTGGAGGTTGCAGTGAGCTGAGATTGTGCCATTGTACTCCAGCCTGGGCAACAGAGCGAGACTCCATCTCCAACAACAACAACAAAAAGATGTGGGCTGGGTGCAGTGGCTCACGCCTATAATCCAGCACTTTGGGAGGCCGAGGTGGGAGGATCACGATGTCAGGAGTTCGAGATCAGCTTGGCCAACATAGTGAAACCCTGTCTGTACTAAAAATACAAAAAATTAGCCCTGTGTGGTGGCCATGCCTGTAATCCCAGCTACTCGAGAGGCTGAGGCAGGAAGGCAGAGGTTGCAGTGAGCCGAGATCACGCCATTGCACTTCAGCCCGGGCAACAGCGCAAAACTCCGTCTTAAAAAAAAAAAAAGAAAGAAAGAAAGAAAGATGTGTACATCAAGACCTTGGCTGGGTACAGTCACTTATGCCTGTAATCCCAGCACTTCAGGAGGCCAAGGCCAGAGGATTGCTTGTGGCCAGGAGTTCAAGGCCAGCCTGAGCAACATAGTAAGACCCCATCTCTACACACACACACACACACACACACACACACACACACACACACACACACACACACACACACACACAAAGAAAACTTAGCCAGGCATAGTGGTGCATGCTTTTGGTCCCAGCTACTTGGGAGGCTGAGGTGGGAGGATTTCTTGAGCCCAGAAAGTCAGAGCTGCAGTGGGCTATGATTGCACCACTGCATTCCACATTGCAGCCTGGGTGACAGAGCAAGACCCTGTCTCAAAAAAAAAAGACCTTTTTTTTTTTTTTTTGAGATGGAGTCTTGCTCTGTCACCAGGCTGGAGTGCAGTGGCACGATCTGGGCTCACTGCAACCTCCGACTCCGGGGTTCAAGCGATTCTCCTGCCTCAGCCTCCCAAGTAGCTGAGACCACAGGCGCCCGCCACCATGCCCGGCTAATTTTTGTATTTTTAGTAGAGATGGGGTTTCACCATGTTGCGCAGGCTGGTCTTGAACTCTGGGGCTCAAATGGTCTGTTCTACTCGGCCTCCCAAAGTGCTGAGATTATGAGCGTGAGCCATCACGGCCGGCTTTTTTTTTTTTTTTTTTTGAGACGGGGTTTGGGGTGGAGTGCAGTGGCACGATCTTGGCTCACTACAAACTCCGCCTTCCGCGTTCAAGTGATTCTCCTGCCTCAGCATCCCGATTAGCTGGGATTACAGGTGCGAGCCACCAAGCCTGGCTAATTTTTTTGCATTTTTGGTAGATACAGGGTTTCACCATGTTGGCCTGGCTGGTCTCGAACTCCTGATCTCAAGTGATTCGCCCACCTCGGCCTCCCAAAATGCTGGGATTACAGGTGTGAGCCTCTGTGCCAGGCATGACCTCAATTTTTATTTATATTCTTTTTTTTTTAAGCTGTATCTGCTGGAATGGGATTTTTTTTTATTTTTTTTGAGACAGGATCTTGAAAGTTACGTTATAGAGAAAAATAGAACTCAGTAATATATAGAAAGTGACATACATGTTTAGATACCAGAATTTGGGGGGACAAAATTTTTTTTGACTCCACTGTCTCCAGCTCAGGCTGGAGTGTAGTGTGTGATTGTTGCTCGCTGCAGCCTCGAACTCTTGGGCTCAGGTGATCTTCCCACCTCAGCTTCCCAGGTAGCTGTGACTACAGGCACGTGCCACCATGCCTGCTATTTTTTGGTTTTGTTTTTTTTGTAAAGACAGAGTTTCCCTATGTTACCCAGACTGGTCTCAAACTCCTTGGCTCAAGTGATCTTCCCGCCTCAGCCTCCCAAAGTGCTGGGATAACAGGCATGAGCCACTGCACTGGGCTAATGAGCAACTTCTTTGTGTCAGGTGCTGTTGTATACACATGGGGATATAACAAGACAGGATGCCAGCTCTCAGAGTCTACAGCCTCAGTGTGGCAAGATACATATATATATATAAAGAAAATGTGCTGTTTCCATGGTTTCCTCTGTTAACTGTTTTCCTTTTCCAATTTCCAGTAGAGTGTTATTTATTCCCTTGTCATTTTCTTTTTTTCTTTGAGACAGAGTCTGTCTCTGTCACCCAGGCTAGAGTGCAGTGGCAGGATCTCTGCTCATTGCAACCTCTGCCTCCCAGGTTCAAGCGATTGTCCTGCCTCAGCCTCCCGAGTAGCTGGGATTACAGGTGCCCACCACCATGCCCAGCTAATTTTTGTACTTTTAGTAGAGACAAGGTTTCACCATGTTGGCCATGCTGGTCTCGAACTCCTGACCTCAGGTGATCTGCCCACCTCGGCTTCCCAAAGTGCTGGGATTACAGGCGTGAGCCACTGCGCCTGGCCACCATTTTCTTTCTTGTACCATTTTGGAAGTTTTATGCCTTCTATATATTTTTTTTTACCAGCTATTGTTAAATTTTTAACACTCATTTTTTTTTTTTTTTTGAGACAGGGTCTTACTCTGTTGTCCAGGCTGGAGTGCAGTGGCAAGATCTCGGCTCATTGCAACCTCTGCCCCTGGGGCTAAGGCGATCCTCCTGCCTCAGCCTCCTGAGTAGCTGGGACCACAGGTGCACACAACCATACCTGGCTAATTTTTTTGTATTTTTTTGTGTAGAAATGGGGTTTTGCCATCTTGCCTGGGCTGGTCTCGAACTCCTGACCTCAGGTGATCCACCCGCCTCAGCCTCCCAAAGTCTTGGGATTCTAGGTATGAGCCTCAGCTCCCGGCCACCATTGTCTTTTGACCTCTATTGTTGCTGATAAGAAATCTCACAGTCTAGGGCCGGGTGTGGTGGCTCACACCTGTAATCCCAGCACTTTGGGAGGCCAAGGTGGGCGGATCACGAGGTCAGGAGTTGGAGACCAGCCTGACTAACATGGTGAAACTCCATCTCTACTGAAAATACAAAAATTAGCTGGGCATGGTGGTGGATGCCTGTAATTCTAGCTACTTGGGAGGCTGAGGCAGGAGAATCGCTTGAACCCAGGAGGTGGAGGTCGCAGTGAGCCGAGATCCTGCCACTGCACTCCAGCCTGGGTGACAGAGTGAGATTACTTCTCAAAAAAAAAAAAAAAGAAAGAAAAAGAAATCTGACAGTCTCAATATTATTCATTCATAGATAATCTGTTGTTCCTGGTTGCTTTTATGGTTTTGTCCTTGTTTTTTGTGTTTTACAACCTCACCACAAGATGTCTGAGTATGGCTTTATTTTTGTTTATCCTATTTGAGTGTTACTGTGCTTCTTCCATCTGTGGATTCATGGCTTATACTTTAGGACAGTTCTTAGCATTGTCATATTAACCGCAGCAATTTTTTCATTCTCACTCTTCTCTACTTTTTTTTTTTTCTTTGAGACGAAGTCTCTCTCTGTTGCCCAGGCTGCAGTGCAGTGGCGTGATCTGGGCTCACTGCAACCCCTGCCTCCTGGGTTCAAGCTATTCTCCTGCCTCAGCCTCCTGAGTAGCTGGGATCACAGGTGGGCACCGCCATGGCCGGCTACGTTTTGCATTTTTAGTAGAGGTGGGGTTTCACCATGTTGGCAAGGCTGGTCTCAAACTCCTGACCTCAGGTGATCTGCCTGCCTCAGCCTCCAAAAGTTCTGGGGTTTCAGGCATGAGCCACTACGCCTAGCCTCCCTCTTCTTTCCTTCTTGACTTTTATTCTATCTATACTGTATTTAACTTTCTTATTCTCTGTATATCTCAGCCTTTCTTACATATTTTGTATTTTTAAAAATCTCTTGGTGCTGTATTTTGAGTGATTTCCCTGAATCTATCTTTTAAACCACTAAGTCTTTATTCAGCTATGACTAATCTCCTCTTTAATGTATCCACTGAGGGTTTTTATTTGTATTTTTTAAAATTTTTTTATTTTTTTTGAGACAGAGTCTGCCTCTGTCGCCCAGGCTGGAGTGCAGTGGTGCGATCTCAACTCACCACAACCTCCGCCTCCCGGGTTCAAGTCATTCTCCTGCCTCAGCTTCCTGAGTAGTTGGGATTACAGGCGTGTGCCACCATGCCCGGCTAATTTTTTTTTTTTTTTGTATTTTTAGCAGAGACAGGGTTTCACTATCTTGGCCAGGCTGGTCTCGAACTCTTGACCTTGTGATCTGCCCATCTCAGCCTCCCATAGTGCTGGGATTACAGGTGTAAGCCACTGCGCCTGGCCTTTATTTTTATTTTTTAAACAGCTTTGATAGGACACAGTGGCTCACACCTGTAATCTCAGCACTTTGGGAGGCTGAGGCAGGTGGATTACCTGAAGTCAGGAGTTCGAGACCAGCCTGGGCAACATAGTGCAATACTCTACTAAAAATGCAAAAATTAGTGGAGTGTGGTGGTGGGCACCTGTAATCCTAGCTACATGAGAGGCTGAGGTGGGAGACTCGCTTGAACCTGCGAGGTGGAGGCTGCAGTGAGCCGAGATTGTGCCAATGCACTCCAGCCTGGGCAACAGAGTGAGACTCTATCTCAAAAATAAATAAATAAAATAAACAGTTTTGTTGAAATATAATTTACATACCACAAAGTTCATTCATTTAAGGTACACTAATGATCTGTAGCATATTGACAGAGTTGTGCAACCATGATAAGTTACTATTTATTCATTTTTACTTTTATTTTTTGAGATAGAGTCTCACTCTGTTGCCCAGGCTGGTGTGTAGTGGCATAATCTTGGCTCACCACAACCTCTGCCTCCAAGGTTCAAGCAATTCTCTAATTTTTGTATTTTTAGTATAGGTGAGGTTTCACCATGTTGGCCAGGCTGGTCTTGAACTCCTGACCTCAGGTGATCCGCCCACCTCAGTCGGCACTCCAAAGTGCTGCACTCCCAAATCTCAGCACTCCTAAAGTGCTGGGATTACAGGCGTGAGCCACTGCACCCAGCCAAGTTTTTATATTTTGTTGTAGAAATGGGGGTCTCACTTTTTTGCCCAGACTGGTCTCAAACTCCTGGGCCCAAGCAATCCTCCTGCTTTGGCCTCCCAGGTATGGCCTTCCCCATACCTAGTCAGAGGAGGTCATCTTTCCTCCTGTAGGTCTTGCCACATGGCTTGGCCTTACATGGGCCGGTGACCAACTGGCCACTTCTGTAACTTCTAGGTGGTTAACCACAAGGTTAAGCCTCAATAAACTGCCCAGCTATTGGTGCAGATTACCATAGGTGTCACCTCTTTGGTGTTCACCATCCACACGGCTTTGAGTTCAGCCCATTGGCTACTTTGTCCACACCTGGTATCAAACCATATGGTGTCAGTACTAGGGTGGACTGTGACAGCAACCCAGGGAGCAGTAGCACCCCAGCTAGACCCATCTGTATACCATGCATCATCAGGAATGGGGGGACACCCTTCCTTAAATGGTGAAGGCCCAGGGTCTGGGGGTGCCACAGGCCCCACGGCCTTATCTTGCATTAGGACTACAGGTCCCAAGACCTCTTGCAACTCTGCCGCTAAGGGACTTGTACCCAGCGTATTCCGCTGCTCTAAGTAGGCGCCCCCCTTTGCCAAAGTGGATGTCTGCACTGTCCCATTCCACGAGTTGTTACCCATGAACGTATCCATCCCACTGTTGAGTAAATCATCTGCATGATGACTGTAGCCCGTCCTGCATGCTTTCATAAGCCTGAAGAACGACATATACAGCTGCTAGCTGTTTCTCTATCAAAGAATACTGGAGCTCAGCTCCCTTCCATAGTGGGACCAAAAGCCTCCTGGCATTCTCAAGCGCTCCATGTGCTGCCACAGGCTCCAACCGAAACCATCTGTGGTCACATGCACATCCAGCTCAAATGGGTGCCCCTGGTCAACTACCCGTAGAGCTTGTGCCTGCTAAATAGCCTGCTTGGCTGCTAGGAAGGCGGTCTCAGCCACACCATACCAATCTCAGGCAAGAGGGGCATTGATGCTTCTAAATCTGCAAGAGAATCAGAGGTTAACATAATATTGTCAATGAGACCATGACATATGGTGGGGCTATGCATATAGCCCTGAGCAACACTGAAATTTCATTGTCACCGTCCCATGAAGTCAAACTGTTCTTGGCTCTCTGGAAAAGAATGGATTAGCCAAGTCCACCACATAGTGCTACTGTCCCAATTCTGTTGTCAGGCAGTCCATCAAGTTTGTGATAGACAGCACAGCTGCCAAGCCATGTAAAATATCCACACCTAGAATGTATTTACATAAGTGGCCAATGCCAAGGTGCAAAGATACAGGTTTCACTTTCATTGATCAGTTTTCATAGCTGTCTATGAAGCCTTGCCTGGAAACTTATCCAGGTTCCCATAGAAAAGGGTACAACCTGCACTGGTACCTACCAGCGCAAGCACCTGCTGTACAAATTAAACAGAAAAGAATCTATACCACTGCCTGGCTGCAGCATGTAGTCTTTGAGCTGAAGTGCCTGGGTGGGACTGGGTTGCATATCAATGTCCTTCTCCCGCTTGGGCATTTTCTGGAATTGCTGCTCCGGAGACAACTGTTCTCACAAAGTTAGGAGTACTTCATAGGGCTGCTTATAGATTGTTTTCTCAGTCAACACTGGCCAAAATCAAATCCACCCACACCTGTGAACATGTCACTCTTTGGGTCCCCCTTTCTCCCATGGGGAGGCCCCTTGTGCGTGGGGCATCTTCCCCTTCTTTACGGCATGGACCCCTGGGTCCTGCTGACAGCCTTCTGATGGACCACTGGGCCACTCCACAACGGGGGTTCTTCCCCCTCAGTATCACACCAAGTGGGGGTCTCTGGCCAAGACGATGGACCCAGGCCTGCATTCACAGAAGCTTCTAACTCATTTTCTGAGCCGTGTAGCTGGGCCTCCAGGCGCCCTGCCTGTACCTGGAGGGCCCTCACCTGCACTGCATCCCTCAGGGACTGGGTGTGTACTTCTCCTAGCGCAGTAAAAATGCCCACCAACTCTGCCGGCAAGAGCTTGCTCTTTCTCAGTGCTCCATGCTTCCAGCTGCCCCAGTGCCTTCTCCATGCTGGCGGGGGACCCATCCACTGCTGCTCAGTTTACTACCGGAGCCCATCGGAGCAGCACAGCTGCCACCGGGTACCACAACCCATGTTGCAGCCACATGGCAGACCCAAAATCAGCAGAGACCAAAGGGTCACTTATCCCAGGATCCTGTTTGTGATGCCAATTGTCAGGTTTTAGCCCAAACTGAGGTCCTAAGGGAGTCGGTGAGGTGGTGAGTAGCTGGAAAAACACTCAAGGAAGCAGTTTGACATGGCTTTACCCTTCAAGTGTGAGCGAGCCTGGGCGTGAGCCATAGGTACAGTGTCAGCAGGGTAGTTATACCTTTTAGAGACAATAGTGGCTCCAAGCCAAGCACGAGCCCATGTGGGTGATCACATAATGCGCCTCACGTGGCGTGGTTACATAATGAGCGGAGTTGTGCGCCTGTGCTCCAAACTCACTGAGTCATCCTGGACTGGATGTCTGCCTCGGCCTATTCTTGATCACAGCACATCCTTTTTCCTTACATCTCTGCCCTCCAGCCTCAGCCTGGGCAACATAAGAAGGCTTCATCTAAAAAACAAAACAAAACAAAACAAAAAAACAAAAAAAAAAACAAAAAAAAAGGGAGCTAGTGTAAATAATAGGTTGCCAACCTATGCCAACCTATATAAGATCCTACGGTTGGGCACGGTGGCTCACACCTGTATTCCTAGCACTTTGGAAGGCCAAGGTGGGTGGATCATATGAGGCCAGGAGTTCGAGACCAGCCTGGCCAACATGGTGAAACTCCATGTCTACTAAAAATATAAAACTTAGCTGGGCATGGTGGCATGGGCCTGTAATCCCAGCTACTCTGGAGGCTGAGGTGGAAGTTGCAGTGAGCTGAGATTGCGCCACTGTACTCCAGCCTGGGTGACAGAGTGAGACTCCATCTCAAAAATAAATAAATAAAATAAAAAATAAATAAATCCTATGGAGCAGCTGTTGGCAAAACTTGAGTTCTTCAGGGTCTAGTTCAAACTGACCTTTTCCGAAACTTGCTTCTGCCAGTAAACAAATTCTCAGAAAACAGAGGTGGTTTTCAAAATATTTAACAACCTAGGGGCTGCTGGCCTTAGTAAGGTCAGGCATTAGCCCTCCAATTGCTGGATGTGAGATCCTGAGATGGGGTGGTCAGAGGTTAGTTATGGAAATATTTCAATACTTTTATAACTTTTATAGCCGCCGGGGAACTCCCTGGCTGAATCTCTCACTCTTTCTCACAAAGGCACAGAGGCCTTGTAACTTCCAGCTTCATTTGCATTGGAAATAGAGGAGGAGTAGGGCCCACCGTCATTGAGCCCAGGTGTTTGTGGTTAGCCACTGTTAAGTGTTTCCTGTATCTGATTGAAACAGCACTTGCAACCCTTGGGGCATTTTAAAAAACACTCTAAGACCGGCCTTCCTGCTCTTATGATCTAGTGCTCTTATAACCTTCTCATTATTTGATATTTCATGAATTAAACATAGTTTATTGCGTACCCACCATATAGACTGGGACAAAAATGGAGAACAAGGCTGGGCCAAGTGCAGTGGTGTTTACAACTGGTTGATTGATTATAACCACTTACAGATTTCTTTGTTCCTTCTCCATTCCCATTGCTTCACTTGATTAGCCTACAAAAGAGGAGAACAAGATGACAAGCTTCCAGATCTCCCACAGCCTATATTCTGGTGGGGAGAGACAGACCTAAAAAAAGCAGCTAATTAGAGTAGCCTGGGAATATGTATTACATTAGATATGGTGTGTATTAGTCTGTTTCCACGCTGCTGATACAGACATTCCCGAGACTCGGCAATTTACAAAATAAAGAGCTTTATTCGACTTGCAGTTTCACATGGCTGGGGAGGCCTCACAAACATGGCAGAAGGTAAGGAGGATCAAGTCACATCTTACATGGATGGTGGCAGGCAAAGAGAGCTTATGCAGGGAAAATCCCATTTTTAAAACCATCAGATCTCGTGAGACTCATTCACTATCATGAGAACAGCACAGGAAAGAACCCACCCCCATAATTCAATCACCTCCCACCTGGTTCCTCTTAAGACATGTGAGAATTGTGGGAGTTATAATTCAAGATGAGATTTGGGTGGGGACACAGGCAAACCACAACAATCCACCCCTGACCCCTCCCAAATCTCATGTCCTCACATTTCAAAACCAATCATGCCTTCCCAACAGCCCCCCTAAGTCTTAACTAGTTTCAGAATTAACTCAAAAGCCCACAGTCCAACATCTCATCTGAGACAAGGCAAATCTCTTCCACCTATGAGCCTGTAAAATCAAAAGCAAGCTAGTTACTTCCTAGGTACAATGCGGGTACAAGTATTGGATAAATACAGCCATTCAGAATGGGAGAAGTTGGCCAAAACAAAGGGGTAACAGGGCAAGTCTGAAATCCAGTGTGGCAGTCAAATTTTAAAGGTCCAAAATGATCTCTTTGACTTCTGGTCTCACATCCAGATCTCACTAATGCAAGAGGTGGGTTCCCATGGTCTTGGGCAGGTCCACCCCTGTGGTTTTGCCGGGTACAGCCTTCCTCCCAGCTACTTTCACAGGCTGACCTTGAGTGTCTGCAGCTTTTCCAGGCACACAGTGCAAGCTGTCGATGGATCTACCATTCTGGGGTCTGGAGGATGGTGGCTCTCTTCTCACAGCTCCACTAGGTGGTGCCCAGTAGGAATTCTGTGTGGGGGCTCTGACCCCATATTTCTCTCCCATACTGCCCTAGCAGAGGTTCTCCACGAAGGCCCTGCCCCTGCAGCAAACTTCTGACTGGGCATCCAGGCATTTCCATACATCCTCTGAAATCTAGACAGAGGTTCCCAAACCTCAATTTGTGACTTCCGTGCACCCGCAGGCTCAACACCACATGGAAGCTGCCAAGGCTTGGGGCTTCTGCCCTCTGAAGCAACAGCTTGAACTGTACCTTAGCCTCTTTTAGTCATGAATGCAGTGGCTGGGATGCAGGGCACCAAGTCCCTAGACTACACACAGCAGAGAGACCCTGGGCCCAGTCCATGAAACCATTTTTTCCTCTTAAACCTCTGGGCCTGTGATGGAAGGGGCTGTAGCAGGGGGTCTCTGATATGCCCTGGAGACATTTTCCTCATTGTTTTGGTGATTAACATTTGGCTCCTCGTTACTTGTGGATATTTCTGCAGCTGGCTTGAATTTCTCCTCAGAAAATGGGATTTTCTTTTCTATCACATGGTCAGTCTGCAAATTTTCCAAACTTTTATACTCTGTTTCCCTTTTAAAACTGAATGCTGCCAGGCGCAGTGGCTCACACCTGTAATCCCAGCACTTTGGGAGGCCGAGGTGGGCAGATCATCTCAGGTCGGGAGTTCGAGACCAGCCTGACCAACATGGAGAAACCCCATCTCTACTAAAAATACAAAAATTAGCCAGGCATGGTGGTGCATGCCTGTAATCCCAGCTACTCTGGAAGGCTGAGGCAGGAGAATTGCTTGAACCTGGGAGGCAGGGGTTGCTGTGAGCTGAGATCATGCCATTGCACTCCAGCCTGGGCAACAAGAGTGAAACTCTGTCTCCAAAAAAAAAAAAAAAAAAAAAAACTGCTTTTGGCCAGGCATGGTGGCTCATGCCTGTAATACCAGCACTTTGGGAGGCTGAGGCGGGCGATCACCTGAGATCAGGAGTTCGAGACCAGCCTGGCCAACATGGTGAAACCCCGCCTCTAGTAAAAATACAAAAATTAGCCAGGCGTGGTGGCATGTGCCTGTAATCCTAGCTACCTAGGAGGCTGAGGCAGGAGAATCACTGGATCCCGGGAGGCAGAGGCTGCAGTGAGCTGAGATCATGCCACTGCACTCAAGCCTGGCTTGACAGAGTGAGACTCTGTCTCAAAAACAAAAACAAAAACAAAAACAAAACAAAAAAAATTGAATGCTTTTAACAGCATCTAAGTCACCTCTTGAATACTTTGCTTCTTAGAAATTTCTTCTGCCAGATAACCTAAATAATTTTTCTCAAGTTCAAAGTTCCACAAAACTCTAGGGCGGGGCCAAAATGCAACCAGTCTCTTTGCTAATACAAAACGAGAGTCACCTTTGCTCCAGTTTCCAACAAGCTCTGCATCTCCATCCGAGACCACCTCAGCTTGGATTTCATTGTCCATGTCATTATCAGCATTTTGCTCAAAGCCATTCAACAAGTCTCTAGGGAGTTCCAAACTTTCCCACATTTTTCTGTCTTCTTCTGAGCCCTCCAAACTGTTGCAACCTCTGCCTGTTCTCCATTTCCAAAATGGCTTCCACATTTTGGGTATCTTTTCAGCAATGCCCCACTCTACCGGTACCAATTTACTGTATTAGTCTGTTTTCATGCTGCTGATAAAGACATACCAGAGGCTGGGTAACTTATAAAAGAAAGAGGTTTATTGGACTTACAGTTCCACATGGCTGAAGAGGCCTTACGATCATGGCAGTAGGTAAAGAGGAGCAAGTCACATCTTACATGGCTGGTGACAGGCAGAGAGAGCTTGTGCAGGGCAACTCCTGGGTTTTTTGTTTCTTTGTTTGTTGTTGTTTTTCTCTGAGATGGAGTTTCACTCTGTTGCTGAGGGTGGAGTGCAGTGGTGCAATCTTGGCTCACTGCAACCTCTGCCTCCCAGGTTCAAGCAATTCTCCTGCCTCAGCCTCCCAGTAGCTGGGATTACAGGTGTCCACCACCATGCCTGGCTGATTTTTCTGTATTTTTATTAGAGACAGGGTTTCACCATGTTGGCCAGGTTGGTTTCGAACTCCTGACCTCAAGTTATCCACCTGCCTCGGCCTCCCAAAGTGCTAGGATTACAGGCATAAGCCACTGCGCCCGGCCAGAAACTCCCATTTTTAAAACCATCAGATCTCATGAGACTTATTGACTATCATGAGAAC
Source organism: Homo sapiens (assembly GCF_000001405.40). Lineage (NCBI taxonomy): Eukaryota > Metazoa > Chordata > Mammalia > Primates > Hominidae > Homo > Homo sapiens. The sequence continues at coordinate 127,826,466 of NC_000002.12, read as the reverse complement.
GGTGCAGGAAAGACCCATCCCATAATTCAATAACCTTCCACTAGGTTCCTCCTATGACACGTGGGAATTGTGGGAGTTACAATTCAAGATGAGATTTGAGTGGGAACACAGCCAAACCATATCACGGCACTTGAGATTGCTCTCCTTACAGAGATGTATCTGAGCTGCCAATGAAACGATATCATCGTCTTGGGTAAATACTCGAGGTTCCTTGTCTAAAGCCACAGAACACTAGGATGCGGATATACAAAGAGTGAGGTTCAGAGTGGAAGTTTAATAGGTGAAAGAGAAGAGCTCTCTGCACAGAGAGAGGTCCTGGAGAAAATGGATTGGTGGTGACGCGCAGCGGCTCACACCTGTAATCCCAGCACTTTCGGAAGCCGAGGAGGGCGGATTACTTGAGGTAAGGAGTTCAAGACAAGCCTGGCCAACATGATGAAACCCTGTCTCTACTAAAAATACAAAAATTAGCTGGGCATGGTGGCACATGCCTGTAGTCCCAGCTACCTGTGAGGCCAAGGCAGGAGAATTTCTTGAACTCGGGAGGTGGAGGTTGCAGTGAGCTGAGATCATGCCAGTTCACTCCAGTATGGGTGACAAAGTGAGACTTCATCTATAAAACAAAAAAAAATGGGTTGCTGCCTCCACAGTGAAGTGCAGAAGGTTTTACAGATGAGCTTAAGGAGGTGGTGTTTGATTTACATAGGACACGAAAGATTGGTTGGAACAGGTGTTCCATTTGCATAGCATGTGAAGAAGCTGGCCACCTCCACCCTAATCTTTTATTATGAAAATAGGTGCTCTACCTGGCCGGCACCATGTTGCCTGTTCCTTTACTGTACATGTGGTAACAAAGAAAAGGAAGACGGCGCTTCCATGTTGAACATACCTGGCTTCCAGGTAGCCCTTTTCTATTGGCACAGTTGCCAGTATTCACCTGTGCAAGCTTCTAGCTTGCTTATCAATGTCTGCAACTCGCTTTTTCAGGCTGCCCTTTGTTAGAAAAGAAATGATTTTGTGGGTGCTTTTTGTTAAAAGGAAAGCCTTTCCAAGGATTCCTTTCCCCTCACTATCTGCTTAAATAATTTCTTCTAGATCCTGTATCATATCTCCCCCCTCAGGAGTGGTAACCCTAACTGTTGTTAGGGGGTGTTGGATGACAACCTTTTTTTTTTTGGCTACTTTCTGCTGAAGAGGCACATCTCGTGGGGAACAGCATCTAGGGCTTTTCCTGGGGTTGATTTAAGGGTCCTCGGAAGAAGGGCGTGTCCATATGTGGTTCCATCTGCAGCACCATTTGGAGTTCAATTGCTTCTAGGCAATAAGAGACAAATTTTACACTAAGGTTTAGAATATAGCATTTATTGTGGCCGGGTGCAGTGGTTCATGCCTGTAATCCCAGCACTTTGGGAGGCCAAAGCAGGCAGATCATGAGGTCAGGAGATCGAGACCATCCTGGCTAACACAGTGAAACCCCGTCTCTACTAAAAAATACAAAAAAATTAGCCAGGTGTGGTGGCAGACACCTGTATTCCCAGGTACTCGGGAGGCTGAGGCAGGAGAATGGCATGAACCTGGGAGGCGGAGCTTGCAGTGAGCTGAGATCACGCCACTGCACTCCAGCCTGGGTGACAGAGTGAGACTGTCAAAAAAAAAAAAAAAAAAAGAATATAGCATTTATTTATTTTTATTTTATCTTATTTTTCATGGGTTTTTTTTTGTGTGTTTTTTGTTTTTTTTCCAGACAGAATCTTGCTCTGTCGCCCAGGCTGGAGTGCAGTGGCACAATCTCGGCTTGCTGCAACCTCTGCCTCCTGGGTTCAAGCAATTCTCTGCCTCAGCCTCCTGAGTAGCTGGGATTACAGGCACCCACCACCATGCCCAGCTAATTTTTGTATTTTTAGTAGAGACGGGCTTTCACCATCTTGGCCAGGCTGGTCTTGAACTCGTGACCTCGTGATCTCCTTGCTTTGGCCTCCCCAAATGCTGGGATTACAGGCATGAGCCACTGTGCCTGGCCCAGAATATAGCATTTAAATATGAGTATTAAAATTTCCACTGTTGGCCAGGTGTGGTGGCTGACGCCTGTAATCTCAGCACTTCAGGAGGCCAAGGCCGGCAGATCATCTGAGGTCAGGAGTTTGAGACCAGCCTGGCCAACATGGTGATACCCTGTCTCTACTAAAAATAAAAAAATTAGCTGGGCATGGTGGCGTGCACCTTTAATCCCAGCTACCCGGGAAGCTGAGGAAAGAGAATCACTGGAACTCAGGAGGCAGAGGCTGCAGTGAGCCAAGATCGCGCCAATGCACTCCAGCCTGGGTGGCAGAGCAAGACTCCATCAAATTAAAAAAAAAAAATTACCACTATTATTGGGAGTACTATAGACTACAACCATGACAGTAGAGTTTGATACCTGCTAGCCATTCTGATGGGTTATACTACTGGTTTCCTTTCAGCAGGTGTTACTGTACTTTATCAGAAGCATTAATATAAAAGTCACATTTTTTTTTTGAGATGGAGTCTTGCTTTGTCGCCCAAGCTGGAGTGCAGTGGCATGATCTCAGCTCACAGCAACCTCTGCCTCCTGGGTTCAAGCAATTCTTCTGCCTCAGCCTCCAGAGTAGCTGGGACTACAGGCATGCACCACCATGCACAGTTAATTTTTGTATTTTTAGTAGAGATGGAGTTTTACCATGTTGGCTAGGCTGATTTCGAACTCCTGACCTTGTGATCCGCCCACCTCAGCCTCCCAAAGTGCTGGGATTACAGGCATGTGCCACCGCGACCGGCCTAAAAGTAACATTTTTTTAAGTGGATAAGTGGCATTGGATTGGGTGGCTAGAGTAACTTTATTTTTATATTTTATTATTTTATTTTTATTATTATTCTTTGAGACAGAGTCTTACTCTGTTGCCCAGACTGGAGTGCAGTGGTGTGATCTCAGTTCACTGCAACCTCCACCTTCCAGGTTCAATCTATTCTCCTGCCTCAGCCTCCTGAATAACTGGGATTACAGGTGCATGCCACCATGCCTGGCTAATTCTTGTATTTTCAGTAGAGATGGTGTTTCACCATATAGACCAGGCTGGTCTCAAACTCCTGACCTCAGGTGATCCACCTGCCTCGGCCTCCCAAAGTGCTGGGATTGCAGGTGTGAGCCACCGTGCATGGCCAAGGGGACTATTTTTAAGACAGACTTCACAAGCATTAACAACCTGTTTGACTGTTTTTATTAAGCTCTCTCCTGAAAAAAAACTCTGAGCACACTGGTAAGTTTTATCCTTTCCCAAGTGAAAAGCTTGGTGAAGAACTTTAAGGACTTTCCACTGGCTGGAGGCTGGCAAGTGGAGCTTGCTATCCTCTGACTGTAGCCATCCTGAGGGCTGAAAAGTTTACCCTGGAGAGATGGCCTATTCTATCTCTGCAGGGGAGTACTGAGGCTTAATTTCTCTTATGGAGCCTTCGCAGATGAGAGGGGCTTCAAGTGTGTTGATGCTCTGAGGCTTCCTTACTGCTGACTTGGCTGCCTGATGAGCTAACTTGTTTCCTTCAGCTATTTAATTTGTTCCCTTCTGGTGTCCCTTACAATGCATCACTGCTACCTCTCATGGAAGGAAAACTGAGGATAATAACCTGTTAATTTCCTGGCAGTATTTTATAGGGGATCCATTAGCAGTAAGAAAGTGTCTTTCCTTCCAAACGGCAGCGTGAGCATGAAGAACTAAGAAAGCATACCTGGAGTCTGTAAATGTTAACTAGCTTTCCCTTGCTTAATTCAAGTGCTGTTGTAAGAGCTATTAGTTTAGCTAGTTGAGTGCTTGGGCCTGGAGAGAGGGGTACACTTTTAATAACATCATTCAGAGTGACTGCTGCACATCCTGCCTTCTGGACTCCCTGCTTCAGAATGGAACTTCCATCCGTGAAGAGGGTACAGTCTGGATGAATTGGGACTACAGCCTCATTAATGAGGTGAGGTTCCTGAACTAATCTCCATTCCCCACTGGGTTTTTGCACTCCTAATATTGGGGTGCAGGACCTTAACAGTGCAGGACCTGTTACAGGGTTTCAGGAGGTCCTACATCTTTAGGTTCATAATGGCTTCTAGCACTTTCCTAGCTTCTGGCTTTAGGGGATCTTGTTTCTGGTTAGGAAAAGAAGTAGGAGCCTTATGATGGATCCGAACTGGCCTAGTAGTTAATAGCTTGACCTATTTTTCCTTGAGTTGCCCACACTTCTGGATTAATATTAGCTTCCACCAGGGGGAAGAGTTTGTCTGGGGCTATAAGGATGCTGGCCCCCATGCAAGCTAAAATGTCTTTACCTAATAAAGGAGTGGGATTTTTCAGGCATAATTAAAAAGGCATGTGTAAATAATAGGTCCCCCCCAACTACAACGAAGGGGTTGAGAAAAATATCAGGTTAGAACCTTTCCTGAGACACCCATCACAGTTGTGCTACGGGAAGAGGGGAGTCTTGGATTAAAGGGAAGATGAGAGAAGCTGGCTCCAGTGTCCAGAAGGAGGTCACCCTCCTTCCTTCGATTTCCAGAATCACCTGGGGCTCCTGTGCAGTAATGGCAGTTCAAGCTGCTGGAGCTGGGGGTTTGAGCTCCAGGACCAGTTAGTCCTGTTGGACAATCTGTGAGACTGGTTCTGAACCCAGTGACCTCCATCTCCAGGGGCAGTCCAGTTTCCAGTGGTCTCTGCCACAGACTGGACAGGGTCAAGGTTGCTTCCTCTTGTTGCCTGGGCACTCCTTCTTAAAGTGCTCTGACTTGCCACACCAGTAGCAACTAGTGGATGCACCTTGGGGATCCTGGACTTTGCAAGCCCGCAGAGCAGCTACTAGAAGCCTCTGTCTTCCTCTTGTGTTTCCTTTCTTTATCTTGGGCGTCCTCCTGGTCTCTTTTATAAAAGACCGAGGTGGCCTCCCTCAGGAGGTTTTCCAAGGTGCTATCTGGTCCTATAGCCTGCTTCTGCAATTTCCTTCTAATACTGGGAGCTGCCTATATAATAAACTTGTCCTTGAGGATGAGCTGTTCCTTGACTGAATCAGGGAATAAAGAGATGTGTTTTATTAGTGCCTCTCTCAGCTTTTCCATAAAGGCTGTGGGATTCTTATCTGGCTTTTGGTCTAACATGCACAGTTTAACTAAGAGGTTTGGTCCTAGGTTTTCATAGGCCCTCCAATATGCACATTGAAAAGTGTTTCCTTTTCCATTCTGTGGAATAGAAAAAGGGTTCCATTCTGTGGAGTTATTGGGGTTCCAATCAGGGTTGTCAAAAGGTACTGCCTCTCTTCCCATTGGGAATTATCGTTCCCCTATTTCTTGACTTTCCCTATTTACTCTTTTCCTTTTTGGCCTACTATAGGAGACATATTGCTCATCTCTGAACTTATCTGCTGCCTGGAGAGCTGCCTGTTTTTCAGCTGTGATCAGGTTTTGGCTTAAGAGCAGCATAACATCCCTCCATGAGAGGTAAAATACCTGAGTTAAGTTTTGGAAAGCTGCTACTTATTGGGATCTACTTATTGGGATCATCAGAAAATCAGCCCAAGCCTCCCTTTATTTGCCTAAAGTCCTGCAATGAGAAGGGAACTTGAACCCTAGTGGCATTACCTCCATTGGGCATTTCTTGTAGGGGTAAGAATGAAGCTGGGGGAGTGGAGAGTTTTAGAGATAGTGGAGCTGGAGGGGCTGATGGTGCAGTTGGAGGGATCCCCAAATAAGGAGGGAAAAAGTGGTTCATACACTGAACAGCTGCCTCAGATGATTCCCCTGGAAGTTGCTTCTCTAGTTTTGGGGATTCATTCCCTTTGGGCCTGCCTGATATGACTGCTAAAAGAGTGGGGTCCATTGTGTAACACCTCCAAAGGTCTAGTAAGGCCATACCCTTGTGCAAAAGAAAATGAGCCACCACGTTTTTCTTCAAAGTCTTGGGGTTAAAGGAGTCGCAGTGCTTCAGTATGCACTCCAGAGGAGTGCAGGCCAAAGATGGTCTGTTACCCATTGAAAAAGAGAAGCAAGAAAAAGGTGTTCCTTTGGTCTCCTTCCTTTCCTTTGGAATGGCCCAGGGTGGATGAGAAGACAGTGGGGTTGTTCCCCCAACTGTTTTTCTTCCTTGGTTCCTGAGCGCTGGCATCCATTAAAGGTGCTGCCTGTGGATGCAGACTTGATCCTCAGCCATGGAACCGGAGGAACTAAGCGATTAGTATTAGTCACGCTCACCCATGCAGCTCCAGTCCTCCACTTGTGATTTTCCTTTGACTTCTTAGACTTGTGTGATCCATGTGATTCTCTGATAAATGGATCTTGGGAAAGACTATGTAACAGTTGCTTTTGGGCAAGGCCCCTTAATGGAGGGAGTGTGCTGGTTTGAGCTCTATAAATAGCTATTATGTCCTGGACTAAAGTATTTATTCTTGCTGGGCATGGTGGCCCACGCCTGTAATTCCAGCACTTTGGGAGGCCGAGGTGGATGGATCACCTGATGTCAGGAGTTCGAGACCAGCCTGACCAATATGGTGAAACCCATCTCTACTAAAAATACAAAAATTAGCTGGGTGTGGTGGTGGCTGCCTGTAGTCCCAGCTACTCGGGAGGTTGAGGTAGGAGAATCGCTTGAACCCGGGAGGCGGAGGTTACAGTGAGCCAAGATCGTGCCACTGCACTCCAGCCTGGGTGACAGAGCGAGACTCCATCTCAAAAAAAAAAAAAAAAGGATTTATTCTTAGGCAGTGACTGTGGTTAACTTCTGGACATAAAATTCCCTTAATATTGAAGTACCATTTTGACTTGAGGCAGAGTAGGTGCTTTAAAAGAATGTAGGGACCAAATGGCAGTTTTTCTGCTGATGGGACAGTATCAAGACTAAAATTTGGTTTTGGAGGACATTTTTCTCCTTACTGTTGAAGGCAGAGTTTTCCTGTTCGGAGAAGGGGACATAAAGCCTGGTTTCTAGTAGAGGAGCACAAAAAGGGAAAAGAATTGGGAAGCTAGAGTGTTTTGGCAAAGGACCTGCAGTGTGCTTCATGGAGAGGATTCCTATTCCACTCGGTGGCTCTGTTGACCTTGAAATGCCATGTGCTCTCTGGGCCAAGGGTAAAGAAAGACACATTCAATGGGGGTGGGAGGGAACCCTCTGTTCCTATAAAATCACAAAAATGGCAATCCCTTGATCTATATTCCCGGTTACTATGGCATTGGCTGGTCTTGCGTAACAGAATTACTTCCCTGAACTGTAAAAGTTCCTGCAGCACTGCATACAGAGAGGGCTTAGGAGACGTGGCTGTCAAAAATAGGAAGGGAGGAAAACTGTGATAGAAGAAGCTGGAGATCCTGTTGCTGACACCCAACAGGCAGTCAGTGGCTGATGTTAGTCCAGAAGCCTTTGGGTAACACCAGGGTGTTGCCGTGGACAGGAACTATGAGTTGCCTCTAGACCTCTTCCAGCCCCACATGATGGCTAGGCTCTCCGTGAAAGGAAACCAGTTTGAAACAAAGCCCACATTCACAGCACCCTGAGGGCACTGAAGGATTCACTAAATTCTCCCCAGAAAGCTTCCTGCCTGAGTCTTGAGATTGGTGGCATGCCCTAAAGGCATATAGATGGCCATCAGATGCCCAGCATTTTGTTTAATTTTAAAATGGAGAATGAGAGGCCGCGAAATAAAAGGAAAGGGTTGGGGTCTGCTCTTATACTCACCCTTCCAATGAATCTACCTTGGATCTTGGATGAGCCTCCACAATGAAGTGGCGTCATTGGCTGGGGTAAATACCTGAGATTCATTGTCTCACAGCCACAGAACACTAGGACGCAGACACACAATGAGTGAGGTTCAGAGCAGAAATTTAACAGGTGAAAGAAAGAGAAGAGATCTCTTCACAGAGAGGTGTCCTGGAGAAAATGGGTTGCTGCTTCTGCAATGAAGTGCAGGAGGTTTTATAGATGAGCTTGAAGAGGTGGTGTTTGATTTACATAGGGTATGAAAGATTGGTCGGACCAGGTGTGCCATTTGCATACTGTGCAAAGAGGCTGGCCGCCCCACCCTAATCTTTTATTATGCAGATGGGTTCTCTATCTGGCTGGCACCATGTTGCCTGGTTCTTTACTGTACACACGGTGACAAAGAAAAGGGAGGATCGAAAAAAAAAAAAAAGAAAAGGGAGGACGGAGCTTCTATGTTGAACATACCTGGCTTCAAGGTAGCCCTTTACTATTGGCACAGTTGCCGGCATTCACCTGTGCAAGCTTCTAGCTTGCTTATCAATGTCTGCAACTTGATTTTTCAGTCTGCTCTTTGTTAGAAAAGAAGTTATTTTGGGGCTGCTTTTTGTTAAAAGAAAAGCCTTGCCAAAGACTCCTCTACCCTCACTATCTGCCTAAATAAATTATTTCTAGCTCCTGTATCACAAGGATCCAGTTATGAGAAAAGCTACTGGGAGGTAGAATGGGTGGAAGTATGAGTGCAGAAGAAATAAGCTGGAGTGGCTGGAGCTTCTCGAGTCAGGGAAAAATGAAAACACCTGTTTCAGGTGTAAACAGACTTGGATTATGGCTCATGAGGTTTGGATTTCACACCCAGCACATTGGTACATTGTTTGGAGGTTCTAAGCAAGGAGGAGAATGAGATCTGATTTTTCTTTTTTTGAGATTGAATCTCGCTCTGTCACCCAGGCTGGAGAGCAGTGGCACGATCTCGGCTCACTGCAACCTCCACCTCCCAGGTTCAAGCGATTCTCCTGCCTCAGCCTCCTGAGTAGCTGGGATTACAGGCATGTGCTATGATGGCCGGCTAATTTTTGCATTTTTAGTAGAGGTGGGTTTTTGCCATGTTGGCCAGCTGGTCTCAAACTCCTGACCTAAAGTGATCTACCTGTCTTGGGCTCCCGAAGTGTTAGGATGACAGGCATGAGCCACCACACCAGAACTGATTTTGTTTTAACCAGGTGATTCTGGCTGCAATATAGAAAGTGCATTGCAGGAGGGGAAACTGATGAAAACGGAATCAGGGAGGATAGGTGACCATTACAGCAGTAAGCAAGAATGGATTGGATTAGAGCAGGGCTCAACATCCCTTTCTTTTGTAAAGGGTCAGAGAACATTTCAGGCTTTGTGGGCTACTTATGGTTTGTCATATGCTCTTAGTCTTTTTTTTTTCTTTTCATTTACTTATTTTTAGGGATGGAGGTCTTGCTATGTCGCACAGACTGGCATCAAACTTTTGGACTGAAGGGATCCCTGTGCCTCAAGTCTCTTGAGTAGCTGGGACTACAGGTGCAGATCACCATGGCCACCTTCTTCTTCTTCTTCTTTTTTTTTTTTTTCTTTAAACAACCCTTCAGAAATGTAAAAGCCATTCTTAACTAGACTTCAGGCACAGTCTGTTGATATCCAGACCAGAATGACAGCAGTGTAGGTGAAATGTGGTCAGATTAACAATTTACTTTCTATTTTTTTTTCTTTTGAGATGCCCAGGCTGGAGTGCAGTGGCGCAATCTCAGCTCACTGCAACCTCTGCTTCCCGGGTTCAAGCAATTCTCCTGCCTCAGTGTCCTGAGTAGCTGGGACTACAGGAGTGCGCCACCACACTCGGCTAATTTTTGTATTTTTGTAGAGACAGGGTTTTGCCATGTTGGCCAGGCTGGTCTTGAACTCCTGACCTCAGGTGATCTGCCCACCTTGGCCTCCCAAAGTGCTGGGATTACAGGTGTGAGCCACTGCGCCTGGCCTTACTTTCAAGACTGAATCATGTTATTCAATTTTACCAAGGAGCAAGATAAAATTCAGAAAAATCAGTATTATGCAATCAGCAAGTTAGAGGTAAGATGAAAATTCCAGAAAAGATTTGAACTCAGGACTATAGGACTAATGGAATTCCTAGAGATAGAAAAGTATTTAACACATGGGGATGAGGCTTTACTGGCAGCATTCAAGTATTCCCAAAGCTTAGGGCAAACTCTGGGCTGGGTATTGGAATTTGCCAAGTGTTCTAGAATTTCTGTAACAGCATTGTAATGGAGTAAACAGAGGCCAACCTCAGTTTACTGGTGGCAAAACCAGGACTCTGACCTGAGCCTACTGACATGGGTCCAGTGTTCTTTTTTTTCCCCCTCATGCTTTGCAGTCTAGACATGTAGTTGTGTACGCAGTATTCTAATAGGCAGTTTTTGTTTTCTTGAAGTATCTGAAATGCATGTTTAAATAAACTTTATGTAATGTCTTCTTTGGTCTTTCATTCAGACTCTAGTTTAGTTTGTTCTTTTTTTTTTTTGAGACGGAGTCTCGCTCTGTTGCCCAGGCTGGAGTGCAGTGGCACGATCTCTGCTCACTGCAAGCTTCACCTCCCGGGTTCATGCCATTCTCTTGCCTCAGCCTCCCGAGTAGCTGGGACTACAGGCACCCGCCACCACGCCTGGCTAATTTTTTGTATTTTCAGTAGAGATGGGGTTTCACCATGTTAGACAGGATGGTCTTGATCTCCTGACCTCGTGATCTGCCCGCCTTGGCCTCCCAAAGTGCTGGGATTACAGGTGTGAGCCACTGCGCCTGGCCTCCTTTTATTTTTTTTTTAGGGACAGAGTTTTGCTGTGTGGCTCAGGCTGGAGTGCAGTGGTACGATCTCGGCTCACTGCAACCTCTGCCTCCCGGGTTCAAGTGATTCTTCTGCCTCAGCTTCCCAAGTAACTGGGACTACAGGCATGCACCACCATGCCCAGCTAATTTTTGTATTTTTTAGTAGAGATGGGGTTTCACCATATGCTGGCCAGGCTGGTCTCGAACTCCTGATCTTAGTTGATCCGCCCGCTTCGGCCTCCCAAAGTGCTAGGATTACAGGCATGAGCCACCACACCTGGCGTAGTTTGTTTCTGATTTTTTTTGTTAGCAGGCTTGCTTTCTCTGCCTCTAGAAAGGGGGGAGAAAGCTGTATTATGCAGAGATGATGAGAACAGGATGCGTAGAAATAGTCTATGCTAATCCAGTGGGAGGTGGCATACTCAGCTGTATTTACATATAAAGAATGCACAGGGATGGTGATTGCAGCATTATTTGTATTAGCTGGTTTTGATTTCCTGAGCTCAAGTGATCCTCCCACCTAGGCCTCCCAAAGTTCTGGGATTACAGGCATGAGCCACCGCTTCAGGCCTGAGAAGCTGTTACAAAGAACGAAGATATGTCTACACGTGAACTGAGAAGGAAAGGTGCCAAGATATATTGCCAAAAGAGTACAATTTGGATAGTATCCTATCTGTGTAGGAAAAATGTACTTGTATACAATATTTTCATGTATGTGTAAAGACAATAGTGGCTGGGTGCTATGGCTAATGCCAGTAATACTAGTGTTTTGAGAGGCTGAAGTGGGAGGATCAGTTAAGGATAGGAGTTCAAGATCAGCATAGGCAACATAGTGAGATCTCATCTCTATAAAAAATTGAGAAAATTAACCAGGTGTGGTGGTGCACCCCTATAGTCCCAGCTATTTGGAAGGCTCAAATGGGAGGATCACTTGAGGCCAGGAGTTCAAGGCCAGCCTGGGCAACATAGGGAGACGCTATGTCCCTAAAAAAAGAAGTAAATAAATAAATCAGGATAGTGAACTGTCATTTACCTATCACCTAGCCAATCTTGTGTCTATGTCCCTCTCTCCTCCCTTGTAACTTAGTGGAGATTTAGCCATTTTTTTTCTTGAATAAACAATCCTTATCTTGTTGAAAGACCTTGGTTAATTTCCAGCACTCTGAACACTGAAAAAATTGATTTTGACAAAATTTTGCCAGTGTTTTGTGGCTTTTATGAAGGAGAAGATTTTCAGATGTTCTTACTCAACCATTTCTGCTGATGTGCTTGGCTGGAATCACTTAAAGCCAATTCCAGACATCATATCATTTAACTCATACATACTTCAGGACACAACAGGTAAAGATTTTACTTATTTATTTTTGAGATGGAGTCTTGCTTTGTTGCCCAGGCTGGAATGAAGTGACACAATCTTGGCTCACTGCAACTTCCGCCTCCGGGGTTCAAGCGATTCTGCTGCCTCAGCCTCCTGAGTAGCTGGGATTACAGGTGCCCACCACCATGCCCAGCTATTTTTTTTTTTTTTTTTTGTATTTTTAGTAGAGATGGGATTTCACCACGTTGACCAGGTTGGTCTTGAAATCCTGACCTCATGTGATCCACCCACCTCAGCCTCCCAAAGTACTGGGATTACAGGTGTGAGCCACGGTGCCCAGCCAACAGGTAAAGATTTTAAAAAATTAATGAAAAGGCCGGGCGCAGTGGCTCACGCCTGTAATCCCAGCACTTTGGGAGGCCGAGGCAGGTGCATCACAAGGTAAGGAATTCAAGACCAGCCTGGCCAAGATAGTGAAACCCCGTCTCTACTAAAAATACAAAAATTAGCCGGGTATGATGGTGCAAGCCTGTAATTCCAACTACTCAGGAGGCTGAGGCAGAAGAATTACTTGAACCTGGGAGGCGGAGGTTGCAGTGAGCTGAGATCGCGCCACTGCACTCCAGCCTGGGCGACAGAGCAAGACTCCGTCTCAAAATAAATAAATAAATAATGAAAATATAGTTGTTACATATAACAAATTTAAAAACTCTTTAAAATGTCTTTTCCCCCCAGTTTGTTCAATTGGGACCCAAATAGGGAGTACACATTCCATTTGGTTGATATGCCTCTTAAGTCTCTAACCTGTAACAGATAATCTCTAACAGTTTCTTTCCTCAGTTTTTAAATTTTTATTGGAAGAAAATGTATCACATGTAAAATTTTATAAAATATAGAATATGGCTGACTGCATCCTTGCAGTATACTTAACAGATTCATTTGTCTCCTGGTCAATTTAAAAAACAATTTTCCAGGAAGGGGCCTGTGAGGTTACAGGTGTGAAGGATTTTTGCCCTTGATTAGACTGCTCCTCCAATTCAGTACATTTTAAAGATTTTCAGGGATCAGGACACTGCCTGAATGCCTCCTCTACCACTCCCAGTATAATTTCTAGGAACTGACCACTTGCTTGTCTTTTCTGCCTAACTTCTAAACCCAATTGATGAGCGGACTTCTTAGCGTTACCTTCCTGACCCCATTCCCTACCTTCAGCCCTTGAGAATCCTGCCTTCTATCCTGGCTTTCCTGCCTTGCACTCAGGGTGTCCATGGCTTCCTTCCATCCTAACCTAAGCTCATCACACAGAACTGGAATTGTCTGGCCTCCTTACATATTTCTAGACACATATCAAAATAAGATTATAGGGGCTGGGCGTGGTGGCGCATGGCCTGTAATCCCAGCACTTTGGGAGGCTGAGGCAGGAGGATTGCTTGAACCCAGGAGTTTGAGACCGCCCTGGGCAACATAATCAGATCTTGTCTCTGTCTCACGTGTCCGTGTGAAGAGACCACCAAACAGGCTTTGTGTGAGCAACAAGGCTGTTTATTTCACCTGGGTGCAGGTGGGCTGAGTCCGAAAAGAGAGTCAGCAAAGGGTGGTGGGATTATCATTAGTTCTTACAGGTTTTGGGATAGGCATTGGAGTTTGGAGCAATGTTTTGTGGGCAGGGGGTGGATCTCACAAAGTACATTCTCAAGGGTGGGAGAATTATAAAGAACCTTCTTAAGGGTCGGGGAAATTACAAAGTACATTGATCAGTTAGGGTGGGGCAGAAACAAATTACAATGGTGGAATGTCATCAGTTAAGGCTATTTTCACTTTTGTGGATCTTCAGTTGCTTCAGGCCATCTGGATGTATACGTGCAAGTCACTGGGGATATGATGGCTTAGCTTGGGCTCTGAGGCCTGACAGTCTCTACTAAAATTAGCTGGGTATGGGTGTCCTGGTACAGGTCATTAGTCTGAGCTACTAGGGAGGCTGAGGTGAGAGGATCACTTGAGCCCGGGAGGTTGAGGCTGCAGTGAGTTATGATCACCCTGGGTGAGAGACCTTGTCTCTAAAAAAAGAAAAAATATAGAAGTTTATAAACATTTCTGATGTTATCATAAAAACTTTAGATACTGTGTAATGTCTGCATGATAGTCTACGTATGGATGTGCCATTATTTAATCACTGTCTGCTACTGTTTCCTTTTTTTTTTGCTATCATTAATACCTCAAAGATTAGTACACAAATCTTACTCACATCTCTGAGGCTATCCTTAGAATAGATTTTTGGAAGGGGATTATGGAGTCAAAAGTAAGACTTCTTTGAGACAGGGTCTTACTCTGCTTCCAAGACTTAAGTGCACTGGCACGATCTTGGCTCACTGCGCCCTCCAACTCCTGGGCTCAAGTGATCCTCCCACCCCAGTCTCCCAAGTACCCATCACAGGAACGATCACAGGAAGGCGGTCACAGGAACGCACCCCGACGCGCAAAGATGGGATCTCGCCATGTTCCCCAGGCTGGTACGATTCCTGATTCATACTGGAGAACAACTTGCTGTGCAGTTATATTTTGAACCTCATCAAAATGGAATCATACAGCGTCCTCTTCTTTGTGCCTAAGTTAACAGTAGCTGCTATTCGTTCAGGCTGTTGCGTTTATCCGTAACTTCCTATTTCTCTGTAGAAATCCACTGTATGATACACCACAATTTAGCCACTCAACTGCTGATGGACATTTAGGTTACCAGTTTTTTACTACTACGAATAAACGTGCTATGGACATTCTTGCACATGCCTTTGGTGGACGTATGCACTCATTCCTCTTGAAGTGAAATTTCTGGGGTCACAAGGTAAGCGTACATTTAGCTTTGGCAGAAACTGCAGCGGTTTTCCAAAATGGTTGCATCGTGGGGCTGTTTTTCTATCTTGGTCGCTGGACTTTAAGCGAGGCGTAATCTAGAGGCACAACTGGCTCGGGTAAGGCGTGGAGCCTGACTGTGTGCCGGGATCTGCCAGGGCTGCCACCAGCTAGCTGCACGGGTGAACAGACTCAGCAAGGTGCCACAGTGGCTTCCCACAGATCCACTCTCGGTGGGCTCGGTCCAACGACCCGCTATGTCTGCCGTACTGGCCCCGTACAAATATACTCATTCACATACTGGAAAACGGGGTGTTTTTCAGAGCATACACGTTAGCTCACACTGTAAAAAAAAGTCAGCACTGCGAAACGCAGTCGCTTCTTTCCTCCAGGAGGTAGCGCGTCCTACTCGCTCCGGAACAAAGGAAGCGCTCTGCAGGGTCTCGCGGCTCGGCACCTCACCTAGGCACATGCGCAGATCGAACCTCACAGAGGCCCGCGGTCCAGGCGCGCGTGACGTAGCGCCGTCCCGCCAGTGCGTGATGACCCCAGAGCGTGCGTTCGGTGGCCCATAGGGGAAGATGGCGGCTGCTCCTTTGGAGGAGCGGGATTGAGAGGATCGGGGTGGGGAGACCAAACAAGAGAGACATTTCTGGCTCTGAAGGCGAACGCTTCGCTGGCCATTTAGGAGCTCTGCTCAAAGCCAGACGGTGAGTGCGGCGGCGACACGGGACTGCTCGCCTGCAGCAGGCAGCGGCACTCTCCGCCATTTTCGGGCTCGGCCGTTGCGTGCTTTGGGGGCCTGGACGGGCGCCTGGGCACAGGTTGGAGGAACTGGGAGAATCGACCTCGGGGCGGCTGTTCGAGGCAGGTTCGAGACTTATGGGAGGGGGCTGGAGGCTGGAGGCCAACCGGGAAAAGCGGCCATGGTTAGAACTAAGGCCCTGACTGGGAGCGGTGGCGACGAGAAGACGTAAGTCAGGCCACAGTTAAGACGTGAAGTTTGGAGGGAAATGCATTTTAACTGAGGTTTGGGGCGGGAGTGGAAAGAAGTGGGCCGAGTTGAAGTAGTTGGTTGAAAGGGTCAAGGGAAGTTAACGTGAAATCTGCAAAACAGCTGAAGACTTAGCCGTGATGTTATCGTGGCTTGAAATCGGTGCTTATTATAAGGATGAGGCTACAGCTTGACAGGCAAAGCCCTGCTTTTTTGGAATAGTTGTATTTCTATTTGGTTTGTGCTAGATCCCTGTTTCTGATTTTAAGTTGTCTTCTGGCAACTAAGTAGTGAGGATCTTAGCATGCCTTCTTAAAAGAAATGACAATGAATGTTTGTACTTGGTTGTAACCCTTGGGATTAGTGGCCCCTTCCGGAGTAAGGAGGAGGCGGCGGCGGCAGGTCGGTAGGGAATTCCGTAATTGGATCTATTTAAATCAAATCAGAAAAATACGGGCTACTTGTAGAAAGCCTGTCAAGAATGTTTTAAAGTAGTTTCTACACACATGATCTTAAGTTGACTGTTCAGGAACTTTGGAAGACATTAGAATATGAACAAAAAGCCTGCACTGAAAGGAACAACTCTGGGGAGCGTAGACTTTACTTTTTTAGTACACTCTGGAGAGCTAATGCATGCTATATATACATATATATGTGTATATATGTGTGTGTGTATGTATATATAGCCTGTGAATATGGTGCAGTGGTAAACCTACTTAATTCAAACCTTTTAGTGACAGTTATGCTAGTTGTACCTCTTGTGGCATTTTTCATTTCCTCGCCTTAATTGCATTTTACCCATTTTTTATTACTGTAAGATACTTTTGCTTTTTTTGTCTCCTTGACCGGGAGAAGATAAAATATTGTATAGATTTGAGTTTTTGCTGAGACTTGAAGTTCCATATTTAGACTATCTTCTTGAAACTTGGGGAGAAATTTTAACTTGTCTTTCCTGTACTCCTAGGAAGAATTTTGGTAGAAAGTTGGCTTATGGCCGGGCGCGGTGGCTCACGCCTGTAATCCCAGCACTTTGGGACGCCAGGGTGGGCGGATCACCTGAGGTCAGGAGTTCGAGACCAGCCTGACCAACATGGCGGAACCCCGTCTCTACTAAAAATACAAAAATTAGCTGGGTGTGGTGGTGGGCGCCTGTAATCCCAGCTACTCGGGAGGCTGAGGCAAGAGAATCACTTGAACCCCGGAGGCAGAGGTTGCAGTGAGCCAAGATCGCGCCATTGCACTCTAGCCTGGGCAACAGAGCGAGACTCCGTCTCAAAAAAAAAAAAAAAAAAAAAAAAAGGAATTTGGCTTACATATATTACAATGGTTTAGACAA
Source organism: Homo sapiens (assembly GCF_000001405.40). Taxonomy (NCBI): domain Eukaryota; kingdom Metazoa; phylum Chordata; class Mammalia; order Primates; family Hominidae; genus Homo; species Homo sapiens. The sequence continues at coordinate 127,809,391 of NC_000002.12, read as the reverse complement.
AAATAAATGTTTATCTGTGAAGCTGATGGCTTAACTTGGATAATTTTCTTTGGTTGGTGAAAAATACTAAACAGATTTTGCCATCACGGTTTTATATTGACGTAAGGCTTTAATTATATTTTTACTAAGCACTTAAGGTATTTATTCAGAGCTCTCTTTGCTAAGTAATAAGTTCATATACTTTTCCCATTACTTTGCGGTGGAATATTATTTGATTATGGCTGAAGTTTGAACTGCTTCATATTTCAGAATAGGATAGTAAGGTTACAGAAAAGCTTTATGATTACGACAAAGATATTAGTGAAAAATTTTCACTTATAAATGTGTTTCTGGAATTCTTTTTTTTTTTTTTTTTTTTTTGAGACAAGAGTTTCGCTCTGTCGCCCAGGCTGGAGTGCAGTGGCGCGATCTTTGGCTCGCTGCAAGCTCCGCCTCCCGGGTTCACGCCATTCTCCTGCCTGAGCCTCCCGAGTAGCTGGGACTATAGGCGCCCGCCACCGCGTCCGGCTAATTTTTTGTATTTTTAGTAGAGACGGGATTTCACCGTGTTAGCTAGGATGGTCTCGATCTCCTGACCTCGTGATCCGCCCATCTCGGCCTCCCAAAGTGCTGGGATTACAGGCGTGAGCCACCGCACCTGGCCAATTTTTGTATTTTTTAGTAGAGGCGGGGTTTCACCATGTTGGCCAGGCTGGTCTCAAACTCCTGACCTCAAATGATCCACCTGTCTGGGCCTCCCAAAGTGCTGGGATTACAGGCATGAGCCACCGCGCTCTGCTGAAAATGATTTTTCTTTGGTAACATTTATCTCCCCATTTCAAACCATTTACATTAGTCCTAGAGACTGAAGCTCTTCAGTGTATTGGAAAATCTGAGCAGTGCTACTCTCATCTGTCTGGCCCTTAAACATTTTACTAATTTTCTGGTAGTGACTGACTTTCTAAAGTTGTATTGTATCTTGTACTCATGATTTGTGTGCTTATAAATTCCCAGAGCTAGGTAGTATTGGAAAGGGCATGTATGGGTTTCAGCAGCAAATGGACCTAGGTTTGAATGCCAGGCTCACCATTAACTACCTTTTTTATATTGGGTCAGTTAATTAAACTCTCTAAGCTTCAGTTTCTTTGTATATAAGAATGTTAACTATAAAACCTAAAGGTAAAAAGTGCCTCATATATAGTAGGCATTCTTTAAATGTTAACATTTTTTTTCTTTCTGTGATGAATTTAATTGGTGACATCATTTTCAGTTTTAAACATTAACTCAAATATCTTTGTTGAAATTTACTGACAATCTCATTCCTCTGATAAGTTAATCACTCCTTTCTCTGCTATTAAAGCATTTTGTATATATCTTTAATGTATTTTGACTATACCTTCTCCACTACTTGTGAATACTTTGGTTTTTAGTTTGTTTGTTTGTTTTCTGAGACAGGGTCTCACTTTGTCACCCAGGCTGGAATACAGTGGCATGATCATGGCTCACTGTAGCCTCTAATTCCTAGGCTCAAGCGATCCTCCCACTTCAGCCTTTCAAAGTCTTGGGAGTCATGAGTCCCTGCTGCCAGCTCTTTGTGAGCACGTTGAAGACGTGCTATAGTACCTTATATTTTTGTATTCCTAAAACCTAGGCATTATACAAATTGAAGAATGAATTTTCTACAAAAATTCCCCTCATGACTTGGTTTATTTCTGATCTTTGGCTGTTGCTTATTAACTCTTTGCCTAGATTGTATTCTCCTTCCTTTCACACTATTCCTATTCTGTTCAGTCCTTAAAATCCAGCTAAATCCAATTAATGAGGTCTTCAGTGACTCTCATTTATTCATAACTTGTTTAGTTAGTCTAGTGTCTGTGTGACTGCCTTCTGTTACTTTGTGTCCCATTAGTACCTGCCTCTATGCCTTACCATTTTGAGCAGATCCTTGAGTGGGATGATACGTGCAAAACTGTGCTTTAGGCAGTTTGTTGTTATAGGCACCTGCTCTCTACTCTGTTTGCTCTCAACTTAGTAGGTGGAGCAGCAATTTTCCTTTTTTGGTATATGGAATATTCTGGTAACTTTTTTGCAACTTTAAGAAATTTCAAGCCAGGTGCAGTGGCTCACATCTGTAATCCCAGCACTTTGGGAGGCCGAGGCAGGTGGATCACCTGAGGTCAGGAGTTCAAGACCAGCCTGGCCAACATGGTGAAACCCCATCCCTACTAAATACAAAAAAAATTAGCTGGGCGTGGTGGCACATTCCTGTAATCCCAGCTACTTGGGAAGCTGAGGCAAGAGAATTGCTTCAACCTTGGAGGCGGAGGTTGCAGTGAGCTGAGATTGCGCATTGTACTTCAGCCTGGGCAACAAGAGTGAAATGCCGTCTTAAAAAAAAAAATTTCAAACATGCAGCAAAGGTGAAAGAATACTACAGTGAACACCCATATGCCTTCTGTTTGGATTCGACTGTTAACCAACATTTAACCATTTTGCTTTAACTCTATATCCTCCCTTTCTTGAATGATTTGAAATTAAATTGCAGATATACTGCTTTTCCCTGTAATACCTCAGGATGCATGTCTTTGAAATAATGCTTTTTCCTACGCTTTTCTACATTTTTATTTCAAGCCAGTCTCCAGCTGAAAACATATAAAATCATTATCATACCTAAGGCAATTAGCATGAAATCTTTAGCATCATCTTTTTTTTTTTTTCGAATGAGTTGGTGTAGTTCTATTTTTTTTTGGCTTTGTTCCACAGTTGTTGAAGAGTTGGTTTAATTCTAGGTTACACAGAGTTTAGGGTAGAACAAAGACCAAAGAGCAGTCTCTGGCAAGATTCTGGGCTGGTTTTACTTTAAATTCATAGCTAAGGCAGGAATGGAGTGAAAACAACTAAAGAGAGGCCGGGCGCAGTGGCTCACGCCTGTAATCCCAGCACTTGGGAGGCTGAGGTGAGCAGATCACCTGAGGTCAGGAGTTTGAGACCAGCCTGGCCAACATTGTGTAACCTCGTCTCTACTAAAAATACAAAAATTAGCCGGGTGTGGTTGCGCATGCCTGTAGTCCCAGCTACTCGGGAGACTGAGGCATGAGAATCGCTTGAACCCAGGAGGTGGAGGTTGTAGTGAGCTGAAATTGTGCCACTGCACTGCAGCCAGGGCAACAGAGCGAGACTGTCTCAAAAAAAAAAAAAAAAAGAAAAAGAAAAACAACTAAAGAGATGATGAGCCACTGTAAGCATTTTAATTTATTTTATTAATATTTTTTATTTAAAATTTTAAAATTTTGTTTATTTTGAGACAGGGTCTTACTTTGTCATCCAGGTTGGAGTGCAGTGGCACAATCACAGCTCACTGCAGCCTCAACCTCCCAGCTCAAGCAATCTGCCCACCTTGGCCTCACAAAGTGCTAGGATTACAGGTGTGAGCCACCACACCTGCGGTTTTTTTTTTTTTTTTAAACAAAAGTTTATTCTTTAATGTGCAGTAGACTCCAGCTTCAAGACGACACTTCATTCCAGCTATAGGTGGCAACAGATATTATGGCAGGGAATACAGATGTTTAAATACGAATGAAATCAAGGGTCACCATTGCTTCAGGCACAGGGCACAGCTTACTTTCTGCCAGATTTTTAAATTCCACCTGTGGCCGGAGCCCCTTCCAGGAGGCTTTCGCTTTTAGCTCCTTGTGTTTCTTTCGTTCCTTTTCTTGTTTCTGCTTGAAAGCCTTATTCATCTTCTTGGCCTGCTTTTTGGGCAGTTTCAAAGGGTTCTTCTTGCCACCTTTGAGGCCGGACCTGGCACCTGCTGCCCCTTCCTGACTCTGTCACCACAAACAGCTAGCCTCATCTTTTTAAAGAACGTTCCATATTTTGGAATTTCTTATTGTATGCTTAAAATGTCATGTATTTTGTTTCTCAATTCCTGTTGTTTCTCTATTCCTTTTATTTCCTGTAAACTAGAAGTTAGATCTAGAGAGGTTTGACTAAATTTGGGTCAAATATTTTTGGCAAAAATACTTCATAGAGGCCAGGTGCGCTGGCTCATGTCTGTAATCCCAGCACTTTGAGAGGCTGAGGCAGATGGATTGCTAGAGCCCAGGAGTTCAAGACCAGCCTGGACAATTTGGCAAAACCCTGTCTCTATTTTAAAAAAAGAAAAAAAAATGCTGGGTTTGGTGGCCTGCGCCTGTAGTCCCAGCTACTTGGGAGGTTGAGACAGGAGGATGGCTTGAGCCAGAGAGGTGGAGGCTGCAGTGAGCCGACATCCTGCTGCTGTACTCCAGCCTAGGCGACAAGAGAACCCTGTCTCAAAAAAAAAAAAAAAAAAAAAAAAAAAAAGAAAAAACTTCACAGGTGATGATACGTGATTTATGTTGTGAGGATATACTTCTAGCTATGAGCCTTCAATAAGGTGGTAGGGACTGCCAGATGTTAGCTTGCGTTATTTACAATGCCAAATTTACCTGGTTAATGTGTCCATTGGATTTCTTCATCAAAGAGGTATATTTTTCCCTTTGCAGTTATACTTGATCTGTGGGGTGATAACTTTAGCATCATGTGAGTACCTCACTTCTCAAAATATTTTTCACTTAATGATTGATGATTATTAGCTGAGTCATTTATTGGGGGTTTTCTAATTTTGTTATTTGTTTATATTCATTAACTGTTTTCTGTAATAAAGAGCTTTTGCTTTCCCCCTTTCGTGTTTAAATGTTTAAATTTTGAAATAAATATGAACTAACAGAAGAGTTGGAAGAATAGTTCAAAGAACTCCTATGTACTTTTTATTCTGATTCACCCATTTTTAACATTTTGTCACATTTGCTTTATTCCTCCCTTCCTGCCTCCCAGCCCCTCATGTATTATTTTCGGAGCCATTTAGTGTTATTCACAGATATGCACTTCTCCGCACTTCTCTGCTCAAGAACAAGTTAAGTACCCGCAATATTAACTAATTCTGGACATTGAACATTTATATAGTATTGAAAATTCATACTCAAATTTCTCTAGTTGTCTCAGTAACATCTCACAGAATTTTTCTTTCTCTAATCCAGTATCCAATCTAGATATTTCTTTTCTTTTTTTATTTATTTTTTGAGACAGAGTCTCGCTCTGTCTCCCAGGCTGGGATGATCTTGGCTCACTGCAAGCTCCGCCTCCCGGGTTCACGCCATTCTCCTGCCTCAACCTCCCGAGTAGCTGGGACTACAGGCGCCCGCCACCATGCCTGGCTAATTTTTTGTATTTTTAGTAGAGACAGGGTTTCACCGTGTTAGCCAGGATGGTCTCGATCTCCTGACCTTGTGATCCACCCTCCTCGGCCTCCCAAAGTGCTGGGATTACGGGTGTGAGCCACCGCACCCGGTCCCAATCTAGATATTTCGTATCTCTTTAGTCTTTAAGCAGGAGCAGGTATTTGGCCCTTATTGCTTTTGGTCTTTTTTTTTTTTTTTTTTTTTGAGACTGGGTCTCACTTCGTTGCCCAGGCTAGAGTGCAGTGGCAAGATCATAGCTGCCTGCAGCCTGGAACTCCTGGGCTCAAGTGATTCTCCTACCTCAGTCTCCCAAGCACCTGGCACTAACCCCAGTTAATTTGAGGGCTCCTTTGCTTTTTTGGCAAAACAATAACCCAAGTCCTTCTTGTCTTTTCCTTTCCTTTTGTATCTTCCCATTTCTCCAAGGAGTCCCAGTTCTTTTGGTAGAAAATATTATTTATAAACCAGGATTTGGATGCTTGGTGGTGTATGCATTTGCTTGTATGCCCTTTTCAGTGGACAGAGCTAGAAAACATGATATTAAAAATCATCAGCTTACATTGGTATTTTATTTTATTTATTTTTTGAGACAGTCTCCCTCTGTCACCTAGGCTGGAGTGCAGTTGTGCAATCTTGGCTCATTGCAACCTCTGCCTCCTGGGTTGAAGCGATTCTTGTGCCTCAGCCTCCCGAGCAGCTAGGATTACAGGCGTCTGGCTAATTTTTGTATTTTTAGTAGAGATGGGGTTTTACCATATTGGCCAGGCTGGTCTCGAACCCCTGGCCTTAAGTGATCCGCTCACTTTGGCCTCTCAAAGTGTTGGGATTACAGACGTGAGCCACTGTGCCTGGCCTACATTGGTATTTTAAATTCCTAATCAAAGTTAACATTAGTGGCATTTTCTACACAGAAAACAGAGTCAGATTTATAATGCCAGTATTTTACTAACAATAACCCTACCAAGTGCAGTTTTTTTTCCAGTCCTTTTTTTTCTTAGCGTATACTGCATTAAAGATGAACTTTCTTCAAAAGTTACTTGAAATAACATTTTTCAGCTTGTTTGTTGAATTTGTTTATTTTGATTATCAAATTTCACAGTTTTTGTTTGTATTCATTATTAGGGTTTGCTTTTTCTCCCTCTTAATTTAGTTTTTTTGTTTGTTTGTTTTTGAGACAAGATCTCAATCTGTTACCTAGGCTGGAGTGTAGTGGTGCAGTTTTGGCTCCCTGTAGCCTCAACCTCGCAGGTTTGGGTGATCCTCCCACCTCAGCCTCCCAAGTAGCTGGAACGACAAGTGCGCACCACCATGCCTGGCTAATTTTTTGTGTTTTTTGGTATAGTCTGGGTTTTGCCATGTTGCCCAGTCTGGGCTCGAACTCCTGGGGTCATCGGTTCCTCCCTCCTCAGCCTCCCAAAATACTAGGATTACAAGGCATGAGCCACTGCACCCAGACGTAATTTAGTTTTTTTAATACGTTATTTACATGGTTTAAAATCTACTGAAAAAAAATTTTTAAGCACCTGTGACCAAGAAGGAATAAAATTAAATACTATATTGAAAAAGTACTGGCTGGGCGTGGTGGCTCACATCTGTAATCCCAGCACTTTGGGAGGCCGAGGGGGGCAGATCACCTGGGGTCAGGAGTTTGAGACCAGCCTGGCCAACATGGTGAAACCCCATCTCTACTAAAAATACAAAAATTAGCCAGGCGTGGTGGCACATGCCTGTAATCCCAGCTACTCTGAAGGATGAGGCAGGAGAATTGCTTGCACCCAGGAGACGGAGGCTGAAGAAAAAGTAGTTAAGTCTTGCTTCTGTCTCTGAGCTCTGGAGTTCATTCCAGTTTTTACTGTGTATATTCTTATTTTCACATTCTTAGAAGAAAGTTGGCATGCTGTATATGCTTGTGACACTTGATTTTTTTTTTTATAAATTGTGATAAATGCATAGCAAAATTTTACTGTCTTAATTTTTTTTTTTTGAGTCGGAGTCTTGCTCTCTCCTCCAGGCTGGAGTGCAGTGGCGTGATCTCAGCTCACTCCTGGGTTCAAGTGATTCTCCTGCCTCAGCCTCCTGAGTAGCTGGGACTACAGGTGCATGCCACCACACCTGGCTAATTTTTGTATTTTTAGTAGAGACGGGGTTTTACCATGTTGGCCAGGGTGGTCTGGAATTCCTGACCTCAAGTGATCTGCCTGCCTCAGCCTCCCAAAGTGCTGGGATTACAAGCAGGAGCCACTGTGCCTGGCCTTAACCATTTTTTTTGAGATGGAGTCTCACTGTATCACCCAGGCAGGAGTGCAGTGGCACGATCTCGGCTCACTGCAGCATCCGTCTCCTGGGTTCAAACAATTATCCTGCCTCAGTCTCCCGAGTAGCTGGCACTACAGGTGTGCACCACCACGCCCAGCTAATTTTTTGTATTTTTAGTAGAGATGGGATTTCACCATGTTGGCTAGGCTGGTCTTGAACTCCTAACCTCAAGTGATGCACATGCCTCCGCTCCACAAAGTCCTGAGATAGGCATGAACCACTGCACCTGGCTCATAATGTAATTCTGTTTTTAACATTTTTGAAGAACCTCTATACTGTTTTTCATAGTGATTGTACTGTTTTTTTTTTTTTTGTTGTGTGTTTTTTGTTTGTTTGTTTGTTTTTTAGAGACAGAGTCTCACTGTGTTGCTCAGGCTGGTCTTCGCCTCAAAGTGATCCTCCCACCATGGCCTCCCAAAGTGCTAGGATTACAGGTGTGAGCCACCATGCCCAGCCTCATTGTACCATTTTACAGTCAGTACACAATGGTTCCAATTTCTTCATGTTCTTACCAACAGTTATTATTTTCTGTGTCTGTGTGTGTTTTTCCTCTGAGAAAAGGTCTCCTTCTGTTACCCCTGCTGGAGTACAGTGGTATAATCATAGCTCACTGTGCCTCAACGTCCCGGGCTCAAGCAAACCTCCTGCCTTAGCCTCCCGAGCGGCTGGGACAACAGGTGTATGTCACCATGCCTGGCTAATTTTGTTTTTCTTTTCTTTTTTTTTTTTTTCCTAGAGACAGGGTCTCACTATGTTGTCTGTCCTGGCTGGTCTCAAACTCCTGGGCTCCATCTTCCCACTTCGGCTTCCTGAAGTGCTGAGATTACAATAGGCATGAGCCACTATGCCCATCCTAAAGTTTTACAGCCCAATAATAGTAATATTCCATCACTACAGCTATCATTGAGTTTCAGAAGTTAGACTGTTAAAAGTTTCAGTAAAGAGCTTTAACCAGTTTATTGTGGCAATACTGTGTACACAATTATTTTTTGTAAAAGGAAGGAGATTTCTGTCTTAAATAGCTTTAATAAAGTTTCAGTTTCATATACAGGAATAGATTTAAATTAAAACTCAGGGCCAAGTACAGTTTACAGAAATAGGCTTTGTAAAGTCTATGGTTTTATTATTATTTTTTTCCCTCTGCAATTCCTTCATAACATTTGAATTTTTTTGCTTGTTGGTTTTTTTTTTTTTTTTTTGAGACGGAGTCTCATTATGTTGCCCAGGCTGGAGTGCAGTGATGCGATCTCAGCTCACTGCAAGCTCCGACTCCTGGGTTCATGCCATTCTCCTGCCTCAGCCTCTCGAGTAGTTGGGACTACAGGCGCCCTCCACCACGCCTGGCTAATTTTTTTGAATTTTTTTAACAGAGACGGGGTTTCACCATGTTAGCCAGGATGGTCTTGATCTCCTGACCTCATGATCCGCCTGCCGCGGCCTCCCAAAGTGCTGGGAGTACAGGCATGAGCCACTGCGCCCAGGCTTGCTTCTTGTTTTTAAGGAGAAAGATTATTTTTGTTAAGTGTTGATGGTGATTTGGGATCAGAAGCTGTAATTTTTATGATTCAGTTGATGGACATTAGGATTGTTTTCACTTTTTGATTATTATTAATAACGCTGCTGTAAACATTCACGTACAAATATTTGTGTGGACATAATGCTTTCAGTTCCCTTGGGAATTTACCTAGGCGTAGAATTGCTGGGTCACATGGTATTTTGACATTTAACATTTGAGGAAATTCTTGACTATTTTCCCACCTAATTTTCAGTTTATTTTATGCCTAACAACCACTATTCTTTTGTAATCCAGATGGACTTCTCATGAGGGTTACTGTTTCTCCACATTCTCACTAACACTTCTTATTTTCCCTCTTTTTGACCATAGCCATCCCAGTGGATGTGAAGTGTTATCTAATTGTGGTATTCATTTATTTATATATTTTAGAGACGGGGTCTCACTCTGTTGCCCAGGCAGGAGTGCAGGTGTGATCACAGTGCACTGCAGCCTCGAACTCTTGGGCTCAAGCAGTCCTCCTGCCTGAACTCCAGCAGGAGGTGGTTCGAGTAGCTGGAACCACTGTTCCTGGTGCTCATCGTGGTTTTGTTTTGCATTTTTCTATTGATGCGATTCTCCTGCTTCAGCCTCCTGAGTAGCTGGGATTACAGGTGCCTGCCACCATGTCCGGCTAATTTTTGTATTTTTAGTAGATATGGGGTTTCGCCATGTTGCGCAGGCTGGTCTTAAACTCCTGACCCCAAGTGATCCACCTGCCTTGGCCTCCCAAAGTGCTGGGATTACAGGCGTGAGCCACCGTGTCCAGCCTGTATATCTTCTTTGGAGAAATAACTATTCACATTCTTTGCCCATTTAAGAAATTGGGTTATTTCTTGTTATTATTGAGTTTTAAGAGTTCTTCGTGTATTCTGGATGCAAGTCTCATCGGATACATGATTTGCAGAAATTTTTACCCTTTTTGTGGATTTGTTTTCCTTTTTTTAACTTTTTTTCCCAAGTCATGTGTAGGAAGACAGTGTTTTGATTTTTTTATGGTGTCATTGAAGCAAAGAAGTTTCCAATTTTGATTATGTCCAATTTACCTACTTTTTCTTTTGTTTATTGTGCATTGGTATTACATCTAAGGCAGCTTTGCCTAACCCAAGGTCCTGAATGTATTCTCTGTATTTAATGCAGTTGGCAATTGGTTAAGCAACTGATTTTTCTCATTTGAGAATGTAGATTCTCCTCCATTGGTATAAATGTGAATATGAGTTTGACTTTTTTATTAGAAAGCAGCTATAGTGAGTTTGACCTTGTGGTTAGAAAGCTATAAGCTTTTGGCTGGTCCGATGGTAGTGGGTTATCAGAACTCATTAACATTAGTGTCACTGAAGTTGATATACAACCCCCAACTGCTAAATTTGACTGGCTTAAAAAAAAAAAAAGAAAGCTATAAGCTTTAGTTTTGGTCTAATAAAAGCAGTTTTCAATAACTTAAATTTTACTTAGTAGAGGGAGGTTCAAGTAAAAATTAAGGACAGGTTTCATTGGTGAATTTTTTTTCACGACTTTTTTAGATATTTGTTTAACTTTCAGTTCATCGTATCTCTAATAACACTGTTTTTTTTGAAATCTAAACTGACTTGTTTGGAGGGAAATATCAAACTGTTAAGATGGTATGTGTCATAAGGTAATTAAAAGACATCATAAATTCCAGATATACTGAGGAACTAGTTAACTGGTTAGGCTTTTAGGTCTGTGTAGATAGTAGAACTAGAACCTGAGAACCATAGTTCTGAAATCAAGAGGCTCATAAAAGCTTAAGCTTATCATTTTATCTTGCTATTGACAGATTTGAAATATTCAGGGCCAACCAGCTCTTTAGGATTGTTCCTTTGGGAATGATTGTCTTTTCCTATTTTGTTAAATGCTTTTAAATTCATTTTTTTTTTTTTTTTTTTTTTTTTTTTGCGACGGTGTCTCGCCCTGTTGCCTAGGCTGGAGTGCAGTGGCACGATCTTGGCTCACTGCAACCTCTGTTTCCCAGGTTCAAGCGATCCTCCTGCCTCAGCCCCCCTGGTAGCTGGGATTACAGGCATGTGCCACCATGCCCGGCTAAATTTTGTATTTTCAGTAGAGACAGGGTTTCACCATGTTGGCCAGGCTGGTCTTGAACTCCTGATCTCAGGTGATCCACCTGCCTCGGCCTCCCAGAGTGCTGGGATTACAGACATGAGCCACCACGCCCGGCTTAAATTCATTTGTTAAGCAAGGTTTAAGAAAGGAATTTTGGAAATTTCCTACCTGCTTTCTACATAATCTTTTGAGATGGGGTCTCACTCTGTCACCAGGTTGAAGTGCAGTGGTGTCATCTTGGCTTACTGGAACCTCGACTTCCTGGGCTCAAGCAGTCCTCCTGCTTCAGCCCCCTGAGTAGCTGGGACCCACAGTTGTGTACCACCATGCCCGGCTAAGTTTTTGTGTTTTTGGTAGAGACAGGGTTTTGCCATGTTGCCCAGACTGGTCTCGAACTTCTGAGCTCGGGTGATCCACCTTCCTCAGCCTCCCGAAGTGTTGGGATTACAGGCTTGAACCACCGTGCCTGGCCTGTTGGCTTGTGATCTTGAAATTATGAAATTATTTTGCCTCTAGAGATCATCAAATCTAGACCCTTTAATTTGAAGATAAACAACACTGGAGAGATTAAATTTGTTCATAATTACAGAGTGGCAGAATTCAGGTCACCTGAATACCAGTTTAGTGTTCCCACTTTTACAAAAAAAGCCACTAAAACATTTCATAATATAGCTTGGAGGGGTTTTTTGGCTTAATATCTTTTTTTGTGTGTGACGTAGTCTTGTTCTGTCACCCAGGGTGGAGTGCAGTGGTGTGATCTTGGCTGACTGCAACCTCTGCCTCCTGGGTTCAAGTGATTCTCCTGCCTCAGCCTCCTAAGTAGCTGGGATTACAGGTGTGCGCCACCACGCCCAGCTAATTTTTGTATTTTTAGTAGAGACGGGGTTTCACCATGTTGGCCAGGCTGGTATCGAACTTCTGACCTCATGATCTGCCTACCTCAGCCTCCCAAAGTTCTGGGATTACAGACACGAGCCACTGCGCCTGGCCTGGTTTAATGTCTTTGAGAGAGAGCTAACATTTATCAGTTATATTTTGTAGCTAAAAGGTATAAAATAGGAAAATCATCCATCAGGAATCAACTGGTTACATTAATTATTTTGTGATTTGCAAGGAAAATTTTCCCTGCCATGGTGATCATTCATGGACATTCATGTGCTTTGTGTGGTGGAATGACTGGTGGTGCACTGTGAGTATTGATTTTGGGGCTACAGGTCAATTTTAGCAAGTAGGTAAATTCGCAATTGCAGAATCTGGGGCTAATGAGGATTGATTATGGTTTGACCTTGGGGAAACAGACAGTTTTTCCGGTTAATTATTTTTTGTTGTTAACTCCAAGGATATAAGAAGTATGCTTTTTAATTCAAAATTCAAACAACCAGAATGTGTACTGAAACTTTTCCCCTGAACCTAGTCATTTAGGAGACCGAAATACAAAGACATTAATGTAGATTGTTTTCCCTGAAGGCAGTATACAAAGGACATGAAGATAGTGTACATAAAATGTGGGAATAAAACTGGTTAATAAAATGGAATAAAAAAGCATGTAATGAAGAAAACTAAAATTGAAACAGGAAAGAGGAAATGAGAGAGAGAGAGAGTATGTGTATGTATGCTGGGAAAGAGCCCAAGAAATGATTTTTTTGTAGAGTCAGGGTCTCATTTTGTTGCTCAGGCTGGGCTTGAACTTGAACTCTTGAGCTCAAGCAATGGGACCTATCTTGGTCTCCCAAAGTGCTGGGATTATAGGCGTGAGCCACTGTGCTTGCTGCAGTAGAGATTTTCCTTAACCACAGTAGTGCTATCTCTCACACATGAGAAAATTAACAGCCAGGTGTGGTGGTTTATGCCCGTAATCCCAGTACTTTGGGAGGCTGAGTCGGGCAGATCCCTTGAGGCCAGGAGTTTGAGACCAGCCTGGGCAACATGTTGAAACCCTGTCTCTAAAAAAATATACAAAAATTAGCCAGATGTGGTGGCACATGCTGTATAGTCCCAGCTACTCAGGAGGCTGAGGTGGGAGGATCACTTGAGCCCAGGAGGTCAAGGTTGCAGTGAGCTATGATGGTGCCACTGCACTCCAGTCTGGGTGACAGAGCAAGACTGTCTCAAAAAAAAAAAAAAAAATTAACAGTAATCACCTAATATTAATACCTGTTCTATTTACCTAATTTACCTAGGTAAATCTATTATGTATACCAAGTTTACCTAATTGCCCCAAAATATCTTAGGCAACTTTTTTTTAAAGAACTAACATTCCATCAAGGTTGCTTTTATCTTTTAGTCTCATCTAGAATAGCTCTCCCCTCCCCATTTTCTCCTTCTTGCATTAACTTCTGGAGGTTTCAAGACAGTTTTTTTTTTTCCGGAGACAAAGCCTTGCTGTGTTGCCCAGGCTAGAGTGCAGTGGCTCCATCTCAGCTCGCTGCAGCCTGGACCTCCTGTGCACAAGTGATCCTCTCCATCTCAGCCTCCTGAGTAGCTGTGACCACAGGAGCATGCCACCACACCTGGCTAACTTTTTGGTGTTTTTTTTTTTTTTTTATAGAAAGGAGGTTTTGCCATGTTGCTTAGGCTGTTATCTTGTAGAATTTCTTGTATGTTTGTGTATCCTATGGTTTGGTAACTTTTTTCCTCTGTATTTTCTTTAAACTGGAGTACATAATTCTGCAAATCTAACTAATTTGTCCATTGTTATGGACTAAAAAAATGTAATTCTGCCTGCCTGACAGGTGTAGCTGTGTTCTAGAGATTGGGACCCATCAGGGTATTAGGACCTTCAGCATTAAAAGTTATTGTTTCAGGCAGGGCACGATGGCTCACGCCTTTAATCCCAACACTTTGGGAGGCTGAGGTGGGCAGATCACGAGGTCAGGAGTTCTGGACCATCCTGGCCAACATAGTGAAACCCTGTCTCTATTAAAAATACAAAAATTAGCCGGGCATGGTGGTACACGCCTGTAGTCTCAGCTACTCAGGAGGCTGAGGCAGGAGAATTGCTTGAACCCGAGAGGCAGAGGTTGCAGTAAGCCGAGATCGCACCATTGCACTCCAGCCTGGGCAACAGAGTGAGACTCCCTCTCAAAAAAAAAAAAAAAAGAGAAGTTATTGCTTCATAACTTACTTCCCTTGTACAGATTCCATGTTCACCATCAACCTACAGATTAGTAGCATGCAGTTTAAGAATAGAAAGTATTTTATTTTTATGTTTTGACACCAGGGTCTTATCATGTTGCTCAGGACTTGAACTACTGGGCTCAAGTGATCCTCCCGCCTCAGCCTCCCAGTAGCTAGGATTACAGGTGCATATTCACCACACCCAGCTTGAAAGTATTTCTTTCTTTCTTTCTTTTTTTTTTTTTTTTTTTGAAACGGAGTCTCGCTTTGTCGCCCAGGCTGGGGTGCAGTGGCATGATCTCGGCTCACTGCAACCTCTGCCTCCTGGGTTCAAGCAACTCTCCTGCCTTAGCCTCCTTAGTAGCTGGAACTACAGTTGCCCGCCACTACACCTGGCTAATTTTTGTATTTTTAGTAGAGACAGGGGTTTCACCATATTGGCCGGGTTGGTCTTGAACTCCTGATCTCAAGTGATCTGCCCTCCTTGGCTTCCCAAAGTGCTGGGATTATAGGCATGAGCTACTGTGCCTGACCTCTTTCGTCTTGTCTTTGTCTCTTTTCTTTTCCTATCCTTTCCTTTCCTTTGATGAAGTCTCGCTCTTGTCCCCCAGGCTGGGGTGCGATGGTGCAATCTTGACTCACTGCAACCTCTGCCCCCCCAAGTTCAAGTGATTCTCCTGCCTCAGCCCCCCGAGTAGCTGGGATTACAGGCACCTGCCACCACACCCAGCTAATTTTTGTATTTTTAGTAGAGATGGGGTTTTACCATGTTGGCCAAGCTGGTCTAGAACTCCTGACCTCAGGTGATCCACCTGCCTCTGCCTCCCAAAGTGCTGGGATTACAGGCATGAGCCACCGTGCCTGGCCGGCTTTCTTTCTTGCTTGCTTGCTTACTTTCTTTCTTGTCTCTGTCTGTCTTTCTGTCTGTCTGTCTGTCTTGACAAGATCTCCCTCTGTCACCTAGGCTGGAGTGCAGTGGCATGATCTTGGCTCACTGTAGCCTCGACCACTGCAGCCTTGACCTCCTGGGCTCAAATGATTCTCCCGCCTCAGCCACCCAAGTAGCTGGGGCCACGGGTGCGCCACCACTCCTGGCTAATTTTTTGTATTTTGGTAGAGACAGGGTTTCACCATTTTGCCCAGGCTGGTCTCGAACTTCTGAGCTCAATCTTTCCTCCTGCCTTGGCCTCCCAAAGTTCAGGGATTACAGGCGTGAGCCACTGTGCCTGCCCGAACAATATAGTTTCTTAAAACTTAATTCTGGCTTCTATTTCCCAAGTTGAGTAAGGTGGTGAAATTTCATACTGTTTTACATTGAGTCTTTTTGTTTGTTTTCATTTTTTTGAGACAGGGTCTTGCTCTGTCACCCAGGCTGGAGTATAGTGGCATGATCATAACTCACTGCAGCCTCAAACACCTGGATTCAGGTGATTCTACTTCCTCAGCCTTCCAAGTAGCTAGGACCACAAGTACCTGCCACCATGCCCGGCTAATTTATTTTATTTTTGTAGAGATGGGATCTCAGTATGTTGCTCAGGGTGGTCTTGAACTCCTGGCCTCAAGTGATCCTCCTGCCTTGGCCTCCCAAAGTGCTGGGATTACAGGCTTGACCCACCTTGCCTGGACTAAATTGAGCTTTTTGTTTTTTTTCCTTGAGACAGAGTCTTGCTCTGTTGCCTAGGCTGGAGTGCAGTGGTATGATCTCGGCTCACTGCAACCTCCTTCTCCCGGGTTGAAGCGATTCTCCTGCCTTAGCCTCCCGAGTAGGTGGGATTACAGGCACCCGCCATCATGCCCGGCTAATTTTTATATTTTTAGTGGAGACGGGGTTTCACCATGTTGGCCAGGCTGGTCTCGAACTCTTGACCTCAGATGATCCACCTGCCTCGGCCTCCCAAAGTGCTAGGATTACAGGCATGAGCCACCGTGCCAGGCCCTAAATTGAGTTTTTGATGTACCAAATCATTAGATATTACCTGTGAAATAAATTTTAATTTATCTTGGGGGATAGTGAATACACATACATGTATGAAATTCAAAAGGTACACCTGAAATTTCTCCTCACTTTTATGCTAACTCATCTAATTTTTTTTCCCAGAGGCAATCTGTGGTAATGTTTCTGACGTATCTCTCTATGAGTGTGTTTATAGTATACCACTGGCCTGCTTTGTTTGTTTCATCACAACCCAGGTACTCTAATCAAGGTAGTTTTTATTTTTTTCCTTTTTAGACCCCATGGAACTTTATATTTTCTCCTAAGATAACAGAGTCGTCAAGTGAAAAGTATAGCTTGATCATTTACCTAATTTGCTAATTTACCTAATAATCAAATTTGGAAAGTTTGTGAATGGATCAAGTTTTACTATCTCTCATGATTTATTTGTAATAATACCTTTTTTTTTTCTTTTTGAGACGGGGTCTCACTCTTTTTTGCCCAGTCTGGAGTTCAGTGGCACAATCTTGGCTCACTGCAGCCTCTGCCTCCGCCTCCCAGGTTCAAGCGATTCTCCTGCCTCAGCCTCCCGAGTAGCTGGGATTACAGGCGCACACTGCACACTACCATGCCCATCTAATTTTTTTATTTTTAGTAGAGACGGGGTTTCACCATGTTGGCCAAGTTGGTCTCGAACTTCTGACCTCAAGTGATCTGCCCGCCTCAGCCTCCCAAAGTGCTGGGATTATAGGCGTGAGCCACCTGCCCTGCCAAGAATAGCTTAAATTGCTAATAAACATCTCAGTTTGGAAATTTTTTTTCCTTTGTTAGTTGAACTTAATTCTGTAAGGCAGTGGTGAGTTCTCAAAGTGAGGTCAGAACTGTTTTCATACCACTGCTAAGATACTAAGATGGCTGAGTGTGGTGGCTCACGCTTGTAATCCCAGCACTTTGGGAGGCTGAGGCGGGTGGATCACCTGAGGTCCGGAGTTCGAGACCAGCCTGACCAACACGGTGAAACCCAGTCTCTACTAAAAATACAAAAATTAGCCGGGCGTGGTGGTGCATGCTTATAATCCCAGCTACTCAGGAGGCTGAGGCAGGAGAATCGCTTGAACTTGGGAGGCAGAGGTTGCAGTGAGCTGAGATCACACCACTGCACTCCAGCCTGGGTGACAGCATGAGACTCCGTCTCAAAAAAAAAAAAAAGATACTAAGACATTATAAGGCCTTTTTACTGTTGATGCTTGCAGTTATGTTATAAAAGCAGTAATGGATAAAACTACTAGCTCCTTAGCATCATTCAAGGCAGTGCTACCAAACTGTAGTAGGTATGTTACTTTTACCTCATGCTGGTAGTTGAAAAGAAAAAAGACAATTTCACTTAAGAATGTCACTGATGAAGTGGTAAATATAATTTTATTAAATGTCACCTCTTGAGCATATGATTTCTAATACAGGATGCTTTGGATTGAGTCGTATTCCCTTATATTTATATGCTGAAGTAGTAACCCCCAGTGTGATGACATTTGGAGATGGGGGCCTCTGTGACATCACTAGGTTTAGCTGAGGTCATGAGGTTGGGGCCCTCATGATGGGAATAGTACCTTTAATAGCAGAAACACCAGAAAGTTTGCTGTTTCTCTTTCCGTCAAGCCAGAAAGAGAGCCCTCACTTGGACCTGGTTATGCTGGCACCTTGATCTTGGACTTCCAGCTTCTAGAACTGTGAAAAACTAAATTTCTGTGGTTTAAAGCCACCCAGTCTATGGTATTTTTATGGCAGCCAAGCAGACTAATACATAGCACATGATGAAATGGGAAGTGTGGGTTGGCTGTGGTGGCTCATGTCTGTAATCACAGTACTTTGGGAGGCCGAGGCGGGAGGATTGCTTGAGCCCAGGAGTTTGAGGCTGCAGTGAGGTATGATTGTGCCACTGTCTTGCAGCCTGGGTGACAGAGTGAGACGCAGTTGCTGGGGGGGGGGGTGGGGTGGGGAAAGAGTTTGGATAAAGTACTTTTGCTATTTATAGAAGTAGGGCAATTTTCTTGAGAGAAAGCACTTACATAATTGTACTATTTACTTTTTCCATGGAGCCTAATTTTGACTTGAAAGAATGACAGACTGTTGAGAGAGATGGGGAGAGGTTAAGGAGGGGGCCCAAGTGAACAATATCAGGAATGAAAGAGGGGGAATATTACTACAGATCTTACAGACATTAAAATGATGATAAGGGAATATCGTGAACAATTCCATGCCCCTAAATTTGATGACTTAAGAGAAATTGATCAACTCCTTCAAAGACACAAACTAAAACTCACTCAAGAAAAAATATGTAACCTGAATAGTCCTATATCTATTAAAGAAATCGAATTCAAGCTGGGTGTGGGTCATGTGTTTATTGTCCCAGCTACTTGGGAGGCTGAGACAGGAGGATCGCTTGAGCCCAGGAGTTCGAGGCTGCAGTGAACTGTGGTCCTCTGGCCATGCGCTGTAGCCTGGGCAATGGAGTGAGACCTGGTTTCAAAAATAAAATAAAATTGAATTCATAGTTAAATGAATTGAATTTATAGTTAAAAATCTTCCAAAGGAAAGTTGAGGTTGAGATGGTTTCGCTGGCCACTTCTACCAAATATTTAAGAATAATATCAATTCTACATACTCTCATCCAGGAAATATTAGAAGGCATACCTCTCAAATCATTTTATGGGACTTGATATAAAACCAGATACAGATATTACAAGAAAAGAAAACCACACCAGTATCCCTCATGAATATAGATTCAGAAGTCACAACAAAATATTAGTAACTCAAATCCAGCAATATATAGTATAAAAAGGATAATACATTGTGATCAATGAGGTTTATTCTGGGAATACAAGGCTGGTTCAAAATTTGAAAATCAGTCAGGATAATTTAGTCTATTAGTAGACTAAGGAAAACCATATGATCATCTCTTTAGATGGAGAATAAGTATTTGACAAACTCCAGTATACTTTCATGATAATTTTTACAGGCCAAGCGTGGTGGCTCATGCCTGTAATCCCATCACTTTGGGAGGCTGAGGCAGGAGTATCTCTTGAGCCTAGGAGATGGAGACCAGCCAGGGCAACATGTCGAAACCCTGTCTCTACTAAAAATAAAAAAAATTAGCCAGGCGTGGTGGCATGCACCTGTAGTCCGAGCTATTCTGGAGGCTGAGGTGAAAGGATTGCTTGAGCCTGGGAGGCGGAGGCTGCAGTGAGCCGAGATCACACCACTGCACTCCAGCCTGGGTGACAGAGTGAGACCCTGTCTCAAAAAAAAATTTTTTTTTAGCAAACCAGTAATAGAAAGGATTTACTTCAGTCTGATAAAGGGCATCTACAAAAAATCTGTAGTTATGTCATACTTAATAGTAAAGGAGAAATGCCTCCTCCCTAAAGTTTGGAACAGTACAATAAGGCAAGAAAAAGAAATGAAAAGGCTTTTAGAACAGAAAGGAAGATGCGGAGCCGAAGCTGGACTGTACTGCTGCCATCTCGGCTCACTGCAACCTCCCTGCCTGATTCTCCTGCCTCAGCCTGCCGAGTGCCTGCCATTGCAGGCACGCGCCGCCACGCCTGACTGGTTTTGGTGGAGACGGGGTTTCGCTGTGTTGGCCGGGCCGGTCTCCAGCCCCTAACCGCGAGTGATCCCGCCAACCTCAGCCTCCCGAGGTGCCGGGATTGCAGACGGAGTCTCGTTCACTCAGTGCTCAATGGTGCCCAGGCTGGAGTGCAGTGGCGTGATCTCGGCTCACTACAACCTACACCTCCCAGCCGCCTGCCTTGGCCTCCCAAAGTGCCGAGATTGCAGCCTCTGCCCGGCCGCCACCCCGTCTGGGAAGTGAGGAGCGTCTCTGCCTGGCCGCCCATCGTCTGGGATGTGAGGAGCCCCTCTGCCTGGCTGCCCAGTCTGGAAAGTGAGGAGCGTCTCCGCCCGGCCGCCATCCCATCTAGGAAGTGAGGAGCGCCTCTTCCCAGCCGCCATCACATCTAGGAAGTGAGGAGCGTCTCTGCCCGGCCGCCCATCGTCTGAGATGTGGGGAGCGCCTCTGCCCCGCCGCCCCATCTGGGATGTGAGGAGTGCCTCTGCCCGGCCGAGACCCCGTCTGGGAGGTGAGGAGCGTCTCTGCCCGGCCGCCCCGTCTGAGAAGTGAGGAGACCCTCTGCCTGGCAACCACCCCGTCTGAGAAGTGAGGAGCCCCTCCGCCCGGCAGCTGCCCCGTCTGAGAAGTGAGGAGCCTCTCCGCCCGGCAGCCACCCCATCTGGGAAGTGAGGAGCATCTCCGCCCGGCAGCCACCCCGTCCGGGAGGGAGGTGGGGGGGGGTCAACCCCCCGCCCGGCCAGCCGCCCCATCTGGGAGGGAGGTGGGGGGTCAGCCCCCCCGACCGGCCAGCCGTGCCATCCGGGAGGGAGGTGGGGGGGTCAGCCCCCCACCTGGCCAGCCGTGCCGTCCGGGAGGGAGGTGGGGGGGTCAGCCCCCCGCCCGGCCAGCCGCCCCGTCCGGGAGGTGAGGGGTGCCTCTGCCCGGCCGCCCCTACTGGGAAGTGAGGAGCCCCTCAGCCCGGCCAGCCACCCCGTCCGGGAGGGAGATGGGGGGGTCAGCCCCCCCACCCGGCCAGCCGCCCCGTCCGGGAGGGAGGTGGGGGTGTCAGCCCCCCGCCCGGCCAGCCGCCCCGTCCGGGAGGGAGGTGGGGGGGGTCAGCCCTCCGCCCGGCCAGCCGCCCCGTCCGGGAGGTGAGGAGCGCCTCTGCCCGGCCGCCCCTACTGGGAAGTGAGGAGCCCCTCTGCCCGGCCAGCCGCCCCGTCCGGGAGGGAGGTGGGGGGGTCAGCCCCCCGCCCGGCCGGCCGCCCTGTCCGGGAGGGAGGTGGGGGGGGTCAGCCCCCTGCCTGGCCAGCCGCCCTGTCCGGGAGGGAGGTGGGGGGGTCAGCCCTCCGCCCGGCCAGCCGCCCCGTCTGGGAGGTGAGGGGCGCCTCTGCCCGGCCGCCCCTACTGGGAAGTGAGGAGCCCCTCAGCCCGGCCAGCCGCCCCGTCCGGGAGGGAGGTGGGGGTGTCGGCCCCCCGCCCGGCCAGCCGCCCCGTCCGGGAGGGAGGTGGGGGGTGTCAGCCCCCCCGCCCGGCCAGCCAACCCGTCCGGGAGGTGAGGGGCGCCTCTGCCCGGCCGCCCCTACTGGGAAGTGAGGAGCCCCTCTGCCCGGCCAGCCGCCCCGTCCGGGAGGGAGGTGGGGGTGTCAGCCCCCCGCCCGGCCAGCCGCCCCGTCCGGGAGGGAGGTGGGGGGGGGTCAGCCCCCCCGCCCGGCCAGCCGCCCCGTCCGGGAGGTGAGGGGCGCCTCTGCCCGGCCGCCCCTACTGGGAAGTGAGGAGCCCCTCTGCCCGGCCAGCCGCCCCGTCCGGGAGGGAGGTGGGGGTGTCAGCCCCCCGCCCGGCCAGCCGCCCCGTCCGGGAGGGAGGTGGGGGGGTCAGCCCTCCGCCCGGCCAGCCGCCCCGTCCGGGAGGTGAGGGGCGCCTCTGCCCGGCCGCCCCTACTGGGAAGTGAGGAGCCCCTCTGCCCGGCCAGCCGCCCCGTCCGGGAGGGAGGTGGGGGTGTCAGCCCCCCGACCGGCCAGCCGCCCCGTCCGGGAGGGAGGTGGGGGGGGTCAGCCCCCCGCCCGGCCAGCTGCCCCGTCCGGGAGGTGAGGGGCGCCTCTGCCCGGCCACCCCTACTGGGAAGTGAGGAGCCCCTCTGCCCGGCCACCACCCCGTCTGGGAGGTGTGCCCAACAGCTCATTGAGAACGGGCCAGGATGACAGTGGCGGCTTTGTGGAATAGAAAGGCAGGAAAGGTGGGGAAAAGATTGAGAAATCGGATGGTTGCCGTGTCTGTGTAGAAAGAAGTAGACATGGGAGACTTTTCATTTTGTTCTGCACTAAGAAAAATTCCTCTGCCTTGGGATCCTGTTGATCTGTGACCTTACCCCCAACCCTGTGCTCTCTGAAACATGTGCTGTGTCCACTCAGGGTTAAATGGATTAAGGGCGGTGCAAGATGTGCTTTGTTAAACAGATGCTTGAAGGCAGCATGCTCGTTAAGAGTCATCACCAATCCCTAATCTCAAGTAATCAGGGACACAAACACTGCGGAAGGCCGCAGGGTCCTCTGCCTAGGAAAACCAGAGACCTTTGTTCACTTGTTTATCTGCTGACCTTCCCTCCACTATTGTCCCATGACCCTGCCAAATCCCCCTCTGTGAGAAACACCCAAGAATTATCAATAAAAAAATAAATTAAAAAAAAAAAAAAAAAAAGAACAGAAAGGAAGAAATAAAATTGTACCTCTTTGCAGATGATATATGTCTATTTAGAAAATCCCAAGGAATCTACAAGAAAGCTTCTAGAATAAATTGAGTTTATCAAGGTTATAGGATATATGGACAGCATATTTAAAAAAAATACATATATATATTTTGAGACAGAGTCTTGCTGTTTTGCCCAGGCTGGAGTGCAGTGACGCAATCTTGGCTCACTGAAATCTCCAACTTCCCAGGTTCAAGCAATTCTCATGCTGTAGCCTCCTGTGTAGCTGGGATCACAGGTGTGCACCACCATGCCCAGCTAATGTTTGTATTTTTAGTAGAGACAAAGTTTTGCCATGTTGACTGAGCTGGTCTTGAACTCCTGGCCTCAAGTGATCCGTCTGCCTCAGCCTCCCAAAGTGTTGAGAATACAGGCGTGAGCCACCGTGTCCTGCCAAAATATTGTATTTCTATATTGTAATAGTGAACATCTGGATATGGAAATAAGAGAAAAACAGTATCGGCTGGGCACTGTGGCTCATGCCTGTCATCACAGCACTTTGGAAAGCCAAAGCAGGAGGATCGCTTGAGCCTAGGAGTTCCAGACTAGCCTGGACAACACAGTGAGACCCTGTCTCTACAAAAAAAAGAACAGTTTAACCACTCATGGTGGCACATGCCTGTGGGCTTAGCTACTCAGGAGGCTGAGGTGAGAGGATTGTTTGAGCCTAGGAGGTTTAAGCTGCAGTGAGCTGTGATTGTGCTACTGCACTTCAGGCTAGGTGACAGAGGGAGACTCTCTCAAAAAATAGAATAAAATAAATGAGATAATACTACAGACCTTTTAGAATGGCAAAAATTCAAAACAGCTGCCACACCAAATGCTGTCAACGATACGGAGCAGCAAGAACTCTCACTTTGCCAGTTGGAATGCAGAATGGTACACCTACTTTAGAATATAGTTAGGCAGTTTCTTACAAAACCAAGCATACCCTTATCATGTGATCTAGCAACCTGGCTCCTTGAGTCACATGAGTTGAAAATAACATCTACCCAAAAACGTGCACACAAATGTTTATAGTAGTTTTGTTCATAATTGCCAAAACTTGGAGGCAACCCAGATGTCTTTCAGTAGGGGAGTGGGTAAACAAAGTTTGGTACATCCATAGAGTAACGAAAAGTAATAGTAGTAAAAACAAAAAAAAGCTATCAAGACCTGAAAAGACATGCAGGAACCTTAAATGCATATTGCTAAGTAAAAGAAGCCAGTCTCAAAATGCTCCACACTGTATGATTCCAACTGTATGACATTCTGGAAAGGGCAAAACTGTGGAGACAGTAAAAAGATGAGTAAATAGCCAGGAGCTTGGGGGAGGGAAGGATGAATAGATAGAGCAGAGGATTTTTAGGGCAGCAGAAACTATTCTGTGTGGATACATGTCATTAGACATTTGTCACAACTCAAGAGAAAGCACATCAAGAGTGAACCTATGTATGCTAATACATACGTATGTGTACTATGGACTTTGGGTGATAATGATGCATCAGTGTTGGTTCATTGATTCTAACAAATGTTCCCTACTGATGTGGGATGTTAGGGGTGGGGAGGGCTGTGTGTGTTGAGAGAGAATGTATGGGAACTTTGTACTTTCTGTTCAATTTTGCTGTGAACCTAAAACTACTCTAAATAACAAAGACCATAGAAAAAAAATTAAAAGAATGACAAACTATGGCATTCATACCTGGGTACACGACAAATATTTTTTTTGAAAATGAATGGAGGCAACCTGTTGATTCAAGGAAAACAGTATTTGTTGCCAGTGATAAAAATCTGAGCTTTCAAGGTAAGTTTGGAAAGCTTGTTGTCAGTGATAAAAATCTGAGCTTTCAAGATAAGAAGTTTGGAAAGCTTGTATCTGCCATTGTGAAATTGAGGTTCCCAATAATTAATACATTTTAAGATGAGAACAATGGTTATTTTAAGGAAAGTTATATTTTATAAGGAATGTGATAAAAATTGGATGATATACGTAATTCTCTGGAACCAGTATTTTCCAGATGGTCAGTGCATGATGTTATAAAAATCATGCATGAGTAAAAGTTCCATTCAAATTGCAGGACAAATCAATGGATTTTAATGTAACAGAGTATAAAAAGCTTGTTGATACAATTTCAAGGCTATGCACAGTGGCTCACACGTGTAGTCTCTGTACTTTGGGAGGTCAAGGTGAGTAGATAGATTGAGCCCAGGAGTTCAAGACCAGCTGGGGCAACATGGTGAAACCCCATCTCTACAAAATATAAAAATTGGCCAGGTGAGGTGTCACGTACCTGTAGTCCCCGCTACTCTGGAGGCTGAGGTGGAAGATGACCTGAGCCTACATGGTCAAGCTGCAGGGTGCCGTGATTGCACCACTGCACTCCAGCCTGGGTGACAGAGTGAGACCCTGTCTCGAAAAACAAAAAAAGAATAAAAAATATGATTTCAGATGACACATTGCAGTTAGTATTTCATAAATTAGTGCTTGTTTTTGGGAAAGAGTATCATAGAATATCTACAGTTGTCTTAGAAGGCTGTGAAAATACTCTTTTCTAGATGTATAAATGTGTGAATCCAGATTTTTTTTCATAATATATTTCATATATGCCCGGCTATTTTTCATATACTTAAATAACATATTGCAGCAGACTGAATGCAGAAGCAAACATGAGAAAGCAGCTGTTTTCAATTAAGCTAGATACTAAAAAGATAAGCAGAAATGTGAAAAACAATGCTACTTTTCTCACTAATTGCTTTTGGGAAAGGAAAGGTAATGAGTTTATCGTTATTTAAAAATGAATTAATATTTTAAAAACTTTTTTTTTTTCATTTCTAATATGGCCAGTATCCAATACCACAGTAAACAAAAATTTTGGGGAATCTTCAGTGTTTAAAAGAATAAGGAAGTGCTGGCCAGGTGCGGTGGCTCACTCTTGTAATCCCAGCATTTTGGGAGACCGAGGCAGGAGGGTCATTTGAGGTCAGCAATTCAAGACCAGCCTGACCAACATGGTGAAACCTTGTCTCTACTAAAAATACAAAAAATTAGCTGGGGGTGGTGGTGCACGCCTGTAATCTCATCTACTCGGGAGACTGAGGCAGGAGAATCACTTGAACCTAGGAGGCGGAGGTCGCAGTGAGCCGAGATCACACCACTGTACTCCAGCCTGGGCACCAGAGCGAGACTGTCTCAAAAAAAAAAAAAAAAAAAAAAAAAGGAGTCCTGAAATAAAATAGCTGAAGAACTTGCTTTTGTAAGGAAGCTGTTTCAGAAGTAGACTGTCCAAATTACTTAATCCAGTTGTTCCCAAATTTTGTTGCACTTTAAAATCACCTGGGTAGGAAAACCCTTTTGCTTTGTGTGCTGATGAAAGGCAGAAAACCACATCCAGTAACCCCTGACATTAGTCTCCACTGAAAACTTGACAAAAAAGTGCTGGTTTCTCTATCCTAGTATCACACTTTTGAAATACTGAGTTATTACTTCTAATGAGGAAGACAGCCATGTTTGTGGTCATGTGCTTCATATGTTAAAGTTAGCTTTTGAAATGGCACAGAAAACTGAATGTAAATGCCCAGTACAGTATCAGGTAACATGGATTAAACATGTCTAAAGTAGTATTCACTAAAATACTTCAGTAATTTTATAGCTTAGTAGTCCCTTAGTATGCATGGGGGAGTAGTACTAGGAATCCCCAACAATACCAAAATCCACAGATGCTCAAGTCCTTTAAATAAAATGGTGTAGCATTTGCATATAACATACACATATCCTGCTGTATACTTTATTTTATTATTATTAGTTTTTGAGACAGAGTCTCACTCTGTTGCCCAGGCTGGTGTGCAGTGGCATGATCTCGGCTCACTGCAAGCTCTGTCTGCCGGCTTCCTGCCATTCTCCCGCCTCAGTCTCCCAAGTAGCTGGGACTACAGGCGCCTGCCACCACACCTGGCTAATTTTTTGTATTTTTAGTAGAGATGGGGTTTCACCATGTTAGCCAGGATGGTCTCGATCTCCTGACCTTGTGATCCACCTGCCTCGGCCTCCCAAAGTGTTGGGATTGCAGGCGTGAGCCACCGCTCCTGGCTCCTGCTGTATACTTTAAATTTTCTTTAGATTGCTTATACCTAATACTATGTGAATGTTGTGTAAATAGTTGTTGTACTATATTGTTTAGTACAGATGCAACCATCCATTTATTCCCGTCTAATATTTTTCTTCCTCGGTTGAATCCATGGATGCAGAACAGATAGATACAGAGAGCCTACTGTACAGAGTGGAAGCTGCTTCCCCCAAGTTATGAAAAATTATGCAACTAAGGCCGTACCTGAACGCTAGAAAGCTAGAAAACTGCCACATTTGGTTAATGAAAATTGATCTTCTTTTTGAGATCAATTTTCTCAAAATTGATCTGCAAATTTGAGATCATGCCCAGGCTGGAGTGCAGTGGTGCAATCTCGGCTCGCCGCAACCCCTGCCTCCCAGGTTCAAGCGATTCTCCTGCCTCAGCCTCTTGAGTAGCTGATATTACAGATGTGCGCAACTTTCCCTGGCTAATTTTTTGTATTTTTAGTAGAGACAGGGTGTCACCATGTTGGTCAGGCTGGTCGTGAATTGCTGACCTCAAATGACCCTCCTGCCTTGGTCTCCTGAAGTGCTGGGATGACAGGCATGAGCCACTGCGCCCGGCTGAAAATTGATTTTTAATGTCAAGTTTAGTGATCCACAAATTTGTAGCAGCAGTTGTAAAACACTTGACTTTGAATATTCCATATGTGTGTTCTCAGCATGGATTTTTTTTTTTTTTTTTTTTTTTAGAAAAAGAGTTTCGCTCTTCTTGCCCAGGCTGGAGTGCAATGGCGCAATCTTGGCTCACCGCAACCTCCACCTCCCGGGTTCAGGCAATTCTCCTGCCTCAGCCTCCCGAGTAGCTGAGATTACAGGCGTGTGCCACCACGCCTGGTTAATTTTGTATTTTTAGTAGAGACGGGGTTTCTCCATGTTGCTCAGGCTAGTCTCAAACTCCCGACCTCAGGTGATCTGCCTACCTCGGCCTCCGGAAGTGCTAGGATTATAGGCATGAGCCACTGCACCCGGCCTCAGCATGGATTTTTTTTTTAACCAGCTAGTGAATTGCTCATGTTAACTTTTAAGGTAGAAATTTTTATTGAGATAATTGTAGATTCACATGCATTTTTAAGAAATAATACAGAGAGATCCTTAATACAGAGATTCTATTTATGTTACCCAGTTTCTCCCAATGATAACAAATTGTAAAACTGTAGTACATTGTCACAAGCAGAGCATTGATAGTGATATGGTCTGCAGATCTTATTTAGATTTCCTCCAGTTTTACTGTACTTATTTGTGTGTATCTATAGTTTTCTGCAATCTTACTATATGTTTATGTTCCTGTGTTCGCCACCATAATCAAGATATTAACAGTTTATCACTACAAGAGTTACCTTTTTTATAACCACACCCATCCACCCTCTCCTACCCCCCTAACTCTTGGCAGTCATTTCTATTGTTTTGGCATTTTAAGAATGTCATATAAATGAAGCGTACAATATGCAATCTCTTGGATATGTTCATGTGTCTATTACCACAGTCAAGATAATAGAATCTCGAACTTTAAAAAGCTATTAATTGGGCCGGGCATGGTGGCTCACACCTATAATCCCAGCACTTCGGGAGGCTGCGGCAGGTGGATCACTTGAGGTCAGGAGTTTGAGACCAGCCTGGCCAACATGGTGAAATCCCGTCTCTATTAGAGATACGAAAAAAATTAGCCGGGTGTGGTGGGGCACGCTTGTAGTCCCAGCTACTTGGGAGGCTGAGGTGGGAGAATTGCTTGAACCTGTGAGATGAAGGTTGTAGTGAGCTGAGATGGTGCCACTGCACTCCAGCCTGGGTAACAGAGTGAGACTGTCTCTCAAAAAGTAAAAAATAAAAAGCTATTAATAAATTAATTATTTTGAGATAGGGTCTCATTCTGCTGCCCAGGCTGGAGTGCAGTGGTGTGATCATGGCTCACTGCAGTCTCAAACTCCTGGGCTCAAGGGATCCTCCTGCTTCAGCCTTTTGAGTAGACGGGACTGGAGGTGAAAGTTTACTTTTGAAGGAGGAGGGTCTCACTGTGTTGGCTGGTCTCCAAATCCTGGCCTCAAGTGATCCTCCCACCTTGGCCACCCAAAATGCTGGGGTTACAGTCATGAGCCTCTGTGCCTGGCCAAAACCTACTTATTTAAACAGCTTCATTGATTATTCTTTAACAGATTGAATGGTCTCCATGTAATTTCTCCTGATTTTTCAGGATTCATATTAATTAAAGTTGGACAATGAAGAGAAAGAGCATGTTGATCATTTTGTTACTGGTCTAGCCTGCCGCTCATGAAGATCCCCTCAAAGTTCAATGACAGATTGGGTATCAAATTTCTTTTAGAGTAGATTGATTATCTTAGAACCTAGTGGACTATACATAAATAATCTAAAACAGGTTTCCAGGCTGAGGTTTTGACCCTGGGGTCAGGAGTGTTAATGGAGGTGGGAATCTTAAAACTTTTTATTATTTTTACACTTTGGGAGGCCGAGGTGGGCGGATCACGAGGTCAGGAGATCGAGACCATCCTGGCTAACACGGTGAAACCCCGTCTCTACTAAAAGTACAAAAAATTAGCTGGGCGTGGTGGCGGGGGCCTGTATTCCCAGCTACTCGAGAGGCTGAGGCAGGAGAATGGCGTGAACCCGGGAGGCGGAGCTTGCAGTGAGCCGAGATCGCACCACTGCACTCTAGCCTGGGCGACAGAGCGAGACTCCGTCTCAAAAAAAAAAAAAAAATCAAAAAAACCTTTTTATTATTTTTAAAAGTCCTATATGAATTGCTAGCTAGTTAATGCATCAATAATTTGCTTTTGGTTAGAATTCTGTTATCTCAGTTTGGGAAAACAAGCTTTCTTGTTCTGATTGGAAGCTCTGATTAGTGGCTGACATGGTAGGAATTGTTGGATTTGATAATTGGATCAAATTCTGGTACCATAGCTACTGTGATCAGCCACAGTATTCATACTGGACAGATGCTATATGTGATCTTCTTTGGCTATGGATATGCAGTGGCAGCAGACATTAGGTGATAATAAACAGAAAATACACAGGAAGGGAATACCTCACAGTGTTACTAACAGCAAGCCCTTGGCTTTCAATTGACAGATTCCTAGGAAGAAAATACTTTGTAAATATTGTGACCCTGTATGCATACACACAAACACAATAGAAACAGTAGTTGCACAAAAACAGTTCTTTCAAATGCGCAGTTCTATCATATGTTCTATTTTTTTTAACTTTTTTTTTGAAACGGAGTCTCGCCCTGTTGCCCAGGCTAGAGTGCAGTGTCGTGATCTTGGCTCCCTGCAACCTCTGCCTCTGAGTTTCAAGCTATTCTCCTGCCCCAGCCTCCCAAGTAGCTGGGACTACAGGTGTGCGCCACCACACCTAGCTAATTTTTGTATGTAGTAGAGATGGGGTTTCACCATATTAGCCAGGCTCGTCTCGAACTCCTGACCTCAAGTGATCCATCTGCCTTGGCCTCCCAAAGTGCTAGGATTACAGGCATGAGCCACCACCCTGGCCCTATTTTTTTTTTTTTTAATTATTAAAATAATGCTGCTTGTCAGCCACATTGATTTCAGGAACCATCAATGGGATGTGATTTCTGGTTTAAAGAAAAAGCACCGCTTTAGGCTCATTCATGATATTTCATGTCAGCATTTTTTTGATGCCAGAGCCTCGCTCTACCCCCAGGAATCTTAGTTTAAAACTCTTTTTACTCATTTGTATGAAGCATTCAGTAAATTCATTTTGTATTGAAGCTGAGGAATTAGTTGAGTGCTAGCTAGGTCATTTTCCTATGTGTTTTAGTTGGAGATCTATTATGGTAAAATAATTCAAATGGTAGTCAGAAATTTGGTTGGTGAAAGATTATTTTGAATTATGTTTGGTTGGGGAAAAATTATGCTGGCCTTGGTATGCTGAGTGAATTAGAGAGCTTTATTTACTTTTTTTTCTCAAGTGTCTCTCCCCTGACACCCCCTGCCCTTGCCTCCCTCACTTTACTCAGAATTTAAGCTTCTTAAGGCTGATTGGTGCTGTAAGTTTCCTGTGCTATATCCCTTGTAATAGTGCCTCTCACACAGCGTAGTAGTGTCTCAGTGTAGTAGTAACTTCTCACATTGTTCTTTTGAGCTCTTCTGTACTGAGAAACGGTCAGACTCTTGAGAACAGAATGTGTGTGTGTGTGTGTGTTCATTGTCTGGCAGGTAGTCAGGGCTCATCAGTTTTTTTGTTTTTGTTTGTTTCTTTTTTCTTTTTTTTTTTTTTCTTGAGATGGAGTCTTGCTCTGTTGCCCAGGCTAGAGTTCAGTGGCATGATCTTGGCTCATTGCAGTCTTTGCTTCTTGGGGTCAAGCGATTCTCCTGCCTCAGTCCCCTGAGTAGCTGGGATTACAGGCGTCAGCCACCACGCCCAGCTAATTTTTGTATTTTTAGTAGAGATGGGGTTTTGCCATGTTGGCCAGGCTGGTCTCGAACTCCTGACCTCAGGTGATCCCACCCACCTCGGCCTCCCAAAGTGCTGGGATTACAGGCGTGAGCCACTGCACCCAGCCAATAATTTTTTAAAATTTTTTTGCAGAGATGGGGGTCTTGCTATTCTGCCTAGGCTTGTCTCCAACTCCTGGCCTCAAGAGATCCTCCTGCCTTGGCCTCTCAAAGTTTTGGGATTACAAGCATGAGCCACCACACCCGGCTCATTTTTAACTTTTATCTTCAGCTATAATTTCAGTATCATCACATGACTAAGATTATACAAGAAGTTATCTTGTGAGCATTTGGGACAAGAAGCAGAATTGACCAGGTGCAGTGGCTTATGCCTATAATCCCACCACTTTGAGAGGCTGAGGTGGGAGGATCGCTTGAGCTCAGGAGTTCTGGACCAGCCTGGGCAACAAAGCAAGATCTGTCTCTACAAAAAATGAAAAAAATTAGCTGAGCCCAGGTGGCACACATGTGTAGTCCCACATACTTGGGAGGCTGAGACAGGAGAATCACTTGAGCTGCAGTGAGCTGTGGTAGTGCCACTGTATTCCATCCTGAGCAACACAGCAAGACCCTGTCTCAAAAAAGCAGAATTATAACGTTGGTATAGACTTGTGCATACAAACATTGACACACTAAGTCTGAGTGTTCCATTCTGTTCAATAGTATAGTCACCACATTGTTGAAAGATACAAATTTAATGCAAAATAATATTTTTGAGGCATGGAACTCATTTTACAGGTTGAGAAAATAATGGAGAAATTGACTGGCCTTCCTGGTTTTCTTGAGCAGTTGAAAGCCTAAGGCTAAGGATGCGATGCAAACTTTTGTGTACTCAGGATCTTTATATATGCTAAAAATAGAGAGGGGGCCAGGCACCACAAAGTCTGAAAACTACTGTTCTGCGAAATTAGGAGTGATATTTAGTGAATCAGAATTGTGCGCTGTACCTGAGGCAGTGTATGCATGTAAAGTAGGCTCTTGATAAAACTGTGCTGATTGCTTGAAACATTGAAGGTTTATGTATAGGAGAAAGGCATGATGAATTCAGTGTTTCACACAGATTCTTGTCCTTAGCAATTTGGTTGTATTGTTAGTGTATACTGAATTCAACAATAGGCAAATTATTTGTCTTTTCTCTACCTCAGTTCCTCTCTCTTGCACCCTCCTTTCCCAAACTCTTTGTCTCTCCTCCCTCTCCACCCTGGATGTAAGATGAGTATGTTTTGGGGACTAAGTACTTTAAATTGTGTTGTTCTGTTAGCATACCTCAAGTCAATACTGCAGTGAGTACAAATCACATTAATTACCTTTATAAAGGACAAAGCTCTGCTTTCTCTGTGTTTGGTCATAAATCTAGATCTTTGGAGTATAATCCCAAGTAAAGCGTAGAGGATAGTTGTAATGACTTGTTTGAGGATTGGTTCTTTCTGTCGTGGTCAATAACTTTTCAGCCTCACATGTCAAGTTTTCTGCTCTCAGAGAAAGCTATTGTATCATTTTTGCTCAAATATTTTTTCTTTTTTTGAGATGGGGTCTCACTGTGACACCCAGGCTGGAGTGCAGTGGTGCAACATTGGTTCACTGCAGCCTTGACCTCCCAGGCTGCCATCTCAGCCTCCTGAGTAGCTGGGACTATAGGTGTGCACCACCAGGCCCGGCTAATTTTTGTGTTTTTTGTAGAAACAGGGTCTTACTGGGTGGTCTTGAACTCCTGGGCTCAAGCAGTCCACCTGTATCGGCCTCCCAAAGTGCTAGGATTACAGTTGTGATTGCTCAATGTTTCTGTCAACCTCTGTTGAAGGAGAGTCAGGAGGTATTTTGCCTTGACTGCCACTCTCTTAGCTAGGGCTGCCATAACAAAATACCATAGACTGGGTGCGGGGGTGGATTAAACAGTAGAAATGTATCTTCTCAGTTCTGGAGGCTGAAAGTCTGAGATCAGGATGTGAGCAGGGCTGGTTCCTGGAGAGCCTCTCCTCTTGGCTTCTAGATGGCTGTCTTCTCTCTCTGTCCTCACATGGTCATTCTTTTGTCTGTGTTGTCTGTGTCCTAATCTTCATTTAAAAGGATACCAGTTAGATTGGATTAGGGCCCTAAATCTAAATAGAATCACATTGTGAGGTACTGGAGGTTAGGACTTACATTTGTGAATTTTTGAGGGGACACATTTCAGCCCCTAACAGCGGCCAAGACTGTTGTGATTTTGGCCAAGTAACTTTATAGTTTGCAGGATGTGAAGCTGAAGTGTATAAGGTATAGATGGAGCCTGGTCACTGTATTGTGAAGAGATTTTTTGTTTTAATTTTATTTTAGGCTGGATGTTTGTTTCAGATATAATTGTACTTTTTTTTTTCTCGTTTTCTTCATTCTTGACCTTTATTTCTGAAACACCATTGGTACTTGATCATTCAAGGAAAAGTTAAAAGCCCCTTTTCAGAACCCGTTTTACTGAACAAATTTGTAAATGGAAAGATTATTTCCCCATCCTCTATGAGGTCTTAAATGAAGGATTGATATTTTTCTGTAGCTTTAACGTGTGAATTATTCCAAAGAGTGTAAGTAACAATACTTTTTTTGCATTTGACTTCAGTCATTTTCCTCATATTTG
This sequence comes from Homo sapiens, assembly GCF_000001405.40. NCBI lineage: Eukaryota > Metazoa > Chordata > Mammalia > Primates > Hominidae > Homo > Homo sapiens. Next base: position 127,775,613 of record NC_000002.12, on the reverse strand, counting down.
TAGAGTAAATATCCTTGATGTGTCTTTTGATTAGTGCTTTGTATCCAGGTACTCTCCACCCAGCTTCAACAGTCATCAACTTTTTGTTGTTTCATCTGCTGTCCCTTAAAAATTTTTTTGCAGTGGGCCAGGCACGATGGCTCACGCCTGTAATCCCAGCACCTTGGGAGGCCAAGGCCGGTGGATCACCTGAGGTCAGGAGTTTGAGACTAGCCTGACCAACATGGCAAAACCCCGGCTCTATTAAAAAGACAAAAATTAGCTGGAAGTGGTGGAGTGCACTTATAGTCCCAGCTACTTGGGAGGCAGAGGTAGGAGAATTGCTTGAACCTGGGAGGCGGAGGTTACAGTGAGCTGGGATCACGCCACTGCACTCCTGCCTGGGCAATACAGTGAGACTCCGTCTCAAAAAAAAATTTTTTTTTTTAATAGATTAAGCCCATTATTCTTTAATTGAGATAAAAGTCGCATAACAGAGAATTCACTGTTGTAGCCATTTTAAAGTGTATAATTCAGTGGGATTTGGTAAATTCAGTTTTTTGCAGCCACCATCTCTGTCAGGTTGCAAGACATTTTCATCATCCCAAAAGGAAATTCTATTTTAATTAAGCAGTCATTCTCCATTCCTCTCATTCCCCAGCCCGTGGCAAACACTAATCTTTTAGCTTTTTGTCGCTGTATATTAGCATGTTCTGGATTTTTCATATAAACATAATCACACAATATGTGACTTTTTGTGGCTGACTTCTTTCACTTAGCATAATTTTTTTTTTTCTTTTTTTTTGAGACGGAGTCTCACTCTGTCGCCCAGGCTGGAGTGCAGTGGCGGAATCTCTGCTCACTGCAAGCTCCGCCTCCCGGGTTCACGCCATTCTCCTGCCTCAGCCTCCCGAGTAGCCGGGACTACAGGCGCCCGCCACCACGCCTGGCTAATTTTTTTGTATTTTTAGTAGAGACGGGGTTTCACCATGTTAGCCGGGATGGTCTCGATCTCCTGACCTTGTGATCCGCCAGCCTGGGCCTCCCAAAGTGCTGGGATTACAGGCGTGAGCCGCCGCGCCTGGCAGCATAATGGTTTTGATATTCATGTTGTATTTATATCAACTTAATTTCTTTTTTGCAGCTGAATATTTAAATCCCTTTTGACTTGTGAAAAAATCTATTCTCATTTTATAGTAATAGAAACTATACTGTTAGAATAATTTTATTCTAATATAATTAGGTATTTGATTTGGAAGTCATAATTTTAAAATATGCTTTTGGGCCAGGATCTGTGACTCATGCCTGTAATCCCAGCACTTTGGGAAACTGAGGCGGGCGGATCATCCGAGGCCAGAAGTTTGAGACCAGCCTGGCCAACATGGTGAAACCCTGTCTTTACTGAAAATACAAAAATTAGCCAGGCATGGTGGCAGATGCCTGTAATCCCACCTACTCGGGAGGCTGAGGCAGCAGAATTGCTTGAACCCGGGAGGCAGAGGTTGCAGTGAGCCAAGATCATGCCACTGCACTCTAGCCAGGGCAACAGAGTGAGACTCTGTCTTAAAAAAAAAAAAAAAAAAAAAGGCTTTTGGGCTGGGCGTGGTGGCTCATGCCTGTAATCCCAGCACTTTTGGAGACTCAAGCAGGTGGACTGCTTGGGCTCAGGAGTTCAAGACCAGCCTACTAAAATACAAAAAAAATTACCTGGGCATGGTGGCATGCACCTAATGGTCCCAGCTACTCAGGAGGCTGAGGTGGGAGGGTTGCTTAAGCGTGGGAGGCAGAGATTGCAGTGAGCCGAGATCGCACCACTGCACTCCAGCCTGGGCAACAGAGCGAGACCCCATCTCAAATAAAAAAATGCTTACCAGAACTGCTTTATTTTAGAATTACTGGCCCAGACATCTGAATTGAAGCTGGTAATTGAAATTGGGGTGCTGAAACTTAATTGGATTCATGGAATAACTGAGTAAACAGTCTTCCACCAGCCTTATTGAATCAACTGCTTAGTTCTTTTCTGCCGTTTAATTCACACACAGCTCTAAGACATAGAATATTTTTCATCTTATTTCAAGTTAATGTTTGCCAAGGACCTTCTGGGATTGCTTCAGAGTGGTGGAAATAACACAGGTTAAATGCATATTTTATTGCACTATTTATTTTTGGTGTGCGAAAGTCAGGATTTCTTTTCCCTCCACCCCTCCTCCTCCTTGTTGTTATTATTATTCAAATTTAATGGTCTTAGGAGGGACCAACGTGACAAGGCTGAATGAAGTACTACCAAGAATATTTCATCAAAAGGAAATCATAAATTTTTTCAGGCTCATTATTTAGTGTCTAGAGAGTGAGATAAGGCAGTTTTAAGAATACAGACAAATAATGGTGGCCACAATCTTTTCTGGTTTTGAAACAAAAGCAATTGTGGAAATGTTTGTAACTTCTCTCCTTTATTGTATTTGTAATAGTTTTTAATTTTATTCTTTTATTTTATTTTTGGAGACAGGGTCTTGTTCTGTCACCCAGGTTGGAGTGCAGTGGTGCTATCATGGTTCACTGCATCTTTGACTTCCCAGGCTCAAGTGATCCTCCCACCTCAGTCTCCTGAGTAGTTGGGACTACAGGTGCGCACCAGCACACTGGGCTAATTAAAACAATTTTTTTTTTTTTTTTTTGTAGAGATGGAGTCTCACTATGTGCACAGGCTGGTGTTGAACTTTTGGCCTCAAGTGCAGTCCTCCTGCTTGGCCCCCCAAAGTGCTGGGATAACAGATGTGAGCCACCATGCCTGGCCTGATTTTTAAAATGTGCTTAAAATTTATTTTAAAATCATGCATATTTGTATTATTGGCATGTAAGTTTAAATGTAGAGCATTGAAGCTGAAAAACTATAAGGTCTTAACATTTTCCTCTTCAGATATAAACTTAATGTTACCTTTGTAAATATGTAAATAACACATACTGAGAAATAAGTTTCTGTGGTACTTTGCTCCTGAAATTTGGGCATACGTACTTTTTTTGTTCATTATAGATATGAAATAAGGTAGTTTATTCCTCTTTCTACACTAGTCCTGGGAAATTTAAAAGAACAAAAGTCAAATTTTAAAGAGCATTTAATGACTTGTATAAAATGGAGTCTTAATAAACATGAAAATAATTAGTTTTATAATCAAACATCTAAGTGGAATTTTTTTTTTTAAGACAGTCTTGCCTTGTCGCCCAGGCTGGAGTGCAGTGAGGTGATTTTGGCCCACTGCAACCTCTCCCTCCCGGGTTCAAACGATTCTCCTGCCTCAGCCTCCTGAGTAGCTGGGATTACAGGAGACTGCCACCACGCCCAGCTAATTTTTTTGTATTTTTAGTAGAGACGGGGTTTCACCATGTTGGCCAGGCTGGTCTTGAACTCCTGACCTCCGGTGATCCGCCCATCTCGGCCTCCCAAAGTGCTGGGATTACAGGCATGAGCCACTGCGCCCAGCTGTGAAATTTTAATTTTAAAAATGTAAGGCCAGGCTTGGTGGCTCATGCCTGTAATCCCAGCACTTTAGGAGGCCAAAGTGTGAGGATCTCTTGAGCCCAAGAGTCTGAGACCAGACTGGGCAACACAGTTAGATATTATCTCTAGGAGAAAAAAAAGAAAAAGTGAACAATTCCCAGTGATCCTACCTTCTTTTATTCCCTAAGCATAAACACGTACCCATCCACTGACTCACACATACACACCCTGCCTCAAGCTGTTATGAATTGTGCTTTTTTTCTTCACGAGGCTGAATTTTACATCAAATGCCTCTTAGCACTTATTCTGTGAATTAGTCTTCCCCTGCCCCCTCCCTCCCTCCCTCCCTCCTTCCTTCTTTCCAACAGGGTCTCTCCCTGTCACTCAGGCTGGAGTGCGGTGGCATGATCATGGCTCAGTGCAACCTCAAAATTCTGGACTCAAGTGATTCTCCTGTCTCAGCCTCCCAAATAGCTAGGACTACAGGTGCATGCCATCATGTCCAGCTAGTGTTTTTATTTTTTGTAGAGATGGGAATCTCACTATGTTCCCCAGCCTGATCTTAAACTCCTGGCCTCAAGCGATCCTTCCGCCTTGACCGTAGTCTTTTTCAGATGTGTAACTGGTCTCTGTCATTGATCTAATATAGTCATGCACCACAAAATGACATTGTGGTCAATGCTGGACCACATATATGATGGTGGTCTCATAAGATTATAATATAGTATTTTTATCATACTTTTCTATGGTGTCTTTTTCTATGTTTAGACACATGAATACTTATTGTGTTACGGTTGCCACCAGCATTCAGTAAAGTAACATGCTGTGCAGGTTTGTAACCTAAGAGCATTAGGCTGTACCGTGTAGCCTACGTGTGTAGTAGGCTGTATATACCATCTAGGTTTGTGTAAGTACAACTCTGTGAAGTTTGTACAGTGATGAAATTGCCTAAGGATGCATCTCTGAGAACATACGCCCGTTGTTAAGTGACTCATGACTGTAGTTCATTGTGTAAGTGGAAATGATGCACGTTAGATAAGGGAAAAGAAATGTAAAAAGTGTTCATTTAAAAATGTTTTCAGGCAGTGTTGCAGTGCTGATATTTGTAGTGAAAGTACTTTTTCCTTATCCTAGTATCCTAGAAGGAAAACATCACCATGGCTACAGAAATTGGTTCTCCTCCTCGTTTTTTCCATATGCCAAGGTTCCAGCACCAGGCACCTCGACAGCTGTTTTATAAGCGACCTGATTTTGCACAACAGCAAGCAATGCAACAGCTTACTTTTGATGGAAAACGAATGAGAAAAGCTGTGAACCGAAAAACCATAGACTACAATCCATCTGTAATTAAGTATTTGGAGGTAAGCCTGATTTATGTGCTTCAGATGACCAAACTTTGGTTATTTATTTATTTATTTATTTATTTATTTATTTATTTATTTATTTTGAGATGGAGTTTCTTTCTTGTTGCCCAGGCCAGAGTGCAGTGGTGTGGTTTTGGCTCACTGCAACCTCTGCCTCCCGGGTTCAAGTGATTCTCCTGCCTCAGCTTCCCAAGTAGCTGGGATTATAGGCACCTGCTACCATGCCCGGCTAATTTTTGTAGTTTTAGTAGAGACGTAATTTCAACCATGTTGGCCAGGCTGGTCTCAAACTCCTAACCTCAGGTGATCCACCTGCCTCAGTCTCCCAAAGTGCTGGGATTACAGGCATGAGCCACTGCGCCCGGCCTGGTTATTTAAAAGAAGATGATTTTCTAGATGTAGTGTAGTAAGTATGTATACCTGTGTTAGTTGAATTAGTGGGACACGGTGGAATTTCAAATTGGCTAATTTAGGAAGAACCTCAAACCACTAATACTTTATAAAATTCTGTGCCTGTATCATCTTCTAAAAAATTATTAAAGTTAGACTCCATTTTAGAAATAGGATTTGCTCTAAAAGTTCACAAATTAGAAGGGAGTACTTTAATCGCTAGGCCAGTCTTAAAACACTTGTTAAACCTGCAGTGTATATGAAATCATAAAAGACTACCAACATAGGAATATTTTTGTGAGACACTGGCTTGGAGAACATGGATTCTCCCACTTCCAAGCCCTGGTGGTAGGTATTTCTTAGAGTCAGGAAAAGGGCTTTACGTTCTTGAGGATTGAACGCCTACTGCAGTCCTACAGGGTAAAAGCAACTTAGATAGTAAGTAAAGGCAAGGCAGGGGTCTACCTGCAGTTTCCCGTTAGAGTTCTTTATTTACTTGTGTTAATGTAGGAATTAGCCTTATTACTAATATTACCTATTAGGTTCATTGGGTTTAGGTCTGGCCTCCTATGAAAATTTGTCTGTTTTTCATTACCTTAGATCTGTGGTTAAAGACCTATTTGCATATTGGGCCTAGTTAATATGTTGCAGGCATACAGGAGAAAGAGATTCAGAGATAAAGACAGATTTTGATTTTTCTGGGAATTTCAATTGGGAAAGTAGGCTAGGAGAGAGTTTGAGAGGAATTAAGACCAAGGGCAAGATATGAGGAATTGTTTTGTGCTGAGGGCTTTGAAGGAATTGGGGATGTCTTTCTACCCTCTCTGCTGTTTCCTTTTCTTAAGGTAGCATCAGGGAGACTGTGTTGGAGTCGACAGTATCTTGGATGAGTGGGTGGGGACTAATATGATAACATGAGGAGGGAAGGTTTTTTTTTTGTTTGTTTGTTTTTTTGAGATGGAATCTCGCTCTGTTGCGCAGGCTGGAGTGCAGTGGCACCATCTCAGCTCACTGCAACCTCCGCCTCCCTGGTTCAAGTGATTTCTGGCTTGTAGTTTTAGTAGAGACAGGGTTTCACCATGTTGGCCAGGCTGGTCTTAAACTCCTGACCTCAGGTGATCTGCCTGCCTCGCCCTCACAAAGTGCTAGGATTACAGGCATGAGGCACCTCGAGGAGGGAAGTTCTAAGCAATGTTAGTAGGATCAGAAGGGAAAGCTCTCTAAGGCACCCACTATTTGTTTTAGAAAATAATATTTTTTAATTCTGTTTATCCATTTTTAATATAGCTTACATTTTGTTAATTTCAAATTGAGTATAATCAGACCATATAGTCATTAATTGATCTATTTATTTATTTATTTATTTATTTATTTATTTAACAGAACAGAATATGGCAAAGAGACCAGAGAGATATGCGGGCAATTCAGCCTGATGCAGGTTATTACAATGATGTAAGTACATGATGTGTCATACTAGCTTAATAAACACTTCCTTGCTTGAATATTTTAGCCTTCACTGTGTGACTTCAAGTCCAAAATGGTCTTTTCTTTTTACATTTTTATAATTAAAATATTCCCAAAGGGATAATATAACACATCTGTGTAAGCCATGGATTATGTGTTTGTCTCAATTTAGATTTTCCTTTTAATCTAATGATGGGTGAATTTTTGATTTGGGGCTTAAAGCAGTGTCCAAAAAGAAGTTGAGTAATCTAAAGTCTTGTAATTGGAAAGTTAATTTTAAATTTCTTAAAACTTAAATTTGAACTTAATTAGCTTTATGTGGACATGTTTAAATATGTTGACTTTAAGTACTAACTGGGTTAGTACTTGTACTAACTTGTACTGGGTTAGTACTGGTACTTGATTTTCTTGTTTGTTTAGTAATAATGGGTATTTAACTTTCCTGTATCTCACTTTTCTTCACTTAATTAATAGACTAATTGTAATACTTTATAATAGTTTTTATGGGAAAGTTCTATATGGTCCCAAATTTGTCTTTAAATGTTGAAATAATTACCTTGCCGTGTTTCTGGTTTCTGCCTTGTATGTAATCAGGAGCTCTAAGAACCCAATTTTCCTTTTTTGTAGCTGGTCCCACCTATAGGAATGTTGAATAATCCTATGAATGCAGTAACAACAAAATTTGTTCGGACATCAACAAATAAAGTAAAGTGTCCTGTATTTGTTGTTAGGGTAAGTAATCTGTTGGATATTTTGGGGGAAAATTAATCCTGCGTTATATAGCAAATGTATTTGACAGGGCAAAGAAAATTAAACATTATTTTAAAAGTATATCTGGGCTTATAATTGGTTTATTGCTAGTAATTTTATTTTGGAATATCCAGTTGTTTATCTACTTTATCACCATTGAGTGAGATACCACTTTTGGATTGTTTTTCTTCATGTGGCAATTTCTGTAGAATTCTCTCTGAATAGATGGATACATGTTGTAGCAGGTCTCAGAGTTGCGTTTGAGTAGGAATGCTTTTATTAACTATTTAGAAAGCAGCATCCCAAGGTAAATGAAAAATACTTAGGAGTTAACAGACAGGAAAACATCTGAGAGCTGAAGAACTGTGGTGTACCGTAATTTTTAGCTCTATGAAGGTACCTAGTAGGCACTTAATACATTTAAACTGAAATTTTATTTTATTTTTTTATTTTTTTTAGACAGAGTCTCACTCGGTCACCCAGGCTGGAGTGCAGTGGCGTGATCTCGGCTCACTGCAAGCTCCGCCCCCCGGGTTCACGCCATTCTCCTGCCTCAGCCTCCCTAGTAGCTGGGACTACAGGCGCCTGCCACCATGCCCGGCTACTTTTTTTTGTATTTTTAGTAGAGACGGGGTTTCACCGTGTTAGCCAGGATAGTCTCAATCTCTTGACCTCGTGATCTGCCCACCTCAGCCTCCCAAAGTGCTGGGATTACAGGCATGAGCCACCGTGCCCGGCCTTAAACTGAAACTAATTTTAAAACTGAAACTAAATTTAAAAAATATAATTTTTAGTTATAACCCCGATTTTCATAGATGATAATGTAATCATTTTCTTCTTTGTGTTTCGATTATTCCATTTCCTAGCTAATGCACTTGTTGGTTAACAGTCTTAAGTTGAGCAAATAACAGTTGAAAAAAAATGAGACCGAGAAAAGACGATTGTGTCAAACATTAGTGGCAGATGAGGAAAATAAGCAGATCTTCTGATATCAGAGGAGTATGATAGAGAGCAGGGAGAACCAAGAAGTCCTGGGAGAGAGATGTCAGTCTGAACTCCATAGAAATAGCTGCATTTAGTCTTAGGCCTCTTATTTGCCTGAGAGGCCTTAGGCAGTAGACACATCACTCACACCTGTAATCCCAGCACTTTGAGAGGCTGAAGTGGGTGGATCACCTGCGGTCGGGAGTTTGAGACCAGCCTGACCAATATGATGAAACCTCGTGTTTACTAAAAATACAAAAATTAGCCGGGTGTGGTGGCACGTGCCTGAGAGAGGAGGCTGAGACAGGGGAATCACTTGAACCTGGGAGGTGGAGGTTGCAGTGAGCCTAGATTGTGCCACTGCACTCTAGCCTGGGCGACAAGATCGAAACTCTGTTTCAAAAAAAAAAAAGAAACATTGTTATGTGAGTAGAAGCAACCAGTGTGTAGTCTAATTTTTTTTTTAATCAGGGAATTTGGTTAAAGGGGTATGATGTGCAGCTAATTTTAATATCCTCTTAGCATAGCATGGAAAACCTTTTTGAAAAGAATAAAATCCGAGCATCCATATCTTATAAGGTGGGTAAATGTTCTCATTTGGGGATTACGCTATAAGGTTTGAGGAAGAATTTGCACATAGTAGAGGCACAGTCAAAATCAAAAGGTATTAAGGTATAAAGACTGTGGGCTCTGTGTCTACAGTTTGGTTGTCTGTAGTATTGACCGGGTTAGGATCCATACCAGATAACAGAAACTAGAAAGAGGGGAGGCTTTTAATCTGATAATCAAAACTGTGACTTACAGGTAAGCAATGAAAAGCCAAATTGTCATATATATTTGTGTAATTTAAGAAATAACCTTCATTTTATATATCCTTACTGTTTCTATAAGCACATATGTATTTGTATTTTTCAACTTTGTCGGAGTTTTTGGAAAATAGGATTGTTGTATTGCCATTTTGTATATTTACATCTTTTAAGGAAAATGAGTGTGTGATCCATCATAGAAACTTGAAAATAAAAAGTAAAAACAAAAAATTTGAATGTTTCAAATTAACCAGCACATATGCCACAGATTTCCTTTAGTATGCAAATTGTGACATCAAAATACTGATGTAAAAATATTTAAAGGGCCTTAAGTGCAAAAAGTAATAAAGGACTTTAGGTTTAATTTAAAAAGAGAAAAGGTGCACTTAAAAGTGCAAAAAAAGTTATTGGCATAGTCATTCCCTGAAAATATATACATCTATGTGTATCCATTAGAATTAAAACTTTTGGTGTAGTGTTAATTAGTCATGGCACTATTATGGTTTTTTTTGAGAGTAGATCAGCGTAAGAGTTATCACTGCTTGGTACTTTGAATGGAGGAGAGCTTACTTTTTTTTTTTTTTTTAAATATGTTTAGCTGCAGGAAGAGTTTGAAAGCCTCAGTGTCCTTAAATCGGTACTTATTATTATCTTGTTTTTTTAATTAAACACTGGTAACTTTTCTTTCTGAATTTGTCCTCTCTTACTTGTAAGCACCATATCCTTTATTCAGTCTTTGAGTTGTTCTGGTGACTGATCACCTTATTTATGTTAGTCTATCGTATAGCCTAGGGAAATGAGGTCTTTGCATATTCTGTTTTGAAATGGTCTTTAGCATGCATACGTGTGTGTAATTTAGTGAGTAGGTGCGTATACTCATAATGTACTTACTGTCTTTAATTTAGCTAATAAACCAAAGGACTAGAGCTTTCCTTGCACAGTGTTAAGTTGTTTTCTGACAAAGTACTTCTGATAAAGCTGAGCTACATTTAAGTGAAAGTCAGTATCATTATTTAATGTCAGTTATTGCATGTTTTACAAATACCTTTAATATGTTTTTCAAAATTAGTGAAGTTGGAGGATGTATAACCTGTCTTTTTTTCTCCCTTAGTGGACTCCAGAAGGAAGACGCTTGGTCACTGGAGCTTCTAGTGGGGAGTTTACCCTGTGGAATGGACTCACTTTCAATTTTGAAACAATATTACAGGTAATGATAATCACCAGATGGTATCATCATCCTGTGGTACTGTAAAGAACTTGAGATATAGTCATTTCATTGGCATTGTTAAACTTAGAATTGGGACGAATTATTACCTCGAGTCAGTTATATGCTCTTGTAAGCCTTTAGTCATATATTCTTTGAAGCAGCACCTTACTAATTAATGTTTTCTGCTTTCACAGGCTCACGACAGCCCAGTGAGGGCCATGACGTGGTCACATAATGACATGTGGATGTTGACAGCAGACCACGGAGGATATGTGAAATATTGGCAGTCGAACATGAACAACGTCAAGATGTTCCAGGCACATAAGGAGGCGATTAGAGAGGCCAGGTTTATACACAATATACCATTTTCTGTAGTCCCTATTGTCATGGTTAAATTATTCTCTAAGTGTATTCTGGGTGCAGAGATGCATGGGCTCTGTCAGTTTCTGGGAAACTTTCTGCACCCTATAAACACAATATTTTTCTTTGTTTTCACACATTCACCATTTTGCTGGCACCTTTCTGAAGTAGTGTTGTCCCGGTATCAGCCTTTGCAATATGTTAGAGATGTACTGTCTGCCGCATTTTGCACTGGTTTTCTCTTTTCATTTATGATTAATAATGTGTATACGTTATTCCTTTTTATTATCTACTGTGTAAGACAAGAATATTTCATTCCAAATAAAGAATTCAGTCTTTAATTATGCAACTGAATAAAATCTAAAGCCTACAGAAAACAACTTCAGAATTCACACAAAGTGGAAAAAGGCTTAAGTGAAGACCTGGTTGGCTTGGTTATGCCACGACTTCCAAAGGAAAGTATAGGACTAAAACCCTCACAGATAACTGGATGTGGCAAACATTAACGGAGTAATGAATGGGTTCTTCAAGCTTTGCAGCTGTAAGCAGATCATTGTCAAGAAGACTCTAGGACTTTTCTTCTGATTCACTGTTGATAACATCACTTATGCAAATGTATACAATAAGTGGAGTTTAAAATATTTTCAGTGAGTTGTATATTTTTACACATCAGTGAGGTATGTATAGTAAAACTGGGGGAAAAAGTTCCAAATACAAGCCTGAAGAATTGCTGCAGCCTCAGAATAAAGCTAAGCAGCATTCTTTAAGGTTGTGCCACCCATGTGTGGGAGGAGGTTGACATCTTTATGGAAACATCATCCACTGTAGTCATTTGTTCATACTTTCAGAATCTTAACAGAAATTGTTGGATGAACATGCTTCTGCTTTGTAGATTTTGCCTTAGTGTCATGCCCATACATTGAGTTTACACAGCTGGTCCTTCATAGGATTCCAAAGTTCAAGGGAGTTTTTAGAGTTAGTTGAGAAACTTGATGATCTTTCACTGCTGGGAAAAACTGACTCCTTCTTGCAGCAGATTCTTTGGCTTTACACACAAGTCTGAATGTCCTTATTTTAAAGTTTTCCTCAAAGGTGCAACATTCATGGAATAGCTTGCCAGGAAGATGTGAAACTTTTCTACAGACCTTTGAAATGGATGAGAAACATTGTATGTAGGGATGTTTAGCAATCAGTCTTTTAATAGACAGCCCACATTGTTTCAGCTTATTTCATGAAGTGTCTGAGGCAGAAGCTGATGATAATTTTGGGAGCAGTATTCGTGTGTGATTTAAAAGACTGCAGGAATACTGCAAAAATAGAATCCATTTATTTTCACCACTTAAGGCAGCTTCATGTGATTTCCTCGTATCATAGAAAATAGAGAAGGAACATGGATAGCATTAGCACTAATAATACACACTTGAAGTTCTCAGAATACTGATGATTGAAAACTCAAACAACTGCTCTGTTGAAGTCTTCTTTTGATGAGATGCCTATGTTAGCTGACGACATTCACTTTAAGGGCTTCTTCACTGGATTCTTCCCTCTCCTGTTTATAATGCAGCACAGTGTTTTTATTTTTCCCTGTCTGAGAAGCACAGATTATCTGTTAAATGCTGACTTCTTTCCCCTGCTGTGTGTCTTCATGTAACAGTTTCTCACCCACGGATAATAAATTTGCTACATGCTCTGATGACGGCACTGTTAGAATCTGGGACTTTCTTCGTTGCCATGAGGAAAGAATTCTCCGAGGTACGTGTACTAACAGTACTGATTGGAATATTTAAATAGGGAAGACATTTGTGGTTAAATCATCACAAAACCACAATACTGGCTTACACCTCCATTCAATTTTTTTTACATATACACACCGTCTCAGGCTCTTCAAAAAAACCCAGCACTTTCTCTGACTCACAGTCATTTTGTAGGTTTTTACTACCAGTGTTATCTTTGAATTTTTCAGCTGTAAATTAAATACAAGAGTGCCTCCCCCTTACTTGCTTATCTGTATGCATCTTTTAGGGCTGTATTCCTTTTCCTTCCTTGTAGCCAGGGTACTTGTTCCCAACATATTGACACTGTGGTTTGATTTAGATAGCCGTCATTCTCCTGGCAGTCCTTTTACAATATGAATTAACCGACAAGATAGAGGTATCAAAGCTACACTTCTTAGTGTTACTATTTTTGAAAGCAGTTGGTTTTTCAGTACACCACATTTGTACTACATGGCCGGCTTGTTACTAAGTTCGGGTGGCATTGCTGCTTGTTTACTTTTGTTGATTTTATAATTAATAAACCTCTATGAAATTACTTCATTCCGTAACTGAAGTCCATATTCTCACTTCGATTATTTTAGATTATGCATTAGAATATTGGACTTTATAAAGTGGGACTGTTGAAATATTAACAGTACATCAATGTGAGTTACGTGAATTCAGTGGTGGTAGAGTTAAGGAATTTGTTGTATATATGCAATACAAACATCACAACAAAGACACTTCTAACTGGATCCTGTTAGTTTATTAAGTAGGAAGGTAGTTTTCTCCAGTGCTTAATTTGAACCTTTTGAATGTACTGTTTAACAAACAGTACCTTCTACTCCGTACCCTTGATTCCAGGATGCCACAAAAGTACCATCTTTCTCTGACACATAAATACAGGGTGGGAGGATGGGTGCTACGGGTGTTGGGTGTCAAATTATTATTCAGAGCTTTTCCCTTATGTTCAAGAGTCAGCAGAGATCGTTGTCTTGGTTGAATCGTTAAGTTTCTCACAGTTTTTCAGAGCTTTAGCTGTAGCATATAATGTTGATGTTTTGTAGACAGGAAAGACTCTTGAGATACTTTAATGTGTATTTCAGCCCATATTTCAAGCCAGTATCTTCCATCACATTTGCTTCAACACTCCTGACTTGGCACATTTTGTTTGGGTTTATCCACAGTACTGTATGACTGTAGCTTTTGTAAGAATAGGGAACCTGTCACATTGAGGGAGTTTACTCACTATAAAGGTCATAATATTGTATAACTTCAGAACGAGACAGAGACTTTGAGATGATCATGTCTGAGTTATTTTATGGATGAGCTCCATGATGCCAAGGGTGGAAGTGACATGTTCAAAGCAAAATAGGTTCAGAGCCAGGACTAGAATCTTATCATTTGACTCCCAGCCTAATGCCACACTTATGTTGAATCTTTCCTCACTATTAGTCTTGGCTGTTAAACAGAAATAAGTGAAACATTTTCTAAGTTTTTAAAATCCTGGAAACTTAGAGAAAATGAAATAATTTTATTTATTAAAAGTAATTCTAGAGTAGCTGGGCGCGGTGGCTCACGCCTGTAATCCCAGCACTTTGGGAGGCCGAGGTGGGCGGATCACGAGGTCAGGAGATCAAGACCATCCTGGCTAACACCATGAAACTCTGTCTCTACTGAAAATACAAAAAATTAGCTGGGTGTCGTGGTGGGCGCCTGTAGTCCCAGCTACTCGGGAGGCTGAGGCAGGAGACTGGTGTGAATCCAGGTGGCGGAGCTTGCAGTGAGCGGAGTTTGCACCACTGCACTTCAGCCTGGGCAACAGAGTGAGACTCTGTCTCAAAAAAAAAAGTAATTCTAGAGTATTAAAACAACTAATTTTACAGTGGACTGTATTAACTGAAGTCTGATCTAAAACCACTTTGCTGCTTGGATTTTAAAAAGAAGGAAATCTATGTGATAACGTTTTTGAGTCCCATGATCCAGTGAAGCATTATTCAATTTTGGTAATGAATGTGTTTCATTAAGAACTTTCCTTTGAAATTTAGAGTGTGCAGGGGATATTAACTAGCAGTTAAGTATTTTCAGATAAGTCCAGGTAAATTTAGATGAAGTTAAGTAGATGCTGAATCATAAATGAGAGTTGAGATTTTTGTATGAGGTCTCTTTATTTTAGGTTTTTACTATGGAAATTTCAAACATGTACAAAGGTATAATGAGCCTTCAGGTACTTTTAGGGTTTACATTCTAGCTTTTTAATATCTTTTGATTCTTTTTAAAAAAATTCTACTTACTTTACAGTAACAATATTTTTAGTACCCCAAGACACTTCAGTATATGAGACATGAATATATTGAATTAAGTTGATTATACCACCCAAGCAGTAATTCTGATAGCAGGTCTGCTGTAGGAGAAGAGTTATTAGATTCCAGTTGTCTGTTTTCTGTCATTTCTCACTTTTCCAAATTTTATGCATCTAAGAGCTTCCCATCCTCCCCTTAGTGAGTTGTGGGGTCAGAGGGTTGGTGGATTGGTAGTGGTTTCAAGGGATGATGAGAGTTCTTTAAATAAAATGTGAAGTGAACTTACTTAGCTCTACTCAGAGAAAACTGGATCACAAAGTCAAACAAATAGGGACAGGATAGTCTAACCTCTAAAATATCAGTTGCCCTTTATTAAGGATGATGTTCATGTAACACGCATAGACTCTATGGCATCAGGTAGATAAGCATACTCCTTTGCATTGTTAGTGTTGTGTATCAAGTCATTACTTTTGGAGTTAAGTATTCAGAAAATCCAAAATAATTCTATTTAAGGGGAGTTTGTGATCATACAGTCAAACTCTTATCAAATACTTTTCTACAACATTCCTAAAAACTAGCCTTCTACTCACAGACATTCTCAGTGATGTAATATTCCTTACTTCACATGAATTCCTTAAATAGCTCTAATTTTCAGGAAATTCTTTCTTTATATCAGAAACCTGCTTCCTTACAACTTGTCTTGCCTACGGGAATACCAAAAATTAAGTCTGCACTTAATTCACATGGCAGGCCGTTAAGTATGAAGAGACAGCTGTTGGGTCTTCTTGACTGAGTTTTTCAGCTTTAAGCATACAGTGTTCCTGTACATAACAGAAGTCATGATACTATACTTCTTAATTTTTAATTTTTTTTAAAAAAATAGAGTCAGGCTCTCCCTGTGTTGCCCAGGCTGGTCTCAAACTCCTGGGCTCAAGGGATCCTCCTGCCTCGGCCTCCCAAAGTGCTAGGATTATACTGTGAGCCACCACACTGGACTTGTACTTTTGAATGCAGAATTTATAGTTGCTTTTTATTTTTATTTTCTTACTATTTTAAAAATATTTTTGAGACCAAGTCTTCCTCTGTTGCCCAGGCTGGAGTGCAGTGGTGTGATCTTGGCTCACTGCAACCTCCGCCTCTCGGGTTCAAGTGAGTCTCCTGCCTCAGCCTCCTGAGTAACTGGGATTACAGGCATGTGTCACCATGCCCGGCTAATTTTTGTATTTTTAGTAGAGACAGAGTTTCACCATGTTGACCAGGCTGGTCTAGAGCTGCTGACCTCACGTGATCCATGCTCCTCGGCCTCCCAAAGTGCTGGTATTACAGGCGTGAGCCACCGTGCCTGGCCTGTAGTTGCTTTTTATTATAGTATTTCTGAGATTGTTCTTACGCTTAGAAAAGGTTGAAGTTACAGAAGAGAAAAATACTCAGTATTTTCTAAGGTGTAAAATGAGCATAGATCTGTTGACGGTGGATTTGTTATACAAAAGTCCTTGTTGGTACATAAGTTGAAAAAACAGACATTTATGAAATAGAATATACTGCAGCATTGAGAAGCACTATGTATATGTCCACCATTACAAAGGATGTGTAAGTCACCATAGTTCCATTTCTCCTTTTTTTCTAGTATTAATTATGGCAACTTATGGACTGGGATTAAAATAACATTTTTTAAAGTTTTTATTAAAAATTAAAAAGAAATTTCCCCTAGCTTCCCAAGCTTATGATAAAATAACATTGTACACACGAGAAATATGCGAGACTAAATGAGCCTATAGGTTATGTTTACACATTTGACTCCAACTGAAATAGTACCATTAAAATCTATTTAATAAACAACGAGTATCCTATATGCAAGTTACCTAGGAGACTGTTTTATAAGGTATAACCCCTATCCTCATGTTTAATAGGAAGGTGAGATATTTTCACAATCGTTAAAGACGTTTGATAATAAGGGGGGAGAGCTGTGTGAGTGCTAGAAGTGTAGTTTTATGGGCATATGGAAGCAGATCACTTAACTACTGGCAGGTTGAAAATACGGAATCAGTAAGGATATGGAAATAAATTTTACTGAGAGACATCATATTTTATTTTTAATTTTCTCCCACAGCCTCACCCCTCCCCATTATACTCATAAAGAGAATCAGTTAACAAGTTTCAGCGTGCTTTAATTTTGTTTTACCTTCTTGATTTTAACAATAATAACAGCTGACACATTATACTTACTGTAATTGTAAGGCATATTGTAAGTACTTTATTTAATCTTCCCAGTAGCCCTACCAGAGCAGTACTGATTGTTTCCCATTTTACAAATGAGTAAACCAAGGCACCAAAAAGTTAAATAAACCTGTCAGAGGTCATATAATTTATAAGAGTTGAGGCTAGGATTTGAAGCCTGTTTGGCTCCAATATTCATGCTGTTAACTACTATGTTAAACTGCCTCTTTTATGTTTTAAAAGGAATGTCAGCAACAGTACCTTCCTAAGCTGTAATTGACAGAATTGTGAAGTAAAGATTGGTATGGGGGAGAAGGGTGTGGGTAGAGGAAACTAGGTATTCAGGTTCATTTTAACATTCTTTAAAACTGTAGAGGTTATAGTGAATGTATAATATATTTAGCAAAAATATTAAAACACAGCTATTGGTTCACACTACACATGGGTTATAAGGTGTATTAAATAGAACATGGACATAAGCAGTTATATTGAGACTTACGCAGGAGTTTTTAGTTTTCAAATATAATACTAATGGAATGGAAATGAACACTTACGTACTCACCACACAGATTAAGAAAAGTAATATGATTACTAATACTTTTGTTAAGTCTCTGTGTGCCCCTTCATGATTGCATTGGTGGTTTATACTACATGAGATGACTGCTGTCTACACAAAGATCTTTTCGTTTGGCAGTGTGTTTTTGAACTGTGTGAAGACACATTTACAAAGTTTGAATGTTCCAAAAAATGGGTGCTTTTTATTGGAAATAACTTTATTATTAAAGTAAAATTGGTAAACCATGTAGTTTATGATAATAAACCTAATTTATTTCTATAAGGTTTTACAAAACACTCCCCAGAATTCTGTTTTCCCCCAAGACAAAAAACCCAGCTTCCTTTAAAGTAGCCCATAGCAGAATAATTCCTTACGTTGACTTAGCATGCTTTTAGTATTAAAAGCACTTCAAGCATATATCCAAACAACCACCTGGACCCATTTTACTACAGCTAGCTGCCTGTATTCTGTATCCAGTTTCTTACTTTGAGGAAGCGTTTCTTTAAGGCTCTGTGCTATCCTGAAAAGACTAGATCATGGTAGGTTGTCTTATTATGTAAATAATTATATCATAAGAGAGAAAAAGACTTGATATTTAACATCTAAAGCACATTATTTAAACAAGTTTGTGTAGTAGGGTTCTGAAATATTCATTTTATGTGATGTGTTCATATTTTTACAGGAATTGTTTAAAATTTTTATGATGGGCTTTGTTCTTTTAATCGCTATGCTTATTTAAAATATTGTACATAATATGACCAAAACTTATTGAATATAAATCTGTACCTTTCTTGGGGTGCAGAGTTGCATGCTGCTGCTAGTATATTTAGTGTCTTAATTAAGAGTCAAGAGCCACTCCCAGGCACTCTTTTGTATGTGAAGATTCGACTTTTTTTTTTTTTTTTTGGAGACAGGTTCTTGGTCTGTCACCCAGGCTGGAGTGCAGTGGCGCAATACTGGCCCACTGCAACCTCCACCTTGCAGGTTCAAGCAATTCTCCCACCTCAGCCTCCCTGGTAGCTGGGACTACAGGCATGCACCACCACACCTGGCTAATTTTTTAATTTTTTGGTAGAGATGGGCTTTCACCATGTTGGACAGGCTGGTCTCTTGATCTCAGGTGATCTGCCCAACTTGGCCTCCCAAAGTGCTGGGATTACAGGCATAAGCCACCATGCCTGGCCGAAGATTCAGATTTCTTAGCAGTGACAAATCCCTATGATTATTAATTTAGGCAGTCAGTTTTCAGAAAGAGCCTTTCTATCTTTACATTTATTAAAGATATAAATTTTATTCTGTAGTTGTCTGTTCTATAATTGTATGCTTCAGTTCGTTTTGAGTGAGGTTTAAATTTTTGTTCTGATGAATTAGTTACCCTGTTCTTTTATAAATCTCAGCTTATCAGGTCTTTGATAGTTTTTAAAGTTAAAATTCTGAGCTTTGGAAAGGCTGATACAGTTAGATAAATGTATAATATGTCTTGGCTTTTTCATTTTCGGTGAGTAGATTCTTTAATAAAGTATATGATTAAAATGTGGTATAATATAGTAAGTTTTGTCAACGAGGGGAGTATCAGAACAAATACTGGGTTTGGTTTTTTTTTTTCATAGTAATTTTTTTCCCCTTTAATTACCTTTTTTTTTTTTTTTGGAGTTGGAATCTTGCTCTGTTGCCCAGGCTGGAGTGCAGTGGCATGATCTCAGCTCATTGCAACCTCTGCCTCCCGGGTTCAAGCAATTCTCGTGTCTCAGCCTCCTGAGTAGCTGGGACTACAGGCATGCACCACAAGACCCAGCTAATTTTTGTATTTTTAGTGGAGACAGCGTTTCACCATGTCAGCCAGGCTGGTCTCGAACTCCTGACCTCAAGTGATCCGCTCGTCTCAGCCTCCCAAAGTGTAGTCATTACGGGTGTGAGCCACTGTGCCTGGCCACTTTTTTATGGTATACCAGAAAACTGTAGCTCAGCAATTTCTGAGAAGCACCTATGATCTCTTTAGTTGTAAAGAGACCAGAGTGAGGATTTCTGTTTGTTTTGTCACGAATGGAAATTGTAAGTATTCTACCATATTGAAACATTAGAAAATACTGAAGGAAGTCAGCATGAATATAGAAACAAGGAGTAAAAGGGTGGGTTTTAGGAACTCCTTGTCAGGAAGCTCAATATTTTGTCTCCAACAGACATTTTTAATGTTATTAAACAAAAGTAGTTTGTGATGCCATGAGTCATCAAAGATTAGATTAGTAGTTCTTAATCCCATCAGGCCAGATAACTGCTTTTTTGAATAAATAATTTGTAGTCTGTACACTTCTGAAGTGAACTTCATTGATGACTGCCACACACAAATTTCTAAAAAAGGCACCACCACAGGTACGCACACATGCATGCACGCGCAGGCTTGGAGAAAGCCTTACTGCTTCCATTGAGAAATAGTGGTCTGGAATAAATCATGCTAAAATAATCCTATTTTTTTAATAGGATTGCTGGAGTGGTCAAGGACATTGTAGCCAGAACAATACAGGCAACCTTTTGAGCTAATTTGTGGATCATGGTAGAGGAACATGGCTTTTTAGCTGCATGAGTGAAAGGTCATTCCCAAAGTAAGTTTTCCCTGGATGTTTGTTACCTGTGAGACAAGTATGCAGAGAGTGCTGTAAGATTCTTTACTTGGCCCCGTCCTATTTAACAGTTTATATTAATGTAGATGGTCTTGCTTTGTAATTTATAGCTGATTCAAAACGACAAGTAGAAGTTCACTAGATTTCAGGATTTGAGAAGATATTTTGATGTTAAACTTAACAGAAACTTAAACTGTAAAAGTTAAATAAAGATAAATAGGAAGTTCTGTACTTTGCTTACCAACCTCAATTCCAGGGTTTGTTAGATTGGTTAATTAGAGTTCATAAAAACAATCCTGTGTTTTAGATGATTGGTGTGAACTCTTGAGGTGTCATGTTCTTCCCCACTTAATAGAATACTTAATAGATGTTCAGAGTGGTGGAGCTTCATTTTTGAGGGGAGTTTACTAGAAGGGAGAATGGTCTGGAAATCATGAAGAACAGTAAAGGGAAGATTAGTATTTAGCTGGGTTAAAAGAGACTTGCGATTATAGTTATTTTCAGATATTTAAAGAATATTTTTTGGAAGTAGGATTTGATTTATTTTATATAGGCCTAGAATATAGGGGATGAGAAGGATATAGGACATCATATTTGGATTTCATTATGGAAATTTTTTTCCTGTGGAAAGATAAGAGAATGTGGCCAGGCACAATAGCTCACACCTGTAATCCCAGCTCTTTGGGAGGCTAAGGTGGGAAGGTTGCTTAAAGCCAGGAGTTTGAGACCAGCCTGGGCAACAAAGTGAGACCCTGTTTCTACAAAAAAAAAAAAAAAAAAAATGAAAAACATGGTGGCATGCACATGTAGTCCCAGCTACTCAGAAGGCTGAGGCAGGAGGATTGCTCGAGTCTAGGAATCCAAGGCTGCAGTGAGCCGAGATCGCGCCACTGCACTCCTTCCTGAATGACAGAGGGAGACCCTGTGTTTTTCCCCCATAAAAGAAAAGAGAACGGACTGTTGTGTGAGCTATTGGGCTTCCCTTTCATGAAATTTTGCCACATTTAGCTTGCCACCTACCTGTCAGGGAAGTTATAGAAAGCATTTCCTTTTCAGACGGATGGTCGGATTTGATAATATTAACGTTAGTTTTATGTTTCAGGGCAGACCTAAAGTCTGAAAGTCAAGCATTGCAAAGAGTTAAGTGACTAGGTTGTATCCCATAAGGAGATGTTGCCAACCTCTGTTGAGACATTGGATAATGTTATTAACACTATTGTTTGAAGTAGTGAATGGAGTCTCAAAATTCACCTAATCTTCCAAACATTTTTTGAAGTATTTATACTTTTTAATTGTATATATACAGTAAATGCACAAGTCTTAAATGTACAGTATAATGGATTTTTTGTATTTATACACTTGCCTAACTACCTCTAGATAAGAAATGGAATAATTTTAGGAGTCAAAGATTTCTTCATGCCCCTTTCCCACCTTAGCTTTTTACTAGGTAGGTTAGGCTTTGAAAGATACTTTCATTAAGTTATTTTTCTTTTTCTTTACTGTTCTTTACATTTTGTGATTTTTGTGGTTTTTATCTCACCTTCCTCTGTGTAGAGTTGTCTTAATTACCTTTCGTTGATTTGAGTCTATATTCTTTTTTAAAAAATAGATGCAGTCCTGAATCTAGATGCCTCCATATTCTTTTAAAAATGCTGTTTTATTACTTTTTCTGATCAGTTTCTTCTGCTAGTCTCCTGCTACTAAAACCAATTCTTTGGAAGTATATAAAGAGACACTATTGCATATGATTACAATCACAAACTCTAGAAGCTGAATGTTAGTCACAGTTTCAGCTCTTAGCAGCCATGTGACACTGGGGCAAGTTACAATATTTTGTGTCCTCATCTGTGAAGTGAGGTGTTGAACTCATTGATATGTCATTTCCAAAGTGAATTTCAGAGCCTGCTTCCAAATCTCTGGACTATTTTAGGATAAAAGTGGTTATTTCAGAACTTTTCTCATTTGAATATTTTTCAGCCACTGTTATGACAGTAGTATATATAGGCTTTTATATTTATAAGCAATCTATAAATATGACTACTTGTTTAAACAAAGCTGTCATGATTTTTTAGTGTTTTTAGATGTAAAAAATTCAACAGATATGAACTTAGAATTGGTCTTTTTGAAGTCCTTTAAAAGGGCTATGCGTGGTGGCTCATGCCTGTAATCCCAGCACTTTGGGAGGCCAAGGCAGGTGGATCACTTGAGGTCAGGCATTTGAGACCAGCCTGGCCAACATGGTGAAACCCCGTCTCTACTAAAAATACAAAAATTAGCTGGGCGTGGTGGCACATGCCTGTAATCCCAGCTTCTCGGGAGGCTGAGGCAAGAGAATTGCTTGAACCCAGGAGGCAGAGGAGGTTGCAATGAACCGACAGTGTGCCATTGCATTCCAGCCTGGGCAACAAGAGCAAAACTCCATCTCATAAATAAATAAATAAATAAATAAAGTCTTATAAGTGGATTTAAATAGTTTATCTTAGTTGTTAGATGCATCAGATAATTAATGATGACACGCTGTGGCCAATGTGCTATCATTGGTTCTTTTGCTGATAAAAATTTAGAAGACATGACCTCTTCCCTTTAGCACCATGTCCAACATTTTCCTAGTTATCTTATTTCTTCAGAAATGTTTTGTGGATTGATGAAATACCATATCAACCAGGAATGCTGTTTTACATTGACAGTGAGTAGTCTTCACAGCTCATAGCAGCAGGCTGCTGTCATTGGTGCCTAGACTGTTTCTTTTTTTTTTTTTTTTTTTTTTTTGAGACGGAGTCTCGCTCTGTCGCCCAGGCCGGACTGCGGACTGCAGTGGCGCAATCTCGGCTCACTGCAAGCTCCGCTTCCCGGGTTCACGCCATTCTCCTGCCTCAGCCTCCCGAGTAGCTGGGACTACAGGCGCCCGCCACCGCGCCCGGCTAATTTTTTGTATTTTTAGTAGAGACGGGGTTTCACCTTGTTAGCCAGGATGGTCTCGATCTCCTGACCTCATGATCCACCCGCCTCGGCCTCCCAAAGTGCTGGGATTACAGGCGTGAGCCACCGCGCCCGGCCGGTGCCTAGACTGTTTCATCAGGACAGCATTTAGTTTTTTGGGGGGTAAGAACAGGTTTTATCCTGCTGACCAACCTTAAGCACAAGAATTAATCCCTAACTCCATTTAGTGATAAGGAAGTTGGATGAACAAGTGATAGCTCTGGTAAAATGTTATTTCTTTTTGCCATCTTGGATGAGTAATGTGTCAGCAGTAAGGTAGGAATCTTGGGGCAAATGTACTATACATATATTTTTGTTGCAGTAGACAAGATTCAAATATAGAAATCTAATGTCTTGTTTGGACTCTCCTTGTTACCCTCTGCGTCCACCCCGTGAAACTTGTCAGTTTGACCAAACGGACTAGCTGACTTTGGGGACTTGACTTTGGGGACTTACTGCGTCCTCAGAGTCTTCCGTGTAGTTTGTTGGAGGGTAGGAGCCGAAACCTTACCTGTGACATAGCAGATGTGGGTCTGATTGAGTGACTCTAAGATCAGAGAGGTGGCATCTGGAATAAAAAGAGCATTTTAAGTTTAGTGATTTCTGAACTAAAATCCTGCTCCTTTCTTGAGGTCGTATAGTACAGCACTCAGTTTTAATGTTCTTTCTGTAGAACCTGAATATTAAATACTTCAAAACTTTGGTGGTGGTAATATTAAAAAAATTTTTTTGCAATAGTTAAATCAGATCATTTCATTTCCTGAAATCTATGCAAATTATTCCATTTGTATCTTTTTTAAGTGTATTCTGATTTTAAAATTTATTATTATTTTTCAGAGACAGGATTTCGCTCTGTTGCCCAGGTTGGAGTACACTGGCATGATCATAGCTCACCATAACCTCAAACTCCTGGCCCTAAGCCATCCTCCTGCCCAACCTGTTTTTTTTTTTTTTTAAATAGAGCATCTTCACTCTAAATATCAATATTATTATTATTATTATTATTATTATTATTATTATTATTTTGAGATAAGGTCTTGCTCTGTCACTCAGGCTGGAGTGCAGTGGCATGATCTTGGCTTACCGCAGCCTCCACCTGCCAGGCTCAAGTGATCCTCCCACGTCAGCCTCCTGAGAAGCTGGGGCTACAGGTGCATGCCACCATGTGTGGCTAACTTTTGTATTTTTAGTAGAGATAGGGTTTCACCATGTTGCCTAGGCTGGTCTTGAACTCCTGGGCTCAAGTGATCCTCCCGCCTCTGCCTTCCAAAGTACTGAGATTATAGGCATGAGCCACCGTGCCTTGCCATCAATCTGATTTTTTAGAACATTTTTAGTTTTACAGTTTTTAGGTTTTAATGTGCCATGCAAATGTAAGTTCCCAAGGGTCTTCTGGGTGGAAATGTTTATTAAAACAAAAATTTATCAAGAGTATTCACTAGACATTTTGTGTAGTTTTTTAAATTCTAGCAGGTGAATCATTAAATCAATTACTGTAAAATACCTTCAGTTTTTGAATTAGCTGTTTTATTTATTTTTACATTTTAACCTCTGAAAGAAATAAAATTAGCTGTTTTAAAGATAGTTTTTTCCATATGTGTGTATATATATGTGTATATATATGTATGTATACATATATATGTATGCATACA
This sequence comes from Homo sapiens, assembly GCF_000001405.40. Classification (NCBI taxonomy): domain Eukaryota; kingdom Metazoa; phylum Chordata; class Mammalia; order Primates; family Hominidae; genus Homo; species Homo sapiens. Next base: position 127,750,734 of record NC_000002.12, on the reverse strand, counting down.
TATATATGTATGCATACATACATATATATATATATATATATATATATATATATATATTTTTTTTTTTTTTTTTTTTTTTTTTTTAAGATGGAGTTTCACTCTTGTTGCCCAGGCTGGAGTGCAATGATTACAATCTCGACTCACTGCAACTTCCGCCTCTCGGGTTCAAACAATTCTCAAGTGCCTCAGCCTCTCGGGTAGCTGGGATTATAGGCACGTGCCACCATGCCTGGCTAATTTTTGTATTTTAAGTAGCGATGGGGTTTCACCATGTTGCCCAGGCTGGTCTCGAGCTCCTAACCTCAAGTGATTCATCTGCCTCAGTCTCCCAAAGTGCTGGGATTACTGGTGTGAGCTACTGTGCCTGGCCTTCCCTTATATTTTTGACTCAAAAAAAGTCTGTTCTCAGCTGGGTGCGGTGGCTCATGCCAGTAATCCCAGCACTTTGGGAGGCCAAGGCAGGCAGATCACTTGAGCCCAGGAGTTTGAGACCAGCCTTGGCAACATGGCAAAACCCCATTTGTACAAAACAAATACAAAAAGTTAACTGGGTGTGGTGGCGTGTGCCTGTGGTCCCTGATACCAGGGAGGCTGAGGTAGGAGGATCTCTTGAACCTGGGAAATCTGAGGCTGCAGTGAGCCAAGATTTCGCCACTGCACTCAAGCCTGGGTGGCAGAATGAGACCCTGTCCCTCCCTCCCCACAAATGCCTGTTCTCCTACAATGAGAAATAAGCTGATAACATTTTTGACTTAAGAAGAAGCAGATATTAGAAATTACAGCCTGTGAGAGAATGGTGTGAACCCGAGAGGTGGAGCTTGCAGTGAGCTGAGATTGGGCCACTGTACTCCAGCCTGGGTGGCAGAGTGAGACTCCGTCTCAAAAAAAAAAAAAAGCCTGTGAAATGAAAGGTATTTGAAAGACTCAGTATGATGGAGAGTTTCAGTTCTTGCTGACGAGAAACACTGAGGACTGTGATAATTGTAAAGGTTAAGGTTTGGCACAGTTGCTGAGGGCTTGTCTTGAAAGAGGAAGTAGTCAACACTATGGCATTTCTTTTTTTTTTTTTTTTTGAGGTGGAGTCCTACTCTGTTGCCCAGGCTGGAGTGTAGTGGCACAATCTCAGCTCACTGCAATCTCCGCCTCCCTGGCTCAAGTGATTCTCCTGCCTCAGCCTCCCGAATAGCTGGGAATACAGGTGTCTGCCACCATGCCCAGCTAATTTTTGTATTTTTAGTAGAGACGGGGTTTCACCATGTTGGCCAGGCTGGTCTCAAACCCCTGACCTCGGGTGATCCACCTGCCTCAGCCTCCCAAAGTGCTGGGATTACAGACACGAGCCACCACACCTGCCCTTATGGTGTTTCTTCATCATCATTTTATTTATTTTGTTTTGTTTTATTGAGACCGTTTCACTCAGTCACCCAGGTTGGAGTGCAGTGGCACGATCACAACTCACTGGAGCCTCAACTGCCTGGGCTTATGCGATCCACCTGAGCTTTCTGAGTAGCTGGGACTGCAGTTGCATGCCACTATGCCTGTCTAACTTTATTTTATTTTTAATAGATACAAGATGTCACTATGTTGCTTAAGCTGATCTCAAACTCCTAGGCTAAGAGATTTTCCCATCTTGGCCTCCCAAAGTACTGGATTACAGGCGTGAGCCACCAAGCCCGGCCACATTTTTGGTTTTGTACTTGTAGATATGATTAATACTTATAGAAATTTTAAAAATCTTTCATCAAAAGAGTGCATATGAAAATCTTGCTTTATTTTCTTCTCACAGCTAACATACTATCCAGATAATTCCAGTAGTTAAGGTGAGCACTTTTTTTTTTTTTTTTTTTTTTAAGTTTCAGCTACCTAGGAGGCCCTGTTAGGAGGATCACTTGAGCCCAGGAGATCGAGACAGTAATGAGCCATGCACCACTGCACCCAGGCCTGGGTGACAGAATGAGACCCTGTCTCAGGAAAAAAGATATTACTCACTTTCATGTTTTCCTTATAGCTTCAGCTTTATTGTTGATGAGCATTTTCCTGCATCCCTTGTTTAAAGTACCTCTAAATCTAGACATAACCCAGATACTTGGATGTGCTGCCGCCAATTGAAATGATCCTTGATTAACTCCTGCTTATTCTCTTGATCAATTTGGCTGTAAAAGCTTCTCCTCTGCTTTAACAGTTTTTAATGCTTTTTACTTTACCTGAGCCATTTAAAACATTTTACCATGGTCTTGACATTAAAAGCAAAACTGAAGAAATCTTACACCAGCATCATCCAAAGCTGCCCTCCCTGTGAATTATAGTTTTAGAGTCATTTTCTAAGCCTAGAACATTTAGTCTATTTTCATTTCACTGTTAGTATTTACAAGTGTGAATACCCTTCAGTTAAAGACCACTAGGAGTACACCTGTCATAGAGCAGGTTGGATTTATTGCTCATTGCAGCAAAGAACACAGACCGCAGGGAACCATGGGGTGTCCTAGTAACAGGGTGTTATAATGTATTATAGGATTTGGGCTTTGGATAATTTTGGGGGGAAGGTCTAAGGACATGAGGGCTTGCTCTAGATAGGGTGCTGTCGGAAAACAGAGGCAATTCTATGATTGGGTATCAACAGATCTTATAGAGGGGGTCAAGTAGATTGAGGTTAAAGCTGTAATTGGTGAAGAAATAGCTGTCACTCATTCAGCAAGAAAGAGAATTTTGTATTTTGTGGGTTGTACAGTGACCTAGTTTTTTCTCACTTTGCCATGGTCTTGGAGTGACTACTTTTGATATTGACGTTCAGTGAGATTGTCCAACAGGAGCGTGGAATGTTTAAGCTGTACATGTCAGAACAGTTTGTAGTAACACCAAGGCTTAGCTTGAACATCAGATTAGTTCTCAGAGGTCAGGGGCTGCTGCTTTTTACTTTCTTGAACATATTGAAATCCAGACAGACTTGAGGTCAGGATTTAGTAGCAGCGACATGCTCGGCAGGCACAGGTTGGAACCAGCTGAAATGATGCCAGCAGTATGTTTTTACAAAACGGAGCAATTGGGGAGAATTTGGTGGCATGTTAACCAGCATTAGACAAGCAGGATACATTATAGGCAAAAGCAGCCTCTTCAGATAGTACCACTAGTTTTGCCACTGGCGTATAGAATTTTCCCATAGAAATAGAGAATGTCATCATGTATCATCATTGAAATCTTCATAGTTGCTTTTATGCTAACGTTGAGTGCTCATGGGAACCTCAAAATCTTTAAATAAAGGTTTTAGATTGTAAAAGTTTTTACTTTTTTTTTTTTTTCGGTAGAGCAGCGGTAGCCCTAAAATATTGTTGATTTGGACCAAACTGAGGATAAAATGTTTTCAGAATAAGATTTTTCTCCTAAAGACTATTTCACACAGAAATATTTGTTCATTTTAGGTTTTAAACACTGTATGTTAAACTGTTGTTTGTATTTTATTTATTAGGTACAGTACATAATTTCGTATGGAAAAAACAGCATATTCCAGAGTTACCACAGATTTCAGGATTGGTAGATAAATACCATTTGTGCCTGTGTCTAAATTGTGTAGATGCCAGAATTAATTTTCATATAATTTAGACACATAGATTTGTGGTGTATTCTCTTGGTTAAAGTGCCTTGAAAATAAGGCTTTGTATTTTGAAACTAAATCTGTTTGGGCGAAACTCACTTTGGTGATCTCCACAAAATTCACTGGTTTTGATCATCTTCTATAATCGTATATTTACATTTTTTTAAATAACATCCATTTACCAGAATTGATGCTGAATAGTACCAGTTTACTGTGTCTTTTCATAGGCAATGATGAGTGCAAGTCTATTTGTAATAAGTATTTTTTCTATAAAAAGAAGGGTAACTATTGTGTATTGTTAACTTTAAAATGTAATGATAGAAGAATATAGTGTAATTACTGTTTACAGTGGTTAAGTGACAAAGAAGAAATTATTAATGTTGTTAAACCTCCTCTTTAGCTGCTCCAAAATTCTAGTTACAGTGGTAGTTTCTGCTTGGCACAATCTCCGTATTTCCTCTGGGGAACTTTAAACATCACTCAGCTGAGAGTCAGCAAGTTTGGCTTTGAATCCCCGCTTTGCCACTGGGCAAGTCAAGTCTTTCTCAGCTTGCCTCTCCTCGTCTGTAAAGGAGAGCTAATGATACCTACCTCACAGGGCTGTTGTGAGGACCACAGACATACTCTGCACAGTGCAGGATGAAGCAAATGTTTGTTGCTAAAGTCATAAATATCAAGGAAAGATGCTAAAAGACAAGATAGGAGTAAAGAAAATAACATATTTTACTTAATTTGATTTAAGAGGAGATTGGAATTGAGTAGGAAAGGTATTAAAAGAGAGGTATTAAAGGTATTAAGGAAAGGTATTTATGGGAGGAGATTATTGGATCAAAAATTAGTATTGGAATATGATTATCTTTTCAGTAGTGATTTTTAGGTTTAGAAGTGTGATTGATAAAGTTGTAAGCCACATTTAAATAGATAACATTATATTGAAATAGAACTATGACTTCTTTTTAAAGCTTTATTTATGTAAGTCCTCATATTTTATTTCCACTATCATCTCAGAACCACAGGAGTGCCAGAAGGCAATCCTTCACACCCTGCATTAGAGTTGTTCTCTTCATTGCCTTTGCTTGCTTACCTTTTTTTTTTTTTTTTTTTAATTATTTTATGTTTTAGAGACAGAGTCTCGCTCTGTCTCCCAGGCTGGCATGCAATGGTATGATCATAGTTCACTGCAACCTTGAACTCCAGGGCTCAAGTAATTCTCCTGCCTCAGCCTCCTGAGTAGCTGGGACTACAGGAGCTTGCCACCATGCCCAGCCACAGATTGTTTTTTGAATAGATAATATATTTGAATCTTTCTGGAGAACGACGTGCTGTTTTTTGAGTTCTAGTTAGGTAAATTCATGTTGGATGAGTGTAAGACATACCGAGTTACTCTACAGACTTGGAGCATTCTTTCCACTTGTACTTTTTGGTAGGTTTACAATATCTTGAAAAAATATGAAGCCCATAAAGTGGTATGTCTGTGGTATGAGCTGTTTATTTGGACATTTTTAATAGTCATTTTAAGTTGGATCAAAATCAGATACTTCATTGTTAGAAATATTTATATAACCAGCACTTTGGTTGCTTCACAAGTCCTCATTTAATCTGTTTTTCTTCAGTCTTTGATTTTCTTTGTTGCTGTTTCTGTAAAGGAATCATGAAAGAAAAACCATTGTTTAAATACAGTTAAGGGTGAGAAACCTTCACTCCGCCATATTTCTTTGATTTTGTGTTCAGTATGTTGGTTGAAGATGAGAAGTACAGACCAGACACTGGGAACTTCGTGGTCCCATGTATTCCAACATCACACTGGTCCCAAAGAGCACAGAGGCAGTAATGCTGCTGCAGATATCTGATTAACCAGAATTCTCTCTGGGAAGGATCGATAGCACAGTTATGTGATTTTTATATGCTTGACTGGGTTGAACAAATAAACTCTGGGTCGTACATTTACACAAATGTGTTCTTCAGAATACAACAACTATGCCACTGAAGGCCGCTCTCAGTATGCGTTTTAAAGAAGTGTTTCCACTAGTTAAAATGGATTTACATTGATCCTTCTATATCTGGTCCTGTGATCAGGAAGATGATAAGTACAAAGGCAAGCTGACTGCATAACAATAACTGATGTATATGGGGATCTCGCAACCTGGCTTCGTTAGCAGTGCCATTCTCTAACCAATCAAGCCGAAGACCAAATGCAACACTGAGATGCATTTTTTTCATCAGTCATGCATGGTGAAAGGTATATTCTATGAATTGCATGGAAGTAAGAATTGGAGACAGTACTTTTTGGTAGGTTTACAATATCTTGAAAAAATATGAAGTGCAGGATGAAGGTGTATTCACACCTACACAATATGCCATATGGAAGCCTGAGATCTGTGGTGGAAGAGTACTGGGGAATGTAAGGGTGGAAAGGTAAGGAAAGAATTGGGTGGGATTAAGAGTTGTTTTTCTTGAGAACTTCTGCCTTTTACAAAGGTAATAAACATTCATAAAAGGTTCACTTAGAAGTAAAAAGTCAACGTCTTTCCCCTCTTATTTCCCAATTTCACATCCAGAGGTAAGCACTGTTCTGTTGAAGCTTGGTGTATATCTTTTTAGAATTCCTATACATATACAAAAAGATGCTTTTAAAAATCACTACATGAAAGGAGATTATACTACGTATATTCTTTTGCTATTTGCTTTTCTCACTATACTGTATATTAAGGTCATTTTTCTGCATCATTACTACCCCAGTCTTTTTGACTGCATGTATCTACTGTAATTTATTTAACTATTCCTCACTGATAGGCCTTTGGGATTTGCAAGAAGTTTTTGCCAAGACACAGTTGTGCACTAAGCTTCCTAATACCTTTATATTTGTGTTACTTACGTAAATTTTCCATTAGGTTAGACTCCTAAGAATAAACTCAATGGAGCAAAGGGTATGAACATTTAAACTTTTGGAAGATGAGTTGTCTTCACTGTCCAGGAAGTCATCAACGATGAAGTTTAAGAAAGTTCTTGTCATCTAGCCAAACTGAAAATAACACAGGATTAACATTTTAGGAAATTGTCACCACCTAAATATTTAACCTTATTTTTAAAAATCACTAATAATAAGCACACATGGTAAAAAGTCTTTCCTCCAGCCCCATAGAGGGATGGAATATGAAATTTAAAAATCTGCCAATCCTTTACCTCTCCCCAGAGGTAGTTTCTTAAAACTAATTGTTTCTATTCTTGTGGTCATCAGAATTTCACATAATATGTATTTTGGTATATCTGTCTGACGTAGTGCCTCTTTCTGTCATCAAAGGTGAGGAATTGAGTGTTATTCACACCACCAACCATGCCTCCTACCTCCTCGTTTTTGTCATAATGAATTGTAGTTTCAGTGGTTTTCTTTATAGCTTTAAATGTTCTTAAACCTTTATTTTTAAGGGGACTGCCAACTTTAGCCAATATTCCTTGGCTCACCACTAGGTTACAGAAGGAAATCTGTGCCTCTCAATGTGTTTCCACTTCTGCCGTTTGTCTTCCTTTACTTCTGAATTGTCAAGGATTTTAAGCCAATTTTATTCTGTTCTTGAATTATGGCTACTTTTGTTTTCTTCATATTTTAAAATTCTAAACAATGAGAACAAAAAAGATAGCATTTCTGCTATGAATGATACTATTGATAACAGAACCAAGCAGTATAATGGGGCCTTGCAGAAAGAGTGATAATCTTGTGGTAGTTAATGAAAAGTTGTTCTGCTTGGACAGTGTCAAGATCAAGTATGCTGCTTTTGTATTAAGTCTGTCATGCTGTCAACTGTTGAAAATAATGCCATAGTTTAATTCACTTTTGTCTTGCAATTTATTATTACCTTTCCTGTTTTTAAAAATCAATGTCACTAAAACCTTTATCATAGCAAATTTTTAGGTTTTTAATTTTTCAATTTGAGTAAATGGTTTTTGTTTTTGAAGGCATTCTTTTAAGTCCACTCTTTTTTTATTTTTTCCCAGTTCAGTTGAAAATCCTCAAACATTTTTCTCAGAAATAGCGCTTAGGAGGTAAATCAAAATTATTGAGTCTGGAAAGGTATTTAATTACCATCATACTTGACTCATAGTTTGGGGTTTGAAATCCTTTGCCTTCTGAATTTTTACGTCCTTCATTATCTTCCATCAGTTTTACTGATAACTCAAATATAATCCTGAGTCTCATTATTTTATATATATCTTGACTTTCCTCTCTGAATGTTTTCTGAATGATCTCTTTTCTCTGAGGGGTGTTTTTTTTTGTTTTTTTTTTTTTAACTGTGAGTATAGGTATACATATTTTAAACTTCATCTTTCTTGGCATACTGTCATCTGCAGTCTTATCTTTTTTCCATTTAAAGGATTTTTCTTTCTTTGATGATTGTTTCCATTGTCTTTGCTTGTCTTACGGAATTCTTAGGAGATGACTGTTGGGCTGTTTGGAGCTGTCTATCTAGTATTATTTTTTCTTACATGTTTTGTGTTCCTGCCCTTTCTCTAAGTATTGGGAGATTTCTGTTTGTCTCCTGGAATACTGATTTACTTTTCAATCATGCCCAGTCTGGTTTTCAGCCCTTCTGGTGATTTTTTCTTCCCTTTTTTTTTTTTTTTTTTGAGACAGGGTCTCTGTCTCCTGGGCTGGAGTGCAGCGGTGCAATCATGGCTCACTGTAGGCATGACCTCCTGGGCTGAAGCGATCCTCCCACCTCTGTTTCCTTGGTAGCTGGAACTACAGGTGTGAGCCACCATGCATAGCTAATTTTATTTTTATTTTTATTTAGTTTTAATTTTTTGTTGCCTAGTCTGTTCTCAAACTCCTGAGCTCAAGCAATCCACATACCTTGGCCTCCCAAGGTCCTGGGATTACAGACTTGAGCCACTGTGCCCAGCCGAAATTTTTATTTTTATTTATTTTTATTTTTTGAGATGGAGTTTCGCTCTTGTTGCCCAGGCTGGAGTGCAATGGCACGATCTCAGCTCACTGCAACCTCTGCCTCCCAAGTTCATCCTGGGTTCAAGTGTTTCTCCTGCCTCAGCCTCTGGAGTGGCTGGGATTACAGACACCCACCACCACACCTGGCTAATTTTTTGTATTTTTAGTAGAGACAGAGTTTCATTATGTTGGCCAGGCTGATCTTGAACTCCTGACTTCAGGTGATCCACCCGCCTCGGCCTCCCAAAGTGCTGGGATTACAGGTGTGAGCCACCGTGCCCAGCCGGAAAGTGTTATTTTTATCAACTGCATGTTTACTTTTCAAGAATTTCTAGTGGTTCTCTAATCTTTTCATTTTTCAAGGAAGCCTGTTTTGTAGTTGGTTTGTTTTTAAGGAATATACCCCTTAAAACCTTTAACATAGTAATTGGGGTGTTTGTGTGGATGTCTGGTTTGATCTGTTGTTCCTGTTTGTTTTCCCTAAAGTCATATAATCTGTATTTTTCTCTTTCCTGGTACTTGCTTTTTCTCAAATAACGCAGTGACCCTTGGTTGTCCAGAGATTTGAATGGTGGTTTGTATTGGTTAGTATAAGTAGCTATCTTGCATTTTTTTGCAGTTAAGTTCGCTTACCTACAAGGGTCCTCTCCTGGATGGAAGATCTCACTGTGGATTCGTGTGTCTGTGTGTGTGCTTGTACATGTGTACACACGTGCATGTTTGTGTGTGTTTAATGAAGTGAGTGGAGAAGCACAGGCCACTGCCACATTTATCAAGTAAGTGGGTTGTGGTTTGTACTCTGAGGTGGAGTGCTTAAGTTTATTCCACTCTTAAGTGGAACTGCCATCTTTCTCTCCTCCCTCCCTTCTCTTTTCTCTTTTTCTCCTCCTCTCCCATTCTCTCTTTGCCCTCCACTTCTTTCCATTTTCAGTGTCATCCGTGGCATTTCTGCAGACTTTGTGCTGCTTTACTCTTCAGCCTCAAATCCTGCTCTAGGGTTTCTTCCCAGACTGAAATGTGCTTTTTGTAACAAATGTGCTTTGTATAATTTGCTTTGTCTGACTGAGAGCATCTGTTCTACAGAAACAGGAAGTCAGGAGGGACAACCTGGACAAGTCTCCCTATAATTACCCTCATTACTTCATCACAGCCTTTGTCACTGAGCCTTTGCCACAACCTTTGTCACTGACAACTACAGTCTATGTATTTTGGGTTTCATTTTTCTCTACTCTGGTTTATTCATAGGTAGGGTCCATCTGTTTTTAGAGAATGGCCACTTTTTGGTTGAAGTTTTTTCAAAATTTCCTAAAATTTGTAGCCAACATATGTCAGTCTTGCGAAATAAGTTCATCCTCTGCAAACCTTTGAAAGTAATTTAGGAAGAGGCTTGCATATTTGTTTTTACTTAGTATTAAATCATGATTTTATTCCAAAGCACAATTCCCTTTTCACATTAGTGGCGTTGAAATAATCTTCCTTACCTCTTTCCTGATATTCTCCCAAGTTCCATCATTTTTCCATTTCTTAAGACATCTTTCATAGTTAAATTTTAATCGTATACTTGAAGCTTAAGGTAATCCATGGCATTGGGGGATTTAGAGATGAGTAATCAATTAAAATAATTGAAAGATTGTGTTGAACCCAGCTCTTTTCTTTTTTAGAGACAGGATCTCACTCTCACCCAGGCTGGAAGTGTGGTGGTGTGATCTCAGCTCACTGCATCCTTGACCTCCCGGGCTCAAGCCCACCTCAGCCACTGCCCATGTCCCCCTGGGCACCATGACACCCAGCGTGTGTGTATGTGTGCGTGTGTGTAGAGAAATACAAATCCGTGTGTGTGTGTGTGTGTGTGTGTGTAGAGAAATACAAATCCCTCCCAAAGTGCTGGGATTATAGGCGTGTGCCAACGCTGGTGGCCCAGCATTTTTCCTGTAGATTTTTTGTCCCCCTAGAAATGAGTTAACATTCTTTAACAGTAGAGAAAATGTAGACGGAACCATCAGACATTCACACCACAAGTAAAAAGGAAGTGATTGGTATCATCTTCTCAGTGTTGGAGGTGGCATTGTAGTCTAGTGGAATCAGTACTTACATTAAAAGTATTACCTTAAGTACTCAGGACTTAAATGCTGTTTTTCTTAGTAGTATCTGTCTTTCTTAAAAAAAAACATAATCAACATAGTGAATGTAATGGTGGTCTCTCATTTTGTGTTTTCTAGTTCTGAGAGGTAAATGGCATTACATCAAGTGTATTACTTGGGGTGAATGTTCATAATCAGAATTCAGTGTTATTTTTTCTGGAGTCATTTGAAAACTGAAATTTAGCAGTCTTACAAAAGTTGCACTTTGGGAACATGCTCTCACATCGAGCCATTTTCTGCTTTCCCATACTCTGTTCATAGTAGTAACAGCTCTTGCTGGATAACTAAGTCTATATGGAAATAGCTGTCCCCATGGTGAACTTTTTCAGGGCAGAGATTGGATCACAATGAAAGCTTTTATTCATTGAATGTTCAAAATATATGCTAGGCATGATGCTAAGTGCTTCATGTATTTAATTCCTGAAACAAGCCAATAATTGGGTAATAATCTCCATTTTGTACATGTAAATATTAAGGCTAGGCAAGGGTTAAGTAGATTACTTAAGGACGTAACTAGTAAGTGACATCTGAGATTTAAACACAACCAGTTTACTGGAAATTTTTTACTATTAGCCATTATGTAGCATATGAGCACTGAACCTATTTGAATTACATGTAACATACCCTTTTCTTGATTCCAAATGTAACTGATTTGACACTGCTGCTTTTATTGGACAAAGCTACTTTCATCACTTGGTTATTCTCTTCTTACGGGGGGGAAATCATAGTCGACTGTAAGTGGAAATGAGAATTTTCATGATTTACTCTTGGTCCTGGCTCAGAGATGAAAGTGGAATAAACCCTTAATCTATTTTCCTGAAGAACTTATTTTTGGATTTTAAACAATGTGTATATAGGTCTATTTTTTGCTCTCTCATCATTTCCTCATTCATTCAATAAAGAAAAAGAACATGGCAGATTTTAAACACCTTCACGAGTAGATACTGGTATTGTTTATAATATGTTTAATTTAATTTGAACTGGTTTGGATTTTCCTACTAAGTATTCCTTGGTTTTCACATCTCTGGAATGGTAAGATCTTTTTTCTGAGGTCTGTGGGCAAAAATTTTTAAGGTTCTTGTGTGTCTTTTATTTCATGTTTACATTTATAACGGGACTGGTTGGATATTGAATGCTAGATTCAAAACTTTTCCCCCTATTTCAGCACTTTCAAGATTTTGTTCCATTCTCCTCCTCCTCTTCATTTTAATCAAGAAAATTATTTACAGAGTGACTGCTTGCGGGGCAGGACTAACCCATAGGCAGTGTGCCCTGAGTAGCCCCACTCTCTTCTTGCAGCTAGTGTGTTGATGAGAAGTTGTATAGTATATTGCAGAATGTCCCTCAGTTGTGATTTATCTACTATTTCTCTCATGATTAGACAGGGAATTGTCGGTTTTTGAGAGGAAGATCACACAGGTAAAGTGCCATTTTCATCATACCATGTCATGGATGTATACTATCAGTATGACTTGATGTTGATCTTGATCATCTGCTTGAGGTAGAGTTTGTCAAGTTTCTTCAACAACAGCTACTCTTATTTCCCACTTTTCATACTGTACTCTTTGGAATGAAGTCATAATATTAATATATAGCCCACACTTAAGGAGTGGAGCATTACACCTCACCTCTTTTCAGGTGGAGTAACTGTGTAAATTATGTGGAATTCTTAGGCATGGGAGACTTCACTCTTCTCCACTTATTTATTCAGTTATTTGCTTATATCAGTATGGACTAAATGGATATTTTATGGGAATATGTTTTTAATATGGTGGAAATTAATAATATAACCAGCTCCCAGTTGAAGTTTTCTCAGATTACATTTTTCTTTGAAACAGAAATGGAGATGTTTGTTAAGATCCAGTTGGAGCATATGTTATCTCAGATTACTCATTAATAGAAAAAAATCTCAGTCATATCTGGAAATTACACAATCTGCCAGGGCTCATGTGATAGATACCTGCCTGCACAGTATTTAAGAGTTCATGCACCCTTCTTGTTTTGATAGATACATGTTTTCATCACTGCCGTTGTTACTTCCTTTCTGTCAAGAGGTGAATAACAGTAGGTGGACAAAGTTTAGGGAGCCACATTTACCAACTTCTGTGAATATACCCAAGAAGATTCTGGCAAAACATAGATTCAAATTACAGTTGATGCTGTGGATGGCTATGGGTTAACTACTCTTCTACTTTGACACGGATTATTTGTTGCTTTTATGTTTCTAAATTCTCAATTAAAAAGAAGTGTATCCTTAATCTGGCCAACTGAAAGTGAACTTGTTCATTCACCTCTACCTTGCTTTCAAAAGGACTGCTTACCATGGAAGTGCTCCAGAAGAATCATTTGAAACATCTTTTGTTTTCCTTCTTGGTTCTGCGTTTTCTTCCTTACCAGGGGCTTCAGTCATGGCTTCTCTTTATTCTTGGCCTGGGTTGTCTGCTGGCACTAATACATCTATTATTAACGTAGTGTAGGTACTGGCCTTTCTAATAGTCTTGGTATTTAGTGCCAGACTCCCATCAATCTTTTGAATGTCTTTTCTTTTTCTTTTTGCACTTTTCTAGCTTTTCAAGTGATGACTATATACTGCTTTTCTTGACTGTATATATTGTTACTGAATTGTGAATATCTGCAGAAATGTTTACTAGAGAACCTGTGACTGTTGAATAACATGTGCCCGAACATACACACACACATATGTACACACACACCTCAGAGTACTCTTTCTTACAGCGGACTTTGCTGCTGCTTTCTGCATGTGTGGGACACTGGTATCTCCCGTCTCAGACAAATGGCTGATGTTCTCTATGATATTGGTGTTAATATCAAAGAATTGAATGAATACAACAGAATTGAGGTTGAAAAATATTTGATTGCCACATTCCTTTAAGCATCTTTGATGAATACTCTGCAAAGTAGCCTTTAAAAAAATGTAAATTTTTTAAAAAGTCCACAGAGGAGAATTTGCTGGTTAGCACAAAACATACTGCAAAATTGCTTCTTTCTGGTTATTATAACTGAAGAATATAGAAGATTGACACACATTTTATACACCCTCAGGCAGTGTTTTGGAATAATATTGTACCTTTTCAAATTGTTATCAATTAACTGTTTTTCTCCATTTCATAATTCTCAAGATTTTTCTAAATACAGCCTTTAAATTTGACTCAAATGGAAATTGTGCACTTTCCTGTTTATACCCTTCCCCACGTTATTGTAAAAGAGTTTAACAGCAGCCTGATATGTAAGTTTCAGCAAAACTTATACCTGTATATGTTTTTATTTGACTCAAAAATTAGATATTTTACCATATAGTCATAAGAATTTGCTCACTTTGATGCCAGAAGTACTTAAGAAGTTACACGGCACTAATTTTATGAGTTGTATGCCTAATTTCAATTTCTAACCTATTTGACAGTTTCTTTTAGGTCAGCCTTTGTTGGTCTTCCATGTAAATACAAGTTGGTACAAATCAATAGAAACCATTTTACCTACATAGGCAAAGTAAATGTGTGACTTAGAGACTGCCAGATTTATGGTGCATCTACCTTTTTATCCATTTGAGCTTGCTTTTTTATGTTTGTGTATTGGTTGCTCCTGACACTATACATTTCAAAATTTTTTATAACTTGAAAAACACTTCTGTGCTACCACTCAGTTCTGATCAAATCCTTACATTTTGCAACACTCATTTCTGAATTTTCAGTAAAGAAATACACATTACAAATTAAAGGTTAAAGGCCCCTTTACATGCCCTTCCCCAGTCTCCTCTTCCTCCCCCGGAAGTGTCCATTCTGCTGAATTCAGGTTCATCATTGCCAGACAAATGTAGTAAGCTAGTGTTTCACATTTCCAAAATCAGCCTTCTGGCAGACTTGGAAGTACTCTTGAGAAAAGAAGACTCGTGACCAAATTCTCCCACAGATTTGTAATAATGTACATATTGAAAGGACTGAAGGCTCTCAGACTGGGAAAGAAACTTACCCATTTTAAAATTCAGCATTGCTCAACTTACCTGACTGCCGGACCCCTTCACCCATGATTCTATGCACTGTATTGTTGGAACATACATTGTGAAAACACTGCCCTGCCTAGGCATACCCCCTTTCCAGAATTAACTTTCCATTTAATTCTATAGTTTTTCACTGATGTAACTTTCTAGACTGGACAACAAAGATGACTAATAGTAATCACTCCAAGTTGATGTTGACTGTTGGGTTGTGGTGAAATCATTTTGCATTAAAGGAAGGTAAAATACTAATAAATTGCATATTCCTTGACCAGAGCACAGATTACTTATGCTTCTTAATTTTTTAAAATCTTAAATCCTCTGTCCAACTGGAGTATCTGGCTATGGGCCATGGGTACTCATATACCCTTTGTCTTAAACTGATCTGTTACATTTTATGTTCTTGTGGCTAGAAGTAGCCTGAGTTTGCTGTTAATGTTTAACACATTTTCTTGAGTAACAGTTCTGTTAATATTGTACAAGATGGTACTTGAATTCTTTGTTTGCCTTTTTTCTTCCTGTATTAGAAAATCTTGGTGCTTTTTATAAGTTTTGTATAAAAGAATTTTTTTTAAGATTTGTTCATAAAATGGTCTGATCCAGGAAAAATAAAATGGGAACATGGACACCATTTCTGACCTTCAAATAAAACTTATTATGTATTGGTTTTCAGACTGTTCACCGAGCTTTGGGATCCTATGGACTGTCTCAAGACAGGTTATTTAGGGGCTTGGGGTAACAGGTTCCTTAGGATCTGATGAGGTGGAGGAGGGGTGATCAGGTGGAGGAGGGGTGAGGGCCTGAGAAAAATGCACAGGGCACAAAGTTTACATCCAGTTTCACAGAAGCCAGGGAACCTCCTCCTTTAAGGGAATAGTCAAAAAGCAGACCTTCTGCCCTTACTGGTTCTAGCCTTCACTGCACTACACTTTACGGTTCTGGGACAGGGAATAATGAACAAGAAGTCTTCACTATCTACAAAGCAAGTCTAGAATGTCTGTTCACCAAATATCTAATACCTAATCCATTTATCATGTTATTCTTAGAATTTTAAGGTTTATTAAGGAGTCTGCATTTTATTTCTAGAATCTCCTTTTTAACACATTAGGCATTTTTTTCATTAGGAAAATTATCTTGTTTGCATTCTGCACTTTGCTATTTCAAGTGTGGTTACATAGCATATTTTAAAAGGGGGAGAGAGTTTTCTGTTTTTATTTTGTGGAGAAAGGTCTTTAAAAGTGCATTCATGTTTTTTTAAAGCTTAATTTCAATCTTGATCCAGAAGACTTTTATTCTAAGTATTAACTTTCTTAAAAAGCTGTTGTTCTAGCACTATGTAACCCTACAAATACTCCCCAGTATTCAGGTCTTGTTTTGTTTGGTGACCACATATTTGAGAGGTTGAGCACCAATAACAGGAGCTCAATAAACGTTGGCATCATGCACATTTATTTTGAATTAATGAGTGGAAGTGGAAGAGTACATAAATGAATATGTGAAAGAACGAGTAGAATAAGTGAAATCGTTTACTTCCTGTTTGCTGTACATTTTAATGCTATTAATGGTCACTTTCTGCAAATAATTATTACAAAGTAGTAAGTCAAACATTTCTGGCATATTAGACACAGGTTAATCTACAAAGCAGCATCACCTGTCTCCAGGAGATGCTAATTCTGTCACTGGTCATTTAGCTAGGACTCTGAAGGAACGTTTAGCTGGATAGCTAGCTAAGGAATGATGCAAACTCACTGTTCTCAATGCTTAATATCTAAAAATAACTCAGTGTGATTAATTTGGAATTTCTTTTGGTGGAGTTAGTTTATGGTTGTCACATTCCTTCATTCCGAACAAGACTCTGGTCTTCAGAATCAATATGTTTACTTATTAAATAGTCAAAAGAATTATGTATTTATCCCTAAATTATTTTCTTATATAGTTCTGAGAGGTGGAAAGGAGTATAGAAGTTGTCATATACAAGCTCTTCAGTTACAGTTGAGAAAGTGAAAGTTGATTTGTAATTGGAACAGAAGGGACTATCCACTTCATCTGGATGTTATATTTAGTGAGATGAAGACAGGATTGGATGAGGAGGAAGAAAATCCGGGCCCCCTCCCACCACTGCCCTAACCCTTTCAGGCTTCCGTGTTCTCATCTGCAGAGTTAGAGGGCTGGATAGTTCTGCAGGTCTTCTCAAGCTCTGGTATCATTGAAAGATAATTTTTTGTTGTTGCTGTTCATTGTACAACTGAGATAAATAAAAATAAGATTGTGGAAATTTAAAGGGACACTTTCTTTAGGGCCAGTTATTGTCCAATAGGGTTTTTTTGTTTTTTGTTTTTTGTTTTGTGACGACGGAAGTATTCTATATCTCTCCTGTCTGATATTCTTAGCCACTAGTCACGTGTGACTATTAAGCCCTTGAAATGTCACTGATATGACTGAGAAACTAAAATTTTAACCCTAAAACAAATTTAAACAGCCGTATATGGCTAATAGGTGCCATATGGGACAGTGCAGGTTAAATTCTTAAGTATTTGTGTTCAGAGGGAATTCCACACAGATTTATAATGGTCTTTTTCTTTATATAGTGATCTACAACTGGAATGTCTTAATTTTAGAATTTTGCAATTGTACCTCCAAGTCCAAGTCGTACTGCTGAATCTTTCATGTGCCCATATCACTGGCTTCTTTAAGCTCTGCCATCCTACTGAGGATTCTGCATGTCCACCACAGTCTACCTATAGACTCCTGTCAGTCCCCTGCAGGGCCACACTTTGTGCCTGTAGTGGACTTTGTAGTGTCTGGAGCAGATTTGGTGCTGTTCGGAATTTTATCTTCCTTTTTTTTGTTGTCAGGGGCTTGATTCTGAGAAGTTTAATTACTTGAAAAACTGCCTGGTCTTTCATCAGCAAGAAATTTTCAGTACTAAAATCTTTAGCCTTTAGGGAGATGTTTTTAGTACTATAACGTCTAGTCACCAGGCTACAAAAACTCTCGTTACCTGGGTGAATTTTCCATTAAGTCTGTATTCTTGCAGTATTACAAACACTACATTCTTGGAATTTTCACATTTGGGGAATCACAAAGAGCCTGGAATGATTGTATCATGAAATTCTGTACCTCAGAAATGAAATGATCAAATTTAGTATAGAGGCATTCTTTAGGCTTAATGTTTGAAATTAATAAACCATGTGTTTGGTACTTAATCATTTTTTTCTATGAAATAATAATTTAGATAAGATTAAGTTTCTATGTACGGTTTGCCTCTTCACAAAACCCACAGTATCTTGAAACTTAATGCACCCCTACCACGTCTGAGAGCTGTCAGTGAAAAGCTGCATCCCTGCTGAGTATCTGAGGCACATCTTCCTGGGACCACAGGCACTGGTTTCTTCTGTTGGCAAATGAAAGCATTAATTGATATCAGCCATTCACTTGAGTTTTGAATAGAGGGACACCAAAAGTAGTTGCCATTAAACAAAGTAATAAAATCACATGTTAAGAAGTGTTTGACCAGCCTGTCCAACATAGGGAGACTCCATCTCTACAAAAAATTAAAAAATTACCTGGACGTGATAGTGCATGCCTGTAGTCCCAGCTACCGGGGAGGCTGAGGTAGGAGGATTATTTGAGCCCAGGAGTCAGAGGCTGCAATCAGTTCACTGCAGCCTCCGCCTCCTGTGCTCAACTTCCCACTCCACTCTAGCCTGGGCGATAGAGTGCAACCCTGTCTCAAAAAAAAAAGAAAAAAGTTCAAGAGTATAGAAGAGTAAATGCCACTCTTATTCCCATACCATTTCATCTCCCTAAAAAACGGTTACTAGCTTAAGTATTATTTTATACAAATGGATGCTTTACTTATATTTTTAAAAAGGCTTATTGGGGTGTCCGTCTGTGTGTGTGTGTGTGTGTGTGTGTGTGTGTGTGTGTGTGTGTGTGTGTTGTATATGTTGTTTGTTTTATTTTTGAGACAAGCTCTCCATCACCCAGCCTGGAATGTAATGGCAAAATCACAACTCACTGCAGCCTTGACCTCCCAGGCTCAAGCAGTCCTCCCACATCAGCCTCCTGAGAAGCTGGGAGCATGGGTGTGCACCACCATATTTGGCTAATTTTTAAGTTTTTCTTCTAGAGACAGGGTCTCACTATGTTGCCCAGGCTGATCTCTACCTCCTGGACTCAAGGAATTCTTCGGCCTCAGCCTCCCAAAGTACTGGCATTACAGGTGTGAGCCACAGTGCCTGGCCCTGCAGTATAATTTAAATAAGGTAATATGTACCCTTTTTAGGTCTACAGTCCTATAAAATTTGACAAATAAATACATTCTAATCTAGATATAGAACATTTCCAAAACCCCCAAAAAGGTCCTTATTTCTGCCTCAGTTTTATGAGCTGGATTGTATTCAATTATATGTCTTTACCTTAATTTTCTTAAATAACCTCTCATTGATTCATGTTTAGGTTATTTCCAGTTTTGGCAATTCAAACAAGGTGCAGTAAATATCTTTGTACATAAATCTTGGTGTGCTTTTGCAGTCATAGGGTAAATTCCTAGTAGAGGATTGATAGAATCAATGGTTATATGCCTTTAAGATTGTGATAGATAATGGCCATATGGCCTTGCCCAAAAGTTGTCCTAATTTACTTCCCAACCAATTACAGATGAGAGTGCCTATTACTCTCTCTCTTATTAACACTGAGTGCCACCAAATTTAATTTTTGCTTTTCTGTGTTTTTTTTTTTTTTTTTTTTTTTTGAGGCAGGGTCTTGCTCTGTTGCCCAGGCTGGAGTGCAGTGGCGTGATCTTGGCTCACTGCAACCTCCGCCTCCCTGGGCTCAGGCGATCCTCCACCTCTGCCTCCTGAGCAACTGGGACTACAGGCATGCATCACCATGCCCAGCTAATTTTTGTATTTTTTGTAAAAATGGCATCTCACTATGTTTCCCAGGCTGGTCTCAAAACTTCTGGATTCAAGCAATCCACCCACCTTGGCCTCCCAAAGTGCTGGGATTACAGGCATGCGCCACCGTGCCTGATCAATTTTTGTTAATTTGATGGGAAAATACTACTTAGCAAAGTAACTTGCATTCAGTGGTGTTTTTTTTTTCCTTCATATTAAAAACATACCTAAACAAACAAACAAACAAAAAAAATCGAGAGTTCACACACACACAAAATATAATCCATGTTGTTTATTCTTAAAACCACAATATTATACTAGAGGAAATGTGGATAGAAGTTCATCTTTGTTTCCATTATTCTCAATGTGATTTTCATCTTCTGCCTATCCGTATCTGCATTTTGGTAACCATATCAAAATGTACAAGTATAAAATGTACAAAATGTACACACATATGTTAAGATGATTATAAAAATGTGTATGTATATGTATAGTTTGTGTGTTTTGCTTGCTTTTTAGTTCACATTATTTCATGAGCTTTTTTTGTTTCAAAAATCTTCATTTTAATGGTTTTTGGCTGTGGCAAAGTTTGTTTAATAATTCCACTTCTAAAATTTGTTTCCATTTTTTTGCTATTATTAATAAGACTTTAAGTGCCATCTTTTACATATCAAAGGTTTTTTTTTAATCCACTTAAATTATTAGGATGAATTTCTTCTGGTCTTATTCCTCTGGATCTAAATATATCAACATTGACATGTGAGGTCAGAATTTTATCATTTGAAAAATTTTTTTCACTTTACTGAAAATTCAGTCACTTCTTCCTGAAGAAGGAAGCAATTGCATATCAATTTTCTTCTATTCCAGCTTAATCTATTTATTTTTCTCTTTTACATTAAAACATTCTTTTAATGATATATGCTGCCTGTAAATATTTCCCACCCACTTTCCAGAGGTAATCCACTGTTATCAAGTAAGTTTAGTAAATTTTTTTTAATTGAATTTTCTCAATAGGTCATTAACGTGTTTCAAAGTTGAAAAATTACAAAACTATGTGTCGTGAAAAGTCTCCTTCTTTCCCTTGTGTCCCAAGCTACCTAGTTCTTGGAGCCAGTTGATGTTATCAGATTCTTTTGTATTCTTTCAGACACACATGGTATGCATTTTTGAGCAAAGGGGCGTGGGTGTGTGTCCCTCTGTTTTTAAGTTCTAAATGTTAGCATGCTACACATACTTTTTTCATATATTTTCTTAAGTAACTTTATTTCATTATTTGTATTCAGTTTTGTAAAATTAGATACTACATGCATGTGGTTCAAAAGTAAAATGATGTAAAGGCTAAAAAATGAATAGTTGGCCGGGTGCAGTGGCTCACGCCTGTAATCCCAACACTTTGGGAGGCCGAGGTGGGCGGATCACGAGGCCAGGAGATTGAGACCATCCTGGCTAACACAGTGAAACCATATCTCTACCAAAAATACAAACAATTAGCCGGGCGTGGTGGTGGGCGCCTGTAGTCCCAGCTACTTGGGAGGCTGAGGCAGGAGAATCGCTTGAACCCGGGAGGCGGAGGTTGGTTGCAGTGAGCCGAGATGGCGCCACTGCACTCCAGCCTGGGTGACAGAGAGAGACTCCATCTCAAAAAAAAAAAAAAGAATAGTCTCTCCCTGTTCCAATTCACTGTCTGCTAGGTACTATCCTTCACTGAGTCTTTATGTATAGAGAAGCAAATAGGAAGTGACACAGTTTTGTTTTTTCTGCTCTTGTAACTCTTAACTAACCTTTTCATATCTAAGAAAGCAGTATCACATAGTCCTTAAGAGGAGAGGCCCTGGGGCCAGCTCCCTGCATTCCAGATCTCTGCTCTGCCCCATATCATCAGTGTGGTCCCAAGCAAGTTCTTTAATCTGTCTGCGCTTTACAGTCTTCAGATGTAAAATGAGTCGCTACACATACTTCGCTTAGAATAACGCTATACATAAGTATTTGTGCTTGCTAGTATTCGTTTTATTAAGAACAGCGATGAATAAAATTACATCCAAGAATCAGGACCAATCAGTTTGATTTATATTTGAGATGTGTATGGATATGGGTAAATTCATGAGATTCCTCACTTGCTTGAATTTTACTTTAATAAATTTTAGAGAACATTAGAAAGCAAAGCAGCTGAAGTTTATTTTGTGGTTCCTTTTGGGTTCATAGTTTTTTTGTTTTTACGTATGCTTCTTTAAACATACCTTAAAACTAAACAGACATACGTTCTTTATGTAATAAACGTGTCCCAGAGAAGATGAGGGTAGATAGAGACGGCTGTTAAGAATATGAACTTTTCATATTGTACATTGTAATTTGAAACTGCTTTCTCAGGCATTTCTCATAATCCCAAATTTGATTGATTAATGCATACATAGCTATACATAATATTTATTTTTAGGTGACAATGGCCCATAGAGTTTTAAAATTCCCTACCTTTTCAGGGGCAAATAGTTAATTAAAATTTCTTAAGGCAAACAAGGGGCAAGGGGGACTGAAGTATTTTTATATTTCAATTATTCCATCTTCAGTTATTTTTCTTTTTAAAAGACAAAGCAACAGCAAAACCTCTCTTCCCCCTTCCCACCCAGTTACAAAATATGTTCATTGTAGAAAATATAAAAATATAGAATAAACATGGGGAGAGAGAATCAATACCACCTTCCAGCTTAATATTATTTCTGTTAACAATTCGGTGTCTAGACTTCTTGGCTTTTTTCTTTAATTTAGATAAGCTCACACAGTCACTCATGTTATTGACTGTTTGCCTTTTACAGTGATGGTATACACTGGTGTATTTTTTTAAAATAAATTATGAACATTTTAATCATGCCATTAAATCATCTATAGGGTCATTTATAATAGGTGCATCACATTCCTTTAAGTACATATGCCACACTGCAATTTATTTTGTAATATATTTGTGTTCTATTAAAAACAAATTGTGTCAGTAAATGTCCTTGCAGATAAATCCCTTTGCACATCCATTATTTCCTAATGATAAAATCTAAGACATGAGATTATTGGGTTGTAGGAGATGTACTTTCTCATACTTTTGATACATACAGCCAAACTGTTCTCCAGATTGTTGTCACCTCCCTACATGCTTGCCAGTACGGGGTATTGTGTTGGGATAAACCTATGTCCATTTGAGACCCAAATTGTCTCCCCTTATGAACGGGTACAAATCACTGTCGGTGCCTCTACCCCGTCTCTTCTTTCCCACTTCACTTCCCTTTGTCTGTATTCTTCTGTATCCTTCCTTGTTTCCACCTCAGAACTTCACAGAAGCTGGATTTGATCCAGGGTAGAGAAGGAAGCTCTGAATGTTCTTCCTCACTCCTCATCTGCTTCTTAGTTTATTTGTTATGTAAAATATCCTTGGGGCTTTGTACAGCATCCAGTTTTTCAAAAATCATATCCATTTTTTTCAAATTTACAAATTGACTTTCACGTTTATGACTTTTAGTAAGTTAATCTATTACACTTGTGAAGTGAGCTAATGCTCTAGCACGGTGGTTACTGAAGTAACCATCCTTGGAATCCCATGGACCAGGCTCAGGGACTCTCTCCTGTTCTTGCTGACTGGCTTTGGGATCTAGGATGTGTTATTTAACCCTTCCAGCCCTTCTGTTTCTTCACTTGTAAAATGGAGATAATGCTAATACTTTCCTCAGGATTTTGTGAAGATTTAAAAAGATGATGCTTATAAGTGCTCATTACACTGCCTAAAATATAGCAGGCCTGCAGTAGGATAGCTGTTATTATTACCTCATCTAACTGTCACAACATGTGCGAATCAAGCAGAGTGTATTTCTCCTGCATTTCAGTAAACAGGAGCTGAAAGCTGGCTTTTCCTGTCATTCCATCTAGAAAGTGGTGTCCTAAATTCCTAAATGGTGGTCCCAAAGTCCTAAATTCAGGTTGAATCAAGTTCGTCTGTAAGAACTATCACAAAGTGGGACAACTGAAGTGAGTGACAGGGATTGTGCCCTATAATCAGGGTAATCGGGAACAACATGAGACACTTCAAAATCTTTACATAATGGGGTCTTGAGGGGTGCAGCCTCCAAAAGCCTCGACTGACCTCCCGGCAAGTAGGTGAGAAGATGCACTTGGGTCCAGGAGAGGACTGGCTCCTGTGTGTCTTGACATAGGAGGAGAGGATACTGTATCTGAAAAATTTCCAGACACACAGAGGCCAAAGAGTCTTCACAAAACAAGTTTTAAGTTGACTGAGCACTGAGAGCAAAACATTTACTAGGTTTCTCTACTTTGGTTTAAATTGCTTTAAATGCATGTAACTAATTAGGTTTTAATCCTAACTTGTTTCCGACAGGGCATGGTGCTGATGTGAAATGTGTAGACTGGCATCCAACCAAAGGGTTAGTTGTTTCAGGAAGTAAAGATAGTCAACAGCCAATCAAGTTCTGGGATCCCAAGACTGGGCAGAGTCTTGCAACACTGTAAGTGACAGGAACCCCACCTTGGCCCCTGAACAAAGGGGAGCAAAGCAGTGTGTCCTTTAACTTTTAGCTTTGTTTTCTCTTATGTATTTCTGGAAGAGTCATTTAGGCAACAGATGGACTTGGATCTATAGACTTCTTATGAATTAAATATGATTCATCTCTGAACTCTTAATGAAGTAAGGCTTGTTTTTGTCCTGCCACATAGACCTAAGTTTAATTTGGTTGTTATATACGGGTGGGGAGGAGGATGAGGAGGGAGGTGGTTACTATTCTAGCCTATTGCCTGTCATCAGAATACCTTGTGGCACTGTGAGGAGTTGACGTGTGTGCCCCTTACTAGACACGGCCCAGCCTTCTCCATCTCACAACATCTGTTTCGAGAGGGTTTTCTTCTGGTTTTGAACCACTTCTCATTTTTTGTCTGATGGGCTTACTTACGATGCAGCTATGTAATCTAGTTTTCTCTTTCAGTTATTTGTGAACATTCACAGCTACATGCATATGTTAACATTTTTTTGACCAAGCATCCATTTCCTGGTCTTTCTGATTGGGAAGAGAACCATATTCAGAGTGAATTGGTTGGAGCAAGGCTGCTTTGTTGTACAACCCCAATGACCATGCCAACCTGGAATGCCTTGTGAATGCTCCCTTGGAGATATCCATTGTGCAGGCCAGGGGTTGTTGCATTGTCTTTAGTTCAAATTAACTTTCAGACTTTCCAGTCCATTTTTATGCTTTGTCTTAATTAGAGAAACTTTATGGAAGTTTCAAAATGTAATGAGCTTTATTGAATATTAATTTCTGTGTTCATGTGCTTCCCCTGCTTCACGGATAAATTTTACTGTTCAGTGGAAGCTCTGCTACTGTATTATTATTATTATTATTATTATTATTATTATTATTATTATTATTTTGAGACAGAGTCTCGCTCTGTCACCCAGACTAGAGTGCATTGGTGCAATCTCGGCTCACTGCAACCTCTGCCTCCTGGGTTCAAGTGATTCTCCTGCCTCAGCCTCCTGAGTAGCTGGGACTACAGGCATGCGCCATCACGCCTGGCTAATTTTTGTATTTTTAGTAGAGTCTGGGTTTCACCATGTTGGCCAGGCTGGTCTTGAACTGACCTCAGGTGATCCACTCGCCTAGGCTTCCCAAAGTGCTGGGATTACAGGCGTGAGCCATCACGCCCAGCCTCTGCTGCTTTTTTAACTGGTTGATGAGAGCTGTCTTTGTCTGGGCAGTGCATATTATTTCTGTCGTTGACTTGTTTCTTTCAAGTGTGTTTATAACTGTGATCCTTTAATGTTACAGGCTTTATTGCTTCTAGGCCAAACCTCTTGCCATCTTGATTAATTCGCTTTTCAACAAAAATGGCCATTGTATTTATACTTGTTTTGAATTCTGACATTTTTTTTTGATACTTTGTTTCTAGTCATGCCCATAAAAACACAGTAATGGAAGTGAAATTAAACCTCAATGGCAATTGGCTACTCACAGCATCACGTGATCATCTCTGTAAACTTTTTGATATCAGAAACCTAAAAGAAGAGCTTCAAGTCTTCCGAGGTCATAAGAAAGAAGCCACAGGTCAGTGGCTGTGATATGCTTCTCATTGACCACTGTTACCTGTAACATTCTCAGATCCTGATAATTGTGTCTTTTCCCATGTTTTTGTTCTGCAGCTGTGGCCTGGCATCCTGTTCATGAAGGACTTTTTGCCAGTGGAGGGTCTGATGGTTCTTTGTTATTCTGGCATGTTGGGTATGTAAGATTTATGTGAAAAAGTAGTGTATTTTGTGAAGAGAGCACGTGAATGTGTGCAGACATGATAGTTTTGTAGCTTTTCTAAGTGTTCATATATCCTATATCAGAGACTGCTTGCAGTTTTCAGTTCTGTAAATCCAGCTTGGAATAGAAAATGTACCTCTGTTTGTGGATATGGAAGTCATTAAGGAGGAATAAAATAGATTTTCTAGTTTCTAAATGCTTGCAGCCTTTTCCCCTGTGAAGTGCTCTTTGGATGAAAGGGTAACTGTCCTTTGGCAATGACAAGCCAATACCCCGAGACATGTGGAATTCACCAGAGTCCAAGTCCAGGCTTTGGTAGCTTCATTTTAAGAGTAACAGAAAATGTCTTTTTTGAGGGGGAGGGAGAAGCTGGGTAACTTTTGTGAACAAATCTTCTCTCTTTGGTGCTGTTGCAGGGTAGAGAAGGAAGTGGGTGGGATGGAGATGGCTCACGAAGGGATGATCTGGAGTCTGGCTTGGCATCCTCTTGGGCATATTCTCTGCTCAGGCTCAAATGACCATACTAGGTAAGCTTTATATTGAAATAGCAAAGCTTTATATGGAGCAACAGGAAATAAATACTGTATGTGTTTATTTTTATTGGTTGATTGATATAGTAATTTATATTCCAACTTATTCTTGGGAATATTTTTGTAGTGGTTTACAAATACTTATATTGCAATAAAGAGATTGGGTATTGAATATGGTTTTGGCTATTCAAATTTTGTTTTGCCTTCTGACTTAAAACAGAAGTTTTCCACTTTTATTTATTTATTTATTTATTTATTTGAGACAGGGTCTCTGTCCAGGCTGGCGTGCAATGGTGCGGTCTCAGCTCACTATAGCCTCAACCTTCCTGGGCTCAGGTGATCCTCCTACCTCAGCCTCCTGAGTAGCTGAGACTATAGGAGCACACCACCACACCTGGCTAATTTTTGCATTTTTTGTAGAGATGGGGTTTCACCATGTTGCCCAGGCTGATGTCAAACTCCTGGGCTTAGGCAATCCTCCTGCCTCAGCCTCCCAAGGTGCTGGGATTACAGGCATGAGCCACCTTGCCCGGCCCCACATTTTATTTTTATTTTTATTATTATTTTAAGAGACAGAGTCTCACTCTGTCACCGAGACTAGAGTTCTGTGGTGAGATCACAGCTCACTGTAGCCTCAAACTCCTGGGCTCAAGCCATCTTCCCGCCTTATCCTCGTGAGTAGCTGAGACTACAGGTGTGTGCCACCACACCCAGCTAACTTTTTAATTTTTATTTTGTAGAGACAGGGTTTCGCTATGTTGCCCAGGCTGGTCTTGGACTCCTGGACTTAATCCTCCTGCCACAGCCTCCCAAAGTGCTGGGATTACAGATGTGAGCCAAAGTGTATGACCTCACATTTTAAATTTGTAGAAGAAACAAATTGTAAAAATGTGTTGTGTTTACCAAGGGTCTGCCTAGTACTGTTTAGTGCCCAAAAAAATAGTGAAGCCATGCTTCTTTTCTCCTTTAATTATTTTTACAGCAAATTCTGGACTCGAAACCGACCAGGTGATAAAATGCGAGATCGATATAATCTAAACCTTTTACCTGGAATGTCTGAAGATGGAGTAGAATATGGTGAGACTCTTGCACATCTGTCCTTCTTTGAAATCTGGTATTCTATTACAGAAGTGTTAGATGTTGGGAAGATTATACAAAATGAATTTTAATTTTATAGTAGATTTATTTATAAATCATCAGTGACATTCATTTTTATAAAGCATTAATTTTATCAGTCGCTACTTTTGTAAATTCTCTATTGACAATGGTGTATTACTATTTATAGATGACCTCGAACCTAATAGCCTGGCAGTAATTCCAGGAATGGGAATACCAGAACAACTAAAATTAGCTATGGAACAAGAACAGATGGGTAAGAGAAGTTACACAGACACATTTAATTTTTACAAATTTTTTCTTGACCCGTTTATGTTCCTGATAAATATATTGAAATACCAAAATGATTTATGTTGAGAAATGTTGATAAAAATTATATAAATGACATAATACTTAAAATCTATTCTTCCAATAATGTGTTCATTGATCAAGTGGCCAATTTCTTTTATTTAAGAGGCAAACCACTTTTCTTTACGGTTACAGGGAAAGATGAATCAAATGAAATTGAAATGACAATTCCAGGTTTAGATTGGGGAATGGAGGAAGTGATGCAAAAGGATCAGAAAAAAGTACCTCAGAAGAAAGTTCCTTATGCAAAACCCATTCCTGCTCAGTTCCAGCAGGTAAGTAAAAGTGACTCCACCTCATCCACGCAGAGAGGTTTTGGTTGGTTAGTTTGAGGTTTCTCTTGGATTATCTCACTGTTGAAGGTGTTTCTGTACTGGAGCATTTTTCCCATGTTCACGTACTCTTAGACATGGTTCTCATCTACTGCTTTGCAGTTGTATTGAGTTTGTTATCAGTCTTCTCTGTTCTGTCCTCACCTGCTTATTATCATCCATGCTATGAGAGGAAATAGAAGAAAGAGGCATGGAGCAGAGGGAGTATGGGAGTATGTTGCTTCTCTTCTCCATTGTTTATCTATCTTGTGCTTTAATTGTCCCCTCAACACAAAGTGCATGTACCCTGTGAAGAGGCTGGCAAGCTTTGCATTCTTAATAACATGCAGTGTCTTGCAGCTTTTATCACCATAGTAATTTCTACCTAGTAATATGTCAGTAAGAATTAGCATGAGTCATGTACTTGAGTCATGGAGAAAAGGTAAAAAGAAATAAAATCGGTTCAGAGGTTAGATTGAGCAGATGACATTGTAGAGTGGTTTTCTCATTCTATCATTGTAATTTTCATACTTAGCGTACATTTTAATATTCTCTTCTTTCCCAAGGCTTGGATGCAAAATAAAGTTCCAATTCCTGCTCCAAATGAGGTGCTGAATGACAGAAAAGAAGACATTAAATTGGAAGAGAAGAAAAAAACACAAGCAGAAATTGAGCAAGAAATGGCTACATTACAATATACTAACCCACAACTTCTGGAGGTGTGTGAAGCTCTGTAGGGGGGAATTCAAGATGATCTAAGAGGGTAGTGGTGACATTTTTATTGATAGGCTCTTAAGGAAAAGGGAAGGGGCTCTCCCATGGTCTGACAAACACCGCCATTTCCTGTTGCTATGCTAGAAGACTAGTTTCCAAAAGAATCCTGTTTCTTAAAATTTTTTAAAATGTGTTATTTATGTATTTTGTTTTATTTATTTTATTTTAGAGACAGAGTCATGCCCTGTCACCCAGGCTGGAATGCAGTGGTGCGATCACGGCTTGCTACAACCTCTGCCTCCCAGGCTCAAGTGATCTTCCCACATTAAGCCTCTTGAGTGGCAGAGACCACAGGCATGCACCATCACGTCTGACTAATTTTTTTTTAAGTGACTTCCTTGAGTCATATCTTGGACTTTTAAAACCCAATTAGGGTCAGGCGTGGTGGCTTACACCTGTAATCCCAGCACTTTGGGAGGCCGAGGCAGACAGATCACCTGAGATCAGGAGTTTGAGACCAGCATGGTCAACATGGTGAAACCCCACCTCTACTGAAAATACAAAAATTAGCTGGGCATGGTGGTGCATGCCTGTGGTCCCAGTGACATGGGCGGCTGAGGCAGGAAAATGGCTTGAACTCCAGAGGCAGAAGTTTCAGTGAGCCGAGATCGTACCACTGCACTCCAGCCTGTGCCACAAAGTGAGACTCTGTCTCAAAAACAACAACAACAACATAAAAAAACTGAATTAGTGGGGCAGTGAGTAGATCTAAGTTAAATATACATTTTTAATAGAAAAGATAAAGCCAACATAGTTTTAATTTGAATTCACCTGTTTATGAAAGAGTTTTTCCTTTTTGTCTGCTCATATAGCAGGTAGCTTGTTCTTATTTTTCTTATCTATGTTAGCTACCAAGAATGATGAATTAGTGGTGAATTATTGGGCTTTCCCTGATCAAGATGGACAAAAATAATCCTGACTAGGCCAGGCACAGTGGCTCACGCCTGTAATCCCAGCACTTTGGGAGGCGAGGCGGGAGGATCAGCTGAACCCAGGAGTTTGAGATCAGCCTGGGCAATATAGCAAGACCCTGTCTCTACAAATAATAATTAGCTGGGTGTGGTGGCATGTGCCTGTAGTCCCAGCTACTCCGGAGGCCGAGGTGGGAGGATCACTTGAGCCCAGGAGGGTGAGGCTGTAGTGAACCACGATCGTACCACTGCATTCCAGCTTGGGGGACAGAAAAAAAAAATAAGGAAAAAAAAATCCTTACTACTGTGTCCCAGGACTTAAAAAGAATGAGAAAGAACCTAAAACTCCTTACAGTGCTTGAGTGTTGCATGGACTCTAATTACCACTGGAGCGTGAAGAGTTTGAGCAGTTTTTATGTTTGAGAGTCCCCTAACAGAATACATGATAGCAATATTGTCATCTTCAAGGGCTCTGGCCTGTTTATTCAACATGCTTTTTTCTTTCTTTCTTTCCAGCAACTTAAAATTGAAAGACTTGCACAGAAACAAGTTGAGCAAATTCAGCCTCCTCCCTCATCTGGCACCCCTCTCCTCGGACCCCAGCCTTTTCCAGGACAAGGTCCAATGTCTCAGATTCCTCAAGGTTTTCAACAGCCCCATCCATCTCAGCAGATGCCAATGAACATGGCTCAAATGGGGCCTCCAGGTCCACAGGGACAGTTTAGGCCTCCTGGACCCCAGGGACAAATGGGACCACAAGGTCCTCCACTGCATCAGGGAGGTGGGGGGCCACAAGGATTCATGGGACCACAGGGGCCCCAGGGCCCGCCCCAGGGGTTGCCACGGCCTCAGGACATGCATGGGCCCCAAGGAATGCAGAGGCATCCTGGACCTCATGGCCCTTTGGGACCTCAAGGGCCACCTGGACCACAAGGTAGTTCTGGTCCTCAAGGTCATATGGGTCCTCAGGGTCCACCTGGCCCACAGGGTCACATAGGCCCCCAAGGCCCGCCTGGCCCTCAGGGTCACTTGGGCCCACAGGGGCCTCCGGGTACTCAAGGTATGCAGGGACCACCTGGTCCCAGAGGAATGCAAGGGCCTCCTCATCCTCATGGGATCCAAGGCGGACCAGGGTCTCAAGGGATCCAAGGTCCTGTGTCTCAGGGACCTCTGATGGGATTGAATCCAAGAGGAATGCAGGGGCCTCCAGGCCCCCGGGAGAACCAGGGTCCTGCTCCCCAAGGGATGATTATGGGCCACCCGCCTCAAGAGATGAGAGGACCTCACCCTCCAGGTGGACTACTGGGACACGGCCCTCAGGAAATGAGAGGTCCTCAGGAGATCCGAGGCATGCAGGGGCCTCCACCCCAAGGATCAATGCTGGGACCTCCCCAGGAATTGCGAGGGCCTCCAGGCTCACAAAGTCAGCAGGGGCCGCCCCAGGGCTCTTTAGGACCTCCACCCCAGGGTGGCATGCAAGGACCCCCCGGACCTCAGGGACAGCAGAACCCAGCAAGAGGGCCACATCCATCTCAAGGGCCAATACCATTCCAGCAACAGAAAACGCCTCTGCTAGGTGATGGGCCCCGGGCCCCCTTCAACCAGGTATTATTCATTTCCAACTCACGGGCACATTGGGAAAATACACTCTGCACAGAAGTAATACTGCTGAGTATTGTGGAAAATGGTCACAGCTGGATATAAATACTTATCAAGTAGTGACAGTAGCTTAAGATACTAGCATCCTGGCTGAAGAATGAAATCATAAGAATGATGAGTTAGGTTATACTCCCATTAAGTACATCTCAGTATTCATTTTTACTTCTCACCATTTTTCTTTTTTTGGTAATAGAGTTTCTTCAGAAAAGGTCAACTCTCATTTGAGTACAGCTGATAATTGTCCCAGGGCTCCAGGAGAGCTGTGGCCCTGAGGAGGAAGCATGTTTTACATGGTGGTCGGCTCTGAGGCTGTCATGCCTCCTTTCTGGGCCCTTTACATTGCAGCCTGGTGTTCCATGGGCCTGCCAGCCACAGAATCACTTCCTGTCTGCCAACTCTACTTTTAAAAGATAGGATGGGATATTTAACTCATGAGTATACTATAGACTCTGTACCTCACTCTGTTTATTACAGTGAATAGAAATAAAGAGACTGTTATTCCAGAATTGAGCATTCTGGAAATGGTGACCCTTTGGATGAAACTCTGCTCAAGTTGTTTTCAGCTCACATATAAAAGTATTTGCAGGGGGGAGCATTTCTGTAGAAATTCTCCTTCTTTGAGGATTCTGTTTTTGTTAGCCAATTTTTATTGCTCATGCGCTGAGCTCGTGCTTGAGAGATGGTGTGAGGAAAGTTCAGGTTGCTTGGGGGAGTGAATTACGAAAAGAATTGCATGAGCATAAATAGATGTAATACTGCTCAGCTATGTGCATTTTATGCTTTTCTCAAGTTCTTAGTCTGGAGGCATTATTTGGGTATGAATAACTGAGTTTTGTCCCTGAAAACTCACTTTTGGTCCAGTGTGGACCAAAAGTGAGCGAGTCAGCTAATGTTGACTCCCTGAGACACTTGGAGAAAGGGGATGCTACAGATGTAGAAAGCACAGTCTGTTTTGGTTTTTCAAATACCACCACGAATCCCTAATGTAAAGATGACCATTGGGTTTCCTGAACTCAACTACTAAGCTAAAACAAATAAATTATCTACTATTCTAAAGTAGGTCTTCCAGAACCTAAAAGTGTCGTAGTCATGGAGAATCTGATGATGTCTGAGTTATTTCCAGATTTTTATTCAGCACTTCTCAGAAGTTAGGATGAATTAAGTATAGGATTGCCATTCTAAATTGCCCTAAAACTTGAAGTATTATATATTTTATTAATTTACTGCTCAGTTGTATGTGTGTATAATATTATTTATTGTAAGTTATTTTCCTAACTTTCTGGTAGTAAATTAACAGTTTTCATTTTGGAGGATTAAAAAAATAATGGACTTTAGCTACTGTGTTATAACTGAAATATTTATAAACATGTCAGAGTCACAAGGACATGCCTGAGTTTCTGGGATAATTCAATGAGATTTTTTATTGTACCATGTAGTAAAAGATTTTATACATGGGAAGCATGATTCTGAAATTTTAATTGACCTATAGAAATACTGGTAGAATGAGTCTGAAGATCTGATACTTTGTAGGGCATTTCAGATCTCAGAAGTTGCCTGATGAAAATCTGTGCTCTTATTTCTCATATGCTGAAATCTAAGTTGCTTCACTTTAACCAGACCAGTTACTTAAACCAGTTGTTTTAATTGGTTTAATTTAGTGCTGCTGTGTTAGAATTTCTGACTTTCCATTGAT
The DNA here is from genome assembly GCF_000001405.40 of Homo sapiens. NCBI lineage: Eukaryota > Metazoa > Chordata > Mammalia > Primates > Hominidae > Homo > Homo sapiens. The sequence continues at coordinate 127,717,517 of NC_000002.12, read as the reverse complement.
GTTCTTTTTTGGCATTACGAGTAAAGATCTAATTTTACATAAAAGTTGTCAACAGGTTTAAAATACAGGTGCTTTAAAAAAATTATTATAGTAAAAGAAGTATCTCCTTTCTCCTGATTTAAGGACAATGTTACTGTAATCTTACTAGGTAAATATTTACTGGGTATTTTTATCTTGTCATGTTATAATGCAATCACTATTTATGTAGCTCAAGCCTGTGATTTCATACCCTTACTTTAAAAACATATTTTCAGGAAGGACAGAGCACAGGCCCCCCACCCCTGATACCAGGCCTAGGGCAGCAGGGAGCACAAGGTCGCATTCCCCCTCTGAACCCCGGACAAGGACCTGGCCCCAACAAAGGTAAATATCTGCTCAGCTGAATAAAAGATTATATTCTACCACCTTTGTGCACATTTTACAGTGAATAATTTTGTTGGCCAGTCATTGATAGACTGGTCATTTGAACCTCTGGGCAAAATAAGGGTGTGGTCATTCAGGTAGGAGCTTTGTCTTTGGTTGTGTTCTTGGATCTGTTTAGTAAGCCCCTCACCCCAGAGGCTGACAATGAAGGCACCCGCACAGGCTCCAGCAGTCGTGCCTGTGTGGCAGGCTGGCCTTGCCCATCTGTTGGCAATGCAGGTGGTTCCTGTGCTCACTGAGTGCAAGTGTGTGTTTGTAGCACCCTGAAGAGATGGACTGTTTGTGCTTGAATTGTGTGACAGTGTTTTTGTCATCACATCCTTGTCTTCCCAAACCCTGTCACACATTGAACTCTTCAGCTGGTTATGTAGTTGTGCACCATTTGAAAAGAAGAAAGCACTCTAGCCATATGTGGCTCCTCAGGTTGTTGATATGAAAAGGAAAGAGATGAGAATGATTAGTATTTAGATGTGGGGCTATTTGGAAGTTTAGAGTTAATCCTAAGGGTTGAAGGAGAGCACGCAGGGCACCATGGCCCCTGAGATGGGTGGGACCCCCCTGTCTTGCAGAGTTGGAGCAGGAGCGTGGTGAGCAGCACGCTGTTGGGGAGAGTTGCAGGGGGTGACTCGGAGTGGATGGAGGGGAGTGAGAGGAAACACTGTGTTATGTTCGACACACACTTTCATAACGGGGAGAAACCACAACTCGGAGAATCAGGAGGACCGCAGAGATTGCCCTTCACAGAACTTTACTCTCTTAGTTTTAATTGGCTAAGCCCATAGCACTGTGTGGTGCATGTTAAGATTTTTGCCCCCGTTTTATCCAATTAAGAAAAGTCCTTGTCAGCATTACAGCCCTAGGACTTTGTGAATTTATGCTCAGTCTTGAATTTATGTGTGATATTAGAGGTAAGAAAGAGATAAGGGAACTAGAGAGTGTTTATTTCTGTCCCATTGTGTGGAAGTGGTAGCAGAGGCTATACAGAAGGAACGTGGCCCACAGCGAACTAGAGAAACAAAAGGAGAGTCTTTTACCCCCTGAGTTATCGCCATCAGCAAACTGAGAGCTGCCTCTCTTCCTCTCCCTGCCCTGTGTCTGTCTCCACCTCCTTCCCTCTCATCCTTGCTCTTTCCCTTTTCTCTTTATCCCCCGCCCCCTTTCTTTCTCTTCCTCCTTTCTCCTCCCAGGGACCAAAGGGAGAAGGGAGAGCCGAGAAAGTGGCCCTGCCATCCCCTACTGGAATAACCGCCGCCGCCGCCCCATCACTGGTGGCCACATCCCTTCTAATTTGTAGTGGTGGGTTTCTTTCCTTGAAGAGCAGGGTACTTTTAAACAGATAGAGGTAATGGGAGGATTAATATTCATAGGTAAGTCCAAACGGAAAATGTTTAGCTTCCTTACACCAAAGGTCTGCTGTGTCTGAGATTACACTAAGTTCAAGCAACATCATGTCAGTGAAGAAGCCATTAGCTGCAGGAACACACTGAGAAGTGAGGGAGCCTGTCTACCAGAAGGAAATGGAGCTAGGATCTTTGCAAACTGCTGAGTAGAGAGGAGAGGACGAGTAAATGAGACAGACGGAAAAGAGCTGGAAGAGAGAGACTCCTTTATGGCACATTTTTATCCTGAGATTTCCAAGCATTTTATATATATTGCATGGTAAAGAGGAATTGAAATAGCCAAAAGAAATGAACTAAAATGAAAAGGGAGGGGCCAGGTGCAGTGGCGCATGCCTGTAATCCCAGCACTTTGGGAGGCTGACTGGGTGTATCACTTGAGGTCAGGAGTTCAAGACTAGCCTGGCCAACATGGTGAAACCCCGTCTCTACTGAAAATACAAAAATTAGCCGGGCGTGGTACCTGTAATCCCAGCTACTCAGGAGGCTGAAGCAGGAGAATCGCTTGAATCCCTAAGGTGGAGGTTTCAGTGAGCTGAGATCACGCCACTTCATTCCAGCCTGGTGACAGAGTAAGCCTCTGTCTCAAAAAAAAAAAAAAAAAAAAAAGAAACAAAGAAAGAAAAGAAAGAAGAGGGATGCTGTTGCGGGGGAGGTGAGAATTATGGTTGGCTGGGGTACAGGAGGGGTTTGTCTTTATAGCCAGGGAAAAGCAGTAAAAGGCATGAACTGGGCTATTGGAGGAATTTCACTTTAAAAACACAGTTTTTGTTTTTAGAATCAAGAGTATCCTTTCGCTACCTACTTTTAAAAAGTGTTTGATTTAAATTGTATGTTAACCAAAAATAGGTAAACATTTATAAAAGCTGCAGTAGTTCAGTAGCTGGAAAAACAGTCCCTTCCAAGTTAGGAGGTGAACTAAGTTAACCATCACACATTTAACTGGCATCTTTCCATTTTTATTCAGTACTTTCATTACAGTACATATTTTCACATATTTTAGAAAACTTTAGTGGGATTCCAAACACTGTCTTCAAAGAATGGTGAGAATATTGTAGATGAGGAACAACATCCATAGAGAGGTGCAGAAAACCCCGACACTGAAGCCCAGCAGGGCTGTTTGGTCATCAGGCAGGTATTTGAGAGGCTGGTGATTGCATGTACCTTACAGAGGAATCAAGTGCAACAAGCTGGGGTTAGAGGAGGGATGTCATGGGTGGCAGTGGCACCCTGTTGATGGGTACAGAGGTGAATTCTTGGCACGCTTCCTGGCCTGCAGCATTAATTTCCTCTGTTGTGTCCTCCTTGGATGTGGAGCAGGTGGCCCTAATGAAATGCCTGAAAGAATAGGGGCAGACAAAGGAAGCTCCTTCTGAAGCCCAGGAGGCTCTCTCATTTTTCCAGTGTATACTAAGAGATGGACAGATGCTGCTGATCTCATTTGAGATGAGTAATTTGCCCTAGCTAGTGGGTGATGAAGTTGAAATCTGCACCCCAAAGCTCCTGTTCTATTACCCAATGCTTCAGGGACATTTGTCTCCTAACTAAGCTGAGAACCAAGGAGGGAAAACATTCTCAATAAAGAATGTATTCTGAAATGTAGAGATGCTACAGATCAGACCTATGTTGGCAGGTTTCCTGGAAGACATGGTAAAAGTCAGCTTTGTTTCCTTTAGGTGACTCCCGCGGCCCTCCAAACCATCACATGGGCCCGATGTCAGAGAGGCGGCATGAGCAGAGCGGCGGGCCTGAGCATGGGCCCGAGAGGGGGCCTTTCCGGGGTGGCCAGGACTGCAGGGGTCCCCCTGATAGGCGTGGCCCTCACCCAGACTTCCCCGATGACTTCAGCAGACCAGATGACTTCCACCCTGACAAGCGCTTTGGCCACCGGTTACGTGAATTTGAGGGGCGAGGAGGACCTTTACCGCAAGAAGAGAAGTGGAGGCGAGGGGGCCCTGGGCCTCCGTTTCCCCCTGATCACAGGGAATTCAGCGAGGGGGATGGCCGGGGTGCAGCCCGAGGCCCTCCGGGGGCATGGGAAGGCCGCAGGCCCGGAGATGAACGTTTCCCCCGGGATCCCGAGGACCCACGTTTTCGAGGGCGCAGAGAAGAAAGGTGGGACAGATACTTTGTGGGCCCATTCCATCTTCAGTGGAGCTTTTTATCTGCTGTCTCCACAAAGGTCTCTTTCTTCTTTTTCTTGAGGAAAGAGAATTATATCAATTACCAGCCCTGCACTCTGTAGAGTTTGCATTTGGACGTTTAAAAAAAGTGTGCTTTTTAACCTTAGTCTTGTTTTAATCTTTGCTGTCTAGAAATCTTTTTCGTTTTGTTTATTTTTTTATATTTTGGTCCTTTCTAAAGAGATGGGAGGATCAGTGTACTACAAGACTTGCTGGGATCTGACTTAAAATTTCCAGGTTCTTCTTGATTAGAATAAGGAAATATGAGGCAGCTACCTAGATTGGAAATAAAGGGGTTGTGAAATAGATACAATTTTTGTGTAATTGCCCAATAATCTTAACAAACTTAAACTGAAAAACAGTCTTCCTGTTAAACTTAGATCAGGCTTGAACACTCATCTCAGCATTCTTGGGGAGTTTAAGGAACAGAAGAAATGTGGAGAAAGAAACAGGAATTAGCCCAGGACCAGTGGCTCACGCCTGTAATCCCAGCACTTTGGGTGGCTGAGGCAGGAGGATCGCTTGAGGCCAGGAATTGAAGAACAGCCTGAACGACATAGTGTAACTCCATCTCTACAAAAAAAATTTTTTAATTAGCTGGGTTTGGTGGTGCATGCCTGTAGTCCTAGCTACTCAGGAAGCTGAGGTGGGAGGATCAGCTGAGGCCAGGAGGCTGCAGTGAGTTATGATTATGCCATTGCACTTCAGCCTGGGCTACAGAGCAAGACCCTGTCTCTTAAAAGAAAAACAAAACAAAACAAAAAAACACCAGGAAATAGTAAAATCTCAAGTGAGACTCAGAATAATTAAAGATGATGATAATTGAGTATTTTGTATCAGATGTTGTTACCTCATTTAAATTGAGGAATTTGTTTTAATTTAGGAAATTAACTCATTTTATTTAAAGAATTTGTGAGATAGGTGCGACTGTCAGCATCTTATGCTGATTCAGACAGAATAAGAGCAGTGTCTTGACTTTCCGAGGTCTGGCAGGTGGTAGGTGTCAGAGCTGGGCTTCAGGCCCATGCTGTTCAGCACTTCAGCTTTTACTATAGTCTCTGATTACTCCTTAGCCTTCCGTGTCCTTTCATCCCATTTCTTTTTTTTTTTTTTTCTTCTTGAGACGGAGTCTTGCTCTGTTGCCAGGCTGGAGTGCAGTGGCACGATCTCGGCTCACTGCAGCCTCCACCTTCCAGGTTCAAGTGATTCTCCTGTCTCAGCCTCTTGAGGAGCTGGGATACAGGCTCACACCACCTTGCCTGGCTAATTTTTGTATTTTTAGTAGAGATGAGGTTTCACCATGTTGGCCAGGCTCGTCTTGAACTCCTGACCTCAAGTGATCCACGTTCTTCAGCCCCCCCAGAGTGCAGGGATTATAGGCGTGAGCCACTGCGCCTGGTCCTTTCATTCCATTTCTTACTCTTCTTGTGAATAGATGGTTAAGGCCGGGCACAGTGGCTCACGCTTGTAATCCCAGCACTTTGGGAGGCCGAGGTGGGTGTATCACGAGGTCAGGAGTTCGAGACCAGCCTGGCCAACATGGTGAAACCCTGTCTCTACTAAAGATACAAAAAATTAGCCGGGCATGGTGGTGCGTGCCTGTAATCCCAGCTACTCGGAAGGCTGAGGCAGGAGAATCGTCTGAATCTGGGAGGCAGAGATAGCAGTGAGCCAAGATTGCACCACTGCACTCCAGCCTGGGTGACAGGGCGAGACTCTGTCTCAAAAAAAAAATATATATATATATATATATATATATATATCTGTATATGTGGTTGAGTTAGGGTTGGCCAGCCCACCCTCAGGGGTGGTGAGAAAAGCAAGGCTGATGACAGGCTCAGAAGCATGACATAGTCGGGGCTAAGGAAGCAATTGTTTTGGGGGAGGGGAGATAGGGAGGTTAAAAATAAAGACGTAAGGGCTCCCAGTGTTTTTAAGACCCTCTCTTAATGATATCCAAGCATTACCTTTGACATGGCTTTTTATGACTAGAAGAGCTTTACATCTGCGTAATGTTCACTGACTTATTGAATCTCTGCATCTTGTGCAAAATGTTACATTTTACCTTGTCTTTTTTTTTTTTTTTTTTTGAGAGGGAATCTTGCTTTGTCGCTCAGGCTGGAGTGCAGTGGCATGATCTCGGCTCACTGCAGCCTCCACCTCCTGGGTTCAAGCGATTCTTGTGCTTCAGCCTCCCGAGTAGCTGGGATTACAGGCACGCGCCACCACGCCCAGCTAATTTTTGTATTTTTAGTAAAGATGGGGTTTAGCCATGTTGGCCAGGCTGGTCTCGAACTCCTGGCCTCAAGTGATCTGCCTGCCTCGGCCTCCCAAAGTGCTGGGATTACAGGTGTGAGCCACTGTGCCCGGCCATCCTGTCTTGATTTGTATTGTGTTTCATCTGTCAGTGCAGACCCATAGCCTAGGCTGGTGTGTGAGAGTGTAAAGGTATTGTGATTATATAGGAGAAAGTTCTTGTTCTTAGAAGAAATGGACTGAAGGATTTAGGGGTAAAGCTCGTGTTGGCAACTGATTTTCAAATGGTTTAGAAAACATGTTTGTGAGTAGCTGGACGGAGAAGATAAAGCACGTGTGGCAAAATATTAAGAAGGGATTGATCTGGGTGGAGGATCTGGGATGTTCATTGTACTGTTCTTTCAGCTTTACTGTAAGTTTGAAAATCTTCCAAGTAGAAGATTAGGATAAAGGCAATGGAATGGAAACCTGAGGAAGAGCAGAGGCCTGGCCTGGGAGGAGGCCATGCAGCTCATGCAGAGGGGCCCTGCAGGGTGGCGCCACCGCCTCTCAGTGAGCGCTGCCAGAAGGTCACTTTCTCTTCTTTCGCACAGACCTCCTGGTACCCTCTCTGCCTCAGCAATACTCCCAGTCAGTGTAGTCTCCTGGCTCCAAAATTCCTGAGAGAAGGGGAAGCTGTTCACTAAGCAGGGCTCCAGACTGCCAGCTAGCCAGTGGATCGCTGCCTGTAAACCAGATGCTGACCTGTGTGCCCATCAGCTGTGGACTCGGGCCATGAGTGCCACTCGTGGTCATGGAGGCCTGCCCCTGGGTGGAGGCTGTGGGCTGGGGCAGATGGCAGAGCCCCTACCTACAGACAGGTCCAGTATGGTTGGCAGACACGATCTGTGCCCCCATTTTTCTGATTATATGTCATAAATGTTCATCATACAAATGTAGATGATAATGATAAGTATTTGTGAGGCAGTGATACAGAACCTGGGCCGAGGGTCAAGACTGGCTGAGTTCAGATCACCAGCACTTACTCTGTGTCCTTGAATAAATGATGTCAGCAATCTGGGCCTCAGTGTTCTCATCAGTGGAACTGCTGATAATACCAGCTTCATATGGTGGCTGTGAAAATGAAATGAATGAAATGAAGTAATACTTGTATATACCTAAAAGCCTAAAAGAAGCTTAAAGTAACTCCACACTCTGGTGTGTTTCCTTCTGGTCTGTTTTTGCCTCTGATAGTATTAATAGGATTATATAATGTATCCTTTCAAAAATATATAGTTTTATTTTGTTTTCCTCCCAATTAACATTGTATCATGCTTTCTCATATCATATGCTTCTTTGAAACATGAACTTAGAGTGGCAAGGTGTTCTCTGAGATGGACATTCTGCTGTTTTCTCTTTACAGTTTCAGAAGAGGAGCCCCGCCGAGGCATGAGGGCCGTGCTCCCCCCAGAGGAAGGGATGGTTTTCCTGGTCCTGAAGACTTTGGTCCAGAGGAGAATTTTGATGCTTCTGAGGAAGCGGCCCGAGGACGAGATCTCAGAGGTCGAGGTCGGGGTACCCCACGAGGTGAGCGAGTTACTAAAGACACCTGGTCTGGAAGGATAGGGTGCAGAATACACTGGTTGTGAATACACCAGGAACAGTCTGAGTGCAGCATTGTTTGCTCTGTTGTGTAGGAGGAAGGAAGGGTTTACTTCCCACTCCTGACGAGTTCCCTCGCTTTGAAGGAGGGCGGAAGCCAGATTCCTGGGATGGAAACAGAGAGCCTGGTAAGGAAAAGAACCGCTTGTTGGGTAACTCTAGACTGCAGTTCACAAAGTGAGTTCTGAGGGCCCTCTCTGGGGTGCACCGGGTCTCCTCTTTCCAGCTCATGTCTCCCGGGGGGCTGGGCTGTCTCCTGTCCTGCAGCCGCAGCACTTGATCTCAGCAGGTGGAATGCAGAGCAGAGGAATCCGCCAGACATTACAGGGATCTATCTGAGTATAAAACGGGACTGCTCTTTCCACTAAATTGCTTTTGGAGAATAAAGTTAAGTGAATTAAAATTTCCCCAGTCTCAATTGCTAATATGGTAAATATTCGCAGTTACAACTCTCATTAACAAAATCTCTTAGGAGTCCTCAGTAATTTGAGACTGTAAAGACGTCTTGATACTACAATGCCTGAGAACGAGTTCTCTGGATCTTACCTGCCCCTCTTACATGAGGAGGCACCCTGATGTCTGGGTGGCTTACCCTTTGGCCTCTGGCGGGCATTCAGCATGAGTGAACGGTGGCTCTCGAGTTGCTCCTTACTCTCACAGTGTCATTCCCATCTACTTCTGGTCACACTGTGCTTTCCTGTAAGGAGATTTGTTTCTTGTTTCAGGGCCAGGTCATGAACATTTTCGTGATACTCCCCGCCCTGATCATCCCCCTCACGACGGTCATTCCCCAGCCAGCAGAGAACGCTCCTCTTCTCTCCAAGGCATGGACATGGCATCCCTACCTCCCCGAAAGCGCCCCTGGCATGATGGCCCAGGCACTTCTGAGCACAGAGAGATGGAGGCCCCAGGAGGCCCTTCTGAAGACCGAGGAGGCAAAGGTAAGAGCAGGCCAGTGGTTATGGTTCCAGGAGATGCAGGGGCCGATGGAGGCCTTGCCTGTATCTGCTGCACATGCCCTTGCAGCCTGGGCTGTGCAGAGGCACATGCTCCTAAATGTGGTGCCAGTGCCACACGAGCTGTCATCTGGTGGACTGCAACTCAGCCCTGCACAGGACTCCACTTGCCTCCGGGAATCCCTGTTCACTTGAGGTTTTCACTTCAGCCCTCTGCCAAGATGCCCCAGCACTCTCTGCTCGGCTTGCTGTCTGGGAGCCCTGCTCTCCTTGGCAGTCTGCCCTCCACAAGGCTGCTTGGAACCCTCAAGGGCTCTCAGTGGGAGGGGAAGAGTTGTCCTCTCCTGGGTGGTCTGTTGGTTTTTTTAGCCTGGGTCTAGAGGAACACTGCTTGTGCTCAAAGTCACAGAGACTTTGGGAAACATGGTCTATGGGCAGTGTTTCCAGGGGCACAGTAGATTATCTCCTCAACTGGGAACTGTGGAGCTTTATGTTATAGGCAGCACTAACTTTAGCCAGGAGTAGTTGCCTCTGAAGGCTGACTATACAACTCTGGTTGCAAGGCAGCGGGGGAGGTGCATAGGTGGTGTGGCTCGGAAGCTTCTGGGAAGGCTGCTCCCCGCATGCCCCAGCTTGTGCTCTGCTCCTGAAGTTGGCCTGTCTGTATGGACGGTCCTTCCAGTACAGAGTTCTGCCATTTGGTCTTTTTGGGTTTTTTTCTGTCGCCCAGGCTGGAGTGCAGTGGTGTGATCTTGGCTTACTGCAAGCAACCCCCGCCTCCCAGGTTCAAGTGATTCTTGTGCCTCAGTCTCCCCAGTAGCTGGAACTACAGGTGTGCGCCACCATGCTTTTGTGTTTTTAGAGAGATGGGCTTTTGCCATGTTGGCTAGGCTGGTCTCGAACTCCTGGCCTCAAGTGATCCACCTGCCTTGGCCTCTCATGAGCCACCATGCCTGGCCTGCCATTTGATCTTGATAGTTGTTTGTCTCAACAAAACCCTCAGAAATTACCTTATGTATCATCAATAGATCACCCTGCATAAACACATTGTACTACTAGCCAGTGTGCTGTGACCTTGGCTGACTTTCTTGGGCACTCAGCACACCATTATTAGGTCCCTCTGGTCAAGGACATGCAGTTAGCATGGGAATGATGTAGTAGCTGACACTCTGCCCAGGTGCCTCAGGTGGGTTGAAGCTGCACTTTCTAAGAAAAGAAGCCAAGATTGTTCCTTTGGCTGGCTCTCCTAACTTCATCTCAGCTAGATTCATATTCTATTACAAAATATGAGACAGCGGAGAGTTTGCAGTCATCTTCTGAGAGTGCATTATGGGAGATGTGACCAAATCCTATCATTTCCTGAGGAAAAAAATCTTACAAGATAGAATTTTTTTTCCTTTTCCTTTCTTTTTTTTCTTTTTTTTTTTTTTTTAAATATATTCTCAAGCTGCAACAGAATGAAAGAATTTTAATAGTACCTAAACATTTGTGCATACTAGTCTGAAGCAGGTTAAGCTGTGCCTCGGTGATAGAACCTGAAAGCCAGTGTTTTGTGGGGTTTTTGGGTTTTTGTGCTTTTCTTTTGTTTTTTCAAGAAATACTTTATTTTACTAATTATGAAAAGGAAGCCAAAAGTGCCACATGTCACGGGACAGTCCCAGTGAACGCTTGTCCTAGTTGGAGCACTTTTTATTAACATTAGCAGTGTGTACTTCCAAAGTTAAGTCAGTATATTCAAACCTTCCCTCAATATACCCTGGTGGCTGGGAGCAGGCAGATACACTTCCCATGGCCTGGGACATGGCCCAGTGTGGCCCGGGTCTCCCTGAAGGTGCTCCTTGCTCATCTCTTGGCTTCCTGTCGTCTGTCACACAGCCCTGGGGGCATGGATCTGGCTGATGCTGAGGCCCATGGCCATGAGCCAGGAAGGGGGAGGCAGGGTCAGGAAAGGGTAGAGGCACACCTCTCAGTACGCTGAATACCACTGCCAGTCTCCCTGGCACCCACCAGAACTGGTCCATTGTCATCAGAGAGTAAAGTTTGTACTGGGAGTTACTGACAAACAGTTGCTAATACAAAAAGTCCCATGTGAAATTTTCTTTGTTTCAGGCCGAGGGGGCCCAGGACCTGCTCAGAGAGTGCCCAAATCTGGGCGTTCCAGCTCCTTAGACGGAGAGCACCACGATGGATACCACAGAGATGAACCTTTTGGGGGCCCTCCAGGCAGTGGCACCCCTTCTCGAGGGGGCCGGAGTGGCAGTAACTGGGGTAGAGGGAGTAACATGAACTCTGGCCCGCCGAGGCGAGGAGCTTCACGGGGTGGTGGAAGGGGTCGGTAGAAGCTGGAACTGAGTACCCTGAGGCCTCTCTGGACAGTATGTAAGAACTTCTTGTGGACTCACCAAGAGAAACAAAAGGAAGCCTGCACCATTGTAGCCCTGAACTCTTTTCTGGGCACCTGAATCCCAGGAACCCTCAATGAGGTCTTCAAGATGAAGAGACTGCTGCCAGCTACCAGCCTGGCTGGCCCTGTCCTGTCCACCCTCATTGCCCCAACTCCCATGTTGTTTTGTGAAGATAAAAGCTGGGATCTTTTTCTTTTTTTTAAGTCTCACAAGACATGGGGCATCTCCACAAATTTAAGTTCCTGTCCATTTGGAAATTTGTTTCTATGTGTACAGTTTGTCAGAGAAAAACAAAGTTTTTGTATGAATACAGAATGTGATTTACGCAAGAATTGACAGAAAACTAGTTGTGAAGTGCTTGCCTTAAGGAAACCTTTGGTTTCCATCGCATCCCATCTGCCAAGGAATGCACGGTTGTTGCTGATGTTCATGAGCATATTAACCACTAGGTTATCTAAATTAATCTCAGCTGTGAACTTTGTGTTTTTCAACACATTCTGTCACACCATTTTTGTGACAGAAAAATACTTGAAAATTATTCTAATGTAGTTTGTAGTAGGTTCAAATTTTTATTCAGACATGCTCTGACAGATGGAAAATTGTACTCTGAAGAGAAAATGCAATCTTCTGGATGTCCAACGAGGGAGCTTCCCCTTGGAAGCATCTCCTAAGAATCACAGTTTAGGTTTGAATCGCCTTGTTATGATGAGGAGAGGAACTTGATGTTAGTCAGAAATAAAGTCACATGCCCTTTAGATAACTTGAAATCACACATGGAGTTGATAAGGAATGGACCAAAATAGGTCCTCAAACAATTTTGCAACACTTAATTAAGTTTTCCTCTCTTCCTCTTCCATACTATGTGGAAATACCAGTGTTACGGCAGGGCGTACTTCTAACTCACAGTAAGCCAGATAGATCTTGTCCATGGCAAATTCCTTGTTTAAAATAAACATACCATTTAGCCCAGTTTGGATTGGAAGCCAAAAATTCAGTTTGTTATATACCCCATGATACTTTCTATACTGACCTTTATTTTGGTTTTACATGGAAGCTTTTATTAAAAGGACTGTCCTATGGCCACCTTAACATTTCATTACATTGGCAGCTTCAGTTTTGGCATCAGTCAAATTTATTTGGCAAATTTAGTGGTGCTGGAAGTTTCTTTTTTTCTTTTCCTTTTTTGACAGAGTCTTGCTCTGTCACCCAGCCAGGAGTGCAGTGGTGCAATCACGGCTCACTTCAGCTTTGACCCTGCCTCAGCCTCCCTAGTAGCTAGGACTACAGGCATATGCCACCATGCCCAGCTAATTTTTTGTGTGTGTGTTTTTTGTAGAGATGGAGTTTCACCACTTTGTCTATGCTGGTTTCAAACTCCTGGGCTCAAGCGGTCCACCTGCTGTGGCCTCCCAAAGTGCTGGGATTGCAGATCTGAGCCACAGTACCTGGCCGCTGGTGCTGGAAGTTTCAATGGTTGCTTAGAAAAGGCATACTGATATAGTTTAACAGGATATGAAAATTTAACTGGTTCTCTATGAATGTAAAAAACAGCAAAAGCTAATTGATTTCTGTGGAGTGAGAAAATGTCAGCCATATACACTGCTTTTCAGTGTTAGAATCTAGAGACTATTTTTTTTTTAACTTTGAAATTACAGCTTATTTAATCAGCGCTCCACCATAAACATGCTATTAGGAGGCTCAAGATTGCTTTAGGTTATGGGTATTTCTTCACTCACCCCCAACTGGTATAGCTTAAAGAGAGAGAAACTGTAATCAAATTTCATGAAGCTAAAACCGGATCCAGAGACCAAACCCATATCAAGATTAGACTTTTTTTCCCTGAGATTCTAGTGGAAAAATTTTCATTATTTTGGGCTTTAACTTTAGAAACATAGTATCTCAGTAAGCAGATAACCAGATCACATTTAAAAATTTTCATTTTACCTTGAAGCTCTACTGGACTTGACAGATCACATTTTGAGAGTGAATTCATTTAAACAATAAACCTCTACATTATACTTATTAAATATATATGGCATTTAAAAACATCACTGTCAGCATACATACTAGATGTTGTGATTTGAAGCTTATAAAAAGTAGATTTTCAATGATGTTTGATTTGAGAAAAAATTTTTGAGACAAGGTCTCGCTGTTGCCTAGGCTGTGGTGCAGTGGTGTGATCACAGTTCACTGCAGCCTCAACCTCCTGGGCTCAAGTGATCTTCCCACCTCAGCCCCACCCCAAGTAGCTGGGATCACAGTTGTGTGCCACCATATCTGGCAAATTTTTTGAAGATTTTCTGTGGCGATGGGGTTTAACTGTGTTGCCCAGGCTGGTCTTGAACTCCTGGCCTCAAGTGATCCTCCCGCCTTGGCCTCCCAAAATGCTGGGATTACAGGTGTGAGCCACCAGCTGAGAAATGTTGAATTTTTAAGTTTTTATTTAAGAAATAAACATTGTAAAACATCATTATAAAACCCCCAACTATTGCAAGTTCTAGAGAAATTTAAAACTAGAACAGAAATTTAGGGGACTAGAAAGAGCAGCCAATGGCACAAGTCTTTACAATTAATTAAAAAAATAAATCATTCTGAAGATACTGCATTTGCTCTCTCACAAGCAGCCTCCTGAGGTAGGTAACCTTGTTTACTGATGGGGAACAAGGCAGTGTTCTTTACCAAATCTCAGGGCGGGTAGCCTGCAAGCCTACAGTGTGGATGTTGGCCACTTGTGTCACTTCTTGGGACGGGGCTTAGGGACCTGACTTACTTAGGAACATAAATTTTGGGGTTGGAGGAAGCAGCAGTGCTCTACTGCGGCACGACAGACACCCTGTTAAGGCAACACTGGGATCCAGCTCAGGAAAAGCATTACTTTCAAATTGTGCAAGCCAATGCACAGAAAAGTGGTCCTCAAACTTGGGGAACGTAGAATCACTTGGGGAGCTTTAAAAAGGTCCTGATGTCTGGGACCTACTTCCCAGGTTCTGACTGCATTGATCTGAGGTGTGGCTCTTCAAGTAACTGATGTGCAGTCAAGCGCGAGGACCACTGGCACACAATGTTTAAATTCTAAATATATTTTACTTCCTAGTGTATTGCTACTGACAAAACGTAGTTTTCTGGACTCATCAGAATGTTAGGCTCATACCTTCTGGCAATAAATTAAGGTAGTTAAAAGTAACTGCTGAACCTAAAATGAAGGCAGCAGCAATTAGATATAAAAAAATCTTAAGATCAGCCTGCAAATTGTAAACTAGTTTACAAAGCAGGCTATACAATGAGGAATAATTCGAGCTTGTAGAAATCCATGGTTTCCACCAGATACAGGTATTCCGGATCTAGAATTATCTTTCTATTTGCAGGATTTCCGAAGAGACCGTTAAGCATCTACGCGCCCCTTCCTGGATCCCATGCTTCTTGGGGCAGGAAATTTCTTTTGGTCCGTCGCTTTCGTCGTGAAATACACAACTAATTTTCCTTTCATGTTATAAGGCACCATATTTATGATTTTGTTAACTGAAGAAAAAACCCGAGATAAACCATCTTAAGTACTTTTAAAAGTCCAGTGGCTGAATTCGGTGTTTAATCTGATACCCTTCTGGATTCGCTGACACTGGAGAGAATAATTTCCAAGTCTTAGTATAGCCAAAACAAAAAACTACCGTCGCTAAGCTACATCTACCACTGGATTTTAAAATGACAAAACAGCCTGAGAAAAATCACAAGAGCAGCTAACTCGAAGAAAAATCCTTTTTCTTTACTCAGCCGAACCTAAGACCACAGTTACTTCGAAAGCAACTTCTAATAACCGTCTCACATCCTGTCACCAGTTCAATGACAAAATCTCAGTTTTCAGAGCGTGTGCCAAGTCCAGCACAAAAAGCTGACATCGAGGAGCTCCCAACGCTGCTGTCGCCTCCGCTGGCAGCAGCCGCTCCCGGATTAGACTCGCAGGCTGTTAGGGCAGGGCCTTCGCCACGGGCTTCCGCACAGCGGCGTGCAGTCCTCAGCTCGGCCGGCGCGGTCTCCGACGGCGCTGGCTCCGCGTACTTCCCCAGCGGCGAGGGCGCGAGGTCCTCACACGGGCAGCACCTTGGCGAGGCCGGCGCCGCGGCCCAGGCGACCCAGTGCGAGGCGCAGCGCGGTGCCGCCGCCCCAGGGCAGCAGCCCAACCAGCGCGGCCAGCAGCGCGGCCACCTGCGCGCCCGCGCCCAGCACCGTGAGCAGCGTGCTGCGAAGGCCCAGCGCGGCGAACAGCGTGGCGCCCAGCGCTGCCATGTAGAGCAGCGCGGGCCGGGACGGCGCTTCTTCGCAGCGCAGCAGGCGTCCGCACGCCGCGCCGCCCCGCAGCAGCGCGCTTCCCGCCAACGCCAGCGCCGAGCCCAGTGACCAGAGCAGCGCGAACTTGCGCGCGCGCAGCAGCAACACCGGTGCGTAGAGCGCGGCTAGGCCGAAACACAGTGCAGCCAGCAGCAGGCACCCGCCGCCCGCCGCCAGCCGCTGCCCGCGCGTCACGCTCGGGAGGCACGTCAGGCCGGCCGCTGCCGACTCCGCAGGGCTCCGCGCCCACGTCCAGCGCAAGCCCGCGCGGCCCAGCCACTCCTCCGCCGGCCGGTCCCCGGGCTCCTCCGCCTTCTCCGCGGCGAGCAGCGGCTCCGCGGCCGCCGGGCCGCCAGCTTTCCCCTGCGCCAGGTACTCCTGCAGCTGGCGGTGGAGGTCCGCCATCTTGGACAAGGCGGTGGCAGAAAGGAAAAGCTGCGGCTCACTTCCGGCCCTCCGCTGAAGCGGTTCGGTCTTCGGGCGGCAATTGGTCGGCGACGGCGAAAGGGGCAGGGCCTGCGGCGCTCGCGGAAGTGCCGCGGTGCCTGCTCTGCGGACTTTTGTGGTGTCCCCAAGTACCGTGGTCGCAGGTGCTGCCTGTCCGCTTGCAGTCGCCCTCCCAGCGCCTGACCCTCTTCCTTGTTCGGAGTAGGCGCCCTTGCGGTCTGGCTAAGTCCTGCCAGCATTAATAGTTGGAAGGCAGGGGTGGGTGTGGTTCTAAAGGGGCACAAGAAGTGACCCTTTTGCTGACGGAAATGTCTTATGGCCTCACTGCGTCTACCGTGGCGGTGATATTGTGCTAGTTTTGCAACATGGAGGAATGGGTAAAGGGTACACAGAATCTCTCTTGTTTCTTACAACTGAACACAAACAGTGATCTCAAAATAAAAATTTAATTTTTAAAAAAGTTCAGACCTGTGTAACTCAGGTGGGTTTTTTGGGGAAAGTTGCGTTCTGATTAGTTACCTCACTTGTAGTAATAGTGACCATCCTGATCATTTACCATGGGGTTGATAAAGGAAGGGTTGACACCCAGCACCCTCAACCTGCTTCTCTATTCTGTTCTCAGTTTCGGCCACAGGCCTGGCAACATCCTTGACTCCTTCGCGCCCCTTGTCCAAGACTCGGTGCTGCTGTCCCATGTGTTTGGTGTCACTCTCGTGCTCTGGACAGCGCCACGCCCAGGTGTCCTGACTCATCGTCACATCACTGTGACAAGCTGGCTCGCACGCAGGTCAATCCTGATCTGTTCCCAGGCCGCACCCACGTGCCCTGCTGTTTCTCAGAGCCTCCTAGAGGGTGTTTGCTTGTGGTTCCTCTCACAGGTCAGATTCCTCCAGATTCTTCCAGCTGCCTCCACAGCTCCCCTCACCACCTTGGCTTCCCCTGGGTGGCCCTGTGTCCTTTGTCCTCTGCCCTAGGTGGATGTAAGGTTAACGGCTTCCTGCTGTTTGGCTTCTCAGCCTTTCCATCCCCTGTGTGTAACTAATCTCCCCCATTAAGTTCCTTTTAATGCTTTCTGTTTTCTTGGTTGGATCCTGGCAGATGCAATTCTTTTTCAAAATATATTCTGATTTGTTATCTCACTTGATAATAATAGTGACCAGCCTGATCACTTAGCATGGGCTAAACCATTAGGATGGCTACAATCAAAACAAAAAAACAAAAACACACCAGAAAGTTACAAGTGCTGTCAAGGATGTGGAGAAACTAGAAGCCTTGTGCACCGTTGGTGGGAATGTAAAATGCTATATCCGCTGTGGAAAACAGTATGGAAGTTACTATAAAAAAAAAATATATATATATATATATACACACACACACACACAGACACATATAAACGTATATACACACATATTTGTATACAGTTATGTGTGTATGTGTGTATATAATTACAATCCAATCCAGCAGTTCCACTCTGGATATATACCCCAAAGAATTGAAAGCAGGGTCTCAGAGATTTGTATAACTCTTCACAGCAGAACTATTCATGTCAGTCAAGAGATGGAAGCAACCCAAGTGTCCACCAGCAGATCAATAAAATGTGATATATGCATACAACGGACTGTTACGCAGCCTTAAAAA
This sequence comes from Homo sapiens, assembly GCF_000001405.40. Taxonomy (NCBI): domain Eukaryota; kingdom Metazoa; phylum Chordata; class Mammalia; order Primates; family Hominidae; genus Homo; species Homo sapiens. The sequence goes on along the minus strand of NC_000002.12, from coordinate 127,699,848 downwards.
GGAAGGAGATTCTGACACATGCTACGACATGGATGAACCTTGAGGACATTAGGCTGAGGGAAATAAGCCAGTCACAAAAAGGACCAATACTGCATGATTCCACTTCTGTGAGGTACTTAGAGTAGTCAAATACACAGAGCTAGAAAGTGGACTGGGTGCATAAATGCCCATCAGTGATGTTACCTAATCATTTATGCAGCTACCGTATAGAAAAGGCAGGAGTGTGCTGCTCATTTTATAGGTGAGGGAAGCTGAGAAATACCAAGAAGTGAGGTAACCTACTCAAGGTCACCTACAAAACTGACGATAGGGCAGCGTTAGGTTGTGATTCCTGGTTTCTAACCTTGTGGGCTTCCCATTGCAGAAAGAGGCCTTCACTGAGGGTCCCTCTGTGTGAGCCCTGGATGCGCTTTCTGCTGTGGTTTGGTTGCAGGGAGGGAAGGTCATTAACAAAACCCACTCTCCTCTAGCACTGCAGCAAAACTCATCCTAACAATCATCTTCACTTGCTTCCCTGTCTCCCTTGAAGCCCTTCAACCAGGCCTTCGTTCCACCGTGCCAGCAAAATTGTTCATTACAAAATCGCCAGACGCTGTCGGCTAGTGCGGTGAGTTTCGGCCCTCAGCCCCAGGACGGCACCGTGGGCTCCTCTCTTGACTGTTCCTCCTCCTGAGACCTCAGCGTTGTTGCGCCTGGGATATCCCCTCTTTTCTCTCTCGGCACCCTCTGGCCCAGCCCGTGTTGTTAAAACCCTCTGCGTGCAGAGCGTCCCCCACTTCTCCACCGGGCATCTAATAGACACCCTGGAGGTGACATGCAGAACCAAACACTTCACTCCTGACTTCCCCTCCTCATCCCCCAAAACCTGTAGCTAACCCCTCCTTCCGCACCTCAAGAAATCGCACCCCATCAGCAAGTCCCACCAGCTCTACCTTGGAAACAGATCCAGTACCAGCCGATTCTCTCCTCCACCACTAACCCCACATCTGGGCGCCCCCCTGCACCCCACCACGGAGCCCCTGTTTTGGTCCATGCTTTCCTCACGGTTGTTCACACATCGGCCTGAGGGACCTTTGTCCACTGAGTCAGATGATGTCACTCCCCCAGTGCTCCCCACCTCACACTCACAGAAGCAACTTCCTCACCTCGCCCACGCTGCCCTGTGGAATGGCCGGGACCTGTCTGCCTCTACTCCCCTGCTTTCTCCCCACTCCATGCCAGTCTATGACTGGTGGCCTTTGGGTTGTTTCTGGATCTGTCAAACATGTTCCCACTTCGGTGCCTTTGTCCTTGCTGTTCTCGGCCTAGAGCATTCCTCCTCACCCCAAATATCTTCACAGCGCCCTCCCTCATTCCTTCAGGTCTCTACTTCAATGTCACTTTTCAAAATGTCTTTCCCTGACTTCCCCGAAGCAGCAGCTCCCATCACCCTCCACCCTTTCCACTCACAAGCATAATGGACGGTAGCACACTCGTTTCCTGGGTGGTCTAAGAACAGGCAAATGCCTTTCTGAGCCCTCCCTCCCTCCCGATCCTTCATTTTGAGCCTGTCCTTCCTTCTGGGCTCCATTCACAGTGGACGTTGATGTGGATGGAGATGCAAAGGACCCAGACTCACACACATGCAGCAGGGCCCTGAAAGGATTTTTTTTTTAATTTCTTGTTCTGAAACCCTATTTCTCTGTGGTACTCGATGGCCTTGTCCCCACGGGGAGAAGCCTGGCTTTTCAGGAGCTTTAGATTTCACCGTGTCAGCACCAGGCAGGGCCTGGCCTCAGCTCTCGCAGCCACCGCATCTGCACATCCTGGGCAGGGGCTCTTCAGATGCCCGCGTCCTCCCTTCCAGTATTGTTGGACTTTAGCATAAGGTCAGGCAGGTCCCAGCTCCCACCTCCCCAAGGGGAAGGGGCCACAGCCAGCCTTTTCTTCTGCCGAGGTCTTTCACCTTGACCTGAGGAAGCAGCACCCTTCGCACCAAATCCTCTCCCACTTGCAGGAAATTATATTTTCTCCCAGAGCCCAGCAAGTGTTATCCACGCTTCTTTTGAGGGCTTTCCAGAGTGGCGTCTGCCTCCCTTCCCTGTCTGTCATGGCCCTCTCTGTTCAGCTGGGTTTACTTGTCCCCTGCCGGGCCGCAACCTGAACTACATTCTCCCTTCCTTCAGTGTGGCGGGTCAGCTAGCGCCAACCACCCCCTCATTTTTGAGACAGGATCTTGCTCTGCTGCCCAGGCTGGAATGCAATGGTGCGATCTTGGCTCACTGCAAACTCCGCCTCCCGGGTTCAAGCGATTCTCCCACCTCAGCCTCTGGAGTAGCTGAGATTACAGGCGCCTGCCTGTAGACGGGGTTTCCACAGATGGTGCAGGTGGTCTCCAACTTCAGAGCTCAAGTGATCCGCCCACCTCAGCCTCCCAAAGTGCTGGGATTACAGGCATGAGCTACCGCACCAGGCCCACCAGTGCCCCCTTTCAAAACTGAAATCTAGTAATGTCCTCTTTATCTACTATTCTTCAGTGGCTCCTTATTTCCTACAGATTAAATTCTAATTCCCTGCCTGCCACCCAGCCTTCTAGGCCCTGCCTTACGCCCCTGTGGCTCTCCCCGATGCTCTGTGGGGTCCCTCTGGACCTAGCAGTTTGGAGACTCCCTTCTTCTGTGGCTTTGCTGAGCCTGGGCTCTCTGCTGGGTGGACCTCTGTCTACTGCTCCTTCCCCTCCCTCTCCCAAGCATCCCCTTCCTCCAGGTCAGTCCTCAGGGCCCACACAGCCCTGTCACTGACTGGTGACATTGCCAATGCCTTGAGGAGTTTTGTTATCAAACAAATGGGCTCACTGCTCAAGGCACAGCGAAACCAGTAACACTGGCAGCAGCTTTTGAGAAAAGAAAGGTTTCATTGCAAAACTGACAAGCAAGGAGGCAGGAGTGGGGCTCAAATCTGTCTCCCCAGTTTGAGGTCTGGGGTAAGCTTTAAGGGATCAGAGGGCAAGGGAAGTGATTGAGCAGTGTTGGCTTGGCAGGGTCTGATTGGCGGGCTTCAAATTTAACGATTTATGGAAAGGTTTGTCAAGGTAGATTTGGGCCCCAGTCTCCCAGGCTGACGCATCCCTGCTTCTGAAAGATTTCCATGTTCAGGTTCCAGTCCTGTCCTGGTCTTCTTTGTTCCGAGGGGAGGAGTCATTGGTTCTGGGTATTGTTAGAGGTCAAAGCTTGTTCCATTGTGCATGCCTGGGCAACATGGCTTGCAGTTTTGGCTCTGTTGTACCTACAAAGCAATGCGACATTCTGTCATCAACAAGGTAGGCCCAGTATGCGCTGGTCTCGCAGTTATAGTTTCTTCTTTTATTTACTAATTTTTAAAAGAATACCTAACTGCTTGCGTGGTGATGGTCTTCTCAAGTCTCATTTCTTTGAGTCCTGCTTCCCAGCCCCTGTCACTGTCTTCATTGCCTTGGCTTTTCCGGGTGACCTCAAGTTGGGTGGCTCAGGCTTTGTGGCAAATGTTGGCTCACCAGGCTGATTCATCATGGCTCAGTCACTGTCTGGGTTGGTCGCCTGGCCCTGGTGATCTTCCTCAGGCACAGTGCCAAAGCACTTGCCACAAAATGATGTCTCCTGTCCCCCCGACCTTGGGGCAGCAGAGCCTCTCCGTGGCCACTGGCTCATAGAGCTTCTGCACTGAGGGAGGTGCTCCGGCCAAGGCAGTGACCAGCAGCCACATGTAGCCTCTGCACCTGCGGGGCAGCTGAGGAACTGAATTTTAAATTTTAATTAACTTTAGTTAATTCATTATTTATATTGAATTATATTTAAAACATCATAATGTACCCACATTATTATATGTAACATACATAATATACTATTAATATATATTTATCATAGCCACATGTAGCTACTGTATTCCCACTGCCCCTCTGGAGCCTGTCAGAGATAGGGGGCGCAGTTGGCATTGTCACCACGCTGCCTGCACTTGAGTGCGAGCGGGTGCCCAGGGAGCGCTGGCGGCGCTCGCGTGCTGCTGGGGATGGGCAGACTCCTCGAGGGGCGCGGGCGAACGGTCGGGCTCTTGGACGTGGGGGGGCAGCGGCGTGCGGGGCCCTCCCCCGGTTTTCTCCTTACGCGTCCTGGGGAAACTGAGGACGCAGACGCCCTCCCACAGGAGCGTCTGAGCCAGGGCGCCTCCCAGGATGCCTCGCTGTCCCTCAGGCCTTCGTAGCGTCGGCTTGTCCAGTTGGCACCGCCCGTCCCGCTCTCTGGGGGCCCTGGCACCTCGGCCCCGCGCGGGCCTGTCCCGGGACCCCGCCGGCCGCGGGCCGCTCTCACGTGCTTTTGGCTGCAGCCCTACCCCGCTAGATTAGATTTAAAATCGCTAAAGGGGCCCTGTTCTGATAGCCTTAGAGATAAATAAGCACCTTATATAAATGGAATAGTCCCGAATTTTTCAGAAGTTGGGGAAATGTAACTTCTAATATGTTAATGGTCAAAAAGGAAAATTATTTTCATAAAAACTGACTCAGAAATGTTTTAAGAATTCAAAATCTTGTTATTTAGACAAATGTGACTGGGTTAATATTTTTGGCTTAATAAAAACAGCTATGGGCCAGGCGCAGTGACTCACGCCTGTAATCTCAGCACTTTGGGAGGCTGAAGCCAGCAGGTCATGAGCCCAGGAGTTCAAGACCAGCCTGGCCAACATGATGAAACCCCGTCTCTACAAAAATACAAGAAATTAGCCGGGCACAGTGGCGCGCGCCTGTGGTCCCAGCTTCTGCAGAGGCTGAGGCGAGAGGGTTGCTTGAGCTGGGGAAGTCAAGGCTGCAGTGAGCCTAGATCTTAACCACTGCACTTCAGCCTGGGCGACAGAGGGAGACCCTAAATCAAAAAAAAAAAAAAAAAAAAAGGAAAGAAAAAACTCATTTAGAAAGGGCTAATTTCTGTACAATTATTTTCCTTCTCTGTTGATTTTAAATAAACATTTAAATACTTTATTGTCATGGCCAGATGCAGTGGCTCACGCCTGTAATCCCAGCACTTTGGGAGGCCGAGGTGGGCGGATCACGAGGTCAAGAGATCAAGACCATCCTGGCCAACATGCGGAAACCCTGTCTCTACCAAAAATACAAGAATTAGCTGGGCGTGGTGGTGCGCGCCTGTAGTCCCAGCTACTCCGGAGGCTGAGGCAGGAGAATCCCTTGAACCAAGGAGGTGGAGGTTGCAGTGAGCTGAGATCGCGCCACTGCACTCCAGCTTGGCGACAGAGCGAGACTCAGTCTAAAACAAAAACAAAGACAAAAAAACCAGAAATTATTGTCAGTTTGAAATGAATAGCCAAATAGTTTCTCATGATTTGACTTCTATTTTAAGTGGTTAAATCTCTTGATAACTTTGCTTTTTGCCTTCCCAATATTGAGTCCTAATGTAAAATAAAATAAGATAAAATTCCCCAGGTTTTGCCTGGAACGTCATTTTTGAGAATGGCATTCATTTGGGATAGCTTTGATGTCTAAACACTCTTTGAATTTCCCAGAGGGTCCCTGAAAGCACTTGTTGTCTTGTTGTCTATTCTTTGAAAATGAGGTTAATAAGGGCCGGGCGCAGTGACTCACGCCTGTAATCCCAGCACTTTGGGAGGCCGAGGTGGGCGGATCACAAGGTCAGGAGTTCGAGGCCAGCCTGGCAAATATGGTGAAATCCGGTCTCCACTAAAAATACAAAAAAATTTGCTGGGCGTGGTGGTGCATGCCTGTAATCCCAGCTACTTGGGAGGCTGAGGCAGGAGAATTGCTTGAACCCAGGAGGCAGAGGCTGCAGTGAGGTGAGATTGCGCCACTGCGCTCCAGCCTGGGCGACAGAGCGAGACTCCATCTCAAAAAAAAAATGAGGTTAATCATGTTTATAATTATTTTGTCAAAAAATTTTGACTTTATTATCTCATTTTGCAGGATGCAGAAACAACCATATTTCCTTGTCAGTTGCACTATTGTTGTAATGAACTGTCATCTAGTCTTTTGTATTTGAATATTATCTGGCTAGATAAGGAATTCCCCCTTTCTATTTTTCTCATAAGTTATCTATAATTCATAACAATTTAGTAGACTATACTTTTGTAAACAGAAATGAACTGTTTGTAAAGTGATTTCTTCATGCCTGACCCTTCTAGAATTCAAAACGCTTACTGAGTATTCTTATTTTCATGGAAATGGAAGTTATTGTCATAAATTCAGTAAGAATATGTCCTTCTTGTTAATGGGAAATAGTTGGAAACATTGAAGATACAACCAAGGCCTTGTCTGGAATGTCATACTTGAGGATGATGCTCATTTAATCATATATGACCAGACACTTTTAAGGAGCTAAGGTTGACTTTATGGAGCCAACACTTACAAAGCCCTCTTGGAAAAACCAGCCTGGTATCTGGCTTACAGTGTTCCCAGAATTATAAGTGAGTAAGGAAGGTCGACCTTCCTTACTTTCCTTTCCTGGCCAACCCAGGAAACTTAGGATATTTTGGGAACCCTTCTAAGAGAGGAATTTGCTCAAATCTATAGATACTGCCAGTGAGATCTGGTGTTGAGTTCTTAAGTTGGCTTCTTGGCCTCAGTGGTTTTTAAAATTTCACTCCTTATGCAAAATCCTAATAAAGCAAACTCAGAAGGCCTATGGTAAATGGCCATTCTTGCTGTACCTATAAAAATAACCAGGCCAAATCTAATCAGACTAACTTTGTCTGATGTGGTGTGTGTATGGTGGTAGGGGACCGGGGGCGGGGGGTCGATAATAAGCTTTCTTTGAGGTTATTCTTATCAAAATGAGGGAGATTGAAGAAAAATACTTGTGTTTCAATGGAAAGCTATGCACACTTCCTAGCACATTTTTCTAGGTTACAGTTTCTAGCCTTGTTCATTGTATTTAATCTACTTTACCTCTTTGTAAATCACAAGTAACTGATGCATATGTAAACACTCCCTTGTCTGGTAGAGATTCTTCCTCAATGTAGCAGAATAGATTTTGACACCTAGCTGCTAATAGGACTGGATCCTGCTACTTTGCCCATACTGTCAATCATTACCAAATTTTTCATTCTTCCTGTTTCCATTAATATCTGGTTATGGCTAAGTGTGGTGGCTCATGCCTGTAATTCCAGCACTTCAGGAGGCCGAAGTGAGAGGATTGCTTGAGGCCTGTAGTTTGAGAACAGACTGGGAGACACAGTGAGACCTTGTCTTTACAAAAAAATATAATTAGCCAGGTGTGGTGATACACACCTGTAGCCCTAGCTACTTGGTAGGCTGAGGTGGAAGGATTGCTTGAGTCCAGGAATTCAAGACTGCAGTGAGCTATGATTGCACCACTGCACTCTAGCCTGAGCAATAGAATGAAACCCTGTCTCTTAAAAAAAAAAAAAAAACTAAATGAAGATTAAATGACAATGTCTCATTGGAGAGTATCAATAAAGGAGTAGAAATTATAAAAATGAACCAAATAAAAAATTCTGGAGATGAAAAGTACAATAAACAAAATGAAAAGGCCAGGAGTGGTGGCTCACATCTGTAATCCTGGCACTCTGGGAGGCTAAGGCAGGAGGATTGCTTGAGCCCAGAAGTTCGAGAACAGCCTGGGCAACATAGTGAGACCTCACCTCTAAAACAAAACAAAACAAAAACAAAATGAAAAATTCACTGGATAGGATAAACAGTAGATTTGAGTTGGCAGAGAAAAGAATCAGTGAACTTGACACATCAGTAGAAATAATGCAATCTGAAAAATAGAGAAAAATATGAAGAAAAATGAGCAGAGCATCAGAGCAATATGGGACACCACTAAGTGCACCAGCATATTGATATGGTTTAGCTTTGTGTCCCCACCCAACTCTTATATCAAATTGTAATCCACGATGTTGGAAGTGGGGCCTGGTGGGAAGTGATTGGATCATGGGGGTGGTTTCCAATGATTTAGCATCCCCCTTGGTTGTGATAGTGAGTGTGTTTTTGTGAGATCTTGTCATTTAAAAGTGTGTAGCACCTCCCCCCTCCCTGTTTCTTCCTCCTGCACTGGCCATGTAAGACATGCCTGTTCCCCATTTGCACTCTGCCATGATTGTAAGTTTTCTGAGGCCTCCCCAGAAGCTGAGCAGATGCTGCCATGCTTCCTGTACAGCCTGCAGGACCATGAGCCAATTAAACCTCTCTTCTTTATAAATTACCCAGTCTCTGGAATTTCTTTATAGCTATGCAAGAATGGACTAATATAGAAAATTGGTACTGAGGAGTGGGACATTGCTATAAAAATACCTGAAAATGTGGAAGTGACTTTGGAACTGGGTAATGAGCAGAGGTTGGAAGAGTTTGGAGGGCTCAGAAGAAGACAGGAAGATGAGGGGAAATTTGGAACTCCCTACGGACTGGTTAAATGGTTGTGACCAAAATGCTGATAGTAATATGGATAGTGAAGGCCAGGGTGAGGAGGTCTCAGATGGAAATAAGGAACTTAATGGGAACTGGAGCAAAGATAACCTTTGTTACATATTCGCAACAGAACCTGGTGGTGTTGTGCCCCTGCCCTAGGGATCTGTGGCACTCTGAACTTGAGAGTGATGATTTAGGGTATCTGGTGGAAGAAATTTTTAAGCTGCAAAGTGTTTACGGATTGGCCTGGCTGCTTCTAACAACCTACGCTCATATGTGTGAGCAAAGAAATGACCTGAACCTGGAACTTATATTTAAAAGGGAAGCAGAGTGTAAAAGTTTGGAAAATTTGTAGCCTGGCCATGTGGTAGAAAAGAAAAGCTAATTTTCGGGGGAGGAATTCAAGCAGGCTGCAGAAATTTGCATAAGTAAAGAGGAGCCCAAGTGCTAATAGCCAAGACAATGGGGAAAAGGTCTAGAAGGCATTTCAGAGACCTTCGTGGCAGCCCCTCCCAGCACAGGCCTGGATGCTTCAGAGGACTGAATGGTTTTCTAGGTCAGGCCCAGGGCCCTGCTGCCCTGCACAGCCTTGAGACTCTACTCCCTGCATCCCAGCTGCTCCAGCTCCAGCTGGCTGAAAGGGGCCCTGGCCACTGTTTCAGAGGGTGCAAGCCATTAAACTTGGCAACTTTCATGTGGTGTTAAGCCTGCAGGTGCACAGAATGCAAGAGTTTAGGCTTGGGAGCCTCTGCCTAAATTTCAGAGGATGTATGGAAATGCCTGGATGTTCAGGCAGAAACCTGCTGCAGGGGCAAAGCCCTCATACAGAACCTCTACTAAGGCAGTGTGGAAATGTGGGGTTGGAGCCCCCACACAGACTCCCCACTGGGGGACTACCTAGTGGAGCTGTGAGATGAGGACCTCTGTCTTCCAGACCTCAGAATGGTAGATCCACTGGCTGCTTGCATCCTGCACCTGGAAAAGCCACAGGCACTCAAGACCATCCCTTGAGAGCAGCCATGTGGGCTGAACCCTGCAAAGCCACAGGGGGAGAGCTTCCCAAGGCCTTGGGAGCCCAGCTCTCACACTAGTGTCCCCTGGATGTGGGGCATGGTGTCAAATGAGATTATTTTGGACCTTTAAGATTGAACGACTACCCTGCTGGGTTTTGAACTTGCATGGGGCCTGAAGCCCCTTTCTTTTGGCTGATTTCTCCCTTTTGGAATGGGAGTATTTAACCAATGACTGTACCCCCATTGGAAGTAACTAACTTGTTTTTGATTTTACAGGCTCATAGGTGGAAGGAACTTGCCTTGTCTCAGATGAGATTTTGGACTTTTGAGTTAATGCTGGAATAAGTTAACACTTTGTGAGACTGCATGATTATATTTTGAAATATCAGAAGGACATGAGATTTGGGAGGGGCCGGCGGCAAAATGATATGGTTTGTGTCCCCACCCAAATCTCGTGTTAAATTATAATTCCCAGTGTTAGAGGTGGGGCCTGGTGGGAGGTGACTGGATCATGGGGGCAGTTTCCAGTGGTTTAGCACCATCCTCCTTAGTCATAATAGTGAGTTCTCATAAAATCTGGTCATTTACAAGTCTGGGCCAGGCACAGTGACTCACACCTGTAATCCCAGCACTTTGGGGGGCTAAGGGGGGGCAGATCACCTGAGGCCAGGAGTTCAAGACCAGCCTGGCCAACATGGTGAAACCCTGTCTTTACTAAAAACACAAAAATTAGTTGAGTATGGTGGTGGGTGCCTGTAATCCCAGCTACTTGGAAGGCTGAGGCAGGAGAATTACTTGAACCTGGGAGGCAGAGGTTGCAGTGAGCAGAGATTGCACCACTGCACTCCAGCCTAGGCCAGAGTGAGACTCCAGCTCAAAAAAAAAAAAAAAAGTAGCACCTCCCTGCTCCTTCTCTTTTCCTTCTGCTCTGGCCATGTAAGATGTGCCTGTTTCTCCTTCACCTTCTGCCATGAGTATAAGTTTCCTAAGGCCTCCCCAGAAGCCAAGCAGATGCTGCCACACTTCCTGTACAGCCTGCAGAACTGTGAGCCAATTAAATCTCCTTTCTTTATAAATTACCCAGTCTCAGGTATTTCTTTATAGCAATGTAAAAATGGACTAATACACATAAGAATAATGGAGAGAAGTGAGAGAAAGGGACATAAAAATTATTAGAAGGCACAATGGCTGAAAATTTCCCCAAATTATTTGCTTATTTATTTAAAATTTATTAATATTATCATGTTTATAGAAAGAGTCTTGCTCTGTCACCCAGCCTGGAAGGCAGTGGCACAAGCATAGCTCACTCTAACTTTGACTCCCTGGGCTCAAGCATTCTTCCTGCCTCAACCTCCCAAGTAGCTAGGACTACAGGCATGCACCCCAATGCTCAGCTAATTTTCAAGTTTTTTGTAAAGACAGGGTCTTGCTGTATTTCCTAGGCTGGTCTTGAACTCCTAGCCTCAAATGATCATCCCACTTCAGCCTCCTAAAGTCCTGAGCTTACTCATCACCTAAAGGCAAGAGCCACTGTGCCTGACCAATTTCCCCAACTTTGATGAAAAACATTATTCTAAACATCTGAGAAACAATGAATTTCAAGTAGGATGAACACAAAGGCATTCACACTCAGACATATTATAGTCAAATTTTGAAAGCCAAAGATAAAGATAAAATCTTAAATGCAGCAAAAGGAATACAATTCATTGTGTACCAGTAGTACAATAATATTGACAAATGATGTCTCATCAGAAGCAATGGGGGCTAGAAAGCCGTGGTATGACATGTTCAAAGTGCTTAACAGTAAAAACAAAACAACAACAAAAAACCTGTTAACCAATAATTCCATACCCAACAAAACTATCTTTCAACAATAATGGCAAAATAAAAAGCACTCCAAAATAAATAAAATCTGACTGAATTTATTGCTACCAGTCCTGAGTAACAAGAAATATTTAAGGTTTTTCAGATAGAAAGCAAGTGACACCAGAAACTAATTTGAATCCACATGAAAAACAAAAGTGTTGGTAAAAGTAGATAATTACAATATAAAGTATAATTGCATATTTCTTCTTCTCCTCTTAACTGATCTAAAAAGTAATTGCATAAGAAAATATGCATGTAACTTTTTATGGGCTATGCACATATAGGAATGTAATATGTGTCAACATTTTGTCAAAATGTTATTTAACAGTAACAGCACAAAGGAGATGGATGAAAAATTACAGCCAACATCTCTTATGAATATACACAAAAATCCTCAACTAATTACTAGCAGCCTAATCCAGCAACATATACAAAGGATTATATACCACATTGAAGTGGGATTTATCCCAGGAATGCAAGGTTGGTATAATATATTAACATCAATCACTGTAATACACTACATTAATACACTGAAGGACAAAACTCATATGGACATTTCAACAGACATAGAAAAAGCATTTGACAAAATTCACCACTATTTTTTTTTTTTTTGAGATGGAGTCTCACTCTGTCATCCAGGCTGGAGTGCAGTGGCACGATCTTGGCTCACTGCAACCTCTGCCTCCCAGGTTCAAGCGATCATCATGCTTTAGCCTCCCGAGTAGCTGGGACTACAAGCATGCGCCACCATGCCCAGCTAATTTTTGTATTTTTAGTAGAGATGGGGTTTCACCATGTTGGCCAGGCTGGTCTCAAACTCTTGACCTTGTGATCTGCCTGCCTTGGCCACCCAAAGTGCTGAGATTATAGACATGAGCCACCATGCCTGGCCCACCACTCTTTCATGATAAAACAAACAAATGAAAACAAGAACAGAAGAGGACTTCTACCAACAATGGAAGAGAGCTTCCTCCTCAACACTGTAAAGGGGTTTATGAAAAACCCACAGCTAAAATCATATATATATATTTTGAGACAAAGTCTCACTCTGTAGCCCAGGCTTGGAGTGCAGTGTTGCTATCCTGGCTCACTGCAGCCTTGACTTCCTGGGCCCAAGTGATCCTCCCCCCTCAGCCTCCGAAGTAGCTGGGACTACAGACAGGCGCATGCCACCATGCTTTGCTAATTTTTTTTTTTTTTTAATTTTTGTAGAGACAGGATCTCCTTATGTTGCCTATGCTGGTCTTGAACTCCCGGACTCAAGTAATCCTTCTGCCTCGGCTTCCGAAAGTGCTGAGATTACAGGTGTGAGTCACCATGTGTGTCCTAAAATCATGTTTAATGATGAAAGACTGTATGCTTTCAGCCTATGATCAGGAAGATGACAAGGATGTCTGCTCTTTCCACTTCTGGTTTCTAGCCAGGGACAATAGGCAAGAAAAAGAAAAGGCATCAAGACTGGAAGAAATGAAGTAACACTACCCTCTATTTGCAGATGACATGGTCTTGTGTATAGAATAGTCTAAGGAATTTCCAAGAAAGCTCTGGAATTAACAAGTACAGTAGGATTTTAGGATACAAGATTAATATGCAAAATTTATTTGTGTTTCTATATGCCAGCAGTCATAATCTGAAAAGGAAATTAAGAGAACAATTGCATTTGCAATCATATCAAAAGGAGTAAAATACTTAGGAATAATTTATCTAAATGAGCACAAGACTTACACACACTGAAAACCACAAAACATTGTTCAGTAGAATTAAGGAAGATCTAAATAAATGGAAAGACATCCTATGTTAATGGATAAGAACACTCCTTATAGTCACACTCACTCCCGTACTGCAACCATTCCCAGTCTCTGGCAACCACTAATCTATTTGTCATCTCTATAATTTTGTCATTTGAAGGATATTATATGAGTAGAATCATACAGTATGTGATCTTTGCAGGTTGCTTTTTTTCACTCAGCATAATGCCCTTGAGATATATCCGAGTCGTTGCGTGTATCTTACCCTGCCTTGTTATGTAAGCTTTGAATATTTTTTAGAATTCCGTTTTTACTTATCTATACTGTTTTGGGGGTATATCTCTTTGTATAGGTTTTTTTGTGGTTGTTCTAAAAAGCCATACATATATAACTTATGCACAGCCTACTGGTGGCAGCATATTACCAGTTCAAATAAAGTGTAGAAAACTTACCTCCTGTTAATTCCCTGTATTAGTCAGGAGTCTCCAGAGAAATGGAACCAATAAGATATGCATATATATAAATACAAAAGGAGATTTATCATGAGGAATTGGCTTGTATGACTATGGAGGCCAAGATGTCCCATGATCTGCCACCTGCAAGGGGAAAATTCAAGAAAGATGGTATAATTCAGGCTGAGTCAGAAAGGCTGAGAACCAGGGGAGCTGATGGTATAAACCCCAATGCAAGGGCAAGAAAAGATGAGATGAGACATCCCAGCTCAAGCAGGCAAGAAGGAAAAAGGGTGAATTCCTCCTTCCTCTGCCTTTTGTTCTGTACAAGTCTTCAGTGGATTGGATGGTGCCCACCCACGCTGGGGAGGGCAGTGTACTTTGCTGAGTGAGTCCACAGATTCAAATGCTAACCTCACCCAGAAACACAGCAGCAGACACAGCAGAAACAATGTTTAATCTGGGCAGACAACGGCCTGTCAAGTTGAGACGTAAAATTAGCCAGCACAGTTAATCCATCTCCCTCCCCCATGTATAATCCTCCTAAATATTTCTTTCCTGGCCCACGATAGTTTCATCACACACACATGCTTATCAGCATTCAGTGGAATACTTGGGGGAACCCTCTAGAGATCTGTGTCCACTCTCTGTGCAGCCTCCTCCTGTCTGGTATCCAGTCCTGTGGCATCTGGCTGCCTTGGTCTCCCTGTACTCTCAGCTCCACAACTCGAGGAGTCTTCTCAGCCCCACCTGGCTTTCCCCTCCCTGGGCGAGGCCTTGGAAGTATTCTCACAGCAGAACGCTGGGGCAATCATGGCTTCCTTTGTTGCCCATCTCTTACAGATCACTGTCCCTCGCTGCCTGATGTTCAGTATCCCAGAAACAATTGTTTCATGTATTTTGTCTGGCTGCTGCTACTCCATCTTGGCTGGGTACAGAAGTCTTAGTAATTATTTCTTGTTTAAGAAAATACAGTTTTTTAATAAAGATATGTCATTGTATTCATATTGCATTCATATGTAATAGTTTTCTTATTGAGTTGTAAACTAATAATGAAATATTCTTGGCCGGGCACGGTGGCTCACGTCTGCAATCCCAGCACTTTGGGAGGCCGAGGCGGGCAGATCATCCGAGGTCAGGAGTTCGAGACCAGCCTGGCCAATATGGTGAAACCCCATCTTTACTAAAAATACAAAAATTAGCTGGGTGTGGTGGCACGTGTCTGTAATCCCAGCTACTCAGGAGGCTGAGGCAGAAGAATTGCTTGAACCCGGGAGGCAGAGGTTGCAGTGAGCCGAGGTCGCCATTGTACTCCAGCCTGGGCGACAAGAGCGAAACTCTGCCTCAAAAGAAAAAAAAAAAGAAATATTTTATTTATTGTTTTTGAGACACAGAGTCTCGCTCTGTTGTCCAAGCTGGAGTGCAGTGGCGCCCTCTCGGCTCACTGCAACCTCCGCCTCCAGGGTTCAAAAAATTCTCCTGCCTCAGCCTCCTTAGTAGCTGGGACTACAGGTGTCCACTATTATGCCCGACTAATTTTTGTATTTTTAGTAGGGACAGAGTTTCGCCATATAGGCCAGGAGGGTCTTGAACTCCTGACCTTAGGTAATCCACCTGCCTCGGCCTCCCAAAGTGCCGGGATTACAGACGTTAGCCACCATGCCCGGCCATAAATTAATAATGAAATATTCTTAACATGTATCATTTAAATTTCTATTATGGTAAATATTGATAGATATAGCCCATATAAATAAATGCTCTTTGATATACTCAACACTTCTTAAGAGTATAAGACAGTGGTATTGAGACCAAAAAGTTTGATAACCACTTTCACATATGAGTTTTCTTACGCCTTACAACATTCTTATGAGGAAGGTACTGTTGTTATCAACCTTATTTTATACATGAGGAGACTGAAGCCAAGAGAAGTGAAGGAGTTGTCCAAGATCATACAGTGAGTGTGAGACAGTATCTGAACCCAAGTAGCCCGGCTCTGTAGTCTACGTTCCAGGATCCACCGTGCCACGCTGCCTCCATTAGCATATGTTTTCAGACTGTTACAACACTTTTAAGCCTCACAGAGTAAACATCAGATGCAGGCCCAGCCCTGTTCTTCCCCAGCACCTGCACCCACTTCTTGTCCAGCAGAGGCCATGGGTTCCAAGTGTCTTTGCGTTGCCCACGTCTGGCAGAAGGTGTGTGGTTGATCTCCCTCACCCTTTGACCTCACACCAATGGGCTGGATCCACATGGACAGAAGCGCAGTGGGGTTGCAGCTTCTCTTGGGGGTACGTGGCAGAGGCGGTGGGCCTGCCCGTAGCTGGTCAGCCCTGTGCACATGCCCATTTGGCAGATCAACGTTAGTGCCGGGCCAACTTACTGCACTGTGGGCTTCCCAGGCTGCCTCTCCTGGGGCAGATCTCAGGCTAGTGTGCAGCTGTTGTAGCAGGATGAGTCGCAGACAAAACTCCTCAGACACCAGATTAAAGAAGGAAGAGGTTTTTTTTTATTCGGCCGGGAGCGTCGGCAGACTCGTGTCTTAAGAGCCGAGCTCCCCGAGAAAGAAATTCCTAGCCCTTTTAAGGGCTTATAACTCTAAGGGGTCTACGTGAAAAAGTCATAATAGATCAAGTAAGCGTGAGAAACGTGACTGGGGGCTACATACATCAGCTAACAGAACAAAAAGTTTTACAGTGCTTTCTCATACAATGTCTGGAACTTACAGATAACACCAGTAGTTTTGGTCAGGGGTTAATAATATTATTATTATTTTAGCCAGCAGGGCCAGGTGGTGGTGCCAAGGTCGTCTAGCTATTTATCTTACTTCTGTTTCTTTCCAACTTTTTGCTTTCTCCCTTTTCTCCTGTCTTATAAACTAGGGAAAAGGGGAGGTTGGGGAGAAACTGAGAAGGCCAACAAGAGAAGTGGTGGCCTCATACCATACTGTAACATCTGGAATATGAAAAATGAGTTTGAGAGTGAATTGGTTTTCAAACAGAGTCTGTTATTATTTTTCTTTCTTTTAAAAAAATATTTGTATGAGAGACAGGGTGTCACTCTGACACTCAGGCTGGAGTGCAGTGGTGCAATCATAGCTCACTGCAGGCTAGATCTCCTGGGCTCAAGCAATCCTTCTGCCTGGGCCTGCCAAGTAGTTAGAGCTACAGGTACTGGTCAAACTGTTTTTTATTTATACAAATCCAGTTCAGGAATAGATATGTTGGGTAAAGTGATATTTGAGATTCTTTGAGCAAAACAGGATGATATACACTCTACATTTAGGCAGCTCCTCATACAAGTGTGAAACTTACCAAGAATGTTTACAACAACACACTGTAAATATTTACTGAGCAGTTTACACTCTGGCATATAGCATATTTATAACATGCGGGTAGGTTATTTTTAAAAATGTAACAATACATGGGACTGGGCATTGTGGCTCACACCTGTGGTCCAAACTACCCAGAAGGCTGAGGCAGGAGGATTGCTTGAGCCCAGGAGTTTGAGGCTGCAGTGAGCTATAATCACTCCAGTTTACTCCAGAATAGGAAACAGAGTGAGACTCTGTCTCTAAAAATCCAAAGTGGCTATAGAGTAATACATCACTGGTTTCAACACATCTTCTAGTGCCTGCTTTATCTCTAGCTGGCTCTCTGTTGGGCTCCGTGTTGTGTAAAAGCAAATAGTCCCCCGCTGGAGGGGTATAAAATTTGACTGAAAATGCAAACCAGTTGTGCTCATAAAAGTTGGACACAGAAATCATGTACACAGTTTACATAAATCCCAGCACTCCTTCTTCCAAATAGCACAAGACCAGGGAGATCCTGGGGCACAGCACATTGTGAGTGGTGCCTCTCAGCTACAAGACCCAGGGCAGCCCTGATGCGCACTGATACGATGCAGAGGCAGACAGCTGCCATTTATTTATGAAGAAACTGATATGAAATTGCAAACAGAGGCCAGTGCTGCCCAGTGGCTCTCACCCATCACCCCAGCACTTTGGGAAGCCAAGGCGAGAAGATGGCTTGAGCCTGGGAGGTCAAGGCTGCAGTAAGCTGTGATCCTGCCACTGCATTCCAGCCTGGGTGACAGAGTAAGACTCTGTCTCAAAAAAAAAAAAAAAGAAAGAAAGAAAGAGAGGGAGAGCGAGAGGGAGAAAGAAAAGGAAAGAGAGAGAGAGAGAAAGAAAGAGAAAGAGAAAGAAAGAAAGGAAGAAAGAAAGAAAGAAAGAAGGAAAGAAAAGAAAGGAAGGAAGAAAGGAAGGAAAGGAAAGATTGCAAACCACAAAATGATCACAATCAGGCAAAAAATAAATGTACATGGTTAAAAGTGAACAAAGTGTTGCAGTACCCATCTTCTGGAGGTGATTTTTCTTCTTTCTACTTCTGGGCATTTCTAATACAATGAAAGTTTTATAGCAGAAAATTATAAAATAATTCATTTATGTTATTTTAATATAAATAGTCCTGAGATATTCCTCTTTTCAGGGAAAATAGTACTTGGCAAGACAGCATCCTAGTAGCTGTTCTTGGGTTGTTCACGTAATTAGTTGCCAGGATTCTTTTCACTGTGGGGCTTCTTTTGCAGTCTGTCCGTGGATACTGTGAACATCAGGCTACTCGGCCGGGCTCCTGCGCTCAGGGCTTCGAGAAATGCTCATTTTGGGGCTGCCCCTCTGCCGGCCTCTCTGGATTCAGAGGGCAGCCGCTGCTCCTTTTGTTTTGTGGGCCTGGCTCTGGGCCCGGAGCAGCACCTCCCTGGGGAGGCCGCCTTTCCTTCCGCGGCTTCTTCCGTCTCCTCCTGACCCCAAGGTGCCTCCGGCCTCTGCCTCCAGCTAAGGACCTCTGGCCAAGCCTCCTGCCCAGGGAGAGGTGAAGCTGCCGTGCCTGGGTGCCCCGTGGTGGCCGGACACTCCTGGCGGCTGCTCAGTCTTGCACGTGGCTGTGCCAAGCGGGCCAGGCAGCTGCTATTTCCCTCAGAGAAGTTGCTGGCGGCGCTCAGGGAAGGAAGCACCCGAGGAGGCGGAGCGGCATCTCAGCCACAGAGGTAAAGACTCTGTGATGGGCACAGGGCCCCGGGAGGTCCTTTCCACCTGCCAATCGCTGCGCTGCCCCTGCAATTCCCTGTACTCTGAGTGGTTGTGCTAATGTTGCTCATTTGGGGTCAAGGAACAGCCCTGGAGGGGCTGCCCTCCGTCAGGCGGCATGGGGACGGTGAAGGTTCAGCCCACTGTGGCCGCACGCGGGGCCTTCTGCGGGCGAGGCCACGTTTGGATAGGCTGGGCTTGGGATGGGCAGCTGCTCTTTCCCCTGGACAGAGTGGAACAAGCTCCAGTGGGAAGGTCACAATGGGAAAAAAGAAGCAAAGTGACCCTCAGTATGTGGAAGAGATACTCTCAGAGGCAGGGAGAGGCAGGTGCCCCGCAGGTGAGGAGCTCTGCGCCCAGGAGGCTTCTTGCTGGATACTCGACGGCATGATGTGTTGAGGTGTTAAAATGTGGCATTCCTGGATATGTGGTGGGGGCTGCCCTCGGGTAGCCAAACCCATGAGATGAATGGAGTCTGTCCCAGAGCAAAGGCGAGAGTGAGATGGCCTTTTCCTCCCGAACTCCAAGGCCAGGTCATCTTTGGAAAATTGTGAAGCTCGATGGTCCACCTCTACTCCTGAGTAAATCAGACTTTCAAGAAGGGCACTGTGTTCCCCTCAGACTGAAAAGAATCCCTGGGTCTCTTGTGTGTTCTGCAAATGTTGAGAGAATTGTGGATCGACATTCCGCCAGCTTCTCTCACTGAGCTGCCGTGTGGCACAGGGAGAAGTAAGGCCATTTTGTGCTGGTCAGAGGGTGTGTCTAATGACAGTTCTGAGGGCAGGCTCATATTTTTATTTTTATTTATTTATTATGATTATTTTTAAAAGACAGGAGATTGCTCTGCTGCCCAGGCTAGAGTGCAGTGACACAATCATAGCTCACTGTAACCTCGAAATCCTGGGCTCAAGCGATCCTCCCACCTCAGCCTCATGAAGAGCTAGGCCCACAGGCATGCACCATCGTGCCCAGCTGGTTTTATGCTCCTAGTTTTAAAAAGAGACATTTACTTTTCAATGTGTTGTGAAACCTGTGGGTGCCAGGGGCGGTGTCCTGCTCACTATTCTTCCTTTGGCCCAGGGAGCCGCCCGGGAGGGCTCCGGCTGTGCAGGTGCTTCCCCGCTCCCCCCCGGGGGGTTCTCACAGCCACTTCCCAAGTTAACTTTGGTCTCGCAGGAGGCGGCTGAAGGCTTTGAACTTTGTGTTGATATTCGGCAGGTCTCTGTGTTTTGCCAGTTCCCAGTGCCCTGAAAGGGACAGGCCTTAACCAGATTTGGGGCACAGGCCTTGTAGAGTGGCCGTCTGGGTGGCCTCACATCACACGGGGCCATTCTTGGAACAGGCAGGATGAACAGCCTACCTGTTGGGAAGGCATGCTAGCTCCTGCCCCAGGACCTGGGCTGTGGCAGGAGACCCTGAGGCCTCCTGAGAGCTGCAAGGCCTTCTCCATTCCCTGTGGTCACATGGGGACAGGGCTGTGGCTCTGGATATTGGCGGAGGCTCATTGAGGCACTTTGAGACCCCGGGTTCTCCTCAGCCTCCTACTGCTGATTAGCCACGCTGACCAAGCCCAGCCCCTCTCTTGGCCCTGGGTCCCAGCTCCCACGAGCGTTGGGCCCTGGGCTGTCTCAGGTAGCTGTCCCCTGGAGTAGGGAAGGGAGAAGGTGGGGGGTGGAGAAACTCGGGTACCTGCCCAGCAAAGGGGGTGCCCACCTGCCCTGAACCCCAGAGGGCAGAAGGCTCGTGCCCAGGGAGATGCTGCACCTCCTTCACCTTCTAGGACAGCTGTCATGTCACTCTGTGGCCCAGCCTCAGCCTCAGAGCCCCACTGTCCCCCAGCGAAGACTAAGTGTGTGATTCAAGCCACTCTCTGAATGTCCCTCAGTGATGCCATCCCATAAGACCTGGGAATGGACACTGCATTCTCACCTTCCCTCCCCTTCCCCTCCCCACTTCCAACTGCCGTCTCTTCTCTGCCCCCCCTTTCAGAGCATTCTCCCCCCAGGGGCACTGTGTGCAGCACTCTGGGGAGCACCATCTACACAGACCCCAGGGAGGGGTGCTCCTGGGGGAGGCATTGCAGGGGCCCTGCCTGCCCCTCTGCAGCTGGACTCAGGCCCCTCACTCCAAGGGACCGGCTCTTGACCCAAACCCAGATGCTTCCCTGGCCTCTGCACGCAGCAGTGTGCACACGGGGCAGTGGCGCACCTCCTCCCTGGAGCTCTTTCCCTCCGGGCTTCTGTGGCACCTCACACTCTCCTGCTCTCCCCCTCACTTTCTGCCAGTCCCACCTCTTACCCTTGGAGGGCTCCTGACTGGTACAGACACCCCAGGGTCTCCATGGAGCCCTAGAGTTGAAATTCCATTTGTACCAAGCCTTCTGCATCTACGCTGGAGAATGGACCTCTCTTCCCTGCTCCAGGTTCACAGTGCCCCGCCCACCATCTCCCCTGGGATGCCTGGGGAGGGCCCAATGCAACGTCACCCCTCGCTAACCTGCCCAGACTGTCCCACTGCCACCAATATCTAGGAAAGCAAGGCCACCTGCAAGTCCTCTTGACTCCCACGGCTGTACATTCACACCTGCCACACACACACCTGCCCCACAACCACCACACCTGTGCTGACCACGCCCACGCCGGCCACACACACACATCCAGATTCCCAGCAAATCCTGTTGGTTGCAAAATAGATCCTGTGTTTGATGCCTTCTCAATGTCCCTACTGTCGCACGGCCCAAGGCACCAGTCCCTCCTGGACGCTCACCATAGCCTCTAATCAGACTGTCCCTGAGACCACTCTGTCCCTCACACAGTGGCCACACAGCAGCTAGGGACACTTCCCCCTTTTGCTATGAAAAAGTTCAAGCACTCATCAAAGTTGAAAACCCAGATACCCACCACCTAGATTCTCCCATTAATATCGTCGTAGACTCACGTTACCACCTCTCTGTCCTTCCCTTTACCCATCTCCCCATCTTGAGTTCATTTTTTAGAGGCAGAGTCATGCTATGTTGCCCAAGCTGGTCTTGAATTCCTGGCCTCAAGTGATCCTCCCTCCTCAGCCTCCCCGTAGCTAAGGACTAGCTGGGACTACGGGGATCCACCACATCGGCTCATCTTGATTTAAACAATGTATTTCAAAGTAAGTTGCAGACATCAGTACCTTTCTACCTAAACACTTCAGCATTGTATGTCATTAACTGGAGTTCAGTATCGTTTACGGTATTTTTCTTTTGAGGTAAAATGTACATATAATGAAATGTGCAAATCCTGGCCATATATTCCATGAGTTTTAACAAAGGCATATACACTTGTGTGACCCAAACTCCTACTAAAACATTGCCTGTTACCCCAGAAACTCCCTCACATTCCTTCCTAGTCAACCCCTGTCCTGCCACCTCAGGGCAGTCCGGGGTGTAATAGACCAGCCTGAGGCAGCCACCGTTCTGATTTTTTCTACCACAGACAAATGTTGCCTATTCTAGAACTTGATATAGATGGAAAAGGTGCTCTTTTTTCATTCAGTCAGTATTTCTGAGATTCACCCCTGCTGATGCTAGAGTGTTGTGTCTGTCTTTGCTTAGAACTCTCCATCTAAGGGTGGAATCCTACTTCTGCTGTGGCCCTGCTGCTCTGCCCTGGGCCCTCTCCTTTATTTCCCGTGCCCCTCCACCTGCCACCTCCCCTTTTTCCAGACCCACTGGTCTTCTTTCTGACCTTGCGTACCCCAAGCTCATGTCACCTCAGGGCTGTTGCACTTGCTGTTCTGCCGGAATGCTTTTCCTGCAGATGGCTGAGGGCTGGCTCTTTCCCTTATTCTGGTTTAGCTTGAATGTCACCTGCTCAGAAACTTTCCCTCACCCTTCACTCTAAAGCAGCCACCACCATTGTCCTTTTCTTTGCAGCACTTACCCTTGTCTAAAATCTAGTTTGCGTATTTATTTATTTGTTTATTGCCCATCCTCCACCTCCTGCTAAACTCCATGAGAGCCTGGTCCATGGCTTCTTTCTCCCCCTAGTACTTCCAGTGCCCATGCGGTATAAATACTCTTGAAGGAACAAGTGGATAAGTGTGTGAATGTGTGATTGCCAGCTCTTTCCTGCAACTCTGCCCTCTTGGCTGAACTGTGGGAGGCTGGCCCTGGCTCCTTGAAGCCTCTGCATCTCCAGCAGGGCTAAGCCATGCCCACAACCCCTACCAGCTGTTACTGAGCTTGCCCTGGCCCAGGGATGAGGCACACTGGGAGCTGCATAGGGTCCTGGTTTGGCCACATACAGATCCGTGTGTGCTCAGCTATCATATGCAGGGAGGCTTTTGGGCTAAAAGGCAGGAATGTGGTCTCCTCTGTGGAGAGCATGGGCCTCTGGTGTAATGCTTTCAACTTTTCATCCTCTTTGGTTCCCACAAGACCCTGATATTCAATTAACCGTCCAGCAGTGGATTTCTGGTGCACGGCCCCAGCATGCCTACACCTCTGTGTCAGTAATGGTGGAAAGCCTTTCTCCCTGTATGAGCAGGTGAGCCAAGAAATTATCCATACTTAAGCTTAATCAACCATCAAATTACAGTTAAGCCGAATCAGCTGAGACACGCTCGCAACAAGAAGTAATAACTCGAGACAGTCGGATCACCTGAGGCCAGGAGTTTGCAACCAGCCTGACCAACATGGTGAAACCCATCTCTATCAAAAATACAAAATTAGCTGGGTGTGGTGGCATATGCTTGTAATCCCAGCTACTTGGGAGGCTGAGGCAGGAGAATCGCTTGAACCTGGGAGGCGGAGGTTGCAGTGAGCGGAGATTGCACCATTGCACTCCAGCCTGGGCAATAAGAGCGAAACTCCGTCTCAAAAAAAAAAAAAAAAAAAAAGTAACAACTGCAAAGGCACTCCACAATACCAGCCACTTAGGAACAGGTGTCTTTTCCCAGCTTATTTCTGCAGGTGGAACTGCAGGATACTATCAACTCATCTTTCTGAACGGCACCAGTTTATTTGTGGGTTGCTAATTCACACCGTCATTTCTAGATCATCTTTCTCTGCTGCCAAGACCGGAGTAGCACCACATTTACACATCAGGCCGCCCAGCTCCCAAACCTCAGTGTGACATCTGGGCTGCTTCCAAAGATGAGCTGCACGCCACTGTCCAGCTGGAAATATCTGCCTTTAGGCAGGGCGGGGGTTTTTTGTTTTGTTTGTTTGAAAATTTCCTCCGAAGAGATTCCCTAAATAGTTTATATTACCCCTCCATCTTAACGCCTCTAATGGTAGCTTCTCAGCGCTTCATTATACAGAGGCGTGCCTGGTTCCCCTGGAAACCTGGGAGCTGGGCATTTGGTTTTGTCGTTTAAGAAATATCTTTCGCCAAGTTAGGGCGATGGCCCGCAACGGGGGATGAAATCGGAATTTCCCGGGGAAAGCAGCTTTGCGACTGAAGAGGGACGCCTCTCGGCTTTAGCCTCCCTGGGGGCGGGACTGCGTGGACTCGGCGGTCCCGGGTGCCTCGGGAGGGAGTCAGTGCCCAGATCCGCGGTGGGAACTCCGGGCTAGGAAAGCCCGGGAGGGAGGTGGTCTCAGCATCGCCCCCACGCCTACCATCTCCTGCACGCGTTTGCGGTTGGGGCGGCCCAGGGACTGCAGAGGGGGCGCCGGGCGGGGCGTCCCGGCGGGGCTGTGGGGGTGGGGGTGCTTGTTCGCGTTTATTATAACTTTACTCCCTTTAAAAGGAAAGCTATGCCCGGAATCCAGGAGGTGGCGAGCAGAGCCCGGGTTGGGAAGGACTTGACCCGCGCCCGCCGCTGGCCGCGCTCCGTGTCCCTGGAGCTGGGGCTGTGCGGGAGCGGGGCCCACCCTCTACCTTTACCCCTACTTTTACCCCCACTCCCACCCCCGCCTCACTCTCACCCCTCCAACCCCACCGTCAGCCCCACCTTTAACCCCCACCCCTCCAACCCTACCCGCCGCCACCCCCACCTGCCACCCCCACCCCCACCTATACTCCCGCAACCTCCCACCGTCACCTCCCCAACACCCCCACCACCCTCAGCCTTGACCTCCCCATCCCACCCCGCCCCGCGGGCCCCACCCTGCCACCCCCGCCCACCCCTCTCGCGGGCGGAGCGGCTCTTGGCCTTTTTTGGGCGTCTCCCTGCTCCGCGGCCCGGGCTGGCGGGCGGGCGCTCGGCTGGCGGCTGCAGCAGCAGAGGGAGACCCGCGGCAACCCCGGCAACCCAGGGCTCGGCGTCGCTGCCACCATGACGGGAAGGTAACGGCCCCCACCCACGCCCCCGGGCCGGGGAGGCGGGACTGCGGGACCCCTGGCCGAGGCGCAGCTCGCCCTCGTACAGCCCCGCGGCGCCACGATCCCCGCTCCGCCCTGGCGCGTCGGATTCTCGCAGCTGCCGGGGCGGCAGCGCCCGTCGGGGCAGGGGTCCCCCAGCCCCCGCGCCTCTTCCTCTGGGCGAGCGCCTGCAGCGGAAGGTGGAGCTCCTGCCCACCCGCCCGCTGCAAGATGGGACAGCCGTCTGCTCACAACCGACGCCCAGGGCTGCGGGAGGGGGTCTTGTCCAAGGTCAGACACCAACCACGGGCAAAAGGTTCAAAGGTTGCGTGCCTCCCCCAACTTCCCCGAGCCCGCGCTGTGCGATCCCCGATCCCGGTGAGTGTCATCTCTGGAGCCTTCCGTTTCCTCCTCTGTAAACCTGGGGTGGTAAAAATGTTAAAAATGTTGAAGGGTATGTTGGAACTTGGCCAGAGCTGCGCCCAAGCACCAGCTGTGCAGGGGTTGGTTGGGGACAGGGCGCTCCCCTGGGCCTGGCCCACCCTCTGCTCTCAGGCCCCTCGTTGCCATTTCACAGATGAGGTCACCAGAGGCCACAGAGGCTGAGCCACTCAGGAGGCCAGTCACAGGTCCACCAGTGTCCGGCCAGTGTTTGTCCCTGCAGCCCTTTCTGGAACCTAGCTGGGTACAAGTGCATGACTCAGGACTGGGTGGGAGGGGGCTGTCCCTGAGGCCCTGGTCTCCCCCAGCCAAGTCCTGGCAGGGGGATGCTGTTCTTCAGGATCCCATGACCTGGGGCTCTTGGGGAGCCCCAGCCCGGAGAGTGACCTGTGGCTTTGCTGGGGAAAGGGGCTTGGAGGGTACAGGGCAGTGTCCAGGATTGCAGTCTCAAATCCGAGGCCCACAGGGGAGCTGCCTCTGTGATCGCCATTAAGGCTGTGGCCTGGGGTCTCAGGGCAGCCCAGGAACCAAAAATAGCCTGTAACTTGTCACTTTGTAAGTCCTGCCCTCCAGACACACTTCCCTTTCTTCTCCCCAAGCCTCTCTTCCCAGTTAGCTCCCCTGACTTGGAGTCACCTCTAAGCCTTGGCCCAGGCCCCTCTGCAGTGAGATGGAGGGACTCATCCCCCGGAGAGTGGCATCTGCAGGCCC
This sequence comes from Homo sapiens, assembly GCF_000001405.40. Lineage (NCBI taxonomy): Eukaryota > Metazoa > Chordata > Mammalia > Primates > Hominidae > Homo > Homo sapiens. The sequence continues at coordinate 127,673,846 of NC_000002.12, read as the reverse complement.
ACTGGCTGCCTGTGGTCACCCCCTAGGGTTCTAGCGGGGCTGCCTCCCATTTTCCTCAGAGCATCCCTGCCAGCTGGCTGGTTCTCACTCTCCTGTTTTCTAGGAAAAGAAAGTGGGGAGAGACAGGAACAGGGTCCGGAGCAGCCCCAGCAGCAGCATTGAGGTGGAGGTGGGTGAGAGGCGGTTCCTTCAGGCACAGGAGGGATGTCGAGGAGAACAGAGCCGTGAAGGGTGCGGGGCTGGAATGGGAGGCCCCGAGGTGCCACTGCTCCCTGGCAAGGGTCCTCTTGCCCCTGAGTCCCTTGGGCCTTTCCCTGGAGACGGAGGCCGTCAGGTGAGCCCGGCCGGAACCGCTGGGAAGGCAGGTGGTGGCGAGCAGGGGTCAGCCTTCCCTTGCTGCTGTGGGCTCCAAGGGCCTGAGAAACTCTTACCCTCAAATGACACAGGGATGACAGTCAGCCTTTGGCAGGCACTGTGTAGGGCGTTCCTCGTCCAGGCAATACTACTCGTCTTAGAGAATAAGGAGAAACCTGGAAACATAAAAGATAACAGAAACATAAAGAGAAGGAAACTGCCACAGTTCCACTCCCAAGAGCCTCCCTTTATGCAGTTCGGTGGCTCCCCGCAGTCCTTTCTCCTGGAGTTTGTTTGACGCAGCTGTGAGCGATCTGAGTGTAATGCACCCGCTCCTTCAAAGGTGACCCTGCTGCCCGCAGTGCTGGTGCCCCACTGGCTTCCCTGCCTTCCATACACAGGGATTGGGCCGGGCCAGTCTGTGAGGAACAGACATCCAACCCGGCCTTCGGAGTGGGCGAGAGTTTTCCTGTCCCAGAAGCAGTGGAGTTTCATTTCCACCGTTTCATGCTGGGTGCCCTTCCCCACGTCCACTGTTCCCATGTGATCCCGGGCAGCTCCTCGTGCCTGGATCCTGGTTCTCTCGGGATCCCCCATGCTGCCCAGAGCCAGGCTGCTTTTGGGAAACACCCTCTCTGCTCGCATACCTTCAGGGCTTCTCCCTGCCAGCTCTCCCTAGGACCTCACCAGGCAAGAGCAGAGGGAGGGCTGTGGGGAGCCACCAAAGTGACCTGGAGTGGCATGTGTGGCCATGCTGTCTGCAGATGAACCCATGGGTGCTGTGTGGAGAAAGGGCTGCTGGGAAGGAGATGGGGAAGGAGACAGAAGGCAGCCACTAGGGAGGCCTCTCCTGGGTGGCTGAGCGGGTGGAGGAGAGGAGGCTGACTCAGGGTTCTGGGAGGTGGAGTGGACAGGACCCAACTGACTGGCTGTGAGGTGGGCCACAGAGGGTGGGGCTCGGGAGGATGCCCCTCCTGTGATGACAGGTGGGGGTGGATGGCATGCTTGGTGTGGTTGTGGAGTGCTTGAAGAGCTGTGGCAAGTCTGAGGGGGAGCCGTGGGAGGCACCTGGGCATGGAGGGGCTGAAGCCCAGGAGTAGCCAGCTGGGCAGGGAGTGAAGGCAGCCCAGAGCATGGGGTGGCACGCCGTGGGAAGAGAGGGGGCTCGGCCTCAGCAGCAACTCAGGGACTTTGCAACTTACAACCACAAGATCTTTGACTATCACAGCTGAAGGGACCTCTGGCATCACCATTGTTCTACAGGGAGGATATTAAGGCCACCTACCTAGGGACCCAGCTGTCCCTGGCATTCCTGGAAATGGAGCCTGGGATGTTGACACCCACGGCCACGTGAGCTCAGTGGCTTGGCTGCATAAAGTGGAGTCCCACCCATGGTGTGACCGTCATGTGTGTCACATGTGAGGCTGTCGTATGCCTGATTGTGTGCTGAGCCCATGCTTAGTACAGCGCAGAGCAGGCTGCTAGATCCCTGCCCTCATATCCACCAATCTTGCCCCTCCTCCGGGTGAGGAGTGTGCCCGGTGGTCCCCTAGGCAGAAGGTGTCGGCCAAGGGGCAGCTGACTGCAGCTAGAGCCCTCAGCACAGCACACGAGGCTGCAGTGGCGTCAGGGGCTTAAGCAAACTGTAAAGTGGGTAACAAGTGATGTGGCTTGTGATGTGGCACCACTGAGCCCTGAGCCCCAGACTGGGCCAGGTGGCACTGCCATGGCCCCTCACCTCCTTCCTTTTTCTTCTACTTCTGGTGCTGACTGGCCCCTTCTAGCCGGCCAGTGGCATAATAGGGATGGAGGGACTGATCTGCAGGGTGTCCAGTCCCGTGGTGTGATACCCCCACCTGGGCTCATTTCAAGCCACCAACATGGCATTAACGCTTTACGGAATTCCTGAATAGTTAACAGTCAGCACTTGTGAACTGGCAAGGGACAGCCCAGGGAGCCACTGGGGAGAGGAGCCCGGGCTTTCTATCCACAGCGGGTTATCCTTCTTCTGTCTGTCCCTATCTGTGCTGTGCCGCATGCAGGCTCTTTTTTTTTTTTTTGAGATGGAGTCTCGCTCTGTCACCCAAGCTGGAGTGCAGTGGCGTGATCTCAGCTCACTGCAACCTCTGCCTCCCAGGTTCAAGCAATTCTCTTGCCTCAGCCTCCCAAGTAGCTGGGACTACAGGTGCATACCACCACAACCGGCTAATTTTTTTTGTATTTTTATTGGAGATGGGGTTTTACCGTGTTGGCCATGGTGGTCTTGATCTTCTGACCTCTTGATCCACCCACCTTGGCCTCCCAAAGTGCTGTGATTACAGGCGTGAACAACCGTGCCCAGCCTGCATGCAGGCTTAACCATCCCTTAGGTCTTCACTTCCAGGTGGGAAAGGGGCCAAGGGAGGCACTGTCACTGTCTTGCTTGTTCTGTTGAGGTGTAGCGTGTACATTTCTGAAGGTGAATATTTACTTAGATGACTTAGCAGGATGACCACCCTAGTGAGATACCTCCATGAGTGAATGCATATGTCTTGCTGAGATGAGGTGACTGAATACACATATGAACATAAAACCTACTGTGTCCTCACCCACGTCCTTGGAGGAATACACGGGAAACTCATGGAGTTGTCTTCAGCCTCCCAGCGAGGAGTCTGGTGGGGGAGCTGGCTCTGGAGGACAGCCTGTTTGTGGCATCTCTGCCTCTGTCCGTCTCTGCCTCTGCCCACTGGGCTGAGGGCACGTGCCCCAGGGCCTTGGGGAGGCAGCCCTGCCTCATAGCTTGGGGCCTCAGTTCCAGCCTCTAAGAAGCCATGTAGTTGCATTCTTCATTACTCACGTGTTTTTTAAAATCTGAGACATAGTTCACATATTATTAAATTCACCACTTTAGATTGTAAAATTCAGTGGTTTTTCGTGCATTCACAAGGCTGTGCAACCATCACCATTAATTCCAGAACATTTTAATCATTCCTAAAAGAAACCTTGTACTCATTTGCAGACAGTCCTCATTTCCCCCTCCTCCCAGCCCTGGCCACCAGTAACCTGCCTTCTGTCTCTACAGATTTGTCTGTTCTGGACATTTCACATAAATGGAGCCATATATTATATAGCCTTTTGTGCCTGGCTTCTTTCATTTATTAACAACATATTTCCAAGATTCATCCGTATATTGTAGCATGAATCAGTACTTCATTCCTTTTTCTGGGTGAATAATATTCCATTGTGCCATAGTTTGTTTCTTCCTTCATCCGTGGTAGACATTTGCATTGTTTCCACTTTTTGGCTACCGTGAATAATACTGCTATGAACATTCCCATACAAGTTTTGGTGTGAACATACATTTTCTCCTTGAATATATACCTAGGACTGGAATTGCTGGCATATGGTAACTCTATGTTAAACTTTTTGAGGAATTATCAAGCTGTTTTCCAAGTAATTGAACAATTTTACATTTATTAAATTTTACACCAGGAATGTATGAAGGTTCCAATTTCCCGACATCCTTGCTGATGCTTGTTATTGTTGTCCGGTTTAGTAGGTGTGAAGTGGTGTCATATTGTGGTTTTGATTTCCATTTCCCTAATGACTGATAATGTTGAGCATCTTTTCATGTATCTGTTGGCCACTTGTAAATCCTCTTTGGAAAAATGTCCATTCAAACTCTTTGCCCATTTTTTAAATCGGGTTGTCTTTTTATTGTTGAATTGTAAGAGTTCCTTATTTATTTGAATACTAGACACTTCTCAGACATATGATTTGCAAATTTTTTTTTTTTAAGATGGAGTCTCACTGTGTCGCCCAGGCTGGAGTGCAGTAGTGCAATCTCAGCTCACTGCAACCTCCGCCTCCTGGGTTCAAGCGATTCTTCTGCCTCAGCCCCTCCAGTAGCTGGGACTACAGGCGTGTGCCACCATGCCTGGCTATTTTTTTTTTGTATTTTTAGTAGAGATGGGGTTTCACCATGTTGGCCAGGCTGGTCTCAAACTCCTGACCTCAGGTGATCCTCCCGCTTCAGCCTCCCAAAGTGCTGGGATTACAGGCACGAGCCACCGTGCCCAGCCGATTTACAAATATTTTTTCCTTTTCTGTGGATCATCTTTTCACTTTCTTGATTGTGTCGTTTGATACACACGTTTTAACTTTTAATGAAATCCAATTTATTTCCTTATTCTTTAGTTGCTTGAGTTTTTTTTGTCATGTTTAGGAAACTATTGCCTAATCCTGGCTCATGAAATGAAAACATCTGTTTTCTTCTAGGAGTTTTATACTGTTAGCATGTAGCTATCCAGTTGTCCTAGCATCATTTGTTGATAAGACTACTCTTCGCCCCATTGAATGGTCTTGGCACTCTTGTCAAAAATCAGTTGACCACAAATATATGGGATTATTTTTGGACTCTCGAGACAGGGTTTCACTCTTTCACCCAGGCTGGAGTGCAGTGGCAAGATCTTGGTACATTGCAGTCTCAACCTCCCTGGGCTCAGGTGATCCTCCTACCTGAGCCTCCTGAGTAGCTGGAACCACAGGTACACACCACCACACCTGGCTACTTTCTGTATTTTTTGTAGAGATGAGATTTTGCCATGTTGCCCAGGCTGGTCTTGAATTCCTGGGCTCTGCCTGCCTCAGCCTTCCAAAGTACTGGGATTATAGGCGTGAGCCACTGCACCCAGCCTATTTCTGGACTCTTGGTTCTGTTCTATGGGTGTATATGTCTATCCTTACACCACTGCCACACTTACAATTTTTTAGTAAGTAAATTGTAATTTTTAAGTAAGGTGTTTTTTTTTTTTTTTTTTTTTTTTTTTTTTTTTTTTTTTTTTTGAGACGGAGTCTCACTCTGTCACCCAGGGTGGAATGCAGTGGCCTGATCTCAGCTCACTGCAACCTCCACCTCCTGGGTTCAAGCGATTCTCCTGCCTCAGCCTTCTGAGTAGCTGGGACTACAGGTATGTGCCACCACACCTGGCTAATTTTTATATTTGTAGTAGAGATCGGGTTTTGCCATGTGGGCCAGGGTAGTCTTGAACTCCTGACCTCAAGTGATCCACCTGCCTTGGCCTCCCAAAGTGCTAGGATTACAGGTGTGAGCCACTGCACCTGGCCTCTTTGTTTTTTTTTAAAGTTGTTTTGATTATTCTGTGTCACTTGCATTTTCATATAAATTTTAGGAATGCCTTGTCTATTTCTTTAAAAAAGGCAGGAATTTTAATGGAGATTGTATTGAATCTATAGGTCAATTTGATGTAGTGTTGTATTGCCATCTTAACAATATTAAGTTTTCCAATCCATGAACATGGGATATCTTTATTTAGGTCTTCTTTAATTTATATCAATAATGTTTTATAATTTCAGTGAATAAGAAGTCTTGCATTTATTTTGTTAAACTTACTCCTAAGTATTTTATTCATTTTGATGCTGTCCCAAATGGGGTTGTTTTATTTCATATTCAGATTTCTCATTGCTAGCGATTCTGGTATATTGAGTGTATACCTTGCAGACTTACTGAACTCATTTCTTATCTGTAAATAGGGTTTCTTTTTTTGAGGAGGGATTCTTCCGAGTTTTCTATATATGAGTATGTAATATGTAAATAAAAATAGTTTTACTCTTCCTTCTCAAACTAGATGTCTTTTATTTCTTTTTCTTGTCTAACTGTCCTTGATAGAATCTGCAGTGCAATGTTGAAAACAAATAGCGGACTGGAAATCCCCCTGACCTTAGGAGGAAAGCATTCATTTTCTCATCACTAAGTATGATGTTAGCTATGGGTTTTGGGTAGATGCCCCTTATCAAATTGAAGAAGTTCCCTTCTATTCCCAGTTTGTTGGGTGCTTTTATTATGAAAAGATGTTGGATTTTGCCAAATGTGTTTTCTGCATCTGTTGAGATGGTCATAGAGTGTCCTCCCTATATTCTATTGATATGGTATATTACATTGAATTTTGGATGTGAAACCAACCCTATGTTCTTGGGATAAATCCCATTTGGTCACGGTGTATAATACTTTTTATAGAGTGTTAGATTTATTGTATTTTATCGAGGACATTTGCATCTATGTGACTTTAGCATTTTATTTTGAGATCAAGATAATATTTATAGAATGAGTTGTGAAGTATTCCCTCCTAGTCTTTCTTTTCTTTTGTTTGGAAAGATTTTGTGAAGGTTTGTTGTTTTTTGTTTTTTGTTTTTTTCTCTTTTTGAGACAAGATCTCACTCTGTCACCCAGGCTGGAGTGCAGTGGCGTGATCTCAGCTCACTGCAACCTCCGCCTTCCAGGTTCAAGTGATTCTCCTGCCTCAGCCTCCTGAGTAGCTGGGATTATAGGCATGTGCCACCACACTGGTGTTTTGTATGTTTGTTTGTAGGTTTGGTGTTAATTCTAGTTAAACCTTTGATATAATTCATCAGTGAAGCCATGTCGCTCTGGCTTTACTTTGTGACAAGTTTTTTGGTTACTGTCTCAGTCTCTTTACATGTTACTGGCCTTACTAAGTGATTTGGGTAGGCTTTGTGTCCCCAACTAAATCTCATCTTGAATTGTAATCCCTATAATCCCCACGTGTCAAGGGAGAGACCAGGTGGAGGTCATTCAATCATGGGGGTGTTTCCCCCCATGCTGTTCTTGTGATAGTGAGTTCTCACAAGATCTGCTGGTTTTATAAGGGGCTCATCCCCCTTTGCTTGGTATTTCTTCCTGCCACCTTGTGAAGAAGGTGCCTTGATTCCCCTTTGCCTTCTGCCACGACTATAAGTTTCCTGAGTCCTCCCCAGCCCTGTTCAACTGTGAGTCGATTAAACCTCTTTCCTTTATAATTTACCGAGTCTCATGAAGTTCTTAATAGCAGTATGAAAATTTAGACTGATACATTTGGATTTTCTATTTCTTCTTGAGTTCGTTTTGGTAGTGTCCTTCTAGGAATCTCTCCATTTCAGTAGGTTATTTCATTTATTGGCATACAGTTGTTCATAATATTCCATTCTGCTACCTCCTTACTGGGACCACGAGCTATTATTATTCAAGGAAGCCATGGAGTTAGGGAGCAGGAATAAGGGACTAGGATAAGTTAAAACAACACAAACCTCACTGGTTTGTGTTTGTTTGTTTGTTTACCAAGATTCATCTGTTTTTCTTGACCAAATGTTCCTAGGGTTACTGAAAACCTTTGGTGGATTTGCAGAGTTCTGAAAGAGTAGATTCTGATAATTTTTGCTAGGTTTTTCATTGCTTTTATGGAGGGATGAACTTCTGGAGGTCCTTACTCCACCACTTTCTGCTGACATCACTCTCGGTGTTTTTGCAAATATCTAGAGCCAGAGCACTGAACCAAATCCCATTTGGTCATGGTGTATAATACTTTGTATAGAGTTCTAGATTCAGTTTACAGTATCTGTGGCTCCCAATCCCATCCCTGCAGCAGGACAGGCTGCAGAATGGGTGGTAAGGTTGTGCAGAGATTTGGGATTTGGGCTCAATCAGACTCTAAGCCTCTCTCAATTTCTAGCCTTCGATGTCCGCTTTTATAGTAAATATTTGTTGAATTGATTAGTACTTGGTAAACTTGTGCTTGAACTTCATTTACAGATTATGTTGCACAAAACACTTGTGGCTGTAGCCTCCTTTCCAGTGCTATATGTGACCCTTGGAGCCCTAAATAAATGTTTCCTCCTTACAGAAAACTGCGGGTCTGCATGAGAGTCCTGGATTCTAGTGTTGAGGATTTCCACATGGATGGGCTGAGTCGGGAGTGGTGAGAGGGTCTAGGCCCTATGGCATTGACTTGTAGCTGCTGTTAAGAACATTTTCGGTGTAAGTTTTCTTAAGCATTCGGCTACCTACATCAGAGAGTCAGCGGTATTCCCTATTCATTTTGGCTCCTCTGGGCTCAGCTTCTCCATGCCCTTTAGCCCCTGGGGCCACCTTTAAAAACTATTTGTTGAACTGATCAGTGTTGGGCAACTTTGGAATTGGACTACATTTACAAATTATACTGTACCCAATGCTTGTCGTCACTTGACTGCCAGGGTGCTTAATGAGTACCTCCTCCTGTTGGGACTTGCTGGGTGAGTGTGTTCCTCAGTGGCGTGTGGGCCTGGTATCTGAATGCCAGTGAGCCCCTCCAAGGCTTTCTCCCACCCTAGTTTGGGAGGATCAGTGCCCTGCTGTCTTTAGTGACGGCTGCCAGCTCTTGCTTTCAGAAGGCAGAAGAAGATACTGCTCAAGCTTTCTGACCTTTCTAGAAAGGTCTTTCAGGGAAATGGGATCAATGCTAAAGATTTCCATGAGTGCTCTGGATCTTTATTGTACTGCTGACCAGGCTTACCTTGGTCACAGTTTGGATGCCTACCGCGGGTGTTTATGAATCACAAGTAACTTTGCCAGTCTCTCTGGGTAAAAATGCGGGGTACATGGTGCCTTCCTGGTGGTTGCCACCAGGTCCCTCTGCGTCTGCTCCCCTGGAAGCTGGAGGATTGCCTTTTCTCTAAAATAAGGACCTCTTTTGGGGTGCCTGACCATTTGTTGGCCAGATCCAGAGGATCGGCTCTGCCCTGGTCTGGGTGCCCCACGGTGATGTTTGTGGCAGAGGGTCTCAGAGAAGGGAGCAAAGCAGAATGTGGGCCTGTGTGGCTCCGGTCCTCGGTTTCCTAACTGTTGGCAGGGATCCTAAAGGCGCCAGGTCCTCCCTGTCCTCCTCAGCTGACTCTGCCCTCCTCAGTGTGTCCACGGGCACAGGCTTTCCTCCTGGCAGGTGGCAGCCGGAGACCTCCTGGGTGTCCTGCCGCCACTGTGGACCTCACCTCAGTGCTGTCTGGGGCCTTCCCAGACCAGTCCCCTCCCAGCGGGACCCAACCCCCGCCAGCCTCAGCTTTCAGGAGCTGCCCCCGCGGCGCGAACAATATCCTTTCTATTTGGAGTTGACTCTGCTGCCCTTTGGAGATCCCAGCGCGTAACGTGAGCTCGCGACCAGCGCGGGGGAGGCGCCCACACGCCCGTCCCGTCTTGGTGTCTGGCCCCAGGCGGCCGCGCCTCCCCTCCGAGGTGGTCCCATAGCCCCTGCACCAGGCGGCCCGCGCCCGCGACCTCAAGGCGGCTGCCCCGCGCCATGGCGGCCCGGCTGGGTGCGCTGGCCGCGTCGGGGCTGTACCGGCGGCGCCAGCACCGGCAGAGCCCGCCGCCAGCCACGGGGTAGGTGGCCAGGGGCGGGGCGGGTGGCGGGGACAATGGCCGGAAAGCTGCGGCGGCAGGGCAGGCCTTCCCTCGGAAACCCGACCGGGGCCCTCCGACGCCGTGGGCTCTGCCCCGGCGTCGGATGGGCCCTGGGTTGGCGACAGGGTGGGCGCGTGCGACTTTATCTAACAGGGTTGGATGTCACCTGTGATCAGCTCTCCTGGCAGGGTGCGCCCAGGGACCTATGTTAGAGACGAGGGAGCCTGTGTAGCCCCCAGCACTGCTTTCAGACGGGGGTGATCATGCTGCACTTTATAGATGAGCAGACAGGTTCTGAGCAGAGCAGACACCTGCTGGACTCACCCACCCCAAACATGGCTATGCTGTGATTTGAACCCAGGTTAGACTGACTCCAGCAGTGGGGTTCAGGATGGTCCTCAGGGCATCTCAGAGAATGAGTTGGCTCTGGATGGGGAGGTTGGGAGGGGCACGGGGATGGTGGTGGAGCCACCTCCCCTCACTCTTGGGGTCAGGGGCATGAGGAGGAGCTCCTGAAAATGTTGCCTTTGCAGTGCCGAGGGGCCAGCGGGGAAGAGAGAGCAATAGGGCTGTGACCTTGGGGTCCTTGGCATCAAGGTGACAGATAGGGACCCTGGGGAGGAGGCCAAGGCTGGGCAGAAGGGCTGGGGCGGGGGGGCAGGGAGGGAGCCAGGAACATAAGTCGCAGAGGTAGGGGAGGGCCTGGAGGACCCAGGAGCAGAGGAAGGCCAGTGCCACCCAGGGCAAGCATAGCCCACTCTCAGCTCCTTGTGTGTGGTCAGGGAAGGCTCCCAGAGTGGCAATTAGAGGACTGAGCCATCAAAGATATCTTTTGCTGAGAACAGAAGAGGAAGGAGGGCACCGAGTGGAGGGCGGGAACTGCAGGCCGGCAGCACGGCCATCTGTGGAGTCCCTGCTGCATGCTGGGCTCCCGCTTGTGCTGGCATGGCAGGTCTGGGGCAGCCTGCTGTTCAGGTGGGGACCCCCAGACTCAGGAGGCCAAGTCACTCACCTGAGTGTGGCAGAGCTGGAGCAGGCACCCTCCCTGGTCAACCTCTGGACAGCCCTGGATGCGTGTGGCATAACTGTGGTACCAGGCTGCGAGTGGCCAGGGCACTGATGGCCCCAAGGCTGTTCTGGAGTGATTTTCACAGTACTGATACCACAGCTGAGATGCAGGCAGGACAGGCACGATGATGACAGGCCTGGGGCAGCCCTGAGCATGCATGCGCATGTGACTATTCACACTGTTTTTCTTTGAACTTCTGGTTCATGTCCTTTGTCAGTTCTTTGTTGTTAGTGTAACATGTTTCAGTTGTACCTGCTTAAAAGAAAAGCCACTAGAGCAAAGAGATATGGCAAGGGCTTCAAAAAAGCTCTAATTTCAGACAGGTTTCATACTGATTTGGAGTCTGTTTCTGATGGTGTCAATGCATCTTGTGTATAGCAGCCCAGGCAGCATGTTAATTTTTTCTTTTTTATTTTATTATTATTAGACTTTAAGTTTTAGGGTACATGTGCACAACCTGCAGGTTTGTTCCATATGTATACATGTGCCATGTTGGTTTGCTGCACCCATTAACTCGTCATTTAGCATTAGGTATATCTCCTAATGCTATCCCTCCCCCCACCCCCCACCCCCCACCCCCCACCCCACAAGAGCCTCTGGTGTGTGATGTTCCCCTTCCTGTGTCCATGTGTTCTCAATGTTCAATTCCCACCTACGAGTGAGAACAGGCAGCATGTTAATTTTCTAGCGTCCCCATGGTGGGCTGGCTTTTTGTACATTTTTGTTGACCTCATGTGGCCAGGTGACCCGACACTGGCCTCTGGCTGGCTTCATGGAGGCGGGGCAGGGAGGAAGCCCAGGCAGTGCTGAGGGACTGGAGCTGCTCCCTGGGCTGTGCTGCAGTAGGGTCCCTCCCCGAAACCCTCTGCATCTGGAATAGTGCCTATCAGTGCAGGTGCTCAGTGAGGACTTCGTTGGAAGGAGGACAGAAGCATGGGCTGTGCTTGCAGGAATGGCCTCACTGAACCCTCCCAACAGTCCCTGGAGGTAGCTATTCCTGGCCCATTTTATAAACGAGGAAGTTGAGGTTCAGAGTCCTGTGCTGCAGGTCACACAGACAGGGGGCGTCGGGGCCAGGGTTGCAGCCTGGTGTGCCTGGCTATAGGGGACACACCCTTGGTCTGACTGCTGCTCAGGCCGACGTGGCCTCAGCAACACTTGCTCATCTTGGGTGTGACCAGACTTCTTGTGGCTGGCCCCCAACTCTTCCCAGATCCTTACACACACTTCCTTGACTCAGATATCAGGAAGGCTGGGATGGAGGAAGGTCTGGGGTTGTTGAAGAAACAGAATCCGGAATGGGGGATGCCAAGAGGAGATGGGAGGAACATGAGTCCAATCCTCTGTGACCCTCAGCTGGTTACTGACTCTCTCTGTGCTTCAATCTCCTTATCTGGAACCAGCCTCCTCCCCTTATACAAAGGCCTGGAACAGAGCAGGCTCCTCTGATCCCACCTCAGACTCAGGGACATCTTGCAACAAATTGGCTTGTATTGGCTGTCAAAACTGAGAGCCTTCTGGGGTGCTGGAGAGGGCTGAGGAAGGGCATGAGATGGTGTGCTCTCCCCCACCTCTGGGGTTTGGCTTCCAGGCTGGGTGTGCCCTGGGCAGTATGTTCTACGTAGTCCAGCTGGGGGTGGGTAGTGGTGTCTCCTGGGGGATAACTGGACAGACTCTGTGCTCTCTATCTTGAAGGAATGTGCAAAGGAGGACATGGAATGTCCACGTCTCTGACCCTCTGACCTCTCGCAGGGACCGCAGGCAGCCTGCAGGCCTTCCCCTAGGCTGAGCCATGCAGAGGGACTCTGGAAGGCTCCCAGAGTTGCTGGAAAACAACAGTTCTCCTTATCCAGCGCTTTGCCCTGCCTGGCCTGGTGCTCTGTGCTGGACACGTGGGTGCCATTCATTCACTTTGGCTCCTCGATGTGGCTGTTTCTCTGGTGCACCTCTTTACAAAAGAGAACGTGAGGCCTACAGAAGCGAGCATCTCTCTCCAGGTCCCAGGCTGGTGGCTGGGGCTATCACGTGTAGAGCTGAGCGGCTGGGCCCAGGCCTCTGCCGGCCTCTCTGTGTCACACTGCCTCTCTTCCTCCCCTGCAGGAGTCAGGAAGCGTGTTCTCTCATGGTGCTGTGTCTCCGTTGTCTCTGCATGCTTCTGTCTGTCCCGTCTTTGCTCTTGGAGCAGAATGTTCCCTCACAGAGCTGCTGTTAGGGGCTCTCTGTGACTTGGGCTGGGGCAGCCCCTGGGCACAGGAAGGAGGTGGCCACCCCCACATCCGCCCCCCCCACCCCCACCTATGCCACGCTTTGTGCGATACTGTCGGCCACAGGCAGCAATGATCTCCCTGGATGCATTCAGGGACCAGCCGAGGAACTGCTTACAGACTGGCTATCAGGTCTAACTGGAAGATGAGCCGGAAGGTAGAGGAGAGTGTGTGTGGCCAGGCTGCTGTCAGGTTGACCAGGTGTGTCCAGCATTGGCTCCTTTTGGTGGGTTCTTGGTCTCGCTGACTTCAACAATAAAGCCATGGACCCTCACGGTGAGTGTTACAGTTCTTCAAGACTGTATGTCTGGAGTTTGATCCTTCAGACGTTCAGATATGTCCGGAGTTTCTTCCTTCCGGTGGGGTTGTGGTCTTACTGACTTCAGAAGTGAAGGCTCAGACCCTCCCACTGAGTGTTACAGTTCTTAAAGGTGGCACATCCGGAATTATCTGTTCCTCGAAACGATTCCTCCCCGTCGGTTCATGGTCTCGCTGGCTTCAGGATTGAAACTGCAGACCTTCGCTGTGAACATTACAGCTCATAAAGGTGGCGCAGACCCAAAGAACGTGCAGCAGCAAAAGCTACTACAAAGAGCAAAAGAACAAACTTTCCACACCAAGCAAAGGAACCCCAACTGGTTGCTGCTGTGGGTTCGAGTGGCCTGGTTTTATTCCCTTATTTGGCCCCTCCCACATCCTGCTGATTGGTCCATTTTACAGAGTGCTAATTGGTCTATTTTATAGAGTGCTGATTGGTCAGTTTTTACCAAGTGCTGATTGGTGTGTTTACAAACCTTTAGCTAGACACAGAGCACTGATTGGTGCATTTACAATCCTTTGGCTAGACAGAAAAGTTCTCCAAGTCCCCACCCCAACCAGAAGCCCAGCCAGCTTCCCCTTTCAGTGGGAAGCAAGGTAACTGGGGAGTGCTAGTTGAGGGTGTGTTTATGAAACGGCGAGGGAGGAAGGGTGGTGAAGCAGCTGGGCTAGCAGGGCAGGAGTGCCCATAACCACAAGGAAAGTCACAGGTCCCAGCAGCACCTGGCCCGTGGGAGTAGGGTCAGCACAGCTGGAAGCCAGAGGGGGCAGGCGTGTGGGTGCAGGCCCTAAACAGCAGTTCCTGGAGGCAGAGAACAGGAGCCTGGAAGGGGGTGCGAGGGATGTGTGCTCACTCACTGGGGTCTAGAGGTCTGGCTTTAAGGCGGAATCTGAAAGGCTGGGGCTGGGTGGAAGTCCTTAATTTGGCTTCGTTTTCTGGGTCCTTGGAGTGAGGAATTCCAGGCCCAGAGCCATGGGATTTCCTGTTGATTTCCGACTTCTCTAAGACTCCCAAGGTCTCGCTCATGGGCAGGCACTGGAATGTCCTCCCTGCCACCTTGGGTGTGTGTTTCAGAAGAGGAGGTTCACAGTGTTCTCCCGGAAGGAAACCAAGCCTGTCCTAGTGAAGCCCTGCCCAGCCCTCGAGGGTGGCTTGGGGCGGCCAGGCTCCACCTTGGTGGCCTGCCTGGCTCGCCCCGTGGAGACCAGCAGGGAGCTGGGAGCACTGAGGACCAGCCGCTGGGTGCCGAGGCCTCCTTTCTTCTTGGTTTCTTCCCAACTCCTGTTGCCACCATCTTTGCTTCCTTGCCCCTCTGGCCTAAATGTGGGCTCGCATGGTGGCTTTGGTCTCCTAAGCACCCCAGAGGGCAGGCCAAGGTGGACAGAAGCCCAGCATGCCCAGAAAGCCTGGTTGAATGGCCTTCCAGACAGCCTCTGCCACATGGGTCCCTAAGCAGAGAAGAAAGGACAGCCTGGGTGCCCCTTTCAAGTTTCCAGTCCATCTCCATTTCGCAGCAGCCTCCTGTGAGACCCTCCGCCCACAGCCCATGCCCAGACCCTAAGCGCAGCCCTGTCGTCCACCCCTGGACTCATCCTAAGGCCCCTCTTCTCTGTGGTTGACACTCTTCAGACTGGCCCTGCCCAGATTGCAGGCCGCAGAACAGCCCGACAGGAGCCTCACTCACCAAGCATTTCCCTCATGATGTCGCGGCAGTGACTGCTGGGTGGGATTCATCCTGGGAGGCAGAGCAGGCGGAGAGGTATTCCCAAAGGCACTGCACTCGAGTCCTGCCACCACCCGGCTGCAACCAGGCAGACGTTACCAGCTGGTTGCGTCACTCCCCAGCGAGCCTGATGCTCCCTCTCTGCCCAGTCTTCCAGGAATCCACTGGAGTTGACACTTGAGACAGAACCCACGTTCTCCCTTCCTAGCAAAAGGTGTGGGGTATCCGGTTCTTTGAAGGTCGTAGAGGCAGTTGGGGTGTTTAGGACTACATCCTGACCCTGTTTTTGAGTCTAAAAGGCCCCTCCTGGCTGTGCCGAAGGGCCCTGGGGCTGGACTGATTGCGGGCCTGGCTCACTGTGGGCTTTTCCCCTGTAGTTCGCATTTCACCCCTCCCAGAAGGAAACCCACCACTGACTCTGGGGACAGGCAGTGCCCAGTATGGATGAGATTTGCTCCCCCTCACCACACTCCCGTCTCGTCTCAAAGATTCATACTCTTGTCTTTTTTATTTATTTTTTATTTTGAGACAGGGTCTTGCTCTGTTGCCCAGGCCTGAGTGCAGTGGCACTCAGCCTCGGCCTCCCAGGCTCAAGCCATCCTCCCACTTCAGCCTCCAGAGTAGCTGAGACTACAGGCTTGCACCACCACACCTGGCTAATTTTTTTGTTTTCTTGTATTTTTATTAGAGATGGATTCTTGCCATATTGCCCAGGCTGGTCTCGAACTCCTGGGCTCAAGGGATCCGCCCACCTTGGCCTCCCACAGTGCTCTGGATGACAGGCTTGAGCCATTCTGCACACGCACCCAGCTACCCTCTTGCCTGCTCTGTGTTTGGGTGGTTATGTGTTTATTGGAGGCAGTCAGTTTGAAACTAACTCATGGTGCAGAGGATGGAACCATGGAAGACTGAGCAGTCTGGATTCAAGTGTGGACCCCGCTCTGCTGTGTGAGCTTGGGCAAGTTACTCAACCTCTTTGAGGCTTAGGTCCCTTTTCTGGAAGAGGCCATAATAATAGTAGCTGCAGTATTGCCCTGGGGATTAAATGAGAGTGTGAATACAGAGCCGCTCACCTGTGCTGGGTGGTGTTCTGTGTGCGAGACTCTCTGGTCCCTGAAGAAGGGGTAATAGGGGCCCAAGTGGGAGTTGACTGGGCCCCTGACACCCCAAGGGGTGGGCACTACAAGCACTGAGCAGCCTGGACCCTGGGTTAGAGCGATTTTCCTGATCCTGCAGAGCGTCTTCACTTTTTAATACGAGGTGTGTCTGTCGGGCGCAGGCCCCCGCGTGTGCCCCATCTGCACCCCTGACCAGCTCTGACTCACTCCTCCTGTCTCCTGCCCCCAGCAATATGTCGGACGCCTTGGCCAACGCCGTGTGCCAGCGCTGCCAGGCCCGCTTCTCCCCCGCCGAGCGCATTGTCAACAGCAATGGGGAGCTGTACCATGAGCACTGCTTCGTGTGTGCCCAGTGCTTCCGGCCCTTCCCCGAGGGGCTCTTCTATGAGGTGAGGACACTACTGAGGGCTTTCTCAGACCCAGCTCGGAGTCTGCCCTCTATGAGCGGGTGGGCCGGGCTCCATGCAGTGGTCCCGACTGGTGACAGGGCCAGGTCTGGAGCCAGCCCAGAACCAGGCTTGAGCTCCTGCACGGGCCCATCCTTCACCTGTGAGATGTGAACAGCACCCCAGGTGCCCTGGGTGCTAACAGAGAGCCACCTTTCACCAGCCTCCTCTGGGCAGATGCTGGGCAGGCCCTGGGGGCAGGAAGAGCCTGCCCTGGTGGTGCTTGCCCTCCCTGGGGACTAGACAGTGAGCACAGCAACCGCATGGCCCACCAGCTGGTGCTGATGCCCTGGGGGTCAGGGTTCCCGGGGTGGGGTGCGGTGGTGCTCAGGGAAGGTGAGGTTTGGGCACACCTGAGGGGAGGGAGACATACTGGGCAGAGGGCACCGCATATGCACATACCCTGTGGTGGGAGAACATGGGGTGTATGGAGAGCAGTAGGAAGACTGGTGTGATGGAAGCCGAGGGCATGAGAGGGAGAAGGCCAGGAGCTGAGGAAAGGGAGGTGGATCTCGCTTGGCCCCACGGGCCTCTACGGAGCCATAGGCTTCCCCTCTGCAAGAGGCAGGAGCCACCTCGGGGTGTGGAGCAGAGGAGTCACACTATCTGCTGACATTTGAAAAGGTGACCTGGCCGGGCGCGGCGGCTCACGCCTGTAATCCCAGCACTTTGGGAGGCGGAGGCAGATGGATCACCTGAGGTCAGGAGTTCAAGACCAGCCTGGCCAACATGGTGAAACCCTGTCTGTACTAAAAATACAAAAAATGAGCCTGGCATGGTGGCAGGTGCCTGTAATCCCAGCTACTCGGGAGGCTGAGGCAGGAGAATCACTTGAACCTGGGAGGCAGAGGTTGCAGTGAGCCGAGATCGCGCCATTGCACTCCAGCCTGTGGGACAGAGCAAGACTCCATCTAAAAAAAAAAAAAAAAAGAAAGAAAAAAAAAAGGAGGCTTGTGGCCGCTGTGCTGAGGAGAGGATGTAAGGCGGGGCAGGAACAGAGGCTGGGCCAGGAGGCTGGGGGGACCAGGAGCTGAATTAGTGCAATCACCCAGATGAAAGTGAAGGGGCCCCCACCAGCTCACAGGAGCAGTCGTTAAATCATCAACAATCTTGGGAG
This sequence comes from Homo sapiens, assembly GCF_000001405.40. Classification (NCBI taxonomy): domain Eukaryota; kingdom Metazoa; phylum Chordata; class Mammalia; order Primates; family Hominidae; genus Homo; species Homo sapiens. The sequence continues at coordinate 127,656,228 of NC_000002.12, read as the reverse complement.
CTGGTTGGGCAACAGAGTTATTGTTTAAAAATTAAATTATATCAGCGTACAATGGGATACAATTTTATTAAAAACAAAGGTAACAAATACTCAAAGCATACCACTTGCTAATTATTTTGTTCCACTTTACTATCGTCTATGCTGATGGGGTTATTTCTGTCCATTGTGCTGGTGTGGCCACTGCACATCTCCCCTCAAGTCCACATCGATGTCATGTTGGCAGCCAGGAGTTGGCCATGACGGGAATATTCACACCATGGACACTGGCAAACGCCCCACAGCAGGGCCTGCCTCTGCGCCCCAGAGAGCTGGCTGTTGAGCATTTACCAGAACATCACTTGTGCTTGTGGTGGCGGTGGTGGCCAGGGGTCAGATGCTGGCTCTGTTTCAAGGTAGAGCTGATGGGACTGGCTGGTGGATGGATGTGGGGCCTGTGGTCCGCCTGGCAGAGCAAGAGCCGCTGTTCCTCACAGTGTCTTCAGCCTCCTGAGGAATGCTGTCTAAGTGTAGAGGCAGCGGGAGGGGTGGGCAAAGCTCTAGGAGGGGTGGCCATATGCCCAGAACAAAGCCTCTCTCTCTCACACACAGCAGGTGCCCAGAAGATTTTCATTGCTGAAAGAGTTTAAGCCCTTCCTGACTCTACAGGTCACTGGGTAGGGCTATATCCAGTTTAGTCTAATAAGACACTCATTTTAGAGAACAGGGAAAAACCAATTAAAAAACAGAAAATACAATTGTTAGAGGAAAGCAGAGGCAGGCTTTGGCCCCGCTTGTGGCCAGCACAGGGGCCCTCGCTGGCAGCTGCCGCCTGGAGGGTGTGCACACTGGCTCCTGCTGGCCGCAGCCCTGAGCTCTTCCCACTTCCCCGTGCCCAGGCCCTTCCTGCGTTCCCTTCCTTCTGTCTCCTATACCCGGGTCTTCATGGCCTCTGAGAGAGCTGGATACTCCCACAGAGAAGGTATACGAAATAGGACCAAGTGACACTACACTTCAGACTGGATCTCATCCCTCCTGGCTTAAAACCGCCTCGCCCCCAGCCTGTTCTCCGGACCAACAGGGTCCAGATCCTCAGTAGACACCAGTGGCCCTTTGACAGGTGGCCTCACGGACCTCTCCAGCTTCCACGGGGGCACCTCCCTTTGCACCCCACCATCCCAAAAGGGCCAGTGTCCTCTCTGGCCAGGCCTGGGACCCACTGCTCCAGCCTCAGCCCGGCATGCCCCTGCCTCAGTGCCTCATCCCCTGCTGTCAGGTCCTGACCCAACAAGGGCCTGGGCTGCTCATGGGGATGATAGGTGGTTTGCTTGTCCTCTCTCTGCGACCCCTTTGCAGTTTGAAGGCCGGAAGTACTGCGAACACGACTTCCAAATGCTGTTTGCTCCGTGCTGTGGATCCTGCGGTAAGGCCGGTGACAGTACACATCCTGGGCTGCCTGGGAAGTGGGCAGCAGTGGCGGGGGGCAGGGGGCCGAGGGGGTACACAGAACTGGCCCAGCTCTTTCCTAACTCCCCACCTTGCCTCTCTGAGCGGCAGCCGTCAGGCCCCCTACAGGCATCACCATCCCACGAGGGAGCCCATGGGCCAGGCAGAGAGCAGGCGGAGTGCTAGGTGGACAGGGCTTGGGAGGGTCCGAAGAGGGGACAGGCACGTGCTCCCCAGCCAGCAGGGACCTGTCTTCTTCCAGGTGAGTTCATCATTGGCCGCGTCATCAAGGCCATGAACAACAACTGGCACCCGGGCTGCTTCCGCTGCGAGCTGTGTGATGTGGAGCTGGCTGACCTGGGCTTTGTGAAGAATGCCGGCAGGTGAGGTGGCCGTGTTGGGCCAGAGAGGACTGGGCCACAGCCCTTCCTGGCACACCTGCCACCTCTCCTGTGTGCTACCCACTTGCTGAGGGCGCAGAAGGGTCCCGGTGCTGCAGCCTGCACTGATGTAGCTGCCCTCCCTCCAGGTCACCCCGGGGCGGATAGTCCAGCTCCCAGTTTACAGGGCCCCACGCTCAGCGAGCTCCTGGCAGCCTCTCGGGAGCCATGAGAAATCCTCACACTCTGCCACCCCCCTGGCCACCCCATCTACTGACCCCACCTGTCCACCTTCTCCTGCCTGTACCTGTGCAGCTCAGTGTGGCTGGAGGGAGATGCCCACATTTACTCTAAATTGAGGGCCACAAACCTCATGGGTACTCCAGAAGTTCCCACCTTCTGCGAACCCTTGGTCTCTCATCCTCCCTTCCCAAGCACTGTCCCTATAGCAGGTGGCCTTGTCTCCCACCTCCCCTGGCCCTAGCTCTGAGATCCCGTGCAGCCCGGCCTCTGTCTGTGAGCCCTGTTCATCCCCACACTTTCTCCAGGGCTTGCTTCTCCACGCCACTCTCTCGTCCTTTCTGAAGGACTGGGCTGGGGAGCTGGGTTAAAAACACTGCTGGGCCTTCCTCCCCGGCTTCTCCCAGCACACCCGCTGCCCCTCGCGTGTGCTACCCTGGCCTCATCTGCCCAGGGACCCACACCTCCTCTTGACCCCTCAGCAGCCCTCACCACAGCTGCTGAGGTGCAGAAACGCCCCCCTTCTGGCACCCGGGACCCTGAGTTCCTGTGGTTCTGCCCGCCCCCACAGCTGCACCTGCTCACTCCCCTCCTCTGAGTCACCTTTCTCCCTGTCTCTCCATGGGGAGTCGTCTGGGGCTCCGTGCCCGGCCCTCATGGCTGCCCTTGCAGACAGAATCCTAGAGCCCTAAATGGCACATGTGTCTGGAGAATTCCAGGCTCCACTTCAGGCCTCTCTCTCGCTGTCCTCAGCTGCCCACATGTCACCTCCACTTGGTGTCCACCAGGCATCCCAAACGCAATGAGGCACAAGCAGTTTGGGATTCTCCTCCACTGACCACCAAGGCTGCCTCTGCATGCGTCCCCTGTATCAGTGAGAGGCAGCGCCGACCCCCAGAGGCCCCAGCCATGCTTCCCCTGCCACACTCTCTCTGTCCGGGCACTCTGCTCCCTCCCGCAGCTCCTCCGAGATGCTTCCCCGACACTACCGAGCTCTTGTCCGTGTGCTGCCCGTGAGAGAGGCACGTGGCCTGGGGCCTGGCGTCCGGCCCACTGTCCTCGGAGCTGGGCGGTGCCTGGCATTGAGCAGCTTGTCTAAATGAAGGGCTGAGGGGCAGACGGTGCAGTGCAGGGGCCGAGGGACAGCACCAGGAGCTCGTGCTGACCAGCAACGTCGCCGACAGGGTGTGTGGAGCGAGCCCAATCTCCTTCCTGAGCCAAGGTTTGCACAGGGCCACTGCCCCAAGGGCTGGTTGGGGAAATCTGAAAGATGCTGGAAACGTTTTGGAAAGTCAAACATGCTACAAAAGCATGTTGCCGTAAGGACGGTGCAGGGTGGCAGCTAGAGTGAGGAATGAGGGCCCCTACTTGGCCCTCCCAGCCCCACAGTGCAGAACCTCAGAATCTGGGCAGATGTGCTGTGAGCTGCCAGAGCCCCAGCAAGAGAGCCCACGAGGCTGCCTCTGCCACTGTACCACCACTTCACCATTCTTGGGTCAGAGAAGTTCTGGGAAACGCTTCATGTTGACCAAACATAACAACCTGTGTAGTCTTAAAGCTACAGTTATATTTATGGTCCGTACAAACAAATACAAAAAAGGACATGTTAGGGAAATATCTGCACACTAGCAAGGGAAATAGCTCAGGCGGAGAGAGGCCTCTCTGGAGGAAGTGGGTCTGGGTCAGTGGGAGGCAGGTGCACAGCCCAGCCCTGGCCTGAGCTGAGCTCCCGTGACTGCACATGCTTGTCCAGGACTGGGAGGCCTGGGAGCCTGTCAAAGAGCTCTGGGGGTTGCAGGCTTGTGCGTGGGGTTACAGCAGGAGAGATCCAGAATCCAGAGCTGTGCTGAGTCCCTGCAGGCCGTGAGTGCTGACGTCCGCTGGCAACCAGCCTGAAATGTGTGGCCTGTGTCTCTTCAACTCAGGCAGTGTGTGTCTGGCAGAGGCACTACAGAGGGGACTCAGAGTACCTTGCACTGCAAAGGAGTATTGAGACTCCCTCCCCGTCCCCACCAGGACTCCCAGGTCCCTCTTCTGGGTCATTTGCAGCCTGCCTTCAGGGTCTTTCTGCTGAGCCTCGCCGATGAGCGATTCTGTAGCGGGAAGGAGGCTGGGAGCCTAGCGGGAAAGAAAGGCCTCCATTGTTCAGGGGTTGTTCTTCCGGCCTCCTCTCTCCCTGCCACAGATGAAGTCGTTGAGTGTCTAGGAGCCATTGTAGCCATCACAAGCCCCTGCAGAGGGGTGGCCGATGGATCCCCTTTGTCAGTTCTTCCTTTTTATGGGTTGAGACTAGGCGATCTAGAGAAATGGTGGGCATCTGCTGAGATTTCAGGTTGCTTGCTGGGGAGGTGGCTGGGGAAAGGGCAGATGCCTCTTGCTGGGTCTGCTGAGTCCTAAACAGTCTGCGCTCGGCCTGGACGGCGCCCCCCGCTCACAGCTCTGACTTGGCACTCAGCGAGCTCTCGTTGGTTTTCCCTTCGAAGCTGGGGGGCGGGCCCTTGAGCCTTTTGCCACAGAGCAAGTTGCACAGGGCGTGGCGGAACTTCTCAGCCACGAAGAAATACATGATGGGGTCGAGTGCCCCGTTGAGGCTGGTGAGGCAGGAGGTGATGCGGTTTGCCAGGGCCAGGATGCGCTGGGTGGCGCAGGAGGCCCCATGGCTGCGGTAGTGCAGCACGTAGACGGAGCGGTTGACGTGGTAGGGCACGAAGCAGACCAGGAAGATGGCCAGCACTATGGCGATCATGCGCACTGCCTTGGTCTTGAGGCGCTTCTCCACACGCAGGCCCTGCCGCAGGCTGCGGATGATCAGCAGGTAGCAGGTGACCGTGGTGATGAACGGGAAGGTGAAGGCCACTGCCAGGGACACCAGGGCATGGTGGGAGGCCTTCTCCCGGTACAGCTGCAGGCAGACCACCGTGTGGTTGGTCTGCACGGTCTGTGGGCTCACCAGCAGCGGGGCCATGGCCACAGCCACCACCACCCACAGGAAGGCACAGGCCAGGTGTGCGTAGAGGGGCCTGCGGAGCTTGAGGGACTTGACCGGGTGCACAATGGCCAGGAAACGGTCGGCGCTGATGCAGGTGAGGAAGTAGATGCTGGCGTACATGTTGAGGTAGAAGAGGAAGCCGGTGAGACGGCATGCGATTTCCCCAAATGGCCAGTGGTTCCCAGAGAAGTGGTAGACCAGGCGGGTGGGCAGGACCAGCACGCACGACAAGTCGGCCACGGCCAGATGCATCAGGAACACGTTGGCCGGGGTCCCGGACTTGTGGTCTCGGATGAAAAGCCACAGAGCCAGGGTATTGCCAACTAAAGCCAGGATAAAATCCAGAAGGTAGAAGGAGGCGAACAGCATGTTCTCCAGTGGCGTCTCCTGGCCACATTGCTCTGCCGTGGCCAGGGAGAAGTTGGTGATCAGACCTGGGGGAGCCACTTCAAGGCCATTCATGCTTTGGCTGGAGTCAGAGCCTGGAGGGAACAAGCAAACAGTTCACAATGAGCTTGCGATCTAGGCAGCTTCACGCTCTCTGAAGTCCAGAAGTCAGGCCTCCAATGCCTTCAGAACCTCCCACTTTCAAGCTCAGCACCGCCCACGGGGCTGCTGAGGGGACCTCCTTGTCCATTTGGTGTGCGTGAGCGTCAGAGGCATTCTGAACTTCAGCACAAGGCAAACGCAGAACCAGGGCTTGGAATTTCGCCGCTATGCAGCTGCACCCCTGCCACCCAGGAGATCTGAGGCTCCTCAGAGCTGGGAGGACCGGGTCAGTGCCATGGCGGGGAATGGGACGTGAGCCTTGCCTGGGTGAGGCTCTGGGTTTTCTGTTCTGCCTCTGAGGTGTGCTGTCTGAGTGACAGGGGTGGTGAGGGGCGGGGGCAGTGTGTCTCCGGGATTCCAGCTCCTCCTCAGCCCAAGCCTTGGCAGGTGAGTTCTGTTCATCCTGAGTGCCTGGACCCTCCCTGACCCACCTGCCCACAGGTGCAGTGGCCGGGGTGTCACCGCTTTCTGCTTCCCCTGACCATGGCTTGCCCCTGGCACTTAGGAGGGTGCCCCCAGGATGGCAGCAAGGGCTGTACCCTGGGACGTCAGAGGTCTACTCTTTTTACCCACCTGAGAGTTTCAGCATCTCTCTTGGGGGCTTTCTGGATCCAGCCCACCAACTCCGTTTGGACATCCTGACAGGTGGGGAGACCTGTGTTTAGGAGAAGCCTGTGCCTGGGTATCAGGCCAGCTGGGAGTATTTTCTCTCCCAGAGTAGATCCACCACCAGGGGGCAGCATCTCTTCCAGGAGGGGAAGACCCATTTTACCCAGCGTCAGAGACACTGGCCAGCGCTGTTGAGGACGGATCTGCAGCCCCAGAGAGGCCTGGAGGCCTCGTGGCTTGCCCACGTTTGAAGGCCAAGTGCAGAGCCCTGTGACAGTCCTGGGTAACAAGTCATGTCCGTCTGGTGAACCCTGGGTCTGGATAGGGTGCTCCCCACCCTCAGCAGAGAAACCCACTCTTGTTTTGATTTTAGTCAACTCAGAAGATTGAAGAAGGAGAGTGAGGGTCCCAAACACTCTGCCTCCCCAACCCAGGCCTGCGAGTGGCAGTGTGGGCAGGCGGTGGGGCCAGAGCAGCCCGCAGCCCGGAACCAGGGCAGGACAGCGCACCTGGCCTGCCTTTGAATTGGGGTCACCAGCGGGCTTCGGCCAGGTGGGTGCTGATGATGGCACAGCTTCTGGGGCTCCTCTGGGCACCTGGCTTCCCAGTATCCACCATCCCCACCCTGCACAGCCAGGCTGAAGCAGAGGCTGGAGAGAGGTTTGCATAAGAGAAGCTGGCATCCTGCCTGTGCCCATTGTGGCAGCAGGAGGGGAGGAGGCACGGGCCACAGCCCTGGCAGGGTCCTCATCCTGGGCGAGCCTGGCTCTGCACCGAACAGCCGGGGTCCTGCCTGCAGCAAATTCACTCTGCACATTTCTCCCTGCCCTTCCTTCCTTCCTTCCTTCCTTCCTTCCTTCCTTCCTTCCTTCCTACCTTCCTCTCTCTCTCACTTCGCTTTGCTTGTTTGCTTGCTTTTCTTTATTTTCCTTTTTTCTTTTCTTTTTTCTTTTTTTCTTTTCTTTTTCCTTCCTTCCTTCCTTTCTTCTTTTCTCTTTCTTTCTTTTTCTTTCTTTCCTCCCTCCCTCCCCTTCCTCCCCTCCCCTCCCTCCCCTCCCCTCCCTCCCCTCCCCCCCTCCCCTCCCCTCCCCTCCCTCTCTTTTTTCTTTTTTTCTTTCTCTTTTTCAAGGTCTCCCTCTGTCACCCAGGCTGGAGTGCAGTGGTGCAATCAGCTCACTGCAGCCTCAACCTCCAGGGCTCAAGTGATCCTCCCACCTCAACCTCCTGAATAGCTGGGACTACAGGCGCACACCACCACACCCGGCTAATTTTTGTATTTTTTGGTAGAGACGGTTTTGCCATGTTGCCCAGGCTGGTCTCAAACTCCTGGGCTCAAGTGATCCTCTCTCCTTGGCCTCCCAAAGTGCTCCTTGGCCTCCCAAAGTGCTGGGATTACAGGCATGAGTCACTGCGCCCAGCCCCTCTCCTCTTACTGATTCCACAGGGCTGTCTCAGGATGCTGGTGGCACGGGGCAGAGAGGGCATGGTGACTGTTCATGGACACAGCAGCCCCTCGAGGAGGAGGCTGGAGCCATCCTCATATGGAGGAGAAGCAGGCATGGTGGTGGCCCTAGCCCTAGGGAAGGGTGGGCCGCACCCTTCCTTCAGGAGAGCGAGTGGCCAGCTGCTGTGGCCCTCACATGGAGGGTGAGGGCTGGCCCGAGCACCTGGCCATCAATGTCCTCAAGCAAAGGGGAGGGCAACTACCTAATAATATTACCTTTTAGCTATTTCTCTAGGCAGGTTCCCCTACCTGAAAAGATTGCCCCCGGCTTCAGAGTGTTTCAAGATGCCTGAAGTTCTAACACCAGAGATGGTTTCCTGCTGCTTCCAGGAACAGGGTCTGTTCTTAGTCCAATGTGGAGTTCCTCATGGGGACCCCATTCCCCAGGAATCCAGGTTCCACAGTACTCTGACTTGGTCTGGCTGGTCTCGGCTGGCACTTTCCCTAGGACTGCTAAAACCACGGTGAGGGCGGAGAGCTGAGGGCCGAAGAAGGCGGGGTGAGTGATGCTTGGGAGAGGGAGACAGGCTTGGCTGAAGCCCTGGGGAAGGGCTGAGGGCTGTGAAGGGGGCTGTGGAGGAGAGGTAAAAGGAGGGAGGAACACAGCCCTTGACAGGGCCTGTGAGGCAGGGGAGAACAGGGAGCAGGTACCGGTGGGACGGTGGCAGGGGAGGGGGGCCCATGACTTTGAGGGTGTCGTGTTGCATGTGCTGGGGGTGAGGACCCGGAGACTGGAGGAACAGGGCTCCAGGGCAGACGCATGGGCAAGCAGAGAGGACAGCCCATGGTAGATGGGAGGGGCACACAGGTGTGCTGTTTTCAGGTTGGCAGGAGAGGAGGAAGGTGTGTGCGGGGAGGCCCTGGAGACTGGAAGAGGAGAGGGGGCCCAGTGAGTGAGGGGCCCTTGTTAGAACCTGGGGGTGGGAAGGGGCCAAGGTGGGTGCCCTCCACCCCAGGCTGTCCCTCAGGCCTGTGCTGTGCCCCACAGTGCAGGCATCACCTGGCCCCACGAGAGAGCAGCTCATAGGTACGACTGACCACTCTGCCTGGCATGGTGGGGGCCTGCCTGTGCTGGCTCAAACCAGTTTTAGCCCCATGTTGCAGGTTAGGGAGTCAAGGCTGAGTGTCTGCTAACTTGTCTTAGGTCACTTGACCAGGGGACATTGGCCCTGGAGCTGGAAGTGAGACCGGGGAAACGGTCTCACTCCCTGGAAGACCGCCAGGGTGGGGAGTGTGACTCAGTCTCAGAGTTTGCCATGGAGTTGTCTCCCAGGCTCAGCACCCCCTCCTGGCCCTGGGGCCACTCCCTCATTTTAGGGGCCCATGTATGAAATGAGAATGTGCAGCCCCTTGCTCAAAAAGGAAGAGTTTCAGGACAGTGACGGCAGAGTGTTACTGGGCTCAGGGCCCTGAGTGACGGCAGGGGTGGCATATCTCATGGCACCAGGTGGGCCTGTGGTGCCTCCTGCCTCCAGCCCGGGGGCCTCAGCCTGGGCACTGCCCTCCACTTCCTGCCCGGGCCGAAGGGCGTGCCCCTCGCTCTCTCTGGGACTGAGACTCCATTTTAAACAGCTTTCTGGTTGGTTTCAGGTTTGCTGAGGTTTCTTCTCCCTTTCTGTCCCCCGTTTGAGGAGTTCTGATACTGATTGTTGCAGTTTGGTCTGAGATGGGCCCCGCTTCACTCTCTGTTGCCCTTTAGAAACACAAACTTCAGTCTAGACTCGCTGGTTCCTCACGACTCACTGGTCAGACGGCCACCGAGCCGGTGTCCGTAAGAGGAAAGGGCGTGGCATGGGCCGGGGCCTGGGCAGTGTTGGGTCCCGTGGCTGTGGGTGAGTCGAGCATCTAGGACAGGTCATAGGCCTCTGTGGAGGTGGCAGGTGGGCATGTGTGGCCTCGGGGAGGGCCTGTGGTGGCAGCGCCATGGCCAGGTGGTGGCAGTTTCCTTTGCATTAGCGCCACTCCATCCCTGGCCCGAGCCCTCTCCCAGGCATCTGGCTCCTCTATGGGTCAAGGCTGCCTAATGGTTAGGGGCAGCGGTGCTGTCATTGCAGCCTGGACTGCCGGCAAGCCACTTCCCCTCTGCAAGCCCCCATCAGAGGGACGAAACACCGCTTTGTGGGCTGCTGTGAATTCAGACTGTGGTCAGCCTTCGATGCACAGGTCAGACCATCACCAAAGAGATGGGACGAGACAGGCTGCTGCCTGTCTCCCTGGGCAGGGCTCCCCGCTGAGTGTTTCCTCTGCTTAGCCCTGGGCTCCCAGTCCACCCCACCCAGCCTGCCCCTTACCTCTAGCTGCTGGTCCGGGAGGAAGGGACAGGGGTCTGCGGGGCAGCAGGTGATCTCCGCCCGTGGGTGTCGGTGGTGGCAGGGGGCTCCTTGCCGCTGTGGGTGGAACGCTGGCTATTTAAGGAGAGGAAGGGAGACCACAGCCCCTCTGGCCCTGAAAGGCTGCTTCATTCCTGAGGGGTCCCTTGTTGTGTCGGGCTGCTCCTCTGGCTGCTGCTGCTGCTGCCACCGGAGCGTGAATATTCTAGTGTGTCCCTAGCCCATGCCCCCCGCCCCCAGCTTGGCCACATAGTCTGAGTGTGTGACTGTCTCAGAGACTCAGAGCAGGCGGGGGCTGGGTGGGGGGCTTGGGCTGGAGCTGAGGGACACAACAGGACGTTTCAGAAGGGGATGATTTCCTACTGATGGGGGGCAGGGAGGGGCCGGCTGTCATGGCAACAGGCGGCGCTCCCAGGCCTGCGCCCGCAGACGGCGGAGGGGGCCTGTGAACGGAGGGTGGGAGGCCGAGGAGTCTTGCTCACGGAGTGAGAGGCGACTCTTTGAGGACACTTGCTGTAGGGTCCTTGTGTCCTGCCCTGTATAATGAGGCCCCATTTGGGCACACAGAATAAATCATGGCCTTTATCTGGAGCGAGGAACAGCTGCAGGAGCCTCATAATGGGGCGCTGTCCTGTCCGTGAGGATGCGGCTCAGCTCAGAGGCCGGGTGCTCGCCGGTGCAGCTCCCCTTCTGCACGGAAGCCCATGAATCTGACCGCTGGCCTGGGGCTCCTCCCTGGGGTGGCTCCGGGCTGGGGTGCCTTTGAATGCTGCCGGCGGCCGCCTCTGAGACTGAGTGAACAAAGTTCATTTCTCTCTGTCTTTCTGAAAATGATACATCCAGCAACATGGGAAACCAAATCACCCTTCCTGGTTTCAAAAGACTTTACATTTTGTTGTTTAAACATTGAAAACTGTATGTATGTGGCTAGCATTTAAGGGGCAGTGTCTTAAATTTGTCTCTTCACATCACCCTGTGCAGCTGGGATTATTGCCCCATTTTACAGACAAGGAAACTGAGGCTCAGGCAAATGAAGAAACTCACCCATCAACAAACAGTAGGAAGCAACAGAGCCAGGATTTGAACCCAAGCACATGTCACTCCAGAACTTAGGCTCCGTGTGTGTGTGTGTTTTGTTTTTCTGCTGCATTTTGAATTTAGAATTCTTAGATTTGATCCTAATTCAACCTGAAAAAGAATTCTGAAGGCCACCTTTAGATCTGATGCTGTGATCTGGTCTGTTGAGAAGCTGTTTCCCATCTGGACTTCCTTCAAGAGAGATGGGCTTCCCAGTTTGTCTGGCCTGAGAGCCAGCTGGGTGTGAGGTGTCTGAGCCGGGGCGCAGGTCTCTTTCCTGTTGTGCCCGCAGGCGGCTGTCTGGAAGAACTGGCCCAGGCTGGTTGGAAAGGTGGTGGCTTGAAGCTAACCACCCTGAGCAGGGCATTTCTGGGCTCACAGACCTTCTGTTATTGGGGTGATCACTGTCGATGGCTTCAAGGGCATTGACCGTGGTGATGGAGTTTTGAGGCGTTGAGCTGATTCCTGCATCTTTGAGACAGAAATAATTCCTCGTGGGTTGAGTGTTGTCCTGACGCTCAGGAGGAGTCACCAGAATGTGGAGTGGGGTCATGGGGCCTACATGCTGAGTCTGGGACAGAGGCACCGCAGGGGGCATGGGCTGGCCGCCATAGGCGCCAGGTGGGGCAGCTCAGCCCCAGACCTGCTGAGGAGGTGGCCTGGGGTTGGGGCTGGGGCACAGGTGTCTGGGCAAGGGTGGGCTTCAGGGATTGTGGTGATGAAGACTGAAGCCACAGGCCACAACTGCTTCCCGTCGCTGGGGTGTAAGAGCCAGGGCTCTGGCCAGTAGTCGAGGGGAGATGATGCCCACCGAGGCTCCCTTCCTCTCTTGTAGAGTCATTCATTCACCGAGGCATTCGGTCAGCTGACCCTGAGCTGTTGCCCCCTGCTGGGCACATAGGGTCTTGGGGAGGCACAGAGAGCCAGTCGGCAGCTTAGCCAGTGACTGCTGGGCCTTTGTTTGGGCCCCTTGCCCTGCACACAGCTGATGATGAGACACCCCAGGGCAGATGGAGCACAGTGCTGTGCAGGATGGAGTCCAGACACCCAGCAGTAGCAGGTCCTGGGGTCCAGGGAGGGATGCTGAATGGGTGGCCCTGGCATCTGGGGTCTGCCCACCATAACCTGGGTGGGGATCTTGGGTCTGCGATTGGATCTCTTCCGTATCCTCCCTGACCAGCCTGTCAGAGGGGCCAACACTGGGCGTCGGGCAGCCGTGGAGGCTCGTGAGGAGTGGAGAGGGCCCCTGGGGCTGGGGGGCCTGGGAAGGGAGGCCTGGATGCAGCAGGAGCACCAGAGAGAGATTCGGGTGGCAGGTGGAGACGGGGGCCAGGGAGGTTGGATTGGGGCCTTTGTGTATCTTTGCCTGGGGACTCTGAATCTAGATTCCTGCCACCTTTGAGGTCCAAGGAAACAGAAACCATGTTGATTTGTCTCTCCGTTGAGAACACAGCTGTCGTCCAACACAGCGAGTAGCATCAGAAATTATTCTGAGGTCTTCACAAAAAGACTCTGTAGTGACAGTTCCTGGGTTTGGGGGCCTCCATCTGACATAGCAGTGCTTGTCTTTGGAGACAGAAATCGCCTGTACGTGTTTGGGCCCTTCTTCATCTGGCAAACCCCGAAGGAAGGGGGTGAGTGGGCCTCCCGGGACACTCACTGGCCACTCTGCTGGGCACAGTGACACTCATTATAACTCGTGTGTGTTAAATACATTGGGAAAATAATGCTTTCAGCAGATATCAATTAAATGTCTACTGTATTCTGCAGCATGCCCCAGGCTTAGAGAAAGTAGAAAGAGGAAAATACCATCCAGAGACAGTAACCTCGAGCATTCTGGCATCTTTCCTGCTGAGCATGCGTCCCATTCCCAGGACACACTTGTGACCTTCTGGGCCTTGTGACAGGGCAGTCTGCTTTCCCATACCCTGGGCTGAGCCCCTTTGAAGCCCCCAGCTGCTCAGTGAAGTTGCAGGGGTCTGGCCTCTCTTCTCCTGGAGGTGGCCAGGCTGTGTGGGAGTGGGGGCTCTGCCCCTAATGCCCCCGCCTCCCGCAGGCATCTCTGCCGGCCTTGCCACAACCGTGAGAAGGCCAAGGGCCTGGGCAAGTACATCTGCCAGCGGTGCCACCTGGTCATCGACGAGCAGCCCCTCATGTTCAGGAGCGACGCCTACCACCCTGACCACTTCAACTGCACCCACTGTGGGTAGGTGCGCAGCCCGGCCCTGCAGTTGTGGGGGCGGGGAGCCAGGGCTGGCCCAGGGTAAGGGCGGTGGGGCCTCCACCTGGGGAAGTGTTGAGGAGGGAGAGGGGAGCAGGGTGGGCAGACAGAGGGGTCCCGAGAGCAAGGCTGCAGGGCAGAGGTGGGCTGGGGGCTGGGAAGCAGCCATGGCAGGAAGCTTCTCTCTCCAGGGCTCTGTTTGGGGGGCACTTGAGACTCAGGAGGCGGGTGGGCTGGACCCCTAGACTGCAGACGAGGGTTGAGATGGAGCAGTGGAAGGGACCTGAGGGGGCAGGGCAAGAGACCGGGAGTGGGCTTGGTGCTGGTGTTGGAGAGAGGAGTTGCATAGGCAGCCCCTCAGCCCCCGTCCTCGCCCACCCCCACCGTCCCCTCCAGTCCTCTCCGTGCCTATCCAGACACCCCCTCTGGTTTGGAGGAGGAGGGGGGCCCAAGAACAGACCTGCTTCTCAGAGGCCTGGGTGCAGAACACAGCCCACTCTTCTGGGCTGTGCAGGAAGTCTGTGCTCCAGGGCCTGTCTGGGGCACAGGAAGTCTTCAAAGTGCCCAGAGATCAGAAGGCGCTGCCGCCTCGGCTCTGCAGGGACAGAATGGGCCCCTCGGGGAGCCGTGCCCTGGGGTGGAGGCGCTGCTGGCATGACCCTGCAGAAGGGCAGGGGTGGCACCTGGGGGCTGCACGCTGTCTTCCAGGAAGGAGCTGACAGCCGAGGCCCGCGAGCTGAAGGGTGAGCTCTACTGCCTGCCCTGCCATGACAAGATGGGCGTCCCCATCTGCGGGGCCTGCCGCCGGCCCATCGAGGGCCGAGTGGTCAACGCGCTGGGCAAGCAGTGGCACGTGGAGGTGAGCCAGGCTGGTGGACACGTGGCCTCAGGTTGGGGGGTGCCCCAGCTCAGGGTCATGGTAAGAGCCCTAAAGCTCCTCCACACTCCCAGCCCAGGGCGGGTGGCTGGCTCCCAACGAGGCCCTTCCTCAGGGGTACTGCCCCTCCCTGTGCTCAGCCAGGGACCCCAGCCTGCCCACGGGAGCCAGGAGACCCGAGTGCACACACACGGTTGGGTAGCTGTGCCCACCTCTCCTCTTCCCCCTGCTGGCATTCTAAGAGACTCCAAGGTCAGGAGAAAACCTTGGGGGCAGTCTGTCCAGAGTGCCTGGGGGTTGTGGATGACAGAACCCGCTGCATGGACAGCCCTGTGCAGACACGGAGCTGAAGAGTTCCTCAGGTGTGAGCACTGGGTCACCTGGAGTGCCCCCACCGGGTGGTGGGCTCTCATGTTCTCATGGGTACACTGGGAACAGTGAGCCCACCACCTCCCCTGATGACCTGGCCAGCGCTGTGTCCGGAAGCTGTGCCTTGGGTGGCGGCTTGGGTGGGAGGCCATGCGGTCCTGCCCTGATGCAGGCCCCAGCCCCCAGCCCTCATCCTCACATGCAGATCCCTGGGGGAATGCAAGGTGCTGCTCAGTGATCCCAGGCTTGCAGGGGGTGCCTGCAGGAGGCCCCACGTGGACAGGCAGGGCCGCCTCTGCCTATGAGGGCCCACCATGCCGCAGCACCAGGCTGGCACCTGACTCCTGGGGCTGAGGCTGCCGAGGGGGAGGCCAGACTGGGAGGGGATGGTGACTCACAAGGTTACCATCAGTGCCTTAGAGGAGGGGTAGGGTCTGCTGACCCCAGGGCATTCACAGAGGTGTCAGTCCCCTCTGCCCAGTGTGAATCCTGAAAGGCCTGCACCTGCCCAGACTCTGCTTTCTGTCCCCTTCTGTCACTGCTGCCTCCTGGGGCCACTGTGGTCCCCTGGAGTCACTGGCTCCTGGGGTCACTGTTGTCCCCGGGTCACCACTGTCCCTCGGGGTCACCGCTCTAGCCCTGATGCCACCCGGCCCGCCCTTTGTCCTTGCAGCACTTTGTCTGTGCCAAGTGTGAGAAGCCATTCCTGGGGCACCGGCACTATGAGAAGAAGGGCCTGGCCTACTGCGAGACTCACTACAACCAGGTGAGCCCGGTGCAGAACCTTCAGGGATGCGGGTCTGGAGGGGTGGCCAGGAGAGCTGCCGTGAGCAAGGGAGGCTGTGGGCACCCCCTCAGGAGCTCTGCCAGGTGCTGAGCCCAGGCCTGCACCCTCAGCCCTGGCTCCTGGCCTGGGGTCTCGAGACCTGGGCAGCTCTCTTCAGTCTCAGTGTCTTCCTTTGAAGAATGTTCTGGGGCTGGTGTGAGGTCCCGGGCACATGGGGCTGACAGTGCCAGCAACCCCCTCCCTCCCTTGCTCTGGTACAGAAGGCAGGGGGCGCTGGTGGGATGCAGTCACCACCTGGGCCCACCTCCTTGCAGGACAGCAGTGGCCAGAGCAGAGGGGCCTTCTGGGGAGCAACGCCCCAGCCTGTTGTCCTTCCCGGAAGGGTGGTTCTCATGGGTTGCCGTGCCCTCAACCCAGCCTTGCAGCTGGGCCCTGGGAGGCAGGGCCTGGGAGATGCCTGAGAGGGGCCGTGTTGGAGGGCCAGGCTGGCTGCATGATGGCCCTGGGCTGGGGTGTGACTGCCTGCAGCTACTCTGACAGCCTGCTCGGCCCACAGCTCTTCGGGGACGTCTGCTACAACTGCAGCCATGTGATTGAAGGCGATGGTGAGGCCCTGTGTTCCCTCCCCCACCCCACCTGCTCTCCTGGGGCCTGGGTGCTGCAGCTGTGAGCCCAGCCGGGCCTGCGGCAGCCTAGCCAGGCCTGCTGAGTCCCACGCTTCCCTCACAGTGGTGTCGGCCCTCAACAAGGCCTGGTGTGTGAGCTGCTTCTCCTGCTCCACCTGCAACAGCAAGCTCACCCTGAAGTGAGTCCCTGTGATCGTGGGATGGGGCTCAGGGTGGAGGGGGCTCCTGCAGGTCCTTCCTCTCAGCAGCCCTCCTGCACACCAGCTGAGTCTGGCCTGGGGATATGGTGGGGACAAGGGGCAGCCCGGCCTTATACCACCCAGGGAGATGGGGGCAGGTTCAGGGGGTCTAGGGGATCCAGGGACCCCAGGGACCCCAGGCACAGTGAGAGGAGGAGGAACACTCATGCCTCCAACACACCTGCCAGAACCCTGGGCTCTGGGGAGGGAAGGGCATTCCAGCTCAGGGAACAGCATATGCAAAAGCAGCAGTGTCAGCTGCTCATCCAGGAAGCCTCGAGGGGTGTGGGATGGCTGGAGCTGGGAGAGGAGAGATGGCGTCCAGGTTTCCAAGGGCTGTGGGGAGGCATAGAGGGTTCTGGGGTTTCAGAACCTGAGAGAAGCCTCTGGGAGGCAAGGGAAGCCTCAAGGCCCTTCTCATCCCTATGCTCTCTGGCCATCTCACCCTAGGGCCTGGCCTGCTGGCTAGGAGAGGCTGGTGTGGGGAGGCTGGGGGCTGAGGGAAGCCCACTCCACAGTCACCTGTCTGGGGTTAAAGGGGTGGGCGTGGGGCTCTGCTGACAGCTCAGCTTCCTCCTCAGGAACAAGTTTGTGGAGTTCGACATGAAGCCCGTGTGTAAGAGGTGCTACGAGAAGTTCCCGCTGGAGCTGAAGAAGCGGCTGAAGAAGCTGTCGGAGCTGACCTCCCGCAAGGCCCAGCCCAAGGCCACAGACCTCAACTCTGCCTGAAGGCCCTCTTGCGCAGCTGCCTCTCGGCCCCTCCGCCTTCTCCCCTCCTGCTGTCCATGCTTGGCCCCCTCGTCCCCATCCACCTGTGCCCTCCGCATCTTACCCTCCCTTTCTCTTTCCTCATTGCCTTCTCCCTTCCTGTTCCCTCATCTCTGCCTTCCCCATGTCTCTCCTCTCCTTGGCCGTGGCTTCTGTCTGTGAGGAGGCAGGAGCTGGGGAGTGGGAGCCTATGACCCCACGTCTGACAGCCATGTCCACCTGTGCCCACAGCTTCCGCCCACAGACCTCCAGGGACAGGAGCAAATTGCACCACAGCTCCCCGCCTGGCCTGGCCCTCCCCAGGCGGCTCAGTGGCTCATGCTGTCCTGTGAGAGCCCCTGCCCCAGAGCGGCCCCACTAAGCGCATGTGGCTCCTGGGCTACCCACAGCCAGGGCAGCCTGCTGGAGCCACAGGGCCAGGGCCATGCAGATGGAGGCCTCTGGGAGCCACCTCCAATCCCTCACCACTCACTCAACCAGTGGCACAGTGTCCTTGTGCCCACACTGAGCCAGCAAGTCCTGCTGTCCACACCCACAAGCTACCTGGAGGGACAGGACCCACCTCCATCCTTCGGAAGGCCTTCCTGGAATCCCACCTTGGCCTCCGCCCTCGGTTCCGCCCCGCCCCTCTCCCCCCGACCTTGGGGCTTGTGTCGAGCCCTTGGGTGGGGCCAGGAGGAGGTGATGGCGTCAGAGGAGGTGTGGTCAGAGGTGACTTGTTCCCACCTCCAGGGAGGACGCTTCGTCTTCGGCCAGCGCAGACCTGGTGTTTGTTTGTTGGGCTCACGCTTGCACAATGAAGGCTTGTTCACACAACCACAGCAGCCTGCGTGGTTTGTGGCGGGGGTCGGGGGTGGAGGGGATGGCAGCAGCTCTGGACACGCTGCTGCTGGGGCAGTTGAACAGAGGGACAGACATAGACAGGCACGAGTTCAGGGGGCCCTAGCCTCTATCCCAGGCCAGGCTGCCATAAGCAGTTGAAGACTAGCCCTGCCAGGTCCTCACAAGCCTGGGTGGCCAGGTCCACATAAGCTGGCCCAGTGGGCAGAGGAGGAGGTGGGCAGGGACAGGGCATGCCAGCGAGGTGGGGGAATCCAGGCCTCCAAGGTGCTATGTCCAGCTCTGCCCACTGTCTGTCTGGGCATAAGCTGGCCATAGCATGAAGCCAGCAGCCAGAGAGCCGCACCTCCACCCTGGCCTCCTGGGGGTAGCGCAGGCGTATCAATGCCCCGGGTGGGGAGAAGGACAGAAGGTGTGAGGAGGGGCCTGGGAGGAGAACTCTCCCATGAGTGCCCCTCCCCAGTCTGAGAAACAGGAAGGAAGGAAGGGAGGGGGAGGAAGGAAGCAGAAAGGGAGGGATGAAGTCATTTCTGGAGAATGCAGCTGCCCTCCGGGTTCCCTGGGGGAGTCAGTCACACGGCATTTTGGTTTTTCTGCAGCTCTCTGCGGGCCAGAGCCTCCCAGGCCCCCTGTCCACCTTGTGCCACACCCTGCTCCCTCAGACAGACACACTTCTCCTGCTCCAGGAGTTTTTATTGAACATTCTGGTGGGGTGGGGTGGGGTTGGGAGGTGTCCTGTCAGTCAGTCATCCACCAATAGCCTGGGGGTCCGAGACTCCCGACCCCATTCTGGGCCCGTCTTTTGGCCTCCCTGGGCAGCGCCCAGGACAGAGGGGGCCGCCTGCGGGGCTGAGTGGGCTTTGTATGGGGGGCAGCATGGAAGGCTGCCCGCCAAGGACAGGCCCTGGGTTGAGAGGGCCTGGGAAGGTGCCGCCAGGCTAGAGGTCGGGAAGGGCGCCTGAGCAGACACGCCAGCATCCGCTGCTAGGTGCTGGCCAGGGCTGGGGCCTTGGAGCCCCGCTGCTTGTTCATGGCACTCAGGAGCTGCTGCACATATGAGGTCAGCAGGTCATCCATCTTATAGCCCTGGACAGGGGACGGGGGGGTCAGAGGCTGTGGGTGCAGAGGGCAGGTGGGGGTCCTGGACTCAGGGACCACCTTCTCTTCCTCAGCAACCAGCAGTGCAGGGCATGGAGAAAGGGAAGGCGGGCTCCTGCCATTGGGGCCGTCATTTCTGCTTGCCCTGCTGGAGCTGGGTCTCCCTCCCTCCTTGGAATGGGCCAAGGGCGCAGGGGGTCCCGCCTGGCCTTGCCACCTTGGCTGCTGGTCCTGGGGATGCACCCAGGCCCTCTCCAGATCTGCTGGCCCCGCCTGGGCCCTGTGACTGAGCCCTCTTAGTGAGCCACTTGAAAGGGGTGAGGGTGGGGAACCCAGTCTCCAGCAGCTCTGTCCTATGCATCTTGGATGGGAGAAAGAACCTGAGCTCACCAGGGAGGTCTCGCACAGCAGGCGGCTGCCACGGCCCAGGCTCCCCAGCGCCATGTGGAAGTAGGTGCTGCCGCTGCTCCAGCTGGAGATCTTGGTGAAGGGATAGGTGGTGAGCAGGTCCTGGGGGCAGAGAGGGTGGGTGGGCCGGACGCCTCCAGAGCACGGGCTCTGTGTGTGTTAGGGGACAGGAGAGAGGCAGGACACACCGCAGAGATGACTGCAGCCCCACCTGCACAGGTCCCTGGACCTGGTGGCCCCCAGCCCCTCCGGAGGCCCAGCAGCTACCTTGGTCTTGGGGTGGATGAGCAGAACCCCATGTCGGTTGATGGCGATGAGGATGACGTCCGGGTAGGAAGGCTCCGAGGTTTGCTGGGAGGGAGGGACACGGCGGTCATAGTCCAGCCCGGGAGGCCAGGCTGCACCTCCCAGGAGCTCATCTAGGCCACACGCACATACACACATACACCCACGCCCTCCAGCCTCACGGCCAGCCCCACCCAAGATGTGTGCTGGTTGACGCTGGGCCTGCTGGGGCTGGGCTGAGCGGAGCCTGCTTGGGTAGGAGGCCCTGGCGTGGGGCAAGGTTTACCTTCACCTCGAAGAAGGCGGATCCGAAGGTGGGCCACCGGCAGATCCACTTCAGGAAGGCCACCTTGGCCTCCTCCACTGTCTTGTCCTTATGCTTGTCATAGGCTAGAAGGATGCTCTGGGGGACAGGAGGGCCAGTAAGGACTTGGGTGCCCAGAGGCCCTCCAAAGCCCTGGTGGGGGCAGCACCTGCCTACCCCAGGGCTAGTACGGTGGGGAGGGGAGGGGAGGAATGCAGCATGGGACAGTCTCGGTGCTGTGGATGGCATAGGAAGGCGTGGTGTGTGCAGAGCCAGCCCACCCTCCACACCACCCATGTGCACCCATGTGATCTTGGAGCCCAGGCAGGGCATGGCACTGGTGCAGGGGCCCAGGGAGGAGCAGCAGCACAAGAACCCTTCCCCAGCCCGACCAGGGACCTTTTTCCACTCCTCCGAGGACATCAGGCGTGTGAGGTTCTCAGGCACCAGTTCCCTCAGGATCTTGGGGACACTAGCCAGCTGGGACCGGTCGTTGTTGAACTGGGCCTTGTAGATGAGGCCCGCCAGGTGGATGGCATCCTCCCGCGAACACTTGTGGAATCCGCGCAGGTACTTGGGCAGCTCCTGGGTGATGGACACACTGGGCATGCTGGGTCTCCAGCTGCGGCCCACCCGCCCCCAACCTCTTTCCCGCTCAGATGGTGGGGAACTGGGGCTTAGCCCACTCCATCCAGGACGGACTGAGCAGGGTAGAGAGTTTCAGGCCAGGGGAATGACCCTGAGTCAGGGCAGGGCCCCCTGACATCTGCGTGGAGGTGATGGCCTGCTCCACCCATGTGGTTGGCCCTGCAGGCCACGGCCACTGCTCCATGGGTCACAGGACCCTCTGTCCCACCCTCTCCAAGTCATGCTGCAGGTGCCAGTGCAGTCACTGTCCCCAAACATTGCTGCCCTCTGCTCCTGGTTCCAGAGCCCTCAGGGGCTTGGTCTGCCTACCACATGGGCTGGTACCCAGGGCTGAGGCTGGCCCTGCCCTGGCCTGCTGGCTTCTACAGCCTCAGAACAGGTGTGGGAAGATGGGGGTGGCCCCAGTGCCCACCAGGGCAGCCTGCCCGGTACCTGGTGGTAATGGAGTATGGTGTCTGCATTCACATCCTTCCCTGGAGATATGTTGAGCCACAATTTCCGCATGAAGTACACCTGGTAGGGGAGCGTCACGGGGGCCCCTGGGCGAGGGCCAGCAGTGGGCACCAAGCCTGTCCCAGCAGGTACACCAGCCCTGACCCCCTGCCACCCCCCACACTGCGCCTGCCACCTCCCTGCCTCGAAAGCCCCCACGCTTCTTCCTCCCCAGTCCCCACATTTTCCTTCAATATTAGTGTAGAGGCTGCCTTCTCCAGGAACATTCCTGGACTCGCACTCCCAGCCCATGAGGGTCATGCCCCTCAGCCCTGGGGCATCCTTCATCACTCCAAGGTGCAGCCACCTGTTTCTGCCTGAGCTGGCCCTCACCGCCGGGCCCCAGGGCCTGGTTGTTCCCACAACCCAGGGACACACGGGAACGAATGGATGGATGAATGGGCATGGGCCGCACAGAGGCCGCCAGTGCCCCCTCGACCCACCCAGCCACGCCCTCCCCCAGCTCCACAGAGGCCTCCTCACCTTCTTTCTGGGGCTTGTTCTTCTTCACCCAGTCAGACACCTCCCTCAAGGAATCAAAGAAGAAGTCTCCCTCCTTCTGGCTGATGACCTGGGGAAGGGGAAGGTACAGGGAAGTTGGGTGGCTTCCGGGGACTGTCCTCCTGAGAACCTGCTGGGTTCTGGTCCAGTGGCCGCCTACGGCCTGGGTGCTGCGCTGGAGTCGGCTGTGCGTGGGCTATTGGCGTGTGGAGCTGGCTCTGCTCCAGGACCCCACCTACCTCTGTCCCAGCAGCCCTGGCCGTGCAGCCTGGTCCAGCATGGGTGCCCCTGGTAGGCTGAGGCCCCCACAGGCAGCACCTAGGGCCTCGCTCACTGCCCGTCCGCCCACCGTCTGCCCAGCCCCAGCCCGGCCCACCTTGTCTGAAATCTTGATGAAGAGGCTGCAGCCCTCCCAGGAGGCCAGCTGCAGCCTGGTGGCAATGCTGTCACACACATCCCGCACCCGTGTGTTGGCAACCACCTCCAGCATCTGGACAGAGAGGCAGCTGGTGAGGCCCGGGGCCTGGCTAGGGGCCAGTACAGCCCAGGATGAGCCTTCCTAGCCTGGCACTTTTGCTCCTTCATGAAACTTGGGTTGGATGTGGTCTGCCCTGAGCAGGGCAAGCCTCCCTTCCAGAACCCTGGCCAGAGGTTCATGTTGTTTAGTCCCAGCATTCGCTGTCCTGGGGCCCTGCAGGCCTGGCCTTTTGACTCGCCTTGAGAGCCCAGCAGCCAGACTGTGGGAACTTCCTGTTACCGGGACCCGAATATCAAGGCCAAAAAGACCATTGTGCTGTTGGAGAGGGCGCGAGGCGACACTGCCCACTTTGGCCTCTCAGCCCGCTTGTCTTTGCTGCCCCTGATCAAGGCCTCTGTGTCACGGTGGGGTCCTGGTGGTCTCCTACCTGCCCCCTGGCCCCTTTGTTCCCCCAGCAGCCATGGCAGGCTCTGTGCACAAGGCACACACAGTGGGAATACCTGCTCTCCTGCACCCCAGATGGTCAGAAGCCCCTAGGGGCCCCCAAGTCCTGGGACTCACCCTTGCTGCCCACCCCTCTGTCCTCTCCTGTGTCCTGGGCCTGGATCCCCCAACTCATACCTTGGGACTGGCCTGACTTCCAAAGCACCCAAGGGCAGGTGGGGCCTGCATCCCATGGGGAGAGGGCGGGAGACTGGTTAGGATGGGACAGCCCTAGAAAAGGCTCTCTGGGGTTACCAAGGAGCAGGCTGGGCCAGGAAGGAGGATGCCCCATGGCCTCTGGAGGCCTGAGACTTGCCGTGCAGACCAGAGCAGGGCCTCACCTCACTGGTGTCATTGGGGAAGTAGATCTTGTGGCAGATGCGGGAGACGTTCTGCTCTGCGGCCTCCACCTCCACCTGGTGCGGGGGCTGCTTCCGGGGCCCCGTCCTGAGGGGGACAGCGTGTGCTGCAGGTGCCACCCCCACCCTCATCCTCACCCATGCCCCAGCCCCGATGTGGGCCCTAAACCATGTGCCAGAAACAAAAGAAAACCCCAGTGACCATCACTGGGGTGGTTCCAGCCCCTCGCATGTCCTGGGGGCTGCCCCTGGCTCCACGCGGCCTCAGAGGTAGTGATGGTGCAGCTGTGCCTGAAAGCCTGGGGCACACACGGGGAAGGGCCAGGCCAGGGGCTCCCGGGAAGGCGCCGGCAGGAAAGGCTGGCAGTATTCTTATTCTCGCACAACAGGGGCATCGGGCAGGGGCCAGGGACTCTGGCAGGGCCTCTATGGGGCGCCCACCTCTCTCTGTGACCACGGCTGCCACTGAAATTATGGCCACTCCTACAGTCAACCTGCCCTCCTCACGGCCACAGGAGGCCAAGCCAGAGGAGGCAGGAGGGGTGGGGGAGAGCAAAGACGGCCAAGGAAGAGCTTCACGGCTGTGGGCGGATGAGGGAGGCCGCATGGACTTGGAAGGATGGGCCTCTGACCTCAGCCTTGAGGGCCTGGGCTGGGGCATCCAGGTTTCTCTCTATCCCTCAGGCAGTGCCTCTGTGCCACTGCTGGGCAGTGGTGGGGCAGGGGAGCTGGTGGCTATGACTGAGCCTTCTCTTGACCCTCCTGGGCCTCACCCTCCACCCTCTTCTCTGGCAGCTCGGGGCCCAATCCTGCCTGCCAAGCTGACACTGGCTTCTGGAGAGTCCTCCCAGGACCATGAGCTCCTGGAAGGCTGGCCAGGCCCCACAGCATCCCAGGTCTGCGGGCCCAGGGCCAATGCTGGGGGCTGGAGGCACTGGGCTCACCTCAGGACCTTCTGGATTCGGCGGCTGCAGTCGGGGGCCAGCAGCTTCCCCCTCCGAGTGTCTATAAACTTCTGGGCATGGGGCAGCAGCCCCTTGCTGGGCGGGAAGAGGCCCGTGCACAGCCACAGCAGCTGCCAGCCCCGCTCTTCGCTGTGCCTGAAGGGTAGCACTTGTCAGCCGGGAAAGGCCCCTCAGGGGGCCCTGGCCAGGCAGGCACCTTGGGGAGCAGGGACGGATGTGAGAGCTGCCTGGGGTCTAGAGGGCCCGAGGGGGAGGGCACCTGCCAGGCTGCACCATGCCAGCTGTGCCAGGCTGCCCGATGCCACGGGCTTTCACACCCTCAAGATGGGGGCGGGTGGGCATTGCACCCATTTTGTGGAAGACGACACTGAAGCTCAGAGAGGTCATGGCCTGCCAGGTCACACACAGAGGGTGGGAGTGGGCAGGGCCATCCTCTCCTGCTCTGACCACCCCTAGGACATCAGCAGAGCAGACCAAGGGCCCAACCCTTCCCACTGCTGAGGCAGGAGCCCAGGCAGGGGTTCTGCCGCCACCAGCTGCGGTGTCCTCTCTGAGCCTCGGTCTGGCCTCAGGGGCCGGGATGAGGACTGAGGGTGCCCGCGTGGGCTGGCCGCCGCCCCAGCAGACCTGTTGGAGTTGTGCGTCAGCTGCTTCAGGATCTGGCAGTAGACCTCGTCCTGGAGGGCCGGGTGCTGCAGGGCCAGTGTGAAGATCTGGTCGGTGAGCTCCAGGGTGGGCCAGGCCTGCCGAGAAGGGTAGTCGCCCATGTACCGGAGGATGGGTGTGGCTGTCAAGGAGCACAGTGCTGGGGCAGCCCCACGCTGACACAGACTGGGGATAGACGCTGACCCCGACCCCGGCCCTGCGGTGAGCCATGTGTGGGCTCTGTCCCGCCACTCCAGGTTTCTCAGATCTCCTGGGCTCTCCTGCCCTAGAGCACAGCTGTAGGGCCAGGATGTGCTGGGTGCCTCTGCCCTGGCATTGACGAGGTGCAGGCAGGCTGGTGGGGAAGGATATCGACAAAGATCTGGCAGGCGATGTCCCAGAGGTCGACGTTGGCGTGGACTCGCTTGAGCAGCGGCTGTCGCAGCGGCTCGCAGGAATAGGCCCACAGGTGGCCACGGGCACGGGCCAGGGGCAGCACGGCCATGCTCACCATGTCCTTCTCTGGAGCCCTGTGAGGTTAGAGGCTGGTGTGAGGCCTGCCCTGTGGCCTTCTCTGTCCCACGCTTCTCTGTCCTCTGACACCCCTGAGTGGCTGTGGGAGGGCCAGAGCACCCCACCCTGCCGCAAGCCCCTCCTGACTCCCCTGGCCTGGGAAGGCCAGGCAGGCTCCACATGGGTGGCGTGGCCTCTCTGCAGCTCTCAGTGGGTGCAATGAGGTGGAGCGGGGCTGGGAGCAGGGGGTGCAATGAGGTGAGGTGGGGCTGGGAGGTGGGGGTGCAATGAGGCGGAGCGGGGCTGGGGGGCACCTGAAGAACTCATAGGAGAACTCCTCCAGGGTGTGCAGCTTTTCCTTGGGTGGCTCCTCAGGACGTGGCTCTGTGAACTGCCCCTCCTGAGCCGCCAGCTTCCTCTTCTCTGGTGACATGGCAAGCAAGCTCTGAAGGGGGCACAGGCCTGTGGGTGCCCAGGAGCCACCGCCCATGAGGCCCTTCCTGCAGGCTCCTCCCGGCCTGGCAGCCTCAGTGACTTGGGAGGGGTCAGGCCCAGGGCTGAACAGGCCAGGGCTTACCCACACCCCTGTCACCTGCCGTGTGACCCAGGACCATGACTCTACCTCTTGGTGCCTGTCTCCTTTCCCTTGGGAGGGTGAGTGCCAATGGCTGTGGCACCCACATCACCCGTTCTGGGGGCCACGGCACTCTGGGTTTCTCAGACCCCCAGCTCCCCAGCTCCCCTTCTCCATGGGGCCACCTCTCACCCCAGCCCTGCCTGCCTAGTCTGCCACCAACTTCAGGCCTCAGCACAAATGTCCCTCCCTCGGGGATGCCTTCCCAGACAGGGTAAGTTCCCCACCCTATTATTTGTTCCTCTCCTTGGTGGCACTTTGCACAGTTGCCATCCATGTGTCATTATCTGCCCAAATGTCTGCCCTGAGGGTGGAGCTGCTATTATGCCCAGACTCGTACCACAGGCACAGGGCACATACTCAGCACTCAGTATGTACATGTTGCAATGCCTGCCATTCCTGCCTCCGGAGAGGCTGGTCTTGGGGGCTGGGGTGGGTGGTTCCCTTGTGCAGGGAGAGACTTGAGTCCCCCTGGGTCAGAGTGTAAATGAGGCAGAGAAAGATTGGGTTTGTCCCCCGGACACCCCCATGATGGAAGAGGGAGGGAACACCCATTTATTGAGGACCTACTAAGTACCAAGAGCTGGGCTGGCACTGCACACACACCTTGCCGCAGGAATGGTGGGGGCTGCCCGGGTGGCCCTCCTGGCCTCTGCTAGGTGGGCTGCAGGCCCTGAGCTAGGCCTCCCAACTAGGCATCCCAGGACTGCTCCACCCTGACCTCGGGTACCCAGGCTGAGGACAGGGGAGCGTGCCAGTTACCAGCAGCTGTGCCGAGGGCTTAGTGACCGTGGGGATGGTGTAGAGGCAGGCCATGGGCACCAGCCCCGTCTTGCCTGTCCTGTCGTTCTGGCCGAGGGTCCAGTTCTCAGAGGCCAGCAGCCCCTGCTTCTTTGTGAGGACCAACAGGTCCCCCTTCTTGAAGGCCAGGAGGGTGGTGTCATCTGTAAGGGCAGGGAGGCTATTTGCTGAGGGCTCTGCAGGGGCCAGAGGCTGTGCTGGAATTTTGTGGGTCATCTCCTTTGACAGATGAAACCGAGGCATAGAGTGGTGGGCAGAAGACCACTCCAAGAGTGAGCGATGGTGGGACTGGAACCTCAGGGGCCTCAGACGGCTGTCACCTGCTGCAGCTGCACAGGCACAGAGCCCAGGGTGGGTGGGGGCTCGAGAGCTCTGACTGCAGCCCTAGCCCTGGGAGACCCTCGGAGGGCTGACCAGGAGCCAGGGATGAGGGAGGGGAGGATGCACAGGCTGGCAGTCCCCACGCCTGGCCTGAGTGCTGCCTGCCTCTCTAGACCCCTTCCTTATCTGGAATTTGGAGATGGCAATCCTCTTTCCCTCCTGCGGTGGCCGTGAGGACTGAATGGGGCGATAGGGCAGCACATCTCGGCTGACATTTCTCACTGCCCAAAGACCCCACACACAGCCTCTTCTGCTACATCCCAACCAGCACCCCCTTCTGAAGTCCCTGCACTAACCACACCACCCACCGCCCATGACCACCCGGCCAGCAGGCTGGCCCAGCGGGGGTCCTGGGGCTTTGCCATGCTCCCCCATAGCCCACAGACACAGCCCAGCTCTCGATGGAGTGCTGGCTTGTGGGAGAGCTGTGGCCAAGAACTAGGCTCCCACCCCCTTGAGCTGTGTGACCCTGGGTGAGCTACTTCCATCTCTGGGCCTCTGGCCTCACGTCTGTAAAATGGGATAATGGGGTGCTTTTGCAGCAGTGCGCTGTGGGGATGGTGTTCAAAACTTCCCTGGGCTGGGGGCTGGCCTTTCTCAGTGCTTCTGCAGCAGTGCAGCGCTGAGCATGGCTGGCCTATGCAGGGCTGGAGACCACCTCCTTTAGCCCCTCATTTTGTAGAAGAGGAAGCAGTGGCTGAAAGAAGGCAGGGCCTTGCCTAAAGCTGCCCCCACAGAGCTTTGGGGCCTTCCCTCCCTCTGCTTGCCTTGTGGCTGCTGTGTGGAGATGAGCATGCCACCTACCTACAGACCCCATGCGCGGCCCTCCCCCACCCCACCCCACCCCACCCCACCCCACCCAGTCTGGCACCTGTGGCCTTCCTGTCCTGCAGGGCCATGGCGAAAATGGACCTCTCCTTCAGGCCCTCCAGGAACAGGGCCACCAGCTCAGCGATGGCCACACTGCTGGGTGACACAAACTCGTACTCCTCATGCATCGTGGAGAGCAGCAGCCTCTGCCCGCCCTGGGCCTCCCTGGAGATGAAGGACAGCGTGACCAGGAGCCCCCTCCACCTTCCCCTGATCCAGCCCCTAAACAGCCTCGGGAGGTGGGGTTGGGGGTCCTGAGTCACAGATGAGGACACAGAGCTGCTCTGCCAGGGCCAGGACTAGGCCAGACACCACTGTGGGTCTGGACAAATGAAGGACGGCGGAGCACAGGACCTCTCGGAGGCTGAGAGTGGTGCAGCCCATGTGTGGGGTTGGCTGTGGGCAGATAATGAGGTGGCTGGTGTGCAGTGACACCGCAGGGACACTGCAAAGGTCAGAGCTGAGATGAGCTGCCGGCTCTGCCATGTGCTTACTCTGAGCCACCTAACCTCGGCGTGCTTCAGTTTACTCATCCGCTCATCTGCAGAATGGGTGATGCTGTCGGTACTTCGTGGCATACAGGAAAGTGCCCAGCATGGTCAGCCTCAGTGAGAGGTGGCCAGTGGGGAGTGGTGGCCACTGTACACCTGGCACAGCCCAGAGATGCATGTGCCACTCTGTTGTGTGCTTCAACCAAGGGGCGCTCTGGCAGGGCTTGGGTGGGACTTCCCAAAGGGCATGGAAAAGTTCCCAGTCAATGAGATCCATGGAGACCCATGGGAGTGGGGGTCAGCCCCAGCCTAAGAGGACCCCCAGCCCTGCCCTGTGCCCCAGGACACACCAGGCACTGTCCCTTGTCGCCTTCCCAGACAACCTGTACCCTCCAGGCCACCAGTTCTCGTCCATGACAAAGAAAGGAGCCTTCTAAATAAGTGCCCGCCAGAGGCTGCACGCTTCCCTGCCCCTTCCGGGTGGACCTGGGTTTCAAAGAGAAGCTGCCAGTGCAACGCGTGATGCCCCAATGGAGTACTTCATGGGCAGTACGGCCTGGTGCAGGAGGGTGGGGCTCCGAAGTACAGAAGCCATCGCATACGTAGATTCTTGTCCCTCCACCCCGGCCTGTTACCCGGGACGGCACACTGCCCCTCTCCCCATCTCTCCCCGAGCCCCCAGATGCATCACAAGGACTCAGTGTGTAAGAAGAGATCTTCCCTCAGGGCCCGCACCTGTTGGTGGCCAGACCCATGACCTCTGGGAAAGAGAGTTCCAGCAGCATCTTCTCCTGCTGGTCCAGGAAGCAAAGCCCCTTCCAGTTAACAGCCAAGATCAGCTGCGTCTTGGGCAGGCGGGGGCCTGGCCAGGAGAGACGGCAGTGTGAAGGCTGCATGGGACCCCTGGGTGCCCAGCCCATACCTGCTCCCTGCCCCCTGTCAGATGCCATTACCTGAGAGTGTGATGACTTCGAAGAGCCGGGAGAAGAGCAGCGGCCACTGCAGGCGGGCGGCGTCCACCACCTGCTCTCGCACGGCCAGTGGTGTGACTTGCTTCTGAGTGTATGGGGCCTGAGGGGGGATCCTGGATGTCACCTCCGTCACCTGCCTTCCCTAGTGAATCCCTCACCTAGTGCTCAGGGTAAAAGAGTTGATGGATCCTTCTGAGAAGGCTCTACAAGGCCAGTGTCTGGAGATGGATCCTGTAGGGAGGCACCTGGGACGTCCCCAGGGACTGGTGCAGCCCTATCCTTTTTTTTTCTTTTTTGAGACAGAGTCTCGCTCTGTCACCCAGGCTGGAGTGCAGTGGTGCGATCTTGGCTCACCGCAAGCTCCGCCTCCCGAGTTCAAGCGATTCTTCTGCCTCAGCCTCCCGAGTAGCTGGGACTACAGGCGCGTGCCACTGCGCCTGGCTAATTTCTGTGTTTTTAGTAGAGGGGGTCTTGCCACCTTGGCCAGGCTGGTCTCAAACTCCTGACCTCAGATGATCCACCTGCCTTGGCTTCCCAAACTGCTGGGATTACAGGCATGAGCCACCACGTCCAGCCTGGCGCCACCCTATTCTACCTGGGAGGGGTGTGGGGACCCTTTAGGAGGAGGGAGGAAGGCCATCCCGTCCCCTCATTAGCATCTGTAGGGCGGGGCTGCGCTAGCTGTGGAAGGCGCTGTCTGTGTGCCCCAGCCCAGGCTCGCTCTTGCCAGCCTATGCCTTGCAGGATTGTGACTCGTTCCGTGCAGGAGGGCATCTTGCTCCGAGTCTGTGTCCCGGGTGCCTCTCTTCTTTCTTCTCTGGAGCTCTTCTGTGTCTCTGGGGGCCTCTCTCGGGGACCACCTCTAGCTCCTTGTCTTCCAGTCTCCTTCCTTCCTCTTTCCTAACTCCCCACCTTCACCCGTTCCTCTCCCCAGCACCACTGTGCTGTGTCCATCACCGACTATAATATCCAACCGAACTCTCTTTTCACTGTTGAATACAGCGTTATTTCTTAGAAAAGTGGCTGGGTACTATTCATATACTGGCTTTGGGAATGTAATAAATGCATCAAATCTGAAGGGTGATTTGAAAATATTCGATATGTATCGAATGTTTAGAATGTCCATACACTCTGGCCTGGGGGGTTCCCATGCACCCAGCGAGGGGATGCTGAGGCCCAGAGGCAGGCAGGGGGGCCCCCAAGGCCATGGTATGGTCAGCAGTCAGCCACTGCAGGTGCCCTCTCATCCCAAGAAGCGAGGGCCTGGCCAGACACCACAGTGCAGACCAGCACAGGGACCCATCCAAGATGCCAGCTTGGAAGGAAGAAGGTGGCATGGGCCTGTGACAGAGAGCTGAACTGAGTGGGACTGCTTAAACCTGAAGGGACAGGGCTCTACTTAACTGTCAAGCTGAGGCTTGTTGTTCCCCAGGGGGTGGGGGTTGTGGGGAGGGAATCCATCTCCTCTGTATACCATGAGCCCCCCCACCTCCCAAAGGAGAGCCCTCGGGTGGGTGCCTGAGCTGCATGCAGGCTGACCTTGGCGCAGGCGGCAGTGACGAGGCTCGCCCACCTGTCTGGGGGCTTGGTCCTGTACAGCTTGTGGGGGATGCAGCTGGGCAGCAGCTCCTGGACAGCCTTGCTCTCTGCTGAGGCGCCGAGCTGCACGTAGCAGTGCCGGGCCAGCAGCTCAACCAGCTCTTCCTCCTGCACAGCCCAGGGCACCCACGGGGGCGAGTGAGACAAGTGAGAGCTCCCCCCTTCCCCAGGATGCCCCTGTCCCGTGGCCGGGCTCTTGCCCCATCACAGGGGAGCTAACCTGTGGCTCGGGCAGGACCTTCCCCCTCCCTGCATGCCCTGACTGGGCCACCATGCAGGCTGGGAATCCCAGAGGCCTTGGCCAGAGCCTCACAGGCCCTCTGCCTGAGGACAACGGCTGCTCTCCAGTTCTGGGGTGGACCCAGCAGGGTTGCTCTGAGTGACAAGGCGTTTCCTCATCTGAGTTCCAGTCCTTGGTTGTCAAGGGAGACCAGTAGCCCCCCTTGCGGAGTTTCTGCTGGGGCCCAGCTGGGCAGCACCCAAGGAGCCCCTTCCCTCTGGAAGACCAAAGCCTCTTGGAGCCTGGTCCCCTGCCACCCCCTGCCCATGCCTCTTCCAGGCGGGCTTCCTGCACTGCTATGGCCGCCTCCAATGGGTCCCGGAACAGCATCTGCCTGACTTGGCACAGGGAGGGTTGTGCCTGCTGCCCCCAGAACTTCAGGGGTACGATCACTCTGCTTTCTCACAATCCCCTACAAAAGAGCTCCCGGTACACTCCGCACGGTCCAGGTGAGAGCCCCTCCCGAGCCCCCCAGTCAGATGAGGGCCCAGGGCTCTGCGGTGACAGGACTTTCCAAGGTCACAATGCCAAGAAGATGGGGAGGTGGGATTCAGACTTAGGTGTTAGGGCTCCAAGGCCATGTTCTTGGCCACCAGATCTCACTGCCCCATAAACAGAGCAGGAGAGGTGAGGCCAGGCAAGGCCTGGGCCCTCTGGGACCTGCTGCCAGAACCACGGACCCCGGAGGCTTGGACATACCTGTGGCCTAAGGGAGGAGGAAACAGAGGCTGGGCCTGGAAGGGACCTACACCCTTGTGACCCCCTTTCCTGCCCCCCCACCTTCTACCTGGCCTCAGAAGCCAGTTGGGTGCCTCCTCTATGGGATGTTTCCTGATGGCAAAGCCTAGGGTGGACCTGGCTCTCAGGCCCCTCACCTTCTCGAAGCTGTACTCGCCAGACCAGACTCCTCGGAGGACTTGGCGGTAAATAAGCTCGGTGCTGACAGGGTCCTCCCGGGAGTCGTGCCAGGGGGTGAAGAATTCCTTCCGGAAGTAGATGCGCCAGGGTGACTGGCGCTGGCTCTCGCCCCTCTCCTGGGCCATCTGCTCACACCGGGCGATGGCATCCATCATGTGGTCGCGCCCGCTGCCCAGGGACCAGAACTGAGGCCAGAGTCGGGGAGCAGGGGTTAGCGGCTGTTGCATGCCCCACCCCACGGGGACGCCCACCGTCAGCGTGTGCACGTAGAAGACAGGGCCTGGGGCCCTTGGAGCCCAGCGTGGGCTGAGTGGACACTGCTGAGCCCGTGTGGACACCTGAAGGGCTTCTCCACACAGCAATGGCCCATCTGCCACTCCCCATTACTCTCCCTGCAGCCCCTTCCCTAAGGAGGCAGACATGAGTCTGGCCGATGTGACTCATCCGGCGCCTCGGTTGGATGACTGGTGTGTGAGTCTGAGGGTGTGGGCGTGGAATTGGGGGTGCCTATGTGGGCGGTGAGGGTCTGTGCTGGTGTGACCCTCCATGTTTGCTGCAGGGGTGTCCACAGCTCCTGGGCATGAGGGAGTTTGGAGCAGGAGACTGGTGTGAGTGCCTGATGTCTGTGCGTGGCTGCTGGGTGGGGGACCAGGTGTGCATGCGGCACTGCTGGGGCTGAGGCGCAGCTGCAAGGTGACCATATGAGTGCGGGAGGAAAGGCTGTTTGCTCTGTGTGTGTGCACCTGCCTGTGCCTGGTGGCTGGGAGGGTAAGCAGTGCTGTGCCTGGCAGCTGGGAGGGTAGGTGGTGGCCGGGCTGGAAAGGTGAGAGGGCTTGAGCCTCAGGGTGCTCTCCCTGGGTGTATGAGGGAGGCGGCTGACGGGCAGGGTGCCTGGCTGGTACCTTGTCGTACACGGCGACCTGGAGGGAGAAGCCCAGGTGGTCGCTGAGGCCCTGCTTGTGAGCGATGTGCATGCACATTTCCCGAGATGTGGAGGCTGAGTCCACGGGGACGGTTAGGCTCTCTCCAGTGGCCAAGATGACTTGGATGGGGATGTGCTTCTTGGACTTGACAGCCTGGGGACAGATGAGATTCAGTTCCCTGGCCTCTTGGAACCTATGGACAGGAGGCCAACCCCCCATCCACTACCTCCCTCCTCTCCCCAGCCCATGGGCCCTGCTTGCCATCCCGTGGGTTCCCAGGGGTGGGCCCTCTGAAGCCCCAGGCCATGGGCTTGGCATAGAAAACAAAATTCAGGCCAACAGGTGTTTGCCGCTGGAAGCACAGCAACCAGGCAAGAGCAATGTTAGCCACAGGCGTCCAGGTCCTCCTGGACCTCCAGTGGGGGCAGCCTGAGGCCATAGTGGCTGCTTTTATGAGAATCCTGAGCTTGGTGTGGTTCAGTGACTTCACCTCACAGAAGACCAGGAGCTCTTGGGAATCTGAGTCCAGGACTCGGGAACATTTTGGGGCCTTTACGTATTGTTCCCTTGTGTCAACATGCACAGCTACTGCAAGTTCACCTACAATTCCAGGGCTCGTGGGAGGGAGCCCCTGTGGGCTCGGGGGCAGGGTGAGAACAGAAAGAAGGTGCAGCGGAAGTGACCCACAGCTCCTGGTATAGGGCACCTCGGGTCACAGGGCGGGCACCTGCCGGGGTTAGGCTGGGGCCAGAGCTTTGTGTAGAGCCGGGTGCAGGTGTGCTCTCGCCACCCTGGCTGGCTGTTCTGAATGACCCTTCCTGAGAAAACAGCGAGAATTCACAGATGACACAGTTGCCAAAGCAGGTCGAGGTGGCACATGTGCCCAATAGCAATGCCACCAAGGATGCCAACCATGGTGTGACTACTGCCCTTGTCACCAAGTGAAATGCCCTTGGAGGGGAGTGCTGGAAGCAACTGGCGCACTGTAATGCTAATGAGTGGGTCCGGTGATCTTCCCCTTAGCTAGTAGGGCCCTAAAGGAATATGGATTTGGAGATGGGGGTCACGCCTGGGGAGGCCGAGCCCCAGGGGCACTCACAGGGACCACTGGCATGGGAGGTACTGCAGAGGAGATGGCGGGGCTCAGAGGACAAAGTTCTGTCCTAGGAGAAGGCACCCCATGAGCTGTGCTGGGGGTCCCTGGGGGTCTGCACCACCCCACCCTGCCCGCTCTCACCCCTGCCAGCCCCTACCTGCAGCTCCAGCCAGGTGGGGGGCTCCGCACGCACCCCATTGGCATAGGTGCGTCTCAGGCGCTCGGCACAGAAGGGGCCGTAGGTCGCCGGCCCTTGGCCGATGAAGTTCAGTAGATACTGGTGGGTGAGGAGGGGAGAAGGGAGGAAGACACTCAGAAAGGAGGCCAGTTTCTACTCACCACCCAGGTGGACTTAAGAATTATAATACTCAGTGTATAATGTGCATTGAGGGGCACCCTCACACCCGTTAGAAGGAACATGGATCAGTGTGTTTCTGAGGAGCAGTTTGGCAACACGTTTTAAACGGTGCATAGTCTTGATGTGTGCACACTCTTTGTCACAACAATGCAGGCCTATCCTAAAGGTGGATGTGTGGTTTTTGATTGTGATGGCCTCTATGGTGATGAATGACTGGAAGATGGACTCTAAATGCCCACCCCCAACCCCAGTGCCTTCTGGAACAGCGAGGCATCAAGCTGGCATTTGGGAGGTTGACACCATGAGAAAACATAATGAAGACAGTAAATGAAAAGTGCAGGGCCAGGCATGGTGGCTCACACCTATAATCCCAGCACTTTGGGAGGCCAAGGTCGGAGGATCACCTGAGGTCAGGAGTTTGAGGCCAGCCTGGCCAACATGGTGAAACCCCATTTCTACTAAAAATACAAAAATTAGCCTGGTGTGGTGATGCACACCTGTAATGCCAGCTACTCGAGAGGCTGAGGCAGAATTGCTTGAACCCGGGAGGCAGAGGATGCAGTGAACCAAGATCGCTCCACTGCACTCTGGCCTGGGCGACAGAGTGAGACTCCGTCTCAAAAAAAAAAAAAAAACAAAAAAAAAAATTGCAGAAGAGTCCATGTCCCCAACATGCTCAAGAAAACACATTGAAGTTCTTTTTGTCTCACAGAGAGATGTTATTTCTTCTGCCTTGGGGTGGGGAGGAACAGCCTGGAAGGGTTTACTGGTGTCAGGAGCAGCCTGAGTGCCATGCGCAGATGGCTTCAGTGACCGTGGTTCCTGCTGTCCCCAAAGGGACATGTGAGAAAGTGTTTTCTGTTTGATCACAAGGACCCTGTAACACCACAAAAGGCCAGAAGGAAATATTAACGGAAGTTAGCTCTGAGTGTGGGGGTGACTTTTATTTTGGTTTTAGATGTTCTGCATTTCCACATATTACTTTTATAATCAGAATTTAAAGGCATATTAAATCAGTGAAGCTTGGGGCCACTAACACTCGGCCAACCCAGCTCCATTTTCAGTCCTAAGAACTAGAAAGAGGTGCCGTGGCACATCTCCAGGCAGGGCCCACTCCTGGACACCTGTCTTTTCAAGGCCCGTGTCATCTACCTTCTCATTTTAGTCTTGAAGCACCATCCTGACACCTGAGCCAAAGTGAAATGGCCCTGCAGACCCTGCGTAGGGGCTGGAAGGAGCCAGGAGCAGGGTCCTCTTTTCCAGATGGGGAAACTGAGTCCTGGAGAAGCATAGGCATGGCTGCCCATCTGGCCTGCAGGAGCAGGAGAAATGGGCCACGTACTGGAATCTGTGGACCTGCTCCAGGGCCAGGGGCCACCTACGCTCCCACCAGAACCTGCCCCCTGCCCGCCCTCCCTTCATGAACCCTCTCACCTTCATGAACCTCTCTGAGGGTGGGAAGCAGCCGAGGCAGAGGCTGAGCAGGATCCAGCCCCGGGCCAGGCTGCTTGTTTTGAAGTTCTCCGAGAGCTGCTTGCAGATCTGGCAGTAAATCTCATCCCTGAAAGACACAGACCATTAGGAGAGTAGGCTGGGGGCTGGAGGAGGAGAGGAGACAGGGGTACCTGGGCACACAGCTCTTGTGCACCTCTGAGAGGTCCCATATGCAGGGCACCTCTCCAGCGCCGGGGCCCTGCCCAGCCTCCTCCTCTCTCAGGACAGTGCCACCAGGCTCTGCATCCCTACTCGATTCCTCTCCCATGGCCTGTGCTCTCGGTCCTTTAGGGTGGGGCTCGGCTTCAGGAAGCAGCAGGTTCTCCAGCCACAGCCCTGTCCTCAGCAGCCGCGCCCTTTGCACAGCCCATCTGCTCCCAGATGTGCGGGATCCCCAGTCTCACGGTGATTACAGTCATTTCTCTCTCTGCCTTGAGGCCCCACCTCCCTCCCTGAATGCAGCCCCTCCCCTCCACAGCAGAGAGAAAAGTGAGGACTTCATGGGAGCCACTCAACCCCATCTCCTGACCATTCCTACTCCCACGGTCTGTGGAGCCTCCCCACTCCTGGTGGGGGTGTGTTGGGGGCGGTTCTCTCCTGCGTCCTTCCCCATGGACTCAAGCCTCTATCATGTTATAAAAGTGGCCCATTAACACCTCAAATGCCACATCTCCAGAGGCCAGCATCTTTCCCCTAATACTCAGTGGTGTGCTGGTAAATGTTTATCAACCAGCTCCCCCAAGAAGAAAAGCCCAATTCACAGCATTTGCTTATTTCTGTGGTGTACATGTTCCCACCAAAGCCAATGTCAACTGCGACACGACATCACCGAACAGAGATGGGAAGCAATGTGCATGGCTGGCTCTCTGAGTTCCTGCATCCCTCCTCTTTCTGTGGTCTACAGGCATCGCCATCAGCCATTCACCCAAACTGGAAATCTGGGGGTCATCCTGGAGCCCTCCCATCCCTTCATTCCTCCAATCCAACCAGCCCCCACCATCCATCCAGCCCCCACCACCCAGCCGGCACCCACTACTCAGCTGGCGCCCACCACCCAGCCGGCCCCCACCATCCAGCCCCCACAACCCAACCAGCCCCCACAACCCAACCACCCCCCACCACCCAGCCAGCCACCACCATCCAACTGGCCACAACCCAACCAGCCCCCACAACCCAACCACCCCCCACCACCCAGCCAGCCACCACCATCCAGCTGGCCACCACAACCCAACCAGCCACCACAACCCAACCGGCCCCCACAATCCAGCTGGCCACCACAATCCAACCAGCCTCTACCATCCAACCAGCCCCCACAACCCAACCAGCCCCCACAACCCAACCAGCCCCCACAATCCAACCAGCGCCCACCATTCAGCCAGCCCCCACAACCCAACCAGCCACCACAATCCAACCAGCCCCCACGATCCAACCAGTGCCCACATGCTACCATCTGTCTCCTGCATGTTTCCTCTGTCCCCTCCTCTTGGCTCCTGTTCCTTGGGCAATTCCTCATCAGCTCTCTCTGGATCTCTGTAGCAGCCCTGCCTGGCCTCCCAGCCCCAGGCTCCATCCTGCCACATCGCCAGGGAGGTCTTTCTGGAAGTCAAATATGATCAAGATCCTCTCTTGCTTAAAACTTTCCCCACTTCCCTTAGGATGGAATCCAAGCTCCATGCCCCAACAATGGCAAACCACTCATAAATTCCAGACCCTGTGGGCTGTCTCAAGGGTGACTGATGCAGGCCGAAAGAGTGAGGGTCGTGATCAGCTCAGTATACCACTGGAGGCTATATGAGCAAACAGCAAACTGTTCTCATAAAAGCAGAATGTTGGCAAACTGACAAACTGCGTCTGCCGCCCAGAAGGAATGCTGAGGGCAGTCACGACCCAGGCACAAGTGTTTCTTGTGATTATCTACAGGGCACACCTGAAGCCTGTTAGTAATAATATGAACCTGTGATCAGTTAAGCAGCTGACCAATCGTTACCTCCTCCTCCCTGCTTATTCTACCCAATAAATACTAAGGGCTGAAGAAGCTTGGGGTGGGGGCTGTCTTTGCTTACTAGGAGTAGGGAGCCCTTTTTCTTCCCCTGGCCCCTTTAAAACAGTTTCTTTTGTTTTAAGTTTTCATTTCTACGTTCATCCCCCTTCGTTCCGTCTCGTAATGACGGTCTCAAGTAGTGACAGTAGTAACTCCCGTAATGACGATCTCAAGTAGTAACAGTGGCAAATTGCTGCAAGTGCTGCCTGGACAGGGACGTAACAGGGACAATCAGGGACAAACAGACCTGAAGGGACCTGAAGAGGCCTGCAGGGACAAATAGAGATAAGTAGGGATAAATAGAAATAGAGACAAATAGAGAGAGCTAGGGAAAGACAGGGACTTGCGGGAACTAACAGGGACTATAGGGACAGATAGGGATAGACAAAGACTAGCAAGGACTAGCAAAGACTAGGAGAAACTTGCAGGGACAGACAGGAACAGATAGGGACAATAGGGTCCTATAAGGACTTGAGCGAGGAAGGTCTGCTGGAGCAAAAAAAAAAAAAACTAAAGCCCAGAAAAAACTAAAACCAACCAGATGAATAAGAAACCCCGTTACAAGGCCGGGCGCGGTGGCTCACGCCTGTAATCCCAGCACTTTGGGAGGCCGAGGCGGGTGGATCATGAGGTCAGGAGATCGAGACCATCCTGGCTAACAAGGTGAAACCCCGTCTCTACTAAAAATACAAAAAATTAGCCGGGCGCGGTGGCGGGCGCCTGTAGTCCCAGCTACTCGGGAGGCTGAGGCAGGAGAATGGCGTGAACCTGGGAAGCGGAGCTTGCAGTGAGCCGAGATGGCGCCACTGCAGTCCGCAGTCTGGCCTGGGCGACAGAGCGAGACTCCGTCTCAAAAAAAAAAAAAAAAAAAAAAAAAACCCCGTTACAAGTCTGCTGGCAGCATAAGGTCAGTGCTTTAAAAAGGTACTGGTCAGTGTCCTAGAGGTACAAAGAACGGGAAGTTTTTCAATCAGGGTAACATGGGGAAGAATTTGGTTCTCTTCTCTTTTTTGTTTGGAGTTTGGTACATACCATTTTCTTGTCATTTCAGGGTTTGAGAGAATTTTTTGCCCCACCTACAGCACCTATCGAAAGTGGTGAACGGGAGAGGAAGGATGAAAATTGGCTTGTACCGTCTTCTTTTGCAGCTACAGAAAGGCGAACTTTAGCTTTGTCTTTCGTGGCTTGTAAACGTGCGCTGGTACCTGTGAGATGTGCAGAGGACTTGGGAGGTTTTCTCAGAGCTTGTCAAGATGTGGGAACTGAGCTTCATTGCTCTGCAATGTTGACTCAGGCAATGGCTAATTTGGTAACTGACAGATCTAAAAGAAGCCAAGGGTTAAGCCCTAAAGTGGGAAAATGTTATAAATGTAGGAAAATTGGACATTTCAAAAAAGAACACCGCCAGACCTCTGGGCAAAAGGGATCTTATAACACGGTTCCCCTCCCAACAGAAAAACACCAAGACTTTGCCCTCATTGCAATAAAGGAAATCATTGGGCTCATCAGTGCCACTCAAAATTTCATCAAAATGGCACCCCCCTGTCGGGAAATGAGAAGGGGGCCTGGACCTGGGCACCTCAAACAATGAGGGCATTCCCCATCCAGGCCACAGCTCTGCTTCAGGGGTGGGTCTCCGGAGGCACATTAATTCCCTCTCTCCAGGAATGCCTGGAAATGCAGGATTGGATCTCCCAGTCGGAGTGCGTTACGTTAACTGGAGGAGACAAACTCACTAAGATTCCCACCGGTATCTGGGGACCTTTGCCAACAGGATATGTGGGATTAATTTTAGGTAAAAGCTGTCTTAATTTACAGGGCATTATTGTAACCCCAGGAGTTGTTGATTCGGATTGTGAAGGAGAAATTCAGGTGGTGGTGATATCACAAGGCCTTTGGGTTTTTGAACCGGGAGAATAAGTTGCTCAACTGTTGCTTATTCCCTGTAAATTGTACCCTTCTCTACGTAAGAAGAAGCGAGGAGGTCAGGGATTTGGAAGTACAACTAGGAGACAGATTTATCTATCACAACCCATAGCATCTAGTAGATCCACTTGTGCAGTGTAAATTGAAGAAAGTAGATTTTGTGGGCTTATGGATACGATCTCTCATGGTAATAGAGCTTGAGGATTTTTTTTTATTGTTATTGCAGGAGAAGGATAAACTCTTGATTTGTTTTCTCTGTGCCTTCTGTTAATCAGAAAGAGCCTGCCTCTTGCTATCAGTGGAGTTTTACCCCGCGGTAATTAACCAAAGAGGCAGAAGCTGAGTTGCAGCTTGTGGAGCGGATGCTTCAGCAACGGCATGCCTCCCGGCTGCAGCCACAAAAGCCTTTGCTTCTGTTTCAGGAGATTTACTATTGTGGGAACGAGGGTATGCTTGTGTTTTCACAGGAAATGAACAAACCATGTAGGTGCCCTCAAGTTGTGTGCGACCATGCAACGGGAGACTGGAGGGACCTGTGGATCCCAACCACGGGCCTGGTTCCCCCAGTACCAGCTGAATGCGAAGACGGAACAAACCACCAACTGGCAATTAAGGGCTGCACAGCCTGCAATTGCCTTTCTCAATTAATTCAAAACAAAAAGGGAGAGATGTTGCAGGCCGAAAGAGTGAGAGTCGTGATCTAGTATACCACTGGAGGCTATATGAGCAAACAGCAAACTGTTCTCATAAAAGCAGAATGTTGGCCAACTGACAAACCGCGTCTACCGCCCAGAAGGAATGCTGAGGGCAGTCACGACCCAGGCACAAGTGTTTCTTGTGATTATCTACAGGGCACACCTGAAGCCTGTTAGTAATACTATGAACCTGTGATCAATTAAGCAGCTGACCAATCGTTACCTCCTCCTCCCTGCTCATTCTACCCAATAAATACTAAGGGCTGAAGAAGCTCAGGGCGGGGGCTGTCTTTGCTCACTAGGAGTAGGGAGCCCTTTTCTTCTTCCCCTGACCCCTTCCTTTAAAAGTTTC
Source organism: Homo sapiens (assembly GCF_000001405.40). NCBI lineage: Eukaryota > Metazoa > Chordata > Mammalia > Primates > Hominidae > Homo > Homo sapiens. Next base: position 127,615,392 of record NC_000002.12, on the reverse strand, counting down.
TTTTGTCTTCAGTTTTCATTTCTACGTTCATCCCCCTTTGTTCTGTCTCATAACGATGGTCTCAAGTAGTGACAGTAGTAACTATCGTAGCAATGGTCTCAAGTAGTAACCATGGCAGTCTGTCACGGGTGACCCGTCTACCCTTTCCCTCTGTCTGGCAAACACCCCTCCTCCTTCCTTGGCCCAGGTAGGCACTAAGGCCACTCCTCCTTGGTGCACCTGTGGGGCCCTGAACAGACCTCCATCTTAGCACTGGTCCATCTTAGGACCAGGAAATTCACTGGCATTGTGAATTTCCTGGTCCTCTCGTGCCCCCCAGCTAAAGGGTGAGCTCCTCCAGGACAGAGCCATGTCTTCTTCATCTCTGTCCCTGGCCCTCAGGCTGGGGCCTGACCCAGAGTGGGTAATGAGCAAGTGTGTGTGGAATGTGTGACAGATGTGGAACAGGGCATCTGCTTTGTCTGGGAATTTCACCAAGGCCCTGCAGCCAAGGACAAATGGATGCTCATATCCGACGTTCTAAAGAGACACATTCTTGTAGGATTTACTAAAAGGTGGCAGAACTAGTGCAGCCACCAAGCCACCTCCAGCCTGCATAAGGGAAGATAAGAAATTTGGAATGTGATTCCTGGAAGGGACTTCATGGGGATAGAGAGATCTGTGGCCCATTTCCACTCCCTGTAAGTGATGAGGTTGGTGAAGGGGACCCCAGGAGAACTGGGGGCTGCCAGAGAAGAGACCCATGTCACTCCCCATCTGATGCCTGCTGAGCTCCAGAAGCCCATTTGCCACCTCCCAGGGTACTAGAATAGAGCCTGTTGATTGAGTTCTTGCTAGTGCTTGACTTTTGTACTCTGGAGTTAGGGACCTCCATGAACAAAGACATTAGCGCCTGCTTGTTCCTGGAGAATTCTGAGCCCATCCTGATGGGCAAGGAGGAGAGAGGACAGGAGATGGGAGCTGTACATGTACTGTATGGTTGGGCAGGCATGAGCTTCCTGCTGACCAAAAGATGTCGTGGAAGGAGCTGAGCTTCAGGCATCTAGATGGGATCCCACACAAGCAGGCAGCCCATTTTCTAGAAGACCCCAGCAGTAAGAGGCTGTGGGATGTTCCACTTCAGCCTAGAGTCAGTAGGAAGTCTCAAGGGATCAGTGTTGGACAGTATCACTGCTGGACACCAGCACTGTATGGGAGTGCCTATAGGGGGTGTCTGAAGAACCCAAAGTACACATCATTCGAATATAGCTTTTATGTGTCTGCCATATTGGAGGGTGTGGTGTGGTGGCCAGTGAGGATTAACCATGAGAGAATTAGAACCAGCTAAGTCAGAAGACTTGCCCAGCTAGTGTCATGCAGGCAGCTAAAACTTGAGAAGCCCTGTAGTCTTACTGGCTTGAAGAACCAGAGGAGAGAGTTTAGGGTACCCACAGTAGCTTGAAAGTGAGAAGGGAAATCTTGGAATAAAGACAATCAGAGGAGTCCTAAATTTTGCACATAAAATCTTCCCAAATCTCTGGTTGCCCCCTGACACACATGGTGGGGCAGACTCCAGGTACTCTAGCCAAGGCTAAAATAACTAAAAAGGGATTCTAGCTTCTGCTCATCATGGAGGAGACAGAGTTTGAGTCCAGCCAAGGTAGTTGCCTCCTAAAACAAAAAATCAATGCTCTTTGAAAGAGTATAACAGAATCCAGAGTCTCTAACGTATCATCCTCAATGTCCAGGATACAACCCAAAAGTACTAGACTTATGAGGAAAAAACAGTCAAGTACCAGATATATGAGCAAACAAACACACCACCATCCTCAAGAGAAAAGACAGTTAATAGAGACTGACCGTGAGATGACCCAGGTATTGGATTTGCAGAAAAGATTTAAAAACTACTGTAAATCTGCTCAAGGATATAAAGGAAACAATGCTCATAGTGAATGAACAAATAGGAAATCTTGGCACAGAAATATAAAAAAGACACAAATACAAATTCTAGAACTGAAAAATACAATATCTGAAATAAAACATTTGTTGGATGGATATGACAGCAGACTAGGGAAGACAAAAGATCAGTAAATTTGAAGACAGGTCAATAGAAACTATCCAATCTAAAGAACACAGAGAAAAAAGAAAGAAAAGATAAGCAGACCCCTAGGTACCTGAAGAACAATATAAAAGAATCTTACAGAGGCTTAATTAGATTTTGAAGGAAAGGAGAGAGACAGAATGGGGTAGAAAAATATGTGAAGAAATAATGACCAACAGTTTCCCAAATTTTGTTAAAAGTATTAACCTAAAGTAAGTGAACCCCTAAAACACAGTAGTCAGTCCCTTAAAGCAGTGAACAATCAGTCTCTGCATGTTCGGATTCTGCTTCTACGCATTCAGCCAACACGGATGGGAACTGCAGTGTTTGCAGGCTGACTATACGTGTTTCTTCTAATTGGTATAGAAACCCATTCCTATAAAGCAAATTGTATATAAAGCACAAAATGTATAATATAAATGAGGAAGCCATTCATTTACAGGGCCCTGCACTACAGCCTGTTCTAAAAGGAATCACTGGTCCATGATGACTCTTTTCCTAAAACCGGGTTTTACTCATGGCTTTTTTAAAAGGCAGAGCACATAGAGAACCCTCGGTAGCTATGACATCTGCTGTCCTGAGACCCAGCCTGCAGGCCGCAGGACAAGGAGGTGTCATAGGGGTGGTGGGGGAGGCTGTGGCCATGGGCTGAGAGCCAGTGAGGGCATCTGATGCTCTGAATGGGGCCGGGATGGGAGTGGGAACTGACCTGAGGCTGGGCCGCAGGATGGCGTAGCCCACGATGAAGTGCACCTTCTCCAGGTTGGACATGGGCCGGTCTGCACCAAGGCCATCAGGCTCCAATGCCTCCTCTCCAATGTTCAGCTGGCTGGCCACCTTGAAACCCAAAGGCAGCCATCAGGACAGCTATGATTCTCCCCATCTGCCAAGTAGGAAACTGGTGCACAGGGAGGGAAGCAATAGACTGGAACCCTGTAGCAGGCCAGCAGCAGCTGGGAGCAGAGATTCTGTGCTCTGGGCTCACCTGGCCTGTGATCCGGGAGGACCGCTTCAGCTTCATGGAGGAGATATCCTTGGTCCCCTTGTCCTTGCAGCCAGATCTCTGTGGAGGGAGACAGTTCCCGCAGGAAGGTGAGCCTGGGCTCACCTCAGTGATGCTGACCCCACAGCCTCCTGGGGTGGAGCACGTGTCCCTTTCACCCAGCCATTTCCTGGCCCGATTTATAAAGCACCATGCAGTCCCTCAGCTTGGTAGAGCTTTACCACACACACATACAGGTGCGTGTCCCATCCTCACTTCCAGGTGTGGAATCAGAGGCTCAGGGAAGGCAAGAGACTAGACAAAAGCTGCTCAGTGGGTCACCAGCCCCCAGGGAGGGGCTCAGGGCTGTTCTGATCCCAAAGCTTGTGCCTCTCCCCAGTAAACCCCTGGGAGGTGGGACTGGGTCTGAGCCCAGGTGCTTAGGACAGCCCCAGGCCATGGTCATTCTCAGTAAAGATAGCAGATGAAGCAGGATGCTCTGCCACTGCAAGGTGCTCTGCAGGGGATCCGAAGAGCCGGGGTTGAGAGGCCAGGTAGGAGGGAGGGACTGGCTGCAGCCACTACGATCTGTTGCTCTCCTTAGGCAGAGGCCGCCCCTTCTCATGATGGCGTCATGAGAAGAATTTGCTGCCAAAATTGGAGCTCAGTGTGGGACTGAGCTTGGGTGGGGGTCAGCCTGGTCCAGGGCCAGGCACCAGCTCCTGGGTGCGTCAAAGCTGGTTTACCGTGCAGGGGCTGGCCATGAAACACATGAGCTGGCAAAGTCCGTGAGGGCAGTGAGGCTTGCTGGGCTCACTGCTCTGTGTCTGGGGCACGTCATGGATATTTAATAAACACATGCAGGACAGAAAACCTGAGATCTGACCTCTGGGAAGCCAGTCCTGCTTCCCCCCATGTCCACCCTTCAGAGGTGCTGGTTGGCTGGACTGCCTCCCAGAGTCTTTTCCCTGAGTGGCTGCCAGCCTCCAACATGGCCCCCGTGATCCCTGCGTCCTGAAATTCCTGCCCTGTGTGGGCCCCTCCCACAGCCACAGGTATGTGACTTCCAAGACTGGACATTTGCACTTTCCTTCTTGCTTTTCTTCTTGGATCACTCATGTTGAGGGAAGCCATGTTGTGAGGATGCCCAGGCAGCTTTGTGGAAAGGCCCACATGACAAGGAACTGAGGCCTCCCACCAACAGCCATGTGAGTGAGCCCTCTTAGGAGCAGCCCCTCCAGCTGTCAAGCTTTCAGATGACACCATCCCCAGGGGACAGCTTGACAGCAACCTCATGAGGGACCCTGAACTGGGACTATGCAGCTAAGCTGCTCCTGACCCTCAGAAACTGTGTGAGATAATGAATGTGTGCTATTTGAAGCAGTTAGGTTTGGGGGGGGTAATTTGTTACACAGCTACAGATATCTGACACACTCTGGCAGAGCCCATACCTCTAGAGATCAAGGAGTCAGGGCTTGGGCCTGGGCAACTTCTCTGTAATTCCTGGACAAGGTTGGCCATGTGATGGGGCTGCAGGCTCCTTTAGATTCCTATGCAGTTAGTCTGCACACAGGACCCCACAGGTATTGAGCTAAGTCCCAGCTGGTTACCTGGCACATGGGGCAGTCATGGGCTCCTGCCACTGGCGGGCCACTGAGTGCTGTCACTGCATGTAATTCATTTGGACTGTTCTTGGTTAGTTCCACTAACATTACAGCATGGAAATGGACCTTAGGAAGGACTTCTGACCAAAAATGGATGTGAATTAACTTTCATTAGAGGGCAAGGTAGAACATGGGTCAGGAGCTCAGTTTTTGAATTCAGCAGAATGGATTCAAAGCCCAGGTCCCATACACATGTCCACTGCAACTGGGGGCAGGTCATTTCAGCTCTTCATTTCTTTAGCTATAAATAAATATAGTCATCCCTACCTTGTAGGGTTGGCCCACCTGGGAATTGAATTAAGAGTAGCAGCTGGCACAGAGCAGGCTGTCAGTCAGTAACACCTGTTATTGTTATTGTTATGTGCATCTGAATCTGGCTCAAGTCACACCCAATACTCAGAGTCCAGGGCACCCTCTCCGTTAATGACTGTATAATTCAAAAAGCCCGGGATGGGGATTCATGAGCTCCTGAACATGGTTCAATACTGAAAGTGCCTGCACCATGGCCTGGGGGCTGGGTTCCATGGGTAAGGCTGAGGACAGGGCTCCAGGTCTTGTCTCTCCGTCCTGTCCAGCTGCCCCAGGGACTGGGCCCTGGTAGGCACCTGGTAGGTGTCGCCCTCCTCTGCCCGCTGCTGCCCCCCACTTGCCTGTGCAGATCTACTGTGCTGTGGAACCTGGGCACCGTGCTCCCTGCCCAGCGTGTCATGGATCTGCCGCATCACTGAGCTGCCCTGCTGGCTGCTCCTGGCATACAGCACTGGCTCTGGGAGATCACCCATGAACCTCAGGATGACGTTCCATATGACCAGGGCGGCCTGGGGAAACAAGACAGAAGGCCCAGTGGGAACCCATCAGTGACTATGGCCCCTTCCTTCTTTCCCCGAGCCATAGCTCACACCCCAGGCTCGGGGCTGGCCTGATCCACTAGAAGCCAGTGAACCCTGGTACCAAGCAGTCAGTGTCATCTTCGTGGTAAAGCAACGGGTATCGGAGGGGCCGCCGGATGTGTGTGTGGCTGGCTGATTTCTGGAAGTAAGTCACAGCAAACTTGGGGAAGGTGTACTCGGCCAGGCCATCCACATCCTCCTCAGGCTCCTCCGCCATGGGGACTGTGTCCAGGTCAACCTCAAGCAGCTTCTGGGTCTTCGATTCCAGATCCTACGGCCATTGAGGGAGAACACGGGTCAGCAGGGCTTTCAGGTAACAACCAACCCATCAGCTGACTGTCCAGCAGGCCGGGCAGCACGGGGGCTGTTGCATTACCCTGATCCCTCAGGTGCTGGAGACCACCCATCCCCACATTCAGTGGGCTCAGGTGGGCTGCCGTGTGCCAGCACAGGGCTCTCTACACACCCTGCCGGGCAGGGGCAGGGCTCCTGCCCTCTCCCCTCCTGGCCCCACGCTCAGACACTGTGTCCTCTGCCGCATGCACCATCCTCACTGCAGCTTCCTCAGCCACACTGCAGAGCAGCGGCCTCAAAGGTGCTCTGGGGGTGCCCGGGTGGGGTCAAATATACGCGGGGAATGCCATGTGATGGAGAGCCCGGCAGCATTGGTAGAGAAGGCTCCAGGAAGTCTTGCAGGTGGGAAGCCTGCCTGACTCGAAGGCTTTGACCACAGAACCCACGCACGCTCCCCTCTTCCGTGTGGGACCAGCAGGGCTGCAGCACACACTTGGCCACCGCTCTGGCTTCTCAGGGAGCCGAGAGGTGGACTGAGTTCACGGACTGGGCAGGCTTCCCTGTCCCCACCCGGGGCGGATTGTGGACACCAGGCTTGTGTTACCTCAAAGTGCGGCGAGGCCTGGCCCTCCTGGCCCCCAATCATGGCAGGGAGGAAGCCGAACACCTTCTCCACCATCTCCGTGTCAGTGACGGTGTCGTAGATGGATCTGCGCTTCTTGGCAGGGAGAGCGCCTTGGCTTTTCTGCCCCTCGGCCGGGATGACCAGCGGCGCCTGCATACCCCGTGGAGGAAGGTTACCCAGGGGCCCAGCAGGGCTCAGGGGGCCCAGCCCTGCCTACCCCACAGGGCAAGCACCTCCCAGAAGCCAAGTAAGCCTCATCCTGCCATCATTTGTCCAAATCAATATTCTGCTCTGAAACAGTAGATTTTAACAGCTAGTGTGGTTAGAGATCAACCAGCCAGGGCTTTCCCTTTCCCAGTGATAATCAGAGCTCTGGAGAGGTGAGGTTGCTGGCTTGTCCCTACCCTCAGATGGCTCTTAAGGCACCCCTTCAAACTCCAGGGACCCCCAGGAACCCAGCTGCACAACCACTGCTCAGGACCACTTGGTCCCTTTATTCAAAGGGCAAAAAGGGTCCACCAGGACAGGTCCCCAGGGGCTGCAGTAACGAAGTCACAGATAAGGCTGCTTTGCAGGCAGCTGGGGGCATGCGGGTGCAGAAGCATGCTGCTGACGTGTCTATGGGTGCATTCTCTCATTTGCCCTGTTCACTGTATTAGCAGTGTGCTTAGTAGACCAAGTTTTCATCCATGGAGCAGAAGTCAACGTCATCCTAGCCCCTTTGCCTTATCACAACTTCCAAATGAGCCAAGTGTGAAGGTTGAGTCTCGAGTACTCGATGGAGGAAATGGGGTTATTTTCTTGGTGCTGTCCCCCTGCTCAGTGTCCTCCCAGCCCCCCAGACACTCAGCAGCTCCCCTTGGTATTAATATTTCTCTGTCCCCTGAGCTGTCATACACAGCCCAGTAACCAGGACACTTTGCTCTCTTCCATGGAACTGGGGCCTTTCCCAGCTTGTCTGGCTCAGCTTTGCTGCACCTTCCAGGGGACCAACCATCCCTGCCCCAGAAATCATCTCCAAGGTGAAAGGGAGGGGACCTGAGCTCACCTTCCAGGTTCAAGGCTAAGGCTGTCCCATTGACCTGCTGCCTCTCCCATGCTATACCCTGCGTGCTCCTGGGTGGTGGCCACGGCTCCCCAGCCATTGCAGAGCCATTGTAGAACTGACTTTGAATAGGGAGAGGAGGACGGTGTGTCTCTCGTGATAGCTACATCTCAGCCCAGGTGCCTGCTAATTTGCATCTTGTGTCCTGTATCCTTGCTGTGCTCTTGAGTAATTGAACAGATTTTAACGTCTTGGCTTGTGGCGGGGGCGGGGGGATTTTCCAAAGCGCTTCTGGTGAGCTCTCTACACAGCCGCTCACTCCTTCTTGCCCTCACCCACTGGGGCCCCAGCCAGCCCCACCTGCCCAAGAGGCCAGGTGACCACCTACATTGGCCTTCCTTTGCTGGAAGTTGCGCCGGGCAGCCATGCCCCTGGCATGGGCCTGAATGACCACCACTGCCCTCCTCTTGGCCTGGACTTGCTGGCGCACCAGGTATCCCCTGCACAGGGCCTGCAGCTGGACTGTCCTCTGCCGCATGGCCTGGTACTGCCTCGCCAGCGGCTGGCTCCGGGCAATAGCCTGCAGGCGCTCAAAGCCCACGAGGATCTGCGGAGGCAAGAGAGAGGTGAGATCAGGGGCAAGAAGGCCTTCCCCAGGAAACAGAGAGGGGTGCTCCCCAGGAGGCAGTGCAAGATAGATTTACAGTTAGTTTTGTTTTGGCAAAGGGCCGGTGCTAGAATGGTACACACCTATGAACACAAGAATAGTGAGTTATTGCTTACAAAGTACTTAGGCCAGAGCGTGACATGCAAATAAGTGCTAAATAAGCATTTGTGAAATAGCATAAATAATAAAGTGGCCTCCTTGGGGCCGTGGATGGAGAGAATTGGTGTGGATTTCACATGGGTGAAATGGGAGAGTGGATTCCTGAGGCCCTGCTGTCCACATCTGCCAGCCAAGTTCAGCTGACTTGCTCACGGGCTAGCACACCCGTGTGGAGGCCTGTGGCCACTCAAATCCCTGAGGGCATCTTTAAAGTAAAAGTGCAGTAATAAATGGATGAACACCACGTCAGTGCCGCAAACATCCCCTGGGCCACAGCAGTCCCTGGGCTTCCTAAAGACCTGCCCAACGGGTTGGCTTAAGAGCTTGGAAGTCACAGCCCCTCATCTAAACCCCAACTCTGGGGTTTACTAGTCTCATGCTCTTGGGGAAACTGCTCAACCCCTCTATGTCTCAGTTCCTTGACGTACAGAGTTGGTTTAATATTAAATAAAATGATGTATGCGAAGCAACAGGCCCCAAGGAACTGCTCCACACAGGTCAGCTACTATCATGCCATTGGTGGGCATGGAATGCAGGCAGGCTGGGCCAGTCTTGCTGATGTGACCATTTCGTGTCATAACCAGTCACATCCGTGACAAAAGCAAGTGGCCAAGTGACACAGGCACAGCCATGGTTGCTCTAGTTCATTCCTTTGAGCAGATACTCATTAGCAAATGCCCGTGGTTAAGAGAAAAAATTAGGAAAAGGTACTTGGAACAAAGAATAATCAATCCATTTGCTTATTTGTTGCCTGCAAGTTGGGAAAAGACAGGAGGTATTCCATTCCAGAGCAGGACACCTAGTCTAGCTCTGAGGATGCTCCAAATTCTGCAAAACATTTTGAAGCCTGCAGACCATGGGGCCAGAGATTATGCTAAGAAGAGACTGTGTGGGATGCTGAGGTCTGATCATTTTAAATTTGCATGCCACGTCTGTGAATGATTTGATCCTTCCTGCCTGAGGTCTCTCATTCAGAGAAACAAACTTTACAAATCTGTCTTTTACTGGACAGTTACCCGCTGGTCCCGCGGCCCAGCCGCCCCAGAGAGCTCTCTCACCAGCTTGAAATTCCTCCTGTTGCAGTAGCCTCTCCACCAGGCCTGCAGGGTCACAGCTGCCCGCCTCTGCCTCAGGAACTCCTTCCTAGAAGGGCAATGCAAGCCACACACATGTAACAATCCCAGATGGTTTAAAGCTTCTGAGGGAGAAAAACTGGTTTGGAAGGGAACAGGGTTAGTGAAATATTGGGAAAAATGAATACGTACAATCCTTTCTCAGAAGGTGTTACAGACCAAAAGACGCACAGGCAGGTTAGGAACAAAAAATCTACTATCAGCAACCCAAATTTGTGGATGATGACAGTCCAGTGTTTTTTGTTTTTTGTTTTTTTAGATGGAGTTTCACTCTTGTTGCTCAGGCTGGAGTGCAATGGCACGGATCTCGGCTCACTGTAACCTCCACCTCCCAGGTTTGAGCAATTCTCCTGCTTCAACCTCCTGAGTAACTGGGATTACAGGTGCCTGCCACCACGCCCAGCTAATTTTTGTATTTTTAGTAGAGATGGAGTTTCACCACGTTGACCAGTTTGGTCTCAAACTCCTGACCTTAAGTGATCCACCTACCTCGGCCTCCCAAAGTGCTGGATTACAGGCGTGAGCCACTGTGTCCAGCCAACAGTCCAGTTTTTTTAAGTTATCAGAAAATTCTCCCTCATTCCCTCTACCCCCAAAGAGCTACAAAAGGATAAAACTTACTTCCGCATTTTTATTGCAGACGGCCCTCCTCTGGCCACTAGCCCAGGGCTGGACACGGAGAAGAAAACCTGAAAGCTGGGCTCTGGCGAGACGGAGTCACTCCCAGGCAAGCTCAGTGCATATAGAGATGCAGGCATGCCTCAGTTTATTATGATGTTACTTTGCTCTATTGCACTTTGCAGATATTGTGTTTTTAGAAATTGAAGGTCTGTGGTAGCCGTGTGTTGAGCTAGTCTATTGGTATCATTTTTCCAACAGCATGTGGTCACTTCATGTCTGTATAACGTTTTGGCAATTCTTGCAATATTTCAAATTTTTCATTATTATTACATCTGCTGTGGTGATCTGTGATCTTTAGTGTTACAATTGGAATTGTTTTGGGGCACCACAAACTGCACCCATATAAGATGGGAAACTTAACAAATGTGTGTGTTTTGACTGCTCCACCAACCAGTAGTGCCCCATCTCTCTCTCTTTTCTCTGTTTCCCTGTTCCCTGAGACACAGCGATACTAAAATTAGGCCAGTTAATAACTCTATAATGGCCTCTAAGTGTTCATGTGAAAGGAAGCATCTCATGTCTCTCACTTTAAATCAAAAGTGAGAAATGATTAAGCTTCGTGAGGAAGGCCCGTCCAAAACTGAGACAGGCCAAAAGCTAGGTCTCTTGCGCGAAACAGCCACGTTGTGAATACGAACGAAAAGTTCCTGAAGGAAATTAAAGGTGCTACTCCAGTGAACACATGAATGATGAGAAAGTGAAACAGCCTTCTTGCTGATATGGAGACAGTTTTCGTGGACTGGATAGAAGATCAAACCAGCCACAACATTTCCTTAAGCCAAAGCCCAACCCAGAGCAAGATCCTAATTCTCTTCAATTCTGTGAAGGCTGAGAGAGGTGAGGAAGCTGCAGAAGAAAAGTATGAAGCTAGCAAAGTTTGGGTCATGAGGTTTAAGGAAAGAAGCCACTTCTATAACATAAAAGTGCAAGGTGAAGCAGCAAGTGCTGATGGAGAAGCTGCAACGAGTTATCCAGAAGATCTAGCTAAGGTCATTGATAAATGTGGCTACACTCAACAACAGATTTTCTTTCTTTTTTTTGAGATGGAGGCTCCCTCTGTCGCCCAGGCTGGAGTGCAGTGGCGTGATCTCAGCTCACTGCAACCTCCACTTCCCAGGTTCAAGCGATTCTCCTGCCTCAGCCTCCCGAGTAGCTGGGACTACAGGCTTCCACTACCATGCCCGGCTAATTTTTTGTATTTTTAGTAGAGATGGGGTTTCACCATATTGGCCAGGCTGGTCTCGAACTGCTGACCTTGTGATCCACCCACCTTGGCCTCCCAAAGTGCTGGGATTACAGGCATGAGCCACCACACCTGGCCAACAGATTTTCAATGTAGACAAAACAGCCTTATATTGGAAGAAGACGCCACTAGGACTTTTCTAGGTAATAGAGAGGTATAGAGAGTTCAGTGCCTGGCTTCAAATCTTTAAAGGACAGTCTGACTCTCTTATTAGCAGCTTATGAAGCTGGTGACTTTAAGCTGAAGCCAATGCTAATTGACCACTCTGAAAATCCTAGGGCCCTTAACAATCACGTTAAAGCTACTCTGCCTGTAATCTAGAAATGAAACAACAAAGCCTGGGTGACAGCACATCTATTTATAGCATGGTTTACTGAATATTTTAAGGCCACCATTGAGACCTACTGCTCAGAAAAAAAGATTTCTTTCAAACTATTACTGCTCATTGACAATTCACCCGGCCACCCAAGAACTCTGATGAAGACATACAAGGAGATTAATGTTGTTATGCCTGTGAACAAAGCATCCATTCTGCAGCCCATGGATCAAAGGGTAATTCAGACTGTCAAGTCTTATTTAAGAAATAAATGCCATAATGCTATAGCTGCCATAGATAGTAATTCTCCTAATAGATCTGGGCAAAGTCCATTGAAAACCTTCTGGAAAGCTTTCACCATTCTAGATGCCACTAAGAACATTCATGATTCAGGAGAGGAGGTCAAAATATCAACATTAACAGGAATTTAGAAGTTGATTCCAATCCTCATGAATGACTTTGAGGGGTTAAGACTTCAGTGGAGGAAGAAACAGCATATGTAGCGGGAATAGCAAGAGAATTAGAAGTAGAAGTGGAGCCTGAAGATGTGGCGAATTTGCTGCAATTTCATGATAAAACTTGAATGGATTAGGAGTTACTTTTTTTTTTTTTTTGAGACAAGGTCTCACTCTGTCGCCTAGGCTGGAGTACAGTGGTGCAATCTCGGCTTACTGTAACCTTCACCTCCCAGGCTCAAGTAATCCTCCCACCTCAACCTCCTGAGTAGCTGGGACTACCGGTGCACATCACCACGCCCGGCTAATTTTTTGTATTTTTAGTAGAGATGAGGTTTCACCATGTTGCTCAGGCTGGTCTTGAACTCCTGAGCTCAAGTGAGCCACCTGCCTCAGCCGGTCACAGTGCTGGGATTACAGGCATAAGTCATCTTGCCAGCCAGGAGTTGCTTCTTATAGATGAGCAAAGAAAGTGTTGTTGTTGTTTCCTTTCTTTGTTTTCTTTTTTGGAGACAGGGTCTCACTCTGTCATTTGGGCTGGAGTGCAGTGGCGTCATCAGAGCTCAACATAACTTTGAACTCCTGGCCTCAAGGATCCTTCCACCTCAGCCTCCCAAATAGCTGGACTAGAGGCATGCACCACCATGCCCAGATAATTTTTGTATTTTTCTTTTGTAGAGATGAGTTCTCACTACGTTGACCAGGCAGGTTTTGAACTCCTGGCCTCAAGTGATCCTCCTGCCTTGGCCTCCCAAAATGCTGGGATTACAGGTATGAGCCACCGTGCCTGGCCAACACTTTCTGATGTCATTCTACATGTATGTAGAGAAAATAAGAAAATTGTATTACATATGAGAGAAGGTAAATGGACATAAAAGGGGGTAGAGTTTCTATACTTCACTGGAAGTGGTAAAATGATGACAGCGGTAGATACTTTCTCTCTGTGTGTATGTGTATAGTGTGATACCTAATGCAACCACTTTAGAGAGCTATAAAAAAGATATATACTCTAACACATTGTAGATAAATCAAAATGAAATACTTAAAAATTTTTAAATAAGTCATAGAAAGGCAAGAAAAAGAAAACATAAAAATGCGAAGGAGAGAGGAAAAAAATAGAAAACAAAAAATAAAATGGCAGACTTGAGCTCTAACATGAATAATTACATTAAATGTAAAAGGCCTAAATACAGTAAGTCCTCAATGTTGCTGATACCTTCTTGGAAACAGGCTTTGAGTGAAATGATATGTAATGGAACCAACGGTTTTCTCATCATTATAATGAAACCACATTGAAGGGAACAATGATATTCGAACACCTGCTGTATATTCTTGGAAAGTCATAGTTTCCAAGAATCTGTTGATGATGTTAAGGGAGAATTTAATGTATGCCAATGACATACACTGGCAGAATGGATTGAAAAACATGACCCGATTACATACTGTCTATGAGAAACTCACTTAACATATAGTTATATAGGTAGGCCGAAAGTAAAAGGATGAAAAATATAGATCATGTAAATAGTAATCAAAACAGGAGTGGCTATATTAATACCAGATAAAGTAGACTTCAGAGCAAAGGAGATAACCAGAGACAGAGAAGGATATTACATGATAATAAAAAGCACATCCACCAAGACATAGCAATCCTAACTGTGTGTTCACCAAACAACAGAGCTGCAAAATATGTGAAGCAAAAATGATAAAACTGAAATGGAAAAGGCAAATCCACAATTATAATTAGAGACTCTCTCAACAATTGATAAAACACATAGACAGAAAATCAGCAACAATATAGACTTCAACACCTCTATCAACCAACAAGATCTAATTGACATTTTTCAGAGCACACCTCCGAATTAACAGCAAAATATATGTTCTTTCCAAGTGCTCTTAGAATATATACCAAGAGAGGACATATTTTGGGCCATAAAGGAAACTTCAACATACTTAATAGAACTTAATTCATACAGAGTGTGTCTCTTACCATAGTGAAATCAAACTAGAAGTCAAAGACAAAATGATAACAGAAAAATCTCTAAACACTTGAAAACCAAACAACATACTTCTAAATTTCACAGAGGAAATTTCAAGGAAAATTTAATTTTTCTTCTGAGTGAAAGTGAATGAAATTGAATGAACTAAATGAAAGCATAACATGTGAACATTTGTGAAACACAGCTAAAGCAGTGCTAAGACAGAGATTTATATCACTCTACATTAGAAAAGAGGAAAAGCCTTGAATTAATAATCTAATCTCCTGCCTCAAGAATCTAGAGGAAGAAGGGTAAAATACACCCAAGGATATATTTTGGAAGGATGAAAATAATAAAAGAGCAGAAATTAAGGAAATTAAAAATAAAAAATTAGAGAAGAAGTAATGAAACTAAAGCCTGATTCTTTGAAAAGGACAAGAATGTTTTTTGTTTTGTTTTGTTTTGTTTTTTTGAGACAGAGTCTTACTCTTGTTGCCCAGGCTGAAGTGCAATGGCACAATCTTGGCTCACTGCAACCTCCACCTCCCAGGTTCAAGCGATTCTCCTGCCTCAGCCTCCTGAGTAGCTGAGATTACAAGCGCCTGCCACCATACCCAGCTAAATTTTGTATTTTTAGTAGAGACGGGGTTTCGCCATGTTGGCCAGGCTGGTCTCGGACTCCTGACCTCAGGTGATCTGCCTGCCTCGGCCTCCAAAGTGCTGGGATTACAGGTGTGAGCCACCATGCCCGGCCAGGACAAGAAAATTGACAAATCTTTAGCAAGACTGACCAAGAAAAAAAGGGGAAGACATAAATTTCCAATATCAGGAATGACACAGGGGATATCATTACAGAGTCTGCAGATATCAAGAGGATAATAAGGGAATATTATGAACAAATTGACATGCATACATTTGACAACTTAGATAACATGGACTAGTTCCTCAGAAAGCACAAATTACCACAACTCGCTCAATATAAAATAATTTGAATCATTCCTATAACTATTAAATAAATTGAATTTATAATTAAAAACTCTCTATAAAAAAATTCCCAGGCCCAGATATTTTCACTGGAGACTTTTGCCAAACATTTAAAGAAAAATTCACGTCAATTCTACACAATTTCTTCCAGAAAACAGAGGAGGAAACACTTCCTAATTCATTTTATGAAGCTAGTGTTACTCTGATACCAAAACCAGACAAGACAAAAGAAAAAAAATCCTCAGACGTCATGAATATAGACGCAAAAATCCTTAATGAAACATTAACAAATAGCATTCAGCAACATAAAAAAGAATTATACACTATGACCGAGTGGTGTTTCCTCCAGGGATGCAAAGCTGGTTCAATATTTAAAAATCAGTAAACGTAACTCACCACATTGAAAGGCTAAAGAAGAAAAATCACATATCATTA
This sequence comes from Homo sapiens, assembly GCF_000001405.40. Taxonomy (NCBI): domain Eukaryota; kingdom Metazoa; phylum Chordata; class Mammalia; order Primates; family Hominidae; genus Homo; species Homo sapiens. The sequence goes on along the minus strand of NC_000002.12, from coordinate 127,599,763 downwards.
TCAACTGATGCAGGAAAAAAATTGACATTCAACACTTGTTCATGATAAAAACTCCCAGAAAACTAGGAATATTGGAAGCTTCCTCGACTTGAGAAAGGGCATCAATGAAAAACCTACAGCTAACATTATATTCAATGGTTAAAGTCTGAGTGTTTTCCCCCTAAGATAAAGGACAAAGCAAATATATCTGTTCTCACCACTCTAACAATACTGGATGTTCTGGCTACTGCAATAGGCAAGAGAAGGAAATAAAAGACATACGGATTGGAAAAAAAAGAAAGAAAACTGTCCCTATTTGCAGAGGACAGGACGATCTACATCCAAAATTCTAAGGAATTTATGAAAAGTGAGCTCAGCAAGGCTGCAGGATATGAAGTCAACACACAAAAATCCAACATATTTCTATTTGCTAGCAATGAATATGCCAATGTCAAAATTAAAAATACAGTACCATTTATAATTCCAAAAAAAACATGTAAATCTAATAAAACATGTACAGGGTTTGTGTGCTAAAAACTACAAAACACGGATGCATGAAATCAAATAAGAGCTAAATAAATGGAGCTACGTATCATGTTTATGGATTGGAAGATGGATTTAGTAGAGATGTTAATTCTCAAATTGCTATACAAGCCTATTACTATCAAAAATCCCAACAAGGTTTTTTTTGTAGATATAGACAAAATTATTTTTATATGTACATGGAAATGCAAAGGAACTACAATAACTAAAACACTTTTGAAGAAGAAAAGTGGGAAGAATTAGTCTACACAGCTTTAAGACTTATTATATAACTATGATAAACAAGATGTTGTGACATTGTGGAGGGATAGAGTCATCGACCAATGGAATGGGATAGAGAACATAGAAACAGACCCACACCGCTAGGTTTTGATAAAGATGTAAAAGCATTTCATTGAAGGAAGGATAGACTTTTTTTTATGAATAATACTGGGGAGACAACCATAGAAAAAAATTTAAAAGAACCTTGACCTAAGTGTCACGCTCTACACAAAAATTAATTCAAAATGGGAATGTATCATGGACCTACATGTAACATATTTAAAACTATAAAAACTTTTAGAAAAACACAAAAGAAAATCTTGACGAAAAGAGTTCTTAGACTTAACACTAAAAGCACGATCTATGAAAGAGAAATTTGACAATTAGACTTTACGAAGATTAAAAACTTTTGCTCTGCAAAGCCCTCTTAAGAGGATGAAGAGACAATCTACAGACTAGGAGAAAATATTCACAAACCACATAGCTGACAGAGGACTAGTATCTAGAATATATAAAGAACTCTCAAAACTCAACAAAGACTCCAATTAGAAAACAGGCAAGCAACATGCACAGACAGGTCACCAAAGAGGGGACACATACATGACAAGCACACACAAAGGTGTTCCACATCGGGAAATGGTAAGGACAGCCACAATGAGAGACCATCACATACCTGTCAGAAGGGCTAAAATAAACAGTGACAACATCAAATACTGGTGAGGATGCACGGACACTGAGTCAGCCAGACATTGCTGGTGGGAATGTAAAATGGTGCAGCCACTCTTGAAAACACTTTGGCAGTTTCTTAAAAAACAAAACTTGTAACCGTTGTATGACTCAGCAACTGCACTCCTGGGCATACAACCCAGAGAAACGGCAACTGATGTTCTCACAAAAACCTCATAAATGTTCATAACAGCTTTATTCATCAAAGCCAAAAACTGGAAACAGCCCAGATGTCCTTCTACAGGTGAATGGTTAAACAAACTGTGGTGTATCCATCCCATAGAATACCACCGAGCAATAAAAAGTAACAAAATACTGGCTGGGCGCAGTGGCTCACACCTGCAATCCCAGCACTTTGAGAGGCTGAGGCGGGCGGATCACTTGAGGCCAGGAGTTTGAGACCAGTTTGGGTAACATGGCGAAACCCCATCTCTACAAAAAATACAATAATTAGCCAGGCATGGTGGCGGGCGCCTGTAGTAGTACCAGCTACTTTGGAGGCTGAGGTGGGAGGATAGCTTGAGCCCGGAAAGCAGAGGTTGCAGTGAGCCAAGATTGTGCCACTGTACTCCAGCCTGGTTGACTGAGTGAGACTTTGTTTCAAATAAATAAATAAATAAATAAATAAATAAATAAATAAATATTAATGCAAGCAATAACCTGGATGAATCTCCAGAGAAACATGCCAAGTGAAAAAAGCCCACCCCAGGCTGCATGTTGTATAATTCCACGTATATAACATTTGTGCAATGGCAACATTCTAGAAATGTAGAACAGGTTAGAGGTTGCTGGGGTTAAGCAGCACTGGGGGCAGGTGTGAGGGAGGGGGCGTGGCTAAACAAGGCCGCAGAAGGAATCCTGGTGGTAAGACGTTCCACTGGGGGAAATGGGTGAAGATTATGGCAATATCTCTGTATTGTTTCTTACAACTGCATGTAAATCTACAGTAATCTCAAAACAAAAAGTTTAATTTAAAATGTTGGGAGTCAGGGTGGCCAGCCTGCCTCGCCTCTGACCACGTGGGCCTGTTTGGTCAGATGCGGCCTGTTGTCCTGAGATCAGCAGCACCAGGGTCTGGCCCTGAGATGGCCTCCGGCTTCCCAGCAGCACAGCTGCCTCTCTAGCTGTGGGCCCTAGCTCCCTGCTCCCTGCCCTGCTCTCTGTCCCCTCATTCTCTATTCCCGGGGCTGGCTGTCTTCTACTTTCTCATGCCTGGGTTTCCAGCCCTTGCTATGGTGGCTCAGGAACCCAGGTGAGGGTGGGGCAAGGCAGCAGCGCTGCTGATCCACTGATCCTGGATTACAACTCTAGCGGTACCCTCTTACTGACCAGGGAACCCAGGCAAGCCATGGATTCTTTCCTGTCCAAAAGCAAATTGCCTCACAACCCAAACCCATACGCTTTGATATAATGGAAGTGGAACGTCAAACCCTGGTTGAGAGCGGGGCTGCCCCTTCATTCGGCTCCCATCTCTTGCATATGGAGTGTTTTTTTGTTTTTTCCAAACATTCCAATAATGTATCTGAATTCTCTGGCCAACATAGGCTGCAGTGTCCCTGGTTGGAAGGCATTGGAAGATCTCAGTAACCCCAGGGAGGGCCCAGCGGGAACATGTGATCCTGGTTTGTGGGCTGCAGGCCTGTGTGGGGACACTGTGGGCAGGAGTAGGCTGGGTGGGCCTTGGGGTGGGGCCGGCACCTGTATCTGTAGCCCCGAAGGACTTTCTGGATGCTGAGCGCCGCTCTGTCTAGCACCTGGCTTCTCTGTACCTCCAGCAGAGTGTCCTGATGATCCTGGAACAGGAGAGACGCCGTCACTGGGCTGCTCACCCTCACCCTACAGCCCCTGCCTGGGGCCAGGGCTCTGTCTCCCGAAGGTAGCATCTCTCAGGCTTCTCCCAGGAGGGCAGGCCAGAGAAGGGGGCCCTCAAAGTGACCTTGATGTTGCTCAGAGACAGGAGCTGCAACTATACCTCCCACCCCAATCCAAGAACTTCCCACATTAGCTCTTTCTTCTTGCTAATTCAATCTGGCATCCTTTATTTCTACTCTGAAGAATTCAAGAGGGGGCACAAAATTTTCCTGAAGTTGTGTTTTATTTCCCAAAATTCATGTGACATTTGCATCCAACCGTGTAAAAGCCCCATGCTTGTTTCAATATAAAAATGTTACCCTCAATAATAGTGGGAGACTTTAACACCTCACTGTCAATATTAGACAGATCATCGAGACAGAAAATTAACAAAGATATTTAGAACTCAGCTCTGGATCAAGTGGACCTGATAGATATCTACAGAACTCTCCACCCCAAAACAACAGAGTATACATTCTTCTCGGCACCACATGCACTTACTCTAAAATTGATCACATAATTGGAAGTAAAACACCCTCAGCAAATGCAAAAGAACGGAAAACATAACAGTCTCTCAGACTACAGTGCAATCAACTTAGAACTCAGGATTAAGAAACTCACTCAAAACCACACGACTACATAGAAATTGAACAACCTGCTCCTGAATGACTCTTGGGTAAAGAATGAGATTAAGGCAGAAATCAAGAAGTTCTTTGAAACCAGTTAGAACAAAGAGACAACATACCAGAAGCTCTGGGACACAGCTAAAGCAGTGTTAAGAGGGAAAGTTATAGCACTAAATGCCCTTATCAGAAAGCTAGAAAGATCTCAAATTGACGCCCTGACATCACAACTAAAATAACTAGAGAATCAAGAGCAAACAAACTTCAAAATTAGCAGAAGACAAGAAGAAACCAAGATCAGAGCAGAACTGAAGGAGATAGAGATACGAAAAACTCTTCAAAAAATCAATGAATCCAGGAGCTGATTTTTTGAAAAAATTAATAAAATAGATAGACCACTACCTAGACTAAAAAAGAAGAAAAGAGAGAAGAATCCAATAGACACAATAAAAAATGATAAAGGGGATATCACTACTGAGCCCACAGAAATACAGACAACCATCAGAGAATAGTATAAAAACCTCTATGCAAATAAACTAGAAAATGTAGAAGAAATGGATGAATTCCTGGACACATACACCCTCCCAAGATTAACCAGGAAAAAGGTGAATCCCTGAATAGATCAGTAACAAGTTCTGAAATTAAGGCAATAATAGCCTACCAATGAAAAAAATCCCAGGACCAGATGGATTTACAGCTGAATTCTACCAGAAGTACAAAGAGGAGTTGATACCCTTTTTTTTGAAACTATTCCAAACAATTGAAAAGCAGGGACTCCTCCCTGACTCATTCTATGAGGCCAGCAGCATCCTGATACCAAAACCTGGCATAGATACAACAAAAGAAGAAAACTTCAGGCCAATATTCCTGATGAACATCGATGCAAAAATTCTGAATAAAATACTGGCAAACTGAATACAGCAGCACATCAAAAAGCTTATCCACTACGATCAAGTTGGCTTCATCCCCAGGATGCAAGACTGGTTCAACATATGCAAATCAATACACGTAATTCACCACATAAACAAATCTAAAGACAAAAACCACATGATTATCTCAATAGATGCAGAAAAGGCCTTTGATGAAATTCAACATTGCTTTATGTTAAAAAAAACTCTCAATAAACTAGGTATTGAAGGAACATGCCTCAAAATAATAAGAGCCATTTATGACAAACCCACAGTGCACTGAGATGGTCCCTCTGCTGGCCTTGCCTCCCCCACTAAATTGGAAGCCACTCTGCTTCTTCCCGCGCATCTTAGCCTCTGAGACCCAGAACAGCCTGACTACTGCACAGCCAAATGGACAGACAGACCGACTCGAGGGCTGGGGCCAGGACGTCCCTCTGAGGACACATAAGGGCAGGTGGGCAGGCACTATGGGGGAAGAGGAAGGGGCAGCAGGGATGGGTGGGAGCTCAGGCAAGCTGGCAAAGCATCCTCCCAGCTCTGCTCCCAGTTATTCCTCTTCCCTCTCACTGTGCTGGCCCGCTGAGGCTTATGAGACTAGGGGACAGGAAGGTTCCCTCCTCAGTGGCTCTGACCCAAATGGCACTTCTGGAGGGCCCCGAAGCTTCCTTTGTGTGACTTCAGCTCCCTGTGCATTTTGGGGGAGGCAGGTTGTGGTGGTGAGGCTCGCACAAGCCCCGCTAAGGACAAGTCGCTTTGTGGAGAGTTGACACACAGCACCCTTCCACTAAAGCAGTAGCCCTCCGGGCTCTGCAGAGGCTGGGCCTCCCCAGTGTAGGGAAGCCTGCATGGCAGGATGTGGCTCCCAGCATGATGGAGGCCAGGTCTCAGGACACCGGCAGACCGCCCTGAGCTCCTGGGTGCTGCCCTGTGGCTGGAAGGCGCCTCCTCTGCACCCTCAGGCCTTGCCCTAGGTACCCCTCTGAGAAGCCTCCTGGGCTTCCACAGGCTGGGCTGGCCCTCCCCAGTACCCTCACCACCACCTCATTGTCCCCTAGCGTGATGTTCTACATCCAGGGGTGCCCTGAGGGTGGGGACCACACTTTGAGCTGCTGCCCAGTGTCATTGGCTCAGGGCACATGGACCATGGACCCCGGGCCTGGTGCAAGAGCTGACAAGCCCACATGCTGCAGGAGGCCGACAGCTGGCTGGTTCCTCGGGGTCTCACCCTCAGGAAAATTTTTGTCTTCCCCGCTTTCCAGTCTTTGTCTGTCCGCAGCCACACGTCAGTGATGCCCAGGGTCATCTGGCGGAGCTTGCCTTGCAGCTGCCAAGACCAAACGGGGGTATCGGTGGGAGGTGGGGCAGAGACCCCTCGGCGGCTCTCTGGGGGTGGTGTCTCCCTCCTTCTCCCACAGGCTCCCCCATCAGGGGCTGCCGCCCACCCCCGCCCAGGCACAGGCACAACGGGAACCTCGAATAGGGGTTGGGGTGAGGAGGGAACTCGGGGCCCGGGGCCTCCATGTGCTGTGGGACTCGGCCCAGGCCAGGCCCAGCCTCAGGATGGCTGAGGGTTCCAGACAGGACAGGAAGAACCTCGGGCCCCAGTAGCTTTCTAGCCACACCTCGGCTCCCTGACGCGGTAGGAGAGAACGTGTCTGCTGTACAACTACAGACATGTTCCAGAAGGAACCGCTGCGGCCGCCAGCTCTCCCAGACCCCAGGGAAAGCCCCCTCACTTCCGCGGCGCTGGGAGAGGGAGAGGGTAGGGTGGGAGGAGGAGAGAGGGAGGAAGGACAGGGCTCATCGCAAGGCTGGGGCCGGGGAGGGCAGCGGGAGACCCCCTCGGTACTGGGGGCTGGAGGTGCCAAGGCCGAGGGGAAGGCCGCGGATGGCCAGAGGTGACCGTCCCCGAGGGGCGCTGACCTGCATCCGCATGGCGTTGGGCAGCAACACGCCGAACCTCTGCGAGAACTCCTCGAACGTGTAGCGGATGGGGAAGCCCGACTTGCGGATGTGCACGGTCTCCATCATGCCCGAGTATCGCAGCTGCCGCAGGCACAGCTCCCGGTCGAACAGCTGTGGGCGGACACCGGGCGCTGACCCAGCGCAAGCCCCACTTTCCAGCCACCCCCCTTCCCGGCACCCCACCACCGGGCACGGGCCCACAGCCAGAGGTCAGTGTGTCCAGCCCCCCGCCCCGCCCACCCCCACTGTCCTCCAGAGATGGAAGAACTAAACAAATGCGACTTCAGTAAGGCTACATTTTGAAGAGAGTAGTGCAAGTAGTTGAAAAACCCGTAATGTTGTCAAGGAGATAAAAGTCGATAGCATGGAAACTGTGGCACCCACAGAAACACAGCACTCCCATCACTGTCAACTACTCGAAGCGCTGTGAATGTAAACGTCCTCTGCACATGCCCAGTTTAAAATGCTTTTTTTAAAAAAATTTTTTAAATTTTATTTATTTATTTTTTTGAGATGGAGTCTCGTTCTGTCGCTCAGGCTGGAGTGCAGTGGCACGATCTCTGCTCACTGCAACCTCTGCCTCCTGGGTGCAAGCGATTCTCCTGCCTCAGCCTCCCGAGTAGCTGGGATTACAGGCGTGTAGCACCACGCCCGGGTAAGTTTTGTATTTTTAGTTAAAGACGGAGTTTCACCATGTTGGCCAGGCTGGTCTCCAACTCCTGAGCTCAAATGATCCGCCCGCCTTGGCGTCCCAGAGTGCTGGGATTACAGGCCTGAGCCACCGCGCCTGGCCCAGTTTAAAATGTTTTTAAGCGCCCCTTGCCTACATAGGTCGGGGTGGAAAGCTGCCCCGCAGGCACTTGCAGTTTCATGGTGCCTCCCTCACAATAGTTAAATGAAAAAATAAATCTACTCAGAGGCAGAAAATATCCTAATCAACTTAGTCTCTCCCTCCCTGGAGATGGAGGTCAGAGTGAGACCTGGAGTGGCTGGGGCGGAGGAGTGGAGGGCCTTTGGCCCCAGGGAGCTGAGCCGTCTTTTGCTTTGAGGCGAGTGTGACTGGCAGAGAAATGGCATGATGTCCTTCCCTGGGGTGTCAGGCTTCAGCAGGGGTTCCAAGACTCTGCCATGGCTTGGATTCTAGAGAGCCCCTCTCCACCTACAAGCCAGGAGTCTCTGAGGGACCCTGGGGAACGCCCTCTGATGTGGCAAACCCACCAGCAGGCACTGTTACCCCACCTGCAGGGTCACAGCGCCAACTGCTGGTGGGGTCCAGGCCACACTGAGCTTAGCCTCGGGTAAGTGTTTAGCTGCGCTTCACTGACGATTTCCTATGGGCCTGGTGTTTCTCACTGAATCTTTACAACATTCCTACCTGGTGGGGGTGATTGGCTCCAACTTAAAGATGAGGTGCTGAGGCATAGGGTTTTGCTTCTAAGGGGCTGAGCCTGGGTTTGAACCCTGAGCAGCCACCAATGAGAGATATCCCAGCCAGAGGCACTCTTAACCCCCGAGCTTCAGCCTCAGGCCTGCCTGCCTGTCCTGCAACTCCCAGCTCCCAAGGTAGGCAGGGTCTGAACGAGCCAAGGGTCTCTGGGAGCCCAGCTACTTCTCCCAGCAGTTAAGGAACAAGATAGGTTATCTCACATCTGCCTATTTTGCCTTCAAGGAAGATGCAACCTAGATTTCATAAGGCAAGCCTCATTTTATTTTTTTAGAGACAGGTCTTGCTCTGTCACCCAGGCTGAAGTGCAGTGGTGTGATCATAGTTCACTGCAGCCTTGACCTCCTGGGCTCAAGTGATCCTCCTCCCTCAGCCTCCTGAGTAGCTGAGACTACAGGCACATACCACCATACCTAGCTAATTTTTATACTTTTAAATTTTTTTGCAGAGATAAGGTCTTACTATGTTGCCCAGGCTTGCCTCAAGCAATCCTCCCGCCTCAGCCTCCCAAAGTGCTGGGATTACAAGCGTGAGCTACTGCACCCAGATCAAACTCGATTTCACATAGTTTTATTCTTTCCAAAAAGCATTTAATTTCATGTAATATTTTTATTCCCTTATGGGGATAAAACCATTTTATATTGTTTCAGCTGATGTCTCCTAGTTTGGGGAATCCCTGCATATGCGGCCTCTGGGTGGGACTCCCCACCCAATGGAGCAGGGACTCCGTTGTGGGCAGGGAGTGTGGGCTCTCACCCCCTCACCGTCTCACAGCAGGTAAAGCTGACTGTCTGCAGGGCTGGTGAAAGGAGTGGTGTCAGCCTCTAAAGTCCTATTACTGATTTCTGCCTTTGTTGAGTGTGGTTTACATATGGGACATGTACTGCAAACCTCATGTCCAACCCTCAGTGCATTCCTGCAGGCAGGAGCAAGTCTGACTTAACAGAAGGGAAAACTGAGGCTCACAGCAGCAAAGAGCCAGGCCAAGAACGCACAGAAGATGCATGGCGGAGCTAAGGGAACTGAGGTCTCAGCAACCCAAAGCTCTGCAGGTCACTGACCTTCACATGACCTAGTCTGGTCACCTTACCCCAGTGTACTTATCTGTAAGGTAGGGGCAGTAACAGCTCTAACGCTAGCCAGGCCCTGGCAGAGGGAGTGACCACAACCCTAGAGGCCATCAGCCTCCTCCTCCTCCCTCCTTTGCTGTGCCCCAGCCTCCTGTCATTACCAGCGGCTTCTTGTACTCATTAGGTTTGATGCAGCGGATGAAGTAAGGCTGGCAGTTGGTCAGGATTTTCATCAGCTGGTCCAGAGACTGTTTGAACTGGCTTCCTAAGGTGGAGGGCCGTTTATTTGAGTCTGCAGACTGTGAATGGAAGCACAGAGCACAAGTGGGTCTCAGGAGCCATGTCCTGGGACAGCTGACCCTGTAGGCCAGCAAGGGTTGCGGCCAAGGCCCCACAGGTGGGGTGGTGCATCTACCTATTCAAGAATCCACCCACCCACCCATCCATGTATCCATCCACCCACTCACCCATCCACCCACCCCTTCACCCATCCACTCACACACCTATCCATCCACCCACCCACCCATCCACCCGCCCACCACCCATCCACCCACTCACCCATCCTTCCACCTACCCAGCACCCATCCACCCACCCACCCATGCGTCCATCCATTCACCCACCCACCCACCCATCCATCCTTCCATCCACTCACCAACCCACATAGCCACCCGCCCATCCATCTATCCATCCACCCTCTCACCCATCCACCCACCCACCCATCCACCCACCCATTCACCCATCCATTCACCCATGCACCCACTCATCCATCCACCCACGCACCACCCATCCACCCACTCACCCATCCATCCACCTACTCACCACCCATCCACCCACTCACCCATCCACCCATGGCCCCACTAAGGCCATGCTCTCCACCCCTCTACCCAGGCGTGGCCCCCACCATCTACCCAGCACAAAGTCACTTCTCCTATCTAAACTCTGGACCCCCCAGATTCCCATTCCCACTCCAAACCCCCTTATATAAGCTGCCACATGCACCCACCCATGCACCCATTCATTCACCATTCCACCCACCCATCCATCCATCCACTCACCCATCCACACAGCCACCCACCCATCCATCTATCCATCCACCCACCCACCCATCCACCCACCCATCCATCCACTCACCCACCCACACAGCCACCTGCCCGTCCATCTATCCATCCACCCACTCACCCATCCACCCATCCATTCACCCATCCACCCACCCACCCGTCCATCCACTCACCCATCCACACAGCCACCCACCCATCCATCTATCCATTCACCCACTCACCCATCCACCCAACCATCGACACACCCATTCACCCATCCACTTACATACCCATCCACCCATCCACTCACCCACCCATCCATCCACCCACCCACCACCCATCCACTCACTCACCCATCCATCCACCCATCCACTACCCATCCACCCACTCACCCATCTATCCACCCAACCACCCATTCACCCGTCCATCCACTCACCCATCCATCCACTCATCCATCCATCCATCCAACCAACCAACCACACATCCATTTACCCATCCACCCTCACACACCCATCCACCCATCCACTCACCCACCCATCCATCCACCCACCCATCCATCCACCCACCCACCACCCATCCATCCACTCACCCATCCACCCACCCACTACCCATCCACCCACTCACCCATCTATCCACCCACCCATCCATTCACCCATCCATCCATCCATTGCAGGATTCCCAAGTGCCAACTGCATGCTGTGGACCCAGAGGTGAGTAAAACAGTCTTTCCTGTACATGTCTGTCTGGCCCTGTAGCCATCAGGGGTGACAGACCCAGGAGGGTGCCTGGGAGCCCACCTTGAAGAGATGGTTTCCTGCCTTTGCCTGGCGGATGGTCCCATGGCCCAGCTTGGTCTCTGCTAACTCCAAGTTGAATATCTCCCTCAGAAACTTGTTTTTGGAGGAGTAAACCAGGGTGAGGATATCTGTGCTCAGCACGTCTCGGTTCTTCTCCAGGAAGCCTGTGGAGACACAGGGCCCACCCAGCATCCCAGCTTAGCCATCACTGCCCACCCATGGGGAAGAAGAGGGCAGTGTGGGGGAATACAGGATGCGTGGAGGAGCCCCCTCCTACAATGGCCCCACTACGGCCATGCTCTCCACCCCTCTACCCAGGCATGGCCCCCACCATCTACCCAGCACAAAGTCACTTCTCCTGTCTAAACTCTGGACCCCCCCTAATTCCCATTCCCACTCCAAACCCCCTTATATAAGCTGCCACATCCTCCTGCCTCTGGGCAGATCCTACTAGGGCTAAGGCTCCTTCAGACTAAAAACAGATGCAGCCTCCAGAAATAGGAGAGGGGCAGTGTCATGGGCTAAAATGTGTCCCCTAAAATTCATATGTTGGTGTCCTAACACCCTATACATCAGAACATGACTGTGTGTGGACATAGGGCCTTTAAGGAGGGGATTAAAGTAAAATGAGGTCATTAGGATGGGCCCTAATCCAGTGTAACTAGTGTCATTATAAGAAGGGGAGATGAGGCTGGGTGTGGTGGCTCACACCTGTAATCCCAGCACTTTGGGAGGCTGAGGCAGGTGGATCACAAGGTCAGGAGTTCGAGACCAGCCTGACCAACATGGTGAAACCCTGTCTCTACTAAAAATACAAAAGTTAGCCAGGCATGGTGGCATGTGCCTGTAATCCCAGCTACTCAGGAGCCTGAGGCAGGAGAATCGCTTGAAGCCCGGAGGCAGAGGTTGCAGTGAGCTGAGATCACACTATTGCACTCCAGCTTGGGTGACACAGTGAGACTCTGTCTCAAAAAAAAAAAAAAAAAAGAAAGAAAGAAAGAAGGGGAGATGAGGACACAGACACACACAGAGAGAAGGAAGGCCATATGAGGACACAGAGAGAAGACGGCCATCTGCATACAAAGGAGAGAGGCCTCAGAAGGGATCAAACCTGCCAGCACCTTGATCTTGGACTTCCAGCCTCTAGAACTCTGAGACAATCATTTCTGTTGTTTAAGCCACTCAGTCTGTGGTGTTTGTTACTGCTGCCCTAGTGCCTAATACAGGCATGGCTCCAGCGGGTGAGAAGATCCCATGTCTCCCCTCCGGCCATGAGTAAGAATGGCCTAGCCCTGCAGTAGGGACAGAACCACACTGAGAAGGCACTGAAGATGAGCTGCTCCTCAAAGCCAGGCTCCATGAGGCCAGGGGCTGCACTGCTTGGTCTCTAAGGACGAACTCCCAAGGGCACGACCCTGACTTTCCTCTTTCACTTTCCTCCCCTTAAGTCACTCCAGCTTTTAGTGGTATGCTCTGTGCACACCTGCACAGCCTGCTGTGGATCTGGGGAGGAAGAGTCAAGAGTGGGAGAGGGAAGGGAGTCTGTTTCCCACCTCTTCCTGCAGGTGTCTGTGAGGGGAGCAGCACCAGGGGGGCTGCACTGGGTGCTGGGCAGGGGGTGGACACTCGGTGACACCTTGCACCCCTGAGGCTCAGGCAGAGCTCCCCACCAGGGGCAGGGAGCTCCCTGGATGTTTTAAGGGTGGGGAGGGTTGAGACACTCCTGGGTTCAGTCTCCCAACAGGCAGAGTAAGTAAAGCTGAGGTCATCAGCACAGCATGGTATCCAAAATAAAAAGAAGGCTTAGTTTTAATTAATATTTCTGCAACCAGAAAGTCTAGAAAGAATCGACCTTAATCTTAGCATTATGTAAGTTTCCTATCATTTCAAAAAATAAAACTCAGCCTTGAATTGCCCCATGGAGGATGGGCTCGGTATCTTCTTTGCGTCCCAGGACCCTGCAGGTCCGACTGGCTCCAGCCTCTCCCTTTTCCAAGAGCCCAAAGCCAGGATGTGGCAGGAACTATGAAGGAGCCACGGCACCTTTCCCTTTCTCCCTTGGCCTCCCAAAGCCTAGCCTGTTCTGACTAAATGATCACCCTCTACTCAAAAGAATCATCCCTGGATTCCTGTCTCCAGTTAAATAGACCAGAACACCTCCTCATTCCTCCACATGAGGGGCAGAGAGTGACCCTCTGGCCGCCCTGCTTTCCTGACCACAGCAGCCCACGGCCACCTTCCTCGTTTTTCTTGGCACACCCATAGGGTGACCACCCCAGGCCTTCACTTCTTCAGTCAAAACCATTACCGATCCTCTCTCAACATATCCCAAAATTAACTCAAAATGGGTCAAAGACCTAACGTAAAAACTAACACTAAAAAAATCTTAGAAGAAAACATAGGGATAAATCTTCATGACTTTGTATTTGACCCTGGACTCTTAGATATGACACAAGCAAAGAAAGGAAAATAGATAAGTTGGACTTCTTCAAAATGAAAGCTTTTTGGGCCTCAAAGGACACCGTCAAGCAGATGAAAAGACAATCCACAGAATGAGAAAAAAATTTAAAATCACCTATTAGGTACTTGTATCCAGAATATATAAAGAAGTCTTACAACTCGACAATGAAAAGACAACCCAGTGAAAACACAGGCAGAGCATTTAAATAGACATCCCTCCAAAGAAGACGTGCAAATGGCCAAGAAGCATATGAAAAGGCGATCAACATCATTAGCCATCGGGGGATGCAGATGCAAATCACATTGAGACTTCAAACCCACTAGGGTAGCTATAATAACAAAGACAGACAATCACATGTGTAGGCAAGGATGTGGAGGAACTGGAGTCCTCATACATTGCTAGTGGGAATGTAAAATCATACAGCCGCTTTGGAAAACAGTCTGGTGGTTCCTCAAACAGTTAAACATAGAGTTATCATATGACACAGCAATTCTGCTGCTAGGTAGATACCCAGGGGAAATGAAAACATATGCCCACACAAACACTTGTACATGGGTGTTCATAGCTGTGTTATTCATAATAGGCAAAAAGTGGAAAAAACCCAAATGTCCGCCAACTGATGACGAGATAAACATTCCAGATAATGGAATGTTTTTCTGCAATAAAAAGACATGGAGCACTGACACGTACTACAACATAGATGAACCTTGAAAACATGATGCTAAGTGAAAGAAACCAGCCACAGAAGACCACGTATTATATGGTTCCATTTATGCAAAAAGTCAGAATAGGCAAATCCATAGAGACAGAAATTAATTGTTGCCCAGGGCTGGGGGGAAATGGGAGTGGTTGCTCATGAGGGGTTTCTTTTAGGGGTGGCGAAAAAGTTCTAAAATTGTGGCAATCATTAATATACTCTGAATATATTACAGTCAAGTCGTACACTTAAAATAGGTAAATAACATGGTATGTGAATTATGTCTCAACAGAGTTATTACCAGAAACAAAACAAAACATGCCCGGTCCACTCCATTTTCTTTCTCCAGTAGAAGCCATACTACTCATCCCTCTGCCCCATTGCTAGAGCTGCAAAATAGCCTCATCCTCTGAGCCTGCTTTCCACGGTCTCCCTGGAACCCGGTCCAGATTTGGAAGGGACATGAGAGGAGAGCTGCACCCACCTTCTGCTTGGTAGTACACCTCGCCGGCAAAATGGGCAATGCCAAATCTGGCATCGTGGATGTTCTTGGGCTGTAGGAAGGCCTTGTTGTTGGCATGGACGCTGTTCAGCTTTTGCAGCATGGTGAGATCTGTCCCCTGGAAGAACCCAGACACCCTGTGGGCTGAGGTCCCAGAGTCCAGCCATGGGGAGGTGAGGCTCAGGGACTTCCTCATGGAGGCAAAGAGATCTGGGCTCAGAATGATTGAGGGCCTTTGTACAGACAGGAAACTAATGCCCAGGGGTCAGTGACTTGTTGCAGGGAGTGAGGGCTGAGCTGGGAGCAGAGGCCGGGTCTGCCGCCCTCCACCACCAGCTCTTCTGCTCCACCCTCTGAACTACTGTCTGAGGACCCCAGCAGTCAGAGAAGTGGGCCTTGGAGAGGAGGGTCTGTCTGGTTAGACTGAGGCTCTTCTGCTTATTCCTGGCAGAGGTTTTAGTGACTCTCAGAACAAGTGGCCCACCCAAATGGAGTTTCCCAGCCTCCAAGAGGAGACCCATAGCAGGGCCTCCACCAGAAGGTCGGCAGGCCCGAACACACACCTGCGGGAAGCGGCTTTCTTCGTCCAGGAGGGAGATGATGCTCATGGGCTTGAGGGCCAGCAGGTCCAGGGTGGGCCGATTGTCGGTGTAGTGGATATAGTCCCAGGAGATGTTCTCCGAGCGGTACTCCTCTTGCTCCATGGTGAACACGTGCTGCACAAAGAACTGCTGCAGGTGCTCGTTGGCGAAGTTGATGCAGAGCTGCTCGAAGCTGTGGAGGCAAGGTCACTGCCCAGGGGTGGAGTGGGGCCAGCTGAGTCCCCGCTGCAGCAGGCTGGAGCCATAGGATCACCAGCCATCTGCAAACAGCTGCATACAGATATGCCCACAGATGCACACCTCGTGTACACAGAGATGCACACTCATTCCTGCACACTCTCTCTCCTCTGTCTGCCTCCATCACTGTCACCTTCTCCACCCCACGTCAAAAAGACAAAGAAACGAGGAGGCTCAGCATATCATCAAGTCCTCGCCTTCAGCTTCTCACAGCCCCCTGCCGGGTCCTCTACCAGGCCTGCCCACCTGACACTGAAACAATTCTTGTGGTCTGAGTGCACACCAGCAGCCCTACCCGTGAGCCTTGGTATTGAGACAAGCTTCCAGAGACCCAGCATTGACTGCTGGGCCCCTCTGCATCAACCAGGCATACGCCCTACTGCCCCTGTTCCCAGAACTCCAACCTGCACTTCCTCCTGCATTCCCTGCCTTGGGAAATGGCCCCTCCACCTACCACCCCCGGCTCAAGTCAGAAACCGAGGAGTTTCTGTCTCTGTCCCTCCTCTCCAGTTCCCATCAGTTGCCAAAGTCTGGCCCATGCTGTCTCCAATACCTGTCCCTCCCAGGGCCAGACGCCAATAATCGGAATCACACTTGAGCTCTCTATGCCTTAGAGAGTGCATTGGGCTAAGTTCTGCCAGCCCTGCCTCTCCCACCTGACTGCAGTGAGCAGGCACCTGCCCTGCACCCCCGGCTGGCCCTGGGAGGGCTGAGATCCCAGCGTGCTTGCGTGTGGAATGGCTTGTGTCTTGACAATCCTGGCTGTCCAAGGGGGGCCCTTCTAAATCACTCTCAGATCAGACAGGCCTTGGGCAGGGGCATGCAAGGTCAGGCTAGCCCCCTGGCTCCTCAGACAGGGCCCAGAGGAGCTCTGCTTCCTGGAGCCAGTGGTCCGGTCTCTGTCCCATCAAGCCCTTTCAGTGAGCTGGCTCAGGTAAGCTAAATTGCAAAGCTAGTGTTGTCAGCCTGCTTGTACCAGTCGTCATGGGACTCCTCTTGCTGGTGATAGTGCCCCTGAGCATCACCTGGCCTGGCCTGGCTCCGTTGCCTGGTCCCCTCACCACCTTTGTCTATCCGACCCCCAGCCTTCATCACAGTCATAGCTTGCAGCTATTTTCTGACCTGCCTCCTGGTTACAGCTCTCCAGCTTCTAGTCTGGGGTGCCAGAACACTGGGATGCCCGGTCAGAGGAGTCCTGCTGTGCCTTACCCCACAAACTAAAAAATCAGGGATGGTCTGCAAATGCTTCTAGCTTCCCCCACTACCTAAAATGATAAACCAGCCAGATGCAGATGAATCCATGTTATTGATTTCTGTTTCAACCCTGACCTCGTGTGATAATCCACTCTGGCTCATGAGGACAGCAGGTGGCCCAAGAAGGGTGACAAATGCCGGGGCCTTAGCCCGGCTCTCAGGGACAGCTTTTAGTTGTGCAGCCTTCTCTAGATGGCAGGGGACAGCAGCCACCCCATGCAGAGCACACGGATCTGGTGGGACTCGCCAGGCCTGGGTGCAGGGTGACGGCTCCCCTCCAACTTGCCCCCTTCGAGAGGAGCTGCTTATCTTCTGTTTTCTGGAAGCAGTGGGGCTGGGATCTGAGATCTTCATACCTATTGTTCTCGAAATTTTCAAAGCCAAATATGTCCAGGAGGCCGATGGCCCTCCGCACATTTTTGGGGTCCTGGGCTGGTGGTGTGAAGATGGCGGCATTGATCTTCTTGACAATCCACAGGAAGAGGTGCCCATAGATGCCCTGGAGAGACACGGGGGTGGGAGAATCCTGGGCTTGGAGGCTCAGGCGGAGGTTACCTCCAAGTTCACCTGGAGAGGCCGAATGTCTTGGACCTACTGTGGATGTTATCCCTCCTTCAAAGGCAAGAAACCAGGGCCCAAGAGGCTGAGGAGTCCATGGTCACCAGGCAGGTGACTGGCAGAGTGGGGACCTGCCCAGGGCCCTCTGCTCCATCCTGCCCTCCACCGGCACAGCAAGAAGCAGAGCCGTGGTCAACAGATGGCCATGTAAGCCCTGCTCTCTCAGCTCTGTACCTTGACAAAGGCGTCCCTCCGGTCAGCAGCCTGGGCAATGTTCAGGGACCTGGTGACAAATTCCCCTCGGATGAGGATGGTGTGCTTGATCAGACAGTCCCGGAGCTCCTGGTGCTGCACCTGGGGAGGCAGGTGGGGGCTGCGTCGCACCTGTGGAGCAGGGCCTGGCCCAGCACTCTGACCTGCTTCTGCCAAGTCTTGTTCCCTCTCGTGACCAAGCACCTATGCCCACCGGAGGGTGGGCGCTGCCCGAGGCCAGGGCCAGGGCCCTGGGAGCTGTTAGGGAAGGATTCTCCAGCTCGGTGGGTCAAGCCCTCAGTGGGTCTCCTGGGGGCTGAGAAAGGGGCTGGCTCCCCCAGCCTGGCCTTGGAAAATGAGGGTGAGGGAGGGATCTGAGGCCAGACCTCAGGCATGTCCTGACTGAAATCAGTCCCGCCTGAAGGCTGAGAGTCTAAAGGAGCAAGAGAGTGTGCTGGGCCAGCCCTCCACTGGAGCTGACAAAACCCAGAGTTTCTGAGTACCCTCGAACCAAAAGAAGAATGTTAATAGCAAAAGGTACCTAATGTGATTGCTTGCTTTATGTATTTATTTCTTGCTCCTGATTCTATTAATTTTCCACCAGAACTGTCAATGGGGGTGACGTGGGGTGCTGCCATGTCCCCATTGCAGAGGTAGCCCCTCACTCAGGGCCTGCAGCCCTTCCTTTAAGCCAAGGCTGCATTTGGACTGGGGAACAACCGGGAAGGCTAATGGGATGGGCCCCAGACTCACTGGCACATTCCACTCTCCCAGAATAGTGCAAGCCCCGGAGAAGCCCTGCGGGGTGAGGGCACAGGGCAGGGCTAGTCTGATGGGTGGGTTGGGGTCCAAGTGGGGAGCCTAGGGACCTGACAGGGTGGAGGGCGAGGATACTGAAACAGGGCCACTGACAAGCAGGAGGAAATGGAGGGAAAGGGAGGAAACATTCATTAAAGCCAAACTGGCCATTCCGCCGCTCTGTTTGGCACTGCCCCACTCTGCGCCCACCCTCAGGCACCTGCAGTATACAGAAGGGAGGGGTTTGAGCATAGGCCCTGGGAAAGGGGTGGGGGCCTGGGTAGGGTTATAAGAATCAGGTGTCAGGGGTCTGTCAGCCCAGGCCTCTGAGGCCCCCCACCAAAATGGAAGCTGTGGGCACAGCACCCCTACCTCCAGTAACTTCATCACGGTGGGAAAGGCGGGCGTCTCCATCACGTCTGAGGCGTCCAGGTTCTCGAAGACCGAAGCTAGAGAGAGAAGCAGGAATGCTGAGTTGGAAAGCAGCCTGGAGCGATGGGAGCAAGGTCCCGACTGGCCCGGGCCCTTGGCAGCCCCAGATCCACTCAGGAGGACAGCTGCCCTGGCGTAAGCCACGGTCTCTCCCAGTGTCCTCTCTTTGAGGGAGCCAACGGCCCCATGACCATGGGTCATTCACACCTTAGCTGTTGATGAACGTGGCAGACCACTTCCTCTTGAGGAGACCAGGGCCCTGGGTCGAAGGGAAGTTTAAAGAAAGGTGGGCTTATTTGGAGGGAGAAGTCTGACTTGGGAAACACAGCAGACACTGGCACTGGAGAGATGAGCCATCAGGCCCCTCAGTCCATGCTGCTGGGTGTGGAAACCCGGACATTTCGTTATTTATTCAGTCACAGGAAGCAAAGCACTAATGGAGCTCCAGCTGTAAGCCAGGCCTGGCTCTATTGCAACCGTCTCCTGACTGGCCTCCCAGCTTCCAGTTCCTCCTCTTCAACCAACGTCCAGCTTAGGACGTGCCAGGCTGGTGGGGGACGGGACCTTTGGGTGTCTTTGTTTTTGCTTTTTTTCTTTTTTAAACTGAAAAAAATTGGAGATAAAATATACAGATAAAGAAGTGCATAAAACACAAAGCTGTGTTGTAAAGAATAAAGTCAGCACCACGTAACCACGCTAAAGCCAAATCTAGGATCTGCCAGCACCCACAGCCCTCCGAGGTCCTTGCGGGCTGAGACTGTGTCCCTCTCCTCCGGAGGTAAGCACCCTCCCGACTTCTAACTTCCTAGCTTTTTATTCCCTACATAGAGTCCCTAAACAGCATTTAATGTGCCGGCTTTTAAATGTTATGTTAGTGGGCCAGGCGCAGTGGCTTGTGTCTGTAATCCCAGCACTTTGGGAGGCTGAAGCAGAAGGATCACCTGAGGTTGGGAGTTCGAGACCAGCCTGACCAATATGGTGAAACCCCATCTTTACTAAAAATACAAAATTAGCCAGGCTGTGGTGGCAGACCCCTGTAATCCCAGCTACTCAGGAGGCTGAGGTGGGAGAATCGCTTGAACCTGGGAGGTGGAGTTTGCAGTGAGTCGAGATCCCACCACTGCACTCCAGCCTGGACAACAAAGCAAGACCCTGTCTCAAAAACAAACAAACAAACAAACAAACAAATGTTATGTTAGTGGATCTGTCTGCATTCTCTTGTGCCTGCTTCACTTCCTCAGCATCATGTTTCTGATGCTGTCCCAGGCCCCGGTGCCCACCTCTGGTTAGCACCCACCTTTCCCTGGCCGAAGTGTGCAGTCTGGCTGATAGACGACAGATCAGCCCAGCTGCAGCTTGCCTGGAAGCAATATTCTCACATGGCGTGAGATGGTGGCCCAAGCTTTTGTTTTCTATATGGACACCCCATTGCTCTAGAACAGTTTATGAAAAGTCTATCCCTTCCCATTGCTTTGAGAATGGTCTCTCCTTAGTTCTGGAACCAGCCCTATCTCTTCAAATATTGCCTCTGCCCCTTTCTCTCTCCTTTCCTTTAGGACTCCAATGAAAGGTGTGCTCCCTCTGCCACGGTGTCCTCCCAGTCTCCACCTTCTCTCTGACATCTCCCGCCATTCCTCTCTCCATGCTGTACTCAGTTTCTCCTGACTTTCCCTCCAGCTCACACATTCCATCTCCTAGACAGGCACAGAATCCCTTAAACCATCCATTGGGTTCTTCCTTTTGGTTATTTTTTTTTTTAATTTTAGAATGGAATTTCTATGTGGTTTGTTTATAAATCTATAATGTCTTTAAAGTTTCCCATTCGCTGTCTAAATTTTCAAGCTTGGCTGCTTCTTTTCTTGAGCAAAATAAGCAGAACTTCTCTAGTCTGTGTCTAATAATTCCAACTTTGAAATCTTTGTGGATCGATTTCTACTGTTTATTATTTCTGCCGGTTCTTGTTCATGGTATCTCATTTCCTTGTTCCTATTTCTTCCTGGCTTCATGCTGGATGTTGTGTTTGAAAAACTACTCACAGGAATCATTTGTAATCTAACTTGCTGGTGCTTTTTTCCAGCGAGGACTGTCAATAACTGCCGTTAGGTGCTTGGGGGTGTTCACAGGTCAGGACAACTTAATCCCCAGACCACCCCTTGCTCACAACCTGGTTTGCAAGTTCACACGTGGATTTGTTTACTCTGGCTTACCTGAACCTTAAGGGGGAAGCCCTTTTGGGTCCCAGCTAAAAGTGGGGGATGATTGGCCGGTCTCCACCTGTGGAGAGCCTTAAGCTTTGACATTTTCCCCTTTGCCTCACGAGGCCTCCAAAATCACAGCTGAATTTTTTAGATATATTTTTCCAGGCCTGGGTTGGACCACAGGATCCTTCCTGTGAGAACCCCTAGAGATGCCTTCCTGCTCCTGTCCCCTTCCCTCTCCCTCCCCAAGGGTGCAGTTGGGGCAGAACCGGCATTACCCATGAACCCCACATTCCCCAGGTGGAGAATGGCAGCCAGCAGCTTGATGACGTCCCAGCTCTCGGAGTCGGAGAACTGGAGGATCTTCATGGCCGAGCGGATGTGGGCGTAGTCCTTGGCGTCGTTGAGCCCCTCACAGGAAGTGCAGTTCCCCTGAGGGACAGGGTGCCTCAGTGAATGGGGCCATCCCCTGCCCCACCACCTCCCTCCTGGGACCAGCAAGGCTGAGACACTGCACTTCATAGGCAATGGGTGGACCACGTAGGGTCCACGCTCAAAAACTCTTTTCAGAGGCAGAATCATGACACAGTAGCCACAGCATGATCAGGCCTTGCCACCAGCACCAGCATTTGGCCACTGTGTGACCTTGGCCAAGTCACACTTCTTCTCTGATCCTCTATTTGTCGTTCGTCCCTACTCGAGCTTGCCTTGTCTCTCTGGGGGACACTGTGGGTTTGTTCCTTTAAGAAACACTTTCCATGGCTCGCCATGGGCCAGGCCCTGTGCTGCGCATCCAGGGGGGCAGGCAGGGAGCCAGTGACCGTGCCATGGCCATTTGCCTGTTACAGGTGCCCAGACCACAGGGGCCGGGGCCAGCCCTATCGAGAGGTGGAGAAAGGCTTCTTGGAGGAGGTGCAGAGCTGGCCCCACCGCCTCTGAGGACAGAGGGCAGTTTAGGCAGAGGATGATGGGAGCAAGGCCACGAGGTGGGGAGGCAGGGACAGGGCTGCGGGGAGGCTGGGGTGGGTGTTGAGAAGGGAGAGGTCGGCAGAGGGGCAGATCTTGGAGGGACCTGGAAACCACATGGAGGAGTTTGGACTTCTACCCTACAAGCCGCAGGGGTCACTGCAGCAGTGCCATCCAAAGCATGACACTACAGTGCAAACCTTCCTACAGGAAGAGTGCTTTGGCTGCAGGGTAGATGACAGATTAGAGGTCAAGACTGGCGATGGGGGACCCATGAAGTCTAGGCAGGGGCTGGTGAAGGCCTTGGAGCAGTGGACCCAGGAGAGAGGGTTGCATGGGAGAGATCCCAGAGGCAGAATGCTCTGGGTCCACTCTGTGGTCAATAAACCAGGAGGCGCAGTTCTCCTGAGGGCCAGGGAGCCTCAGCTAATGAGCGATGGCTGTGGTGCCGCCCTGTCCTAGGTGGCGGGTGCAGCTGGGAGCACAGGAAGGGCTTTGCTTTCCTGGGGCCCGGGGCTTACGTTTTAGGGGGCCTGCAAGGACAGACAATTGGAGTGAAATCAGGAGCAGGAGGCATGTGGGCAACTCCCTGTGGCCCACTGGGCACCGGGAGCCTGTCATCCAGTGGGGACCAAAGGAAGATGAGGTCTGCGGGGAGGCCCCGGGTCCAGCCTGGGGCATGGGGTACATGTGACGGGGAAGCGGGAGGCACGCGGGCAAGGTGATTCCCAGCAGAGAGGGGCTGGCGAGGAGAGGCAAAGGGAACCAGCCCCGCCTCAGGGGCCCGGCCAGCGTTGGGCTTCTCTGCAGCTGTCGCGGAGGGTGGAGCGGCACAAGCTCTTTTTCCTCCCTTCCACTGGCTACTGGGAGGCGGCAGGTGGGCAGCTCACCATGGTCAGGTAGTGGTACTCGGAGGGCGTGCCCAGGCTCAGCAGCTGCTTGTCCTCAGCACTCACCCCCATGAGCATGCAGTAGAAGATATGGTAGTTCCGCTCCTCGGGAGCCTGGGAGGGAGGGAGGGCATTCCAGACAGATTCATGAGCCATTCCCCTGAGGCCTCAGGGCCTCAGACTGCCTCTGCCCAGCCCAGCCCTGGCCTCCGCTCCACATCTCTCAGCCAGGAGCAGCTCTGGCACTGACCCAGGGCCAGCCTGGCTTGGTTGCTGTCCCTGTCCCGGGCCTCCGCGGCTGTCTCATCCCTGCCCTGAGAACTCCATTTCCCTGCATCTTGACTGCTCCTCGAAGCCCTGACACTGCTGTGCCCAAAGTCTCCAGGCCAGGAGTGATGGCACAGAGTCGGGGCTCTCTTATAGTCCCACAGTCTTCACAGGCACTTAGTGGCCCACGAGAGATCTGACAGCCACGGGGCTCCCTAGGCCTTCAGTATTTTTTTTTTTTCCGAGAGAAGGTCTTGCTCTGTCACCCAAGCTAGAGTGCAGTGGTGCAATCTCAGCCCACTGTAGCCTCGAAGTCCTGGATTCAAGCCATCCTCCCACCTCAGCCTACCAAGTAGCTAAGATCACAGGCACACACCACCACGTCCGGCTAAGTTTTGTATTTTTTGTAGAGATGGGGTTTTGCCATGTTGCCTAGGGTGCCTTCTGTATTTTTTAAAACACTATTTATAAATGCATTCTCATACAAATCAAACAATCTGAAGCATATGCAGTAGTGTTAAAAGATGGGAGTCTCAGTTGGGCTGTAATCCCAGCAGTTTTGGGAGGCTGAGGCGGGAAGATTACTTGAGCTCAGGAGTTTGAGAGCAGCCTGGGCAATATAGTGAGACCTCACCTCTACAAAAAATAAGAAAATTAGCTGGATGTGGTGGTAAACACCTCTAGTCTCAGCTACTCAAAAGGCTGAGGTGGGAGGATCAAAAACAAAAAAATGAGAGCTCCTTTCCATCCTGCCTTCCCCTTTCTTAAATCCCCTCCTCCCCGCCCCAGAACCTAGACATGTTTTTAAAAAAACATTTACTTATAGTATATCTATAAATAGTTATCTCTTTTCTTTTCTTTGTTTCTTTTTTTTTACACAAAACATATTTGTGGTTCTGCTACTTCCTTTTTTTTCACCTAAACATATCTCTTGGTGATCCTTTACATTGACATGGACAGACCGCCTCCTCTGTAGTATAGATATGCCGTAATTTTAAATTCTTTCTCTTTTCTTGGGCAGGCCTTGTTTCTCACCTGCTTTAGAAATTTCCTGCCCATTTCAGGGTATCATTTTGGGTGACAAGTTCTATGAACTCAGCAACCACTATATCAAGAAATAGGAGCTTCCAGACAGGGCAGAGAGACTCTGCCATCTGCTGGCTCTGTGACCCTGGACAAGGGGCCGAACTTAACTGGACTCAGTTTTCTCATCTGTACAATAGGGATAAAGAGACCTACCTCTCATGGTTGTGAAGGTCAAATGAGATAAAACAGGAAAAGTATAGCACCAGGTCGGAGGGTCACTAAATGTGACCTTCCTTCTCAGCTTGTCACAGTGCGGAGGCATCTGTCCCTCTCACACAGCCACAGCCCCTCTGTTGGTGGCATTCTCCCCTCTGGACCCCTTCTGTGTGTGTGCACTCATTTGCACACATGCATGTGTTAGGTGTTATGCCATCATACGAGAGCACCCCCTTACACTCACACACACACACAGGTGCATTAATTCTGCTGTTGTGGGTGCCATGTGTTGGGATTCCTACCATTTGGGACTGGCTACATGATCGCCCAGTGCAAAAGGAAACCATGGGCCCTCTTGCTAAAAAGCTAGTAAGAATTTCAAGGTGGCAATAGCAGAGCATGAAACCAAGCATGGGGCCCCCTGAGCACAGGGCCTGGTGTGACAACACAGGCCACATGCCACTGTACTTCCTGGCCATGTGGTATTTGGGATACTGTCATCTGTGTCTTTCTGCCATGTCCCCTAACATACCTGAAGATACGGCCCACCCAACTAGCCTAGTCTCAGAATTAATTCTAGTAGGGATGAGGAATGGTAGGCACCAAAGAAAGAAGAAATGTATGTGAATGGAAAATTCAAAATGGAGAAAAGTCTTTTTTGAGACAGAGTTTCACTCTGTTGCCCAGGCTGGAGTGCAGTGGTGCAATCTCAGCTCACTGCAACCTCTGCCTCCTAGGCTCAAGCAATTCTCATGCCTCAGCTTCCCAAGTAGCTGGGATTACAGGCGTGTGCCACTGCCTAGCTAATTTTTTTTTTCATATTTTTTGTAGAGGCAGGGTTTTGTCATGTTGGCCAGGCTGATCTCAAACTCCTGGCCTCAAGTAACCCACCCGCTTTGGCCTCCCATAAGTGCTGGGATTAGAGGCGTGCGCCACCAAGCCCTGCTCAAAATGGAAAAATTTCTATCATTTGCTGTCCTGGAATACTGGGGAAGGGCCCTCATTATCCAGTGAGGCCTGTGGGTTCTGGGAGGGCCCTTGGGGAAGAGGGGAGGAGAGGTGAGAGTGGGAAAGGGGCCCCTCTTGGAAACCTCCCCCATTCCCTCAACTCCCGACCTGGGAAGGGGGAGGCCTCACCTGCCGGCAGACCCGGGACTTCTCCAGGAGAAATTGCTCGATGCGCGCGCCCTCGATCACCCCGCTGGGGTTAAAGTAGATGTCAATGTACTTCCCAAAGCGGCTTGAGTTGTCGTTGCGGATTGTCTTGGCATTTCCA
The DNA here is from genome assembly GCF_000001405.40 of Homo sapiens. Classification (NCBI taxonomy): domain Eukaryota; kingdom Metazoa; phylum Chordata; class Mammalia; order Primates; family Hominidae; genus Homo; species Homo sapiens. The sequence goes on along the minus strand of NC_000002.12, from coordinate 127,573,923 downwards.
AAGGCTGAAGGTAAGCGGGCGATGCCCATGATGGGAGCAGAGAGGAGAAAATGTAATTTGAGTGGGATCATGTAAGAGGGCTTCTCAGAGGAGGTGGCCAAGCCTCGAATTGAAGAATGGGCACGGCTGCACCAGACAGTGACGGAAGCCAAGCGCCCGCTAAGAGGAAGACAAAAATGCAGGGAAAACCTCGGAGGTCAGAAAAAGCATGGAGTGTGCTTGCAGACGCAGAAATCTTGTCAGAGTGTGGGATGCAGGAGGAAAGCAGTGGAAGGTAGACAGAACTAGTTAGTAGGTAGGGCCAGGTGGCACAGAGCCTTAAATGCCGGGCTCAGAACTTGGGCAATCATTCTGCAGTAATAAGGGAAGCAGTAAAGCTTCTGAGAGAGTGTGGGAGCAGATTCACAGCTTAGAAAGATGGCTCAGGTTGCAGGGCTGAGGCTGATACGGAGAGGCCAAGCCGGCATGGGGAGTGCCAACAGCGTGTCCAGGCCAGGGCACACGGAAGTGGTCAGTCTTTTTTGTAAAGCTGTTTCTGCAAGTTTTCTGATGTGATCCACAGTAAGAAAGATATTTTGCATTACATCCTAGTATATACACATGTCCACCTGCACACACAAAGTTAGAACAAAATACTCAGTACTAGTTCTTATGAAGAGTGACGTGCTGGGGTGTTTCTATTCTATGATATTTGATTTGTTCTAGAAGACTGATTTTATGGCCCATTAATGGTTAGAATGCAGTTTCAGAATACCAGCATCCAGCATAGTCCCATGAAACGAAGGAAAAGGGTTCCTTGGGGAAGTAGGTTTAGGAAACACGGCACCCTGTCTCTCTCTCGAGGAATCCCAATGCACAGCAGAGCCTCTGAGAAGTGCCACCATTACGAAACCTGTTTAACTTATTGAACCCAGTGTGGCCATCATGGGGGCGACTGGTTGGGTGTCTCTTTAAGAAAGAATCTGATGCAGGCAGTTTTTTTTTTTTTGGTACTAACTGACAGGCTGATCTTAAAATGTACTATATATGGAAAGGTAAATTACCTAGAATAGCCAAGTTTGAAAAAGAATAACAAAATTGGAGGGCACATGCTATCTGATTGCACCGCTTCCTATAGAAATCAAGACAGTGTAGCACTGGTGAAAGAATAGACAGAGAGGGGAATTGAAGATAATAGAGAATCCAGAAACAGCCCCATACATGGATGGTCAGTTGATTTTAGACAGGGGTGCAAAGGTAAGTCAACAGAGAAAAAATAGTCTTTTTGACAAATAGGACTGGAATAATAGAGTATCAACATGCAAAACAAACAAAGAGAGAAGGAGAAAAAGAAAGGAAGGAAGGAGAAAAAGAAAGGAAGGAAGGAGAAAAAGAAAGGAAGGAAGGAGAAAAAGAAAGGAAGGAAGGAGAAAAAGAAAGGAAGGAAGGAGAAAAAGAAAGGAAGGAAGGAGAAAAGATGAGAAAGAAGCAAGGAAGGAAAGACAGAAAAGTCTTTTTTTTTTTTTTTGAGACAGTCTCACTCTGTCGCCCAGGTTGGAGTGCAGTGGTGTGATCTCGGCTCTCTGCAAACTTTGCCTCCTGCGTTCAAGCGATTCTCCTGCCACAGCATCCCGAGTAGATGGGATTATAGGCGCATGCCACCATGCTCAACTAAGTTTTGTATTTTTAGTAGAGATGGGGTTTCCCCATGTTGACCAGGCTGGTCTTGAACTCCTGACCTCAAGCGATCTGACTGCCTTGGCCTCCCAAAGTTCTGGGATTACTGGCATAAGCCATCATGCCCAGCCAAAAGTCTTTTTTTCTATGCTGTGTACCTTGCACCATAGAAAAATATCGGATCACAAATGTAAATCATAAACTGGATCATCAACCTAAATATAAGACCTAAAACTACAAAACATATAGGAAAAACATAGGAGAAAATCTCTGGGTTAGGCAAAGATTTCTTAGATACAACACAAAAAAGCATGACCCATAAAAGGAAAAATTGAACTTCATCAAAATTTAAAACTTCTGCCCTGCAAAAGACCCTGTCTAGAGAATGAAAAGACAAGCCACAAACTCGGACACAATATAAGATGTAACACCTATCTTATAAAGGACTTGTATCCAGAACACAGAACGAACTCTTAAAACTCACTAATGGCCAGGCACAGTGGCTCACGCCTGTAATCCCAGCACTTTGGGAGGCCGAGGCGGGTGGATCACCTGAGGTCGGGAGTTTGAGACCAGCCTGACTAACATGGAGAAACCCCGTCTCTACTAAAAATACAAAATTAACTGGGCGTGGTGGTGCATGCCTATAATTCCAGCTACTCGGGAGGCTGAGGCAGGAGAATCGCTTGAACCTAACAGGCAGAGGTTGCAGTGAGCCGAGATCGTGCCATTGTGCTCCAGCCTGGGCAACAAGAGCGAAACTCCGTCTCAAAAAAATAAAAAACAAACAAACAAAAAACAAACAAGCAAAAAAAAAAAAAAAAACTCACTGGTAAGGAAATAGACCAATTAAAGAATATTAAAGAATAGGCAAAAGATTTGAACTGACACTTCACCAGAGAAGATATACAGAGCGGAGGTAAGCATGAGGAAGGACGCTAACATCCTTAGTCGTCAGGGCCACGGGAGTTACAAGCATGCTCCACACATATCAGAAGGCAGACCAGGTCCTTCACTGTGCCAGGTGCTGGTGGGGACACAGGACAACCAGAATGTTCCTGCTCTGCTGGTGGGAAAGCAAAATGCTGTGAGCATTTTGGAAAACATTTCGGAAGTTTCTGACAAAGTGAAATGGCTCACTTGCCTTTTGAGCCAACAATTTCACTCTTGCATATTTATCCAAGGGAAAGACCAATGTGCACACAAAAACCTGTATGTGAACATTTATAGAGGTTTTACTCCTAGCAGCTAAAAACGATAAACAACCCAGATGTCCTGAACGGGTGGAGAAGCTGTGGTACCTTCACGCAATGGAATTCTACTCAGCATTAAAAAGGAATGAATCACTGATGCAGGCAGCAACAAGGAAGAATCCCAAATAGCCAAGGTAACTAGACACAAAAGGCTACAAACCCTGTGATTTTACTTCTATGACGTTCTGGAAAAGACAAAACTGTGAAGGGGGGCGGGGGAAAGACAAATCAGTAGTTGCCAGGGGAGGGGTTGGGAAGACAGGGTGACTACGAAGGGGTGTGAGAGAAGATCTGGGGGGTGAAGGGAAAATTCTATTTCATGATGATGATGGGAACCACAGGCCTGTATGAGTTTGTCAAAACTCACAAAACTGTACTTGAAAAAGGTGAATATTTACTATATGTAAAGCAAACTTCAGTTGTAAAGAAACGAGAGAGACTGTGCTGTCCAGCAGCTGACAGCCTTGGGGCCGAGGCCACGGGCTTCTGGGCAGCCCCGACTAGACTGAGGCCGGGGTCACCGGGGCCGAAGCCAGGAGCCTTCTAAGGAGCAGTTTGCTCCAGAGCTGCCTGCTGGGTTGGCCAAGACTTAGATCTGGATCACAGCGTGAGCCTCTCCCGACCCAAGCTGCTTCCTCTCTTTTTCCCGTTCATAAGCGTCTGAGCAGCATCCAAGTTTGAAGGCTCATCCTGCCCACTCCTGCTTTCTCCCACTTTGCCTTCTGCAGGTTTACCCCTCAATAAACCTCTTGCAGTCCTCACTCTGGCCCAGCAACTGCTTTCCAGTTCAGTTCCAGCAACTGAACACATGCATCTAGCATTTCCCAAATTGATTTGATCTTGGATGCCTTTTTAAAAAGAATATTCCTTACAATCCCGTGGAAAACACACCTGGTGGAAGTTTATTAAGTCCTCAGTCTTTCCCCTTTGTGCTGCCTGGCCCCCCTTCCCCTACCATGCACCCCACCCTTGTGTTTTGTGTCCCAAGGGTCTGGAGGAGTTGCTGAAGGTTTGTGGCCTATCCTGTCCCTCCCCATGGTCCTACCTGGCAGGAAGGCTCCAGGGGGGCTGGGGGAGAAGGGCGGGTCCCAGAGTGATGCTTACCCTCCAGGATGGGGTTGGCTTCCAGGACCTGCTGCTCAATCCACGAATGCTGGCCACTGATGGTGGCCAGGAACTGCAGGATGAGCTTGGTGGTCTCCGTCTTGCCAGCCCCAGACTCGCCGCTGCAAAAAGGGTGTGCAGGGACATGATGCCACAAAACGACTATTTTTTTCAACACCTCTCAACTCTCCTGCAAACCCCAGTCCTGCTTTCTGAGCCAGTCTGACAGGGATGGCCTCTCCCCTGCAGAAATCCCACTGCACTGAAGCCCTGAAATCCCCTGTGGGTCTCAGGCTGCCTGTGTTGTACATGTTATTGTGTTTGTCTTTTCTTCTGTGCTTGGCTGCAAGTTCCTTGGCACACTCGGATCTGATTCATTCCAGGGTCAGCACCACAGTGCCCAGGACGTACAGAAGACTGAGTGAGATGACTCAGTGTCTTCCTAATGAAAGGGTGGCCCACAGGCCAGCAGCAGGCTCGGAATGCAGATGCCCAGGTCACACAGGCTCTGTTGATCAGAATCTGCATTTTCACCAGATCCCCAGAGGATTCCTGCACTTTGGAGTTTGCAAAACAGACTCCCACAGTCCCATTATCCAGCTTCAACTCCCGGCCAATTTTGTTTCCCGTCCTGTACTATTTTAAAGCAAATCCCAGATGTTGCTTCATCTGAAAATATTACCTTTTTTTTTTTTTTTTTTTTGAGACGGAGTCTCACTCTGTCACCCAGGCTGGAGTACAGTGGCATGATTTCGGCTCACTGCAACCTCCACCTCCTGGGTGCAAGTGATTCTCATGCCTCAGCTTCCTGAGTAGCTGGGATTACTGGTGGCTGCCACCACACCCAGGTAATTTTTATATTTTTAGTAGAGATAAGGTTTCACCATGTTGACCAGTCTGGTCTCAAACTCCTGACCTCAGATGATCTGCCCGCCTCGGCCTCCCAAAGTGCTGGGATTACAGGCATAAACCACCGTGCTTGGCCTGAAAATACTGTCTTTTTTTTTTTTTGAGACGGAGTCTTGCTGTTGTTGGCCTGGGCTGGAGTGCAATGGCACGATCTCAGCTCACTGCAACCTCCGCCCACTCCAGTTCCAGCAATTCTCCTGCCTCACCCTCCTGAGTAGCTGAGATTACAGGCGTCGGCCACCAAGCCTGGCTAATTTTTATATTTTTAGTAGAGACGGGGTTTCACCATGTTGGCCAGGCTGGTCTTGAACTCCTGACCTCAGGTGATCCACCTGCCTCAGCCTCCCAAAGTGCTGGGATTACAAGCGTGAGCTACCGCACCCGGCCAAAATATTACCTTTTTTAAAAGTTATGATCAAAATACCCACAATCACTATGCCAGCAAAGCAGAGTGAGATCAACAAACCTCCAGTGATAGCTGTGGACTCCCCTGAGTGCCTGTCAAGCGCCAGGCGTTTTTATAAACACGAGCTCATCAAATAACCTGCCATTGTAGAGACAGGGGCTTAAGGGGACTTGCCCACAGCCCTGGGGGAGGAAAGGGCAGGAGGAGAATGCAATTTGATTCAAAGTGACAAGTGACATTCTGCTCACTGCAAGGAACCAAAATCAGGGGGCTCTTTCCTCTCCTTGTTCACACTGCCAGCCCCGCCAACCTCCAGGTAGAGCCACACCGTAAGCTCCCTGGCCAGCCAGCCTGCGGCCCAGCTCTGCTGAGGGGCCTCTTGCCCTGCCTCTGGGGGCAGGTTGGGAGTTCCAGCTTTCTCCCAGAGTACCTGTCTGCTGTCTTCTCCAGAGCCCTGGGTTTGAATTTCCCACTTCACTGCTGTGTACCACTGGAACAGGATCTCAGCCCCTCTGATTGTAGGTCTCTCCAGCAGTAACATGAGACCATATCATGGGAATAAGAGCATCTCTTTCAGAGGGTTGCTGAGGACATGAAATGTGATCACCTGTGCCTTAGGACTTCATTCTGGTCTCTGTTCAACATCCCTCCTCAGAGAGGCCGTGCCTGGCCTGCCCCCTATCTAATGAAGAGGCCGACATCACCCTTTCCTCTCCCCTGCTGTGTTTTTCTTCAAAGCTGTTAGGACCTACATAAAAACGCACTTATTTGTTGCCTGTCTGTCTCCGCTTCTAGAATATAAGCTCCCTGAGGAAGGGATTCTGGTCCCTTTTGTTAGCTGCTGCCTCACCATGTTAGGACAGTTGGGGGCACTCAGTTGGGGCATGACAAAACCTCAAATGATTGAATGAATGAATGAATGAATGAATGAATCCCCCAGGTGGATCATGTCATCCACGCCATGGACTGAGTTGGGGTGCATGGGGCTGAGGACACCAAAGTTCTCTGCTAGGATCCAGTGTTCCTGGAACAACGGGTGCAGACTCCCCTGAGGGGTGGCTTCCATCCCCGTGGCCAGCCTGCCACACCCTCCCCTCCAAGTTCTCAGGGTCTGTGGTCACTGGTAGAGAGGCCAGGCCAGGCAGGGAGTCTCTGAAGCAGTCAGGACCTGGACTGGAGGGGACACTTTCCTTCTGGTCCCCTAGTGAACTGAGAGCTGTCCCCTGGAGCTGCTGCTCCTCTGTCCTCACCTGAGGCCTGCCCTGTGTTTTTTTTTGAGTGGGCCCTCACCTGTTCAACTCCTGCAGCTTTAAGTGCCTAACCTGGGTCCCATATCTTTTTCTTTTTTTATTTTTACAGAGAGAGGGTCTTGCTATGTTGTCTAGGCTGGTCTCAAACTTCTGGCCTCAAGCAATCCTCCTCCTTTGACCTCCCAAGTCCCTGGGATTATAGGCATGAGCTACTATGCCCGACTCCTGGGGCCCATTTCTAAAGGAACCCAGCCCAACTTCCTTCCTTGACTCAGTAAACCTTTATTAAAAGCTGGGCAGTCCAGTCCCTGGTGACACGATGAAAGCCTAGGTTCTGAAGGAAGGAAGCTTTGGGGGAACTGCTCGGGGTGCAGGGTAACTGGGGCCGTTGTGTGCTGTGGAGATGGGTGTGTGCCATGGAGTAGGGAGAGCTCTCATCTCGCCTGATCTTGCAGGCATGCTGGTGGGGAGCAGTTCAGGGAGATGCCTGGAGGTGGTGCCTGACCCCTCTGCCTCACCTGATGATGCAGCACTGGTCCCTCTTGTTCCTCTTCATGCTGAAGTAGCAGTTGTTGGCGATGGCAAAGACATGCGGGGGCAGCTCGCCCATATGGCGGCTGTAGTAGAGCTGTACCTGCTCCAGGGTGTAGAGCGGCAGCACCTGGAACGGGTTGACGGCCACCAGGATGGAGCCTGTGTATGTCTGGGAAGGAAGCAGGTGGTCAGTGCCCTCTGCCCCTGGCAGAGGTACTCGGCCCTGGCCTTGGCCTTGGCCTTGGCTCTGGCTCTGCCCTCGGGGTTATCAGGGCCACTGACTTTGGTGGGGAAGTAGAATCTGATTCTGGGCCAGGGAGATCAGACATTCAGCTGCGCAGATCTCTCCTCTGGGAAGATGGGATATCCACCAGGAAGGTGAGCTCCCAGGGAACATATTTCCAGGAAGATCAAATGTTAACTGTTTTGTACCCTGCCTGGTATTTAGAAGGGGCTCGATAAAAATGGACTAAGTATGAAATGGGTTTTCACCTGCATCCCGCAGGGGCTTTCATATAGGCTGGTCAACAACTGGGCCTCACGGACCCCAACCCCAAATTCTGTGTGCCCCTGGGACCTCCGCCCTGGATCAGCTGCCCATCTGGAGCCCCCACCCAGCCCCACTGCCCCTCAGGGGGTGCGGCAGGCAGAGCCTGCACAATAAGCCACATGACCATGGTGTCCTGGTTTTCACTTTAGGAAAGGAGAGGACGTGCCCTCTGGCTTCAGGCTGTGCCACCAGATGAGGAGTGCAGGCAAAAGCCCTTTGGAAGCACAAGCTGCTTTCCTCTGAGCAGCCCAGAAGGGCCAGTCAGAACCAAGCTAGCCACCCCTCCAGACCAGAGAGGCCCAGGCAGGCAGTGGCTTCTGCAGGCCACACCTACTTAGGCCGAACTGGTGTCGGTTTTGGAATACCACCTCCCCTGGAAAAATCTGCATTGGAACCAGGATGAGAGCTTCAGGCTGGAGTGAACCTCCATCCAGGCCAGGTTTGCACGGAGGGCCCACATCCATCCCCATGGCCCCCTCGTCTGGTGAATCAGGACCTTGGGATCTGGGCTGTCACGGGCCTCACTCTTGGGAGGCCAGGGGCTTTCTGTCTAGTGACTCTGTCTCTACAACATGCCTGGGAAGGAGAGGGCAGAGGATGATGGCCACCTGATGGCCATCTGCAGCCCTCACTGAGCAGAGACTGTGCCAGGCACTGTGCTGTCACTCTACGCATTGGCTTCCTCCCCTCCAGGGTGGGATCACCCTCCTTGTTTGGGACTGGGCAGCAGAGATTGGGAAAAGTTAGGCACCTCGCCCACCTCCCTCAGTGAGGGCATGGGGGGCAGTGCCCCCTGTGCATCATTTTCTTCTCCCTGTCCAGGAGGTTGGCACCTGTGAGGGGCTCCCCTGTGGACACAGGGCTGGGGAGACTCACATAGATCTTGTGCTGCTGGTAGCGGATCAGGAGGTTGTGCACCATGCCTGCCTCGTTCAGGTCCCCCAGGCGGATCATGTCGTCCACACCCTGGACTGAGTTGGGGTGCATGGGACTGAGGACACCAAAGTCCTCTGCTCGGATCCAGTGTTCCTGGAACAATGGGTGCAGACTCCCCTGAGGGGTGGCCTCCATCCCCATGGCCAGCCTGCCACACCCTCCCCTCCAAGTTCTCAGCAGCAAGGTGACCTTCCGGGTCATGGATCAGCTGACCTGGGGCAGTGGCCAGCCTCCGGCCAGGGTCAGTCTATGACAAGGGTCAAGAGACTCCTGTGGCAGGATCCGGTCCATCTATGGCTGGGTCAGCATGGGTCTAGGGCCCAGGGTTAGGGCGTAGCTGGGGCTAGGGCTGAATTTCAGACCAGGGACAAAGGAGCTTATAGCCAGAAGTTAGATTTAGGGTCAGGTTGCAGCTGGGAGCCTTGCAGGTTGTTGGAATAAGACTGTGCAAGTAAAAGCTTTTTTAAAAAACTACAGTGTCACACAAATAGAAGATATTGTTATTATTTTACTGACTTCCATCATCTGGAACTCACAGGCCACAGCCTAGAAACTTCTCCTTGGAGGCTAAGCCTGCAGCACCCAGCTGAGCACAGAGGACAATCTGAGGAGCTAAGTGACCGGCTGGACACTCCATTGTAAGCCCTTCCCTGCTCACCACCTAGCTGGCCCTGACCCCTCTGGTGGACGAGCTGGTCACTCCCGGGCCACTCCAGCTTGCTGGCCTCTTACTTGTGCATTTTGCCCCGTCCTGCCCCTCCACACACCTTCCTCACCCACCTTTCCCCCTTGCCCGTTTCATTTTGCAAACTGGCTTTCTGCCCCTCTGGCCCTTCCAGAGCCCCTTTCCCACTTCCCACTTCCTTCTTGAAACGTTCCCCAGGACACACAGGCCATGTTCTCCATGGCAGGACTCCACCGTGATCTGTCCTGCCACCCAGGTCCCCACTTGGCCTTGGAGCCCCTGGTGTTGGGGAGAGGCTCCACAGGGCGGGGAGGGCTCCAGGGCCCTGGATGTGAGGGCAGGGCAGGGCCCAGAGGAAACCCCAGAACACTGACCTTGCCCTCGTCATCTTCAACCAAGACTTTGCCTGGCTTTGCCTCTTTGATGATGCCCCCGATGGCCACGCCGGTCTTGTGGGTGGAGGGAGGCTCCAGCCACACGTGGTCACCCTGGAGGGCAGACAGAAGACAGTGGTGTGATCCCCGCTCTCTCTTCCCCTCCCTGCTGGATACTTACTTCTCTTCGGGGCTATGCCTTCCAGCCCAGAGCTCCCAAGGTGGCTGGAGCTTGTCTCTCCTTTCCTCTCCTCCCCTCTCCCATCTCTCTTTCTCCCTGCTCACTGGGCAGGTACCAAGCGCCTGTACAGCTTCTCTCCATGTCTTTGTCTTGTCTGGGACAATAAGCTGACAAGAACAGGAGCTCTGGTCTCACCACAGCACCTCTCATAATGAAAAAGAAACTTGGCTACTATTTAGGAAGGTGGTGTGGCTGAGTGGTTAAGAGAGAAAGTGCTTCTCAAGCTTGATGACGGTAGCAAGAGTTGCATCCTCTCAGAAATCACCCACAAGCAATAGGAGGATGAGAAACAGAAACGAGCACTAGAAGACGCAGGAGGAAGCTGAAAAGGTGGCCCCAGCTGTAGGTTCCAGAAAGAGAGGGCAAAGTTCACTTCTCCAAGGCAGGAGCCCATCCTGGCATGCAAAAGCAGCATGTCTTGCTGCAGCAGTAGGAGCAAGGGCACAAGGTGGCAGGCGGAGCTTGCCTGGCCTGTCTTGGTTCTAGGAAACACCATATTTGCAGGTCTTCCATATTTGCAGGAAGCAGTCTCTCTGTGGGGTGGGAAAAGAGAAGTCTTGCCCTGTGAAAAGCTCTGCAGTACCCAGATCTATTGGGTGGGAGAAGCCACTACTAAAAATTCACATGTGAGATTTCTGCTAGCCTGCACTGTGGCATTGACACCTCATGAACCTCCTTCTAATCCAAGAAAGCTCACCCCATCTGAAGAGAAGTAATCCAAAAGGAACCAGCACAGTTCTGTGTTCGGAGGTACTGAAACCCAAGAGGAGGAAAGGAGCAAATAATACTCAGCAAAAGAGAAATAACTGCCACAGAGCAGTAGGAAGTTGTGACCAAGTATTTCACCATAATTTACAAAAACTGACCAAAGAGTAGGTCAGAGGCAAAAGAGCCCAGGAATTAGATGGGGGACAACTGAGAAAAAGGATGAGACATGAGTTGGCAGAGCCGAATGAAAAAATTGAGGAAATGAAAGAAATGCAGACCAGAATGAAAGCAAAATTGGAAACAGCAGGAGAACATACCCTGATTATAAAAACATGGGAAGAATCATAAAAGGTAGGAAGGAGAAAAGTGAGCAAAATGATATAGAATTTGTTAAAAAATTAGAATTAGGGGCTGGATGTGGTGGTTCACACCTGTAATCCCAGCACTTTGGGAGGCCAAGACAGGCCAGGAGTTTGAGACCAGCCTGGCCAACATGGAGAAACCCTGCCTCTACTAAAAAAATGCAAAAATTGGCTGGGTGTGGTGGCTCATGCCTGGAATCCCAGCACTTTGGGAGGCTGAGGCGGGCAGATCACAAGGTCAGGAGTTCAAGACCAGCCTGGCCAACATAGTGAAACCCCATCTCTACTAAAAATACAAAAATTAGCCGGGTGTGGTGGCAAGCACCTGTAGTCCCAGCTACATGGGAGGCTGACGCAGGAGAATTGCTTGAACCCGGGAGGCAGAGGTTGCAGTGACCGAGATCATGCCACTGCACAACAGCATGGGCAACAGTGCAAGACTCCGTCTCAAAAAAAAAAAAAAAAAAAAAAAACAATAAAACCCCACAAAAATTAGCTGGGCGTGGTGGTGGGCGCCTGTAATCCCAGCTAATCAGGAGGCTGATGCAGGATAATTGCTTGAATCTGAGAGGTGGAGGTTGCAGTGAATTGTGATCGTGCCACTGCACTCCAGCTTTGCTGACAGAGACTCTGTCAAAAAAGAATACATAAATAAAAAATAAAATAAAATTAGAATTAGGAAGAAGATCGCTATAGAAGATGGGCAAAAATACAAGTAAACCTCATTATATGGACTGAATTGTGTCCCTCCAGAATTCATATAGTGAAGCCCCAATTCCTGACATGACCATATTTGCAGATAAGGCCTTCAAGGAGGTAATTAAGGTTAAATAAGGTCCTAAGGGTGTGGTCCTAATCCAACAGGACTGGTGTCTATAAAAAAGGAAGAGGCACCAGAGTGAGATGCATGCACGCTCTCTCTCTCTCCCTTTCTCTCTCTCTCTCTCTTTTTCTTTCTCCCTCTCCTCACCCCCAAGCACAGAAGAAAGGCCATGTGAAGATAAGATGAGAAGACAGCCATCTACCAGCCAGGAAGAGAGGCTTCACCAGACACCAACCCTAAAGGCACCTTGACCTTGGACTTCCAGCTTCCAGGACTGTGAGAACGCAAATGTCTGTGGTTTAGGCCATCCAGTCTGTGATACCTTGTTATGGCAGTCCAAGCCCCAGTGAAGTCAGACAGTCCGGCTGGGTTCTAATCTCTACTCTATATTACAGGAGTTATACGGCCTTGGGAAAGTCACTTAACTGCTCTGAACCTTAACTTTCTTATCTGTTGAAAGGGCCCGCTTCACAGGGCTGCTGTGAAGATGGAATGCCCTATGGCAGGGACCCCGCATAGTGTCCAGCACAGAGGGCACCACAGAGGGCTCAACAACCACATGGGCCCTCTGAAAGACTTATTCATTAAAAACATGACCACTCTGCACTTTGGGAGGCCGAGGCGGGTGGGCAGATCACCTGAGGTCAGGAGTTCGAGACAAGCTTGGCCAACGTGGTGAAACCCTGTCTCTACTAAAAATACAAAAATTAACTGGGCATGGTGGTGGGTGCCTGTAGTCCCAGCTACTCAGGAGGCTGAGGTGGGAGGATTGCTTGAACCTGGGAGGCCGAGGTTGCAGTGAGCCGAGATTGCGCACTCCAGCCTGGGTGACAGAGTAAGACTCTGTCTAAAAAAAAAAAAATTACTCTCCTCTCAAAGACTTACAATCTCTGAAGACAGAGCAGGCCTGCAATTGTAATTGTGAGTAATAGGGCCCCAAGAGGTGTTTTTCTAAACTCTGCTTGCAGTTAGTCGCATTCCCAGAGGGACATTTGGCGTTGATGCATCCCGTGGCATATTCCTTTGTGAAATGTTTGGCTTTGTCTTAAAACCACATCATGCTCCAAAGTGGAGCCACGCTCTCATGTTTGCAACTTAGTTACCAGAAGCGCTCACAACCTGACCTTTTAGACCATGTGTGTCCTTTCTCCAAACTAAAACAGCCTAAGCTCTATTCTGTAACTGAAAACAAGAAGCCAATCTTGGCTGTCCATTCTGTGAGTCAGATGCTGCCAGGCTTAGTGGCAGCACCAGGGGCCGCTGCGTAGTGAAGGTCCTCCTCGCAGCAGTGTGCTCCAGCAGCCAGGAACGATGTCCTGTGTGGCTTTGCACTCAGGAGGAGAACATTCGGGGCATTTTCTTATCAAAGAGCACTTCGCAGCACTGTCCTGCTCTCCTGGACTCTGTAGGGCATGGGGCAAGGGTGGAAATGTGGAGGGCAGGGAAGGATGCACAGGCTGGTTTGGGGCCTCTGCTCTCTGGGCTCACCAGCCTCTGAGCTCTCCACCCTGCACTCCCCGCCGCCAGGCTTCTCAAGGCCTGTCCCTGCCTCCCAGGGCAGGGCAGTTCCCCAGGGTCTGTTGATTTGACAGTAAATGCAAAACTCCTCTGCTTTCTTCCTGTGGAGGAGCCATCTCTTGGCCACCGGAACACAGGAATATTTGTTGAGTGAAGGGAACACGATGCAGAGTCCAAAGGGGTGATTCAGACCTGGGTTTCAGTCCTACCCATGCCCACAGTTCCCCAGTTCCCTGTTTTCTCTGGGGGAGCTCCCGGCAACTGCCGCAATGAGGCAACTGGGAAATCCCTTTGTTGGCTGGGCAAGGTGGCTCACACCCAGCACTTTGGGAGGCCAAGGCTAGTGGATTGCTTTGAGCTCAGGAATTCGAGACCAGCCTGGGCAACATGGCAAAACCCTCTCCCTACAAAAATACAAAAATTAGCTGGGTGTGGTGGCATGCACCTGTGGTCCCAGCTACTTGGGAGACTGAGGCTGGAAGATCGCTTGAACCCAGGAGGCAGAGGTCACCGTGAGCTGAGATCGTGCCACTGGACTCCAGCCTGGGTGACAGAGTGAGACCCTGTCTGAAAAAAAAAAAAAAGAAAAGAAAAGAAAAGAAAAGAAATCCCTTTATCAAGACAAAGGGACATGTTAAGCCCTACATGAAAGTGAGGGATAACTATACATAACTATACATGTATTGCCGAGGCCAGTGGCTGGCCAAACTTGTTTTCTTTAGATGCTAGAATCTGTCGTGTTTCCTAAACTCCCCTGTCTCTGGTATTTTCCTATAGGGTCTCATTGCCTTTCCTCTCTTTCCTTGGGAGCGATTCAACTTGGCCTTGAGTAACTTACACCAATAACCCCTAGATCAAATCATACAATTCTTACCAGCCTGAACCCCGACATCCTGAGTCAGCAGTTCCACAAGCCTGTATGGAGAGAGAAAGCAGAACGTCAGCTCCATACACAGCCCCAATAGGAGCCCCTGGAGCACAGGAGCTGGGCTTGTTCACCAACACTTCCCTAAGTGCCCGGCATGGGACCTGGCTCAAAAACAATGCTGAATAAATGGATGAATGAGTCACAGTCCTAGCCCAAGTGCAAGAGCTGTTCTCAGCTTCTTCATCCTATGTCACCTTTATTGAAGACGTATTTCATACCCAGTCCTGGGCTTGATACAGGGAGTAGGTGGTTCCCTGTCATCCAGAAGCCCCAATTTTAACTGGTCAGATATCCATGAAAACCAGTCACCGTCACACATCTTGGGAAGTGCTCAGGTAAGCAGCCACTGGAGCTATAGACACAACTTTAAGCCTCACAGCACTGCAGAATGTGCGTGTTCCCTCACTTTAGACATGGGACTCAATGCAGGAAATGCCACTCAGTTAATTAGTAGCACAGCTGGGAATCAAACCCGGATCTGCCTCCTTTCAAACCTGTCCTTAGCACCTGGTGGTTCTAGAGGGAGCAGGCAGCCAGGCCCAAGTAGGCAGCCAGGCCCAGCAGGAGGAGGAGCGGGGAGGAGCCCACTTGTCCCATTTAAAGGAGGAAACCCCGAGTTACCCTGACTGAGTGTTGGCAGCTTCCCCTCCCTGCGCTGAGCAGTGCAAGGTGGGTACCAGGTCTATTGCTAAGCTCTTTAGCCGTGACTTGTGGGATTTTGGTGCACGCATCACCAGCGAAATATACATGGAACCCAATTTGTAGTCTTTCATTCCTCACCCCCTTCCCTCCCTTTCCCCGAGTCCCCAAAGTCCATTGTATCATTCTTACACCTTTGCATCCTCATAGCTTAGCTCCCACTTATGAGTGAGAACATACGATGTTTGGTTTTCCATTCCCGAGTTACTTCACTTAGAATAAGAGTCTACAATCCCATCCAGGTTGCTGTGAAAGCCATTAATTCATTCCTTTTTATGGCTGAGTAGTATTCCATCATACATATGTATATCATATATATACGTCTATATCTCTATATATATGATACATAGATATCACAATTTCTTTATCCACTTGTTCACTGATAGGCATTTGGGCTGGTTCCACATTTTTGCAATTGTGAATCATGCTGCTATAAACATGTGCGTGCAAGTATCTTTTCGAATAGTGAGTTCTTTTCCCCTGGGTAGACACCCAGTAGTGGGATTGCTGCATCAAATGGAAGTTCTACTTTTAGTTCTTTAAGGAATCTCCACACTGTTTTGCATAGTGGCTGTACTAGTTTACATTCCCACCAGCAGTGTAGAAGCATTCCCTTTTCACTGCATCCATGCTAACATCTTTTATTTTTTGATTTTTTAATTATGGCCATTCTTGTAGGAGTAAGGTGGTATCACATTGCAGTTTTGATTTCTATTTCCCTGATCATTAGTGATGTTGAGCATTTTTTCATGTTTGTTGGCCATTTATATATCTTCTTTTGAGAATTGTCTATTCATAACCTTAGCCCACTTTTTGATGGGATTGTTTGGTTTTTTTTCTTACTAATTTGTTTGAGTTCCTTGTAGATTCTGGATATTAGTCCTTTGTCAGATGCATAGTTTGTGAAGATTTTCTCCCACTTTATGGGTTATCTGTTTGCTCTGCTGACTGTTCATTTTGCTGTGCAAAAGCTCTTTAGTTTAATTAAGTCCCACCTATTTATCTTTGTATTTGTTGCATTTGTTTTTTGGGCTCTTGGTCATGAAATCTTTGCCTAAGCCAATGTCTAGAAGGGATTTTCTGATGTTATAGTCTAGAATTTTTATAGTTTTAGGTCTTAGATTTAAGTCCTTGATCCATCTTGAGTTGATTTTTATATAAGGTGAGAGATGAGGATTCAGTTTCACTCTCCTACATGTGGCTTTTCAATTATCCCAGTACCATTTGTTGAATAGGGTGTTATTTCCCCACTTTACGTTTTTGTTTGCTTTGTTGAAGGTCAGTTGGCTGTAAGCAATTGGGTTTATTACTGGGTTCTCTATTTTGTTCCATTGGTCTATATGCCTATTTTTATACCAATACCACAAAAGGGGGAGAGTACTACATCAGGGGAACACCCCGTGGGACAAAAGAATCTGAATGGCAGCCTTGAGTCCCAGAACTTCCCTCTGACATAGCCTACCCAAATGAGAAGGAACCAGAAAAACAATTCTGGTAATATGACAAAATGAGGGTTTTTTTAAAACCCCCAAAAAATCACACTAGCTCACCAGCAATGGGTCCAAACCAAGAAGAAATCCCTGACTTACTTGAAAAAGAATTCAGAAGGTCAATTATTAAGCTAATCAAGGAGGCACCAGAGAAACGTAAAGTCCAATTTAAGAAAATCAAAAAAATGACACAAGAAATGAGGGGAGAAATCTTCATTGAAACAGACAGCATAAATAAAAAACAATTGCAACTTCAGGAAACAAGGGACACACTTAGAGAAATGCAAAATGTTCTGGAAAGTCTCAGCAATAGAATCAAACAAGCAGAAGAAAGAACTTCAGAGTTTGAAGACAAGCTCTGAATCAACCCAATTCAGAATTAACTCAATTCAACAAAGACAAAGAAAAAAGATTTTTAAAAAATGAACAAAGCCTCCAAGAAGTTTGGGATTATGTAAAACAACCAAACCTAAGAATAATTTGCATTCCTGAGGAAGATGAGAAATCTAAAAGTTTGGAACACATTTTTTGGGGAAGAATCAAGGAAAACCTTCCTGGCCTTGCTAGAGATCTAGACATCCAAATACAAGAAAGAACACCTGGGAAATTCATCACATAAAGATCATCACCTAGGCACATTGTCATCAGGTTATCTAAAGTCAAGACAAAGGAAAGAATCTTAAGAGCTGTGAGGCAAAAGCACCAGGTAACCTATAAAGGAAAACCTATCAGATTAATAGCAGATTTCTCAGCAGAAACTCTATAAGCTAGAAGGGATTGGGACCCTATCTTCAGCCTCCTTAAACAAAACAATTATCAGCCAAGAATTTTGTATCCAGCAAAACTAAGCTTCATAGATGAAAGAAAGATCCAGTCTTTTTCAGACAAACAAATGCTGAGAGAATTTGCCACTACCAAGCCAGCACTGCAAGAACTGCTAAAAGGAGTTCTAAATCTTGAAACAAATCCTGGAAACACATCAAAACAGATCCTCTTTAAAGCATGAATCTCATAGGACCTATAAAACAAAAAAGCAATTAAAAGGTATACAGGCAACAAATAGCATAATGAATGGAATAATACCTCACATTTCAATACTAATGTTGAATGTAAATGGCCTAAATGTGCCACTTAAAAGATACAGAATGGCAGAATGGATAAGAATTCACCAACCAAGCATCTGCTGCCTTCAAGAAAATCACCTAACACAAAAGGACTCACATAAACTTAAAGGGGTGGAAAAAGACATTCTGTGCAAATGGACACCAAACGTGAGTAGGAGTAGTTATTCTTATATCAGACAAAACAAGCTTTAAAGCAACAGCAGTTAAAGAAGACAAAGAGGGATATTATATAATCATAAAAGGCCTTGTCCAACAGGAAAATATCACAATCCTAAATATACATGCACCTAACACTGGAGCTTCCAAATTTATAAAACAATTACTACTAGACCTAAGAAATGAGATAGCAGCAACACAATTAATAGCCGGGGACTTCAATACTCCACTGGCAGCACTAGGCAGGTCCTCAAGACAGAAGTCAACAAAAAAACAATGGATTTAAACTATACCCTGGAATGAATGGACTTAACAGATATTTACAGAACATTCTACCCCACAACCACAGAATGTACATTCTATTCCTCAGTGCATGGAACTTTCTCCAAGATAGACCATACGATAAGCCACAAAACAAGTCTCAATAAATTTAAGAAAATTGAAATTATATCAAGTACTCTCTCAGACCACAGTGGAATAAACCTGGAAGTCAGCTCCAAAAGGAACCTCCAAAACCATGCAAATACATGGAAATGAAATAACTAGCTCCTGAATGATCATTGGGTCAACAATGAAATCAAGATGGAAATTTAAAAATGCTTCAAACTGAACGATAATAGTTACACAATCTGTCAAAACCTCTGGGATACAGCAAAGGCAATGCTAAGAGGAAAGTTTATAGCCTTAAATGCCTACATCAAAAAATCTGAAAGAGCACAAATAGGCAATCTAAGGAAGGTCACATCTCAAGGAACTAGAGAAACAAGAACAAACCAAATCCAAACCCAGCAGAAGAAAGGAAATAACCAAGATCAGAGCAGAACTAAATGAAATTGAAACAACAACAACAACAAAAACCCACAAAAGATAAATGAAACAAAAAGGTGGTTTTTTGAAAAGATAAATAAAATTGATAGACCATTAACAAGATTAACCAAGAAGAGAGAAGATCAAAATAAGATCAGTTAGACGGCCAGGCACGGTGGCTCAAGCCTGTAATCCCAGCACTTTGGGAGGCCAAGGCGAGTGGGTCACGAGGTCAGGGGTTCAAGACCAGCCTGGCCAAGATGGTGAAACTCCATCTCTAACAAAAATACAAAAAATTAGCCAGGCATGGTGGTGGGCACCTGTAATCCCAGCTACTTGGGAGGCTGAGGCAGAGAATTGCTTGAACCTGGGAGGCAGAGGTTGCAGTGAGCTGAGATCATGCCACTGTGCTCCAGCCTGGGCAACGAGAGTGAAACTCCATCTCAAAAAAAAAAAAAAAATCAATTAGAAATGAAACAGGAGGTATTACAACTGACACCACAGAAAGACAAAAGATCATTTAAGGCTACTTGAACACCTTTACACGCATAAACTAGAAAGCCTAGAGGAAATGGATGAATTCCTGGAAAAATACACCCTCCTAATTTAAATCAGGAAGAATTAGATACCCTGAACAGACCAATAATAAGCAGCAAGACTGACATGGTAATAAAAAAAATTACCAGCAACAACAAAAAAGTCCAGAACCAGACAGATTCACAGCTGAATTCTACCAGACATTCAAAAAAGAAAACCAATCCTATTGATACTATTCCACAACATAGAGAAAGAGGGAATCCTCCCTAACTTATTCTATGAAGCCATTATCACCCTAATATCAAAACCAGAAAAGGACATAACCAAAAAAGAAAACTACAGACTAATATCCTTGATGAACATAGATGCAAAAATCCTTAACAAAATACTAGCTAACTGAATCCAACAGCATCTCAAAAAGATAATCCACCATGATCAAGTGGGTTTTATACCAGGGATGCAGGGATGGTTTAACATACGCAAGTCAATAAATGTGATACGTCCGGGCACAGTGGCTCATGCCTGTAATCCCAGTACTTTGGGAGGCTGAGGCAGGTGGATCACTTGAGGCCGGGAGCTTGAGACCAGCCTGACCAACATGGAGAAACCCTGTCTCTACTAAAAATACAAAATTAGCTGGACATGGTGGCACACGCCTGTAATCCCAGTTACTCAGGAGGCTGAGGCAGGAGAATCGCTTAAACCCGGGAGGCAGAGGTTGTGGTGAGCTGAGATTGCACCATTGCACTCCAGCCTGGGCAACAAGAATGAAACTCCGTCTCAAAATAAATAAATAAATAAAAATAATAAATAAATGTGATACACCACATAAATAGAATTAAAAACAAAAGTTACATGATCATCTCAATAGATGCAGAAAAAGCATTTGACAAAATCTAGCATCCTTTTATGGTTAAAACCCTTAGCAAAATCGGCATACAAGGGACATACCTCAGTGCAATAAAAGCCATCTATGACAAATCCACAGCCAACATAATACTGATTGGGGAAAAGTTGAAAGCATTCCCTCTGAGAACAGAAACAAGACAAGGATTCCCACTCTCACCACTCCTCTTCAACATAGTACTGGAAGCCCTAGCCAGAGCAATCAGACAAGAGAAAGAAATAACAGGCATCCAAATCGGTAAAGAGGAAGTCAAACTGTTGCTGTTTGCTGATGATATGATTGTATATCTAGCAAACCCTAAAGATT
Source organism: Homo sapiens (assembly GCF_000001405.40). Classification (NCBI taxonomy): domain Eukaryota; kingdom Metazoa; phylum Chordata; class Mammalia; order Primates; family Hominidae; genus Homo; species Homo sapiens. The sequence continues at coordinate 127,553,660 of NC_000002.12, read as the reverse complement.
CCTCCAAAAAGCTCCTAGAATTGATAAATGAATTCAACAAATTTTCGGGATACAAAATTAATGTACACAAATCAGTAGCTCTGCTATACACCAAAAGTGACCAAGCTGAGAATCAAATCAAGAACTCAACTTCTTTTACAATAGCTGCAAAAAAATAAAATACTTAAGCATATACCTAACCAAGGAAGTGAAAGCCCTCTACAAGGAAAACTATAAAACATTGCTGAGAGAAATCATAGACAACACAAACAAATGGAAACACATCCCATGCTCATGGATGGGTAGAATCAACGTTGTGAAATGACCATACTGCCAAAAGCAATTTAAAAATTCAAGCCAATTCCCATCAAAATACCACCATCATTCTTCTCAGAACTAGAAAAAACAATCCTAAAATTCATATGGAACCAAAAAAGATCCCCCATAGCCAAAGCAAGACTAAACAAAAAGAACAAATATGGAGGCATCACATTACCTGAATTCAAACTATCTTATAAGGCCATAGCCATCAGTCAATACTTGTCCAGTGAAAGAGCAGATGAAGCCCTTGGAGAGGATGTGACTTTGACAACGGCTTTGATGGATGAGTGAGGGTGCACAGTGGCGGAGGAAGCTCTGAGAAGAAATGCTGCTGTCTCTGTTTTACAGGTGAGAAAACTGAGAAATGCTGAGAAATGCTGAGACTTTGCAGAGGCTATGCAGTTAGTAAGCAAAGAAGGAGAATTTTCTCCCCAGCTCCAAAATCCCTCCTCTTTGCCCCACATCCTCTGCTTTGGGAATGTTTAAGAACCTGTATAAAAATGCAGAGAATACCTGTTGTATAACTGAATCCTGGCTCCCAGACAGCTCTTTCAGGGGGTGGCAGGTGGGAAAAGACACAGAGGGAATTGCCCTGCCTCTGGCTGCCCATTGTTGCTTCCAGATTCTGGATTCTCCACCCCATGTGGAAGTTTGAGGCCCACCCGTGGTCCTGCCCTCCTCCCCGCTGCAGCATCTGACCTCCAGGCATGCCCCATCATTCCTCTCCAGACACCAGGATCTGCCTCACAGGAGACCCCATGTTGGTCCTGCCATTCCCCACATGGCCTGTCACATACCATAGACGTCTCCTCCTCTGACCCCCAGCCCTAGGGGCCCCCACTCCATGGCTTGCCTGGTCTTCCCACAGCCCAGAACTGCTCCGCTTCAGAAGCTGTGGCCTCCACCGCCCCTCCTCACCACAACACGCCCTGGACCCAGCTGGGTCCCATGAGCAACTTGTTCTCATTCCATCATGACACCTGGGTCCTTCCATGTCTCCTCTGTCTACCAGCCCACCTCCTGGCTTCATTTCCATCCCCAACTAGCCTGGAAACGGCCTCAAATCTTTTTGGAACGAAAGTGGTCAGATCAAAACTTGTAAATGGAATACAAAAATAAAATACATATTGAAACACCCTCACTGTACCCCACACATATGTACAATTATTATGCGTCAATTAAAAGTAAAAATTAAAAGGCCCAAAGAAAAGAAAATACAAGAAGCACACTTTTTTTTCCAAATGCCAACTTGAACCAGAAGGAAGCATACATGACGTGGGCCCCTGTGGTCCGTCACCCTCCTGCGAATACTGTGATTTCCCTTGAACTGATTCCTGATCTCTCCTTGCAAAGTCCCAGCCTTGGAGCTGAGCAGGGCTGGGGATGTATTCCACCCCCTTACAGACAGGGGCAGGGTGGTCTCATGGCCTGCACCTCCTCTAGGCCTTCAGCAGTGTCCAGAGATCCTTCTTTAGGCCCCAGTCAGCTGTTTCTGCCAAAATCCCTATTTCAAAGCTCCTTTCCACCACCCACTCCGCAGAACACCTTGACCTCTTTCACTGAAACAAGAGAGAAACAACACTCAGCTTCCAACGCTGCCCCTCCCTGTCTCCTCTGTATCTCTGCAGACTTAGATGACTGCCCAGGGGCAGGGAACCCTGACAGCCCACACGAATCCTTCCAGCCCTGCCTTCTCCCGCCTCTGCTTTAGGGCCTTGCTTTATCAATTACTGTAGTGGTTTAATGTATGTCCCCAAATTCTTTGACACATCTCCCTTCAAAAGAGAGACTAATTCACCCCATCTCGAGTGTGGACTTAGTGATTTGCTTTTGCCAAATAGAATAAGGTAGAAGGAATGGAGTAGAGCCTTTGTGGCTTCCTGCTTGCTCTCTCTCTAAGATCTCTCAGCCTGGGGAGCCTGGAGGTTGTGAGGATGCTCAAACAGCCCTAAGGAGAGGCCCGTGTTGTGAGAACTGAGGGCCCCAGTTAACAGCTGTGTGATCTTGGAAGGGACCCTCCAGCCCCAGTTGTGGCTTCAGATCACCATAGCTCAGCCAACATTGTGACGACAATTTTATAGTCAACAACAGATTAGGATGCAGACATGCAGAGGGAAGACTGTGTGAAGAGATGACAAGAGGACAGATGGCTGTGCCCACATCTGCAAGCCAAGGAGAGATGCCTGGTAGAACCCAACCCTGCTGACACCCTGATATTGTATTTCTAGCCTCCAGAACAGTGGAGAATATACTTTTCCATTGTTTAAGCCCCACCCCCACCCCATCCTCAGTCTGCAGTATTTGGTCATGGCAACCCAAGCAACTACTACAAACCCTATGAGGGTCCCTGGGCCGGAACCACCCAGATAAGCTGCTCTTAGATTTCTGACCCCCAAAACTTGTGTGAGATAATAAATACTTGTTATTCCAAGCTGTTAAAGTTTGGGATAACTTGTTATGCAGCAATGAGTGACTAGTATATTATCCTCCCTCACATCTTCATCCTCGTCCACTCTCCTGGTCCTTTACCCTCTGAATAGTGATAAGCTCAGGTCTTGTCTATCTTAAAAATGCATTTTCTTAGCCTCACCGTCCCCATCCAGCTTTCATACCCTCCTCCTCCTTGGGTTTTGCCCCACAGCCAAGTTGCCTGAAACAGCCACCCCATAACACTGCCTCCACCTTCTCACCTTTCATGCCTTCCTGACCATCTCACTTTGCTCCTACAAGGCTCCACTTTCCTGACTTTCCCTCTGCTTCTGGGGCACCACTAAATCTCCTCCTAGAGCTTTTTTTTTTTTTGGAGACAGAGTCTTAATCTGTTGCCCAGGCTAGAGTGCAGTTGCGTGATCCCAGCCCACTGCAACTCTGTCTCCCGGGTTCAAGGGATCCTCAGCCTCCTGAATAGCTGTGACTATGGGCATGCTCCACCATGCCTGGCTAATTTTTGTATTTTTAGTAGAGATGGGGTTTCTCCATGTTGGCCAGGCTGGTCTTGAACTCCTGGCCTCAAGTGAGCTGCCCACCTTGTCCTCTGAAAGTGCTGGGATTACAGGCATGAGCCACTGCGCCTGGCCCTTTCACTCACCTTGACCTCTTGGTGTCCAAGGGAGTGGCTGGTGACTTTTGTCTGCCCAGTATGCCTTCCTCCTATATCCTTATGGGGAACATCTCCCCTAGTTCAAATTGTGTTGCTGATGAGAAGCTCGTGAATCCTGGGACCCCAAGCGGCCATGTGGTCCAAGCCAGAGCCAATCACAGCTTTTTCTGGGATGTTCTGAGTGGGAGCTGAGGGTTGGTTTTCTTCTCTAATGCCAAAATTATGAAATACAATGCCAAAAGTACCAGGAGCTATGGTCCTAGCTTCTTAAAAATAGCTGATCTGAGAGAATAAAATTGGCAGATGTGGAGGGAAGGAGACAAAACACAGAAATCCTGTCTCTGCCTTTTTGCAGTTTGATTATTTGGGGTAAGCCATTTGGATGGCTTAATTCCCACTGATCTGCCAGCCCTTGTTCTATTCTCTTTCAGCCTGCACACTCCCCTTATGTGTGCCCACTCTCTCAGGGCCACCAGGATCATAGCCCTGCTGAGTCCCAAATTAGCGTCTCCAACTCTCATCCCTACCCTGATCTCCAGACCCACCAAGGCCCCTCTCCCTGGACATGTCCCTCAGATATGCCATGGGCACATCAAATTCAAAGTGACCATAGCACCTCATCTCCTCGATCCCCAAACCTGCTTCTGCCCCTGCATTCTTTATCTCAGCAAATGAAACTAACAATTGCTGAAAGAAACACCGAGTCTTCTATTCTTCACAGCCAAATGATCCCTAGGACCTGGAGATTTTGTCTTTTAAAAACTTGAGGCTCCCAATTATATGTTGTCCACAAGAAACCTATGTTAAATGTGAAGACTACCTATTGAGTGCCACGCTCACTACCTGGGTGACGGGATCATTTCTACCTCAGCATCACGCAATGTATCCACGTAACGAACCTGTACATGTACTCCCTAATAAAAATACCAGTTGAAATTATTTTTTAAAGACATAGATAAATTAAAAGTAAAGTGTTGGAGAAATGGTTAAAAGAAAGGGTTGGGTTAGTATTAGGTTGCTTATACTAATCAAAATAGAGCTAGATACATCAGTGTTTTGTATAAGAAAGAAAGAGAGAAAGAAAGAAAGAAAGAAAGGAAGGAAGGAAGGAAGAAAGAAGAAAGAAAGAGAGAAAGAAGAGAGAGTTGGAGTAGCTATACTAGTTTTAGAGCAGACTTCAGGGCAAGGAATATTATGAGGAATAAAGAGAAATATTACATAATGATAAAGGGATAAATTTATCAAAGAAGACATGACAATTATTAACATGTACGCACCTGCCAAGAAAGTGTCAAAATACACGCAAAGTATGTTCTCTGACCACAATGGAATTAAACTAGAAATCAATAACAGAAAGATAACTGGAAAAGCCCAAAATGTTTAGAGATTAAGAAACATATTTCTAAATAACACATGGGTCAGGTAAGTCCGAAGAAAAATGTAAAATTAAATGAAAATGAAAATATCACATCGAAATTTGTGGAATCCAATGAAACAAGTACTGAAGGGAAATTTATAGTGCTGAATGCATAGTTAAAAAATCTAGAGGCCGGGCGTGGTAGCTCATGCCTGTAACCCCAGCACTTTGGGAGGCCGAGGCGGGTGGATCACGAGGTCAGGAGTTCGAGACCAGCCTGACCAACATGGTGAAACCCCGTCTCTACTAAAAATAGAAAAAGCTGCTAGGCTTGGTGGCACGCACCTGTAATCCCAGCTACTCAGGAGGCTGAGGCAGGAGAATCGCTTGAACCTGGGAGGCAGAGGTGGCAGTGAGTTGAGATCCGCCACTGCACTCCAGCCTGGGTGACAGAGTGAGACTCCATCTCAAAAAAAAAAAAAAAGAAAAATCTAAAATCAATAATCTAAGCTTCCACCTTAGGAAACTAGAGAAAGAAGAAGAATATCATCCTAAAGTAAGAAGAAAATAAAAAATAAAAATTAGAACAGAAATCAATGACATTGGAAACAGGAAATAAAAAGAGAAAATTCAATGAAACAAAAAACTGGTTCTTTGCAAACATCAGTAAAATTGATAAACTTCTGTCAGGCTAACCAAGAAAAGCAAAGAGAAGACACAAATTAACTACTATTGGAAATGAAAGAGGAGACATCACTCTGATCCCACGGACATTAAAAGGATAGTAAAGACATATTATGAACAACACATTCGGTAACTTAGATGAAATGGACAAATTCCTTGAAAAATGAAAACTACCAAAACTCAAGCAAAGAGAAATAGATAATCTGAAAATCCTGTATCTATTAGAGAAACTGAATCAATGATTGGCAACCTTTCAAAAAAGGAAGCACCAGGTGTGGATGGTTTCACTGGTAATTCTACCAAGCATTTAAGGAAGAAATGAGCCTAATTCTCCATAGTATCTTCCAGGAAACAGAAGCAGAGGAAATACTTTCTAACTCGTTCTATGAGGCCAGCGTTACTCTAATGCCAAAATGAGATAAAGACATTAAAAGGAAGAAAAAACTTGAGGCACTCTCCTTCCTGCCACCCCTTAGTCTCCTGTCATCCTTCACTTGGGAGGTTGGAAGCATCCCAGGTGGCCTTGCTGCTGCTGGACTCTCAGAACAATCATCCTCCATCACACCAATCAAGTGATCTTTAGAAGATGCAAAAGTTGACCGTGTCATGCCTCCCACAGCTAAGAATGTGCCATATCTTTATGACACTCAAGGATCTTCAGCATCATAGCCTGCCTACCTTTTCAGCCCACCTTGTATCTTACCTCTTCCCCCCAGGGTACACTGAATATCATGCAGTTCCTGAAACACCCCATGTTCTCTTTTACCTCAGTGTGTCTGTACTTGATCTGATATGAATTTGGAGCACACACACAAGCACGTGTGTTACCATACATGCATGCATGTACACACACACAGGCACAGACATCCTCACATGCAGAGGCTGCGATTTTCAACCTCAGCATTTATCCCTGTTTTTATGTGTTACAGTGTGTGTCTCTCCCACACCTGTGAGAAATTTGAGAGCTGGATAGTGACTTACTCATACTAGTCAGGGCTCAGGACATGCTTGCTGAGTAAATGGATGGATGAGTGGACAGATGAATGGGATGAGTGGATGGATGAGTCGGTAGGTGGAAGGGTGGGCTGATGGACGGGTGGATAGGTAAATGGATGGATGGGTTGGTGGATGGATAGGTAGATGGATGAATAGATGGATGGATTAGTGAATGAATAGGTGGATGTATGGGTAGTTGGATGGATGTGTAAGTGGATGGATGGATCCACTGATGGGTTGATGGATGGATAGATTGGTGGATGGATGGATGGATGAGTCGATTAGTGGTTGAATGAGTGGGTGAATGGGTGGGTGGGTGGATAGATGGATGGTGGATGGATTAATGGTTGGATTGGGTAAGTGAATGGGTGGATAGATTGGTGGGTGAATAGGTGAATGAACAAACAGATGAATGGATTGATGGATGGATGGATGGATGGATGGATGGATGGATGGATGGACCTACCCAGGAAAGCAGGTGAGGCATTGCCCCTTACAGGAAGCACTGGTGTGCTTAAAATTTTCTGCCCCTTGGGAATGGGATGACTTCTTAGTCCAGTTCCTTTTGTTAAGCCCTGAGGCAGGTCAGTGTGGCTGAGCTTACGGGGATCAGTGTCCTACCTAATCTCAGGGACCAGAATGAGGGTTACCTTCACCTGAGAAGAGAAGGGTAAACTGCTAGTTCTCAAAGCCCTCCTCAAAGCTGCTGTGGGTCTGAAGCCACACCACTAACATTTCTGTGGTGCCACTGAACTGGAGTATGGGTAGAGTGGGTAAGAATATGCTGAAAGGCAAGTGGGGAGGTGGAGGTGCAGGGAAGATCAAAGCATTGCTGGACCAGGACAGGGCTGGAGTGGGCAAGCAGCTGAGTGCCAGGTTGTGTGCAGGGCACTTTCCACAGGTTCTCTCATTTGAGCCCCACAGCAACCCTGTGCTGTCCATGGAGACATCCCACTTCACAGATCAGGAACCAGGGGTCCAAGAAGCAAAGCTAACATTGAGACTCTGGCCTATGGGATACCAGCCCGGAAGGGGCACTGACAAAGCTTTGCCCTCCAAAGGGGTCTGAGTGTTCTTTGGGCAGAAAGGGCATCTGGGGCTGGGTGAGGGATGAGTAAGACTTGGAAGTTCTCCTATGCCACCAGCTGACTGCCTATTCCCTGCTCCCCAGAGCTGAGAGTACCTGGCATGGAAGCCATCACTCAAGAAGAACACAGGTTGGAAGGGCCACCACCCAAAGGAGGCAAAGTCACCAGAGTCTAGATCCGGGCCAAACACCCTGAATTTGGGGCTAGCCCAGGCTGGTCAGTGGGCCCCAGTTGGACCCCAGAAAGGTCACTATAAATGGTCAGCCTTGGGGAGAGGGCCTGCCAGGGTCCAAGGATTCACAGGCTGAGTTGTCCTGGTATCATTACAAGAGCAGCACTTACTGGGCGTTCACCGGGCCAACAGCTCCACATACAATGCCCCTTCCATTGCACAATAAGCCCGTGAGGCACATATGATTATTTCCCATACTCATCCATATTTGGAAAAACTGAGCCTTGGCATTAGTGGTGACAGGGCTGTGGCAGAGCCTGTGCACCCATCCACCAGGCCAGACAAGGCCCTGGGCAGGAGGAGAGGAAAAGAAAGGGGAACTGCTCCCAGCAGAGCCTCGTTCTATGCTGTCGGGCTGTGCTTCACCCAAGTTATTTCATTTTCCCCGACTTGTCTCTCAGAGAGTTGAGGCTGCTCGAGGCTAGGTAACTTCCCAATGTCCCCCAACTGAAGGGTCTGATCTCATCCCAGCATGCGGCTGCTCACCCAGGATGGGAGCCTGAGGAAGGAGGGGGCCCCTGGGCAGCACAGTGGGCCCACCCAGGAGGCCCGCTGCTGTGTGTGGCCTCAGATGACCCTGCCTGCCCATGCACTGTGGTAAAGGGTAAACTGGTGCCACCATTTGTAGAAGACAATTTGATAACATCTATCAAAAATTTAAACACCTTTTGTCTACACAATCCCACTATTAGCAACATACCCTGCAAATATACTTGTAAAAGTTCATCAAGGTAGATGTACAGGCATTGATGGTAATAGCAAAAAATGGAAACAAACAAAAACTCAACAAACCACCAATTGTCCAACAACAGAGGTCTGCTGGATTCAGGTTCAACCTTTGGGTAGAATACCACACAGCTCTTTAAAAAGCATGGTTAGGGCCGGGTGCGGTGGCTCACACCTGTAATCCCAGCACTTTGGGAGGTCGAGGCGGGCGGATCATGAGGTCAGGAGATCGAGACCATCCTGGCTAACACAGTGAAACCCCATCTCTACTAAAAATACAAAAAAATTAGCCAGACGTGGCCGGGCGCGGTGTCTCATGCCTGTAATCCCAGTACTTTGGGAGGCCGAGGCGGGTGGATCACGAGGTCAGGAGATCGAGACCATCCTGGCTAATACGGTGAAACCCCGTCTCTACTAAAAATACAAAAAATTAGCTGGGCGTGGTAGCAGGCGCCTGTAGTCCCAGCTACTCGGGAGGCTGAGGCAGGAGAATGGCGTAAACCCAGGAGGCGGAGCTTGCAGTGAGCCGAGATAGCGCCACTGCACTCCAGCCTGGGCGAAAGAGCGAGACTCCACCTCAAAAAAAAAAAAAAAAAAAAAAATTAGCCAGACGTGGTGGCACACCCCTGTAATCCCAGCTACTTGGAAGGCTGAGGCAGGAGAATCACTTGAACCTGGGAGGCAGAGGTTGCAGCAAGCCAAGATCGTGCCATTGCACTCCAGCCTGGGTGACAGAGTGAGACTCCGTCTCAAAAAAAGAAAAAGTGTAGTTAGGTTGAACTATATGAAAGTGTCCTTTTTCTAAGTGAAGAAGGTCACATATTGGCAGTTTCAAATGATTCAATCTAATATATGTGTTGATATATGAGTATGTAATAAAAATAATATATGTTTTATAGTATAATGTTATTTTTATTTAAAAATATAGGAGATATTAGTTGGACATGGTGGTGAGCACCTGTGGTCCCAGCTACTTGAGAGGCTGAGGTGGGAGGATCACTTAAGTCTGGGAGTTCGAGGCTGTAGTGAGCTATGATTGCATCACTGCACTTCAGCCTGGGTGACAGAGCAAGACTCCATCACTAAAATATTATAAATAAAAATAAAGGCCAGTTGGGGTGGCTCTAGCCTGTAATCCCAGCACTTTGGGAGGCCGAGGCAGGCAGATCACGAGGTCAGGAGAGGCAGGCAGATCACGAGGTCAGGAGATCCAGACCATCCTGGCTAACACGGTGAAACCCTGTCTCTACTAAAAATACAAAAAAATGAGCCGGGTGTGGTGGCAGGTGCCTGTAGTCCCAGCTATTTGGGAGGCTGAGGCAGGAGAATGGCGTGAACCCGGCAGGGGGAGCTTGCGGTGAGGCAAGATCGCGCCACTGCACTCCAGCCTGGGTGACACAGCGAGACTCGGTCTCAAAAAAAAAATATATATATATATGGAGAGAGAGAAACAGAGAGAGAGAGGATATATATATACATATATAGAGAAAGAGAGTGATGGAGAGAAATACTCTGGGGAGGTAATTATATTGAACTGTTAACTGTAATTTATTGGGGTGGAGAGTGGAAGGAGGGAAGAGACTTTTACTTCACACATGGCTCCTTTCTGTCCTGTCTGGCTTTTCCTTTGTGGGGAAAAGAAAGAGAGATCAGACTGTTACTGTGTCTATGTAGAAAGAAGTAGACATAAGAGACTCCATTTTGTTCTGTACTAAGAAAAATTCTTCTACCTTGAGATGCTGTTAATCTGTAACCCTAGCCCCAACCCTGTGCTCGCAGAAACATGTGCTGTGTTGACTCAAGGTTTAATGGATTTACGGCTGTGCAGGATGTGCTTTGTTAAAAAAAAAAAGTGCTTGAAGGCCGTATGCCTGTTAAAAGTCACCACCATTCTCTAATCTCAAGTACCCAGGGACACAATACACTGTGGAAGTCAGCAGAGACCTCTGCCTAGGAAAGCCAGGTACTATCCAAGATTTCTCCCCATGTGATAGCCTGAGATATGGCCTCGTGGGAAGGGAAAGACCTGATCATCCCCCAGCCCGACACCCGTAAAGGGTCTGTGCTGAGGAGGATTAGTAAAAGAGGAACGCCTCTTTGCAGTTGAGATAAGAGGAAGGCATCTGTCTCCTGCTCGTCCCTGGGAATAGAATGTCTTGGTGTAAAACACGATTGTATGTTCTATTTACTGAGATAGGAGAAAACCGCCTTAGGGCTGGAGGTGAGACATGCTAGCAGCAATACTGCACTTTAACTCACTGAGATGTTTGTGTATGTGCACATTAAAGCACAGCACCTTTTCTTAAACTTATTTATGACACAGAGATCTTTGTTCACATGTTTTCCTGCCTACCTTCTCCCCATTATTACCCTATTGTCCTGCCACATCCCCTTCTCTGAGATGGTGATAGAGATAATGATCAATAAATACTGAGGGAACTCAGAGACCAGTGCCAGTGTGGGTCCTCCATATGCTGAGCACCGGTCCCCTGGGCCCACTTTTCTTTCTCTATACTTTGTCTCTGTGTCTCTTTCTTTTCTCAGTCTCTCATTCCACCTGACGAGAAGCACCCACAGGTGTGGAGGGGCTGGCCACCCCTTCATCCTTATCCATAGTATGCATTTGTTACTTATTTTACTGTCAACAGGGGTTGTCTGGGATATCTGAGCTTCCATCCCCGCCCAGACAGTGATGACCATCTGCACAGCCTCACTGCCAAGCTCAGTGGGGAGCCAGCCATGGGAGGGCCCAACAGAAAGGGCCCCCACACAGCTGCCAGGGAGCAACAGGAAGAGCTGAAAGTGGCGGCAGCCCCACTCTCAGTGGTGCTGGGGTTGTCAGTGCACACCAGAGAAAAAGGGTCCTGAGTCTAGATTTCAAGTTCCCTCCATTGCCCTGCTCCAGCCTGTCTCCACAGCCCAGGGCTCCCCATGAAGAAGGGTATGCCCCTCTTCTGGAAGGGAGTCTAACACCCACAGGACAGCTCAGCATTCAGGGTAATGTCCAAGAGATACCCTTCCCATGAATAGCATGTGACTGACAGTGCCGGAGATATATGTCCCTGCGAGATGTTCTCTGGCCTAGAGATGCAGTGCTCCTGGATCACCATGAGGGCTCCCTCCTCTTCTGCCCAGGCAAGCCCAGGGTAAGAATGAGAAGTTACAGTCCTCCATCCTGTCTTCTCCCAGTGGGCACAGGGCCCAGCCAACCCACTGCCAAAAATCCGACAACATGACACAATTTGGCTAGAGAAATCCAGCTTCCTTAGGAGGCAGTCAGCGACGGCAAGGCAGCCCCGGGGAAGAGACCCTGCTCTTGGAGAGCCTGGTGCAGCCCCTCCTGGGGAAGTCAGCGAAGGCAGGGTGCCCTGGAGAAGAACCTCTTCTAGGAGAATCTCTCCTCCCAGAAGGGCTCTGCTCCCTATCAGAGGGGAAATATGGGGCTGGGGATTTGGCAAAGACCCTGCCTATCCTCTGCAACATCACAAGATGAGCAAATTTGACCAAGTTTATCCCTCCCCACCATGTACACACACTTGACACACACAACTAGGTTCAGGTGCCATATGGCTCCCGTGTAGGTATGGGCAAGTGTCGGCCTATTTAGCTTCTAGTCCAGCCTGCAGTTTTAGACCTGGTTCAACTGTTTCCTTCAGACTCATTGATGCTATTCCTCTCAATCAGAACTGAAGTCTGACACCCTCTGCTACCAGTGGATCCTGTACAGCACTTTGTAGTGACGTTCACTGCTTTGCACTAAAATGCTTGGTTTACACTTATTCAGAGGCAGTTCATCCTAAGCTGCACTTTTATGCTATGCTGTCGGCCTATCTGGAGACAGCATAGGAGAGACAGCCCTCGAGATGCCTCCTTCACTGTGGAGACAGCATCAAGAAGATGACATTCACTGTGGGGACAGCCCTGGAGAAGCCCCCATCACTGTGGAGACAGCCCTGGAGATGCCCCCTTCACCGTGGAGACAGCCACAGAGATGCCTCCTTCACCATGGAGATGGCTCAGAGAAGCTCCCTTCACTGTGGAGACAGCCCAGCAGACGCTCCCTTCACTGTGGAGACAGCCCAGCAGATGCTGCCTTCACTGTGGAGAGATAGCCTGGAGATGATGTCATTCACAGTAGAGAGAGATATCCCACATTATAGATATGAACAATGAAAATCCCTCCATCATTTTAGAGCTAGCACCTGAGAAAACTTCCTAAGCTGTAGAGATAGCCTGTGAGAAACCCCCTTTCCTATACAGAGATAACCCTTGAGAAATTATTCTTCATTAGAGAGACAGCCCTTGAAACACCGTCCTTCATGTAGACGTAGCTCCACAGAAGCCCCTGTTCACTGTATCAGTGCCTTTTCAAAAACCCTCCCTCATTTTAGAGGTAGGCCATGAGAAACTTTCCTCTACTGTAGAGATAGCCTTTGAAAACCCTCATTCATTTGTGGGATGGTCCTTGAGAAATCCTGCTTTATTCTAGAGCTATCCCTTGAGAAGCCCCACTTCATGAGATAGAGCAAAAGCCCATTGGATGCCCCCCTTCATTCCAGAAAAAGCCCTTGAGGAACACTTTTTCACCGCTGGTGGGAATGTAGACTAGCACAACCACTATGGAAAACAGTAGGGATATTCCTTAAAGAACTACAATTAAACCTACCGTTAGATCCAGCAATAAGATAAGTCATTATATGAAAAAGACACTTGCGGCTGGGCGCGGTGGCTCACGCCTGTAATCCCAACACTCTGGGAGGCCGAGGCGGGTGGATCACCTGAGGTCAGGAGTTCGAGACCAGCCTGGCCAACATGGTGAAACCCTGTCTCTACTAAAAATACAAAAATTAGTTGGGTGTGGTGGCGGGCATCTATAATCCCAGCTACTCGGGAGGCTGAGACAGGAGAATCATTTGAATCCGGGAGGCGGAGATTGCAGTGAGCCGAGATCACGCCATTGCACTCCAACCTGGGTGACAGGGCGAGACTCCATCTCAAAAAAAAAAAATAAAACCAGAAAAAGACAATTGCACGTGCATGTTTATAAGAGCACAATCCACAATTGCAAAGATATGGAACCAACCTAAGTGTCCATCAACTCATGAGTGGATAAAGAAAATGTGGTATACGTACACCATGGAATACTACTCAGCCATAAAAGGCAATGAAATAATGTCTTGGGCAGCTACTTGGATGGAGCTGGAGGCCATTATTCTAAGTGAAGTAACTCAGAAATGGAAAACCAAATATCGTATGTTCTCACTTATAAATGGGAGCTAAGCTATGAGGCTGCAAAGGCGTAAGAACGATACAATGGACTTTGGGGACTTTCGGGGGAAGGCTGGAGCTGGGTGAGCAACAAAAGACTACACATTGGGTGCAGTGTACACTGCTGTGGTGATAGGTGCAAAAAAATCTCACAAATCACCACTGAAGAACTTATCCATGTAACCAAAAAACACCTGTACCTTAAAAACTATGGAGTTTTTTTTTTTAAAAGAAATAGCCCTCAAGGAAGTCCTTATTCATTCCTTTTTATGATAGTCCTTGAGAAGCCCCCTTCATGCTGAGATAGCCCGTGAGGTGCCCTCCCTCATGTAGAGATAGTCCCTGAGAAATCTTCCTTCCTTTTCTACAAATAGCTCTTTAAAAACTCTCCTGAATTTCCTGTTATAGCCAATGTCGTTTTCTCCCTTTTTATCCCCTTCATGACATTGCAACAGGAAAGCTGGTCTTCCCCTTGGAAACTGGCTTTTGCCTAACTTGAGAACATTATTAATCTTTACTGCATAGTTTTGTGCGTGACTATCTGGAAGTTCAGAACAAATTTTGTGTCTATGCCTAGCAAATATATGGGATTTTCTGATGTACATTTTGTTTACTAACATTTTCCCAGCTGCAGTGTATTTTCCTACCTTCATTTATCCTACGTCCCAGCTTATTTTATTTTTGATTCTGTTGTATTATAGGTATACTGTAAGCTGCCTCATATCACTCTGTTTTGTTTAGTATTTGAATAAGGCAGGCAAGGGATGAAAGAGAAATTGACAGATACATATACTTGTGCATGAACCACTGCCCTGTGGTTCCTTTTCATACCCTCAGTACTCTGCCCCCAGCCCCCAGAACAGAGTAGGAGCTCAGACAGACACTGTGCTGAAAGTTTTCCAGCACCTGCTCATTAGTTTGATCTGTAAAACAACCCTGCAAGGTAAGTGATGCTACTCCATTTGATAGAAGAGGGAACTGAGGCTTAAGGCCCCACATTTGGTAGGTGACTGAGTCAAGATTTCTTGACTCAAGATTTCTGCAGAGCCTGGTGCAGTGGCTCACGCCTGTAATCCCAGCACTTTGGGAGGCTGAGGAAGGTGAATCACATGAGGTCAGGATTTCAAGACCAGCCTGGTCAACATGGTGAAACCCCATCTCTACAAAAATACAAAAATTAGCCGGGCGTGGTGGTGTGCGCCTGTAATCCCAGCTACTCGGGAGGCTGAGGGGGAAGAATTGCTTGAACCTGGGAGGTGGAGGTTGCAGTGAGCCGAGATCATGCCATTGCCCTCCAGCCTGGGCAACAGAGCCAGACTCCATCTCAAAAAAAAAAAAAGAAAGAAACAAGATTTGAATCTGCAAATGTTTGGCTCCAAAGCGTTTGCTTATTCCACTTCACCTCTCTCTTAACCTGATGAGCAAGACCCTCTAGGTTGCACTGTCCGATATGGTAGCCACTAGCCACATGTGGCTATTTAAATTTAAATGAGCTGAATTAAAAATTCAGACCCTCAGTTGCACTAGCCACACTTCAAGTGCTCAACAGCCACTTGTGGCTAGTGGCTACTGTTTTGGACAGTGCAGAAGAGAACATTTCTATCATCATGGAACGTTCTAGAGCATATCTTACCACCCCCCTCAACCGTATTTCATCCCTGCCAGGCGCCAACAGTGCCCAAGCCTTACTGGTACTTCCTTTGCTCTGTATCTTTGCAGCTACCACTTCCTCCACCTGGAACATCCCCCGTTCCCCACCCTCATCCTCACACCATCCTCCCCTCACAGCCTGCTGCATCCCTTCCCACCCCTACCTGTCCTCAGCCCCAGGACCGCCTCCTCTGACCACTCAATGCCGGAGGTCTGTGCCTCTGGTGTACATGGGTCACTTTTCCTTCGCAGCCTCGCCTCCCCAGCTGGCAGTGAAGGAACACACTACACACTGCTGGAAAGGCAGACAACAGAGTCTACAATGACACTGGATTTGAAAACTTGACTTCATCCTGAGCTCGTCTTCTGCCGCTAGCTACTCCATTCATTCATTCAGCATGTGCCAAGTGTCCATTCTCTGCTGAGGCCTGGGCATGTGCAGGAGATGGAAAAACCCCAGAGAAACCCAGCCCAGGCTCTCGAGGAGCTCATAGTCCAGTGGCCTTGGTCAAATCCTTCCTTCTCCTCCTCCTCCTTCTCCTTCTCCTCCCCCTCCTCCTCCTCCTCTTCTTCTTCCTCCTCCTCCTATTCCTTCTTCTTATTCTTCTATAGAGATGGAGTCTCCCCATGTTGTGGGCTCAAGCAATCCTCCCACCTCGGCCTCCCAAAGTGCTGGGATTACAGGCATGAGCCACCACCATGCCCAGTCTCCTTTACCCTTCTTCATCTCTTCTGTGAAAAATGTGCTAAGATTCTGGCTCTTCCTCCCTGAACAGCTTGGTATGTGGACCAAGAATGGGCACACAAACATCATTTAAATACATGTGTTAAGTAAAATGTATGGAGGCCATTGGTTTTGTCTGAGCTCCTACACAAGGCCAACAGACCAGACCAAAATGGAGTCACTCATGCTGAAGTTCCACAC
Source organism: Homo sapiens (assembly GCF_000001405.40). NCBI lineage: Eukaryota > Metazoa > Chordata > Mammalia > Primates > Hominidae > Homo > Homo sapiens. Next base: position 127,537,334 of record NC_000002.12, on the reverse strand, counting down.
CACCAGGCCCAAACGAAGGTTATCTGACCTTCCAAGAATCAGGAGAGAGACAATAGCTGGAGCCCCAGACAGGCCAGTTTCAGCGGGCATGATAAGGAAGTTCCCTCAGCTCTATCCTTTACAAGGAAAATAAATTGAAATGACTAATCCCCTTTTGTTTTCTGTTTCTCTCAGCCCCATTCTGTCTATAAAGCCAAACTCCTCTGCTCGGCTCATCAGATCATTCATTGTATTCTATAAGTGGGGTGTTGCCCAATTCTAGAATTGCAAATAAAAGCCAATTAAGATCTTTAAGATAAATTTTTTATAATTTTGTCTTTTGACATATGTAAAACAGGAAGCAATATCAACACATATAGGTCATCCCTGTGGTGCCGCCTCTCCACAGAGCCCCGTGCTAGAGCTGTGGATGCAGCAGGCCCCAAGACAGCCGCCTGGGGAGGATTCTCTTAGAGGTGGCATCTGAGGACAGACGTAGGGCCCCCAGCAGGTCCAGGGAGATGGGGTGGGCTGATGAGCTGAGTGGTTCCTAACAATGATTCACTGAGGGTGTGTGTGAATCTCTGAACTAAAATCCTAAACAAAGTGCAGGGTTCTGATAAATTAGAGCAAAATTCAAGTCCAGGGTTACAAAGTGGAGCCTGAAGGGGAGGCCTCGTCATGGAGAATTTGGGGGATCTGGGTTGGGGGCCCCACACCCACCAGCTGTCTGACCTGGGCCAGCTCTCACAATCTCTGTGTCTCAAGTTTCGTCCTCTGTGAAATGGGGATGGGACACACACCACCTGGACAGCTCAAGGGGGACAGCCCATGTGAGCCCCGGTGCGGTCCCTCTCCTCAGCCACCTCTTCCCCCACCCCCCCCCCCACCACACCCCAGACCTGTCCTGCCTCTCCCTAGGGTCCCAGCCTTCCAGAGGTGACTAAAGCCAATTGCCCAAGGTACATGGGTAAGGCGGATAAGCCTGGGCTTTGGAGTCGAATCCGGCTCTGCTTCTTCCCGTGGGCACCTTCGCTTCCATGGTCCTCAGTCTCTGTGTCCATAAAATGGAGGCAATTCCACCACTGTGTTGCGAGGACGCAGTGGGATGTCACACACGGCACAGCTGACATCTGGCAGGGGCTCATCATGGGACCCAGGCTATCCATGATGTCCCATGATTCCACAGTGAGGCCCTCTAGCTGTGAGGAGGCTTCAGGGTGGGAGCAGCCTTGGCACCTGCCGTTCCCCTCCTGCAGGGAGTTTGCCCTTCTACAGCAGAGGGCTAGACAGCTTCTCCCCCTCCTCCTCCTCCTCAGCCCCCCAGGTGCTGCCCTTCAGCCCGATGGACTGAGTCCCCTGCTGCGGTTTCTGGTTTCCAGGCTCCTGAAGGGCTTCTCCACTCTCTATCCCTCAGACCTGTTCCATCTTATTTCCAGGGGACCTGCCTCCTGCCCAGCGACCCTCTTCAGAGAGGTGACCCCCTACTCCCCGCTGGCAGACACGCCCCCGGCACGCCCTTACCTTGTCAGGATGGGGGTCTGGCTGACTCCCCTTCCCCTCCACCCTGGGCACCCTGAAAGAGCCAGGAAAGGAGGCAATGTTGGGACTCCGGGTGTGTCAGGGAGTAAGGGACAGAGGAAGAAGAGGTAGGGCTCCAAGAGGAAATGACTGGGAGCACTCTGGGCCCACGTAATTTATTACAGGACTTTGTCCCTGGGCTCCAGGCACTTCCACTCCCACACGCCTCCCTCAGCCCCAGCTGGCAGAGCCTCATGATACCTGCTCTTTAACCCAGGCCCCTTCTGCAGAGCAGCGATGCATGCTGCCCGGAGGCCACCAGGGTTTGCAGTCTGTGCACCTGCTCTGGCCACCAGCCAGATCCCATGGTGACAGTCAGCTGACCATCCGGGGGCTCAGCATCTTCCCAGGTGCTGCATGGCAGGAGCTCTGCCCCCAAGCACCCCAAGCTCTAATTGAGGGTGGTAGTATAATATAAAATACAGTATATTTGGTCCTTGTTCCCGGTTGGTGTCACAGAACTCCTAAAACCCTTAGAATTTCCAAAGTGATCGTCGGGCATGGTGGCTCACGCCTGTAATCCCAGCATTTTGGGAGGCCGAGGCAGGCGGATCACAAGGTCAGGAGATCAAGACCATCCTGGCTAACACGGTGAAACCCCATCTCTACTAAAAACACACACACAAAAAAATTAGCTGGGCGTGGTGGCGGGCGCCTGTAGTCCCAGCTGGAGGTTGAGGAAGGAGAATGGCGTGAACCGGGGAGGTGGAGCTTGCAGTGAGCCAAGATCGGGCCACTGCACTCCAGCCTGGGTGACAGAGCGAGACTCCGTCTCAAACAAACAAACAAACAAAAAATTTCCCAAGTGATCATCTCATAATGAGTCCGTTTGATAACACCTGAAGTTATGCTGAGGAGGTGACCATGTGGGGGCCCTACCTAGCCTCAGCATGGGGTCAGTCACCAGAAAGACCTAGTGAATAGAGGGTTGGAACTTTCAGCCCCGCCTACTGACCTCTGGGAAGGTAAAACTCTTGAACAAGATTTGACAAGCTTCCACACATCTGAGGTCCCTGGGGGGTGGCATGCGGGAGAGGGCATGGAAGCTCCATGACCTTCCCACACAACTCACCTGTGCGTGTTTATTCGGCTGCTCATCTGTAATCCTTTGTAAAATCTTTTCCCACGAACTGGTCAATATGAGTGCCGTCCTGAGTTCCATGAGCTATGCTAGCAAATCCAACCTCAGGTGTGGGGCATGGGAACCCCGATTTATAGCCAATTGGTCAGAAGTATAGGTGGCAACCTAGGACTTGAGACTGCATTTGAAGTGGGGCAGTTTTGTGGGACTGAGCCCTTAACCTGTGGGATCTATGACTCCAGGTTGACAGTGTCTGATTGAATTGAATTATAGGACATCCAGACGGAGTCTGCTGGAGAACTGCTTGGACACCTGGTCAAGAGAGTGTTCTGTGTTGAGTGTGAAAGGAGCATACACCTGGGACATGTCTGGGGCCATCAGGAAGCCTTAGAGACAAAGGCCATCAGACAACAAGGTTCCCAGGAGGGTACCTGGCAACAAATTGGGCAGGCTTGGGCTGGCACTTGATCAAGGGGGATTTGGGCTTAAGGCAAATACAGACTGTTTAGAAGGGAAGTGCAACCGCAGTGGGCCCTGGGTGGGGTCAGACTGGAGGGGCCAGGCAGTCCCTGGAAGTGAGCAGGAGGGCGAGGGGAGCTCATTTATGCAAGGCTTTGAAGGCGGGTGGATAATAGGGGCAGGTAGTTACCTGGTCAGCCACAGGCCTTGTGTTGGGTAAAAAAGGGGTCTGGTCATCCTTACAGTTGGCCCAACTAGAGCCAATCAGATTCCTTTCTTTTCCTTGGACTTGGAGGGACTTGGGAACTGCAGGCAGAAATGTGGGAATGAGCCATCGTCTTTTAGAACTGAGGTCAAGGCAGGGTGGCAACCCTGAACATGGACCTTTCGTGGGGACACAGACCAAGCGGTGGTGGGAGAGAAAAGGAGAGGTGGACAAGCTGCAGAGGTGGAGACCCAGTGGCTCCAGAGACAGGAGGAGACCCCCGATGCCTCAGGGTTTCCTGTGCCTCCTGTGGGTGGGCTCCATGGAGTCCCCAGTTTCCGTCTATTAAATGTTCTCTTTGTTGACATGGCTTGAAGGAGTTTCTGTATCTTAAAACCAAATGGCCCATCCCAAAGACAGGGAACCAAGCTGGGAGATCCCTTGAAGGACCACTTGGAGGGAGCTGCATGTTCCGAGTCTTTCAGGCGGCCCCCTGTCCCGCCTGTTCCCCCTAGAACAGCCCCCCAAGTTCTGCCCTTGCTCTGACTAGCCTCCTGCTCCCTAAAATTTGGTTCGGTTTCTGGGTCCACACTCAGCCTTTTTGAGCTTCATGCTGCACATGGTTTCTCGGGTTTAGAAAGATACCATTTAGCTCCTCTAGGGCTGACGCTGCTGCTCCTGGCAGCTCCCAGAGATGGTGAACCCCTTGCTCTGGGGCTGAGACTGAGTCCTCTTCGGACCTTTTCTACTGCCCTCATGTAAGAAAATATTGGGACAGAAAATCTGTGTGGACCAAAACAATCTGTAAGATGTTCCCATCCAGTTCTCACCTTATGCAAAATTTGACAGAAACACATTTTAGATACTGACCTGCTATTCTCTGTCTCTCTCTATTTTATGTTACACATTATATCACAAGAACTTTCTGACACTGTACCAAACTTTTACCATTGGTCTTTAGAAACAGCGTGACAGTATGTCACACAAGTGCCCCATCATTTGTATACCCATCCTCCCTGGATGGACCCTGGGAGGTACCCAATCCTTTGCTGTCACACACAATACTGCAATGAACATATCTGTGCTCTCAGCGTTGTTTGCATTTTGTCATTATGGAAGATTCCAGTGGGATCTCTGGAAGAAGATCTTCCACTATGGAAGAACAGTGGGCATGAATTTTTGGTTGCTAATATTTCTCAAGTGGCATGCCAAGTCCTCCCTCCCAGTCAAAACTGCGCCTATGATTGCAAGGACCTGGTCTGATTGCTGTGTGAGTTGGTGCAAAGGGGGACACCCTGAGGCATGGTTCTCCTGGAGCCTCAGGCTTTCCATAGCCAAGGGACCCCAAGCCCTGGAAATCAAGAAGATGGGTTGGGGAAAGGCAGGGCAGGCTCTTCCTGGTAACACGGGCGACCAGGCTTGGCTGTCTCCCAGCCCAGTGCTACTTCCACAATTAGCGTAGTGCTCATTTCCCAAGACGCAAATATTCAGCTAACCTTGAAAAACATGTTTGTGAGCTGAGCTGAAATGCGCCCATGGACAACCTATGGTTCATTCCATTCCTGTCAGTGACCAAGCCCATTATAGCGTCATCACAGCGACTGACACAGAGCAAGCCTTTCGCTTCAGCTCTACCAGCATATCATAGAGCTAACTGAAGTCACTTGCTTATGGTGGCCCTAATATTCCCATCTAGGCTACAGCAGCCAAATTATCCATTAACCCTATGAAACAGCAAGGTTGGCAGCACAGACCTCTGCGACTGAACTACTCTTTAGAACATTTTTGAATTCTCAGTCTCAGAAAGAGCTGGCATGTGATAAGGATTTTCTCTGTGCTGGGCTCTTTGCTTGTACCATCTCACTCAACCCTCATCAAACCTCAACAAATGAGGGGTGCTTCTCCTCATTTCATAGCAAGGAAGTTAAAGTCAAAGAGGTTATGAAACTTGCTTAGGCCACACAACCAAAAGTGGCAGAGGTGCGGTTTGAATTAGGGTGTACCTGACCCCATGGCCTGGGCTTATTGGGATGTATTATACCACGCCAACCCTCAGACAAACCAGACCTCCTCCTTCCTCACCCCAGTGATGCATGAGACATCCTATCTTCAGAGATTTAAAAAAAAAAAAGGTGTTTCCCCAACTTGCTGGCCCTAGCCCAGGGTTTGAAAGGCCTTGCCCATTTTGTTGCCTTGGTTTCTGAGATGCTGGGGCAAGGGAATATCTGGGAAGAGAAGCAACGCTTAAATGCTTCCCTGGAAACACAGTTGTGCACAGTACAAGACAGTAGATCACAGGGCACATTCTGTCCTGTAGTTCAGGGTTTCTCAGTCTTGGCATTATTAGCGTTTTGGAGTAGATTGTTCTTTGTTGGGGAATGAGAGGCGTTGTCCTGTGTACTGCAGAACATTTAGCAGCAGCCATTGGTTATGTCCCCACCCCTAGTGGTGACAAATCAAAATGTCTTCAGATATTATTGCCAAATGTCTCTGGGGGACAAAGTCCCAGTTGGGAACCAATATATAGTTCACAGGCCCAGGTGCCATTGGAGGCTGGGAGAAAGAGGAGGCCAACAAAGACCAGAACGAATGTCCTCCCGGAAGAGGTGACCCTGACCCTTGGGCTCCTTCAATGGCAGGAAGATATGGCTCAGAGGGAGGGTGCATGGAAGATGAGTGCTTCCTGGAGGATCTTGGTTCTGACATGCCAAGGAGATGACTGTGTCATCAGGCAAACTCAAGTACTTCATCCTCCGGGAACAGCAGCTTCAAGATAGCTGCTCCTAGACTGGGAAGGTCTTGGATCCAAAGTCCTGATGGGCCAGCTAGGCATCCACAGTCTCAGCCCAGGAGGAAAGGACTCATTTCTGGTGGTGCTTTTGTCACCATAAGCCCTCTGAGGAAACTACCCAGAGATTTGTCCAAGGCAGCAAGAGGGGGAAAGTAGGGGCACAAAATGAAAAGGTCACCTCCTCCTCTCTAGAGGGCTTTGGGCAATCCAGTGGATAAATCTGTCTTAGGCCCTAGCATTTAAACCTAGGTCACTGGCCATAAACATGGGACCTCTGTCCCATGACCAGGGTTAATGGCATATCCTGATGACTAATCTTATTGCCCTGGGGGAGATTGAGATACTGACAAGGAAAAGCAAAACTTGCTTACGTGTCAACTCAATAAACTAAATAAATGAAGTTAATGATGCTAATTATGACGATAGTAATACTTTGCCTAGCTCTTGGAAGATAGTGATACTTTGCCTAGCTCTTAGGCTCATTGCTGAGAACTTTATTTCTGGGAAAAGAAGTACTGGGGTGGATTTCTTAACCTTGCCTGGAATGCTGCATATCCACCAAGATCACTTTCCTTTTCCTCTTGGTCCCACAGTGGACATACTCTTCCCTGCCTCACTCACAATTAGAAGGGGCCATGGAATGAGGGTAAGTGATATGCTCTAACTCCAGGCTAGACCCACTAAAATATCCTGCACCTTTCTACACACTCTCTTCTCCCATCTGCTGGTGGCATGCAGAGCATCCAGTAGGGGCTTCTGAGGCCCTGGGAAATGGTGGAGCCACAATATGGTAAGAGCCTGGATCCCTGAATGACTGCTAGGAGCAGAGAGCAACCTCCACCTCACCACTGACCCCACTGCCCATTGACAAGAGGAAGAAACAAACTATTATCAAGTCAAGCCACTGAAATTTGTTGATGTTGTTATAACAACATAACTACATGGTAGATTGTTAGCTTACCATGATTGAAACATTATCTTTCCATCCAAATCGGCCTTTGTCCTTCAAATATCACCTCAAGCACCCTCCCCCAAGGAAGCCAACCTGATTGTTCACTCTAGCCTCACCCTCCTTTTAATTCCCATGGTACTTGTTACCCACATCACACAATTCACCTCTTAGCATTTTCTTTTTTCAAAGCCGTACTTCCTAATGAATTGTAAGCTTCTCAAGGTAGGAATCATGTGTTAATTTTCTGTATCTTCACAATGCCTAATAATAATGATAATAGCTAACATATATATTGCTAATCTTAAATAGTAAGATGCATAAAATATGATTACACATAGAGTTTATTTGAGTGTGCGGATAGCCACCCAGGAGACCTCAACTCCAAACGAATGGGTTCAGCGTTCCAAAGTGAAGAAGTTAAGGTTTTACTTATACAGAGACAGACAGAAAAATTTTAGCAGGATTATAACATTTTCCATACAAGACAGTGCATATGTTACAGTGATTTGATTGGTTACAGATTGCTGCATCCCAAGGAAGATGACATTATTACTCTGTAGAAGGGGCAGTGATCTGAGGGGGTTTTATCTCTGGCACCACTTAGTCTCAATTATTTATAGGTGGAAAAAAGGCAGAAGTTGCAGCTGCATGCCATGTGACTCAGGCTGCATAGTCACATTCCTCTCAAGACTCAGAACAATTTAAGTTCCAACAGCTTTAAGTTTGAATTATTTGGCTGGGTGCAGTGGTTCACGTCTGTAATCCTAGCACTTTGGGAGACCGAGGTGGGTGGATCACCTGAGGCCAGGAGTTCAAGACCAGCCTGGCCAACATGGTGAAACCCCATCTCTACTAAAAATACAAAAAATAGCCAGGCGTGGTGGTGCACACCTGTAGTCCCAGCTACTAGGGAGGCTGAAGCACGAGAATTGCGTGAACCCAAGAGGCGAAGGTTGCAGCGAACCAAGATTGTGCCACTGCACTCCAGCCTGGGTGACAGAGCGAGATCCCATTTCAAAAAAAAAAAAAAAGTTTGAATTATTTAATTTCACAATATTCTGTCCCAGGAATCATTATATAATATATATATTTATATCATGTATAATATTATACAAGTAATATATATAACATATTATACATTATAATTATATATGTGCATTTAGCTTCATGACAACTCTGTGACATAAATGGTACTGTTATCCCCAACTTATAGATGAGGACGTTGAAGCACAGAGAGGTTCAGCAACTTGCTCAAGGTCACGCAGCTAGTAAGTTTCATTTGTGTCTTCCCTGGTAGGGCTTGCTAGTGGCTCAAGCACAAGAAGCTGGGTCAGACTTAGAGACCTGGATTCTCTGACGTAGAAAAAAGCTAAGAGTACTTGAAACCTGATTCAACCCTCTCATTTGATACATGTGGAAACTGAGGCTCATAGAAGGCTGGTAGCTTGTCCCAGCTTACTAAGTACAATAAGCCCAGCGATAGGCCCACAGCCTAGGGCTCTAAGCCCCCAGTCTACAGCTCTGATGGTGCCAGGCTATTTATATTATGCGGCCTCTTGCTCCCTGACATGTTCAGCAGATGGCAGTGTCTTCAGAGTGTCTCCAAATAAATCTTACATTCACTTAGGGAATGCAGCGTCTCTGGGTTATCTGTTAAGGGAGGAAGCATTGTGGACTGCTGCAAGTTTGCCTCTCCATTCTTCTGTCATTAGCACCCTTGGTGTGGGAAACAGCCTATCTTCTGGGTGCCTCCCTACCACCGCCATGGGCCAACTGTACTGGGGTGGGGTGTGATGGGTAAGGAGATGGCAGTCCTGAAAATGTAAGGCAGCCAAGACTCAGAAAGACACATCTGTGCCACTACAGAATTTCTCTACCAGGATCCAGGAGGGACAGCCAGCTGGTAGGAAGGAGCTCTGGGAACTCTCCGTAAGCTGTGTTTACACTGACAACCACACTGCTTTAACTAAGGCTCTGTATTCATTTGAAAGACTTGTCCTGTCTCACTAAATTGTTGGCTTTCTGAGTACAAAAATTAGATCTGATGCTTCTTTGCAGGCTTCTAGAGCTAAGAACATTGTTGTGTGTCCAGAGTGTTTCTATCCTTTCTCCAAACCACCAGTACAGTTAGTTTTAACGCTAAAATTCAGTAATTTTCATCCGGCAATTGCATTGTTTATAACCCAACCACTTTCCTGACTGTTGGACTTACATCTCTGGTGAAACTAAAAGGTTCTCTTCCACTGAACCTCCGCCTGGAATTTTGATCTATTAATCCTGCTCCATTTACACAGGTGTACTCTCACCTTCTCTTTAGAAGAGGGCTTAGAGCCTTGATATCTTCTATCAAGTGATTCGGTTTCGGGCATTGCTAATTCTTTGTTCTTTTGATTCTCAAGACTGCCTGAGAAGATGTCATTCCCACAGCTGAAAAGAAGGAATTTGGATTCAATGCTGTTTCCACCACTTCGGAAAGGAATATCCATGAACTCTCTTGCAGGAAAATGGGAATTTCCAGAGAGAAACCACTTCTCCCCTTTCTTCTCTTCCCACGTCCTCTTCAGGAGCCTATAATTGGGCTCTGCCAGCATACTCTGACTGGCTAACGAAGGGTCAGATATCTGCAGTAGTAACAAAAGGCTCTTTTTCTACATGTCTACACCTCCTGGGGAGTCTTTGCTTAAACCTCTACTGGCCCTCCTCCGATCCAAAGGCAAGAATGTTCCCCTCTCTGTCCAAGACTAAAATGAACAAGTAAGGAAATGGATTTTACTCAGCCTATTGCAATAGGGAGAGCACTCCAGATATGATCAGTGTCTTGGCAGCGTAGTTTTGACTTTTATAGGGAGGAAGGTGGGATGATTGACAGTTGGGATTGTTTTGCAATCAGGAGAAGTTTCAGTCAGGTGAACAGGAAATGTTCTCTGTGTCTAACAAGTTGGGGGGAGGAGAGTTCTAATCTCAACTAATCACTCGATATCATCAGCGGGAATTTGGAAGGTCTGTTTGGCTTTATTAACAGGCTCAGAATAAAGGGGAAAGGTCTCTGGCCTTGTCACAGGCAAACAAGGGGGTCATCTGCACGCGTTTTATCTGAGTCACATGGAGACGGGTGGTTCTTTACAGTGTGCCGTTCCAGAAACACAAATAGATGAGGGGGTTTCTTAATCACCGCTGTTTTCCAGGAACACAGGGCTCAGGTAAAGTTCAACTTCACCTTCCTCCGGTGTTTCATCAGGGGAACCCTTCTGGAAGCAAAGACGTGTACTTCTTACTGTTGGCTAAATGGCTTCTTAACAAGGAAATTAAATCGTTGTTTAGAATGAAAGAGAGGAAGACGCCGGGAGAGGAGGCGCTGTGGATCGCGCCAGTTAGTAACGCATCACAGCTCGCGGGCGTCATACTACAAGTCCCAGTGAGCAACGCCCGCTTTCTTGCCTACTGCGGGCGGGAACCAGGCGCCTCTGGGCCTGACGGGAAAGACAGTGGTTTGGCTGAATGACGGAAAAGTCATTTGAGCAGGTCTTCATTTTTCGGAAGAGTATCTCAAAAGCTCTTCAAACAAGGCACGGACACAGAATCTAGGAAATGATAAAGAATCAATGATAACGTTATTACCACGGGGGTCAGACCAGGATCCACCCGAGGAAGGTATTTAACTAAAGCCCGAGTTCCAGCTCAATTTTCCCAGGAGTCTCCTTTCCGGCCGTGCCTGGCGTCATTGCTGTTGCGTCTTCTCATTGGCCGGTTGACGGGTTGCGGCGCCTGCGCGCTGCATTCCTTTGAGGGTCGTGGGCAGACGCCATTTTGGCCCCAGCGGTGCTTCTAGGAAGTAGAACGCCGGCTCGCATGCCTGCCCGCCCGCCAGCCTGCCGGGTACGGCCTTTTCCGCCGGGGCTTCCAGGTCAAAGAATTCGCCTTTGCCGCTACCGCTTTCTTACCCTCCGCACCCGTTAAGTTCTCCGGTCGGGCGGCAGTCTCTGAACACTTAGCCGCGCCATCCGGGGTCACACCGCCTGGAAGGAGGTGACGGGGGCGGCGCGGGGCGCGGACACTCCCCGCTGAGAGTCCGCCTGCCATGGACTCGGAATATTACAGCGGCGACCAGTCAGGTGGGGCAGGGACCTGGGGGACCGGGCTGGGAGGCGGAGCAGTTACTCGGCGGGGCTTGGCCTGGCACCCCGCGGGTGGGGGCAAGGAGGCCCCCCGAAACCTTCCCTCCCGCGACCCGGCCCGAGGAGGGCAAGAGCCCTCTGACCAGCTGCAAGCGTCGAAGCTAGAACGTTGGAGAGGGGATTCTGGTGGGAAAGCTTTCTTCTGAATCGGCGAAGGTTTTTGCTGAAATTGGGAAGTCACTTTCATATGTTAAGCTCCTATTGTGTGCAGGGAAGGAGAGGTGTCTTCTGTTAAGAGAGTTTTCAGTAGTTGAGTAGTTGGAGAATCCAAGGGGCGTTGGGGCGGGGGATCCTTCCTAGACTTTTCACTGCTAGTTAGGAGTGGTTTAATCTTGCTTGCAACACCGGACGTAAGTGCAGGACCCATGTTTCAGTTGCATGCATAGAGTAAGGAATGCGCTTCTGGCACTTACTGGTGGTTTTTGTGCCTTTCCTCCACCTTGAGATCGTTCCTCTTCCTCCTCACCGAAGTTTGGTCTCCTTTCTTTACTGTTTGTTTATTCTGTAAGCTGTTACTGGGGCCCACTCTGCTGGCACGGTGCTTGGCACCTGAGATTAAGGATAAGTGAGGCAGAACCTGGTGTGGGAAACACGTCGCATTTGCTTTCCCTTTGTGTGCTAGTCCTGTTGGGGCGTTCTGTTACAAAAGTTCTTAAATACACCATAAATAAATACACCCTCTATGTACCCACAAAAATTGAAAATTAAAAAGAAAACTTGAGTGCTTAAATAATTGTTTAAGCGTTAAGCCCTTTACTGTTTTGAGTTCATTGCTTTTCCTTACGTAGGACAGTGAATTCTAATGACTGCAAAGCGTTTTCCAGGCATGCACTGCTTAAAAACACTTTCCTAAGCCAGGTGCGGTGGATTATGCCTGTAATCCCAGCACTTTGGGAGGCGTAGGCGGCCGATGGCTTGAGCCCAGGAGTTCGAGACCAGCCTGGGCAACATAGTGAGACCAACACCACCCCCACCCCCCATGCCCGTACCCCACCCCCCTACGCCCCTACCCCACCCCCCTACTTCGTCTCTACAAAAAAATGCAAAAATTAGCCGAGTGTGGTGGCATACACCTGTAGTCCCAGTTACTCAGGAGGCTGAAGTGGGAGGATCCTTTGAGCCCTGAGCCCGGGAGGCAGAGGTTGCAGTGAGCGGAAGTTGCACCACTGCACTCCAAGCCTGGGCGACAGAGCAAGACTCTGTCTCAAAAAAAACAAAAACAAAAACAAAAACAAAAAAACACTTTCCTGATACTTTCAGAATAGTTTTTTTTCCATTCATTTGTGTTTTTAAGTTACTTTTTAAAAAGTAGACCGAGCACGGTGGCAAACACCTGAGGTCAGGAGTTTGAGACCAGCCTGGCCAACGTGGTGAAGCCCATCTCTACTAAAAATACAAAAAATTAGCCAGGCGTGGTGGCGGGCACCTGTAATCCCAGCTACTCAGGAGGCTGAGGCAGGAGAATCACTTGTTGAACCCGGGGGGGTGGAGGTTGCAGTGAGCTGAGATCACACCATTGCACTCCAGCCTGGGCCAAAAGAGCAAAACTGTGTCTCCAAAAAAAAAAAAAGTAATTATATGTAATACATGTATATAGGTTAAAATACGATTTTACTCTGTATTTTTTAAAGTATTGGGGCTGGGTGTAATCCCAGCACTTTAGGAGGCAAAGGCAGGAGGATTGCTTGAGGCCAGGAGTTTGAGACCAGCCTGGGCAACATAGCAAGACCCCATCTCTACAAAAATATAAAAGAAAGTTAGGTAACAGTTTGTATTTACCATTTTATATATGCTTTTCTTGAATGGATTTTCACTAGTTTTGGACTGGAGTTCCTTGTGTTCTTCATTTGTAAACAAATACTTACTGTATATCAGGTACTAGGCAGTGTTCTGGGCTCCAGAGATTTAGCAGTGAACCAAAATCCCTATTCTTGTGGCATTTTCTTTCAGGTGAAGAAGACCCACGTTAAACAAAATAACTTCAGGTAGTATATTAGAAGGTGATAAATGCCATGGAGAGAAAGACCCAATTTTAACATGAAGTTGAAATAAATTGTTGACTTGGTGTTTAGTGTTGTTTCTTAAGCTACAAATTGTTTTTATGGTGTAGTTTTGCTGCCACGTATTTCACAGTACATGTTATGCTTGTTGGTGTTTGTATGAGTATTGTATTACCTTATTCAAAATATTAGCAACTTTAGTTAATGCTTCCTCAGTGGTAACTTTTGCACTTACGTTATTCTTGATTCAGTGTGTTCATTTCACTGTAGATGTCATTCATCTTACACCATAAGTTGGTTTTTGTTTTGTTTTTAATCAGATGATGGTGGTGCTACCCCAGTACAGGATGAACGGGATTCAGGGTCAGACGGTGAGGATGATGTAAATGAGCAACACTCCGGATCAGACACTGGAAGTGTAGAACGTCATTCAGAGGTATTGGCTAACCAACATCTTTGGGAGGGCTTTTCCCTTGCGTTCTGTGAGATCTGTTATATTATAGGAGTTACAGAATCTCTGTGACAGAGTTTAGGGTTTAATCTCTGAGAGTAAAGGAGCATAAGTTAATAGAAAACCGCTTGAAAAATAAATAGGGATGGTCTGGTTACTGTTGAAATCACAGTGAAATATGTTCTGATTGGGTCACATTTCAAATGTTAGGCAGTTTTCAACTGTGCATATTGATTCAGAAAATGGGCCCGGCCTTTGATATTTGACTAAGTTTCCCTATTCTGCAATAATGTCATAGTGGGGCATTGAGCATTTGCAATCTGAAGAAACACCACTTGAAATAGAAAGTTATGGGGGTTATCACCTGTCAACATTTATGTCAGCATTTGCCCTTCTGATTTTGAACTGTTACGGTGTATATAATGTATGTAATAATAATGCTTTTTTTTTTGAGACAGGGTCTGACTCTGTAACACAGGCTGGAGTACAGTGGTGAGACCTCGGCTCACTGCAGCCTCTGCCTCTGGGCTCAAGCTATCCTCCCACCTCATAGCCTCCCGAGTAGCTGGGACTACAGGCACAGGCCACCACGTCCAGCTATTTTTGTTTTCTTGGTAGAGATGGGGTTTCACCATGTTGGCCAGGCTGATCTCAAACTCCTGACCTCAAGTGATCTGCCCACCTCAGCCTCTCAAAGTGCTAGGATTACAGGCGTGAGCCACCACACCTGGCCTGCAAATATAATTTTAAGAGCTGTTTTTGTTTAATAATATGTAATAGTATTGGGTTTTGTGTACATTTTAACGTATTTGCTCTAATACATAAATATTTCAGAACTGCTTTATTTTCCTTTCTGTTTATACATCATGTTAACAAGATAAAATTGGGAAATTTTTCAATAAGTTCGCCGTAAGTCTTTGGTAGATACGACTGAAACAAATAGGAATGATAAAGATGCAAAGATTTAAGAACTTTCTATGCCTTATATTTTTCTTGATTACACATATGCAGAAAATTGTCCAATTTTTAGTAGGTGTGATTAGAGATTATATTGACTCTGTCCTTTGACAGCAACATTAGCATATCATACATTCAACAGGTATTTATTGAGCACCTAATATGTGTCAGACTTTTTGCAGGTGCTTTGGACTTATCAGTGACTAGAAGTTAAAATCCTTCTCTTCTTAGGTTTGTTTTTCCAGTAGGAGGAGAAAGACATTAAGCAATAAACATTTTTTTTTAATTGTGTAGTCTGCTAGAAGATAACAAATGCTGTGAAGAAAACAGATAATTAGAACAAAGGATGGAGGGCAGGCTTTGGTGTTAAATAGGGACCATATAGGTCTTTTATTAAGAAAGTGACATTTGAACCAAGGTGTGAAGGGAGGCAAAGGAATAGCCGTGTGGATATGGACGTTTAGGGGAAGAACATCCCTGGCAAAGACCCCAAGGTGAGAGTGTGCTTGATATCTTCAAGGAGCCAGTGGAACTGAAATGGGGTCATTAAGGGGTAGGGGAGGTCAGAGAACTAAATGCGGGTGTGGAAAAGGCTCATCTTTTATATATTTTGATGTCACTCAGGTTTTTTCTGTGCTTTTAAACATTCAGAATAAATTCCAATATTTTAATTGATAGTTGGAAGTTACTTAATAATGTATATGTTGTTACAGCCAGTGCATTTAGTGCATGATATTTTAAGTTTCCTCTTTGGAAACAGCATTCAGAGATTAATCATGGTCAGTTTAGAGCCCAGTAGGGTAGTCATCTCATGGCCTCATGGTGCAGTTACAAGTTCAGGTTACCCTAAGCATCTTTGTTTTTTTATAATATGGATTCTAAATAAATAAGTGTGGCTGTTTTTGAAAATTTGGAAATCACAGACTGTCCCAGACTTAAACTATAATTTGACTTAAAAATTTTCAACTTTGCGATGTTGCAAGTGCTGTATGTATACTTTGAGTACCCATACAACCGTTCTGTTTTTTCACTGTATTCAGTAAATTACATGAGATACTCAACATTCTATTATAAAATAGGTTTTGTGTTGGGTGATTTTGTCCAACCGTAGGTCTTACCTCTGTAAGTGTTTGGAGCACATCTAAGGTAGGCTAGGCTAAGCTGTGATGTTTGGTAGATTAGATGTATGAAATGCGTTTTTGGCTTAATTATATTTTCAGCTTACTATGGGTGTATCAGGCTGTAACCCCATAATAAGTTGAGGCACTCCTGCATCTGTGAAGTTTAAAGAAAAAAATTAAAACCAGCATAGTCCAACTACAGAAATGACTATGAGCCTTTTCACATTATTTATCCTGCAGTTTCATTCTGTCCCAGGTATATGACGTCTATATATTTTAACTTTACTTGAGATGTTATTATATATATTTTGTGTCTTTCTATGTATATATTTTGAGACAGAGTCTCACTCTGTCCCAGGCTGGAGTGCAGTGGCATGATCTTGGCTCACTGCAACCTCCGCCTCCCAGGTTCAAGCAATTCTCCTGCCTCAGCCTCCAGAGTAGCTGGGATTACAGTGCGCTACCACGCCTAATTTTTAGTATTTTTAGTAGAGACAGGGTTTCACCATGTTGGCCAGGCTGGTCTCAAACTCCTGACCTTGTAATCCACCGGCCTTGGCCTCCCAAAGTGCTGGAATTACAGGTGTGAGCCACTGTGCCCAGCCTATGTATTATTTTTTATCTCTTCACTTAAGATGATACTTTTAAGTGTTTCCCCACGTCATTAAAGATTCTCAATAAGCGTAATGTTTAATGGTTTCACAATATGGATGCAGCATCACTTATTCAGCAATTTTCTAATTGTTGTCATTTATGCTGTTTAGCTATTGTATTAAATAACTGAAGCTGCCCTGAAGATTTTTGTACATAAACATTTGTGATCATTTTTTATTGTTTCCTTAGAAAGCTGCCAGGAGAATTAACGAGATTAGAGACTAAGACATTTTAAGGCTCTTCATAGAAATTCCTCTCCAGGAAGGTTATGGTAATTTGCTAAACCACTAGTACTTCAAGAGTGCCAGTTGTACTGTGTATAAGTGTTGAGTTCTGTATTAATGTTCTTTTGCCTGTTTAAAATGGCTTTTAAGAAGACATTTTGTTTTCTCATTAAACATTTTTTTTTAGAAGTAATGGGATGTTAAAAGAGTACGGTTGCATTAAATGAAGCAGTGCAAAGGCCGGGCGTGGTGGCCCTTGCCTGTAATCCCAGCACTTTGGGAGGCCGAGGTGGGTGGATCATGAGGTCAAGAGATCGAGACCATCCTGGCCAACATGGTGAAACCCCGTCTCTACTAAAAATACAAAAATTAGCCAGGCATGGTGGTTTGCGCCTGTAGTCCCAGCTACCTAGGAGGCTGAGGCAGGAGAATCTCTTGAACCCGGGAGGTGGAGGTTGCAGTGAGTAGAGATCACACCACTGCACTCCAGCCTGGCGACAGAGCGAGACTATGTCTCAAAAATAAAAACAAAACAAAAAAAATGGGGCAGTACAAATTACAGGTCCAAAGCCTGAAAGATACTAGTTTCCTCTTGAGGCTGTAACAACTTGATACAACTTGGTGGCTTAAAACAACGAAAAATTATTATCTTATAATTCTGGAGGTCAAGTCCAAAATGGGTCACACTGTACTAAAATCAAGGTGTCCCAGGGCTGTGTTCTTCTCTGAGGGAAGATACATTTCCTTGCTTTCTTCAGTTTGTAGTGGCTACCTGCATTTCTTGGCTGAGGCTCCTTCCTCCATCTTCAAAACCAGCAGCATAGCATCTTCACAACTCATTTTCTGACCTCTTGTTTCTGTCATCATATCTCTCTCTTACTCTGACCTTCCTGTATCCCTCCTGTAAGAACCTTTGTAATTATAATTGGGCCTACCTGGATAATCCAGGGTAATGTCCCTATTTCAAGGTCCTTACCTTAATTACATTTGCACAGTCCCTTGCATGTAAAGTGACATATTCACAGGTTCCAAGGGTTAGAACGTGGACATTTTTGAAGGGCCATTATTTTGCTACCATAAGATGGTACTCACAGCATAATTTTCCCAATAATGGTATTTTTTTTTTTAAACCCCTCATCTGTATTTTAGAATTTAGGCTAGTATTTTTTTTAAATTCATTTCACCTATAGTATTTACTCAGTGCACACACACGCACACACACACACACACAATCTTTAAGATAGTGGTCAGTATAGGAAATACTGATAAGATTTTGAAGACCAGTAACTTTTGCAGATTTCTTAACCACTTTATTAGAAAGCTCCTTTAGTTATTAAAAAAAAAACTTATTTTTTCTTAAAGTAATTGTATATGTCTATAAATAATCTCAGACAGGTGACAGAACAAGTCTCATATCAGACTACCTTAAGAAAACAAGAGTTTACTGTAACACATGTATGTAATGGGCTGTAAATCTTTCTGTCTAGGTAGCTTGTTCTGTCCATCTGTCATTGATGGCCCTGCCTAATGGCCATTTCTAATAACATCTCTGTTTATTCTTGTATGGTTGGCTTTATTTTTTTCTCCAAGATTTGAAAAACACTCAGTAATCAAGATAAATGATATTTTAAAACTCAAAATGAATGCAAAAAAAAATGAACAAAATATCAAAATCTTTAAAGTTAGGATCAGTAACAATGCTGTGTTGGTCTATATTTGAGCCAGAGGGAAAAGGAAAAACCAGTACTGGTTATCCTGTCTTCACATTTTAAATATTTTGTTCGTCATGGGTTTTTTTGCACCAACGTTGATCTTTAAAAAGATCACCTGTCTTGGGCCGGGTGCGGTGACTGACGCCTGTAATCCCAGCACTTTAGGAGGCCGAGGTGGGTGGATCCCCTGAGGTCAAGAGTTCGAGACCAGCCTGGCCAACGTGGTGGTGAAACCCCGTCTCTACTAAAAATACAAAAAATTAGCCAGGCGTGGTGACAGGCTCCTATAATCCCAGCTACTCGGGAGGCTGAGGCCGGAGAATCACTTGTACCTGGGAGGCAGAGGTTGCAGTGATCTGAGATCACGCCATTGTACTCTAGCCTGGGCAACGAGAGCAAAACTCTGCCTCAAAAAAAAAAAAAAAAAAAAGAATCGCCTGTCCTTTAAAAAGCAGCTTTTCTTTTTCTTTTTCTTTTTTGAGGCAGAATCTTACACTGTCGCCCGGGCTGGAGTGTAGTGGCACAATCACAGCTCACTGCAGCCTCAACCTCCCACGCTTAAGTGATCCAGACCTCAGCCTCCCAAGTAGCTGAGACCACAGGCATGCGCCAGTATGCCCAGCTAATTTTTGTATTTATAGTAGCAATGGGGTTTTGCCATGTTGCCTAGGGTGATGTCAAGCCCCTGAGCTCAAGCCATCCGCCCGCCTTGGCCTCCCAAAGTGCTGGGATTACAGGTATGAGCACCGTGCCTGGCCCAAAAAAGGGCTCTATTGAGATCAATTTACATACTATACAATTTGTGCAATTCAGTGATCTTTAGTATTTCACAGTAGCCCAGCTATCGCCACAGTTGGTTTTAGAATTTCATCACCTAAGAAACGCTTTTGCTGTTACCTTTCTAACCTCCTCTTCCCTTTGCCTACCCCTCCCCACCCCACAGTCCTCAGCAACCACTGATATACTTTCTGTCTCATAGAAGTCCTTGTTCTGGACATGTCTTACAAATGGAATGGTAAAATATGGTCTTTTGTGACTTATTTCACTTAGCATAATATTTTCAGGGTGTAGCCATGTTGTAGCACACATGAGTACTTCATTCCTTTTTGTGGTAAATAATATTCCATTATATGGATATACTATATTTTGCTTATCCATTCATCAGCTGATGACATTTGGATTGTTTCTTTTGGTATTATGAATAATGCTGCTATAAACATTTGTGTACAAATTTTTTGTAGACATATGTTTTCAGTTCTCCTGGGTTTATTCCTAGGGAGGTAATTGCTGGCTCATAACGTAATTCTGTGTGATCATTTGAGGAACTGCCAGACTATTTTCCACAGTGGTTACACCATTTTACATTCATACCAGCTGAGTGTAAGTGTTCTGATTTCTCCATACTCTTGTCGGCAATTATTACCTGACTTTTTGGGGTGTAGTTTTATTCTTTGCATTGGCTGTCTAGTTATCCCATTGCCATTTGTTGAGAAGACTGTTCTTTCCCCATTGGATGGTCTTGGCATCCTTGTTGAAAATCTGTTGACCATAGGATATATGGCTTCATTTCTGGACTTTAAAAACTTACTCATGTCTGCATCTATCCTTGTGCCTGTACTAGTGTATTAACTACTATTGCTTTGTAGTATGTTTTGATATTGGAGAGTATGAGTCCTAATTTGTTCTTTTTCAAGATTCTTTTAGCCAATCTGGGTCTCGTGGAGTTACCTGTGTATTTTAGAATCAGTTTGTTGATTTCTGCAGAGAAGTTAGCTGGGATTCTGATGGGGGATTGCACCGAATCTGTAGACCAGTTTGGGGAATATTGCCATCTTGGTAGTGTAAAGTCTGTTCATCCAAGAACACGGGATGTCTATTTAAGTGTTTAATTGCTTTTAACAGTGATTTATAGTTTTCCGTGTATACATGTTCGATTTCTTTGTTAAATTTATGTTATTCTCTTTGATGTTTAGTAAATGGAATTATCTTACTAATTTCATATTCATATTGTTCCTAAACACTTTTCCTACTATTTCTAATCTTATTTCATTGTAGTGGGGGAACAAACCTTGTATATTGCTATTCTTTTAAATTTGTCAGGGTTTGTTTTAGGGCCTAGCACATAGTCTATCCTGGAGAATGTTCCATGCGCTTAATAAGAATATATATTGTTGAATAAAGGTTTTGTTTTGTTTTTAAAAAAGGTCTCTTCTGTTGCCTAGGTTGGAGTGCAGTGGTGTATTTGTGGCTCACTTTGACACAGCGGGCATGTGAAAAAATTATGGCTCATTGTAACCTTGAACTCCTGGGCACAAGGAGTCTTCCCGCCTCATACCTCTGAGTAGCCAGGACTACAGTTGCGTACCATCATGCCTGGCTAATTTTAAAATTTTTGTGGAGAGGGATTTTGCTATGTTGCCCAGGCTGGTCTTGAACTCCTGACCTCAAGTGGTTCCTCCCACCCTGGCCTCTCAGCAGTACTGGGATTACACGTGTGAGCCATTGTGCCAGGCCTATTTCTTTAGATATCTGATTTAGTTGATTTATAGTATTGTTGAAGTCCTCTTTTTTTTCTCATTGAGCTTATGTCTAGTAATTCTATTCAGCTGTTTTCTCCTTTTCTATTTTGTGTGTGTGTATTGCGGGGGCGGGGTGCGGAGTCTCACTGTCGCCCAGGCTGGAGTGCCATGACGCGATCTCGGCTCACTGCCCAGGTTGAAGAGATTCTCCTGCCTCAGACTCCTTAGTGGTTGGGACCACAGGCATACACCACACGCCCAGCTAATTTTTGTGTTGTAGACATGGAGTTTTGCCACGTTGCCTAGGCTGCCTTCTGTATTTTTTTAAACACTGAGCTCTGGGTAGGGAGTGGAGGAGTGGGAATGAGTTAGTAACCTGAAATCCTTTCAGCTTGCATCTCTTGGCATGGTCTCACAAGCCGGCCCAAGGGTGATTAGGGCCCCAGTATTCTCAGTGTGGTCCACCCAAGGTAGAGCCTTCTTTAAGCAAGTGAGGGTTGGGCAAAAGATGGGAATCTCCACTTCTCAACTGCAGTCTTTCGGAACTTAGCCACAGCAGCAGGCACTGGGGAGCCGGATGAGAGATGCTGATGCCCTGCTCTTCCTGGGAAGGAAGCCCTCTAACTGAAGCAGGATGGAGAAGGAACTCTGTATTTCTGGCTGCAGCAATCTGGAGTGGAGTCAGCCTCACTGAATTGTGAGGTTGGAAGGAGGGATTGATCTTGGTTCAAGTAATCTCTCTTGTGGAATTTGTGTAGGCGTTTCTTCATTTGCCCTTTGCCGTTAGGACCATTTGTAGAGGCTTTAAGTGGTTGTTTTTAATAATTTTCACTGGGGAGGTCGGTAGAGCTTCTCATTCTGTGATGCCAAAAGTCCTTGTTTGACTTCTTGTTTATCTCTTACAGATTGGTCAGGCTTTTGCATATTCCCCAGTTTAAATCCCAAAGGGACCTATTATGCTTCTCTTGTCTGTTAGCGCAATCTGTATTGGGCCCATTGAGCTCTTTCATCTCATGGAGTTTCCTCTATGTGTGTATGGGTGAGGACCTCCGGGTCCTGCCTGTGGCCACACCTCCAGAGAGAGCAGCCTTGTGTTGCTTTCCTGAACAAGAGATTTTTAGCAAGCCAGTTGTGGATATTTGGGGGCATGCCTGTATATTAACAGGACATTTAGCATCTTGGTTACTGGGCATTAAATGAAATGCTAGTAACACATCCTCCCCATCATTGATGACCAAAAACAGCCCCTCGAATTTCCCACTAACCCCTTGGGTGAAGACCCAGAGCCGCCCTTGGGTTGAAAACACTGAAATGGACAAATGAGGTGTAATAAACATAAGAAAGGAAACAAATACTCAACAATGTAGAAAATGAGTGATTAAACTGTAAATAGAACATTTATAAAAATGGCAATGCAGCTATTGGAATTGCTTTCAAAGAATATTTAGTGACATGGAGAATTGAACATGTTACTTGTGATGCAGGATTTTTTTGGAGAGTGCCACTTCCGGTTGGCAGGAAACCTCTGGGGTCAGCAGTGCCCCTGCTTGGGCCTTGCTGGGCTCTGGGCTCACTTGGATTTGCCTGGACTCACCCTGCCCACTCGGCCTGGCAGGCTGCACTTGGTTTTTGCTACCGGCCTCTGCAGGCAAGACAGGTATGGAATGGCAAGGGGTGTGTGAATGAGTGAGTGCAGGGTCTGGTTACAGCACACAGCCAGGCGGGTCAGCTGCTGCAGCGGGCGGGCAGCTCCAGGCACCGACACAGGCGCT
Source organism: Homo sapiens (assembly GCF_000001405.40). Taxonomy (NCBI): domain Eukaryota; kingdom Metazoa; phylum Chordata; class Mammalia; order Primates; family Hominidae; genus Homo; species Homo sapiens. The sequence continues at coordinate 127,514,701 of NC_000002.12, read as the reverse complement.
GGCTCCGTGTGAGGCTGCAGCTGGACACAGTGTGCCGCAGCAATTTCCATAGAAGGCACCGGTGTCCAGACGAGGGGGATGTGGTGGTGCCTGAAAACTCGGAGATGCCAGGAACTGCAGAGCCCCAAGGATGTCACAGCTCAGTTCCCACTGCCAAGGGCTTGGTGAGCAGGGGCATATTACAACCCTGTTTTGGAGAGTCTCGAGGTCTGGGCTCTCAAGAAGCACTACAGCTCTTATTTGTTCCTGCTGCCCACGGCGTTGGTGAACGGTGGTATGCCATGCCCAGCGACTTTTTCTCCCCCATTGCTGGGTAAGCGGGAGGGAGGGGTACAGTGTTAGACACCCCTTTTTGCATCCTCCGTTTGGCGGGTCCCAAGTGCTTTTCCTGCATCCAAGAAGAATGAGGTTACACGGACAACCGAGAGTGAGCAGGGTAGGGAAGAGTTTTATTGAGTGACGGAACAGCTATCAGCAGCAAGGGGACTTGAAGTGGGCAGCCCCTATCCAAAGGTGGGTTGTCCCCAATGTGTGGCTAACTCTGGGGTTTTTATAGGCTCAGAATTGGGGAGTATGGGCTGTAGGTAGCCTTGGGAAAGGCAACATTTGATTAGTTAAAAATTAGCATTATTCAGAAAGAACCACTCAGGAAAGAGCAGGCAAACGGGAATAAAGGTTCTCATTCCGGTCAGGTGCTTTAGCAGCTCAGTTTTCAGGGTTTAAGCTGTCTTTGGCTTGAAGGTCACATTTCACCAGGGACCCACCCCTATCTGCCTAGGAATTTGTCTGCTTCCTGCTGTTATTATTTGAAAGATACAGGCTATTATTGTGATTCTAGGTCCTAGTTTAATTTTTTTAAAGTAAATTTACACATAGAAGAGATTGAAAGGACTAAAATGTAAATGATGGTGATCTTTGGGTGTGATTTGCATTCGTCTTATTTCTGCAGTGCTCATTAATGTTTCAAATAAAAAAGAAAATAATTTGGTAGAATACTATGCCATTTTATATGGTAACCCATTTTTATAAGCATGCAAGAGCTAACTCAAAATGTACTAAAAAATTCAAGATTTAGAAGAACCTTGCGAAGAACCCTTTCATGTGAATAAAGATAAACCTTTCTTTACTAGCTGTTTTTTTTTCTGTTTTTATCTTTATATTCCCTTACTAAAAAATTATAACAATTAGGTATCAAATTGTCTTTTCCTAATAGATTAGTTGGAAGCATACATGGAAAGATAGTTTCTTAAATTTGAAGAAAAGGTATTGCAGTTTAGATTTCTCAATCCAGAAGCCTATAGAAGTTTTACACATCTTTCTTTGAATATTTTGTATTCCCAATTACCCCGTACCTCATGTGCAGCCTGGATAGTTGACATTTTTTTCTCTGTCCCCAACTGTGTTATTATATGGTTTCCAAATCAAGTTAATTAAACCTTTTTTTTGTTTTTTATTTTTTTTGAGACACAGTCTCACTCTGTCACCCAGGCTGGAATGCAGTGGTGTGATCTTGGCTGACTGCAACCTCTGCTTCCTGGGTTCAAGCAATTCTCTTGCCTCAGCATCCTGAGTAGCTGGGACTACAGGCATGCGCCACCACACCCAGCTACTTTTTGTATTTTTAGTAGAGACAGGGTTTCACCCTATTGGCCAGGCTGGTCTTGAACTCCTGACCTCAGGTGATCCACCCACCTTGCGCTCCCAAAGTGCTGGGTTTTATGGGTGTGAGCCATGGTGCCCCACCAGATAATTAAATCTTTAGATTGGAATGCATTTCCCAAAAAATTGGCACTCTTGCTTAAGTTTATATAATGTGTGATAATTTATTATTCATGTCTTTCAATAAACATTTTTGAATGTTTATTGTTTACTAGGCATAGCAATGCAAACTTAAAACTTTAAGGTATCCATGTGGGTGCGGCAGACCTATAAATAGGTGACTACTATATAGTGCGTCATTGTAGAAAGGATACATACCAAGCACTGAGAGGAAGGGAGGATGGGCTTAGTAGCCAAGATATTTCAGCTGACAGAAGAATGAGAGACATTGCCAGTTGGAGAAACGGGTTAGGGGTGGCGATAGGGGTGGTGGTAATTCTGTCTAGCTAGAAGAGCAACAGGTACAGGGCCTAACATTAAGAAGGACTTGATATATTTCAGGAATGATTGTTGTGGCTAGAAAATGGAATAGCTTAATGGAAGGTAATGCTGAATAATTAAGTTTGGGTTAGATGGCTTCACACCTTTTGTGGTAGGACAGATAGGGAAGAAGGGGGAAAACTCTGTAAAAATCTTTTCGAATAGTAATCACTGGAAATGTAACTTTTTAATAAAGCAATTTGAGCACCAAGTGAGGGGTGGCCGTCAAATGTGACCTAGTTGTAACTAGTTGCCAGTTCTAGTTTTTGTTATTTTTACCATATATTCTTTTAGACAGTATTTTTGCCAATTAGCTGTGTGGTTTTGATTCAGCTGGTTTCTGTTTCATGGAAAATGTATCAAAGGAAATGCTTATCTTAACATCCAGAAGCCTGTAGATTTTATCTATATATAGAAGTACCCTCCTGAGCGTCCCACAGGAAAAAATGGAGTGTGAGACATTGAGGAAGATGTTGTTTGGGAATGGAACCTGGCTTCTCATGGTTCTCTGACTGTAAGCAAAGCACAGTGGGCCCAGCCATCTGCCCTTGAAGTCAGTGACAACTCCTTTAGCTCCAACATTACTTGAATTGAGTAAAAGAAAAAGTCTGCTCTTGTTTGGATCTTTCCACCAGGAGGTTGTGTTAGTATAAGGAAAGCATCCTTATGGGGGAGTACATCAAAACAACTAGAAGATTTGTCTTGGCCATTGCTGTCCTATTTCTTATTAGTTCTTTTGATTCTGTCTACATTTTCCTGTTTTAGTTTTCAGTCTTTGTCTTTGATTCTAATAATGTTTAATGCAAACATTATTTTCCATTTATTTTATGTTAAGCATTGCTTGTGGGGTTTCTTCATTTTAGTGAGTGTATTTTGAGTGTCTTTTTTATGCTGCAGGTAAAAGATACATTTTTACAGAATAGCCTCTGATCTTAAGGTCAGTGTATCAGATAAATGTAAATAAATGTGTAAATCACCTTTCAGTGAAGTGTGAGCGTACAAGATGCCATGGGGATATGAAGGGAGGGAATGGCTAACCAGGTCAGCAGACGTCACAGGATGTATTTGAGCTGAGTCTTGAAGGGGTGAATGTTTTGTAATTAATAATTAATGAGATTTTGTTACTGATGGTGCATAACATTTATTGAATATTCACAGGCTCTGTGCTAACGGCTTTGCATGCTTTTAGTCCTCAGAACTGCCCTCTACGGTATAGATAGTATTCCTAATTCCATCAGATCAAGGACATGGAAGCTTTGAAGAGTTAGGAAAATGTCCTTTGATCACATAGTAGAAAATAGCAGAGCTGGGGCTTGGACCTCAGGTCTTTCTGACTCTAAATTCCACAGCCTTAACTGTCACATTATGTTGCACAAAGTCCATCCATTCTACCTAGGGAGAAAGATGGAAGAGACTTCATGGGGCGAGTATTTTTGGCAAGTTTTTAGGCACGAAAAAGACAAGGTAGAAGAAAGATATTCTTGGTAAAGGGAACAGCATTTGTAAAGGCGCAAAGTTAGTGGTTCCACTCTGCTGGAACTGGAGTAGAATTTCTAAAATGTGGTCAGAATCATGTGGACCACATGTCAAAATTCAGATTCTGTGACACCTTTCCCAGATACACTGAATTAATATCTGGAGGTGAGAAGCACAAAAGTTTGTATGGTTTTCTCCAAAGTTCCCCAAGTGATTCTTAAGCATACTGAAGTTTGGGAACTGCTGGTGTAACACATAGGGTTGATGGTGAGTGGAAAGAAGTGAGTCTAAAGAGGTAGGCAAGAGTTTGCATCATTATTATAAAATCTTAAACTTGGTTGGGAGGCCAAGGCGGAAGGATCACTTGAGGCCAGGCATTTGAGAACAGCCTGGGCAACACAGACTGTCTCTACAAAAAAAAAAAAAATTATCCGGACGTGGTGGCGTGTGCTTGTAGTCTCAGCTACTTGGGAGACTGAGGCAGGATGATCTCTTGGGCCCAGGAGTTCAAGGCTATACTGAGCTATGGTTATGCTACTGCACTTCAGCCTGGGTGACAGAGTGATACCTTGTCTCAAAAAGACAAAACAAACCAAACAAACAAAAAACAAGCTTTGTGTAGAATTTTTTTTTCTGGTATTCATCAGGAGTGCCTTTGTTTCTGACTCTTATTCTAAGATCAACCAACTTTTGATAGACAGGGGACACAAGGGACATTCTGGTTTATAGCTTCATTATATTAAGTGTGTGCTTGGGAGTTTCTCAGAGTGTTGCAACACTCCAGGAACTACATTGGATTGACAGCATTATGTATTTTACTGCAGGGTTTCTCAGATTCTTTCATGCTCATTAAACTGATACGCATTGACAAAGTCCAGTATGATAGTTTCAGCTATATCTTCTGGAACTAAGGTCCCGTGAAACATGTTTTTGAAAATGGTCCTATAGATATTTCCTCATGGAATGTACTGTGTGGTTTAGTGTTGAGCATTTTACCAGTTTATAATGGTAGAGTAGTATGCAACATCAAGTACTTTGAGTTTGACACTTCTCACCAGTAAAGAAGAAACAAAGTGTCCTGAGTTATTTGGGTCTATACACGTTTCCATTTGACGATATAATACTTTGAAATTTGAATACTTTACAAATTATTATTTGATTTATAGCAGTTTTATTTACTTTGCAGTTTAAGAATGTCAGTTATCTCTCTGTGTATTGTGGCCCTGGTCATAAGAAGTGTGGTTATTCTTTGTAGACTGAGATAAACAAGATTGTTTATTATGATGGATAACCAGTGATTTATAACTGCAGTGTGAATGATGGCTAAGAAGGAGGTATGAGGCATTATCGATGGCTTTTTTTTTTTTTTTTTTTTTTTTGAGATGGAGTGTTGCTCTGTCACATAGGCTGGAGTGCAGTGGCACGATCTTGGCTCACTGCAACCTCCGCTTCCTGGGTTCAAGTGATTCTCCTGCCTCAGCCTCTCAAGTAGCTGGGACTACAGGAGTGCGCCACCACACTCAGCTAATTTTTTGCATTTTTCGTAGAGACAGGGTTTCACCATGTTAGGCAGGATGGTCTCAATCTCCTGACCTCGTGATCTGCCCACCTCGGCCTCCCAAAGTGCTGGGATTACAGGCGTGAGCCACTGCGCCCGGCGGCATTATAGATGTTTCTAAAGCATCTAAGGACCTTCTGAGTGCTCAATTTCTTTTACCATTACAACTAGGAAATGTGTTACATTATTTTAGAAATGACATTAAATGTCAGTTTCAACTGTTGGTTTGTTGTACTCATCTGACTTTTAAAAAACTGTCTTTTGGATTTTTTTTAAGCTTGCAATTTAATTGCCAAAACCACTCTAAAAACTTTGGATATTGTTTTGATAACTTTTAAGCTTAACTGTATAATTTCCAGCATACTCGTCCCAAATTCTGTGGTGGTGTTGTCTAAGTGTATTCTTTAGCTCGAGTCTATTAAACTAGTACTTCTTTACTGTAGTGATTTCTCCCCTTTTTTGCCCTGTCATGCCATACATAATGCTATGTTTTCGTGAAACTCATAAAAAATTCATGAGGATTCCTAAATTTTACAATCATTGTCTTATGCAGTGTCCTTGTAAGGGTTTGTTTTGGAATGCTACACCATGTGTCAGGAAATCTGGGGTAGAGTGTAGCGGGTGAGTTTTGGATGACTGCCCAGTGTCTCTCACTTCTTTGGGAGTGACTCCCAGTGCTGTGCCCCGATCCAGCTGTAACTGATTGAGTCACAGTTTCTAATATTGCCTTGGCCAGTTAAGTCATCTCTCTTGGGGATTTATAATTTAGGTTCTAGACAGGGTATAGCTGAGTCATGTTACTGATGGTACTCTAGTAAAATGATCCTTGAGTTCCCTTTTCTAAGCTCTCTGTGCTGCGTTGGTACTTAACCTTCCCAAGTGTTTAGTCATTCAACTGACTTTGATCCTGAGAAGATTGTTCTTTTTTTCTGGACTTAGCTAGAGATGATTTCTGTAGTTTCAACTAAAATAAATCAAGTCACACATAGAAATGGTGTTAGAGTTATGTGATGGATATATCATGGAGAGCATTCCAAAAGCCAATTATAATTTTCCTTTTTGCCTCCTGCTTTAATTGCCTCTGCTGGTACTGTATGCCTCTCCCCACCCTCCCGTCTTAACTCAGCCATCACAAACTGCATGCAAACATGCCTGTTGTCTGCACACCTTTTTTTTGCAGCTCAGTTTCATATAGATGCACTTCCAGTACACTTTTGAAATATCATATACATACTTTGTGAATAGTGCATGTCACACTATACTGTTACAGTATGCTTGGCTGGCTCCTCATCAGACAGCAGCTCTTAAGGTCAGGCCCTGTGACATACTCCGCCTGGATTCTTGGTGTCTTGCACGTAGTAGACATGAAATACATTCTTGTTGGATTAATTTTTCCTCACCTTATGTTATTCCCACTTAAGGCCTTTATTACTCATTTAACAAATACACGTTGAGTATCCCTTATCCAAAATGCTTCAAATCAGAAGTGTTTTGGATTTAGAATTTTTTCGAGTTTTGGAATATTTACTTATACAGAGTGAGCTATTTTGGCGATGGAACCCAAGTCTAAACACGAAATTCATGTGTCTTATATACATAGCTGGAAGGTAATTTTACACATTATTTTAAATAATTTTTCACATGAAACAAAGTTTGTGTTGGGTGCTTATGTGTGGAATTTTCCACTTGTGGTGTCATGTCAGTGCTCAAGAAGTTTCAGATTTTGGAGTTGTCTGAATTTTCAGATTAGGAATGCTCGAACTCTACCTAGTGTGTGTATGTTCTGGAGACCATTCTGCACTCTGAGGATACCTCAGGAAAACAAACCAAAATATGTCTGCCTTCCTAGAGCTTACAATCTAGATAGTTAAATTTTCCATCTGCATTCTTTTAAATTATGAAGTGTGGCTAAAGTAAACTTTAGGCAACATACAGACTATTGTACGGTAATTGTAAGATTCTATGATATCTCTCAAGTCCTAATACCGTTTTAATAGATAAGTGCCTGTTTCAGTGGGATAATAGAGCTTGTGACTGACAAGGAATCTAATACAGTACTGTGTTGAGTGCCCAGTGAGAACTCAAGAAAAATGTATTTAGGAATTTTGAAAAGTGTATGATTTTGGAAACTTACCTGAATGTGCTATATTTCAGTGACTGTGTATAGCAATGACTCTTTGCAATGCTGTGCTGTCATAATGGTGATAAAATATTTAAAAACTCTTCAAACATTGGCTTTGTAGGCTATTTTATAATTTTTCATATTCTTTTTGAATTTGTAGACACAGCATACTTGGGTTAGTAAAAGTTTGGGTTTTATGAGAACATTTTCAAGCCATTTATCTTGTCATTGACAAGAATAATCTTGTCACTTAACTGTTTCATAGCATGATGTTGGGCATATATATTATTAAAGGCTCTTTGGTCCTTGAAAATTGGTCTGTGGTAGGTTCACATAGCTTAAGTCATATATCTAACAAGAAATATTTGGCTCAGTAAATTTTTAAGAGGGTATACTCAAACACGGAAATACTTTCACTTTTTAAGCTAGAATATTATTGCCATGTTATTTAAAGTTGAGCTACCAGATGGGAGAAAAAATTCACCGGATCCTAAAATACTTGTTAGTATTTTGGCATGTTTAATTTTGTATATTTTTCTCTGCATTTTAAAGCCATAGCTATAATATGCACATATCAAGTTTGTACCCCAGGGCATGTTTTCAGAGTAATTATTTCAAGTAACATTATGTGTTGGTATAGTTAGATGAATCATGTTCTCCCTAAAACTTAAGCTTTCTTGTTTCTAGGGTTACTAGACACAGGACCGTGACTACTGTAAGCCTCAATTTTGTTATCATGAGAAGTACCATTATGAGGAGTAAATGAACTAACAGGAGAGAGCCTGTTGTGGTATTGGCTCTTAGTGGGTACTTAGGAAATGTTAACTTCTCCTTTCTTTGTTTGCTTAAATTATCTTGGGAGAAGGTGCCCATATGTTATTTGACCCTTTAAATAAAATTAAATTTTATAGTTCTTTTCCCTTAAATAATCTTAACCTTATAAAACCCAAGAATGTTCCTGTGTAAAAGAACTTGGTTACATGTTTGCTTGTATTTCTTTGAAAAATAGAGTTATTTATTTTTATTTATTTATTTTTATTTTTGACAGTCTCACTCTGTCACCCAGGCTGGAGTGCGATGGTGCAATCTCAGCTCACTGCAACCTCCGCCTCCCAGGTTCAAGTGATTCTCCTGCCTCAGCCTCCCTAGTAGCTGGGATTACAGGTGTCCACCACCACGCCCAGCTAATTTTTGTATTTTTAATAGAGACAGGGTTTCACCATGTTGGCCGGGCTGGTCTCGAACTCCTGACCTCAGGTGATCCACCACCTCGGCCTCCCAAAAGGTGTGAGCCACCTTGTCCAGCCTAGAGTTATATTTTTACAAAACAGAAGTATGTATGAGAAAATTCGCCTTTTAAAAAAGAAAAAATCTAGCTCTTCACGGTCAGTTTTCTGTAGTAATCTGAGGGCATGCTTTACAAATCTGTTTTGATGAAGGCTGGTTATATTTCCCCATTTGGGGATCCAAATAAAACCATTTCACTGATTGGCTTTCTGTGGGGGTGTTTCTATATGGGTATAGGACAAGAATTCTCCATTTAGGTGCACATAATCCTGTATTTTAAAAAAATCACAGAAAAAATTTAATGTTTTATTATTAATGGTTTTTTTTTTTTTGCACTTTCCTAATTTTTTCTCACTTTATTTTTCAGAATGAAACTAGTGATCGAGAAGATGGCCTCCCCAAAGGACATCATGTGACAGACTCTGAGAACGATGAGCCCTTAAATCTTAATGCTAGTGACTCTGAAAGTGAGGAGCTTCACAGGCAAAAGGACAGCGACTCTGAATCTGAGGAACGTGCAGAGCCTCCTGCAAGCGATTCTGAAAATGAGGATGTCAATCAGCATGGGAGCGACTCTGAGAGTGAAGAGACCAGGAAATTACCTGGTAGTGACTCTGAAAATGAGGAACTTCTTAATGGGCATGCAAGTGACTCAGAAAACGAAGATGTTGGGAAGCATCCCGCCAGTGATTCTGAGATTGAGGAGCTCCAGAAGAGTCCTGCTAGTGACTCTGAAACAGAAGATGCTCTAAAACCTCAAATCAGTGACTCTGAGAGTGAGGAACCCCCAAGGCACCAAGCCAGTGACTCCGAAAATGAGGAGCCTCCCAAACCTCGAATGAGTGATTCTGAAAGTGAGGAGCTTCCTAAACCTCAGGTCAGTGATTCAGAAAGTGAGGAACCCCCAAGGCACCAGGCCAGTGACTCTGAAAATGAGGAGCTTCCCAAACCTCGTATCAGTGACTCAGAAAGTGAGGACCCTCCGAGGCACCAGGCCAGTGACTCAGAAAATGAAGAGCTTCCCAAACCCCGAATCAGTGATTCGGAAAGTGAGGATCCCCCAAGGAACCAGGCCAGTGATTCGGAAAATGAGGAGCTACCCAAACCCCGAGTCAGTGACTCTGAGAGTGAGGGGCCTCAGAAGGGGCCTGCCAGTGACTCAGAAACTGAGGATGCGTCCAGACACAAACAGAAGCCAGAGTCAGATGATGACAGCGACAGGGAGAATAAGGGAGAGGATACAGAAATGCAGAATGACTCCTTCCATTCAGACAGCCATATGGACAGAAAAAAGTTTCACAGTTCTGATAGTGAGGAGGAAGAACACAAAAAGCAAAAAATGGACAGTGATGAAGATGAAAAAGAGGGTGAGGAGGAGAAAGTAGCGAAGAGAAAAGCTGCTGTGCTTTCTGATAGTGAAGATGAAGAGAAAGCATGTAAGGAGTTACCTTGGGCTGTTTATCAATGGCTTTATTCATTGTCTAAGCTTGTAACTGTGGAACATTGTATCCTCTTGGTATGTCAGATCTGTGTTCTGTTATTCAGCTTAATATTCTAAAATATCAGTAGGACACTCATTTCCCCTGGTTATCATTAGCTAAGCTTAATAGTAAGTTTCCTTGGAGTTCTATTAGCACATATTAATCTCTGACTGCCTCAAAGTGATAAACCACATGTCAATAGGAATATAAAATACTGTTTTTTTTTTTTAAAACTGGAAGAGGTAATGTTTCAAAGAAATACGTTTACATAAAAACCCCTAACTGTATTAATTGTTAGCTGTGGGTCTCTTTGACACTTAGTTCACTAGATCCCATCCAAACAGTAACAGCTCCCACAGGTACATCTCTTCATTTGTTAAACATTGTTGAATATTCAGATACAGGGAAGCTTTGAGAGGATTCTATTTAGAGACACCATCTCTCTCCAGAGTGTTTCAGTCTCTGCTATCTAAGACTCCATTTGCACAGATAGTATTACTTGTCTACTTTTTTATGAAACTTATCTTTTTTGGAAAAGACATATTTCATTATAACCTCACAGTTCTTATAGGAGAAGGAAAAGGTACCAGACATGCTGTCAATTTGTTAAGGGAGATGAGAAATTTCAAACTGACCAGCAATGATAGAGGAACATGGAGACTATTCCTAGAAAGAAATATGTAGTCCTTTTTAGTTCAGTTACTACTAGGCAACATAGAAAGGATGCCAGTTTTGCCCATCAATCTAGTTTTAATTTTCTCGATTTCCCAAAAGGAAAGGTGGCTGCTTTTATATTGATGATATCTTTCTTCATCTTTTGGCCAGTTTTTCTTAAGCAAAATAACAGATAATTTGTAAGATGACTCTGAATGAGCCATTTAGTTATTTTAAAAATTCTAAACCATGTGTCAGGAGGCCCTCTGATTTTATTTTATTTATTTATTTATTTATTTATTTATTTATTTATTTTTGCTGTATACTGCCATCTTAAAGCACCTGTTATGCTTAGTAATACAATGGCTGTGATAAAATAAAATTAATGATGATTTTCTTTTTCAACAGCAGCAAAGAAGAGTCGTGTTGTCTCTGATGCAGATGACTCTGACAGTGATGCTGTATCAGACAAGTCAGGCAAAAGAGAGAAGACCATAGCATCTGACAGTGAGGAAGAAGCTGGGAAAGAATTGTCTGATAAGAAAAATGAAGAGAAGGATCTGTTTGGGAGTGACAGTGAGTCAGGCAATGAAGAAGAGTAAGTGACAGTATAACATGAGTTTTCAGGGGTTCTTAATTAGGCAGTAGAGAGGGGTCTGTGTTATAATACAATATGTCCTGCCTAATTGCATGTCTTTGGGGATTTAGTATTTTAGTTCCTGAACTGAACACACTACAATGTGGGTGAATCTCAGAATTCATCTCAGAATTAACATGTTAAGTGAAAGAAAGCAAAGAGGACATATATGATTCCATTTACATGAAGTTCAGTAGGCAAAATTTATCTGTGGTGTTGGAAGTCAAGGTGGCAGTTGTTTCTAGGATGTTGATATTGGGGACCAGCTAGAAGGGGCCATGAGAGGACTTTCTGGGGAGGCTACATGAGTGTATAGGGTGCTGGTTACATGAGTGTATATATTTGTTAAAACTCATTGAACTGAACACTGAAGATCTGCACATTTTACTGTACATAAATTCTATTTTTTAAAAAATGGTTCCTATGCAAATGAGGATAAAGCAAATGAATGTTTTTACATTTGTCTACTTTCTAGAAATCTTATTGCAGACATATTTGGAGAATCTGGTGATGAAGAGGAAGAAGAATTTACAGTAAGTATAAGATGGAAATATTTCCTCCTTGATTGTGCTTTTTTTTGGTGTTTTTATGGCAGTGATACCATTATAGATGATTCTAATAAGTAGGAATAAACAATTATGATGTATTCAAGATAAAAATCTAGAAGAGGGATTCAGGAAGTAAAATGAAAGCGTATATACAAAGACATAAAAGGAAGCTAATGGGCAAAATTGAATTAAGGGGGAAGGGACACTTTGAGACAAAGAAAGTCACTTTATAATGCTAAAGGGCAAGATTCACAATAATTAGGGAACTTCCGATTTTCACAGTGGCATTCTAGGTGATTTGGACTAACCCCTCTGCCAAGCACAACTAGAAAAGCTAGACAAAAATATATAGAAATCTGCTCATTATCTAGGAACAAAGTAGCAAAGAATTACTAAGCCAAGAGAAACCTAAAGTGGTAATTCAGTGTTTAGAAGTGCTTTTTCTGTGGGGGTGTTTGCCTGTCAGGCTGAGAGGCTACTCATATTTTTGACAGCCTCAAGGCTTGGGGACAAAATTTAGAGTTCGGGGCCTATTGAGGTTAGGGGGCTTTGTAAACCCCATACCCTGGATTGAGACTTCAGAGAGCAGCACCATAAGATTTAGGGGGAAATAAAATAGCCTTTGCTCAGATTTTAGGCCATCTTTGAATCTTCTGGCAGACTAGAGAATCTCAGTCTCAGAAATAAGATTACAGTGGTTTAAGTTTTTCATATGTACTTATTATACACAAAAATAACATTAAAAGGTAACAGTAATGATGACAATAGTAATAGACTTAGGGCTCTAGATATAGGAATTTTAGATACCACCTTAAATATGTTCAGGGAGATAAGAAACAAGATTCAAAATGTCAGAGCAAACAAAAAGAAGGCAAATTTGGAAAAGAACCAAGTAGAAATTTTAGAACTATAAAAATACAGTAACTGAAATTAAAAACTCGATGTACAGGTAGGTAGGTGCAAGTAGCTGGTAGTCCCAGTTACTCGGGGGGCTGAGGCTTGGGGGTAGCTGGAGCCCAGAAGTTCGAAACCAGCCAGGGTAAAATAGTGAGGCCCTGTTTGAAAAGAAAAATGGGGTGGGAGGGGGTGGGGAAAACAGAAAACTTAGTGGATGAGTTTAGCATCAGATTAGACATACTTGAAAATAAGTGAACTGGAAGATGGCTTAGAAGGAGAGATCTGGAATGAAGCTTCAAGATACAGTATTACAGAAGAAAGGAAAAGATATAGACTATACATCGAAAAGTTTTCGCAAAAATTGGAATAATGAAAGGAGAGGGAAAGTTACATGTATAGCAGAAGCAGTATTTTAAAAGGAAATGATACCTAAACCATAGATTCTCGAAGTTGTACACATTGCAAGGAAGATAAACAAAAAGAAATCTACACCTAACTACATCGTAATAAAACTGCAAGAAACCAACGAAAATAGGAAAGTCTAAAAGCAGCCACAAGGGAAAAAAAATACGTTCAGAAAAGTAATGATTAGACTAACAGCTGACTTCACAACAGAAACAATAGAATCTACTAACTGCAAACCTAGAATTTTGTTAAATTTAGCAAAAATACTTTCCAGGAATGAAGATGAAATAAGGAGGGAATTAATTAACAGTGTACCAGCTGAAGGAAATACAGAAGGAAAGAAATGCAAGAAAGAATGATCTCAGATGGAAGGTTAGAGATGCAGGAGGGAGAAAAGAGCAACAAAAGTATGTGTATAAGTCTAAATGAGTATTGACTATACAAAATGAAATGTATTTAATGTGGAATATATATAAAATTAAAACATGACAGCAGTAAATTGGGAGCATACGTGGAATTGAAGTGCTCATAGGCCTTTGCAAATGTGTATGAATGTACATTAGTAAACTGATAAGTTAGGGTGCATGTTGTAGTCTCTAAAGTGACCACTAACAAGACTAAAATGGAATGTGTAATTTCTAAACTAATAGGGGGGGAAAGTGGAACAACTAGAACTAATCAGTCGAAAATGAGCAGGAAAAGAGAAAGAACTATAGGACAAGGGACAATTAGAAAGTATTACATGGTAAAATAGTAGATTTAAATTTTGATAATATCAGAAATTAAATTAAATGTAAATAGTAAATATTCCAGTTAAAGGACAACAATTGCCAGACAGGATCTTAAAAACCAGCCATATACTGATGTCAAGAGATTTGTCTGAAACAGAAGGTAAAGCTGAAAATAAAGGTGTATGAAAGGGGACTTTGTGTAAACATGGACCAAAAGAAAATTGTTGTGGTATCTATAATATTATAAAAGAGGGAGGTAGACATTAAGGCAAAAAAAAGTACTTAAGATAAAGAGGTCACTTTATATCGATAAAAAGATTTTAAAATTGTTTGCGCCTAATAACATGGCTTTATAGATATATGCACACTTAAAAATCAAAAATTGATAGAACTGAAAAGAGAAATGGACAAGTCCATAATCTAAGAGAAATGTAACTGACAGAAGAAGCAGATCGAAAAAACCAGGGAACAGTCTCTATATAATCCACGTATAATCCTCTTTGGCAATTACGAATGTTAAAAATACCTTTCATTTTGTTACTTCTTTTTCACTTTCTTAATGGAGTCTTTCTTTAAAAATTTTTTTAGAATATCTTAAATTCATTCCGTTAACATGGAGTCTTCTGATGAACAAAAGTGCTTAATTTTAACATAGGATCAAATTTACCAATCTTTTTCTTTATGGTGAAGACTGAATTCTGCCTAAGAATTTTTGCCTGTCCCCAAGGTCGTGAAGATACAAGTTATCTTCTAGAAGCTTGATTATTCAGTCTTTCACATTTAATTGTATAATTCACCTAGAATTGGTTTCGTATGTGGTATGAGGTAAGAGTCAAGATTTTTTTCCTTATTTGAAGTATCCAGTTGACCCAGCACCATTTATTGAAAAGATCATCCTTTCCTACTATTCTGTAGTGCCATCTTTGTCATATATCAAGTGTCTGTATATATTTTCCAATCTGTTTGCCGCTCAGAAACTTAAACCCTGCTTAAATAGTTCTTGGGTCAAAAAAAAAACAATACTTATTTTTAACCAATGCAATAGAGAGTGAAGGTAGATGAATTTAGAATCTAATTCAGGACAATAGTGAAATAAGAAAGTAAACCTGAGAAAAATATAAAGGAAGAATTCATTCAACAAATGTTTCAGAGACTGGACACTGCCTTCATGGAGCTCATACTTAGTTAAGCACCATATTGTAAGAATAAGGTATACTTACCTGTTTTGGAGACTTAACATCAACTTGGTTATAGTTTCAGTTCAGTTAGAAAAAAATTGTACTAGGTGAACCATTGAGAAAGCCTCTAAGTATAACACAAAAGGTAGACACTATAAAGAAAAGACAGGCCATTTCATTTACATAAAAATGAAAAATTGGCCGGGCGCGGTGGCTCACGCCTGTAATCCCAGCACTTTGGGAGGCCGAGGTGGGCGGCTCACAAGGTCAGGAGATCGAGACCATCCTGGCTAACGTGGTGAAACCCCATCTCTACTAAAAATACGAAAAATTAGCTGGGCATGGTGGCAGGCGCCTGTAGTCCCAGCTACTCAGAAGGCTGAGGCAGGAGAATGGCATGAACCCGGGAGGTGGAGCTTGCAGTGAGCCGAGATCACGCCACTGCACTCTGGCCTGGGCGACACAGTGAGACTCCGTCTCAAAAAAAAAAAAAGAAAAAGAAAAATTATGCCTGGCAAATATTAGCATAAACAAAATC
Organism: Homo sapiens; assembly: GCF_000001405.40. NCBI lineage: Eukaryota > Metazoa > Chordata > Mammalia > Primates > Hominidae > Homo > Homo sapiens. The sequence continues at coordinate 127,499,050 of NC_000002.12, read as the reverse complement.
AGACTGTACAAATGTGGGGATTGTACAGTTCCTGTCACTTGTAGGGGGCTATATCTAATTTTCAAAGAGATTTTACATACTGATAAGAAAAAGATGAACAGTCCAGCAAAAAATGGGCATAGAATGTTCAGAGTTCACAGAGAAAGAATGACACATGGCTTTGTAAATGGAAAAAATGCCCAACGTTACCCCCATAGTAAGAAAATGCAAATAAACCTACCCTGAGATTTGTTTTTCCATCCAGAGATTGGTGGGTATCAATGTTTGATATCTTTGCTGTAGTAGTGAGTACGTAGGGAAACAGGAGTCCTCATACTTGCTGGAGAGATAATTGGTATAACCTCTGTGGAATACAGTTTGGCAAGTATTTCGCAATTTCATATACATAAAACTAAATGTGACTAGGCAAATAAGTAAACAAATTGTGGTTGCAGCCATATTGTGAAATAGTCTAAAGCCTTGAAAAAAATGACAAGACTTAATACTGACATGGATTGGCCTCTAGATTCTTTTCTTAAATTTGGAAGATGCAGAGCATTATCCTGTACCCACTCTGAATAGTATGCTTCAGTTTGTGTAATAAGAGAGGATATGAAGTATGTGTAGAAGTGCTTATATAAACAGACTATTTCTGGAAGGAAACACAAGAAACCTAGTAACACTAGTGGCTGGAGAGGGACCTTTTGTTATGTACCTTTTGATATCTATTGAATTTTTGTTCTTTGTGAATGAATTACTTTAAAAATGCAAAATATTAAGAACACTTAATACAGAAGAAAATCTGTAAGGAGGTTGTGATAATTTTGCATTTAGGGTTTTAACCAAGAAGATCTGGAAGAAGAAAAAGGTGAAACACAGGTAAAAGAAGCAGAAGATTCAGATTCTGATGATAACATAAAGAGAGGAAAACAGTAAGTTTGTTTTTAAGGAATTTGTTAAAGAGAAGTTTAAAAATCAAGGTAGAGACTATTAAACTCTCTTTTGTTTTTCATTTTGGTTCCTGATTAAGTTTAGGAGTGGGTCTATTCCTGTTTTTCTCCATTTACGGTGTTGTCAGTGAATTACCTGCTGTTGTTACTTGTCTTTCATTTACCCTGTGCTCAGATGTCTTACTTTGTGGAGTTGTATTTATATGGCACCAGACTTAATTTATGGCTCACCAAGTAAACTCTTATGAAAAATAACCTAATTTTAAAAATACCTTTTTGAGAGACAAGCTGATGTTGTGGGGCAGGGGAAATAGTCTAACATCTTAACTACAAAATATTACTTGACCATATTTCACTTACTTTAGTTGAGCTAGTTGGAATCTATGTTCAGAAAAATCTGATATCTTAAAAGATGTCATACGGTAATAGAAGGATTAGTTACTGTTTTCAGTCGTAAAGATGCTTTTAAAAAATAGTTTCATTTTTAATTCCTAGTGGCATGCAGTAATTAAACTGAATGAGTTTGGCAGTACTTTTGGAAATTGAATTGATAGGATAGTGGCAGACAATAACTTAACTCCCTCTTTTTTAAGTGTAATGATTCTGATGAAAGCCATAAAGGTTTGAGGCGCTTAGCAAGCCTGTAGTTTTCCATGTGTATCTCTCATTATGTTTTGAGAGTTATACTTCCTATCACTGAAAAGCAGCAGTTTATTTTTCATTTTTTCTACTCATGCTATATAAGACCACAACATTCAAATAATTGAACACCTTCCTAGTCCAAGAAAGGGCAGTGCCACTAAAGCTGAATGAATCCCCTGCATTGGAACTTAAAATGTACTTTCTCAAACTGATAGATGCAAGTGTGAATATAGTGCATGAAAAGTTCCGGGCTATTAGCGATTTATATGTGTATATATAACAGGGTAGTACAGGAATTGAAATAAAGTCTAGGATCAACCGTTCTTTTAATAGCAGGTTCTAAGTACAGTCATGCGTCGCTTAACAACAGGGATATATTCTGAAAAATGTGTCATTAGGTGATTTTGTTGTTGTATCAATATCATAGTATTATACAAACCTACATGGTATTGCCTACTACCCACCTAGGCTGTATGGTAAAACCTATCGCACCTAGGGTACAAACCTGTGCAGCATGTTATTGTACTGAATGCTGTAGGCAGTGGTAACACAATGGTATTTGTGTATCTAAACATAGAAAAGTTGCAGTTAAAATACAATATAGTTGGACGTGGTGGCTTATGCCTGTAATCTCAACAGTTTGGGAGGCTGAGGCAGGGGGATCACTTGAGGCCAGGAGTTCAAGACAAGCCTGGGTGACATATAGTGAGGCCCTCCCTGTCTCTACAAAACATTTAAAAAATTAGCCAGGCATGTTGTGTGGGCCTGTAGTCTCAACTATTCAGGAGGCTAAGGTGGAAGGATGAGCCCAGGAGTTTGAGGCTACGGTGAACTATGATTGTGCCACCGCACTCCAGCCTGGGTGACAGAGCAACACCCCAACTCTTTAAAAAATGTGTGTGTGTGTGTGTGTGTGTGTGTGTGTGTGTATGATAAAATATGGTACACCTGTTTAGAGTACTTGCCATGAATGAAAGCAGGACTGGAATTTGGTCTGGGTGAGTGATGAGTGAATGTGAAGGCCTGGGACATTACTGTACACTACCATAGGCTTTATAAACACTGTATGCTTAGGCTACACTAAATTTATAAAAAATATTTTTTTCTTCAATAAAAAGTTAACCTTAGCTTACTGGATGGCCACCGTCGTATTTGCAGTCCGTCATTGACCGAAACATCGTTATGCGGCGCATGACTGTATTTGCACTTTTAAAAGAAGGTAGCACTTCATTGAGTTAGAATTAAGAAATTTGGTGTTCTTAATTGTTGTGAAAGTAAATGTGTATTTAAAAGACAACTTGTATTTCACTTGCTTTTGTTTACTGCTTTAGTATGGACTTTCTGTCAGATTTTGAGATGATGTTGCAGCGAAAAAAGAGCATGAGTGGCAAGCGCAGACGGAACCGCGATGGTGGCACCTTTATTAGTGATGCAGACGACGTCGTGAGTGCCATGATCGTCAAGATGAATGAAGCTGCTGAGGTGAGCTGGGTCGCTTCTAGGTTCACCTTTTTTTCCTCCCACTGAGTTTATTGGATGCCCTTTTTTTGATACTTAACCCTTAAACTACAATTAAGATGCTTTGCTTTTTGTAATAAAGCATTTACTGTTCTCAATTTTAATCATGGAAATATTTTAATTTTTTAGTCACACGTTTAGAAAAAGTGAAAATATGAGGTATTCAGTAAAATGAAACGTTTTAGGTGAATGGCTTTGCTAGTTTCATGGGAAATGGTTTTGTTCTCAGATTTGGCTAGTTCACCACAAAGTTTAGTTTCTTCATATATAAAAGGTGTTACAAATTCATGTGTCGTTCTCTTGCTCCTGATCAAGACACGGCTTCTTTCATTGCATTTTAAAAATCTGCTCAACTTATAAAAATTGGCCCAGTAGTATGTTTAAAAAACAAGTTCAGATCTTTTGGAGACACTTGTTGAGAGTTCAGCATGGATTCAATGATCTGTGTCTAGGATTTCTTTCAAAACAATTCAAGAATGGAGGGAAAGTAGCTAAAAGAAGACTAGCTATGTGTATTCAGTTGTTGAAATATATGCAACAGGTATATTATTCTATATTTGTAGAATTTGAAATTTTTCATAATTTAAAAAAATAGAAAAAACTGCCCAAGTAATACTGAAACTCTTCTTTGATATAGTATATTCCAATATCATATAACCTCACACCTGGAAAATTGTTCCTAATATAATAAACCAGAATTTCCCAGTTTTAATTTGTACCTTTAATGAACTCTGAAAATTTGACAGTTATGCTAATGTTCTACATTAAAATTGTTTCTCTCAATTTGTAGTTGTTAAAGGCAATTATTCTAATAGTTTTTTGGGTTTGACTGACATAGACAGATACAGAGCTTGGTGCTCTGCAGAAGATCCATCTTAAATTATTCTTTCTTGTAGGAAAAATTGTTTCTTTGAAAAACTGTTATTTTAAGGTTCAGAATTACAGTGAATTCAATATTAATAAAAAGTACTGTTTTAAAAAAAAATCTTTATTTTTTTTCTGAATAGGAAGACAGACAGTTGAACAATCAAAAAAAGCCAGCACTGAAAAAATTAACTTTACTGCCTGCTGTAGTTATGCACCTTAAGAAGTAAGTATTTTGTTTTCTTTAAAATGTCTTTTTCCTTTTCATGGAATGATAATTCAAATGATGTACTGGTGTTCTAGGAATATTAAATAATGATAGACTTCTATCGGTTCACAGAAAGATAATGAATAAAATTTCCTAAATTATATTTCTTCATAAATTTTTATTAAGCCTTGATGCCTGGTGCAAACAGAACAAATAAAAAATTGATACTAACGAAAGAAAAACTTGGAAACTACTAATTTTGTGTTTTTTTGTTTTGTTTTTGTTTTTTTGGTAAAGACAGGATCTTGCTATGTTGCCCAGGCTTGTCTTGAACTCCTGGGCTTAAGTAATCCTCCCACCTCATCCTCTCAAAGTGCTGGAATTACAGACATGAGCCACTGCACCTGGCCACTAATTTTGTTCTTTATAGACAGTTTTTGGTCTGGTAAAATTGCATCTGTTTTCTCCGTGTGATGGAAAATAGTAAATCTTGGAAGATCCTACCTGAAGGCTGCATTGTACAAGGCTTATATGACTCTAATGTGTCACAATTATTGATCCTTCTGAAGTAATGATGCCCTTTTTGAGTAGATCCTTGTTTCTAACTTTTTTCATTGATTTGCTTTTTTTTTTTTTTTTTTTTTAATTAGAGACAGGATCTCGCTGTGTTGCCCAGGCTGGTCTCGAACTCCTGGGCTCAGCCGATCTTCCCGTCTCAACACCCCAAAGGCAAAGTACTGGAATGGGATTACAGGTGTGAGCCACCACACCGGGCCCTGATTTGCTTATATTTCTGAGCAACCTTGCTTTCTCTTTGAACTAAGCCACAGCCTACTTTTGATGACTGAGGAAATGTATTGGTGCATCAGTGAGCTGCCACCAGCATGGCCTAGAGCATCTGTAACTAGAAAATTTCTCCCTCTATTCTAACAGGGGAAACTATCTGTGGCAGGTTTTATGTATATAATGTTATCTTTTCTATTAACATAACTGATTCCAGTACATAAAATGGAATTTAAGTATTATTTTATTGAGTTTTTTTTTTTTTTTTTTGTCCTGCCAGTGGAGTGCTAGTCTCATTGGTGTCCTGCAGAGAAGAGCAAATCTGGGTTCACCACCATGTAAAACTGTTCAAGAATCACTATTTTGATAGATTGAACGTTTTTTTTTTTTAGTTGAAAAGATTGGAGTTAATTGTTCTTACTGTCTGTACCATTCATATCAGCATTAATTTATCTTGTGTAACTTGAGTTTGTTTTGTTTTCAGCAAATCATCTTTGTCAAGTATATGCATTTCTGGAAAATAAGAACTAAATGTCATACTGCTTTCGAAACCAGAATGGTGTTCAGTAAATGTCAAATTTATATGAGTAACGCTTTAAAAGCAGTTTTTAGAAACATCACTAAATATGTAAGAAAAGTCGGAAGATACAGTAGAACCAAGGTTCACAGAATTTTTAAAAATTATTGTTACTGCAGGCAGGACCTTAAAGAAACATTCATTGACAGTGGTGTGATGTCTGCCATCAAAGAATGGCTCTCACCTCTACCAGATAGGAGTTTGCCTGCACTCAAGATCCGGGAGGAGCTGCTGAAGATCCTGCAAGAGGTTAGAGGCAGATAATCTGACTGTTCTTTATTAATTATCTAATGTGGTCTGTATGGTCATAACCTGTGTAGTTTACAGTGTTTTTATATGTTATCTCTGCTACAGCCTGCCAGAAGAGGGGTTGGAAAAAAGGAACATATCTAATAAAATGAGCGTGAAAGGGAAGACCTTATAAAACTTCATGTAACTATCGCATTGAAGGGAAAAAATCTTAGAGTAGCTGTAATGTGTCTGAGAAGAGTAGTACAGTAGTGGGCAAGTTCCAGGGAGAAATGTGACGCAGAATGAACACCAAATTCAGAATCATATGAACTTGCATTTGAATCTTGAGCTGGGCCACCTTACGTAGTTGTGACACCTTGGGTAAGCTATTTAACTTCTGAAGGAATTCCCAAGGAAACCTCCTATGCCACGCACTGTGCCAGGTGCTTTATATATGTATTGATTCGTTTTTTCCTCACAGTAAACTGAGAAGGTAGGTGTATTATTTCCATTTTACAGATGAGGGAATTAAGATGCAGAGAAGTTAAACGACTCGTCAAGGTCACATAGCTAGAAGGTGGCTGTGCTTGGGTTCAGTCTTAGGTCTATTGGATTCTGAGGCCTGTGCTGGCTCCTGTATTAAACTGCTAACCTCTGAGTACGCTTGGTTCATACTTTCTCACATTGTTAGGTTTTACTTCAACTCAGCTGTAATACTGAGCTCTCAACCTCTTTTTGTTTTTTTTTTTTTTGAGACGGAGTTTTGCTTCTGGTGCCCAGGCTGGAGTGCAGTGGCACCACCTCGGCTCACTTCAACCTCCGCTTCCTAGGTTCAAGCGATTCTCCTGCCTCAGCCTCCCGAGTAGCTGGGATTACAGGCGCCTGCCTCCACACCTGGCTAATTTTTGTATTTTTAGTAGAGATGGGTTTCACCACATGTTGGCCAGGCTGGTCTTGAACTCTTGACCTCAGGTGATCCACCCGCCTCAGCCTCCCAAAGTGCTGGGATTACAGGCGTGAGCCACCATGCCTGGCCTGAACTCTGAACTTTTGATGTGGACACAAAGTATCTTTGTGTTCTATGTCTGTAGATCCTGAAAATGGAATTTTTTATTTGTTCTGTTGTGAATGTGCCAGGTCTCTAGAATAGACTAGCAAGACCCCCAGCTTCCGAGTGATTAATATGTGTGTATGTGTTTATGTTCCCCAGCTGCCTAGTGTGAGCCAGGAGACCCTGAAGCATAGTGGGATTGGACGAGCAGTGATGTATCTCTATAAACACCCCAAGGAGTCAAGGTCTAACAAGGACATGGCAGGGAAATTAATCAGTATGTAAATTTTCCTTTTTGTTTGTTGTGTTTATGTGTATAGATAAGAGAGAGATGCGTATATATAAAAGCTGTATTTTTACCAGTATTTGTTTTAAACGAGTCGGTAAAGTGGAATAGAAATTTTTGAATAACTTCTTACAGGTACTAGCATTTTCTCTTAGACTTTAAAAAAAAACCTCAATATAATTAAGTATGCTATTCAGTATTAAAAATAGCAAGTAAGAGGCTGGGTGTGGTGGCTTAACGCCTGTAATCCCAGCACTTTGGGAGGCTTAGGTGGGCGGATCACAAGGTCAGGAGATCGAGACCATCCTAGCTAACACGATGAAACCCCATCTCTACTAAAAATACAAAAAATTAGCCGGGCATGGTGGTATACACGAGTAGTCCCAGCTACTCGGGAGGCTGAGGCAGGAGAATCACTTGAACCCGGGAGGCGGAGGTTGCAGTGAGCCGAGATCGCGCCACTGCACTCCAGCCTGGGCAACAAGAGCGAGACTCCGTCTCAAAAAAAAAAAAATTGCAAGTAAAAAGTATGCATTTTCTAGTCATGGGTCGAGAGCATGGAGAAAGAGAGGGGTTAGATTGCAGGCCATGGAGTTGATATTACCTGGGTTCAGATCATGAATCCACCACCTACCTTACTGCATTTCCTTAGCTAGTGATTTGTGCTCTGTAAAGTTGAGATAATTATGTGTTTTCTTTTGGGTGACTTTAAAGATTAAATGAGAGGTTGTGTCTAAAGCACGGTGCTTAGCACATAGTAAGTACTCAAGAAACAGCCATTGTTGTTGTTACTTGCACAATGGTCTTCAAAACCTTTTTGCATGTTCTTATTTAATGATGCCAGAGAAATCCAGAGAAGTCTAAACCAAAATTTATGTAATCAAGCGCCATGTTTGTGAAATTCTTCAGTTTTACGAATGAAACCCGTGTTTGTTTTTGTTGTCCTCCTTAACTCTTCCTGTCCTCCATGTTGAAAAGGAATTTTTAGAACTTCAAGGCTAGATTGAAAAAGTAACTACTACGTTCGAATAGAATAATTATTTTTCTTTTGAATTGTTAAGTTTATCAAAAGCTTTTAGAGAAATGTAAATTTCTTCTATAAACCAGAGATATACTACCATCTTTGATCTTGTCAGTAAACTGCAGCTTACTGCCTGTTAAGTAATAAACTTTTGGTGCTTTTATGCAGTAGTTTGCAACTTTATTTTTTTGCCCTAGACTGAGAAAAGCAGAATATCCCCACTGGTTTCCATGACTTACTACAGCAGTGATTCTGAATCCAGAAGTGGGGTCAATGGGGTGGTTTTAAAAGATACGTGGACCCCCTGAGAATCCCTGCTTCCTTCTTTGTGTGACAGCACCCATGTTCGGTCTATAAAGGTCCTTTCTTGTTTTTATAGTGTATTAAATGTAGCAGTAAGCTACATTATGTCTTAGAACAAAGACATCAGTTGGCTCCTGGACTTTGACTGACTGAACAGTGGCATATACTTTCTTTCATGGTCATTGTAGCAGCTATGTTAGACTTAATGAAGTACAAAGTCTCCACCCGCACTATTAAACTGTAATTTTTAAAGGTACAGACCATTTTGTAAGGTAGTTGTAAAGGAGTTTGTTCTGGGTTAGGATAAGAAAGCAGAATTTCAAGACTTTTTTATTTCCAGTAGCGTAAACTTAGAAATTAGTCTGCCTTTTAAAATAAATAAATAAAAATTTTAAATAAATGTCTTTTATGAAATGTCAATCCAGCTAATTGTTGACTATTAAAGTGTATCACATGTTACTTTCTTTAAATCTCTGTGGTGATCTTTTACATTAAATTTTCTGAATCAGCCAGAGTCAGTCAGTACACTGGCATTATGCTTTGTTTATCCTATAAATTACTCTGAAATAATGGACTCTTCAAGGAAAGAATATTCTAAATGTCTAGAATATCCCCTCACACTGGGGTGCAATTATTTGAAAAAAATGGAAATGCAATTTTATGGACAAAATAATTGATTTTTTTCTTACTACAGATGAGTGGTCTAGGCCTATATTTGGTCTTACCTCAAACTACAAAGGAATGACAAGAGAAGAAAGGGAGCAGAGAGATCTAGAACAGATGCCTCAACGACGAAGAATGAACAGGTATGAGGGAACAGGTATGAGTAAGTGGAATACACGTTATTGTTGCAGTAACTCAGTTTTAAGTAAGATCATTAGGAAGCCTGCAAGATGATAGGATTTCCTTTCCTCTCAGCTTGATATGTGTACATAATTCATAATATCCTTTTAGTTTAAATGTGATAGTGTATAGTGAGGGTCCTGTCCTCCTAACCAGACCTTTCTGGGTCAGTTTGT